>NC_000006.12:132570790-135070790 GCF_000001405.40 Homo sapiens
GGATCCTGCCCCTCATGTACAGCGGTGCTGTGTTCTACACAGGTGTCTATGACGATGGGCTGGAGGAATTATCTGATGCCCTAAACTGTATAGGAGGTTGTCAGACCGTTGTAAATCAAAACTGGGTGTTGACAGATTTTCTATCCTTCTTTATACCTACCTTTATTATGATAATTCTGTATGGTAACATATTTCTTGTGGCTAGACGACAGGCGAAAAAGATAGAAAATACTGGTAGCAAGACAGAATCATCCTCAGAGAGTTACAAAGCCAGAGTGGCCAGGAGAGAGAGAAAAGCAGCTAAAACCCTGGGGGTCACAGTGGTAGCATTTATGATTTCATGGTTACCATATAGCATTGATTCATTAATTGATGCCTTTATGGGCTTTATAACCCCTGCCTGTATTTATGAGATTTGCTGTTGGTGTGCTTATTATAACTCAGCCATGAATCCTTTGATTTATGCTTTATTTTACCCATGGTTTAGGAAAGCAATAAAAGTTATTGTAACTGGTCAGGTTTTAAAGAACAGTTCAGCAACCATGAATTTGTTTTCTGAACATATATAAGCAGTTGTATAGACGAAGTTCAGGATACCTTTAAAATTACCAAGCGAAATGAGTTTTTAAAAATCAAGTAAGACTATGAATGAATAGCAAATAAATTGCTCTTCAAATGAAAAACAAATCAATGTTTTTCAGTCTTGTTAAGATGTGCACTTTCCTGTCCCTTCTGCAAAAGTATTTACTTGGCTAACAAATGTTAAATTCCTATTTGTTAACTGCTTTAGAGCTCAGCATATCCCACTCCCTGCAGACACTTTTTGTCTTTTAATCCATTGACTCTTCCCTCTGCTCTGGTATTTTTCCTAAAAATATTTGTTTTTTTTTTTTTATTTATTCCCTTTCCTCTTTTCTTTACAAAGCTTTCTACTCTTTCCCAGCCTGCCAAAAATTTCATTTGTGAATAGCCTTTATCAAATTATTGGTTTCTTTTGCTTTGGTTATTTTACCACAGGAGTCCTTTTAGGTATTAATTTAATTTATTCAATCTTGGGAGAGATCTCAGGGTGTATGGGGCAATTTGCAAATGAAGACATCATCTTGACCAGGCTGTTGTAATTGTCAAACCAGTTACTGTCATTCTTGTAATTATTTCCTCCCCCAAAGTGGGAAGCAGAAGCCACTGTACTTCCCAGAATGATGTTAGGATGATTATTTGGCTGCTGTTCTTGCTATTGCACAAAACTGTTTAAAGAGTTGGTATGAATAGAGCCCTGTGTTACATTATTCAGTTCATACACATTGAATATTACTTGTTCCTTTAGGGAGGATATCTTTCAAGTGCAGTCTCTAGCTTTCTTTTCTTTTTTTTTCTATATTAAAACTTAATTACAGCAAGGAATTTGCAAGATTAGAAGCCATGTGGAATATACATCAATGAGAAGCATTCAGGTATTCATCCATGTTTTTTCCATTTACCAAACATGAAACCTGTGCCTATATTGTATGGAAATCAGTGCTAGATGCCTTAGACACAGGCATAACATCCCATTTTTGTCTTTAATAAGCTGTGACTCTGGCAAGAAGCAATGTTGGTCACTGAAAATTTTAAAAAGGGCGAACACTAGCTCAACCAGGTAATTAAGGTTCAATATCAGTAGTAGTAAGGCATGTGGCTATTGTGTGTTCTTGACATTATGTAATGAGAATGGCTTTTACCTCTATGTCCTTTCTTCCCCAAATCCATAACCCCCATGTAGTCATGAGAAAAATGTCAGACGAAACTTTATCGGGAATATTCTGCATAATATTTGATCAGTATTTCTCAAAACTGTCAGTCATCAAAAATAAAGTATGAGAAACTGTCATGATCTACAGGAAACTAAGAAGACATGACAACTAAACGTAGTATGGCATCCTAAATGGAAAGCTAGAAAGAAAAGGGACATTAGGGGAAGTGAGGAAATCCGAATAATGAATGGAAATTTTATTGCTATATTGATAACAATATTGGATCATTAGTTATCACAAATGTACTATATGAGTTTAAGATGTTAATGAGAAACTTCTTGCAAGGTATATAGGAATTCTCATTACTATCTTTGCAATTTTTCAGTAATTCTACAACTATTCTGAAATTAAAAGTTTATTCAAAAAATATAGAGTACACAATTCCTGCTTGATAAAGTTTCTAGCCTGTCTATGTGAAGACAGCAAAGCACTTATCCTTACAGTCATTCATTTATTCATTCTGAATATATCTTTGAAGACTGAGTGTGTACTAGACTCTTGGTTCAGTGTGATCAGGAATAGAAAACCAGGAACTTAGAATATTTTGTGGCAAAACCCAAAATACCAGTAATTAAGACTTGGAATGCATGGGAATTTAAGCTATAAAAGGCTGTGTTTAAGGAACACAGGAGAAAGGAGAATTCAGACCTGGATGGAAAATGAAGGAGATGTATTAAAGAAGTGGCATTCAAGTAGGGCCTTAAATTTTAAGAAGGATTTTTGTAGGAGGGAAAGGATGGGAAGCGATTTTCAGGCATGAGCAAAGAAACTGAGAAAGTGCAAAGTGTTTAGGGAATATGAAAATAAAACAACTAGGCTGGGCGTGGTGGGTCACGCCTGTAATCCCAGCACTTTGGGAGGCCAAGGCGGGTGGATCACAAGGTCAAAAGATCGAGAACAGCCTGGCTAACAGGGTGAAACCCCGTCTCTACTAAAAATACAAAAATTATCTGGATGTGGTGGCACGTGCCTGTAGTCCCAGCTTCTCGGGAGGCTGAGGCAGGAGAATCTCTTGAACCTGGGAGGTGGAGGTTGCAGTGAGCCGAGATCATGCCACTGTACTCCAGCCTGGGTGACAGAGTGAAACTCTATCAAAAAAAAAAAGAAAAAAAAGAAAAAAAAGAAAGAAAGAAAATAAAACAACTAAACAACCACCAAGAAGCAAGAAGTAGTCACGCTTTTAAACCCTCCCAAGGTTGGCATCCAAACCCTGCACCTCTACTTCTCCTGGGCATCCTCCATTGTGGTTTGGAGACATTCTCCCCTCTCTGCTCAAGTTTCAGCTCCCATAATTGTTTTCTAAGAAACATTTCTCAAATGAGGCTTTACAAAACAGTCATCACATAAAATGCTCCAAGGAAAAAGATTTCTGATTCAACAATGTTTTGGAACTGTTGCATACTCTTTTCTGTTCTTGGAGAACACTGTATATTGGCATATTAAAGACTCTGAGAAGTCCTGTTTTAGCAAAAACCTGTCCAATTTTGTTTAAATGTGCATTCTAAACATTTATTAAACCATGGGTACTCTTTTGATATGAGGAGCTCAATAACAGAGCTATTGTCCAAGGAAAATATTTAAGGAACACCATCTCTATCGTTGATTTGGTTCTTACCTAATGTATTATTAATCTTGTATTGGTCTTTTGGTCTTTCACATACAATACACTTCATTCAATTTGTATTTCTAAAAGGTAGAGGTGGTTTTCCAACCCATGGTATAATAATGAGTAAGCACTCATAACATGTTTTTTTTTGTCAATTATGATGTATAAGATAAATTGTACAGTATGTAAAATGGGATAAATTATGTGACTTTGAAGGAGGGACTGGATGCTGCAGACTGAAAAATCTCAGAAGGTTCCATGGAGAACTTAGAATATAATACCAGCTAAGCAGTGGAGGATTGGTTTAAATAGAAAAAACAATAGTAGAAAAGGAATTTCTAGGCAGAATAAAAATCTCATGAAAGGTATAAATTTAGTGGTGCATCAAATGCAATTAAGCATACAAAAAAGGATAGCCAATAAGATCAGTCGGCCTAAAGCACACCATTTGGGTAAGAGAGTCACAATCAATCTATCCATCAATCAACATACTATTTTAAGCCCTATATCTGCACTGTCCAGTATGGTAGCCATGAGCAACATGTGGTTATTGAGGACTTGAAATGTGGCTAGTCTGAGCTGAGATATTCTATAGGTAGAATTTATATACCAGATTTCAAAGACAAACAAAAGAATGTAAGATGTCTCTTTTTAAAATATTGATTACATGTTGAAATTATCAATTTTGGGATGTATTGGGTTAAATAAAAATATGTTATTTAGATTAATTTCTCTTTTCTCTTTTTACTTTTTAAAATGTGGCTACTAGAAAAATGTAAAATTATGTATGTAGCTTAAATTATATTTCTATTGGACAGCACTACTCTAGAGAAAACAAAAATGAGCCATAGGACAATTCTAGCCCTCCAGGACTTAAAAATCAAGATGGGGAGAGAATGCATGAACATAAACAATGAAGTAAATATATATGAACTATGGTAAAAGTTAAATAATATTTATTTAGCAATTGATGTTTAAAAACAGAGGTACAAAACTCATATTAATCTTATAGTCTGGTCATTTTATAAATGAGAAAATTGGGACTCAGAGAGAAATAAATTAACTTGCATGAAATTATACAGCTAGTAGGCTAGGTGCGGTTGCTCACGCCTGTAATCTCAGCACTTTGGGAAGCTGAAGTGGGAGGATCACTTGAGTTCAGGAGTTTGATACCAGCCTGGGCAACATAGTGAGACCTTGTCTGTACTAAAAATGAAAAAGTTAGCCAGGCGTGGTGGTGAATGCCTGTAGTCCCAGCTACTCAGGAGGCTCAGGTGGGAGGATCACTTGTACACAGGAGTTTGAGGCTGCAGTGAGCAGTGATCGCATCTAGAAACAAAGTGAGATTCTGTCTCAAAAAATAAAAAGTTATACAGTTAGCAAAAAATCTTTGCCATACTTTGAACCCAAATTATTTGAATTCTAAGCTCAATTTTTTTTCTCGACATGGAAATGAGAGTTTAGGACAAACAATAAGGGATATTACAAAGAAGTACAGTTAAATAAATGCTATCCACAAGAAGATATTTAGCATTTAGAGTTTCTCTCATAAGTCAGTGGTTCTTGATAATTTTTAGATCATAGTCACATTGAAATATGCTGAAATCTATGTATTCTTTCTCTAGAAAAATGCACACAATCACATATACACAATATTTAGTGTACTATTCTGGGGGTTCCATAACCTTTGGGGCCAATTACAGGTCATGGATACACTGTTCCTAAGTTGGGCATAGACTAGACTTGGCTGAAGTGAAAACGACCTCAACTAACTCTGTGGCTTAACACAACAAAGGTTTATTTCCTGCTCATGTGAAGTCCACTATGAGTCTGAGGAGATATCAGGGCAATTGTCCTCAACATAGTGCAGGTTGCTTTGATTTCATGGCTCCATCTTTTCAACAAGAGACTTCTATACTTCAGCCTGAAAGAACACATGAACACTTAAATCTATTAGCCAGAACCAAGCAGACAGTCCACCTAATGGCTTGAAAAACACAGGACGATAAGCACAATGTTTGCTGCACACAAAGGCCTCTTCCAAACACTGTTTTACTGGATGGGACATCACATTGTGTGAATGATGTATCTCTCAGGGTTTCAATTTGGCAGAAAATGTTTTAAACTCATTAGTGTTTATTTTAATCAATATTAAGTCTAAGTGAGATAGTTGCTGGCTTCGGCTGGCTGACTCAAGTATGTTAGAGTCAAGGATGCTGTACAGATTTTCCTGATGCTTGTCTAATGGTTCCAAAGTGACTACAGGAGTTCCAGCCAAATCACACATGTTCCTGGAAATAGGGAGGAGGAAGACCTAGGAAGAGGGGCTCTCTGAAGCCCTACTTGACAACTTCAGTTTCCCCAAGGGAGAGAAGATTCTGATGCTATGGAGGAAATTAACCCATTGGTTGTTAGGTGAGAAATAAGCATTTCTGCCACATGAAGTAATCTGGAAAATGAAATCCAACAAGTGAAAATAAAACTTCTTACCAAATTCTCTCACAGGTATTTGCTGTATAAATCCATAAGGAAGTGAACTGAGAAAAAGAGAATGGAAAAAATAACAGGTTTTCTCAAAGATCTCTATACCATCTTTTTCTTAAACTTCTCCTTTTGTATTATTTAGTATTAATTTTTCAGCCAATGAACATGTACTATATATGTGTTACATAGTAAATGCCCTGTTGACAATGCAGAAGTGATGAGAATGAATGAGACTCAATCGTTTTAGTAGAGTTTTCAATATTTCCCAAAAGGTAGTGGTTACAAGCAGAGCCAGACAGCCAGTCCTTTTATGGGACAAAGATATCTTGCTAGAGATCACACAGTGGGTCAGCATCAGGGACAGAGTCCCCAGAATTTGCAATAGCCTGGTTGTTATTGTCTTGGAGCAATCAGTAGAAACATGTAAAGGCATATTTTTTAATTTTACATTTCAAGGTACATGTGCAGGATGTGCAGGTTTGTTACATAGGTAAACATGTGCCATGGTGGTTTGCTGCACCTATCAACCCATCACCTAGGTATTAAGCCCAGCATGCATTAGCTATTTTCCCTAATGCTCTCTGCCCCCACCCTACCCTCTTTCAACAGGCCCCAGTGTGTGATGCTCCCTTCCTTGTGTCCTTGTATTCTCATTGTTCAGCTCCTACTGAAGAATCAATATCATGAAAATGGCCATATTGCCCAAAGCAATTTATAGATTCAATGCTATTCCCATTAAACTACCATTGACATTCTTCACAGAATTAGAAAAAAAAGATTTCAAAATTCATATGGAACTTAAAAAAAGCTCGTATAGCCAGGCCAATCCTAAGCAAAAAGAACAAAACAAAAGAGGCACCAAGCGACCCAACTTCAAACTATACTACAAGGCTACAGTAACCAAAACAGCATGGTACTGGTACAAAACCGGCACATAGACCAATGGAACAGAATAGAGAACTCAGAAATGAAAACATACATCTAGAATCATCTGGTCTTCAACAAACTTGACAAAAAAACAAGATATTGGGAAAGTATTCCCCATTTAATAAATGGTGCTGGAAGAACTGGCTAGCCATATGCAAAAAAATTGAAACTGGGCCCCTTCCTTACATCCTATACAAGAATTAACTCAAGACAGATTAAAGACTTAAATGCAAGAACAATTAATATTTCACTAGTAGGGCTGCCCTCTACCAGATGGCTAATGGAGTCACGATGCAGAGCTATGAGATGGAGGGCAGGGGATGCTATGGCTAATTTTAACCACAGCAGCAAACACAGAAAAACCCACTAGGTCGTATAGACTCCTGACCAGCCCCAGCATCAGATCTTGGTCACTGTGGGCTATGGTGAATTCATAATTCAAAACCCAAAGCCTAATTTCTGTTGTGTTTGGAATAAAATTCTAACTCTGTGATTCTGATCTATGAGGCTTTGCATAGTCTTAGCCCCGCACAACTCTCTACCCACTACCTATTCTGCTCTCCCTTTACTTGTTATGCTCCAAATATATTTGTCCAATCCCAGCCCCTCGGCTACCCCCCACAGGATGCCTCAGGAGCTGTGCACTGGCTATCCCATCTGTTGTACTAGGTCGCTCAGGAGACTCGCACAGGGTTTTTCATCTGTTGGATCACTCAGTCCTCAGATCTTCACGGAGCTGGTTCCTTACACAGGTCTCAGCTTTAACATCGCTCCCTCAGAAAAATCAAGATCTCGGCTAATGTTGTTATCCATGTTTTATTCTTTTACTCACCTTGTTTTTATATCATTTCCTTCATGGTACATATCAGAATGTGTTACAATCTTATTCATCTGTTTATTTTCTTGTGTTTTAACTGTCTGTCTCTTAATGACATGTAAGCTGCAGGAGGTCAGATACTTGCTGAAGTATCACTATGAGTAAATCAGACAGTTTGTACTGGTGTTTTATTTCTTTGCTCCTATGTTGTTGTTTTACTTTGGTCAGTTGAGTAAATAAATGAGTGAATAAATAAAATAGAAATAGATTCCCCAGCATTGGGAGGATACATTAAATGTATTCTTTTTTTTTTTTTTAAAGTTCTGGGGTACATGTGCTGGATGTGCAGTTTTCTTACATAGGTAAATGTGTGCCATGGTGGTTTGCTGCACCTATCAACTCATTACCTAGTTATTAAGCCTGGAAAAATGCATTCTTTTTATAAGCTTTTTTGGGGAGGGGCAGGGTCTTGCTGTGACCTAGGCTGGGGTACAGTGGCATGATCATAGCTCAATGCAGTCTCAAACTCCTGGGCTCAGGTGACACTCCCATGTAGCTGGGGCTACAGGCGTGTGCGACCATGCCTGGCTAATTTTTAAAAAAAATTTATTTTTGTAGAAAAGGGATCTCATTTTGTTGCCCAGGTTGGTCTCAAACACGACTTCAAGCAATACTCCCATTTTGGCCTCCTGAAGTGCTGGGACTACAGATTTGAGCCACTGTGCCCAGCCTTAGATGCATTTTTAAAAGAATAAAATAGCTAGGTTGGCCTTATCTGAAGACTTGTTGAATGTGCCACTAAATCTCTTAACATCTAGTGTTCAGCAAGCCTTTTCATTCTTAGAACTCAATCAATAAAACTCAATCATAGAAAACTATTTCAAAGGACTCACTCTATGAAATAAAAAAAATCTTCCTAAAGAGTTTATGGGGGCTGGGCATGGTGGCTCACACCTGTAAAATCCCAGCATTTTGGGAGGCTAAGGCAGGTGGATCACTTGAGGCCAAGAGTTAGAGACCAGCCTGGCCAATAATAGTTAAACCCCATCTCTACTAAAAATGCAAAAAAATTAGCCTGGCATGGTGGTGCACACCTGTAATCCTAGCTACTTGGGAAGCTGAGGCACAAGAGTCGTTTAAACCCTGAAGGCTGAGGTTGCAGTGAGCTGCAATCACGCCACTGCACTCCAGCCTGGGTGACAAAGCAAGACTGTCTCAAAAAAAAAAAAAAAAAGTTTATTGGAAAATATTTGATACCTGAGATCTGAACCATTCATGAGTTTCATGTTACTATTAAACATATCTTTGCTTGCTAATCATTTTCAGAGAAACCTCTAAGCTATTTTCCAGCTTGCACTCTTTCTGAAGCCTACACATTTCAAGCAGCATGGCCCCGAGCAGTGTTGGTAAGAGGCAGACTGGGATTTGGAGCCAGCTCTGTTAACTATAAAGGTCCTACTTTCACCTACTGTGTAATCCTCCTTCAAAGCAAGATTGAGGTGACGGAAATTGTGCTGGCCAAACATTAGGTTTCTGGGTTCTAGGTCCTGTCTCTGCCAATCATAGTTTGTGGGACTTCAGACAAGTCAGTTTATCTTATTGGACCTTAATGTGAAATAATGTAACTCCAATCCATGGCCACTAAAGTTCCTTCCAGTCCTAGAATTTCTAATACAAGCACATGTGAGTAACATAGCAGGGCTTTCTCTGTGTACCCACAGTGGAGTTTGGTGTGCTAAGGCTAGCTCTCAGAAGCCGATTTTGATGATAACCCAAGTTACTTGAGAGATGGTCAAGCCAACACTGGGACTGGAATTCACAGATTTGATCATGGGGTTAGATGGAAACCATCAAAAACAACAAAAAGAGAAAAAATTACCCCAAGCACTGTGAGGGGCAGCAGTATTGGAAAATGAGCTCCAAGCAGGCAAGGAATTCACCTGAAAGCATGAATGAAAGACAGGTCTGGAATGCACCAAATGACTAGGATCAGGAGTGTCTGTAAGTGTCAGAATGTAGCAGAGAGTGGCATTGTACAGAGTTCTACCCCGAGACTTTCATACACAAACTTTCAAATGCCATGCTACATTTACCATCAAAAGACCATCAGTTAGGAAGCAGATGATCTAAGTTTGCCTGACTGAGTTGCCACATATTGCAGGAGAGTCACCTGGAGTACAAAGTGGAGCAGTTTGAAAACTTGGGGAGAGAAAGAGAGTAGTGAGGACTGTGGTGGAACTCAGTGTCAGAGGCCAGGGTAACCAGCACCATGGTAGCAGCAGAACATGAACTACCTGGGACTCACAGAAAAGAGTAGTGCTGAGACCTGGGGAGTTTTCTTTCTCCTAATGTCTTTTTCCTGAAATAAAAGAACACACAGAAATAGGGCTTGGATTGAGTTGCGGAAGCAACAGGTCAATGAAATAAATTCTCCTTTCCCAACGCTTAACTACATGAGGACTTGAGTCAAACCCATCTAAGCTACTGATTGTTCCTCAGGATGGTTGATGTTATCTAGAAAGCTGCCCTTAACACACCCAAGCACTGAAATGTCTCCCTGCTTGAAGTTGTGCTTTCTTTAGTGTCATTTAGTAGCTGTGCTGTGCTTTCAGGCTAAAGCCACATTTTTTCAAGCTAGTATTGAATTAGCATGTGTAACTGGAAGTCAAGAGAATTCAGTCAATTTTTAAGTCAGGAGCATGTGGGAATGTGTGGCTTTGATAGTATGGCACTCAAAGTAATTGATAGTGAAGATATAAGGTCTTGGATTAAATAGAAGGGAAGAACACCCTAGGGGCCTGTGGTAGGCAGCACCATCCCCTCTCCCCCAAACATGCCCATATCCTAATTCCCAGAACCTGTTACTATATTACCTTGCTTGGTCAAAGGACCTTTGTTGGTGTAATTTAATTAAAGATTTTGAGATGTGAAGATTACCCTGGATTATCAATATGGACTCTATGTAATATAAGAGTTCTTACAAGGGAAAGAGGGAGGCAAGAGGGCCAGGGTCAGATGAGATGCAGTAATGGAAACAGAGGTCAGAGTGATGCAGCCACAAGCCAAGGAACGCAGGCAGCCCCTAGAAGCCAGAAAAGATGTGGAACAGAGTCTCCTCTAGAGCCTCTGGAAGGAACACAGCCCTGCTGACATCTTAATTTTAGCCCTATAAAACCCAGTTCAGATTTCTGACCTCCAGAACTATATAATAATTTTTTGTTGTTGTTTTAAACCACTATATTTGTGGTGATTTGTTACTGCAGCAATGGGAAACTAGCACAGCACCTTTGCTACAATTCATCTTTTAGCAAGGATGGTGTTCAGGTCTGTCCCATTTCCATCCCTGCCATGATGACATACATGGAATCCTTAATTCGGTCTATCACTATGACCCTCTCCTGGAAATCAGAAAATGAATATCAGCCTCACAAATTATCACAAACCCGCAGAAAAATAAATATAGAGAAATACAATCAACAAACTGTATTTCAAAGCAGCATGCTTTGAGCGGAAGGACTAGAACATATAAAGCGTTGACAGCAGTTTTCTCTAGAAAGTGGGAGTTAGGAAAAAATTCTTTTCTTCTCTGTGCTTTTGGGCATTTCCTAAATTATGTACATATGCAATGAGTTATAATGTTTATAAACCAAAGAACTTATTTTAAAAAGAAAATAAAAAAACCATATCATCTGTATTGTCTTAAATATATTAAATTATTCAACTCTGTCAACCTTAACCATGTCCAGCAAGACTCAACCCAGCTAAGTCCTTTAAATTTTGCTCCTGGAAAAGAGGAAGAGTGGTGTTCCAGAAATCACATAGACACTTCAAGAGAGCACAGATGGTTTAAGTCTCAGCTCTTTTCCTTGCTGACTGTATGAATTTCGAACAACCATGTTAACCTACCTGAACTTAGCCCCTTTGCAGATTTTTTGAATAAGCACTCAAGTTTAGTAAAGGCGGTTTTAAGTAGCTATTAGTTTGTATACCGCTCTTTTGGTTTAACTTCAAAGTATATTTTTCTACCTTTTATACCCATTGGGAAGCGACCTATCTTTAAAACCCAGTCCAAATTCCACTTCTTTTTAAATTAAGTCTTTGTGATTGTGACAATTTATGGAACACTTACTGTGTGCCAAGTACTTCAACAATTGGTTTATTCACATGATTATCTCACCTCATTTTCACAACACAATGAAGTAGGTGTTACTGTCTTCATTTTTCAGATGAGAAACCTGAGGCTAAGGAGAGGCAACTCACCCAAGACACAGGAAATGGAAAGGGTTAAATCTGAAATTGTCCAGGCCTGTCTGACTCCTTAGCTCTTGCTCTTGAATACTGGCCCCTCTAGAAATAAGCCACAACTCCCTCCTGTGATCACTGTAGCTCTTTGTTCTACCTTTGTTGAGAACTGATTTTACACTGCTTTGTTTGTTCTTACTTATAGTTATTTCTATTCCTTTGGACTGAAAGCTTTTTGGGTGCAGTGTTGACATTTCTGGAATTTTGGATTCAATAGATTATAGCATCACATTCTGCACATAGCAGGTTTTCAATAAACATAGAGAGGCTGACAAAAATCACATTTGAAGTATTTGAAGTAATATTGCGCTTCTTCAAACCTAAGGCCTGGGAGAAGTAATTCAAGGCCATGCACTCTGGACCTCCAAACACATATGCAAGGCTTTCAGAGCCCCTGGGCTTTCTGTTCAGGACCCAGGTCCACAGTGGATGTCCAAGCCCTCTCGAGCAGGGAAGAATTGAATAGGCATGCAGGAAAATTGCCTGCCCTGTGAATTCAAACTATTCCAGGATCACTGGTATTGCCCCTCACAATACACTTAGGTGAGGTCAAGGTGTGGAAATTGAGAAAGGTCACTCTTCACACTGGCAGGTACTTTCAATGTTAGCAGGACAGAAACAGAATAGGCAGAGGCAGCATGGGACAGACACAGGGATTTTGCCTATAATTAGTCAACTTTCCAGCCCAACAAACAGACTTTCAGTGGTTTATGACAATAAACATTTATTTTTGCTTACATTCCATCAGGGCTGCAGGATGGCTACAGCTCTGCTCCAGCTGCGGGTTAATTGTGGGTCTGCTCTTCTCATCTTCTTACTCTAGGACCCAGGCTAAAGGAGCAGCTCTGACTGAGACAATCTGTTCTCAGGGCAGAATGAAGAAGTGCAAATGCTGGACTGAACCATGCAATTACATTTAAAGCTTCTGTTTGAATATAACAAGTGCCACATCAGTCTGTGTTGATTGATTGAGGCAAGTCACATAACCAAGCCCAAAATCAGTGGGTCTGAGACATTTGCTCCTTCCAAGAAAGTAAACAGTGAGGGAAACTACAGTGGGAAAAGAGCATAGAATAGAGGTGGAAAGTGTAGAAAACAAACCTCTTAGTGGCAACATACGATAGGTGCCCAGGGCCAGCTCTGAGGATGGTGAATCCCTTCTCTTTGGTGGTCAGAGGTTTCCTCTACATTTCCAACTTCACAGCCATCAGAGTTCCAGAGACAAGATATGCAACCTGTAAAGCTCTGCATAGGAGAAGGGGCCTCATTCTCTCTCTCACTTTGTAGGCTGCTGTTAATGTGACCTCTTGATTCTCGATGCTCTCTACCGAACTAACTTTATAAAACAGAGTGAATCAGAAGCGATACAGAGGGGAACTTGCTAGGGAAATTGCCTTCCTCAGAACCTTTGTCCATCTATATGGCATATAGGTCATATATTTCTATGCATACACACAACATATACTCATACACATACACAGCTATTTCTACTCATACACACATACACTCAAGTGTATTACATACTTACACACGCTGCCAGCTGGGATGAGTTATAATGTGGTTTGACTAAGTTGTAGGAAAACAATATAATTAAGTTGAGAGGTCTTTGTAGAAAAATATAATGATCAGGTTTATATAAAACAAGAAAGACCTATCATGAAATTTACAACCATGCTGATACATTTAATGAAGCAGGAATTTTTTTTTAAATACCAAAAAATTCTAAGCAAGCACAAAAGCACCAAGAAATGATTGTGCTTGTCAAGTAATCTTCCAGTGGAATGCTCTTGATAAAGATGATTTTTTATGAGGCTTCAGCCTTTCAGCAGTTAATGGTGAAGTGTGACTGTCACTGCCTTCTGTTCACATAGGATCACAAAGCTTTCATGCTCAGAAGAATGCCCCAGTGTTCACATTTAAAGGAAATTCTTAAATCGGGAGGTCCCTAAACTTACATAGGAAAAAATTTTATCTTTATATTTACTAACCTCCATCTGAAATTTTATCACTTCCTTCCATTTTAAATATAGGTAAAACCACAGTGGTATTAGCACTACCTCTCATGTTTGTCACCAATAGAAATTAATAGTTTCATATCTCAATATAGTTGTTGCAGATATTATAAAATTTCATTTATGCTCATCACGACTCTGAAATTACAGTAGTTTTATTGTACCTGTCAGCAGATCTTGTTATCTGATGCTTTCAAAAAGAAGCACATGTATGATTATATTACAAATTTGACTATTTCTAAGATAGTTATATAATTATATTTTAACAATTGTTTTTCTTTATAATTCCATGTTTTTTTAAAAAAACTTTATTCCCTCAAAAGTTTTCATCATGAGTAGGGGTCTGTGGTCTTTACTAGAGTGTCAAAAACGTCCATGGCACAAAAAATCGATAACACTTGCCTTACATGTGGTTAACTCTCACTCAACTAGGGAGAGCGAGTAAGGGTTATTATCACCACAGACATTCTACTAAGATCTCAAGAGAATGTCATTGAGTATATGCTTTCATTTGTCCAAGGGCCTAACCCAATTTTCTGGGGGCAACAGATTTGCTTCTTACATTCTGTTCTCCTAACGAAGAGGATGAAAGAGCTGGGCTTCAAATCCTGGGGTCGGGTGCCTCCCCTCTCCAACCATCAGCTCATGCTTCCGTTTGTGGTGTCCACTGAAGGTGCGATTCTTTTTCTCATTCTCCCCTGGTTCTTTGGTGATGCAAACATTGTATCATGACACACATGTCCTTGTGTTTCTGTGATTCACTGGAAACTGGAGTCTCCTATCTGGTTTTCAGTGTTAGTCCTATTCACAGATTTATTAGCTGTCCAGATTTCCCTAATATTTCAGAGAAATAGTAGATAGGTTAACAGCTTTCAAGTAAGAAGATAGATTAAGAATTTTCAAGTAAGGATGCCAAGGTAAATTACCAGATCTTTGCGTGCCTCATCTGTGTGCCCTGTAAGGGTAATAATATCCACCTCACAGGTTTATAGGCATTAAGTGAGATGCAGAACATCATAGGTTCTCAGTAACTGTTAGCTCCTTCCCTTCTCTTCATTGAGGGCCTATCTGGCTAAGGCAGCCTTCTCCACCTAACAGGAAACAATAATATGTGCAAGAAGCAGAATCATTTCTTGCTTCTGTTGAAGTGACTAGTTCAGAGCTCCACCTTGTGAAGCAGCCGGATCTTTTACTTCCAAGATGGAGACTGCTATGCTCAGTTGATTGGGAATGGGGTGGCTTATTTCTAGAAAGGCAAGAGAAAAATATGCTTTTTAAAGTAATGACTCACTTATAGGTTGCAAATTATATTTATTGTTATACAAAAGGCATAGTATTTCTAGCTTCTTAATAACTCAAAACTATATATACTAGGATAAGTTTTAGTTTATAATTCATCTGTAATTTAATTATTTAATAATGCCTAAGAGTTAACAAAAAATAAACTATAATTAATTCCAAAGAAAAATGAAGCACTAAAGAATACGTGGAAAAATATTTTTACAACAATTATTTTTAAATAAGGAGGAAAGTTTGGGGTTAATAGCACTTCTCTCTCTCTCCATATATCTATATATAAATAAACAGAATAAACCCATTTTAGCTAACTTCATTGACAAAATAAGATATTTACTCCTTCAATTATTATTATTATTATTACCATTATTATTATTATTATCACTTTGAGACAGAGTTTCACTCTTTTTGCCCAGGCTGGAGTGCAATGGCACAATCTTGGCTCACCACAACCTCTGCCTCCCGGGTTCAAGCGGTTCTCCTGCCTCAGCCTCCCGAGTAGCTGGGATTACAAGCATGTGCCACCACGCCCAGCAAATTTTGTATTTTTAGTAGAGACAGGGTTTCTCCATGTTGATCAGGCTGGTCTTGAACTCCTGACCTCAGGTGATCCGTCCGCCTTGGCCTCCCAAAGTGCTGGGATTAAAGGCGTGAGCCACCGCGCCCGGCCACTCCTTTAGTGATTATTATTGACATGTGAATGATTGTTTTAAGTATTTGTTTAACGTCTACTTATCTGACTATTGGCATATGAATTGCTCTTGAAACACATTCCCTCCTTCATTGTCTAAGTTTACCTATTGAGATTGATACACCTGTATCTGCATCTATAGCTACAGCTATCTGTGCACCTGTAGTGGAGAGGCTTTGAGGCTTTGAACTAATTTATAAAGAAGTTTTTCAAGTAAGCAATTATTAATTTGAAAAAATCTCAGTAATAAATATAAAGGAATGGTGATTAGAGGCTTTAGGAAAATATTCAGGAGAAGACAGGCAGGCTGTACATAAAGGTGCTAGTGCCCTTACTAGTAATTGCTGCTGAGAAACATTTGGTTCAATTCCGAGCAAGCACGTGGCATGGGGACTTGTTTTTATAAAAAGCAAAAACAAAAACAAAAACATGTACTGGTGTTCCTGGAAAGATAGCCGGTCTAACTTGTGTGAGAAAAATTTAAAGAAAGAAATAATAAAACGGAAAGATGTGGATAATTATCACTTAACAAAATATTCCAACTATGTTCAGGTTTAAATTATTCAAAAAGATAAGAAAAAACATTCCTTCAAGAATATGATGCTTTTACTCAGTGATTATCACAATGGACAAACCTGGATGACAAATCTGCTTAGTGCTTGGGTTTTTAGGAGACGAGGTTTCTAAAATGAACATTTTGAGGAAGAGACATTCTAAACAATTGATTATGATTATGAAATATGAAGCGAAATTATGATTCAAACTAGGTTTCCTGAAGTTAGATTATGCCATATTTCACTTAAGAACACAGTAGAAAGGAAATATTACAAACACCTTATTTTAGATGAGGAAACTCCCATCTGTGGTGGGAGGAGGGAGGATTCAAAGATTGCTGAAATCTCTCTTGGCTGCTCTGTGTGGCAGAACCAGTGTGAGAACTCAGAAAGCCAGACCTCAGGGCTCTGTTCCTTCCGTTGTTGCATCCTAGTTGTTTCAAGGAAGCAATGAATGAGGAACCAAATATGTGCACAGTGTTCTGGCTTATCCAGTGGATATTAAGATGATTTCTTGCTCTCCTTTTCCTCCAATGTACTATAAAAAATAACACTTTTACACTGTTGGTGGGACTGTAAACTAGTTCAACCATTGTGGAAGTCAGTGTGGCGATTCCTCAGGGATCTAGAACTAGAAATACCATTTGACTCAGCCATCCCATTACTGGGTATATACCCAAAGGAATATAAATCATGCTGCTACAAAGACACATGCACACGTATGTTTATTGCAGCACTATTCACAAGAGCAAAGACTTGGAACCAACCCAAATGTCCAACAATGACAGACTGGATTAAGAAAATGTGGCACATATACACCATGGAATACTATGCAGCCATAAAAAAGGATGAGATCATGTCCTTTGTAGGGACATGGATGAAGCTGGAAACCATCATTCTCAGCAAACTATCGCAAGGACAAAAAACGAAACACCGCATGTTCTTACTCATAGGTGGGAATTGAACAATGAGAACACTTGGACACAGGAAGGGGAACATCACACACCGCGGCCTGTTGTGGGGTGGGGGGAGGGGGGAGGGATAGCATTAGGAGATATACCTAATGTAAATGACGTTAATGGGTGCAGTGCACCAACATGGCACATGCATACGTATGTAACAAACCTGCACGTTGTGCACATGTACCCTAGAACTTAAAGTATAATAAATATATATATACGTATATATATATATACGTGTATATACATACATATATATAAAACATTGAATGTGGGGAGTGCTTTATCCCTTTCCAAGTTAAGGAGCTTGTCTTTCTCTTCTACTTAACCCATGCTGTCCTGGAAGCATGCCCACAAACTCAACACCACACAGCCCACGGTCACAGTGCCACTTATCTTTCCTGTGAGGTCCTACTCCTTGCCTGCATTTAGTAGAAGGAATCATTCTTGGTACAAATCAACAGTGCGTGTCTGCGGTGAGAAGACCTTCTGGCTCAGTGTGAGTTTCAGTGCCTTCCGAAACCACTGGTAGGAAAAGACATAGATGATGGGGTTGCAGGCTGAGTTGAAGTAAGCAAACCAGATAAAGATGTCAAAGACCAGTGGGGGTGTGATAAAGTGAAGGAGGCTGTCGACCATCGTGTCTATGGTGAAGGGCAGCCAGCACAAGAGGTATATGCCCACAGCAATGCCCAGGGTCTTGGCAGCTTTTCTCTCATGCTTGGCAGCCCCAGCCAGGCTTTTGCTCAATGTGGTAATCTGCTGAGCCTGTCTGGTAGCAACCACAAAGATCTTCACATACAAGCTGATCATAATGAGGCAGGGGACAAAGAACAAAGGGAAGTTTAACCAGCCCCAAAATTTATTGAGCAGCAGCTGGCAACTGCCCACACAAGGCATCTCTTCCAGCCACTGGCTGAGCCTTGTCTCTACCACATCTGTGTAGAGGAATAACGAAGTGTATGCTGCGGGCACCCCCCATCCTGCCAGGATGTACCTGAGAGCCACCCTCACTGTGAACTTGGAGGGATAGAGCAGGGGGTCACAGATGGCACAGTGGCGGTCAATGGAAATGAAACAGAGATGGAAGATGGAGGTGAGGCAGAAGAGGGTGTCCAGGTAGGTGTGCAGGCGGCAGAGGAAGTCCCCGAAGAACCAGCAGCTCTCCACTGAGCGAATGGTGCTGAGGGGCAGCACCAGCAGACCCAGAAACATGTCAGCCAGGGCCAGGGAGAGCAGCAGGAAGTTGGTGGGCGTGTGAAGCGCTTTGAAGTAGGACACAGCAAATGCCACAAATACATTCCCTAGCACGATAATCAGCATGCCTGCTGCACAGGCCAGGTAGATGACCAACTGGATGCCCAGAGTATGTACTGTCCTGGGGCAAGACCCATTCACCTGGTAGCAGAATGCCGCAGGGTGCTCTTCAGCACCTTGGATGAAGACAGCTCTCATTTATGATTTCTACTCTTCCTCTGTCTGAGAACTGGCCACCTTCTCCACTGGAGGGCAAAAAAAAAAAAAAAAAAAAAAAAAAAAAAAAAATATGTCTGCTAAATAATCACAGAGTGAAACGAAGAGGAAGAAACTAAAGTACAGTTTGGAACATAGTACAGTGCCCCTGGGTACTGAATCAAATGTGCCCTGAAAATCAAATGCAGCATAGTATTCAAGGTTTCATGAGAGTTACTTCTGCTAGCTCTAGTTTATATGACTAGGCACTTTAAAACTAGTGTAGGTAGTATTCTTAAAGAAAGAAAAGAAGGATGTAAGCTGAATGTTTCCTCAAAGAAAGCTTGATTATATCCATAGGTAGTATTAAATAATAGAGAATGTCTCTTACGTTTTGATAAGGTATTTTTTGTCAAATGTAAAGTGAAATTTAAAGCAAAGATCTGAACCAAGTGACCAATTAATTCTTGTTAATAAATTATTCCTTGGAAAAAGTGTAACTTCTAGCTTCTCTCTTTAAGAATTACATACATTGACAATAAAGTTAGCAGATTAAGATTTTTAGCTACATGCCAACTCTTCCCAAGAGAAGAATTCAGCATGCAAATATTAATAATTAAAAGAGTAGAAAATTGCTCTATTTTAGCTTTAAATGCTGCACATTTTATGATGATAACACAAAGTGTTTACACATCTTGGTATAACTATTTGATAGGCAAAATGATTTTATCTATTTAACATCTTAATGTAAGTCTGTGAATTATTAACCAAGTCCTAATATATTGAATTCAGAGTTTCTAAGTTACTTACACAGGTAGGAATCAGAATCCCTTCCTGGGAAAAAATGTTTCTTGGAGCAGGTGGACACAGGGAATGTCAGAGTACTCTTCTGTTGGCCACAATGACAGGTGTGCAATTAGTTAACGATTTTATACTCTCAATAGAAACTACTCCTCCATGTGCTATGATACAAATAAGCTGTGAAGAGGCACCATGGGACCTAGTTTGCACTATTTGCAAGTCTCAGTTGTTTAAGGTTCCTCCTCAATACAGAATCACTTACCCTGACAATTAATTAGAGATAAAATTTAAAGACGGTGGATGTATATATTCTTTTTTAATTTTTCAGTTCTGGGATGTTTTGAAGGTATTCTTGCCTGCTAATGGCTGCTATATATTTTCTAATTTCATTTTTAGTGAGTTTCTTATTTTTCTTCTGCTTTAGTATTATTTGTGTATATTTCTCTCAACATGAGAAATAGTTGAGAATAATTGATCATGGGTTTTTTGGTTCATGAAGGGGTGGTTTGTGACTTCCACACAGGATTCATCATTATGTGTTTTTTGAGCACTATATTTTGTGATGGTGAAAGAAAGCATGGTAGATGAAGCAGTTCACCTGGAGGAAGAATAGTTAAATTCCTGTTTCATCCTTTCTTATGCCATACCTAACCTCTCTCTCTGCTTCCCCATTGGTAAGAGTAGGTACAATTATACCTGTGTAACTTGATTTCACAGGGATATTATCAAGGTAAATAACATGTTGAATCGTATTCTGCTCTCTGCCTCTTGATATCTTAGAAGCTGGTATGCCTCTTTATGGTTACAGAGAAACCATTTCACAGTATCAGTCAAACTAAAGTTGTAAAAATGACAGAATTCTAGAGGTGACACCAAATTACATCTGCCAGAGGGGCCTGGAAGAGGAGGTGGGGCAGGTCAAAAAGAAGGAAGGAGGTTGGTATGCACCTCTCCTTTCTCTACAAATCCATGGCTAAACCCAGTGTTTCCCAAGGCAAAGCTCCCTATAGCCTGGCTACCGCTGGAATCTTGCCTTATGCCAGCTTCATATGTGTGGAAATACATATCTGGCTCCAGAACTTAATCAGACACAAGGAAGGATATTGCATTACTAGGTACCTTGAAACCCCTTTAGCTTAAAAGTCATAATCCACATATAATTGGCCAAGGAGTCCTATGGCTTTATATTTAATTTGACCAAGAACTTGTGAAAAATACAAACAAATGTCCTGTAGCTGGAATAAGGCTGAAGAAGAAACAGGGAAAGGTTTTCTGTTCTGGGATAGATTACATCAGACCTACTAAAATGTAATATGTAACACAATTGTATGATCTCTATGTCTCAGATTACTTAACACCACTGTGTCCAGTTTTCTCATCTATTAATTGAATATAATACATGATCTGTGTCACAATCTTGTGAATATTAATGAGTTAAAATTCATAAAGTGCAGTCTCTGGCATGTAGAAAGTTGAGTTGGGCAGACAAGAGTTCGAGTGGATATCTAGTGCAGATAACTGTTAACCTTCCCAAGTTAGGGCTCTTATCCCTTCTTCCACTGACTTTTAGAAATACATTCCATTACATAACAATCACAGGCAAAAGTAATTGGATTCTGGATCTACTAAGGTTTCCTGCTTACCTTAGGGATTCATTAATGTTGCAGCAAGCTGCTAAAGGTCTTGAATAAAAGAACATTTTTATTTCTTTTAAATCTCCCCGCTGCATCATGTGTAGCCTCCTCTGCACTTTACTTACTAGAAACCAAATTTGTTTTCAAATTACCGCCAACTTTAACAAAATCGATTATAATGAGGCTGTGCTAATTATGATAACCTGAAATTATGAAGCCAGATGGAAGTGTTCTTAGTACAAGCTCAAACTGGCAGACTTCACTCAGGTTCAGAGATTCTCTTTCTATAGCCTGTTGTCTATGGACGGTCTTTGCCTGCCTTTGAGAGCACATAGGACAGAATAATTCTTGATTCCTCAAAATCTGTCTGATATGATTTGGGTCTGTGTCCCCGTGTAAATCTCATGTCAAATTGTAATCCTCAGTGTTGGAGGTGGGGCCTGGTGGGAGGTGCTTGGATCATGGGGGTAGATTTCCCCTTTGGTGCTGTTCTTTTGATAGTGAATGAGTTATCATGAGATCTAGTTGTTTACAAGTGTGTAGCACCTCCCTTCTGCCTCTTCCTCCTGCTTCAGCCATGTAAGATGTGCCTGCTTTCCCTTTGCCTTCTGCCATAATTGTAAATTCCCTGAGGCCTCCCCAGCCATTCTTCCTGTACAGCCTGCAGAACCATAAGCCAGTTAACTTCTTATTTATAAGTTCTTATTTATAAGTTACACTTGGCCTAGCTCTACTCTGCACCCGGCTCTTCTTCCTCTCTGCTGACATTGCTAAGCAACAGTGGTCCCAGATCTACCACTGAATTCCTGGGTAAGGACCACAGAACAGTAGCTACCCAGGGGCAACAGCTTACCACAGACTTTGCCATATGCCCTGTCTTTGCAATTTCACTTCAGTGGGTGAAAGTACTTGCTCAAACTTGCTTCCTCATGCCGATCTTCAGGAAGTTGGCTTAGTGACCCCTTCTCTGATGCTCTAACTCCACTTCCCCAGCTTTCCCTTGACTCTAATAGAGGCTCTGGTTCCCTTACAAAACCTGATGCTACAGTCTTTGGTCAAAAATGCAGGCAGTCTCTCCACAACCCCATGTCAGGCTAAATTTTCCTCTGCCATGCTCTCATGGCCTCTTGTGCCTGGCTCTGTCACAACACATATTACCCTGTAGTGTAACTGAGTGGCTATGGTCCCTCCTATGAAGTCAAAATTCCCTTGAGGCCAGGGTTTGAGTTTTATTTATCTCTGAACCACAATCAGAGCAACACTTGGCACATAGTAGGTGCTCAATAAATGTTCGTTGAACCGAGTGACTTTTAATACAGACAGCAAGTATCATGGAAATTACCATTCCCCCTGAGATAATGGTTACTCTGCTCAGCTTAGATGAGTCCTGGGAAGAGGAGATTTGGTTTAGGAATGAAAATGGCTGCTTCACTCTCCTTGGCCTAGCCTAGGAAGAGCATTTGGAGCTGTTTTGAAAAACTATTGAGCTAATGTTTGTGGACACCCTTGTAAAGTTCAGTCTGGGAGGATAATGAATATATGTACACACATGAAAGACATGGACGCATCCCCACTATGTGTACACACAGGCTGCATACATACATGGATCTAAAGTGTATATTGGGAGAAAGAAAGCATATTTTCCCAAACTCTTTATTCATTTTTCTCATTTAGTAAGACAGTCCAATTTTATCAAATATTGCAAATCTCACATCAGTTCTTTCTGAAAAGGGGTTTCAGCCAAAATCATTACAATTGGAAGTAACTACAACTGTCTGTGTCTTTCTCCCTTTCCGCATCACTAGCATGCTCCATAACTCAGACTTCCTGTATGCCCAGGCTCTCTCCCACTTCCCTAACAAGCAACAACAATCTCAAGAAAGATTTAGATAAACTCAGATATACATGGCTGTCAATGATTGTGGAAACCAACTTTGCTTTTGCATCTGATGTTTTCAAGTTAAAGTAAGAAAATCTCTATATGATTTAAGCCAAAAGACTAAAATTCTAGATCCCTAATTTGGAATCTCAGGAGTCAGTAAGACTTGGGAGAGATTCTTTTTATTGGAGTTGTCTTTCCCCAAAGCCCAGAAATGGACCGCTTTGGTAGCTTTAGTATACCTGGAAGGCTCATCTATAACTCCTACCTAGATGTTCACTACGCCAACTGGAAGGATCTCCTTATCTGGTCAATTCATGCCCCTACTTGTGTGGAGAAAGGGCATCCAAGATTCCCCACCAGAAAAGAGTCCTATTGAATGATGAACACAGCCTAAGCATGGGCAGAAAACAGGCTTAGGGTGGAAGAGTCAGGGTGGAAGATCATGCCTGTGACAATCATCCTCAATGCCTTGCGAAACCAAGGATAAAGCATGCCATATAAAATGGGATTGAAAGCAGAGTTGAAATAGCCTAGCCAGAGGAAGACATTGTACAGATCTTCAAGGGTTGTAAAATTAATGAAAGGATCTGTGATCGTCAAGACAAAGAAGGGCAGCCAGCACAACACAAACACTCCCATGACTATGCCTAAGGTCCTGGTGGCCTTGCTTTCTGTTTTAGAGGATGCCTTTTTTTTTGCTTTCTGACCCAGCCTGTTTAGTCCTAGAACCTGTGCCAATTTGCATGGCATGCTTCCTGGCTACTGTAAAAATATGTATGTAAATTCCCACCGTGGTTGTCCCTGGGAGAAAGAAAGCTATAAAGGAGGCCAGTACCCCCCCAGAGCTTATTAAATATTAACACACACAAACCTGTGCAATCAATGGCTGCAACAAACTCTTCTGCACCAATTATGTTTAGTTTTGAGAATACCAGGCCAAAGGCAAAAAGGATGGGAATGGACCAACTGATGAGTAGAAAGAGTTCTATGACAGGGATGGTAATTCTGGTGACATATTGCAATGGGTCTCAAACAGCATCGTAACGGTCAACTGAGATGAAGCAGAGGTGAAAAATGGAGGTGGTGCAGAGTATGATGTCACAGCAGCTGTGGACTTTGCAAAAGAGGTCTCCAAAATACCAGCAGGACTCGATGGATGTGATCACACTGAAGGGCATGACCACACAGCTCAGCAAAAAGTCAGTGATGGCCATGGAGAGGATCAAGAAGTTGGTCGGGGAGTGGAGCTGCTTGAAGTGAGCGATGGAAATCATTACGATCATGTTGCCCAGCATTGTCATCACTATAGACCCGATCATGACCAGGTACATGGCCCAGACACTCAGCACCGGCCTCACATTTCTAGGGCATGAATTGTTAACTGAACTAAAGCAAAATTGTACTGTTGGGGGGTTCTGAGGGTCAGGCAAATTCATCATCTTTGTCTCATGGGTACTATGAATCTTGTTCAAAAGTGCTGTGTTCCTCTCAGTTCTGTGTGAGAAAGACACAGTACAACAATACAAATCACCAGCAGCACAGCTTTTTTCAGAGGCCAAACTAAGCCTGCATGTACAATCCAAATATGAATTCCCTACTGACCAGGAGCACTGCTTCCTAAAGCTTTGCATGCATACAAGTCACCTAGGGATCTTTTTAAAACACAGATTCTGATTCTAGGGGAGGGCTGAGAGTCTGCATGCAGGTGAACGCATGTTCCAGTTGCCCTAATATTAACCTTACACAGGATTCCGAATCCGTAGGCAGATTGAGTTTTTCCTGTCTCGCTTATATTGGACAGTTTTTAAACAATAAAATCTCCTCAAGGATTATGAAGAACTGTGGAACTATTATTTAATGTTTAGCTTAAACAATAATTATGATCTGAATATTATGCTGATGCTTCCTTTTTAACTTTATGTGTGAGCATTTGCCAATGCTTTCCATCCTGCCACTTATGACATACTATTCGATTAAGGAAACATTTATCTCTCCAGTATGGAGAACAACATAGTTTTTAGAGTTTTGAGCTATATTATGGCAAATTAAAAATATACTGAGGATCACAAAGTTATAGGTGAATAATCAAAAATATAAAGGAAAAACCCACAAATAACAGATTCTATAAATCTGTGGCTTATCTCCTTTCATTTAGCAGCTGTATTCATGAATTCAAGCTCAAGTTGAGGTCCTTTCCCCCTGTTTTCGTCTTATATTCGTAACAAATGTGATACGTGTGAGTGCTCATTGTTTAATCTATCATTTTGTATAATTAATGCCATTGCCCTTGTAATGTGAAAATAATGGGACTGACTTATCCAGAGTATGACATGTTTTGATTTGTTTTTTCCAGTGCCGGAGCTGGATGTGTAATTCTGGTGACGAATGCGATCTAAGGCCAATTGAAATGGACTTTGGCCTGAGAATAGGCTAAAACTGAATGGTCCTTTGGGAAAATGAACCCACAAGCACATCCTCACCAGATTTAATTGAAAAAGACATTAATAAAAATACAAGCACCTTTAAAAATACTATTTTCACTATTTGCTACAATAGCTTAGCAATGATCTCCAATACTGTATATTATTTTAAATGTTAACATTATGACATGTTTTATTTGCTCTGGATATAGTAACTTGATTTCTTAAAATTTTTTAGGGTTTTTTTTAAATACCAATCAAATATTAAACAATTAAGTTGTACTTGAAACACCAAGCCATAGGGAAATAAAATGTAAGAAGAACAAAGATGTGTTCAGCTCCTTTATAAAGTGCAGACTAGCAATCAGAATACACAGAATAAATTGTTTACTAGTCAGTTTGGTTCCAAAGTTCTAAAAGGCTGCAAATAATCAAATCTTAATATCTAATATTTTATTTAATAAGTTAAATTTAGCCTGCTCTTTATCTCCCCTGCATTTGTAATTTAAAAACCTTTCCTCAATTCTTTTTAAATTCTTTTAAAAATCAATCTTTAAGAAAGCTAACAATTACAAAGTCATTTCAGCATTTGCCACTATATATTCATAAATAAAGCATTCCCCATACAAAATTTTACATTTCATTATACAGTTTTAGAGTTTTAACTTCCAAGTTTGAAAATCTAATCACTGAAAGAATATAATTTAACCTCCTCAGTTTGTAAAGTGAATTTATTTATTTATTTATTTATTTGAAAAACATGGCATGAAACAACTTATAGAAATTAACAGTATTCTCTCATATATTACAGTTACATATAATAAGGAAATGGTTAAACATTTAAGTGTTAGTTTAAGACAAGAAGATAGAGTAAGACACCCACATATATGTTTAAAATTATTACATGGGTGAATTGTTAAGGTAATGTCAAAGATAAGAATAATTTCAAACTCCTATCTTAAGCTCTTGGTGAAAAGTTATGAAAACAAGTAACCACATGAAAATATGACTGCTGGCTTGCTTGTTTGCTAAAGGGAACTGAGTATAAAATTAAATCAAGTTGGAGTTTTGTTTATTATTTAAAACTTAACAGAATAAAGATTCCTTTTATTTGGAGATTCGCCTTCAGAAAAGATAGATACAGCATTTTTTTAAAAACAAAATAAAATAAAGTTAAGCCCTTTATGGCATCTCACTTTTTTCATGGGATATTATTGTGCCTTTTTCTCTTTTTTACCAATAACATTTCCCCCAAGCATCAGCAACAAAGGGCTAAATTAATTACAGCATTGCAAACAACCACCCATGGAAATTATTAGTTATTTCTTCTAGGAGGCAGAAAGAAACATCCGTTGACAATTCTGGAGATAAGAGCAAGAACTGCATAGCTTTTTCGTTCAAATGTAGTTCTTTAAGGGAGAAGACGATAGACTAATGAAACATAAACAAGAACTCTGAAATAATAATTTTGAAAATGTAAACAATTATTGGAATTTCAAGGAAAAGGGGATTTATGCAATACTTTTTTTCTCCAGTACTAGAACCCTGAAATATGTTAGTGTACACATATTTCCATCAAATAAGAAGAGGGAAATATAGCTCAACTAGTTCAGCAATGCATTGTAAATAAATGGAAAAAATTAGGGGAGGACGTATCATACCTGCTTTATCAGGCATGATTTTTCTCTTACTGGTTACATAGCCCAAACAATCTACTTCTGCCCCCATTTTCACAGAAATAATAATTTTATCTTACTTTGATATATCTCATCCTTACAATAGTGGCATAGGTAAGGGAAATTATTGGTAAATTAGATTTAAGAAAGATTTGCTGTGGGTCTTCCCATCATTGTTTCTTTCAAATCTCAGTGATTTAAGAAAATGACCCAGATTTATTTTTATGGGTCAGTATTTTAAGAGGGGTATCTTTCAACACACAAAAAATAGCAAACAAAGAAAATAAACCTATCTAATTTTTTTCTGTCCTAATATATTCTCCTTTGGCTTGCCAAAATTTGGCTAATTAGGCTGGTGAAATTAATATAATTGAAAGGTGAGTTATCTGTTACACTACGGTTTCTTACCAAGCAAATTTGCACTGTGTTCTCTTGTTGTCTGCCCTGCTCACACTCACATCCTAGGAACTTGGGGCCACACTATTGTAGGTAGGCTCCTAGCAGGCTGTGCTGCTGCCAGTATTTATGCCTAAAATATGCCTCTAGGGGCAGTGTCCTATGTCCTGCTTTTGACCCGTGTGTCTTTTCACAACCTTCGGTGTGCTGCCAGCAAGAGATTATAGTTAAGTCACCAGAGAAATGGCTCTGGGAGGGAGCTTCAGTTCTGTGCAAACATTGCTATGACCTCAGAGGGACAACAAGGACTAGCCTCACACAAGGCCAAAGGTAGGAAGAATGAAAAAGAGGGAAGGAAGGGAGGAAGAGAGGAAGAGAAGAAGGATGGGAGAGAGGAAGGAGAAAATGTAGCTGAAATACAACCCATGCTCCGTCCACTTATTACCAAATGCTTGATAATGCATTGATTCCATGAATTCTTTAATCTCTAGTGAAAGTTTGACTCATTTATATCTTTTTCCTGCCATGCAAAAGTCAGTGATATTCCTTCATACTGCAGTTCTTTTAAGTTCATAATTTTTCAAATAAAGGTCTTAGCCCAAGCTAAACGCAAAAAGAACAAGGCTTCAACACAATTGGATGAAAAGGGGACTCTTCATCACCACCACGGTATTTTCACGATCACTGGGGAAGACATTTCCATTAGTGTGCCATAATTCCAGACACTAAGCTTCAAGGAGTTTCCATTGATAATTTTATTATTCATCAACACCACACAGTTGTTTTACTTAAATACACAACACTTTGGAGAACAGCAAAGCTTTTCTTTTCTTTTTTTTTTTTTTTTTTTTTTTTTTGACGGAGTCCCGCTCTGTCACCCAGGCTGGAATGCAGTGGTGGATCTTGGCTTGCTGCAACCTTCACCTCCTGGGTTCAAGTGATTCTCTTGCCTCAGCCTCCCGAGTAGCTGGGATTACAGGCACCTGACACCATGCCTGGCTAATTTTTGTATTTTTAGTAGAGATGGGGTGTCACCATGTTGGCCAGGCTGGTCTCGAACTCCTAACCTCAGGTGATCCACCTGCATCCGCCTCCCAAAGGGCTGGGATTACAGGCATGAGCCACCGCTCCCAGCCCAAAGCTTGCTCTTGTAGAAATAGAAACAAATTATTCATATTTAAATCAACTGGTAAGGACTAACTTTATTATGTCCTCTGTGGATATTCTTCATGAAATTAAATGCCTTCGTGAATGGGGATGGCTGGAAATGTTGGATTTCCTCTATATGCTCATCTGGGTTTATAAAACTTCTCTTTCCAAATTTCTGTCTTATACTTAATAGTATATTTTTATAAATTTTGATTGCTTCAGTCAGGGTCCAGTCAGGAGAATAGAATGGAAAATTTTTATTTCAACAGAAAGAAGTTAATTTAGAAAATTAGTTTAAAATACATTTGAAAACTTAAAGAGCAAAAAGCATTTGTAAACAAACAAAAAATAAACCAAAAAAACCCTGATGAGGTTACTACTAATAGTAACTGTAGGAGGCATCTACCTCCCTAGATTGGGGAAAGAAGTAGTGGTTGAATTATCAGAACCTAGAAGCACAGAACAGGGGCCCCTCAGAATGTGTTCTCAGACTCCTGAGGGAAGGATGCTACCCAGCTACAGCTGGTTCCTCGAGAGTTTGGAAAAAGTCCCTTTATAGAGGCAAATTATTATTAGTAGTAGTATTGTTTAACTTCTTTTACCTAAAGAGCTGGTTCATTATTGTTTACAGTTTGACAATAATGTAAAACATTTACATGCCTTCTTTGAGGGAGAAGATCTGTTAATGGCTTTAGGTATTTGGCCAGGTCCAGGTCCAGGAAAGAACTCAAATGTTTCAATGGTATTTGGCTAAATAAGATGATTTGGCATGAAGATGACTCCTCAATGCTCTCCCAACCTGACAGCTTAATGCACAGGCTCTGAACTCCCCAATCGGCCATGAGGAGGAACTGCTCTGACAGCAATGCTGGAGCTCCATGGAGAATAAAATGACTCCTGGAATTGCAGGATTTAATGATTTCTAAAAGTAGGAACAACAAAGGTTAATTTGTAAAAGGAAAAACAATTACATGCTTTGGACATTAAAAAGACATGATCTTTCCTTGAGATTACCGTACCAGTAAACCACTCTTAACTGCTCATCCCCAAAGAAGAAAAAAACTAATATACAATAAAGATAAAAGGACAAAGTAAACAAAAAGAAAAAGAAAGAAAAAGGAAAGAAGGAAGGAAGGAGGGAAGGAGGGAAGGAGGGGAGGAAGGAAGGAAGGAAGGAGGGAGGGAAGGAAGGAAGGAGGGAAGGAAGGAAGGAGGGAAGGAAGGAAGGAGAGAGGGAAGGAGGGAAGAAGGGAAGGAGGGAAGGAGGGAAAGAAGGAAGGAAGGAGGGAAGGAGGGAAGGAGGGAAAGAAAGAAGGAGGGAAGGAGGGAAGGAGGGAAAGAAGGAAGGAAGGAGGGAAGGAGGGAAGGAAGGAAGGGGGGAAGGAGGGAAGGAGGGAAAGAAGGAAGGAGGGAAGGAGGGAAAGAAGGAAGGAAGGAGGGAAGGAAGGAGGGAGGGAAGGAGGGAAGAAGGGAAGGAGGGAAGGAGGGAAAGAAGGAAGGAAGGAGGGAAGGAGGGAAGGAAAGAAGGAAGAGACAAAGAAAGAAAAAACACACCAGACCAACAGGTACTCATAAACTGAAATCTTGAATTTTTAATAGAATTTTTTCTCATACACTAACTAACAAATAAATCTGAATTAAATACAAAATTCAAATGATTCAAATCAGATTTCTTTTACTTTATTGGACAAAAGCCTTGCAAAGTATATATTCATCTGTCCACATGTTTTATTTTCTCCCACCAGAATGCAGATAGCTAGAGGACAGGGTTTAATTCTAGCTTACCATTGTGTTCTGTGCTATATGCCCCTTGGTGGGCAGCAAGAAATATGTACTTTACTCAACCACAGACAAAGCAGTGATATAATACAATCACTGACATGCAGTAAAATACATTTCAAAAAATCAAACAACCACGGTATTTACTGATGCATTCTCATAAAGAAACATGTTTGTGGATATTTATTGTAACATTATTTGTTGTAGCAAAAGACCAGAAACAGTAGGGATCTAGTTAAATAAATTAGGATATTTCCAAATAATAGAATATTCTGTAGACTTTTCAAAAAATTTGGCAGGTCTATGTTTACTGACATAAAATGAAACTCTAATATGTGACAGTATGTAAAACAACCAAGATTAAAATTAGCATGTGTAATATTTTGCCATTTTTTAAAAGTGTGTGGGAGCAATATGTACATACAAGATTGTTTACAGATAGGCCTGTGTTTCTTACATATCTTAAAGAAGTGTCTACCTCTGAGGAGGATGTCTGAAAGACCAGAGAACAGAGATTAAGGAGAGACTTATTTTTTAGTGTGTAGACTTTGACTCTTTTTGAATTTTTTGAATTCAAAATATTTTTTGAATGAATGTGCTGAATTTTTTAAATTATGATTTTTAAAATAAGATTTTCTTTATTTTTATTTTTATCAAATTCTATTTAATTTAACTTAATTTAATTAAAACTTTATTTTAGCTGTAGTCTAAAGCAGCCATCCCCAACCTTTTTGGCACCAGGGACTGGTTTCTTGGAAGACAATATTTCCACAAATGAGGTGGGGGAAGATGGTTTTGGGATGACTCAAGCACATTATATTTATTGTGCACTTTATTTCTATTATTACATTGTAAATATATAATGAAATAATTATACAACTCACCATAATATAGAATCAGTGGGGGCCCTGAGCTTGTTTTTCTACAATTAGATGGCTCCATCCAGGGGTGATGGGAGACAGTGACAGATCCTCAGGCATTAGGTTATCATAAGGAGGGTGCAAGCTACATCCGTTGCATGCGCAGCTCACAATAGGGTTCATGCTCCTGTGAGAATCTAATGCTGCCACTGATCTGACAGGCAGTGAGCTCAGGCCGTAATGCGAGCAATGGGGAGCTGCTGTAAATGCAGTACAGATGAAGTTTTGCTTGCTTGCCTGCCCCTCATCTCCTGCTGTGTAGCTCAGTTCCTAACAGTCCAAGGACTATTACCCATCTGTGGTCTGGAGGTTGAGGACCCCTGGTCTAAAGGACCCTTATCTTTAAGTTTGTGAAGGCTTGGAATTAGGTATAGAAAATGACAATGTACAAGTAAAAACACTTTAAGAACATTCTGGAGCTCTAAGACCTTTAGAAGTCAAAAAAAAAAAAAAAAAGACAATACCAAAAAAATAAATACTGATCAGAAAGGATTAGGGCTATGGATTAAAAAAAAAATGTTTTGTTTTATTTTCATAAGAGTTTGCAGCAGGTTGTGCATGAACTAAAGAGCTCATAAAACTGCAAGCAGTTAACCTCAACCTCATTGAGATGTTTCAGATAACATTGCAATAAGAAACATGGCCTTGCTGCAGTTCAGTGACAAAGGGAGTTAAGAAAATTGTCGGCCAGGCACAGTGGCTCAAGCCTGTAATCACTTTGGGAGGCCGAAGTGGGTAAATTGCTTGAGCCCAGGAGTTCGAGACCAGCCTGAGTAAGATGGTGAGACTCCATCTTGACTAAAAGTAAAAAATTGGCCTGGTGTGGCAGTATGTGTCTGTGGTTTCAGCTACTTAGGAGGCTGAGGTGGTAGGATAGCTTGAACCCAGGGAGGTCAAGGCTGTAGTGAGCCGTGATTGTGCCACTGCATTCTAGCCTGTGTGACAGAGTAAGACCCTATCTCAAAAAAAAAAAAAAAAAAAAGAAAGAAAATTGTCAGCCATTATTTGGGACAAATCTAATGATGCAAAATTAGTATTCTTATTTAGTACAAACAATATATGGTCATTCAAAACCAGTTTTTCCCATTGTAAATCTTGGGATATGTGCATTTGCAGGAATGTATTATATGCATATGATTAGCACATTTTCTCTCAAAAAAAAAAAAAAGAAATGACAAGGGAAATCAATATCGCTTGTATTCATTTTGGAAATGATCTTTATATATTTGTCATTTATAATATTGGTAATGTTTAAGAGAATTTAGCATGTTAAAAGACTTAAAATAACTTTGTGATTACCACTTAGAATATATTATTAAATAGTTGATCTAGACATAATTTTTAAGTGGAAAGGCACAAGAGAAGTTTAAAATGTTTATAAAAGGTACTATAATTTCAGGAATCTTCAAATTCACTGTATTTGTAAGTAAGTCATTAAGTTTACAATTTAAGTATTATGGAAGTTTTTATGTGTCTGATAATTAAATCATCAGTAAGAGAACTTGAGCATTTTAATGTAATAAATTCAAATAAAATATTAAGGGAATTCAATTCACTGGTCTGTAATTGTCACTTGAAAGGTGTTAAAAGTTGCTAAATGTATATACAGAATAACTTCTGCTTATAAGTTATAATCATAAGTTAAAGTTTATAAATTATAAGTTAAATAAAAGTTACATGTTAAGTGAAATTTTAAGGAAGAGCTAGGTTTTTCAATATTATTTTATAAACGAAATATTGGTTATAAAAGCCAAAATAAAAACCAAAATTATTTTAACATATTTTTTCTTTTCTTTTTTTCTTTTCTTTTTTTTTTTTTTTTGAGACAGAGTCTCTCTCAGTCGCCAGGCTAGAGTACAGTGGCATGATCTAGGCTCACTGCAACCTCTGCCTCCTGGGTTCAAGCAATTCTCCTGCCTCAGCCTCCTGCGTAGCTGGACTACATGAGCGTGCCACCATGCACAGATAATTTCTGTATTTTTAGTAGAGACGGGGTTTCACCATTTTGGCCAAGACGGTCTTGATCTCTTGACCTCAGGTGATCCGTCTGTCTCAGCCTCCCAAAATGCTGCGATTACAGGCATGCGTCACTGTGCCAGGCTGACGTATCTTTTCTAAAAGCAAAAAGAACACAGAAAACTCAAACTGACAAACTGATCTTAAAAATTAAAAAAAAAATTAGCCAAATGGAAGAGGATGGTGAATAGTCCCCCACATAGGGCAAACGGGGTGAATGACTAACTGAGGAGGCAATGATTCCTTCAGAGGAGTGTGCAGCTGAGAGGAGAGATTCGACGTGCAAGGACAAAGAAGACCAAATTGAGTACGTACAAAACTTGATGTCTTCGGGAAGAATTTCAAAACTTTATCTCAGAGCAATGAAAAGCTATCTTTATCAGGTCCAACAGGAAACAGATGGCACAGCCAACCTGGGTGACTGAGGAGAGTTTAATAAAGGACCATTTACTAGGGTGTGGTGTGGGCAGTGTTTAAGGAAACCAGGAAAAAGCAGTCTCATAGCCAGGGGCAGCAATAGCAGGGAACCGCCACCTCAACTAGACCGAACGTGTCAGGGGAAGGAAGCAGTTATGGGAATTTTGAGAGGATGACTGCATGGAGAGGGACTCCAGATGGCCTTTCCTAGAGGAACACAACCAGCCCCAGGGCAATGTGGAAGAAAGGTTGCCTGGGATAAGTACCCGATTTCACCCTCCTTCCACCAGCTGATCTCCTGCAGGTGCTTCCCAATGGTAAACTGTCATCTGAAACCCTGAGAGGGAGAACTCCTTAATCCGGTTTGTACAGACCAGCCCCATGCCCAGACTGGGCGGAGAGGGCTTGGGGCCTGTAAAAGGACCTAGCATAGAAACTGTTTAAAATACTTAAGAGAAAAGTGTCAACGCCAGATAACTGCAGAATCGATTGGAAAGCTGTGAAACGGGAGAGAAGACAGGGGTGGAAGGGAAGGCATGTTACAGATGAGTTTCCAAATGAATATTTATAGTCTTTAATGAGTACTCAATGTCTACCTTAATGAATATACACAGATTCCGTATAACCTTACAGCTATCGGTTTCATTCAGCTAGTTAGCTAAGTCTATCCAAATAGATTACTGCACGCCTATCTAGGTAGATGTATATCTACAGACAGTTCTCATTCTAACAGCCATGTGCCAATGTCCCAACTGAAGCCAGCTGTCCCTGTACTGCTCCCTCCCCTCTTTAAATCCTCTAATCCTGCTTCCAGAGTAATGCATGGGCACACACACATGCACACACACATACACACACAAACATACACACTGTGAAGTTTTTAGAGTAAAGAAGTAGACACTACCTGGGTAATGGGATTATTTATATCCCAAACCTCAGCATCACACAATATACCTATGTAACAAACCTGCACATGTACCCCCTGAATCTTAGATAAACATCGAAGTTATTTTTGAAAGAGACTCATGCATCTGTATGTTCATCTCAGCACTATTCACAATAGCAAAGACATGGAATCAACCCAGGTGCCCAAAAACAGTTGATTGGATAAAGAAAATGTGGTATATATACACCATGGAAGACTATACAGCCATCAAAAGAATGGAATAGCATCCTTTGCAGCAACATGTATTAGCTGGAAACAATTATCCTAAGCGAACTAATGCAGTAACAGAAAACCAAATACCGCCTATTCTCACTTATAAGTGGGAGCTAAACATTGGGTACACATGGTCATAAAAATGGTAAAAGTAGACACTGGGGAATACAAGAGAGGACAAGGAGGGAAGTAAGCATTGAATAAAACTACCTGGAGTTCACTATACTCACTACCTTGATGACGGATTCATCCATACTCCAAACATCAGCATCGTGTGATATACCTAGGTAACAAACCTGATCATGCATTTCCTGATTCTAAAATTAAAGTTTAAATAAATATCCCTCCAAATTAAATAAATAAATAAGTAGAGAAACAAATAAGAATTTTTAAAACAGGAACTGAAAAGAAGCCACAAGTAGAAGGACCAGCGGGTATAAATGATCTATCACTACAGAAGTGGAGAAAGTCAATTTTAATGTCCTCACCTGTGAAGGGAGAGGCATGAGTGGGTGATGTCTACTGTCCTATGAGACTATCAGGAAGAAGACACTTGGCAGTTCTTCTCACCTTAATGTCCCTTCCTAGATAGAGCCAAAATTGTTCAAATGGAGATCAGCCTTTAGACTGGATTATCCTTTGGTAATTATGCAAAGGTAAATATCCTTTGGTAAAAATGAGAATATTTTACTGCTATCAATTACGCATTTATTAGGCACATTTACTTTTTGCCTAACAAGTAGAGGGAATAAAAACTGTAACGATGGTGACAGGGAGGTAGCCCTTACTGAATTATAATGCCCTTCGAGACGGAAGTTGAGCCTGGATAATTTTCCATGATTGGATCTAGGACAAAGAGTATCTGGGTATTGGGAGAGAAGAACTTAGAAAAGAGACAGGAAAAAGACAAAATTAAAATTTCCGATTTCAAAGTTTCACCTAAGGCTGACCTTGGTCAGGAGAAGGGGAACATTTGGCTGGGTGCACTGGGGGTGGATCATGCCTGTAATCCCAGCACTTTGGGAGGCTGAGGAGGGCAGATTGCTTGAGCCTATGAGTTCAAGACCAGCCTGGACAACATGACGAAACCCTGTCTCTACTAAACTACAAAAGGTTGCCGGGTGTGATGGCACACACTTGTAATCTCAGCTACTTGGGAGACTGAGGTGGGAGGATTGCTTGATCCCAGGAGGCAGAGGTTGCAGTGAGCCGAGATTGTGCCACTGGACTCCAGCCCGGGTGACAGAGTGAGACCCTGTCTCAAAAACAAACATACAAAAAACTTTAAAATTAAAAGAAAAGGAAGAAAAGGGAACATTCTACTCTCCTTCTCCTTCTCCTTCTCTTCTTCTCCCTCCTACAACATAATCCCAGGTATGAGGGGTTGTGGACATGACTGACATGTGTGCTCATGTATTTCCCAATTCATGAAGGTTCTATTGACCTCTTAATACTTCACAGAAAAATCACTGAAAAAATGTTCACCAAAGTTAATGATCTGATTTAGATCATAGGTATTATGGTGTCATGAAATTTGTTTGGGGGGTACCCTAAGGAAGACTTTTGGAGAAAGTGGTTGAAACAAGCACAAGGAGAGGCCTTGTGATTGCTGGCCAATCATGGAGACATACCAAGCAGATTAAGATTCTAGAGAAGCAGGAACCAGAAAGTCACTTCAAATGTAAACCACAAAGTTAATAATCGCAAAGGCAAAAGCTCAAATTGCATATGGTGATTCATAATCAACCTGCTTCACCTATGGCAGTAGTGAGCCTAAAGGTATCAGAAAATAACTGAATAGTTTGTAAAAATGATGGTTAATGATTCTCCCAAAACATATGATAAGGCAGGCCGCTAGTTGTTAATAGAGGTCAACCTTAAGGTACACTTCCTTCATGGACCCACAGGTCGCATGATCTTCCTTTTCCTGAATTCCTAGAATGGTATCAGATAGGAACCAAAGCCAACACTTTTTAAAAAATTCTTATATTGCTTTTTAATTATCTCATGTATGTAAATCTAGGCCAACCTAGTCTGAACTATGTTTTATATTTCTTTCGTACATTTTCCCTACCAGTCAGAGGTGAGTGTGGATTGGAAGTGGGTTAACAATTAACAAATAATTGAGTAATTGATTTACTAGTCAAAGATAGTGAATGTACCTCTTGTGTAGGTGATAGAACACTTAACGTTGATTACTGAAATTTAATAGTATCATGTTTGCAGTGATCTGGGGATGTAAGGTATGTGCTGCAAGTCAAAATAATAACAATCTCATTTGCAATATTCTATTCACTTTTGCAACAGCTTTTTATTAATGTGCTTCAGGAAACAAATTTGCAGTTTCTGAATGGGAGCTAAATATTTTTCCTGACACTATGTACTTGAATGCTTTCTGAAACCATGGATTAAAAAAGCCATGAATAAGAGGGTTGCAAGTAGAGTTGAAGTACCGGAGCCACACTAAAAGATCCAATATTAGTATGGGAGTGGAGTAGTCTAGGTATGGGTCAATCAGAACAGCAAGAAAACAAGGCAACCAGCAAGCCAGAAACACCCCCATTACTATACCCAGTGTCTTCGCTGCTTTCCTGTCCTTTTTCTTGGATAGGTGTTTTTTCACTGCCCCCTTTGTGTTTTCAGGCACATGGCTGATGACTCGAGCATGCTGTTTGGAAACGATAAAGATTTTGCCATAAATACCAACCATGATGGAGCCAGGGGTAAAGAAACATGTAGTGAACAATATTGTCCCCCAGAATTTGTTGAAAGTAAGGGCACAGAAATTGAAGCAAGCAACAAGTATCTTATAGCTCTGCATACCGGAAACATCGGCCTCAGATAGAACTAAACCAAAAGAAAAAAGAGCAGGAACTGACCAGCAAAATGCCAGCAGTTGCTTTATGGTGGAGTTCGTCATTTTGGTTGTGTAATGTAAAGGGTAACACACGGCATAAAATCGGTCAATAGCAATGGAACAGAGGTGGAAAATGGAGGTCAGTCTGAGCATCATGTCAAAGCTTGTGTGGAATTTACAAAAGCCATCCCCAAAGTACCAGCAACTCTCCACTGATCGCATTATGCTGTATGGCATAATGACAAAACCCAGCAGAAAGTCCGTGGTTGCCATGGAGAGGATCAGAAAGTTTGTGGGAGAGTGAAGCTGTTTGAAATGCGATATGGAAACCATTATAACCAAGTTTCCGAATAGTGATAATCATGGCTCCAGTCATAACCGAATACATTATCACCTGGACATGAAAAGAGCGGTTGGTGGGAGGACAGGATTTATTTACAAATTTTGGACAACTGGATAGGTCTTCGGGAATATAAGTTAGATCCATGGTGCTTTATCCCTTGAAATTTCTTTCCAGGAGGATGAGTCACTGTTTCTTCTCTTCTTAAAATGATTCCAGTAAATTTCAGCTCCTAATAGTACAAGATTGTTCAAAGTTATCTATTATTAATTCACTTCAATTGTAATTTATTTAAATATTTTAAATTATATCAACTGTGTTTGCTTTCTGAGTTACTTGGTACGTTAGAAAAATGACAATTTTCAGCTGTGTATTCTTTTCTGTGTTATTCTATTTAACTCCATTTCATCCATCTATCCATCCATCTATCCAACATAGGTTTATCTATTGACTGCTTTATTCCTGGTAAGGAAATGGGAGATTTTCAAGAATGTTTGGGCAACTTTCACTTTGAACAGATACATTCCTATAAACTGTTTTGAATGTGGCTGCTAATATCTCTTGCATCATAAAAATTACTCAATACACAAAAACCAAGTGAAATACCAAAGTTTTTCTTTAGGCATTCTTTTGACAATTTGAAATCTTCATTTGTAAACAGTGTGCAAATGTTTTAAGAGTTATAAATGGCATATTGCTGCCGAAACATGCAGTACCATGAAACATGGCTGTTGAAAGCCATGTACCTATGGGTTAAAACATGCACCTGGGTCAATGCTTCTTAGCTTCTCTGTTTGCTACTCTCTTCCTGTCCTTCCCTCTGCCTCTCCTGTCCTCTACTCTTCATGCTCCTTCCCTTATTTCTTAAGTCTTATAGCTTCTCTGAGATTCTAACTAGTGAAGCCATGTCATATGTTCCATCCCTGAGAGACCAATAAAAATTACAAATTCCACACTCACAGACCCAGTTACTCAAATCTCACATGACTCCTTTTGGTCACAGTGGGCTGAATAAAGGAGGGTGGACAAATGGCATAAATAAAAACTTCCAATAAATGGTCACGCTTGCTTTGCTATTTGCTTCGGAATACACATCAATCTGAAAAGCCACTCCCTAGCAGCCTCAAGAGAAGCTTGACATTGTGCCTATAACAAAGCACAGAGTCTGCTTAGTGGGCCACAGAAAAGCAGGCCCAATCTTGAGTGAATCAGACAGAGGAGACACCCTAGGCCTATGTTGAATTCTCCCAAGCTATATAAAGACTCAACTGCAGGGTACATTTAACAAGTTCATCTATTTAGGCAGATTCAGTTTAGTTTGTGCTTTAGAATCCTAAGAAAGAGCACAGAAATAACCCCCAAGAAAGAGCAAAAACTGGCCCCTTCCTCATCTCAAGGTGCTAGAAGTTCCCTTCCTTTTTCTTGATTCTGTCATTCTTCCTGACCGACGGGGAAGAAAAGTCACCTCGTTGTGATAAAAGAACCTGAATTTTGCTGGTTAGAGACACTTCTTATTACCAAGTCACAGGAAGGTGTCTCCTTGCAAAGTCTTAGGAGGACCTTTTATAGAGCTGACTGTTCCATGTGACTCCCTTGTTTCTCTAGGTTAAAAGTTTACATCACTGACTTCCAAAGAGGAGGTAGCAAAAGAGCCTTGCGTTGAGAGTTCTCCTAGTCCAGCTTCTGCCATCAGCCAGCTGTGAGCCCTTGGTGATGGGAGGTGTGCAGGGCTAGATGAGCCTTGCAGGCTTTCCAGCTCTGAAAGTCTGTGAATCATTCGTAACAGAAAGTTGGTTCATATTAGATCATCTTCTTGTAAACAAATAGGAAACAGAAGAGCAGAGAAACAAGATGAAAGAAAAATAGGAAATAAAGTTTGGGACTCAATGCGGAGATTCTATGAATGGTACTTGCAGTCCTGGGACATGCCTGATCAATATTAGTTATCATTTAGCCATAAAAAAGAATGAAATCTTGTCATCTGCAACAGCATGAGTGGAACTGGAGGACAATATGTTAGTTGTAATAGCCAGGCATAGAAAGACAAATATCTCATGTTCTCACTTATTTAGGGAGCTAAAAAAAAGAAAAAAAAAAAAGCATTGAACTCATGGAGATAGGGAGCAGCATGATGGTTATCAGAGGCTGGAAAGGATAGTGGGGAGAGGGGGATAAGGAGGGAATGGTTAATAGGTACAAAAATACAGTTAGATAGAATGAATATGATCTAGTATTAAGTAGCACATTAGGGTGATTATAGTTGATAATAACTTATTGTATATTTTAAAATGACTAAAAGAGTAGAATTGGAATATTCCTAATGCAAAAAAATAATAAATGCTTGAGATGATGGATACTCCAGTTACTCTGGTTTGACCATTACACATTGTATGCCTGTATCAAAACATCACATGTACCCTATTAATATGTACAACTATTATGTATCCATAGTAATTTTAAAAATTTTTAAAGGAAAAGTTGATCGGGCTCAGGATAGGGTACCCCAAAATATGGCACCTTGGCATTTGAGGAAATAGCGGAAGCAAGTTTACTCTGGCCTTCTCCCACTTTTTCCCTGAAGCAGACCCTAAAAGAATGATCTGGTCTTCTCCTAAAATAGGTCATAAGACTCTCTTGTGTCCTATACTCAGGGGAAAAGAATGTCACACAGAAACATCAAGAAGAATTTGAACAAACAGGCCTTGTTAAGTTAGCCCCCAGTTTATTACTACTGTATCATATCCTTTTGTCATACTTTTGCATGACTGTTCAGAAAAATACACAGTTTTTAGAGTTTTGAGGCAGTATTCATTTTCGAAGTCTCCTGTGTCATGTAAAATTTATATTAAATAAATGTGTGTGCTTTTCTCTTGTTAAAAATTATATTGAGGATATGTTTCTCTCCATTATAGGTAGTCCTCCACTCATTGCCTCTCTTTATTCTTTGGTTTTCACCAAGGAAATGTTGTGAACATCTAGCCTGGGCCCCATTTGAGCACATTAGTGATAGCCTTAAGAAATAATTGTTGAATTTATATCTGTGTTAAAAAATATATTAACTCACCACCATGAGACAAGTAACTTGTCTATCCATCACCACTGGATTCTCAGTATCTAAGTTAAGGCTTCTAGTATACGCTAGAGATATATGTTTGAATGAATAAACATACACATAAATTGTAAATTATTACTGCTTTAAAAATATCTGTGTTGTTTCAATGAAAGCAACTAATTCAATGTGCTTAAAATGTCCCTATAAATGAATGGACTCGTTTCAGGAGCACACTTCATGAAAATTTCTTCTGGTATTGAATTGCTGATGGTATTCTTATAAAATAACCCCTCCCAAAGTAGCATTTAGACAGGAGGAGCTGAGAGATTTTGTGTAGATATAATTTACTGATCCTATAGCATGAGAAAACCAGAGATTCTGAGTCTGGGCAGAGATAGTGTTAGTAGAAGAAAACAAAAGTGGAAGTATTTCAGCTAAATGCAGTTGGGAGGTGCTGCTGCTAGTGGCATGACACCCCTCCGTGTCCCATTAAGGTGTGAAGATGGGGTTGTCTTGGCTCTTTTCAGTCCCATATGTAATGTTTGCACCTTATCTACCACTTAGAGGAGTTGGGGATTTTCTTCCAGTTAAAACTCACATACTCTCAAAGATAAAAGGAAATTTTCTGTTGCAGAATACAGACTTGCAGTTAAACTCATACAGTATTTAAGTCCATGAATACATACGCAGTTAATGATTACACAGGGGACTCTGCCACACCCTAGTTGCCCCTATGACCTTATTGATCACAGTCACGACATTTAAGCAACCTCACATGGGTCTTACATATAAGTAACTGTTCCATGTTTTAAGTATTGGGATGATTCTATAAGATGTTTCAACATGCGATCAAATCTTTCACTATGTGCAACTTCCTATACACATAAGGGAAAATTCATATACTTTCAGAACTGGAGAAGTCCATAAACGAAATATTTACAAAGATATATTATGTGATGCAGTTTCTAGCCTCATCGTTATCTTAACATTCCACAGTGGGGCATCTGTCTAGTAAGAACACAATGAGGCTCACAATAACCAGCTCTAACAAACTAACAATGTTCTTTTGGAAAACTGTATTCTAATTTCCAGATAACTGATTTGCAAATAAACTTTTACTGTTTCATAACCTGTTTATACGTTCAAAGTTGACATGCAGATCTTTGCGGCCATTAACATTGTTCCTGCCTTCCTCCCTGCTTTTCCTCATAAAAATTATGCTAGCTCCTTTAATTTTTTTATGGAGGCCAACAAAATTTTTATGTTATCTATTATGTTGAATCACATAGCCTCTATGGAATTCTCATTTTTTAAAGTTACAAATGTTCAAATATTAATAATTACAAATAATTTCCCACTGGGACCTTTTCCTTTTCCTCCTCAAGTTTTAGTTTTAAGCACTGACTAAGGTTGGCATATCTCCAGCCACATACATTTGGAAAAAGTCAGATTTGCAATGCAATATATCATGGAGTTAATACTTGTTGAAGAGAATCTTTGATTGTCTGGACACATTCATTTTAGTAGGAGGCAGAGATGACTTAATAGCAACACCAAGTTAGGAATCTAATTTTCACAGCCTTCCAGGATGAATACCATATAACTTGTAGTAGACTACAATCTGGTTCTGAGCATAGAGGCAAGCATTTGTACATGTGCTCTACATGGCACCAAATAAAAGTGACACTACTGCCATAAAATATGTTCTCCTCTTCTAGGATCCACCTATTTGGGCAAAGAACTTAACAATTGCCATTGCCACCTATGTATGTATGTACAAGCATATAAATAAATGTAAATTATAATTTCCTTTCAGTTTTCTTTGTTGGAAAAACAGATAAGAAAGATCAGCAAAGGAAGATATGAGCTATTAGTGTTCCACTTCTTCAATATATTAACTCAAATTACATGTACAAAGAAGCAGATTTTTAAAGGTTTCTCATTTGAACACAAATTTGGATAATGTCATAAATAATTCTCCTTTAAATTCTAACAGCCCTAGGGCTCTTGGAATTTAAGACTGAAATCTAAAATTATTGATACATAATGCCAAAGAGGAAAGTGCATTTTAGCATTGTTGAAATACCTAACTACATTTACTGAATCATGTCTCGCATAGTTCTTGTACTTTGCAAAAGTATTTTATATGCCACTATATAAAAATTTACCAACCTTGTCAAATGAATTTTGATGGAAAATTTAAGACCTTTTACCAGAAAATTATAATGATTGTTTTTTAGTTAAAAACTATCTTCTCAATTGCAACCCATTTCAACAATTTCTGATTCTTTATAAAATACAACTATCACTATTCAATTATTTTGAAGAAGAGAATAAATCAGCAATAATTTAAAAAGATTAGAACATTTCCAATTCTTTTTATTGACCCAGTACCTTCCCTTTCCTGAAAAGTTAGTTGTGAATCAATGACCGTCCTCTTGTGGCTTTGCAGGTGCGACATCAGGAAATTCCAGAAAGTTTAGTGTAGAGGATTAAGGTATATGATTCATATATAAGTTTGCTTCTGCTCTCAGGAGAATTGGAGTAGAGAACTCAGATCCAGGAGCTTCCAGATAGGCACTAACTGTGGAGCCCCAGTGGGACTGCTCTTTTAACTTTCTCAAGGGATATTGAAATACCCTGGGTTTTTTGTTCGTTTGTTTGTTTTGGTTTGGTTTTGGTTTTGGTTTTGGTTTTCTTTGAGACAGAGTCTCACTCTGTCGCCAGGCTGGAATACAGTAGTGCGATCTCAGCTCACTGCAACCTCCGCGTCCTGGGTTCAAGTGATTCTCCTGCCTCAGCCTCCCAAGTAGCTGGGACTACAGGCACACACCACCACGCCCAGTTAATTTTTGTATTTTTAGTAGAGACAGGGTTTCACTGTGTTGGCCAGGACGGTCTCCATCTCTTGACCTCATGATCCGCCTACCTGGGCCTCCCAAAGTGCTGGGATTACAGGCATCTCTGTGTGTTTTTAATGACCCAGTTTGTTTTATTTTTTTCCAAATGAAAGGCAATTTTATATCTGATTTCATGGTCATTCTGGAAAGATTAAGTACAGAAGTTTCCGTATATTGAAAATACACAGGTTTGTGGGCTCAATTAAATGCTGGCTAATATCCAAGGGAGGAATAATTGTCTGAATCATAAAATGTTTCTGTTTACACTTTGATTCCTGAATGTAACAAGAAAGTATTGGGATGTGAGAGAATTTTTATTTTTACTTCAGTGATTTGTACAAATTTGAATTTTGAAAATCTTTATTTAAAAAAAAAGCCAGTTAAAATGTCACAAATATGAAAAAAATTAAAAAGTTCAGTAAACAAAGAACACAGAATCCAGGGTAAACCACTAAATCCCCCAGGCTCAGTTTTCACATCTGTAACTTACTACAAAATTCTCGGTGTTGAGGAACATGATTTTACTAATCCTGGGAAATGAAGACAGAGTGAATGGTAGAAGGAAGCCAGTATACAGGACACTGGATCACTCTGTCATCCTCACTAGAACACAGCAGGGTGATTATGTTTTGAAACATAAAAGGACATTGAAAAGGTACTGACAGATTTACTTTCATAACCACACCTGGATATAACTACTCTCTTCTTGAAAACTCACAATTTTCATTGCTATAATGGAAATGAAGAAATTAAACAAGGAATATTTCAGTGAAACACAGTTCACTACCATGTATAAACACACACACACACACACACACACACACACACACACGAGATATAACTGAAAATAAAACTTCATGAGGCTATACTTAGCCTCGGTGCAAGTGATATATTTTGATACTATCTATTTTCTTCTATTCTAATTTGCTTTTCATTAAAAATATTGTTCACAGCCAGTGGTATGCTGGAACCACCCATGATTATTTTCAAGAGAAGTTTTTTAACATTTCAGGACATTACATTTATAGGTTAAAATCACTCATAAGGAAAGATTTTTTAAATGTATATACCATGGAAATCATCAAACTCTACAAATTAGGACTGTTCTTTTTAGAGCCCAGTGTTGAGCTTAAACCAACACATCACTGGTCACAGCCCATCAGTTATTAATGAGTCTCAACCTAAAGTTAATAATTTTCTTCTTTATTTCTTCCTCTCATTCCTCTGTTATTAAAAAATACATGTATAAATATCAAGCAAAAAGGAATGATGGATTGAAAACAAAACTTTAGTAGATATTCCACATTTATTAAAACACCAGAACACCAAATAGCAATACAAAATGTGGATGAGCCTACGGAGGAAAGGAAGACACTGGACAGAGTTCTACTGTATGTAACATGGGAACTAACCAGCTGCTGTGATTAGGATGGCTCCTGAATGAAAACCTGCCTGGAGTCTGTCGCCCCAGTTACTCAGTTTGCCATTTCTTCTTTTAGTTAAGAAACGTTTGTTCTCACAACAGCAGAATCTAGTAAAGGCTTAACTCTCAGCTAACACATAACTGACTCCTGGAAGAATATGAGTTTTTGAAATTGTTATTTCCATATTTACTTACCTATCATTTTTAGTTGCTGATGCTTCAAAGTACATCTGGTAAGATACTGAGGAACAAAAATGAAATGGGAATATCACACAAAGTGTCTGTGGTGGGGAGGGAGACAAGCAGTTCCCAAGCTCAGCCTATGTTTTGACCCCTTTTGAACAGTATAAAAGCTTTTGTGTGTCCTCTTTGTTCCATCTCTGGCTTTCCCCCATGTTCTCTTTACTTTTCTAATTTTCTTTCTTTTCTCTCTACCAGGAAGTAGTGGGTGTGTAAAGAATTCTGAAAACTATTGGAGGGATTCTTGGCTCAAAGAGAAGCTTCCTTTTTTTATTCTCGTCTTAGAAACCAACAGCTTTCTATGGTAGCTAAAATAATACACACATGCACAAAAACACACATCTTAAACAACTTCATTCTTCTAAATTCTAGTTTTTTGCTTCAATTTATTCATGCAGAAAAAGCCTACTCACTTTCTTTTTGCATACACAAAATAGTATTATGGAAACATGAGCTGAAAATTTTACCTAGCAAAATGTACTTCAGTGCTCTGCGAAACCAGGGATAGAAGAAACCATATATTAACGGATTACATGTGGAGTTAAAATAGCCAAACCATGTCAAGGCATCAAACAAAACTACAGGAGTAGAGAAGTTCAAAAAGGGATCCAATAAAATTGTGAAGAAACAAGGAAACCAACATAATAAGAAAACTCCTATCACTATTCCTAAAGTTTTGGCAGCTTTTTTGTCTTTCTTCACTTGATTATTTTGATTTTCTCGCAAGTTATTGATGGCATGAGCATGTTTTCTGGATACTGCAAAAATTTTGCCATAAATCCCCACCATCATAGACCCAGGAGTGAAGAAACCTGCCATAAACAAGGTGGTCCCCCATAGCTTGTTGAACATCACTGGGCAGGAACTGGAACAAGCAACCAAGATGTCATAGCCCTCTATTCCATCTGCATAGGCCTCTGAGAAGACCACCCCGAAGGCAAATGCTCCAGGGACCGACCAACATAGAAGTAGCAATCTTTTAATGACTGGAATAGTTATTTTGGTGGAATAAAGTAATGGGTAACATATAGCATAAAATCTATCAATGGCCACTGAGCAAAGATGAAAAATGGATGTTATGCTAAGCATCAGGTCAAAACTATAATAAATCTTGCAAAATGTAAGCCCAAAATACCAGCAGTTCTCCACCGATCTGATCATACTATATGGCATGATGGTGAATCCCAGGAGGAAATCAGTGATGGCCATGGAGAGGATGAGGAAGTTGGTTGGTGTGTGAAGCTGCTTGAAGTAGGAAATGGAAATTATCATGGCAAGATTGCCAAATATTGTGATGAATATGGATCCTGCCATAAATGAATACATAGCCACTCGGACACCCAGAGATCTTTCATTTTCTGGGCAAGATCTATTTCCATATTCAGAGCAATTGAATTTTTCCTTCAAAAAACAAGAACAGATAGAATTTTGTCAGAATATAAATATTCTATGTTTTATATATGCTTTCATAGAAAAACTCAAGAAAGGCAGAGAAGAATCAAGGAAGATAATTTATGCTGTAATATTACTCATGATCTTTCCCATTTACTTATTTTAATCTTTATTTGTAATTTTGTAGAATTGTAACCTAATTGGCTTAAAAGATCATTATTGGCCAGGTGCGGTGGCTCACGCCTGTAATCCCAGCACTTTAGGAGGTCGAGGCAGGGGGAGCACTGAAGGTCAGGAGTTTGAGACTAGCCTGGCCAACATGGTGAAACCCCATCTCTACTAAAAATACAAAAAGTAGCCAGGCATGGTGGCATGTGCCTGTAATCCCAGCTACTCGGGAGGCTGAGGCAGCAGAATCGCTGGAACCCAGGAGGTGGAGGTTGCAGTGAGCCGAGATTGTGCCACTGAACTCCAACTTGGGAGACAGAGAGAGACTCCATCTCGAGAAAAAAAAAAAATCATTATTTACTCCATACTTTCCTCTATACTACCAACATTTAGGAAGCTCTTACTTTATGCCAGGCTTTGAAATTTAAAAGAAGAAAAAACAAATTATTGAGCTGTATCTTACGTGTGTAGGAAGAATAGATATCTATTAGACAATACATGTACTTCTTCCTCCAAGGAGTCAGAAATATATAATCAGATTTGATTTGATTGTGATCTATTACCTGTGGGATCAGGAGGTTATTATTTGAAAACAATTTCATTCTTGTGTTCTATTATTTTCACTGTGCTGTGTTTTGTTTTATTCATACGAATGTTGTTTTAAGGGGGAAGAATCATCTAATGACCTCTAATTATCTGGTAGAGTCAATCTATAAGGCAAATCATGAATTCTTAACAAGCATGGCATCAGCCAAAGCAGCTAAGTCAGAGGTGGGCACAGACCAAAGCTGGACCACCCTCAGTTACTTGTGAAGAGCAAGTGTAACTCAGAGCCCTATGCAATGACAGCTTGACAAGTTGCCATGCGTAGGCCACACACAAGGCTATGAGCAGAGGGCTAGAGAACTTTTAGAAAGCAAGCCATCTCTACTACAAGAAAATTAAGCCCATGCCCTCCTTGTGTTGGGCCAGAATGCTCATTTTACATATTAAAATCTGCATGTTATTCTTTCCATATATATTTGAAATGTAACACGTTCATGAGTTAGAATGATTTTCTTTTTAAAAAGTACATTAGGTAAAAAAGAGCTGCCTATATGCAAAGCATAACTCTTAATATTGAAGAAATGCCTTTGGCCTTCAGTGACCTCACACATATCAGACCTTACCAGTTACCAAGAGATAAACAAATAAATTACCAGCCTCTGTGATATAAGAGTGTATCACAAAGAGAGTAAGACATTTTTCTTGAATGTCCACAATATGAAAGATACAAGGAAAGGAAGAAGAAAGCATGAAGGTCAACCCTGCAGCAGAGATTCTACAATGCAGCTGAAGAGACAAAGCACATCAACACTTAAAACCTACATGATTCTGCACCTCAGATGAAAGCAACAGCGGCGATCACCTGACCAAAAAGAGATCCAGGCAAAATGTACAATCCAAGATCAAAAATGGACAAGATCTTTTCAGGCTGGACTGCACAGGAATGTTCCAGCAAGGATATGACTTTTGATCTGGGTCTCAATGGGTGAGTAGGATTTGAACAGAAGAGAAAAAGCCTGTTCTACACAGAAGGTATGATGAAGAAAAGACACAAGGCTGTATGTGTTCCGAGACCTTCTAAAAGGAATTCTCAGGGACCCCTAAAACACCGCAGAGAGAATACAAGGTGGAGGGGAGTATAGAGGGAGAGAAGAAAGTGCTTCTAGTTTCATTGTTGTTCCTCAAGCCAGTGTTCTTAGCCAGCATTAGTCAAAAGAGATTTCCCATTTTGTTCTTAAATTTGGGTAATGATTTTTTTAAATTAAAGTAATTAAGTTAGTTACAAGAGAGTGAGTACAGATTTGAAATTAAAAGCTTCCTCCAACTGATGCCAAGTGGCGACTCCAAGGCAGTTTTCTCCTCGTTATTCTTCCTCCTCAGGGGCCTCGTCCCCACTTGCAGAGAACTAATGGCCTGGTGTATGATGGGACGTATTTGAGCAATAGAACTAAACATCTTTATATCTGCCACCTGGGTGATTGCATACCACAAAATAGAAACACTACCAAACTGCATTTGAGGTCTCTGCCGACGCCCTAAATGCTGTTTACAGAAACAGCTGACTTATTCATGAAAGAGTTTCATCAGAACAGTTTTATCCAGATCTGTCTAAAATGTGTACAACCAGTTCTTAAACTATATTCATTTTTAACAGCTGAAATGGGGGTTTCTAACCAAATACTGCATGCTCTCACTTATAAGTGGAAGCTAAACGATGAGAACTTATGAACACAAAGAAGGAAACGACAGACACTGGGGTCTACTTGGGGCCAGAGCGGGGAGGAGGACGGGAGGAGGGAGAAGAGCAGAAAAGATAACTATTGGGTACTGGGCTCAATACAGGGGTGATGAAATAATCTGTACAACAAACCCCATGACACGAGTTTGCGTATGTAACAAACCTTCACATGTACCCCCTGAACCTAAAATAAAAGTTAAAAAAACATAAAAATAAAAGTTAAAAAACACACATTAAAAAGTAGGGGTTTCTAATATGTGCATATAGCATTTTGCTATTCCTAACATTGTCACACACAAAAAAAAAGACAGAAAGAAAAAAGAAGAGAAGCGAGAGATTTTCCTCCCTCTTGGTACTAAGGTTTTTAGCTACTTGTCATTTCTTGTTAGCCACCTACTGACCAGTTAGGCATCACCAGAGAAGAAAATACTGAGAGAAAATGCAGTATTATCAAAAAGAAAAAAGGATTTCTGACCATCTTCAGTATGCTCATTAAAAAGCGTAGGAAATCCAAAGCAAATTTTGTTGGTTTATTTTTAAATCACTTTACTTCTTAGAAAGTAAAGCTAAAAAAAAAAAAACAACAACAAATAACGAACATCCTTTTAAAACACATACAACATTCTTGTGCTTAAGGCAATTTAACAACAACAGTACTTTTTTTTCTTTTTCTTTTACTTTAAGTTCTGGGATACATGTACAGAACGTGCAGGTTTATTACATAGGTATACATGTGCCATGGTGGTTTGCTGCAGCTGTCAACCCACCTTCTAGGTTTTAAGACCCGCATGCGTTAGGTATTTCTTCCTAATGCTCTCCCTCTCCTTGCCCCCCACCCCCTGACAAGCCCTGGTGTGTGATGTTCCCCTCCCTGTGTCCACGTGTACTCTTGTTAAGCTCCCACTTATGAGTGAGAACATGTGGTGTTTGGTTTTCTGTTCCAACAACAGTATATTTTAAGATTTAATTGCCTGCAAACTTCTTTGTGTTCCTGGCTTAATCACTTTGATATTATTAATCATCTTGCACCCACTCTTGTTAAAATCATGCAGAATCTTTCTAATTCTAAAATCATAGGCTACAGGGCTTGACTAATTTTCCCTTTAACTGTCAGAAACTTTAATTAGATAATTAGTTCTAAGTACTAACGTTCTTGAAACACATAATATGATGTCTACATTCACACTTGAATTCCTCATACACATGCCACAAAGTATGGAGGGGTATATCAGATGATTATTTGATGAATTCATCAAATAATAATTTTAATCCCATTTAAATATCACATCCCCCATAATTTATTTGACATAGTTCTTTCATGTGACATCTATCATCAGTTTGAACCTTTCAAAAACCGTATCTTTCATATCTTTCATATTTGTTGTCTAAGGAAAGCTAAATGTAAAAGCAGTATTTTAAAGGCTATAGCTTTCAAGGGTCATTTTTTCTATTTTTAAACTTGTTAACATAAGCATCTATAGATACATGGATTGCCATAGAGTTAAATGGAATGTCAGATCTTTTCGCCATTACTGTTACGTTTCTAAAAGAAGCTCAGACACAAAAAAATAAAGATTTGTAACATAATGAATTGTTTGCCCATTCTGCTTGTGAATAAATAAATTTTATTCTACTAAATTGTTAAAATAAAAGTGTTTTCTATATTCCCTGAGAAAGTGATCAAACTACAGAACCATGACCACAATGACAAAGAATTTTCTATTTTTTCTAATTATTTATTATTATTATTTTTTCTTTTTTTAAGGGGTAGGGAGGAGGAAGCAGAATGTTCTGATTTTTCTTTGTGATGTCTTTTCTTTTTGCCTAGTCTTTATATTTGATGATTAATGCTTCATTGGTAAATAAATATTCCTCTGCTTTAGTAACCACTTTTTTTTTTTTTTTTTTTTTTTTTGAGGCGGAGTCTCCCTCTGTAGCCCAGGCTAGAGTGCAATGGTGCAATCTCGGCTCACTGCAACCTCCATTTCCCAGGTTCAAGTGATTCTCCTGCCTCAGCTTCCTGAGTAGCTGGGACTACAGGCACGTGCCACCACACCTGGCTAATTTTTGTATTTTTAGTAGAGACACGGTTTCACTGTGTTAGCCAGGATGGTCTCCATTTCCTGACCTCATCATTCGCCCACCTTGGCCTCCCAAAGTTCTGGAATTACAGGCGTGAGCCACCACACCCTGCCTAGTAACCACTTTTAAGACTTAATGGATTTCACTATGTCTTTCTGCCAGCTAATCATTGTTTCTCATTTCCTTGAATTATTTTGCCCTTACCCAAGCTGTTGATTTCTTTTGATTGTTCAATTTCTATCAAATATTTAAAGTTAATGAATCTTAACATATTAAATGGATGGTATAATATATAATATGAATAGGCTTAGCGTAATGCCTGATATATAGCACACTATCAAAAGAAAGCTACTTTCTTTCCCTCCCTCCTTCCTTCCTTTTTTCCTTCCTTCTTTGTTGTAAATAATTAGCAGGTTCAAGTACACATTTGACCAGAAAAGATTTCTCCTAAGAAAAAGAGGAAATGGGATTGTAAGGAAAAAGGCCAGGTAACTGTCAATACTTAAGACAGTTATAAATACTTAATAGTTAAGACAGTGATAGATCATTTGCTCAGCCACTTATAAGGAGGTAAGCTTTTCCAGGATTCTAAATATTCTTCCCAGGAAACTTGTTACACTGCCAGAAGGCAGCATGTTATTTCGTTCACATGTTAAAATGACTGCCTTTTATTACAAATTCATATTAAGTCCTGCACCTTCCACAATCTTCCACATGCCTACACATTCTCTCTGCACAGGACCAAAATTCAAAAAGGAAGACCTAATGCAACAGCAATCGACGGCATTATCAGGATGGCAATTTACTTCTTAAGAAAACCTCAAGGAAGAGAAAACACAGATCTTTGTTTCATAATCCCTCATCTTCCACATACCGGCAGAAGATTCCATTGTTAACTCCTTACCGAAGGAACTTTTTTCTTTGTTTCTTCTCTAACTACTGTTAATGTGTATATGGAACCAGAAGACCTAAACTATGTGAGTTGTGCTGATTTATAACTTAACAATTCGTCTTAAGGGGATTAAATCTGAAAGTGAAAAAAAAAAAAAAGAAAGCAAAATCCTTGTCATTCAAAAGTTTAACAGCTCAATGAGCTTAAACCACTCCTCCATCCTCCCAGGAGTCTCTGCTTACCTAAGATTTTATCACCTACAGCATTTAAGGCTCTAAGTCTGCTATTACATAAAGGCTGTGAAAACAAATCTGAGCCCTTGAGTTATGGGGGGACCTAAGGAGCCTGATCTCAACCACACATGGATGGGACCTCTGGTTCAAGCAGAAGAATGCGCATGTGTCCTCCATCATTTCAGAAAGATCTGACAGTCACAGTCCATATTTTGTCTCACATGCTAGTCACTGAGGCTTTACCCATTGTCTTCCTCATTTTTTCTTTGATAAATGTGATTAAAAGAACACATTTCATCAACCCTTTTAGATCTGGAGGAATTGAGCATAATTATTATCTTTGTAAATAATTCACATGTTTATGCCAAAATCTTCTCAGATGCTACTGGTTTAAACTTAGTCATATGTTTAAGGGCCTACCTTTTTTGTCTGTGTTCTTTTGAAATGTGAAAGTTCATGTTGCTCTGATGAGACAGCCATGGGAGGCAAGATACCCCAGATGTAGATGAAATATAACCCTGGTCATTAGAAGAAACTGGGGTCCTGCATGAATAAAAATTACAGTGCTCTGTGTGATCTCCGTTGGCTCTGCCTACGGCCACTGCTTGGGCGTGCAGATTGTGCCGTCATAATGGAAGCTGAGCTTTGAAGAAGTCACGCTTAATGCTTTGATGCGATCTCTTGAAATTCTTAATAACTTTCTAACAAGGGGCTCTACATTTTCATTTTGTACTGGACCTTGTGAAAATACATAGCTAGTCCTGGCTGAACCTCCCTTAGTAGTTCTTTCTTTTCTTTTTTAGAGACGAAGTCTTGTTCTTAAACCCAAGCTGCAATGCACAGGCATGATCACAGCTCACTACAGCCTTGAACTTCTGAGCTCAAGCGATCCTCCAGCCTCAGCCTCCCAAGTAGCTGGGACTATAGGTGCATGCCCCACCACGCCTGGCTAGTAGTTCTTGAAGAAGTGAAACAGGAGCAGCAACAAAAAAATCTCTTTTCATCTCAAAGCATATTCATAGTTATACTATGAATGAGATGAGATAAAATAATGATTTATATTATGAATGAGATAAGATAAGATCATGTATATGAAAGTATTTTAAAAGAAATCTTTATACCTATTAGCCAAAAGGGTAGAAATAGCAAAACACATTGCTACTCAAAAATTGCCAGCAACTTCTATTTCTTCTGGGAGAGACCAAAAATCATTTTGGACAAACTTTCTGGTTTCTGTAAAGAATTACTTAAGTGTTCTCTTTTAATTATGTAGGTGGGAGACGAGTAGCAGGGGAAGGTTAGAACTTAATGTGTATTTTTAACACGCAAAGGAACTTATGTGGAGCAAAGGGAATGAGACTTGTCAAACCCAGGAGTTCAAAACCAGCCTGGGCAACATAGTGAGACCTCATCTCTACAAAAAATTTTAAAAAATTAGCTCAGGACAGACCATGACAGATGGCAGGAGGAGAACCAGGGGTGAAAAGTTAAAATCAAAGCCTGGAGACAAACAATATACAGCTGAGCCTAAGAAAAGTCTTCAGAACCAGTGTCTCCAATCCTGAACACAAGATTTAAGAATAACAGCTCTGCAGTGATGCAAATGTAATGAGTACCAGCTCATTCCTCTTGGTTTTTTCTAAGCCCTTAGAAACCACAGCTTCCCCCCCATAACCTGGTGTCTCCATGTCATGGCAGTCGGAATGGCATCAACAGAAAGGGGGACCACCTATTTTCAACAGTGACACCTGCTAGCAGCCTGGGAAAACAGTCTTTGGATTCAGTCCTCAGAGAATATAACCAAAAGACAAGACCCTAAGGGAAATGGGAAAAATGCAGATTAATTTGAATATTACAAAGAGATATGATCTTATTTTGTACCTTAAGCTGAAGAAAAGGGGTATGTCACGAACATAAGTTCACATTTTTTAATGAAACTCAGGTACAAAGAATTTGAATTAATTACAATAATTATGCCAAGTATGTCTTGCTTGCCTTATTTGTTTGTTTCTAACAAAATGAACATACATGACTGAGAACTAGATTAACAATAGCTTACATACATCTCTATGGTATTTTCTGCCTATCACCTCAGGTAGCTACTCTCTTAAATTTTGTGCTTATCGTTTTTCTATTTATTTAATAGTTGTGCCATGTGTATTTATATAAGTAAATCAAAACATTGTTTGGCTTGTTTTTAGAACTCTTTATAAAATGGATAGCATGTTGTCTTTTGGAAAATGTTTTACTGTCTTTTGGAATTTGTTTTGCTCTTATTTTTTCATTTAACTGTATATGCATAGATCTAAAACTTTAAGCATAGATCTAAAACATAAGAATAAAGAAAATTTGGAAGTAAAAAGATTAAAAAAGCATATATCAGAAAAAGCATAAACCAAAGAAAGCATCCATACTCATACTAATATCAGAAAAGAAATATGTTGAGGCCAAAAACATGGCAAGTTAAAAGGATACATAGTAAAAAAGAGTTTCATTTACCAAGAAGATATATTTCTAGATTTAATAATAAAGTTTCCAAGTATTAGGGAAAAGTGACATCTACAAGAGAAAACAGACAAAACCTACAATCCTTGTGGGAGATGTTTTAATATACATCTAGCAAAATTAATAGAATAAATAGATTAGATATTAGTAAGTTTTTTTATTATTATACTTTAAGTTCTGGGATACATGTGCAGAATGTGCAGGTTTGTTACATAAGTATATACCTGCCATGGTGGTTTGCTGCACCCATCAACCCATCATCTACGTTAGGTATTTCTCCTAATGCTATCCCTCCCCTTGGCCACACCCCCCCACAGGCTCTGGTGTGTGACATTCCCCTCCGTGTATCCATGTGTTCTCATTGTTCAACTCCCACTTCTGAGTGAAAATGTTCAGTGTTTGTTTTTCTGTTTCTGTATTAGTTTGCTGAGAATGATGGTTTCCAGTTTCATCCATGCCCCTGCAAAGGACATGAACTCATTCTTTTTTATGGCTGCATAGTATTCCACGGTGTATATATGCCACATTTTCTTTATCCAGTCTATCATTGATGGGCATTTGGGTTGGTTCCAGGTCTTTGCTATTGTGAATAGTGCTGCAATAAACATATGTGTGTGTGTGTCTTTAGAGTAGAATGATTTATAATCTCTTGTGTATATATCCAGCAATGGAATTGCTGGGTCAAATGGTATTTCTAGTTCTAGATCCTTGAGGAATCGCCACAGTGTCTTCCACAATGGTTGAACTAATTTACACTCCCACCAACAGTGTAAAAGCATTCATATTTCTCCACATCCTCTCCAGCATCTGATGTTTCCTGACTTTTTAATGATTGTCATTCTAGCTGGCCTGAGATGGTATCTCATTTTGGTTTTGATTTGCACTTCTCTAATGACCAGTGATGATGAACTTTATTTCATATGTTTGTTGGCCGTATAAATGTCTGCTTTTGAGAAGTGTTTGTTCATAGTCCTTGCACACTTTTTGATGGGGTTGTTTTTTTCTTGTAAATTTGTTTAAGTTCCTCGTAGACTCTGGATATTAGCCCTTTGTCAGATGGATAGATTGCAAAATTTTTCTCCCATTCTGTAGGTTTCCTGTTCACTCTGATGATAGTTTCTTTTGCTGTGCAGAAGCTCCTTAGTTTAATTAGATCCCATTTGTCAATATTGGCTTTTGTTGCCATTGCTTTTGGTGTTTTAGTCATGAAGTCCTTGCTCATGCCTATGTCCTGAATGGTATTGCCCAGGTTTTCTTCTAGGGTTTTATGGTTTTACATTTTATTTTTAAGTATTTAATCCATTTTGAGTTACTTTATGTATAAGATGTAAGGAAGGGGTCCAGTTCCAGTTTTCTGCATATGGCTAGCCAGTTATCCCAACACCGCTTACTAAATAGGGAATCCTTTCCCCATTGCTTGTTTTTATTAGGTTTGTCAAAGATCAGATTATTGTAGATGTGTGGTGTTATTTCTGAGGACTCTGTTCTGTTCTATTAGTCTATGTATCTGTTTTGGTACCAGTACCATGCTGTTTTAGTTACTGTAGCCTTGGAGTATAGTTTGAAGTCAGGTAGCATGATGCCTCCAGCTTTGTTCCTTTTGCTTAAGATTGTCATGACTATACGGGCTCTTTTTTGGTTCCATATGAAATTTAAAATAGTTTTTTTCTAATTCTGTAAAGAAAGTCAATGTTAGCTTGATGGGAATAGCATTGAATCTATAAATTACTTTGGGAATACGGCCAATTTGACAATATTGATTCTTCCTATCCATGAGCATGGAATGTTTTTCCATTTGATTGTGTCTTCTTTTATTTCCTTGAGGAGTGGTTTGTAGTTCTCCTTGAAGAGGTCTTTCACATCCCTTGTAAGTTGTTTTCCTAGGTACTTTATTCTCTTTGTAGCAATTGTGAATGGGAGTTCACTCATGATTTGGCTGTTTGTCTGTTATTGGTGTATAGGAATGCTTGTGATTTTTGCACATTGATTTTGTATCCTGAGACTTTGCTGAAGTTGCTTATCAGCTTAAGGAGTTTTTGGACTGAGACTATGGGGTTTTCTAAATGTACAATCATGTCATCTGCAAACAGAGACAATTTGACTTCCTTTCTTCCTATTTGAATACCTTTATTTCTTTCTCTTGCCTGATTGCCCTGGCCCAAACTTCCAATACTATGTTGACTAGGAGTGGTGAGAGAGGGCATCCTTGTCTTGTGCTGGTTTTCAAAGGAAATGCTTCCAGTTTTTGCACATTCAGTATGATACCAGCTGTGGGTTTGTCATAAATAGCTCTTATTATTTTGAGATATGTTCCATCAGTACCTAGTTTCTTGAGTGTTCTTAGCATGAAGTGGTGCTGAATTTTATCAAAGTCCTTTTCTGCATCTATTGAGATAATCATGTGATTTTTGTCATAGGTTCTGTTTATGTGATGGATTAAGTTTATTGATTTGCATATGTTGAACCATCCTTGCATCCCAGGGATGAAGCCGACCTGATTGTAGTGGATAAGCTTTTTGATGGGCTGCTGGATTCGGTTTGCCAGTATTTTATTAAGGATTTTCACATCAATGTTCATCAGAGATATGGGCCTGAAATTTTCTTTTTTTGTTGTTTCTCTGCCGTGTTTCAATATCAGGATGATGCTGGCCTCATAAAATGAGTTAGGGAGGAGTCCTTCTTTTTTTATTGACTCATAAGGAATCGTACCAGCTCCTCTTTCTAACTCTGTTAGAATTCAGCTGTGAATCTGTCTGGACCTGGGCTTTTTTGGCTGGTAGGCTATTAATTACTGCCTCAATTTCAGAACTTGTTATTGGTCTACTCAGAGATTCAACTTCTTCCTGGTTTAGTTTTGGGAGGGTGTATGTGTCCAGGAATCTATTCATTTCTTCTAGATTTTCTAGTTTATTTGCATAGAGGTGTTTATAGTATTCTCTGATGGTAGTTTGTATTTTTGTGGGATCACTGGTGATATCCCCTTTATCATTTTTTATTGTTTCTATTTGATTCCTCTCTCTTTTCTTCTTTATTAGTCTGGCTAGCAGTCTATCTATTTTATTAATCTTTTCAAAAAACCACCTCCTGGATTCATTGATTTTTTGAAGGGCTCTTCATGTTTCTATCTCCTTCAGTTCTACTCTGATCTTAGTTATTTCTTGCTTTCTGCTAGCTTTTGAATTTGTTTTCTCTTGCTTCTCAAGTTCTTTTAATCGTGATGTTAGGGTGTTGATTTTAGATCTTAGAATGAACTAGAGGGGTGAAGACTTGAGGAATAAAAACCACTTTGGGAATTAATCCAGAGTCCCTAGAAGGGAAAGTTAAGACTTGCATGAAGATGCCTTGCCCATCCTTGACTGGTGGATGAGGAGTAAGGAGAAGGAGGAGTCAAGGATTACCCCCAGGTTTTCAGCTTGAGCAATTGCAAGGAGAGCGATTCAATAGAGAATGTGGGAAGAGAAGGGTGAGTAGTGAGATGATTTGGTTTAGTTCAGCACATGTAGAACGTTGGGCACGTACTGCAAAGGAGAAGACCAATTGATGGGAAATCACCAGTATATTTTATATGAGTTGGACAGACAAAGAAGGAAACTAGATGTCAATCAGAATATGATCACAACAGTAAGCTTCTGAGTTTCCTACAATATATCATATAATGATATAGGATGATGTATCCTGTGATCTGGGCTCAGAATTGGCAGTTAGGGATATAGGTTTTAATTCTATTTCTGTGCCTATGAACCAGGTACAATGGCGAAGTGAATTGTAAATAATAATTATAAATCAAATTTATTAATCATGTGCTATGAACTATATGCTGTACATTATTCAAATACATGACAAGTATCTCATTTCATTTAGCAAAGGTTATCATATGTGACTGAAAAAATAAGTGATAAAAATAATTTCCGTTTTTGGGAAAGAAAACTTCATTTAATTCCCATGGAAATTCCAGAGGGTTGGAGAACATAGTGGTCTTGTTCACATCTGAATCCTTAGCATCTAGCTAACACACCTATAGGCATATAATACATGCACAATAAATACTTGTTATAGGAATAAGTAAATAATTTAATTAATGAATACCTCTTCACAAGAACCCTGAAAGTTATGTATTATTTGAACCTTGAAAGTTATGTATTAAATATGAATGTAAATATTATTCATATTTCTATAGAAGTGAGAAAACTGATATTTAAAGAGGTTTAGTAAAATACTTTCTGTTGTGAAACATTGCTAGGCAGCCGGTCATCACAAGTGTTTGAAAACAAACTCAGGCCAATGTATTTCCAGGTATATCATAAGTAATGATTCTGGCTTCCTTTGTTTGTTGGTGGTAATAGGAGTGATGAAGAAAACAATTCAAGTGATTTAATTACCCAGGTAATGATTGCCATTTTGCGTTTTTTTTTTTTTTTTTAACGTAGAGCTAATCTGTGATCTGGCTGCTCATGTTCTAATGTAGCATTCTGGTAACTCCACCTCTAGTCTAATACGGTTGTAAAACACATTGTACTGTGGTGTTTCATTGTGTTTTGTTGTGTGTTTTATTTTATTGTTCCTAGTAATACAAACCATAGAAGGAAGACCAGGTGATGATCTGTGTGTTTTTACTTAATCTCAAAACTTTCTGTAACGTCCCACATTTAGGAGAAGACACAGACAAGATGAAAACTTTAAGCCATTTGGGCTTAGAGTTATCAACACATTTCAAGCATATAAGATTGAGATCACTGTTTACAAACTCTCTGGTTGTTAAAAGGAGTCTTGAGAGGATTGCTTATAGAAGTAATTAAATGTGTTGATTGGCTATCTACCAATGCCTACCTCAATTCATTTACAGTTTGACACTTTGAAGCTGTGATTTGGTAAACTTGAGTCCCCAGTCCAAAGAGACTCCTATAAACAGCATCTCTCTCACATTACTCTTATTTGCCAAACTTCAGAGTAAATAGAGACCAGAGGGCATCATTAACACATCTGCTCTTTGGCTTTGATGATGATGGGAAATAACTTCACACTAGAAGTCACTGGGGAAGTAGGTGTACTTAGTGGAGAGAGGAAAACATTTATCACCAAACTTTATATGAGGAAACAAATACCTGGGGAATTCTCAGACTATTAAGCAAAGGCCAAATGTAAACCTGAGAAAGAAAACTTTAGCTGATGCACGATAAGCAAGACAGTGACCTGTGCCTTAGTCTATATACTTATTTGATGTAAATGTTTATAGATTTGGCACATGAGCAAAGAGCAAGGAGTTTCTTATCTGGAAGATAACAGAAGTTTCAGGAAAACCATTCAACTAACATCACTCCTCAGCCCTGGTTGGCTGATACAGGAAACCCTTAATTAAATACTCATTTGGTTTGTCCCTTAATAAGTAATTTCAAAAATTAAAATTATAGATATACTGCATATATTGAATAAGGTAAGCTCCTCTGCCAGAAGAGGGAATAATACAGAATAAGGCCAACTTTTTTCTTAGTAGCAAGAATTTGCCTGTGTTTGGCTGTTGCCTTTATCACCAGTCTCTAGTGGATTGTGACTGTGGGTTGTTAGGAGTCCCTGTGCTTTTACTTTCCTTGATGGTTGGCACTGACCATAGTCTCCCTGGTCCTTCTCAAGCCCACTATAAGATCTTGTTGCCCCAAACACCTTTCTTGCCACTAGGGCAATTGAAAAGCTGAAATAGTGCATTCTGATATTTCATTAATAAACATTTTTAAAAAAAATTTGGGGGGACAAATGTAGGTTTATTCAATACTTTCTATTATCACTATATTTTCTAAATGAAAGGAGCATATTAATCTTGGAAATTCAGGAAGGACATAATCTTAGACAACAAACAGTCTATTAAATTGAATAAGTTTTCCGATATGAAAAGCTCACCACATTGTTTTGATTTTCTCACTTTACAATTACCTATAAAAAGTTTGTCACAACTAACACCAATCTTCATACTGAGAGGATTTGGGAATCCCTGACTTAGACGATCAAGGTACCATTAGTTTGAGAAAATATTAAAACACTGAAATCTCAAGAACTAACTTCAGAAATAAAGTTTTTCCTTGCTGGTTTAAAATTGTTGCATTCTAGTCAATATGTCTTTTTTCTCTCCCTTCCTTGACAAATGTTCATCAAGCAGCAACCCTGTACCAGGCTCTGTGGCAGGGACGGGGTATGAATGAGGCTGCCTACAGGAGCTCACAGCCGAGGCTTCTGAGTGAAGTGTTAAACATTGTAGTCTTCATAATTCCTCTAAAATTTTAACCTACTATATATACTGAAAAGCTTAGAATTCCTTTTTATTAAAGATCTAAATCAATGGTTCTTAGAACTGCATTCATTTCAAAGAAACCAAGTCATGTATTAAAATTGCAGATTTCTGAGTCTCAATCCCATCCTCCCAAATAATTTCAATGCAGTTAGGGATCCAACACAGGCCCAGGTAAAAGGCCATAAGTCAAATCTAGTTAATGGTTTCAGAATATACGTTTTAATAACTTTGCTTTTAAAATTGTATTATATTAATAAAGAATACACTTTTTTTGCCAAAATTAAACCCACATAGGCACATTCTCTTAAATTTAATTGGGGATAAAATTATGAATCCCTACAGTATTCTCACAGTTGACCCTACTTCCTGAGACAGGAAAGTGGGTAGAGTTTGTAGCCCGATATGGTTAGGTTTGTGTCCCCACGCAAATCTCATTTTAAATTGTTATTCCCCATAATTCCCATGTGTCAAGGGAAAGAATGGGTAGGAGGTCATTGGATCATGGTGGCTGTGTTCCCCATGCTGTTCTCGTGATGGTGAGTGTGTTCTCTTAAGATCTGATGGTTTTATAAGTGTCTGATAGTTCCTTCTACATACGCTCTTTCTCTTCTGCCACCTTGTGAAGAAGAATGTGTTTGCTTCCCCTTCCGCCATGATTATAACTTTCCCAAGCCTCCCCAACCATGTGGAATTGTGAGTCAATTATACCTCTTTTCTTTATGAATTACCCAGTCTTGGGTAGTTCTTTTTAGCCATGTGAAAATGGACTAACACATAGCCTGACAGACTTGGGCTCAAATCTTACCTCTAACATTTATTAATTGTGTCCCCTTGGACACCTTATTATTTATTATTTATCCAGCTAAAAAACATACAGTGAGTGACTTTCTCTGTGCCAAACATGATGCTAAGTACAGCAGTACTTAATAAATCACTGTCCCTAGCTTCTGCAATTCACTGTCCAGTGAGGGCAGAGGGCACCACAATCAATACATGCACTGACAGGGATGGGCGTGGGATATTTTGAGAGTTCAGAGAGACACTTACCTGGCCTGAGGGGATAACAGAATGCTTCCTGGAGAGTAATCCTCAAGATGAGCCTTTTCAGTTGAGTAGATGTCAGCCAGTTACAGCGAGGGACCTGGGGGAGGCATTTCAGGCATATAGGGCTGCAGGAGCAAAAACAGAAAGGACAGAAAGCATGGGAGCAACAAAGAGAACCGGGATTTTAACCCCGGCTGACGTGGTTCCAAAGCCTGAGCTTGTCTCCATATGCCAGGGTGATTCAGAGTGCTCTACACTAGTGTGCTTCAGAGATTACACAGAGTTCTCATGAAGCTTAATTACATTGGTGGATAATAGGTGTTTTGCAGATTGATATCAAAATATAAATTACTTTTATAGCTTTACAATTTATGTATTTATAGATTATGTGCTATATAATTATATATACATATACCAATAATTTCTTATATAAATTATCTTATGTGTATATATACATGCTATATAAAATTTTTTCAAAATAAAATCCCCCCAGTTTCTCAAATAACTGACATATCACAGATTATGCACAAATGTGCCACCAGGTTACTTCCTTTTGCATAAAGCTTGAAATAGATCTTCTTCTGCTATCCTTTTTTGCATAATTATAATTGTAAAATTTGTTAGGAAGGAGGATACTGGGATTCCACACTAGTTTTTGTTTTTTAAAGAACTGACATGTAATGTCTGTGTATGTTAACATCTCTGTGTGCAGTACCATAGCATATGCTGAGTAAACACCACTATAGCATACACCAATAAAATGACAGAGAATACCACTAATAATATATGTTCACCAAGGGATTTTACATGTTAAGATCCATGCTAGGCGATAACTTCTCATCTAGTAATCAACAATCTACTGAAGGAGGTGAGATCATTGCCCTCACTTTATAGCTGAGTAAATGAAGGTTTTGCATTTTTAAATAACTTTGTCCAAATAATAGCTGATAAATATTGGAGTCAGAAATGCAGACCCATGGCGTCTAGCTCCCAAGCCTGCCCTTCTCACCACAGATCATCTTCGATAATGAGGGCTTGAATATTTTCATTAATTAAAATCTCCCTAGGAGCAGCCTGGCTTGAAAAATACTACTTTACCACATCACATTGTTAAAACATTGATCAAAAAACAAATTTTAGAGTTTGGCATCTCTGTGATTTCTTATCTGACTTGTACATTTATTAAGAGGGATACCGAGGGATTCCTGGACAAGATGGCCAAATAGGAACAGCTCCAGTCTGAAGCTCCCAGTGAGACCAATGCAGAAGGCTGATGATTTCTGCATTTCTAACTGAGGTAACTGGTTCATCTCACTGGGAATGGTTAGAGAGTGGGTGCAGCCCACGGGGTGAGCAGAAGCAGTGTGGGGGCATTGCCTCACCCGGGAAGTGCAAGGGGTTAGGGAACTCCCTCCCCTAGCCAAGGAAAGTCTTGAGGGAATGTGCCATGAGGGACAGAGCTATCCAGCTCAGATACGACACTTTTTTCACAGTCTTCACAACCCACAGACCAGGAGATTCCCTTGGGTACCTACACCACAAGGTCCCAGGGTTTCAAGCACAAAACTGGGTGGCCATTTGGGCAGACACCGAGCTAGCTGCAGAAGTTTTTTTCATATCCCAGTGGCACCTGGAATGCCAGCAAGACAGAACCATTCACTCCCATGGAAAAGGGGATAAAGCCAGGGAGTCAAGTGGTCTTGCTCAGAGGGTCCCTCTCCCATGGAGCCCAGCAAGCTAAGATCCACTGGCTTGAAATTCTCACTGGCAGCACAGCAGTCTGCAGTCAACCTGGGACACTCGAGCTTGGTGTTGGGAGGGGCGTCCACCGTTACTGAGGCTTGAGTAGGCTGTTTTCCCCTCACAGTGTAAACAATGCCTCCTGGAAGTTTGGACTGAGCACAGCCCACTGCAGCACAGAAAAGTAGCTGTAGCCAGACTGCCTCTCTAGATTCCTCCTCTATGGGCAGGACATCTCTGAAAGAAAGGCAGCAGCCTCAGTCAGGGCCTTATAGATAAAACTCCCATCTCCCTGGGACAGAGCACCTGGGGGAAGGGGCAGCTGTGGGAGCAGCTTCAGCAGACTTAAATGTTCCTGCCTGCCAGCTCTGAAGAGAGCAGCTTATCTCCAAGCACAGTGCTCAAGCTCTGCTAAGGGACAGACGGCCTCCTCAAGTGGGTCCCTGACCCCCATGCCTCCTGTCTGGGAGACTCCTCCCAGAAGGAGTTGAGAGACACGTCATACAGGAGAGCTCCAGCTGACATCTGGCAAGTGCCCCTGTGAGACAAACCTTCCAGAGGAAGGAGCAGGCAGCAATTTTTGCTGTTCTGCAGCCTTGGCTGGTGATACCCAGGCAAACAGGGTCTGGAGTGGACCCCCAGCAAACTCCAGCAGATCAGCAGTAGAGGTGCCTGACTCTTAGAATGAAAAACAGAAAGCAATAGCATCAACATCAACAAAAAGGATGACCATGCAAAAACTCCATCCAAAGGTCACCAACAGCAAAGACCAAAGGTAAATAAATCCATGAAGATGAGGAAAAGCCGGTGCAAAAAGGCTGAACATTTCAAAAACCAGAATGCTCTTCTCTTCCGAAGGATCACAACTCCTTACCAGCAAGGGAACATAACTGGACAAAGAATGAGTTTGACGAACTGACAGAAGTAGGCTTCAGAAGGTGGGTAATAACAAACTCCTCTGAGCTAAAGGAGCATGTTTTAACCCAATGCAAGGAAGCTAAGAGCCTTGATAAAAGGTTAGAGGAATTGCTAACTAGAATAACCAATTTAGAGAAGAACATAAATAACCTGATGGAGCTGAAAAGCACAGCATGAGAACTTCGTGAAGCATACACAAGTATCAATAGCCGAATCGATCAAGCAGAAGAAAGGATATCAGAGATTGAAGATCAACTTAATGATATAAAGTGTAAAAACAAGATTAGAGAAAAAGAATGAAAAGGAATGAATAAAGCTCCCAAGAAATATGGGACTATGTGAAAAGACCAAACCTACATTTGATTGGTGTACCTGAAAGTGACAGGGAGAATGGAACCAAGTTGGAAAACACACTTCAGGATATTATGCAGGAGAACTTCCCCAACCTAGCAAGACAGGCCAACATTCAAATTCAGGAAATACAGAGAACACCACAAAGGTTCTCCTCGAGAAGAGCAACCCCAAGTCACATACTCATCAGATTCACCAAGATTGAAATGAAGGAAAAAATGTTAAGGGCAGGCAGAGAGAAAGCTTGGGTTACCCCCAAAAGGAAGCCTGTCAGACTAACAGTGGATCTCTCTGAGAAAACCTACAAGCCAGAAGAGAGTGGGGTCAATATTCAACATTCTTAAAGAAAAGAATTTTCAACCCAGAATTTCATATCCAGCCAAAGTAAGCTTCATAAGTGAAGGAGAAATAAAATCCTTTACAGACAAGCAAATGCTGAGGGATTTTGTCCCATCAGGCCTTCCTTACAAGAGCTCCTGAAGGAAGAACTAAATATGGAAAGGAAAAATGGGTACCAGCCACTGCAAAAACAAACCAAAATGTAAAGACCATTGACATTATGAGGAAACTCCATCAACTAATGTGCAAAATAACCAGCTAGCATCATAATGACAGGATGAAATTCAAACATAACAATATTAACCTTAAATGTAAATGGGCTAAATGCCCCAATTAAAAGGCACAGAGTGGCTAACTGGATAAAGAGTCAAGACCCATCGGTATGCTGTATTCAGGAGACCCATCTCACATGCAAAGACACACATAGGCTCAAAATAAAGTCATTGAAGAAGACTTACCAAGCAAATGAAAAGCAAAAAAAGGTAGGAATTGCAATTCTAGTCTCTGATGAAACAGACTTTAAATGAACAAAGATCAAAAGAGACAAAGAAGGGCATTACCTTATGGTAAAGGAGTCAATACAACAAGAAGAGCTACCTATCCTAAATATATGTGCACCCAATACAGGAGCATCCAGATTCAAAAAGCAAGTTCTTAGAGACCTACAAAGAAACTTAGACTCCCACACAATAATAGTGGGAGACTCTAACACCCCACTGTCAATATTAGACACACATCAACAAGACAGAAAATTACCAAGGATATTCAGGACTTGAACTCAGCTCTGGACCAAGCAGACCTAATAGACATCTACAGAACTCTCCACCCCAAATCAACAGAATATACATTCTTCTCAGCACCACATAGCACTTATTCTAAAATCAACCACATAATTTGAAGTAAAACACTCCTCAGCAAATGCAAAGGAACGGAAATCAAAACAAACAGTCTCTCAGACCACAGTGCAATGAAATTAGAACTCAGGATTAAGAAACTCACTCAAAACCACACAACTATATGGAAACTGAACAACCTTCTCCTTGAAAGACTACTGGGTAAATAACAAAATTAAGGCAGAAATAAATAAGTTATTTGAAACCAATGAGAACAAAGACACAACGTACTAGAATCTCTGGGACACAACTAAAGCAGTGTTTAGAGGGAAATTTAAAGCACTAAATGCCCACAAGAGAAAGCAAGAAAGATCTAAAATCGACACCCTAACATCACAATTAAAAGAACTAGAGAAGCAAGAGTAAACAAATTCAAAAGCTAGCAGAAGAGGAGAAATAACTAAGATTAGAACAGAAGTGAAGGAGATAGAGACAAAAATCCTTCAAAAAATCAATGCACCCAGGAGTTGGTTTTTTGAAAAGATTAACAAAATAGACCGCTAGCCAGACTAATAAAGAAGAAAAGAGATAATAATCAAATAGACACAATAAAAAATGATAAGGGGGATATCACCACTGATCCCACAGAAATACAAGCTACCATCAGAGAATACTATAAACAACCCTACACACACACACACACACACACACACACACACACACAAATCTAGAAAATCTAGAAGAAATGGATAAATTCCTGGACATATACACTCTCCCAAGAGTAAACCGGGAAGAAGTTGAATCCCTGAATAGACCAATAACAAGTTCTGAAACTGAGGGAGTAATTAATAGCCTACCAACCAAAACAAACAAACAAACAAAAAGCCCAGGACCAGATGGATTCACAGCCGAATTTTACCAGAGGTACAAAGAGTAGCTGGTATGATTCCTTCTGAAACTATTCCAAATAATAGAAAAAGATGGATTCCTCTCTAACTCATTTTATGAAGCCAGCATCATCCTGATACCAAAACATGCCAGAGACGCAACAAGAAAAAGAAAATTTCAGGCCAATATCCCTGATGAACATTGATGCAAAAATCCTCAACAAAATACTGCCAAACCGAATCCAGCAGCATATCAAAAAGCTTATCCACCGCAATCAAGTCAGCTTTGTCCCTTGGGTACAAGGCTATTTCAACATACACAAATCAATAAATGTAATCCATCACATAAACAGAAACAATGACAGAAACCACATGATTATCTCAATAGATGCAGAAAAGGCCTTCAATAAAATTAAACACCCTTCATGCTAAAAACACTCAATAAACTAAGTATTGATGGAACATATCTCAAAATAATAAGAGCTATTTATGACAAACCCACAACCAATATCATACTGAATGGACAAAAGCTGGAAGCATTCCCTTTGAAAACCGGCACAAGACAAGGATGCACTCTCTCAACTCTCCTATTCTACGTAGTATAGGAAGTTCTGACCAGGGCAATTAGGCAAGACAAAGAGATAAAGGTATTCAAATAGGAAGACAGGAAGTCAGATTGTCTCTGTTTGCAGGTGACATGAATGTATATTTAGAAAACCACATCGGCTCAGCCCAAAAACTCCTTAAGCTGATAAGCAACTTCAGCAGTCTCAGGATACAAAATCAATGTGCAAAAATCACAAGGATTCCTATACAACAATAATAGACAGAGACCCAAATCATGAGTGAACTCCCATTCACAATTGCTACAAAGAGAATAAAATACCTAGGAATACAGCTTACAGGGGATGTGAAAGACCTCTTCAAGAACTACAAACCACTGCTCAATGAAATAAGAGAGGACACAAACAAATGGAAAAACATTCCATGCTCATGGAAAGGAAGAATCAATATCATGAAAACGGCCATACTGCCCAAAGTAATATATAGATTTAATGCTATTCCCGTCAAGCTATCATTGACTTTCTTTACAGAATTAGAAAAAAACTACTTTAAATTTCATGTGGAACCAAAAAAGAGTGTGTATAGCCAAGACAATCCTAAGCAAAAAGAACAAAGCTGGAGGCATCATGCTACCTGACTTTGAACATGCTGCAAGGCTACAGAAACCAAAACAGCATGGTACTGGTACCAAAACAGGTATATAGACCAATAGAACAGAACAGAGAACTCAGAATTAACACCACACATCTATAACCATCTGATCTTTGACAAATCAAACAAAAGCAAGCAATGGGGAAAGGATTCCCTATTTAATAAATGGTGTTAGAAAACTGGCTAGCCATATATAGAGAACTAAAACTGGACCTCTTCCTTACACCTTATACAAAAATTAACTCAAGATGGATTAAAGATTTAAAGTAAGATCTAAAACCATAAAAACCCTAGAAGAAAACCTAGGCAATACCATTCAGGACATAGGCATGGACAAAGACTTTATGACTAAAACACCAAAAGCAATGGCAACAAAAGCCAACATTGATAAATGGGATCTAATCAAACTAAAGAGCTTCTGCAGAGCAAAAGAAACTATCATCAGAGTGAACAGGCAACCTACAGAATGGGAGAAAAATTTTGCAGTCTATCCATCTGACAAAGGACTAATATCCAGAATCTACAAGGAACTTACAACAAATTTCCAAGAAAAAAAAAACCCATCAAAAAGTGGGCAAAGGATATGAACAGACACTTCTGAAAAGAAGACATTTATGCAGCCAACAAACATATGAAAAAAAGCTCATCATCACTGGTCATCAGAGAAATGCAAATCAAAACCACAATGAGATACCATCTCACACCAGTTAGAATGGCAATCATTAATAAGTCAGGAAACAACAGATGCTGGAGAGGATGTGGAGTAATAGGAATGCTTTTACACTGTTGGTGAGAGTGTAAATTAGTTCAACCATTGTGGAAGACAGTGTGGCGATTCCTCAAGGATCCAGAACTAGAAATACCATTTGACCCAGCAATCCCATTACTGGTTATATACCCAAAGGATTATAAATCATGCTACTATAAAGTCACTTGCACATGTATGTTTATTGCAGCACTATTCACAATAGCAAAGACTTGGAACCAACCCAAATGCCCATCAATGTTAGACTGGATAAAGAAAACATGGCACATGTACACCATGGAATACTGTGCAGCCATAAAAAAGAATGATTTCATGTCTTTTGCAGGGACATGGATGAAGCTGGAAGCCATGATTCTCAGCAAACTAATACAGGAACAGAAAACCAAACAGCGCATGTTCTCATTCATAAGTGTGAGTTGAACAATGAGAACATATGGGCACAGGGAGGGGGAACATCACACACCGAGGCCTGTCAGTGGGTAGGGGGCAAGAAGAGGGATAGCATTAGGAGAAATACCTAATGTAGATGATGGGTTGATGGGTGTGGCAAACCACTATGGCCCATGTATACCTACGTAACAAACCTTCACGTTCTGTACATGTATCCTGATACTAAAAGTATAATTAAAAAAAGATGGATACCTGCCATTGATAAATCATTGTGGGTGGCCTAATTTTAAGCTCCTACATCACTTTAATTTATAAATATGTTGAGAACATTTTAATTTGTGTGAGTCAATAATGTCTTCCCACTGTAAAAAATGAAAGAAACAAAGGAAATGCTGAAGCTAATGTGAATCACAACAGAACCAGCCTCAATGGAATGAATGTTAGAGCAGCCTAAGTTCACTGGGAGCTTAAAGGCTTGAGGCAGGAGGTTTAGGAGGAAGAGAGATATGGAGAAGAAGGTGAGGATCTGTCAAGTTTACTTACAATATTTTTAATATCTGGCCACGTACTCAGTGAATTATATTAAAGCACTTTGGAAAATGCATACGTACTTTATCTTTTTAAAAAAGCAAAAGACAAAAAACAAAACTCTCAATCTGATTCTTACATCATCTACATTTTGAGTGCATATCTCAACTACTAAATAATAATTTTGTCAGTACACTTTATCATCTACTAAATTTAGAACCATAAATCATTCTGAATGTTTCTTTACACCTTTAATATTCAGGTTCTTCTTGGGAACTAAAGGGACACTGTGGCTCATCAGAATGGACAAGGAATTGGAGTTTATCTGGTTTGCACTACTTTTTTGGCAAATATTTATGAGTCTCTAAAGATTGGATTATTGACTTCAAGAACTGACTTCAAAATCAAGATGGACTCCAGTTCACTGATCTCTTAAGACGGCATTATTATTATTGCTAATAAATCAGTTCCAACAAACTTCCTTGCTAACACTTCTTTTACTGATCTGGAGTGGAAATTTATATGAATATTCCTCTTTGAGAAGAGGGTGGAGGTTGAGACCGTTTTGATTGCAAGTTATCTTGACCTGGGGAAGGAGTGTCATTGAAATTGCTTTCTTGGTATTTGCTATAATCTTGTATGTCAACTTAAGGTTCTTTCTGTGGATGCAACCAAAAGCTATTCTCAAGAGGAATTAATTAGCAGGCTATCTGGGATTCGTGGAATCCATGCTGGATAACTGAATTTGGAAATGAACAGACAGGTGGGTAGTTCTGGAGTCTGGGAAGAAAGAAACCTTGATATTAACATGAGCAGTCTGCTCATGATCTTACCGCTTGGATAAAATGGACACCCACATGATTTCATTGTTTTCTGCTAATTATTCTGCTAAGAATCACTGTTTCTATCCCTTTGTTAGAGATTCAAATTCTAGAGAAAATTCTGAAAATATCAGTAATTTACTCATCTGTTTAGTTAAAGGGAGAGGCAGGGGGTCAATCTTTTTATTATAGTTCCAATGAACTATAACTAGTTGGAATAAAAAACACCTCAAAAGTGAATTGGATTCCAGTTGTTATATAGACTCCGGAAAATCAAAAGACAAAAACACCTTTCATGAGGAAAGGGAAGCTACAGCAAAGCTGGGAATATGGAAAGACGAAGCAAGCCTTTCTTTTTGTTTTGCTGAGAGGGGCAGTTATTACTTATTATGAATATTAAAAACAGAACCTACAATAAAAATAGACTGTAAGAGCTTTAGTACCGAGTGAAAAATGTAAAATTATTTGAGTCATGAACTTGTCCCAAGATAAATGTGGAATCAATGCTAAAACCTGTATAGTACTTTAAAGTAAATGTAAGATAAGACAAAGATGATTGTTATTACCATTATCAATACTGATTTAGAAATTCTAACTAATGAAGTACAGTAAGGAATATAAATCAGAATCATAATTATTGGAAAGAAGATAAAACTTAGCCTTGTTTGAGGATAACATGATTTGTATAATGAAAACCCAAACGAGTCAACTGAAAAGCTAATATAAACTTTATTATATAACCAGCAGTAATGATTACAAAGAAAACATAATGGTTTTAGAAAAAAATTCAGAATAGGCAAAACATACATAGAGAAAAGCACAAAACACTTCAGAGTAATCTTAAGAAGAATTATGGGAGCAAATGAAGAACAGCACATAAAATTACTGTAAAGTATAGAAAACTCACTAAATGCTTGTTTCCTTTTTAAAATTTGACAGACTGGACTCACAGGTGAAAAAAGTCAAACTGGTCTCACAGGTGAAAAAAACTCTTTTGAAACTGAGAGTGATTAGGGACACTACTTATTTAGTCTTGTGTGTACTAAATTAAAAACATAAAACATAATGTTTTTAAAAGTACTAGAGCAAAAATTGATACAGATCATTGAAACAAAATATATACTCCAGAAACAGACTATAATTTCTGGAAGGATTTCACATATCCTCCGGAGATCCTCAGATTTGTAAACAGAAATTTATACGCAGCAGTGTGCATTTAGTTACGTTTAAAATCATTTGCCTTACCCTAACTTATTCATGAGCAGAAGGTAAATCCAAATCCCCAGTGATACTCAATCTGAAACAGACCATGTGAAGTTTGTATTCATCAGCTCAATTGCTGATGAATGCTTGTAATTTAGAATGTTTGCCCACTTCCTTTAGAGAATCTTATTTGAAACCATTATTTGTTCCTCTTTTGTATTTTTATATATGCCATCTAAATAGCCATGGTACATCTAGTCTGATTATACTTCTTGTTGGCCCTCATGTTTAGCTACTTTGATGGATGACTGCTTCTCCTTCTGTGTATTGTGGAGCCCAGCAAAGTGAATTTGTTTAATACCAGGTAGCCTGTGTTTTGAACCCTATCATGCCAGATATGACCTTAAGACATGGTAAAATCCTTCTAGACATTTTCATGACTTCAGTGGCAGGTAAAAAGCAGGAATTTCATTTAATTTATATTATTTTTAGAAAAGTTAGAAACAACTGGAATTAACAATAGGGAATGGTTAAAAATATATTTGTACATCTGTGCAGTCACGTTATACAGCCACAAAAAGGGATTACTCATAGCTCAAACCTCAGCATCATGCATTATATTTAGTTAATATGTGCACATATGCCCCGACTCCAAAATAAAAGTTGAAAAAGAGAAATATTAATATAAAATAAAGAATTTTAGATGATATAATCCTTACCAGGAAGTATACTATGAATAACATTTTTTTAATTTCATTTGGTTTGTATATATTTTATTTTTATATTTTCCTTTATTTTTCAAATTTCTTAGAAGCATGAGAATCAGAAAAACATAATTTAAAAATGTGAAGATCAAGATATTTAAGGATTGGAATATATATTAACAATACAAATAAATTATGTGTCAACAATTATTTAGCGGTAACATTTAATGTGTGTACTTTTAGTTGATTTTACTAAAAGACTTATACACATATGTGACCAGGACATGTATACGTATATGACAAAATCATTCTGATTTGCATCCTCAAATTCAGCCCTATAGTTTCCACCACTGAACAGCTGACTAAGGTACCACAGTAAACTCATGGCAGTTCTTCTAAGGGCAGGAAAAGTTATATAAAATGTAGGCCTTTAAATACTGGATTTGCAAAGTTCCATTATGTGTGGTAAGAATGGAAAAGCGTATACCTACTATGTCCCAAATAGGAAATTACCTATAAGCATCATAATTTAACTCACCATACATACTTTGACTCAAGTAACTGATTTAAAAAAAAATCCATGTGGTTGGTGCATGTGGTTCGTTATGTTGTGTTCATAAATATGATCATCAACCGATTTGCAAAACAGTAAAATATAATAATTCTATGAACTCAATTCCAAAAATAATTTACACCTGGATGAATCTTTTTGGAAAATTTTACCAAACAGCATCATCTTCAGTGCTTTTCTAAACCAAGGATAGAAAAATGCATAAACCATTGGATTAAATGTAGAGTTCAAGTAGCCAAACCAAATCAATACATCATTCAAAGTAGGTGGAATAATGTAGTGAAGAAAAGGGTCCATGACTGTACAGATAAAGAAAGGGCACCAGCATATTAGGAAAACTCCCATCACAATCCCCAATGTCTTCACAGCTTTCCTTTCTTTGCTTTGTGAAATTCCATTTTTCATTTCCAATCCAATTTGGAGCTTCTGATTGGCATCACTAATTAATCTTGCCTGTTCTTTAGCGATAAGATATATTCTGTAATAGACACATAACATAATAGATCCAGGTATATAAAAAGAAGTCATAAAGGTCAGTACCCCAGATATTTTGCTAAAGAAGACAGAGCAACCTCCTCTGCAGTGAACATGTTTGTAATATATCTCTTCAGCGCCTTTGAAGTTTAGCTCCAGAAAGATCATTCCAAATGCAAAAACAGCAGGGACACTCCAACTAATGAAGATCATCACACAAATAACCAAGATATTCATCTTGGCTTTATATCTCAGTGGATCACACACAGCATAGTAGCGGTCAATGGAGATGAAAGACAAATGGAAAATGGAGGCTGAGCTCAGCATAATGTCGGTGCTTGTGTGAATTTTACAGAAGACTTCTCCAAAATACCAACAGTGCTCAGCAGATCTCACCATACTGTAAGGCATGACCAGACACCCCAGAAGAAAGTCCACAGTGGCCATGGAATGAATGAGCCAATTTGTTGGGGTATGAAGTTGTTTGAAGTGTGATATAGAAACAATAACTATCAGATTGCCAACGAGTGTGGTCAGAATTATGAGCACCATTAAACTGTACAGGGAAGCACGGACATCATTTGACCAGTTGTTTTTCACACAGGAAATATTAATTATATTGTGGCAAAAGGGCATCATTCCTGAGGGCTGTCAATCAGTTTACTTTTCCCTTTGTGTGTTGATTTATCTTTTTCCCAAATCCATAATCAGGTTACAGTTCCTTCTCATGTTTATTTTTTATTTGCACATACTTATCCCAGAAACCTAGGAGGAAAAATAAAAGAGTAAATCATTGGCAATTTGAGTCCTCTCACTTCTAAAACATTTACCTATTACTCTCTGTTGAAGAATAGTTATTTTGGAAGGGACTTTATTTCCAAGTTCCATTCAATAGTTCAGTACAGCAATTTTTAAAAAACTTTTACCTGGAGCTGGACATTCTTCTAGAAATATGAAGCTAAATTATTAGGTTGAACTATATGAAACTGCCACATTTGTAGGTCAGAGAAGATCAAATGATGATTATGATCACACATCTTAATCTATGGAAACAATCTGTGTCCATAGGAAGCCAGTCTAGTGGGGGAGACTTACATTGTAAAGGGTAGAAAGAAATTGCCAGAAAATTTGGAATTAAAATATGTTTATGAAAAAGACAAGAAGTCTTTTAAATGTGCCTCTTGTGCAGAATTAATACGCACTATGCCCACTTCTGCACTTGGTCATACGTAAATTATATATTTCTTATTTTATAATTAATTGTAATAAGAAGAAGCTTACATATATTTATTTGCAGCTTGCAAAGTACTTCTACATATATTCCATGCATTATTTCAGTTACAGTTTTATTTGACATTTATAAGACCAACATCATTTTTTGTAAGGAAGACATGACATGCTTCATTAACCTCATTTTACTGGCAAGAAATTGAAGTTTAATTCACAAATCATTAAAGCTTGAATATGAGCTGTGGTCTCAATTACTAGTTCAGTTTCTTTGATATCAGTCCAGTCTTTCTCTCTATTGCAGAAAGAACCAACTTGAGGTCAATTTTTAAAAATTAAGCTTTAAATTTTCATATAAGAATTTATGATGTCTTAAATAATGGCACCTACTAGTGAAGAATGATATTGTGGTCCCACTTATTAAGGATTTTTGATATACAGACTAAAGTCTATGGTAAGAAGTGAAGTGGCATGGTGCAAAGAGCACTGAGGTGAGAGCCCAGGGAAGCTGAGTTTCCATGTGGGCCGTGGGCAAGGCACACAACCTTTTTAGTTTTTAAGTTCTGAAATCCAATAAATCTCACTTTATAAAACAGGTAAAAAAAATTATTATGAGTAGGCATCTTCTACTAGGCCTCCTCTTCTTGTACTTCACTGAAGAACCTCAAAGTTCCAGGGGACTCAGTTTGAAACTGTCCCTTTTGTTTCTATATGACCCTGTAATTCTGAGCTAAATTCTAGAACTTGGACTTACACACACACATACGCATGCACACACACACACACACACACACACACACACATATATAACACATACACAGACATGTACATATATATAAAGAGAAGAGGGGGGAGAGAGAGAGAAAGGAAGAAAGAAAAGAGAGAGAAAGAAAGGAAGAAGGAAGAAAGGAAGGGAGGGAGGGAGGAAAGGAGAGGAGGAGGGAAGGAAGGAAGAAAGAAAAAAGAAAGGAAGGAAGGAAGGAAGGAGAAAGGAAAGAAAGAAAGAGAAAGAAAAAAGAAAGAAAGAAAAAGGAAAGAAAGAAAGAAAGAAAGAAAGAAAGAAAGAAAGAAAGAAAGAAAGAAAGAAAGAAGAAAGAAAGGAAGGAAGGAAAGAAGGAAGGAAGGAGAAAGAGCTTGGGGAAGAGTACAAATTTCTGGCAATGAAGTCCTATAGTCTATCACTTTGGTAGGAAAATGCTAGAAAACAGCAACAATTCCTAGAATTCCAGGAGTCTGCCTTCCTTTTTATCTTTTTCCCTTCCCTCTGGGCTGATGGTTTAGAATGAGAGAAATGCAATATCTAGGTATGAAAATGTATATTTTAATAAATTTGGAACATTTTTCCCCTAATCTCCTTTGGTCTTCTATTCCCAGAAGGAAACATATTTATACCAAATAAATCTGTAAGATTTATTTAAAAAGACACACAGGCTCATTCCATGATAGAAGCTAAACAGCAAACAAAAACTGTTATTTAAACTAAGCAATATTTGAATTACGATTATGATTTCATTAAAACAATGATGGATTTCTTACTATGAAATTTAAGTTTGCATTTAACTAAACTCAATCAGTTAAGTTATATATTTTCTAGTTAGACTTTTCCTCCACTATTTCCCTCTCTTTTCCTTCTTTCTTTTACTTATTTGTTGACTTACTAAAGGAACCACACAACACTCAAAATCACTGTTCAGAAGTGTTTATTTATTCCTGACTCTTAAAAACATTTCTTCCTGATGTCATATTGAGTAGGGACTCTCAGTAGGAACTAGGGTTCAAAAAGAAGTAAGGGAAGGTGGAAATAAAGCAAAATACAAATTTCACTTTTAGAAGAGGAAATTCACAGAAGATGAAAACGCCATCTGGCAAATTCATAGGCCTTGTTTTTTGTGGCTCTGACCAAAATGACTCAGAGGTTACCGCAAGCTCATATTTGCACATACTGGTTTAAGAGACATCAAGCCTTAGGCACAGTATCTTAGAAATTGTTGATAGTATGAATGCCACATCTGTAGAATAATTTGTCTGCCCAACTTAAAGAATATTAAACATCATTGTATGAGTGCTTTTTGAAGTGTTATAAATTGTTTTTGAATAGATTTATTTGTTTAAGTGCTCTATGACAACATTGTGAGTTGAAAGCTTATCTAAGGACCTGGCAAAATAGTGTTTTTGTTTCTTTTCTTTCAGCTTTAAGAATTTACAAGCTAGAGATAATTATTATCTGTATATACAAAGTTTCCAGGTTGAATATACAATAGCAATATGGGAAGTTAACAAATTGCTGTTTGATTACCTAACTAAGTAAACAGTTCTGTGTAAATGATCTAATCATCTAATGTTTGAAAATGACATATGAATTAAAAATATGTTGATAGAACTTATAGTTTAAAATAGATCTGTCTAGCAAGGCAGGAAATCCCGGGCAGAGTGCCTCAACTTTCCAACAGAAGGTCATGAACACTAACCCTATCATAAGCTTTGTCCCGGATTCCATTAACCACCCATTCCTAATTGTTCAGAATTTCATCTCTATACTACTCTACTCATTTCCTAATCCAAACCAATTTCCCATTGTGGTATTACTCACAAAACCCTTCCAAGAGTGCCCTTGGGGACTCATGGTCTTTATTCCATTTCCTAAAATTCTTTTTTTAAATCTGCTTCCCACTCTTTGTTCTAACTAAAACTCTCTCTCCTCAGGATACCTTCTCCCCTGCAACCTTGTCAATGGCGGCTGTTTTCTTTCCTACATTCCTTGTACCTCTTCATATTATATGATCTGGAGAAAGAGTAAGTGTCCACTTACACTCATTGCCATTGAAGATCTTTCCACCCTAACCTCTAACCCCTTGCAAGCTTTGAAGTTCATGTCTTCATGCTATACCTCTGTATTAGTCCATTCTCACACTCCTACAAAGAACTGCCTGAGACTGGGTAATTTATAAAGGAAAGAGGTTTAATTGACTCACAGTTCCGCAGGGCTGGGAAGGCCTCAGGAAACTTACAGTCATGGTAGAAGGGGAAGTAAACACATTCCTCTTCACATGGTGGCAGCAAGGAGAAGTGCAGAGTGAAGTGGGGTAAAAGCCCCTTAGAAAACCATCAGATCTCATGAGAACTCACTCACTATCATGAGAACAGCATGGAGGTAGCTTCCCCCATCATTCAATTACCTCCCACCAGGTCCCTTCCATGACACGTGGGGATTATGAGAACTACAATTCAAGATGAGATTTGAGTGGGGACACAAACCATACCAACTTCCTCCTATTGCAGGCATGTACAGACTCCCAAGTCATCTCTCTGTACTTCTTGAAGATATGAGTTCCTGGCTTACTGTCACTGTCCGTAACGCTACTCCTGCTAAAGTTCTTAGCAATTTTATTGTCCACCTAAATGATCCTTCCAATAATGGACTCTTAGTTCATCGACCTCTATCTTTTAACAATCATAGACTCGCCTCCATCTCATCTCACCTTCCATGGTCATATCCCCGGATGTCATTATCAATGACAAGAGTCATCCAAATGATTGGTTTCAAGCTTCACATCCTGTCCTCCCAGCCCATGTGCTTCCTTTCCAACAATTTTTCACTAGTGCTTCCTTTCCAACAATTTTTCAACTCGAAGCCCTCAATTCATTTATTTTACACACCTTTCCACTGTCCTTCATTTACTCATGTCTACCTCTTTACTCAGTTTAGATTCCAGTATTTCCTGGCATTATCTTAAGCTCTCTCACATTAACATACTTTCCTGGCTAAATTTGAACACTGGTTAAATGCAGTTTTCCTCTCACTCCACTCTGGCACACTGAATGTGGCATAGAAAAACACACAATAGCCTTCTTTTAAATTCGTAACAAAAATGGACCATTACAATTGCTCAGGAATCCTACTCCATTTCCCTGTTACATTCATTCCTCTCCTCTCTGAGATGACTATTTCATGCCTTCTTGAATCTCAAATACTTATTCACATCCTTACTCTCACCTAATGACTTTGCATTCTGTTTCACTGAAAAAAGTGATGCAATCAGAAGAGAATGTCCACATCCCTCCAGCCTATACCTGTTTACATATTCAGCCCACTCCCTTATTGCTGCAAATTACTGTAAATGAATGGACTCTCTCCCATCACAGGCCTTTCCTCAGATGTGCCCCATACCCATCTCTTTATGCCTATTCCAAGATATACCCTCCAACTCTCTCTCCCCTGCATCTTCAGTGGTTCTCTTCCAAATACCTTCACTCTCAAATATGCAGTAATACTTTCCACCTTAAAAGAATTATTGAAGCTCACATCTTCTTTCATTTATCGACTACCCCTTTATCAGAAAGGAACCCTTTGAGTCATTTATACTCCCTGTCTCTAATTCCTCTAATCCTATCTCTTAAAATTCACTGTAATGAGAATCTCATCATCAATACTCCACCAAAACAGTTCTTAACCAAGTTATTCTACATTACTAAACCCAGTGGTAAGTTATCAGGCCTCAAGTTCTTGCTTGGCCTTTCAATTCCCCCTTGAAACAATTTCTTCCCTCGGCTCCTGGGTCACCACCCCGCTGTGGTTCTGCTATCTCACAAGCTGCTCTTGTCAGTGGCTGTTACGGTTCTTCTTCATCTCACTGGCACTAAGTCTCAGTCCTCAGTTCCCTTTCCTATTCATAACCACTCCCTTGGTGATTTCATGCTGTATTATGGCATAGTCTACACTCTGATGAGTATCATATGAATACTTCCAGCTTTGACCTTCCCTCTGAACTCTGGACTAGTATTTCCTGCTTCCCACAGGATATCACCACTTAACTTGTCTAAAGCCAAGCCCTTGACCTCCCTCCTGTGCCTAGCTTCTCCTTCTGCTCTCTATATATCTAGAACATGACAACTCTATTCTTGAACGTCCTCCATCCAAAACTTTGAGTTAATTCTTAGCTTCTCGCACTCAACAACATATCCAATTCATCAATAAATGATCTTGGCCCTTCATTAAAAAGTTATCTAGAATCAGATCATTTCTCCTCATTTCTACTACTATCACCATCCTGGTCCAAGCCACCAACAATCTCCAGATTAATCTAATAACCTCCCAGCTGGTTCCCCTGCTTCTTCTCCTGTCTCTCCACAGAAAGTATCCCCAACAAGCAGCCAAAGTGATCACATAAGTACATACATTTTCACATAAATTCTTCCAGAATGGTAGAACATGAGTCTCAAATGTAAAAGAACAGGGGCATAAAAAATATGCCCAGAGCCAATACTGAGACATTGTCAGCCATGCGCCCCTATCAGGCCAAAGAAACCTGCATGGTGACATGCTGCATCTGTGCCTGCCTGATGTTAAGACCACACTTCTCACAATGTCTCCTAGAACTTGATGTAATCCTACAGTAGTGTGTGTATGTGAGGCTGCATTCTGCCCATCTATAACCTACTTAAATTCATCAAGTTCTGTATACTTTCAAGCATGAGTAACTATTTTAATATAAGTGAGTTATTACTGCTATTTTTATAGACAAGGCAGCAAAAACTACAAATCTGGAGCTCTGTGACTGGTACAAGCTAGGTGATTTTTTTTTCCATTGGTGTTCAGAGGAGAGGTTATATGAAATACTTTTGGCCTTCAGGTGAAAAACTAAAAAAGAAGTGATTGAGATATGAATTTTTTTTGGTAAAAGTGTAAATAAAGCTTCTGACTTTCAGATATTCTGCTTTTTTTTTTTTTTCTGAGATGGAGTCTTGCTCTGTCACCAGACTGGAGTGCAGTGGCAGGATCTCAGCTCACTGCAACCTCCTCCAACTCCCTGGTTCAAGCAATTCTCCTGCCTCAACCTCCCTGGTAGCTGGGATTACAGGCGCACACCACCATGCCTGGCTAATTTTTGTACTTTTAGTAGAGGCGGGGTTTCACCATGTTGGCCAGGATGGTCTTGATCTCCTGACCTCGTGATCCGCCTGCCTCGGCCTCCCAAAGTGCTGGGATTACAGGCGTGAGCCACCGCACCTGGCTCAGACATTATTCTTAAGGGAAGTCATCCTTACTGAACCAGAGACATACGAGATAAAAGAAAAGGATAGAAGAATTCCTGGCTTCCCTGAAGCTATATATTTCACAACCTGAACTTGCTTCTATTTTCCCCCTTTTCTTTGGTTTATTTTATATTATTGACTCAAGGACATAGCTTCTAAGCCAATAAGAAGTGATTGGTTTCCTCCTCACCACTCTTTTTTAACAGGTGAGGAGTAGGTAAGAACTCTATGGAAGGTGTGGAGAGTAGGTTCAATAGCTGATATTGAACAAAAGAGAAATTCACCATCAAATAAAAGAAAAGGAGGTCCCCAGAGTCCCCCAAAAGAGGCAATCATAGAGTCAGAGTAGTGGGTGGAGTGCGGGGGAGACAAGGCCTTTTGAAAACTAAGCTGCAAACAGTGGTGTCCTAATGAACAAAGCCTAGGGGAGGCGGCAGTTGTGCAGGTTTGGATGAAGAGGTTCTCAGCATGCCCAGTTCCTACAGGAGAAAATCACCTGAGCTCCAAAGCAGATTTAGGAAAAGATCAAGATCTTCTGCTCCTTCCCCCAAGGAAATTGGCATCCCAACAAGAAAATGACAGTGGAGTGGCCTGTAGTTGCAACAGTGAAGAGCCTTCCACCAGGAATATACTAGTGTGTCCTTACCCGAATGCACAAGCCAAATAGACATGCAAAAGCAGTCACCAAGAAGAAAAATGTGGAGCAGTTAAGTTTCTGGGCAATTCAAAGTAGGGGCCACTTCATACCTTAAAGGAAACTAAGAATAAACAAAATGTCTTTGACCCAGGCAGAAGCCACTATCTCAATGCCTGGTCGGCATGTTTGGGTTTTTGTGTGTGTTATTCTTTGTGTGTGTCTGTTTAAGTGACACTGTTTTTCTTCTGTCTGGTAATTTTGCAGTTACCACATAATGCTAAATTGGAGACAGAGACATGGGACATTATAATCTATGCCAGAATGTGACTTTTTGCTCTAGAACTTTTGATGGCTATCTTGTGCTTGCTTTGATAATAAATAGTCTAAAATACATGATACCCTGATTGATTTGTGGGAGAGAATTTAAAAGAAATATGGACCTAAAATTGCAACTAAACTTTGTGTTAACCTAAATATACTGTTGTTTTACGATCTCTTATTGATCTTGGCTAACGTTATATAAAAGTTGTATGAACCCACAGAAACCATCACACTCAAACCTTTGGTAAACTTTTAATGTTTCATTTGGTTCTTGCCCAATCGGTGACCATCGGAGCATCATAAAGAAAACACTGGTAGCCAATACAACCAGTTTGAGTTTATGAAAGGTCACAAGTCTATGATTGGCAAAGGAGATAAATCATTTAAAATGTTCTGGGAAAAAAACATAAATGCTAGGTGAATCCCTTAAATAGTCCTCAAATATAGAAAATGTTTTCTGGAGACACCTGGTCCCTAGCCTCTCTCTCTCTACACCTGGGATTGGAAACATGTTGACTTTGCATTTGGTTCCCGAACCAAGAAACCCTTAAGTTTTTAACCATGTCCTTAAATGGAAGAATAGTTGTTAGGATCAGATATTCTCAAAAGGTGTTTCAAAGCCCAGCTTTTAAAAGAGCAGTGCTTATAGCAAGAACACACTTTCAAATCTAGCAAGGTTCTATCCTGGATGAGAGTGCTGTTGGCTGTCATGTGTTCGCATCAGTGTTTCTGGGGAAATAGACACTGCTGAAATTTTCTGGTCTCTCGTGCTCTATGTCATGTTCTTATTTAATTTAAGACAGCTGGTAGGTACTTGTATCTATAGCTAACAGTCTAGAATTTAACTTTATAGTAAGTGTAGTTTGGTCTCTTCCTACAAATCTGTAGCCCTAAAATAATGTACCTTTACAGGAACAAATATAGGCTGACCTTAAACTTCTCAGGAACACTGTATCTTTTAATTAAATGGGGCACTGTATACAGAACAATAAGAAAACGTTTGAAACCACAAAATGTTAAATATGGGAAATATGACTTTACGATATATTCAAGGGCTTATAGCACCCATGTATACTTTAAAAAGGAAACAAATTACTTGCAGAGAGGTGTAAGATTCTTATACCTAATACCTCCTAATAATACTCTTAAGGTAATCCTTTGAGAAAGGTATAAGAATTAGGATCTCAAGAATTGGGAAACTGAGCCATGAAAGGACTAATAATGACCTCTGCACAAATTAAGCATCGAATTCACTTTAAAATAATTCTGGCAAATTTTGTTTTAAAATGGAAATATAGTTGATGAAAAGATACATTTTTAAAAAATCAAGAGTGAGGAAAGTCACAGCATTAAAGAATTGGAAGCAAGCATTGTAAATAGATCTGCAGGTGAGAGGAAAACTTCCTCCTGACATCCTCTGACAGCCCAGTCTTCATGACCGCCAAAAAAAATCCTACACCCCTGATATGAGCTAACAATGAAAGTTCAGAAGCCATTTAACAAAATACAGTAGCAGCACAGGGAGGGGCCAAGTCAACTAGAAAAGGCAGCTACTATAGAAGCAGGAAAGTAAGAACTTTAAATAAAATTTAGTAGAAACACATGAGATTAAAAATTAGAGTACAGATAAACATTTGAAACCAAAAGAAATGATACAGACATTTTGAAAACCCATGAAAGAATTATAAAAGAGAATAATCACAACTAAAGACTGAATCACGGATCTGGTGGATAAAATAGAAGAGTCTCACATACATTAAGCCAAAAAACAAAGAAATACAAATTCATTCATTCTTTTTTTTTTTTTTTTTTTTTGAAACAAGGTCTTGCTGTGTCACCTAGCCTGGAGTGCAATGGTGCCATCATGGTTCACTGCAGCCTCAATCTCTGGGGCTCAAAAGATCCTCCTGCCTCAGCCCCCTAAATAGATGGAACCACAGATATGTACCATCAGGAGGTATTTCAAGTTGCCCAGACTGGTCTTGAATGCCTGGGGCTCCAAGCAATCCTCCTGGCTTGGCCTCCAAAAGCATTAGGAATACAGAAGTAAGCCCCCACACCCGATCTGATTTGACTTTTCTAACAGTATCACTCCGATTGCTGCCTTGAGAACAGATGCAGAGAAGCAAAGACATAAGCAAGGAGATCAATTAGGGAGCTGCTGCAACGGAAGCTGTCACCTGGTGAGAGAAGATGGTGCTTTGGAGCACAGCAATGTTTGTCAGGGTGGAGAGGAGAGATCACGTTTGGACATGTTTTGAAGAAACAGCCAGCAGGAATTGTAGATAGCCTTGATTGTCGGTTTAGAGAAAGTCATGGAGGGAAGTAACAGGGCTTTGGCTTGAGCAGCTTGAAAAACAGAGGTACTAGTTAGAGAGATGGGGAAGATGGTGACTGCAGAGGGACAAGAAGCAGGGGAAATCGAACGCTTTGCCCTTGTGAGGTTGGAGCTGTGTGAGGAAGAGCAGGCCTTTAGTGCTCAGCTGTTTGGTTCAAGTCCTGGCTGGGCCATTCACTGGTCCTGTGACCTTGAACATACTACCCAGCCTCCAGAGGCTGCAGTTTCCTCATGTGAAAAACAACCAAACAAAAAGAAAACAAAAACAAAAAAAACTATTTTCTAGAGCTCTTATGAAGCTGGAATGAGTTAATTTTTATAAAATGCTTATAATAGCATCTTGTAGATAGTGTTCATCAACAACTAAGTAAACATCCAAGAGTAATGCAAGGGAAATCAAGGTGCTGTGTCAAGAATACACATATATTTAAATTTAAATAGATGCACTCTAATGGGTCACTATAGGCAGAAGGTAAGGAAAGGGAGAAACAGAGATAAATAGGGGGAGGGAGAGACAATAAGATGAAATATATATATAGAAGTAGGATGTCAGAAGGGAATGGCATGTGTTTTATTCACTGCTGAAGCTCCAAGGCCTGAAAATATCTACAACATGTACTGAGCACAAAAGGGAATAAAGAATTGAATGAATGAACAAATGAACTGAGGAGTTCATTTTCATTTCTGTGCCTCATAGAACCTTAAAAAAAATTCATGCACATATACTTAGCCTGGTTCTGAATTCTGAGTATCAAGGAAAAAGATTGTATAAGCACCCAAATAGAAAGAACTGGTTATTTTAAAAGGAAAGAAGTTCAGGCTAGCATAGGACATCTCCTCTGTCATTTTGGAAGCCAGAAGGCAATAGAATGAGGTTAGAAATTATGAGGGAAATAGGATGACAATTCAACAATCCTATATGCAGTCAAAAGGGTGATCATATAAGAGTAAAAGAATGACAGTAACAATGTATTTATGACCACCTGCTGAGAAATTCTAGGAAATACTCTAGCAATATAAAAATTAAATCAAAACAAAAATTTATAAATAGCAAGAGATGAAAAATAAAAGCAACAACAATGATTAATATATAAAGTAAGGTTTAGTTTAAATTGAAAGGGGTTATGTTAATATGACACAATACAATGCTTGTTAAAAGAACATTCAAAATGAAAAACAAATAAATTTCAAGGAAACACTTAACATTGGCCTGAAACTTAAATTCTAACTATCTTAATAACACCTAGTTGTTATCAGGGGTGCTGAGGGGCTGGCAAGTTAAACTTCTTGACTGGATGGAAAGATGCGTAGTTATAATTAAATTTTGGACAGTTGGTCTAGCAGCATTTTTTTAAAATTTAAAATGCTCACATTGTTTGAATCAGCTCCGTTCAGTGCAATTGTTTTTGTAATAGCAACGAAAGAAAAAAGTAAAATAATCTAAACTTTGATGTCAGACTTACATATATATATATATATATCAGTAGACATATGATATGTATTTAACAAGATGTTAAATAAAATGATCTGGTTCTTTCTATATAGAGACAGAAAGTTGTCAATAGTATATTTTTAAGTAAAGAAAAAACATTTACAGGTTATTTAAAAATATACAATTATGTATTCTAAAATATCATATGTCAATATATTGTTAAGTAGAAAACATTTGCAGAGTATTTAAAAATATCATAAATAGGGATACACACTCACATGCATTTATGTAATTATGGGAAATAAGTATGGAATGGAATACTCCAATTCTCAATATTGTTTACTCAGAGATAGTGAGATTGAAACTCAAAAAACACACAAAAAGATTAACAACAAAAAGAAAATAACACAAAATTTTAGCAACGTTTTTACCTGGGTGGTGAATTATGGGTGAATTTTATTTACTTTTCCATCTCTATGACATATTCTAAGTTTCTTTCTATGGGACTGTTTCACTTTCATAACTAGAAATTTTTTTAATAAAAGTAAATGTATTGTTTATAAATTGAGTTTCATTTTAAAAAACTATTGGTGAATAATTATCAATAAATTTGTATTATTTGTTTCTTTGACTTGTATAATTCTTTGCATGATTTATTTATCTATTTTACCTTTGTACTAAAATTATACTTTTACTAAATTACTGAACTGAACTCATTTCCTGTTTTTGTTCTATTATAAAATGTAAAATAGACAATAATAATTTTACTCCAAAACTATACTTGTAGCTCTGTAATTCCAGTATTTTTAATAAACATACTAAAATATGTTTGAAAAATACTTATTTCTAAAGGGGGAAAGAGACCAGGGTGAGGGGAAACAGCATTTTTAAATGTTTAAGTCATGGTTCTTGAGATGAAACATTGCTGGAAGTGAACCATTTCTGTTTCAAAGAAACAGGAAATGGGACGAAATTCATTTGTTTGCTCCTACATCAACACAAACCAACAAATAAGAGTAAAACAGTCACCAGCAATATTATGATAAATGTACTATACATGAAAGTGTTTCTGCTATTTTGACATGCATAAAGTAATATGAATCAGATTTAGGTAATGTAACTAAAAGGTTCTTAAGTTAATTGATCTAATATATGGCAGGTATACACACACACTGAATTTAGTTTAAGTTGAAAGGGATTATGTTAATATGACACAATACATTTGAAAATGTACTGGGATTTTTCCTACCAAATATATTTGCACAAATAATATCTGTGCAAATAAGATTATGGTTTTGCAGTTTAGTTGTGTATATAGTAACAATAAGACATATTGTAATTGTAAAACCTAAAAAAATCTATAAGGACTCCTTACATGATGTTAAAACTAGCCAATGTACACAGCATAGAATTTCTTTCTTCATTAACAAGAAAAGGAGATTTTTTAAAAGTTTCAACTTTTCAAATGTCCTAGCTTTCCATAAATGAATTTTTAATAAAAGAGAAACAACACTTTTTAAAAGACATGTAAAGCAAGCTATTTAAAAATATATAACCATTCTTTTAGCTTCTCTTGCTAAAGGGGCTACTAAGCAACTAAATTACAGAAAACCCTTGTTAATCTTCGCACTAAATAATCCTAAATTTTAACAGATGGATAAGTACCAAGCCATTGATAAATCTCATTATCTTTAGCATTCTTCCTGTAAAATACTACTTTAGGCCTTTGGGTTAGTCTCTAGGATTTGGTTTGGCTGTTCAGCAAATTCAGACCCACCTGCTCAGGTAAGAGTGAACACAGTCAGCGGATGAGCAGACAGCAGGAACACTGCCTTTGGGACCAGTCTGCATCAATCTCCTGGATACCTGCTGCTGGCTAGAGCCCACTGCTGCTCTATGATAGGCCACAGTTCACATAGACAGAATGACGCAAATATTAAAATCCAAAACAAAAGCTGATAATAAATCTTTCTGAAACAAGCTAACAATATGTTATCAAGAAATATAACTGGGAGGAGCTTTTATTCTGAACCAGCATCAGGAAGCTAGCAGTGAGCAAGCTAAATAGAGAAGGTAAATATTACAACTACTTTAAAAATAATTCCAAGCGTGGGCCACCAGGAACCACAGCGATGCATTAACAGCACATAAATGAAAACACATGTCCATTAAAACTGACTTAATTGCTGATTGATTTGAAAGAAAAGTACTTCTCTATTACACACCTGTACAAAGAAAATAACTAGCATTTAAAAAACAACTTGCTTTCAAAAGAGATGACCTGTACCCAACAAATGAATATTTTTAAAAAATAGAATGTACTCAAACCCAATAACATATTATAGTTAGAAAATACTTTAAAGCAATGGCTTTCAAACTACTTTTGAACCACAACTATAGGAAGAAATACATTTTATATTCTTGTTCAGTACATATGTAGGTAGGCACCCATAACAAATGTAAAAGTTTTCATTAAAAAATACCCTTACTTTGTTTAAGTCAGTCTGATATTTCCTATTTTATTCTATTTCTTCTTTTAATTACTGGAAATTACAACCCGGTAATGTTATTAACCACAATAGAAAAACACCATCTTAAATGTTATATGGTCACACACATTTATCCCATCAGTTTTCGTTTGTTTGTTTGTTTGTTTTTGAGATGGAGTTTCACTCTTGTCGCCCAAGCTGGAGTGCAATGGTGCAATCTCAGCTCACTGCAACCTCCACCTCCCTGGTTCAAGCGATTCTCCTGCCTCAGCTACCCAAGTAGCTGGGATTACAGGCGCCTGCCACCACACCTAGCTAATTTTTGTGTTTTGTTAGTAGAGATGGGGTTTCACCATGTTGACCAGGCTGGTCTCGAACTCCGGATCTCAGGTGATCCACCCACCTAGGCCTCCCAAAGTGCTGGGATTACAGGCGTGAGCCACTGTGCCTATCCTATTTTATCAGTTTTTACACTTAGACTTTTGAATACAATAAAAGTTGATTAAATGAAAATTATTTTAAAACAGAAAAGAGAAAAAAACGAAGATATATAAGAATAAAGCAAAGAATAAAGATAGGGAAACGTAAGTAAATCAAAAATTAAATATAAAAAAGAAAAAGTGTTTATATATAAAACTTCCAAAATGACCCTCTCTACATGGAACCAGATCCTCCAATATGGCAAAACGAAGAGCTGGACAAGGGCTGTTTCTCTTCCATTACTATCTGTTACTCTGCATGGGATTAAAGCATCATTATGACACATTGATTATCAGGCTCGGTTCTTCACCCTCCTCACATCCTTTGTCTTCCCTTCATTGGGGGTAGAAAATACATTTTTTGCCCTTTGAATTTGAACTTTGCCATTTGACATGTCTTGGCCAAAAGAATGTGAACAGAGATAAAAATGTTCCAGTTCCAAACCTAGTCTTTGGGAGGACATGTTGATGAATGTCCTTTATCCTATCACCAGGAATACAACATACCCGGCTCAGCCACTTGTCCAAGGAAGATGAGAGACATGTGGAACAGTCAGGGGCATGAAGACCTGCAGCACCTGCAGACCTTCATGAGCATAAGTTGCTATTATTTTAAGCTATCGAGTTTTGGTGTCATTTGTTACACAGCATGATCAAAGCAATATTAACTGTGTCAATTGTATTTCTGAAGGAAGCCATGGAGATCTGCTGCCCCATTCTCCTGCCTTGGGATCGCTAGTGAAACACTGCACCCCATAATGGGTCAGCTGTGACCTAAATAGCCATTATTAAAAGCAGTGATAGAACAAGCAAAAGGGCTTACAGTGAAATTACCCTTTACTAAGTGAATGTAACTGCTGCTTCAGAAGTCTCCAGATATTAAAGGCTGGTTCAAGAAATAATATCCAAGTTCAGTTCTTGTTAATAGTACATAGAAAATGTCATTCATTTTTCTCAAAATGAGTTTAATGTTGCCTGAATCATACATATTCCTGTCTTACCAGGAATCAGTCTTCTTTGCAGGCAAGCACAATACCTCATGTATAAGAGTTTATTAAGCTCTAGGAAATCAAGGCTCTTGTCTGCTTTGTTCATTAGTCTCTCGCCATGGCTTAAAACAGTGCTTGACAGGCCGGGCCCTGTGGCTCACGCCTGTAATCCCAGCATTTTGGGAAGCCGAGGCGGGCAGATCACGAGGTCAGGAGATCAAGACCATCTTGGCTAACACAGTGAAACCCCATCTCTACTAAAAATACAAAAAATTAGCCGGGCATGGTAGGCGGGCGCCTGTACTCCCAGCTACTCGGGAGGCTGAGGCAGGAGAATGGCGTGAACCCGGGAGGTGGAGCTTGCAGTGAGCTGAGATCGAGCCACCGCACTCCAGCCTGGGTGACAGAGCCAGACTGCGTCTAAAAATAAAAAAATAAAATTAAAAAAATTAAAAAAAAAAACAGTGCTTGACAAACCGTAGATGCTTAATAAATATTGGCTTACTGAGTAACATTGAATTACTGGATAAATTAATTATTCATTTTTAAAAGCCTTTAAATCAAAGGATTACATTGATATGGAATTCTCTTAGTTTCACTGTGCTAATTACAAAACTGCACGGGCAGTAAATCTTCTCTTCATCTCCTGCTCTTTCTTTTAACTGGAAAACTTATTTAATTGGATAATGATTTTTTCTTCTAGGAATGTAGAGTTAATAGTGAGATCGACATACAAATAAATATTTGTTGCACAATAGAGGGATTGCTAAATGGAAATATAAAGGCTGTGTTATGAGAGAGCAGAAGAAGGATTTGGAAACCCCTCAGGGCAGCCAGGACAGGCTTCATGCATGAGGCCGCATATAAGCTGAATCTGCAAAGACAATCCTCGGAGACTTCACAAACCACCTAAATTTAGAATAGGAAAATACACACAAAAGCTCTTGTTTAATCTTAATAAACTAATTTCATAGTGGACAATTAAAGTCCTTTAGTTAGTAACAATCCTGTTTTTAAATGTTATTCTTATTTCAGCATCTTTTTTTGTCAACAAAACTGTCTTGAATGTTTACTGTGGGCATTCGAAATAAAGCTGCTTTTTCGTTTCTGTTAAGCACACACACACACACATACCCCTAAAAAAAATAATAAAACCTAAAAATATCTTAATTCCCATTCTCTGAACCCACTGAATTTCAAGCTAATTATCAGCTCCATCACCAAATGGGTCTTAGTGACGGCATGATCTACATCCTCGGACATGCATGCCTACTGTCTACTGCTTTGACGATTGAATAGGACATTCCTGTAGATATTGTGAACTCCATGAAGGCAGAGATTTGGTTTCTGTTGTTTCTTTTTTGAGACAGGGTCTCCCTCTGTTGCCCAGGCTGGAGTGCAGTGGTGCAATCATGGCTCACTGTAGTCTTAACCTCCCGGGATTCTCCCACCTCAACCCCCTGAGTAGCTGGGACTAAAGGCATGCACCACCACACCCACACCCAGCTAGTTTTTGTGTTTTCTTTTTCTTTCTTTCCTTTTTTTTTTTTTTTTTGTAGAGGAGAGGTTTTGCCATGTTACCCAGGCTGGTCTTGAACTCCTGGGATTAAGGGATATACCTGCCTCGGCTTCCCAAAGTGCTGAGATTACAGGCATGAGCCACCGCACCTGCCTGAAGACAGAGACTTTGTATGCTTTGTTCACTGCTATAACCCCAGGGCCTAGCATATAGCAGGTGATCCCTAACTACTAGTTGGTTGACTGACAGATTTCTACCAGATTAGCTGAATACTCACATCTCTAGCACAAAGGAGAAATCTCAGAGCTTGCAGTATTGATTCAGAAGGCATTCACCTAGTGGTAATAGTTAAAGTTGTCTGTGGCAGAAGATAAGAGAAATCCCAGAAGGGGAAAGAAAGAGGGAGGAAGACAGAACTGTAAGAAATGTCAATATATAAGTAAAGTACTTCCAGATATTGGGATGATAAAAAAGAGACCAATAAAGCCAAGAGGGGAAGAAGAATTTTAATAAAGTTATGGTGTAAAATGTTACTGAGTGTTAGAGTAAGGATAGAGATCAAGCATATGGTCAAGGATTTAAAAAGGTGTCATTAATGGTTTGGAAGCAATGTTAGTGGAGTATTGTGGACCATAGAGAAGATATTGTATGTTAAGAAAATAAAGGTAGCCAGGGTAAATAAATTTTTTGAGACATATGACAATGAAAAGAAGGTGAGAAATGGAATAATATTTTGAAGGAATGGGAAGTACAGGGAAATGTAGAGCAAATACAAATTAAAAACAAGAGGTTTCATTTTCCCTGTAGAATATAAGAAAAGAGATTTTCCCTGCTTTCCCTTTTTCAAAGAGTCTTTATATTAGAAAACTTGTGCTTTAAGGTCTTTCTCTGTCTCTTTAAAATGTAGGTAAATTTTTTAATGCTAACTCAGCCTCCGGTCAGCATTATGATCCAGGAATGTCTTTCTCAAGGACTGGGAACCATCTCTTAGAAATGTAAACATTAAGGAAGATAGCACCCTGTCTCCCAGATTCTGTGGGATGGCAGGAAACTAGCCTCAGCTTACTACTTGCTCCAAGTTGCAAAACTCCCTCTAGTCATAAAGAGTAGTTGATTTTTACCTTGGTTAAAACCAATTAGCTAACACAGATGGTTACCCCAACTACCATGTGGGTTTAGGATGAATTATGTGTAACAAATGGTGCTGTCAAGTCCTCTTACATAAGCACTAGTTATAGTATATTTGAAGAAAATGTGTGTATTCATCAGGGTTCTCTGGAGAAATGGAACAAATAGGATGTTTCTATGGTCTAAATGTTTGTGCCCCTCAAAATTCATTTGTTCAAACCTAATTCCTAATGGGATGTATTAGGAGGTGGAACTAATTAAAACCTTTGGGAGTGATTAAGTTATGAAGATGGAGCCCCTATGAATGGAATTAGTTCCCTTATAAAGAGCTAGAGAGAATAGAGTTCTCCCCTTCTACCATGTGAGGACACAGAGAGAAAGCACCACCTATGAACCAGAAAGCAGGCCCTTACCAGATACCAAATATACCAACACCTTGATCTTGGTTTTCCCACACTCCAGAACTGTGAGAAATAAAAGAAAGAGTTCTATTAAAAGGAATTGGCTCATGCATTATGGAGGCTGGCAAGTTCCAGGATGTTCAGGGTGAGTCGGCAAGGTGGAAACCCATTAGAGTTGATGATGTAGTTCCAGTCCTAAGACTAGCAGGCCTGAGACCCATGAATAGCCAATGTCTCAGTTTGAGTCTGAAGGTAAGAAAAAGCCAATGTCCTAGTTCAAAGCCAGTCACTCAGGAGGAATTCTCTCTTACTTAGGGGAGGGTCAACCTTTTTGCTCTATTCAGACTTTCAGCTGAATGGATGAGGCCCACTCATACTAGGAAGACAATCTGCATTACAATTTAAGTGCTAATCTTACCCCAAAACACCCTTACAGAAATACACAGAATAATGTTTAACCAAATATCTGGGCACCCCATGGCCCAATCAAGTTGACACACAAAATTAATCATCACAATATCTGGAATGGATTGCATCTGCTTGCCTATATAAAAGAATGAGGTGTCTTTTTGTCTTCACAATATCTTAGTGGATTGCCTATGATGTGCATCACATAATAAAAATGTTTTCTTTCTCTTCTACCTTTGTGGAATGGTTTTCTGGGTTGGAAGGAGATTTTGTTTTAAATTATATTTTCCCAACAGAAGCATTTGTTAAGTTTGATTAGAATAAATGTGAAAGGGTTTGTCAGACAGCAGGATGAACCAGAAGGAAAGAAAGAGTGAAGATCAAATAAGATGTATTTGATGGAGCATGGGTTCAGGGTGATGGAAGAAGTGATTTTACAAGAAATACAGGAGGCTACAAGCCTTAAAAGGAAGAGAAACCCTTCCCTTTCTTGCTCTTCCTCCTCTTCCCAACTGTATTAGTTTTCTGGGGCTGCCATAATAAAATAACACAGAATGGCTTAAATAACAGAAATTTATTTTCTCATAGTTCTGGAGGCTGGAAGTCCAAGATCATGGTGTCACCAGGTTTGGTTTCTCCTGAGGCCTCTCTCCTTGGCTAACACATGGCTGCATTCTCACTGTGATTTCACATGGTCTTACACATTTTTGGTGTTTTTTGTGTATCCAAATTTTCTCTTCTTCTGACTCCAGTGCGATTGCATTAAGACCCACCCTAGCAGTCTTATTTTAACTTAATCACCTCTTTAAAGGTCCCATCTTCCAATACAATCACATTTTGAGGTACTGGGGGTTAAAACTTCAATGTATGAAATTTGGGGGACACTATTCAACCCATAACACCAATGTATCCAACTCTACCCATCCTTCAAAACTCAATTCACTTGTTACTTTCACCTTACAATTAAAATCAGTTTCTCTCATGCTTTCACTTCCTTAGAACTTTATCTTTCTTTTTCATATGGCCTTGTAATACAGTTAATCATTTTTATTTCTTAGGAATGTATTTTTATATACCTCATAATGATGTACTACAAACATTTTCTTGCATATACTTATGTGCAATATTAGCTGTATTAATGGTTTTGTGAATGGAACTGATATTTGATGATGTTAACTTTACTTGGACCTTGGAATTTTTATTCGCTTCAATGCTCACTGTGTTTGCTCAAAATATTACCTCTCATTAGAAGATATATCTGGGCCTTAGAATCTTTACCTGTAAAGTTAGTAGATTCGCATAGATAATCTCCTCTGTTTCTTTTATCTCTTCTATTCCATCCATCTATTATTTCATTCATTCACTTATTCATCCATTCAGGAATTATCAAAGAAGTATCTTCTATTCCTAGATGGCAGACGCAGTGCTCAGTGTTTTGAATACCATGAACAAGACCAAGTTTCTACCTTCCAGGTCAAAGGGTTGACATTCTAATTTTGACCTGCAATCAAATTCAGATGACTTTGTCTTGCCCTTCTTGTTCCGCAGCATTCCACTTCGTAAGGCCCATTTTGCAAAGTCATGCTGCAGGGACTCTTTTTTAGATTACCTTCCTCCCAGCTTATTTGTGATCAATCTCTTCAGTTTTTCCCACAGACTAAATATACTGCAGTCCTCACGCCTCTACATATCACTTCAATACAACTATACCACAATTAAACATTTAGAGAGATCATGTGATATAACTTGAATACCCCATGAACCTAAGTTATCTACCCTAACTCATCTTGCCCAATAATAGGCAAGTGTACCCAAAGTTACCTCTTTAGAACAGCTTCTTTGGATTAAGGTATTTTTTCTGGAAGTTTTCTTTTAAAATGCAGGTATCATATCCCCTGTTGTGCTTTATTATAATAATTGATTGCAGCTGTATCCTTTATTTCACACTTCCCACAGTGTCTTCAATGTAAAGCAATAAATGAAGAAGAAATTCTCTGAGGACTACACCCACTAATATTAACAGATATTTTAGCTCAAGTTAGCTTATGACAACAGAGTTTATGGGTAACAAAGTATTAATATAAGAAGAAGAGTTTGGGAGCTTGGTGCACTTTTTATTTTTGAATCAGTCTCAGGAGATTAAGGAGTTTGGTGCCCTATAAGTGAAGAGGTTGGTTCCATTACGGGGACTGAATATCAACTAAGGTGTACTTAAAATGCTCTGACTGTTAAAGAGGTACTGAAAGCAGGTGCACAGGCCGGTGTGTAACTGGCACAAATATTGACTGTTTTCCATCATAATAGAAGAAAAGTAGCAAAATCAGCCAGCACTATTAAAAAATCAAATCCTTTCAGGTGATGATAAATTGTGAAATGCATAACCAAGGAGTAAAATGTTTACTTTTATATTTATAGGGGTTTTGTTTATTACACAAACTAAGAATCAGCAATTTCTAGAAAATAAATATCTTAAGCTTTGTAGGCCACAGATCTGTGGCAGCTACTCAACTTTGCCATTGTAATATGAACGAAGTCATAGTCAATAGTAAATGAGTGAGTGCAGTTGTGTTCCAAAAAAACATTATGTACAACAAATAGTTTACTGACCCCTGATATAGACTATAGAAGAGATACTATGAGAACTTCCTACCATTAATCAAAGCAAGAAGATGGGAATTCAAAGCCATTTTCCTGGTAAGATTCTTCTGTCCATTCCACTAAAAATACAAAAGATAACTAAAGTAAAAATATAATTTGCAATATTAAAAAAATCAGTTGACTGAGGCAAAAATAAGGAAAAGGATATCAGTCTTTACAATTGCATTAGATGCTTACATTTAAGCTTAGCTATTTTCTGCTGGCATAAAAAGAAAACAGTCTTATCTCCACAAAACACTGTATATAAACTTCTTTATAAGCTTACCCGGGATGTAATTGGTTATTTCTTGGAAACTGTTCCAGAAGTGTTTCAGGCTTCAGAATTCTGTTATGAGGGTCCTTCCTCTTTCCTGTTCATCCCTCAATTTTTTACAGTAAAGTTAGTGAAGATTTTGTCTGACCTCCTTCCACCTCCCCTTTCTTCAGATGCTCTCTTCTTTTCATTTGAGAGTCCATCTTTTCAGGAATACAGTTGTCAGGGGCCCCAACTTTTCAGCAGCAAAATGAATATGACCATGGCTAGAGATGTTCACCATTAAAAGTACACAGGCAAATCATAAGGTCTTCCATACATAAAGAAATGTCTCCACATGTGGAATTTGGGGCTGGCAGGAGAAAGGTCTTGATACAAACAATGTGGCTTAAATCCCCTGAAATCACATTGGCATAGACCTGGCTTTGTCCAGAACTGAGTGCTTCCTGGCATGGGACGTGGGATATGGTCAGTTGTGCAGTTCTATTCCTATTGTGTATAAAGATGATCCAACAGAACTATCATGGCTTTCTAAAAAGTATTCTGTAAGCAGATAAATTCCCTTTACTCTGATTTTAAAATAATTTTTAGCAAGTAATTTATAAGTAATATTAGGTTTCCCAAGCAGTTTTATATCATGAAGGTACTGCTGTTCTGAAATAAGTATATCCGACTGGCTTAGTAGTAAGCAATCAATCACTTACGGAGTGCTTACTGGATATCTGGTCCTGTATTGCATTTTCAAATTTAATCCTCTTGCCAATACCAAGAGTCTGGAAACATTAATCCCATTTTTGTTAAAGAGACTGATGCTCAAGGAAGCTAAGGAATTTGGTGATTATACACAGGCCTATCTCCAAAGTTCTATCTCCTTGTGCTGCTATTTTATTTCTCCCATGTGTGTAAATGACTAGACTCATTCTGGTTTAGAAATCATCTTTGGTGAGTTCTGTTAAAAGTGGCTCAGTCTCACTCCTGTAATCCCAGCACTTTGGGAGGCCGAGGCGGGCAGATCACGGGGTCAAGAGATCAAGACCATCCTGGCCAACATGGTGAAACCCGGTCTCTACTGAAAATACAAAAATTAGCTGGGTGTGGTGGTGCATGCCTGTAGTCCCAGCTACTCAGGAGGCTGAGGCAGGGAGAGTCGTTTGAACATGGGAGGCGGAGGTTGCAGTGAGCCGAGATCTCACCACTACATTCCAGTCTGGGTGACAGAGCAAGACTCTGCCTGAAAAAAAAAAATGGCTCAGTTTCCAATAGTCTGATCATATCTGATGGAATTTAGAGAAATGATTTTCTGAACTTAAAGTATTGAGAACCAGAACTGAAATAGATTCCCTATGTAAGACAACTTTATATCACTCTATTCCTGACTACAAAGGGTAGTAAATAATATATTTCCTTAAAGATTAAGCTACAATGCAGTTCAGCATTAATAATTATTATGATAACTAGAGAGTGTATAAATACAGAACATGACAATAATGTCTTCTACTAACATTGCAAAAGATATGAAGCCATTTCTGGGTTAGGAATCAAACAGCAACTGAATTGGTTCACTGTGTAGAGAACTTCATGTAGATCCCTACATTTTAGATAAAATATTATAACGGGGCACGTCTATCTAAATATCTTAGCACATCAAGAGCATTTACATAAAAATATCTTAGTATATTTGGAATATTTCTGTATAAAAGGTTTATCACAGCCCCTGGAACTCAGTAGAAGCTCAGTAAATAATAGTTAAGGAAGCTAATAATAATATGGAGGTTAAAAAGCAAAGTGGTCCTCCAAAAATTGTGTTCAGTTCAGAGCCCTGAGGACAGACCAATTGTTAGCAGGTCTCATTCATCTCCCAAAACTCCTTTCAGAAAACAAGATGACTGATAAATAAACTCATCGTGATACCACCTACTCTGAATTATTGCAGAGTGGAGCGTTAGAGGATTGTCTATATATCCATTCGTTGGCCACCAGAAATGGAGGAGCATGTCAACAAGCCACTCAACTTATACATTTCAGGAAGAGTATTTTCTCATTCTGAACCATCCCTAAGAAACTACACCTTGAATGCTAATTTCTAATTGAACTTTGAATCTCTTACCCAGATATTATATTTACATGTACCTATAGAGGGCAGCCTTCTACAAATTTTTGTAAGACGTGGATTTTTATCCTTCCTCCTCTAGAAAGGAGTGACCCAGCATGAAACAACCTTTACCATTGCTTGGGAGAAACTAGAACAATTTACAATAGCGGATTTCCCACCATGTGTTATTCAGACCCTTGTTGTGCATCTTGGGAACTCTTGACGGCAGAGCCTGAACATACTGGGTGTGCAGGTGCAGCCTAAGCTTGGCAATTGTCAGTAATAAGAAAGTAACAAGTAACAAAGAAGAAGAATAAGCAAAAGGAAGAGAAGGAAGAGGGGAGGAAGGAAGAGGAGGGGAAAAGGAGAGGAGGAGGAGGGAGAGGAAACATGGAAAGAGAATGAGGAAGAGGAAGAGAAGGAGAAAAAGAAGGAAGGAAGGGGAGGAGGAAGAGCTTTGACTAACCCTGTACTAGTCTCTAGGCTGAGGGAATTACATGAAATCCCACGTTTATTCTCATAGCACCTCTAAATAATAGACGTTGTTTTTAACCATTACTTTACCAAAAAAAAAAAAAAAAAAAAGAGGAACTGAAAATTAAATCAGTTGCTACTAAGAAGCAGCTGTGGAATTTGATCCCAGATTTGTCTGAATCGGGTTCTAGCTCCTAACCACTACCAAGAATTTGCAAATAAAAATTAAATTAGGCTAGGTGCAGTGGCTTACACTTGTAATCCCTTCACTTTGGGAGGCCAAGTCCAGTGGATCGCTGGAGCCCAGGAGTTTGAGACCAGCCTAGGCAACATGGTGAAACCCTATCTCTACAAAAAAATACAAAAATTAGCTGTGTGTGGTGGTGTATGCCTATAGTCCCAGTTAGTTGGGAGGCTAAGGTGGGAGGATCACTTGAGCCCAAAAGGTCGAGGCTGCAGTGAGTCGTGTTCATACCACTGCACTCCAGCCTGGGTGACAGAGTCAGAACCTGTCTCAAAAAAAAAAAAAAAAATTAATTTAAATTAAAGAGTTTCCCATCTCTTTAGCTGATTTCTCCCACAGATCCTTAAAATACCTGGAGAGGGAAACTACATGAGGCTACTACATGAATGAGAACTTTACTTAACACCTGTCTATGAATGAATGGGTAGACTATTATTAATTAAATGCTAGGCAGATGAAACAACACAGTAACATTAATTTCAAATCATTTTCAAAATGGTGTTTGTAATTGTCTTAATCTATAAAAATAGTATAACATTTTATCAGCAGTTTCTGAAGATAACTTTCACATATTTATTTCCAGTAAAATTAAATTACAGGTGTGTATTTTAGGAAGTTATTGTCAGGCTATCAGATTTTATTTTCTTACCACAGTGCTTTTGTAATTGATCTCCACAACAACTAGTTTTCCAGTACTAGCTAGGTACACATGACAGCAGGCTTTTCAATTAATTTTTACTCATATTGAGATAACAAACCCTCTGTTAGTTCTATTTAATGGAGCAAAACAAAATTTTACCAAAAACAGGAAGAAAAAAAGTCAACTGGTTCAAAACCAGTTTCATTTAATCAACATCATAATCTAATAAAACAGAATTTCTAATTCTAATATTTTTAATATCTCCAAAGTTTATCCAGTCAACATGTCTAGAATGCATCTTGTCCAAATATTAACTATTTATCAGATAATCTACTACCATAGTGACACCTGGGCCCTATTTGCTTTGCCAGGAGTCCAAAGTTTCCAGAAAGTGTGGATGATTAAATAGCTTTTCATGCTGATAAGCACCTTTGCTGTATTTCTATAGCTGGACCACCAAACAGAACTAATTTCAAAATAGCAAGATTAAAAGAGCTCACTCTTCTGTTAACGTATTTTCATTGATCCCTTTAAATTTATTTTCCAAGCCAGAAAAATTCTCTTTCTTTATGTTGCCAGTCTTCTCCTAATGTCCCAAGAAAAATTCTTATTCTCCACACCACATCAACAGATATGATTAATTATGATCATTGTTCCACATATATAAGTTTAAATATTAATTGTGTACTTTCACCTTAACCCTCACACTGCATTGTATCAAGGTCTGTGCTATTAAAGCTACAAGATTGACTTTGAGGAATGTGGCATATCTCTCTTAGAAAGGTAAGGATGCAATATAAATTTGGCTTTAATAATTGTTAAGCAACAAATCAATATCCAAAACTTAAACGGGCTTGACATTTAAGTCAAGCACATAAGAACATTGAGTTCTTAAAGAAGCACAGGGTAGCATTCAGGTAGTTGCTAGTAAGAAAATACTAGCAACATAAAGTGGTAGAGAAAGCAGTAAGCATGAAGTTGAATGATTCTGGTTTAAGGATTTGATACACATAAGTTAGGAACTTTGAACGTGACACTCTGCTCTCTAATGTAGAATGGAGAAAAATGTGCCTACCTTGTGAAATATGTAAAACTCATGTTTAAAATATCTTGTAAACTATAAAGCATTACATACAAAATGTTAATAATGCCTTTCCATTCTCTGGACAAGAGGATAAAGGTAAAATTGCCTTCAGATCCATGGAAAGGATAGGGAATGTATAGACCTTATGTCAGCCTTACCCTTGAAGGAACAGGTGGTATTGGCTTGCAATTAACAGGTAATAGGGCTGACAACAAAGTAATAGACCAGAAGACAAGTAGTGTAATGATATTATATGTTGGAGAATAAAAGAATGATAACATCAGCCCTGATGTGTCATGGCGGACATGCAGGGGATTACACTTCCTACTTCATTTAAATTTGGCATGGCCATATGACCTGCTTTAGCCGATAAAATATGACTGAAAATGACATGCATCACTCTGGATGAAAGCATTTAAGAGGCATGTGCAATTCCCCCATATTCTTTTCTCATGCTCCAGAAATTACGGAAGCACAGGTTGACAAGGAGGTGACACAAAATGAAAAAAGCCTGTGGTCCTGTGGGCATAGAGGCTAGCTGCCCTGGAGAGGACTCTGCGTAAGCAGGAAATAAGCTTTTGTTGTATTAAGCCATAAAATTTTTGGCGTTATTTTTTACTACATCACAACCTAGCCTATGCTGATTAATACAATTTTAAAGAGAAAGTATGGCATGGTCAAAAGGGATATACATTCTTGTTTGTTTTGAGATGGGATCTCACTCTGCATCCAGGCTTAAGTGCAGTGGTGCAAACTTGGCTCAGTGCAACCTCGGTCTCCCAGGCTCAAGTGATCTGCTCACCTCAGCCTCCTGAGTAGCTGGGACTAGGACTACAGAGCCATGTCCATGCCACCATGTCAAGCTAATCTTTTGTTTTTGTTTTTTTGTAGAGAGGGGGTCACGCCATGTTGCCCAGGCTGGTCTCCAACTCCTCGGCTCAAGCGATCCCGCCTGGGCCTCCCAAAGTGCTGGGATTGCAGATGTGAGCCACTGTGCCCGGTCTAAAGGGGATGTATATTTGAGGTAGAAGGAACTAGGCCTTTTATTCCAGCTCAACAACTTATTGGCTAACCTTGAATATATTACAGATGCCTATATAACAGTTTATTGGACTATGTTCCAATAAACCCATAATAAATTGAAGATATTATTAAGTCAAAAAAGTATTTAATACACATAACCTACCAAACATGAGAGCTTAGCCTAGCCTACCATAAATATGCTCAGAACACTTAACACTACCCTACAGTTGGGAAAGATAAACTAACACAAAGCCTATAATAAAGTGTTGAATTTCTCATGTAGTGTACTGAATACACTGTGGAGTATGGTATCAGTGGTTTACTGTTGTGATCACGTGGCTGACTGAGAGCTGCGGCTTGGCTCGCTGCCACTGTCCGGCATCATGAGAGAATATCATACCACATATCGCTAGCCCAAGAAAATATCAAAGTTCAAAATTCGAAGTACACTTTCTACTAAATGTGTATGGCTTTTGCATCATCGTAAGTTGAAAATTTGTAAGTCAAAATGTTATAAGTAGGGGACCATAATCCCTTACCTCTCTAAGTCTGAATGTCATCCTTTAGTTTTTATTATTTTGTAAACAGTTGCAACATTTTTTTTTTAGATTCAGAGGGTACATGTGGAGGGTTGTGACACAGGGTATATTGTGTGATGCTGAGGTTTCCGGTACAAACAATCCCATCACCCCAGTGGTGAGCGTAGTACCCAATAGTTAGTTCTTCAACCCTTGCCCCCTCCCTTCTCTTCCCTCCAGTAATCCCTAGTGTCTATGGTTCTCATCTTTATGTCCATGAGTAACCGATGTTTAGATCCTACTTATAAGTGAGAACATGTGGTGTTTGGTTTTCTGTTCCTATTCGCTTAGGATAATGGCCTCCAGCTCCTTCCATGCTACTGCATAGGACATGATTTTGTTCTTTTTTATGGGTGCATAGTATTATATTGTGTATATGTATCAATCATTATCCTTTTAAAATGAAATAAATAATGCTTGCTTAACAGGATTGTTCTGTGTGAGAAAGTTCCTAGTTTTCGTAGGTACTTGAAAAGTGCGTATTATTATTATACCTCAGCGACACTAAAACACACTTCAAATATATTTGAAACAAACACAATAACTCCTGTTAGGGCCACTACACATGTGTGGTAGAATGCACTGAGCAAGGTGCTGAGGGGCTGGTCCAGCGTGGGAAAAGAGCAGCCATCCTTTGGAAGGTGTGAAAGGTGGAGCATGCTTTGCCTCCAGAATGTTAGGGTGAAGGGGTCATGGAATACTGTGGGGGCATTTTTGTACTTCACAATTGTTTGGTCTTTTTCTTTCCTTTTTGCAATGTTGAATATTTTGCAGGACCGGGGGTTTAGGGCCAGTGAGAGCATCCTTCACTACACCAGCAGACTCCGGCAACTGGAACCCTCTCCAAGGACTGAGTGCTCTAGGAACCTCAAAGTTCTGTGTTGTTTTTATTTTTTTAAATTTTTATACAGATGTATTTGTAGAGATATAAGAGACTTTTCCTCTCCCTTGTTTTCTCCATTAACTTGAAAGTGAAAACTTTCAGCAAAAGAAGGATGAAAACACCACAGCAATTTTTGGGGAGGTTTGGCATTTTTTAAGAGAAATAAACAAAAAAGAGTGAATTGAGATGGAGAAAATGTCCTGAGCTGATGCCCACATTATCTTCTTTCCCTCGCCTCTGCTGGCTCCCTAAGTCTCTGTTGGATAATGCTTTGAAGCTCTCCTGTCATCACAAAGATGAATTTAGTAAAGAAAAAAGAAAAGGACCAAAAGCTGGATGAAGACAGTCAGTCTAACAGTACCCCACTGAGCATTCTCTGGTCCCACCTTCTGGGACAAAACCATTCCCCATGACAGTTAGCATTGTGTTATCATGATCATAGACCACATTCCTGAGCTCCCATCAGCTGCTCGGCTGGCCCTTCTATCCTGATCCTAGCACCTGGGCTCCACTCATCCCAGTGTCCTGTCTCAGAACTGCAAGAGAGCGTCATCAGTCCAGTGTACTCTTGTCTGCAAACCACCAAACACAGTGTCCTGTTGATCCTGCAATTATTGAAGTTTTAGTGGGGTACGAGCCAGAGCAGAGAAATCTTCCTCTCTCTAGCATCTGTGCCCCCAAAATGAATGACTCTAGTAAGCCCAAATTCTCTAAGTTTAAATTGAAACCACAGTCCAGGATTAGGAAAGCTCTAAAATCTTCATGCCTGGCTATGGATATTTGACAAATACAGTTGACTCTTGAATAATGTGGGTGTTAGGGGTGCCCATCTGCCATACGGTGAAAAATCCAAATGTAATTTTTGACTCCTCCCAGATTTAACTACGAATAGCCTACTGTTGACCAGAAGCCTTACCAATAACATAAGTGATTAACACATATTGTATATGTATTATGTATTATTTGCTGTATTCTTACAATAAAGTTTTAAAAATGGTATTAAGAAACCCATAGAAAATAGAAAATACAATTATCTGTCTGAAATAGGGGCACCTGCAGCTGTAGACCACAATCTATGGTCCATATCAGGCAATTCAACTTTTTCTTGTAATGTGACTTTTCTCTGCTTCTTGGAAGCATTTCCACCATCACTAGTGGCACTTCCTGTGGGTCCCATGGTGTTATTCAAGGTTTGTGGTATTGCACTAAACACAATGAAAAATACACAAGAACCCCAAAATCACTTTTTGCTGCAATCCCCAATTTGCTGAAGAGGAACTGCTCATGCAAAGATGATTAGTGCCACAGGGCATGAAGCAGAGTCTTGCAACACTTGAGTTCACCACAGTAGCAACAGGAAGGGGCAATAAAGTTATTACAGTAGTACAATATGTAATACTACAATAAATTTTATGTGGTAATGATTTAATACTGCATCTTTACATATGTTTACATTTGTCTTCATTGCAAATGGGATTATGTGTGGTCTGTAAGTGCATGTGTATTATGATAAATTTTGACTTTATATAATAGAGTTGCATATGTTTTATGGCAATCAATGATAAATTAGTTTCTACATATATTGTATGCATTCATTACTTATCTTTTTCTTAATTTTTTCAATATTTCTAAGCTATGTGGTTTGTCCGCAGGATTTTTCAAATTGTCACAAATCTCCAAAATATTTTTCAATATATTTATTGAAAAAATCTACATATAAGTGGATGTGTGCAGTTCCAACCTGCATTGCTCAAGTGTCAACTGTACTGAGCTATGAATAGAAAAAAACAGTGTAACAGACAGATACTCCTGAGACGCCTGGAGGCTGGAGGAGAATGAGATTATCACCTGGACATCACTGTTAAGCGGAAGTCAGCCCTCTACCACAAGCCAGTTGCTTTTCCCTGTAAGAGGGCATTTTTGAAGGCTGGCTTTTGAAGGAATATATGGTCTGTTTCCTGTGTCAATAGCACCACACCCAAACAAACTTTTTTTTTTTTTTTTTAGACGGAGGCTCCCTCCGCCTCCCGGGTTCACGCCATTCTCCTGCCTCAGCCTCTCGAGTAGATGGGACTACAGGCGCCCGCCACCACGCCCGGCTAATTTTTTTATATTTTTAGTAGAGACGGGGTTTCACCGTGTTAGCCAGGATGGTCTCGATTTCCTGACCTCGTGATCCGCCCGCCTCAGCCTCCCAAAGTGTTGGGATTACAGGCTTGAGCCACTGCGCCCGGCCTCTGTCATAGCACTTTTCTAGAAGTAGAAACACAGCTGACTCACGTTTTAGTCTGCAACTGTGTCCAAATGTGGGTCCCCAAATATGCTTTGGCCTGTGTGTGTGGCCATCAGTACATGTACATCTGTGTGTGCACGTTACTCTGCCTTGCCAATTTAAGAAACTTCATATTCAGTTTTTGAAAGTGCCAGGTTTTTATTGTATTTTGGAGAACTCTCATTAGTTCTCCTCCCCTCCCCTTTTCTTTACTCCTTCCCTCTCATCATTGTTTCACGTTAGATCTTGTTACTTTTCCATGACCTTCTCCTTGGGTTCACTAAGAACTCTGGATAAATAGTAGATCTCTGCTGGGCACGGTGGCTCACTCCTGTAATCCCAACACTTTGGGAGGCCGAGGCACGCGGATCACAAGGTCAGGAGATCGAGACCATCCTGGCCAGCATGGTGAAACCCCGTCTCTACTAAAAATACAAAAAATTAGCCAGGTGTAGTGGCACATGCCTGTAGTCCCAGCTACTCGAGAGGCTGAGGCAGGAGTCTCACTTGAACCCAGGAGGTGGAGGTTGCAGTGAGCCAAGACCATGCCATTGCACTCCAGCCTCGGAGACAGAGCGAGACTCCGTCTCAAAAAAAAAAAAAAAAAAAAAAAAAAAGAAGAAAAAATAGATCTCAATTTTGAAGGGTACAAGCTTTTGTTTATGTTTAATCTACAAGTTGCCATGATAAAAATGGTATACACAGTAACAGCACTATAATGCAGCACTATTAATTTATAGGTGCTTTCCTCATATTTTAAGATTGGTTTATCATTATCATCATATTTGAAGTGCTACAGATATTTAGATTTACTAGGTCCCATATTTACATAGCATTTTTATCTACTAGGTTTCATTTAAATTACATGAACCCCAAATAGGTAAGAATATTATTAGAACATAGATTTGTTTTTGCATTTTCTGTACTTAAAACAATAATTCCATTGCACACTAGAGCATGCTGCCTAAGTATTATTGTAAGTGTAGGATACTCTCCTCATCTAAGAATTTTACTCTCTTTTCAAAAACCAAAATTATGGTGAAAGGTAGGGGTCCAGTTTCATTCTTCTGCATATGGCTAGCCAGTTATCCCAGCACCATTTACTGAATGGAGAGTCCTTTCCCTATTGCTTATTTTTGTCTACTTGGTAAAAAATCATATGGTTGTAGGTGTGTGTATTACACTGTTCTTGCATTACTATAAAGAAATGCCAGAGACTGGGTAATTTATATGAAAAGAGGTTTTATTGGCTCATGGTTCTGCAGACTGTGCAGGAAGCACAGTGCCAGCATCTGCTTCTGGGGAGGCCTCAGGAAGCTTTTACTCATGGCAGAAGACGAAGAAAGAGCAGGTGCTTCACATGGCAAAAGCAGGAGCGAGGGAGAGTAGGGGGACTGTCACACACTTTTAAATGACCACATCTTGTGAGAACTCATTATTGCCAAGCAGCACCAAGCTGTGAAAGCCGCATCCCCATGACCCAGATGCCTCCCACCAGACCCCCACCTCCAGCATCGGGTATTACAATTCAACATGAGATTTGGGTGGGGACAAATATACAAACTATATCAGTGTGAAGCTTTATTTCTGAGTTCTCTATTCTGTTCCATTGGTCTGTGTGTCTGTTTTTGTATCAGTACCATGATGTTTTGGTTACTGTGGACTTACTGTAGTTTGAAGTTGGATAATGTGATGCCGCTGCCTTTGTTTTTGTTTATTTGTTTGTTTGTTTTGTTTTTTGCTTATGATTGCTTTGGCTCTTGGGATTCTTTTCTGGTTCATATGAATTTTAAAATAATTTTTCTAATTCTGTGAAAAATGACTTTGGTAGTTTGGTAGGAATAGTGCTAATCTGTAGATTGTTTTGATAAGATGGATTAAAGATTTAAACATAAGACCTGGGAACTACAAGAATCTAGATGAAAATGTAGGAAATGCCATTCTAGGCATCAGCCTTAGGAAAGAATTTATGGCTAAGACCTCAAAAGCAATTGCGACAAAAAAGAAAACTGACAAGTGGAACCTAATTAAACTAATGAGCTTTTGCACAGCAAAAGAAACTATCAACAGAGTAAACAGACAACCTACAGAATGGGAAACAACACTTGCAAACTGCATCTGACCAAAGGTCTAATAAAGGCTTATATCCAGGATGTATAAGGAACTTGAATCAACAAGAAAAAAAAACTCCATTAAAACTGGGCAAAGGACATGAACAGATACTTCTCAAAAGAAGACATCCAAGCAGCCAAGAAAGATATGAATAAATGCTCAACATCACTCATTATCAGAGAAATGCAAATCAAAACCACAATGAGATACAATCTCATACCAGTCAGAATAGCTATTATTTAAAAAGTCAAAAATAACAGCTGCTGGTGGGGCTGTGGAGAAAAGGGAACACTGTACTGTTGGTGTGGGAATGTAAATTAGTTCAGCCACTGTGGAAAGCAGTTTGGAGATTTCTCAAAGAACTCAAAACAGAACTACCATTTGACCCAGCAATCCCATTACTAAGTATATACCCAAAGGAGAAGAAATTGTTAAAAGACACATGCGCTCGTATGTTCATGATAGCACTATTCACAATAGCAAAGACATGGAATCAACACAGTTGCCCATCAGTGATGGGTTAGATAAAGAACATATGGTACATATACACCATAGAATACCACAGAGCCATAAAAAAGAACAAAATCATGTCTTTTGCAGCAACATGGATGCAGCTGGAGGCCATTATCCTAAGCAAGTTAAGGCAGGAACAGAAAACCAAATACTGCATATTCTCACTTTTAAATGGAAGCTAAACATTTGGTACACATAGATATAAAGATGGTAACAACAGACACTAGCGGCTACTACAGCTGGGAAACAGGGAGGGGGAAAGGGCTGAAAACTACCTTTTGGGTATTATGCTTATCACCTGGGTGACAGGATCATTTGTACCCCAAACCTCAGCATTACTGAATATACCCATGTAACAAACCTGCACATGGGCCTCCTGAATCTAAAATAACACTTGAAATTATTGAAATAAAAATAAAAGTGATACATTTGGAACATGCCCAGTACAACCACAGGACAGCGAAGCAGAGGAAATTCGAGGTATCGGCTTTCAGTATAAAATCAAAGTGATGTGTTTCAGAACAGATTTTGACGTTGACATGACTTTCTAGTTGACTTTTTTAGTATTCCTCTTGCTATTCAGAACATTGTGATTAAGAGTCAGTTTCTTTCACTTTTGTTATATACTTATATATTTATATATTTTTGGTATATATTGTGTATAAAACAGATTATTAGGAAAAAAATCTTGGTTTCTTCAAAGAATCCAGTAAAGAGGGTGATGTTTTTAAGACCCCTTTTCCTAGTGGTTGCACTTCATGAATTAATAATTCTGGAACTTATGCTGTTTATTTTGTTACCTTTTAATGTATGTTCCCCTACAAAGTAAGCTTCTGAAAAATGAATGCAAAAGTCCCACGGGCCGGGCATGGTGGCTCACGCCTGTAATCCCAGCACTTTGGGAGGCCTAGACGGGTGGATCACCTGAGCTCGGGTTTCGAGACCAACCTGACCAACATGGAGAAACCCCATCTCTACTAAAAATACAAAATTAGGCAGGCATGGTGGCGCATGCCTGTAATCCCAGCCTGTAATCCCAGCTACACAGGAGGCTCTGGCAGGAGAATCGCTTAAACCCAGGAGACAGAGGTTGCAGTGAGCTGAGATCACACCATCGCATTCCAGCCTGGGCAACAAGAGCAAAACTCCGTCTCAAAAAAAAAAAAAAAAGTCCCTTGTGTATATTAAAAGGAGATGGTTTTGCCACAAACTGTAGTTAAGGCAAACAGTTAACTTAAATTTACTATGGACCAAAAGTAGAGATTATTAGATTATTTAATTTAATTATTCAATGTATAGAAAGTTTTTTAGTGTAGTGCTTTTCAGACGTAACTATTGGGAGTGTATTTTGAAATACATATCACATATAGCAAAAAGAAAAGGAAAACAATCCTATTTTTTAAATTACATTGCAATATATACAGATATAAATATAAATACATATATTCACTATGATAGCATCCAAAATGGCCCCCATGAAGCCCCACCTCCTGATATTCTCAACTCTGTTTGATTCTGTCCACGTTGTGCCATTGTTGGTCCATGTGACCAACATCATGTGGAAGAAGAGATGTCACTTCTGTGATTAGGTTTTCAAAGACTGTGGCTTACATCCAAGTTCCCTCGCTCTTTCTCTCATGTGCTTTCTCTCTCAGTATCATTGCTCTAGGAGAAGCCAGATGACATTTTATGAAAGTTTTTCTAGCATCCTAAAGAATGGAGGCCTGGCAACCGCCGTGAGTGAGCTGAGAAGCAGATTTTCTCCAGCCCCACCCGAGCCTTGAGATGATGGCAGCCCTGGGGACAAGTTAACTACAACTTTCCAAAGGCCCTGATCCAGAACAACTCCACTAAGCCAGTCCCAGATCCTGACCCTCAGAAATGCTATAAGATAATAAATGTTTGTTGTTTTAAGATAATAGTTTGGGGGCAATTCATTACACCACAAGGGAGACCTACTATAGTTGACAACGTTGAGCAAAAAAGAAACACTTAGGATGTTTTTGAAGTTTTTAATAATTCAAGCCTATCACCAACACATCAATATGTTTTCTGTTTTACATTGAAATTATATGAGAATACAGAGAATTGCTCTGAGGATTCCTGTTTCTAAATACATTATGGGCTTTCTTATTTTCTATTAGGTCTTGAAAAAAAGCAAATGTCAGTTAATGTCACCCAAAAGAACAAGGGATTTTACTCAAATATTTCTTGGATGATATAGTACTTTTTAGGAAAAACATCTGCCACAAAAATGTTTGTCTCAAAATGATGTTTTGCTGGCATAGATCACTACTGCAAGTGCCTTGCTCTCCTGTGCAGAAGGGCATGCTTTGCACAGTGCATGGCTGTTATCGGTACTATGTAATTGTCCATCATCACAGCACTATGATATTAGTGCTCAGAGTCTATCAGTCAGTTGGGAGATATTTTGGCTTAAATGATGTTGTTTCACTGAGTTGTGTAATGTCAAGAGATTCTGCTGTTACTAAAATAGAACACACAATGCTATATTAAATATCTAATTTCTTAAAATGGGACTCTCTGGTTTTCTAATTCCAGAGGAATTCAATGATCTAATGGTTTCACTATCAATCCATCAGCAATCCTTCTCTAAGAGTGTCTATTGGAGTCTTGAGGACCCAGACCAGCTGAATATTCTTACCAGGTAAGCCTTTTGTTGAAGCTTCAGATTACAGTAGAAAACAGTAGTGGTGGGGAGAGGAACAGGAATGGGTCTTTGATTCATTTGCCAGGGCTGCCTAACAAAGTACCATGGACTGGGTGACTTAAACAATAGAAATTTATTTCTCATAGTTTTGGAGGCTGGAAGTCCAAGATCAAGGTGTTGGCAGGGTTGGTTTCTTCTGAGGCCCTCTCTTCTTAGCTTGTAAAGAGTTGTCCTTCCTCTGTGTCTCCTTATGGTCTCCCTTTGTGCCTGTTGTGCCCTACTCGCCTCTTCTTTTATGATCATCAGTCATATTGAATTAGGGTCTATCCTAATGACCTTATTTTACCTCTTTAAAGACCCTGTCTCCAAATACAGTCACATTCTGAGGTGCTTCAACATGTAAATTTTGGGGAGACATTATCAACCCACAAGAGAATCAAAATGTATTGTTTAGGTAAAAAACAAAAAGAGCAAACAAACAAAGTCATTGGAAATTTTCAGCAGAGCTGAATAAGTGATACGTAATATAATAAAAGTGGTAACAAGAGCAGCCTCCTTGTAAGTAAATTTTATGATAGTTCTTATGTTTTCTACCCGTAGTTTTTATTTCTTCTGCGTAAAAGATTTGTGATACTTATTTGATATAATTAGCTCACGTCCAAGAAAGACCAATGTTCAAATATAGTTTTTTAAATAAAATCTACATTAACAGATAATTTATTAAGTTTATATTATCTGGTGTGTGTGTGTTTGTCTAAATAAAGAGAAACTAGTAATTCACTTATACTAGAGGATAATATTAACCCGGACCAATCTTTCTTTTCTCATCCATCATTTTTTAAATTATCCCAAATAAAAAAGAGAAAAAGTCAATATTCTACCAACTTAATGAGCATACAATAGGTGCTATAACTATTAGCATTATTATTCTTGCTTGTGCTGTGAGGCCTGATGAAGCATTTGATGCCCAGTCCTTCTCATACAACCTCCCAAACAGAGTTACTGTTAAGACAGGTCCGGATGTTGGCTTCAGACTAAACAAGCGTCCGTCAGTTGACACCTGATTAAAACAAAAAAGTAGGCAAAGGCTACCTTCAAGTTTTACAATCCCATAAATCACTTTTAAAATTTACTATAACAGAATGAAGAAACAAAAATACTGGCCAAATTCCATTCTATCAGAAAAATTTGAAATGTTGCCAAGTACAAGAAAAATTGGAGCTATGAAACTGGCACTGATTCATTTATTAGTGAGATGCCCGTAATCAATGTCTTCTAATTTACTTACCTGTGGAAGCGCCGTAAGAGTTAATAAACACAAACCAGTGGATTTGGCAGTATACAGAAGAGAAACCTAGTCCTCTCAGACAAGATAAAGACTCCCCACAATGGCCCGAAGCAATTGACTAACAGGGATTTGAACTGAGCATCTGTCATCTCCTGTCTCTTGCTCACCACAACCTCCTCACCATTCCATTGTCCTCCCACACCCCAGCAGTGGTTTCTACCAGGAACGGGGAGTGGGAGGAGAACTTGCAGGAAGTCAGCGAAAGAATGTGGCTGGGCAGAGCACATGTGAAGCAAGGGATTATTTCTGAACTTTAAAAAGTTTTTGCTTTTTTGCTAACATCCGCCACTGTCAAATTCTCTCTTCTTCAGCTTTTCCTTGTCTCTTTTCCTTCTACCATCACACAGAGCCTTGACTCACTCGACGAGAGGGACTCCTTTCAACTTCCCTAGGCCATCACTCCCCAGTGGTCCTAAGGGGCTCCAATGGCACTGGTTCTGAAACTACTCTCGTTGAATCTTCTTTCTACTTGGAAGACTTTAAACTCCCTATAATCCCCAAAATAAGATATATATTTTTTTATTCTGAAGGACACAGTAATTATTATGTTAAGAATTTCCAGACAAGAAATGCAGCCTGCTCAATGTCCTTCATGATCCCCAAGGATAATCTTAACCTTTCTAAATGGAAATTTTATGATATTTGTAAGCACTTGAGCAGATTTTTATATCAAAAAGTGCTTCCTCTTACATGAAACTAATTGGCAATATTCGAAGATTCTTACCTGAAATTCTCCAGGTGCAAGCTGATTTTCACTCAGCAACACCTCAGGAAAGACATACTGGGTTCCGAAAGTGCCACTGAGGGAGAACATTTCAAACCTGGTAGAAGCTGTTTCAGCTGAGTCACCGCAAGTGTTTAAATTAGTCGTTTTACATTTCAACAGGGTACAAATCTAGGGAAGTCATGAAAACCAGTAAGTCATAAGAAAGTCATGTGGGATATGTGAATTTGCTTGATTTAATCATTTCACGGTGTGTACACATATCAAAACGTCACATCATACACTGTAAAGATATACAATTTTCATTTGTTAATGACAATAAAGCTAGGATAAATTTTAAAGATAAAAAATAGAATAAAATAATTAAATAAACTGCTAGATGCTCTTAAAAAAAAAACATGAGAAAGTCAACTGAAATACTCTCTTGATCTAGAAAAATGCCTATGCCACTTTATTTGGTAAAATAATGTTACTTCTTCATTAGAGTCATCCAGTTTATCACTGAATAATTAATACAACTAATAATAAAAATAAAGGGCTTTAAGCCCCAGTGCCTCCTGCAATTCACTGTCAAAAAGATTAGCCCTGTAAAAGCAATCAGATCCTTGGCCTATAGCCATGAACAGCTATATCTTCATTGTTCTCAAGTTACTAATGATTTTAATTATCAAGAATTTAAAATGTGTTTAAAGGTTTAATTTAGGCACCTGTGTAAATCATATCTTATTGCCTGTTTCACACAATAAAAGAGCTTCAGAGTTGTAATGAGCCCTAGAGTTGACCTAGAGGCAACCCCTGTAATCTGGAAAAGTCATATCCTCTATACTGCGCAAGAACTGAAACACTTCTCCATTAAGTTTTTCTTCCACTATAGTACGTAGCTATTTGAATATAAAATCTAAGTATGTGAGTCATCTCACCATGCAGATGAAAAGTTTCCAAAAGGAGATCCATATTCATTTAATGCCATCTGTACAGCATATTCCAAGTCACCTTCATCTCTTGCTTGACTAAAGCAGCAGCCGCTAACTGGTCTTATTGTTTCCACTTTGCAGGTGGAAAGTAATCACTTCAGTGCAAGTGTATTAAGATGGGATAGAAGTAACTTTCAGGTAAAGGTAGAATGAACATATGCTTCAATTTTATTTCCTACAATCCTTCAAAAGAACACTATTTTTTTTAACCCACAAAGGTAGGAAAATAGGAGGATAGACCACAACACAGTTTTAAAAACTAGGATGTTGATACAAAAAGTAGTAATTGATTCAGCAGACCCAAGAAAACCAGGTCCTAAACTAGCAGTAGAAAGAGCCAAGAATCCCTATCTACACTGCAAAGCACTCAAATTAATCACTGGGACTGCTCTATACCTAGAGCTAGGAGTAAAGTTGTGGCAGTCAAAGGAAAATAAATGAGCAGAAAGTTGTGAAGGATGCCTTGGATACTAAGTCCTCCAAAAAACCAGATAACTGATCCTCCCCTACTCCAGTAAATAACGGAGAATGTTTCCAGAGAGGGTAAAGTGGATGGTCTTTAGATGAAAGTTTAAGAGACATAGTTGAAGGGGATTACCTGAATAAATAACACTGAATGTTGAAAACGTTCCCCCTCCACCCCCACCCACACCTTGCAAGGCCATTTTCCTCACTTGGATCCCTAATGCTGTCAGCAAGGATTTATCTTTCAGGAATAGGGTTGCCAGGTAAAACACAGGACAAGACTCCCAGTTAAATGTGAAGTTCAGATACACAACAAATAATTTTTTAGTATAAGTATGTCTTAAATATTGAATGGGACATACTTACACTTTTTAAAAAAAATGTTTATCTGGGCTGGGAGCAGTGGCTCCCACCTGTAATCCCAGCACTTTGGGAGGCCGAGGCAGGCGGATCACTTGAGGTCAGGAGTTCGAGACCAGCCTGGCCAACATGGGGAAACCCCATCTGTACCAAAAATATAAAAAATTAGCTGGGAGTGGTGGCATGAACCTGTAATCCCAGCTACTCGGGAGGCTGAGGCAGGAGAATTGCTTGAACCCGGGAGGCAGAGGTTGCAGTGAGCGGAAATCATGCCACTGCACTCCAGCCTTGGCAACAGAAAGAGACTCTCTCAAAAAAAACAAAGTTTATCTGAACTTCAAATTTACCTGGAGATCCTGTATTTTTATTTCCTAAATTAGGCAACTGATTCAAGAAGGAAATTAGAAGAATCTTGAAACCTGGGAGACCTGACCATCCCAAGAGGAAGTCTCCAAAGACACTTACCTCCGATTTCCCCGCAGCAAAAGGTCCAGCTAGATCATTCTATCATGAAGCTCAAAATTGGCAAGTGTTACTCACATGGTCAGAATTTTCTATGAGTTTTTGGTAATCCCCAAGAGTTACCAGACATGTGAGAAAAACTTATTGCATGAAAAAGCAAATAAAAAAGCAGATAAAAGCAACTTGAAGGAAGCAGGGGGGAGGAGCTTCAATAAAAAATTTCCTAAATAGCCTCAGAGAGAGAAGAAAAAATAATACATGCACAAAACAACAATAAGTGTTGAAACTCCGAAGACAAGAAAAAAGAGTTCTTGGAAATTAAGAACATGTTAACAAAAATAAAAGATTCAGTACAAGATTTGGAAGATCAAGAGGAGGAAATCTCTCAGAAAGTAGAGGAGAAAAATAAAGTAGTAAAAAATAGCAGAGAAAATGTCGGAAAATTAGAGCCCTAATCCAAGAGGCAGAAGATCCCAATAATAAGAGTTTCAGAAAAAGAGAAAAGAAAATAGAAAGGAAGAAATTCTGCATGCATTCTGGGGAAGGTGTGGAATGAGGAATACACATACAAAGAATCAGGAATCAGAAGAACTTCAGAATTCTCAATAGCAACGTAAGATGGGAGGATATAAATACATTCACAATCCTGAAGAAAAGTCATAACCACCTTTGAATTCCATGCCCAGGGAAATACTTAACTAAATTTAAGAGGAAAGGCAGTTTCAGACCAGTGAGTCTCAAAAATCTTGCATCCCGATCACTCTCTTTCCGGAAACTGTTAACAACAAGAAAGAGGGCACAAGCCCAAAACAAGGAAGACGGGGAACAGAAAACAGGAAATCCACACAGGGAAGTGGTAAAGAAAAATCTTCACCATGAGGATAAAGGGAGATTCCAGGATGACTCCTATCGTATACAAGGCATGGAGAGCAGCCAGTTCAGATTAGAGCAATGTGACTAGACAGCGTTGACTACAACAGAACAAAGGAGCAAATAAAGGTAGAAGGAGAAAAACAGAGAACCTAAAACAAGGAAATAGCTAAGAGAGCATTCCTAGGATGACAGTAAAGGAAATCTCAATATGACAACTGTGCAGAATGACTAGAGGGAAACCAGTGCAGAGAAAGGTTATTATTTTTAGCTCAAGATAAACTTATGAAAATGATATTGTGGAAAAATTATTCTGAGATGCTGTTGGAAGATATGGGGTTTTAACAAAAAGTCAAAGAAAATTAACGAAATTTAAAAAAATAAGGCAATTAATAACTTTAGGAAAAACAAAGAAAAACTATAAAAGCAAAACTCTGAGTGATGTTTGCAATGACATACTGATATAAACAAAATTATGCATATTTGCTATAAAATGCTTGGAAAATCTGTGTGGCAAGATAGGGGTTTATTTCACTTTTACCTCTCTTTGTGTCTCTTCCCTTGGTTTGGAGGTAGCTTTTGGTGATAATCGAGATTTTTCAAGCATAATATATCATCACAGTTAGACTATGAAAAATTATAAATATAATATTATACCAAAATTCCTTATCTTCAATACAAAAATCCAAAATCTTCTGAAAATAAAGGATTTTTGTAACCCACTGGCACATTGGCATTAAGACCTAACTTGAATTAACATAAGGCTATAACATTTTTATTCAAGCTATTTAAGGTGAATAATCCCATGTTTTCCAATAGATATATTAATATGTTTGATTCTGGGTATTTTCCCAGACTCTGCTGGTAATATCAAGTAATATGTATTATTATCTTTAAATAGGAAGATTCCAAAACATATCTGGTACCAATCGTTTAGATGAAATATCACCGTCTAGCAAGATAAACAGAAAGCTTGGTTTTACTTGACAAAGCTAACCTACCTCACAACACTAAGAAAGAACTTCCCACAACTCTCTTTAGGTAGAGCCAAGACTCTGGAGGAGGTAAAAAGGTAGGAAAAGATTGAGGAGGCAGGAAGGAAAAGGAGGGAAGAAGAGCTAAGAGATTACTCTCTTGTTTTGTGACCAACTTTTTTTAACTTAAAAATAATACATCACAATTTATATTTTAATTTTAAAAATTTATATAGCAATATAATACCATATGAATGTCACATATATAAGGCTATATATGTTAATATAACATATGGTATATGGTAATAATTTTATGGCAATAAATGTTCTTCTACAATATGATTCATTTAATTTCCAGTTGTTGGACATTTTGTACCTGTGTTCATGATACTATTTTTCCCTCTTTCCTCCAGCACCTTGGAACACTGAGTAGGAGTAATGATTCCTTGTATATTTTATTTTATTTTGAGACAGAGTCTCACTCTGTTGCCTAGGCTGGAGTGCAGTGGCACAATTTCAGCTCACTGCAACCTCTATCTCCCAGGATCAAGCAATTCTCCTGTCTCAGCCTTCCAAGTAGCTGGGATTGCAGGCGCCTGCCACCATGCCTGGCTAATTTTTGTATTTTTAGTAGAGACAGGTTTCACCATGTTGGACAGGGGTCACAAACTCCTGATCTCAGATGATCTGCCCGCCTTGACCTCCCAAAGTGCTGGGATTACAGGCCACTGCACTGGACCTGATTCCTCTCATATTTTATGTATTTTTTCCTTTTGTAGCTCTTTCTCTTAGACCTACAAAGGCAATCAAGGCTCTCTCGTTTGTTGAGAAACACACACACACACATACACACATACACACACATTTCTCCTGACCATGAGTCTCTGTTAAACCATTGTCTTGCTTCTCTTCTTCTTGTCTCAGATAAGATTTCTTGGGGAAAAAAGTGCATTCACTTCCCTTTGACTTTTCAACCCAATATAATCTGCCCATCATCCTATCATTATGAGCTCAGAAAATTCTGCCAAAATTATACTCAAAAATGCTAATAATGGTCAACGTATTGTGTTAATACACCTCATGATTTCTTTCCTCCAAGAGTCTCTACTTCCTTGGCATCTACCAGATGTTCTCTTTTTAAATTTTCCTTTATTTCTTAATTGTATTTGCAGGTTTCTTGTCCTCTGTCCTTTCCTGCCCCAAATACCGAAGCTCCCAAAGGTTCTACTTTGTCAATAGTTCTTTACTGTCAGTACAGTCTCCTTTGTCGTATCATTCACTGTTGTTTGCTTAATTGCCCCTTGTATCTTGCTGATTTTTGAAACAATATTTCTAATTCTAGTATCTCCCTTAAGCATCAGACCAAAGTATTCAACAGACAACTGGCTGGGTCCAGCTGAATGTCTCATAACTACTTCAAAACCAGCACATCTATAACTGAACTCAGCCTCTACCCACTGTCAGTGAGTCTGCTCCTCTCTTGCCTCCTGATCTGTCAGATGCATCTCACCCACCCAGCCATTCTTGCCAGAAATCTGCCACATTCTGGACTCTCCATTCCGTTTTCCTGTTCCACATCAAATTGGCCACTGAGTTCCATTTTCTAAATATGTCTAGACTCCATGCCCTGCTTTTATTCCAACAAACACAGTCTTGGTCCAGACCCTTAATAAGACTATTTTAATAATCTAGTCTTTTGGGTCTTTGCTCCATCATCTACAGAGTAGTAAAAATGATATATTCAAAGGTAGATCTGACCACATCATTCCTTCACTGGACCACTTCCACCAGCTGACCATCACCCACAGAATAAAGGCTGAATCTTAAGTGTGCTAGGTAAGATCCTGCAGGACAGGATGTTGCTTCCAGGCTTATTTCCCACCAAACCCAGCTTCGCAAGCCATGCCTCAGTTGCCTTAGTAGCACTGACCTGTTGCTGTTCCCTGCAGACCCTGCTCCTGCCTGCATCCACACCCTTGTTCATGCTCTTCACACCACAAAGAATCCCCTCCTACTCTTTTTCACCTGGATAATAGCATCAGCTCCAGAAACTTCCCTGCATTCCCAAATTAATCTAAGTAGAGCTCTTTAGTACTCCTCCAGCAAAATGTGCATTCTACGGACAATCACATGCCAACCTATGCTGAAATTATCTGTTCAAATGTCTTTCTCCATTACTAAAGACTGAATTCTTCAAGAGGAGGATCTATGCTTATTTATCTTCATATCATTAACACTAAATAAATACCTGGCATATAGTAGGCCTTCATTTGCTAAAACGAAAAAGTATTGTTAGGGTAGTTATCATAGAGCAAACAAAATACTGTGCAGTTGGCATAATTTCAGCACTCAAGGGGTTCTCAGTCTCAAATAAGTAAGTGAATACTATGACATAATATGTCTTTGATAAAGCTAAGCATAGGGTGTCCTGGGAGCACATAAAGGATGTACTTAACTCATCTGGAGAGGTAGGAGTAGCTCTGTGGGAAATATCCAGGAACCCCTCTTGGTGACGATAACACCAGAAAAGTGCTATGAAAGATTAGTAGGTGGGGCTCGCCACGGATAAAGGACCAAACAATCTGTGCAAACACCTTGAGGTTCTGCATATGCTAGCAAATAGGAGATGGGAAAATATTTCAATATTGCAGAAGCCCAGGATATTTGTAAGTAGAAGTGAGATTAGAGGATAGAGAATAGGAAGGGACCACACATCTAGACTTTGTGTGTCTTTCATGTTAAGAAATTTGATTTGTCAATTAGAAGTCAGTGAAGAATTTTAAGCCAGACAGTATTATAATCAAAAACAGCTTTTTGTGATTTCTGTAACTACAATATGGAGAACTGACTGGATGGAGCTGAGATTGTCAGACTGTCAATAGGAAGCCCTGTTAAGTGAGATAAGATGGGGGCCAGACCAAGGAAGAGAAGAGAAGAATGAGAGGACCATGGAGGCCACTTGCGAGCAATGAGAGATTGGATCTTTGCAGCAATAAACCATTCCATTGAACTATCTTGGTGGTCAACCCCATTCATATCCAGGATATACTTAGTGTCAAACTCTTTATAAAGCAAGATAGGCATTTGTGAACATATAAGGAAAATGGCTTAATTTGTTCAGGCAGGAAATAAAATGGGTTTTCAATGAACTCCTGTTATAATGATCTGTAATTTGAATATTTATTTTTAATACTGCTACTGCAAGTAAATGTCCTGCCTTTTCCCAATCAGCTTAAAATTGAACTGACATCTAAGGTTTCAAGGTTTAGCAAATAGGCAGGGCACGGTGGCTCATGCCTATAATCTCAACACTTTGGGAGGCTGAGGTGGGCGGATCACCTGAGCTCGGGGAGTTTGAGACCACCCTGGCCAATATGGTGAAACTCTGTCTCTACTAAAATACAACAACAACAAAAAAATTAGCCAGGCATGGTGGCACTCGCCTGTAGTCCCAGCTACTTGGGAGGCTGAGGCGTGAGAATTGCTTGGCCGAGGAGGCAGAGCTTGCAGTGAGCTGATGCACCACTGCACTCCAGCTTGGGCTACAGAGTGAGACTCTGTCTCAAAAAAAAAAAAAAAAGATTTAGCAAATAAATTTAGCCTGTATTTGTAGGCTTCCCAGCTAAAGTTGAATTTCAAATAAACAACAAAATTTTTAGCATACATAAATCCCCAAAAGTGTGATATGCTTATACTAAAAAATCATTCATTATTTATCTAAACTGTATATTTAACTGAGTGTCTTTATTTTATCCAGTAACTCTTCTGACATCAAAATATTACCTGTAGATAATAGCGCCCTTCCACAGTGTGCAGTCCGTCAAATGCCCCTAGAGCGTACACTTCATTTGGTATGTTCTCAGACATTTTGTAGCTTAAATGACAGCAGAGATCTTTCTGACAAACTGTATAATTTCCTGCAACTCCTGTGAGCTTCACAAAAGTGAATTCATCGAAAAAGACAGTGCCTTTAAATTCCTTGTTTCCTGATGAGAGCGCTTCTATACTGCTGGCATAGGAAGTCCAGTTCACCACTGCAGAATGGGATGGGTGGGAATCCAGTTGCGAGAGGAGGAGTTTTCCCTCTTCTGTCTTCATATCATAATGAAATGCTCTTGAAGAATTGGGTGCATAGATGCCACTTCCTGGAAGTAATAAGTTGAAAACATCATTTGAAATTGGAAAGTAAAAAGGGATTTCATAATTGTTATTACTATTTTAACCTCATATTCACATTTTACTCTCTCTAAGTTATATGTTTTATTAATTTCAGTAAAACATGCTGATAAAGACAGAGAAGTGAGAGGAAATCAATTAAAGTATGAAACCAAGAAGCCAAGAAGGGAGAGTTGTATGTAAGAAGTCATATATTTTGAAAAAAAAATCAAGTTAAATAAAACCAAATAAATCTACAAAACAATTTAGACTGAGATTGATTCTATAGCATATTAACAGCTAGATGTTCAAAAATTAAGAGCTGGAAAACATTGTATTAAGGAGTATGCGTTAGCTAGAAAAACATGTTTTTTTTTTCTTTTCTTTTCTGATTACATCAGCCTGCATATCTTTAAGATCACACATTACCTGTCATTTTCTTTGAGGGGTAATGTATGTTGGATGCAAGGAAATTGACCCTCATGCCCATAGCCCAAGCTGAGTGGAATTCAACAGCTGACAAATGTGGCAAAACATTCATCCAAGCTGTTGGGAATACTATGGTGTCCACGTGGAAATCTTTCACCAAGGTAACAGCAGGATCATGGAAGAGTATATCAAAGCATGTGAAAATGCCAAAACTTCCAAAGGTGGTATTGAAAGTCACAATCTCAGGCTCCTTGGGTACATTGAATTGATTTTCACCCATGAAAAGGTTTTGCTGCAATAAACAGAAGATAAAGAGAAAAAAATTATTTTAGGAAGTTGATCTGGACATCACAGTGTGGGAAAAAGTACAAGCTCACATCTTAGTGCCAATTTCATCTATGATCAGTGTTTTCATGGGAAATGAGTTTGCTTTAGAGAATCAGAGGCCATTCTAGCTAAACTGGGCCTTTAGTTCAGTCTCCACATTACAAATATGTACATGGGTATCTTTATCTATAAAGACCCACTGGAATCTTATAAGACATAAAATAGATTACTTCTGTTTGCCAAGTAGACTTAACTGTTTTCCTTGGCAAGGAACTTTGTTTGTTCCATTCTCCTCAAGACAGAGTCTATGTGGTAAGCAGTTTTTCATTCTAGCCTTGACCCATTGCCAGGGTATGCCTTTAAAAGGACAAAGTCCAAAAGGCAACATTAGGCAACATAATGCATGCGGCACTTTCTGACTGCTACACACTCCTGAAAACACACTCCTGTGTTCTTATATGTACACGGAACCCCTTAAGCCTCTTTATAGGAGCTTTCCACGCTTTATCATTACTTTCTATGCTTTGCCCCTACTCGATTTCTAAAGTGTGCTTATCATTATCAATAACATATTTTTCTCCTTGCCCACTTTATTTCATTAGGCATTAACTAATTGGATTATTTGCAAATTAATTTTACCTTATGGTAGCGTGCCACCAGTTTTCCTTGAGAATCAAATACCACATCAGTGTTGTATTGGTAACGGCCATCAGGGGGACACTGAGGATCACTGGTATCGCATGGCTTCTTGTCCCCAATATTTGCCACAACATAGATAGAGTTGTTCTTGGCCAGGCAGCTGAGTCTTTCTTGTACTGGGGTCTGGCCAAATCTGATACATGTTTATTGGAGGAAAAAAATCTTTGTAAATCAATCTTAACTCTCAACAAAATCCTGAATGATAGTTGCCTAAACCTATTATTTGATATATGCAAAAGTAAATTCTAAATAACAATAATTAGAAGAGAAGTATTAAGACAAGAAAGGAGTTCAGAGGAAGCCCATGCTTGAGTAAAATTGGTTGTAGGAACCTACTGTAGGATAAGATTCCAGACCACGTATTTTTTCTTCATAGCATTTATCGTAATCTATAGTCATATTTTCACTTACGTGTTTGTCTTATAATGTCTGCAGCATCCTGTGGATATCATAGATCAATGACTTACATATCCCGTTTACTAAAATTTTGTCTAACAGAAGAGAGGCATTAAAAAATATCTTGGGGTGGGTGTGGTTGCTCATGCCTGTAATTCCAGCACTTTGGGAGTCCAAGGAGGAAGGATTGCTTGAGCCCAGGAGTTTGAGACCAGCCTGGGCAACAAAGCAAGACTGTCTCTCTACAAAAAATGAAAAAAAAAAAAAATAGCCAGGCATAGTGGTGTGTGCCTGTAGTCTCAGATATTTGGGAGACTGAGGTGGGATGATTGCTTGAACTTGGGATTTTGAGGCTACAGTGAGTTCCACTGCATTCCAACCTGGGCAACAGAGCAAAACCCTGTCTCAAAAAACAAATTTTGGGGGGCCAGGTGTGGTAGCTCATGCCTGTAATCCCAACATTTTGGGAGGCCGAGGTGGGTGGATCAGCTGAGGTCAGGAGTTCGAGACCAGCCAGACCAACATGAAGAAACCCCGTCTCTACTAAAAATACAAAATTAGCTGGGCCTGGTGGCGTGCGCCTATAATCCCAGCTACTCAAGAGGCTGAGGTGGGAGAATTGCTTGATCTTGGGAGGCAGAGGTTGTGGTGAGCTGAGATCATGCCATTGCACTCCATCCTAGGCAACAAGAGTGAGACTCCATCTCAAAAAAAAATTTTTTTGAATGAGTTAACAAAAATTTAGAGGTAGAGGGATGCTGGGAAGATAGCAGAGCAGGGAATTTTTCTCCCCACCTAGATAACAATTGCACTGTTGGAATCTGTCTAATATTACTATTTTGGAGCTCTAGTGCTTGCAACTTCCAGAAGAATGCTTGGAAGGTAACTTACAGTTAATTTCAGTCCATTTTAGCTCTTAGCTCAATAGTGGTTACCAATTCCTCATCCCCTGTCCCTGTGACAGGCTGCCATGTCTGTGTTCCTAAAGCAGCTTGCAGGCAGCTTATGGGAGCAGGGTGGACAATAATGACCTTGTCTTTCAAATATACGAGATCTGCATTCTGATCACTAATTGTTGCTTCTGATCATGGAGGTACAAATGCAAAGGCAAGCAGCTATTGTTGTGTATACATACAGACACACCATTTTTGCAGGCCCTCTTTCTGGCTGAAGTGGCTTCCAGGAGATTTAAAGAACCAGTGTCTTATTTATTTATTTATTTTCTCTTTTTCTCCTTTGGATAGTGAGACATTTAAGGAATAAGCAATTAAATATACAGGGAAATTTAGAAAGTCGCCATACATGCCCAGGGAAAGGTACAGACTCATAAAAGGTCTAAGAAGACCTTAAATTTACATCTCAAGCTGATCCTCAACACAAACATCCTACAACAACAAAACAAACAAACAAACAAACATAGCAAACCCAGAGAATCTGATTCCCAGAGTAACCATGTGATAAGATTCAAATGTCTAGTTATCAACCAAAAAAATCACAAATCATACAAAGAAACAGGAAAGTATGACTCACTCAAAAGAAAGGAAAAATAAACCAACGAAAATCATCCCTGAAAAGGACCACATGACAGACCTACTAAACACAGACTTTAAAACAATGGTTTTACAGAAGCTTAAGAAAATAAAGGAAGATGTGGAGAAAATCAAAAAACAAAACAAAGTAGAAATATCAATAAAAAGATAGAAAACCTAAAAAGAATCTGGAGCTGAAAATTACAATAACTGAAATGAATATTTTATAGGAGGATTCGAAGACCAATTCAGGCATGTAGAAAAAAGAAACAGTGAACTGGAAGACAGGACCATTGAAATTATTGAGTCTGCAGAACAACAACAAAAAATATTAAAGAAAATTGAACAGAGCCTTAGGAACACCATTGAGTGTCCAACACATGCACTGTGGGAGTCTCAGAAGGAGAAGAGAGATTATTTGAAGAAATAATGGCTGAAAACTTCCCAAACTTGAAGAAAGATATGAATATAAAGATCCAAGAAGCTCAACAAACTCCAAGAGAATGAATTCAAAGAGACTCACACTAAGACACACTATAATCAAATTGTAGAGAGCCAAAGACAAAATGAGAATCTTGAAAGCAGCAAGACAGAAGTGACTCATACATACAAGGGATCCCCAATAAGATTATCGGCAGATTTCTCATCAATAACTTTGGAGACCACAAAGCATTGAGCTGATATATTTAAAGTACTGAAAGAAAAAAAAATCTGACAACCAAGAATTCTATATCCATCAGAACTGCCCTTCAAAAGGGAGGGAGAAATGAAGACATTCTCAGATTTGAGAAGAAAGGAAAGAGAGAAGGGAGGGGAGGGGAGAGGAGGGGAGGGGAGGAGAGGAGAGGAGAGGGCACAGTGGCTCACGCCTGTAATCCTAGCACTTTGCAAGACTGAGGCCAGTGGAACACCTGAGGTCAGGAGATCGAGACCATCCTGGCTAACACGGTGAAACCCCGTCTCCACTAAAAATACAAAAAATTAGCCAGGCGTGGTGGCAGGTGCCTGTAGTTCCAGCTACTCAGGAGGCTGAGGCAGCAGAATGGCGTGAACTCGGGAGGTGGAGCTTGCAGTGAGCTGAGATTGCGCCCCTGCACTCCAGCCTGGGTGACAGAGTGAGACTCTGTCTCAAAAAAATAAAAAGTTTAAAAATATTTTAAAAAAAGAAAGAAAGAAGGGAGGCAGGGAGGAAGGAAGGAAGGAAGGATGGATATTGAGCTTTGCACAAGAGGCTAAGATTTGTTCCAAATTTAGTAATAAATAGGTACTATTAAAGCCTTTGAAGACAGAAGCAACCTGGTCAAAATTTTCTTCATAAAGATAAATAGAACACGGAGTGTAGAATGTACTGGAACAGTGAGAGACTAAATGCAGGGGATTCATTAGGAAGCTGTTGCCATTGTTCAAATAAGAGGTAACAAGGATTGGCTAGGGCAGTACCAGCTAGTATGAAACAATGGAAATCCTGGAGCATTTGTTAATGCCTGATTTTTTTATTCTTTTACAAAGTTACCAATAATTGTCCCAGTAAAGCAATTAAAATACAATTTTGAAAATAATATTTAACATATTGCTATATTTATCCTCTATTGCACAACTCTGAAATGATAAATGGTTATTGAAGAATAGCTGAGAAGGCTGAGATAACTGTTGTATGAATAAAAATTTGGTGACATCAAATATTGGCTACTAGATCTACAAACAAATTTGTATAATGAATATAAGGAAAGCCATAGCAATCATCTATAAAACATATCCTTGAAAAAGATTGGAAAAGGATATAATAATACATATAGAAAATTATTATTTCAATGTGTTTGTAAGAAAGAACAACCGTTCAATAGTTTAACCCACCTTTGCTTCAATTGATATCTGAAATGCATAGATATAAATTACAACACATTGAACCACTTGAAACATGTTTACCCCCAGTCTTTTTGGATCACCTTAAGTGGTGGAATAAGTAGGTTGGTGTTTTGGATTTCTGAAACAGTTCTGATGACAAACATATTTTCCTACTGACTCTATTAGTCTTCATGTATTCTAATATATTTCAATTCAAGCTACATTTCTCAGGCTGTTTGGCGTATACATAAAATGCTCCAAAATTAGACCACATGTCCTAATTTAGGGTTTAAAAATTCAGTTTGCTTATGGTGCCTGAAATCTGCCTGTTGCTTCATCCATGATATTTGCTGAGTCCTTAATCCATGCAGAGTTTTGCCCTGGGCACAGAAGGAGGAGGTGAAAGAGAATAATTGAAATGCATTTTCTAAGGCTGCTTTCAAAGTGTTCAATCTTTAGGTATAACAAAAATCATCAATTATCGGAAAGATATTTACTAATCTAAAATCAGCACATGTTAAATATTCAACAAATATGCATTAGGTTTTGACACAACACAAAGCACTATATTGGACATGTGGGCAACTGGGGGAAGAATATTCCAGGCAGAGCTGTCCAAGCATACAATGTGAGAGACATAGAAATGTCAGATGTGGTTGCTATGCTTATAAAGCATTAGGCTTACTGAAGAAACAATGTGTGCACACAAAACTCTGAAATAACAGTATGAAATAATATGCAATCAAATATCAAAATGCCTTTTCAGCCCTTCAGCTCCAAGCTGACCCTGATGAGAGCAATATGATCTTGGTGGCTCTGCAGAGACATCCACCCAGGAAGGCTTCCCCTCCCTGGGCCTCTCTGTTTGCTTTGTTTCCTAGGCCTCTGAGATTGGATTTCGTGGGGTGAGGTGAGTGCAGGCCCAAGAAGGGTGGTTACCACTGAGGCTCAATCACTATCAAGATGATAGAGGTACTGAAACCTGACTGTCAGAAACTGCTACACCAGCTGAATGCCTTGTTGGAACTGAAGTCTAGATGTCAGTTAAAGATCTGTGGTTTGAGACTAATTGAGTTTGCACATGATAGACAATAGCCTCAGAATGACTGCAAGGCTACAGGACTTTGAAGTACAAGATGTTAGTCTAATTCAGTTCTTTGGCTTTAACACAAAGGCATTTTCTCTGTGAATTTACTGGACAGATTCCTGTGTTAAATGAAGGTGCAGCCCAAGCACCTTGGATGTGTTGAACTGAGCTTCTTCTATTCGGCTGTAAAATCAATAGAAGAGGAAAGGGATGTCCCATTGGCAACTGATGTGTTCCAAATAGGTGAATATAGGTTCACGGTTTCAGACTTGATGAGAATGGAAAAGATTGCATTGGAGAAGTTGTAATGTAAAGTGAAAGCTACTACTGCCTTTCAATTTCTACAACTCCACTATTCACTCATTCAAGGGAACTTGCCATTTGAAAGGAGAAGTGGCCTCAATTTTGACTGGAAGCCCAATTTAAGGCATGTCAAGATCAAATGCTCTAAACTTTGGAGTCTAAATCAAAGCCTTCTATGTTGATATTGTCTATAATCATATTGGAGATCCAAAAACAGAAGTGTATACAGTTAATAAAATGAGTAGAATGTCTTCAGAAACATTCCAAGATAAATGGTAGAGATGTGACCTTCTGGAAAGAGTTTGTATCCAAGTGTTTAACTGAATACTCATCAAACAAATGTTCCAAATCAAACATTCAGAAGTTGAAATGGATTGTTTCTGGGCATACTGCATTGCAACTAAAGCATAGTTACTGAAGAAAAATTCACCATCCAACAATTCCTGAAATGGTTCCCTAATTGGTAAATTTGGTTCATTGTTATTCTCCATATACAGAAAATTTTCCAATGCTATAATTTTCTTTTGCAATTAAAATATTAATTATCTTCAAAATAAACAAAATGAAGTTGGAATCACGAAGGGGAAAATGACTTCACTGATCTTTCAGTTAATATTTGAAGGCATTTACTACACAGAAAATATAACACCTCAATAGTAAGGAATTATCCAACCTCTGATATGTAAGTTAGCCATTTCATGATCTTTTCAGCTTTGAAAACAGCATCTTTCTTAATAGCATGAATTTTGAAAGTAGCACTAAAATTGTGTTTTTATTACACATCTTGCTGTGTGTAGACCCATGCTCAGGCTCATTTTAAGTTACACAAGCCTGAGTAAGACAATAGGGACAAAAAGTTTAAACCATATGTGAACAAATTTGAAACTATTCATATGTAAGCAAAATCAATATGAATTTGAATATTGTACCTAAAGAAAAAGTAAGATATGGCAGATGGTCTCCACATTGGGTTTCTGAAAACTGTCAGGGTGTTTTGACACTGTAGTTACATATCATTGCTACAGCAGTTAGATGACTGTAAAGTAGTTATATGCTTGGTCACTGCATATATGATATATACTTGTCATCTAAATTTTATTTAAAAAAAAATTTTCAGAGGCATTGTCTGCCCAAACCCTCTAGAGCTCTGCCCCTCAGATGCTGTAAGGTGAAAGAGAGGGCCCTGACAAGGATGGGACAATGGCAGCAGGCTGGCCACATGCACAGCCACCACTACCCCTGGCCTGTGGCCACTCCTGGGACAGAAACTGCTGGGCCACCCACTGACACCCATCTTGGCTATCCCCACTGCTTCCCAAACCCTGTTCTAGTCTGGGGCTGAGCCTGAGTGGCATGGGAAGAAGTCAAGACCCCAAGCAGAACACCAGAGGCTGGAAACCAAGAAGGGCACCCTGGGGATGAAACTCTGGGGAGGGTGGAGATGGGAAGGATGAAATGGACATGCTCCCTCACACATCTCCATTTAAATTTCTTAACTCACAGTAATGATTTATCTTTTTCTACTCGAAACTAAATGTTGACATTCATATGATTATGAATGTTAGATATAAACACTTCACATTTAACAGTAATATTTAAGCAGACTTCAAATACGTTTGGGTTTTTTTCTGTTTGTTTCTTTAAATAAGGTTATAGTAGCAAAAAAAACTTCTCTGAAGCCTTTCTCCATAGCCCTGCTCTATAGATTCCATAATGGTATAATGGATTTAAGCTATGAAGCCTCAAAACATCACAACTACATTAAGGCAATGTTCTCAAATTTAGGGAAACTGCCTAATTACTATTATGCTATGGTGGAATTATGTGTTGATTTAAGTTCATCTGTGAAACATTCAAATCAAAGCTAAAACTATAAATATGAAATGCTAACGACAAGTCTGGAAAGGTACACTGTGACTCTTTATTTCTAACATTGATCTAACTTTCTATATTGGATCAATATATTGTATTTAGGTGGTATTAAAAATTATAACCCATTTAATTTAAATGTTAAATTTTAAACTATGAGGTCTACATCAAAACCAACATTTGACTAATGAACTCTTTAGGCATAATAAAGGTTAATATTCTAGGCAGTATAAATAGTTTCTTGGCACCCTCAAGGCAAGTAATATATAATTCAGACATGTGCACTTTATTATACAGAAGGAATATACCTCAACATAATAAAGGCTATAGATGGCGTATATGTCAGCACCTACAGCTAACATCCTATGGAATGGGGAAAAGCTGAAAGCCTTTGTTCTAAGAACTGTAACAAGACAAGGAAGCCCACCTTCACCACTTCTATTCAACATCATACTGGAAGTCCTAGCCAGAGCAATCAGGCAAGAGGAAGAAATAAAAGATGAGGAGGAAGCAGAGGAAGATGGCCAAATAGAACCTTCCAGCAATTGTCTTCCTGCAGGATCACCAAACTGAACAACCATCCACAACAAGAATGAACCTTCATAAGAACCAAAAATCAGAAGAGTAATCACAGTACCTTGTTTTAAAATCATATCAAGGAAAGAGGCACTGAAGGAGGTAAGAAAGAAAGTCTTTAATTGCCAATACCACTCTCCCCCATCCTCCAGGTTACCACATGGTGTGGAGAGAAAATTTGTGCCCTTGGGGGAAGGAAAGTACAGTGATTGTGGGACTTTACATTGGAAGTCAGTGTTGCCATGTAACAGCAGAAAGCAACATGGCACAGAATTCAGCCAGTGCCCACAGAGGGCACATTTAGAACAGCTCTTGTCAGAGAGGAATTGTCCTACCCAGCAGTCAGAACCTGAGTTCTACCAAGGATCACCAATGTGGGATAAAGTTCTCTGGGGTTCTAAATAAACTTGAAAGGCAGTCTAGGCCAGGGGTTCCCAATCCCTATGCCATGGACTGTGGCCTGTTAGGAATTGGGCTGCACGGCAGTACCAGTCCATGGCCTGTTAGAAACTGGCTGCACAGTAGGAGATGAGTGACATTACTGCCTGAGCTCTGCCTCCTGTCAGATCAGTTGCAGCATTAGATTCTCATAGGAATGGAAGCCTGTTGTGAACTGTGCATCTGAGGAATCTAGGTTGCATGTTCCTTATGAGAATTTAACTAATGCCTGATGATCTAAGGTGGAACAGTTTTATCCAGAAAGCATACTCCACCCTGTCCATTAAAAAATTGTCTTCCACAAAACCAGTCCCTGGTGCCAAAAACGTTGGGGACAGCTGATTTAGGCCACAAGGACTACAATTCCTAGGCAAGTCCTAGTGCTGTACTGAGCTCAGAACCAGTAGCCTTGGAGCGCACATAACCTAGTGAGACACCAGCTGGAGTAGTCAAAGGAGTGGTTGCATCAACCCTCCTCCAACTCCAGGCAGCACAGCTCACAGCTTTGAGAGACTCCGTCCCTCTGCCTTAAGAAAGGAGACAGGAGCATAAAGAGGACTTTGTCTTGCAACTTGGATAACAGCTCAACCACAGTAAAATAAAGCACCAAGTAGAGTACTGAATCCCCCAACCCAGGCCCTAGCTCCCTGATGATATTTCTAGACATACACTAGGCTATAAGGGAACTTCTTGCCTTAAATGGAAGGACCCAGTCCTGGCAAGAATCATCACCTGCTAACTAAAGAGCCCTTGGGCTTTGAATAAACATCAGTGATAGCCAGGCAGTACTCACCACGAGGCTTGGGTGGGACCCAGTACCATGCTGGTTTCAGGTGTGACCCAGCACATTCCCAGCTGTTGTAGCCATGGGGAGGCATGGGGAGGAAAGGAGAGGGAAGAGTAAAAGGACTTTGTCTTACAAATTGGGTACCAACTTAGCCACAGTAACATGAAGCACCAAGCAGACTCCTAAAGTCCTCAATTCCAGGACTTAGCTCCTGGATGGCATTTCTAGACCCACCCTGAGCCAGAAAAGAACCCACTGCCTTCTCTTATAAGAAATGCTAAAGAAATTTCTTCAATCTGAAAGAAAAAGACATCAATAACCAATAAGAAAGCATCTTAAGGTACAAAACTCACTAGTAAGTACACAGACAAACATGGAGTGTTATAACTCTGTAATTGTGGTGTAAACTTCTCATATCTTGAGTAGAAAAACTAAAAGATGAACCAATCAAAAATAATAATTATAAAAGCTTTTTAAGACATAGACAGTATAAGATATAAATAGAAAGTATTAAAAATTAAAAGTATGGGGGATGAAGTTAAAGTATGAAGCTTTTATTAGCTTTCTCTTTGCTTGTTAGTTTATACAATCAATGTTAAGTTGTCATCACTTTAAAATAATGAACTATAAGTTGTTATTTACAAGCTGCATAACATCAAATCAAAAAACCTACAACAGATACACAAAAAATGAAAAGCAAAAATTAAAACATACCATCAGAGAAAAACACCTTCACAAAAAGGAAGACAGGAAGAAAGGAAGACAACACCACAAAACAACCAGAAAACAAAAAAACAAAATGGCAGGAGTATGTCCTTACTTAACAATAAAACATTGAATGTAAATGGTCTAAACTCTCCAATCAAAAGACATAGAGTGGCTAAATGGATAAAAAAGAAAAAAAATCAATGGCAATGGTCGATTGTGTACAAGAAACACACTTCACTTATAAAGACACACACAGACAGAAAATAAAGGGATAGCAAAGATTTCCATGCAAATGGAAAACAAAAGGAGCAGGGGTAGCTATATTTTTATCAGACAGAATAGATTTCAGGACAAAAACCATAAAAGGAGACAAAGAAATTAATTATATAATGATAAAGAGGTCAATTCTGTCAGAGGATATAACAATTGAGCACACAAGTGTGCTAACACTTGAGCACACAGATATATAAAGGACATATTACTAGAGCTAAAGAGAGAGATAGATCCCAATGCAATAATAGCTGGAGATTTCAACATCCTACTTTCAGCATTGGACAGATCATCCAGAAGGAAAAAAAAAATAAAGAAACATTGGACTTAATCTGCATTACAGACCAAGTGGGCTTAATAGATAGTTACAGAAAATTTCATCCAATGGCTACAGAATAAACATTCTTCTCCCCAGCACATGGATCATTCTCAAGGAGAGACCATATGTTAGGTCACAAAACAAATCTTAAAACATTAAAAAAAATTGAGATCATATCAAGTATCTTCTCTGACCACAGTGGAATAGTACTAGAAATCAATAGCAAAGGGAATTTTGAAAACTATACAAACATACAGAATTTAAACAATGTGCTCCTGAATTACCAGCAGGTTAATGAAGAAATTAAGAAGAAATTTAAAATTTTTATTGAAACAAATGAAAATGGATATGCAACATATCAAAACTTATGGGATACAGCAAAATCGTTCTAAGAGGAAAGTTTATAGCTATAAGTGCCTACACTAACAAAGAAGAAAACCTTCAAGTAAACAGCCTAATGATATATTTTTTTAAACTAGAAAAGGAAGAGCAAACCAAACCTGAAATTAGTAGAAGAAAAATAATAAACATCTGAACAGAAATAAATGAAATTGAAATAAAAAACATCCAAAAAAAACTAAAAAGTTTCTTTTTGAAAAGATAAAATTGACTTTTAGTGAGACTAAGAAAAAAAGATAGAAGAAAAATAAACTCAGAGATGAAAAATGAGACATTATAACCAATACTGCAGAAATTCAAAAGATCATTAGAGATTACTATGAGCAACTACATGCCGATAAATTGGAAAACCTAAAAGACATGAATAAATTCCTAGACACATACAGCCTACCAAGATTGAACCACAAAGAAATCCAAAACCTGAATAGACAGATAACAAATAATAAGATTGAAGCTGTAATAAAAGATCTCCCAGCAAAAAAAAGCCCAGGACTTAAAGGCTTCAGTGCTGAATTTTACCAAACAATTAAAGAACTAATACAAATCCTATTCAAACTATTCCAAAAAATAGAGAAAGGAATGCTTCCAAACTCATTCAATGAGGCTAGTATTATACTATACCAAAACCAGGCAAAGACACATAAAAAAGAAAACTACAGCCCAACATCCCTGATGAACATTGATGCAAAAAAACCTCAACAAAATACTAGCAAACCAAATGCAACGACACATTAAAAAATTATTCATCATGACCAAGTCGGATTTATCCCAAGGGTGCAAGGATGGTTCAACATGCACAAATCAATTGATGTGGCACATCATATCAACAGAATGAAGAACAAAAACCAAATGGTCATTTCAATTGACACTGAAAAAATATTTGGTAAAATTCAACATTCCTTCATAATAAAAACCCTCAATGACTGGATATAGAAGGAACATACCTCAACACAATAATAGCCATTTATGACAGACCCATGGCTGGTATCATACTGAATGAGGGAAAACTGAAAGCTTTTCTCTAAGATCTAGAAAAGACAAGAATGTCCATTTTCACCACTATTATTCAACATAGTAGTGGAGGTTCTCACTAAAGTAATCAGACAAGAGAAAGAAATAAAATGCATCCAAATTGGAAAGGAGGAAAATTATTTTTGTTTGCAGATGTTATTATCTTATACTTGGAAAACCCTAAAGACTCCACCAAAAAACTAATAGAACTGACAAACAAATTCAGTAAAGTTGCAGGATACAAAATCAACATAAAAAATCAGTAGCATTTCTGTGCCAACAGCAAGCAATCTGAAAAAGAAATCAAGAAAGGAATAGCATTTGTTATAGCTATAAATAAAATACAATACCTAGGAATTAATTTATCCAAAGAAGAGAAAGCTCTCTACAATGAAGTCTGTAAAACATTGATGTAAGAAATTGAAGAGGACACAAAACATGGAAAGATATTCCATGTTCATAGATTGGAAGAATCAATATTGTTAAAATGCCCATACTATCCAAAGCATTCTACAGATTCAATGCAATCTCCATCAAAATACCAATGTCATTCTTCACAGACATAGAAAAAAAAATTCTGAAATTTACGTGGAAACACAGAAGATCCAGAAGCCCTCCTAAGCAAAAAGAAAAAAAACTGGAGAAATCACATTACCTGACTTTAAATTATACTACAGAGCTCTAGTAACCAAAACTGCATGGTACTGGCATAAAAACAGACACATAGACCAATGAAACAGAAGAGAGAACCCAGAAATAAACCCAAATATCTACAGTGAACTCGTCTTCAACAAAGATGCCAAGAGCATATATTGGGGAAAGGACAGTTTTTTCAATAAATGGTGCTGGGAAAACCAGATACCCATATGCGGAAGAATGAAAGTAGACCCCTATCTCTCACCATATACAAAAATCAAATAAAAATGAATTATATACTTAAATATTTGACCTCAAACTATGAAACTACTAAAAGAAAACTTTGGGGAAACTCTCCAGGACATTGGTCTGGACAAAGATTTCTTGAGTAATACCCCACAGGCACAGGCAACCAAAGCAAAAATGGACAAATGGAATCACATGAAGGTAAAAAGCTTCTGCACAGCAGGGGAAACTATCAAGAAAGTGAAGAGACAACCCACAGATTGGGATAAAATATGTGCAAACTATCCATCTTATAAGGGATTCATAACCGGAATATGTAAGAAGTCCAAACAACTCTATAGGAAAAAAAATCTAATAATCCAATCCAAAAATGGGCAAAAGATTTGAACAGACATTTCTCAAAAGAAGTTATACAAATGGCAAACAGGCATGTGAAAAGTTGCTCAACATCACTGATCATCAGAAAACTGCAAATCAACCGGGCATGGTGATTCACACCTGTAATCCCAGCATTTCTGGAGGCTGAGGCAAGAGGATCACCTGAGGTCAGGAGTTTGAGATCAGCCTGGACAACATGGTGGAACCCCGTCTCTACCAAAAATACAAAAATAGCTGGGTGTAGTGGCAGGCACCTGTAATCCCAGCTACTCGTGAGGCTGAGGCAGGAGAATTGCTTGAACCCAGGAGGCAGAGGTTGCAGTGAGCCAAGATGGCACCATTGCACTTCAGCCTGGGCAACAAGAGGGAGGCTCTGTCTCAAAAAAAAAAAAAAGCAAATCAAAAGTACAATTATATCATCTCACACCTGTTAAAATGACTTATAACAAATGCTGGTGAGGATGTGGAGAAAAGGGAACCCTCATACACTGTTAGTGGGAATGCAAATTAGTACAGTCACTGTAGAGAACAGTTTGAAGGTTTCTCAAAAAACTAAAAATAGAGCCACCATACGATCCAGCAATCCCACTGCTGGGTATATACTCCTCAAAAAGAAAATCAGTATATAGAAAAGATATCTGCACTTTCATGTTTATTGCAACTCTGTTCACAATAGCCAAAATTTGGAAACAACCGTGTGGTACATGTACACAATAAAGTACTATTCAGCTACAAAAAGAATGAGATCCAGTCATTTGCAACAATATGAATGGAACTGGAGATCATTAGGTTATGTGAAATAACGTAAGTTAGGCACAGAAAGGCAAACATCACATGTTCTCACTTATTTGTGGGATCTGAAAATCAAAACAATTGAACTCATGGAGATAGAGATAGAGAATAGAAAGATGGTTACCAGAGGCTGGGAAGGGTAGTTAGGGGAGGAGTGGGGAGAAAGTGAGGAGATTAATGGGTACAAAAAAATAGTTAGAATGAATGAATAAGGTCTAGTATTCAATAGCACAACAGGGTGACTATAATCAATAATAACTTAATTGTACATTTTTAAATACCTAAAAGAGCATAATTGAATGGTTTGTAATACAAAGGATAAATGCTTGAGGGGATGGAAACCCCATTCTTCATGATGTGATTGTTACCATTGCATGCTTGTGTACAAACATCAAAACATCTCATGTACCCTATAAATATATACATCTACTATGTACCCATGAAAGTTAAAAATAAAATAATTAACAAAAACAGTTGAATAAGTAAATTCATCTTTAAGTTAGGTTATTAGACATAGTTTGTCTCTGAAGAAATATGCAAGCTTTCTTCTATGATGCAATCAAAGTGTCTGAACAAAATTGTACTTCTCTTAGCTGCTCAGAAACTCTTAGAACTATACTTAACATCCAGTTGTAATGAGCAGCTCTTTACCATGATGCCTCATAACAACTGCTTCCTCTATTCATATGGGTTCTAGTTTGTTGTTAGAACTAAAGTATCCTATTTTTAATTATATTAGATATAATTAGAAACTTCAAATCCTTCTGGAACGATATGACATATAAATGCTAAATAAATTAAATAAAAAAGAAAAGTGATGAGAGCCTGTTCCTTTAACGCTCAGTCTAAGAGGTGATGTAGGTCCCAAAAGTTTGGTGAATATGAGAAGAGAAAGCAATCAACTATGTGCATACTTCAAACATACTCAATAAGATGAGATCTGATTCTATGAGAGCAGGGAAGGATATTGAGTCCTCCTTTTCTCTCACATCCTACATCCAGTCTTTCAACAAAACCTGCCAGTGCTACTTTCAAACTTTATTCGGAATCTGTCCACTTCTCAATACCTAAACTTCTACCATTTCTTGGTCTCAGACCCATCATCTCTATGCCATAATGATCACAACAGCTTTTGAACTGCCCTCTGCTTCTTTGGTGACCTATACCCTGGAGTCTATTCTCAACATTGCGCTCCTCCTGCCCTTCTGCCTCCATTTCCTACTTTTCTCCTCTTCTGTCACATCACTGTAACCACACTAACCCTTTTTCTGTTCCATAGGTTAGACACATACTCTGACCACAGGATCTTGGAATTTAGAATTCCTTCAGCCTGGAATGCACTTTTTTCAGATACTCACATGATCTATTGCCTCATTTCTTTCAGGTCTTTGCTGAAATCTCACTGTGATGCCCTCAGACGACCTTTTAAAATTTCAGCCCCACGCTTGCCACCCTATTCACCTTCCCCACTTTATTTTTTCCATAACATTTACTTCCACCTCATATCATAGATAGGTAGACAGATGAAAGATACCTATATAAAGATAGGTAGATAGATAATAGATAGATGATAGATAGATGATAGATAGATAGATAATTATCTTTTTAAAACATTTATTACCTCCCCACACTAGAATATAAATTTCAAGGGGACAGGAATTTTTAATCTGTTTTGTTCACTTCATTGCCCAGAACAATGTTTAGACATAATAGGTACTCAAAAAAAATTTGCAGAGTTAATAAATTAAGGCAGCTGGGCGTGATGACTCATACCTGTAATCCCAGCACTTTGGGAGGCCGAGCAGGTGGATCACTTGAGGCCAGGAGTTCAAGACCAGCCTGGCCAACATGGTGAAACCCATCTCTACTGAAAATACAAAAAACTAGCTGGGTGTTGTGGCTCACACTTGTCATCTTCGGGAGGCTGAGGCACAAGAATTGCTTGGACCTGGGGGATAGAGGTTGCAGTGAGCTGAGATCACGCCACTGCACTCCAGCTTGGGCGACACAGAGTCTCTCTCTCAAAAAAAAAAAAAAGAGAGAGAGAGACAGAGAGAATTAAGGCAAGACATTCAGACATCATTAGTTGATGGAAAACATAAATGGGCAACCGTGTTCCTTGAAATGAAGTGAATGGGACATCCTTGTGGGGATGTTCAGGAGGCCCTTGGAGATGAGGTTCTAGGGAAAGGCCATTCAGAAATAAGTCAATTCAATTCATAGTGGAAGTGATAATAGAGTGCTTGCCTTTTAGAAACTGAAGCACTGACATATGACATGATTAAATAAGAAATAATTATGGTACAATTAAATAAGAATAGAGTAAATGATTATGATAAATAACACTGGAATTTATCAAAATCCACCTTGTCAAAATCAAGGTGTCTCTGTAAGTAGTTTTTGTGGGTTTGTTTGTTTGTTTGTTTTTGAGACAGAGTCTAGCTCTGTTACCCAGGCTGGAGTGCAGTGTCACTCTCTTGGCTCACTGCAACCTCTGCCTCCCAGGTTCAAGCAGTTCTCCCTGCCTCAGCCTTCCAAGTAGCTGGGATTATAGGTGCCCACCACCACGCCCCACTAATTTTTGTATTTTTAGTAGAGATGGGGTTTTGCCAAATTGGCCAGGCTGGTCTCAAACTCCTGACCTCAGGTGATCCTCCTGCCTCGGCCTCCCAAAGTGTTGGAATTACAGGCATGAGTCACCACACCCAGCCAGTTTCTGTGGGATTTTTAATTTTAGTATTATTATTATTATACTTTAAGTTCTGAGATACATGTGCAGAACATGCAGGCTTGTTACATAGGTATACACGTGCCATGGTGGTTTGCTGCACCCACCAACCCATCATCTACATTAGGTATTTCTCCTAATGCCATCCCTCCCTTAGCCCCCGACTCCCCGACAGGCCCCGGTGTGTGATGTTCCCCTCCTTGTGTCCATGTATTCTCGTTGTTCAACTCCCACTTATGAGCGAGAACATGCAGTGTTTTGTTTTCTGTTCCTGTGTTAGTTTGCTGAGAATGATGGTTTCCAGCTTTATCCATGTCCCTGCAAAGGACATGAACTTATCCTTTTTTACAGCTGTGTAGTGTTCTGTGGTATATATGTGCCACATTTTCTTTATCCAGTCTACCATTGATGGGTATTTGGGTTGGTTCCAAGTCTTTGCTATTGTGAACAGTGCTGCAATAAACATATGCATGCATGTGTCTTTATAGTAAAATGATTTATGATCCTTTGGTATATACCCAGTAATGGGATTGGTGGGTCAAATGGTATTTCTGGTTCTAGATCCTTGAGGAATCACCACACTGTCTTCCACAATGGTTGAACTAATTTATACTCCCACCAACAGTGTAAAAGAGTTCCCCTTTCTCCACATCCTCTCCAGCATCTGTTGTTTCCTGACTTTTTAATGATCACCATTCTAACTGGCGTTGTGCGGTTTTGAGAATAGTTCCAAAAGAGGAATTCCTAAAATAATTTTAGCCATGTGTATTCAGAAAGAAGTATGTGAATCGACATGATTTTCTTAGGTGTATAAGATATTGGTTTCCTTACATTAAAATTAATAGTGCTGCTTTCACCACACTTAATATCTCTGTAGCCGAGACCTGACTTAAACCACTTAAAATCCTGCCATATCACCTCTTAGATTACAATCAGCTTACACTTTAAGGACTTTACTACATTAACCTCATCAGCTATCTTAGCAATGAGAAAGGAAAACTATTAATCTTAAACTGATGTGACTCTCTTTTGCCATTTACTCATATAGTTTTCAAATCACAGACCTACACAGGGAAATATTTTTCTGTTCACTGGTGAGGAGTCAGAGACCAGAGATGTTCACACTGAATGTGATGATTTCTAAGCTACTTTCTAGCTCTGACTTCTGTGACTTCATAATTCATATTTGCTCTCCCAGTAAATATACCCATAGTAGATGAAAAATAAGCTATACTGAAACTTAAGAATTGATCATGGATCTATGCAATGATCATCAACAAAGTTTTCCCAGGTAAATCAAGTTGATGTTTACTAGTGAATTTTTCACAAGTTGTTTCTTTACCTGTTACGATTATTACAGGGGATCCAGTTTACTTCAGGGTCTGGGATGTCCTCCAAATATGGGTAGAGAGAGTCCCTGTTGAAGTTCCAGCCATAAATAGCATCTTCTGGAGTCACAATAATATGCGCACCCTGTTAAAAATGCAACTTAATCCAAAGGGGGGCCTGCAAGAGGAGCTGAGGAGCTGAGTGGCTGAGTAACAACTATTTGGGCTTCCCCCACACCCCTTAAATCTTATTTTGTTTTCTATATTTTTATAATTTATTTTCTTTTCCAAAGCATTTTAATTTCCTTTTTTTTCAGTGCACTGTCACTTCTTTTTCTTTTTCTTTTCTTTTCTTTATTTCTAATTTTAGATTCAAAGGGTACAAATGCAGGTTTGTTGCATGGATATGTTACATAATGGTGAGGTTTGGGCTTCTAGTCAAGCATTTTTTTTTCTCTCTTTTTTTTTTTTTTCAGATGGAGTTTCGCTCTGCTGCCCAGGCTGGAGTGCAATGGCTAGATCTCGGCTTACCACAATCTCCACCTCCCGGGTTCAAGCGATTCTCCCGCCTCAGCCTCATAAGTAGCTAGGATCACAGGCATCTGCCACCACGCCTGGCTAATTTTTGTATTTTTAGTAGAGATGGGGTTTCTCCATATTGGTCAGGATGGTCTTGAACTCCCAACCTCAGGTGATCCGCCTGCTTCAGCCTCCCAAAGTGTTGGAATTACAGACATGAGCCACCGCACCTGGCTTAGTCAAGCATTTTAATTTTCTAATCCTGCCATTGTTGTTTCCTATGGCAGTCGTTAACTATAAACCTAGCTTATCCTGGAACCAAGCCTCTCCTTGAACTTTCGCTGATGACTGTGCCTGTGTCAAGACTGATTAATAACTTAAATATTCTGTTTATTTCCTCCTCTGCCCTAGCTTTCCCCTGCAAACATGATTCCTGCTTCTCAGAAAAAGAGGAGCCACAAACTGGTTACTTGAACTGTCCCATGCCTACAAGTACTGCCTGAGCTAACCTGGGCACCTTCCAATTAGAGAGTCACCTTAAAAAGCTCTGTGACCTTCAAGGAAATAGTTGGACTAAGGATGAAAAAGAACATCAGAACTCCTGATAACCTTTTAAATATTAGTATATATAAGAATATAGGGCAGTCACGGTAGCTCATGCCTGTAATCCCAGCACTTTGGGAGCCCAAGGCAGGTGGATCACCTGAGGTCAGGAGTTCAAGTACAGCGTGGGCAACATGGCAAAATCCCATCTCTACAAAAAATACAAAACTTAGCTGGGCACGGTGGCATGCATCTGTGGTCCCAGCTACTCTGGAGACTGTAGTGGGAGAATCACCTGAGCCCGGGAAGTCAAGGCTGCAGTGAGACGTGATCACACCACTATACTCCATCCTGGGTGACAGAGTGAGACCTTAACTCAACAACACAAAAGAATATATATTTATAGATATATGTAATACACATTTATCCATGACTTTTATCACACTTCATGTATTCCTGGTCTACACCTAATCGATCAATAGCTTTTAAAATAATATTTGTGTAAACCACAATTTATACTGTATGATTAACTTCAAACTGAAACCTTCACTAAACTTAAGGACTCACAATGCATTACATATACTTTTATCTTGTAATTAGAATGAAGTGTGAAGTATATAATGCATGCTGGCAAGGAATTGAAAACTTAAATTTGTTTTCAGATTATAAATTTATTCGAAAACCTGCAAAGCCTTAATAGCACATGAGTACATGAAGGCCACTAATACTCTGAAAATAGCACCTAGTCCCTGACCCATTTATCCTCCATCCTCCATCTGTACCAGAAAAGGGGAACAAAGATGTTGAATTTATGGCCAGTTCCTCAAAGGTCTGCTGCTTCTTGATAATGAGCAAATTGTTCTTTTCTTAACTTTGTTCTTACTTTTAGGGAAGTCCTTGCTCTAATTTTGAGAGGAAAGTAGAATTCTAACTGTAAAATAAAGGTTCTTGGCTACTCTGATACATATATCATCTAAAAGTGTAACTGACCCTGACAGTGGCCCTGTCTCCTAGGACCCCCTCCTTTCTCATAGAATCCAGTACACTGGAGAGATGGTAGAGATGGTACCTGATCTGCTGCTGATGTGATCGCTCCTTCCAAAATGTCCAGATTCCGATTCATTAATGCCAAAGCCTCCTCACGAGACACTGGTGTTAGGGTGGCATTGGGCAATATCGCTGCATGCTCATAAACAGCTGCAGTGAAAGTGTCCTGGCAGCTGGCTCTTGAGACATAGAAAAGCAAAATTGCCACGTAAGCTGGCAACTGAGTAGTCATGCTGAAGTCCAATGAGTGCTGAAAAACAGAGCATGTCCTGGTATTTATAGAAAGAAGACACGTGGTGTCCAGAACTTAGTACCTTAAACTACGGAAGTTAATTAAGAAAACGCTATGATTTCATAGCATTGTTACATAACAAAAGACCCTACCTTATTGCAGTAATTTGTGAAGATTAACTCAAGAACTCTATGTACATTAGTTCGCTAGGGCTGCCTAACAAAATACAATAAACTGGGTGGTGTAAAAAATAAAAAATTTATTGCTTTGCAGTTCTGGAGGGTGGGAGTCCCAGATGAAGGTGTCAGCAGAGTTGGTTCCTCCTGAGGGCGGTGAAGGAAAGATGTGTTCCAGGCCTCTCTCCTTGACCCATAGATGGCTGCCTTCTCCCTGTGTCTCTTCATATGCTATTCTCCCCATGTGTGTGCCTGTATCCAAGTTTTCCCTTTTTGTGAGGACACCACTCTAATCTTTAACACAGGGAAAGGGAAAATCCCAGCTCTAGCTTTTTTTGTCATCGTTGTTGTTTGTTTATTGTTGTTGTTGTTTGAGATGGAGTTTCACTCTTGTCACCCAGGCTAGAGTGCAGTGGCGAAATCTCGGCTCACTGCAACCTCCGCCTCTCGGGTTCATGTGATTCTCCTGCCTCAGCCTCCCAAGTAGCTGGGATTACAGGCGCCCGCCACCACGCCAGGCTAATTTTTTGTATTTTTAGTAGAGATAGGGTTTCGCCGTGTTGGGCAGGCTGGTCTCAAATTGCTGACCTCAGGTGATCCACCTGCTTTGTTTTTATGCCAAATAAGGGCAGAAGAAAAAAGCCAACTGAAGGTCATAAACCCAGGGGTACAGGCTCACTGAAAGACTGAGACTCAATCATAGGACCAATTCGATTTAGTGCCCACTGTACTCCAGTATAACTTCATCTTAACTAATTAGATCTGAAATGACCCCTTTTCCAAAAAAGTTACATTCTAAGATACTGACAGTTAGGACTTCAACATATAAATTTTTGGAATTCATATATTTTGGAATGTCAACACAAGACATTCAAATAATTTTAAAACTTTATTATTATTTTCATGTGAATATTTCAGCTCTACACTTTGATTTACTTTATTTTCCTCAAAATGGGGAAGCCAGGACAAAGAGGAATACAAAAGAGTTACTCATTTTCTATTGCTATATAACAAATTATCCCCAAATTCAGCAGCTTCAAAAAGCAAAAATACATCATCTCCCACTTTCTCTGGGTCAGGAATCCAGGGGCAGTTTAGCTGGTGCCTCTGGCCCAAGGTCTCTTTCACAAGGCTGCAGTCAAGCAGCTGCCAGGGCTAGCTATATCAAGGCTTGACTCCAGGAGGATTCACTTCCGAGCTCCAAGCTCCCTCATGTGGCTGACGGCAGGGATCAAGACCTCATTGGTTGTTGCCCAGAGACATGAGTTCCTAGTGATGCAAACCTCACCATAGGGCAGCCCGCATTATGGTATCTGGATTCCCTTAGAGCCAGACAGCAAGTGAACCCACTGGAGATGGAAGCCACGGATGCTTCGTAATGTAATTGGGGAAGCAACACCTCATCGCTTTTGTTGTATTCTATCCAATAAAGCATTAGGAACCATCTTTGAAGCTGCTTATCACAGAGGCAACAGAGGTGTATAAAGAATCAGAGCAAAAAAAAGAAAAAATGAGCTGGGGAGCGAGATCCAGAGAGAGGAGAGGGAAATTATATAAAATAGAAAAACTGTTCATAGATTTTGATATTGAGTAAGCTGGCAAATTTTGTTTCAGTTGTGCATTAAGTATAATATTTACAGAATTAGTGTTTATGTTTTTCCATTTTATTTTTAGATCTATTTGTCTTTGAATGGTATTTTTATAGTTCAATCTGCAAACAGGCATATCTAATTTTTTACTTTAGTAACTATAATGCATTTATTCTGCAATTGCCAAGGTAACCCAGGGGTTGTGGTTGGCTGGTTCTCCTGAGTTTCCGGTAAACACCAGCTTCTCTAACTGCTTGCTGACCTCTTAGGGCCTTTCCATGCCCAGGTGGGTGGGAATACCACATATTTCACAAAAAGATGTCATTATTATGTAACAATTTGTAAAAGGAAGCACTGAAATAAAAGTTAAAACTGAGATGAGTTGGCAAGAGGTTAAAAAATTACTTCTTGACCTTCTTAGATTAAAAATATTAAACCTCCCGTGGAGTTTCTAGTCCAACTCATAAAGAGCTTGGCAGTCATTTTTCCCATGCTCACACCAAGAAAAAAGCTAAACAAATGAAAATCGACAACTTTTCTAGGATGCATCAGAGAATTGAGATCACAGGATAAACTGCGGTCCTCAGAACTGCAGAGATAGGCAGATACAGAGGTTAAGAGTGTACTGCGAGCAGAGTCCTCTGCGGCTGGCGCCAGTACCGTGGGTTCACTTGAACTGTAATTGACGAATTGGTGGAGGCTCAGGGTGGACAACCTTGAGAGTTCTGGTCTGTTCTTCTTAACAAAAGCCTGCCCTCAAAGTAAAGTATTTTACCAGAGCCTAACCTACCTAGGGGAAGGAAAAATGCCAACCCCAGCCACTCTAATCTTTAACTTGGGGAAAGGGAAAATCTCATCTCTAGCTTGTTTTTATGCCAACTAATGGCAGAAGAAAAAAGCCAAGTGAAGTTCATAAACCCAGGGGTACAGGCTCACTAAAAGACTGAGACTAAATCATAGGACCAATAACCTTGTCCCTCCTCCAGCATGTCACTGCCACATGAATCTACCCTTTCTGGCCTACTTAGCATGTACTAGCTGAGAGCAAATCTTCAGATGAAATAATGCAGTTCGGCCAGGCGCGGTGGCTCATGCCTATAATCCCAGCACTTTGTGAGGCCGAGACGGGAGGATCACCAAAGGTCAGGAGTTTGAGATGAGCCTGACCAACATGGAGAAACCCTGTCTCTACTAAAAATACAAAAATTAGCTGGGCATGGAAGGGAGCAGTGTGGGGGGCGGGGGCGCCTATAATCCAGATACTCGGGAGGCTGAAGCAGGAAAATTGCTTGAACCCGGGAGGCGGAGGTTGCCTCGAGCCGAGATTGCGCCATTGCACTCCAGCTTGGTGATAGAGTGAGACTCCGTCTCAAAAAAAAGAAAGAAAGAAAGAAAGAAATAGAAATAGAAACAGTGCAGTTCTTGCAGTAGAGTATCATCAGCAGGACATGGAACTGGGAGGCACCAGCAGCCTCTACTACAACTCCTAGGCTGGTTCTCTGGATCCTTAACCCTACTGCTACAGCCAGCCAAGGTCCCCAAATGCAGCCCTTCTGCTCACACAAAGTAGAAACTGGGAGAATTGTCTCCAAGGAAATGACTTTGAGTGTAGACAAAAGCCCTAATTGATACCTCCAGACTCCTCCAACCAAACTTGCATAGATGGAGCAGATTGCCTTTTGCAAGGAAAACATGACATCGCACTGTCCAGAATAGGGCAAGACCCACAGTATTCTGGATTTTGCTAGCACAGCAGTGATCACCCCACCCCAGGCAGCAGGTCCCCAGAGGAACTCAGAAGCAAGTCCTGCCCAGCTTACGCAGAGAGAACCAGAAACAAGGGAAAAGGAGGGAAGAGCAAGGACTGAGTGGAGTGGGCACTGCCTCTTGCACTTCACCTGGTGAACTCTGAAAAGCCATGTGCACAGCATGTAAAAGTGTGTCCATATACTTGTGTCTGATAAAAGATTGATTGGCAGTCGGCCTCTGCATTGCTACTCAAAATATACGCCCATATTTTAATATTTAGTGGCTACAACACAATGTCAATTCTTTTGTTGACATTAATCTGGTTTTAGGAGAAACAATCCATTTTTCCTCTGGTCTCATAGCACAACAACTAACACAAAAGACTGGTTACTCCCAAGTAGGTGGAGATTTCTCCCCACTAGAAAGCAAGCAATTGACTCTGCATCAGACATCAGCTGGCTATCTTCCAGTTCAATCCAAATACTATTTATCCAAAGATAGCATCAGATCCCACATGTTAAGGGCTCAGTCCCACAAAACCGCCCCCTCCTTCCCACCAGTAACAAGTCTGGGCTTCCAGATCTTCCGACCAAATGGCTCTGGGTTGGGGTTTCCATGACCCCTTTTTTTTTTAGTTCAATTAGTTTGCTAGAGTGGCTCACAGAACTCAGGGAAACACTTACCTTTAGTGGCTTATTGTAAAGGATATTACAAAGGATACAAATGAAGAGGTGCATAGAGCAAGGTATGGGGGAAGGACTGGAGAGCCTTCCACGCACCCCTAGGTGTGCCACCCTCCAGGAACCCTCCACGTGTTCAGCTGTAAGGAAACTCTCCGAACCCTGTCCTTTTGGGTTTTTATGGAAGCTTCATTACATAGTCACGATTGACAACCATGTAGAAATGCGATTGGACAAAAAGGTTATGATCCCATACTAACAGTTTGAGTGGGGAAACCCAGTAAAGCTTGTCTGTTCAGGTTTGTCTTGACATCTCTTTATAGCATTTCTTCCTCTAGGGTATGGGGTGGGACCCTCTCTGAAATGAGGGTCTTTTGAGCCACAATCAGATTATAGTCCTGCCTTAGGTAGGTAAAGGGAGGACAGGGTAAGGTCAGAGAGGGAGATTCTGTTTCATGAGGCCTGCTCCTGAGGCCTAAAACCCCCTAATGTTAAAACAAACAAACAAACAAAAAAAAAACCCTAACAAAGGATATGGGAGTTATAAGCCAGGAACTGTAATATCACAAGTTGCTAATGTTACAATAATACATATCTCTGCATAGGACTTAATAAAACTATTTTTGCATTGTTAATGTAGCCTGTAAACATGATGATGTGGCTTGAACTTGCTCTCATGAAAGAAAAAATTTTTTTGTTTACCAGTGAGTTATACTCTGCTGTATCAGAAATATTAATTAAAGCCATAAGAGTGGCTTCACTATCCATAGAAAGATTTTAGATAAGGAAGATACAGCTGTGAGAGCTGAGTCTAGCAGAGTGCATCATTTATATCAATGACAAACAAAATAAATGTGGTTGGAGGAGGGAGAAGAGACAAAAAGGTCAACGAAAATAAAAAGCGAAAGGCATTAAAGTGTGGGGGGTAAAATTACTCCAAGAAGTACAGGCTTAGTAAGAGCTGAGAACTGACCATGAGATTTGACTTTTTTTTTTTTAGACAAGGTCTCACTCTATTGCCCAGGCTGGAGGGCAGTGGTACAATCTTGGCTCACTGCAGCCTCTATCTCCTGGGCTCAAGTAATCCTCCAACTCCTGAGCTCAAGTGATCCTCCCACCCCAGCCTCTCCAGTAGCTGGGATCACACTAGCATACTCGGCTAATTTGCTGTTGTTGTTATTGTTTGTAGAGACAGGGTTTTGCCATATTGTCCAGGCTGGTCTCAAACTCCTTGGCTCAAGCCATCTGCCTGCTTTGTCCTTCCAAAGTGCTGAGATTACAGGTGTGAGTTATGGTAGCCTGCCCCGAGATTTGATTTTAAAGTTCCTTTTAATAAAGAGGGGGGCAGGAGTCAGCTTACATAAAAATGCCATGAGGTGAGAGGTGCCAAGGAAGCTGGGGCAACCAGAGTACATAATGCAGCCTACAGACAACTGGCTTAGGAAAGAGAAGAAAGAATTCTAGAAGGAACAAATGTAAGGCGATAAAGAGGGAAGATGCCCACCTACTGCACACAGAGGAATCGGGGGCACAAACCTAAGATCCGAGAGTGATAGTCCCTGAAGAGAGAATCCAGGAAAAATGGGAGGGGGAAACCGAGTGCATTTTCTGCCACCCAGAATATCTCTGACTTACTGGTACTGGACTGAATTATAGCAGGTGGAAATAAACACCTAGGAAAAGTTCAGAAATGCGTTTGTCAAACATTCTGTGGACAAAGAGGTGTCTCCTACATAACCCAGAGAACCCAGCTGCTCTTCAGCATATCTCTTTCCAGAGTTAATCAGTGACCAACCAGAAAAATGACTAAGAGAGCCAAGACAGTGGGCCAGAGGTATCTGGGGAAAAGGTGACATGGTGGTCCTGTCTAGGAAGCTCCCAGCCTGGCACAGCCTGCAATAAACCCCTGACCACTGAGAAGGGCTCAACCAAGATTGGGTAGATTTCAGAACAGAATAATTTCAGAAGGAAATGAGATGTGATCTGAACGACATAATTTATTTTATTTATTTATTTATTTATTTATTTATTTATTTATTTTTTGAGACGGAGTTTTGCTTTTCTTGCCCCAGGCTGGAGTGCAATGATGCGGTCTCAGCTCACTGCAACCTCCGCCTCCTGGATTCAAGTGATTCTCCTGTCTCAGCCTCCCGAGTAGCTGGGATTACAGGCACGCACCACCACCCCCAACTAATTTTTGTATTTTTAGTAGAGATGGGGTTTCACAGTGTTGGCCAGGCTGGTCTCAAACTCCTGACCTCAGGTGATCTGTCCACCTCAGCTTCCCAAAGTGCTGGAATTACAGGTGTGAGCCACCGCACCCAGCTGACCTAATTTATTTTTCAAAAAATTTCTGTTTTGGCTGGCCCTGTGGCTCACACCTGTAATCTCAGCACTTTGGGAGGCCAAGGATAGCAAATCACTTGAGGTCAGGAGTTCAAGACCAGCCTGGCCTGGCCAACATGATGAAACCCCATCTCTACCAAAAATATAAAAAATTAGCCAGATGTGGTGGCGTGTGCCTGAAGTCCCAGCTACTTGGGAGGATGAGGCAGGAGAATCACTTGAACCAGGGATGAAGGGGACCAGCCCCTCCATGCCTATGGGTATTTCTCGTCAGATGGGATAAGAGACTGAGAAAAGAAATAAGACACAGAGACAAAGTATAGAGAAAGAATAGTGGGCCCAGGGGACCGGCGCTCAGCATACAGAGGACCCGCATGGGTACCGGTCTCTGAGTTCCCTCAGTATTTATTGATTACTATTTTCATTATCTCAGCAAGGGGAATGCGGCAGGAGAACAGGGTGATAGTGGGGAGAAGGTCAGCAAGAAAACATGTGAGCAAAGGAATCCGTGTCACAAATAAGTTCAAGGGAAGGTACTATGCCTGGATGTGCATGTAGGCCAGAGTGTAATAAAGAGTAACAGAGCAGCATTGTTGCCAACATGTCTCGCCTCCAGCCACAGGGCGGTTTTCTCCTATCTCAGAATAGAACAAATGTACAATCGGGTTTTATACCGAGACATTCCATTCCCAGGGGCATGCAGGAGACAGAGGCCTTCCTCTTATCTCAACTGCAAGAGGTCTTCCTCTTTTACTAATCTTCCTCAGCACAGACCCTTCACGGGTGTCGGGCTGGGGGACGGTCAGGTCTTTCCCATCCCAAGAGGCCATATCTCAAGCTCTCTCAGTGGGGAGAAACCTTGGACAATACCCGGCTTTCCTGGGCAGAGGTCCCTGCAGCTTTTCGCAGTGCATTGTGCCCCTGGTTAATCGAGAATGGAGAATGGCGGTGACTTTTACCTAGCGTACTGCCTGTAAACATATTGTTAACAAGGCACACCCCGGATAGCCCTAGATCCTTTAAACCTTGATTCCATACAACACATGTTTCTGTGAGAACAAGGTTGGGGCTAAAGTTACAGATTAACAGCATCTCAAGGCAAAACAATTGTTCAGGATACAGTTCAAAATGGAGTTTCTTATGTCTTCCTTTTCTACACAGACACAGTAACAGTCTGATCTCTCTTTCTTTTCCCTACACAGGGAGGCGGAGGCTGCAGTGAGCCGAGGTTGTGCCACTGCATGCACTCCAGCCTGGGGGACAGAGTGAGACTCGGTCTCAAAAAAATTAAAAAAAAAAAAATCCATTTCAAGTATCCAATTTCCATATAAATAGAACTTAGGAGTCAAATTAGTCATGACTAAAGGGACAATACTAGCTAAAAAGTTGTTCATAGTTACTTTAAAAGATGTCCTTATTCTTTAATTTCCTGTATCTTAATTGGCTGGAATCAAATACCCTCTGCATATTCAAAGTTCATCCTATGTATTTACAAATGAAGTGCATTAGTCAGGGTTCTCCAGAGAAAGAGAACCAACAGGAGAGAGAGAGAGAAAGAGATTTATGATAAGGTATTGGCTCAGACAGTTATGAAGGCTGAGAAATCCCACAGTCTGGTCTGCCATTTGCAAGCTGGAGATGCAGGAAAGCCAGGGGTGTCATTCGAAGGCCTGAGAGCTGAAGAGTTGATGGTGTCAATTCCAGTCCAGGCCTGAAGGCCTGAGAACCAGGAGCACATGAAGGCAGGAGAAGATCTCTATCCAGCTCAAGTAGTCTGGCAGAAAATGAATTCAAACCTCCTCCTTCTTGTTTTTCTCTGCAGGCCCTCAAGGGACTGGACGATGACCATCCACACTGGGGAGGACCGTCTGCTTTACTCAGTCCACCAATTCAAATGCTGTTCTCTTCCTTGAAACACCCTCACAGACACACCCAGAAACAATGGTTAACCAGCTATCTGGGCATCTCATGACCCAGTCAAATCAACACATAAAATTAACCATCATATGATGGAAACAACACTTGCATACATTAGTGCAGTTACTGCAAAAGGATTTTTCTAGGACCTCCTCCTATTTAAATATACGCTCCACTATACATATACATACTTACATATACTTAAACTCACATACATGGAGGATGAATGCGGCTCCCATAAATGAACCTGTGCTATACCAAACATGTAAAATGTGAAATTTGCACACACACTTGTTGCTTTTCAAATCTGCTTCAGTTTATTATATTTGTTTCTGTAAGTTTATAACATCTTTTCTAAACAGACACTAACGGATCTCTTTTTTTTCTTCCTTTCTTAGCCAGGCTAATCCTAAAAGGGCTCTGCTAAAGGAGATCACTGGAATTTCCCAGATCCCTGCCCTAAGCGTGGAGGGTCCTTCTCAAACACTCTTCCATACAGGGCCATAACTAAGACAGGCAAAGGGGCTCCACTTCGGCTCCTCAAGCGTCCATCTCTTGAAATCTGGTCAAAGAAAGCAAAGGGTTAACTTCAGTGCAGAGTTTAGGTTACAACCTAGAGCCCTTCTCAGGCAAGATCACTCCCTCCTAAAGCAGTGTAGAATGGTAAAAATCACACAGGATTTGGTGTTGGAAGACCCAGGTTCATGTTTCAAGTCTGAAAGTAGAGGGACTTTGTGCGAAAGTGCAGCCAACAAATTTGTTGCACAGGTGGTCAAATAATATGTATAAAAATATGTTCTTCAAACTCATGAAACACTATACAAAATATTAGTTATTACTATAATTATAACAACTTCTCAAAATAGTATACCCAGAAAATAAGTTGTAGATGCATTATTTAATGTATTTAATTTGCACCTTCTACACCATGCAAATGACAACATTATTGCCATTATCAGCAGTCAACATTTTTATTTTAGCTTCTCTGTGAATTTCCTGTTGCCTTGAATATCAACATCACATTTATGTTAAAAAAATGAACCCCAAATTCTCCATCACAGCCTAATGGCAATCTAAAACCACAATTTATATTCCATATCATAGTTTCCACATATTTAAGGTGTTTCTTGTAGAATGTGAACCACGATATTGCTATACTCTCATTATTTCAAAGATTTTCATTATGCTGCTCTACCCATCTACTCTGCTCAAAGGAATTTATCATCCTGCACACCTCCTACCTCATAATGTCTTTCAGGGGCAAGCTGACTCCCACTTAGAATGATCTGTGGGAAAACATAACGCGTTCCAAATGTGCCACTGAGGGAGAAGTCTTCAAACTTGGTAAAAGCTGACCCCACAGGTTCTCCACACGTTTCCAGGTCAGTGGTTTGACACTTCAGTAATGCACATATCTATGGAAGAAAAGAAAAGAGAAGGAGTCAGAAAACTTGCAAATATTTTCTCAGCTAAATAATGCAATTTCAAACTATAAATGCATATTTAAATTGCCTCATAAGAAGTATTTTTCAAACTGCAGGTAACAACTTATTAATGAATCCTAAAGTCAATATAGTGGGTCAGGATTAACACTTTTTATACTGAAGTCAAATAGAATAGACTAGGATTTTAAAAATCAGAGTGCATTGCACATAATAATAGCTATTTCTAATTCTATTTTAAATTATTTCATAAACTATTTCAATTAAATATCTTTTTTTTTATTCAGTCACACATCCACTTGGCTACACTGGGTTATGAGGTAAAATATCCTTCTTTCTCTGGATTTAGTTGAAGACAATTTGAAAAACACTGCTCTAAAGTAACCTGACGGGAAAAGAGAATACACAGAAATTGCAGCTTTTGAAACCTGAACCTGGCCTGCTGAGAACTAATCAATTTGCTTTATGTTTTTGCCTTTCAACTAAAAGAACTAATTCTGTTCTTGCTAAGACTGAACAAATAATGTGTTCTGGGGACAAAATTCAGAGATAAATATAACATTACTAATTATAAAATTAGCTAAATCCAGCCCAATTTTCAAAGAAAGGCAATGATGACCTAGAAGAAAAACTGATAATAAGGCCACTTTAACATATTAAAGCATTTCTACCTGTAAGTAATATTGGCCTTCTACTGTGTGCAGTCCATCAAAAGCACCTAGGGCATAGATCTCGTCTGTTCGCTTCTCAGACATCTTGTAAGTTAAGTGACAACACAGATCTTTCTGGCAAGCTGTGTAATTTCCTGTATTTCTCTTAAGCTTGGTGAAGGTAAACTCATCAAAATAAATCATCCCCAGAAAATCTGACTGTTCAGAGGAAAATGGCTTGACACTGCTGGCATACGCATGCCAGTCAACAGCTGCAGGGTAGGTGGGCTCACGGCGGGGCCGAGACTTCAGTTCTGATAGCAACAGCTGACCACTCTCTGTTTCCATGTCATAGTGGTACACCTTGACTGCTTCTGGGGCGTAGATTCCACTCCCTACAAGCAACATAAATACAAACATTGGTTTCAGATTTGTTATGGTGACCAACTAATAGAATATTCCCATGTGAAGTTAAATACAAAGTTATTAAAGCATATTTTCAAGATAGTTAAGGAGATAGCTGTTACATTGGCCTAAGTTCCAATTTGACTCTGTGTCCTCCATAAGGTACTACTTGCACTGAAATTATCATTTGACTTGGGGGGCATAGTTTTAAGCTAACTTAGCAACAAACTAGAAAATCCCCCAACGTGAAGAATAATTTTAGCTCTCCACTGACGATTTAGTTTATTTGTGTTTGGGATTTGTTATTCAACAAATAACAGAACAGTTAAAAAGGAAGCCTGCATTACTTTGAACATGGATATGATAAAGGAGAAACTCTAAAAACCTGATTAAGTCAAAAGAGATTTTTATCACTTCAACAAGTTTTTTTTAATGCTTGAAATATTTTTATTTGTTTGTATTTTTTTCTTCCAACTGTTATTTTAGGTATAGAAGGGGAACGTGTGAAGGTTTGTTACATGGGTAAATTGCATGTTGCTGGGGTTTGGTGTGCAAACGATTTTGTCACCCAGGTAGTGAGCACAGTATCCAATAGGTAGTTTTTCAATCCTCACCCTCCTCCCACCATCCCCCCTCAAGTAAACCCTGGTGTCTATTGTTCCCCTCTTTGTGTTCATGTGTACTCAATGTTTAACTTCAACTCGTGAGAACACGAGGTATTTGATTTTCTGTTCCTGTGTTCATTCGCTGAGGATAATGACCTCCAGTTGCATCCATCTTGTTGCAAAGGACATTATTTCATTCTTTGTTATGGCTATGTAGTATTCTATGGTGTATATGTATCACATTTTCTTTATCCACTTCACCGTTGATGAGCACCTGGGTTGATTCCACGTTATTGCTATTGCTAAAACTGCTGCAATTAACATACAAGTGCATGTGTCTTTATGGTAGAATGATTTATATTCCTTCTGGTATATACCTATTAATGGGATTGCTGAGTCGAATGGCAGTTCTGTTTTAAGTTCTCTGAGAAATCGCCAAACTGCTTTCCACTGTGGCTGAACTAATTTACATTTTCACCAGCAGTGTATAAGTGTTTCCTTTTTCTTCACAACCTCGCCAGCATCTGTTTGTTTTTTATTTTTTAATCATAGCCATTCTGACTGGAGCGAGGTGGTATCTCATTGTGGTTTTGATTTGCATTTCTGTAATGATTAGTGATGTTAAGCATTTTTACATGCTTGTTGGCCACATGTATGTCTTCTTTTGAGAAGTGTCTGTTCATGTCCTTTGTCCATTTTTTAATGGGATAGTTTGTTTTTTGTTTGTTGATTTGTTTAAGTTCCTTATGGATTCTAGATATTAGATTTTTATGAAATGCATAGTTTGCAAATATTTTCTTCTGCTCTGTAGGTTATCTCTTTAAACAACCAGACTTATTTCGATATTACTAATGCACATTGGCTAGGAAGTTTCTTAGAACTCTCTTTGATTTTTTTACATGACTTCCTCCAGCTCCAATTTCCTTTCAAGTAAAATTGAGATAATAATGTTTGCCTCTTTTATTCACAAGGACAATGAACGTTCCTTAAGTAGGAACAAATGCTATTATTAATTTTGTGATGTTAAAATTGGTAATAAAGTTATTAAACAAAAGTTTGTGGCTTGAAAATCAATGAAGCCTTCCTAAGACTGTCACTCCCACTTGGTGCAGGCCCGCGTGAGTTACCTGTCATGTGCATGCTGGTGTTGTGGGTATTTGCAGCAAGTAGATTGACTCCCATGGCCTTGGCCCATGCTGAATGGAAGGGAACAGCCGAGAGGAGGGGCAGCGTGTTGTACCATGCTGTGGGGTAGAGAATGCTGTCAATTGAAACTCATCCACCACCACCACAGCTGGGTCATGAGAAAAAATGTCAAAGCAAGTAAAAATGCCAAACTTCCCAAAGGGAGTGTCAAAAGTCACAAGTTCTGAATCCTTGGGGAAATCAAACTGAATTTCAGGTGCAAAAAGATTGTACTGTTAATAAAAAGCAAAGAAGAAGAAAATTAATAAGAAAACTGCCAAATAGATGTGATCAGTTAAGTCTTTCCCCGTTAAATCTTTCCTCTCATGTATGTTGACATGCAGGTTTAAAAGTGTTACACATAGGCCAGGTGTGGTGGCTTACGCCTGTAATCCCAGCATGTTAGGAGGCTGAGGCGGGTGGATCACTTGAGGTCAGGAGTTCGAGACCAGCCTGGCCAATGTGGTAAAACCCTGTCTCTACTACAAATATCAAAAAAAATTAGCCAGGCATGATGGCATATGCCTGTAATCCCAGCTACTCATAGGCTGAGGCAGGGGGAGCCCCTGAACCCAGGAGGCCGAGGTTGCAGTGAGCCGAGATCGCGCCACTGCACTCCAGCCTGGGCAACAGAGCAAGATTCCATTTCCAAAATCAACAACAACAACAAAATAAAACTGTTACATATACATTTGTAAAAATCATCCCCACTATACCACCATCTATACATTTTCTTACTGTGACATTAATAAAAAAACTTTATTTTTTTTACAACCAATGAATGAAACCACATGTACAAATGATATTTAAAATGTGAAAATGTGTATCTTAAAATCACAGGTTGAAATCTTGAATCCTACACTTCTCAGATTGTTTTCCACTATATTCTTTAAATTTCAACAGCACTACTATGTTAATAAAATAAACTTTGTCATGTGTCCCAATGATACTGCCAGGTTTATAGAAGTGAAGTCCATTGAAAATTAATTTAGACAATGCAGTTGCTACATATTATTAATTAGTAAGCCATTCATAATTTTATTTTATTTTTCAGCCTGATTCTTTTTCCAAAACTCCACTTAACCTGGGCTCAGGAGTACAGCATATGTTTTGCTCAGGTTTTTGTTTGGCCTGTTGTGTGCATGTGTGTGCTCTGGGGAGAGCTACTTCCCACCTCTGTGGTCCATGGAGGCCTCTTGCTCCTCCTTTCTCCTCCCATGTGGCAGCCTATCCCTCATCCTTTGGTGATTAGCTCAGGAAAGGCACGTCACCTAATTGAATCAAGGAGCGATAAGGCCTTTGCAAGGTTCTAGGAGGGAGAAATACACCCTTCCTGTAGATTTTGTTGATAAAGATGTGAATTTCGTGTTGCTCCAGCAATGTGGCTTCTAAAAGGAGAGTTCCCCTGAGAAAGAAGCTGTAACAAAGGGCTAGGAGAGCTAGAGGGGTGGATGATAACTTTGGAGCCTCTGAGTGTCAGACTGCACTGAAATGAGACCTGTCCTTTCTATGATACACATTTTTACATGTGCATAAGCAAGGAAATTTCCATCTTTTTAAAGCCATTTTCATTTGAGGTTTTGTTTTCATTGCAATCAAAAAAGTCCTAATGGAATACATGGTAGCTTAGTATGAAATGCTAACAAATTGGGCTAAAAAATGAACCTGATATTAAATCATGAATGAAACAGAATGTTTACTTCTTTTTCAGAGAACATTAAAAGCTTTGTGTGGCTATTGTCACATCCATTTAAATACTCTACCATATTCTGTTTTATGATAAATGCAAACCCAGAACGGTTATATGGAACTGAATTAAATCTCCTTTTCAACTATGATGTAATAATTATAAGATGCATCTATAACAGTTCTCTCCCCAACATTCAACAAACAAACACACATACATACCACAAGCACACAGAAGAAGTAACAAGTTGAGCTAAGGCACAAGTGATGCTCACCTTATGGTAGCGTGCCAACAGTTTTCCCTGAGAATCAAACACCACATCAGTGTTGTATTGGTAACGGCCATCAGGGGGACACTGAGAGTCACTGGCATTGCATGGCTTCTTGTCCCCAATATTAGCCACGACATAGATAGAGTTGTCCTTGGCCAGGCAGCTGAGTCTTTGTTGCACTGGTGTGTTGCCGAATCTAATTCAATAGACATTTCCTCAAACTTACTATATTTTAGTGATTTCTGAAATACCAAAGTGATACTTTATTTGCCCATTGCCCATAACACAACAGCTCTAGGTCAAGAATCAACAGAAAATATTTTAAAACTCTCATGTGATACAGTGTTTATCTTCCTGAAAGCTAACCTAATTTACTATGCCAAACTCCAGATTACAGTACAAGACTGAAGGAAAGAAAAGATGGAAGAGGAAGAGGAGGATGAAAAGAAGCAGCACATTCTCTTATGAAGTGCTCCCAGGAAGATATATGAAGCACTTGAAATTTAGCAGATTCTGCTAATGGAGAGGACCTTTTCTATAATCCAAGCCATAATTTGTACAAGGTTGCTGATACGAGATGTGGTTGGAAACAGAAATGCCAGGTGACAGTAAATAGTTTGTACCCTCCAGATTGTCTCTATAAAAAAACAAATATAGCTGTAAGTAGTGGAAATGTTAAAAATTAAAATAAAAAATAAAAAGCACTTCACTGTACTGACTCAGTTTCTTCATCTGTCAAATGTAAAACAATAGCTTCCTTTCTGCCTTAGTGGATCCACATGAGAAATCCTGAGATAAGTACAGACATGAAATTGTTTTACCAAGTCCATCCATATTAAAGATATTTATCCTTGGTATAAGAAGAGAATGTAGCATGGTGATAGCTGGCTTCAAATATTTGAAAGGCTTAATTTATAGGAGATGGGTCATATGTGTGAACATAGCATAGAATGCAGGAAAAAGACGAAAGGAAGTTAAAGTGAGGCAGATTTCAGCAGAAAATAAGACAAAAAATGTTTAGCAACCAGCTCACTCTGTTAAATAAGTGGATTTGCTAGTCACTAAAAATTTTATTATAATATGGTTCATCTAGGCCCTTAGAGTCCATTCCGTTAGCACAGTTAAATGACATAGCTGTTTTAATTCCAGCCAATCTAATGATCAATCATGAGATCATAAGCCTTCCTTTTTTCACATATTTGTAATGCAAATAGTAATGCCAACTACATAAATTGAATGTAATAATGGGTATAGTATACCAGGTACAGTTCTTGGGACCAAGTAAGTGCTCAGTAAATGAAAATTGCTATTATGGATTGTGTGATTAGAGGCCATTCCATGTCTCTCTATGAACTCACAGCCCCTCTGCAATTGAGGTTAAACTAACCTTTGAATAAAAAGGACAGATTAATGGCCTACTGGTTTAGACCTTTTCTTTTTATTTTCTTCTAAAAAAAACAGAGAAGTACTATTAATATTCATATTCATTAAGACCTTTAATAACTTTATCATGTACTTTGTTTAATTTTTCTTTTCTTGACTAAATAATTTGAGTTATTTAATATTTCCTACTAGTTACTCGTGAAAAAAGCCCATGGAACTGTTTGACATGTCAGCATTCTAAATATTTAAATGCACAAGGATGACCGCATGCCTCTCTACTATTCTCTTCAGGGATAAATATCACCAGGGAGAAAACTGACTTTCTTTTCCAATATTATCATTATATTAAATACTGGATTTCTCCTTTCTGTAACACAAAACTGAAACGTTGTCATTTGAATAAGTAGGTGTAAGAGTTCATAATGTTGACATTTCATCAGTCACCTACTTTCCCAACTTAAAATAATTTATCGATAGCTAATTATCAAATTTATGGATATATTTTCCCTGGAAAAGTCAGTTTCATTAGCCCAGTCAAATACAGTACATTTTCGTGTAAGCCTCATCAACTGCAGCAAATAATGATTCCTTCCTGTTCTGGGAAACGCCTCATAAGCAAGTAGATGTTGAATCATAGTGACATGGTTTCTGTAAACACAGACCATGCAATGTTTAGAGAATATTTTTCCAAAGGGCAAAATCCCAGAGTGAGGTTTGACTCACATAGCTGAGCCTGAATGTTGTACCATTAAGCATGACTTTCCACTTAATTTCACATAGGTAAAATTATCAAAGAAGTTTCTCTTTTTGCACAATAGGTGTAGTTCTAAACAGGTGCATGTAAATTTAAAATTAGCAAGTTAAATGACTTCTTAACCCATCAATTTTGCCATTTAAAGAAATAATCTTAAACTATTTTTAAAAGTTAATACAACTAAAATAATCTATTTCACAGATATCATATTTATTATGCATATTTTCTTTAAGAAAGTTATGCCTAAATTACATCTACTAATAATTACTAAAGTCTCTCAAAGGACAAGAACACAAAGAAGTTCAGACTCAGTCCCTTCTGTTAACAAAAAAAAAAAAGGAATAGTGACAGCTAGCATTGGAGAGTGCATCACAATGTACAAATTCCATGTGTATTACTTCATTACTCTTGTCTGATCTGTAAGAGAATTAAGGGACTCTATTATCCCTGTTTTACAGATAATGAAACAGAAATGTTAAGCATTTAGGTTATACGCTTACATCACTCAGCTAGGTGGTCGTAAAATGTGGTCCCAGAAGTAGGGCTTCCTTTTTCAAGTCCTATACAATTTCCATTGGCCATATTGATTGCATTCTGAATGACAGTGATAGCAAAGCTCTTTGGAAACAGGCTCATTCATCTTTTTACTCTTCCTGTGAAGGAGGCAGGTGTCCATGGATGAACCAACTTACTTGTATTTGGGACACAGGTTCTAGATATTCCAACTTTTTCACTTTGTTCAAACCCAATTAAACACATTTACTATAAAAATTGTGTATATACCTACTATTTTTTTTTCGAGATGGAGTCTCACTCTGTTGCCCAGTCTGGAGTGCAGTGGCGTGATCTCGGCTCACTGCAACCTCTGCCTCCTGGGTTCAAGTAGTTCTCCTGCCTCAGTCTCCCGAGTAGCTGGGATTATAGGCATGCACAACCACACCCAGCTAATGTTTGTATTTTTTAGTAGAGATGGGGTTTCACCATGTTGGCCAGGCTGGTCTCGAACTCCTGACCTCAGGTGATTTGCCCACCTCCACCTCCTAAAGTTCTGGGATTACAGGCGTGAGCCACCACACCCGGCCTATACCTACTATTTTTTTAAGACAAGGTCTTACTGTCACCCAGGCTGGAGTGCAGTGGTGCAATCATAGCTCACTGCAGCCTCAAACTCCTGGGCCCCAGTGATCCTCCTGCTTCAGCCTCTCGAGTAGCTGGGATTATAGGTGTGAGCCACCACACCTGGCTAAATTTTTTATTTGCCGAAATAGGGTCTGGCTTTGCTGCGCAGGCTGGTCTCAAACTTCTGGCTTCAAGCAGTCCTCCTGCTTTGGCTTCCCACAGTGATGGGATTACAAGTGTGAGCCACCACGCCTGGTCACACCTACTATTGTTGAAAGACAATTGCAACAAATAACCAACTAGTCATCAGTATCTCAAGTCATTTACCAAACAGGAGATATGCCAGATGATATACACTATGAAACATAAGCAGTATCTGCAGATTCAACACTATTTCTTTTCTTCTTTTTTTTTTTTTTTTTTTTTTGAGACAGAGTCTCACTCTATCGTTCAAGCAATTCTCATGCCTTAGCCTCCCGAGTAGCTGGGATTACAGGCACACACCACCACACCCAGCTAATTTTTGTATTTTAGTAGAGATGGGGTTTTACCACGTTGGCCAGGCTGGTCTCAAACTCCTAATCTCAAGTAATCCACCTGCCTTGGCCTCCCAAAGTGCTGGGATTATAGGCATGACCCACAGCACCCAGCCTCAACACTATTTCTAACATACTACCAATGTCATTTTTTCACAGATTTATAAACAAAATTTCTAAAATTCATATGGAACCAAAAAAGAGCCTGAATCGCCAAACCAATCCTAAACAAAAAGAACAAAGCCTGAGGCATCACATTACCCAAGGCTACAGTAATCAAAACAACATGGTACTGTTAGAAAAACAGACACATAGACCAATAGAACAGAATAGAGAGCCTAGAAACAAAGCCGCACACCTACAGCCATCTGTAGCTCAAACAAAGTTCACAAAAATAAGTATGGGGAAAGGACTCCTTATTCAACAAAAGGTGCTGGAATATCTGGCTAGCCATATGCAGAAGATTGAAACTGGACCCCTATCTTTCACCATGTACAAAAATTAACTCAAGATGTATTAAAGATTTAAATGTATGACCTCAAACTATAAGAATCCTAGAAGAAAATCTAAGAAACACCATTCTGGACATGAACCTTGGAAAATAATTTATGACTAAGTCCTCAAAAGCAATTGCAACAAAAACAAAACTTGACATGTAGGACCTAATTTAACTAAAGAGCTCTGTACAGCAAAAGCAACTATCAACAGAGTAAATAGACAACCTACAGAATGGGAGAAAATATTTGCAAACTAGGCATCTAACAAAGGTCTACTATCCAGAATCCATAAGGAACTTAAATCAATAAGCAAAAACAAAACAAATAACCCCATTGAAAAGTGGGCAAAAGACATGAACAGACACTTCTCAAAAGAGGACATACAAGTGGCCAAAAAACACGTGAACAAACACTCAACATCACTTATCATCAGAGAAATGCCAAGCAAAACCACAATGAGATATCATCTCACACCAGTCAGAATGACTGTTAACAAAAAGTCAAATAATAAAAGATGCTATGGAGAAAGGGGAACACTTACACACTATTGGTGGAAATGTAAATTAGTTCAGCCATTGTGGAAAGCAGTTTGGAGATTTCTCAGAGAACTTAAAACACAGCAACCATTCGACTCACAATCCCATTACTAGGTATATACCCAAAGGAAAGGAAATCATTCTACCAAAAAGACTCGTGCACTTGTATGTTCATCGCAGCACTTTTCACAACAGCAAAGATATGGAATTAACCTAGGTGCCCACAAGAAGGAACAAAATCATGTCTTTTGCAGCACCAAAGGACATTATCCTCAGCAAGTTAACACAGGAACAGAAAACCAAATACTGCATGTTCTCACTTATAAGTGGGAGCTAAGCATTGGGAACTCATGGCCATAAAGATGACAGCAATAGACACTGGGAACTAATAGAGGGGAGAGAGAGAGAGGAAGGCAAGGGCTGAAAACCTTCCTGTTGTATACTATGCTGGGTGGTGCAATCATTGTACCCCAATCCTCAGCGTCATGCAATTTGCCCATGTAACAAACCTGCACATGTACTCCCTCAATCTAAGCTAAAAGTTGAAATTACAGGGAAAAAAAAGCATCTACATCCTATGCCACAGATTGACTATTTATCAACACAATTACCAGTCAAATTCAGTGAGTTTACTGTTGGTGTTTTACCAAATCACAACTTTTTGTTTAGAAATTAATGATATGATATTACCTCCAGGGGTCTCTACATGGAATCCAGTTCACTCCAGGGTCTGGTATATCCTCTAGATAGGGGTAAATGCTCTCCCTGGTGAAGATCCAACCATAGATTCCATCTTCTGGGGTCACAATGATATGTGCACCCTGCTCGAAACAAGTGGGGCAAAAAAGTTTGTCATGAATTCCAAATACTCTTTGACCAAACTGCAAGTCTCCTTTACAAGTATAAAAGGGTAATACCTGCTTCGCTGCCAGCTTAACTGCTTTCTCCAAAACATCTATGTTCTTGTTCATCAGGAGCAAAGCTTCTTCTTTTGAAACAGGTGTTTCTGTTCTGTTTGGTAATATCACCGCATGCTCATATACTGCAGCAATAAAAGTGTCCAGTGCACCAACACTCAGAGCAAGGAGGGCAAAAACTGCCACACATTTTGGAAAATGTGATATAATCATAACTAAAATTTAGTGATCTTTGAAAAACAAACTCAGATTCTTACGTTTTGTTTCACTGGAAAAACTTTACATTAAATCCCTCCTGGCAATCAGCTGTTTATATTTTCTTGCACATATATTACACAACACAGCATTGAGAAAGGATGTTGTGCAAGAAAACTGACAGCCAGGACGTAATTGGATTGATTCAAGTGTACAGTGCAGTTGTTGACATTGTTCAGAGTCAAGTCAACACTAAAAGATTGAGCCAACCAGATGAATTCACCCCAGTCCAAAACACACTGGCAGTTGAAGTCTTTTCTAATAAAAAAAAATTTTCCTGGTAAGCCAACATTTCTATTAATAGGGCCAATATTGGAAGGTAGTCATCATAGCAACAATTTGTTGAGCACTCTACTTACATATTTGTATGGCCATTTCTATTTGAAAAGCCCTTGTTCTCCATCCGTCTAAGTTCCAGCTCCCCCTAGAGTCCTCCCAAATCCACTCCAGTCCTAAGTGATATTTCTGAACTCCTATAGCATTTTTTTCTGTGCTGCTGAATGTCTCTCACTCCTTGCTGTTGTCTTGACCTTTAATTTAAATATTATACCAATACTTAATATTATATATGTATGTTTTGTCTTCTTAAAGAGATTAAAAAGAAACTTGCTGTTTTCTTTCAGAACATCCATGTCCAATAAACATCTAGACAGAGATGATGTATCCTGGGATGTGGCCCCTGGAGGGTAAGGGAAGTGTCCTGCTCACTGTTGAACCTCATCACCCCAGCACATGTGTGACAGATGGTGAAAGCTCAATATATGAATGAATGTTGAATGACGGAATCTACTACCTGATGGGCCAGTCTATTCCACCTTTGAACATTGCCAATTTTAAGAACATTCTTGTTATTGAGATGCAATTTACTTTACCTGTCTTCTACAGTTTAAACCCGCTTCCATATGAAGACTAATCAATAATTCAAAAAGTGTTAAGTTCTCCTTTAATTCTTTTATTTTTTAAACATATCATCCTTATAAGTCCCTTAAGGGCAGGGTCACATTATAATTCTCTGCTGCTTCTATAGAATTTTATACTGTGCTAAGCTCTGTAAATGTTTTTTGATTAGTTAAATTCACTTCCCTCGCCCAATTTTGGATTGAATCTCCTTGTTTGAATATCAGTTAATTTAAAATGTAGAATTTTTTTTAAGGTTTAAATCTCTGATTCTAGAACAATTAACACTGCTTCTCCCTCTTGAGATTCTTTCTAAGATCTAAGGAAAATTGTAAGTTATGGAGATTTGTGTCTATTTTGGGTTTGGTTTGTTTCTATAATTCAAAGTCCCTTGGTTTCAATAAACTTTTCCATTATCCAAATATTTCTGCTCCCAGATACCCCACAGTGTTTCCATATGTCCTTATGCCCTGATACCATTTCAGGAAATAAGGACATATGAACATAAATTCAGCCCTAAATTCTGAGTTTATGTCTGACATAAATTGTTTTCATCAGACATCAGACATAAGTTCTTTTCCAAAAAAATTTCTGAGGAGAAGAGGGAAACTATGTAAAACAGATGGATTGATCTGGGATGAGAAGAAAATAATTTTCATATTTCAAGTTGAAATTCTAACTCTTTTCTTGGTTCACCTGACTTTCTGAATAGAATCAAAAGGAAACATATGGGAATTCCCCTTCATTCTCCCAGCCCCTAGTTCCAGGAAATGTACCAGCTTTTTTTGTGTGTTGAAATCAATAGAAACTTGAGTTAAATATTTGATTACCCAATGTTGTTAGTAATGTCTTTGCTTCCTAGGTGTATAAGGCGTGCAGCTATGAGTTATTTGAAACACTGTATTGGTACATAATCCTTATGACAGTCTGGCATTATTGTAGGATTAAGAAGTTTAGAGTCAGAAGTTTTGTATTACAATAAATATAATTCTTCTTTTAAATATGTAAGGGACACATCTTAAAGGAGAGGTGCTGTAATAAAATATCTAAGAGTTTACTGGCTTTCCCCAAATCTTTATTTCTAAACTCATTGTAAAACCTCCTCTCCATTCTCCTTATCAAGTTCCTGACCCCATAAATAAGAATTCTTTCAGGCTCTCCATCAGCCTCTCTGATCCCACTCCTCCCACCCTAACCCTCAATACTGTAATCCATTAGAGTTCCCTTGACCATTGCTGTCATTAATTAAGATACTTCCCATGCATATATTGAATCAAAGCAGACAGTAAGAGCCTTCTTTCTCTTGGTTCCATTTTATATTTTGTGTTCTTAGCTAAAAGTACTCTTCTTATTGTAACATGATCACTGTTGCTCTGATCCTGGAATGATTCTGACCAAATCCTGCCTTTCGAGCTCAAATCCATTGCCTCTCCAGTCTTGTTGCTATTCCCTTCTCTAAACTCTTAATGCACTTATGGCCAGTAGCCACATTGTTGTTCACTGTCTTTCAGTCCCTTACTCTACCCTCTCCCCTGGCCCCAGGTTTTTTTCTACTTCATACCTTCAACTATCTTCTACAAAAGGATAATGACTGTGTCTCTATCTTTAGCTCAAACTTCCGTTCTGAACTTCAGGCCTATTTATCCAACTCAAAAGAACTCCTTTCCACAAGCTCCCACCAAGTATCAACCCACCTGCCAGCCATTTGTACCTGTAAATTCTGCCTCCCCCCATCCTTACTGTAAATGACTCCTCTTGACCCTACTTAAGTCTAGCCCCTATCTTTGAGCACTGGATCCCAAGGACATTGCTCTAGAAGTTCTTCTCTCTTACTTTGTTTATTTTTTTGTTTGTTTGTTTTTGAGACAGGGTCTCACTCTGCCACCCAGGCTGGAGTGTAGTGGTATAATCTTGGCTCACTGCAACCTCCACTTCCCAGGTTCAAAAGATCCTCCTGCCTCAGCCTCCCAAGTATCTGGGATTACAGGCATCTGCCCCCCACACCTGGCTAATTTTTGTATTTTTAGCAGAGATGGAGTTTTATCATGTTGGCCAGGGTGGTCTCAAACTCCTGGCCTCAAGTGATCTGCTCACCTCGGCCTCTCAAAGTGCTGGGATTATAGGCGTGAACCACCAATGCTCGGCCTTTTTTTTTTTTTTTTTGAGATGGAATCTTGCTCCATCACCCAGGCTGGAGTGCAGTGGCCCAATCTTGGCTCACTGCAACCTCCGTCTCCCAGGTTCAAGCAATTCTCCTCCCTCAGCCTCCCGAGTAGCTGGGCTTTCAGGCGCACATCACCATGCCTGGCTGATTTTTGTATTTTCAGTAGAAACAGGGTTTCACCATGTTAGCCAGTCTAGTGTAGAACTCCTGACCTCAAGTGATCCACCCACCTCGGCCTCCCAAAGTGCTGGGATTATAGGCATGAGCCACCGTGCCCAGCCCCATTACTGTTTATCATCAATTTTTCTTTCTCTATTGGATACAATAAAGAAAACACAAATATCCTATTATATATTCTACAACTATCCTGTAACATTTTCTATCTTAAAAAAAAAAGCCTTTTGATCTGACATCCCCTTCCAATTCCTGCTCCATTTCTCAGCTTTATTTTATAACAAAATTCCTTTCCACGATGGTATGTACTCCTTGCCTCAATTCCTGTCCTCCCAATGGACAGGATTTTACCCCCATGACTTCACTGCCTTGTCCAGTTCCCATTAATCTCCCTATTACTAAGTCTGATGGTCAATTCTCAATGTCATCTTACTCAATGTCTTGGTAGTACTTGACAAAGCTGCCATTATCCCATTCTTAATGTACTTTCTTCTTCACACCCTTTTAGTTTTCCTCTTTCTTTCTTCTTAGTTTTTGTATTTGTTTACTTTGTTTTGTTTCTTTGGACTTTTTCTTCTGGTTTCTACTCATCATCCCTGACTTGGCAACACTGGTGCACCCTGGAGCCCAACCTTTGGAAGTCTTCTGTTCCTATCTACACTCACTTCCTAGGTGATTACATCCATTTCATCTCTTTAAATACCATCTATATATTTAATATTAGTGACTCACAGATTTATATATCTACCTCAAACCTCTCTTGAGAACTCTAGACTCTTATATCTGGCAACAGTCTACTCAAAATCTCCACTTGACTGTATGAAGGCTTATCTGATCAACATGAACAAAACTGAGCTCCTGACCTTCTGCTCCTGATGCTCTTTCACCAGCAGTCTTTCAGATCTCAATTAACGGCTTCTCTCATCTCCCTTTTGTTCCGGCCAAAACCCTTGGAGTCACCCTTACTTCTTTCTGTCTCTCTCACTCTACACACGTTCAAGCAAGTGGTCTTTTACTACACCAACTGTGGTCCAAGCCGTCATTATCACTAGTCTGGATTATTCCCAAACCCTTGCACCTGGTTTTTGTACCACTACTTCTACTTTTGCACAACAACAATCAGAGCCATTCTATCAAAATATAAGACTAATCATATCATTCCTCTGCTCAAAACCTATCAATGGCCTGGGTGCAGTGACTCACACCTGTAATCCCAGCACTTTGGGAAGCCAAGGCGGTCAGATCACCTGAGGTCAGGAGTTTGAGACCAGCCTGACCAACATGGAGAAACCCCGTCTCTACTAAAAATACAAAATTGGCTGAGCACAGTGGCATGCACCTGTAATCCCAGCTACTCAGGAGGCTGAGGCAGGAGAATCACTTGAACCCGGGAGACAGAGGTTGCAGTGAGCCAAGATTGCACCATTGCACTCCAGCCTGGGCAACAAGAGTGAAACTCCATCTCAAAAAACAAACAAACAAATAAACAAACAAAAAAACCTATCAGTGGCATTCGATTTTACTCAGAGTAAAAGGCCAAGTTCTTACAATGCCTAAAAAAACCACTATAAGCTGTCACTTCTAACAATTCCTACTACTTTTCCCATGTTCACTCGGCTCCAGTTGCATTGACTTCTTTGCTGTTCCTCAAGCATGTCCCTGTACTGTCTCCACTACCCTGAGGGGACTGCTGCAACTGGCTCCTTCCTGGCCACTCTGCCTTTAGAACTTCTTTCTCCACTCCATCCTTCAAAAAGCCATCAAATTTATCTAGTTTTTAAACTGTTTAGTCCCTCATGGCTACTTGACTCTAAAACTCTTCAATGTGTCTTTCTCTCAGCTTCTGGATAAAGTCTAGACTTCATTTGTGTTTCAACACTGACTCTGGACTATCTCTCTAGTCTTATTTTTTACATCGTCTGTCCTTATCCTTCCTCCTTGCATCCTCTTCCTCCGTAATACATTAAACACTGCTTGAAGCATACTTCCATGTCTTTGCATGCATGACTAACTCTATTGAGAATGCCCTGATTATCTTATTCTGCTTGTCTGTGACATCCTTCTGGTCTTCCAAGGTAGAATTGATCCATTTCTGGTCCTTGTATTGATCATAGCACTAGCACGCCTCAGCCTCCAAAGTGCTGGGATTACACGCATGAGCCACCATGCCCAGCTAAGTTTTTTTTTTTTTTTATGTGATTGTTAGCTGCATAAATGTCTTCTTTCGAGAAGTGTCTGTTCATGCCCTTTGCCCACTTTTTAATGGGGTTGTTTGTTTTTTTTCTTGTGGAAAAGAAGTTCCTTGTAGATTCTGGATATTGGGCCTTTGTCAGGTGGATAGATTGCAAAATTTTTGTTTAAGTTCCTTGTAGATTCTTGGATATTGAATCTTTGTCAGAAGGATAGATTGCAAAAATTTTCTCCCTTTCTGTAGTTTGTCTGTTCACTCTGATGATAGTTTCATTTGCTGTGCAGAAGCTCTTCAGTTTAATTAGATTCCACTTGTCATTTTTTGCTTTTGTTGCAATTGCTTTTGGTGTTTTTGTCATGAAATCTTTGTTTGTGCCTATGTCCTGAATGATATTGTCTAGATTTTCTTCTAAGGTTTTTATAGTTTTGGGTTTTACATCTAAGTCGTTAATCCATCTTCAGTTAATTTTTGTATAAGGTGTAAGGAAGGGGTCCAGTTTCCATTTTCTGCCTGTGGCTAGCCAGTTTTCCCAGCACCATTTATTAAATAGGGAATACTTTCCCCATTGCTTGTTTTTGTCCAGTTTGTCAAAGATCAGATGGTAGTAGATGTGCAGTATTTTTAAAATTAATTTCTGAAATGCAAAATGAAACAGAACAGGGAAGCAAAGGTTTATAACATAACTGATCAAAGCTTTTAGCAGGGTTGTTCAATCCATATTCAAACAATATAAGATGTCACAGAATTCTTGAAGACAGGTAAATTGAAATTAGTCAGTTCACTCTCATTATTTTTCTCCTTTGACTTAGCTTCACGTGGTCTAGAAATTCTCAAATAAATCGTTGATTTTTTTTTTTTTTTTTGGACACAAGATCTTGCTCTTTTGTCCAGGCTGGAGTGTAGCGGCGTGATCACAGCTCACTGCAGTCTTGACCTCAGAGGCTCAAGTGATCCTCCCACTTCAGCCTCCCGAGTAGCTGAGAACACAGACACACACCACCACACCTGGCTGGCTTTTTGTATTTTTGGTACAGACAGGGTTTTACCATGTTGCTCAGGCTGGTCTTGAACTCCTGAGCTCAAGCAATCCTCCTTCCTCAGCTTCCCAAAGTACCAGGATTACAGGCATGTTTTCTTTCCCATTCCAAGTACTTTCTGTCTTATTTACATACTCAAGAAATCCTCTTCACAGTTGTCCCTGTTTCTTTGTCCAAATGTCTTCTCAGGAATGCTTTCATTGGAAGTAGCTGCGTGTGGCTCAGTGTAAGCATGTGAGTGTGGGTGTGGGTATAATAACCATATTGACCTAAGCAGGCATCCAGCCTCAGATATCTTTTAGAACATTATCACCCATGGACTATCTTGGAATGATGGTCAGAATGGAGTTAGAAATGTAAAAAGAATTTAGGAAAGAGGCCAAAACAGAAAGAATGCTGACAGAAATCACCTGTACAGAGCAATGAGCCAACACTATGAGGACAGGTCAAAATGCAAAGAAAGTAGAAAGTAGGGGCAGTGTAGTTGCAAAGCAGGTTGTGAGCATATCATAGAAATTATGGAAATAGATCATATCAAAGGGGGCAATGTCACAGAGTGGCAAAGGGAGCAAAGAGAATGCATAGACCACTGTCTCAGTACTTAGTGCTTGGGATATAGTAAGTGATCAATGCTTCCTGAATGAATGAAGGAAGGCTAGGTAGTGAGCCCTGAGAGAAGGCTGCTGCTGAGCATGTGACTTTGTAATACAGGGGGCTGTAACCAGGAAGTTGTAAAAGAGCATTTCAGGAAAAAAGCCTAATGAAAGCCAAATAGGAGAAAATAAGAGCTTTGTTTACTATCTCCAGAACCACAAGGGACTCAAGAACTAACATGAAATTTTAGAATGGGATGAGGCCGGGCGCGGTGGCTCACGCCTGTAATTCCAGCACTTTGGGAGGCCGAGGTGGGCGGATCATGAGGTCAGGAGTTCGAGACCATCCTGGCTAACATGGTGAAACCCCGTCTCTACTAAAAATACAAAAATTAGCCAGGCGTGGTGGCGGGCGCCTGTAGTCCCAGCTACTCAGGAGGCTGAGGCAGGAGAATGGCGTGAACCTGGGAGGCGGAGCTTGAAGTGAGCCGAGATCGCACCACTGCACTCCGGCCTGGGCAACAGAGCGAGACTCTATCTCAAAAAATAAATAAATAAATAAGTAAAAATAAAATAAAATGGGATGAAAGATAGTTATCAAAGAAATATAAAGGCCAAATGAAACTATGCTTGGGTTGTTTGATAAAATAAAATGTATGTGAGAAACCACGGTGGAGATGGGTTAAAATGTGGTGCAGGCAATTTTACAGTAGAGCATTAAGTGCTCTTTAATTTCCTTGGCACTTGGTGCTTTCGTTTTTTGTTTTTATTTTTAACAAACTGAGGTACAGCTGAGAGCTCCAAGCTTGAATCAGAACTGTCCCTTTCTGTGAAAGGAGCTCCTTGCTTGTATCTTACTCAAACCAGTTTGTTTAACGTCAGCTGTTGATTTTCAATCAACATCTAAACTTCTGCAAATGAAACGTCATTGCCCAAGAGCCAAAATACATGCTGCAAAACCACTGCACAACATCTAACTTCCTCAAGCAAAACTTGGCAAATTTTAAATGTCCCATACTTTATGAAAAGGAAAAAGAAGCCAGGCATGGTGGCTCATGCCTGTAATCCCAGCACATCGGGAGGCCAAAGTGGGTGGATCACCTGGTCAGGAGTTCGAGACCAGCCTGGCCAACATGGCGAAACTCCATCTCTACTAAAAATACAAAAATTAGCCGGGCATGGTGGTGGGTGCCTGTAATTCCAGCTACTTGGGAGGTTGAGGCAGGAGAAGCACTTGAACCCAGGAGGCGGAGGTTGCAATGAGCTGAACTCCCACCATTGCACTCCAGCTTGGGTGACAGAGTGAGACTCTGTCTCAAAAAAAAAAAAAGAAAAAGAAAAAGAAAAAAGAGCATAAAACTTTGATGATTATATGATTTGGACTATATACACAAATGCACGTTCATTACAGCTTTAAAATTGCCATCTTTGATGTCCCAATGCTGAACATAGGGAATATGTATGCTCTTCTCAAAATTAAATACAAAGTGTGGCTTAACTTCCATATTTCTTCTCTTAATACTAACCACGAGATTATAAAAGGAATCTTACTTTTCTAGTGTATTTTAGTAGAATTTTAAAATCAAATCCATAAGTAGGTTTATGACAATATGTAAAAACAAAAGATAAATGCTTCAATTGTGTTTTTTTATGTAAAAGTATTGAATTTAAAAATACTTTGGGAGATAAAAATCAGAAAATAAATCTGAAAATTCAAAATCAGTTCTTTAATTTTAAGAGTATCTGAATTAAATGATCAATAACAAATATACTAGTTTACTTCAAGTAGCATGGAATATGTGTATTTTGTAAAAAGTCAACCAAATGCTGAAAATAGTGTAACTTTTAACTGTCATGGTCTTTGTGTTATGAGATTTCTGCCTGTTAAATTACGCCATAGCCTTAAGGTGGGACAGCTGGGGCTATGAGTGCCCTGGGTCAGGTCTCCTTTGATATGAACTTGGAATAGCCATCAATTCTTCTAGCACTCAAAACTACGTTCACTGTAGAAATAAATGTCGACATTGCCTTTTGATTGGAAAGTAAATCTCCTGATAAACATTAGCACAGAAAACTAGGTGAATTCAAATAGTCTTTAATGTCAAAGGGAATTCAGTCATAAACCTCTAAATTCCCATCATTACTATTCTCTTCAAGGGCACAGCTATGTTTGCAATGGCCCTGAAACTCCTCACTCCCATACATACAAGTCCCCCATACACACAAAGTCTCAAGCAAATGAGGCTGGAGCTGGAGTTTGATCTTCATTTATCTGACCCAAACACCCAGGCTCTTTCCATTGTTCCACACTGCAACATTTCAGAGTAGCCAAAAAAATGGACAACATTATCATAATACTTAAAAAATAATTATTGATGAGAAAAAATATTTAGGACTCACTGGTCTATACTACTGAAATAGCCCTTCAAAGTTTCTTAGTAAACTTGGGAAGCCGATAAACACATTCAGCCAAGCATATGATGCAGAAGCTGAGTGATAAAGAGACGCCCTATAACATTACAATATTTTGCAAAGCTATGATCATTAATAATATGAATATTAGCAGGTAAGTTATTGCTGAATTGCTGGTCCCACATGAGCTGTAAAGTGAGTCCTTTGTGTACCACCTCCCAAAGAGTGACACTGTTAGTATAGGCCCAGATGATCCATTCTTGTTTACCAAACGCCCATCTTTCAGCACCTAAAGAAAAGGTGGGAAAAGTACAGTCAGCTTTCTTAACATAGAAGTTAAAAGCAAATTAATCATTTTGAAACCATCCTAGATATAATGTATAGTCAAATCATTTCTGATTTAGGAGGATGCAGCAAGTAGGCCAGGCAGGGGACAGCCATTTACTACATAATGAAGACTAGAGCAATTCAAGAGGGCCCAAGATTTTAGTTTCAACAATCAAATGTAACCATTAATGGAAAGTCAAAATCAGCAGCAGCAATTCATTGAGTTCGATTATGTGCAAGACAATCAGGAACCAGAGAGTTATACATCACATCCTTCCCTCAAGAAGCTAAAGAGCTAATGGTGAAATGGAGCGGATTCTAAACATAAAGAGAGAAATCAGTTTATCAGTGTATCAGAGAAGAGAACAGGTAAGTGCTAGGAGGTCTGAGAAAAAAAAAACTGAACTGGTCTGTTTCACGGAGTGGGACACAAGCTGCCAAAAACTCAAGCTGTTAGGAATTTCTTTCAAGGGCTGTATGGTGGAAGACATTGTGGGAAGTGGACATTGAACCAGCAAAGGCTCATTCTGAGACAGAAGTGTGTGTGACAGATCAAGGCAATGTGAGTTCTCATTCTAGATTGGTTAAAACCAGTGGTGTGCTGGAGCTAGTGGTGCACAGGCTCATGAGAACAGATTGTTAAATTTCCAGGAAATTGGACAGCTGGCTGTTAAACACAGCCATTCTTTTTTTCCCCCTTTTTTGAGATGGAGTCTCGCTCTGTCACCCAGGCTGGAGTGCAGTGGCATGATCTTGGCTCACTGCAACCTCCGCCTGCTGGGTTCAAGTGATTCTCCTGCCTCAAGCTCCCCAGTAGCTGGGATTACAGGGGCGTGCCACCAAGCCCAGCTAATTTTTGTATTTTTAGTAGAGACAGGGCTTCACCATGTTGCCCAGGCTGTTCTCGAACTCCTGGCCTCAAATGGTCCTCCCAACTCAGCCTCCCAAAGTGCTGGGATTACAGGCGTGAGCTATCAAACTCTGCCAACAGATCCATTCTTGAAGCTGGTGGGATCATGGCGGGAATATTGACACAATGAAAACTGGCAAATTCCATAAGTCAGGGCTTTTTGTTTTCTACCTCAGAGAAGGAATTGTTTAAAGTTACATCACACCACTGGCTAGCGCTGAAGATTAGTGAAGAAGAGAAGAAGGAATATGATCAGAGGAAGGTGGAGATCAGACTGTGAAAGGCATTAATGACTAGATCTAGCCTGAAGCCACAGTGGAGTTTTCATAAGAGAGGAATATGTACAAAGCAATTGAACAAGAACAGAAGGAAACATGCATAGACAGTCAATAAACAGAACAAGAATAAAAGAAAATGAACCCATTAGTTGTGGAAATGGAGTTGGAATGGAGAAGAAATTGAAAATTGGGAAATTAGTTGGAGTGGAGAAGAAATTGAAAATTAGGAAAACAGATGCTTTACAACTGGGAGGAGAAAATGACTAAATATCCTAGAAGATAATGATTGTACTTCACCATTCACAAAGTGTCTTCACATGCATTATCATATTTGATCCTCACCAAATCAGTGAGGAAAATATTCTCTTCTATGAGTAGGAAATTCAGAGGTTAAGTGACTTTCCCAAGGTTATCTAACTAGTTAGTTACAGAGAACAGACTCTGCCAGTGCTTCTGACAATACACCAGAGTTGCCTAAGGTGCTAAAGCAAGATGTTTCCACATTTGTGGGCATGGTGAGTAACACCACCCTTTTAACATAAAACTAAAGTGGTGGTGGGGGTTGAGGATACACAACAAGTGTGTTGAAATCTCTGCAATAGTGATCCTCTAAGATAACGTGTAAATATCTATGGAGAGAGTGTGCATCCATCAACAGAACTGAGAAGCTACTCAAGAAGCCATAATGAGCATGACTGATGTAAAACATTTGTCATCTTCAATATTATGACTGCTGTTTCTAGAAACAACATATTCACAGAAGGGCCATGCCCTGCAAGGTCTCTAGAGAAAAGAAGCACTAAAAAAACCAAGAATGGGTTATTGGACTTTTTTTTGGCTCTTTTTGAGGAAAGTGGGCACCTTGATCCTACATGGTCTTCAGATCACCAGCCCTAAAGAGAAGAATCACATTGCCTCAGGCTTCTGTGGGTTCTTGGAAATCTTTTCCAAGAATGCCCAACTCCTTTTGTTTTAATTCTGCACTCACAAAACAAACTGATCTATCATTTGTACTTTTGAGAGGATTTGCCAATGAAGAGTCTCCTTGACATACAGTTCATTGTTCCCAGCTAAGGGAACCTATTTTTTAAAATAACAAGTTGGTGTTCTCGCTTATCTATCTTGCAAATTTGATTAGTATCTGTTCCTTAGAACCTGATGAACTTCAGTGAAAGTCATGCCACAGAGAATCTACACTTACAAAATAAAGACCTGCCTCACCCTCATCATGATGCTCCCTCCAAGGGACTACAATTCCAAAGACCCTCCCTGCCAGCTGTCACATGGCTCTTTCATATCTTTTTTGGTGTAATACAATCTATATCTCATTTCCTTCTTCTGCAAATGGTCTGGAGCAGGTAAGACAAGATCCAAATAATGATTACAGGTGCCCAATTTAAACGGTAGGTGCTATGCCCCCTTCCCTCCTTCCTTCCATCTAAGAAGGAACCAGAGATGGGATACAGCATGACAAGTTCACAGAATCATTAAAAGTTGAGACCTACTGATACCATATTTACCCTAATGTGATTATTACACATTGCATGTCTGTATCAAAATATCTCCTGTAACCCATAAATATATACACCTACTATGTACCCACAAAAATTAAAAACAAGGCCAGGCATGGTGGCTCATGCCTGTAATTCCAGAACTTTGGGAGGTCGAGGTGGCAGATCACTAGATGTTAGGAGTTCGAGACCAGCCTGGCCAATATGGTGAAACCCCATCTCCACCAAAAATACAAAAAGTAGCTGGGCGTGGTGGCATGCACCTGTAGTCCCAGCTACTTATGAGGCTGAGGCAGGAGAATCGCTTGAACCCAAGAGGCAGAGTTTGCAGTGAGCTGAGATTGCACCACTGCACTCCAGTCTGGGCAACACAGCGAGACGCCATCTCAAATAATAATAATAATTAAAAATAATTTAAAAAAATGTTTAAGAGTTGAGATGTACAAATACTATGGAGTTAAGCATTTAAACATGTATTCTCTTGTATCATTCTCTAACTCTTCTTAACTGCCTGAAGACATTTGGGATGAAATTTTTAAAACAAAGAAAGGAAGTAGTAATGGAATAAATTATTTACGTTCTCCAACTCTTCATGCACTATCACCATCCACCTTCAAACACTTATGTGGTTCAGAGTAAGAGTGAAATGGTATTTCTGGCTTTGGACCTTTAACCTAGTTTGGAAAACTCTAGCATTTTTTTGTCCTTCTCCCATGGATGAAGTAGTTTCATCAGGTAAATGTTCAGTCCTACTATGGGACAATTCCTCAAAGAGATAGATTTCTATGAGTACAAGACATGGAAAAAGTGGCAAAGTAGTACGAGAAAATTAGATTGTGTGCTCAGTTTAAATCTTCAGGCTTACAGAATATAATGCATCAATATGGCTAGACCCTATGTCCTCCTAAGTTTACCTTGGTGACCCTGATTTCTCTCTCTCACTTCCTTGAAGTGATCTCAGATAGATATTTATGTCAGTCCAGCCACCTTTTAGCTACTGGATTTTAGCCCCAGACTCCTTGCTGTAGATTTAATCATGATTTTCTGTAGTTGGCACTTCAGCTTTTATTCCAGCCTCAATTTGCTCATGAGATTCTGCCTAAACAGGTTCTATGGCAGCAAAGCATTCCTGATCTTTGGATTTTATGGCCTTAAGGTTACACTGTATGTTAAATTGTTGGTTTCATAGAATTAAGCATTTTTATAAGTATGATATATTCCACTCTGATAACACAGCAGATACAGATACATGACCATAAGCAATCTGCAATTTTAAAGACTTCCTTACTTGATGCCTTGATTGAATTAACTTGGACCCTATTTTATAGAATATGCAATGATTTCACCCTAGTTACTGAAACCCTGCCACTGTTTGCCACAATTCAGAGAAGACATTAATATTCAAACCACTGGAATATGTGTATGTATGCGTGTATGTGCATGTGTGCAAGTGTTGTATATTAGCAGATATAAGCCTGCAGAGTCATAATTCTAATTTGAAGCCAGCTTAATTTGTGAATTAATTAGCTACAGCCACTGTAATTTATGAACAAATGCTGGGTGCAGTGGCACATGCCTTTAAATCCTAGCTACTCAGGAGGCTGAGGCAGGAGGATTGCTTGAGCCCAGGAGTTTGAGGCTTCAGTGAGCTATGATCATGCCACTGCACTCTAACCTGGGTGACAGAGCAAGACTCTGTTTAAAAAAAAATGTGAAATAAACATCTGATTTTCTGTTTGTCTTCACTAGTGACAAAAGGAAATTAAAAATCTATAAACAAACATTCTTCAATGAATGGTATCTCAGACTCACAGTTCTAGGTATGTTCTTTATTATGTTCTTCCAATGAAGTATCATCATTTTATAATTAGTTGTTATAAATTGAAAAAATGATCACAATATTTTCCCCTCCTTGACCCATGTCCTTTTGCCGTGTGATTTTATAGCTCTTCCCATTGAGAGGTCTGAGTTCTTCATTTCTCTACCATTTGAATCACCACTGCTCATGTAACTTCCTGTGTTGATGCAACATTTGCAAACACGGTGCAAGCAGAGATTTGCAAAGAACTTGCAAAGATTTGTTTTTCTCTTGATGCTCCTGGACTCATTCAGCTAACATGTGAACAAGCTCAGGTTTGCTGAAAGATGAGAGACCACGGGGAGAGATGGCCTTAATAATCCCAGCTGTCCAGGACAAGGCAATCACAAACTGGTCAGTCCTAATCAACCCACTAGCCAATGGCAGACACAATGAGCCCAGCCAACGTCAACTGAGCCTATCTCAGACCAGAAAAACAGCCTACCTACCCCAAGTTCAAATTGCCAACCCACAGAACCAGGGCTAAAGAAATGGTTTTGAGGAAATTTGTTACACAGCAGAAGTTAACTGGCAGAGTGGCTATAGCTTGTTTTACTTGACTTCAGAGAACATATAAAATGAAAATACTCTTATAAAAGTCCTCTTACCTCAAATTTTCCAGGTGACAGATGAATTTCGGTAAGTAGCACTTCAGGAAAAACATACTCTGTTCCAAATGTGCCACTGAGGGAGAACATTTCAAATCTTGTAGAAGCAGTTTCTACTGGCCGTCCACAAGTTGTCAAATTAGTAGTTTTGCACTTCAGCAGTGTGCAGACCTATGTGGAACAAACGCAGATAAAACGCAATGCCTTACATTGAAGTTACTCATACCAGAAATGTTGCCTTAGTTTTTAACTACAGCGAAGCAAACATTATCTTTCTCTGAAAAGGGATTTGGATCATGTGTCTTATAATTAACTGCTTTATTAAAAATGGCCAGTGACTTGAGAATCAACCCACTTCCTAAATAACAAGCGGATTAAGAGAAAGAAGTCAGTTTAGAATTAGAGTTAAACCATTAGTTTGGTATGTCAGATGATGGCATCGAGCTCAATGAAGTGGAGATCTTTGGGCAACAATAGTACTGAAGAGTACTGAAGCTGAAAGGATATTAAAATTTTTTCCACCCTTTAATCTCACCTCTCTTCCCAATCCTTTTCTTTAGAAGAAGGCAGTGGGACATGGAGTATAATAGGAAAATACAAATTCAGAGCCAACATTCTATAAAAAGTTTCATCTTTAAAATTTGTCATTTGAAAGCAATACAAGGCCAGGTGTGGTGGTTCACACATGTTATCCCAGCAATTTGGGAGGCCGAGGCAGTCGGATCAGCAGAGGTGAGGAGTTGGAGACCAGCCTGGCCAACATGGTGAAACCCTGTCTCTACTAAAAATATTTTGTATATGTGTATATATATATATATATTTTTCCAGGTGTGGTGGCACATGCCTGTAGTCCCAGCTACTCAGGAGGCTGAGGCATGAGAATCGCTTGAACCTGGGAGGCAGAGGTTGTAGTGAGCCGAGATCATGCTACTGCACTCTAGCCAGGGTGACAGAGTGAAATTGTCTCAAAAAAAAAAAAAAGAAAAAGAAAAGAAAAGAAAAAGAAAGCTATACAAAACCCGGGACATCTGATTAGAAGAGAAACTAAAATAAAAGTAGTATCTCTATTTACTGTTAGTTTTGCAAGTGAAAATAAGACTGTTTATAATTTAGATATGTTGGCAAACCCACTTAAGGAAGTCTTCTTGATGTTCTCCACAGTAGGCTGGTTTATTAGTCAAATCGAAACTCATCATGGTTAGGTTAATAATTTTTTAAATATGCTTAAAGCAAGCAATAAGATTATACTTAATTCCCATTGTAAATATTTTATCCCAGTGTATGTACGTGCATAAATGCACGTGTGTGTGTGTGTGTTGTGTGTGTGTGTGTTGCCATCAATGCATGGAGTCAAGCCAAGGAAAAGCACCTGGTTTTCTGGAACAAATATAAAAAGTTAACCTGGAATTTACCTTTCACTTGAATGCCCTTTCATTTGAACTGAAATTACCTGCCAGTACTCTCTTCTCCTTCGGCCATGTAATCCTGTAAAAGCTCCTAGAACGTATACTTCATTCTCTTCTTTTTGTAACATTCTGTAGCTTAAATGACAGCAAAGCTCCTTTTGACAGACTGTAAGGTTTCCTGCATTTTCAAAAAGTTCTGTGAAGTTGAACCCATCCCTGGAAATAAATCCCCTGAAAGTGTTTTTCTGTACTGGAAATGGTTTGATGGTGGTGGCGTAGGCATTCCAATTAACAGCTGTTGGGTAGGCAAGCGAGGATAGGGGATGTGAATCCACCTCTGAAAGGAGAAGTTTTCCCAACTCTGTCTTCATGTCATAATGATACACTTTGGGACCATTTGGTGCATAAATACCACTTCCTGTGAATGAAAGACAAGTCTTCTAAAAACAACACCACACACAAAAAAACCAAAACTGCCAATTTCCCCATCAGAATTGGGCATGTGATCACGCCACCATATTAGTCACGATGAGAGAGGATACATGCTTCTAATTGCACTGAACACCTAACTACTTCTATTCTCTAATGGAAGAGATTAAAATAAACATTCCTTGGTCTCATTTCAATTAAACCTTAAATATAATAGCATTATTTATTAGCATTATGGAAAATTAAACCAACTACAAAAATCTTTGTAGTCAGGAGTTCCTGAAAGGTGGGGAAAGGGAATAAAAATTCTCCCCTATTCCTCATTGTGGTGGTTTTCAAATATATCCAAAAATTCCTTAAAATTCTTCTTTCTGGTGGGAGGATCTAATTCCTTTCCCCTTGAAGAGGGGCTGGACTTAGTGACTCACTTCCAATGAATAGAACATGGCAGAAGTGATGGTGGGTAACTAGTCATAAATAGCAATGTGGCTTCTTTCCTTTTCTCTCTTGTCCCCTCTCATTAATTGCTCTAGAGGAAGACAGCAGCCATGTCACGAGGATATGCCATGCAGCCATAGGAGGAGACAAAGGGCAAGATATAGAGGCTTCCATGGCCACTGAGGAAAGTAGTAGCTGGGTAGCATTTGGCAAATTACTTGCACTCTCTGTATGTCAATTTTCTCATCTGCAAAATTGGGATGACACTATCTATCTCATATAATTATTGTAATAATTAAATGAATAATACACATAAAGGTCTTAGTATAACCATAGCTTATAATCAAGTGCTAGCTTTTTTTTTCTATTGTGAAACTATGACAAACACAGTAAGAATTTCCAATAAGCAAAAAATTAATACAAGTCATAACTGAGGCATTCATTTCTCTGCACTTAAAAATATAAGATGAAACCTAACCTGGTCATGAATTACCTGTCATATTTAGGCTGACATGATGTGTGTTGGCCACAAGAAGATTAACTCCCATTCCCATTGCCCAAGCTGAATGGAATTCAATAGCTGTCAAAAGGGGCAAAACGTTCATCCAAGCTGTGGGAAACAGTATGGTGTCCACATGGAAATCTTTCACCAGGGTAACACCAGGATCATAGAAGAATATATCAAAGCACGTGAAAATGCCAAACCTTCCAAATGCGGTGTTGAAAGTCACCAACTCCGGCTTTTCAGGGACATTAAACTGAGGCTCAGAGTACAGGTGGTACTACAACAAATGGATAGGAGAAAACCAGTAAAACCTTATTTGTTGAAGAAATGACTCATAAAAACCCTCTAAGTTGGTAACAGATTTGGCTATGGTCAACTGCAGGGAATCTCCTAGGAAGCGGATAAATCTGGCAATTGGAAGTAAATTTCTAAGGAAAATGTGGAGGAATATGTAACATACGTCCATAGCATCTCTCATCTCCTCTCTCTCCCTTCTCTCTCTTTCCCTCTCTCTCAGTTAAGAGCCAAATACCCCCCCATAAACCCCAAAGTCCGTAAGCTTTTTTTAAATTTAATTTAATTTTATTTTTCTGAGACGGAGCCTCGCTCTATCACCCAGGCTGGAGTGCAGTGGCATGATTTCGGCTCACTGCAATCTCCACCTCCTGAGTTCAAGCGAGTAGCTGGGATTACAGGCACGTGCCACTATGCCCGGCTAATTTTTTCGTATTTTTAGTAGAGTCGGGGTTTCACCGTGTCAGCCAGGATGATCTCAATCTCCTGACCTCATGATCCACCCACCTGGGCCTCCCAAAGTGCTGGGATTACAGGAATGAACCACAGCACCTGGCCCTATAAGCTTCTTAAAAGTTAAAAAACATGCATTATTCTTCTTTGAATCCTTGGTGCCTAGAAACGTAATATTAATAGATGCATAATAAATACCTGTAAGTCAGGTGAGAGATGTCATCTCTCTCTTTAGTGTCCCATCCAAAGTAATCTCAGTGACTCTTGCCCACCTTTCAAAATTACCATAGAAATGTATTTAATTTCCCGATTCCTTCTAGGTAAACTAAAAAAAAACTTAGTCTAATATAATAAATGGAATCAACAGTTAATAAAATGGTCTGCAGTGTAGAAAAAATATCTAAAAAATAGAAAAGAAATTGGGCTTTACTACTATTTTAAGAATTGACAGGCCAGGCAAGGTGGCTCATGCCTGTAATCCAAGCACTTTGGGAGGCCAAGGCAGGCAGATAACTTGAGGCCAGGAGCTCAAGACCAGCCTGGCCAACATGGAGAAACCCCATCTCTACTAAAAAATCCAAAAATTAGCCGGGTGTGGTGGTATGCACCTGTAATCCCAGCTACTCAGGAGGCTGAGGCAGGAGAATGGGTTGAACCTGGGAGTCAGAGGTTGCAGTGAGCTGAGATCGTGCCATTGCACTCCAGCCGGGATGACAGAGCCAGACTCTGCCTAAAAAAAAAAAAAAAAAAAAAAAAAAAGGAATTGATCGACAAAGGTATTCTCATTAGGTTCACATATGTCAGAGGTCATGGGTTACAAACGGTCCCTGAGGTACCCTCAGGGAAGAGTGAGAGCCTTTCAACTTAGACAGGGTGACTGCAGGTTCCTTGCTAGTTTGTCCACATTCAGTGCACTGTGCCATCCTGCATATTTACAGAATGGCAGAATAGCTTCAAATGATTACTGCAAATAAACTGCATTGAAAGATAATACAAATAATGCAAACAATCTCCCAAGCAAGAAAATGGAAGCACTGACCTTTCTATTTTTACTATGAGACACATTTTAAGAAGAAAGTGAAATGCAGTGATATATATGAAAAGAAGCTGTCAAAATCCACAAAATTATGAAGAAAGCATTTTGAAATTGTTGCACTTTATAAATACACACACAAAAATACATATATTGAGGACTTATGTTAACGATTTTTTCCAATAGGGGTCCATGATCGAAATCATTTGAAAACCATTGGTTTAACATCCCTCCTCTTAATTAATATTTATATTTTAACTGAGACTGCCAGGAGATAATTTCTCCACTCCAAAGATTCTGAGGCTACAGTTTAAGATGCTTACAAAATATCTGGGTGTGGAGAAGGGACATTCATACTGCCTGTACATCACACATATCCATTTAAAAGGCCAGGCTTCTTTCTCTACCTAGTTTAGTATAAAATTATGACTTAAAGGTTATTTGATTCCTTTTTTCAATTCAGAATTTAAAGTAAACATTTTATGGTTTGATCTTAAATCTATAAGATGGTAATTAAATTAGCTGGTGTAGAAAATAAGGTATTTTGTGGTTTGATAGCAAATTAACTTATGCAAAGCTGATTCATACAATTTTGAAACATCTTTCTACCATTTCAATATTAAATAGTATTTAGATTATGGCTGTGCTCAGTGGCTCATGCCTCTAATCTCAGCATTTTGGGAGGCCAAGGTGGGAGGACTGCTTGAGGTGAAGAGTTCAAAGACAGCCTGGGCAATGTAGTGAGACTCTGTTTCCAAAAAAATATTTAAAAATTAGCATGGTGGCACATGCCTACAGTCTCAGCTACTTGGGAGGCTGAGGCAGGAGGATCACTAGAGCCCAGGAGTTTGAGGTTAACAGTGAGCCATGATGGCTCCACTGCACTCCAGCCTGGGCAACAGTGAGACCCTGTCTCTAAAAAAATATAAAATTATTGAAACAGTGCCCAGATTATAGTCACCTTAGTATCTTTTTTTATGTTAAAATTATTTGTTTTATATGTGCAAAAAGTTTATCTCAATCCTGGACCATCATGCTACTTTTTTTTTTTTTTAACAGTTCTCTGCCTACATGTTTTTCTGAGTAGTTTTTTACAACGTGTCATTTTCTTTTTTCTTTTTCTTTTTTTTCTTTTTTTTTTTTTGAGAGTCTCCCTCTGTCACCCAGGCTGGAGTGCAGTGACACAATCTCGGCTCACTGCAGCCTCCACCTCCTGGGTTCAAGCAAGTCTCCTGCTTCAGCTCCCACATAGCTGGGACTACAGGCATGTGCCATCACGCCCCGCTAATTTTTGTATTTTTTAGTAGAGACGGGGTTTCACAATGTTGGCCAGACTGGTCTCAAATTCCTGGCCTCAAGTGATCCACCTGCCTCAGCCTCCCAAAGTGCTGGGCTTACAGGCATAAGCCTCCACGCCCAGCCAAAAGTGTCATTTTCTTTATTGCCCACTTTCAAAAAACAAAAAACAAAACAAAACAAAAAAACCCTCTAGTAATATTGTATCATATAGGGAATGAAATTCAAACTCCTAAACCCAGCATTGACCACTCACAACACGCTCCATTTTACACGTCCGTCACTCTCTCTTACCTTATGGTAACGTGCCACGAGTTTTCCTTCTGTATTATACACCACATTGGTATTGTATTGAAAGTAGCCATTAGGAGGACATGTGGAGTCACGGGAATTACATGGCTTTTTGTCCCCCAAATTTGCCAAGACATAGATAGAGTTGTCCTTGGCCAGGCAGCTGAGTCTTGCTTGTACTGGTGTGTGACCAAATCTAAACCAAATTATAATTAAGAAATTTCAATTTTAAAAAAATATTTTAGTCACTTTATATGGAAACGATAGCAACTGTAACCACTTAAGTGGAACTTAAGTTAATACAAAAACTATGCCTAAAAATATCATACTTTAAAAGCCACAGATGATTATACACTTGATGAATGCTTCCCACACGGTATCTATTGCTCCAGAAATTCATTATTCGGTCTCCTGCCTCATCAAGGGTCTCCTCTCTACTGAAACATCCCATCAGCAATGAAATATCCTCTAGTACCTCCCATCTTTAAAAAATAAAATTAAAACCTCTTTTGACCTTTCCAAACATGCCCTTCCAAATATTGCTTTAATCCTCATCTCTCTCTTAAAGCAAAACTCCTCAAAAGATCAGTCCCTCTTGCTGTTGCCAGTTCCTCCTCTCCCATTCCCTTTCAGAGCACTCCAACTTGTATCTCTATCACCCAAACTCTTACTAATGCCAGCAGTGACCCCCACATTTTACCTGATCTCATCTTAACTTTTCAACAGCAGTTGGCACAGTTAATTACACCTCCTTCTGGAAACACCTCACTTCTCTATTGGACCCACCCTCTCATTTTCCTATTTATTGGTTGCTCTTCTTCGACTCTTCTGCTGATTCCTCGTTTTCTTCCGAGTCTAAACACTAGAATTTCCTAGTGCTCAAGCCTTATACCTAAACTCTTCTCTAACTCACTCCACAGGTGAACTCATCATGGTGTTTAACACCATCTATATGCTGACATTTGATTTTCTATCTCCAGATATAATTTTGTCTTTTCATGCCAGACTTGTCCATGCAACTGCCACGTTGACACCTCCAGGATGACAGTAGGACCCAGATTTTTAATATATATTAGAAGGTTTCTAGATAACCTTTTCCCAGGAAAATTAGATTTGTGAGCCTAGGAAAATGCAGTTTCAAAGCATAAGGTCTTATGATTCACTTGAAAATACATGGTGAAGTCTTTCTGCCTAAGAAGCAACTCTGGAATGGAGAGACTCTATAACATTGAAAGGGTGTCCCTTCAGCAGAGGCTTTGGAATGTATTCCTAACACAATCCACTGTCTACTTCAGAAATTAAGTTACTACTTGTATCTATGAGATCTCTTCCCTTAGTTTTTCTTGCAGGAATACCCTATTTACACATTTTCTCAAAATTTAATAAAGATTTTCAATCACAAAAGATTGTTAAATAGTATCTAAGTACAATTTTTTAAAATCTGACAAATGTTGAGATAAATATAACCATAACATATACCACATATATGGTAATTCAAGAGCAATCATTTTGCTTTGGTGAACGTGCGCATTTTAGAGAGTTACTTTTGCACAAAAGACTAAGATAGTTAAAATACCTGTGGGGGTCTTGACACGGAATCCAGTTCACCTGAGGGTCTGGGATATCCTCCAGATAAGGGAAAACAGTTTCCCTGGTAAATTTCCATCCATAAAGTGCATCTTCTGGAGTCACAATGATTCGAGCACCCTGTTCAAAACAAGCAAAATAAAAATGATTTTTCCATGTACAACACAGACAATTCAGCTCTCTCGTCTTCCACCAGCTCCCATGCCCCTCGTGTACATTATGATTAACAGAAATAAGAGAATACCTGCTCAGCTGCCTGCTTGATCGCTGTCTCCAGAATGTCTATATTCTCGTTCATGAGATTCAAGGCATCCTCCTGAGAAACTGGTGTTTCTGTTTTATTTGGCAAAATGACAGCATGTTCATACACTGCAGCTATAAAACTGTCCTGAGTACCAACCTGCAGGGTTATTAGGGCAAAAACTGCCACAGAGATTGGAAAAGAGGAAGTGACCATGGCCAAGGTTTAGTGATTTCTGAAAGCAAAAATAACATTCATGTAGTATTTACAGAGGGGAGAATGTTTGCATAACATGTGGCTGCCAGTTACTGGCCTTTTACTTTATCATCATTTTTCTTCTTCTTCTTCTTCTTCTTCTTCTTCTTCTTCTTCTTTTTTTTTTTTTTTTTTTTTTTTGAGGCGGAGTTTGCTCTGTCACCCAGGCTGGAATGCAGTGGCGCAAGCTCAGCTCACTACAACTTCCACCTCCCAGGTTCAAGCGATTGTCCTTCTTCAGTCTCTGAAACAGCTAGGACTACAGGTGCGCGCCACCACGTCCAGCTAATTTTTGTATTTTTAGTAGAGATGGGGTTTCACAATATTGGCCAGGCTGGTCTCAAACTCCTGATCTTGTGATCCATCCACCTCAGCCTCTCAAAGTGCTGGGATTACAGGCGTGAGCCACTGCACTTGGCCTACTTTATAATCTTAAGAACGCAATATATCTGACCACTTTTAAAGAAAGAAAAGTTGCAGTCCATTTAAGACAATCAGAAAGTATTACAGGGATTGAACAGCATGTACTATTAGTACTAAGATTTAATATTGAATTTCCAAAAGACACCCGAATTCAAATATAGAACAATTCCAGCTTTTGTTAATAGAAACTCATAACTAACTCTCGTGTAAAAAAATCACATCCCAACAAATATCTCATTTATTAAATTTAAAAATTGACAACAATTTTTTTGGTTCTGTTGAGTCACTTACATTGTGTTTATTTTTAGACGGGGGGGAAAATATTAAATACTTACTACTAAGAAAATGTAACACAGGACAATATTGATAACAAAATTTACCCAAATCTACACTCTGACTTACTTATTGCTATTAAGGACTGAAAACATGTGCTCCAGAAAAGCAGGATTTTGTGTCTGGTTTGTTCACTGCTGTATAGTTAGTGCCTACAGCAACAATACCCCGAGGCACCTAGGCCAGAGGAGGAATCTCAGCTCAGGGGCCCCAGGCCTCAGGATACTCCGCTTCTTTCCTTCTTTCTCTCTTTCACCCTTCCCTCCCCATCCTCCCCCTACTTCTCCTTCTCCTCCTACTCCTTCTCCTCCTTCTTTTTCCTCCCTCCCCACCCCCTGCTTTGGAGGAAGATGCCAGGGAAGGGGAAGAGTCCAGGATTGGTGATAAAGATCATCTGTGTTGTAATAAGGAGAAGATGTAACTTACATTTTTGTTAGCAGCAAATAACAACAATGAGTTTAAAAACAATGCTAACAGGCCAGGTGCAGTGGCTCATGCCTGTAATCCTAGCACTTTGGGAGGCCGAGGCAGGCAGATCACCTGAGGTCAGGAGTTCAAGACCAGCCTGGCCAACATAGTGGAACCCCCCATCTCTACCAAAAACACAAAAAGTAGCTGGTCGTGGTGGTGGGCGCCTGTAATCCCAGCTACTCGGGAGGCTGAGGCAGGAGAATCGCTGGAACCCAGGAGGCAGAGGCTGCAGTGAGCTGAGATCACACCATTGCGCTCCAGGCTGGGCGACAGAGCGAAACTCCGTCTCAAAAAAAAAAAAAAAAAAAAAAACAATAATAACAACAAATACAGGATGTGATCTCAGATGCCTTCTTAGGACATTCATATTCTCCCTTCCCCAGGCCCAATCCTGCCAAATAAAGGATTTGTTTTATTTTTATCCAGCCCTTTGGTAAAAGTCACGGAAATGCTTTTAGACAGCATAGAAGAGTAGGTACGATTAAACAAAGTTTATTCTGTGCTTTCCTTCTTACTGAGATAAATGTTTTGTTAAGAATGGGGCCTAGGGGCTATAAATAAGATCTGCTCATATTTTCTGCTTTGAATAGAAGTTTCTATTAAAGGAATAACTTTTCTTATCTCTATAGAGCAGAAAACTAAAAATAATTCAGGAAAAATGGTCAAGCCCTTTTGTGGAAAATGTAAAGGGATAGATATTTTTATGAATTTTTAGCAGATTGTATAATAGACTGTTAGTATATAACCATACTATCTAGTGTATAATTAGTAAATTAGCATAGGTGATTGGTATATAATAGATTATGAGTGCTGTTAGAGTTTAGAAATCATGTAACCCAAATGCCCACTTATTACAGGATAGGAATCTGAGGCATAGAGAGCTAGAGCGACAGAGCAGGATGTTCGCTTCTCATTCCTGATTCCAGAGTCTTTCCTTTATACCTAAAACAGCACATGTGTCTGTGCTCTCTTTTAATGTCTGCAACTGAGTGTCTGAACACTCGTGTCTTTTGGGGTTTTTTTGTTTTTTGTTTTTTTGTTTTGAGACAGAGTCTTGCTCTATTGCTCAGGCTGGAGTGCAGTGGTATGATCATGGCTCACTTCAGCCTCCACCTCCCAGGCTCAAGTGATCCTTCCACCTCAGCCTCGCTAGTAGCTGGAACACCAGGTACGCACCAACATGTCAGGCTAATTTTTGTTATTTTTTGTAGAGAGGAAGTTTCACCATGTTGCCCAGGCTTGTTTCAAACTCCCGAGCTCAAGCAATCCACCCACCTTGGCTTCTGAAAGTGCTGAGATTATAGGTGTCAGTCACTGCAGCCAGTCATTCATGTCTTTTAAAGAACCCAATTCAAAATGATCACCTTAAGAAGACCATAGGCAAATTTGCTAAGTGCTAATGAAATTTCTGATGCAGTTGATGCCTAATAAAAACAATTAAGCTCTTCCATCTCCATAAGTACAATTTGGGCCATGACCTACCTTCATTGATCTAGTATCACCAATTAGTAATACTTAATTAACTCTTTTGCTTTTAAGTAGTCAGGTAAGCTGATGAGGAGGAGTTAACAGTTTTATAATTTTGGCAGTAGAAGTGGGGACAATCATATCTGTTATTGTGTTCCCAAATCTGGATGTTTTTCTCTGTCCTTGGCTGTAAAAGATAGAAATGATGTTGATCAGAGTTTTGGATTTTTTGTTTGGCTAACAGGGAAAGGGAAAATCACTTCTGATATAAAATCAAGATGACTAAATTCCCTCCTTTGTTTTTTTATTTGAAGCATCTAAAAATTGTCTCATTGAAACTGAGAATTTGAGTAACAAAGGTAATTGCAAAAAAGAATTAGAAGTTAGTAAATGAAGGAGCAATTTAAATATAGGAAAATCCCTGAGATGTGAAGAAAATATTTGCTGTAGAGGTCATTGATATTGTTTTAAATCTTCAGAAGTAAAAAACCAAATTCAGGACATACAGTTTCAATAGTTGACTTTTCATAAAGATGATTGATCAGGTAAAGATTAAAATTTTTAGTTTAACTGAATTATAAAATAAAGTAAGGTTATTTTGCCACAGGGAACATTGATTAATTGTAATTCGTTGCTAAAAGAGCCTACTTCCTAATTTGCCATTTTGGGATTAATGAACTTAGCTAAAGGGGTAAAAAGTTAAAATCAATTAAAAATTATTTGGTCAAAGAGTCACCATAAAAAAAAAAAAAACAGTATTGGGGTGGGCGCAGTGACTCATGGTTGTAATCCCTGCACTTTGGGAGGCCGAGGCGGGCGAATTATTTGAGGTCAGGAGTTCGAGCCCAGCCTGGCCGACATAGTGAAAGCCAGTCTCTACTAAAAATACAAAAACTAGCTGGGCATGGTGGCAGACGCCTGTAATCCCAGCTACTCAGGAGGCTGAGGCGGGAGAATTGCTTGAACCCAGGAGGAGGAGGTTGCAGTGAGCCGAGATAGCACCATTGCACTCCAGCCTGCGTGACAGAGTGAGACTCTGTCTCAAAAATAAAAAACAAGCAAATAAACGAAAAACAGTAATAGCTCAAATATTTGTTTCTAATTGTGAATCTGATCATCTGTTAGAATAATGTTCAATTGGACTAGGTTTTAGGTCTTTAATTTTAAAAACCTCATTTTTTTCCCACTTTCTCAAGAGTAAGCATAGGGGTGTAGTTTCTGCTTTGCACCACTTCTTTGGACCTCTATTTCTCATCTAAAAGTTTAGGTAATCATACCTGCTCTATCTCCTAAAGATATGTGAAAGTCCTCTGTAAGACTACAACGCAGATGACAATAATTAACAAAAGTGAGTGACTATTTAGTAATATAATATCCTGACTGCTTAATATTATTTCATTGTTAGGCCCACAGAACTACTGTTGTTCAATTCAAATTCTAGTCTATTTGGATGACCGTGCTGAAGAACTGCTGGAATGAAATGGGGTTGACAGGGTACCTGGGCATCAACTCCTGATTCGTGCTAAACCCAGCGTGGTAGAAAAACTGCAGTGGGGTAGCAAAGGTGAAACAAGAAAACCAAGGAACTCAACCCCAGGAAGGAGAGGAGCTGCTCCAGGCTCTGACACTGGCTACTGGACTTCCTGTTCTGTCCCTTCTCCTGAATGCAAAATGACAAGTGAACTGAGAAACAAAGAATGGGAAATATCATGTATTATTATCAATGACATTCTCACAGGCAGCAAGGGTGACACGTCAAAATAAGAATAAGAAGCAACAATAGGCAGAAAAGCCAGGCTCCAGTGTTAAAACTGTTCCTCTTAATACTGTATACCAAAAAAGTACAATACTGTATCCAAAAAAAGTACTTAATGGCAAAGAAAAACGTTTCTGTCTCTACACCATTGGAGTATTACATATGGCTTTAGTGAGACTGAGTCAGGCCCTGTAAAAGGCAAGGTTGCCTTGAAAAGAACCAGCTTGAACTTTAACCATCTTTTGGGGCCAGGTCTCATTCAGATGAGGTAATCTTCCAGCTTTAGAGTTGGATGGGTGTTCAATGCTTCAGATAGCTAATGAACACAGCTGAAACCAGAGCAAATCTGAGAAGGTAATGATATATCACAGCCTTGGATTCTCTGAAAGCACTGCTAGATGGAAATGCTTGTGCAACATGAAATTGCCAATCATCACTGTTTTTGACCTAGCAAAAGTAATTTCACATGGTTCAACCAACATGTCTGTTTTCCTGTCTCAGAAACTTAGGGTTGAAGTTGCAGAAGTCCCTTTGAGTTAGTAGCATCCTCCCCTACTTTCCGACAGCTCCTGCTTCCTTAAAATAAAATATTAACAATATTAATCTCATAGGTCCACCCACTATGCCAGTCTATTAACCCTGCCAAAAGTTTCTTGCATTCACCAGCCGGTCCTTTTAAAAAATTAAAAATTCTCTTGACTGAATTAAAAGCTTTTGGTAAAGTCGGGATGACTGTCACCACAGAAATAAATCCACAGGAACTGGATCCAAGTCACTCGTTGATTTATGTAGGCAGTTGGAGAGACATGCGTTTGAAAGGGTATGGTAAGAAAATATCATGGAAATCGCAGACTTAAAAAAAAAAAAGATAGATTAAAAATAGAAAAGTTTATGTCTTATTGATCAATATGAGAATGTCACAGCAATCCACCAATAATGCCACTTGTTTATTTTCAGTGAGCAAGGAAGCAAAGAAAAAATAATGTTTGCAGCCCAAGGTAACTACTTACAGCTTTAGTCAAGGGGGAGCCTTCCACTCCTCTGGATCTCAGCTGCTTTCCTTTCCAAGGCCTGTGCTCCTCCAGTCACCCCTGGTGACTTCCTGTTTTGATTTCACTTTCTGGGTGGGCCGTACCCTTTGAGATGACAGACAGGAGTCCCAGCAGCTGCTGGTTCAAGGATGCTGCATCTTCAGTCAGACACCAGGAGAAAGAGTGTCTATTTTATTCTAGCCTGGCAATTCTGATTCCTGAGCTTTTCTTTCAAGGAGTTGTATGGGCCAGATGACACAGGCGAGGAGCATTGACACAATTTCTACTGAACCAAGCTCAGCAGAGGAACCACAGCAATAGAATCAGGAGATTCTCTAGCCTACAAAGCCTAAGTCGACTCTCATATTCATGTCATAGTCTTTCTCTTTAGCACATTATTCTTTTACTGTAAGACAGATCCCACTCCAGACTGTCCTTCAAATTAGAGAGAACTAAATTGTGTATGGTCCTGCATCTAGTTATGGAGAGCTTTTTTCTCACTGTAAGTTATAAGGGTCATGGTGGTATCTAATAATAATTAACATGGACATGGACTCTGGGGCCAGAATGCCTGGGATTGAGCCACTTCCTAGCTATGTGACTATGAGCAAGTTTTGTGCCCTCTCTGTGCCTCAGTTTCCTCTATCTGCACAATGGTGATACGTGCTGAATAATTTTTGCTATTATTACTATTGCTTCATTCCTACAAGATGGAGGCCCTATTACAAGAGCCATGCCCAAGGCAGCTTTTACCCAGGGTTTGGTGACATAACCACCTGTCCTTGGTTACTGTCTTGTTAAAAGAATGTCAATGTGTCTACTTCTTTATGTTTGCATTGTTCTGTCTGTCTCCACAAAGTCTTTCAAGTTTCCTTTCTTCCAGGTCAACCTGATCTGAATGGTTTCTCCTAAAATTATGAACTTAAATTCTGTTTCTACTTGCTAATCTTGATGGCATTCCCTCCATTTGTACCACAGATTCTCTTTCTGATAAAAAGCTTTCACTCCACCTATTTCATGCACCATTCTATTTTTTAAAAAACATGCTAAACAACCTGCTGTGTAACTGGATTACTCACACATTGCTGTTGGGAATGTAGGATGGTACAGCCACTCTAGAAAACAGCTTGGCAGCTCTCTGAAAAGTGAATCATGGCTCTACTCCTTTCCCTCTCTGGGTGGCAGCCAGGCATGGAGGCAGGGCAGGATCATAGCACCTCCTTTACCCTGCTTATCCTTCCTCTGGGGAAGGCTGACAGGACAGGAATTTAGAGGCTCCAGTAGGGGAAGAAATTCTTTATGAGCTGTTTCTTCAGTTTCTTGTAGGCTAAAACATTAACCACAGTGACTACATGCAAAAACAGAAAAATGGAAGTCTGGCATTTGTCTGCATTTTTTAAACACCTTAAAATGTGAGTCGTATGCCATAGTTCTACTGAATGGAGTTTGTTTATATGGAAAGATCAATTCATGCACAATATCAATTGGAAATTCTCACTCTTCTGAATCATCTCACCAAAGTTTTCAGTGCTGTGTTATGATAAATTCCTACAGCTATATGAATGAAGAAGCTGTGGGCAGATCTTAAGATAAATTAAGATAATTTAAGATGTTAAAGATAAATTTAATAAATTTATTATTAAGACAAATTCTTAATTCTCACAGCTATATGAATGAAGAATCTGTGGGCAGATCCTCCTTTCCCATGCAGTTCTTTCCAATTAATAATGTTGCTTTACTGCAATAATACTGTTTTTCCAGAAGATGCAGTAGCAAGCATACGATCCAATGCCATAGCTGTCTTACTGCATGAGATGATTGCCTACTTCCTAATTCACATCCCTGTCTCCCTCACTAAATCGTGTTCCAGAACTACAGGCTGGACCCAGCTTACTAACAACCAAGACACGAACCACCAAGCCATTCGCATTTTTATCAGATAACTAAAACGAAAGAGACAAAAGCCGACCAATAAACATGGTGATAGAACAGAAAACAATAGAAGAAATAATCATAGCCAAAAGTTCTGAAAATATAGGGAGAAGAAAAGGTATTAGTACTATTCTCAGATGAAAGATTTATCTACACTGGCTTTAATTCTCTTAAAAGAAAAAAAAACCTACCTGTATTTATGCAATAACTGATTTCATGGCTGTCATTTTTGAAATATACAATAATGTTACTTGATTGATTCGGTATTCAATTTTTGTCTTGACTGACAAAAACAAATGATATAATATACTGCTTTTTGTGTCTGGCATGCTATTGTTGACCTATCATCAACATGAAATACACTCTGAATTGTTTTAGTACTGATGATAAAATTGCACTGAGCTACAAGTCAAAATTTGTTATGACATCATGCTTTCCTAGGTGGTCCCTTGTAATACTCAACTATAAGTAAGCTGGGATTAGAAGTCCAGCTGTAGGTTTTCTGAAAGAAACTACTGCAAATATTTAGGAGTTGCAAGCTGCTCTTAATGAAGATTGGCTATGCAGAATTTAGTTTCCTTTGTTAATACTTTAAATAACATTTTAGCTTCTCCATGTAAATATGTTGTGTCTGAGCCTCCCCTCCTGTGGGTTTGTTTCATAAAACGGGGTCATGTGACAGTGACACCAAAGAAATGGTGAGTATCATGGGACTACCCTGTGGGTAATTTCCTTCTGATATGAATGTGTAGAGATACTTCTCAATTATTAATTGCACTTAATGAAAGTTGATTGGCTATATAAGAATTTATTATCCACATCTTTTCCAGCTAGGTTAGAGAGGGTATCTGTGACGTATTTAAATCTTGATCATTAAACAAATAAGTAAATAGGATATTTCTTATTTATTTATTTATTTATTTATTTATTTATTTTGAGACAGAGTCTTGCTCTGTCACCCAGGCTGGAGTGTAGTGGCGTGATCTCAACTCACTGGAACCTCCGTCTCCCAGGTTCAAGCGATTCTCCTGCCTCAGCCTCCTGAGTAGCTGGCATTACCATGCCCGGCTAATTTTTGTATTTTTTTGTAGAGATGGAGTTTCACCATGTTTGCCAGGCTGGTCCTGAACTCCTGACTTCAGGTGATCCGCCCACCTCGGCCTCCCAAAGTGCTGGGATTATAGGCATGAGCCACCATGGCTGACCAGATATTTCATTAATGCGTGATATTTAATATTTATTGTCAAAATCAAGTTTCTTATCTAAAATAAATGAGTTAGTTGAAAACAAACTAATCATGCAATTATCACGCAACTCAGCAGTTGTATTGCTGGGCATTTATTCCAGAGAAGTGAAGTCTTATGCTTCATATCCCACCCTCTACCCTCGCCCCTGGCAAAAACAAACAAACAAACAAACAAAAAACCTGTTTCTGAAAGTTCATAGCTGCTTTATTTGTAACAAATAAAGTAGTATTCCATTGTGTCTTAAAGCCACCCAATGGAATACTACTCAGCAATTTAAAGAACTGAACTATTGATACATGCAACAATGCCAATAGAACTCAAGGGCATTATGCTGACTGAAAAAAGCCAATCCAAAAAGTTTCATACAATACGATTTCATTTATACGTTTCTTGAAATGACCAGATGATAGAAATGGAGAAGAGATTAGTGGCTGCCAGAAGTGAAGATGGGAGGGAAGTGGGTGTAGCTACAAAAAGACAACGTGAAGAATGTGGCGATGGGAATGTTCTGTATCCTGGTTGTGCTATTGTACTATAGTTCTGCAAGATGTTATCATTGGTGAAAACCAGGGAAAGAATACTCATGATCTTTTTCTATTATTTCTTACAACTGCATGTGAATTAACAATTATCTCAAAATTTTTAAAGTTTAATTTTTAAAAATGATCTGTGATTTGTATTTAACCTTTTTAGTTTTCCTTTGGATTGATTTATGTATCATATTATAATGTATAGGTTGCAATATGATCTTAACATAAAAGATTCCTTTTATTACTAACATATTCCACATTCAGTTATATAGAATATTCTCATTATTAAAAAGGTTCTTTTAAGCTGCTCAGCCTTGTTACATTTAGAAGACTATAAATATATAAAAATACAAACACATACACAGAGATTTCCTTTGATAGTTTTGACCTACCTTTTGGTTTTCTTGTTCAAAGTGTTCTTTCCTCTGTCTTTTCTCATATTTTTTAAACTTTTCTGTGACTTTTTTTTTTTTTTTTTTTTTTGAGACGGAGTCTTGCTCTGTCACCAGGGTGGAGTGCAGTGGCGCAATTTCGGCTCACTGCAACCTCCTTCTCCCGGGTTCAAGCAATTCTCCTGCCTAAGCCTCCCAAGTAGCTGGGACTATAGGCGCACACCACCATGCCCAGCTAACTTTTGTATTTTTAGTAGAGATGGAGTTTCACCAAGATGGTCTTGATCTCTTGGCCTCGTGATCCATCCACCTCAGCCTCCCAAAGTACTGGGGTTACAGGCGTGAGCCACTGCTCCCGGCCCACTTATCTTAATACTTGCAAAATTTCAAAATGAGAAAGGAGTAAATTTGGTTTTGTACATAGCATCTTTAAATACACTGCTATCCAAGGGAAGTATTGAGAGCCGTGTGTTGGGAATGGGGATGAAGGAAGTTCTCTCCCCAGAGAGCCTCGAATCCTTGCGTTGACTTTGAATTCTCAACAATCAACTGTGCTGGTAACAGAATAGGCTGGCCCAGATAGTGGGTAGGAAGGTGCAAGCTGCAGACTCATGCTTTAATAGTGGCCCCAAGTGACAGTGGCAGGGACTGCAGGCACTCAGCCGCATCCAAGACCACCGGGCTGAGGAAGGGCGGCTGTCCTTGCGTGGGTGGACATGAAGGTCAAAAAAGTCCTGGAGGGGGCCAGGATGACTTAAGGCAATCAAGGCCCAGATCTGCATGCCACATGGGTGCAGGGGGCCAGGGTCACACTCTGTCCTGGCACTGCTCCGGGAAGGGAATTGCAGGCCATTTGTCCTCCTCAGACATTGGATCGCCCTCTGGAGGTTCAAGAGTGAAAGGTTTGAGGGGATAGGGAAATGAAGAGATCACAAGACAGATGTACATCCAGTCTTGACACTCAATGCCAGGCAGTCTTCCAAAGCCATCCTCTCCTACCCTGGGTATTGTCCTCCTTTTCCATATTTTTGGTTTTGGTGGTGTGCAATGACATCCCATGGTGGCTTGAACTTTTGCCACTTCAGGATCCGTTTTGCTCCTATTCCCCAATTCACTAAGAGTCACCACCATCCACCCACACCCTCAAGCCAAAACCTAGGAGTCCTCCTAGATTCCCCTCTCCTCCCTCCACATCAGCAAGTTCTGTTGGTTCCACTCCCAGATAGAGCCTTTTCTCTCCATCACAAGCTCCCTGGTCCAAACCATTATTGTCTCTCTCAAATCTTCCAAAGCTCCCCCTCCATTCCCTTTACCGTCCCTATCCCCACTCACTGTCCACATGCAGACAGAATGGACTTTCTGAAATGTGAATCAGATTCTGGCATCGCCTCCAGTTTACTAGACTCCAGCCAGCAGACCAAACCTCATCTTTGACCATGTCAAGCCCTTGTGCACATACTACGGACTGTCCCCTGTCAGAATGAATGGTGGTTACATCCTCTTCCTTTAGATCTCAACTCAAAGGTCGCACTTCCATGGACTTTTTCAAATTAGGCACCCATATCTAAACAAACCCAGCCAACTACTCTATCACATCACCATGTTTTTTTTTCCTTCTTAGCATTTCTGTAAGATAATTGGAGAGTCTGATATTTATTTATTGTTCGTCTCTTCCACCAGTATAAGTTACATAAAAGCAGAGATTGTGTTTATCTTGATCACAGCCAAATCCCTAGCATCTGGCATAGTGTCAGCTCAGAGAAGACATTCAAAAGATATTTTTGAATGAATAGATAAAACCATTTCTTCTTTAAAAAAATTACTGTAAATGTGGCTACTACACCATGAAAATAGACCAAGAAGCATGAGAGTTACACAATAGACATTTATTCACTTCAACATCACAATTTCACACGAAGTTGGAGGAAGCCCTTCCCTAACAAAACAAGCATTCGCATTAGGGGAAGGAGGCTGACCTGCTCTAGGGATGAAATACATCTACCAAGATATAGATAAAAACAAAAACAAAACAGATGGTAGAGCCAAAAAACAGAGACATTAAAGGAAATGAAAAACGTTATACCAAGTAATGTTTATAAATCCAGATCATAAGTGAACGTAGGTTACAAAAATGGAAGTTGTAAGTATTGTTATTCTTGTACTTTTCACACAAACAGAATTTTTAGAAAAGCTTAAGGTCAGGGAGTGCTAGAGAGTTTCTGTATGGCAGGCAAGAATTCTTCCTTTTGAACAAGACCGAAAAACCTCAGGACAAAGAGAAAGTATATCTTTTAAAAACTGATTTCATAGTAATGTTTCTACATATTTTGAAGCACCTTTATGTATTTAGAGCATATCAAATTAATTCATTTCTTTCCCTGTTAATAAAAAAGGTACATTCACAGAATCAGTGTACTTAGAATAAAAAATAAACAGAGGAAATAAGAACTAACTCGAGTTAATAACAACATCTTTAAGGACAAGTTTGGTCATTTAAAAACTAAGTCTTGTTTTGTTTTGCTTGTTTTTAATTACTCCTTTCATACTTAATATTTCAAATATAGCTGCTTCAGCAGGACAGCTTTTCAGTATCACAGTAAGTACAGCCCAATACAGGATCATCCAAAAACACGTTGACACTTCCAAGACACTGGCACGGGGTCCACGGAGTTTTGCGCGTAAAATTTTAAAAACCCTTCCTACGGTGATGTTTAAGGCCAGGAGCATTCATTTCTCAACCTTGTATCAATCCAGGATCCATCGGACTAGGTTTCATTAGGCAAGAGAGTAGTTCGTTCCTCCTCTGTGCTGAGGATGTTTTGAGATTTAGACCTACATTGAGGGAAAGAAGAGATGAATCTCAATATTTCTCATCTTAAAAACAAACAAACAAACAAAAAACCAGTACCTGTATCTCCATCCAACTATCTTTTTAAAAAAGTTTCTACTGCCCGGGCATGGTGGCTCACGCCTGTAATCCCAGCATTTTGGGAGGCAGAGGCAGGCGGATCACTTGAGGTCAGGAGTTCGAGACCAGCCTGGCCAACATGGTGAAACCCTGTCTCTACTAAAAATACAAAAATTAACTGGGCATGGTGACCCATGCCTGTAATCTCAGCTACGTGGGAGGCTGAGGCAGGAAAACCGCTTGAACCCGGGGGGCAGAAGTTGCAGTGAGCTGAGATTGTGCCACTGCATGCCAGTCTGGGTGACAGAGCAAGACACCATCTCAAAAAATAAAAATTAAAAAAGTATCTACCAACTGATGAGCCTCAGAGTGCTTAGAAATCCACTGACTGGAAGAATAAATGTAAAATGTTATTTATTTTCCACTTGCACTGGCTAACTTTTAAAGAGAGAAAAAAAGCCCCAAAATTGACCATACCTTTTTCTCCTTGAATACTCCAGTAGATAAAACAAGCCCATGGCTAATCCCTTAAACACAATTAAAAGTACTGATTAATGTAAATTTTCCAAGTCAAGTTTTTCCACAAATATAAGGAAAATGCAAATAAAAGACTGATTACTCACACTTATCAGAGCCCATAGACCTTGTATAGCTGCTGCCCATTCAAAACCAATTTTCTCATACAGAAATCCACCCAGCGTTGGTCCCATAAAAGCACTAACAATAGAAAGAAGAAAAAGTATTCAATAGTGCAAAAAATAAATAATTACTTCATGAAAAGCTACATGATCCTTCAATTGTAAGTCTTCATTACATTGGAAGATAAGTACTAAAGATAAAGCTAATTCCTGGGCACAGCATTCAGTAAAAGAAAATAATTCTACCTGATAATGACATTCAAAATTTTTTAACAATTTTGAAATTATTACTGCTTCTGAAAAGTTGATGGCTTATATAAAAATAAAAAATATGAAACAGATTTAAAAAATTCTTTATATTATTCTATTCTCAGTATTTGCAACTAATATAACTCAATTCAAAACAATATATTACATTGTTAGCATAGTTACCCTTCTGGTAGAAGGTAAAAAATAAACAAATGAATGAATAAATGAATAAATTGTAAAAATCAGAGACATGTTTCTATTAAAGGAACTTATAAATACCACTCAAATAAGATAAAGTATATGAAACCATTTTGACTAAGTATTAAACTGTTGGTATAGGCATTGATTGTTGAGTGAAAGGGTATGGATTAGAACTCTGGCTTTCCCCTAGATGAACTGTTTGTCTTTGAGAAACTCATCTGATCCCTCAGTGTTTCAATTTCTTCATCAACATCAAGCAGGGATAGTATTAATATTTTCCATCTTGCAAGTATGAATGAAATTAAATGAGGCTGGGCACAGTGGCTCATGCCTGTAATCCCAGCACTTTGGGAGGCCAAGGCGGGCAGATCACCTGAGGTCAGGAGTTCAAGACCAGCCTGGCCAACACGGTGAAACCCTGTCTCTACTAAAAATACAAAAATTAGCCAGATGTGGTGGTGGGCACCTGTAATCTCAGCTACTCAGGAGGCTGAGATAGAAGAATCTCTTGGACCTGGGAGGCGGAGGTTGCAGTGAGCCAAGATCGCACCATTGCACTCCAGCCTGGGTGATGAGAGTGAAACTCCATCTCAAAAAAAAAAAAAAAGAAAGAAATTAAATGACTACTCACCCAATTGACCACATTGCACTAAAAAGACCTGATACAAGTCCCAATGTACTTAATCCCTCTTCAAACCCATTTTCACTGCAAAAAGAGACATGAGTGTATCCATTATTAAAAGGAAAACCTGTGTGAAAGAAAAAATTGTATGATAGATCAATTAAGATAAACCAAGGATAATCTGGAAAAAAACCAACAGCAAGAATACTCTGCTTCTAAGATAAAAAGCAAATCTTATTTAAAAGAATTTTCATAGTTACATTTACTCCATGGTTTTCTAGAAATAATTTTTCTGCATATATATATGATATTAAGAAGCATGGCTCATTTGCATTAAATACTTATAAAAATATATAATTAAGAAATTCTTAAAATGAGATGAAGATGGAAAGAGAACAAAGGCAACTTTTAAAAAACAGAGATAGTTCCTTATTCCCATGAGAACTATTGAACTGACCCAGCACAGCCATAGTACTTAGTGTTCTTCATCATCATGCCTATTAAACAAAAGAATGATGACCAGGTGACAGATGCTGGTCACTCTAGGCTCTCTCATGGACCTCCTCCATGAAAGAGGAACAATGCTGAGACCTATCTATTTTGCTTTAGCTTTTCAAAATTACTTACATACTGAGGCATAAACCAAGCCAGACATCTGTCCACAACCCATTTTAGCTATTAATGTACTATTATCATTTCTATTAGTGTATTATTACTATTTATATCATAATATCATATGCTACAAAATCATGAAGATTTAACATTGGGGCAAAAATATCCAACATGCTGCAAAATTGAGAAATTCAAGAAAGCCTGTGATACTTACTACTTATTCACAATACAGCTCTTCAAGCAATGGAAGTAACTTACTGTGCACAACTGAGAATTTCCGGGAAAGTTGGAATTATACTCATTCCAGCAGAGAGGCCACTTACAACTAATATCAGCACCAGCAGCCAGAGCTGACTGCAAAAGGGTTTTGGAGAAAACAAATACAAAAAGAAAAACATTAGCGTTTTAACAAACACAAAGCTTAATGCTAAGGAAGTGAGGATCCCTGATAAGTTATTTCACCGATTATGTGCCTAGTCTCATTCCCTTTCCCATCTAACCCATTTCATTCAGTTAGAGTGTCCTTTAGCTCCTTACAGTTTTGGGGGCGGGGGGGTGGGGGGGAATTCATCCTGATATCTCCATCTCTTTGGTCCTTTGGTTACACATATCACATATCTGGAGCCAACCTGGCTTCTTCTCACCAGACAAAATCCCTTCAAAATTGGTGAAAACGTCAGTACTAAAACTGTTCTTTCAATCACTCGGCTTTGAACTTCAATTAATTTAAAGATGGCATAGAAGGAAAGAGGTAAAAGAAGAGTCAGGAAACACATTTGTTCCATGTGAGGAGACTATGCCAGTTACTTAATATATGTTACCAGATTTAATCCTTGTAATGTAAGTACTATTATCAGCTCCTTTTTGTAGATGAGAAAACCGAGGCTCTTGGAAGTTAAGTGGTTTGCTTATTAGTACATGGCAAAGCCAAAATGTAAACTCAGGTCTGAAGGACTCTGAAACCCCTTCCTTTCCAGGTTACTATGTTTTATCCCAGAAGTACCTGAAAAGGTCTAAGAAGTTCAGTTTATTTTAGCAACTAAATTACATTAAGCAAGGTCTAATAAGCAGCTACTACATGCTAAGGATGATACAGAAAGAAAAATAGATTTGGTCCCTGCCTCAAGGAAAAAGAAAAGAAAAAAAAAACAAAAATATATTCTAAGAACTATCAACTAAAGGTAAGTAGCAACAAATTCTATTTTAAAAATATAACAAAAGTATAAACAAGTATGTACAATTGAAATACAGAAGGAGAATATGCATTTTTGTCATTTGAGACAGATTTTATGCATTTTTTTCTGTTGTCCCACTGCTAGCTTCTAGTAGGGTAAAATATTGTCAGCCTAACAATTCAATAGAGTCCTAAAGTTAATTATTTAAATATTAATGTTCAAAATACTAAACTATACCAATGTTAAAACAAAATTTTTCGAAATAATTCCTAATGTTATTTGGCCAAACATACAGAAGAAGAAAAAAATTACCTTTTAATATGCAAGATTGGGACAGGCCCTAAGAGCATGTAGCACCCGGCTGTGATTAAGTTGCCAAACACCAGAAGCCATTTCCTTAGAGGCTGGTAAAGGAGAAAGAGAGTCAAAATGATTCTTAGAGGCAAAGACCCTCCATAATCAAACAACGTAAAACATTAGTAAAAAACACAAATCATGATATTCAAAAACCCAAATACAATGAAGAAAACAAAACTTTACATTTAAAAGAAAGTAAGGAGATGATAAACTCGCAAGCAATGACGATATATAACAAGGCAGAAAGTGAACAAAGGACAAAGATTTCTTAGCAGGGGAGTGCATTGCAGATCAGATTTTGCACATGATGAACTATTACAAATATAACAACGAAAAAACTCATTATAAAAAGCAGTAACCGGCCAGGCACGGCGGCTCACACCTATAATCCCAAAACTTTGAGAGGCCGAGGTGGGAAGATCCCTTGAGCTCACAAGTTTGAGACCAGACTAGCCAACATGGTGAAACCCTGTCTCTATTAAAAAAATACAAAAATTAGCTGGGCAGGGTGGTGGACATCTGTAATCCCAGCTACTCAGGAAGCTGAGGCAGGAGAATTGCTTGAACCTGGGAGGCGGAGGTTGCAGTGAGCCAAGATCACACCACCGTACTCCATCCTGGGCAACAGAGCAAGACTCTGTCTCAAAAAAAAGCAGTGACCACAAAAAAAACCCACCAAGTATTAATAGTTACAATACCTAGAAAAATCACATTATTAAAAAATTACCTGCTAGAGACTGAATGCTTATGTCCCCCCAAAATTTATATGTTAAATCTTAACACCCAATGTGATGGTATCTGGAGGTGAGCCTTTGGGAGGTGATTAGTTAATGAAGGTGCAGCCTTCATGAATAGAATTAGTATCCTTATACAAGAGGCCCCAAAGAGCTCCCTTGCCCATTCCATCATGGTGAGGTTAAAGTGAAAGATGACAATCTGTGCGCCAGGCAACAGGCCCTCATCAGACATCAAATCTGCCAGTGCCTTAATCTTGGACATGTCGGTCTCCACAATTGTGAGAAATAAATTTCTATTGTTTATAAAGCCTCTCAGTTTACGATATTTTGTTATAGTATCCTGAATGGACTAAGATTGTATCCAGTAAAATTATCCCTTATAAACTACTTGAATCAGGACAAAAATTACAGGGGTACCATATCTGCTCAGTTATGTAAGATTATGTCTGAAAACCAAGCTCCAAACACTGTTTAAGATACTTGCTTTTTGACATCTGGGTTACTAAGTAATCCACAAGTAATTCTGTTCTTGATAAATAAATATGCAAATGAAATCAAGGGAAATGCAAAATATAAGCCCTAAAACCGCAGAAGTTTAAGATTTTACTAACAGTACTAATTCTGTACTCTGATCATCTGGACTGAATGGTTTAAACCTGGTTGAAAGAGAACAGAAGGGTTTTTTTTGTTTTGTTTTGTTTTGCTTTTCTTTTTATCAGAAAGGCTATGGGATAACCAGTGCATATTTATGTGGTCAATTCTTTCACTCACACAGAAAATCTAAATTACCTCCTCCTAAAGAAGAATCTCTCAATTTGATCAAGTCCACAGTAGCCTCTAGGACTTTGCCCTATTTATTAAGATCAATCCATTTTTTTACATCAAGTGAGCTTTTTTCATAAGAGAGTTTAATCTAGGAGCTGGATGTGGTGGCACATGCCTATAATCCCAGCTACCTAGGAGGCTGATGCAGGAGGATCACTTGAACCCAAGAATTCAAGGCTGCAGTGAGCTATGATCGCACCACTGCACTCCAGTCTGGACGACAAAGTTGGGGGAAGAAATTAGAAAAGGAAAGTCTAATCCAATTTATTTTTTTTTAAGCATAAGACTCTTCCTCTTTTCCCAGGTGAAGCAATTTAAAGTGAACTGGCTTAGTGTGATAGCTGACCCTTAGGGTGATAGAAAACACTGAAACCTCTCCATCAGTCCAATTGAATATATCAAGTCTAACCAGTGGAATCCTAGAGTTCCAAAGGAACAGTTGGAAAACCACTGCTCTAAACATACAAAAGTGACTCAAATATAAATTAAGTGTACGTACTGGCCTTTTATCACTTAGGAGACCAAATAGTGGTGAAGAGATGGCATAGGACAGTGCCATACCCAGGAATACTAGTCCCACATATCCAGCTGGTAAATTGAACTGTAAAAGAAATCCTATATTAAAGTTACATAATTAAGTCATTTTTAAGTAAACATCCCTCTTTTCCCTCTACCATTTCTTTAGCTCTTATTACCATGAGTCTACTAATAATATTCTGCATTTTCCTAATTTTCATCTTACCTTTGAAAATGCGTTACTTTTTCTCTCTATGGGAGGACAACCTAACCAGAAGTCAGAAGAGTAGATTTTTTGCTTTGTAGCCTTTGGCATTAAACATATTTTGCTTCCATAACTCAGAGCATTTTTATATGTAAATTAATGTTTTGCAAACTTCAATGTGCATAAAATTTACCTGGAGAACTTGCTAAAAGAGATTCTTGGATTCCAACCATAGGGTTTCTGATTCAGAAAAAGAGGAAAATAAATTTCTAAAGATTTCTTAGGTTGGAGTTGGGTAATAGGATGGGCTGCAGCACTTCCACCTGAAAAGGGAGCAGCAGTGGTGAGGCACCACCAATAGCCCTGAGAGAGTCAAGGTCTGATGTAAAACCGGGTGTGGTGGCTCATGCCTGAAATCCCAGCATTTAGGGAGGTTGAGGCGGGTGGATCACTTCAGGTCAGGAGTTTGAGACAAGCCTGGCCAACATGAGGAAACCCCATCTCTACTAAAAAACACAAAAATCAGCCTGGTGTGGTGGCGCATGGCTGTAATCCCAGCTACTCAGGAGGTGGAGGCAGGAGAATCGAGGTGGAGGCAGGAGAATTGCTTGAACTTAGGAGGCAGAGGCTACGGTGAGCCAAGATCATGCCACTATATTCTAGCCTGGGTGACACAGTGAGACTCTGTCTCAAAAGCAAAAAAAGTTCTGATATAGTCCATCATCAGCCAGGAACAAGTAGGGCCTATACTACCTCCCATGCCACAAATGGGTCGATTATATTTATCTCTGAGGAAACCTCCTGTCTTCCTCATCACTTAAAAATAAATTAAATTTTCTTGAGAAACAACAAAAAAGATTTATTATAAGATATACACAAACGGGCCAGGTGCGGTGGCTCACGCCTGTAATCCCAGCACTTTGGGAGGCCGAGGTGGGCAGATCATGAGGTCAGGAGATCGAGACCATCCTGGCTAACACGGTGAAACCTCATTTCTACTAAAACTACAGAAAAATTAGCCTGGCCTGGTGGCACACACCTGTAGTACCAGCTACTCGGGAGGCTGAGGCAGGAGAATTGCTTGAACCTGGGAGGAGGAGGTTGCAGTGAGCCGAGATCGTGCCATTGCACTCCAGCCTGGGCAACAGAGCAAGGCTCCATCTCAAACAAAACAAAACAAAACAAAAAAGATAAACACAAACAACTTGGATTTCCCAGAGATTATAGATTTTTGTTGTTGTTGTTTAGACACAGCTTCTTAAAAGCACAGAAAAACAGCTCAAAAATACAGGTTGTTGATGATCTAAATGGACTGTGTCAGTATAATCATAAAACATTTTTCTTATGGGTGTCACACGCGTCCGTGTAAACAGACCACCAAACAGGCTTTGTGTGAGCAATAAAGCTTTTTAATTACCTGGGTGCAGGCAGACTGAGTCCGAAAAAGGAGTCAGCAAAGTGAGATAGGCTTGGGGCAGTTTTACAGGCTTTGGGTAGGTAATGGAAAATTACAGTTAAAGGTGGTTATCTCTTGCGGGCAGGGGCGAGGGACACAAGGTGCAGGGTGGGGAATATCATAAGACTCATTGTCCAGGGGAGGAATGTCACAAGGTCAATTGATCAGTTGGGGTGGGGCAGGAACAAATCGCAATGGTGGAATGTCATCTTTTATGGTTCTTCAGTTGCTCCAGGTCATCTGGATGTATACGTGCAGGTCACAGGGGTTATGATGGCTTAGCTTGGGCTCAGAAGCCTGACATTGGGTACCTTATGGATACTCACTGGCTAAAGGCAATATTATAATACTCTCTAAATCTTGGACCAGGCACTAAAATAACAGTCCCCAAGTTTACCTGTGAAGTACCCCAAACTGTCTTCAGTGATTTCAAGGGGTAGTGTAAAATTATAAGAAAAAATAATTTTAATCTTTACATTCTATGATAGGTAAATGTTCAGAAAGCATTGGAAATGACCATATTAAGCAACTTTGTTGATATTAGAAAATATATTGAAACTTAAGTTTCTGTGCTATTTTAAATCTAGTGCCTCAAAGTCATTATGGGTTGAAGTTAGTCATTTTTGCCTTTTATCAACACATATTAATTCTCCAGTATAGTTAACTACCACACCTGGTAATGGACTTCACTGTGTCAGTAATAATATTTTTTCAAAAATATCTAAGAACAAATTTCAATGACATCAAACTTTTAGAATTCAACATTTTATTTTTTAATGCTAAGGATACTTGGTTCCTTTCTCAAATCCCAGAATAATACAGTCCATAGTCATTTGATTATATGAAGCAGCTTAAAAAGTAAGTGGACCCAGGGGGGATCTGTTATAGAAGAAGCACATCTCACATCAAATGAGCTACTGTGTACCCCTAATGTCTCATTGCAATTCAAACAAATAGAGGAAAAGTGTCCTTGTTAAGCAGCACGGATGATGCCCAAGCTAAACCTACAATGACACGAGCAAGTTCTTGGAAAGAAGGAAACCAATGTTAAGGCCACTTAGTGAAAGACTTCCTTCATTTTTACTGAATCAGGTTCCTAGTTCACAGGGACGGTAGAGAGGGACACGCTACCTCGGTGTGTAGTGCCCATTCTACCTTCTTCTCCCAGCCACGCAAGGGTCTTTCCACAGAGCAGGGCCCAAGAACAAGCAGTTACATCCACCTGCTACAATGCAGCACTCTTCAGCAATCAGGTAACTTACCTTCTCCAAAACAAAGAGAGACAGAGTAGGATCGAGGAAGCCAAAACACGAGCTGAGTGAGTTGATGACGAAGGCTATAAGGCCAACTTTGGGTAAAGCGATCAGTTTCCAGAATGAGTGTTCACCTGGATCAGACTCTTTAGGGAAAAAATGAAAAAAGAAAAAAAAAATGAAAGCAATTAAAATCTCTTAATTTTAACTATTTGGAAAACTGGTAACACCATCTTTATCTGGTAATCAAAATGACTCAATCTCTGAGTTTGCCTAAAATTGTATACCATCTATACTTGCATATAAATTATTCAAACCTAGAGGCCACATTCAATTTATTAAAAACAATTTCCCAAGTTTAAAAAGAATCAACTGGAATCAGAGTGTGAGGAGAAGAAGGGGTCTTAGGTTACAGGTTGTAACAATTATACTCATCCTGGCCAGAGATAATATCAGGTTTGGACATGTATTAGTCTGTTCTCATGCTGCTAATAAAGACATACCTGAGACTGGGTAATTTATAAAGGAAAGAGGTTTAATAAACTCAAAGTTCCACATGGCTGGGGAAGCCTCACAATCATGGTGGAAGACGAAGGAAGAGTAAAGGGACATTTTACATGGCTGCAGGCAAGAGAGCCTGTGCAAGGGAACTCCCATTTATAAAAACATCAGATCTTGTGAGACTTATTCACTCCCATGAGAACAGTATGGGGGAAATCACTCCCATGAATTAATTACCTCCACCTGGCCCCACCCCTTGACACATGGGGACTATTATAATTCAAGGTGAGATTTGGGTGGGGATACAGCAAAATCATATCAGACATGAAAGCTTTTTTTTCTTTTTTTTTTTTAAGAGATGGAGTGTCTTGCTCTGTTACCCAGGCTGGAGTGCAGTTGTGTTATTACAGTTTACTGCAGCCTCCAACTCCTGCGTGCTCAAGTGATACTCCTGTCTCAGCTTCCCAAGTAGCTGGGACTACAGGTGTGCACTACCTCACCTAGCTAATTTAAAAATTTTTTAGAGATGGGGTCTCCCTATGTTGCCCAGGCTGGTCTCAAATTTTTGGCCTAAAGCGATCCTCCCACCTCAGCCTCCCACTTATGGATGTGGAAGCTATTTGATGGCCATGATGGCCCTCATTCATCCCCATTTCTCCTACTACATCCTGCACAGTTCATTATTCTGTAAATACTTGTTGAATCATGACCAAATATAAACATCATGCAGTGTGGTTCAGCTATTTTAAGTGTTATCCTTAGATTTTTTCAGGATATAAGAGATAAAAGTTAAACCGTGGTGTTAGTTTTTTTTTTTTTTTTTTTTTTTTGAGACAGTAGTTTTTTTTTTGGAGTGCAGTGGTGCGATCTCAGCTCACTGCAACCTCCACCTCCTGGGCTCAAGCGATTCTCCTGCCTCAGCCTCCCGAGTAGCTGGGATTACAGGCACACGCAACCACACCCAGCTAATTTTTGTATTTTTAGTAGAGACGGGGTTTCACCATGTTGGTCAGGCTGGTCTTGAACTCCTGACCTCGTGATCCACCTGCCTTGGCCTCCCAAAGTGCTGAGATTACAGGCATGAGCCACCACCCCTGGTAGGTGTTAGTTTCTTAATTATAAGCCAAGTATTCAATGGTGAAATAAATCTGAGCACATCCTTGATGCTCAACTACAGAAACTGCAGGATGTAGTTGGACTTAGAAAGAGGAGAAACACCACTGTGTGGCTCAGTGAGGTATTGCCAGCAGGGAGACAAGTTGGTATGATTTTTGAATTGTATATACTAAGGATGTTAGTTACTTTTAAAATATAAATTATAAAAGATTCTAATTTTAATTGGTTACATTTATTGTGAAAGTAAGAAGTATTATGTATTTACGGTAAGAAATAAATCATTATTGCACAATAGTCCCTTTTCCTAAAATCCAGGGTGAGAAAAGTTGTCATAATGAGAATATATTAAAACATCCATGAAAATGAAACATAATTAGTATAATTAAGCTGTTGAAGACCAAGTAATGAAAACTTGGGGTATTTGCTTGAAGGGACATGACTCCCTGGCTGACAAAGCCTGCACAGGAAGTTACTGTTAGAGATGGGGGGGTGGGGTTGTCCTCAGGTGTGAGGGGACAGGAAAAATACTGACCACTATGGCACTACTTACACAAAATCTAGTCCAGTGATCGAGAAGGTTTAGAAAAACTCCCCAGAAAAGGGCCGGGCACGGTGGCTCACATCTGTAATCCCAGAACTCTGGGGGGCCAAAATGGGTGGATCACGAGGGTAGGAGTTCGAGACCAGCCTGGCCAACATAGTGAAACGCTGTCTCTACTAAAAATACAAAAATCAGCCAGGTGTGGTGGCGCAGGCCTGTAATCCCACCTACTCGGGAGGCTGAGGCAGGAGAATTGCTTGAACCCGGGAGGCGGAGGTTGCAATGAGCCAAGATCACGCCACTGTATTCCAGCCTGGGCGACAGAGCAAGACTCTGTCTTTAAAAAAAAAAAAGAAAAGAAAAGAAAAGAAAAAGAAAAACCTCCCAGAAAAGGTAATAAAATCAAGTTTTGCAGGATGAGTAAGGGTTAGGTAGAGTGAAAGAAAGATATTCCAGATCATATGACTCCTCTACTTAAATCTAACAATAGGCCAGGTGCAGTGGCTCACACCTGTAATCGCAGCACTTTGGGAAACCAAGGTGGGAGGATCACTTTAGGTCAGGAGTTCGAGACCAGACTGGCCAACATGGTGAAACTCTGTCTCTACTAAAAATAGAAAAAGTACTCAGGTGTGGTGGCATGCACCTGTACTCCCAGCTACTCGGGAGGCTGAAGCATGAGAATTGCTTGATCCTGGGAGGCGGAGGTTACAGTGAGCCAAGATCACACCACTGCACTCCAGCCGGGGTGACAGAGTGAGACTCTGTTTCAAAAAAAAAAAAAAAAAATTCTAACAATAGCTCCCAGTGGCTTTCAGGATAACATTCACATTTCATGGATTTATGAATTTTTTATTTAAAAAATAACAAGTAAAAATTGCCTATATTTATGGTATAAAACATTATATTTTGATATGTGTATACATTGTAGAATAAGTAAATCAAGCTAATTAACACATGCTTTGCCTCACATACTTATTTTTTTATGGTGAGAACACTTAAAATCTACTATTGGCAATTTTCAAGTGTCCAATATGTTGTTATTAACTATAGTCACTATGATGTACAATAGATCTCCTGAACTTACTGGATTTAAAGATTTTAATAAGATAATTGACATGTCCATGACTCTATTTTAGAAGCTTTTTTTTTTAGAGCAGTACAGGAGAGGGGACTTGGTGAGCAGATATAATGAATGACTCTTAGCCACCTAATGCTAAAGCCATATTGTCTATGGGTCTAAAAGGTGGTAAAGAAATGGGTAGAACTTATAAAATAAAAAATTCTGCCAATATCAGTAATTTTTAAAATTTATTTGATTTTCTAGCATCTAGCTATAAACTCTTCTAAAATAATAACAATTTTTTTTTTTTTTTGAGATGGAGTCTCACTTTGTTGTCCAGGCTGGAGCGCAGTGGCATGATCTTGGCTCACTGCAACCTCCGCCTCCTAGGTTCAAACAATTCTCCTGTCTCAGCCTCCTGAGTAGCTGGGAGTATAGGTACATACCACCATGCCTGGCTAATTTTTGTATTTTTAGTAGAGATGGGGTTTCACCATGTTGGTCAGGCCGGTCTCAAACTCCTGACCTCAGGTGATCTGCCCGCCTCGGCCTCCCAAAGTGCTGGGATTACAGAGATTAGCCACTGCGCCTAGCGAAATAATAACAATTTTTAAAAATACTACTAATTGGGAATACTTAAATCTACATTTACAGCCTTAATATTATCAATCCTAGAGATTTTTTTTTAAATACCAGTTTATAATTTTTTGAGGGGGTGGAAGAGTCTCGCTCTATCACCCAGGCTGGAGTGCAATGGTGCGATCTCAGCTCACTGCAACCTCCACCTCCTGGGTTCAAGCAATTCTCATGCCTCAGCCTTCTGAGTAGCTTGGACTACAGGTGTGCACCACCATGCCCAGCTAATTTTTATATTTTTAGTAGACACAGGGTTTCACCATGTTGGCAGGCTGGTCTTGAACTCCTGGCCTCAAGTGATCCGCCAGCCTCAGCATCCCAAAGCTCTGTGATTACAGGCATGAGCCACTGTGTCTGGCCCAGTTTATAATTTTTTAAAAGCACTACTCAATGAGAACACCTGAATCTACGTCCTTGTATCTGAGCTACGCTGTGAGGACAGCTGCAAGGACCACTGGGAGAGAAGGATGGGCATTGTTCTCCTAGCTTATAGCCTTCTAGGAAGACTGGGCCATATGTGGCCCACAGAAACTTCTGGTTTTGATATTTAGTTCAGTCCAAGAAAACCTCTCATAGACATAGCGTATGGTAATGGTTTATGATCAGAAATTAAATATTTGCTAGCTCTAAAGGTTGGAAAGAATTTGTAATTTACAGAAATTCATATAAACTAATTGCCTACATTACTGAAAAAAGAATCAGTTATTTTTAAAAGCTATTTTTGATTATATAAAATAATAACTGGTAAAACTGGTCTCTTACAAAGGTATAAAAATATATTTAAGGTTCTTAAAATGAGTAATAAGTGTGGACTTACCGTAATTGGGTAAAATATACATATTGAGTGGTACCATCAGCAAAACGACGCATCCCAGAACAATAAAAGGCACTTCATAGCCAAAGGATTGATACAAAAAGCCACCTACAGGAGGACCTAGTATTAGCCCCAGTCCAGAAAAAGTCTCAAGACTTCCCTTAAAATGAGAAAAAGAAAAAATCAGTTTAAATATTTCATTTGAAGAATTAACATGGTACTATCTTTAAAAAAATTTCTATCTTCTTCATAATTTACATACACACACTCCCAAGATGGCCCCAAAATTTAAATGCACATATTGAAATCATAAAAATATTAGAAAAATAAAATATGGGAGTTTTAAAAAAATTGTTATTGTAAGGAAGGTATTCTAATTGTGACATAAAACACAGAAGATAAAAAAGATTGACAAATCTGATTACATGAAAATACGAAAACTATGCATAAAAAAATCAAAAGATAAATGAAGAACAGAGAAAAAAATGACAAAGAACTAATTCCCCAAATACATCATGAGAGCTACAATGAGGAAAAGATAAACAACCCATAGAAAAATGGGCAAATGCTATAAATTATTGACATATAGATGGAATACAAAGATCTTTTAGAAGTTCACCCTCACTTTTTAAAAGAAATGAGCAAATTTGAACCACAAGATACCAATTTTCACCTATCTCTATCGAACACTCTATGCTAGTGAGTGAACACCGGTAGGCAATTTGGCAATTTGGCAATTTGGCAAATTGAGGCACATACCTTATGACCCAGAATTCCACTTCTAAGAATTTAACTTACAAGTTTAGACATGCAGATATGACATGGTATGTATACAAGCTTATGTGCTATAGCAGAGTTTTGCAATAGCAAAAGATGAAAATAATCTAAATATTCATCAACGATGTAAGTAAACCAGGTTATATCCACGCAGTGAAATACTATACAGACAGTAAGAACAGTAAAGAGTAAGAAAGCTCCTTATATGTAGGTACAGGAAGATCTCCAAGATGATTTCATTGTTGGTGTAACCAGTGAGGTGCTGAATGGTACATATGGTATTGCTACCATTTGTGTAAAGAAAAAAGAGGGATACTGCAATAGTCCTGTCCAGTTAAAAAAAAAAAAAAGGAAAAGAAAAAAGGGGGAGGGAAATCATGCTCTCTTGTTCTCGTGCTCTCTCTCTCTCTCAGTGTGTGTGTGTGTGTGTGTGTGTGTGTGTGTCAGTGTGTACATATATATATGTGGAATTTCTCTGCAAGAAACCTGCAATATCTGTTGCCTTCCCCTAAGGGGATGGAGGGCTGGGCACCTGCACAACTGATGTGTATACAAAGGCTGAGCAACTGTTATATGTAGAATATATTTACTATATTCTATGTTCCCTTCTGTAACTTTTGAATTTTGTACCATATAAAATTATTCTGTTTAAAGTTAAACAAAACAATGCTATGGAAAAAAAGGGTTTACCACTATAGATATTGCAACATTTTAAATCAATCTAGTTTTTAGGGACCTTAAACAGAGATCTGTGGCTTGCAGCCTTATATCCTTAGACCTTATAGAGTACACAAAAATATACCATTAATAACTTTCAAAACTTCATAAAGAACATTGAAATTCTTTAATCACAATAAGCCATCCAGATCAATTATCACATTAGTGTGTTAGCTGTTGGCTGCAATTTTATACAGAAACTTGGTACAGCAACATTGGTGTCTCTTGCTGATCAGAAAATCCAATGGATTGTTACCATTATCATAGGAATTTATTAAGTGGCACTTTCCAGAGTGTTCCACAGAATACCAGCTCTTTAAGAGATCAACAAGTCTTGTTTGAAAAAATAGTTACAGCCAGGTGTGGTGGCTCACATTTGTAATCCCAGCCACCTTGGAAGGCCAAAGTGGGAGGATTGCTTGAGGCCAGGTGTTCAAGACCAGCCTGGGCAACTCAGCAAGACCCTGTCTCTACAAAAAAAAAAAAAAAAAAAGAAAGAAAAAAAGAAAAAAGAAAAGAAAGAAAAAAAATGGTTCCATAGTTAAAGTGAGTTGTGGAACATTTAATAAAGTATCCCTACTCCAGGATTTTCAAGGTCTAAAGACATTAATGTGAACTGGGCATCTCTAAGTTAGAGGACAGCAGACAGCCCTCTCCAAACTTGCTTAACCATAAACCCTTATCTTAATGAGCATATCAACAGACGGGTGTTCTTCTGAGCCCTTTCTGAGAAATAAATTTTCTGGAAATGTAAATGGTATGCCGGCCAAATGGCAATAGAACCTACCATAAACCTATCCAGCTATATACATAAATGCTTAATAAAAAGTGGGAAGAACGTGCCGGGCACGGTGGCTCACGCCTGTAATCCTAGCACTTTGGGAGGCTGAGGCAGGTGGATCACGAGGTCAGGAGATCGAGACCATCCTGGCTAACATGGCGAAACCCCGTCTCTACTAAAAATACAAAAAAAAATGTAGCCGGGTGTGGTGGCGGGCGCCTGTAGTCCCAGCTACTCGGGAGGCTGAGGCAAGAGAATAGCGTGAACCCGGGAGGCGGAGCTTGCAGTGAGCCGAGATCGCTCCACTGCACTCCAGCCTGGGCTACGGAGCGAGACTCCATCCCCCACTCCAAAAAAAAAAAAAAAAAAAAGGTTGGGGGGAAGGACTATTTACACCACAAAGGGTTTATCTGATGGTAAAAATTTTCAAACTACATTGTTACATGAGTAAATGAGGGAGTCCTCGGTACTAAGCTGATTAGACTCTGAAGTCTAAGAGAACAATTACATGCTATAAGGGCGCCATACCGACTATGATATGAAGTGCGTGGGCCCAGAGAGAGAGAGAGAGCTACGAGGGGAAAGCCTTCTTGGGGATCAGAGAGGCAGCTGCCTAGAGATGGGATGAGAATCTGATATGTCACTAATACCAGGTCTATACGCATCTAGGCAGTACACAAAAACGCATGTCAATATCATGCCACCAGGATCTGGATTTTTATGTCAAAATGCAAAAGCACTCCTCAGACAGACAGCACAGAAACACTTAAGGACTTTGAGATGATTTCTAAGATCCCGTGCATAAATCTGGGGAAAGTGGAAGAAGGCCTTTAGTATGAATTGATTATTTTGCCACTAGGGATAACTCTTTTCTAAAGCAGAGGAATGCTTCAGGCAGCTCAGCCACAATCTAGGCTACGGGGAGACAGCAAAAAAACTACAAAGGAAAATTTTTTTTTTAAGTGGTAAAAAGAACGACTGATTTGGACCACATTTACCTGTCAAACTGCCCATTCAGGGAATTCTAAAACCAGGAAGAGCACCTAAGTGAAACCAATGTTACATTTATTGACAGGCTTGCTGCTAGTCAAACTCGGGGTGAAAGGCAACAATAATACAGAGAGTAGAGAAATGCAAGTATAGAAGAATGGACCCCAGCTTTAACTTGGAAGGGCAAATATTTTGGCCTACACTCAAAGGAAAGTGGGAAATACTTCTAAAATACATACCAATACCGTAGCCACGTTATTTGGAAAAGCCTTTGCCAGGATAGAAGAAGATGCAGTCATTGCTGCAGCAAAGCTAACTGCATCCATTACTCTCACTAGAAAACACATAGCAATAAATACTGGCCCATCTGGAACTCGGTCCAATACACTAAAAAGGAATAAGACAATTCTGAAATGCCAAGCTGGTTTTCTTTTTTTTTTTTTCCTTTTTAACTGTACTCACTAAAAAGAATAGTACCTCACTCATGGTTTTTAGAATAAACCGCTTTAGAATATGATTTTTTTAAAAGAGTTGCTTTGTTGTCTTTTCAGGAGGAGGAAATTACCCTTTTTCTTTTTTTGGTAACCATTTGAGTCATAATGACAGCTTAGTCGCCCTTTTCTGCTGATATAACTGGTCCCCCAGATAATAGCACTAAATAAACTTTTTTGGAATATGTAGAATCAGCTGGGCGCAGTGGCTCACGCCTGTAATCCCAGCACTTTGGGAGGCTGAGGCAGGCAAATCACGAAGTCAGGAGATCGAGACCATCCTGGCCAACACGGTGAAACCCCGTCTCTACTAAAAATACAAAAAATTAGCCAGGTGTGGTGGTGGCCACCTGTAGTTCCAGCTACTCGGGAGGCTGAGGCAGGAGAATGGCATGAACCTGGGCGGCGCAGTTTGCAGTGAGCCGAGATCGTGCCACTGCACTCCAGCCTGGGCGACAGAGTGAGACTCTGTCTCAAAAAAAAGAAAAAGAAAAAAAAAAAAAGAAAAAGAAAACACATAGCAATAAATACTGGCCCATCTGTAACTTGGTCCAATACACTAAAAAGGAATAAGACAATTCTCAAATGCCAAGCTTGTTTTCTTTTTTTTCCTTTTTAACTGTACTCACTAAAAAGAATAGTACCTCACCCATAATTTTTATAATAAATTGCTTTAGAATATGATTTTTTTTAAAAGAGTTGCTTTGTTGTCTTTTCAGTAGGAGGAAATTAACCTTTTTCTTTTTTTGATAACAATTTGAGTCATAATGACAGCTTAGTTGCCCTTTTCTGCTGATATAACTGGTCCCCCAGATGATAGTACTAAATAAACCTTTTTAGAATATGTAGAATCAGCCGAGTGTGGTGGCTCACGCCTGTAATTCTAGCACTTTGGAAGGCTGAGGTGGGTGTATCCCCTGAGGTCAGGAGTTCGAGACCAGCCTGGCCAACATGGCGAAATCCCATCTCTACTAAAAAAGTGCAAAAATTAGCTAAGCATGGTGGTGAGCCCCTGTAATGCCAGCTATTTGGAAGGTTGAGGCAAGAGAGTGGCTTGAACCTGGGAGGTGGAGGTTGCAGTGAGGCGAGATCACACCACTGCACACCAGCCTGGGCAATAGAGTGAGACTCCATCTCAAAAAGAAAAAAAAAAAAAAAAACATGTAGAATCACTCTGACAAGACCTATAAAGAAGAAAGCACCCAGTTTCGATCTCTCCCGTAGTCAGACTGAAACCTTCAAAAAAAAAAAAAAAAGGAATAAAGAAAGAAAATAAACGACCCTTCCAAAAAAATTTTAACCCCATTTCATTTAATATAACAGTTTTCTTCAGTTTACTTCATTATAATCTTACTATACTGGTATTCCTCTATGTTCCCCCATGTACTTATATAAGCTCTTCCACATTATTTGGAACTTTCACATCTGTTTTGCCTCTGGCACTCATTTTTCCTTTTTCTGGAAGTAGCAATGGGGGAAACCATTTTGTTCCATGCTCTGAACTGAGCATGTGACCTGGCCTGGCCAAGCAGAACATTCTTTCCCCATGGCTACAGCCATCAGCAAAGGTCAGGCCAGCGGGGCTTCATTCTGTGACTCTAATAGGAACTATTAGGAAACTGGCACTTTCTACTGAAGCTGCTAGGGGTCCCCTTGCCACCTAAAGGGGAGGGCTTGTTCAAATCACAAGAAGAAAAATTTCTCGTGACATCGTTTCAAATCTGTATTCTGATATTTTTTGAGTTGACACTTTATTAAAGAAATTCACTTTTTTACTGAAGCTAGTAAGTTTCCGTGACTCAGAAAAGTGAGTTAAGTTTCTGTCACTCACAATCACAGGAATTCTAATGAGTAGGTTCAGTAGCAAGCATCACGGAGATCCCCCGGAGGCCTGTTTCCTTAAAATCAATGCCATTTATCCCTGTTCTCTACTTACTCAACTCCTGCCATTAGTCACATGCTATGCATTTGACAGACAATAAATGGAACCATTGACTTAAAGAGTATTTAACAATTTAAACAGAAGATACATTACAAAATCTGTTCAAGCTCCCAAATATAATCAGAAAATGACTTACCCAAAGAGAATTGTAACTCCTCCTGAGACAAACATTCCTGCTACAAACATAAATTTTGCTCCAATATGTACAAGCTATAATAAATGTCAAAGAAGAGTGGTAAATTTATGACTTCCGAAAGTCTATATTGATATAAACAAATCCACTGTATTGGCAAATATAGGATAGGGGAAGACATGTACAGTTAATATATTATAATAATTCTTTAATATGGTGACAGTACTCATTGCTTAAAAACATGGAAAGAGTTAAAAATCAATCAACTCTGAGGAGAGAACTGTCAACACTGGCACAATTTATAAAACTATAACGATGGCTATTTCTGTATCAATGCAAATTCTAGACTAGTAAACGAAAATAATCCATCATATAATTTTTAAAAATTAAGATGTGCATATGAACTTTATACTTACATAGTTTCCAAATACCAAGGATGCCAGCAACTCGAACAAAGCAAAACATCCAAAGATCATACCGATAATTGTATTGCTGGCTCCCTTCTTTTCAGCCTTTAAGTAATAGAAACGGAAACAAAGTTTCAAAGAAAAATTAGATCAATATGAAAAAATGGAAATAATAGATCAGGGCATCATCTTCTTGTGAACTTTATCTGTATATCAGTTTCAAAAAGATTATTCTTTTAAAATAAATGGGGTGGGGAAGGAAGGGAAACTATTAATAGTTTAGATAGTAAACCATAGTCTCTTACATGAAAATAATTCACTCACCATACCTATAAAGAATTGTTAGCTTTATGTGGCAAAAGTCAGAATCAGAGTGTATAAACAAACACAAAAAAAATGCCTTGGATAAGGAAATTTGGGCTCTATTGCATAGTCACAGGACTGAGGAAACAGCTGATTCAGACACACTTCCTTTTGGGTATCACATTTATAGGAAACAAACAAAAAACACTGGCCAGTCTTCAAACTCAAGAATAGGAAGTTCCATGAGTGGGCACATGGGTCAGACCAAGGCCCAATCAGTCTAGGTCTCTGTTTCTGACAGTAATACCAATTACCTGACAGTTTGGAGAAGACAGTTTTCCATCCTGTCATCAACAACACAGGTGAGAGATGCTCCCCTGACATTCTACGTTCTCCTGAAACAGCCAAGGTAGTTTATCATCCATCAATTACAGTTACTAATGTTTATAGCCTATTCTATCAGGGAGCTCCTAAAATTTGCTACAGATAATATTTATCATAAATCTACTTCTTTTGAACTTCAAATGCTACTGTGATACACAACTACATTCACATATAAAAATAGAAAGTTTAAAAAACTTTGTCAAGTCCCGGAACTATTGCAAATCCTTAAATCAGGTTCTAGCTATAGAAATTTAAGGAATCAAAATATGAGTTTAATTTCTTTAAGATAGGACTGGCAACTTAGCATACTACAAAAGGAAAGCCCGAACTGTCATATATTGACCGTCTTATATATATGAGGCATTGTACCAGCAGTGAATATTTATGGTCAGAAGAGTCCAGTTTAGATCCATCCTTTTGGCAGAGCTTTGGATTTTCGCAAATAACTTCATAATACAGAAATGCACACATGCGCACATACTTTTGCACTCTTCAACATCCATTCTCTATAACCATGATTGCCTTTCTTTATCTTTTCTCTCTACAATTGATGATAAAAATTTTCTCCATCCCTTCCCATGTAAAGATACTATCATCATTCAATCTTTGTCTTTTTCAAGGATTTTTTTTTTGCATGTCAGACTATGCTTCTTTAAATAAACCATACATTCCTCATAGCGTCATACCACAGGAAGCCAGAGAAGTGAACTCTATTGTTCTAAGCTAAATTTTAGGAAGGATCTCTCTCTTACTCTAGGAAAAGTCCTCAGAAATGTCCCTAAGCACTTGGTGGTGGGTGAGGGCAGAGAGGATGGGCCCACAGCTCCATGGTAATGGCTTGGGCACGATTTAAGCCCATAATTCTTGGGCTTCATAACCAGCCATTCCCTTTCCATGTACTAATAACCACAGGAAATAATGGTGTGGATACAAGAGAGAGTTCATTAAAATACCTTTAATGGCACTGTGACAAATGGTTATGCTGTATGTCAACTGGAACATGAGGTCTACATTTCTACTACACACGGGTCAGGTTCCTCAAAAAGAAAGTATTGTGAAAGGAGTCAATTAACGCATAAGAAAAATATGCGTGCCGGGCATGGGGGCTCACGCCTGTAATCCCAGCACTTTAGGAAGCTCAGGTGGGAGGATCACTTGAGGTCAGGAGTTTGAGACCAGCCTGGCCAACATGGCAAAACCCCGTCTCTACTAAAAATACAAAAATTAGCCAGGTGTGGTGGCACGTGCCTGTAATCCCAGCTACTCAGGAGACTGAGGCAGGACAATCACTTGAACCCAGGAGTCAGAGGTTGCAGTGAGCCAAGATTGTGCTACTGCACTCCAGCCTGGGTGACAGAGCAAGACACTGTCAGAAAGAAAGAAAGAAAGAAAGAAAGAAAGAAAGAAAGAAAGAAAGAAAGAAAGAAAGGAAGAAAGGAAGGAAGGAAGGAAGGAAGGAAGGAAGGAAGGAAGGAAGGAAGGAAGGAAGGAAGGAAGGAAGGGAAAGAAAGAAAAGAAGGAAAGAAAGAGAAAGAAGGAAAGAAGGAAGGAAGGAAGGACATTCATTAGTCAAGTTGCATTATCAATGTTCTTTGCTTAATAGTTCTGATAAGTATTTAATTTAGAATCTAGCAGAAAATATATAATGCCTATAGCAATTAATACTTATTAGACCCTCATTATGAGCCAGAATCTCTTTATTAAGTGCCGTTTTACATGGTATCTAACAACAATTAAATTAAATAAAGGATACATTTTTAGCTGGCCTCATTTATAGATGAGGACAGGAACTTGCAAAGGTTACAGGTCATGAGCCACTACAGTTTCCATCATGTGCATGTTCCCATATTCGCTGTGGAAATGGAATGCTGACACAGGATGTGCTAGAACCACATGCTACAGCAGCAGCCGAATGTCATTTTTGGAACATGGATCCTGCTTCACATTAGGAAAGCAAAAACAGCTATTAAAAGCAATTTCTAGGCCGGGCACAGTGGCTCACTCCTGTAATTCCAGCAATTTAGGAGGCCAAGGCGAGTGGATCACCTGAGGTCAGGAGTTCGAGACCAGCCTGGCCAATATGGTGAAACCCCGTCTCTACTAAAAATACAAAAAAATTAGCTGGGTGTGGTGATGCGCGCCTGTAATCCCAGCTACTTGGGAGACTGAGGCGGGAGAATTGTTTGAACTCAGGAGGCGGAGGTTGCAGTAAGCTGAGACGATGCCGCAGCACTCCAGCCTGGGCATGATGGAACGAGGCTCTGTCTCAATAAATAAATAAATAAATAAGCAATTTCTGGTCCTCTGACAAAAGATGAGTGTGGCAAGAAAAATGATGAATAGAAGTAGGAATCCCACACCATAATTTAAGAAAGGCACTGTTTTTCCTTTGCCCAGTTAGCTTAGCTAATAAGAAAAATGACAGAACATGCAGGAGGAAGGGTGAGGCTTCACCAATGCATTTGTTGACCACAAGATTTTAATCAGAAATGAAAAATCAAAGCCTTCTCTTCATATTTACAGCTTTTAAAGTTAGAATGTTCTCTCTCCTGCCTCTATCTCCTTTCTTTCAGCCTTCCCTCTGCGAGGCGAGACAAAAGTAGCAAATGTAAGAAGTCACATTTTGCTCACTTCTGCTTGCCAGCATAATGTCATAAAACCCCTGACTCTGTGACAACATGCAACTCTTGGGAGGGATGAGTTGAAGACAGAGCAGGATAGAGCACATGGTCCCCCACATCTCTTGCCTGAGCTATTACATTCCTTAAATGATAAATGCCCCAGCTTTGCCTTTTCCTACACATAAGATAACATCTAACAGGGTTGTGATTATGCGTTTATAAACTATTACCAAAGGTACATTCATAATCTATAACCAGATGTACTCTTACACCCAAACTTTGATGTGACCGTGCATGTACTGAGTCTCTACTACCTGTACATGAACTGTGAACTGAAATACTCAGCCTATAGTCCTCGGTAAGACTTCTGAATAAAATGAACTTTAATTCTTTAAAAGCTTGACTTTTTTCTTTGGTCATCATTTCCTATAAGCACAAAACTCAATCAAAAACTTAAAAAGCACACACCCACAGCATGGTTTTCCTTTGTCCCTATTCACTTAGAGGAAACTAACATTAGTTGCACTCACTGAGTTCCAGCTGAGCTAGGAAATGCCCTTCTCACTGGTTGATTCACTCACTCCAATTCTTCTCCATCTCAATTCCACAGGCTCTTATTATTTTTTTTTTAATTTTTTTTTTTTTTGAGATGGAGTCTCACTCTGTTGCCCAGGCTAGAGTGCAGTGGGGCGATCTCGGCTCACTGCAACCTCCACCTCCTGGGTTCAAGCAATTCTCCTGTCTCAGCCTCCTGAGTAGCTGGGACTACAGTCACGTGCCACCATGCCTGGCTAATTTTTGTATTTTTAGTACAGACAGGGTTTCACCATGTTGGCCAGGCTGGTCTCAAACTCCTGACCTCAGGTGATCCTCCCACCTCAGCCTCCCAAAGTGCTGGGATTACAGGCGTGAGCCACCATGCCTGGCATTATTATTGTTATTATTATTATTTAAAAATCCCAAGTCTGGCCAGACTGCTCTTTCTTGCTCAAACACCTCTGATGACTGCCCACTGACTAAGTCCTTGACAAGTGCCCTTCCTTTCTATCTTAGGCCTGCCTCCTCAGATCCACTGTCTCCTATTAGACCTCACTTCACCCCAGGCTCAAGCCACATCAAGAAGCTGTCTGTTGTTCCCCAGGAACATGCCATTCACTCTGCTCTTCCTGTGACTATACCTAGAACACCTCCATCTCTGTTGTTCACCATAAGAATTAACACTTCTTAGGGCCCACCTTAGGCCAGGTGCGGTGGCTCACACCTGTAATCCCAGCATTTGAGAGGCCTGGCCAACATGGTGGACGGATTGCTTGAGCTCAGGAGCTCAACATCAGCCTGGGCAACATGGTGAAACCCCATCTCTACTAAAAATAGAAAAAAATAGCTAGGCGTGGTGGCACATGCCTGTGCCCCAGCTCCTCAGGGGGCTGAGGCGAAAGGATCTCTTGAGCCTGGGAAGTTGAGGCAGCAGTGAACTCTGATCATGCCACTGTACTTTCAGCCTCGATGACAGAGTGAAACCCTGTCTCAAAAAAAAAGCCCCAACTTAGATTTAGCCTGAAAGTTCCTTTCAGTAACGCCCTTTCTTCTGCTATCCACACTCCATGTATGGCAGAATTAACCATTCTTCTTTCTAGGCTCTCATAACATTAGTATGGATAGAGGGAAGCCAGAAGAAAATGATTTAAAAAAAGAAAAAAAAAAACAGTCTTATAACATTCTGGACATCCTTTTCTTAAGGGATATCCAAATTATTGGAACCTTTTTTTTCCCATATTTTTTCACTCCCAAAGGGCAGACAAGAGAAAGCCATTTCCCTGATTTTTTTATACTACCCTAACACATCCCATGCTTAGCCTGCTCTAGAGAAGGGACTCATTAAACCTCTAGTTAATAGAACTGAATTGGGCAAGTCACAACTTCTGAGACCGTTTCTTCATTTGCAACATGCTGAGATTCTCAAGATTCTGTATGAGGTTGTTGCGGGGATTAAATGGATAAATAAGGGGTAATGTGTACTAGAAGCCAGAGAGCACTGTATGGGTACATGGCAATATTGTTCCTTTAGCAGAGAAGCCACTTTATCTTCTTTTGTAACACACAGAACGAAGGACTACATGTTTAAAAGGCAGTTGGAGGACTAACAAGCTTCCACTGCACTGTGAGCCAAGGATTTGGCAAAAAGCACAAAATAAAACACATGGATATGTTGTCTACACTCCAAGCCAGTCATATTCATTTCATACTATATCCTATTGACGTCTAGAATCCAGTTGGACTTTCTAGGGATTATTATCTTTGAATCTGTGTCATTAGCTATAAATCTTAACACCATATAAAAGGCTATGCCTAGAAGGAATAGGCCCTATTAATCAGAATTCCTCCCTTGCATAAACATTGGCGCTAGAGTCCATAAGAAATTAAAGTCAAAAGAGGGAATATGGAGCGGGGCCGGGGCTGGGCGTGGTGGCTCACGCCTGTTATCCCAGCACTTTGGGAGGCCAAGGTAAGCAGATCACCTGAGGTCAGGAGATCGAAGCCAGACTGCCCAACATGGCAAAAACCTGTCTCTACTAAAAATACAAAAATTCGGCCGGGCACGGTGACTCACGCCTGTAATCCCAGCACTTCGGGAGGCGGAGGCGGGCAGATCATGAGGTCAGGAGATGGAGACCATCCTGGCTAACACGGTGAAACCCCGTCTCTACTAAAACAATACAAAAAAAAAAATTAGCTGGGCGTAGTGGCGGGTACCTGTAGTCCCAGCTACTTGGGAGGCTGAGGCAGGAGAATGGCGTGAACTCAGGAGGCGGAGCTTGCAGTGAGCCGAGATCGCGCCACTGCACTCCAGCCTGGGCGAGAGTGCGAGACTCCATCTCAAAAAAAAAAAAAAAAAAAAAATTACCCGGACGTGGTGGTAGGCGCCTGTAATCCCAGCTACTCGGGAGGCTGAGGCAGGAGAATCAATTGAACCCGGGAGGCAGAGGTTGCAGTGAGCCAAGATCACAACATTGCACTCCAGCCTGGGCAACAAGAGCGAAACCCTGTCTCGAAAGGAAAAAAAAAAAAAAAAAAAAAAGGAAGGGGGGTCGGGAATCAAAACGTCCTAATTCTAAAATGTGAATAAAACCTCGAGAAAATAGTTACTGTCTTAACACAGACCTATTGCAGTAACATTTGAATCTCAGTTATTCAGTGCACTCCTTTGTTTCAGTTGCAGAAACCAAATAAAGATTAATCAGACTACATGGTAAGAAAAGTAATTCTCAGAAGATCAACTACTTTTAGGTGAATTACCTCCCAAGAAGATGTTCTTTTTGACTGGATTTTTTTTCCTGGTATCAGGCATTCTATAAGAAGTATTCTATTGGCTGGAGTTCTATACACCATCTGTCCTATATGCAGATTTTTACATTTTATATACTATAAAATAAAATAATTCAAAAGGCTTTTAAAAAACAAACAAACAAAAAAACAGAGGTCCTAAGGATTTAAAAATGTCTTACCTCTTTGGGGAAAAACGGTCCAAGTATAGAATAGCACATCATGGAACCTAAGTTCACCGAAGCTGCCGATATCAGTACAAAAACCTGTTCTCTCGAAAGCCACCCGGGGGTCTCTCCTGCACTTCCTGCAGGATCATCACCTTGAATGCAAACATGCAGCAATTAGGCATATAATTGAGACTACTGATTAAAGTACACAAATGTGATTTCTGTGCACATATGTTGCACTCTGAAGATATCATTTGCTAAGCTTAGGGCTATTTTGAATATAGCACATTTGATCAAATGGAACACAATCCTTGTACATTACTGCCGTTTTGAAAACGTACTGCTTTCGGCTGGGCACGGTGGCTCACGCCTGTAATCCCAGAACTTTGGGAGGCCGAGGCAGGCGGATCACGAGGTCAGGAGATCGAGACCATCCTGGCTAACACGGTGAAACCCCGTCTCTACTAAAAATACAAAAAATTAGCCGGGCGTGGTGGCGGGCCCCTGTATCCCAGCTACTCGGGAGGCTGAGGCAGGAGAATGGCGTGAACCCGGGAGGCGGAGCTTGCAGTGAGCCAAGATCGCACCACTGCACTCCAGCCTGGGCTACAGAGAGAGACTCCGTCTCAAAAAAGCAAAACAAAACAAACAAACAAAAACAAAAACAAAAACAAAAAACAAAGATTTCTAAGGCAGTATTGAAGTCAAATGAAGTGTAAGTAGGAGAAAACAAGCTAAATCATTCAGCTGGTGAATTAATATTTACAGCGGTATGCTTCTGGATAGACAAGTCCCACAAATTCATAAATAAATACTTTTTTTTTACCCTAATTACTGGTCTTTTACATCAGTTAATTTAACACTTATTTCCAGGGCTAAATTGTCATTTAAAAACACGAAATCAATTACTGAGTTCCAAATATCCAAGCAAATCCATCAGCCATTTATAAATTAAATTGTTTTTAGGAAAAACTTAAGAGAAATACATTTGCTTTGCTCTATTTGTCAGAGGTTGCCATTGCAGTCCAGAAGGAAAAAAAAAATCAGTGCAACATGAGGAAGTCTTACGAATCTTTGTAAAATGTTTGTAGTAGATGAGAAAGGGAAATGAAAGTTAAAAAGAAAGGCAACAACAATGGGTACTTGAAAGGTAACGTTTTACATTTGCCTAATGGCATACTTATTTGAATGCATTAAACACACAGTACTTAAAAAGCAGAGGTATAGGTTAGAAAGTCATTAGAAACCGTGACACATATCCAATCCTGGAACTTTACCCCGTCCAGAGAGAAAAGAAACGCTGGCCCGAACCCCACGATCAGGCCCCAGCCTTTTCCAATCTCTCGGAAACAGATCAAGCTATAAGCAATTCAATCGTTGCTAAAGAGACACGCCGGAAGCCGCCGCTGGTCTCCGGGCTCCCGGCCACGCAATTCATGGTCACCTCCTGGTGCGCGTGGTCCCTCCAGGTCACCCAGCGCCTCCATCCCCGGTGCGTGGACTCCGGCGCCCCAGCTCCCGGCTTCAAGCCACGTCCTTGGACTCGACCTCCAAGGAGCCACTGGCACTCTGGCGGGCGGCCGCTGCTCAGCTGGAACCTGGCATCCCCGACTCCCTGCAGGCAGCGATCCGCCCGGCCCGGAGCTCCCCAAAGCCTTCCAGGACTCTGGGTCCCCGGGAGGAGGCCGGGGGCGGGGCAGGGGTGGAGCAAGGCTCCTTTTTTTTTTGTTTTGCGCCCCCCCCCCGCCTCATTATCTTAATCCACCACCTCAGCTGCTATATCATGGTGTCCTTTTTCATTCTGTGACAGAGAGTGAAAAAAGATGAGTCTATATTCCATACAGCTGTACCCCCCTCAATCTTAAAATAAGTTCAATTTATTCCTACGAAACGAAAGAAAGGAAGCTTATGTAGACACAGAAAAGGCAGGGAGTACCTCAACTGAAAGACACAAAAGTGAATTAGAAAATTAGGTTATACAGGAACTTTGAAAGAGTGAATTATTTTTCACAGTGGGTAAATGCGGTAGTGTTCGTAATTACTGAAGCCAGACACTATTGAACCGGAAATGAATTAACCTATGTGAAGCACCTGGAGTCGAAAAATATTTGCAAGAATACTAATGAATATCGAGGAAGCATGGCGAAGTGGCTAGGAGTGCGACCTCTGGAGGCAGGTGCCAGGGATTCAAGCCAGGGCACTTGCTGGCAGTGTGTAACTTTGGATGACAAGGTCAGTTTCTCTACCTGTACAACTGAGATTATAATGTTTATCTCGTAGGGCGGCTGTGAGCATTGGCGATAAAGTGTGTTAGTAGTTAGCACATGAACATGATGGCTGCTACCTTACTCTCACACTCACAGTTTTCTTGCATAAAAAATAGGTTTCACTTATTTTCACCGTATTTACTATTTGGGAAGTGTTAAAGCTCGAGGACTGGCTGGACACGGTGGCTCATGCCTGTAATCCCAGCAGTTTGGGAGGCCGAGGTGGGCAGCTCACCTGAGGTCAGGAGTTCTAGACCAGCCCGGCCAACATGGTGAAACCCTGTCTCTACTATAAAAATACAAAAAAATCAGCCAGGCGTGGTGGCAGGCACCTGTAATCCCAGCTACTAGGGAGGCTGAGGCAGGAGAATCGTTTGAACCTGGGAGGCGGAGGTTACAGTGAGCCAAGATCCAAAAGAATTGTGTGAGGGTAGCTTTATCGACTGAGAATCTGCCTCAGATCCACTGTACAAGGTCAGTTCCAGTACACAGTATGGCTGATAGTAAGTTTGTAATTACTGTGCCACCTCATTCCAGCCTGGGTGAAAAAGCGAAACTCTGTCTCAAATAAATAAATAAAGTTTAAGGACTGGGAAATTCTTGTTTTGAAGCCAAAGCAAAACAAAAGACTGAGTTACCACTTTGTGCCAGGCATTATGAATTTAAAGAGGAATGAGCCCCATCCAGACTCTGCCCTCAAGTAGCACACCTTCTAGCAGATGAAATTCACACTAATTAATAATCTACTATAATGCAATCGGTTGTATACAAACATATTGGAAGAACCATTTACTTTGGCAAATGGGTCCTGGATGACTTCCTGAGGAAGTGATGTTACCTTGGTTCTTGAAGGTTATGTAAAAACTCCCCAGTGAGGGCCGGGCGCGGTGGCTCACGCCTGTAATCCCAGCACTTTGGGAGGCCGAGGTGGGCGGGTCACGAGGTCAGAAGTTCGAGACCTGCCTGACCAACACGGTGAAACCCCGTCTCTACAAAAATACAAAAATTAGCTGGGCATGATGGCACCCAGCTACTCAGGAGACTGAGGCAGGAGAATCGCTTGAACCTGGGACTCGGAGGTTGCAGTGAGCAGAGATCATGCCATTGCACTCCAGCCTGGGCAACCGAGCGAGACTCCATCTCAAAAAAAAAAAAAAAAAAATTCCCCAGTGGGCAAGTTGTAAAGGAGAACCTAGAGAACCACTCTGAACAGAAAGTTCCACTCTAAGCCAGGTGCTGTGGCTCACGCCTGTAATCCTAGCACTTTGGGAGGCCGAGGCAGGCAAATCACCTGAGGTCGAGAGTTTGAGACCAGGCTGACCAACATGGAGAAACCCTGTCTCTACTAAAAATACAAAATTAGCTGGGCATGGTGGCGCATGCCTGTAGTCCCAGCTACTCGGGAAGCTGAGGCAGGAGAATCGCTTGAACCTAGGAGGCAGAGGTTGTGGTGAGCCAAGACAGCACCATTGTGCTCCAGCCTGGGCAACAAGAGTGAAACTCCATCTCAAAAAAAAAAAAAAAAAAAAAAAAAGAAAAGAAAAGAAAGTTCCAATCTAGCAAAGTTTCCCTAAAGTAGCCTTATGAAATCTTTATGATCTAACCCCTGACAGCTTCTCCAATCTCATTTAACTCTATGCTTTCTCTTCAATCTAACATCAATCTGTAGAGGGAAATTTTCTTGAATGATTTCTTTGATGATTACATTTCCTCTTTTATTTTCTTTCTGGACTGCACTTTATGTGAATGTTGGGTCACCCAAACTGGTCCTTTTACTTATTTCTCTTTTTCTTCTCTCTTTTATTTTATTTTATTTTTTTTAGACAGGGTCTCACTCTGTTTCCCAAGCTACCATGACATATAATGGCTCACTGCAACCTCAAATTCCTGAGCTCAACTGATCCTCCCACCTCAGCCTCCCGAGTAGGTGGGACTATAGGCCTGTGCCACCACACCTGGCTAGTTATTATTTTTTCTTTTTTTTTCCTCCATGTTATAGGAAGTATCCCTAACTGTATCTTGCCATCTGAATTTTTGCCAACTGAATCTTGCCAACTGTATCTTGCCAATTGAATGTTTCATTTCTGTTGCCATCTATTTCCTTGTATCTCCATTCTCATTCCTCTCCCCATTTGCAATAATTCTTGCATGTTTAATGCAAATCTTGTTCTTTATGTTCTCAAAAAAATCTATGTTCTTATGTGTCCATCTACTTTTAATTTACATAAAGTCTATTCATATCCCTATCCTCCGCTCCTCTTGTAATCTCTACCTCTCATTCTCCCTTCAGATAATCAGTTTTATAATCAAATATATTATTGTGTTAGTTTTCTGGGGCTGCTGTACAAATCAACACAAATTTGATAGCTTAAAACAAGGTCCTCAAAGCCAGAAGTTCAACATCAGTTTCACTGAGCCAAAATCAAGGTGTCAGCAGGATCATGTTCCCTCTAGAAGCTCTAGGGAAGAGTCTGTTTCTTGCCCCTTGAAGCTTCTAGTGACTATTGGCATTTTGTGCCACATCACTGTAGTCTCTGTTTCTGTGATCACTGTGCCTCTTCTTTTCTGTGTGTAATCTTCGTTTGCCAGTCTCTTGTAAGGATATTTTGAATGAATTTAGGGCCCACCTGGATAATCCAGGATGACCTCTTCATCTCAAGTTCTCCAATTTAGTCACATCTGCACAGACCCTTTTTTTCATATAAGGTAACATTTACAGGTTCCAGGGATTAGGATGTGGACGTATCTTTGGAATCCATTATCAGCCTACCACAATTATCTATTCATAGTTTGATATGCTCATTTAGACATTCATACACATATGGAATATTTGTTTCTTTACAAACTAAAATGGAGTAATATGGTCTTTGTTTAAATGCCACCTCCTCAGAGAAATTCATTCTTTTTTATTATTTATTTATTTAATAATAGAGATGAGGTTTCACCATGTTGCCCAGGCTGGTGTCAATCTCCTGGACTCAAGCAATCCATCTGCCCTGGTTCCCCAAAGTGCTGGGATTACTGCCGTAAGCCACCATACCTGGCCAAGAAATTCATTCATTTTTTTTTTTTTTTTTTTTTTTGAGATGGAGTTTCACTCTTGTTGCCCAGGCTGGAGCACAATAGTGCTATCTTGGCTCACCACAACCTCCACCTCCTAGGTTCAAGCGATTCTCTTGCCTCAGCTTCCTGAGTAGCTGGGACTACAGGCATGCGCCACCATGCCCAGTTAATTTTGTATTTTTAGTAGAGACAGGGTTTCTCCATGTTGGTCAGCCTGGTCTCAAACTCTCAACCTCAGGTGATCCTCCCGCCTCGGCCTCCCAAAGTGCTGGGATTACAGGCGTGATCCACCGCGCCCGGCTAAGAAGTTCATTCTTATGCCCTTATCCAAATACAGCCCTAGTCCTCCTTTGTCCTTTCACCTTTCTATTTTTCTTCCTGGCATTTCTATCAGTCAGAGTTCCCTGTTGCTAATAAAAAACAAAGCAACGTTGGCTAATTTAAGCAGAAAATGAATTCATCATTGATTATTAGGTAACACATAGTATCATCAGGAGGATCATGCATACCACTTAGAGGCTAAGTGCCTAAAGTCACACCACCTAAGCGGTCCAGTATGCATGGCACTGCAACCCTGCTGGACGTACATCTCCAGCACATGCTGCCAATACCACTGGAGCCAGGTATGAGACACTGTAATTAGAACATCATCCCCACTCCTCAAGAATGCTGCCACTCTCACCAGAAGAGATTTTAGGTGGTGCTAGCTTCTTCCACTCACTTGCTTCCATTGCATATCAAGACCCAATGTGTTTGAAGTCAGGCAGTAAAAAGTGTCCAAGTACGTTCTTCTTTTTCAAGAGTGGTTTGAATATTTTAGTTACTTTGACTTTCTAGAGAAATATCACAATTAGCTCTCATATTCTCCAAACAACCTGGTGGAATTCTTACTGGTATTTTTTTTACTCCATATATCAATTTGGAGAGAACTGATATTGAATCACTATTAAGCTTTTAATCCATGAACATAGTATATCTCTCCAATTATATAGATATTTCTTTCATAACATTTTCACATTTTTCACCGTGTAGGTATTATATGCCTCATGTTAAATTTATTCCTAAATACCTTAGTTTTAGAAGCTACTAAAATTGATATTTTTATGTTTAAATTTCCAACAATTTGCTGATTATATATAAAGGTAAATGAACTTTTATATTAATCTGGTATCCTGCAATCTTGCTAAATTTCCTCATTAGTTCTAGTCATTGTTGTATAGATTCCTTTAGATTTTCTACATAAACAATTATGCCATCTGCGAATAGAGTTTTACTTCTTCCTTTCTGAAATGTATGCTTTTGTTTCTTTCACTTATTTTATTGCACTGACTAGGACGCCCAGTAAAATGGTGAATAAATGTGGTGAGAATGGAGAGCCTCACTTTGTTCCCAATCTTACAAGAAAAACACTTGGTCTTCCATTATAAAGTATGAGGTTAGCTGTAGGTTTTTCACATGTGCCTTTCAGAAGATTAAGGATGCTACCTTCTATTCCCAATGTGCTGAGAAATTTTAAAATGAATTTGTGTTAAATTTTATCAAATAGTACTTCTGCGTCTATTGTACATGGTTTTTTCTTTATTCTGTTAATTTAATAAATTACACTGATCAGTGGTCTAATGCTAATTGTCTAATGTTAACTTTGGATTCTTGAGATAAATCTTGCTTGGTCAAGATGTATTCTCTTTTCTTATATATTGCTGGATCAATTTGCTAATATTTTGTTAGAGGTTTTTTTTGTCTATGTTTATGAGTAATGTTGATCTGTAATTTCTTTTTATTTTCTTTTGTCAGGCTTTGGTAGTAAGTAATTCTGCACTCATAAAACAAGTCGAAAACTTCCCCTCCTCTGGTATTAACATGTATTAATTTGAGAAGATACTCTACTTACATATAAGGTAAGTATTGATGGGGTTGGGTTTACGTCTACCATTTTACTATTTGTTTTATATCTTCCCATCTGTTTTTTACTCATTTGTTTCTTCTTCTTCTTCTTTTTTTTTTTTTTTTACCTTATTTTGGCTTAATTAGAAAAAAAGAGATTTTGGAATTCCATTGTAATTTGTATGTTATCATTTTACCTATATTTCTTTCAACTATTTTTAGTCATTGCTTAGGAATTACAATACACACATTCTTAATTTTTTTTGTCCACTTAGCATTAATATTGTAGCACTTCATGGAAAATGTAAGAACCTTGCAGACTGTTAGACTCATACAGGTGGCCTTACCCAGCAGCCACCTCTTCTCTCTTCATCCTTCATTCTTTAGTTGTCATACGCATTATATCTATGAAGACACAAAGTTCATCATGCAATATTATAATTTTTACTTTAGATAGCTATATGTACTATTTAATCAAAAAGAAAAATAGTCTGAAATTTACCCACATATTTACCATTTTCAGTGTTCTTCATTCCTTCTAGAACATCTAAATTTTCCATCTGATATCATTTTTCTTCGACATGAGTAACTTTCTGTAACATTTCTTCAAGTATGAGTCTTCTGGTGATGAGTTCTGTTAGTTTTTGTTTAGCTCTGAATGTCATCATTTTGTCTTCATTCTGGAAGAGCCTTTCATTGAATATAGAAATATGGGTAGCAAGTTGTCTTTCAGCCCTTTCAAGATGTGGTTCTGTTTTCATTTGGCTCCTATTTTTTGAGAGAAATTAGTGGAATTTTGTATTATTGGTCTCCTGTATGTAATGTGTCTTTTTCCCCATAAATGCCACTGTAATTTTAACTTTGAGTTTTAATATCTCACTTATGATATGCCTAGGGTTGTATACGTGTGTGTATTTATTCTTCTCAGGGTTCACTGAGCTTCTTGAATCTGAATTTATGTGTTTCACCAAATGTGGGAAGCTTTTGAACATTATTTTCTTTCTTTCTCTCTCTCTCTCCTTTCTCTCTCTCTGTCTCTGTCTTTTTCTTTTTCTTTTCTTCTAGATGGAATTTCACTCTTGTTGCCCAGGCTGGAGTGCAATGGCATGATCTTGGCTCACTGCAACCTCTGCCTTCCAGGTTTTAAGCGAGTCTCCTGCCTCAGCCTCCTGAGTAGCTGAGATTACAAGAATGCTCCACCATGCCCAGCTAATATTGTATTTTTAGTAGAGATGGAGTTTAACCAAGTTAGTCAGGCTGGTCTCAAACTCCTGACTTCAGGTGATCCGCCCACCTCGGCCTCCCAAAGTGTTGGGATTACAGGTGTGAGCCATTGTGCCCAGTCTTATTTCTTTAAATATTGTTTCCTCCCTCATTTTGTTGCCTTCTGGCACCCCAACTGCCTATATGTTAGTCTTGTGTATTCTAATTGAGTATATGTTAGACCTTTAAATTTTGCCCAACAGATCATTGCAGCTCTATACATTTTTTTTTCAATTGGCTTTTTCCCTCTCTATTGGATAATTTCGGATTTATTTAAAGTTTACTGACTCTTTCATCATCTCCAATCTATTGCTGAACCCTTCCAGTAAATTTTTTATTTCTCATATTTTACTTTTTAGTTTTCGAATATCTATTTGATACTCTTTTATGGTTTATACTTTTCCTATTTATTCATTCATTATGAACATTTTTTACATTCTTAATCATATTTTTAATGGCTGCTTTAAAATTCTTGTCTGCTACTTCTAACATATGATCATCTTGGGATCCTTTTCTCTTGAGTATGAGTCATGTTTTCTAGTTTTTTGGTATACAGCATAATTTTGGATCATATCGAAGACATTGTTAATGATACATTGCAGAGATTCTGGATTCTGTTACATTCTTCCAAAGAATATTAATTTTAAAAAAGAATTTAGCAGAGAGTTTACCTGCCTTGACTCAAACTTCATGTTTCTCCAGTGATGGGAAAAGCAGCAGCTGTAATCTCTGTGCATTTTGTTTAGCCTTACCTGTGTTGCTTGGAGGTTTTTTTTTCTTTTTCTTTTTTCTAACATGGAGTCTCGCTCTGTCACCCAGGCTGGAGCGCAATGGCACAATCTCAGCTCACTGCAACGTCCACCTCCTGGGTTCAAGTAATTCTCCTGCCTCAGCATCCTGAGTAGCTAGGATTACAGGGATGCGCCACCATGCCTGGCTATTTTTTTTATTTTTAGTAGAGACGGCGTTTCACCATGTTGGTCAGGCTGGTCTTGAACTCCTGACATTGTGATCCACCCACCTCAGCCTCCCAAAGTGCTGGGATTACAGGCATAAGCCACTGTGCTACCCCATGTGTGTGTAGTTCAGAGCTCAGCCAGAGATTGAGGCAGAGTATACACGGAAAATTCTGGTTTTCCCCTCTCTGGCTCTCTCCTTTCTGGGATTTCCCTCCTTTCTTCAATTTCCAGTGCCATGGTTATTCTGAACTCTTGTGATGGTTAATACTGAGTGTCAACTTGACTGGATTGAAGGATACAAAGTATTGATCCTGGGTGTGTCTGTGAGGGTGTTGTCAAAGGAGATTAACATTTGAGTCAGTGGGCCGGAAAAGGAAGACCCACCCTTAATCTGGGTGGGCACAATCTAATCAGCTGCCAGTGTGGCTAGAATATAAGCAGGTAGAAAATGTGAAAAGAGAAACTGGCTTAGCCTCTCAGCCTATATCTTTCTCCCATGCTGGATGCTTCTTGCCCTTGAACATCGGACTCCAAGTTCTTCAGTTTTGGATCTCAGACTGGTTCTCCTTGCTCCTCAACCTGCAGATGGCCTATTGTGGGACATTGTGATTGTGTGAGTTAATACTTAATAAACTCACCTTATATATGGGTCGGGTGCAGTGGCTCATGCCTGTAATCCCAGCACTTTGGGAGGCTGACGTGTGTGGACCACCTGAAGTTACAAGTTTGAGACCAGACTGGCCAACATGGTGAAACCCCGTCTCTACTAAAAATATAAAAATTAGCCAGGCGTGGTGGCGCATGCCTGTAATCCCAGCTACTCAGGAGGCTGAGGCAGGAGAATTGCTTGAACCCAAGAGGCGGAGGTTGCAGTGAGCCAAGATCATGCCATTGCACTCCAGCCTGGGCAACACAGCAAAACTCTGTCTCAAAAAATATACATATACATATATATATATAGAGAATATATATTATATTTTATATATATGGAATATATATAAAATATAATATATATTCCATTAGTTCTGTCCTTCTAGAGAACACTGACTAATAGAACTCTGTTCTCTGGTTTTTTTAAGGCATTACAACTGAGGAACTCTATTAGTTGTTCCGTGTAGCACTGACTAAGGGTCTCCTCGTGCTAACACTCATAAAAATGGAAAATCATCCAGTGTCATTCCTTCTTCTTAGTGTTGGTCCTCACACCTATCCCCTAGTTCCGTCTGCTTTTGGTCACTCTCCAGTGTCTTCAGGTAGTTATTTTTTGTTTTGTTTTGTAACATTTTCAGAGTTACATTAGTTATCTGCAAGAAGGTTAGTCTTGCAGAACCTCCTAGTAATTAATATTTGTTGTATTTTATTAAACTAATAATCTTTGATGGATTGGGTGAAAAATCCTCTGATAGTCATTTTATAAAGCACTGCCTTAAGAGGCTTTTGATCAGGTCCTATAACCAAGACCCCTGGAACTATTCCATTCCTACCATTCCCTAGACCTGACTTCTCAAACAAACCGTTCTATTCTTACCATTCCCTAGACCTGACTGCTCAAACAAACTGTTCTATTCTTACTATTCCCTAGACCTGACTGCTCAAACAAACTGTTCTGTTCTCTGAGCCATCCAGTACATTTCTAATAAATTCATTTTTTAAATGTTGGCCACAGCTCATTCCATTGCATGCAAAGAATTATCACTGATACAGTATTATTCAAATCTTCTACAATGAACATGCTTACTTGTTCTAATATTTAAAAAGCAATAACTGTTATTTACAAATAAAGATATCATCTGTAAGTTGGAGACATAGGAGGGAAGCAGGCATTAACTGCAGCTCATAGTCATGTGGATAAAGTCAAGTGAAATCAGAAAACTAATATAGCAGACAGCATAGGATGTTCAACATTTACCAGCAGTGAAAATTGTTTGAAAATAACGAGGTAGAATGCTGAAACTGAAAAAGTGCTTAAGGGTATCTCGTATAATTGCCTACTTCATTTTGCAGATCCAGAGTTTGGAAATCTCTTGACCAAGGCTGCAGAGTCAGAAAATGATAGAGAGGAGAATCTAAATCAAAGAGTCCTTGAATCACCAGTCTGCCCTTCGCATTCATTTGTAGGATTAGAACCTACAAATATAAAACAGGACTTTTTTTTAATGTAGCTTCAGTTATAAGAATAGGAGTGGTACTGCCTTCATTCTAATGATTCTCTAATAAGAACTGCATGCATCAAATACATTTTAGAACATCAGGACTCATTTTCAAAAGAAATGTTGTGCAGATAACAGCAGGGGAAGCAGCAGAGAGGGCTGGAGTCTCCCCCACACCAGCCCTCTTTGTATCCTAAGGGAATCAATTTAATGTTAATTTAAGCTTTTCTCTACCCTCCACTACTCTTTATTTCATTTATAAATTATTGTGTAGCGGCCAGGTGCGTTGGCTCATGCCTGTAATCCCAGCACTTTGGGAGGCTGAGGCGGGCAGATCACCTGAGGTCAGGAGTTTGAGACCAGCCTGGCCAACATGGAGAAACCCTGTCTCTACTAAAAATACAAAAATTAGACAGGCGTGGTAGCGGGTGCCTGTAATCCCAGCTACCCGGGAGGCTGAGGCAGGAGAATTGCTTGAACCTGGGAGGCGGAAGTTGCAGTGAGCCAAGATCGTGCCACTACACTCCAGCATGAACGACAGAGCGAGACTCCATCTCAAAAAAAAAAAAAAAATACTGCGTAGTTGGTTTATAATTAGTTTATTTATAAAAATTGGCCAGGTGTGGTGGCGGGCGCCTGTAATCTCAGCTACTCAGGATGATACTTATAAAGTATTATCTCTAATTATATTCCATAGTATGTTTGTTTAGTTTCCATGAACTCTAAGTCAGCCCTGTAGTGTGCAGCTACTGTACCCCAAGAGTTGTGGGTAACATCTGGTAGCAATAAAAAAAAAAAAAGTGGATGGTTGGGCACAGTGGAGTTCAAGATCAGCCTGGGCAACATAGCAAGACCCTGTCTCTAAAGAAAACAACAACAACAACAAAAAAGAACAGATAAAAACTACAAAACAAGCAGGTGAAGATATATTCTTACTAAGACTTGTGAAAATTTAGATGATAATTACACAAAACCTCCAAAAATATAAGCTATTGGCACAGGCTTCATACTTAGCTATACAATAATCTAGCCCCATTCTCCCCTACAACCTTGTTTTCACTTAATAAACATGTTAACTTTACAAGCTACTACCAACAGCCTTTATTAGTCTATCCCACTCTTATTAGTGCATCTGCTTTCTTATTTTCTGTTTTCTTCTCTCTTTGCAACTTCTCTTTTTCCTTTAATTCTTCCTTTGATACAATGGGATTCTATTCAAATCTTTCTTCAGCTATGACTAATTTTTCTTCAGTATGTTTAAAACTACATGCTATAATAAATGAGAGTTAAGCCTATATGTTCCTGAGTTGCAGCAGTATAGTATTTTTTAGTTTTTTTCTCCTATTTCTTATCACTCATTTCCATCCATTGTATTTAGTTTCTACCCCCAAAGGTAAGGAAACTTGAAGTTTTCAAATTAAAAGTGATTTTCTGGGATGCTCAAAGCTTCCAACTAACTCCCAACAAATTCTAATTTATTATGGTAGTCCTCAACATGGCTTTCCTTTAAGTATGACATCTACACAAGAGGCTTTTTTTTTTTTTTTTTTGAGGTGGAGTTTTGCTCTGTCGCGCAGGCTGGAGTGCAGTGGCTCACTGCAACCTCCGCCTCCCGAGTTCAAGTGATTCTCCTGCCTCAGCCTCCCAAATAGCTGGGATTACAGGCACCCACCATCACACTCAGCTAATTTTTGTATTTTTAGTAGAGACGGGGTTTCACGATGTTGGCCAGACTGGTCTCAAACTCCTGACCCCATGACCCACCTGCCTCAGCCTCCCAAAGTGCTGGGATTACAGTCTGAGCCACAGCACCCGGCCCCAAGAGGCTTCTTTAATCTTATTTCACTCAGTGAATTCATTCAGTACACATGTGTTTAGCCTCCAATATGCAATTCACTGTACTAAGTGCTGGATGGTTTAGGACAGGAGAAAGGTAATATTTAAGAAACTCTCCATGTATTTTCATATGAAGTTCTTTATAAGGTAAATTACTTTACAGGCATAGTGGTAAACACTTTAAATGACTATCTCATTTAATCCTCACAGAAATATTATAGCATTACCACCATTTTACTAGCTCAGAAAGAAAATAACTTGCCAAAGGTCGCAAAGTAAGCTGGAATTTTAACCCTGCACAGTTGGGTCCTCCTGACCACTCCAAGATATAAAATCATTATTATGCCTCAGCCCGGTTTTTGTCTCCAGCTCTGGTCTTCAAAGTAAGTTTTTTTGCAGTTCATCTCAAAGATGCTTTCTTTCATTTGATCATTCTGTATCTCCTCCTTGTCATCTGTTATGAGTTGAACTGTGTTCCCTCAAAATTCACATGTTGAAATCCTAACCCCTTCCACTTCAGAACAAGACCTGATTTGGAACAGGTTTGTTGTAGACGTAATTAGTTAAGATGAGGTTTTACTGGAGCAGGTGAGCCCCTAATCCAATATGGCTGATATTCTTATAAAAAGGAAACATTCAGACACAAAATCAGACATGCACATAGGGACAACATCATGCGAAGATTGGAGTTATGCTAACACAAGTCAAGGAACACCAAGATTGCCAACAAACCTCCAGAAGCTAGGAAAGATGTGTGAAATGGATTCTTCCTCACACCCTCAGAAGGAACCAACACTCCCAACACCTTGACTTCAGACTTCCAGCCTTCAGCATTATAATAGATTTCTGTTGGTTAAGCCACCCAGTTTGTGGTACTTTGCTATGGCAGCCCTAGCAAACTACACATCTACACTTAGATAATTCAGAAATCCAAATTTCTAAATCCAAATGCAAATTTTTCTGCCTAACAGCAATATTCCCTTCCTCCATCTATATAGTTTTTAGCACAGTGGGATAGAACTAGCTGTACTATTGCCAAACCAGAGACGTAGAGAGTCATTCTTGAATTCTCGGCAATCTCCTTTCCACATTCTGGCAATCATTCAAATGACCGAAGGGTTAGGAGCACAGGCTTTGAAGTCCACTGAGCTTAAATACCAGCTTCCACATTTATTAGCTGTGTGATCTTGGGCTACCTAAGCCTTGGCTTCCTGACCTGTTAAAGTGGGCTAATACCATCACTACCAGATAGGGTCTCCATAACAATAAAGGGGAAAAATGCCTGAAAGAATTTAGCGCTTTATCTGGCATATAGAAAAAGTGAAACAAATTGCCTGTTATTATCAGTATTGTTCCTAAAACAAACTTCAGAATACATTTAGTTTTCATATGTGTGTCAGACTCATATTTGTGCACATGTGTTATACTCTGCTGGTATGAGTGACCAACCACTATCCTCTATGTAGTATTGTCTTCCACCTTTACCAGTCTCTGAAATTGAGAGGAGGTAACCTTAAAAATGTGAACTAGGAGGCTGGGCGCAGTGGCTCACACCTGTAATCCCAGCACTTCGGGAGTCCAAGGTGGGCGGATCAACCAAGGTCAGGTGTTCCAGACTAGCCTGGCCAACATGGTGAAACTCCCATTTCTACTAAAAATACAAAACTTAGCTGGGCATAGTGGTGGGCACCTGTAATTCCAGCTACTTGGGACTGAGGCAGGAGAATCGCTTGAACCTGGGAGGTGGAGGTTGCAGTGAGCCAAGATCCCGACACTGCCTTGGCTACAAGAACAAAACTCCATCTCAAAAAAAAAAAAAAAAAAAAAAAGTGAACTAGGAGAATCTATATTAAAGAACCCCTGTATCACCAGTGTGCCCCCTGACTTCATTTTGGGGGTTAGAACTGGTTATATAAGTAGGACTTATATAAGTAGGTTATATAAGTTATATAAGTAGGTTATATAAGTAGGACTTAAAAAAAAATGTAGCTCCCTCTAAGGAGGGAGGTTTGTGTGAAAAGACATTTTAGTGCAGTGAAACATTAAAGCAGAGATCCACGATGTCTGAGTCAATAGAACAGATTAGCAGCTGCTGAAAGATAGAAACCAAGTCTGAGCTGGTTGGTACTGGGAACAACTGCCTTAGCTAACAAGGCACTTGATCATTTTCCCCCCACATAAATATGCTGTTTGGCAGTGAATGTTTTCACTTAGGTTTCCCAAATTCCCTGCTTCTTCCTTAAAAATTTGTTTGGGGAAGGAATCTAATATGCTTAGCATATCAACTGTACTGTCTTTAGATAATGAGAAATGCGCTGAAAGACTATTTGCCACATTCTCTTTCAAAAATACAAACGTGTTAATTATAACCTCCAAAAAAGGCAAGAAGGATTTCATGCCTTTGCCCCTACACTTTCATCCATTTAGAATACCCTCCTCTCCTTCCATGCTCACCGATTTGGAATCTCTTAGTTTTTGTTTTGAGCCTGTTTCGAATGCTGCCAGAAGCCTGAGGTCCTCTTACCTTTTCACACCATCCCCACTCCCTAACCCCCTGCCACTTTGTATCTCCTCTGTGGCCCTGAGGTATTCTGATTTTTGTCTAAAATCTTAATCCCACCACAAACAAACCAGGGCTACAGGAATGAATCATCTTTATAAATTCCTCGTTTTTTTTTTTTTTTTAAATCAAAAGCTCAATAAACATTTGCATGAGTTACTGACAGAGAAGCAGCTTCAACGCTTTAAAAATGAAACTGAAACCAGCGGAAAATCTAAAACTGAACTCTATCAGTAAACTGAACTCTATCAGTTTATTAACATTACAGCAGGTCTCTGTTCTGGTGAACTCCCTGGTGCTCTTACTGCGTTACCCATTTTTGTTTTTTTCGCTGCACTCACCAGTCTAACAGTATCTGCCCACTGGATTCACAGCGCTGGCACGTGCCAAGCGCCTAATAATTGCTCACTGGTTTGGCGGCTGACTACCCAGGAGAGGAAATTAAACACAAAGGCAGTATTGATCATATTCAGTAGTGTTTCGTGCGTTTGGTTTGGAAGTGGGGATTGGGGAATGGCCAATCACTTCCAAATTTAAAATATTGCTTCCTGGAAGAAAATGGACTCCTCAAAGACTGGATATTTCATGTCTGTAGTCCCAGGACCTGGCCCTGCGTCAGGCACATTGTAGGTGTTGAAAATGCACCTGAGGAATTCTGAGTTGCGCGGAACTGTGTATTCCGAGCACAACGCGTCGTTAAAAACCAAACAAAGCAGAACAAACTTCGTTCAGAAGCGACTCCCGCTATACTTAGAAACTAGAATTGACCCCTGGCTGCAGGGTTCCGCTTTACCAACACACCGCAGGGAAAGGGCTTAGAAATAGTGAAAGCGGCCGGGGGCGGCGGGTCACGCCTCTAATCCCAGCATTTTGGGAGGCCGAGGCGGGTGGATCCCCTGAGGTCAGGAGTTCGAGACCAGCCTGGCCAACATGGTGAAATCCCGTCTTTACTAAAAATACAAAAAATTAGCCAGGGTGGTGGCAGGCGCCTGCAATCCCGGCTACTCGGGAGGCTGAGGCAGGAGAATCGCTTGAAACCGGGAGCCGGAGGTCGCAGTAAGCTGAGATCGCGCCATTGCACTCCAGCCTGGAAGAGTGAAAGCATGTAGGCTCTCGTTTCATGAAGACAAAGATGAGGATCACACCCACAACGACACAAACATGGTCTCTCAGGGTGACTTAGAAGCGAAGGAACAAAGTGCGCTGCCTGGGGAGGCTGGGTCTTGTAGAAGCAACAGGAAAGTAGAACGTGGTGTGGAAAGGGTTAAAACTGGCGCTCGGCGGGATACAGGGCTCTAGGTGCCTTAAAGAACACGCGGACACACTTGTTTGGCTTCTGTCGCGCTCCGTAGAATGAGTTCCCTGGGCCTCGGTGGGCCACGCCTCCGCAAAGAAGGACAACGCGAAGCTGCCCGCGTAGTGCCTGTTGCACTCGCCAAGGACCGGCCTGGCAGAGATAGAAAACTCGCAGTACGTTTGCCTCAGAACCGCCTCAATCCGGAAACAGAAACTCCCCAGGCCCGGCACTGCGGGAGCCACCTCTTTCGAGGGTGGGAGTGCACATGCGCACAGGGGACCTGAAAAACCCTTAAATACCGGCATGCGTGCGGATGAGGCCTCTTTCCCTGCCGCCGCCGAGTCGCGCGGAGGCGGAGGCTTGGGGTAAGTTGAGCGAGGCGGCAGGGGGGTGTATTGGTTATAATTTGTGGCTCGTTGCGTTCTTGCTGGGATTCGTGACGAGTATCTGGTTCTTTAACAAGTCAATGCTTTTGTTTTTTAGTGCGTTCAAGATTCAACTTCACCCGTAACCCACCGCCATGGCCGAGGAAGGGTGAGCCCAGGGGCCGGGGTTGGAGTTGGGGTCGGGGTGCGGCTGAGGCGTGGGGCTAGAGCTGGCGGAACAGGACTGGGTCAAACGGGTCGCCGTAAGCGCGTCTGTTGTACACTTAGCTTTTGCTGAGTGCAAGGCCTTATGTGGTGTGAGGATTTTAACTGATGGTTCTGATGTGTCGCGTTTAAGCATTGCTGCTGGAGGTGTAATGGACGTTAATACTGCTTTACAAGAGGTTCTGAAGACTGCCCTCATCCACGATGGCCTAGCACGTGGAATTCGCGAAGCTGCCAAAGCCTTAGACAAGTACGTGTATCAGTCTCAATACTGTGGGTTCTTGCAACCGGAACAAAACTGCCACCCAAGGGAAGAAGGCATGGAGTTCATGGTGTTAGCGCAAAAGTTCTGAATGGCATCCGTCCTACCGGAAACCTAGGAAAAGGTATCAGAACTCAGATCTATAAAGCCCACTTAAAATGTGTGGGTTGCTGTTTGGAATGGGGATAAGCACTCAAAACTACAGTGTTTGAATGATGACTTTAATTGTCGGATACCCCTTCACTCCTTTTATGAGTGAAACATAAGAGTCTGACAAACCTGTAGGTTGTGGAGCTAGTCAGTCTTATACTTATCTGGCAGATAGATGAGATGGAGAGCCACATTACATCTGGTAGTTTGCAAAACAAGCATTAATTTAATGGAATTTCAAACTCAGGTTTCAGAAGCATTTGGTCCTAGATGAATTTAGTAGTATAATAGCTGTGATTTATTTGAATTTGGGATATTTGTTAATGTATTTGAATGGATCGAGTTAATGTGTTTTTTAGGGTGGTGGCATTGACAAATCAACCTACTCTTGAGCTGAATTTAAATGCAGTTTTAAGGTTTTACAGGACAAGTTCGTTTTGGTGTAATCTAGCCAGTTCAATCCGATGGAAACGGCATTATTGTTTAATGTATTTAGTAGGTCCTAGTATGAGTCTTCTGTATTTCTATTTCGGCATTATTGCATGGCATTTCATAACTGTTCCATTAATGCCACAGTCTTTTTTTTTTCTTTTTTCTTTTTTTTTTTTGAGACAAAGAGTCTTGCTCTGTCCCCCAGGCTGGAGTGCAGTGGCGCGATCTCATTGCAACCTCTACCTACCAGGTTCAAGCGATTCTTCTGCCTCCCGAGTAGATGGAATTACAGGCACACGCCACCATGCCCAGCTAGTTTTTGTACTTTCAGTAGAAACGGGGTTTCGCCATGTTGGTCTCTGGCTGGTCTGGTACTCCTGACCTCGGGTCATCTGCCCCCCTCGTCTTCCCAAAGTGCTGGGATTACAGGAGTGAGCCATCGTGCCCGGCCTTTCACATGTTTCTTTAGGTATATGAAGCTGGCTTACAAGAAAGCTATTATGGTTGGGTTTTGGCCAGAAGTTTTAAAAATGACTTACACCAATTCAGTGTGTCAGGGACAGAGGTTTTACTGAAGACCAGTTGTAGGTTAATTGAAGATGTATATGCTCCCTAGCAGGTTCTTCAGACTCAAGCAATTTTGTACGCATTTATGTGTTCAGTGGATTGGCTGCTTATGTTTCGCAAGTGTTAGTGCAAAGATAACCCTCCTAAAATGCAAGAATGATGGATTTGGATCTGAGTTTTAGCTCCATTTTCATTGTAATTTGAATTTCAGGCGCCAAGCCCATCTTTGTGTGCTTGCATCCAACTGTGATGAGCCTATGTATGTCAAGTTGGTGGAGGCCCTTTGTGCTGAACACCAAATCAACCTAATTAAGGTAAGGCTGCTAAGGATTGTGTTGGGACTAATGTTCAGTGATGCTTGTATATGGGGGTAAATTCTGTGAAGTCTCAAGCTGTTCATTTTGTGCAGGTGTAAACATTACGTGCACCTGATACTGTCGGCCATTTTAAAGATGATTGTAGGTAGAAGCATTTTATACCTGCAGAATTGAATCCTAATTTTGACGTTGGTATACAACAAAGATTAGTAGCAGGCTTGTAGGTGATCTTAGTGCTGTACATGATGACAACTGGCTCCCTCTACTGAACTGCCATGAGGAAACTGCCATGTCACCCTTCTGATTACAGCCACCTTTTGGGTTTCATTTAATTTTGGTAGTGTTAATGTCTATTAATGTGATTTTTTTTTTTTTTAACCTTTCTCCCAATAGGTTGATGACAACAAGAAACTAGGAGAATGGGTAGGCCTTTGTAAAATTGACAGAGAGGGGAAACCCCGTAAAGTGGTTGGTTGCAGTTGTGTAGTAGTTAAGGTAAGTCACCGTTTATTCTAGGGATGAAGGTTATGCTGGGTAATCATATAAAACCTTGTATTGAAATAAGTTGAGGATCTTATAAAAGGAAAAAACTGATTCAACAGGTTTAAAGCATTTTCTGCATTTCAGGAAAAAAATAAAAGCTGTAATTTACAAGCCAGCCAATGAATCTGCTTACCTGATTGTGTTTGTGCAGACATACTTTAAAAACTGGCAATAGTAAAGCCATGTTACGAGCCTTAAGGACATTGAAGTCGTTAAGGTCCCTGAGAATGGCTATAACAAATCTTAGTGATGGGAAACATTTTTATAAGACATAGCTAATTGTTGAAGCTCCACTATAATTGATACTAATAGCTTGGTGAAATTCCTAAATATTAACAAGAAATTGCATGCGTGTTTTGTTTTTTTTAAGGACTATGGCAAGGAGTCTCAGGCCAAGGATGTCATTGAAGAGTATTTCAAATGCAAGAAATGAAGAAATAAATCTTTGGCTCACATTCCTCATGTCTGGCTTTTTATTTGGGGCAGTAAAATAAGGTCCCTGTTAGCAAAGTAAAATGTAATCATCGCAAAGTGATTGCTACAGATTAACTGGAAACTTGCTCTCAAAGTCTTCTCCCCAGCCAATGACTGCATCATGGGGCAATTCAAACCTGGACAGCCTTAGCAAAGATAGGTCTGCCATGCAGTGTTGGTGATGGCCAGGATTACTTAGCTATGGGCATTTATCCCTCACTAGACTAGCCTAGAATTTGGAGAGAGAGGTTGTGTTTTTAATAGATTGCAGTCTATGAAAGGACAGTGAGTAGACTTGCTGGGCAGGTTAGTAGAAAGTACACAGTTGGGCCAGGATCATATCTTGCATGTGGGACAAGTGTTATGATACCCAGGAATGCTTGTGGACATTCGTTTGACTTCTTTGGTTGGAGACGGAGTTTCACTCTTGTTGCCCAGGCTGGAGTGCAATGGCGCAATCTTGGCTCACTGCAACCTCTTTGTCCTGGGTTCGAGCGATTCTCGTGCCTCAGCCTCCCAAGCAGCTAGGATTACAGATGCCTGGCAATTTTTTTGTGTTTTTAGTAGAGATGGGGTTTCACCATATTTGGCCAGGATGGTCTAGAACTTAGACAGCAGGTGATCCACCAGCTTCAGCCTTCCAAAGTGCTGGGATTACAAGTGTGAGCCACCATTCCTGGCCTTTTGTGCAGGAGCGAGAGGGGCTTGAATGCACCCCAGTCCCTAGAAATCGCAGTGAGAGAAGCCATGGCTGGTGTTTGGTGTATTTTAAACTTGGATAAAGGTACCGTTAAAAGAATGTTGTGAGGCCATATACTTGGCCAATCCTGGTTTTGAAGACTATACCAAGGTTTTTCTTTGCGTCTTAAACCTTGATTGAGAATCTCCGAGTAGGGTCTCCCGTACTGGTTGGTTTGGTAGTTATAGCTAAAGCTGGTTGACCTTAGCATGGTAGTGACATTGAGTACCCTCATGGAAAGCAAGGAGCTCTGAGAGATTTTTTCTGAAGTGTGTATAACCTGGAACTGTGTGTTAACATTGAAATTGTCAACCTCATGTACTCTGGCTTTTCTGAGGAAAGTTCACTTTGAATTCTAGTTTCCTTGTATGACCAATCTATGTAGACATTTTTGAGTGCCTGTTGCATATTTTTTGGTGGAGATGGGGTTTCACCACATTGTCCAGGCTCAGATTTTTTTGTTTTGTTTTGGTGTTTCCATGTCCACTGTCATCTCAGCTGCAAAACACCAAAGTCAGAAGGAATGTTAATCTCCCAAGTTTTTTTGTTGTTTTTGTTTTGTTTTTTGAGACAGTCTTCACTCTGTCACCCAGGCTGGAGTGCAGTGGCACGATTTCAACTCATTGCAACCTCTGCCTCCAGAGTAGCTGGGATTACAGGCGCATGCCACCATGCCCAGCTAATTTTTGTATTTTTAGCAGAGATGGGGTTTCACCATGTTGGCCAGGCTGGTCTGGAGCTCCTGACCTCAGGTGTTGGATTGGCCTCCCAAAGTGCTGGGATTACAGGAATGAGCCACTGTACCTGGCCCCAAATCTAACCTTGAACTCTGCATCTTCCCTTACTGTTGCTCTGTGTTTGCTCCAAGTCATTAAAATGTCTCCATCCTCAGACTTTGTCGGTTTTCTGGCTGTTGTCCTCCAGCAGCTTCTGGTCAAATGCAGTGGCTCAATCACAGCCTTTTCCTGACCTCCAGGATTTTAAGTACTGTTGTGTTAGCATTTTGACCTTTACCACATTTCAGTTCTTTCTCTTATTCTGCCTGTGCTTTCAATTGTAATAGTTTCCAGAGTTCAGGTGAGCATGTTTGCTTCTCTGCAGCCTTCCTGAGACATTCTCCCACTCCCACAGCTTCCCCTGATTCCCAAGTCTATTTTGTTTTCTTTGATCAACTCTAAGCTGTACCAGACAATTTCCCAAGGAAGACCCACTTGCTCTTCAAATTTTGCGTGCCTTGAAGTGAACTTTACCATCACTAACATGTTTTTGTTAGAGGAAAAGAAAGCTGACTGTGTGGTATGCACCATACTGCATTCATTATCACTTGTTACTGCGTACCACTTTCCCAAGCCAAAGGCCTTGGCATCCTCAACTCCTACCTGCGCTGTATAGGTCTTACTACTGTCAGTCTCATCCAGATGATTTTCAAGACATGAGTCACTCCACTCCAGTTACTCATCCAGACTTCTGAGTTACAGTTATTGAAAAGTGATCATGTCCATCTCTTCATAACTTTGGTTTGTTCTGTTTGAAGTACCTCTACTTTTCTCCATCTAGATATCTCCTACTCATTCTTCAAAACTCAGTGCAAATGTAATGTCGGCTTCAGAGTGTGATTTGCCTGTGTAGCTTATATGGAATTCACTGGGGAGCCCACTGAAGCAAAAGTGCCAGGACAGAAGCAGATGTCTTCATTGTTTTATGGGGGAAAATTGTTTTATGACATTGGTTGCTGTGTGTGCTCAGAATCTTGTTGAGGACATCCCTCATGAACCCAAAAGGAGAGCTGTTTGAGCCTAGCACTTGATGTTTTCTTGCACCCATGGACAATGAGACTTGTGACTGCCTGTTTTCTTTGGCTGTAAGAGCCTCCAAATGAAAGACTCAATTTTCTTTCTGTTCTTTATTCTTTTTTTTTTTTTTTTTTTGCCTCATTGTGATTTTATTAGCGTATTCTATGTATTTCTGATAAACCACTTTAAATGCTTTAAAAAATGAATGAGAGGCCAAGCGCGATGGCTCACCCCTTAATCCCAGCACTTTGGGAGGCCAAGGCGGGCGGCTCACGAGATCAGGGAGTTTGAGACCAGCCTGGCCAACAGGGTGAAACCCTGTCTCTACTAAATACAAAAAATAGCTGGGTGTGGTGGTGGGTGCCTGTAATCCCAGCTACTCGGGAGGCTGAGGCAGGAGAATCATTTGAACCCCGGGACGTGGAGGTTGCAGTGAGACAAGATCGCGCCATTGCACTCCAGCCTGGGAGACAGGGCAAGACTCCATCTCAAAAAAAAAAAAAAACATCTAAAGAGAAATTGTAAAAAGGCTGTATTAGACTGCTGTTATAAACAAGTACTGTCAGTCTTTAACTGGATTGTTGAGGCAACAGAAGCATTACATAGACAGCTTATAAACCGTAGGAAAGTGTGGAAACATCTGCTAGGCTTACTGAGGACTAGCCCTTAATGGAGTTTGAATTTCTTTTTTTAAATGAGTTCGTTATTTAAAGAGTTGTGCTCAAGGACTATGTTAATCACAAGTACTCCTGAGAGCCACTGAGAGAGAAGAGACTATGTAGTCAAGGAATAAGGTCAGTAGCCATCACCACTCCAGGAAAAGGATGGGACAGGCTGATGGCAGAGAAGGGTACAGCATTGTCCTCCCAGCCAGGCATTTTCAGAAAGGTCAATCCATGTGCTAGAAGAACAACTTCAGCAGTAAGTCCTAGCAAAAGAGATGGCGTGGTTAAGGAGGTGACCTGGGGAGAGGCCACCAGACTCACTCAGGGCACCAGTCTGACTCACTGCTGGTGGCTTGGGATATAGAAGTATCGACACATCAGAATGTTCAGAAGGATTGGGACCAAGCCGATCCCAGGCAAAAATAAATCATGAGTTCCTTTTTGAAAACATGTTTTGACACTTCAAATATAACAGTACATCTCAATTCAAATTGCTTTATCATAAGTGAGATGTTTCAGCCAGCTCTTTTCCCAGAGTTTACAGATCATAATCTTAGTGTGTTGATAAGTTGTATTCAAATCTGGCTTTTGCTTGGGAAGGCTTACAAATACTGGGGAGGAGGATGAATCTTCCTCCTAAGGATTCTTCACCTATGTTGATGGGCAGTTTTCTAAGCTCTTCCCTACTTTGTGTAAAACATTCCTCAGAGTATTTTTTCTCCCCTTTTCCTCCTCCTCTTTCTTCCTTTCTTTTTTTTTTTTTTTGCTAAATGTTCAGTGACGGTCTTCATCACCACACTTTTAATTTGGCTTCCACAGTACCTTAGTTTTTGGAAGGAAATGTGCCAGAGAAGAGACAGAAGTGTCTTTTTGTTGTATTTTTCCATCTCTTTTGAGTTCGTTTTTTAAATATGAATTAACCAAACTGAGTGACAAAGATTGTGAAGATAGAAACCCTGGTGATCCTCCTGAGACCCTACCAATCAGTGAGGTTCTATTTGCCTTTCACTTTTTGATGATAAAGGGAGAGAAAAAAATTTTTGGTTTTTTTTTTGGTTTGTTTTTTGTTTTTTTTGAGACAGTCTCGCTGTGTCACCCAGGCTGGATTGCAGTGGCACAATCTCGGCTCACTGCAGCCTCCGCCTCCCGGGTTCAAGTGATTCTGCCTCAGCTTCCCAAGTAACTGGGACTACAGGCATGCGCCACCATGCCTGGCTAATTTTTGTATTTTTAGTAGAGACGGGGTTTCACCATATTGGCCAGGCTGGTCTCAAACTCCTGACCTCGTGATCCGCCTGCCTCGGCCTCCCAAAGTGCTGAGATTACAGGTGTGAGCCACTGTACCCAGCCAGGGAGAGAAAAAATCGTAAAGCATCAATTCAGAATGTTTTAGTTTAGAAAACCTTTATTAGGCCAATTTCAAATAAAAGAATAGGCATAGCTGTAAGTATATTCATCACAGAGCTACAATACTTTGTGTTGATGGAGAATTGAATAAAATATATGTTTACTTAATGGGATATTAGGGTGCCACTGAAATAGTATAGAAGGGCATTTGTTAATATACATGTTTTGAAAAGTAGTTGAACGTACAATAGGATAGCATTTTCTAGAAAAAGAAAAGGAGGAAATACTAAAATAATATAGAATATAAAGGGGCCGAGAGTGGTGGCTCATGCCTGTAATCCTAGCACTTTGGGAGGCCAAGGTGGGCGCGGATCACCTGAGGTCAGGAGTTCAAGACCAGCCTGGCCAACATGGTGAAACCCCATCTCTACCAAAAATACAAAAATTAGCTAGGCATGGTGGCAGGCGCCTGTAATCCCAGCTACTCGGGAGGCTGAGGTGGGAGAATCTCTTGAACCCAGGAGGCAGAGGTTGCAGTGAGCCAAGATCGCACATTGCGCTCCAGCCTGGGCAACAGAGGGAGACTCAGTCTCAAAAAAAAAAAAAAAAAAAAAAAAAAAAAAAAAAAAAAAAGAATATAAAGGTACATGCTGGCAGAGAAGACAGGTTGGAAGGGTATACATCAAGGTGTTAATGTTTCTAGGAAGGTTTTCCATTTGCTTGTTTTCTTTTTCCTCTAATCAACATGTATTGCTTTTGAAGTAAAATATTTATTTTTATTTTTTAAAGGAAAGTTTACTTGGAAGAAACCCAAGCAGGCACTGAGAAAGAAGGCCAAATGCCAATAAAACATTTTAAATTAAATGAAATAAAGATACAGTACATTCTTGGGGTTAATTTTGAGTGCCATTAATAATCTTTTTAAAAATTTATGTTTTGTGAATCAAGTGAGTTTATATACTTGTCTGTACTTTAAGTTGTAAAAACAAAACTGCTTAAAACGAATGAATTCATGCCTAGCCAGCAGAGGGCAGTAAGAAACTGATGCCAGCTGAGGGACAGGTCAGTGAAAAACAGGAAGACAAGGTAAGAAGCAGGGACTATAGCAGGTTCACCCTAGGAAAAGATTCTTATCGCATTCTGTGAAGATTTTGAGAATTCTGTTTGTAGGAATAGAGATTATAGGATATTGTTGAGCTTAGTTTACTATTTCTGGTTGCATTTATTTGCTTTTTACAAACTGTTATCCATCATTTGGATTGAGTTTAATGAAAGCTTCCAATAATAATAACAATACCAAATTAGCCTTGCTCTTAGACCATTTACATTTAAACTTTTTAAATACTAAAGGACATTGGCATTAATTTTCTAACTCACATAACATTATTTCAATTAGTTGTAATTTTAAGTAGTTAAGTAGTTCAAGTTTTTTTTTTTTTTTTTTTTTTTTTTTTTTTTTGAGACAGAGTATCGCTTTGTTGCCCAGGCTGGAGTACTGTGGTGCGATCTCGGCTCACTGCAAGCTCCGCCTCGCGGGTTCACGCCATTCTCCTGCCTCAGTCTCCCGAGTAGCTGGGACTACAGGCGCCCGCCACCACGCCCGGCTAATTTTTTTTGTATTTTTAGTAGAGACGGGGTTTCACCGTGTTAGCCAGGATGGTCGCGATCTCCTGACCTCATGATCTGCCTGCCTCGGCCTCCCAAAGTGCTGGGATTACAGCCGTGAGCCACTGCGCCCGGCCAGTTTAAGTTTTATAAATGATATCAATTAGAATTCTGTAACCACCAGTGGACACTGGCTGTTTTTTATCTTTCTTCCAAGGTTACTAATTTTGCTCAATTGCAATATATATGTGTGAAATACAAATAAATTATAAAAATTTAAACCGTTGATTTTCAATGTTTTCTCCACCATACTGAGAATATGCCTAGAACTACCCGAAGAACAAGTTTCCAGAGAAAGCCTATTCTGGAAAATGGGCATAATTTGGAGATGATCAAGGCAAGGGGTATACTTTGGAGATTAAATTCTCCACACCATAGCTCCATGGAAGCATCATCTATGTTCTGAGCCTTTATCTCCCGTGCCTAGGACAGTGCGTGGTGTAGTAGGAACTCAGATATTTCAATTGTTTGTTTGTGGGCTTTCTTTTCAGTCTTAAACTCCTCAGCCTTTTTTCACCCTCTATTTTTTAAGGTTCCTTTTCCTCTGGCAACGAAAGTAAGTCTCTAGGTTGGGCTGCTTTGAGTCGAGTGTGGAGCCAAGCTGTCTCAACTTCCTTTCTCTCCAGCTCCACTCTAGGGAGCAGGGCATAGAAACATATCCTATCACAATATGGAGTACATGGCTCTAAGAAGCTGAAAAAATACGTTTAAAGGCCATTGTGAGACCTGGGAACAGTAAAAAGCATGTGAATTCAGAGAAACTATTTTTACATTGCAATAAGTTCTTTTTTGAAGCTTATTTATCGAGACATATGCCAACAGCACGGAATTATATGAGTGATGTGAATTAAACCTTACACAAATGTAGTATTTGTCTTTTTATTTTTCCTTCTCTCAACTACCCCCAACTAAAATTTACAAATGGATATAAAAATCCTGTTTGTACTTGGTTGGCTCGTTAGAGAAATACCGAGTCAAAGGTCTGTGATATTTCACAGTGCTGCCCCCAGGTGAAAAGAAGCAAAATGCACATTAAAAAAAAATAAATATGAGATCCATAAGGGGAAAATAAAATATTAGCATATAAAATGCTACAAATTAAAAAGCCTGCCTTCTCCTGTAGATTTGAAGCTGGATAAACTTGATGGATTCTAGGAGTCAGCAGATGTTTTGCTAAATGGGTACATGTTGTGTCTTGCAGGGAGGTACTTAGCCCCACGAGGGTCGTAACGTGATGCAGCTATGCCACTCTTTCAGGAGGAAATACACATATAATTTAAGAAGAAATTAAAACCTTTTCTACATTTCCCCACAAGCTTCATTTTGAAATAAAATTATCCTTTTCAAAATATTATATTCCAAATTTCTATCATGTGAAGACTCTAGAAAAGTTTACTCTAAAATAATGAAAATGATAACATAATGTGAACGATGCTAAAGTGCAAAAGCAGAATTCAGAGTTGTATGTGAAGAGGAAATGATATACAATAAATCTGTTAGATTTTTTAGTAGCATCATCAAGGCATAAAAGGCGGACTTGTCATATTAACTTTGTTGTTGCCTAGTGTTGTCTCGTGAAGTGAGTCTCATTCAAAGTATTTTGGGTTGCACTGCTGCCTTCTGGAAATGCTCGGTATAGAATACAGGACAGATGAAGTTTAACAGTCACTTTGGTTTGACACTACTGTGTTGGGTTGCAGTAAAAATAAAACCGATAAGAAGTGAGCTGGTCTTCAAATAAACTTCTATATTGCAGTAAAACTGCGAAGGTGTTTCTCCTGTCATAGCAATGGGCAACAACACGACCTTTTGTGAGTCAGAAACCTGCCTGGCCAATGAATCCAATACATCCCAGTACGGGACACTTTTAAAGTCCGTGTTCAAAGTTTATTTGCAGCAAATGGAGGTAATGCTTTAAAAGCAGAAGTATTAGGCTGGGTGCAGTGGCTCATGCCTGTAATCCCAGCACTTTGGGAGGCTGAGGCGGTGGGCAGATCACCTGAGGTCAGGAGTTCAAGACCAGCCTGGCCAGCATGATTAAACCCTGTGTCTACTAAAAATACAAAAATTAGCCAGGCACGGTGGCACATGCCTGTATCCCAGCTATTCAGGAGGCTGAGGTGGGAGGATCACTTGAACCTGACAGGCAGAGGTTGCACTGCAGCCTGGGTGACAGAATGAGACTCCATCTCCAAAAAAAAAAAAAAAAAAAAGCTGTATTTCTTGCTGGTGTTGGGGAGGAGGCAGTGGGAAAAAGAGACAGAGAAAGTGAGGGAGGGATGGAGAGGGAGGGAGACAGAGGGAGAGAAAAATGTTCAGGTCACTATAAATTAGTACAGAGGATTCTTGTTATTTTTTTTGCCCCACGCTGGTGATTTTCTCAAGTTAAAAAATGAAAACAAAATGCCAGCATTCACTTTTTATTTTGGAAATTCAGCTTGATGCAATCGTTAGTTGAAAATAAATATAAATAGGCCGGGTGCGGTGGCTCATGCCTGTAATCCTAGCACTTTGGGAGGCTGAAGCGGATGGATCACGAGGTCAAGAGATCGAGACCATCTTGGCCAACATGGTGAAACCCCATCTTTAATAAAAAGACAAAAATTAGCTAGGCGTGGTGGCGGGTGCCTGTAGTCCCAGCTACTCAGGAGACTGAGGCAGGAGAATCACTTGAACCCGGGAGGCGGAGGTTGCAGTGAGCCGAGATTGTGCCACTGCACTCCAGCCTGGCCACAGAGCGAGACTCTGTTTCGAAAAAAAAAAAAAGAAAATGTAAATAAACTGAATATTATCTGACTGATTCCACTTTCACTGCATTGGATAGAACTGAGTAACTGTTTTCTCTGGAGATCACAGAAAGTCTCAATTGAAATAGCATTTTATTGAAGTGAAAAGAACTTACAATCATTGTCAGTTCACGGATTTGTACTTGTGCTGAAAATCTTTAAGGCAGCAAATAAAATGTTCCTCTACCTGTGCACTTTAACTCTATTCTCCTACTAAGACATTCTAATTTGAAAATTAGGGCCGGGCGCGGTGGCTCACGCCTGTAATCCCAGCACTTTGGGAGGCAGAGGCGGGCGGATCACGAGGTCAGGAGATCGAGACCATCCTGGTTAACACGATGAAACCCCGTCTCTACTAAAAATACAAAAAAATTAGCCGGGCATGATGGTGGGCGCCTCTAGTCCCAGCTATTCCGGAGGCTGAGGCAGGAGAATGGCGTGAACCCGGGAGGCGGAGCTTGCAGTGAGCCAAGATCGCGCCACGGCACTCCAGCCTGGGTGACAGAGCGAGACTCCGTCTCAAAAAAAAAAAAAAAAAAAGCAATATATTTAATAATATTTATATTGCCTTATCTAAATTGGAAGACAAACAAAAAATAATATATGTATATTATTTTATTTATTTGTTTTTTCTTTTGAGATGGAGTCTTGCTCTGTCACCCGGGCTGGAATTCAGTGGCATGATCTCAGCTCACTGCAGCCTCCACCTCCCAGGTTCAAGCGATTCTCCTGCCTCAGCCTCCCGAGTAGCTGGGATTACAGGCATAAGCCACCACACCCAGCTAATTTTTGCATTTTTAGTAGAGACGGGGTTTCACCATATTGGCTAGGCTGGTCTCAAACTCCTGACCTCAGGTGATGCACCCACTTTGGCCTCTCAAAGTGCTGAAATTATAGGTGTGAGCCACCGTGCCTGGCCCCAACATATAAATAATATGTAAATAATAACAAAACTCAGTAGAGTTGAGTGGAAGATCATGTAAGCCAGCTCCTTTTAACCTTGTTCTGTGATTCCAGAATTCTATAGACTCTTTGATTTCTACTTCAGTGACTTGATAATAATAGTTAAATAATTGTGCAAATAAATAATGGGGATTTATTTTATAATAACATCTTGTTATCTTAGGGGATTCCCAAATTGCTTCATTTTTTATTTTAGTCTTTTGAAGAGAGTCTACCATGGTGGAAGGACTCTTACATAATACAAGGGTTTATTTAAGACTAACCATTTAATATAAAACAAGAAGGTATATTTATGTTTATGATGATCATTTCCCAAAGTTAGCTTATTGTTAAAAGATGCAAAATTCAGGGAATTAAAGCAAACAACCCAAACTATTATAGTATTCTTCTTAATGACATAAGTGATCTTCTTTAATACTGTCACCAAAGGTAAATAAATATTAATGACAATTGTGATTTTCCTGAGTGTCAGCAGCCACCTTGTCTCTATTATCATTATTGGTTTTGTTATTTTCTAGAAGTAATTATATGGCCAGACCAAAATGTGACCTTCCTACTTTCTTTCCTGTGTTTCTGGAGAACATGCTTTCTCTTGCCTCTAGAGAATTTAGGCCTGATGTGACAATATTTTTCCACTGCAGATTCTACTGGAATTAGAGTCTGAGGTTTTTCTGTTTTTTGTTTGTTTGTTTGTTTTTTTCTTGAGACGGAGTTTCACTCTGCCGCCCAGGCTGGAGTTCAGTGTTGCTATCACGGCTCACTGCAACCTCTGCCCCCCGAGTTCAAGCAATTCTCCTGCCTCAGCCTCCCAAGCAGCTGGGACTACAGGCGTGCACCACCATGCCCAGCTAATTTTTTTGTATTTTTAATAAAGACGGGGTTTCACCATGTTGATCAGGCTGGTCTCGAACTCCTGACCTCAGGTAATCTGCCTGCCTTGGCCTTCCAAAGTGCTGGGATTACAGGTGTGAGCCACTGCGCCTGGCCGAGTCTGAGTTTTTAAGATGGAAGAGATTTGAGAAATGGTCTAGTTTGATTCCTTCATTTTCCAAATGAGAAGATAGAACCCCAAGTTCCAGGACATGACCCAAGAAGCCTTTGAACATTGGGTAAACTGACTGATTATAGGATTTGCCATTTTGTCGAATATTAGAATTGTTTGTATTTAATATAAGTAGAAGGATTATTATTATTATTATTTTTAGACAGAGTCTTGCTCTGTCGCCAGGCTGGGGTGCAGTGGCGTGATCTTGGCTTGCTGCAACCTCCACCTCCCAGGTTCAAGTGATTCCCCTGCCTCAGCCTCCCAAGTAGCTGGGACTACGGGCACACACCACCACACCCAGCTAGGTTTTTGTATTTTAGTAGAGACAGGGTTTCACCATGTTAGCCAGGATGGTCTTGATCTCCTGACCTCGTGATCCACCCGCCTTGGCCTCCCAAAGTGCTGGGATTACAGGCGTGAGCCACCGTGCCCAGCCCTGAAGAATTATATTTTATAAATTGGTAGGTAGCTTCCACAAAAGGCATGTAGAGATTTGGAAGAAAACTGTTTATACAAAGCTAAAACTCAAATGTACAAACATAGTATTCCATAAGCCATTCATTTGCAATGCTCTGCACTTCTGAGGTTTGCTGTGCAAAAACTGTGCAATATTTTCCTGATCTCTACTTATTTCGTACTATCCAGACCAACAACAGTGGTTCAGCATGGTGAATTCTCCAGAAAGAGGGATCTACAACACTGAGTCTTGTCAAGCCTTCAGTAGGGGAGCAACACAGGTGAATTAATAAGGCCAAGGAGACACGTTTAAAGAAAAGGGAAGAGAAGGGGAGCTATTTGCCCAGAAAACAGTGATTTGAAGAAAACCAGTCTGGAAGTGTATGATGAGGGTACATTTTATAAAAGATTACAGCAGCTGCTTTGCCTTGCCATGAAATAAACAAATAAGAATTAATTTTTAGAAGCGGTTATAATAACTTTAAATGAGGAGTGTTGCTACCTATAATTGATTGTAAGGGGAATTGGGCTTTTAAATATAATACTGGGTTAAGTACACATTCTTCTGAGACCCTGTCAGCAGAATGCTGATGTTTGTAATTGGAAAAGAGAATGTCTCTTAAGGATCTCTTTAACTAGTCAGCCTAAAACACAGATTCTCATCCTCAACTAGAATGCTATTCCTATTCACAAAAACCTGGGGAACATGATCACATTAATGCCCAAGAGATTTATAGCAAGAATAAGAGCAAAAGAAAATCTATGTATTTTTGAAGACATGGACTTCCCTAGTGGATATGTTTTCAGATTCTAAGAGTTAGAGGTAAAAATAAATTTTTAAAGTTTATTTTTTTAAAGTTACTTTATTATTTGTATCTACTTTGGTAAAATTCCAAAATAAGACAGTGATTTCTACTGTTTTGGTTAACTTTTGCCTTCCTCATACTCTCTGTGAGTATTCTAAATTTGAGACTGTTGGTGATAAATCAATTTCCTGAGAACACTTTAGCTAATATTAAAACTTAATATATATGGTTATTATTTTTAAAGTTTACTTTTTTCATGTTTACATTGTAAAAAATAAATGACTGAAATTTAGGTAACATGAGGAGAGCAATATTCTGAAAAATGAGGTGAAGTACCAATTTAATGTTTAGATAAGGACCAAAATTTCTTTAGAATAACTTTTATTTAAAGACATATCAAATTTAAGACATTATTATGACATTGTCAATTTGAATAAGATTGGTTTTTAATCTATGGCTAGAGAAAATTTATAAAAGAGCCAACAGTCTCTAGTTTGTAGTTTTATCCAATTTTACTTTTCATTCCTTTCGAGGGTAATTTCATTACATTCTATCCAGCAAACAGGAGATGGCAGCATTACTTCAGCCGTTCAAAAAGACACTCAATCCCTTCTGAAAAGAGAAGGCTGGGAGCTGATGGAGAGTAGAGATTTAGCAGCAGGTGCTACAATGTACATAGAACAGAGGAATGTATGTTTCCTATGTAGGGTACATAGGAAACAAATGTGAAATAAAACTGTTTAATGCCTCTGAATGCTGCAGATTTTTACGCATATTTTCCAGTGTAACAGGCCCTTCCCCTGTAAAAGTGAAATGGGTCAGATGTTGAGATTTTTATGGGATTTAGAAAGCTGTGCATGCATAACAAAGAGCTTGGCTCTACAGCTGTAGGATTTTTAATCTCTGTTTTTTTATGGAGTAGTAATTTTCTAAGAACACTAGACACTCATTTTCTTTATTTCTTCTCAAATTTCTAAGCATACATTAATAATAATATGGAACTTGGGTCTCAGGTCAAAAAAATACATACATGATCCAAACTACTGATATCTGCTACAACTGTTAATGCAGGAGATAAAATATTAGATTGGTAAATCCATGGACCTCAAGGCCTCAGCTCGTTTTTCATGTCAATTGGATACCTCTCCTTGAGGAAGCAACTTCTAAGGAACACAGATCTGTAATATACAAACTGGGTTTATTTTGTTGAATTTTTTTATATATCTGTAAATAAATTTACTTATGTTTTGTTTGTGAAAAATTTGGAATAGTCTTTCTTAGCTTCTTTCAGGAAATCTAACCAGCCACTTGGAAAATCAAAAATTTTATTAACTTTAAGTAAAAGAAGAGAAATAAAGGCCTAAATAGAAGTTTCCTTGATGCTGATATTAGACCTTTAACCCTGGTTAAGGAAGAAAAGATTCAAAGAATTATTCAAAAATTCAAAGAAAAGATTTAAAAATTGTCTCCATTCTTTGAATGGAGACTTGCCTTCCAGCCTTTATCTTCATTTTAAATTCTATATTCTTAGGAGCCTTGTTTAGGAGATATTTCTCCAAACCCTATTTTTAAAATGTGGATTTTTGTTGTTCATTTTAACTAACATCTGAGCTTTAATTTCCTCATATCTGCACATAATCTGCTTCAGGCTATGATTGCTTTTTTTTTTCTCTTTTGAGAAAGCAACCTTTCCATGTTGGCATAAATTTGACTTGTATGTACTAAGCAGAACATTTTATTAATATGCTAACCATTTTTCCATTAAAATCCAAGGCTATCACATACATAAATATAGCTTTTATGGGTTCACCAGAGATTCAAACGTGAACCTGAAATTTAGTCTACCACTTGGCAGCTTATGTCAACTGGCAGGGCTACTATATCAGAAATAATGACTTGAGTGTGAGTTTGAATAAATGAAAACCATAGATGTTTAATCATAATGCAGTCAGAGGTTTATCCTGGGCTCCATAAATAGTGGGGAGGGCAAAACTGATCTTGAAACATTTTTCACTTTTCTTTTTCAATATGTTCTGCCTTCTCATTAAGTAATTGTGAACAAGGACACTGGTACTAATTTTTAACCCTCTTTGACATGCTAAGGGCTTTAAAATGTGATATTTGACAGAGTCTTGGTCTATTTGTAGGGCCAACCACTGAGCATCAGATTGGAGATTCTTATGGTGTCCATACTAAGGCCTTTGAAAAGTGATAACTCAGAGAGGTGAATGCAAGGGCTTTTAAGATGTCTGTGTCTGTACCTGTATCTGTATCTCTCTCTCTTTCTCTCTCTCATTTTGTGGTTGGTCAACATACACTGGCTTTATAGTCAGGGGAGCTTGGATGTGAATCCTGCTTTGGCAGTTACTGATTGTGAAACAACAGAGAAGTCATTTCACTTATATGAACCTCATGTTTTTTTCTCTAAAATAGTTATAATAATACCTGTCTCATAACGTTTTTGTGAGGATGAGATGATATGTATAAAGTGCTTTTGTCCAGTGTCTCAAACATAAATAATGGTGGTTGTTATTATGATACAGAATTATCAGAGCAAATTTAAATGTATATAATATTTTTAAAGAATACAATTTGTTTACTTTTTCTTTGCAAAACCCTACCCTATATAAAGATAGTTTTAAGATCTGTTAAAAGTCAAATATTCCCTATAGAATAGGTTATAACTTTTAGTTACACAGTGCTTGAGACAATGTATTTGTGTAACCTTCTCCGAAAAGTTTTATAAATAGCTTTCATAGGCCATGGACTTTATTAGGGTCCCAGTCCTAAGGGGTCTATAGAAGCCTGTCTAAAGATTATTTAGAAAGATTATAGAAAACTGTTCAGTCCAATGGGTGTTTATATCTGTTCAGACCCTTGCTCTTGGCTTCAGCTCTCAACTGTGGCTTTGTGCCCCTGTTGTTAAGCGCATTGATTGTAGCCACTTAGAGCTGTTGCTGCTCTGAACAGCATTGCCCAAACAGAATATTCATTTTTGCACACTATTTACTGAGTGTTTAACACAATGTTTTACTTTATGTAGAATTTTTTTTGTCACCTAAGAAACAAAACGAGTTTAAATATTTCATTTAAATATTTCCAAAGTCTAGGCCTTCGGCCTTGGAAGTTCTTTGACGTTGAGTCCTTTGTGTTTTCTTTCAGTTACAATTCAGGTCTTTGAGCAATGAGGTCAGATAATCTTGTTCCTTGCTCTTAGTTCTTCTCTGCCTGCCCTTTCTTATCTCTCCCGGCCCCTCATTTGTACAGCCCAAATTAGCCTATAGATTGCATCTTTGGTTAAGAGTTTCTCGAAGGTAGGGAACACACTTCTTATGTGCTTTCCTCAATGGCTAATTAAGATATTTCGTTCAAAAGTACTTAAAATGAGGACATTAATATGATCTATGATCACATTTTCTGTGTTGGGGGTGCCAAATACTATTTGCACTGACAAATATGATTAAGCTAAAATGGGGGCTCTTAATTCTGGAAACATGATAATTGAATACTGTAACAGAGATGATGAATAGTACAGATTGAAAAAACAGTCTCCCATTACCATTTAGGTTAATCCATCGAATAATTAAATAAAAAATCTCCTTTACATATGGAATAGACAACACATTACTCCAAGAGATGATATATGCTGAAAAGGGAAAGATTTGAATAAGTATAGAGGAAAGTTGTAGAATGAATAATCAAAGGAAGCCGCATATTTTGAGTGTGTCTCTATACTTTAAGGCTAATGTCAGCCGCCGCCATCTTGGGATCTCTGCCAAGATTGAGCCATCCTACTGGACTGGTAGGACCCTGGCTTTGACAGTAGGGCTGTTGTTATGTTTTCGGGAGTAACAGAGAATAGAATTGCAGTTTTAATTTTAAAATTATTTTGTCTTTGTCTCCAGCACCCTTCATCATCCTTACCTAATAAAACCCCTGTCCTGGTTCATACAACACTTCTTCTCATCCATTCCTGCACCACACAGCTGAACATTATTGCAGAAAAGCACACAACCAAGCCAACTTGTTTCCTCTCAGTGTATAAGGATGTAGATAGGAGGTTAGATGTGGAGGTAGCAACTTGGGAATGTTATTTCCTGATTTTTTTTTTTTTTTTTTTTTTGAGAGGGAGTCTTGCTCTGTTGCCCAGGTGGAGTGCAGTGGCGCAATCTCGGCTCACTACAAGCTCCGCCTCCCAGGTTCACGCTATTCTCTCGCCTCAGCCTCCCGAGTAGCTGGGACTACAGGCGCCCACCACACGCCCAGCTAATTTTTTTGTATTTTTAGTAGAGATGGGGTTTCATCTTGTTAGCCAGGATGGTCTCGATCTCCTGACCTCGTGATCCGCCCGCCTCGGCCTCCCAAAGTGCTGGGATTAAAGGCGTGAGCCACCGCGCCCGGCCTTTCCTGATTGTTTTTATTTTCTCTCAATGGAATAAGGAAGTAAGCTCATTAGCCAGAAAGAGGATGAGGGAGGAGGAGGTGGTGGAGATTTTAGGTGAAAGGAGGGTGACAGAGTAAATAGACAAAGCATGTGATCCTATATTCCCTTAAGCTGTGGTCCTAATTTCTTGATTCCTATTTATAGCAAAACTCAGCAAAAGAGTTGTCTGTTCTCCCCATTGTTAGCTCCACTTCCAGTTGATCTTGAACTCACTTCAATAAGGTATTTGCTGTCAACATTTCTCTGAAACTTGTCTTCTCAAAGTCACTGGTTATTTCCATGTTCCTAAATTTAATGGTTCATTCTCAGTCTTTTAACTTTCTTGACATCTGGGTGGCATTTGACAGTTGATCACTCCTTCCTCTGTGAAAGACTTTCTTTACTTGCCTTCTAGAATCCTCTACCCTTCTGTTTTTTTCCTGCTTCATTTGCTTCTCCTTCTCAGTCACATTGCCAATTTCTCCCCTTGTCTCTGTCCTAAATATTGCAAACTCAGGTTTCCTTCCTGGATCTCTTCTTTTTTCTATCCACACTCACTCTCTTGGTGATTTTATCCTTATGTATGTGGAGGGCTTCCCAATTTACATCTCCATTCCAGACCTTTCCCCTAATCTCCAGGTGCATGGACTTAACTGCTCACTTGACATTTCTACTTGGATGTGTAACAGGCTTCTCTAATCAAACTTCTGATCTTTCCTCAAAAAATTTACTCTACTCCTAACTCTTCCTTATTACTCTAAGGACAACTCTTTTTCCTTTCTTTTCTTTTCTTTTTTTTTTTTTTTTTTTGAGACAGAGTCCTGCTCTGTCGCCCAGGTTGGAGTGCAGTGGCGCCATCTTGGCTCACTGCAGCCTCCGCCTCCCGGGTTCATGAGATTCTCTTGCCTCAGCCTCCTGAGTAGCTGGGATTACAGGTACACACCACCATGCTCGGTTAATTTTTTTTGTATTTTTAGTAGAGACGGGGTTTTGCCATGTTGGCCAGGCTAGTCTCTAACTCCTGACCTCAGGTGATCCACCTGCCTCGGCCTCCCAAAGTGCTGGGATTACAGGCATGAGCCACCACACCTGACCAACTCTACCTTCTTAATTGCTCAGGCCAAAAAATTTGGAGTCATTCTTGTATCCTTTCTTCTCTTATACTCCATAGTCACCTCTGTCAGCAAATCTCGTTGGTTTTGCCTTCAACATTCAGTCTACATGTGATGATTTCTTACCACCGTTACTGCGTCCATTCTGGTCCAAATCACTATCATCTCTCTCACTTGGATAACTGCAATAGCCTTCTAACCCCTTTCCACCTTTGACCCTGACATTCTGTTCTCCCAAACAGCAGCCACAGGAATCTTTTGAAAACCTAAACTTATCATTTTACTCCTCTGTTCAAATCCTCTAGTAGCTCTCCATCTCACGCCGAGTAAAAGGCAGTCCTTAGAGTGGCCTAATTCAATCTGACTGTCTGCTGCCTCTATAACCTTTTCCCCTACCTTCCTCCCTCCCTCACTTTACTTAGCAACAATGGCCTCCTTGCTATTCTTTGATAGTACCAACCATACTCCTGCCTCAGAACCTCAGGACTTGCTGTCTCCTCTGCACAGAATGGTCTTCCCCTGTGTTTCTGCATACCTCACTCCTTCATCCCCCTCAGATTTCTGCTCAGATGACACTTAAGGAAGACATTCTCTTGATCATCCTAGCCTATTGAAAATAGCAACCCCTCTTTGTACTGACTCCTTTCTATTCCTAGTAACGAACCATAGAAATGATCCCTGAAATAATAGTCTTAAGGCTCCTTTCTTTCTCCTCCTTCCTTCCTTTCTTTCTTTCTTTCTTTCTTTCTTTCTTTCTTTCTTTCTTTCTTTCTTTCTTTCCTTTCTTTCTTTCTTTCTTTCTTTCTTTCTTTCTTTCTTTCTTTCTTTCTTTCTTTCTCTCTTTCTTTCCCTTCCTTCCTTCCTTCCTTCCTTCCTTCCTTCCTTCCTTCCTTCCTTCCTTCCTTTCTTCTTTCTCTCTCTCTCTCTTTCTTTTTTTTTTTTTTTGAGATAAAGTCTTGCTCAGTCACCCAGGCTGGAGCGCAGTGACGCGATCACGGCCAACTGCAACCTCCACCTCCCGGGTTCAAGCGATTCTCCTGCCTTAGCATTCCGAGTAGCATGGATGGTGTGCGCCACCATGCCCAGCTAATTTTTGTATTTTTAGTAGAGACAGGGTTTCGCCATGTTGGCCGGACTGGTCTCCAACTCCTAACCTCAGGTGATCCACCCATCTTGGCCTCCCAAAGTGTTGAGATTACAGGCGTGAGCCACCGCGCCCGGCCTCCACTTTCTTAAGTTGTCTCTGTACCATTCACCACCATTTGACACTCTGTATTTAAATTACTTACTTGTGTATTATATATTTTCCTCTGTTAAAACATAATTTTCATTTTTATAGAGAGGTAAGGAAGGGCTTCCTGAAGAAGTAACTCTTTAATTGAAACATCAAAGAGGAGGAGAAATTAAATAGGCCCAGAGAAGTTTCTTCCAGGCAAAGGGAAATACACATGCATAGGCTTCCTTTTGTGGGGGGAAGCAGGGTGAAGACAAAAGAATAAATAAGGCCTCACTCCCTCACATTAGACTCCTCAATGACGGCTGAAATTATGGCCACCAGGAACTCTCAGGCTCAGCTCATCACACTCATGACCAGAAAGTAACTCAGTGTTAGTCTCTCTGCTTCTATGTTCATAAACTCTAGAGAAGGACTTGGATGAGCCCTCTTGGGTTAAGAGACGAATGGGAGGAGTGGAGCAGTATGTCTGGTCCAGCTTGGGTCACTTCTTCACCTCTTAGACTGATCCCTGTGGCCAGGAATGTGGAGTCGATAAAAAGATGGCAGCTACCCCTCAAGCTTCATGTTAAATCGTGGAAAGGTACATTTCTCCCCACAAAAATGGGGATGTAAGAATCAAGAGGGAGGCTGAGGCGGGCAGATCATGAGGTCAGGAAATCAAGACCATCCTGGCTAACACAGTGAAACCCCGTCTCTACTAAAAATAGAAAAAATTAGCAAGGCATGGTGGTGGGCCCCTGTAGTCCTAGCTACTTGGGAGGCTGAGGCAGGAGAATTGCGTGAACCCGGGAGGCGGAGCTTGCAGTGAGCCAAGATCGCACCACTGCACTCCAGCCTGGGCGACAGAGCGAGACTCCCTCTCAAAACAACAACAAGAAAAACAAAAAAAAACCCTCAACGTCAGGCCAGATGCAGTGGTTCATTCTTGTAATCCCAGCACTTTGGGAGACTTGAGGCCAGCAGATCTCTTGAGCTGAAGGGTTGGAGACCAGCCTGGGCAACATGGTGAAACCCTGTCTCTACAAAAAAATACAAAAATTAGCTGGACATGGTGGTGTGTGGACTTGTAGTCCCAGCTACTCAGGAGGCTGAGGTGGAAGCATTGCTTGAGCAATTGATTGAGGTCAAGGCTGCAGTGAGCCATGATCACACCACTGCACTGTAACCTGGGAGACAGAGTGAGACTCTGTCTCAAAAAACAAAACAAAAAAAACAAAACAAAACAAAAAACAAACCTCGACATCATCTCAGGCTTGTCCTTGGTAATTTTTTTTCTTGCTTCTCTAAATCCATTCTCCAACTTTGTGGGGAGTCTGACCTGAATGAACTGCACTCATGAGCATCTCTTGTGTTCTCCCAGTTAGAGGCACTATCAGGGTGGGAAGTGGGTGAGGCCAGGGTATTTAGTCTCCAGGCTTCCTGCTGGTTCAACTTAGTCCTGTAGGGCTGTAGGGCAGCCCCTATACTCTCCAAGGGTAGTAATAGCTTTTTTGCTGTTGCTAGTCCTGGAATCCTATATCATCCTGCTGTTTCTTCAAACCCTGCTTACTCTTTTTGTAAACAATTCTTTTATTAAAATTTGCTCAGTTATCCAGTTTAAATATGCCATTCACTTCCTGTTTGGACACAGATTGATATACAAATACAGGATATTCTAAAGGAACAATTTGGGAAAGCTAAAGAAGATAAAAGAGAATTTGCTTTTGTACAAATTCTGTAAAACAAACTGCAGAGACAAATCAGAGGAGACTGAGGTTCTAATGCAAAATTCCCAGCAAAGAATGAAACTAGACATCTGCAAGTAGAGAATAAAGCAGGCTGGATTTCAAATGGTCAAAATCCATGCTGATCTATGCTGATCATAAACATGGAAAGATGAATTAGGATACATTTTGGGGAAGTTTACACACTGATGATGCCCTTTCTGGAAAATTAAGTTCCAGCCAATCAAAGGTTCATAGAAAGGTGATGATAATAACTCACTTTTTCTATTTCCTTGGCAGTACACCCTCCAGACCCAAAATCTCTTTCATTGTTACATTTATTTAGCAAGTGCTGTGATTATTGCATGATATTTATTTGTAAAATAGGATTGACAAATGGGCCACCACTGGTTCACCTGTATCAAGAAAGAGCTCGAAAGAGGAAGACATCTGTGTAGGATAAATGAGAGGACACTTAGATAGCCAGAGAAACCCAAAATAAACAGAAGGAAAAAAAAATAAACCTGCAATATCGCAACATTTGGGAAGCAATTTATATACCAACTCTGCAATGGTAGAGGAACTTTTGGGAGAAAAGTTAGCATTCATCTATGATGAAGAGAGCGGGCTGGTTACTCAGGAAATCAATACAGTCTTTAAACCATGGCATAGTTTTTTAAATAAGTGTGCATTAATCTTGCAGTTGTATTTGCAAGTATGCACAATGCTCATGGATCGAACATAAAGAAGAAATTATTGTAATGTCTTAACTTAGTGTTGTACCTAGCAAAGGGCTTTGCATATTGAAAATGCAAGCATTAGTTGAATGAATAAATGAAAAAAATTAATACACTGGAAAATGAGCACTGACCTAAACTAGCATATCAGTAAATTAGCACTTTTGTTCTCAGTGTAATGTTTTGCTTACTGTTGTTTTGATTGGGTTCTATTAATTGATAATAGTATTTATTGGGCCTATTAAAGATATATGTTTAGCATCTGTTTACCTTGCTAAAAGTTAATTGGTGGGAATTCAAACACCTTTTGGATCTATCCCTATAGGAATTACAGACAAATCTATTAATTTGTTAATCATTAATATGCAGCCATTGGACATGTGCATGTAAATATACAAACCAGATGCTCATGTTGTCAAGTTATTGCTTGTTTCTAGTTTGGATCCTGAGTTTCCTTGGCCACCCTAACCTGAACAAAAGTGTAGACAACAGAACAGTGAAAATCCAGTGCCTCTATGAAGTGTACAAGTACCAGATATAGCCCCAAATGGGGCATCTCTGCCATCATCTTTATGTATTTGTAAATCTGCATATCAGAGAATTTCATTTTAAGTGGAATTATTAGAATTTTATCAGTGCCTCTATAGTTGGCTTAAAAGCCAATTTTATGACATTTGTGAGCATTGGGTAAGAGGAAAAGAATGGAAAAATGTATCCAAGAAATATGATAGATATGTAAATTTGGGTGCAACTTTAGGCTTGAGATTTAAAAATAAAACTGGGATCCTATAGAATTTTTGCATACTATATAATAAAAGTCTGCAATCTGATCCTCACACATCTCCGTTAACATCTAACATTGGATTTGTTATATTCTCATTGTTTTTCATTGATACAAGTGTTTGGTGAAGAATTCAGGAACTTTCCTTCACAAATGTTTTATTTGATTTACAGCATTAGAGGCTGTGATATTCCTGGTTAGAATATTTTACTGTTGACATCTTTAAGTAAAAAACATTAGTTGAATTCCCACAGGAGAATGTGCATCAGCCCTGTGTTAAGCTCTTTGTTCAGACTTATTATTTCAGCTTCCAAAATGTGTTTTGACTAACCTAATAGTGTGATAAATGCAAGAAGTGTGTGCACAGCTTAAAACATTTGGAAATGCTTCTACTATGTGCTGCTTTTACACTGGGCAGTTTACTTTCTCTGTAAAAGTATTTCTATTCCACACTCTACTGTCCCATGGGTTTCTGAAAGGTGAGCATGAACTTTGTGGGAATTCTATTTTTGGATTTTAAAACTGGAGTTGCATGGTAAACAGTTTTTTACTCTTACCTCGTTAGAGTTTTCAAACTTTCTCCCTTCTTGAGTGCACGGACACCAGTTTCACTTGTTTCCCTTTATATTTGTGCACACTTCCTAAACTCACAGCACATAAGCCTTCCAGTTAGGTGGCATATTCCTCCTGGATTCTCCATGCTCTTTCATTTCCCTTTTTGACCTTTCTAATCATCTCCTTTCCTTAACCACTTAGTGGTTGTGAACCTTCAAGCTATAGTTCCATTATCAAGAGAGCCTATATCACCAAGACAGTCTACTCCTTTACACTCTATATATGCCCTTCCCAATAAAGTAGTCAGTAGCCACATGCAATTGTTGAATACTTGCAGTGGGGCTTGTCCATATTGAGATGTGCTGTAAGTGTAGAATACACGCTGGATTTCCAAGACTTAGTACAAGTGAAAAGGATATACAATAGCTGATTCATAATTTTATATTGGCTATCGTGTTGAGATAATAATATTTGGGACTTATTGGTTTAAATAACGTATGTTATTAAGAAATTAAAATGAGGCCAGTCTTGGTGGCTCACACCTGTAATCCCAGCACTTTGGGAGGCCGAGGCAGGCAGATTACCTGAGGTCAGGAGTTTGAGACCAGCCTGGCCAACATGGTGAAACCCTGTCTCTACTAAAAATACAAAATTAGCCGGGCATGGTAGTTCATGCCCGTAATCCTAGCTACTGAGCCAGGAGAATCACTTCAACCAAGGAAGCAGAGATTGCAGTGGGTGGAGATCGCGCTACTGCATTCCAGCCATGGCGACAAAAAGAAATTAAAATGTATTACTAAAAAGTTTTGTTTCCTTTATCTTTTAAAAATGAGGCTACTAGAAAATGTGGCTCACATTATGTTTCAATTAGAGAGCATGGCTCAATATCAGTCTTTCTCAAATCTAGTTATCCATCAGAAGCATCTAAGAAAGAAAACAATATGTGGCTGAGTGCAGCGGCTCACGCCTGTGGTCCCAGCACTTCAGGAGGCTGAGGCGGTGGGCAGATCACCTGAGGTCAGGAGTTTGAGACCAGCCTGACCAACATGATGAAACCCTGACTTTACTAAAAATACAAGAATTAGTGGGTGTGGTGCACACCTGTATTCCTAGCTACTTGGGAGGCTGAGGCAGGAGAATCGCTTGAACCCTGGAGATGGAGGTTGCAGTGAGCCGGGATCACGCCACTGCACTTCAGCCTAGGTGACAGAATGAGACCCTGCTCAAAAAAAAAAAAAAAAAAAAAAAAGAAGAAGAAGAAAAAAGAAAATGAAAACAAAACAAAGCAAAAAACCCAGTTTCCTGGTCCCTACCACAGACCTAGTAAATCAGGATGCTGGAATGAGCCCTAGGAAATCTATATTTTTGGAAGCCTCTCCAGGTGGTTTTGAGGCACTCAGGAGAACAACATTTGAGAACTTCTACCCTATTTGCCCTCTTTTCCCACCTCATGACAACACTTTTTGGTTTGGGATCCCATATACTGCAGGAAGTACTCTTTTATGTGACTGAATATGGTTGTGGGTAAATCACAAAGAACAAGGGATTACCTGCTTCCTAAAGTAGTTTTCTTCCCTTAACCTATTTAAATTTATTTTTATGCATTTTAATTTTTAATTGACAGGTAAACATTGTATATATTTATGCTGTACAATCTGGTGTTTCAATATATGTGTACATTGTAGAATGGCTAGATCAAGCTAATTAAGCTATGTATTACCTTGCATACTTTTTTTAAAATGGAAAGAACACTTAAAATCTACTCTGTCAGCAGTTTTCAAGTATACAATAAATCCACTGTCATCACCGTAGTGTACAATAGGTCTTTTCAACTTTTCCCTCCCATCTATCAGAAATTTTGTGTCCTTTGACCAACATCTTCCTTATTTAAATGTAGAACTCTTTAAAAAGGAGCTTAATGAATAAAGGTATTTGCATAATGCTGTGGAAAGTCTTCTGATTCAGTTTGGAGAAGCAATGGTCACTTACCTTTTAAAACTCCACTTAAAGGAGTGAGGGATGATATATTTGTAGAGCAAACCTTTTATTTTAATTTAAAAGATATATACAGACATTTTATTATCAATCTTATGATGTAGGGCTAATGTTTTCTTGACATGTTGGTCTGCCGATTGCAGCCCTGCATTACCTTTCTTCCATAAGCAACATCTAAAATGCGCCCTTTACAAATTCCATCTCTAGTTTCTTTAAAATGTAGAAAGATCTCTTTAATTAATTAATTAATTTATTTATTTATTGAAGAGATGGGGTCTTGCTGTGTTGGCTAGGTTGGTCTTGAACTCCTGGCCTCAGCCTCACAAAGTCCTAGGATTACTGGTGTGAGCCACCATACCCAGCCTAGAAAGATCTCAAAGTACTTGTGAGGCAATCGAGTATAGTATTTTCTAGATTATTGTGACTGTTCTATGTTTTTATAATTTCATCATTTAATTTGACAGAAATTCACTTTTATTTTTCCAAAGGATTTAACTTAGTTTTCACAGAGATACTTTTTGGTTTCGCTTTTCTGTTTCATAAATGTGCATCTTATTTATTAAATTCCAAAAGTTCAATAAGTACAATTGTCATAAACAGGTTTGGGAATAAACTTGACTTTTGTAGAGCATAAAACTGTCAGGAACAATATTGTACAGCCCTTCTAAGATGTATAATAGTCTGCTATTGAGAGCACTTAGAATGTCATGGACATCAGTCTAACATGTTTAACGAAGGAATGGACAGCATGATGAATTAATCTGATGAATCAATTCATGGAAAGTCATTAAGAGAAGCTCTACAATAAAAAATAATAATGTAATAATTAATATTTATTGAACACTTACTATGTTGCAGACATAGACACTTCATATATAGTAATTCACATTTGACTTACAAACATCCTTTGAGGCATGGTTTATAATTAGCTTAATTTTATATATAAGGAAATTAATGCTTCCAGAGATTAAGTCACTTAAGGTCACGCAACTTTAAGTTTGGAGATAAAATTCAAACTCAGGCCAGTCTGATCCTAGAATTCACGATACGCTTTTAACTTCGAAAGCCTAACCTTGAGGAGAGGGTTCATGTTGTCCTTTGCTAGAGATCTTACTTGGCCTGACATTGATCTATGGGGCTGGGTCAAGGGCACAGACTCTGCAAAGCAAGCAATCACCATAACAAATAACTTGCATGTGTGTCCTTGGTCAGTGAGCAACTCTATCAGCCTTTTTAGAATATGATGGAGCAACATATAATTAATATATTTAATGTCTTAAACTAATGAATCGATTGAGTGTTTTGAAACAAACTTTACTGAGAATATTATTTGTGCTCGAGCCCAGGCTTCAAAGAGATAAATACATTTTTATCCTCATATCTGGACACTCTATCCTGGGATCCCCAAACCAGGTATTTATCATGCTGTCTCCCCTGTGGTGCTTTTCCTTGGTGTGATGAATGTGGCTTCCTGGCAGGACTGTTTTACACCAGCCTCCAGGCAGAGTCCTTTTAGCTCAAAGAAAAATAAATTGACTTCAGGAAAAAAAAAACCCTGCCATCAACTTTTTGATCCTTCCTTTTCCATCTTCTTTTTCCTGACTATGGTACTATGCATACTTCGGTCTTTAGGGATCCATCGCTCATTTCTACAAGAGCATCAAGTGACCCAGATATGCACTTTGAGTGCCTTTTATATGCTTTGTCACACCCATATTTGTATATGATAATTAATCACCCATGGATCAATCACCTAAAATAATGGCCTAGGCTACCTCTCCTTCCTCTATGGTTTTCCTCCCAGGGGAAAGCTGTGCAGGTAGCTTTGCCTGGGTGTCATTTGGTAATAAAATATTTTTTCTAGAAGTTTTCCAGTGAGCTACAAGCATTACAGTGATTTATACTTATTTTCTTGTCTTTGCAAGTGAATAATGGCATTTACTTTCTTTGAAGTATAATTATGCCCAAGGAAATAATTCTATTAATTAGGAGGATATGGATTTCTAAGACTTTACTTTTAAATCTTACACATTCAAAATATTTTTATAACGATAATTTTGATCTGAGTGTTTAAAAAATCAAGCTGTGTAGCTCCTCTTTTACACTGCTAAGAGCAATCAAAATTAGTCTATGAAGTTTTTGGTGCATAAAGATTTCGTGCCACGACAGTGAGCAACTTTGTTAGATCCTTAAGCTCAGATGGACTTATATTGTTTATTCTGTGTTACTTGAAATTCAAGACTTTTGGCTGCCAGAAAATAAGCAGCTGCCACAAGTAAATCCAGAGGAATCAGGAATACTGAAATTTCTTTTCTGTGGAGACCTGTTCTTTGATGTCTCTGAGACAATACTAAACACGAGTTTCACTTAATTTCAAAAAAGTTTGCTTCATAGTTACAATCAGCTTTGCAATGAGAAGAGATCTCTTATCGTTTTTCTCTAGAAGAAAATACATTTTAGGATTGGAAATCAAATTGAATATCAAGAGTGTATAGGAACACTGACATGCTTTTACAGATGAGCAGACTCAAATTATTTTTGAAGGGCACTGGAATTTAAATAATTGCTCACATGTGCCTTGTAAAATAAATATTGCTTATGAAGTGTGCCAGCAGTTCTCAAACTGTGGTCTCCACATCAGCAGCATCAGTGTAATTTTATGTGTCAAGTTGAATGACTCATGGGATGCCCAGATATTTGGTTAAATATTATAATGGGTATGTCTCTGAGGGTGTTTCTAGATGAAATTTTAATCAGTAGACTCACTAAGGCAGACTGCCACCCCAGTGTGAGTGGGCCTCATCCAGTCTGTTAGAGGCATGAATAGAATAAAAAGTCAGGTAAGGGAGAATTCACGGTCTCTGCCTGACAGTCCTTACATCTGGGACATCAGGCCCAGTGCTATGGCTCATGCCTGTAATCCCAGCACTTTAGGAGGCCAAGGCAGGTGGATCACCTAAGGTCAGGAGTTCAAGACCAGCCTAGCCAACATGGTGAAACCCTGTCTCTACCAAAAATACAAAAATTAGCTGGGCATGGTGGTGCACACCTGTAGTCTCAGCTACTCAGGAGGCTGAGGCAGGAGAATTGCTTGAAACCAGAAGGAGGAGGTTGCAGTGAGCCAAGGTCGTACCACTGCACTCCAGGCTGGGTGACAGAGAGAGACTCCATCTAAAAACAATGACAAAAAAACAAAAAGCAAAAACAAACAAACAAACAAACAAAAACCAATCTGGGACATCAGTCTTTTGCCTTTGGACTCAGACTAAAACTTACTATTGGCTCTCCTGGTCCTCAGGCCTTCAGACTGCAGATCTTGGGATTTTCTCTCTCTTTCACTACATATGTACACACACGCGTGCATGCACACACACACACACACGCACACACACACATATCCTATTGGTTCTGTTTCTCTGGAAAACCCTAATATACTAATACAATCAGCTTCACCTTAGAAAGGTAAATTCTCAAGCACCCTCAGTCTTTTCTTTTTTTTTATACTTTAAGTTTTAGGTTACACGTGCACAACATGCAGGTTAGTTACATATGTATACATGTGCCATGTTGGTGTGCTGCACCCATTAACTCGTCATTTAACATTAGGTATATCTTCTAATGCTATCCCTCCCTCCTCCTCCCACCCCACAATAGGCCCTGGTGTGTGATGCTCCCTTCCTGTGTCCATGTGTTCTTATTGTTCAGTTCCCACATATGAGTGAGAACAGGCGGTGTTTGGTTTTTTGTCCTTGCGATAGTTTGCTGAGAATGGTGGTTTCCAGCTTCATCCATGTCCCTACAAAGGGCATGAACTCATCATTTTTTATGGCTGCATAGTATTCCATGGTGTATATGTGTCACATTTTCTTAATCCAGTCTATCATTGTTGGACATTTGGGTTGGTTCCAAGTCTTTGCTATTGTGAATAGTGCTTCAATAAACATATGTGTGCATGTGTCTTTATAGCAGCATGATTTATAATCCTTTGGGTATATACCCAGTAATGGGATGGCTGGGTCAAATGATATTTCTAGTTCTAGATCCCTGAGGAATCACCACACTGACTCCCACAAGAGTTGAACTAGTTTACAGTCCCACCAACAGTGTAAAAGTGTTCCTATTTCTTCACATCCTCTCCAGCACCTGTTATTTCCCGACTTTTAAATGATCGCCATTCTAACTGGTGTGAGATGGTATCTCATTGTGGTTTTGATTTGCATTTCTCTGATGGCCAGTGATGATGAGCATTTTTTCATGTGTCTGCTGGCTGCATAAATGTCTTCTTTTGAGAAGAGTCTGTTCATATCCTTCGCCCACTTTTTGATGGCGTTGTTTGTTTTTTTTCTTGTAAATTTGTTGGAGTTCATTGTAGATTCTGGATATTAGCCCTTTGTCAGATGAGTAGATTGCAAAAATTTTCTCCCATTCTGTAGGTTGCCTGTTCACTCTGATGGTAGTTTCTTTTGCTGTGCAGAAGCTCTTTAGTTTAATTAGATCCCATTTGTCAGTTTTGGCCTTTGTTGCCATTGCTTTTGGTGTTTTAGACATGAAGTCCTTGCCCACGCCTATGTCCTGAATGGTATTGCCTAGGTTAAAAAGAGCCCTCATTGCCAAGTCAATCCTTAGCCAAAAAAACAAAGCTGGAGGCATCACGCTACCTGACTTCAAACTATACTACAAGGCTACGGTAACCAAAACAGCACCCTCAGTCTTAAAAACTTAGGGAGTGGGGTTCAGCAATCAGAGTTTTAACAATCTGTCTTGGTAATTCTGTATATTAATATTTGAGAACCCTGTCTCTGACTAATGACCTCTTCTCTGCTTATACCTCATGGTTTCTGCTTACTTATATCTTTTACTGCCTCATTGCTTTTGCATAATGCTTTTTCTGTCCATAGGTTGTTTTGTTTTATCTTGCTTTTTAGTTTTAGCGTCAGTCCATAGTCTGCATCCCACTCTGTGTATTACTATTCAAGTTCCCAAAGAGAGAAGATCTGGCATAAAATATGCCAAAGTAAGGGAGATCCCTTATTAGGCAGAACTCTGATATCAGATCCTCTCATTCATTTATTCATTCATTCATTCATTCACAGCTATTTATTGAGATCATGTCTTTCATATTCTAGACTTTGGAGACACAGTGAAGAAGTTAAACAAAATATTCAGGTATCCATTGCTCTTAAATCCTAGTTGGAGGGATGAACAGAAAATAGAGTAAATATTTATGGTCCACAATCTGTTACCTGTGATTCTGAAATTCAAAAAGCTCTTCAAACTAAAAGGTATTTCCTAACTCATTTGGCAGCAAAATCTGACCTGACTTGAACTCATCTGGCAGCAAAACTTGACCTGAAAAAAGGTGAAGTTATTTGTAGTCTTTAATTATCTCTCTTACTAGGAATGTCCATGCATTGAAGAAGTATTAATGTTTGATCATGGAGAGCTGCCATGGACCCTGATGAGAGTATGCCATAAAGCCTTTATAAAATTTTTTTAAAAATTGAATTCTGAAACACAACTGGTCCTAAGGGTTTTTGATATGAGATGTGGACCTGTTATAAAATGTCAGGGAGTGCAAAGTGCTAGGAAGAAAAATTAATCAAGGTAAGGGGATAGATAAAAATGGAAAATGCTACATAGATCCTAAGCATGAATGATTGTTATGGGTCTACCCAGCATGCATCCAACTCTAGGAGCAATCACTAACATGTGGGCATGAAGAAATATAATCATTTGTAGAAAATAGAAGGACTTTGGCAAAAAAAAAAAATCCTTCAAGAGGAACTTAAGTTAAAGTCTTCTAATCAGTTCCCACCAAGTAATTCCTTAAATACAATAGAAGATTTTACTAAAATTATAGCCTGATATAGTAAGATGTGAATGCTTGTAAAGTATGTAGAATTCAAGGAAATGGATTTAAAAAGAGGGAACTGTATCCTCTTATAATGGGGATATAAATATATGTTTAGATAATTGATGACTAAATGGATTAATTAGTGACATGGAGAAGAGAGTCTAGGGAGCAAGGGAGTCTGAGTTATCCCTGTGTGTATGCACGTGCATGTGTGTGTGGCCCAACCAAAGCATATTTATGGCCTTTTTATTATGCAAAAATGGCATATGGAAATCTTCTATGAAATGTTAGTGATAGCATCAGCTCTGCCAACTTTAAATTCTGGTGCCACTATTTACGTTTAACATTTTTCTCATGTTACACTGCATGTAATAGTCTTCACCTGCTAGGAAATATTATTACTAAGCTATTATTAGCATGTTTAGTATTATAAGTGGTGTCTGACTCTTCTGCCTTTTCTTATTATTTTATCTTGAGTGTATAATTTATAACAATATTTACTGTGCACTAAACTGTCATAAGCCCAGGGTAAACTTAGTGAATATTAAAGGATGGCTATGCATCTTTGTCATGAGCTAAATTAAAACTTTTAAGTGATTTCTGCCTATTTGATCTCTAAAAGTTTTAAATGAAAAGTTATGTTTGGCAAAGAATTATGCATTGATAGCTATGAAATCATAGTTTGGGGGGAAAATAATCTTTTATTTATTTATTTATTTTGAGATGGAGTCTTGCTCTGTCACCCAGGCTGGAGTGCAGTGCGTTCTCGGCTCACTGCAACCTCTGCCTCCCGGGTTCAAGTGAGTCTCCTGCTTCAGCTTCCTGAGTAGCTGGGATTACAGGTGCCCACCACCACACCTGGCCAATTTTTGTATTTTTAGTAGAGATGGAGTTTCACCATGTTGGCCAGGCTGGTCTCGATTTCTTGACTTCAAATGTCCCACCCACCTCGGCCTCCCAAAGTGCTGGGATTACAGGTGTGAGCCACCGCGCCCAGCCGTGAATCTTTTTGTCATCCCCCTTAGCACATGATCACACAGTCCCTGCTTGATGCTCAAGGTAATAATTGGCTGTCTCCATTTCTTTCTACGACTCCATTTTTGCTCTATAATGAGTAAAACATAGTATTAGCAAAACTATGTGCTTGTGTTTTCTGAAGCTGTAGAGACTAGACTACTCCTTCAACCTTTAACATATACTGTTATATTTGACCCTCGCTTTTTCTTTCCCAAGTTGTCACAGAAATGATTTTGTGACAAATGTTTTTGGAGCTTTTCTTCATAGTTCCTGTCTTCTAAACCAATTGCCCTCCATTGGACACTGTCTCATTTTGTTTTGTCCATTTGAAAATATAATACCCAGTTGCAGCCACAGCAACCTAGGAGGGCTATGACCAATACAGAACATAGTGACACTAAAAGTTTCCTATATCTGGAACCATGCTGTTATTTTTGCAATCCTATTATATATTTCCTTGTTTATTGTTTTATGCTGTTAACAGCCTTTGGCACTTTTGTGGCACCTCACGTGAGCTACTCTGGACCTTAGCTTTTTACATCTTGTCCTACAGATTCACGTTTGATTGTATAAGTGATATGCAGAAACCAGTCTATTTACTAGTCAGTTGGTAGGTTGATGTGATACAATTACACACAGGAATGGTTCAAAATAACTGGAAAACTTAGGATTACATTAATTATAATTTTAAAAGCAGAATTTTCATAGTTTTAAATTTTGAGGCGGTAACTCTGCTATTAACAAATTCTCATTGCTTTGCACCCTACATCTATTGATTTTAGAAAATGTCAGTGGAGATCATGTTCAAGATACTGATCCCTGAATTAACAAATAATAGCTTTAAGTAGTGTTGATGTATATGAAGTTTTCTAAGTAAAAGACAAAGCACCACATCTTGGAACTTGTTTTCTAGAGCTGACCATAAGGATATTAGACATTTTTATTTTAGTTTATGTTATGTTATTTTTTTAAAAGTATGTGGTTAGGAGAATGGGTTACATGCTGATTACAGATCTCCATAGCAGACCTTCAGCTTATGAGGTTAGGAGAATGATTTATAAAGTTGACTATAGGTCAGATCATCTTTGAGAAAGCTGTGCTTTCAACACCACAGGATTAAAAGAAAAAACCAAAAGGAAAAACACTATATTAAAAACAACCCCTCCTCCCAGCTCCTATTCTCAACCCCCACTCTCTTTCCCCAATATCCTGGTTCATAACCCCGCATAAAGTCAATGCTGGTGACTGATTGTCTTTGCCTCCGTGTGTCTGCTTCCTTCCTTACCATTCTGGTTTTCCCAGTCTCTCTGTCTATGCTCATTCCTTTTACTCACTCTGTTTTCATCAGGATTATTAAACTGCTTGGGTCTTGCTTTGTGGTCTTTTTGAAAGGAAATTCTTAGCTACAGCCAAAGACAATGGAGGAAATTTCACTTTCTTGGTCTTAGCACCATATTGCTAGGGAGTTAGTCACATTATGTCATGAAAAATTGGTTGGTTACCAGATTTCCAAGACCTCACTCATGGATATAACCCTAATGAAATATCAATGAAGACAAGAATCCAAGAACAGCATGCCAAACTCCCCAAAGGGAGTTACATTTTCAAGATAGTAAACTTTTAAAAGTATTGGTAAACTTTTAAAAGTATTACGTATGAGCCTTTTAAATGTTATAATTGACTAGACAGAGTGAAAACACAAATAAAAACGTAGCACTTTTTTTTGGGCAAAATTTTCATCTAAGTATCAATCTACACTGGATGTAGCAATAATGTATATGGCACATTTTTCTTTTTTTGAAATGGAGTCTCGCTCTGTCACCCAGGCTGGAGTGCAGTGGCATGATCCTCCAGAGTAGCTGGAATTACAGGCATGCACCACCAGGCCAGGCTAATTTTTGTATTTTTAGTAGAGATGGGGATTCATCATGTTGGCCAGGCTGGTCTCGAACTCCTGACCTTATAATATCTGCCTACCGCGGCCTCCCAAAGTGCTGGGATTACAGGCATTAGCCACTGCACCTGGCAATGGCATATTTTTCATAAATTAATTAGGTATTTATTTTCTATTTTAAACAGTCTTACTTTTTATCTTTTAATCCAACCTCTTTCCTCTATCTAGGATTTTCAAACTGACAAAAACTTAATTGCATCTCTGTCTAATATGGATAACTTAGAAATTAGAAATTCCAATCCATCTGATATCTTGATAATAGAACCAAGTTACCAACATGAATATGTGATACTATTTTCCATAAAGATTGTTCTTTTGCGGTCGGGCGAGGTGGCTCACGTCTACAATCCCAGTGCTTTTGGAAGGCCAATGTGGGCAGATCACTTGAGGTCAGGAGTTCAAGACTAGCCTGGTGAACATGGTGAAACCCCATCTCTACTAAAAAAAAAAAAAAAAAATACAAAAATTAGCTGGGCATGGTGTCAGGCACTTGTAATCCTAGCTACTCAGGAGGCTGAGGGAGGAGAATCACTTGAGTCTGGGAGGTGGAGGTTGTAGTGAGCCGAGATCATGCCACTGTACTGCAGCCTGGGAGACAGAGTGAGACTCTGTCTCAAAAACAAACAAACAAACAAAAAAACCATTGTTCTCTTGGGGCCAGACACAATGGCTCATTGGCTCACGCCTGTAAAATCCTAGCACTTTGTGGGGCAGAGGCAGGTGGACTGCTTGAGCCCAGGAGTTTGAGATCAGCCTGGTCAACATGATAAACTCCTTCTCTACAAACAAAAAAATTAGCTGGATGTGTTGGTGCACCTGTACTCCCAGCTACTCAGGTGGCTGAGGTGGAGGATCACCTGACTAGGGGAGGTTGAGGCAACAGTGAGCAGATATTGTGTCACTGTACTCCACACTTCAGCCTGGGCGATAGAGTGACACCTTGTCTCAAAAAAAAAAAAAAAGTATATATATATATATATATATATTTCTCTTGGGAAAGTCTATTGACAATGATAAACTGTTCAGATTTTAGTGTTATAGTGGGTAATATAATCAGAAAGACTTTAGGGGAATCAATCCTTAATAAATGTAAAATATTTCTTTGGAAGAGTCTAATTCTTGACAAATTATAAAGGTCTCCAAATGTGCCCCACTGCGCATGTAGACTGTAGTTCTCCTCAACTTGCCTAATGACTGTGTAAACTAAAAAAGCAAAAGTCTAGTGGTTTATCATTGTCAAAAATCCCCTAGCCAGATGAAATTTGAGTTGTATAAGCACTCCCCGAATGTATATTTTTTTATTGTAATTATTTGCTTTTTAAACGGCATATCTATATCAAATGTATATGGGAAATAGAATTATCTTCTGGAAAGAGATAACCAAATAGTAAAGTGTAGGCCAGGGAAGACCTTGATATGCAGGCCCTGGATGGCAGAAGACATTACAGGAAAGGGCAGTCACTAGAGAGTTAAAGTGGCGTTTGGGATTCTTGTTCACTGTCCTTGCAACTATTTTTGTTTGTTTGTTTGTTTTTCTGATTCACTGGGTAATAGAAAGTTTTTTATTTAGCTCAGGGATAGAAAAATTATGGCAATTCAAGCATAGGCTAAATTTAATTGATTTTCGCTCTACCTATGAAAAAGTCACTGATTAAAAATAGCAAACAGGATTGTAATGGAAATGTGTACTTTAGAATCAGACTAAAAAATTTGTAGCTATCGAAGTGAGCCTTTTTAGTCAGTGTACAGTACTACTTACAAGACTTCACCATTTTCATCCAATTAGATTATTCACTTGGAACTCTACACTTTTGCTCTTCCTAGTTCTGAAAGCATCATAACCTGTTCTTAAAAACAAAAGTTCTATAATTTTTATATTTGCTTATACCAGTTTCATGCACTAATTTCAATTATTAGTTTCTACATTTAGATGGTTAGGTCAGCTGTGCTCCCTCCCTTCTATCACTGAATTAGACCAAAGCTTGGTGGGAGCAAATGGTGGGGTTGGTGTCACCCGATGGTGTGTGAGGGAGGCTCGGAAATGGGCTAGCCAGAAGGTGATATGTTGTCAGGTTAAAGTGAAGTTAGGGAAGTGAAACCTAACTTTTATTTTCCCTAATCTTGCCCTTGCCTAGTTGTTCCCTTGCCCTAGGAGAGGACCAACTATAAGATCCCAAGTCCAAACAGAGATAAGATGTAGTTCAGGTCCAGTCTAGGCACAGAAAACAATGGAAAATCTCTTAAGACTAAGATGGGAGCTGTCCAGGATTAAAGCTGGATGCTTCAAGCATTTCTTTAGGAAAATGAGGTAAATAAAGAGAACGGGGGCTATTCCCAAAGATTTACAACTTTGCTAACAATGTGGGAATCATTGGAGGTTTGGATGTAAAGGAAAAGAATGTGGCTTTCTGAGGGTAGTTGGAAGAATGTACAATGACTTCTAAATACTATCAATACTCCTGGTTCTGGTTCACTAGTAGTGCTTCTCCTTCCATGTCCCACTGCAACCCTGGAGATCTATCAGAGCATCATTCTGTGCACTGATTTCTGGACTTCTTTCTTGAGTTGGATGCAAAGATGCCAATTTTAATTAGAAGAATTTTAGTAAATAAATATTGTCAGATTTCCCCAAATATCCGAATACTATTTTTTTTTTTTTTTTTTTTGAGACTGAGTCTTGCCCCGTTGCCCAGTCTGGAGTGCAATGGTGCGATCTTGGCTCACTGCAACCTCTGCCTCCCAGGTTCAAGTGATTCTCCGGCCTTAGCTTCCCGAGTAGCTGGGATTACAGGTGCGTGTCACCACACCTGACTAAATTTTTGCATCTTTAGTAGAGACAAGGTTTCACCATGTTGGCTAGGCTGGTCTCAAACTCCTGACCTCATGATCTGCCTGCCTTGGCCTCCCAAAGTGCTGAGATTACCGGCGTGAGCCACCGTGTCTGGTCAAATATCTGAATACTTTTTAAGGTAGCAAAGAGTCACTAAGACAAAGCACTTGAATCCATTGTAAGTTAAAGTGCACTCACCAGGTATCATGGCCCCTGAGCAGCACTGGACTGTGCTGTGCTGAGTGTGGACAGCTCAACTACAAATCAATGCAGTGTATAATCAGTGTCAAAAGGGATCGGTTCAAAAGATGAGTATTATGTGATTTCAGATCAGGGAGAGAACTACATGGACTTGAGTGATCAAGGGGCTTCTATGGAAGAGGCATCACTAACTGGACCTTCTTCAGGGAGAGGAAATAGGTATTCAGAGAGATGCTTTTGTGTTCCCTGATGTCAGAGAAATTATATTAGGGAAGAGGGTGAGGGACTTTGGCTTATGTTGAGAAGTCTCAGGGGCAACTTTGAACAGATGTGTTTGGTGGAAGGCAGAAATAATATAAGAACTTTGAAAGCCAGTGTGAGCTTTATACTGAGGGTAATGGTGAACTATTGATTTTAGGATTGACATATAAAGTATAGCATTTTGATGAAAGGAGGTGAAAGGTAGCAGAATATGCCACTCCCAAATGTGCAACTTGGCGTAAGGATGATTTTGAAATAAAGACACTTGAAGAACAGAAGGTACAAGAAGGGTGCACTGACCTCCCCTTTTCTTCCTAAAAGCAGGCGATAAATCTCTCATGTGAAAGATGCTCATTCTGGAGGTAAGAAACGTTCTTATCACCAGAGATAGGGAGTCAAGACTGAGAGAATTCTGCACACACAGATCTTATTAAAGCAATTCTTATCTTTCTTTGGTCCTCTAATGCTCTAGTTTGGCTACACAAGCCTCCAAACTTCATGCAGAAATTTGATTTCCAATGTTGGAGATGTGGCCTAATGGGAGGTGTTTGGGGTCATGGAGGTGGATCCCTCATGAACAGATCAGTGCTGTCCCTGGGTTGGGGGATGGCTGTGGGGCGGGGAGGCAGTTCTCACTCTATTAGTTCCAGGGAGAACTGGTTGTTGAAAAAGTCTTGCACCTCCTCCTCCTCTCTCTCTGTCTCTCACTCTTGCTTCTGCTCTTTCATCATGGGATCTCTTCTCTGCTCACGTGGCTCTCCTTCACCTTCCACCACGAGAACCAGCAGCCCGAAGCCCTCACCAGAAACAAAATACTGATGCTATGTTTCTTTTGTAGCAGTGAACCAAATACACCTCTTTTCTTTATAAATTACCCAGCCTCAGGTGTTTCTTTATAGCATCACAAATGGACAAAGGCATTCCATATATTTTAGTGACTTTTCTACAACTGCCTCTCTATGTCCAACCTAGTATATAAGCACTTAGGTTTTGCCACCTCTTTGGGTCTTCATTTTCCTGTATGCTTTTCTCTTGTTAATCTGTCTTATGTCGACTTAATTCTCAGGGCCCACCAGAAGCCCTAGGAGGGTAGAGGTAAAGTGTCGCCTCCCTTCTAGAGGGTTTTAGGAAGATTGTTTGCCTAGCAGAAATGCAGTTTAGCCTGGAAAGCAGCAAAACTGGAGTTGGGGAGACTTTGGGGAGAACTGCAGGGGAGGTTGACAAGGCCTCGTGAAGGTAAGAAGGCCAGAAGGAGGGAGTGCTGTGTTGCAGCAGTTATGGAAAGTTCATGATGGGCCCACATTTCAGAAGGATAAGGCTGTGTAAGTGACAGTCACAGTGCTCCAACCCAAGAGAAGGAACTGACTATATTTTGGAGAAAGATGTCGAGTGTTGGATTTTGTGCAGTGGATCTACATGACGCAGCTGGTGTTGATACTGAGGCTGTGGGCTCTATCTGGCTCCACTAACAGGCATTCTGGAGAGGTTTTTCCAAGAAATTAATTCCATGGACCATTGAGGCCTAGTGCCTCTCTGTTGATTCTAACCTTTCTGGCGTGGTTTTACTGGCCAATGGTATGTATGTCAGTTTCATTTTTTATCACTCTGGATAAAAATGTTTGGGGCAGGAAAGCAAATTCTACAGCTTGTGCTTTTTAGGTTCATGGATTTCAGTGGCCTCAGATAGTTCCTATATCTTCATTCCTGCAACATCCCAAGCTCCTTTTCCTTGAAGTCCTTTAAAAGATAGCTTCATGGCCGGGCGCCTGTAGTCCCAGTTACTACGGAGGCTGAGGCAAGAGAATGGCGTGAACCTTGGAGGTGGAGCTTGCAGTGAGCCGAGATCACGCCACTGCACTCCAGCCGGCGAGACAGTGTGAGACTCCGTCTCAAAAAAATAAATAAATAAAAATAAAAGATAGCTTCGGAATTCTAGGAGATAGTCCAAGAAGTCAGTCAGCCTCCTATTTATTCCTCTACTCCTCTTGATCCTACACTGGATTAGTATGATCTCATTCACTCTCCAAATATTTACTGACCACCTATTAAGTACTAGGTTTTACCCTCACGAAGATCACAGTGAACTGGAGAAGTCAAACATCTGGACTGGCAATTCAAATGCAGCCTCAGACATACCATGCTAGGTGCAGTGTAGGATAGGCTTCCAGAGCCAGGCTGCATTTGAACTCTAATGCACACCCTGGCTGTATGACCTTGGGCAAGTTACTTAACACATCTGTGCCAGTTTTGCCCTCTGTAAAATGAAAATAATAATAGCAGGATTATCTTGAAAGTTAATAGAGGTGACGCAGGAAAGAAGTGCTAAATAAAAATCAGCCAGTATATTCCAGCCCAGAGAAAGGGCATGGTGGAATGAAACACGGCATAGCAGCAGCTGACTATTGTTAGTGCATACTAGTACATATTGGAGATCAACAGCCAGAGTCCATTTTGATTGGTTATGGCATCTGTCCCAATTGGTCCATATTGATTGGTTGGTGACTGTACTGTATGGGTTAATATTTTTTATGTCATCTCAGAGTTTAAGTCAGTGGTCCTGAAACATTACATGTGCCTCAGTATAAATGGAATGCTTGCTAAAAAGTGCAATTCTTGGGCCCTAGCCCCAGAGATTATGATTCAGTTAATGCAGAGTGGGCCCAGAAGTATATTTTAAATATGCATTGATTGCAAACCTGCTTTCCTACAAGCTCTGATTTAGAGGGACAGAGGAGGTTATCTGGGAGAAGTAACATTTAACCAAGACCTGGAATTCTAACAGCTTTAGGCAAGGAGGTGGGGAGAGTGGGATGGAGTAGGGGATTATTCCTCTCAAAGGGCACAGCATGGGCAAGAATGGTTGGAGTATTAAGTCGAGGGTGGATGGCAGCAAAAGAGAGAAAAACTCAATTATAAAGGCACTGTAAACAGTAGGTTTTTATTTTACCTTCAGTGTAATGAATGGGAACTCACTTAACGTGTTTTATGAATGGGGTGGCAGGATCATACTTACGCACTGGAAGATCTCTGGTTTTGTGCAAAGGGATGAGGGCAAACAAGCCAGGGGCAGGAGGCGGCCTGTGAGCTACCTGGTGAGAACTGCTAGCTTGGTGGCCTGTCACCAATCCTTACTATTGCCCTTGGCACTTTTCCCCACTCTTTCCCTCCTTTTTGACGTCTGGCCCTCTCTGGACCTGGTCAGCCACTCAGGCCAACTGTCTTCCTTCATGGCTGGTGTGTGACCTCCCTGCTCCAGCTTCTGACATGATGGTCATAGTGACTGTGCTCTGGTTTCAGTACTTGGTCACACTGGCACCCAATGATGCAGAGGAAGCTGGTGGGTGACTAGAATGTAAGTAGAGGAAAGCAAGGCCCTATCTGTCTTATTCATTTCCCTGGGGCTACAAATGTGTAGCAGTAGTGTCTAGGGGAGTAGTATGGAGTAAGCACTCAGTACATATCTGCTAAAGAATGAGGGCTCTGTCTCCAGAAGTGGGCCTATGGTAGATATCAGAGGGCAATTCCAACTTCTGTGGATAGCATGGAGTGACTGTAATTTGACTCACCTTGTCATCATCGATGAGGGGTCCTTTTTATTCATCCTTTTGATCATACTTCCTCTCGTGTTTCCACCTTATTCTTTGCATTATTTTTTAACAGGAAAAGGGGATTGAACATTTTTTTAAGTGTCAGTCTATCTCAAAATACTGTATTTTAGCTATACAAGGTATCCTGCTGTGCATCTTTGGCTTATTTGGAGTTACTTTGCCAAAGCAGAGAAAGTACAAATCCTAGAAACCTGTTTCTCACTAAACTCACTTCATAAACCCATCCAGAGTCATTTTCCACAATGGGATTGAAAAAGAAAGAAGAACAGGCAGTAATCAATTGTAGCACTTACTAGTTTACCGCTCAGATCTCAATCTTCTGCCATCACTTAGAAGCAGGATCCCAGGAGGACAAGAAATAGAGAAAGGGGTTAAATGAGCTCCTAAAATGGTCATAATTTTCCAAAGGCCATGTTTTAAAACCCCAGGATTAGTCCCCGGAAAACCATTTATTCAATTATTAAAACAAAGTTAAGGATAATGCTCTTTCCCCCACCAAGCTGAGTGGATATTTGTCAAAACTGAGTTGTACCCATTGATAATAGGGATTAGGAAGGACTTGCTATAAAGTGCGAAGTGTGTGTTTAATTGTTGCTGCAAGAGAAATATAACTTACTGGTAAACTGCGCAGAATTTGAAACAAAGTGCCCTTTTTACTTTTGTAGGAATGTCATACTAACCAAATGTGTCCGCATGTTTTCAATTAAGCAGAGGAATGTTAAATGTAAAGCTAAATTGATGAAAATAACCAAACTTTCTGACAAACCAATAAATTGGAGTCTAGAACTCATTGCCCATACTGTATGGCAGCCAGAGAAACATTGCTAGATCATCAATTTTTACCTAATTTTTGAGTTACTTTATACTTGAAAAGAGAAAAGGAATGCTAGGAAAGTAATTTAAATTATTCCCAGCTATAAACAGAGAATATGCACATTGGACGTAGACCTTATTCTTCCCTGTATGCAATTGAACTGATTGTTTATTCTTTTGGCAATTTCCTCACTGAAATTTTTGGAAATGTAAAACAGAGTTTTCAGGGAACTCTCATGTCAACATTTTGGCAAATGATCTGGCAACATGCTAGTCATTGGACCGCTTTTCTGAACTTCTCAGAACTACTCCATGGCAATCTGTATTCTTTGAAAGGGATGTTTTAATTTTCCTTCCCTCAAATTTTTATTCCTTCAAGTTGCTGTCACGTTGAGATGACAATATACTAGAAAAATTATGAGTTTGGAGAAGAAAATTCTAAATTTCTTCCTGAAAACAGAGGGTAAAATTACATAGTCAGAAATATGACTCTCTGCACATTTCTGCTTATGTCAGATGTTTCCATTTTTAATACAGAAATTTACCTCTGAATTGGTCTTTTTATTTTGTGAGAGATGGCAGGAAATAAACCTTTGAAATCAAAGAAAGGGGAAGCTAAGGCCGTCATCTTTGCCACTGTGAAATGGGTACCCTTTGCTGAAAGGTCAGTCAGAAACCCAGGCTCCCACATCTTGATCTCCACTGCCCTACAGGTACAGAAGTTTCCCGTGATCCTCTCGCTAAGAAAGTAGAACTGCTTCCAAATGTAAGGTAGTGTCTCTAAGTTTCTATGGTTCTATCCTAAGCTCAAAGTGTGCCAGAAGGACCCTGTATCTTATTTGGGCAAAATTTTAGTCCAGGCAAAGGCCTATTTCAAAACCGATTAATGCTATAATTTTTTTTCTAACAACACTGGGGAACAATCAGTTTTTCAAATTAGTTGGTCACTCAACACTTTTGTCTGGTGGCCACTCAAAAAATATTATTTTTTGCAAAATTATTTTTGGACACTTCCATGAAACTGCTCCTTTTTAAATTAAAGTTTCATGCTCTGGCTTTTATTAAAGTTTCAAACCTTTTCTCAATGTTTGATCAAATTCACCCGAAATTTAAATCAGAGTTAATTACATATATTAGATATTTCCAAGGACTTACATTTTAAATTTTTATTACTTATTTAAATGGCATTCAGAGGAAAAAAATGAAATAATCTCATTTGAGGGCAGGCAACATGGTTTTCCCTCAGTTTACCTTTGCATCTAGTTGTTCCTAATGGTGTTGACTTCATATAAATGCTCAATTACTATTGCTGCTATAGTTCCCATTAAGTGCTGTATTTAAGATGAGTGGTGGTGGCCTCTTGATCAATCAAGTATTTAAAGCATCTTATCCTTTAAGCTTTCATGTTATCCACACATTTAATTTGCTTAAAACCTCTTAGGTATTCATTCAAATCACAGATGAAAAAATTGAACATCTGCATTCTGAGATAAGCTGCTGGTTATCTCCCTCCAGGTTCAGTTGATCTGCAGATATGTATTGGGTATTTAGGCCCTTTGCTCAGGCCAGGGTTGCAAAGATAATATTACATGATCTCTGTCTTCCAATAACTCTCAATAGAGAGGATAGTAAAGCATTGATTAATAAATATGTTATCAGCCAGCTATGAATTCATTTAATGTGGTATTCCCCAGATCACAGTCCTCATTCTTTCCATATAAGTGTCTGCTATCCATATATAAGGCAATAGGATAAGTCTTAGAAAAAAATTATGCTTTGTGATATTTATTTCATCTACAAATTTATTTTTAAAGACTTTATCAAGAGTTTTGCTATAATCAAGGCCCACTACGCCTACTGATTTAGGATAGTTTCAGCCCAGTATAGACAGGCATAGTTTGTAGGGAACAAGGTTAACTCTCAAGTTCAGCATGATAACTGAAGCCTTCTGATACTCTGATTTCTTAGTTGGGCATTCCTCTGACTTTTACCGTCCTCTCTTCTGGGTTTGATCCCATTTTTCTAATAACTTCTTTGTATTCATATTTCTCATCCATCTTTTCTTTAGTCTTTCACAACTCCCTGCCCTCTGACTATATCCAACACTGCTCAATTTTCACATTAGTGTTTAGCTTTTGGTCAATTTGTTGCTCATTCAAACATTACAACTTTCAAAAACATGTAAAGATAGCTAATAAACATATTAGGCATGATATTTGTAAGTCATGATACATTAGTCACTCTCATTACATACATTTTCTCTAAATATATCTGATATAACTTTTGTCTCTAGCCAAAAGATATTAAGTCATATGTAATAGGGGGTAAGAAATACGACTCTTTATACTGTACTTCAGCCTATGGCTCAAAGACTGATCAATACAAAGTTATCATGAGGATGGTGGGGCAGCGTATTTCAAAGTGAGGTTTCAAGGAAGTCTTTATGGACCATCCCACACTCAAGAAACACTGTTAGGCCCACTTCATCTGATTTGCGCTTCAAGAGCTGCCTAGAGTACTCAGGAACCTTACCATTACAACAGAGAAGTAGATGGGGTCTAGAAGGTTTTCCACTTGACCGATGGTCAACCATGTTATAATCCTTTCATTACAATTCTGTTGTCATTTTGGTAAACAAAGAATAACATTCAGATTCAAAAATCATTTATTATTAAGGGTCTATTGTGTGTAGGCATAGGCACTTTCACAATAAATTGCTATTCTTTAACTTAACAAATATGTATCTTGAGAACCCATTATGTGTCACGTTTGGTACTATATGGAAAATTTGATATTTGGTCTAAAATCTTGGGAAACATCCATCAAATATACAATATGAAAATGAAAGCTTCTCAGAAAGTTATTTGTGTGTTTTTTTTTGTTTTTTTTTTTTTTTTTTTTTTTCGGGATGGAGTTTCACTCTTGTTGCCCAGGCTGGAGTGCAACGGCGCAATCTCCGCTCACTGAAACCTCTGACTCCCGGGTTCAAGCGATTCTCCTGCCTCAGCCTCCCAAGTAGCTGGGATCACAGGTGCCTGCCACTACACCCGGCTAATTTTTTTGTACTTTTGGTAGAGACGAGGTTTCACCATGTTGGCCAGGCTAGTCTTGAACTCCTGACCTGAGGTGATCCACCCACCTCGGCATCCCAAAGTGCTGGGATTACAGGCGTGAGCCACCGCACCCAACCTCCAGAATCTATAAATGCTAAACAACAACAAAACAAAATGAAAGAGTTTTAAAATAGGAATATTGTTTATATTTTTATATGATTTTTCAAGCACAAAGCAGAATGAAGCAAAAATTACTTATGGGGGAAAATATACACATTTTACCTTTATACTTTTTTCTTTTATTTTGTTCCTGCTTGAGCATTAACAACAACGTATGGTGAATATAAGTTTGCAATATATATAATGCTTTTGTATTTTTCATGAATTTTAATGTAAATACTCATATTCAAACTGAATGGATTAGATGAATCCAATTCATATATGCACGACTCACATAACTTTGGTTCCTAGGAAACTTGCGTAACCTACTTTTTGGTAGATTCCTTTATCTTCATTCAGAAGTGCTGCCTTTTCAGTGTTGGCTAAGTTCTAAGAAGAGATTAGAAAGGAATAGGCCGAGAACTCAGAAAACCTTGTTCCTACTTCTAATTTAGGCGCTTGACATTAGCTGTGTTTCATTGCTTCCCCATATTTAGCATTGGTAAAATGTCTATTGAATAGCAATCTTAAGAGATACATTAAAAGTCATTTCAATTTTAAGGGCTTTAATAATAAAGGTATAAAAACAATAGCGACATAGATAATAGTAGCTAGCATTTATAAGGCCAAGTATTTTATTTTATGTTAGTTTAGTTTAGTTTCGTTTCGTTTAAAGATGGAGTCTTGCTCTGTTACCCAGTCTGGAGTGCCGTATCGCATGATCTCGGCTCACCGTAACCTTTGCCTCCCAGACTCAAGCAATCCTCCCACCTCAGCCTCCTGAGTAGCTGGGATTACAGGCACGCACCATCATGCCTGGCTAATTTTTTGTATTTTTAGTAGAGGCGGGGTTTCAACATGTTGGGCGGGCTGGTTTCAAACTCCTGACCTCAAGTGATCCACCTGCCTCGGCCTCCCAAAGTGTTGGGATTATAGGTGTGAGCCACCGCGCCCAGCAGGCCAAGTATTTTAATACATCCTCTTGTAATTCTTACACCTCTCTGTGCTGTAGGCTCTGGTATTATCTCCACTTTGTGGCTGAGGAAACAAAAGTTTCAAGAGATTAACTATCTTTCCCAGATCTGAATGCTCTTAATGCCTGTGTTATGGAGGCTCTTTTGGATTTTTTTCTCATTAGTTGGTATTTGTCTTAAATGAATAATACAGTAATAATAGCTATATCTATAAATCCAAAGCTGGTGCTCATCACCATTGTTTGAAAGATTTTATGTAAAAGTGTATGTTTGTGTGTATAATATCGCTATATAAATTCTTTCTTAAATACAATGTACAAAGTCTGATCTTATCTGTAAAGATAATAAGAAAATACTAAATCTGAATTGGAGACAAGATAATATTGTTTACTTATTAAGAGCATCATGGGAAGGCTTGAAAATAATATAGTGGAAAGTTAAACAAATGGGAGTGGGGTATTAAAATGGAATAGCAGTGCTTGAGATTTAGTGAGACACCAGTAGGATTCTAGGGACAGCATTTTAGAAAACGCTTTGTCCATGGTGACTTCTTTTTTCCTTGGGGCTATAACAAAGGACATTTTGTTAATAGAGCAATTTATATTAAATCCCTTCCTGAGCCCAAGAAAACCTGGATTTTTACTTCCAGGTTATATTTCTCTCATTCTTCCAAGACCAAGGTTTGAAAAAAGCTCGAAAAGCAGGATTCAATAAATACATGAGCTTGCTAGGAATATTTAGACACTCGGTCTTGTGACTGTGGAAAATCATTCACTCTAGCAGAACCCAAAGGGCTTTTATTTCCAGTTATGGGAAATACAATCTGGGTGAGATGGAGAATGTTCTTTAAAGGGTGATGTTTGTGGGTCACTTCAAAGTTACGCTTGCTTACCTAGGGCTCTCTCCTTGAAGAAACTTTGTTAACGTCAGCATCCATGTTTCCGTTTTTAATTTAGAAGATGCATTTCTCCTCCCCATTCACCCCCACTTCCTGTTTTCTGGTAGGCTTTGCAGATTCAAAATGCCTCTCAGGACACAGTGTAGGGGCAAAGGACATGGTGCCAAACAGTCAGCCATGATTTAGAACAATCAAGGTCCCCTGGATGTATTTTTCTACTTTACCAGCAGTTTGATAACTAAGGACTATAAACTTTGAATACTGAGTCCAAGTCCCTGTAGACTGTTCTGTTCACAATTCAACTCCTACGCTGCTTTATAGAGAACAACACTGGCTCTTGCCTTTAAAAAAAAAAAAAAAGGTAATTTCTGGTTCTTCAGGCATACTGAAACATGATATTTTCCAAATGTTTAGAAACTATGATACAGGAGAAGACCAAGATGACAGTATTCTTATGCATAATTTTTTTAGGTTTTCCTTTCCCTATTTATTACTTATGGTAGCAGATAATCAGCTCAAATAAGTTATTTGAATATATAGATTCATTTTAGAAGGATCTATTTGGAAGGATCCATTTGGAAGGATTGCTTGAGCCCAGGAGTTCGAGACTAGCCTGGGCGATGTGATGAGACACTGTATTTACAAAAATACAAAAAAATTAACCAGGTGTGGTGACATGTGCCTGTAGTCCCAGCTATTCGAGAGCCTGAGGTAGGAGGATCACTTAAGCCTAGGGAGGCCAAGGCTGCAGTGAGCCGAGATTGCACCATTGCTCTGCAGCCAGCCTGGGTGACAGAGTGAGACCGTGTAACAAAAAACAACAAAAAAAAAACAAGAATATATATATATACACATATATGTGTGTATACACACACACACACACACACACACACACACACACAGAGTAAGACATTTGTTTTACTAAGTGAGATGCTTCTCTGAGCCTTCCTTTGTGTAAAGGGATAGTGGAGACAGCTGAATTTCTCCTGGATGCAGATGCCCATTTCAGGAGAGATGTCTAATGACGTTTTACAGCTTTCAAAGTGCTTTCACATGGTTCATTTCATTTGATCCTTCTACAAATCCCCTGAATCAGCATGGCAGAGGTTCTCCCAACTTTAGAGATGTGCAATTTTGGCTTAGAGATGAAAGGAATTGCCTAAATTTACATAACAAGGAAATGACCAAATCAGATTGGAACACAGCCACAGTGCTTTTCAAAACTCACCTGGAAATCTTGTTAAAATGCAGACTCCCATTCAGTACGTCAATGGTGTGGCCACAGATTCTGTATTTCTTATACTTTGCCATGTGATGCTGACATCCGTGGTTCCTGCTAGGCAATAGTTTAAATAGCCAAAATTCTAGACCATAACACCTTATATAAATACAAATTGGTTGAATATGTATGGGAAATTTATTTCTCAAAAACCATCTTCAAAGTTGTCCCTTGAGTAAATGCAAGACTCATGACCCTACTAGATATGTCTCTATGGTCATGTGGCTGTGCTGTTCATACTCTTTCACTCAAATCTGTCATTGCGTTGGTCAGGGAAACCCCCATCCTATGCTTTGTATTCAATTCTCTCTTTTTCACTTCACACTGTTAATCACATCTGCCCACCTGTCCCCAGTCCTTAAGTAGCCCAACTCTTCCTTCCAATTTTGTTGCACCTAATTTTCAAGATTTAAAGATAAATTTTTACTAAAAATTTTCCCCAATTGAATCAAACTATCCCAATCCATATCTCAGGGCCTCAATCAGTGTGCATATGGAAATAATACATGTATTAACTTTTTTGTAGTCTATCATGTATTCTATGTAAGCCACACGTTTGTGTAGATAACATTTACTATGAGGGAAGAATAGATTTTTAACTGTAATCCTCTCGTGGATAAATTTCTTCTAGGTAGAGAAGTATGTCAAGATTATGTCTTAATTAGGCAGAATGAGTAAGGAGTACCATGTTGCAGATAACAATGGGAGGTAATGATTTGTACCATGGCTTCTGGAACCACACACAGACTTGATTTGAATACCAGAATTTACAATCTATATGAGCTAAGCAATTTATCTGAACTTCTCTATACAAAGGAAATACTCAAGGGAGTACTTATTTCTTCACATTAAATGTTCAATAAATCTTAGAACAACATTTTCTGTTTTGCAGAGAATAGTTAACACAGGCCTGCGGTTGTAAAAATATAGCATGACAAATTGCACTTTACCATCAATTTCATAACGTTGTACACAAGGATAAGGTGCTGAGTGAATAGATTCATTATTAATTGATAAATATATACCCTTGAAAGCTAGAGAATATGATCCTGAAGTCTTTGCTTTATAAAACTATAAGATTTGTTTTCCAGTTAAAAAATAAGATTATTATCTATACTTACAAAGCACCAAATAGAACTCTTGTGCTTTCAAAATGAGGATTTTTTTAAAAAAAATGGAAGATTCTTATTAACAAAACTCAAAACAAAATAATCTGTGACCTTTGTAATTATCGAGTTTATTTTCTGTAAGGTGTGAAATATCAAACTAGGTAATTCTTATTGGCTATAATTAATATATACAACATCTTTTAAAGTATTAATAATTCTGAAGCTTGTTTGTATGTCTGTTTGAAATCTAGAGAGAGTTTGAATGCAGATCCAAAACCTCAGTTTTTTTTCCCATAGCTTTGCCTCTATTGTAACTTCTGTCATTGACAGATCATTGTGTCTTAAATTTGTTTGGTTGCTCAAGGCTTGCTTCCCCAAGTTTAAGCTGTTAACCTGCTGAGGGGAGTCAGGGTGTGAGGCAGGTAATTATAGGACAAACTTATGGGGTTTGTGTGTGAATTTTGGTCGTGAGGAAGATGTTGAATATGGATAGTTCCTAGGGAGGGAGATGCTAAAGGAAAACAATAATAGGAAAGAATACATTATGTATATTAAGGAAAGTAAAGAGCTTGGCTTTAGTAAACTGCCCCTAGGATAGAATGGAGAAAGATAAATACAGTGGAGCATGTAAGGATCAACTGATAAACTCCCACGTGGTGGTGGGATTTGAATGCCCTGCTAAAAGTTTCCACTTTGCTTTAAGTCTTGCTGATTAGAGAAATCACATGATGAAATACGTTTTAGTGATATTATCCAGGCATTAGTGTGTGCAAGAATGGCTTGGGTCCAGGAGAGATTGAAAGCAGGAACTCACTTAGAAGTCAGCTCAATCAATGCAGTGTGAGGTAAGAAGTGGTATCGTAGACAAGTAGCTGTGGCAATAAAGAGGGCAGGACAAGAGAGGAAAAACAATTGCATTAAAAGGATCAGAACATTCCATTCTGTCTGTTTGCATTTGAGGAAATAGAAGAATGGGAGGAATCTACCCTAACTAGAGGATGCAAGCCCAATGAACCAGCAGAACCGTGTCACAAACAGCAAGGCCAAGAGATGATTTGTTTGGTTTTATTTATGTTGCTTTGAGATAATTCCAGAATCTTTAAATTGAGATGCTTTGCTGTCAATTGACTGTCACCTAAAAGGGTCAAGAAGTAAAATGGAGAAGAAGCATACAGAAGAGGTGCTTTGAACTGTACAACCAAGTAAATTTTCTAATGAGATAAATTGAAAAGGAGAAGATACAGGGAGCTAAGGATGGGATCATGGAAAAGAGTAAAGAACTGCAGACAGGAGGAGGAATGGTCAGTGAGGTAGGAGATAAATCAGGCAGAAGGCAAAGTGGAAGGGTCTCTTTCTTTTGTTTTAATAAAAAAAAATTGTGTATACTTGTAAGTATTCAGAATGACAACAAAAGAGCTGCGACTATTTTTTTGCAATTAAAGTGGTATTCAGTTAACAGAACAATGATTATTTTGCATAAGTTGCATCAGAGACAACCGAAAATGTAAAGAACTACCATCCCCATATATAACAAATTTGTGCTGTGCACCAACAAGAACCTGCTTTAAATTTCATGCCAATTTACAACCTCCATACTGTACCAGGCAAGGTTAGTGGCTATTGAGAATATCACCAAGACGGGGCTATTTAAAGACACAGTGGGTTAGTGTGTTAATTATACAAAAAAAGATACTGTATAGTTTAAAAACAAATCTTACATAGCCTTACATTTCAGTTTCTTTCTTTAGAATAAATGAGTTGTGTACAAGAGGGTTAAATGTTTTATAGACAAGAAAAAAACTATGCTAGAACCAACTTATTCATCATCATCATCTTCTTCATCTTCATCCTCTTAATCTTCCTCCTCCTCATCCTCTTCATCTTCCTCATTTTCCTCCTCTTCCTTTTTCTTACCTTTCTCAGCCTTGGCAACTCCCTCTTTAACTGCCTCAGGTTTTCCTTTAGCTTGTTGTGGAGCAATATCCTTTTCATATTTTTTCTTCAGGTTCACAGCCTTCTTTTCCTAAGGATGCTTGTCATCTGCAGCTGTGTCGTTCCACAGATTTCCCACCTTCTTCACAACACCACCAATGGATAGGCCAGGATGGATGTTCTCCTTTGATTTTTTAGTGATACTTAGAACACAACAAGAAAAAGGCCAAAGGAGGCCTCTTGTGTGCATTGGGATCCTTGAACTTCTTTTTTATCTCCCCTTTAGAAGGGATACAGGTTCTCATTTCTCTTTCATAACAGGCCTTGTCCGCCTCTGCCATATCTTCACATTTTTCTTTTCTCTTTAGCAGACATGGTCTTCCACCTCTCTGAGCACGTCTTAGAAAATTCTGAGAAATTGACCGAAGCATCTTTGTGCTGCTTCTTGTGCTCCTCCCGACAAGTTTGCACAAGAATGCTGTGAAGACATTTTGCCTCTCAGCTTCTTAGGATCTCCTCTGCCCATGTTTCATTATTTTTCTTCATCAAGGCACAGAGTCACCCTGTGCCAGTCCAGCTTTCACTTGCCCCAGTGCTGTCTCTATGGAGCTCAGTGTACTGCAATGATGGTGAGAGTGACAGCCAGACACAGACTCCCTGGAAGAGTTTATTGAATGATGAATAATTAATAGTACACCATGCAGCAGAGAACTAGGGGATAGGTTCCCAGGGAAGACTGTGTCCTCTTTAAATTTACAACTTGCCTCTCAATATTTATGCACACACTGCTACATGATGTAAACATTGGTGTAAACATTGAAATATTTATCATAGAATAAATTTAGATAAAAAGCGATAAAAATAAAACAAGATTACTAATTTTTGATTAAATTTATGTGAGAAAATAGGTACAGTCTTTTGAGCAAATTGCAAAGAAATTGATTTCTATAGCAGTAGTATAAGGATAATAATAAAAATTATGTAATATACTGAGCTACTGCAATCACAAAAGCATGTATACTATGATGTGAATGAACTACCCACACTTCTAATATCAGCCTCCTCACTGGAAGTGGATAAGATCGATCTCATCTACTCTTGTTCTGCAAGAATAGATCCCATCGATTCTTTGCTTTCTTTCTTTCCTTTCTTTTCTTTTTCTTTAGAGACAGGTTCTCACTCTGTTGCCCAGGCTGGAGTGCAGTGGTGCCATCATAACTCACTGCAGCCTCAAACTCCCAGGCTCAAGTAATCTTCCTACATCAGCTTCCCAAATAGCTGGGACAACAGGTGTGTGCCACAACATCCAGCTAATTATTAATTTTTTTTTATAGCAATGGGATTTTGCTATGTTGCCCAGCCCCATCTCAAACTCCTGGCCTCCAGCCACCCTTTAGCATTGGCCTCCCAAAGAGCTGGGATTACAGGCATGAGCCATTGTGCCTGACCCAATTCTTTGCTTTCTAATGGGCCATTTCTGTCAGCAAATAAAAATGCTACTCAATTTTAACCTGTGATTTAAATTTTTTTTCTCAACTTCTTTTTTTCTCTTTCAGTTTTTGCCCATTTTCTCAAAAAAGGCGACTTTACCAGCTGCCTTCAATTTCTCTTTCCCCATTGCTTCTTGATCCATACTAAACAGTCTTTCATTCCTATCATTTCATTCCCTCACAACAGCTTCTGTCAAAAGTTACCAGTGACCTCCATATTGCTAAATCCATTAGTCTCTCAGCTTCCTGTCACTCAGCCTATCAGTAGCTTTTGACACTGGCAGTCACTTCTGAGAAAGACTTTCTTCACGTCGCAAACTACACATAACATGGCCCAAACAACTAACCTTTCAAACGTGCTCCTCCTTCCATGGTAAAAGGCAATTCTATCATCCCCACGGCTTGGAGAAAAAAACCGTGTTGTTACCTTTGATTTCTTTCTCTGAAACCCCACATCCAGTCTGTTAGAAAACCCTACTGGCTCTACAATCAAAATATCTCCAGGAATATGGCCCCTTCTACTCTTGATGGAAGATGCTATCATCCCCCACCTTGGTTATTACTAGCCTCCCAACTCATTTCCTTGTTTCCACCCTGTGCTTTCCTATGGTCTATTCTACACAACAGCCAGAGATTCTTTTAAGCAGTTGTTGTATAATACAATTTCTTTGTTTGAAACTCTCCAATAACCTCCTATGTAACTCAGAGTAAAAGCCAAACTCCTTATGATGGCCTATAAGATCCTACATAACCCGGTGCCTGCTACTTCTCTGATCCTGATGTTCCCGATAACCTCGATATGCTCACCTTAGGAAAACTGAAGTTGATGAGTCCTTTGCTTGGATACCCATGTGGCTCACTGTCTCAATTCTTTTAGGAATTTGCTCAGATTTTACCTTTTCAATGGGACCCTTCTTGACCTGCCTATTTAAAATGATAAGTCCTGGCCCCTTATGCCCCTAGTCCCATACCATACTTTATTTTTCTTTTCTGCACTTGCAACCTTATGACAACATTTTTTTTTTTTTTATGAACTCCATTGGAGTAGGAGTTTGTTTTTTCATTCTAGTATTCAAGCACTTAGAACTGATTCTGGCCCATAAGAGGAACTCAATATATATGAATGAATTAAAATAAAAACAAAATTAGCCTAATTTGATTTAATGAAATTGCTTGCATTCACCTTATATTGAACATCTGGAAAGTTGTTTCTATTGACTTTGGAGTATTTTAGATTCTGATCCAGTGATAATCCAATGATATATTTCAAGTGTTGTTTAAGTGTTTTAGGAAATATTGGTTTCAATGGGAGTATTACTTTATGGAAAGTAATCTACATTTGTAGTAAATGCATCAAGAAACTGATATATGTGAGAAGGTCCTGGCATGGATTATCAGTGATTATCAGCTTCATAACCATGTTCTCCTGGCTATAAATATGTCTCACTTTCCATACTCAATGATTTAATGAGAGGCAATGTGGTCAAATGGAAAGAATCTGAAATTTCAAGTCTGAAGTCTAGGTTACTCATCAATTGGGTGACCTTGCGTAAATTACTTAACTTTTGGGGGGATATTTTCCTCCTTTAAAAAAATGATAACAACAGTGAGTTGATTGTAACAATTAAATGAAGTCTAAGAAACTTGTTGAGAGCATGTACTTCATTTTGTTCATTGTTGTGTTCTCAGGAATTGTCACGTGTGAACAGCGAGTGGCACATAGTATGATCAATAAAATAAATATTTGTTGAATGAATGAAAGAATAACATGTGCAAAGAACCCAGACAAGTGCCTGGCACAATGTAGGCACTTAAAAAATGGTAGCACAGGCACAGCGTCTCTTGTCTGTAATCCTAGCATTTTGAGAGGCTGAGGCAGGAGTATTGCTTGAATCCAGGAGTTTGAGACCATCCTGGGTAACATAGGGAGAGCCCATCTCTATAAAAAAATACAACAGTTAGCCAGGTGTGGTGGTGAGTGCCTGTAGTTCCAGCTACTTGGGAGGCTGACATGTGAGTTTCGTTTGAGCCAGGGAGGTTGAGGCTGCTGTGAGCCACTGCACTCCAGCCTGGGTAACAAAGCAAGACTCTGTCTCAAAAACAAAGGTAGCTATTATAATAGGTATTAGTAAATTAACTGTATTTCTTTAGTTATACTATATTGAAGAGCATAGAGTAGATTCTGGCTGACTTCAGCTGTTTATTCCTCTTTAGATAGATTTGAAGATGTTTGATTGAGTTTACAGAATATTTTAAACACTGGAACTAGAAAGTATTTTCACTTGCTTTTCTCTTGATGAAAAGAACAATTAAATACCGACAGTATAGCTGTAGTTAAAATAGAAGCTGCAATAAATTTTGGTTAACAGTTAATGTCAAAACAGTTTTTTGGAGTTTTTCTACAAATTTGGTGGTAGAACTATAAGTAAGTGGTCCTGAGGCTTTCAATTGAACTGTTCACCCATGGCCTCCTTGCACAATGCTACCAGAGTAGGACCTGGATGTAGCAATTACCCAGTTATAGCACCTTGAAAGCAGACCTCTGCTGATGTATTCAATGGCTTTTAGGACAGCATTGCCCTTTGGACACAGAGGAGTTAACAGCAGAAGAACTAGAATTGGAAATCTAAGTTCAGGTCCCATGGATTCAGTAACTAGCCATGTGATATTAAATTATTTGACTCAGTTCCTGATCTGTTAAAGATGGATAAAAAATACACAGCTTGTCCACCTTTCACTGTAATTTAGAAAGGAAAAGTATATATTTTACCTAAGGATGTTGCTATGGTCTGAATGTTGTGAATGTTTGTGGCCTCCTAAAATTCATACATTGAAAACCTAATCACCAATTTAATGGTATTAGGAGGTGAGGCCTTTGGGAGGTGATTAGGTCATGGAGGCAGAGCCCCCATGAATGGGGTTTGTGTCCTTATAAACAGGGCTGTCCCCGACTATGTTAGGAAACAGTGGGAATGTGCCATCCATGAACCAGAAAAATGGGCTCTCAACAGACAGCAAATTTGCCTTAATCTTGGATTTCCTAGCTTTCAGAAATGTGATAAATAAATTTCTTTTGTTTATAAGCTACTTAACTTTTGGTATTTTGTTATAGCAGTCAGAACAGACTAAGACAGATGCTTTGGTAGCAAGCAACAAAATAACAACTAAAGCTTGTTTAAATAAAGGGAAAGTTTTCATAAGATATTAGATATATGAAACCAAAGGTAGGATGTGTAGGCAGGCCTGAGTGAGGTGCTGAAATAGAGAACTAGAAAGCCCTCAGAAACCACAGCATTTTAATCCACCCACTTTCTCTGCATCATTTGTGTTCATCACATAGCGATGGGTTTCTACTTTCTTTTCTTGGTTTTCTTCATAGACCAGCTCTGTTGGTTGGCTTATTAACACAAAAATAAGGTGTTAATCCCAGCCACCAATTCAGTAACTTGACAGGTAGAGTACCCTCAGAAAATGAACTGGGCCTCTCTGTATTTTAACTGGAAATTCTCCGAAGAGAGAATCACAGAGACTGCACTTGGATTAGGTGACCTTTGGGTCCAATCAGCCATGCCTGGGTTCTGGGTCATATGTCTTTCTGTGCATTCAGTGAGTCCTGTGGGAACATTCTCTCTGAGAAAGGGGGTATGAGTAGATCTTAAAACAGTGTTAGGAAGCACAGGGAAATCATGGGCAAACAAAATGATTGATTTTTCCAGTCCAAGTCTTTAAATTTAATTGGAGATTAAAAATAAATATGTGAAAAATTTAAACCAATAATATGTATGTCTTTCCCCATATCTTGATTTTTTTTATGCAGAACAGATTTATATTGTTAAGATAAGTGAGTTTCTATGATTCAAAAAAGTTAATTTTGCTCAAAGAGGTGTCTAATTACAAATACGGAGTAGTAGTACAGGGCAGAAGTGTATGTTCAGAGTGTTTCATTCGGTTATAGTCCTACAACTTTCTTTTTCCCCATGTCAGAGTTTCCCACTTACTTAATGTTCAATTCTTTTATCTGAAAATAAAAACAAAACAAAACAGGACAAATAGGCAAACAAAAAACTCTGGAGAACGTTTTGACCCTCATAAAAACACAGAAAAACAGAGCTTGTTTGGAAAGTCTTCAAAAAGTTATGTTTGGCCTCTGGGGTATATGATTTGTTTTTATTTCTGTTTACGTAATGCATTTTATATATTATTATTAAATATAAACATATTAAATATTATGTAATATTTATGTTACACATGTATTTATATTACCAAGTCAGCGTTGGATGGGCTCCAGTGTGTTTTTGGTTACCTCAAAGTAACCTGAAGGCTCTCTTCTTTCTCTTTATTAATGTCTTTGCAAGCATTTCTAAATGAACTTTATTTATATCTCACTTAGCAGCAGGTATTGTTCACAACAAGAAGTTTGGGGAATACAGAATAGTATAAAAATGGAAACAAGACATGGATAATCACACTACCTACAGGCAACCATTGTTCATATTTTGTCATGGTATTTTTTTCAGCATTTTTTTCACGATTTTTAAATAAACCTTTTTCATAATGGAGGAATAGTGCATGTATGGCTTGGTACTCTGTTTTTCTCACTCAAGATTTTATTATAAGAAGTTTCTTATGTCATTAAAGTTTTTATATACATTGTTAGCAACGTCATAATGTTCTATTCGTGGATGTGCCATGTAGTAAAATTTTGCTTACCTATACCCTAACAGTGGACATTGAAATTGTTTCTCATTTTACTTTATTATAACTGCATTATGTGACAATGTATATTTTTGGTGTATAATCTGTGTCCAAGTTTTGGTTATTCCTGTGGAATAAATTTCCAGAAACATAATTACTTGATCAAATTTTGCACACTCTTCATGTTTCTGAAACCACTTCAAATTTTCTTTCCAGAATTCTTGTACCATTTTGCAAGCCCTTCAACACTGAAAAGATGTCTCTTCTGGCACCCTTTGTAGTATTAAGTATAACCATTAAAAACAAAACAAAACAAAACAAAACAAATAAACAAATAAAACTGCTAACTTTTATAGGGGAAAAAAATCTTCCCTTGTTGATGACTAGTGAGATTGACATTATTTTCTCAGTGATGATTTTCTCATATATTATTAGTCACTTGAAGTTTTTCTGGGGAGCATCTGTTTGCATCATTTTTCCTTTTGGGGTTTTCTAATGTTTTCCTTAATAACTTTTATGAACCTTTTGTTTGTTAAAAATATAAGCATTTGCCATGTAACTTAGAAGTATCTTTTTTTTTTTAACATATAGATGTGTTACACTTTTAACTCATTAAATCTAATGTTCTTTTGGTTTTCAACTTTATTTTTCTTTCAACTTTTTGTTTTAAAATTTCCAGACTCAGAAAAATTAAAACAATAATCCAATGAGCCCTGTATACTCTTTACTTAGATTTCACGAGCTGATAAAAGTTTGTCACATTTTCTCTCCTTTCTCTGTCTTCAAAATATGATACATACATATACATATATGTATATATATGTGTATATATAAATATATGAGAGAGATTTCTTTATTATTGTTGAACTATTTGAAAGTAAGCTTCAGACATCATGACACTGGGCTGCTATCTTCTTCGTTGTGCATCTCTTAAGAATATGGACTTTCTCCTGTGTACTTCAATACCATTAAAACACCTAAGACAATTAACAAAAATTACATAATATCTTTTTTAAAAATTAATTAATTTTTTTTGAGACAGCGTTTCACTCTTGTTGCCCAGGCTGGAGTGCAGTGATGTGATCTTGGCTCACTGCAACCTCCGCCTCCCACGTTCAAGCAATTCTCCTGCCTCAGCCTCCCGAGTAGCTGGGATTACAGGTGCCTACCACCATGCCCAGCTAATTTTTGTATTTTTAGTAGACACGGGGTTTCACCATGTTGGCCAACCTGGTCTTGAACTTCTGACCTCAGATAATCCACCTGCCTTGGCCTCCCAAAGTATTGGGATTACAGGTGTGAGCCATGGTGCCTGACCAAAAATTACATAATATCTAATATCCAGTCCTTATTTGAATTTTTCCTATTGCTCCTCAAATAAGTCTTTCATTATTTTATAGTCTTTTATTACTTTATCCAAAATCCAGTTAGGTTTCATCATTGCATCTTTTGCATGACTGTTTAGTTTACTGAAGATTGTTCTTAAAATTTGTTTAAGAATGTCCTTTTTAAAGAGGAGATTACATGGGTTTTACCTATATTTTCTATTAGTTTAAAATTTCTTTTTGTAGTAACACACTTTTATATTGAACTGGAATTTATTTGGGTTATGGTTTCTGCTGGATGTCTCAGACTGTTTTTCTTTCTAAATAGCTTATTTCATTCCAGCAAAACTGTCTTAGGATCTGGCCCATTGATATTATACCAATTCCATATGTATATATAATTGTAGATTTGTAATGGATTTTAATATATAGTAGGTCTAATCACCATTATCGTCATTTCCATTGTTCTTTTTTTGAATAGTTGCACATGTTTCTTCCCTTAAATAAATATTATAATCTTTTCTTTCCACATTGTATTAAGAATAGCAAATTTGTATGTTCACTGAGATTCTAGTAACCCTCTATAACTATCTTTTACTAAAGTTTCATTGTTTTCTTGCTTGATAACTCTCAGTACTTGATAGGAATTTTAATCTATATTAATGTCACTCAATAGGTTTCAAAGCTTAGGTGAATATCTATAGAATATTGTCTTAGGTGAACATATATAGGTAAATATTTATTGTTTGTTCACTCATAAATATTCTAAATTCTATTCCAACATGAAGCCACAGAGAGCCACAACTCTGCACAACATTGACTTCTGAGAGAGGAGGAAGGAAGAAACCAGGTCAGGCAGGGAGTTAGGGTGGGTCCTTGGTAAAACTTCAAACTAAGAACAGCCTGAAAATCAAGCTACAGGCCCCAAAATGGAAACACCTACTATGAACCCAGATGAACAAATTCCACTCCTTTTTTGGACATATTTCTCTCTCCTTGGTGTGCCTTTTTCTTGTTTCACGTGCTTTCTCCTGATTGGTCCTTACTGTTCACCTATTTTACATATTCTGTGATTGGCTGAGGGCCAAATCTTCGTTTGGATAAAGTAACATCACTCCAGCCCCTGTTTGGTTGTGGGCCAAGCCTTCACCTCTGCCTCCAAATGATTCTTTTCACTATCCTTTCTGTTTCTGAGTGGTGCCTTCTCCAAGATGTGCAGACCAGTCCTCCTTCCCAGGCCATAAAACCCCCGAACTTAGCTCCTCAGCCAGCAACCCTATTTTGGGTCCCCTCTCCTTGCTGAGAGCTTTTCTGTCACTTAAGAAATCCGACTCTGCCTTACTCACTCTTGGTGGCTGTGTGCCTTATTCTTCTTGGTCATGAGACAAGAACCTGGAGCTTGCCTGTGGTGGGAATAAAAGAGTTGTAACACTCCCTCCCACTCAACCAACAACAGGAGTGAAAAAGCTACAAGATTTCCACCTCTGTCTTCTCCCAAAATCCACTCCTATTGCTTTTATGAAATTGCCCTTTGGCATGAGGCCATTATCTTTGATTGTAGCAAAGATGCCCCTATTATTAATAAATGTGTTGCTGTATCCACATTTAGGATGTTGCTTGTTACATGACATGGGGTCCAGCTTATGAGAACCTCAAGGGAAAGCATTCTCTCTAGCCTCACTATAAGGAGTACTTTTCCCAAATAGTTGTTATGTTTGAATCTTATGAATATTGAATCTTATAAATTGAATTTATGCTTTTGTTGCTTGAAATCATAGAGAGCCAAATTTGTGACCCATAGATAACAGGCATACAAAGTGTCATTAATTCATTTATTTTTTCAGGTCTCCAACAGGGATTAATGAAAGATTTAAAATATTCCCAATTGCCCTACCTACTTTTCTTCTATGGGTATATACTGACATCCAAATGGTGTTCATACTACCTGTTTGAATTGCTGTTTTAATTGGCCTATTTGAGATTTTTTTCCTTTCTTTTAAAAATATTGTAAACTCACCTATAAACTGAAGGAATGATTTCAGGGTGCAGTAAAAGAATGGAGAGAATACCCACCATGGTAGTAATGAGCTTGAGTCTCATATTTTAAAGGGACTGTAAGTTTAGCTTTGCTCTGTCACTGGAACAGAAGTGTTGTAAACACTTGAAAATCATGACATCCAGGCTTATGCTCCCTTTGCTCCATCCCCTTCTATAAACCTTCATTCGTGCCCTTCAAAATATGAGAAAATTGACCTCATTACTATTTATAGAGATTTTACTTCCACAAAAGCTCAAGGCTCTTCAGGGGCTCTTAATACTACAGCACCTATTGCAAAGATTTAAATCAATGCATTATTATATATTCCAAAATATTCTTGTAAAGAAGGAGTATACCACATTCCCACTTTACTAGTTCAAGGAGAAGAAAGAGCTCTGAATCCACACTTAAATAGCTGCCTGAAAGGGAAGGATATTCTAATAACATTGGGCAAAGCCTACTGCATGTCACAGACCATTCTGCTTGAGACAGAATAAGGTGATGACAGACTATTTACACACATACCCAGTACACAGGAGAAAGGGCTGTATACCCGTTACCCCCATCTTTGACTTTCTGTTTTGATGACTAGTTTTCTTTAGAAACAAACCCTCTCATTGTAATATAAGTTGCCGTTACATATATGCATCGGAACACATGTATATGTACCTCTTCTTTCTCTTGGTATTATATAATAAAAGTCTAAAGTCATGTTTATCATGACATACCTTTATGTAGAACAAAAATTCAGAATTTTAAAAAAATTAGTGAGTAGTATAGCTAGAGGAAAGAAAAGAGAATACTTTTTACACACTGAAGTAACAGACTGATGAGTTTAGAAATAGGGGTCATGGAAACAAAGGTTTGGTGAATTTCTAAAAGGACAGAATTGAATTATTATTAAGCCTCACACTATTTACTGCATAGGAGTTAATGCCAATCTCTGTGAAGAGCTGGTAGACATTTTTCTTTCATACCTAGGGGTTAGGCCTCTATCTGGATTTTTTATTCTTTGTGTGTTTTAGATTTTGTGTGTGTGTAGCCAAGCATCAAAGAAGTTCACTCAAAACAATTATATCTCATATTACAAGGAATTTTGAATTAAAGTCTTTTTTTTTTTTTTTGAGACAGAATCTGGCTCTGTTGCCCAGACTGGAGTACAGAGGCCAGATCTTGGCTCACTGCAACCTTTGCCTCCTAGGCTCAAGCGTTATCCTACCTCAGTCTCCCGAGTAGCTGGGACCACAGATGTGTGCCACCACACCAGGATAACTTTTTTGTATTTTTGGTAGATGTGGGGTTTCGTCATGTTGACCAGGCTGGTCTCGAACCCCTGGGCTCAAGGGATCCACCCACCTCAGCCTCCCAAAGTGCTAGAATTATAGGCATGAGCCACTATATCCAGCCTTTTTTAGCTTTTCTTCAAATGAATGTGGTAACAATTAAACTGACAAGACTAAAAAATTACTGGAAGGCATTTGGCTGAACTACATGCTAATTTAATATCATGCAACTTTAAATATAAAAACCATTCATACAAAAGAAGTCTTTTTTTTTTTTAGCAGACCAGTTTTAAATATGCAGTATCTTACAATTTTTAAAAAATAAACTTTTGATCTCATATCTGTCTTCTACTTTATTCTGAATAAGAACTAATATTATTGCTTTAAAGTGATATAGTGATATGAATTAATTCCCTTGAAGAAACACCAAAGATGAAGGGATCAAAGTGGAATTCTGATATACTTTTTGATCAAAGAAGTAGGTTTTATGCTATTAAGTAAACTTAAGCCTCAACTATATAATAGATTTTTCACATTAAAATCCAAGTGTTTTTGCCTTTGATGATCTCTGTAATGCCTATTTCTGCCTTGTGACTGTTAACTTATTAGAGGTAATTCTGCTTTAGCTACCTTGGGTACCATATTAGAAGACAATGCCTAATCTAGAAGTGTCTCTTATTCCTCCAAAGAAAAATTGTTATGTATATTTCATATTTACTGAATGTTATTGTAGCCCATCATTTTGAAAGGGGGGTAATGTAAAATAGTATATGAATCACTGATAGCTTCCTTTAAACCCAGTGTTTGTCATATGTACTATATTTGCCAACAATTCTGGGTAGGTATTTGCAGTAATTTTTTTAAAAAAGTCATTTTCATGTATGTGTCTAGCCCTGAAAAGACAAAAGAAGGAAAAGTGGCCATACTGGTTTAATCTGAGCCAGTATCTGACCTGATTGCTTTTATTCAAGAAGCCATATATCAATCAGGCTTGATTTCCAAGAAATGGTTTATGTTTGAAGCATAGGCTGTTCATTGCTTTTAACAGCAAAACACAGAAACTGGAAAATAGTTTTTAAATAGAGTCAGCCCATGTAATTTCTGAGCATAATCTTTTTATAAAATTTTTACAAAAATCTTGCCTTCCAACTTTTGCTTTCCAGTTGAACCTAATCACTTTGTGGGTTTTGATGATCTAGCAGGTATGAAGCACTATACATTAAATGCAGTGTTGACAAAGGAAATTCACTAGCAAGGGTTTCATTAACTGAGGATTAAGCTAAAACCCCTTCCCAGAATTGCCAATAAATGAGACTCTAATCTAAAATTTCACATTAAGTTTAGTACAACTAAAACGTGTGTGTTCGCACATGTGTGTGTGCTTGTTGAACGAGTGTGTATGTGAGTGAGGGAAAATCCCAAAATGAGTTAAATTTTTTTTATTATTTAGTTGGCTGGGAAAGTACAAATTTTTCTTGTAAGTATAATGCACTAAGCAAGGGAAAATCCTACAACTTAAACATACTCAGTGGACCCATCCAAGCAGATGCATACATATACGTAATTGTTCATACCCAAATATAAAATTGAGAGATTTGAAAGGGGAACTCTTTACCACCTTATATGGGTGGGCTTAGGCCTGAATTGAAGGAATACATTTCATATTTATTTTACACAGTGGAGACTTCTAAAAGGCCATTTGCAAGGTTGATTCTAAAAATGCCGCTCTTAAAAATATTTTGCAATTTTCCTTGCATTTTCTATTATATTTAGATGTGATTATGATTATTAAACTACTCTGAGGTAAGAATAAAGATTGCTTGAACCTTGCTGATTTTTTTACATTACTGATTTAAGTATTTTTTAAGGCAAAATTGGTTATAAATGAACATATCTACATAAATCTAACTCATGATTACATACAAATAATTTGCTACTTATTAATCATATTTTTTAGCTAAGAATATAAGCTTTACAATTTTTTTTGTCTGAGTAATTTGGATTGATGCTTAAATTTGATGGTTAATGGCTTGTAAAATTTTAATTGTGCTGTTATGATCTAATTTTCAATCATGAAGGTTGTGACGAATTTGTAGATGTTTATAAAATAGTAGTTCTGTGAGCTTCAAATGAACTCCGTGGAAAATTTGGTCCAGTCCTTGCTCTGAAGCTGATAAATAATATCCCCTGCTTGAAGATGAGTCAACAAAACTTCGAGAAGTTAAATGACTTGCTCCAGATATTGTGTTTTGTTTGTATACTGTAGATGTGGGATTAGAACACAAGTAACTTTCCCACCATCTTTTTCAGTTTCCTTTATTGCATCACACCACATTAAATTATTTAGTCCATCAGTTCATCATTTTTCATTTTAAGAAAGTTTAATATAATTTATTAATTCCAAACACATCTGGAATACAGAATCTTATAGAAATTCCATATACTTGGCTGGGTTCAGTGGCTCACGCCTGTAATCCCAGCACTTTGGGAGGCCGAGGCAGGCGGATCACCTGAGGTCAGGAGTTTGAGACCAGCCTGGCCAACATGGCAAAACCCTGTCTCTATTAAAAATACAAAAATCAGCTGGGCATGGTGGTGCGTGCTTGTAATCCCAGCTACTTGGGAGGCTGAGCCAGGGGAATTGCTTGAACCCAGGAGGTGGACGTTGCAGTGAGCCGAGATCGCGTCACTGTTCTCCAGCCTGGGTGACAGAAAAATACTCTGTCTCAAAAAAAAAAAAAAAAGTTTGTTATTTTTAAATCCATCTCATTTTTCTGTTTGACATAATTAAGAGCAGTAGATATGATTCTAATAAAATTGGGTGCATTTAAAAGTATTGTTCATGTATACTTGTTTTGCATATTTTTGTTCCCAAGGAGTTTTGATTCCATTAACTATATTGAAAAGAAAAGGCAAACTAAAGTTTCAAATGCTTTACTTCTCTCCACTAAATATTAAAGAAAATAACTTGGACTGAGAACTAGGAAGAAATGACAAATAAGAAAAGTTCGTGATTAAAGGTTTTCAAATTATATGACTAGATCTGCTACTCCAGCATTTCAACAAAAAGCTCCATTTTCTATCTCAGATGAGGGTGGTCTCAAGTCATCAGTGGCTGATCTGACAGAGTAAATCTGAAACAAATTGCTGCCACAATAATCCTTCCCTGGTATGACATGCTAATAAGGAAGAAAATCACAAGTGTCTCAAAAATGAGTTGATTTAGTTGGTGAAAAATACATTCATTATCATTAATGAGATGGATGAATGTAATCTCTTTTATCCTTACACTTAAAAATAATTTTAAATAAACAGGTATATTGATCTGGATGAAATAAATGATCATCTAATTATTTTTCATAATTGTGAACTTTTAGGAATAATCTTATTAGATGAACACATTTTGTTTGATCTTTTGCTTTTTAAAATTGCTTATTATTTTCATACAAAATGGCATTAAATGAATTAATAGGACCATGTAAAATTCAAATAAAGTTTAATGAATATCTAAGGCTGCCAACCAAAGAAGCATCATCGTTCAAATGTTTCTTTGAGATGAAAATTGCAAGCAATGAATTATTAATGCCCAAGTTTGTTTCTCATTTCTGACTGTGCATCTGAATGATCATCCCATGTGCCCACTAGAATAACATTTTATATGACACTCCAGGGCTCCCATAATGATATCACAATTATTGGCTAAATTAAAGGTCTAGTCATTAAACTAGCAAGAGTTGCATGGCAGGTTAAAAGGTATATATATATATATATGTACCCTGGTAAAAGCAAGCACTATTCTTTTCAAAGTCTTGGAAGGTCTTTAATGAGAAGTATAACTTTTCATTCTAGAATTCAAAAGAAGTCTTAAAACCAAAAGTGTAAGTGGTTTGCCTCAGATCCTTTTAGATGCTTTCCCGAGTATAGTTTTTTTGCTAAGGAAAGAGTTTTGAACTAAACAAAGGGATATTAGCTATATGGCAGGATAGGTGTGAAGGAGATAGCATGAAGGCAGGCTAAAGTTTAGCCTGGCATAAACTGTGCAGTGAGGGTTGCCTTTAAGATACCTGTTCACTCCTATCTTGGATACCTGATACCAAGCTACTCACTGGGTGATTATAGCCTTTTACTTCAGTACCCTACATGAATCTGTTCTGCTGGCATATTAGGAGGCCTAGAACATTCCCAACCTCCTCCTAACATCAAAATGACTTCTCCTGCATTTGGTTCCTCAAGAAAAGTCTTAAAGAAAAGGGAATGACTAATCTGAAAAATGAAGCTTTGCCAGGTTCAGTGATCTAGATGTATTACTCCTTCCCGGACAAATGAGACCATGCATCCTGAAATTCTTGACCCAGAGGCACTTCCAATGGCCCTGTGGGAAGATAGTTTATTTGGAGCAAGGGCAAAGTCCTAAAACAATTCTGAATAGACAACTTCTTACTCTGCCTATACGCAGGTCCCTGTGTCTAGATATTCTATTGTAGTCTTCAAAAAATCTACACTAGATTGAGGCTTCTTTCAGCTGAGACCTAGCCTTTCCTAACAAGCAGGACTTTTTGGTACCGATCTAGTAGCCTATTATCTCAAAAGAGATTTTAAACATTTTATTAAGGCCATACATTTTCATGGTAACTTCCATAGGAGCAAATAAATATCTACTGTGTTTTAGGTACTGATTTCAGTGTTTCTCATGCATTAATTTTGATAATTCCTACTTTAACGATCTTTACCTTAATAATTTATTGTTGTTTTCTTATTATCCCTGTTTTATAGATAAAGAAATTGAGGCAGACAGAGGTTAGAGGATTTGAACTGATGTTGCCAGGACTTGAAACCAGACAGTGGCTTATATTAGAGTCTGTGTTCTCAGCTACCATACTATCTGCTGTTCTGCTGATGACCTGCGGAAAGCTTCATTCACTGGCAAAAGAGAAGTAAGCCCAGGGAGGTGTCTTTGCAACGTTGCTTATCTCTGTAATTGCAATTGCCACTTTGTCCTATAAATTTCACATTTCTGTGTTCCACTGGAGTATGATCTTCTTGAAGACAAGTACTTTACTTTATTCATCTTTGTTTACTGTTTGTAAAATGAATGAGTTTATGTTATTTGTGTTGTGGAGGGCAGGGCAGTAAAAGTCAGAGTTATTTAGGAGAAGATCTGATCTTCTCCTAATGAACCTGCATGGCTATCATTAGACTCAAGGAGTTGTTTTTTAAGTAACTGGCACTGTCACCAAGTCTGAACTGGGCCACTGCTCTCTCAGTAATAAGATTGTAGAACAAAGACATACTGTGTCTTTCATGACTCAAACATCAGTTTTGAGAAAACCCTCAAAGCATCGATTTTTAGCAAAACAAGAAATTTCAAAAATCCAATTGAAGTGTACCAAGTATTTGGATACGACCTGAGTATAGGGGACAGAAGATCTTGTTAAACCAAACCACAGACATACAGTTGGCAATATCCAGAATATGAGAAAATCTACAGGACGAATGACTAGGAGTCTTCAATAAGTAAAAATGATGAAAAAATAAAACAAGAGGGAGAATCTACAGATTTTTTAATGAGGGTTAAATAACAAATCTGCTTAATGCCCTGTGTGAATACAGACTTTAACAAATTAAAAAAAAGCAAACAGGCCAGGTATGGTGGCTCATGTCTGTAATCCCAGCACTTTGGGATCGCTTGAGCTCAGGAGTTTGAGACCAGCCAAGGTAACATGGCGAGACCCCGTCTGTACTAAAAATACAAAAAAACAGCCAGGCATGGAGTGCATGCCTGTGGTCCCAGCTACACTGGAGCCTGAGGTAGGAGGATCACTTGAGTGTGGAGGGCAGAGTTGCAGTGAGTGGAGATTGCACCACTGCACTCTAGCCTGAGTAACAGAGCCAACCCTGTCTCAAAAAATTTTTTTTGAATAGTGGTAGGATCTTTGGTAATATTAAGATACTACTAAGGACTTGCTAATTTAGATGCAAAAATGGTATTTTTAAATGTTTTCTAAAAAATAATTGATTTCTGTTAAAGACATACTGCAAGTATTTAGGAATGAAATGATATGATGCCTTGGATTTGCTTTAAAATTCATATTGGATTTACCATTCATTAAAAATTATTTAAGGTAGGTCATGGGTACGTACATGATGGGTAAACTCATCTCATGACTTTTGTATGATTTAAACTTTTTGAGAATAATAAGTTAAGAAAGACATTTTCAGCTAAATGGCTTATAAATCCAGTATGGTTTTTTGTTTTGTTTTGTTTTTTTAATATGAAAACCTGGTCTGGAATTGAACAGTTTCTTATCATTCATTGGTCAGTTACTTTGCTCTAACAGTTATATATTGCTCTGTACCAAACCATCCTAAAAATTAGAGGCTCACAATAATGACTGTCATTTATTTTGTACCTCAGTTTGTCATTTGAGTGATGCTAGCAGGGATAACCCTTTTTCGTGCCTCCTAGCATCAGAAAGGGCAGCTCCCCGGGGGTCTGGAGGGTTTACTTTCAAGATGACTCATTCGCATTGGCTGGCAAGTGGGTGCTGGCCGTCACCTTGAAGCTGCCAGGACCGTAAACCAGGGGCCTTGGTTCCAGTTGACCTGGGCTGCTTGGGCTTCCTAGGAGCGTGGTGGCTGTGTTCTGAGAGCCAGTGTCCCAAGAGACAGGAAGTAGATCTCGTCAGTTTCTTAAGGTCTGGGCTCAAAAGCTGACACAGTGGCATTTCCTTTGTCTATGGGTCACGCCGCCCCACAGCCCAGGCACAAGGAGTGGAACACGTGCTCCACCTCATAGTAGGAGGGTGTCAAGAGTTTTGAGGCCATGTTTTAAAACTGCCTTCTTTGCAATCACTCACAGAGCCTCAGGTGTCAAACTACAGAACTGTTTTATGAAAATAACTAGAATAGATGTAACCAATGCTTGGGCCTAGAGATTTTTTTTTTTTTTTTTTTTGAGATGGAGTCTCGCTCTGTCGCCCAGGCTGGAGTACAGTGGCGCTATCTCGGCTCACTGCAAGCTCCGCCTCCCGGGTTCATGCCATTCTCCTGCCTCAGCCTCCCGAGTAGTTGGGACTATAGGCGCCCGCCACCACACCTGGCTAATTTTTTGTATTTTTAGTAGAGACGGGGTTTCACCGTGTTAGCCAGGATGGTCTCGATCTCCTTACCTCGTGATCCGCCCGCCTCGGCCTCCCAAAGTGCTGTGATTACAGGCGTGAGCCGCCACGCTTGGTTGGGCCTAGATATTTAAGCGGCACCTCTTACAGTAGGCCCAGCAAATGAGTATAGATGGTGTCCACCTTCAAATAGGTAATGTTAGGGCAGGCCAAGGTAAGAAAGGGTGAAACAAATCACTAGAATAGTTTGTAATGGCTGGAAGTTGAAGTGTAGAAAAAGGGAAGTTACACTGTCTTCCTAACATTATTCCTGGGTGGCAGATAGGACTTCAGCTAGCTGGGCCGTCAGGCACTGGCTCTCACTCCTTTTTTCTGCTAGTTGTGTGGCAATACCAAGTAGGCACAGTCACCCAATTTTACTCACAAATATGGTGAGGACAAGAGATTCTGAAGCAGCATGGAGAGTGTGGAAAGATTGGCAGTGGACAAATTTGTGGATAAGATTCAGGGCTAAAGGAATTATTTGGGAGACGGAAGTGGTTGTACTGCTTGGTGTGTACCAGACAATGAAAAACTTGGATTTTCCTCCAACAAGCATGAGTACACTTATCCAGCTAAAATGTTCTCAAGGTTAGAACCACAAGTAAATAATGATTTGAAATGTAAATTATTTTTCTTGTAACTCTTTTCTAGCTCATTTTTTTAACTATGTTTAGTTGCCAACAATAGCTCTTGGGAATTCTTTTCTGCTTAAGTGATATTCATCCATCTGTCTTTAAGAAATTATTTTAATTGGTACATTTGCTTTGTTACCTACTTCTGATGGAACTTTCATTTTAGACACCTCTAGATTCAATTTGTTCAATAGACATTTATTAAGCACCTCCTGTGAATTATGCCTGGCCCTAGAGAACCTGGCTATGAGATTTTAAATGGAAAATATATTTCATGGGAGAGGTCCTAAAATGCTGTGGGAACACAGTGGAGAGGAATAAACTTTGCCTTGGGAAGTTGGGAAAAGCTGCATAGAGCAGGTGATATCTGAGCTGAATCTTGGATGCATGGGTGGGAGCCTGCCAGTTAGAGAGACAGGAAATAACATGTTCAGATATCCAGAGTTGTGAAACATTCATGGTACGTTCTGTGATAGAGAGTGTAATGAATTGACTCAGTAGGGAACAATATGATTGGTGAGGTGCTCTTTCTCTTGTCATTGTTTCTTTTTGAACTAGGCTGAGAAGAAAAATAATTCCAGCAAAATTAAGCACTCTATATCACAAACTATTAATAACAAAACACTTGCCTCTGTAAGGATTCCCCATCTCTCTCTTTGGTATGGTAAAGAACTGCATATGTGGCTGTATGGTGGCTCATGCCTATAATCCCAGCACTTTGGGAGGCTGAGACAGGAGGTTCCCTTGAGGCCAGGAGTTTAAGACCGGGCTGGGCAACACAGTGAGACCTTGACTATATAAAAAGAAAAGTAAAGAAAACTGAAATAATACAAATATTTTAAAAATTAAAAAAGAACCGCATATGCTATACTAAGGAGTTTGAACTTTAACTTGTAGGCAAAAAAGTCAATGAAAGACTTTAAGCTGGTGAATGAAATGTTGCTAAGTCTTAGACAAGGCAGTGGCTAAGAAGAGATGGGGTGGCTAGATTTGAAAGAACTGGAAGAGGCAGAGTCAACAGGATTTACTGTTTTATTGGCTAAGGAGGTGAATGGAAGAGATGAAGGGAAGCACTGAGTTTGGCCACCTGATACTCTGTTGAGGTCATTTGCTGACAAACGAGGAGGAAGTTTTTGGAAGGAGAGGCAGTGGAGGAGGTGGTTCATCTCTGGGCTGGTGATACCTGAGGAGTCTGCAGTATATCCAGATGTTATTATGGGTCTGTTGTTCAGGAGGGGGCAAGATGAGGTTTGTGAACATGTAGGGAAGTAGTTGTTGATGTCGTGGGAATAGTCTTTTAATATTCCTTTCCTTCAAAAATACCTTGAATTCAGTATCTTCTACATTCTATATAAGGTGATATTTGTGTACTTTTTATATCTTTCTGTACTTATCACTAGTTTAACATGGACTGTTCAGTTGGTTAAGTTGACAGTACATCAGTATCTCTCAGAATCTTGCTGCCCCAACAACTCTACTGAAGACTGCTTTGGGGAAATCACACCTTTTTAATGGTTATATACTCTCCTTACTCTCTTCCTTTCAATCCTTGGATTCAAGTTCCTCTAACCACTCTCACCTTTTTGACATTTTTTCTTCTTTTAGTTTTCTCTTTCTCTTTGTTTCGTTTACTCCTGCGACGATGTCTTTAGTCTCAGGCATTTCTCACTCTGGTGTATGGCTCTCAAATCAGTCACTCTTAATCGTCTCAAGATTTCCCTTCAAGAAATGCTTCTTTCCTTTTTCCGTATTGGTGACCTGTCCATAGGCCTCTGGTTATTCACTGTTTTGGAATTAAGTGAGATTACTTTGATAAACTATTCTCAGCAACCTATTGCCATTTTTCAGCTCCTTCTAGAAATTATAGTAGAAGACATCATTATGTGGTAGCTGTTACATGCCATTCTCTGCTGGGCTCTCAGGTTACAGCAGTAACAGCAGCAGTAGTAGCAGTAGCAAAGCCTGATGCATGTGCCAGGCACAATTCCAAGTGTATTATGCATGTATCAAGACATTCGATCCTTACTACAGTACCATCCAGGTAGGTACAATTATTATCTCCACTTAGTACCTGAGCAAAGTGAGATACACTGGGTAACTTGCCTAACATGTTGGAACTAGTAAATGGTTAAATTGTCAACCAGGGACACATTTGTGCACCAACCAATTTTCTCTTTCATTTCACCACTTTGGTGTCCCTAAGTTGTACTTGTTCAATCAAAGCATGTTACAGATGTGCAGCCCTGTTTTCAAGGGTTCTTAACATCTTTTCTGTAATATAGATTACATCCCAATCATGTAAATGAAACAGGCATTCTTATTTACTAAATGCATAAATATTATAGATGACTTGTCATAGGAAACAAACCTCGAATTTGACCTCTGTGAGCTCTGTATATTTCCTCTTATTACCTGTGGCTTTTCCTGCTTAAATCCCACATGGGCTGAGAAACTCTTACTGGAACTTCATACAATGATTTAAGGGGAAGTCAGTGAGCACTTCCTATTGAACTCTGCCTTCCTGGTGGTCAAAAATTTGCAAAAACACAGATGAGCATCAAATGATGTTTGGAATTTGAGGTCTAATCTTAGTCTTTCTGGAAGTGTCCAAGAAAACGAACCTTCTGAATGGCTGAAGCCTACCTACTTAAACTCATTGTGAGGATTTAATTGGATGGGTAGGCTACTTGCTGGCCATTCTAATTACATCAAAACTTACTCTGACCACTGGGGCCTGCTATAATAATATGAACAATACATTTCTTTTTGTCAGAAAGCCATCACTTTTCTTCCAAGTATTGGATCTATTTAAAAAATTTCAAGTCTCCCACGATTATTTTGTGGGAATCTAAGTCTCTTTGTAAGTCTCTAAGAACTTGCTTTATGAATCTGGGTGCTCCTTTATTGGGTGCATATATATTTAGGATAGTTAGCTCTTCTCATTGCATTGATCCCTTTACCATTATGTAATGCACTTCTTTGTCTTTTTTGACCTTTGGTGGTTTAAAGTCTGTTTTATCAGAGACTAGGATTGCAACTCCTGGTTTCTGTTTTTGTTTTTTTTTTTTGCTTTCCATTTGCTTGGTAAATATTCCTCCATCCTTTTATTTTGAACCTATGTGTGTCTTTGCACGTGAGATGGGTCTCCTGAATACAGCACACCGATGGGTCTTGACTCTTTATCCAATTTGCCAATCTGTGTCTTTTAATTGGGGCATTTAGCCCATTTGCATTTAAGGTTAATATTGTTAATATTGTTAATAATATCAAATGTGTGAATTTGATCCTGTCATCATGATGCTAGCTGGTTATTTTGCACATTATTTGATGCAGTTTTTTTCATAGTGTCATTGGTCCTTTACATTTTGGTGTGTTTTTGCAGTGGCTGGTACTGGTTTTTCCTTTCCATATTGAGTGCTTCCTTCAGGAACTTTTGCAAGGCAGGCCTGGTGGTGACAAAACCCCTCAGCATTTGCTTGTCTGGAAAGGATCTTATTTCCCCTTCACTTATGAAGCTTAGTTTGGCTGGATAGAAATTCTGGATTGAAAATTCTTTTCTTTAAGAATGTTGGATATTGGTCCCACTCTCTTCTGGCTTGTAGGGTTTCTGAAGAGATATCTGCTGTTAGTCTGATGGGCTTCCATTTTTAGATGACCTGACCTTTCTCTCTGGCTGCCTTTAACAGTTTTTCCTTCATTTCAACCTTGGTGAATCTGACAATTATGTGTCTCAGGGTTGCTCTTCTCGAACAGTATCTTACTGGTGTTCTCTGTATTTCCTAAATTTGAATGTTAGCCTGTCTTGCTAGGTTGGGGAAGTTCTTCTGGATAATATCCTGAAGTGTGTTTTCCAACTTGGTTCCATTCTCTGTGCCACTTTCAAGTACCCCAATCATAGGTTTGGTGTTTTCACGTAGTCCCATATTTCTTGGAGGCTTTGTTCATTCCTTTTCATTCTTTTTTCTCTAATCTTGTCTGCATGCCTTATTTCAGCAAGGTGGTCTTCAATCTCTGATATTCTTTCTTCTGCTTGATTCATTCAGCTTTTGATACTTGTGTATGCTTCACAAAGTTCTCGTGCTGTGTTCTTCAGCTCCATCAGGTCATTTATGTTCTTCTCTAAACTGGTTTTTCTAGTTAGCAGTTCCCGTAACCTTTTATCAAGGTTCTTAGCTTCCTTGCATTGGGTTAGAGGGAGAGCATCAGGACAAATACCTAATGCATGCAGGGCTTAAAATCTAGATGGTGGGTTGATAGATGCAGCAAACCACCATGGCACACATATACCTTTGTAACAAACCTGCACATTCTGCACATGTATCCCGGAACTTAAAGTAAAATTTAAAAAAATGTTCAGACTGGCCACTATCCGTGTATGTAAAGAAGTGCTTCCTGGCATCCCAGCAGCACTGATGGCCAGCTGTGCCATGGGAGGAGCAGCAGTGAGATGTGCTATTGGATGAACTACATCCACAAGGCCAATCTGTTTGAAATAGATTCAAATGTTTGTATTCTATCACTGTGCAACCAACTGACATTTCTGTATAAAAACTTCAAACTTGTTCTTTGGAGAGCCATAAGAATCAATAAACATGATTTGCTTTTTTTTTCAATGTGTCTATTGTCATTTAGCTGTTTATGAAAAATCTTTTTTAATGCTTTTTTTTTTTTTTTGAGATGGAGTCTCGCTCTGTCGCCCAGGCTGGAGTGCAGTGGCGGGATCTCGGCTCACTGCAAGCTCCGCCTCCCGGGTTCACGCCATTCTCCTGCCTCAGCCTCCCAAGTAGCTGGGACTACAGGCGCCCGCCACTACGCCCGGCTAAGTTTTTGTATTTTTAGTAGAGACGGGGTTTCACCGTTTTTAGCCGGGATGGTCTCGATCTCCTGACCTCGTGATCTGCCCGCCTCGGCCTCCCAAAGTGCTGGGATTACAGGCGTGAGCCACCGCGCCCGGCCTTTAATGCTTTTTTTTAAGAAAAAACATCTATTTTGGGGGAAGAAATTTATTGTGACAATGTATTGTACTTGACAAATTTTAGTTATCAGTTAAGTTTAATTTCTGATAGAAACCCTATCAGCAACTGTATTAAAATTTTATACATTCTTGGCCAGGCACAGTGGCTCACACCTGTAATCTCAGCACTTTGGGAGACCAAGGCTGGTGGATCACTTGAGGTCAGGAGTTTGAGACCAGCCTGGCCAACATGATGAAACCTCATTTCTACTAAAAATACAAAAATTAGCCAGGCGTGGTGGCAGGTGCCTGTAATCCCAACTACTCAGGAGGCTGAGGCAGGAGAATCTCTTGAACCTGGGAGGTGGAGGTTGTAGTGAGCTTTGATCACACCATTGCACTCTAGGCTGGACAACAGAGTAAGACTGTGTCTCAAAAAAAAAAAAAAACCTTTAAATTGTATTCATGGTGGAAAGAGTTGAAATGTGAATGGTCAGTAAAAACTTGTTTCATTTTCTAATCATATTACCTGCTTTAAAAACAAAAATCATGTTGTCTAATTTCTTATTATATAATGGAAAGAAAGGTCATCTAGGATATTAGCCTCTTTTAAAAAAATCTTGTTGGCCAGGTGCGGTGGCTCACGCCTGTAATCCCAGCACTTTGGGAGGCCGAGGCTGGTGGATCACGAGGTCAGGAGATCGAGGCCATCCTGGCTAACACAGTGAAACCCATCTCTACTAAAAATACAAAAAATTAACTGGGCGTGGTGGCGGGCACCTGTAGTCCCAGCTACTCGGGAGGCTGAGGCAGGAGAATGGCGTGAACCTGGGAGGCGGAGCTTGCAGTGAGCCGAGATTGCGCTACTGCACTCAGCTTGGGCAACATAGCGAGACTCGTCTCAAAAAAAAAAAATCTCGTTATTCTACAAAGTATATCAATCACTCCATTAAATCTTATTTCATTTAAAAACAATTTTTGTTGGAGTTCCTCTTTCAATTTGGGTCAAACAGCTCTTTACGTGATGACTTTATGTCAAACCTACATAGAGTTTCTGGAGTGGGCTCCATCCACTCCATTACCATACCTGAGAGAATGTCAGATTTCCTGCTTCCTCATTTGCATGACTTCTCAAAGTCAGCATGTTGATAATGACTTATAGAAAACAGTCCTTTTAAAAGGAATGGCTTGCTATTGGTTTGGGCAGGAGGCATTTTGAATGACTGAGCAGTTAAGTCATCTCTTTATTTGAGAATAAATGATGAAGGGGTGTTTGAATGGGTTACCAAGTTATAAATTAATCTTGAGATACTCAAATGATTGTAAACCACCTGAGCTTTCCTCTCAGCTTTTAAATCATATGATATCAATCTTTGCTCATTTTCCTCTGGGTAATTTGTTATTATGCTGATGGTAACCAACTCCATGAGACATTAACCGGCAATCCACATTACCAGTGAGTATACATTACAGCACTAAAATAAAAATAAACTCACAGAAGAAATAGCTTGAGATCTCAACCATGCTTTTCTGTCTACAAAACGGCATGACAGTTTGGGGATTTCTAGCTGAAAATAAATTTAATTATGTTACTACTTTGCTGCTGCTAATTAGTGCCTAAGATATGTATCAGGAGGGCAGCCCAGTGTAGGTTTCGAAAGAGGGTTTACTACAAAGGCAGGATAGCAAAATGGGTTACCTTTTTCACTCTCACTATGTAAAGTGACATTTAAATTAGATCCTGGAAATTACCTTTTCTGTTTATGTTAGCAAGATAGTCTTCTCTTTTGCTTTATTCAAATAGGGAAGCAACTTTATAACATTTTGTATCGCCTACATGAAGTGTTTTGCATATCTGTAACCTTTCAATTAATGTTATTTATGTTTCAATAAACCACCATGCTACTTTTCCAGATGTCCTGATCCTTTATGTAAATGAATTTATTAGATCCAGCCACCAGACTCAATGAAATCTGCCAAATTCACTGTCTGGGCCACATACCATAGAGTTTAAGCTATATTTGCATAAGCTTGTTCTGTAAGTGTAATCTTATGTATCATCTGCAGAGTTAAAGTTTCACTAACGTAAATCCCTGACAAATCAAATACAGATGTAGCTTTTTGCCCTCAGGGGTAAGCCTGTCAATTCTCGGCTCTTGTATCTACCTCCTCCCCTTGGTGCTGGGCCCCCCATCCTCAACTTCTTTTCAGTACTACTAATCTTTCAAAATTGTTTATGTAAATACATTGGGGGTACCAAACATGGCAGCAAATACGTGTTGCTCAGGCCTTCTTTCCATCGTTCTGCCAGGCTAAAATAACGTTGGCGAGTCATTTGAAGGGAGCTAGTTGTACCACCTGGAAAAATTTCCCCTGCCAATCAGTGGATGGCAGACAGATTGTTTCAGTTTGCCTAGAGATGTTTTAGATAAGGAGGAGTCAAGCTTAATAAATGGGTTAATGTCAGCCGGCAAATTCCATAACGTGGCCAAGGTAAATTTAATAATAGGCCAGTAGAGGAAGGAGGAGGGGGTTGGCATGAAGAGGCTGAGGGGGTGGGGGAAGTTGGGGGAGGGTCTATCTATTCAGGCCCAGTCTTTTTTGGTGATTGTCACAACCTCAGTGAAAGGCAGGATTCTTCTTTAGATTCAGTGATTAGCTTCAGAACTCTTGACAGGTTTAAGCCATGTCTAAAAAGAGGGAAAATATGACTGCCGAAAGTGGAGGGTGTTAGTGTTCTTTGGGTTTGTTTTTGATTATTTTAAAGTCTAAATATGTTTCCTCTGCTGGTGCCCAGTTGCTATTTATTTGGCTTTAGACTTTGATCCCCTTTATGCTGGCACATCATAAAAAACATATTCCTGCTCAAGTCTTATATTATGTAGTTTGTTTCTGCTCAGGGTGTTCAGCAGGCCGGGCTGTACCCACTGAATAAGCCTCTCTTTGTTTTTGATGGACTCCAGGTGTTTATCGCTATAAGTTAGTAATGGAGTTAACCGCAAGAAGCAAACTGGAAAAATAAGGGATTGGGGAAAATTCTGAGTTTGATAACTTAGGAGTCTGCCTTTTGGCAAAACCCCTAAGGGAATAAAATACACTAAAAAAAAAAAAAGAAACAACGGAGTCTTACTTCTGCTTTCTAATCAAGTTGGATGAAATTGGGATTTTAGTATGCACAGATAAGCTTGTTCATTTTATTTCTTCAGTGAGTTTCTTTGAAAGTGGCCAAAGAGCCTTTTTTCCCTATGCATTTTTATCATGGTACTAAAATGAATAATGGCAGCTATTCCAGAAGAGATTACTGATATCCATTTTCTTGATCTGAGCTAGGAGGATTAATGCCAGAAGCAATTTTCCACCTGTGGTAACTTTTTCTTTCCCCTTTGGAGGAGGGGACATAGGGGGACAGCAATAATATTGGGATGAATGTGAAAACGATCAGAAGAGCCCCCTCTTACCCAATCACTTTTCAATTAGGGTACTTCTTATTTTTGTTTTTCTTTTCTGCCCAACCAGACCTTGTTTTGGGAGTAGAGGCCAATTTAAAGAAAATTTATGATGGTGAGCAAGATTGCTGGAGAGGTTTGTGTATCTGTCTATCTCCTTTGTTTATACAAATGTATATGGTGCATCCTGTGTTAAAGATCAAAGCTTTACTGTGGACACCTTGAATCCCCAGGTCCAAGGTCAGGGCCTTTGAAGAATGCACATTTGCTACTGTTAATCTAAGAATCCTGATTTTTCCATACATTAGTTTGTTATCTGATTTAAGTATTGCAGTCCTAGGTATAATAAAAATTTGTGGCCAAATAAAAGGATTTAACAATGTATTTGCACAAAATGGATTAAAAGGAGAAACAGGCTGGGTGCGGTGGCTCACACCTGTAATCCCAGCACTTTGGGAGGCCAAGGCAAGCAGATCACGAGGTCAATAAATCGAGACCATCCTGGCTAACATGGCAAAACCCTGTCTCTACTAAAAATACAAAAAATTAGCCAGGCGGGCGCCTGTAGTCCCAGCTACTCGGGAGGCTGACACAGGAGAATGGCGTAAATCCGGGAGGCGGAGCTTGCAGTGAGCCAAGATTGTGCCACTGCACTCCAGCCTGGGTGGCGGTACAAGACTCCATCTCAAAAAAAAAAAAAAAAAGGACATGCAGTGTCTGAGGAATATGGATTTTGTAAAGTAGTAATAATAATTTTTGAGCATATGCTAGGCATGTTTCTAATTTTTTCACATGAATTAAAATACTTAATTTTTCCAATGACTGATGGAAAATTAGTCAGTGGACTAATCTATTGGACTAATCTATTAGACTAATCTATGATGTAGACACCATTATTATCTTCCTTTATTGAGGAGGAAACTGAGGCATAAATAATCTAACCCACTGGCTCCAACAGCAAAAGAATTGCATAGTCAATAATAAACTATAGGTAGTTTGGCTTTAAAGCTAGTGTTTCACACCAGGTTTCTGTAAGATGCAAATAAGGATGGGGTAAGTTTCCTAACTTTCAGAAATGTATACTGCCAAAACAAAATTTTGTGTTAATGAGATTCTATTTGAAATATTTAAGAGAAATAAGCTCTACACAAAGTATAACTTAATGGTAAATGTTCCAGTACTTTGCTTTGACATTTTTACTACACCATATATACTAGTACTGACATGATAAGTCATCTCAGAAGTTAATTTTTGTTTGATTTTCTTTGGAGTTTTCAAATATCATTTAAAAACTTAATTCAGTGTCTAATTTCCATGTCTAAGTAGGTATGTCCCATAAATGTGTATATTTCATCACAAGCTCAAAGGGAACTCAGAGGACTACAATTCAACAAGACAAAAATCTATTTTTACTTTGGCCTTTCCAAAGCAGTAAGTTGATTTTTTTTTTTTCTGGAATACAGTGTGCATCCAATCCAAACTTCTCAAGTTCAAATTGATTCTCAAATTCCCCAAACACAAAAATTAAGAAACTCTTATTTTTTGATTATCTTGGAAAGAGAGGACAGCTGTTAGAAAAGTAGAAATTGGAAAGAGAAGCAGACCCTAAAGAAACTCTCCTGTTAGCTTTCCCAGAGGAAAGGGAATATTTAAGACGTCAGCAATCAGTCTGGGCATTTGAGCCTTCTCTCTGTTTATATGCCAATAAAAGAGCTAGCTGGTACTCTTGATAACTGCAGACCCTTGTTTACTGAAAGCTTCATTTCCCTGTGTGGATCCATCTAACTGAGAGAGAGGGACTGAAAGAGTGGCAAAAAAATAGTCCCATTTTATGGTACACCATTTGGTAGTATCTTGTTTCTTTGCCCCTCTTCACAGACATGTCTGAATCCACTTGTATTTTATTTACAAAGACACATAGTCCTTCTTGAACATCCTCCCGCTTCTTTACAACATATACAAAGTTTAAATGTTATTTAATGTATGTAAACAGTGGCAGAATATAGCATTATTCTTTCCTCTTTGTGTTTCTCAAGGCACATATGATCATATTGAAACGCACGTGGAGCGGGTCTTTAGGTCTTCCTGTAAAAGTCAATATGACGGATTTGGAAGTGTCCTGGATAGCCATGGCAGGATGTCTTTTTAGGTACCTTCTAGTTTGCAGGGTTTACACAGGAAAAACCCTTCCTGAGGGATGGGACTAGGGCTAACAGGCAGGTCAACGGAAAATCAGCCACTTAATCAGTGGCAGCCCCACCAAAGCCGGCTGAAAACTTAGCAGTTCTCCCATGGAGAGTATGCACCGCTGGAGCCCAAAGATGGTGGAGGACTGACAAGGCCAGGGCTGCCTTCATATTTGCAAAATTATGACAAGTGGAGGAGGAAATCATTTCTTCTCTCACTGCAAGCTGCCTGCCACCTACTGCGATACCTCTAACAGCAACAATTCCACCCACAACCACGCCAGCGGCACTAGCAGCAACATACACCCCTGCACTCTCACTGGGTATGTAACACTGCTTCCCCTCTTCCTTTTCAGCTGCCTGGCTCTTACCATAGTTGTCTCTAGAAATAACATTTGAATAGCAGGCCGGGCGCAGTGGTTCCTGCCTGTAATCCCAGCACTTTGGGAGGCCAAGGCGGGCAGATCACCTGAGGTCAGGAGTTCCAGACCAGCTTGTCTCTACTAGAAATACAAATATTAGCTGGGTGTGGTTGTGGGTACCTGCAATCCCAGCTATTCAGGAGGCTGAGGCAGGAGAATTGCTTGAGCCTGGGAGGCGGAGGTTGCAGTGAGCCAGGACTTCAACACTGCACTGCAGCCTGGGCGACAGAGCAAGAACCATCCAAAAAAAAAAAATGAAGAGCAGTACCAAAAGGATAGGCATTCCATTTACTTCTCCTATTTTTCTCATATTTGCCAGCCTACCAGACAGCTACATGCTTTGACCAGATTGATTTGGCCCCTTGTGGAATTGTTTTTACTGAACTGCATTTGGCATTATGCCCTCAGCAGGCATTGAGGAAAGCAGGGAGAAGCAGTCATAAGAAATGACTGTAGTTTTTGTTGAAGTTTGTTCTTAAGATTGTTGTTTATCAGTGTCTTTTTTATGAGTCTCAAAAGAGATATTTCTGTTAAGCGGAGGCCAGGAAAATCTGCCTTCCTGAACAACTGGTGTGTTTCTAACGTAGACACCAGGCATCTTGTAACTGCTAACTCATCATTTAAGTCAGTAAAATCTTCTGAAGAACATGATGAGAATATATGATTTTCATGTTACAACAAATTATTTCATCCAACAAATGGCTACAATTCATTTTGAATAAACTTGTTCTATCATTGACCAAGAAACCTGCCAGAATCTTTAAGTGCTGTGGAGAAAACTCTTCGGGTTTAAGCACATACGTTCACAGGAAATGTCTATGCCTTCAATTAGGTGATAATGAAGATGAAAATGATTTGTTTTTAGGTGTGTTATTTTTAATTTTTTTTCCTTTTTTAACCTACTCATATGATTTCAAGGATTCTTGGTTTTAGTTAATTGATAAGAAATTGAAGGGAATGAGAAGGTAAATGGTAATTTAGAAATGTTGATTGTGGTAAGGCAGAGAAAATGATCTGATGAAGAAAAATGAATCCCAGGGATTATAAAGCTCCAGAGATTTTACTCTAAGTATTGAAATATTAATTGGCCAATCTACTTTTTATCAATTTTATTTGAATCAAAATGACTATAGACTTTAAGTTGGGAAAAGGAGTCTCCTTGTTACTTGAAAAGCAAAGAACAAGGCTGGGTGTGATGGCTCTCTCCTGTAATCCCATTAATTTGGGAGGTCAAGGCAGGTGGGTCACTTGAGTCCAGGAGTTCTAGAACAGCCTGGTCAACATGGCAAAACCCGTCTCTACAAAAATTTTAAACTTTAGCTGGACATGGTGGTGGGCATCTATATAGTTCCAGCTACTTGGGAGGCTTAGGTGGGAGGATAGCTTGAGGCTTGGAGGTTGAAGCTGCAGCGAGCCGAGGTCTGTGCCTCTGCACTCCAGCCTGACTGACAGTGAGACCTTGTCTCAAAAAAAAAAAAAAAAAAAAAAAAAAGAGAGAAAGTAAAGAACAAAGGTTAGCCTCAGTAGCCATGGAAAAGTGTTTCTCAAAATGTGGTTCCTGGAGCAGCAGCTTCAGCATCACTACCACTTGGGAATTTGTTAGAAATGCAAATATTGGGGCCCCATCCCAAACCCTACTGCATCAGAAATTCTGGAGGGGAGGCCAACAATCTGTTTGCCCTTCAGGTGATCCTGATGACTGCTAAAGTTTGAGAACCATCACAATCCAGCAAGCCTCAAATTTCTCTAAGGCGATGGTCAGTCAAACCTTTCTCAGCCAGAGTATGCACAGGCCTAGTCTCAGAGGGAATCCATCCAGGTTATAGTATAAAAAGATTACCCAACAAGGGAGGTGTCATTGATGACTTTTATATTTTTCCCTGCATTATAAGGTATCGATTCAACCAAATAAACAGAGAGGTTGTTCAAATTTTATGAATTATCAATATATATTTATCTTCATATGGCACTTCTTCAAAGAAGCAACAGTTAGCTATGACATGGTAAGTTTTTTGAATGTATTAATAGTGGCCGAATTGACTGAATGAATTAAAAGTGGCTGAATTGGCTGGACTGCCAATTTCAAAGGTCTCCAGGTAGCAGGATCTGGCCCTGTGTTTTAAACTTGCTGGGTAACACCTCTGAAAACATGCAATATTCATAAAAACTGAAGTGAATCACATGGTATAATGTTTGTACTTATCAGTTCTCTGCTTTTTCCAGGTTTTTGAAATTATAAAAATGATAATGCTCATTCTATAAAAGCAAATATCACAATTTTGTTTTTTGAGACAGAGTCTCACTCTCTTGACCATGCTGGAGTGCAGTGGTGCCATCCCAGCTCACTGCAACCTCTGCCTCCGGGGTTCAAGAGATTCTCCTGCCTCAGCCTCCTGAGTAGCTGGGATTACAGGCACGTGCCACCTTGCCTGGCTAATTTTTGTATTTTCAGTAGACACAGGGTTTCACCATGTTGGCCAGGCTGGTCTCGAACTCCTGACCTCAGGTGATTCACTTGCCTCGGCCTCCCAAAGAGCTGGGACTATAGGCGTGAACCACTGTGGCCTACAAATATTAAAAAAATTTAAAGGAAAAGTTAAAGCCTCTTATAACCCATATCACTTCTTGCCTTTTCACCTAAGCCCTGTTTACCTGTTAGTTTTCCAGGGGTAATTACTGAGAACAGTTTGAGGTACATTTTTCTAGAACTTTTACAGCCTATAGAAACATATGTTAAGTATATCATTTTTTTTTTTTAGCACAAATCAAATTATACTCTATAGTGTACTCTAGTATACTATTTTGCTACTTGCTTTTTTCCACTAAAGTATTTTCTGGAACAAGTTTCTGTAGCTAGGATTTGCAGAAAAAAAAATAGGAAGAATCAATCAACATGCAAACTTTGGTAGCTTACATTGCTGTTCTATGAGAGAACCAAAGTGCTTGCTCTCAGTAGGTCTACAGCATGGTTGGGAAGAGAATGATAATACTGGTTAATCAAAGCAAGTGAGAGCTGAGTTACCAGGGACTCGTTTATGTGTGATTCTGTCATGAAGAGATGTGAGACATATCAGTCAGGCTGCAGAGGCGTGATGAGAGAGGAGGCAGTTAAGATGCAAAGGATTAGGGCAAGTAAGAAAATAGTGGTGGGAGTGAGGCTGAACTTTTCTGCTTTCCTCAAGCAAGAACAAAGTCATCATCATCATAATAGCAGAATTGAGTGTGGCATCTGGAGGGATACATTTAAAGACCCTCCTGGAGTGGAAGGGAATGTTTGAGATTAGTGGGAAATCTGATGGATTAGTGGAGGGTGGGAGAACATTTAAAATGAAGGCAGAGAAAGTTAGACATGATATGGTAAAATACTTGGTTAAAACGGAGACATTATGTGATATGGCCAAGAAGGAATGTCTTTTCTCATTCACATTTATCTAACAGATGCCTCATCTTTTTGAAGAAGGAAACACACACACACACACACACACACACACACACACGCACACACACACAGAGTCCTTTTTTAAGCAGTTTCATTCAAATGGAGTAATTTTTTGATGGTGTCTAGGAGTTTCATAGGATGGGTATTTTAATAATAAGTATCTAATTTGAAATTGCATGATTTATTACATGGTGGTCTATAGATTATTGATTTGTGTAACATCTAAACTCAGAGGAATTGATCTATGGCTTTAACAACTGTTTTAGGTAAGTGTTGAACTATGATTTGTATCTATATTCTTATTTCTTGTAAGACAGTTTATTCTAAGCTACAATCAATTCACTACTTGTTACTTATAATGAACACTGTTCATAGTAATAGTTTTATTTTACACACACATAAATAGTATAAAGCATATATGTGGTTCTATTTCAAAAAGAAAGTTCTCCTGACAAAATGTATATAATTCTTTCCTTTAGCCTACATGATTCTCTGAAAAATATACCATCAAAGTGTAATCATTGTTGCCTGAGAGTCTAACACCAGATAGTCAGAGTGTTGGTTTGAAACAGGCTGAACACTTAGCAAGATTTGTTTACTTCTTTTCCTTAGATGAAGATCAAATGAACAAATTCCCACTCAATGTTATAATAGAAGGAGACAAAGGAAAAAGAGCAATTGTATTCTATTGCTGAACTTTTCCCCTGTATTGAGACTTGATGTCCAAAATTTCACAGTTTTGTTCCATGGGACTGACTCATGCATAGGATAAATAGGATTTTCCCTAGGAAAACAGTAGAATGTAATGGTGCTATAGGTATGTATTTTCATGCCTTTAAGCCTTTTATAATGTGGTTGACTATCTTTATAAGAGAAGAAAGCACCACACTAAAGATTCTCCCTAAGCTTGATGTAATGATAAAAGATGTTGGGTGTGTTTTGTTTATTTTCTTTCTAAGCACTACCCAGATTTAAATACAAGTTGTTATAAAATTATGAATGGATGAATTAAATTGCTTACAATAGGATGGAGACACAGTAAAGGCAGAAATTTGGAAAAAAGCAAGGAAATCCTTAATCTATGTATTCTTCCCAAACTATCCCTCCCCTTGTTTTTTAAAACCCGGCCTGTATTTTAAGATTTTTAAATTTTATACCTAAAACTTTCCTCTGTCTCTTTCCCTTGTTTTCCCCGCCATCCTTTTTTTTTTAAGCTTTACACTGGTGAGAATTTGGCCTACAAGTCTAATGCAGTTTATGGGCACCAGTTGTTATGGTCTAATAATCTTTCCCAGGCTCTCCCTATTTGCAAGACACATTCTAATTTGGGGTCATATGGATCATTTATAAGGAAATGCCTTTTTGTAATCCACTTGCCCCTACATATATTTTTATTTGTAATATTTACACAGCTAATTTGACCAGAGGAGAAACTGCTCTTGGAACATGAGTGATTTCTACACAGAGAACAAATTTAGTTCCAATCAAGATCTCCATGATTAGGAACGGGTGTTGAGGGTAATTTGGAATTCAAGGCAACTACCAATACAGCACACGTTTAGATTTTTAGATGTGGTGGTGAACCGTTGAAAAGAAACTGGCTGAGATTTGAGCATTATTTGAAGTGGAAAAAGAAAAATAGCTTGTCTCTGGGCTTCATGCCATTTGCCTCCTTTAGTATCTGAAGATTTTTTTTTTCTTTCTGGTTTGGGGAAAAAGTGAGGCGCCGTGGGCTGTAGCAGGAATCAGGAATGATTCCTCTATAAGCAAAAAGATATCTGCCCAGTGAAGTCTCAGAAAAAAATTAGGTCTTGGAAATTATAGAGGAAGTCTTATTGCCAGGATTAGAATAAGAAGAATAGAACAGTACCGTGTTCTCTATTCCCAAAGGTTTGATATTGGTTTGTTTAAGATAGTTTTAGCTGCAAGTAATAAAAACCTGAAACAAACTGGCTTAACATAAAGGAAAATTATTATATTATATCCTAGAGATCCCAGAAATAAGTCAGGCTTCAGAGGTGGTGAGTTTAGCAACATGGAGATGGCCCATGTTGCTGTCTCCATGTCAAGGGCGCGTGTTCTCTGTTTCTCTCATACCCTGCCTAGGACCATTCAGGCTATTTCTTTTTTTCTTTTCTTTTTCTTTCTTTCTTTCTTTTTTCTTTTTCTTTTTTATTTTATTTTATTTTATTTTATTTTGAGACAAAGTCTTGCTCTGTCACCCAGGCTGGAGTGCAATGGCAACATCTTGGCTCACTGCAACCTCCCCCTCCTTGGTTCAAGCGATTCTCCTGTCTCAGCCTCCAGAGTAGCTGGGACTATAGGTGTGTGCCACTGTGCCTGGGTAATTTTTGTACTTTAGTAGAGATGGGGTCTTGCCATGTTGGCCAGGCTGCTCTCGAACTCCTGACCTCAGGTGATCCACCACCTCGCCTCCTAAAATGCTGGGATAACAGGCATGAGCCACCACACCCAGCCCGTCCAGGCTATTTATCCTGTGTGACAGAACAGCCAGGGGGAATCAGCACTGTCCCTTCCTGGGTCATTTCCAATGGAGAAAGGAAGAGTTCCCTGCCTCAGAAGGGGTAGGGAATCTTTCCCTTCAGTCTGAAGCACAGAGAACAGTCAGGGCAATGTCACATGCTGATTGACTCAGAGGAGACAAGATCCACCCTGGGAGTATGGAGTGGGGAATAAATTCAGCTCCTCTTTTGTTCATTGCAATATTATAAAGTGTTATAATATTTTCTACCATTTGTAGAAAACATTTTGATGTGCCATAATTTAAATTTTCTTCTTCTATTAGGTTGATGTAAAAGTAATTGCTGTTTCACAATGAGAACACATGGGCACAAGGAGGGGAACATCACACACTGCGGCCTGTCGGGGGGTGGGGGGCTTAGGGGAGGGATAGCATTAGAAGAAATACCTAATGTAGATGATGGGTTGATAGGTGCAGCAAACCACCATGGCACGTGTATACCTGTGTAACAAATCTGCACGTTCTGCACATGTATCCCAGAACTTAAAGTATAATAATAATAAAAATTTTTTAGAAAGTAATTGTGTTTCAGACCATGAATTTTAAGTCGTTATAATTAGGTTTAAACAATCTTTACTAATCAAAACCAGACCCATTACAACCAACACAGTTTTGCCAATGAGAAATAAGTTTGTTTATTCCTATAGCATAACAATCGGTGCTTCGGTATTTGATGAACTCTTGGAAAGCATTTTCTGCATCCTGCTGGTTATGGAAGGGTTTTCCATGAAAAAAGTTGTCAAGTGGCTTGAAGAAGTGGTAGTCGCTTGGCAAGAGGTCAGGTGAAAATGGCGGATGAGGCAAAACTTGGTAACCCAATTGTTCCAACTTTTGAAGCCTTGGTTGTGTGAAGAGCGGTCAAGCATTGTGGAGAAGAATTAGGCCCTTTCTGTTGACCAATGCCGGCTGCAGGTGTTGCAGTTTTCGGCACATCTCATCGATTTGCTGCGCATACTTCTCAGATGTAATGGTTTCGATGGGATTCAGAGAGCCGTAGTGGATCAGACTGGCAGCAGACCACCAAACAGTGCCCATGACCTTTTTATGGTGCCAGTTGGGCTTTGGGAAGTGCTTTGGCGCTTCTTGTTGGTCCAGCCACTGAGCTGGTCATAGTCAGCTGTATAAAATCCGCTTTTAATTGCATGTCACAATCCAATCGAGAAATGGTTCGTGTTGTTGTGTAGAATAAGAGAAGATGACACTTGACAATTTTTTTGATTTTCACTCCGCTCACGAGGCACCAACTTATCAAGCTTTTTCACCTTTCCAATTTGCTTCAAATGCTGAATGACCTTAGAGTCGTTGACATTGAGTTCTTCGGTAACTTCTAGTGCAGTTGTAAAAGGATCAGCTTCGATGATTGCTTTCTGTTGGTTGCTGTCGGCTTCTGATGGCCCGCCACTACGCTCCTCATCTTCAAGGCTCTCGTCTCCTTTGCAAAACTTCTTGAACCACCACTGCACTGTACGTTGATTAGCAGTTCCTGGGCCAAATACGTTGCTGATGTTGTGAGTTGTCTCTGTTGCTTTACGACCAATTTTGAACTCGAGTAAGAACATTGCTCGAATTTGCTTTTTGTCTAACAATATTTCCAAAGTCTAAAATAAATATAAAATAAACAGCAAGTAATTATTATTACTTTTTTATTAGTAATTTTTTTAGTAATAATATTTTTAGTAATTATTTATTAGTAATAATTTTTTTATTAGTTAAAAAATGAGAAATGTGCATCAAAATGATGTATAACATATCCACATTTATTTAAGAATGTATTCAAATGTCAAATGAAAAATTTCAACAATGCAAAGACCACAGTTACGTTTGCACCAACCTAATAGGAACATAAAATGAATGCAATAGAATCATGTGACATATATAATTGATTTGTGGGGATCATGTGGGATTTTAACTTCCTTTTAAAGTACTGCTTTTATGGAAAAATGCATTCTGAGTTTTAACAAATCAACTTCCAATTAAGTAACTGTGCTTATTCCAATGTTTAGCACAGAATCTAGCATGGGATAGCTGATCAATAAATATCCGTTGAAAAGATATGACTTTGGAAACACAACCCATTGGTGAACTGGTAACACTTGTCTGCAATCTAATCCTTCCCTCAAGGAACTTTCAGTGGAAAAGATGACATATGTCAAAAATGTTATTTGTTATCAACAGAAGAAAGTACACAATAAAATGGTAAATTAAATATCATCAAGAGCACCAAAAATTAAGTGTAGCCATTAAGATTAAGGGCAACCAGGGGAAAGATATAGCAACTATTGCCAGAGTGTGTATTGTTAGAAAGTTCAAATGAAAGTCGAATCCCCCCTCCCATAAAAGCAGCAATCAAACTATCATATTATTTTATAAAAATATAACTTAATAAACTGTGAAATTGAGAAGAATTCTGTGTAGTGTTTAGGTATATGTTTAAAAATATCAATGACAAATATATCCTAAATCAAGCTGGTATTGTTAACATGCAGATAAATATTTTTTTGGCCATCTCCTTGCAATATGTGTTAGAATTTCATCAGCCATAATTTTAAGAAAACTATTTCTTAGTTTGAGGAACCCAAGTAATGGACAATATGCTAGATGTAGCTTTAGTTCTTTATTGCAGAGCAAGGCCTGGTCATGTTGGAGTAGGCCATTGCCTTTAAGTAATGAATTGAACCTAGGAAGCCTCTTTTGCCTCAAAATTTATTTCCTGTTCTACTATCTCTCTGGGTGGAACTTTACTATTAGATATTTATTCCTTTGGGTCAGCATATGTATTCTTTTGAAAGGCTAGTTATTCTTCTCTTAATATAAAAAAAACCCTCAGATTCATTTTTCCTTTACAATGAAATCTGGTCATTCAGAGGATATATTAACATAAAATCAGCAATTAATACTTGCGGTGTACTGGACATTACATAAACATCTGGGTTACAAAGTGGCCTCCTTTTTAGAGGCCATAATTGAGTGGGAAGACACAGTTAAACACTGTGGGAAGTGTTATAGGCATAGCAATCCTTATTCACATACTAGGTAGGAAGGAGTGAGTATTTTGTGAGGATATGGAATTCTGGCATAGGAAAGATGGCAAAAAGAAGGCACTGAGTTTTGGTGGGAAGAAACTTCTAGTATAGGGCATAGAGAAAGATACGGCAAGTTGAAGAGGACATGGATCACATTTTAATTATTTCAAAATAATGTTTATAAGTAGGAGCTTTTATAAAATAATCTCTTAAATTGAGAAATTTGTGTAACATTTGTTTTAAATTTAGAATTGATTGTAGTCAATTAATAACCTTTGAGAACACAATGTGTAATACAAATGTTACAAGATACCTCTAAATATTGTGGTGATCTCACTCTTGTTCTCCTCCATCTCCCAAATACATAACAGATGAAGGTAAAGTGACAGACATGTACACAAATGATGGTAATAATTGTATGATTTCCAGTTACTCATGACTGACAAACTGTCACAACATTCTTTGCTTGTTTCCAAATACTCTTCTTCATGTCAGCAACAATTTCCTGTGCAAAATACCAGAGCAATTTCTCTTACGAATCAATCTCACAGTCATCACCCAGACATTATTTCTAAATAATTTTCAGTATTAACCCCTAAGTCCTGATGGCAAAAGTCCTCAAGCTATGTGATTGTGTGCTTTGATTTGTCAATAAATCCAGCTCCCAGCACCATCTTCAGCCATAGATCACATTTATGTGATAGTCAGCCTCTAGGAAATCACTATGCATGGCCTGAAGGCTGAAGGACTTGAGTGTCAAAGCACTTGCAAGATTCTCAGTGGTCTTTTAAAGTAGGAATCATGTTATCATGGGACCACATGGTTTCTTAACCTTGGTACTTATTGTACATTTTGAGCCAGATAATTTTACATTGAGGGGGGCTGCCTTTAACAGCATCCCTTTCCTCTAGCCACTAGATACCAAAGCACCTCCTGCCCTCAAGTTGTAACAATCATAAATGTCTCCAGACATCGAGAATAACCTCTGGAAAACAAAATTGTCCTGAGCTGAGAACCACTGGGCTACGCACCAATATCCACTCTTCAGTAATGTAATTGATACTGTTCGTAGGTCGATTTTATAGTGCTGTGTGGCGTGAAAAGGAAGCCTACACATGACTCAGTGAGAAAGAATGGACAGCCCAACAGATCAACACCCACGGCCAATGATACATCAGAACACACTTCATCACAGATGACAGGAGGAAAGTGAAGTGGGAGGTGAATGATGTGGTATGATTCAATAGATTTCTTTTTGTGTGTGACATTTACTTTTTCTTCTTTTAAAAGTAACACGTGTTCATTATATAGAAAAGGAACCAATATACAAGTATAAGAAGGAAAAAGAAAAATAGCCCTAATATCACCACCAAGAGATAATGGTTATTGCTGTAAATTATATTATTTTTTCTAGTAGTCGCTACTTCTCCATGTGATGTGTGGGGTCCTCCTTGTGAGGGGATTGTTCCTGCTGCTCCAGTAAAGTGAGTCTTGTCTATGGGACCTGCTTTGGCCAATGAGATGTGATGGAAATGATGGGCTGCTTCTGAGTGCAACCTTTAAAAGTCAGCACTTCGTTTCTCTTTAGCTTTTTTCTCTTGACCGTGCGAAGAACAAAGCACTGAAAAATGGCTGTTACTTTGTACAAATAAGTAGAACAAAGAAGACTCAAAACAGAGCTACAACTGACATGAAACTAGAGCAAGAATTAAACCTTTATTAGTGTAAATCACTATAAATCACTCCCAAATACATAACAGATGAGGGTATAACAGATGAAGGAATTCTGGGATTATTTGTCACTGCAGCATAACCCCATAAAAAACTTATAGTATATTTTATTCTAGTCTTTTATGTACATATGTGTATATATAAGAATAAGATATATATTATTTAATATAGTAACATTTCTATATAAATATATTTTTCTACTATTGAAATAATTTTCATGTTATAATCTTTGTGATTTATTTTTTCTCTTTATAATTTTCAACTATAATTCTTCATGTCTTTCAAAGATTTGTACACTATAACTCAGGAGGATGGTATGTAAGATACGTAGGAAGAGAGAATATATTGGCAAAATGATATCACCTTATATTTTAGGTACATACAGGCTTATCTGTAGTTTAGAAAGAAATAGAATGTGTCATACTTAGCTCCTGACTGATATTGCTTTGGTCACATTTCTCTGTGATGTTTCTCTGTCATTATTATTACTTCTAACAATTTCCCATATAGTACATGGGAACAGTGACAAATTGAGTTCTTTGGCAGCAGTTATAATTACCGTATATTTATGTGAACAAATGTGTTTGTTTTATCTTCATGATTCAGTATAAATTATTGAAACAGAAATGAGATTTTAGAAGCTGGGATGGCTGTTTGGGTGTCAAACAAGTTAAACTTGACAATAAGGCATGTGCTTTAAGTTTCCTTGGTTTGTCGCACTGTTTACTCTGGCGGCAGGGCTGTTCTTAAGTCAAGCTTTCTTGCTCTCCCCCATAAACTGTTACATGGTAGACTGATGTCAGCCAATCCTGAAGGAAATATCTGGAAACAGCACATTTATTTTCAATCTGATGCTGACCAGTCATGCCTCCAAGTGCCTCATTAGACTATGTGGAAAAGTTTTCAAAGACTTGGAGAATATCATCATGTGGGCCACCAAAATTTAAATATTTGATAGATAGACCATGATAATTTAAGTGTGGTTTTGCAAAGTAGGCTATTACGATGTATGTAGCTCAGGGCCTCAAGATGTTGATCAGTTTAACTGTATCCTAAAGAAATGACTTACCAGATGATAAGAAATATATTTTACTGAGTTTATCATGTTTTACGTTGGCTATTTTAGTTGATGGCCTTGATGTTTGAGTCTTGGCTAAGCACAAAAAGCACCTCTTTTTTGTGTAACAAATACAAATACAGAGGTGTGTGTATTTGTTATCTTTATTTGCTGTGTGACTGTGTCAGACAGCTTCTCAGTTAAATGGGAACTTAGACAAGAACAGTTCTTTGAAGGCTCAGATAATTTCTTGAACAAAATGAGAGCTTATTTGTTATTCAAGGTGTTAGATGGGTGTTCTGCTTGTTACTATGGAAGGAATAACTTTTTTGCTTATAGTTTCTAGGTGCTGCTGGGCTTAGTGGCTCACACCTGAAATCCCAGCAATTTGGGAGGCCGAGGTAGGCAAATAACCTGAGGTCGGGAGTTCGAGACCAGCTTGACCAACATGGAGAAATCCCATCTCTACTAAAAACACAAAAAATTAGCCGGGCATGGTGGTGCGTGCCTGTAATCCCAGCTACTTGCGAGGCTGAGGCAGGAGAATCTCTTGAACCTGACAGGCAGAGGTTGCGGAGAGCTGAGATCACGCCATTATACTCTAGCCTGGGCAACAAGAGTGAAATTCTGTCTCAAAAAAAAAAAGTATAGTTTCTAGGTTCTGCTATGTTCTTTAACATCACTCTAGTTGGGTGCTTCTGGTCATTTCTAGCCACAATTCTCCACGAAACTAAGTGTTTCAGTTCATTCATTTATTTGTTCAAAAAATGTTTGTGGACAATGTACTATTTTCTAGTTTCTGAGGTTACAGTAGGGTTTGATAAGAACTATAGAAATCCATGCCTTTGATAAGAACTATAAAAATCCATGCCTTTGAAAATAATAACACTTACATATGTTGTACATTGTGGCTTATTGAAATATTTAAGTTCACGATGTCATTTGATTCACAACCCTGTGATGTAGAGAAGACAGGATTGTCTGTATTTTATAACTTAGACAGCTGATTGTTATGTTTTTAAGTACAATTGTTTACTTATTATAAACTAGCGTCATGAATTGGAATTTTATCTATATGCTACTAACAAAGTTGACCTATACAATAGTGACCTCAGTGAAGTGGTGGATGGAAGAATCACTGGGTGAGGAGACAGGAAGGTGAGGGGGTAGAGACAATGACTATTTAGAGAACTCTTTTGAGGAAGTAGGGAATTGGGGGGAAGCTGAAGGAGGACCTGAAGCCCAGGGAGGTTTTTCTCAAGACATTTTGGAAGCACGTTTACATGGTGATAAGAATGAGCCAGTAATAATGAAAGAATTGATGATGCAGGAGAGAGGGAGGGGACAATTGCAAGAAAAAGTCTCTGAAAAAGCTCAAGAGGGGTGAGATTGGGGTATAAAATAGCCTTAAAAGAGAGAAGGAAGATTCAATTCAGTTTAATAGGAGGAAGACAAAGGATACAGATATGGATAGGTAGGCTGGTAAATTTGATGGAAAATGACATGGTTCTCATTTAATCAATTCTCTTTTCTCAGTGAAATAAGAGACACACTAGCTAAGAGTGGGGAGCACACAGATGGTGCTTAAGTTATAAGAGGAAAGGAAAAGATGTAAAACCATCATTGTATATCCAACTTTACATTTTTAATGTAGTAGGTTTTCTCTTCAAGTTTCTTTTTTTTGAGACAGAGTCTCACTCTGTTGCCCAGGCTGGAGTGCAGTGCCACGATCTTGGCTCACTGCAACCTCTGTCTCCCAGGTTCAAGTGATTCTCCTGGCTCAGCCTCCTGACTAGCTGGGATTACAGGCATGTGCCACCACACCTGGCTAATTTTTTATATTTTTAGTAGAGACAGGGTTTAATCATGTTGGCCAGGCTCATCTCGAACTCCTGACCTCAAATGATTGGCTTGCTTAGGCCTCCCAAAGTGCTGGGATTACCGGCGTGAGCCAATGTGCCCGGCCTCAAGTTTCTATATAAAAATAAAAACACTTACCCCTAGAAATGTACATAATTGTAAAAATCCTCACTATTGTCCTTATTGTTCCTTTACTTTGTATCAGCCCACGGATGTTTTTATGCCTTAATGTCAGGTCGTATATATTAGTTGAACATCCTGTCTTATGAAGTAAATTTATGTTTTGCCAGATGTAAAAAGTACTTAATATGTCATACTTTAAAATTACTTTTAAAGATTCTGCTAGTTTTGAGATTCAAAATATTTGTTGAGCTAATGGTGGTCATGTTTGTGCTTTGATGAACTCTGTAATGAAGTTTTATAATTTTGAGTGATAGTTCCTATAAAATTTCAGCGAAATTTTTATATTTCTAAAAATGACATCAAGGTACAGGTATTGTTTAGGTCACTTCTTCATATCATTTCTACATATCTTCCGACCATTTTTGTTTCAGACTACCTTTTCAAGGCTGTTGGCCATGCATGTTTGCAAACATCCCTGAAAGATAGAGATCCCTGTGGGATAGGTGGAAGATTTTCTTTCTGACTAGGATAATAAAGATAATAGCTCTCACTAGAAAAGGATAAGAAGACTTGTTAGCAGCCCTTATTAGATTAGGGTTTTCCTAAGTTTGGAATTCCTCGGTTACAACACAGACCAACTAACTCTGCGTAGCACTCACCTAGGTCTACCTGCATCACTCCCATGCCACTTGGGGGACAAGGTGGAACCAACGGGAGTGTGAAGCTCATGTTGCCTGCTGTGCTGTGAGTAACAGAGCCTTTTGCCTCTGACCCAGAAGTCTCATGTTTCTGACATTTACAGAACTGTGTCTAGCTAGCTAGTTAACTTACAAGTGGGGTCTAAACATCCCAGACCCTTTGCAGTTCCTGACATTTCAAAAGCTACATCAGCACAGTCACTTAATATCATGGAAAAATGTAAGGCACTCTTTACTTATTCTTTGGAGTTCTGCTTTTACCTCGAATCTTTTTCCTTTTCTTTTTTCTTCCTTCTTTATTTTGTTATTTTTAATTTTCAGGATTGAATTTAAACACCTAATTTTTTTATTCAACATTTAAGACACACATTTTGCTTTAAAGTCTTTCAGTAATAGTATTTAAATTGTTTCCTTGGCTTTTAAAAAGGACAACTTTTCTTAAATTTGTCTTTTCTAAAGGGTACTTATTTCAGAAAAATTTTCTTCTGGGTGGGAATAGTAATTGCTTCTGAGTCACAGCAAGCAACGGACTGAATTTTAAACTCTGGAGATCACATTCCAGCCGAGCAATTTCCCAAAGAAAAGAAATCTAAAGTAGTCCCCTAAATATTAAGCAAGTGACAGCAATGATAAGTAGGGGACTGCTTTGAACTGACGATGGAGAGTGGGCCCACTGTGGTTTACCAAATTTAGACTTGGTAAAATGAGACCTAGCACGGACAGGCATAGGAGAAACCAGGGTCAGTCAATGGGGGCAGCCAGGGAAGCCCCAGCTGGCCTCTTTCAAGAGATACAACCAGAGAGAGGGTCTTGGAAGTCATCAAGGAGTGAGACATGAGCAGCTTAAAATGCTCTGGAGATGGCAAGGGAAAATTACATCCTGTGCTTTCAGGGCTGCAGGATGTGGGTTGACAGAATCAAGCATGGAATTTTCCTACTCAGAATGAGGGGACAAGACTGGTGATCAAAGGCCAGAAATAAATAAACGTCCCAAAGCAGCTCAGACTCATGACGCATATGGCACAGTGAAATCCAATTGATTTCACCCAAGTGGTAAGAAAATTTAAGGAAACAATGAAGCGATGAAAGCATGCCTAATTCAGGAAAACCTGGTGGATCTTAGATGGCCCTCTTGAATTGCCTGTGTTAAAACTTCACTAAATATAATTAACTAAATAATTATTTAAGTATGCAAGCATTCTATATATTTAAGGAATTTAATGTTTTTTGTTTTTGTCTTTTTTTTTTTTTTTTTTTTTTTTGAGACAGAGTTTTTGCTTTGTTGCCCAGGTTGGAGTGCAGTGGAGCCATCTCGGCTCATTGAAACTTCCGCCTCCCAGATTCAAGTGATTCTCGTGCCTCATCTCCCGAGTAGCTGGGATTACAGGCGTGCACACCACACCACACCTGGCTAATTTTTGCATTTTTAGTAGAGACGGGGTTTAGCCATGTTGGCCAGGCTGGTTGTGAACTCCTGGCCTCAAGTAATCACCCCCCTCGGCCTCCCAAACTGCTGGGATTACAGGCACGTGCCACCTCACCTGGCTTAATGTACATTTAAGGGATTAAAGTTATAGATTACAAAAACACTCTTACTGTCAAGGCGTCCTAATTCAGAAATCATCACATTATATTTCTTCCTAAAGGTATTAGAGTAAAACAAAACTGTAGAAATGATGAGCTTTTATTAATTCTTTGAAATGAAATGTTAAATAACGCTATTCTATCACACGATTTCTACCTGTTTTTAAAAGCACATGGCCTTTGAGATCTATTTTGGATAATGCTAGATGCTTAACCTCTTTTTTTTTTGAGAGGGAGTCTCGCTCTGTCACCCAGGCTGGAGTGCAGTGGCGTGATCTCGGCTCACTGCAAGCTCCGCCTCCTGGGTTCACGCCATTCTCCTGCTTCAGCCTCCCGAGTAGCTGGGACTACAGGCGCCCGCCACCACGCCCAGCTAGTTTTTGTATTTTTAGTAGAGACGGGTTTTCACCGTGTTAGCCAGGATGGTCTCCATCTCCTGACCTCATGATCCACCCTCCTCGGCCCTCAAAGTGCTGGGATTACAGGCATGAGCCACCGAGCCCGGCCGATGCTTAACCTTTTTATTTGAGGAAATAGTCACAATGGATTATTGATATTTAAATGGCTTTTCTTAATGCTAATTGGAAAGAGTAACCATGAGAATCCTGCTTAAAATTTTACTTTATTTTATTGTTTTAGAGACAGGGTCTCATTCTATTGCCCAGGCTAGAGTGCAGTGGCACAATCATGGCTCACTGCAGTCTCGAATTCCTGGGCTCAAGGCATCCACCTTAGCCTCTGGGATAGCTAAGTGTGAACCACCTTGCCCAGCTAATTTTTACATTTTTTATAGAGATGGGATATTGCTATGTTGCCCAGACTGGTCTCAAATGCCTGGGTTCAAATGATTTTCCTGTCTCGGCCTCCCAAAGTGCTGGGATTTCAGGCATGAACCACCTCACCTGGTCCTGCTTAAGATTTTAATTCTCATGTTAACAGAATGTTGGCTACTCCACCAAAAAAGCTTGCTCTCCAGAAGAAAAGTAAACTAAATAAGTGGGTGAGTGGGAAGGTACGAAGTTGTATGGAATCTGCCTCATATGCCAGCTATTTATTTCCTCATTAAATGTTTAATGCAAGAGAGGTACTTATTACCTGTCCTTACAAAGCTTACTTTCTGGTTGGGGGAGACTGACAACCAACACATCAAATAATGTATCAAGTGGTGTTAAGTGCCATGGAGGAATACAGAGCAGGAGAAGGGGAGTAAAGAAGCCTGGGCATGGGGTGAGGACGTTGTCAGAGTCAGATATTTCAAAAACATGCTTCTGATAATAATGTCCCTTTGCTCAAATCCTTCAAAGCTATCTCATTACTTCAGCACTAAGACCACACTTCTAAACCTAATGTACCCCACTGTGCATAGTTTGACCCTTGACAAACTCTCTACCCTCAACTCCTTCCATGTGTGCAGACACACTCTTCATTTCTGCCATATTTAGTTCCACAGACCCCCAGGTTACATCATCCTTTCATGCATCTTCTTGTTTATTGACCTGTAAATACCTATCCTTTGCTCCCCAATTGTCCGATCTAATAAAGTTTCTTCTTATCATTTAAGACTCTGACCTAGCATCATCTTTTCTTAGAAGTGCTTTTAATCCATTTTATCTAGTACCATAGGTCAGTTTCAATTCCTCCTCTTTTCATGGCTCTGCAAATGGCTTCCCCCAAGTTATGCCACCTACTCAGAATTCCACAACACTGTTCTCTGTGCTTCTGTCTGTTCTAGCACCTTTCACATTGTGTTACTTATGTAAGAAAGTTTGGAATTAGGTTAGCATAAACAAATAAATATCATTTAATTTTAATAATTCTAACTGATTCTTCTGACTGCAGCGTGAATTGCTCAAGGACAGGGTTTGAGTATGTTTGCTTTTATACTCCCTACATGGACACCATCCTTGGTGCTTGGTATACATCTCACAAATGTTTGTTTAATCAATCCGTTTTGTATGTAAACATTCTAACTGAGCTTTAAATCTTTCCTGTTTTAGTGACAAGGATCTTCCGTAGTAATTTTCTACACAATAGTATTAAGATGTAGTCACATGAATAAATCCATGCCTAATTTTTTTTCTATTATAGATGCCATATCATATTCTGAGGACATAATGTCATCTAATGCTTACTGAATTCATACTAGGTGCCAAGCACTGTTCTCTGCACTTTAAATAAGTAACAACTTATTTACTCCTAATGACAACCCTGGAAATGGAATGGGTATTATCAGTTTCCTTATCTTGCTTGAGTACAAAATGGTTAAATAAATTGCTAAAAGTTAGTCATATAACTAGGTTTCAAACCCAAGCAGCCTAACTCTAATTCTATGCTTTCAACCACTATACGATGCTGTCTACTTTTTATTAAGCTTCAGAAAGTTAAATTATTCATTCCGTAACAGAGGGGAAAGGAGGAAGCTGAGAAATATTGGCATAGAATTTGAACTACTTAGAATTTTAAGGGTTGGTTGGTATGGTGTGGAAGGTGCAAAGTACCTTAGGAATCGTGCCAAAGCTTTGAACTTAAGCCTCTAGGTACAGTATATTAGACACATGATATTTTTGTCATCTGCTACCTTCAATAATAATTCATTTAATCCAGTGAAGGGTGGTAAACGCTTTGGAATACATACAAGATGCTGTGGTTGCCATGGGGTGAAGTAAGAAGATATAAAACAAATAATTAACTGTAGCCTGCAAATAGTTTTTCCACTGTGTACCTTCTATATGTTCTGCTGGTAAAATAACAACACCCATTCGAATAGCATGCTCACATGCATTGTTTCTTTGGATTCTTTCCACAACTCAGTAAGGTGTAATCAGTGCATTCATGATCCATGTCTTATAGATGCAAAGACTCAACTTGCCCAAAGTCATGAGTGGGGAAATGTGAAAATGAGTGAGGCATATGAATGAAATCATTTGTTCCTTTTCTCTGCCCTTTATCTTGCCTTTCATAATTATATTAGATAAGACAGTTTAATTGCAATTTATCCAATTGCAATTTATCTTAATCCTATTTATCTAATGTAAAACAATGTCAAAATTGGTCCAGTTTTTCATTAATGTTAAGAAAAGTGGGGCTGAGCAAGGTGGCTCACGCTTGTAATCCCAGTGCTTTGGGAGGCCGAGGCAGGTGGATGACTTGAGGTCTGGAGTTCGAGACTAGCCTGGCGAGCATGGTGAAACAATTAGTCAGGCATGGTGGCAGGTGCCTGTAATCCCAGCTACTTGGGAGGCTGAGACAGGAGAATCGCTTGAACCCAGGAAGTGGAGGTTGCAGTGAGCCAAGATTGCAGCACCTCATTCCAGCCTGGGAGACAGAGCTAGACTCCATCTCAAAAAAAATAAATAAATAATAAAAAAGTGATTGGTTGAGAAACCATTTCTGAAATGTTGTAATTGATGTACAGACCATCTCTACAGTCTCCTAATTTTGGGGAGATTTTAATTGCTGATCTTACCTTCCACTGTTACAACTCTTCTCTGTTCTATGAGCTTCCACCACCCACATTCCTATCTGGTGAGAGCCTAGAAGAACCAAATATAATGGTTCCCAGAAATCTGGGTGATGGTGTTAGTGATAGTGACCCATGTTTCTCCAACAATAACAATAACTTCATATCTGTTACCATGTTGGATTATTACCACAACCTCTTGAATTATGTGTGGTAGATATTAATGTCTCAGATTTATAGATGAAGAATTGGCACATAGGTAGGGTAAGTGATTCTGTGTTCTTTTGAAAGTTTTCTCATAGGTTTTACCATATATGTTTCTGTGAATTCAAGTCTACTGTGAAACGTACCTTTGCAAACCCACTCCTTCCCATTCTCCCCCATGTAAATAAATAGCACCTTCATCTAGCAGTTGCTTGAGTAAGAAACTTATGAGGTTTCCTTGAATTCTCTCTCTTCTTTCTCCCTACACCAAATCCATCAGCAAGTCCTGATTACTTTATTTCAAAAACGCAACCAGAATCTGTCCACTTCTTTTCATTGCAGGTATTTTTATCTATGTCATTTAGGACTAGCTCAGCCAGGACCTAGAACAGTATCTGGTATGTCATTAAGTCCTCAATAAATATTTGTAAAATGAATATTTCCACTATGATACTAGCAGTGATATTAAAAATATTTAGAAATATATATGGCAGGAACTTGGACCATCAGCAGGACTTCTGAAGTTCTTAAAGTTTCGTGCTCTGCCGGGTGCTAACACTTTGATCCCTGGGTCCTGAGGCAGTTTGGAAGTTCTGGGGGAAAGGATAAGATGGCTGAGACATCACTTAGGTATTACCTTTTCTCAAGTGTTAGGAGATACTTAATTTCTGTTAATGTGCTTATGAATTGAATGTCACAACAGAAAAAGGATTGTGTGTTCCTACATTTGGGAGATGAAGCCAACAATAGTTCACTAAATTTGAAGTATTTTTATAATTATGAACATATTAGGAAAGAAGCTAAAATACTTCTGTTATAATAAAGGCAAACTTTTACCCAAGCCAGGCAGTTTGGGAAATGCTGCTGAAAATGTATCCTCTCTCCAAGAAAAGTAACTTGAGTACTCATCTAATGACATTAAAAAAATTCCAACAGCCAATAATCACCTTGTAGCAATAGTATATAAGTGTGTATTTACCTGAGTAGTAACCAATTCTGATAAAGACTCCCTAGCCTACAAAAAAGATATTGATGTACAAAGACTAGGAATATAAATGCTTCATTAAAATAAAGAAGGAAACAGGAAGTCTGGTAAATTTTTGATACTATTTTAATTTTTAATCTATTTTATAAATTCTAAGTAGTGTCAGACAAGAGTGCATTATTGCTTCATAATTCAGTAGCTTTGTGATCTGTAGGCTGTTTACTACATCAGAAAAAAAAAGGATGGACAAGCAGAAAATCCTGTGAATCCTGAATTCTTATATTAATGTGAAAATATTACTACTCTGCTATTTGACTTGTCCTCGAATCCTTGGATTATTAATCAGTTTGAGAGGGTCCAGAGAGAGAGCCTTTCCTGTTGCAGATTTGCTTTGTCTGTTTCCGTCATCTGTATCAGATAGGAGTTAAGTTAGAAGTGAAACATGACATTCTGACAGTGAATCCAGCAGACAGATTCTTGGCTGCATTCTCTGCTACACTTGAACTTCTGCTAAGCATGTGATGAAAGAGTGTTTTCGACTGCACCAGCTGTGGAGAGGTTAATAAAACAAAAGAGGGGAAACAAAAGTGCTCACAGCAGAAAGCTTCTGGCTTTGCTGATTTTTCTGGTTACAAACAATATGTCAGAGAGCTGTAACTGCTGTGTTGGTTTGGGCTTTAAGCCATTTAAGACAAGTTGAGCTTCTGAATTAAAAGTTTAAAGAGAATAAATAAGCAGCACATCAGATGCAATGTTATGTATTTTGGTGCTGGAAATGGAAAGCTCTTACTTTGCCATAGACACTTGGAAATTAGGAAACTGGTGTGTATTTTGCTGGCATCCTTGATAGTTTCTCCCGTAAACAGAAACCTGCATAGGCTTTCAGATGTTTGAGATATGCAGAAGCAAAAGTGCTCTTGGCTTAGTGGACTGCAAGTAGTCTCTTATGCTCTCTCTCTCTCTTCCTGTGTCCAACTCCTCCAGCAAAGGACCATGGAATGTGGAACCTTGCCCAGCCTGCTGCTCAGGAGGCGATTGCTCAAGGCTGTCTTATGCAGAGGAGGTCAACAGTTGACCCATGAACCATTTAAACTGGAAGGAAGAATTAACCAATACCCTGAGAGATTGACTACAACTACTTTTTCCTGAAAGTTAGAGTGCAGAGTACAGGAGAGGAAGGCCATTTACTAATTTTCCTGCTTCCTTCACCAGTCCTCTACCTCTCCATACCTAAGGTCCTTCACTCAATATACTCAAGTCTTCTCTGCTATGTCTGCATTCCCACATGCCACGGCATATAAAAGGTAGGATAAGGAGTTCCATCACTTCACACAAGCATCTACCAGGAGGAGGAAAATAAAAACATTTTACCATCAACTTCGCCACTTGCTGTGAAACCGAAGGCTTGTTATATAAGCGTTTGGGGACATAATGAATGTGACTTACATATGTCATCTGGGAGACATGGTGTTTATATTTCTTGAGTTGAATTGGGGCAGAAAAATAATGGGCATCTAAAATGCTCAATAATTGAGAGAAACTTTAAAAGTTATTCCTCACCCTAGTTTGTCTAATATCTATCTTTATCATCTTATTTGTCAGTTCCTTGGGAAATTAAGAAATTTAGAAATTTCTACTGAAATAAAATGGATTGTTTTGGAGACTGTTTCTGAATAGTTGCAGAACTCCCCCAAAGTCCCAACACAAGTCTCATTCCTCGTTTCCTCCTGACCCCCAGTATTCTAGCTGATTCAAGTTCATGCCCACATCTTCTCTTCAGACGTGCAGTTCCTCAGAGAGTCTTCTTTGTGGCTCCTAGACTTATTATGTCAAGTACTGGAGCACCATGAACTTGCTAAGGAGCAAATGCACACGTGTTCTACACCAGAAGACAGTCAGATGCACTGATGTCTTGATTTATTGGGTTTGTAAATTTGGGTGTGATTAAGCACAGCACTGAGGAATCTGTCCTTTTAGACTGCGTTTACTGCAGGATAATGAATGTGATTTGATTTACACAAATGTGATCTGCGGAAAGGTTTGTTTAGGAGTACTCTAAGTCACAAACTGAGGTATATACTTCATATAAAGCATTAGTGAGGTCAAGGGAATAGTTGGGCAAAAGTGGGGAAGGTGTTGAGTTGGTTGGAACACTATGTGAGAAGCTAAGTTTCCCCAAATTTTGTTCAACATAAGCATACAATTATCAAATACCAATTTGATATCAAGACAATACTAATTTTTACTTCTTCTTTTCTCTCTGCCGCTAGCCTGTGAAGAAAAAACCAACACCTAGAATTTTTTCCATCCCTCACCTTTCCTTTGAGAACTCAACAACCCAAGCAACATGAACCTTTTCCCAAATACCATTTAGGAGAAGTCACTGGCAGTTTAAGAAACAGATTTTTTTAAAAAGTTCCAGGGTGAGACATCTTCCAACATAAACTTTAAATATCATTCTTAGCATCAAAGCAACAATATATTTAGTGTGAGTACTTATTTTTAATAAACTTGATTTTTTAGAGTTTATTTAAAAAATTTTTAGAATTTTATTTATTTTTGTGGTGTATATACTACATGTATGTATTTATGAGGTACTTAAGATGTTTTGATACAGGCATGCAATATGAAAAAAGCACATCATGGAGAATGGGGTATCCATCTCCTCAAGCATTTATCCTTTGAGTTACAAACAATCCAGTTAGGCTATTTATTTCAAAATGTATAATTAAGTTCTTAGTGAACTATAGTCACCCTATTGTGCTATCAAATTGTAGGTCTTATTCATCCTTTTTTTTTTTTTTTTTGAGATGGAGTCTTGCTCCATTGCCCAGGCTGGAGTGCAATGGCACGATCTTGGCTTACTGCAACCTCCTCCCTTGTTCAAGCGATTCTCCTGCCTCAGCCTCCAGAGAAGCTGGAATTATAGGTGTGCACCACCATCCCTGGCTAATTTTTGTATTTTTAGTAGAGACGAGGTTTCACCATGTTGGCAAGGCTGGTCTCGAACTCCTGACTTTAAGTGAGCCACCTGCCTCAGCCTCCCAAAGTGCTAGGATTACAGGTGTGAGCCAGTATGCCCAGCCCTTATTCATTCTTTCTATTTTCTTTTTTGTACCCATTAAGCATCCCCACCTCCCTGCCGGCCCTTCATTACCCTTCCTAGACTCTGGTAACCATCCTTCTACTCCTCTATGTTCATGAGTTCAGTTGTTTTGATTTTTGGATCCCACAAATAAGTGAGAACATGTGATGTTTGTCTTTCTGTGCCTGGCTTATTATCCTTAACATAATGATCTCCAGGACCATTGCAAATGACTGCATTTCATTCTCTTTTTATGGCTGAATAGTACTCCATTGTGTATAGGGATTACATTTTCTTTATCCATTCATCTGTTGATGGACACTTAGGTTGCTTCCAAATCTTAGCTATTGCAAACAGTGCACGACAAACATAGGAGTGCAGATATCTCTTCCATATCCTGATTTCCTTTTTTTGGGGTATACAACCAGCAGTGGGATTGCTGGATCATATGATAGCTCAATCTTTAGTTTTTTGAGGAACCTCCAAATTGTTCTCCATTGTGGTTGTACTAATTTACATTCCCACCAACAGTGTATGAGGGTTCCCTTTTCTCCACATCCTTGCTAGCATTTGTTGTTCCCTGTCTTTTGGATATAAGCTGAACCTTAGTTTTTAATCTCTAAAATAGAACTAAGAGTGTTTAGGTAAATACAAAAATTCGATATGTGTCTAAAATAAAGATACCTAGCAGAGAATATGCAAAAAATTAAAGTTTTGCCTCCTCTTATATAAGAAATATAATTAACACTTACTAAATTTGATAGTAGAGGTGAATGTAAATTGATTCCATAAAATAACCTTTACAAACATAATATAACCAACCAGTAAAATTGGCTTTGAGGAGACATTTGGCTTCTAATTCAGAGAATACTTCATCTTCGTATTTTCTCCAGTATTTTTGGAATGTATGTTCAGCGGGCAATAAACAAACAGAAATTTCAAATCATCTTCGTCTTGGTTTGGAAGAAGTAGAAATAGTATAACTATTGGCCACTGAGTTGCTGTGGGTTTCCCAGGAGACGAGATGTGCTGGGCGTGGACCCTTAGATTGTGGAGGGGCAAAATTACAGGGCTCAGAAGAAAATATTATTCTACATGGCCCAACAAGGCATGTTATCAGATACTTAGTACTGGCTGCTTACCTGGGCAGCACCCCAAAAGGGAGAAGAGTATGGGATAGAGGAAATAATTATCTGGAGGCTGTTATTCAACACTTAAGATCCATGTGAGGGAGCTACAGTACAATGTTTCTTTTACTTCAGTCTGTATTAAAATGTCCACTTCATCTGTTTTTGGGAATATGTTGCTTGATTCAAATAACTACTTTTAATTTTTAAAGTAAACAAAATTAGAATAATAGGAACAACATTAGTTTTAGCAAACAGAAAAGGGTTATCGCTGTTCTTTTTAGCATCAGTCACCTCTTGCTGAGTCTGCCAGAGGCAAAAAAGGATCTCCACCTACCCAGCATGCTTCCCTTTCTGGAGGGCCCTTGTCCTGTGGTAAGCAAGTGAAGCATCAACACATATAGAGGGCCTACTAGCTGCTGTCAAGTGATGTCTGGCTTAGAGATGACAAATAAAATACGTGGCAACAATAGAGAACTTTGCTTTCATAACTGAAAACCTGAGAAAGTTTTGCTGTGTGGATTCACCAATTTGCTTTTCCACAAGGGTTTGCTATCCTGTTCGTCAGTCTGATTTTCGATTATTCTAAAATTCTACATAGAGTAGATGTCTGCCTTTCCTTACCAGGCGGCAGATTCTCCCTGGATCATTTACTGTTTAGAATTACAAAACAAATACAATGTTTATAATAAAACTTTACAAATGGTGAATTTTAAAAAATATTTTATGATCTCTTAATTACATACGGCAAAATGAAAGACATTGGGAAAAATAATTTTAACATAGTAATGACTCTTTGTGACTTTCTTTAAAATTGCCTTTTAAAATTATTGATTACATCAAGGGCAAATATAAACATTATCAATTGATCAGATTAACTTTTGTGGGTTTTCTTCTAAGAGTACCTTTCTTTTTTTCCTATCAGGCTTATTTATTGAATCACCAATCTAATTTGTAAATTGTTGTTATCCTTTAAAATTTTTACAGTTATGTTATTTGGTATTCATTGTATCTGCTGGGAGGATTTATCCAGAGGCATGGTTTTCTCTTCCCTTTTTTTAAATCAATATGGGATTTTAGTAACATCATGATCATCATATCACTCACTGGGAACCCATTGTGTGGCACTTTGTAGACATTCTTTTAATTGTCATAACAACCTTGCAGTGTCTACAGATGAGGCTCAGGAAGTTAAATAAAACTCTAAGAACTTGTACTCAGGGTTGTCTCCTTCAAAATTCTTTGCTGATCCTAATTCTGAAATGTGTGAAGTTGTCAAAATATGAAATATTGGCTACCCAAGCATGATAACAGTACATTTGTAAGCATTAATGTATCCAGTGAAGCAAATCCCTTGTCTTTAAAGGGCCCATGCTTGTTTTTCAGAAACTCTGAGGCCATAGGACTCTACCACACCATAAACTCTGTTGGTTTTTGCTCTGTTTTCAAAGCATCTAACTCTGCCAGAAAGTAGTTCAAGCATGTTGGAAGAATCAAGCTTCCTGAATTGGGCGATGCATAATTTGGTTTAAAACTGATATAACAATCGGAAATTCTACTTATCCACTGAATCATATTGATTACACGCCAACGTCTTGTTCTTTATCCTAACCGCACTCATTCTATTTTTTTTTCATCTACAGAATTCTCATAGCCTACAAAGCAAATTTCAAAACAGATATTTAAAGGGATGAAAGGGCTTAGATAACTTTATAAAAATTAGGCGAAATCAATTTCAAGGATAACTGTAGATATCTGGAATATGTAAGTAGCATCCAAGTTCTTGATTATAAAGACATGTTACTTGGTGCCTTCAAAACCAAAACAATGCTCCTCTTGGGATTTTCAAAAAAATACAGAAAGAGTAAACTCAGAGTAAAGATATAAGTAGAGATAGGGCCTAAAAATGGAAAGCAATTATGAAGAGAAAGTGAAAGACAAGGAGGAATGTTTAGAAAAATCAGATAACAGTGATCCAAAAGAGAGGACCCTTAGGATAGAGAAAGATACAAAGATAAATAGTGGTGGAAAATAATGAGGGCACAAGGTTATAATTCAAAGTAAATTTTCCAAATTGCATATCCTGTTTAAAATGTGTGTCTTAGAGTTTTACATGAATCTGGTGCAGTGGGAAAAAACACTGGACTGGGAATCCGAGGCCCTGGTTTGGGATCTGGCTAAACCATTCATCATCTATGTTTTCTTAAACAACCTATTCAGGGCCCTGGTTATTTTATATATATATATATATATATATATATATATATATATATATATCTCTCCAAGAGATGCTATTAAATGCCTTCCAGTGCTAAATAACTCAATTGAGCAAGGAGCAGAATTTAGAGTAATACCTTATTAAATGGCAAGACAATATTTTCTTGCCATTAACTGATATTGTACTGATGACAGCCTGCATAGGACCCAATACAGTCCCGAGAACCTGTTCATTCTTTCTTTTCTTTCTTTCTTTTTTTTTTGAGAAACATTAACTTTTATTAATTTATTCATCAAGTATTTTAGGATGGTTATATAGTTTGATAATATGCTGAATGATCGTTAAGGATATATCAAATTTTAGTAACAAATAAATTATTTAAAATTATTTGCCAGAATCTTAAAAATGACAAAAACTAAGAAAACTAAGTCACATTATTATGGTAAAATTCAAATGTTGAGGTATCCTAAAAGAGAACAGTAATAAAGTACTAACAGCAATTTTTATATGGCATTCAACGTAAATTACATTGAAGTCATTAACATAAAAGAGTTACACAGGTAAAACATTCAGATTCCTCACCAAAAATGTGTTAAGATTCTATTTACTCAGTCTAATACATCTTTAAGTGGAATTTTGGTGTTTTTTCTATGTGGACTCTGAACATTTTTATTAAGATTATTTTTTGCCAGGCATGGTGGCACACACCTGTAGTCCTAGCTACTTAGGGGGATGAAGTGGGAAGATCCCTTGAGCCCAGGAGATCAAGGCTGCAGTAAGCCGTGATTGTGCCACTGCACTCCTGCCTGGGCAACAAAGTGAGATTTGGTATCAAAAAAAAAAAAAGGACAATAATAACAATATTAGTGTTATCAAAGTAGTGTAGTGGTTAAACACGGGAACTCTACAACCAGCTACTTAAGTCAAAATCCTGACTTCACTACCTACTAGTTGTGTGATCTTGAGCAAGCTATCAACACACTCGGTGCCTCAGTTTCCTCACCTATAAAATGGGTATATGAGTACTCACCTCATATGACAACTTTAAGCATTAAATGAATAAGTACAATTCTTTTAATAGTAACTTTACCCTGTCACTGTTACAATCATATTTTGCTGACATTATGCAAACGTTCTCTTAGATTTTGTTGTATACAGTGCATATTTGATCTTTCTTACTAACTCGAAACTGACTATGCAAATAAAAGTTTGGTATTTTAAGGTCTAGTGCTGTCCTTGAGATCTAGATAAAATCGGTGTACAACTGGACACTGCTGTAATTTGGGCCTTCTGTATAATAGTTTAGTTTTTTGCTTAAAGTCTCCCTATAATTGCCAACTCAGTAAACCCTTTAATTTCAAATATACAATGATGCATAAAAGTATGGTGCCGTAGTCAGAATAAATTTTAAAATGATCTAATCAAATGGATGTTAGAAAAAAAATAAGGTGAGTTTGACATTGTAATGTCCATATAGGTTTTGAGGTAATACGGATCGTTCTTGAGGTAACATGGATCGTTCTTTTTTCTTCTGACAATAAAGAAAAATATGTTTTCACTTTTTTGTGTGTGCTTTTTAATGCACATAACCATCAGTGCCAGTGCACTTAAGTAATACAAAAAACAAGACCCTCCCCCTACCCCTCCCGCTCACACACACACACGCGCGCACACACGCACACCCCTGAGCATATCAGTGGAAGATACAGGCGTTTCTTATGTAGAGCATGATCATTGTAGCCTTGATTGATGAGTTGAGGGTCCTTATGTACTAAGGAAAGCTGGTGTTAAATATAGGCTCATGTTAGAGCTTGAGAAGCTGTTTTGAAGTGTAGAAGGGAGTGTAGAAGGGAATCAGTATTACTCTGAACAGAATTATACTTTGTCTCCTAGCTCCATATATTTTAGCTGTGTAATCTTGGGAAAGTTATTCAAACCCTCTGAAACACAGGATCCTATTTCATAATGTGAGTACAAATACTGTACCTATGTTATAAAATCATTGCAGTAATAAACAGAAGCACCTCCATGCTCTGCAAACTCTCAAAAAAGTAATGTTTATTCTATTTTGGGGGATGGGGTGGGGTATGAGGACTGTATTTATGTTAAATGAAAAGAAGGGAATATTCCAATGAATAAAAAAAAAGTACGTGTGAAACATTTAGAAAAATTATAGGAGAGGTTTTTGAACTCTAGAATAAAATGCTTAGAATATAGGAATTTCTAAGTAAACATCAAGTTATGAACAAATCAGTTCCTTTATCTTCATGAAGAAAAATGTAAATAATTCTTCAGAAAGCTTTTTTTTGATAATTATAAAATATTTACAGAAGTCAGGGAAAAAAATAACATCAACAGGTCTGAAGCAGATTTCTAGCAGAAGAAGAGCTAACAAAGGCTTGCCCTCTGTCTCTCAAAGAGGCTTAAAAACCAAAGTGGTCCCCTAGTGCAATGATGTCTACTTAAAGCTAGCTGTGTTTGACAAGTGTCTTAACTTAGAAAAATTTCTTTCTCATTGGTTTTCTCAGCCATCATTGTGTGGGCAGATATTTAAAGTATCTGATGTCAGCTAACCTTCAAAGAATCAATAACCAAAGTCAATCACACATATACAAAACCATTAGGAAGGGAAGGCAGGAGCCAGTGCAGTGAACAGCCTCATCTGTCAGATGCTTCATCTCTCAGTTGATGGTGTTCGCACCGGGGGGAAGGACCTGCGCCAGTGAGGACTCCTGTTCTCCATTCACTCCCATTCATTCACTCATGCCTCAGTAACTGTAGGACCCTGGGTTGGTGATTAAGACAGAACACGATTAATGACCTTCAAGTCACAGTGGGGAGCCTGGTCACTCATGGACTATAGAAGTGGGCAGAGAACAAGGGCACAGCCTGTTCCCCATGTACATGACATGTGGCTGTGGTCTGATTAAAAGCCCTTTTCACCATATCTCTCTGTTATGGGGATCTTTTTAATTTTTTTTCCTATTTACATAATATTTCCAGAGTCAAAGGGGGTCTCTTAAAAAGATCACATCTTTGTATTTTTACAACTCTTTAACATTATTTTATCAGACCTGAGGGTGTTGATGCATGCCTGTTTGTTTCTCATAAATTGATTAAGAAGTCACTGTGATGAATTCAAATGTAACATAATTAGAACTTTTTCATATAAAATTATTTTTCATATGGAAAATATAGATATGAGCAAAAATATCAGTCTCTTAAAAATGAGTTCCTTGAGTACCTTAAAATAGTAAAAAATATGAGAAGGTAGCAGAAATGTAAATTTTACACTTACTATCGGATATGCAAAATCATCCACCTCCTCAATTTGCTTCCAGCATCCTGATTACATTAATTTTGCTATCGAATATATGGCTATTTTTGAAGGACTAAAATTTATAAATATAAAATCTATATTTCTTCTATTTTATAAATCCTGTTTTCCTGAAAATGATTATTATTTTTGCCTTTCTCCACAATACAGATAGGCAATTAGGGAACATAGATAAGAAAAGAAGAGATAGTATGTTGCTTTATAAAGCCCTCATTTATTTGAAATCATTTAATGTACACCAGAAGCCTACATTATAAAGACCATTTATTTACTTTTTTTTTTTTTTGGAGATGGAGTCTCGCTCTGTGCAGTAGTGTGATCTCAGCTCACTGCAACCTCTGCCTCCTGGGTTCAAGTGATTCTCCTGCCTCAGCCTCCCGAGTAGCTGGGACTAAGGCGTGCACCACCATGCCTGGCTAATTTTTGTATTTTTAGTACAGACGGGGTTTCACCATGTTGACTAGGCTGGTCTCAAACTCCTGACCTCAGGTGTTCCACCCGCCTCAGCCTTCCAAAGTGCTGGGATTACAGGTGTGAGCCACCGTGTAAGGCTGATTTATTTACTTTATAAATAAAGAATACATGTAGATATATTGAGGAAACAGAAGAAAAAAGTTACAGCAGTTACCAGATTTCAGAACTGTCTTTTTCAGTGGTTTTAATAATACTTTTTCATATATTTCAAAAATGTGTAATATTATACTTTTTTATATTTCACTGAAGGGAATTGCCTTCAAGCAAATGCTTATAGATGCAACTGGAGTCAGCAGGAAACCTTCTATCGTATGTTGTCCTGCCACAGTAAAACATATTTGGTTATTTGGTTATTTTCCTAAACCACAGATAAATAATTCTTACAACATTCGTTTCTAACCACCATTTTACTGATGTGGACACAATGGAAACATTGTTCATTGAAATAAAATGCAAACTCTTGGACTTACACTCCAAATTTACTAGCTCTTTCTTTTTTAGACTAGAATAGTGGAGAGGAAAAGCCAGGAGCAAATGAGAGCACATCTCAGAGGGAACTCTGAGGACACGAGCTGTTCCAGACTCCTGAATGTCACCAGCTGCCCAGCCATGGGCTACGGCAGGGTTGCCTTCTCAAGGGCAAATATGCTGGGAGAGTCTTTATTTTCATGTTCCTTCTTCTCCTTTTTCTTTATAAGATATCTTTTGTTGTTGTTGTTGTTGCTGTTGTTTGTTTTCCAAGTTTCTATAAGTTACTGTTTTTTTGTTTGTTTGCTTTTTGAGACAGAGTCTAGCTCTGTCACCCAGGCTGGAGTGCAGTGACGCCATCTCAGCTCACTGCAACATCCGCCTCCCGGGTTCAAGTGATTCTCCTGCCTCAGCCTTCCCAGTAGCTGGGATTATAGGTGGCTGCCACCACACCCAGCTAATTTTTGTATTTTTAGTAGAGATGGGGTTTCGCCATGTTGGCCAGGTTGGTCTCGAACTTCTGGCTTCAAGTGATCCGCCCACCTCAGCCTTCCAAAATGCAGGGATTCCAGGTGTGAGCCAGTGCATTTGGCCAGTAAGCTACTATTTTGAGAGAAGGAATGGATGCCTGCCAGAGGAAGGATTCTGAAAGGTTTTTATGATAAGCATTGCTAACATTTATTGAATGCTAGGTGTCAGGCTCTTTATTGAACTCTTTATCTGTAAAAGCACTTGTACTCCCCTCTTTTGTTCAATGCCTTAGACAAAGAAGGAAGTTTTGTCAAAATTGCAAGTGATACAAAATGAGGAGTATTAGCTAATTTGTTGGGGGAGAATAATTCATTAAACTAACTTTATAAGCTAGAAAGAGTGGTTGAAACAAATAAACTGAAATTCAACAGGATAAACATAACTCTTACATTTAGGTTCGAATAATCTATTTCTTGTGTGGAGAATAGTGAATATTTGATTTGGTAGCATATGGAAGGTAAATTTACATATTTTAATGCTAGTTAATCTAACCCAAGAGTGTGGACCTACTGCTAAACACCTAACTCAGTTTTATTGTCTATTAGCTGAAATATAGTGTCCACATCAAGGAAATTATTAGTCTAACCTCATTTGCTGCTGGTCACACAGGAAGTGCTCTATTGAGTTCTGGGCACTACATTTTTAGGGAGAAGTTGACAGCAAACTGGAACATGTTCAAAGGAATAACGGTGAAGGGTCTGGAAACCATATCATATAAGGAATAACTGGGGGAATGTGTTCATTTAGCGAGAGAAAATGACAAGCTGTGTTAACAATTTCAAAGGCTGTTCGGTAGAAGAGGGGGTAGACTTTTCCGCAGAGTTACAGAACTAAAATGAATGGTGGAATCACAGAGTGGTAAGTTTAGGCTCCCAGAAGAAAATGCTTTTCTAACAATTACAGTTATTCGTGAACAGGCTGACTCAATAGTGGCAAGTTGCTGGCCACCAGGAGTGACCTGTGTACCCACCTGTCTGAGCAGCAGGAGGGAGGGTGGGGCTGCTGGCTCTTGGGAGTCTGAGACAGAATCTATGATGGTCCTTTCGTGTACTCCCTGTAAGAGGCATAGTCAGGATCTAGGGCAAAATTTTCTCTTTTAAATTTAAACTGAAGTCCATCTTCATATTCGCGATGACCCACTCAGGATTCTTTTATGCATTTAGAGAAAATGGCTCTCTCTCTCTCTCTCTCTCTCTCATACACACACACACACACACACACACACACACACACACACAGTGTATTTTATATCTTTCTTCCTTTTGCCATTTCTTAACTGGGATAAAAGAGGTCAAGATGGGTAGCCAAGTGGCAGTAAAATACATTTGAATCAAAGTCACATTCAGCAACCATAGCAGAAATATTTTCCCAAGGTTTATTTCTGATTCTAACTGCAATAGTTCATGATCTAGCTTGGCGTGTGTCAACCAGGTTGTCGCTTTGTACCTTGTGTGGGAAAAGATATACTGGAAACAGAGTAAGAGGTAAACACTAATAATGTTTGCCTTGATGGCAAAAATCGTGTTGCAAAGGTGTGTTGTGTTTTCTTGGGAATCGTAGGGTAGAAACATTACGTGAAAAGAACAGATTAAAAATTGCTGTTGTCAGCATCCATCTTTGTACAGTTTTCTAAAGCTTTTTCTGTATATGTATTAGTGACTATGGTATTCTTTATTGTAAATCCTTCACTCATGCTGATATCTAAAGATAGGTCCTACATTTATGAATTGAGAGATGGTGACAAGTCTTTCCTTTCCTTCCTCTTTTGCTTTTTCCCTTCCATCGTCTTCTTCCTCCTCCTCCTTTTCCTCCCTTCTCCAGCTCCCCCATCTGTTCTCTTCCTCCTCATTTTCTTCTTTTCTTTTCCTAACAAAGGGGCATGCCTTTTTTCTACCCTTGAAACCCCAGGGTACAGATTGAGAGTGCTTTTGGTTTCTTCCTGGCATTTCACCTTTTTCCTGTGCTTTGCTGTTTACTGACTCTACAACTTTGCAATGTCCTTTTGGTAAAGCAAACAGGACAGCCTAACCTGTGGAGAAATTATTAATAAAATTTCAAGAAGTCAACTCAGCATGGACTGAATAATGAAATTTGGAATGTTTTCCCTATTGTTGCCTGGATCCAGCCAGGCAGCTTTGGCCCGGGTGGCTCAGCCCAGCTTGCCCTGTGTGGTTTAAGGCCTTTAACTATGAGGCAGGTCATTAACCGGCTGGTGAAGCAACAGCACATTGTTCTGTTATTTTCAAACCACAACAGCCTCTGTGGAATCCAAGAGCCATAAAAATGTAGTTCTGATGCTGCCTGACAGAGGCATAATTCATGAACTCTATAATTTAAAGGGATTTCAATGCAATTGTAAAACTAATAAAAAATGAATTGCTTTTGGGGAACACTGGTACCTTATTTAATCAATTGATTCTACTAATTTAAAAATACAGTTGGCCTGGTAGCTGTGTGTGTGTGTGTGCGTGCATGTGTGCGTGTGTGTGTATGTGTGTGTGAAGATAAGTAAGATTAAATCTGATGCCAACAGTTAGTTTCACGTACATAACATTGCTTTTGGACCAAAAACAAAAAAAAAAAAAGAAAAAGAATCTCAGAACAATGTATGTCCTGTAGCCAGTAACAAAGTGTTTCTCTCTGTACCTTTTTATCATTTCCCCCCCAGAGGTTGATTATGCCCAAGTTAAAAAAAAAAAAGTTTTGGTAAGTTACTAGAAGGTTTAAATTTCAGTCTGGATTTTTTTTTTAAAGCCTCAAATGAAAGGCTTTCTTTAATCAGATAACTGACCAGCCAGTAATTTTAGCCCAACTATGACACACCAGTTGGCAGGTACAGAGGTGCGCAGCCCTAAGCCTTTGCCTCTGTCCCCGTTTCTCTGCCCGCTGGGACTGTCATTGAGCTTCCGTGTCTTACTGCTGGTCCCCAGAGACTGCCTCCAAACATCCTGAAGTTCAGAAAACGAGAGGCAGCTGTCAGAGGTGACCACGCAGAGGGCACAAGAGGGACTCCGTCCCTCCATCACCCCACCTGGGGAGAAAAAATAGGGCCGCCCCACACCGCAGCTGTCTCAGATCCAGAGCATCTACGTTTCAAATTGATCCCTGATTTCCTGAAACCTTGGCTCTGAAGTTGTTTAGGAGGCTTCGGTGGGGCTTTAAATACAAGCACATTAACTCGTCTATTTTAACTCCCCCATCATGAGTAATGGCAGCTCAAAAATGCCCTCTATGATGTCACGTCACAAAAGGCTCAGAAAATTATCCCTTTCCCCTATTGTCTGTCTGTTTTCTTTTGTTCCTTCTCTACTCACCACGTTCACTGGCAGCCATGAATAAAATGTAACATGCTAAATGACTGACATCCATTAAAGCCCCTCGACAAACCTTGGGCCGTGTTTTGAAAGGGCCCTGGAAGAAAAAGGATTGTGTGCTCTTTGAATCTTGGTCTGCTGAACGCCTGCCAAGTGAAGGCTGCTCCATTCAAAGGGCTGAGTGAATAAATGAGAATAACATCCTTGGGGACCCACGGGATCAGTTTACTCCGAAAATGCTCAGCTTCACAAAGGGTCAGAGTCACAAGGTAAATGAAAATGGCTAGAAGAGGACTTTGATGGCCGAAACACTGTAACAGTAGAGGACTTGAAAGAAAACTTTATTTAAAAAAAATAAAAAAGAGGAAAAAGAGAAAAGCGGGGGCAGGGGAATCTCAGAAAGGGAAAATCGGTTTATAAGAACAAAATGCTTTGACAGCGACATCAGTGAATATTTGTTTATAAATTATACACAGGTAGTATATACATAAATGTATGTGCTTGTGAAAATGTATAAACTTTTCATCCACATCTGTAAAAACCATGAACTAATTTTACTTTACACATGAATAAAAACTGGGTCAAGCCTGTTAGCTCATTTTCTTGGTGGGCTACAAGTACTCTAATTGTCATCTTAGTTGCAAGTGATAAAATCTGCAGTCCCATCAAAGATGCCATTTCTTTGGATCACTCCTTGTTTGTTTGTTTTTTTCCACACACCATTTCTCAGTCAGAATGATTTCTATTTAACCACTTTAATGGAGGTGAATTAGAAGCAGTTTTTAGGCAAGGAAATCAGAAAAACCACAAGAATTCTTGACATGTTTCCACAGAGACCCCTGCATGGTGCCTGACACAGGTCACTCATACCAGACCCTCGGGCCCCTGGCCCTTTCAGCTAATTTTTAGGTGTATAGACTGTGGTAGTTTAAAGAAATCCTGCGAATTAGTTATATCAGATTATCTCTTGTAAAGATGTAAGTGAAGTTTAGGTCTCTCCTTTAAAAAGAAACTCAGCTAATGATAATTATGACAGAGGTAGGAGCTAAAGTAGCTGAAGTAGAGGAAGGAGAATTGTGGCAAATGACGGCCTTGCCCCTGCAGGTCTGGTTTCTAGTAGAGGTGACATCAGACAAACTCAACCTTGAACGGTGGGGTGGGTGAAATGTGTCCCTCTCCCTTCCAAAGGTCTGTCCACCCAGAACCTGTGACTGCAAGCTTATTTGGAAAAAGGGTCTTTGCAGATGTAGTTAAATTAAGGAATCCAGGGTGAGCTCATCATGGATTAGGATGGGCTCTAAATCCAAGGACAGTGTCCTCTTTAAAGAAGAGAGGGGAGAAGACAGGGAAGAAGGGAATGTGAAGTCAGAGACAGAGATTGGAGGAGTGTGTTCCGAAGCCGAGGAATGCCAAGGGTTGTGGGCAACCACAAGAAGCCAGGAGACAGGCATGGATCAAGTTCTCCCTCCCAGCTTCAGAAGGAACCACCCTGCTGACACCTTGATTTAGGACTTCTGGTTTCCAGAACTGTAAGAGAATAAAGTTCTGTTGTTTTCAGCCACCAAGGTTGTAGCAGTGTGTTACTACTACTCCGGGAAATGAAGACTGATGACAGTGGCTGGGTGCTGTTGCAATCGTGGACTCATTCATTTTGGGCTTGCTGCTCTCCAGGAAGAGAGAAAAGAGTTCCTCCTGAGGCAGCTGATTGCATTACTGAGTGACAATGGCACATAGGCACACTCTGTCAGAGGTCTCCCTGGTGATCATTTTTCCTAAAAGACCTCTGTTTTTCAATCACTAAACATGCATATCTCCTCAGAACAACATTATTTAGCTGATGTTTGTAAAGGAAAAAAAAATATTCCCCCAAACTCATTGGTCTATGGGAAAAACTCATATTATATTCCAAATATCGTTGGTAACAGAATGGCATGTAAAAGGCTGCTGGTGTTAAGGCCATGGTACTCCACACAAAGCAACTGCATGTGTTGACTGCAATATTAATTCTTCAGTAATTAAAAATTGATGTTTTAAGCAGTTTATATTCTGATTTACTAGTTTGTTACTTACATAGAGGAGTCTTGTTACTTATATAGAGGAGTCTTATTGTGTTTTAATAATTTGGTTGGTGATTTGGGGTTAGTATATAGCACATTTTAACTTTTTCCACTACAAATAATGGGAAATTGACTTTCAGTTAATGTTTTCTCAAAGAATGTCTGTTTCTCAAGAATGTATTATGGAAGTTGTGCAGGAGAGGTCTGTATTTCCTTTTATTGGTATACATATGCGTATACATATTTTAAAAGACCATGTCCATACGCTTGGATGAAATCTTCTGTTAAAAGATGTGATTTAGACTGGGCATGGTGGCTCACACCTGTAATCTCAGCACTTTGTGAGGCCGAGGTGGGTGAATCACCAGGTCAGGAGTTTGAGACCAGCCTGAACAACATGGTGGAACCCCATCTCTACTAAAAACACAAAAAATTAGCTGGGCATAGTGGTGGGCCCCTGTAATCTCAGCTACCCAGGAGGCTGAGGCAGGAGAACCACTTGAACCTTGGTGGTGGAGGTTGCAGTGAGGCAAGATCATGCCACTGCACTCCAGCCCAGGTGACAGAGTGAGACTCTGTCTCAAAAAAAAAAAAAAAAAAAAAAGAAAAGATGTGATTTAGTATCTTTACCTATCTGAATTAGAAACATTAGGGAGTGGCCGATTTAATTTAGATTTAGGATACTTTAGTGTTTACAAGTTATAGTAGATTCTTCTTCAGTTTTCATATATGGTACTGGCTGAAACAAACTTTTGAATACTGGTCATTGCTTTAAAATAAAGGTTTTAGAACATAAAATGTTGAAATACACACTTATTATGCTTGAGTTTTCAGGATTTAGATTGCACAAAATACTTTCTGTTCAATTATTTAAAAATTTCAGGCCAGGTGCAGTGGCTTATGCCTGTAACCCCAGCACTTTGGGAGGCTGAGGTGGGCAGATCACTTGAGGTCAAGAGTTTGAGACCAGCCTGGCCAACATGGTGAAACCCCATCTCTACTAGAAATACAAAAATTAGCCAGGCATGGTGGTGCACATCTATAATCCCAGCTACTTGGGAGGTTGAGGTAAGAGAATCGCTTGAACCCGGGAGGTGGAAGTTGCAGTGGGCCCAGATTGTGCCACCGTACTCCAGCCTGGGTGACAGCGCAAAAAAAAAAAAAAAAAAAAAAAAAAAAAATTCAGGGAATACATTTGAGAAAAAGTTTCAAGTAAGTCTAGTTTTCAATAAAAAGGTTTTAGGTATCAGTGGCCTAAAAAAGTTATCTGTTTTCCTAGATGCTTCAATCATTCCCAAGGAGAAAGATACTGGAAAATGTGGTTTGAAGTGTAAATTTATAGAGCAGAGTCATAACCGACAGTTAATATGTAAGTACATATTTGACTGTTTAAAATACGTATGTGGGAAAAAAATCCTAGTTAAAAAGAGAAAAACATAAATTATCTGGAATAGATTTATCACAATTATGTGTTCTAAAAATCTTATCTTAAAAAAATGCCAAATAAGACTGACACATGGAATTCATTATATTCTAGCTAATGGTTTCAATCAAATTTATAACAGAGCTGAGTTGGCAGCAAGCATTCCTGGACCTGTCTCTCCAATCACAGAGTACCCAGGGACACAGGCATTTACACACGGAGTAAGTTCAGTGTCTGTACTACTAATGGCTAATGTCTCTGCCACCCACATTTTTTACTCTCAGGGACAAAATAAATTTTGTTTGTTTTGCCTCTGTGAAAGGCCAAAATAAACTTTATTGTAGGATAAACGTATTGAATTTTTGAGTTTAGCACTATGATAAGTTCATAGTAGAGTTGGATGGAATGGAGAACATTGTATTTCTTTTTTGTGGCATGATATGTTTTCAAAACTTAGCAGTTCACACATGGAGAAAATAAGAAAGAACGATTTCTTGGCCCTGGCAGTGCAAATTTGTTTGTTTATTTCTTTTTTCATGCATTCAAATATGATTCAAAGTTGACATTTATCTAGATTGTTTTAAAATCCGAATTTCTTTTGGAGTATTTTGTTAATTCTTCATACACAATTTATTTTGTTAACTTAAACAAATGAACTATCTTTTTTGTTTCCTTTGGGGTGTGGGGTGAAAAGAAGAAGTCTAGGTGTGAATGCTTTATTTTGTTTATTAACTACTTTTTACAAAGATGCCTTGAAAAGAATAGAGAGTTGGAAACTGATTGTAAGTAATGGCTTCAGTTGAAAGTGCTGAAGAAATTCTTTTCCTATGTGTGCAATTTTGACCTTCAGGGGGCGTCCAAGTGCAGCAAAGCTAAATAAGCTGGCATGCACCACCCTGTTTTCATGCTACCTGAGTAACCTTAGCTCAGAAAAATGTAGCAAAAGCCAAAGTAAGCACTCCTTCCTCATCTGTCACTGCATGGACGAGAGCTGAGGCAGCCATATTTAATCAGCACCAAAGTCTCCCCCTGGGTGATGTTCGTGCCCTTCTGTAATATTTTATTCTAAGCCATTTCCCAGACAGCATTATTGATTCATGTCATTATTCTCCCCCAAGCTCCGGGAGCTTGTGCAATGTGATACCAACTGCAGTTCTCTTCATGAACATAACCTCAGAACCGAAAGGTAAGGTGACTGCTTTTAACATTCAGAATTACCCAGATGGCATATTATGCAGTGTATCATAGGCATTTTAAACTCTTAAAATCAGACACCAATTGGTTATAATGCTTTTGCTAAAATAGGAAATTACCAAACAAAAATAATTTGGCATTTTTTTCTTATTTATGCATTTTTCCCCTTTAACTAGTAGATTTATGCTTGTAGTGAGAAGATACTGTACTTCAGGTATTTTGTGTGGGAGGTTTGGATGAGAAACTCCCCTCCCCTGGAAGACTCATTAAAAATAATAATACAAATTTATATTTATCTTGACTAGAGTTCTGAAATTATTTCCTTTCTCCTCTATCAGAGGTAAAGGAGGACAGTAGAATTTTCTTTTTTCCTAATGATAGAAAATAATTTGTGAGAGGAGACCCTGGTTGTTGAATGTATTAGTGAGTGAATGAATGAATGAAAAAAATACTATATTCATTATTGGGCCCAGAGATCTGTTTACTCTCAGAAAAATGGCCCATTGATTAGTTTTCTCAAATTTTAATTTGGAGTCCAGCAGCAACCTTAAAAAGTATGCAAACTCTTTTTTTTTTTGAGACGGAGTCTCGCTCTGTTACCCAGACTGGAGTGCCGTGGTACAATCTCGGCTCACTGCAAGCTCTGCCTCCTGGGTTCATGCCATTCTCCTGTCTCAGCCTCCCAAGTGGCAGGGGCTACAGGTGCCCACCACCACACCCGGCTAATTTTGTTTTTGTATTTTTAGTAGAGACGGGGTTTCACCATGTTAGCCAGGATGATCTCGATCTCCTGATCTCGTGATCTGCCCGCCTCGACCTCCCAAAGTGCTGGGATTACAGGAGTGAGCCACCATGCCTCGCCATATGCAAACTCTTATTTACCCCTTTAGACATAGTATCATAAAACATAACAAATGCTCTGCACAGCTTCCCTCCATCTACATCCTTGTGTACATATCTTTGGATAAAGGTCTGTAAAAGTACCACCTAGATCTTTGTAATTTTAGCACTAAGTTTCAATTTTATCTTGGGCCAGTGAAGTAATGAAAGTTGAAATGTCCACTCTCCTCCTCATCTTTTGCCTACTCCAGCAACGTGTTCCAATGCACTAACTGTGGTACTAAACCTGCATCTCTAGTAGCATGATTTATATAGTTTGGATGTCTGTTCCCTCCAAATCTCATGTTGAAATGTGATCTGCATTGTTGGAAGTGGGGCCTGGTGGGAGGTGTTTGGGTCATGGGAGCAGATCCCTCATGAATGGTTTGTGCCCTGCCTGCAGTAATTAGTGGTAGTGAGTTCATGTGAGATCTGGTTGTTTAAAAACAGTGTGGCACCTCTCCCCTCTCTTTCCTGCTCCCTCTCTCACCATGTAATATGCCTGCCTCACCTTCACTTTTCACCATAACTGGAAGCCTCCTTAGACTGTCACCAGGAGAAGATGCCAGTGCCATACTTCTCATACAATCTGCAGAACCATGAGCCAAAATAAACCTCTTTTCTTTATAAATTACCCAGTCTTAGGTATTCCTTTATAGCAATGCAGAATGAACTAATACAGAAAATCGATACCAAGGAGGAGATGTTGCTATAAAGATACTTGAAGATGTGGAAGCAGCTTTGGAACTAGGTAATGGGCAGAGGTTGAAAGAGTTTGGAAGGTTCAGAAGAAGACAGGAAAAAAGGGAAAAGTTTGGAACTTTTGAGAGACTGATTGAATGGCTGTGATTGAAATGCTGATAGTGATATGGACAGTAAAGGCCAGGCTGATGAAGTCTCAGATAGAAATGAGAAATATATTGGGAACTGGAGCAAAGGTCACCCTTGTTATGCTCTAGCAAAGAGCTTGACTGCCTTGTGTCCATGCCATAGGGCTTTGTGTAAGGTTAAACTTTAGAGTGATGACCTAGGATATCTGGCAGAAGAAATTTCTAAGCAGCAAAGCATTCAAGAAACAGCATGGCTGCTTCTAACAACGTAGAATCAGATATAGTAGCAAAGAAATGACAAAGTTGGAACTTATATTTAAAAGGAAAGTAAAGTGTAAAAAACTTGGAAAAGTCAAAAACTGGCCTTGTGGCAGAGAAGGAAAGACCATTATCAGGGAAAGAATCTAAGAGGGCTATGGAGGAACCACTTTCTAGAGAGATTAACATAACTAAAATTGCTAACATCCAAAACAATGGGAAAAGGGCCTTGAAGGCATCTCAGAAGGCTTGGAGACAGCCCCTTCCATCCCAGACCCAGAGGTCAAGGAGGAAAGAATGGTTTCAGGGGCCAGGCCCAGGACCCTGCTGCTGTGCTCAGTCTCTGGACACCGCTCCCCCAATCTTGGCCTCTCTGGCTCCAGTCTTGGCTCAAAGGGCCTCAGATGCAGCTCAGGCAGCCACTTCAGAGAGTGCAAACCATAAACCATGGCAGCTTCCATATGGTGTTAAGCTTGCTGGTATACAGAATGCAAGAATGAAGAAGGCTTGGCAGCTTCCACCAAGATTTCAGAGGATATATGGGAAAGCACAGATGTTCAGACAGAAGCCTGCTTCAGGGATAGATCCCATGCAGAGAGCCTCTATGAGGGAAGTGCTGAGAAGAAATGTAGGGTTGGAACCCTGACTCAGAGTCCTCACCAGGGCATGTTCTAGTGGATCTATGGGAATGGGGCTGCCATCCTCCAGACCCAAGAATTGTAGAGCAACCAGCAGCTTGTACCCTGAGCCTAGAAAAGCCACAGGCACTCAACTCCAACCCATGAGAACAGTTATGAGGGCTGTGCCCTGCAAAGAATCAAGAGCAGAGCTGCCCAAGGCCTTGGAAGCTCACCTCTTGCACCATTGTGTCCTGGATGTCGGACATGTATAGTCAAAGGAGATTACTTTGGAGCTTCAAGGTCTAACGTCTGCCCTGCTGAGTTTCAGACTTGTGTGGGCCCTGTGATCTCTTTCTTTTGGCCTGTTTCTCCCTTTTGCAACAAGAATGTTTATGCAATGCTTGTACCACCTTTGTATCTTGGAAGTAAATGACTTATTTTTTATTTTCCAGGCTTATAGGTGGAAGAAACATGTCTTGAGTCTCAGATAAGACTTGCGGCTTTGGACTTTGAGTTCACACTGGAACCAATTAAGACTTTGAGGAAGACTATTAGGAAGGGATGATTGTATTTTGCATTGCGAGAAGGACATGAGATTTGGGGGACCAGAGGCAGAATGATATACTTCGGATGTTTGTCTTCTCCAAATCTCATGTTGAAATGTGATCCCCAATGTTGGAAGTGAAGCCTGGTGGGAGGTGTTAGGGTCATGGGGGCAGATCTCTCATGAATGGCTTGGTGCCTACCCCACAATAATAAGTGGCAATGAGTTTACATGAGGTCTGGTTGTTTAAAAAGAGTGTGGCATCTCTCCCCTCTCTCTCTCGTTCCCTTTCTCACCACGTGATAGGTCTGCACACCCTTGGCCTTCTGCCATGACTGGAAGCTTCCTTAGGCCCTTACCAGAAGCAGATGCTAGCACCATGCTTCCTGTACAGCCTGCAGAACTGTGAACCAAAATAAACTTCTTTTCTTTATAAATTATACAGTCTGAGGTATTCCTTTATAGGCAGGCAAATGGACTAATAAAATGATCTTCAAGATTTTTTGTGTGTAGTTAAGTTTAAGTTTACTATTGGAATTCATCCTTTGTACAGTAATTAGTAACAATGCAGAATTCTGCTTGCCACTTTTTAGAACATGAAGTTATTATGGTAATAATTTACCTGAATACCATGATAGATAATAAATTGAGATCATAACAATCAAAATATTGCCAATTATTGAATATCTTCCATATTTCAGATATTCTATTAGGCAATTTATTTATATTAGAATTCAACTCTCACCATAACTCTAAGAAGTAGATATTATACCAAATTTGTATATGCTTAAAGTAATTGTTATTGTTTTAACTAGGCCACTCAAATTACTTCAAGGGAAGAGTTTTCTAAAGAATAATCGGCCGGGGGCGGTGGCTCACGCCTGTAATCCCAGCACTTTGGGAGGCCGAGGCGGGCAGATCATGAGGTCAGGACATCGAGACCATCCTGGCTAACATGGTGAAACCTCGTCTCTACTAAAAATACAAAAAATTAGACCGGCGTGGCGGCGGGCCCCTGTAGTCCCAGCTGCTCGGGAGGCTGAGGCAGGAGACTGGCGTGAACCTGGGAGGCGGAGCTTGCAGTGAGCCGAGATCGCGCCACTGCACTCCAGCCTGGGCGACAGAGCCAGACTCCGTTTCAAAAAAAAAAGAGAATAATCAAGCTGGGTGCGATGACTCACACCTGTAATCCCAGCACTTAGGGAAGCTGAGGCAGTAGGATTGCTTGAGGTCAGCAGGTGGAGGCTGTAGAGAGCTATGATCACACACACCACTGCCCTCCAGCCTAGACTACGGAGAGAGATAAGCTCAGGTACAGCTAGTAACTAATTTTACTGAAATTTTCATAATGCCCGATTCTGGGCTGGGTGTTCTGCATATCTTTTATCACTTATTCCTCACACAGTCCTATGAGGCGTTATTATTCCCACATTTTAGACAAAGAAACTGAGGCTTAGACAAATTTAGTATCTCACCCAAAGTTACACAGTTAGTCGGTGTGAACATAAACCTTTCTAATTCTAGTGTCAAACTGCTTTGCTACTATGCTGCACAGTCTCTCCAGTATATCATGGAATTTAGTACATGATAAAAGTAGCATTTTAAATCAGCCAGTGGAAAAACAATACATTATTCAAGAAGTGGTGCAGGGCTAACTCTATAAAATTGTGGGAAAATTAAACTGAATATTTAGTTCAATCATACAAAGATAAATTCCAGAAGGGATCAAATATATAAATATAAAAAATGAATCCATAAATATCCTCAAAGAAAATTAGCATGGATATTTTTATATTCTTGGGAAGGTTGCTCTCAGTATGACAAGAAGACCAGGAATCATAAAAGGTTGATAAATTTTGACTATGAAATGTCTTAAACTTTTGAATGCAAAATATATTTTAAACCATTTAAAAGCCAACTAGCATACTAAGAAAATATTCACAACATATATGCTAAACAAAATATTAATGATCTTAATATATACAGAACCCTTTAAATCAATAAGAAAGTAACACTCTAGTAGCAAAGTGGTTAAAGTTTATGAACAATAACCTCACAAGAGGAGAAACACAAATAGTCAAAAAACATTGTAATGATTCAAGGAAGGCAAATTTAAAAAGAGAGATAGCAATTTTCACCTCTCTGACTGGAAAAGATTAATGCTTTGTGTTAACAATGGTTTAGGAAAGTGAATAGCTCATAATGTAAATTGCTAATCATATCATTGAATCAACAATAAAAAAGAGTGGGCACCTTAATAATAATTCCACTTTGAAAATTTTAAATTATAAAAATAGACAAAAATAAATCTATAAGATATATATATATAAAATACTCAAATAGATTTATTTCAGCGTTATTTATTGTAGAGGAAAATTGGAAAAAACATAAATGTCTATCATGAAGACATTTCTGTTAGACATTATAGTATATGGATACAGTGGAATACTATGAACTATTAGAAATAATGCTGCAAAGCTATATTTATGAGCATGGAAATATGTTCGTGACATTTGAGTCAAAAATGCAAGCTACAAACCAGCTGTGAAAAATCATATGTGAATACCAAAATATATCTAAAGAAAAGCCCAGATGGCTAGTCAATAAAACAATCACAGCATTACAGTGGTTTTTATTTAAAAAAATTATTTATTGTATTTAAATTTTGTGTTTGTTTGTTTTTTGATGTCTTATGTTTACCATTGGAAGAGTAAGAAAGCTATTTTCCTTGTGGGAAACTGCTGGAAAGACATTCATGCATGGGCTGGAACTAATGAAGTGGAAATGGAAAGGAGGCAATGCTGAGACCAGTACTGCCCAGGCTTCCTTCAGGCTGTGCAGTCTTGGGCCATCTCTGCTCCTGCTGGGCAACCACTCTGTCCTCTTTTTTATGGCTCACATATTTTGCCCTAACGTTACTTTGGCTTACACATGGCTTTGGCTGGTCATGATCCACAGCATCCTGGTGCCATTTCAGAATTTATGTTAACTGGCTCATGGACTTAACTGCTCTCTGGGAATTTCTTCTTACTTAAAATCACTGAGAAAAGAAATCTGAATGATCATAGCCATCATTTTTTCCCTTCAATCTAGGCCACATCAAATGTTATTGGAAGGCATATGACTTAATTATCCTTGGCTCAGGTGCTCAGTTCATACAATTACCTGAGGCAGATTAGAGTATCATGATACCCAAGTCACCCAGGCCAGCTCTCAACCAGGGGCTAGGATCAAGGCCAATGCCCTTACAATGGCTGTCTAGAAGGCAAGCAGGAAGAAATGATCAACTCTCCATACACTTGGCAATTAAAACTATCATGTAGTGACTATTGTATTTACTTCCTATGACTATTGATTTAACAATTTTAAAAGCTGGTAGTACGCACAGCAAAGGAAATAATCAACTAAATGAACACACATCTACTGAATAGGAGAAAATATTTGCAAACTACCCATCTGACAAGGGATTATTAACCAGACTATATAAGGAGCTCAAATAACTCAACTGCAAAACAAACAAACAAACAAACAAACAAAAAACCCACAAATAGTCTGGGCGCAATGGCTCACACCTGTAATCCCAGCACTTTTGGAGGCCGATGGATCACTCGAGGTCAGGAGTTCAAGACCAGCCTGGCCAACATGGTGAAACCCCTTCTCTACCAAAAATACAAAAATTAGCCAGGCATGGTGGCAGGCACCTGTAATCTCAGCTACTCAGGAGGCTGAGACAGGAGAATTGCTTGAACCCAGAAAGCAGAGGTTGCAGTGAGCCGAGATTACATCACTGCACTCCAGCCTGGGCAACAGAGCAAGACTTTGTCTCAACAAAACAAAACAAAAACCCTCACAAATAATCTGATTAGAAAACGGGCAAAAGATCTGAACAGACCTTTCTCTGAAGAAGACATACAAATGGCCAAAGGTATATGAAAAAAATGCTCAACATCGCTAATCACCAGAGAAATGCAAATCAAAACCACAATGGAATATCATCTCACCCTAGTCAAAATGGCTTGCATCAAAATGACAGGCAATAACAGATGCTGTCAAGGATGTGGAGAAAGGGGAACCCTTGTACACTCTTGGTGAGAATGTAAATTAATATAGCCACTGTGGAGAACAGTATGGAGGTTCCTCAGAAAACTAAAAATAGAAGCACTGTATAATCTAGCAATTCCGCTACTGATTATATATCCAAAAGAAAGGAAATCAATATATCAAAGAGATATCTGCACTCCCATGTTTGTTGCAACACTATTCATAATTGCCAAAATATGGAATCAGCTTAAGTGCCCATCAGCAAAAGAATGGATTCAGAAAATGTGGTACACATATACAATGAGATATTATCCAGCCATAAAGAAAAAGAACAGAATCCTGTCATTTGCAGCAACACGAATGGAACTGGAGGCCATTATGTTAAAATAAGCCAGGCACAGAAAGACAAATATCACATGTTCTCACTCACATGTGGGAGCTAATAAAGTAAAACTTATGAGGATAAAGAGTGAAATGGTGGTTACCAGAAGCTGGGAAGGAGACAGTGGTGCATGCAGGGAGCAAAAAGAATATAAATGATTTTATTACCACTGAACTGTACACTTAAAAATGGTAAAGCCAGGCACGGTGGCTCATGCCTGTAATCCCAGCATTTTGGGAGGCCAAGGCGGGCAGATCACTTGAGGTCAGGAGTTCAAAACCAGCCTGGCCAACATAGTGAAACCTCTTCTCTACTAAAAATACAAAAAAATATCTGGGTGTGGTGGCACGCGCCTGTAATCCTAGCTACTCAGGAGGCTGAGCCAGAAGAATCGCTTGAGCCCAAGAGGCAGAGGTTGCAGTGAGCCGAGATCGTGCCACTGCACTCCAGCCTAGGTGACAGTGCGAGACTCTGTTTCAAAAAACAACAACAACAACAACAACAACAACAACAACAAAGTTGTAAATTATACATGTATATTTTACCTCAATAAAAAATAAAAATAAAAATAGTAGTGGGGAAAAAACACGGAAAAACAACAGAATTTCCACTGTGTAACTGTAACATCAGAAATCTGGAAAGCAGTGGAAATAAGACCATATTAAACAGGGCAACCTATTTTTCTCAGCTTAGGAAAAGTTAGGCATTGAAATAACCAAATAACAATAGTAAATTTGACCTTCAGGGGCATAATAAATACCCACACCATTGAGCACTCAATGCTGTGCATTTTTAAAAGCCATTGAGAAACCCTTCACAGCATAGGCAATATGATACATTTTGGCTTCAAGAAATGTAACATGTAAATCTTTATGAAACTAAACATCAAAGAAGATAGGAAAATAGCATTTAGGATTATAATTTGAATAATGTAGTCTACATCTTTTGAATAAAAATTTATAGCAAGATTAATTTTTCCATGTTGTACCAATTTAAAAGTTTGAATTACTTATACATTCTAAATGGCAATGATCTGCATTGTCCAATTATTATGACTTACAATGTGGCTCCAAATATCTTATTACAAGTCACAAATCTTACTGCTTCATAAACCAAGATAAGAAATTTAAGTAAAGATTTTGCCCCAATTTATAAATTTGATTATTTCCTTGAACAAAGCAAAATCAAATCTTGTATATTTATCCATGGTGCTAATTTGCATGGCCAATGTCAATAATGCTGGGAAAACTCCCTCATTAAATAGAACAAATGTAGACACTCCCTTATAAGGCCAATGTTTCAGATCAAATCTGAGAATTAGATTCCATGACATTACTCCTTTTCAATTACATTTATAAAAGGTTTTAATGCAAGTAAACATTATACTATGTTGTCATTCTATTATTTCAAAACCATGATTAAAATTCCCAATGTGTCTTGGAGTATGCCAGCACTAGGGATAAAGATTAAAAGATACGACTCCTAATTTGAAGGGATTGAAGGTTTAGTAGTGGAGACAGACAAACAATAGATCATTACATTATGTGCTGTTCTAGAAAAGAGCTCAGAGTGTTACAGGAGGCCTGTTCCTTACTTCTCTTCTCAATCTACTTGGGAATCATCTATACACTAATATTCTTGTGAACATTCAAGTGTTTCAATATCCTGGTTTTGAGTGTCTTCTCCAGGTAGAGCTATAACACATTTTTTGGAATTAATACATAATCTACACACAAGCCCTTAGGCATAATTTCTATTGATATGAAACATGACTTCAAATTCTTGCCAAACAATACTTCTGTAGTGTTTCTTGCTCGATGAGAACTGTTGTATTGAGTTCTGACAGCAATAAAGGTGTTTCATCAATCCATCTCATGAAATAGTGGTACCCATCTAATGCAACCAACCAAACACTTTATAAAGTTTAATATTCTCATTTCATTTCCAAACACTCACTAAATACATGGGATATTTTTTTAACACACACATTGTTGATTTTCTGTGTAGGGTAAAAAGTATGTGCCTTATTCAAGTAATTGGTATTCAATCTCCTCCACTCATCTTGTTTAAAATTCCTTCTTTTCCCTACTTTCTAATATCAACTTACAAGTCATTTTGTAGTGCCTTGGGTCGTCTTGTTTTGTAGATAAAAATCACTTAATACCAAAGGAAAAGAAAGGAAAAAAAAGTGAATTGATATATGAACTAAACATTTCCTTGATGGGCAATGAAAAAAACTAACGAATTTGCTTGATGATCCGTTTCATTTCCTAGTTATACAACTTAGAAAAAGATAACCTTCCAAAGAATCCATTGAGAAAGTGCTCTTCTAGCCTAATTGTGGGATTTAAATTTCAATTAAAATTGGACTTTTCTCCACTCAGTCTGCAACTGAGAATGAGTCTGGAATCTGTCTTTTTAAGGTGGGACTATAAGCCAGCAAACTCACCCTGCAAGAGAAAAATGGGAGGAATGAAAATTCTCAATCTTCAGAAAATGTGTTACTATGCTTTCAGACAAATATCATAGAGAAAAGGTACATGATGTCTTCAAATATATAAAAATACAGTTTATAGCCACTTGTTTCAACCCAGATAATAGAAATCTAGTTAGACCATGGAAAATAAATAGGTTTCTTTCAGAGAGCAAAATGCTGAAAGAATGTGAATTATTAGAGAATTCAAAGCTCAATATTAACTTCCATGTTGTGACTTGCATAGTAGATAAAATGCTCCTGATTTGCATGCAGATTTTTTTCTTCCTTCTCCTTCTCCTCCTCTCTTAAAACTCCTTTTGGTTTGATGAGAGAATGTGAGAATGAGTTCATGGTTTCAACTGTGCTCCGTGTCTGCCCTTATTTTGTTTTTAAGCCTGGTTCAATACTCAATTACCCACCAGAAGGAAGGTTGGTGTCTGATTAAAATAGTCTCATCACTAAATCTTCTTTCTAAATGGAATTGTTATTTGCTGACTAGAGTTAGTTACCATCATCTTCAGAATGAATGAATTCTTAAGTATTCTGATTGGAAACCTAATAAGGTAGAATAAAAATATCTTTGACCTACATGTTCCTCTGAAACATTTTCAACTGCATTGACAGGAAGTGTAATAGCAAATTGAATCAGTAAAGAAGTTCTTACAGGGAGTTTAAAAATGTTTACTAAGGCCCAGCGCCGTGGCTCACTCCTGTAATCCCAGCACTTTGGGAGATCGAAGTGGGCGGATCGCTTGAGGCCAGGAGCTTGAGAACAGTCTGGACAACATGGTGAAACCCCGTCTCTACTAAAAAAATACAAAAATTAGCCAGGCGTGGCAGTGTGCGCCTGTAATCCCAGCTACTCAGGAGGCTGAGGCAGGAGAATTGCTTGAACCGAGGAGGCAGAAGTTGCAGTGAGCTGAGATCACGGCACTGCACTCCAGTCTGGGTGACAGAGCAAGACTGTCTCAAAAAAAAAAAGTGTTACCTAAAGCCCTTGGGAGGGGAGGGTCCTGGGTCCGTGGTCCTCAGATCCGTTGCTCACTCTTGCTGTGCTGTGCTCTGCTCCTGACGTTGCTCCTGATACTTTTGCAAGCAACATTTCCCGGGTGCAGATATCAGCTGGCTTCCAGCTGGGCTCGACCAATGGGTGGCTATGATGAGATAGCTGAGGGCAGGAGAGAAAAGCCAGGGTGATTCTCAGGACAGCTCTCTGCCTCTGGTGGCATCTTCAACAATGACTGCATATCCTCCATGGCTCTAGCTCCTATCTGACTTGCCTGCTATTATTCCAGCTTCTCCTGAATAGTCTTGTGGCCTGGCTTCTACAATAGCATCTTCTTTGTCTATCAAATCAAGGACGTCCTTTTTGTCACTAATCTCTGGATTTCCTCACTGTCCTCAGCATGGTTTCTCAGGTTCTTTATCATCTGTGGAAACAGTTCCCTGCATTAAAAATCACTCGAATTAATTTCTTTTTTTCCTGGATAGAACTTCATTGATGTAGCTTTCGTTTGTCTTGTTGAACAAATATCCCAGGGTTGCATATTTCAGGGAAAAAAAGGCTAGGTTATACCAACAATATTGGCCGAATATTGCAAATACTCAAATCAATTCAAAAATAATAAGTTTTTTCCTTCCTAATACTAAACAGTCAGTTTAATATATCTCTTTTCTTGAATAACTGAGTAATTTTTTGATTTGCGTTGGTGTAATTTTATACCACAGTTGCTGTCTCCCCCATAGTTACCAAGGGCAAGTCTACTCAAATCACAGAATTTGGAATGAATGCCTGCTTAGCTGTCTATAGCTTCCTGGGGACTTTTTGGCCTCGATCATACCACTGGACATATTGCATATACAAATGGATCATGTTGGCTGTTCAACAAATTTGAAATGGTGATATTTACTGTGAGTTTATTAAGAAAGGGAGGGAGAGGAGAGGAGATGAGAGAGAGGAGAAGAAAGAAAGGGAAAAGAAAAAATGCACCTTGAAACACATGGGTGTTGTGAAGCCTGGCTCCATTAGGAACTTCTAATTTGGGCAAGTCATTCTGCCACTTTGAAACTCACCTTAACACGATGGAATTCGCATGAGTTCAGATAACTCAAAGTTCAGTTTAAACACTAAGGACTATTTATTATCTCAAATAACAAAAGCTCCCACGTGGAGCTGCTCCAAGTTGTCCAGGTTTGGTAATGCAGAACTCAGTGGCATCACTAAAGTCCAGGTTCTTACAATTTATTCTTTGCCCCCCTGAACTCTCCTGCAGTTACAGAGTTCAAGGCAGCACATGCAGCTGAGACAAAATTGAGCAGATGAGGCCATACCTTCTTTGAGTCTCTTTTTTATGAATGTAAGACCTTTTCCTAGGACTACTACAGGTGACTTTTGAAGTTGGAAAGAATAGCTCTGAAATTTGGACATATTTTAGAAGTAATTTTAATTGTTACTTTCGATGATCGATCATAGGGAATAAAAATGGTATAAAAGTTTCCTATCAAAATCAGAATTCTCAGAAAGCATACCAAGGAAAACACACCTTTCTATTTTTAAACATGGATTCATACATAGGAAATGGTTTGGAATTTTTTCCCCTGTGGGAAATATAAATAATTACTAAAGTTTGATGAGCACTTACTATATGCCAGGCACTGGGGCAAGCACTTTAATTGCTCCTTACAACTACTCAATAAGATGGGTACTAATAATATCATCTCATTGTGCACATGAGAAATTTGAGGTACTGGGAGGTTAAATAATTTTGCCGCTATCCCTCAGCTGTTAAATTTGGCAGCAAACCAGGATTTTTAACTCAAGGGGTTTAACAGCAGAATCCTTGCCTCCAAAGCCACAGGGAGACCAATAGACTTTTATCCAGAATTCACCCAAACAAAACTGTCAGGACATTATGGATTTTGCAGTAGTTCTTTGCAGCTGCTTTGAAATATCATGATTATTAGGGGCTTTCTTCAAAAATCCATTTGCTTCTAGCACGTACAAAAGTGAGCACAGTCATCGCTTAGTATACTCAGGAGATTGGTTCCAGGATTCTCTGTGTATACCTAAATCCTTGAAAACTCAAAGTCTGCAGTCTGCCCTGCCAAAATATAATATATATAGGAAATGTCAGCTTTTGGCATATGCAGGTTTTGCACCCCCTGAAACTATATTTTTCCCTCTGTGTTTAGTTGAAAAAAATTAACCTATAGCTAGACCCATACAGTCCAAACTCATGTTGTTCAAGGGTCAACTGCGTATATATTTTCAAAATTCCCTAATTTAGTATCCACTCACATTGTTCTTTAGTTCAGTGTTTCTCAAATGTTAATGTGCCCAGCAAAAACCTGGGGATTCTGTCAAAGGCAGATTCTGATTCAGGAGGTGTGAGGAGGGAGCTAACAAGCTCCACAGAGATGCCCATGCTGCTGGTCTGAGGATTACAATCAGAATAGAAGAGCATTAAATGACCTTTTATATGGTGGTGGTGGTGATCTTGCTATGTGCTAGAGTCAGCTTCTACTGGATTGTGAGAGCCAATTGCCTAATTTTCAGGAGTCTTGGGAGTTTGTTGTTAAGCACAGTCAATTAACAATTAATTTATATAACCTGACAATGAAGCAAACTGTATTAAAAACAAAGGCAATAAATGCTCAACCTCATTACTTACTAATTACTTTACTACATTTCTCAATTACTGACATTCTTGATGCCATTACATTGTGTCCTACTGCACGGTTCTTCCCAACTCTGCATTAAGTGATGTCATATTGAAAGCCTGAAATTGATCATGGTGGGAATATTTACGCCATGAAAATGGGAAAATACTACATGTCACAACTTTTGTCCCCCCGCCACCCCCACTCCGTAGAGAGCCTGTTGTTAAAACATTTATCGTCACACTCCTCTGGTGAACCTATGTTGCATTTATATCTTAGGTTTACTGATTTTTTTTTTTAAAGCTGGTTGTTATTCCAAAACACAGAACTAGTTTCATGGAGCTATCTTTGTCTGGGTCTATTTTATAGACTGGGTGAGAGTGTGAGGGAAGGTCTTCGAGTTTCAGTTTGTGAGTTAGCTGAGTTTTAGCTCCTAGGCGTACATATCAGTGTTCTTGTTTTGGGAAGGAATACCCTTGGAGCTCATTTGTACACGTCTTTCAGGCTAGTTACTCAAAAGAGAGAAGAGAGTACAGCCTGTGTATGCTCACACATAAGTTGCTATATATATGAAATGTCAACTTGCTCTATTGTTTGGACTCGACCATCCCCTCGTTACAGTCATTTGTTCTGCGTGGTCTGGGCACAGTTTCATATTTTGCTTTTGGCAGCTGAGAGCTATTATTGGGCCCCACAACATCTGTTTCAACAACAGAGGGTCCCTGGTCAGAAAAACTAATTAAAAAAGGAACCCAAAACAAAAAGTCATAACTTATGTTGTACAGTACATATAGAGTAAACATGGTTACCAGCAAAAGAAAGAAAACCCTTTCATATGGTTGGAGTTATTTACAAAAGTACGACAAGCGATGAAAGACTTGAGCCATATTTTGGGTTTGAGGCTGCAGGAGAGGATGCTAACTAGCCAGCTTCCCTGATGTGGGATGCTTTGCAAGGGCTGTGCTAATTGGCAAGATCATTCTCTGGTATGATCAACTGTATGAATAACAATATATAATGGGTTCCAAAACATTCACTCAGCCCTTCTGATTCATTCTTCCATCACATTTTCACTCATCAAGATATAAGTTCAAAGTCCTGGTGATTTCCTGGAAGGCTGAATTGTTTTTCCTAACCTGGCAGGAGCAAGGGCAGTGGTGTTTACATTGAGCTGATGAAATGCAAGTAATAGACAAAACATAGAGAGATGTGGGACCAGGAACCTGTAAAAAATCCATCTTTTTTTTTCCTTCAGTTTGCTTCCCAAGTTAAAAGATAATAGGAAAAAACTCAAAACCTCTTTTCTTCCTTTCACATCTAAAGGAACATGCTTTCTACTCTTTTATTATGAATAGAACCTCCTCAGTGATGATTGAAATGATTTTTGTGTGTATGTACCTGCTTTTGAGAAACAACCTTCTCCCTCTTAAGACTCTGAATATTTAGAAGCAAATCAATGACTAATGCTAAATCTAGCGTTTAAAAAAAATCATCAATAAATGTTCCTTCTATAAACATTTTCTTTTCTACAGGGGCTGAAGCAGGGTTAGGCCATGTTGGCAATTGTGCTCAATTCTATTTTCAGCCTCTTAGCCTCACAGAACAGCTGCACAAGTGCTGGGACCCGTGGGGAATACAGTCCACCTGGTTCCGTACTTTCCTTCCCACCCAGATGAAAATTTTAGTCTCTTAGTTGCTAACAAGACAACTACCCATTTCCATGGTTGACTATCTCTATCCCAGATACTTTTGAAACTGGGTATGCTACTAAGTTAATTTAGTAGTGGCATTTCACACTCATTTTGTGTTTAATGGTGTGAATCAGTGTGATTCCAAGGCAGTAGTGCATGTACATTAAGGATGTAGGCTGTAGCTAAACTGCATGGGTTTGGGTCCCAGGTCTGACTCTTACTAGTTGTGTGACTTTGGATAAAATGCTAATTTGTTTGTTGTTTTAATACAATCAGTGATATAGAGCTTGCACTATTGTATCATGCACTATCTAAGGACCTTATAGATAGTAACTATCTATAAGTGAATGTCACATTCACACCCTGGAGAGAGACCTTTGATCACTCTCCATTTTTCACATGAGGAAACTGAGGTACAAAAGATAAAGGGCATATTAACTAAGAATGTGGGCTCTGTAGTGTTGTTACCTGAGTTTGAATTCTAGATTTGCCACTTCCTGGCTATGCCTAACCTCAGGCTACAAAATAACAGATCATACCCACCCTACTCCCATCATTCTATTCTTAGAGGGATTTTGTTTTAAAATACCAACAAAATAGGACTGACATATGATCAGAATAAATAACAAACTCTTAGAATATATGTAGCTTTTAAAACAAACCACTACATTCTCCATGGTTTAAAACAAACCACTATATCTCACTAATGTATTTCTGGAGTATCACTGTTTCTATAATTAATACAGAGAGAAATTATAAGTGTATTTTTATAATTATTGGCCCAGTGTACTAAAAAAAAAGAAAAAAGGGAAAAAATATCATTCAGACAAAGAAACACAAAAATCTACATAGTCTTATTTGGGAAACTAGTAGTACATACTGCAGAACTTTCATAATATATTTGGAGAATTTTAAATTTAGTGATTCCAAAAAAACATGGATTTATGCCATAAATTACCTCTCCCTCAGTTCTGAATACTGCAGAGCACGTCTTTGAGCAAACATAGAGTATCTGGGACCACAGTAGTTCGCTCTATAGGTGTGCCAATCGGTAATGATCCATGGCTGCATACCCTGCTCTGTAATACCCCAGCCGTCAGCCAACCAGAAAGCCCCAGAGACTTCTCCGGCCATCTGAAAACACTGCCATTAGAGAAGGTTCTGCCTGGCTGTTTTCTTCTCTTCCCGGGAAATATGGCCAGATTATTGCTGACCTATCTGGAGGCAACAGGAACATGGTAATCTGTTCTTATTCTAATGGATCTTCCATAACGTTTCCCACAAAGAATTACTAACCATTCATGACCTTCATCAAATAACGGTAAGGCTGCCGCCTTTTCCCTCAGCCATCTTTCACAATCTAAAAATATGTCAGGGTAGAATAAACTTTGTAGAGTTTCTGTTTTTCTTTAAGAAATTGACTGAGATGCAGAAATGATCTTCTTCGCCAACATTCTTAGTATTGGAACTGATTTGATAGTTGTTGCATGTTAAATAAGTGGCATTTTTTATTCAGTCTCATTTAAAAATTGTACAAAACAGAGCAGATTATTTGTCACTTTTATTTGTCTACAGTTTTTTTAAATTTTTTAAAATTCACCGTCTTTGTATTTCTTGAATTATGCATTTATTCGTGGAGCCCTTTTTACATACATATTTAAAGGAAACGTGTGGGTTGCTCTTAAGTTCCCACTGTGGACATTCGATTGACATTTTTAAAAATTCCATTTATGCTTTGAGATTAATGGAAAAATCAGTGCTTTTAAAAACGATTTTGTTTCCAAGATGTTTGCCTGCCAAAATCTGAATATAATTTAGTGTAGGTAACTCAGAGTTATGTGTAGAGGGAGTTTGGATGAATGGTTTATCAGACTCACACTCTTGTAGCCTTTGGTTTTGTGTGTTGTAGAAACGGGTTGGCAAACAACAGGGCCAGTAATCATTCTGTGCATCTCTGGTGGAGTAATATAAGCAATAGTTCATGTTTTCAGTTTCCATGTTGCGGGTAGAGAGTTGAGAGCCTAACATTAACACTTCATTTTTAGACTACCTTGTTTTTACTTTGTTTGCTTTTCAGTAATAATTTTGTTTCATTTCTTTATACTAATTCATGACGTTTTGAAGAGAAGGAAGATAAAAGTGACAAATTCTTTGCTTCTATTGTGTTCTTTTTGATAATAGCTTTATTGAGATACAATTCTCTATCATACTTTAAAAATCTTTGCTCAAAGCATAACTTACTGCAGTTTGAAACTCCTGTACATTTAGCCAGTGATCTGTTCAGCTACCAGCTCTGAGATGAAAATAGGCAATAAGGCTCTGTTCCTTGGAGAACTTGCTTGTATTGAACCAAAATCTGTCTCTTTGACGTTTTGATAATTGGAACACCATGGAACAAATCTAATCCCTTTCTCACATGACAAACCCTTATGTGAAGGCAGTGATTACAGCTTCCTGAAATCCTGCCTTGAGGTTAAGAATTTCCAATATTTTTTGTTTGCTTTTTTTTTTTTTTTTTTTTTTTTTTTGAGACGAGGTCTGTCACCCAGGCTGGAGTGCAGTGGCATGATCACAGCTCACTGCAGCCTTGACCTTCCAGGCTCAACCGATCCTTTTACCTCAGCCTCTCAGCCTCCTATATAGCTGGGACTGCATGTGTGCACCACCACAGCCAGCTGATTTTTACTTTTTTTGTGGAGATGGGGTCTCCCTATGTTGCCCAGGCTGGTCTCAAATTCCTGGGTTCAAGCTGTCCTTCCTTCTCAGCCTCCCAAAGTGCTGGGATTACACAGGTGTGAGCCACCTTACTCAGCTATCCAGTAAATATAATTTTGACTACTGTCTCCATTCCTAATTATGGTCCTCTGAATTCAGCCTCTCTTACAGCATGGCTCCCAGAAAGGAGCACAGGACCCAGGAATGTCTGGTCAGAATAAAGCAGTGAAGGATTACATCTCCCTCATTCGGGGGTGCTAATTGTGTGAAGGTGCATGAATTCCTTTTGGGGAATGTTGAACTTGCCAACCATTTAATTAAACCACTAGATAGTTTTGTGTTTTTTTGTAAGCCATATTTTTCCTTTCCCAAAAATATTTTATTCTGTATCACTTGACTTGCTTTGTAGCAAATGAAAATTTGCTACAAAATTTATGAAAATTTTTGAAAATTACAAAATTTTCATTTGCTACCTTCATCACTTCATCCACTGATAAAAATATGAAGAACGACAGACTTAAGAATAGAGCCCTGGCCTCCCTCCACAGTGCTATTGCTAAGTGCTGATATTTCACTTGATTGGTAATCCACTTCATTGTAAAGCATCCAGGCAAGTTTTATCCATTTTGTTCATAGGATAATTTCTATTGTCTATGAGTTACCTCCCTAAGTAAGAAATGAACCTAGCAGGTATGATTTGTTTCCAGTAAACAGGCTGTTGTTTTAAGTCACTATTCCTGCATGGAACTCAATTTTCTTTCCCCATAAAATGAGGCAGTTGGGCAAGAACATTCCACCTCACTAATCACATAAACTTTAAAAATGAAGCCTGAAGAGGACCTTTTGGTTCTAGACCTTCATTTAAGACCCTGGGCCACCTCAGTTCCAGCAACGGTCCATATGCGTGGCCTTATTACTAGGGCTTTCAGCTTCTAAAATTCTGTAATGTTTACTTCTGTTATACTCAGTAGGAAAACATTTTAATCAGGGAGAAAATTGGAAAAAGAGAGATAATTTCAATGGGCTAAATTTGAATGCAACGCAAGGTGGTAATAGCAATTCACATTCACATTCCCATCTCAGAAATGTTGGAGGCCAGGCATGTCTCAAATTTGGATTTATATGACATCCTGAGGGAGCTATGAAATAAAACATTTCTGCCCAGAACAAACATTCATACAAAATGGAATAAATACAGACCAATAACATTGATATTTCTGCAGCAAAGCATGAATATTCATAGAAAGTAGAATAAAGACTGTAACAGCATGTCAGTTAACAGCAAGTTTGTTACCCATACTTATGAAAAATTTTCTATTTTCAGATTTTCTTTTGGATTTTAGAATTGTAGAGAAGGCATTGCATACCTATATTAGTAAAATCATTGGCACATAGTGTAAACAAAACCTCATCTTATTTATTGGTTTTTATTTTTACCAAAACAGAAAGATGGGAAATTGGGCATGCTATGTATCCATTTGATTTTATAAAATTCATCCTAAGCCTTCATATGAATTAAACATGGATGACACCAACTGACTGCCCCCCCACATAGAATTAACTACTTTCTCATTTGTGTTTCCACTGTATGCTAAACAGATTGTTTCATTCAATAAGCATTTATTGAGTCTCTACTAGGTGCCAAGCCCTGAACTAGGAAAATGGGCATATAAGAGTGAATAAGTCAGTTACTGATCATTGTCCTTATTGAACTCACCAGTGAAGAGAAATAGAAAGGCATAATGCAAATGTTTGCAAATTAACAGGGAGGCTTAATGTGGTCTTTTGGTTCAGGGAACTCCCTGAGAATAAGCATCTAGACTAAGACCTGAAGGATGGTGTGGTGCCAGCTGAATGAGGAGGGTAGGGGAGAGACATCACATATGTCCTGGAAGTGAACATATGGAATGGCACAGCTGGGAAGAATTTATTCAGTGATCCCAAAGGATCCTGTAAGGTTGGAGTATAGAGAAGAGGGAGAGTAGCTAGAGATGATGGGTTAGGGATCAGAGAGTGGAGGACCACATAAACCACATTAAAGAGTTTGGACCTGCTGGTAACCAGGTCAGTCTTCTCTAAAAATGAACAGTTCTTTGAGTCATGGATCATATCCTTTTCTTAGTTTCCAGAGCTCATCACAATGACTGGCATATGGTAAATGAATATTAATCCAAGGGGAGGAAGGATGGAAGCTAGAAGGAAAGGAAGGAAGAAAAGGAGAGAAGAAGGTGGAAAAGAAGAAGGAAGGAAGAGGAATGAATTTAAGAATGAACGATTCAATACAAACATAGAAGAAAACTTTTTTGAGTATGAGAGATGGGTGGTGTTAACCATTTAGAAAGGTGGAGAGGTGGTGTCTTAGCTAACGGTTTAGAATCTGGGTCTTTAAATGAAGCCTTAACTTATTCTTTACCCTCAGGCAAATAGCTTGGCTCTCAGGACCTCAGTTTTCTCTTCTGCAAAAAAGCTGTCATCTCTAGCTCTGAATGCAATAATTTTATAAAAGTAGCTTTCAAATGAATGTGGGGACAGATTTCTGTCATCCAGAGCACAATTGGTTGCAAATTGCAGTATGATTCTTGTGGATGCTCCATGTGAGGAAAGGATCATGGGAAGAGTCTGTATTCAGGAAGGTAAGTGCCCATATACAGAATCTAAGCTTTTTGATTCATCTTTGATTGAATATTCATTCTACTTCTAATAATATAGATGGAAGAGTTATTTTTCTTCAAATTTATATTCAGTAACACCCTCAACATCTCTCAAATTACTAGTGTCAGTTGAGACAAGAACAAAACAAGAATGTTAAAAATACCTTGTGTCTCTATGCCATTGCCACAAAAACTCAACAGCCAGCTTGCTTGCCGGCAAAGGCTTTCTTTTCAGGGAAGATAATTTGCATGTGGGGCTCCATTCAAGTACTTTGAAAATGTGTCCAAGGAAACTTAGCAATTGAAATGATTATCAGAAACTGGTTGTGTTTTTCATTCTAAATCAGACTGATTTCCAAGACACTCTTGGTGTGCTAGAGGAGGATGAAGAGAGGGCATTTGGAGCCCATTCTTAGTCTTCAAACTTTCAGGACACTTGAAATGTATTCTCTAGTTTGGCCTATGGTAACTCAGTCTGTTTCCCTGTTTCATTACTCCAGTGTTGGCAGGTAAAATGTATATTATATGGTTTAGAACTTTGAAGAACTTTTTGTGGGTGTCTATGCTTAAGACAATTTTAGTATTAGTAGACATTAATTATAGTCAGCAGTTTGGGGAACAAGCTAGGAATATATGGAGCCAGTGGGCTTGTTCATAATTTTTTAAAATTGGGGTTTTCTGCAGGGAAGATGCAAGAAAAGAGGCCAGATGGGTGTTATACAGGGACAGAGAAATCTCAACATCTTAGCATTTATGATGTTGTTGAAATAGTTAGCCAGTGAGGGAAGAGTGGAGAGGCTGAAGTCCACTGTCACCTGAAGGGTCTTGACCCAAGCTATGGAATTTTGGAGAGTTCTCTCCACACATCTGGGCCTCACAGTCTTCTGTTGTAAGATGAATGAGTGAGCCTGCATGAAGCCCAAGGCCCCTCAGTTCCGAAATTCTACAAGGTCAGGAAGACAGGGTGCTTTACATACAGAAATTTTACAATTATGCATTTGCTTCTGAGATAAAATGTCATGAAGATTCAAGCTTATTCTAATAAAAAATAGTGACGCTTTTTTATTTCAAGAAAGACTGCCAATTTCAGTCAAAGGAAAGTACAGTAGCTTCTAAATGGTTAACAGTCTTCCTTCGCATTTTGGGGAAGCTTAATGTACTGTTTACTTTCCTCACTGACTGTGCTTTAGACTTCAGAGTCCAAATGTGAATCGTTCCAGTTACAAACATATTTTACTGTTTTCCTTCATACTCACACTCACACACACATACACACTTCATACACACATGCATGCATATACATACACAAATTATATTTACATATTTATTTGAAACGTTTTAACTATTAAGAACTTATGCTACTTTGCAGCTTCAGGAACACTTTTTTTTTAGGTATTAGCATACATGACAATGCTTGCTATTCATTTATGGGAAATGAAACAGAAATTGGTACAATATGGGGTTTCTAGGAAATTTACTTCAGGAAGTCAGCCTTACCCAGAGTAAACTTCTGTCTGTTCATGTTAACACTTAACCTGAAACACATTGTCCAAGTCTGCTGGACTCAACTCAAGAATACAAGTACATATAGAGGTCTCAGCATCCCATAAAATGATTAGTAGCAATGCAATGTCTTTCTGATTTTGTTTGCTTTCTTGTTTTGGCACTTTACTACTAGTATGACCTTCTGCTTAGCATGGTACTACTCCAGAGAGGGTATCTTGGATCCCTCTTCTACAAAATGAGAGAAAAATTATACTCTGCCTACACAAGACAGAACCTGTACAAGAAAGATTTCAAAAATACTTTTCGCTCTCAGAAGAATGCGATGCATGAATAAAACTTGAAATTTGAAAAACTTTAATTCTCACTGATGCCCAACAGAATTTGATGTGGCTTAACGGAAAATCATTAACACAAGAGTAAGAGGAAAAGGACCAAGCCATGGGGGAGAAAAGAAGGGAATTTGTTGTTGTTGCTCTGTTTGTTTTGTTTTTTGTTTTGTTTTGTTTTGAAATAATTGAAGATCGAACATTGAATTTTCACCCCAGGGAATTTCTACATAATGACAAAATTTGTTTAATTGTGGGATTAATAGGGGGCTCAAAAGTCTTTTACTTGGAAACTGCTGAGCCTGGCGAGCAGTGACTATCAGCAGTTACCATCTGACAGTTATTCTGTGGCTTAAGGAAAATGGCTTGTGGTCGCAGTCCAATTCCTGCTGGACAGGTATCCGCATCATAAGAAACCACCACTAAATTTGGCACCTAGACGAACTATTATTGGCAGCAGAGAAAGAAGGCCTGAATCAGCATTCGGATTTGAGAGCCCTGACCATCTAACCTGGTCACTCCAGGTCAGGACTGAGAGTGGCGTGTTTGCAGGGTTTAAAGTGGGAACATTTAAGGGATTATTGCCTGATGCCATTTGACGGTCTATGAATAAAATGATTATTCAGATATCTAGCGTTTCCCATCTGGCACATTTTTATGTACTTAATTGCATCAAGAGAAGGAAACCCCCCGCCCCCTTATATTGAATATGATCTTTTATCAGCCTCTTAAAAAATACAAGCAGATACTGCAGGCACTATTACTATGTAACAGTGTATTCAAGTACTCAAGGTTGTTTTAAATAGTCATTGTGCTGACAGAGCTCACATTTTTACAGAATGACAAAGCGATGATGAGGAAAAGCAAAGAAATCCATGCCAAAGGGCCATTCAGCAGTGAAAGCATGGCTTTTAGTGAGCTTGCACGTTCGTAGGCAGTTTACTACTGACCACCTCAAGGGCAGCAGAGGCCCCATGGTGGTTCTATCCAAAGAGTGGAATTCTCAAGGCTTTATTTGCCTTAAACTTGATGTCCTAGTAGACCTGATATCTACTGCAGAGAAGTATAAATGGCTTATTCTTCCAGTAGGAGCTCACTTTGTTTCCTTCACTCCTCTATACCTGGTTGCTTTTAGTCAACACACAGTAAAATACACCCTTGAATGGAGAGAGTATACTAATGGATCAAAGGTGTTCCAAGGGCATTGCCACCAATATGTCAACAGTAGGATTTACCTGGCCCAGGGGGCCCGCCAGTCATTTAACAGGGTAGCAGTCTGGGGTGCCAATAGGCTCTGCAGCATTGTAGCTAAGGCTGACCTCAGTAGGGTGGTGCACCTCCTGCTGGTCAATAAATGAGGTAAATTTAATGGCAGCCTTTGAGGTGAACCAATGTTTTATTCCTTGGCCAAGGCTGAAAACGTGGCTGGCCATAAGGAGGAGAGGGTGATATTTAGGAGCGTGGAGAGGCAGGCAAAGTGCTCGTAAAGACCTTGGAAAATGCTTATAAACGTGGTTGAAAAGAGACAAGGCATTGGAAACAAAAGCAGATTTTCCAAACCAAATCTCTGAGATGCAATTATATATATTTTTTTTCTGGAAACAAGCTCTGGTTGAACCGTGTGGTACAACTGTTAACAGCCTTTTGCCAGAAGGAGTCAAGTAAACATGGCAAAGAAATGTTTTTCTCCTTTAGGGAATATTCACTTTTCTCTTTCCTATGACTTTTTTTTTTTCTTTTAGCCCTACCTGGAAATAGTTATAGTTGTTATAATCATATCAAACTAAATTAACGTAATTTAGAATAATTAAAGTTTTGTGGGTTTTTTCCTCTTTCTTTATACTGTATTTACTTAGTTTCTTTGCATAGTCAAAACTTTTGGCATTTGAAATCATTTAAATTAAAAATGTTGTAGATGCTTTTACAGTAAATCAAAGACAATTTTTTTTTACAAAGTTTCAATACACTTCCAAAGTCGCAGCAAGACGATAATTGTAAACAAAAGCAGTAGAACTGATGCAATTAGGGCAAATATAATCTAATTAATAACTTACCTGTAGATGATCGTGATTTGAGGGATTATAAGGACTCACAATAGTTAAAATATATTTACCTGTCATTCCATAACATTAAGAACCTACTTTCTCTCTCTCCCTTTTTTTTTAAATCTAACTTCTGACTTTCAGAGCTTCCTTTGTAAATGATTTTTAAATTGAAGGAAAGGGGTAGGAAAAAGCTCAGTAACCTTTTAATATTTTTTTATTGCTTTAATCTATACCTAGGAAATGTCAGGGTACACATTATCCAATATTTTCTGGGAGTTTTAAATTAGTCAAGTGCACAGGAAGCATTTGGTTTCCACTAAATACCTAAATACTTCCTCTTTTCTTGGTCTATTTTCTCACAATAATAGAAACAGAAGTCCTGGTCATTCGCAAAATCCTTCAACCTAAAGAAAGCTAGATGCTTTATTAGCATCTGATTAATACAGCTGCTTTTTAAAATCAACATGCTTATCTAAGCCTCTAAGATGCGATGAGTTAAAAGCTAAAATGGAAAAATGAGATTCTGGATTGCTTTTTTCCCTTGTAAACAGCACCTGGGCTCCTACCAGTCCCCACAGTTAGCCTTCTTACCGGTGAGGCCCCCATGATTAAGGCAGGTTTAACAGCTGCAGATGCCACCAGGGGGTGCCAAAGGACAGTACCTGCCTGCATAATAGGCTACAGGGCACTACAAAAGACTGGAAGAGAATTCCCTAAAGCTAGAAAATTAGAATGTAGACCCACCTTGGGCCATGATGGAGCATATTCTTATAATAATGTATTTGTTCTGAGAGGCTCTAATCACTGCAGATGGACAGGACCATTGCAATCATCTCAGAAACGTCCTCATTTTATAAATGAGTCTGCTGAGATCTAGAGAGATTGAGGATTCCTCCAACACCCATACTAGTAGACTGCGGCAGAACTGGGACCAGGACTGAGGTCTCCAGATTTTTCTTAGACCATCTTCTGCTCCAACCTGCTATCGCCCCATGATGAAAATGCTGCCAAGAAAATTCACACATTGCGTTTGACCCTATCCCAGGGTCCTTTTCAACACTTTGGCAGATGGAAAATGATCTCCTTCCCTGAACATCCAGGTTTTAATTAGTAGATACTGTGAATGTTCACTTCCCAATTCCTCCTTACAGATTCATATAGAAATGAACAGAATTCACCCCAAGAACTTTGTGTTCTAGTTAGGAAAACCTCATTCCTATAGGAGTGTTTTCTAACTCTTTCCTACCTACTTATCTCCATTTTCTAGTGAGTACCAGCCGCAGGATCTTTCTTATTCCTCTGATCAGGACACTGTTGGCCTCTTGTCAAAACTAACAGAATCACTCTTGCCAAAAAATACATTAGAAACTAATATTTTAAAATATATTAAAATGTCTGTGTTACAATGCATGCTAAAAACCCATTTCCAACCTATGCAGACCCAGTGTCTTCCAGGTAAAACCTATGTTCCCGCTTTGTGAGAGAGCCCCTGCTTTCTTCAAAAACAACCAATTTCGGGGCCATATTATAGATCTAGGTGAAGAGCCCACAGCACAACATAAATTAGAATTAGAATCATAACTGAAACCTTTTAGAGCGCCTATTGATTTTAACATGCCTGGTCCATAGAGGCAACCTCAGTGAGTCCACTTCCTCCTAATTTGACAGCTGCTCAGCTATGGCCAGAGCTTGGACTAATGAGGTTACAGCTGTCAGGGTTAATCAACAGATCCAAATATGAACAAGGAATTGGGTAGCTGGTTTCAGTTAATTTGTGCAAATGTACGGATTGGGTGGGCAATATTTACACTGGTGACTCAAAACAAACTTTCAGGAATGGAGCCAAAAATGATCTCACCAGTTCTCAGCTCTGCTCTGGAGAGATAAGACACAAATTACAGAAACAGGAGATGGAACACGAAAGAGTTCATAGTTTCAAACTACCCATGAAAAGCCCATTTATATCCAGCTTATTTCCCTCTTTATCAAGTATCTAATTTAATTTCTAATACTTGAGTTTCTGGTCATTCCACAAAAGGTTCTCAAACTGTCCCCTGATGATTCAGTGTGGGATGTGTGGGTCTTCTTCCCTTGCCATGGGACTTTATGTAACAGTCATCCCTCTCCCAATCTGCACACATATGAGAGCATCCAAAGTAAATGCCACAATCCCTACATGTCCATTTTGTTATGAAAACATCATTCTATTAATATAAATACAGACTGCATTTGCCAGAGCTAACTAGAACAGGTGCAAAGTCTTTAGATGCTTGCTTGCACTGAGAAATGAAAAGAGTGTACAAACAGTTTCTCTTGTGGTGGCACTGCTGGTGTCGATGTAACATTCATCTCTGTTGCATTCCTTGATGTTCATGGAAGGTAGCCCAGGAAACTCAATACAACCTGCTTGTAGGGTAGAGAAGGAAGAAGCAGGAAGAGAAAGATAGTGATGACATGGTCTCTAGGATTCTGTTTATGCAAATACTCTCCCCTTGATCTGGGGCTTGTGCGGGTTATGTATAGAGTACATTCTGTCAAATCTCCTGCTGAGAGTTAAGGGATGCTGCCAACATAAATATTCTGGTGATTCTGAATTTAGAAAACAGCTTAAAGGCTCCTGATGTTTCTGTTCTTCCTCTTCTTTTTTTTTTAATCTTATCCATGTGACTGCCACCGTGTTGCCCATGGTTTCAAATTTACTTTGTAGTTTTCCAAGCAAGAGAAAGTCATTACCTGAAAGGCACATGTGGGTTTCTGTCTGCATCATCATGGTTATCTCAACACTGCACTTCATTTTGTGGAATGAGAGCATTAAATGCATATGCCACTAGGTGGAATAGTCTTAATAAATACATAATAAATATTCTATGTGATGGTTGAGGATCTTATGTGCATGATTTTATATATTTTGGGAGTCCATCTTTAAAAGTGAGTTCCTAAGTGTATGTGTGTTAGTGTGTATTTGTACAGAATATATATATAATATATATACACACACACATATATATACTCTGCATACACATATATACATATATATGAAATCTTATATATAGTAAAAGCATATATTTAAACTTCTATATGTGTGTATATATATGAGTATATATATATACACTCTGTATGTATATGCATATATATATACTCTGTATGTATATGCATATATATATACATATACATATATATATATATACATATACATATATATATATATATACATATACATATATATATATATATATATACACACACACACACACTCTATATGCATACAGAGTATATATACAGGTTGAGTGTCCCTTATCTGAAATGCTTGGCACCAGAAGTGTTTCAGCTTTCAAGTTTTATTCAGATTTTGGAATATTTGCATTATACTTATCAGTTGAGCATCCCAAGTTCAGAAATCCAGAATCTAAAATGCCTCAATGAATATTTCCTTTGAGTAACCTATAGGTGCTCAAAAGTTTTGGATTTGGAGTGTTTCAGATTTTGGATTTTCAGATTTGGGGTGCTCAACCTGCTCAAACTCTTATATATAGTGGTTTGGGATAAGTTGTTGCCAATGTCATTGCAGCAGTAATGGTAGGAAGAATTCTAAGGTGGCCTTTCAGGATTTCTGTCCCCAGTGCATACTTCCTGTATACTGTCTTCTCCTTCAATGTGGGCAACTTGTGAATATGATGGGAGATCAATCCCAGAGATTATTCTAATTAAATGAACCCTATAAAAGAGGGACTGAGTGCTCCTTGAGGTTGGAGAGATGCTCATGCTGGATTTGAAGAAGTCAGCTGCTGTGTTGTGAGACTGAAACAGCCCTTGGGAGGACCACAAGGCAAGATCTACGGGAGCCTCTCAGAGCTAAGAGATGCTGACCTTGCATCCAGAAAGAAAGTAGAGGCCTCAGTCTTACAGCAGCAAGGAATTGAATTCAGTCAAGATCTTGTGAGTTTGAAAGAGGACATGGAGTCCTCTTCTATCCCATCATCTCTTCTATCCCATCTAGGGATGTTGACCTTGGCTGACATCTTGATTTCAGTGTGGTGAGTCCTCGGACAGAAATTCTGCTATGCTGTGTAATTATATAATAAATGGATGTTGCTTCAAGCTGCTAAGTTTGTAGTAATTTTTTTAATGCAGGAAGAGAAAACTAATACATTCATGCTCAGTACAAATGGTGTGTAGGTTTTGAACATCAACAGGACTGGCATTCTCAAGAGAGGGAAAAGTGTGTCCACATTGTGCATGCCACAAATTACCTACTATAAAGAACATCAAATTATAAATGGTAGTAGTGGTTGTTATATTCCTCTTCTTGTCAAACATCTCATTTTCTCTTCTGCCTTAGGGGAAGTAGCTAGTCCTTTGTTTTTCAAAAGGAACAGAAGTTTGTTTGAATTCTGATTTGGAGCTTCAAAACACAACATCATACATCAAGATGCAGGATGTGTTGTTCTGCGATTAAATAATTATTCCTGTGAGTTCCCAGTTTTTCATTTGCACTGCCTTCTAAAGAGGAGCCTGGCTTGTTAGCAGACTGCTCTTTTGGTTTAATAACTAAGAACTGGAAGGAAAGGGAAGGGAAAGGATGACAGGAGGCACTAATGCCAGGGTTGGGGGGATTTTGTTCTGAGAAATTTGTTGTAGGAGAATGAGAGTTCTTTCTGACCTGAAGGCAGGATTCCATATTCCTGGTGTTAGGAACATTGTCCTGCATGTAGTTGGTATTAATGTATATTTTTAAAATAAACTAAATTTAACAAAGACATGGATAGCAGGGAAAAAGGGCAATTTTAAAGATGTATCTCTGTTCTACAAATCCCCTTATGGTGTTAAAAATAGAAATAAATAACTGAGGTTATTTTGAAACTACTTTTGTGTCCTAAACTCTGTTCTTCGAACTGTATTCTGTTCACTGAGGTTAAATCTCTTTTGTGATACCACTAAGTCTGTACCAGGGAGATCAAAGATTTGTGAGCATGAATTGAGCACAATTTCTTGAGTGCTTCTGACATTCCTTGTACTGGGCCCTCAGAGACACAGTGATGAATGCAATGCAGGCCTTGCCTTCAGGGCTTCCAGTGCAGTCAGACCAGGAAATCAGTCCTTACTGTTGTTTAGGTCAGCAGGAGAAGGGCCAACCCATAAAGGCCCACAGGCTCTAGCAGTGGCCCTTGCAGCCATGCCATAGATAGGATGGTACAGTAGGCCTACAGCCCAGGCAGGTCCAATTTGCCCTCCTGAGCAGAAGTGAAACATAAGAACCAACCATCTTTCTCTTTACTGCAATGAATGGCTGATGTCCTCAGCCCTGATTTTATCCCATGATTGAGATATCCAATGTAATTATTAGTATTCTCAATCATATACAGGAATATAAAGACTTAATGAAAAAAGATCAGCATAGTTTTTATCTGGAGTGACTTTTCAATAAAGCACCAACATATAAAGCATCAGTAGTGACACATGGAAAGATAAAGCTATTTATTCTTTTTAGAATAATGGTTAGCAAACTACAGCCTGGCCAAAATCCAGCCATTCCCCTGGTTTCATAAATAAACTTTTATTGGAGCACAGTCATGTTCATTTGAAAACATAGTGTTTATGACTTTCATGATTCAATGGCAGAGGTGAGTATTTGAGGCAGAGACCGTTTTGCCTACCAAGCTTTCCTAGGCAAGAGCTTTAATCCATACCTTTCTGAGGTCAGTTTTGTGAAATTCATGTGGCAAGGAGTTTCCATCCTCACGTAGAGATGTAAATGAGAGGCCTTTAGTAAATAATAGAATTGAATAGAATTGGTTTGCCTGTGAATAAAACAAGGCATTTATTACGAAGATTTGGAGAAAGTTTCTGAAGGCCACAAAACCTGAGAATTAGGGCATGTCAATTATAATTCTTTCTGTGTGTGTGTGTTAAAAGATCACAATTACTCCCTGGAAATATGTTTACAGCAGCAATTCCCAACTGAAGGGACAGCCGAAAATGTTTGCAGACATTGTCACAACCCAGGGGAAATTGCTACTGGCATCTACTGGCCAGGGATGTTGCTAAACATATTACTATGCACAGGACAGTCCCCACAACAAATGTTAGTGTTGTGGAGGTTGAGGAACTCTGGCTCAGAGGTTTTATTAGCTTTTGAGGGCAATAAGAGGACTTACGCAATCTATTTATTTACATTTTGATGTAGCCCAATTTGCCTATTTTTTCTTTTGTTGCCCCAATAATTTTTTTTTTTTTTTTTTTTTTTTGGACAGGATCTCACTTGTTGCCCAGGCTAGAGTACAGTGGCACGATTACAGCTCACTGCAGACTCGACCTCCCCAGGCTCAGGTGATCCTCCCACCTCAGCCTGCCTAGCAGCTGGGACTACGGGTGTGCACCTTCATGCCCAGATAATTTTTGTATTTTTAGTAGAGACATGGTTTTGTCATGTTGCCAAGGCTGGTCTTGAACTCCTGATCTCAAGCGACCTACCCACCTCCGTCTCTCAAAATTGCTGGGATTATAGGCGTGAACCACTGTGCCCAGCCCACTTATCCGATTTAGATAGTCATGTAGGTAGAGGGAAAGAGCATGTCTAATTTGCTCAAGAAGAAGCCTATGAAACAGCAGAATCTATTCTACACCTTTAGAACCACCACTGATTTATTTGTGGGCAAAGAATGAATCTTCAGTTCCACCTATCTTTTGAAAAAAATCCTTGAACTTATCATTAACATTTATGCTATTAATAGTTTCCCTAGGGCTGCTCTGACAAGTTACTGTTCTACACACTGTTTGGTTTAAACAACAGAAATTGTCTCATACGTCTGGAAGCTAGAAGTCCAAGATCAAGGTGTTGGCAAGTTTGCCTCCTTTTGTGGGCTGTGAGTGTCTGTTTCCTGCTTCTGTCTTAGCATCTGGTGGTTGGCTGGCAGTCTAGCTTCTGCTGCATCATCCTGATCTCTGTCTTCTTTTTCACACAGTATGTATATGTGTGTGTCCCTGTGTCCAGTTTCCCCTTTTTATAATGACACCATCATGTTGAATTAGAGCCTACCCTAATGACTTTATTTTAACTTGATTCCTCTGTAAAAACCTTATCTCCAATAAAGCCACATCCTGCGGTACTGGGGATTAGTATTGTAACATCTTTGTTTGGGGGGCATACGATTCAACCTTCATAGCACCATAGATGATGACTATTTTAAAAATGGTCAGTTCAGTGGCTATGAATTTCTACAATTTACTGAGGGCCCACTTTCCTTTTGAGCATCTAGAAAGACAGCCATTTCAAAGAGATTCAGTGTGAAAGATTTAAATGAACTTCCACTGTCAAATAACATGAAAAGGAGTTTGCTTTCAAGCCATTCATGGCCCTTTTTCCATCACAAAAAGTGGCCTTAAAACTCTTCAGACATTCAACAAAGTTAGTGTATAAGCAATAAGGAATATAAGTTTGCTTGCAGAACAGCTACATTTGTCCTGAAATGAAAGATAAGCAATTTACTTTGTGTTTAAAGGGAGACTGAGTCTGGCGGTCCTGCCTACATTATTGCCTCCTCCCTGTTCCAAACGGTCTCACTCCAGCTTGTGAGCGCCTTTGGTGGTCAGTGAGACCATTAAACAAAAGAGCCCAATGTGCTGGCTGCAATCTGCCACCCAAAAGTGACCAGCCAAAATTACCTGTGACCTTTCCCAGGAGAGTGAGCCGAAAACCCTTTCTTGAAAGAGGGAGCAATAAAGAAATTTGGACTTAATTCTTTCATGGGTGTGCTCATAGGAATGTTCATTGGCGAGACACTAAGAATAAACTCAGTTATTGAAGAGGGAGCTGGGAAGTTGACAGGCATGGCTAAACCCAGCAGAGGAATTTGATGAGGAAATTAGATGCTGTATAGATGGTGTGTAGAGATTAGTCTTCTGAAAGCCAGGATTATTATATAAGTAAGTGGGGGAAGGGTCTCTGCTTTGTGACTGACAAATTCCATTTATACAGGTATTCTTCTAGCTAATTAGACCCATAATGCTGCATTTGTTTATACATTTCTAGCAAACCCTTTTCATGGAGTAGTTTAATGAGATGAAACACCAGAGGGGCAGCATTTTCCCTTCAAAACTAGATCTCAGCAAAAATAATTAAGATTAATAAAAATATGTAGCTAAAACCTGTCCCAGTAACAGATTTCTTTCAATGAGAGCAATACATTTTAAGCTGCATACATTCATTAATATTTGAATATGAGTGTGCGTATAAACAATGAGAACTCTAGCTATTTCAGGTAGGGCACTGCAATAGCATAACACAGAGAGAAACAGAGGCATAAAAAACCCTTCCCAAATGAGCATTTTTTTTTTTTTTTTGAGACGGAGTTTCACTCATGTCATCCAGGCTGGAGTGCAATGACGTGATCTTGGCTCACTGCAACCTCGGCCTCCCGGGTTCAAATGATTCTCCTGCCTCAGCCTCCTGAGTAGCTGGGATTACAGGTGCCCACAACCATGCCCAGCTGATTCTTATATTTTTGGTAGAGACGGTGTTTCACCATGTTGGCCAGGCTGGTCTCAAACTCCTGACCTTTGGTGATCTGTCCCCCTCAGCCTCCCAAAGGGCTGGGATTACAGACGTGAGCCACCGCGTCCAGCCACAAATGAGCATTTTAAAATCATATTCAGTGATGCATATCCCAACAGACCAAAACAGCTCATCTTTGTTACCTGCAACCCTCACACAATTGTCCATTTTAGAAGGTTTTTGTAATTCTGCTTTCATTCAAATGAACAAATGAGATGATCCATAGAGGGCTTCTTTTGCACATTACCTGGCATATAATAAGTGCTCAATAAAATTGATTTTCTCATTTTAATTGTATTTGCCCACAACTCCTGGCTGCCAATCCCATATACACACATTATAAGCAAAGATGCCAGGTGTTGGCTAAAAGTCGTGTAATTACACGAATCTCTACTGTGAACATCATTCAGCTCTGCTGGTGCTTTGCTTGGCATCCTCACGTGCAGCCAGACCGGTTGCAGATTAAATGGCTTGTTTACACTGTGGTAAACAAATTTTATATGTGGATTTTTTTTGACAGCCATTATGACCCTTTGTGGGAAAAACTCAACCTTACCAAGCTAAAAATTCAAATGACATCAAATATGGTTCATGTTTCAGATCATACAGACCAATTTTTCTGTCCAAAGCCAAAAGATGTAGGAAGAAGTATTTGCCTGCTTAACGTCACGCATGAAACCAGCAAAGCTACATCATTTTGGGACGTCTAAAACTGGTTCATTGTTGATTCTTTAAAAAATTGTGCAGTTCATCTGGTCTTATAGTCATGACTCTTAAAGAATGATTAATATTTGCTTTTGTGATTGTTTGTTTAAACAATGTATTCACCATGTCACTCAAAAGAGAAAAAAACATAGCTTACTAATGAATTAATTTCCTGGAGCTTAGTTAGGTAGTAAAGACAATTCTAATTAATCATTGGTTGCCATAAACAAGACATGCAGAGGTCTCATGCAGAGACCTCTCCAAGACTATCTGGGTTGAAACTGTATGTGATTGGCTTAGAGACCTTCACTGAATGATAGATGCCATCAACATCATAAGTAGATTTTCCTCCTCATTTCTAAATACAACCCAATATTTTGTTTATATAGTGAGAAATGAATCACAAATGAAAAAAAAAACAAGGAATTATTTACTAATGATGATGTGTTATTTAAAGGAAGTTAGGTTATTTAATGTAAAATATACTTGTTCAGCATACACATTTTACAAATGTATGCTACTTGAAGTAGTAATAGCATGCAAATTGCACATATTGCAAAAACTTCTAAGTTCTTTGCATATATTTACTCATTTATTCCTTAAAAAAATCTAATAAGCAAAAAGTATTTTAAGCCCATTTATCAGATTAAGAAACTGAGACCCAGAGAGCTTAAGTAATTTTCCCAAAATCATACAGCTAGTAGGTGGCAGAGGTGACTTTCAAACTCAGGCAGTTTGGATCCAGATCTCATTCTCTTAAATATCATACTACCTCTTAATGAAAAAAGAAAAAAAAAAAGAGAGAGAGAGAAAAAAGTTCATGATGGAAGAAAGATCTCAAAAGAAGAAGGCACTCAAATCAACTATCTAAACTTTTACTTTCAGAAACCATAAGAAATATTTGGGTTTAATAAATGCAAGAAGAAGAAAATAAATAAAAGAATAGAAATCAATGAAATTAAAAACAAAAAGCCATATAGAAAATCAATAGACTAGTTTAGACATGAAACCAGACAAAAGAGTTAGAGTCTGGATCTATTTATACATTGCATACAAACAATTGATTTTATTTTTGATTCATAATGTTGAAAATTCACTTTGAGGATCTTTATATAACTTCAGCCCTGATACCAGACCATCATATCTAGTCACTATATTTAGAAACTACTTAGAAGTTCATATTATAAGCTGGAGTGTTTCTTTTGTAACCCAACAATTTTACACTTAAATAAAAAGCATGTGGTTTGAATATGTATCAGTGTTTTGTGCACTCCCATTTTCATTTCACAGTGGTTTCACATACTGCTGAATTAGTTATTTTAGGCATAAAAATCATCAGCTTTTTCTGAAGTGAACATCCTGCCTCACAAAAGATGCAGAAGAAGTACAGTGCCATCGAATTAGTCACGGATGCTTGCTTTGATTTTTTTTTTTTTTTTTTTTTTGCAAACTCTGCCAAACCAGAACTGTTTCAGGGGTTCGTTTTACCTTTAAATGGAAGGACCAATTCCTAGGAGGAAATTATATTTTGCACATTAGGGTTAAAAATTATGTTTATTTTATTTTTGCAGCCAAAGAATTGCAACAAAACAGTTTTCTCTTTGCAGCTACTATTTACCGAGATAGCCTTTAAAAAGATCTCTCGTTTTCCTGAGAACTCTGTTATTTCAAGTATGTTTTCTTTCTCTATTTTTTTGCCAGCTGTGAAAATTTTTATAAAACAGCTCCAATATGAATCTTTTATGACTATTCTTCAGTCATCTGAGTTATACTGAGCATGTAAGACATAAGAGATACCCACTTTGGATACCAGTTCAGAGAGAGAGAGAGAGAGAGCAGCAGCATGCAATCCACACAAAGGAAACTCAATCCTCTAACAGCTAATTAAAAAAGCATTACTTTCCACCAGGCCTGACCTCCAGCCATATAAAGGATAAAGATGGCTGTCTGTCAATCATGTTTACCTAACAAATTCTGGCACGGGATCATGATGAATGGACAGATCTAAAAAGGGACGATATTGCTCAGAACTCCTAGGTACTCTTAATACCACCTTTAAAGAGGCAGAAGACCTCATCAGTAATTTGAAACCTCTGCCTCAGTGCTAGGGATACACCAGAGCTAAATTTGCTGAGGACCAGCAGATACTAGATACAAGAAGGTCAGTAGAAACATATTTTCACATCCTCAAGGATTTTGACGTAAGTATATTTAAGATATCATAATGACTTCATGCATCTGAATGTTTTCATTCAGATCTTTTTAAACCTTTGCAGTCACTTGAGACTAAGCCAAAAACCTAACAGTAGACTGAGTCTGTTCTTCCCTGAAGTTATCCCAAAATCAACCAGCAAGAAGGAATCCTTGAAATTATTTAGTCCATGTTCCTATTCCAGGCAGGCCAGCAATATCATTTTCTCTTTCAGCCATAAAAATGCTAAGAGAAGGTGAGTTCATAATTTACGTTGCTATGCTATTACAGAGATTGAAAGCTTTTATAGCCAAGAAATTTTTCCTAAATCTAAACTAGATCCTATCTTTTTAAAAACAACATTTCATTCTTTCCTTCATTAAACTTTTTTTTAAAGTAAGCTTTTAACATCAGCCATAAAATATTCTTCACAACTTTCCACTATGCAGACTACTTTGAAGAGAACTTTGGATAGAAAAAAGTTCACGCTAGGGAACACTAGCTGGCCCTGATTCTCTCCTGTCAGATAATGAATGGGATCATTATCGCCGCAGGTTTTCTAACCTGTGTTTCCCAACACAGCCCTGGCTACAGCTGGCCTATCCTTTGCATCCTTCGGGGCTTACCTTATCTACTTTAATACTGATTTTGGACCACAGCAAGGAAAAAAAATAGATCTTTTATCGTAAAAATGAAAATTTTTACTGCAACCTCCATCTCCCAGACTCAAGGGATTCTCCTGCCTCAGCCTCCTAAGAAGCTGGGATTACAGGTGTGCACCACCCCGCCTGGCTAATTTTTGTATTTTTAGTAGAGATGGGGTTTCACCATGTTGGCCAGGCTGGTCTCGAACTCCTGACCTCAGGTGATCCTCCTGCCTCGGCCTCACAAAATGCTGGGATTACAGGCGTGAGCCACCGTGCTGGCCATTTACCAGCATTTTTGAGCTCCAGATGCTGTATCCAGAGATCACATGGTGGCAAAAAATAAATTGACTAAGTGTGATGGTGGTATATTCTCATGGTTCTTACCTCTTGGGGTGCTATGTATACATTTTTCATTTATTTTAATTTATTTTGCTAACTCAGGTTGAGACTGTGGTCTATCATATCTCTTTTCTCTACCATCTTTATGCAGGTTGTTTTATTTCTCCCCTGAATCAGATGACAAATGTGAAAGTACTTTATTTTATAATTATCCTAATTACATATTATGATTTTTTTCACTCCTTTACCAAGCCCCTTCTCTAATGTATGCATATCCGTTCTCAACATTTTCTTGTTACGCACATATAGCTTTTGGAATGTATTTATAATTGCCCTCTAATTATTTAATGTAAGTTCGTCTTGTCTTTTCAAAGGCAAGGGGTAGTAAGGAATGGTAGCTGTACCTCAACCATTCCCTGAGGCAAGTTAACTAACTTCTTCATGCCTCAGTTTATCACAAGTAATATGAGGCATAATAACAATACCTTTACATAGGATTATTGTGAAGATTACAAAATTGGTGCAGTGCTTACAGCAATTTCTAATACATAATGAGCACTGTAAATATAGTTATTATGAAGAGCTAGTCATTCATTTAATGTTATAATAGTATCATTTGAAAGTCTAAGCAATCCATAAAAATGTGAGTCCCTGAAGGTAATCTCTATTTTTTGCTCAATTGCATTTGTTACATGTGCTCTTTTTCTCCCCTTCTGGCTGATATTCTAGCATTAGTAGTTATTCCTTGGTCAGGCACCCTCTCAGATGTCTGCTCCTTCATAATTTGCAAAACTACTTATCCCAGGTATCTCAATGCCTTTAGAGGACACACTTAAATCATTGTTCTTCAGAGTCCACTAATCAGACCTATTTTCCTCTGCTGATTTTTTAGATTTGCAATTCTATGAAAAGTATTACCAGGCTAATTTGGTTTATTGTTCTCACTCATCACATTAAGATTTTACTTAATCCAATGAATTTGCTCCTTATAAATGGAATTTGGGTAGCGAGTTTTATTATATTTTCAAACTTTGTCTATAATTTTAATGACCTGTTCTGTGTCCTTCTTTTAGCTGGCGAATATATCAGTGCCAACCTTTGATCTTTTTTCCCAATTGCTAATAAGAGATTAAGTTGTAAGTATCTACATATTCTGGTTAAATGAGATTATAGCTCCTTGTCTATTCTTCATGTCCACAAACACATTATTTTAGTGTGCAAAGAAATACAATGAGGATATTGGGGAATTCTACTTAGTGATATGAATTCACTATCATTTTGGGACTGTGTGTGTGTGTATCTGTGTGTGTGTATGTATGTGATTTCCTTGCCATTGCTGAGAAGGGAAAGATAATTTAAATAATTTGTGACATATTAATGATGCCTAGTTGAAATACATCTGTAACTTGTAATGTTTAATAGTGGTGAGAAAGTTTAATTTGCCCTCTCTTTTACCTGTTTTGTAAAAAGAAGACTATTTGAGTTTAGAGAAAGTGAAACACTAAGCAGAGCATATTATGTAGCTCCTTCTTTTCATTTGCTTTTCATGAGCTTCACCCTAAAATTCCTTTAAATGTCTGTCTTCATAACGGCTTTTGGCACTGTTTTTTTTGGGTGACCTAATGAGGAATGCAACACAAGAAAGAAGTGTAAGGACTTTGAGCCCTGCAGACAAATATCTGCAATCAATCATAAAATTTACAGCAGATACTAAAAAAGAGAAATGATTTTACAGAGAAAGGGTCTAGAGTGACATAATGTCATCATAGGAAAAGACTCTAAATGGCATTTAATTCCAGCGTACTCCAGAGGTGCAACTGATATTTCATAAATCATCTACATTAAAATATTATGTTAAAGGGCTATAAAGTGGAGGCATCAATGGATGTAATTTAAAGTGTCTGGTCTCAAAATGGAGTCACTCCCTTGAGACTGATAAGAACCATAGCTGTCTCCTACACAGAACTTCATGATAGAACTTTTTCAATCTCAGAATTACTATAGTAGAAGAAAGTGATTTATAGACCAAAAATCCGGGGAGTTCCTTTCCATATCATGCTGATTCCATTATGGTATGACTGTCCAACACTGTTTTGAAGGGGTCGGGGAGAAAGTAGACCAGTTGTCGAAGGTGAGTTTCCAAGGAGAAGCAATACTGTATGGTAGAAGTGAGCAGCCTACAAGGCAGCCCACGAATTGGCCATATAGGTACAGGTAACACATCATATGAAAAATCTTAAATAGATATTTCAATGGAGGCATCAAGACAATCAATGCCACAATTCAAAGAAAGTGATGAGACCATGAAGCAGTTTTCTTTTTTATTTTCATGGAAAATTTCGAGTACTTACACAAGTATGTTGAATAGTAGAATGAATCCCTTTGTACTCATCACTGGGCTTCAACACATAACCAGTCTTATTTTATCTCTATGCTTCTCCATCCGCTAGCGGATTGTTTTAAAACAAATTCCAGACATCATATCACCTCATCTGTAAATATCTTAGTATGTATTGCTAAAAGATAAGAAAACTTCAATGTTAAACATAGCCAAAATACCATTATTCCTCTGAAAAGTTTAACTGTGTTTCCTTAATATCATCATATATCCAGCAGTGTTCACATTTCCCTGATTGTCTCATAACTTTTTTATAGTTAGCATGTTTGACTTAGGATCTAAACAAAGTCCATGACTCATATTTGGTTGGTGTGTCTCTTCAGTTTCTTTTAATTTATAGATTTCTTTCCCCTCCTTATTTTTTGCCCTTGTCATTAATTTGTTGAAAAAACTGGGTTGTTTGTCCTGTAGTTTTTCACATTCTGGATTTTACTGATTGCATTCTTGTTTAGTATGTCCCTCTGCGTTTCTAGTAAACTGACAATATGATTTAGAAGCTTGAATAACATCAAATTTTCAAAGACTATGGGCAAAAACTAGATCTTTTCAATCTGTCACCCACATAGAAGGTAGAAAGAGTAAAGGTTAGACAGGATATTAAGAGAGGAAGTGATATGCTGTGAGTCTTCTTTCACCTTAATTCAAAAGGAAAGGGCTTTAATAAGACCCTCTCTGACCCCAGCATTGGGTCAGTATTTGGATCTAAAAAAAAAAAATTCTGAAAGATGAGTGATGGTTGGGCTAGCTACTTTAATTGTGGAGCCAAGATGAGGTAGCTCTGTTTAGATTTGCACTCCTGAAGTTTGTCAGACCAGAGAATGTGTGAGATCATCCTGTGGACCATTAAGTGTGAAACAGTGGCATAGATGATTTTAGATTCTAACAAGAAGGCTACTAGAAAGAAAGCACTGATGTCTATGGGCAGAAGAAGGAGTAAGAGAACAACCAGAGCAAAGATGAATTTGCCCTTGATAAAGGAACTTCAGGAAGAAATCAGAAGTCGTTGATGATCCTGTGGTTGTTAATAGGTAGTTCACCCAAAATCCGATGAAAACTCCCAGGAATGACTTGATTCTTGCTTACATGCCTTCAATACAATCCAAAATCATGGCCATGGACCACAAGGTGTTATCAACATTTTTACTTCAGCATCCTCCAACCTTCTTGGCTGTTCCTATAGTTTTTGCTCTATTTTATTTTAAGAAATACTTAGGTTGCTCCTTGCTTAGACATTTGGCCTTTGTTCTTGGCTCCTTGTAAAACTCTTTTTCTCAAAATCTTTGCATGACCTCTTCTAATCATTTGAGGAGCTTTCTACTCAGAAGTCACCTTTTTAGAAGGGCTCCATAACAATGATCTATAGCAATTCCTTCTGCACTTGCCCTAGCTAGACTCTATCAAGTTACTGTGCATGCTTTCTTAGTAGCACTTACCTATACCTGAACTAATGTTTAGTCTTTGGTGCTTCCCACCCCAATCCTAGACTATAAGCTCCATTATAGACAGGCAGTCTTGCCTGAATCACCAGCAGCTATGACAACAGTGCATGGTATGAATAGCTGCTTAAGAATTTTTTGTTAACTAATCCACTACAATTTTAACTTATCCTTATAGTTGAATTACATTTTAAATATTGATATCACTTCAAGCAGTGCTTTGCAAAATGTATTTAATGACTATCAAATTGATCTCTTTTGCATTTTACCCATTTCTTTAGTGATTTTCTTATTTTATTTAATTTTATCCACCCTAAGACATAGAATTTCAGAAATTGAGGAGAACAAAGTCAGCCCTCTTATTTTACAAACGAAAGAACTCAGAGAGGATAAGTGTCTTATTGAAAGGTATAAAAGATCCACTAGAGTTATGGTTTTTCCATCAAATAAACTATTTGCTATTTCTTCCATTAGTATTAGATTTGTTTTATTAACTTGATTATAAGCTTGCTGCTGACACACTGATTTATACATTTACCTAAACTTCCACAGAATCTATCCTAGTGCTGAGCATAAATGTGGTCTTCAAAAAATACAAGTTGCTTAATTGATTTATTGGAATATCAGAAGGACATTCAAAACAATTTCAAGAACAATTATTTGAAAAAAATGTGGCATTACCCAAATTCCTCCTTCAAACATTTGAATTTTATTACCATGATAATTATTTTAAGTGAAATAACATTTTCTATTCTTTCTGTTTTCATATGAATGTGTAAAGATGAAGTATTCAAGAAAACCTTTTTTCTTTTCAGAGATTTCTTTGCTATTTGAGCCATGGTTTTCCCATTTGGGGAAATAAAGGAAAACTAATTTAGAAAAATATTTTTATCAAAGGCTGTATAAAACAGCAAATGGTTTAACTAATTCTCTTCACTAAAGATGAATTTATTTTAATAAAAAGAGCATCAGAGTAAGAGTTGACCTGTAGACCTAGTTTATCCATGAACTAGTTGTGTGATGTTAGGCTTAATGCAAATTTATGTGCTTTTATTTTCTCATCCCTAGTATATCTGTGCAGAACTCAGTAGGTAAAATAAGATAATAAAAGTGAAAGCACTTTTTTGAAATGATAAAAGTCTATTGATGCTGAAGTTTCTATGTGACTGTAATGATTCCTCTATGCTGAGCAGCACAAAAGAAAAAAGTCACACTTCAGCAACTATCAACTATTTAGAATCATAGATCTCAGAGGGAAAAGGATATTAAAGGCCCCTCTCTGCTTAAGTGTCTTTTATAACAGGTTTCCTAAAGTGGAAATGTGTAGCACTGGTGGTACATGAGGTGACTTTAGATGGATCATGAGTGAATGTTTTACATTATGTGCTTATTTTAAAGAATTTTGGAAAAAAGGATAATATCAAGACATCAAACCTTTAATATGAAAGATATTACTGCTTTCAACATTAATGTATTTAAGCAAAGAAGGTATCATTTTAATTAAAAAAATCAAGACATAAATAGAAACTCATGATATAAGTCTTTAAATGACTAAAGCTTGGGAAATACTTTTTTACAACCATCTGTGAAGTATAATAGTTGCTTGGCCTCTGACAAACCAAAGATGAAAATCCCACTGCTGAACCAGGAAGCTTACTCTGTTTGGAAACCTCTGAACATCTGAAAATATTACTTTTACCAGTGTGAAATCCATCTCATTGTAGCTTCCAACATTTGATCTTGATCCTACAAATTGAGGACACCAAGAACAAGGCTAATTGTTTTTCCTCACTACAGTTCTCACTCCCTGTGGTCGCCGTACCATGATGCCAAGAATTGACAAGAACCTTTGTCTTCTACCCCAGTGTCCACCTACAGTGTCACTAACAAGGGCAGCAGGGTTGGGCTTTAATGATGCACGTTGGTAAAATTGGAATTGTTTTGGTTTCCTGACTCCCTCCAAATCTTTCTATATATTTTTATTTTGGCCAATTCTATTGGGACTGATAATTTTCTTTCTAACTTTAAAAACTTTTATAAATTGGGAGGAATTTGTAAGTTTTGAATTTGCTTACACTAAAATAGTTGTGAATGTGTTTGCTTTTCTAGGAGAGAAAGAGTCATCACAAATTTTAAAATGAGTTTTCTGTGAGATATTTTTCTCGCTTCCAAAATTACAGTTTGCTGTTTACCAAAGGTGAGCCAACTTGAGTATTTTCCCATCTCATTTTTTTCTAAACTTGGTTTACATTGGGACTTTTGTTTTCTTTCTTTTTTTTTTTCTGAAACGTTTTCTTTTCTTTTCTTCTTTTTTATTTTTAATTATACTTTAAGTTCTAGGGTACATGTGCACAACGTGCAGGTTTGTTACATAGGTATACATGTGCTATGTTGGTGTGCTGCACCCATTAACTCGTCATTTACATTAGGTATTTCTCCTAATGCTATCCCTCTCCCAGCCCCCCACCCCACGACAGGCCCCGGTGTGTGATGTTCCCTGCCCTGTGTCCATGTGTTCTCATTGTTCAATTCCCACCTATGAGTGAGAACATGCAGTGTTTGGTTTTCTGTCCTTGTGATAGTTTGCTCAGAATGATGGTTTCCACCTTCATCCACGTCCCTGCAAAGGACATGAACTCATCTTTCTTACGGCTGCATAGTATTCCATGGTGTATATGTGCCACATTTTCTTAATCCAGTCTATCATTGATGGACATTTGGGTTTTTTCCAAGTCTTTGATATTGTGCATAGTGCCACAATAAACTTATGTGTGCATGTGTCTTTATAGTAACATGATTTATAATCCTTTGGGTATATACCCAGTAATGGGATCACTGGGTCAAATGGTATTTCTTGTTCTAGATCCCTGAGGAATCACTACACTGTCTTCCACAATGGTTGAACTAGTTTACACTCCCACCAACGGTGTAAAAGCATTCCGATTTCTCCACATCCCCTCCAGCATCTGTTGTTTCCTGACTTTCTAATGATCACCATTCTAACTGGTGTGAGATGGTACCTCATTGTGGTTTTGATTTGCATTTCTCTGATGACCAGTGATGATGAGTATTTTTCATGTTGGCTGCATAAATGTGTTCTTTTGAGAAGTGTCTCTTCATATCCTTTGCCCACTTTTTGATGGGATTGTTGGTTTTTTTCTTGTAAATTTAAGTTCTTTGTAGATTCTGGATATTAGCCCCTTGTCAGGTGGGTAGATTGCAAAAATGTTCTCCCATTCTGTAGGTTGCCTGTTCACTCTGATGGTAGTTTCTTTTGCTTTGCAGAAGCTCTTTAGTTTAATTAGATCCCATTTGTCAATTTTGGCTTTTGTTGCCATTGCTTTTGTTATTTTAGTCATGAAGTCCTTGCCCATGCCTGTGTCCTGAATGGTATTGCTTAGGTTTTCTTCTAGGGTTTTTATGGTTTTGTGTTTAACATTTAAGTCTTTAATCCATCTTGAATTAATTTTTGTGTAACGTGTAAGGAAGGGATAAAGTTTCAGCTTTCTACATGTGGTTAGCCAGTTTTCCCAGCACCATTTATTAAATAGGAAATCCTTTCCCCATTTCTTGTTTTTGTCAAATCTCAGATGGTTTGTCAAATATCAGATGGTTGTAGATGTGTGGTCTTATTTCTGAGGCCTCTGTTCTGTTCTATTGGTCCATATCTCTGTTTTGGTAACAGTACCATGCTGTTTTGGTTACTGTAACCTTGTAGTATAGTTTGAAGTCAGGTAGGGTGATGCCTCCAGCTTTGTTCTTTTAGCTTAGGATTGTCTTGGCAATGTGGGCTCTTTTTTGGTTCCATATGAACTTTAAAGTAGTTTTTTTCCAGTTCTGTGAAGGAAGTCATTGGTAGCTTGATGGGGATGGCATTGAATGTATAAATCATCTTGGGCAGTATGGCCATTTTCACAATATTGATTCTTCCTCTCCATGAGCATGGAATGTTCTTCCATTTGTTTGTATCCTCTTTTATTTCATTGAGCAGTGGTTTGTAGTTCTCCTTGAAGAGGTCCTTCACATCCCCTATAAGTTGGATTCCTAGGTATTTTATTCTCTTTGCAGCAATTGTGAATGAGAGTTCACTCATGATTTGGCTCTCTGTTTGTCTGTTATTGGTCTATAGGAATGCTTGCAATTTTTGCACATTGATTTTGTATCCTGAGACTTTGCTGAAGTTGCTTATCAGCTTAAGGAGATTTTGGGCTGAGACTATGGGGTTTTCTAAATATACAATCATGTCATCTGCAAAGAGGGACAATTTGACCTCCTCTTTTCCTAATTGAATACCTTTTATTTCTTTCTCTTGCCTGATTTCCAGAACTTCCAACACTATGTTGAATAGGAGTGGTGAGAGAGGGCTAGTTTTCAAAGGGAATGCTTCCATTTTTTCCCCTTTCAGTATGATGTTGGCTGTGGGTTTGTCATAAATAGCTCTTATTATTTTGAGATATGTTCCATCAATAACCTAGTTTATCGAGAGTTTTTAACATGAAGGGCTGTTGAATTTTGCTGAAGGCCTTTTCTGCATCTATATTTGATAATCATGTGGTTTTTGTCTTTGGTTCTGTTTATGTGATGGATTATGTTTATTGATTTGCGTATGTTGAACCAGCCTTGGATCCCAGGGATGAAGCCGACTTGATCGTGGTGGATAAGCTTTTTGATGTGCTGCTGGATTCGGTTTGCCAGTATTTTATTGAGGATTTTTGCATCGATGTTCGTCAGGGATATTGGTCTAAAATTCTCTTTTTTTGGTGTGTCTCTACCAGACTATGGTATGAGGATGATGCTGGCCTCATAAAATGAGTTAGGGAGGATTCTCTCTCTTTCTATTGATTGGAATAGTTCCAGAAGGAATGATACCAGCTCCTCTTTCTACCTCTGGTAGAATTTGGCTGTGAATCAGTCTGGTTCTGGACTTCTTTTGATTGGTAGGTTATTAATTATTGCCTCAATTTCAGAGCCTGTTATTGGTCTATTCAGAGATTCAACATCTTCCTGGCTTATCTTGGGAGGGTGTATGTGTCCAGGAATTCATCCATTGCTCTAGATTTTCTAGTTTATTTGCATAGAGGAGTTTATAGTATTCTCTGACGGTAGTTTGTATTTCTGTGGGATTGGTGGTGATATCCCCTTTATCATTTTTTATTGCATCTATTTAATTATTCTCCCTTTTCTTCTTTATTAGTCTAGTCTTGCTAGCAGTCGATCAATTTTGTTGATCTTTTCAAAAAACCAGCTCCTGGATTCATTGATTTTTTGAAGGGTTTTTTTGTGTCTCTATCTCCTTCAGTTCTGCTCTGATCTTAGTTATTTCCTGCTTTCTGCTAGGGTTTGAATGTGTTTGCTCTTGCTTCTCTAGTTGTTTTAATTGTGATGTTAGGGTGTCGATTTTAGATCTTTCCTGCTTTCTTTTGTCGTCATTTAGTGCTATAAATTTCCTGCTACACCCTGCTTTAAATGTGTCCCAGACATTCTGGTACGTTGTGTCTTTTTTGTCATTGGTTTCAAAGATCTTTAATTCTGCCTTCATTTTGTTATTTACACAGTAGTCATTCAGGAGCAGGTTGTTCCGTTTCCATGTAGTTGTGCAGTTTTGAGTGAGTTTCTTAATTCTGAGTTATAATTTGATTGTGCTGTGGTCTGAGAGACAGTTTGTTGTGATTTCTATTCTTTTACATTTGCTGAGGAGTGCTTTACTTCCAACTATGTGGTCAATCTTGGAATAAGTGCGATGTGGTGCTGAGAAGAATGTATATTCTGTTGATTTGGGGTGGAGAGTTCTGTAGATGTCTATTAGGTCTGCTTGCTGCAGAGCTGAGTTCAGTTCCTGGATATCCTTGTTAACTTTCTGTCTCGTTGAACTGTCTAATGATGACAGTGGGGTGTTAAAGCCTCCCATTATTATTGTGTGGGAGTCTAAGTCTCTTTGTAGGTCTCTAAGGACTTGCTTTATGAATCTGGGTGCTCCTGTATTGGGTGCATATATATTTAGGACAGTTAGCTCTTCTTGTTGCGTTGATCCCTTTGCCATTATGTAATGGCCTTCTTTGTCTCTTTTGATCTTTGTTGGTTTAAAGTCTGTTTTATCAGAGACTAGGATTGCAACCCTTGCTTTTTTTTGTTTTCCATTTGCTTGGTAGATCTTCCTCCATCCCTTTATTTTGAGCCTATGTGTGTCTCTGCATGTGAGATGGGTTTCCTGAATACAGCACACTGATGGGTCTTGACTCTTTATCCAATTTGTCAGTCTCTGTCATTTAATTGGAGCATTTTTCCCATTTACATTTAAGGTTAATATTGTTACGTGTGAATTTAATCCTGTCATTATGGTGTTAGCTGGTTATTTTGCTCATTAGTTGGTGCAGTTTCTTCCTAGCCTTGATGGTCTTTACAATTTGGTATGTTTTTGCAGTGGCTGGTACTGGTTGTTCCTTTCCATGTTTAATGCTTCCTTCAGCAGCTCTTGTAAGGCAGGCTTGGTGATGACAAAATCTCTCAGCATTTGTTTGTCTGTAAAGGATTTTATTTCTCCTTCACTTATGAAGCTTAGTTTGGCCGGATATGAAATTCTGGGTTAAAAATTCTTTTCTTTAAAAATGTTGAATATGACCCCCACTCCCTTCTGGCTTGTAGAGTTTCTGCCAAGTGATCTGCTGTTAGTCTGATGGGCTTCCCTTTGTGGGTAGCCCGACCTTTCTCTCTGGCTGCCCTTAATATTTTTTCCTTCATTTCAACTTTGGTGAATCTGACAATTATGTGTCTTGGAGTTGCTCTTCTCGAGGAGTATCTTTGTGGCATTCTCTGTATTTCCTGAATTTGAATGTTGGACTGCCTCACTAGGTTGGGGAAGTTCTCATGGATAATATCCTGAAGAGTGTTTTCCAACTTGGTTCCATTCTCCCCGTCACTTTCAGGTACACCAATCAGAAGTAGATTTGGTCTTTTCACGTAGTCCCATATTTCTTGGAGGCTTTGTTTGTTTCTTTTTACTTTTTTCTCTAAACTTCTCTTCTCACTTCATTTCATTCATTTGATCTTCAATCACTGATACCCTTTCTTCCACTTGATCGAATCGGCTGTTGAAGCTTGTGCATGCATCACGTAGTTCTCATGCCATGGTTTTCAGCTCCATCAGGTCACTTAATATCTTCTCTACGCTGTTTATTCTGATTAGCCATTCGTCTTATCTTTTTTCAAGGTTTTTAGCTTCTTTGCAATGAGTTCAAAATCCTCCTTTAGCTCAAAGAAGTTTGTTATTACTGATTGTTGAATTCATCCCTTTACCATTATATAATGGCCTTCTTTGTCTCTTTTGATCTTTGTTGTTTTAAAGTCAGTTTTATCAGAGACTAGGATTGGAACCCCTGCTCAGCAATGGCGGATGCCCCTCCCCATGCCAGGCTGCTGCCTCGCAGATCGATCTCAGACTGCTGCACTAGCAGGGAGCAAGGCTCCGTGGGCATGGGACTTGCCAAGCCATGTGCAGGATATAATCTCCTGGTGTGCTGTTTGCTAAGACCATTGGAAAAGTTCAGTATTTGGTTGGGAGTGCCCTGTTTTTCCAGGTACAGCCTGTCATGGCTTCCCTTGGCTAGGAAAGAGAAATCCCCCAACCCCTTGCACTTCCCGGGTGAGGCAGTGCTCCGCCCTGCTTCAGCTTGCCCTCTGTGGGCTGCACCCACTGTCCAACCAGTCCCAGTGAGATGAACCAGGTACCTCAGTTGGAAATGCAGAAATCACCCATCTTCTGCATTGATCACGCTGGGAGCTGCTGAGTGGAGCTGTTCCTATTTGGCCATCTTGAAATGGACCCCCCCCGGGACTTTTATTTCCAAGCTATGTCTCTGCTATCATTTCTTTGGAGATGTCAACTATATTAAGAAAAAAGGAGGAGAGTTTAACTTTTTAAAAATATAAAAATATGTTGACATATTTTATTCAAAATCATATTTGCCTGAAACTTCTGAGGTTTTATGAACATAGCAGCTTCTCATTTCTTTCCATGTGTGAAAAGGAACTAGAGTAGAAGAATAATGCAAAGGAACAAAGCCACTAAGAGTTACTACCTTCTGTCCATTTCACTGTCCAGGTGAGAGGAGCAGCCTGATTGGAGAGGCACAGTTGATGCCCTGTGACTGGAGCACATGGAGAAAGACCAAAGTTACAAGAGATGAAATTAAATGGCTTATTTATGTCTAACTCACATAGACTTACAATATCATCATAATTCTGCCAATTTTGTGGCTGTCCCGATGAAAGGAGAGCTGACCAACTTCCCAAGAAAAACCCACAGGCCATGAGGGACCTCTAATAAACATCGACCTCTTGTGAGTTTTTCTAGTGGAAGTGAATTTCTCCTCTGGGAATACTACTTTATATTTTTATTTTTATTTTTTTGAGACGGAATCTTGCTCAGTTGCCCAGGCGGGAGTGCAGTGGCACAATCTCAGCTCACTGCAACCTCTGCCTCCTGGTTCAAGCGTTTCTCCTGCCTCAGCCTCCTGAGTAGCTGGGATTACTATTTTAAGTAGAAAATCTGACTACTACGAGAGGATTTTCTACTAAACTTATGACCACAAGAACAAGAAAGTTTATTGTGTTGCCATTGTAACTGGGGTGAATTTGTGTTGCATCCCAGAAGCCCAACCATAGAGTCTAGCTGGGATGGGATGCAAGGTAAATGGGGACTAGAAAAAGATGGCGGGGGAAGGAAGCTTGGACACTGACTTGGCTAAACGGACTGGATCCCCAAAGTGAGTAACAAGTACTTACATGTGCACTGTACAAAACAGGGGAGTGAACTTGGACTTGACTCCAGCAGATGCTAGTGTCATAGGTTAGTTAATTAATTGATGGGGCAGATCATGGGAATTGGTGATACATTGCATCAGCCAACCAATGACACTGTGTATCTGGGAGTGATCAATCTGTTTAAAGTGCACCTTCACACACACCTGTGAGGAAAAACAGGAAGGGAGCCAGATGAAGGTGGGAGAGCCATCAAGACTGTAATGCAAGTCAGTCCTCGGGTGAAGGAAAGAAGAGAGGAAGCAGGGTTGGGTGGGAGCCTCTTAGATTGCAGTGCCCAACCATCAGGGAGTCCTGTAGCTGAAGTCAGCCATAAGTGAAGTCCAAAATTGCTCAAGGATTGGCCTGCCTTAGTATTTCTGCTGCACCCAGTTATTGGCTGGGGAGCACCCTGTGGGAATATTGGCCTTGGCAAAAACACAGTAATGGATTCTAGAATGTAGCAACTGGGGCCATCAGTCAATTACCTCCTGGAAGGCAGAGATCTGAGGGGTGTATTTTCATGGCCACTAATACATCTGACTTCTCTTCCTCCTACACTCTTCTTGGCTTAATCCATCCCAGCCTTTCTTGTCTTCTCTGGTGTTCCCTGAACATGCCAAATGTGCTCCTAACTCAGAGCTTTTGTAGTGGCTGCTTCCAGGACTTCCATTAGCCTAAAGGTTGTCTTTGTGAGACTCAGGAAAAGGTGCCCCTTTCTCAAGGCAGACTCTTACATGGCTACCCTGGGCCTGTTCTCCTGGCCTGGCACACTGTTCTCTCAGATATTTGCAGTGTTGGTTCTGTCGCATCCTTCAGGTCTTTGCAGATATTGTCATTTTAGTTACACTTTTCTTTACCCTATTTTAAAATAGTCCTCTCCATGAAACACACATAATTTCTCTTTCCTGCTTTACTTTTCTCCATGAAACTTACCCCTTCTGATATGCTATATATTTCCTAATTTATTCTATTGTTCTTTTCACACTAACGTAAAGTCTTTCCATGAGGGCAGGTTTTTATTTTTTTTTTAATGTTTTTTTTGCTGCTTTATCTGCAGAATCCAAAAACATGCCTGGAACATGGTAAGTACTCAAATATGATGGATCTTCATAAATTTCATGCAAAATGGGTATTCTGAAAATACTATGCATAGATTTCAAAAACTCTTGCACCCAAATAAACTTGTACTAACTTGTTATAACATGTATAAACAGGATCTAGTTTGAGTCACTAAGAAGGATAAGATGTTGGTTTGAAAAGAACCCGTAATAGAGCAACGTGAATTCTGCTAAAACTAGAGCAAGAACAAACATCAAATTTATGGTGAAACTTGGTTGGGCAAATGGTGAAATCACTGGTGCTTAATGAAAAATTTATGGGAACAGTGCCCCAAGGAAATCAGAAGTATACAAATGTATAATTCATTTTAAGAAGGTGTGAGACAATGTTAATGACAAAGCCTGCAGTGGCAGACCGTCCACATCAGTTTGTGAGGAAAAAAATTTATCTTGTTCATGCTCTAAAGAGGACTGATGATTAACAGCAGAAACAATAGCCAACACTGTAGACATCTCAATTGGTTAAAATTTCAATGGAATTTTTAAACAAGTAGCATCAAGATCCTTGAGCATTTCTTCAAAGTATTGTAACAGGAAATGAAACATGGTTTTACCAGTACAATTCTGAAGACAAAGCACAATCAGAGCAATGGCTACCAAGAGGTGGACGTGGTCCAGTCACTGCAAAAGTGAGCCAGTCAAGAGCAAAGGTCATGGCAAGAGTTCTTTGGGATGCTCAAGCCATTTTGCCTGTTGGCTTTCTGGAGGGCCAAAGAAGGATGATATCTGCTTATTATGAGAAAGTTAGCCAAAGCTTTATTTGAAAAACATTCAGGAAATCTTCACCAGAATCCTTCTCCACCATGACAATGCTCCTGCTTATTCCTCTCCTCAAAAACGGACAATTTTGTGAGAGTTTCAATGAAAAATTATTAGGCATACAACTCATCGTTCTGATTTGATCCCTTTTGACTTCTTTTTGTTTCCTAATCTTTAAAAAGTTGTAAAAGGCACTCATTTTTTTTTTCAGTTAATAATGTAAAAAAGACTGCATTGACATGGTTAAATTCCCAAGACCCTCAGTCCTTTAGGAATGGACTAAATGGCTGGTATCATTGATTACAAAATATGTTGAACTTGATAAAGTTTATGTTGAGAAACAAAGTTTATAGTTTTTATTTTTACCTTTTAATTCCATTTTCCCACAAATTTTTTGATGTCCCCTTATATTTGTTGAATTTCCTTTTAAATACTTCTTGCTACTTGTCTTTGTCCCTAGATCTTTTCTTTTCCTCTTAGCTTTATTTTACCTTAAAACTTTGGCTAATCCAAAAGTTTTGGCTAATCCAAAAGTTTTGACTACGGTTTCTTCATGGCTTTTACTCTTTCTATTAAATGTCTATAGGCTTCCTCTGAGCTTTGCTTCTGCTTCCTACAACCTGAATCTCTTCATATTTTATGGTTCTAATTAGTAAAACAGCCTGTCCAAACTTATTTCTATTTTGGGGCACATTTTTTTTTTTTTTTTAATCAGGCCACTATACAGCTGCAGGCCACTGGTCAACCTATAAAACAGCTTTCATTGGATTCCACACTTAGACTCCCTAGCCATGTCAGAGAATTCAAACCATGGTTACTCAGGGCTATCTGCCCTCTCTCCCCTAGGTGAAGCAGATACCTAACCTCTGTAGGTGTTAAAATTATTTGTTTAGTTTTGTAAGATATGGAAATAGGATCTAAGTTGGATATCAAAGATCTTCAAAATGTGTTCATCTGTATTATCTGTTCCCAACCTACATTTAGTTCATTTATTTTTTTAAAATGTCCCTTATACCATGTAATGGCTAGGCACCCTGGTGGGAGATCTAAGTTTCTATAATTGATTGCCATCCCTTGTCAATTATATTTCTGAAAAGTTTCTTGGATATACATCTATCTCTGGATTCCCACATATGTTTCCTTAATTAGATTTCCTCAGACTTAACTTCTCACTTCTATATATATTCCACACCTTTACCAGAATATCTTTTAAAATACTAATGCAACCAGGTCACTTTTCTCTTCAAAATCCTTCCATGGTAAATACTGCAGTTAGACAAAATAAATAAATAAAATGTTAAAATAGTTGAAAAATAAGAAATAGGTAAATCACATGATTGTACAATTCAAATCCAAAAGCATCTTCAAACAAGGTAACAGAAATAAGTAAATTTAATACAATTGTTAGATGCAAGATAAACATACAAAGATCAGTTATTTTGATTATTACCAAGAAACAGTGGAAAAAATTGTAAAATTAATTAATTCCATAGTAGCATCAAAAAATTAAATAGTTAAGAATAGATTTAATGAAGGATGCATATTATCTCTACACTGAGAATTATAAAACACTGCTGAGAGATGAAAGGAGACCTAAACAAATGGTAAGACATACCACTTTCAAGAATTGGAAGGCTCAATATTGTTAATATTTAAATTCTCCCCAAACTGATCTATGGAATCAACATTGTTCCAAATGAAATCCCAATGTGTGTGTGTGTGTTGTGCATGTGAAAATTGTCAATTTGATTTTAGAATTATACATAATTGCAAAAGTCTTAGAAAGTACAAGACAATTTTGAAGAAGAGAAACACATTTGGTGGATTTATATTACTGTACTTCAAGATTTACTATCAAGATAGTATATATAGGTGCAACTAAAAAAAAACTAACAAAAGACTCAATGGAATAGAATATAAAAATCGAGAAGTAAACCCACACAAATATGGCCACTTACGTTCCAGAAAGATGTGCATCATTGCAATATGGAAATGATGGCCTTTACAGTAAATGATGCTATAACAATTGGATATCCATACAGAATAAATGAATCTTTAGCCCTATCTCTGATCCATATCTCACACCATACACAAAAATTAATTTGAGATGGATTATAGACCTAAATATATGAATGATAAGACAAAATTTATAAAGTAAATTTTATAGGAAAATATGTTCATGACCTTGGCATAGGCAAAAATTTCTTAAGAAGGACATGTAAAGCACCATCCATAAAACAAAAAAATTTTGATAAATCTGACTTCATTTAAATTAAGATCTCATGTTAATAAGACACCCGTGGAAGAGTGAAAAGAGAAGTCACAGATTAGACGAAGGTATTCACAATGCTTACATGGAACAAAGGACTCCAATTATATTCAGAATAAGTAAATAAAGCATAAGTAAAAGATGAACAACATATTAAAAAAATAAGCAAAGACTTGAACAGACCCTTCAGAAAAGAGGATATCCAAATGGCCAATCAGCATTTGCAAAAGTATTTAATATCATTGCTCATCAGGGAAATACAAATTTAAAACACAAGAAATATCACTATGTTGTACCAGTTCTACTTAAACTAAAAGGACTGCCAATGCTAAATGCTAGGACAGACACAAATCAAAATTCTTATTTTGTAAAATTCTTATACATTGCTGTGAGAAATAAGATTATTACAACCACTTGAGAAAACTGTTTTTGCATTATCTTCTAAAGCTAAAGATAATGACCTAGGAATCTCACTCTTAGATATGTACATGTAAGATATGAGTGTGTATGTCTACATAATGATCTGTACAAAAATATTTATGGCAGTTTTATTTACAATAGCCCCAAACGAAATAATCAACATTTTCAGAGAGAGGAAAATGATGCTACGGACTGAATTGTGTCCTCTCAAAATTCATGCTGAAGCCCTAACCCACAATATGATGGTATATGGAGACTTAGTCTTTGGGACATAATTAGTTTTTGAAGAGGTCATGAGAATGCAGCATTCATGATAGGAAGAGAAAGAGATAGGCACTAAGGAAAGGCCAAGTAAGGACACAGTGAGAAGCTGGCCATCTGTAACCCAAGGAGAGAGGTCTCAGCAGACACCAGTCCTGCTGGCACCTTATTCTTGGACTTTCCAGCCTCCAGAACTGTGAGAAAATAATGTTCTATATGGTATGTTCTTATGGGAGCCCAAGCTGACTAAGACAAATGGTAAATATATTGTGATATATTCATACAAGTAAGGTATACACAGCAGTAAAAATGAATGAACCACTGGCTCACACTACATTAATGGATTGCAAATATATTATGCTGATAGAACAAAGCCAGATACGAAAGAATGCAGACTGTTGAATGTCATTTATATAAAGTTCAAGATAGGCAGAACTAATTGATAGTTACCTCCGAGGGTGAGGAGGGCTCCACTTAGAAGGGACATGAAAGTACCTTATAGGGTATTTCAAATATTGCATGTCTTGATTGGAATGGTTGTTATATATCAAAATTCATTATACCTAAGATCAGAGGATTCTACCTAAGAATGTTTAGAAAAATCTCCACTGGTTCCCTCTTTTTCTTTGCATGACACATAATGGATGTCCTTTATTATTTCAGTTTAATTTCCTCCACCCACCTCCCTGCCCTTTTTTTTCAGACAAAGTCTCACTTTATTGCCCAGGCTGGAGTGCAGTAGCATGATCTCAGCTCACTGCAACCGCCGCCTCCAAGGTTCCATTGTGCTTCACTTGACACATGTGTCTTGGGTTCCAGGTCTGCTACTTCTTAAGCTTCACACTTTTTCAACTCCATACCATCACTCATTCTTATGAATTGTCTCATCTTAAAAGTCCATTACCACTTTCTGCCTAATGAAATCCTACATGTATTTTGGTGTTCAATGCTATTAGTGAATTCTTTTCTGATACTTTTAGGCAGAAATCTTCCTCTGTTAGAACATTGTTCCTATACAAGACAAGTCACAGATTAGAAGAAGGTATTCACAATGATCACATGGAACAAAGAACTCCAATTATATTCAGAATAAATAAATAACTCATAAATTAATTAGGAAAAGATGAACAACATATTAAAAAAATAAACAAAGACTTGAGCATTCATTATTTCCTTCTGCAACTAGCTGCATGTGAATTTTCCCATTAGAGTGTGGACCCGAACCCCTTGAAGGTAAGTACCAGGGCTAGTTTATCTTTACATTTTAGGCATATAGCACAGCACTAAAAAATATATTAGTGCCTAGAGTAATTAACAAGACATACTTTCTAGCCCTGTTGCCCGAGAGAGAAATATAAAGTCATTGCACAAGAAGTGCTGTAGGGTCCATTTTTACTCAAGTGAGATGTCTGATATTTGCGTCAGGAACTGAAAAGGAAGATATTATTAGTGCCAATAGGGCTTTAACTTTTCACCTTCTGTCACCAGAGCAGGAGATGGCTGATGGTGCAAAGAACACTTAATTGTCAGAGAAACTGCAGACCCAGCATTCTTGGAGAGACAGCTGCTGCATTATGCAGCCATTCTCAGGATTAATAGGCATAGACTATACCTTAGTTGGGCTCTTTTTTTGTTTGTTTGTTTGTTTTTTAAGGAAAAAAGGCTCAAGCCATGTACCAAGCAATGTAACAGAACAAAAGGAACTTCAAGGCAGTACATGCATTGAAATTGGAGCGGTAACCCAATTCGCTGTTGGGACTGGGTACTTTATCTCTTTTCTTTGGCAACTATTTTATCCTTTTCCAATTCTTCTTGAACTTGACCCTTCCTTGAATTTGGCCTATCATGATTTCTCTGTTCACTTCTATCACACCCTTTCAATTTTATATTCACCATTAACTGCCTCACTTGATCAATATTACTTAATTCAAGTTCCCAAGGGTGGGAACCCTTGGGATTAACCCAGCTCATCATTTCCTGTTAAGTTATGACCTAGGTCACTAGCCCTTTCCAGCAGGCACCAAATTAAATAATTTCTCCATATATCATCATATACTGATATTTGTATCATGTATTCACTAAATAGCAATTATTAGAGACTCTGATGGTCAAAACTGGTAATCATGCATTTCCTACTTTGAAAAATTGTAATGAGGCTTATTTTGTTTAGCGATTATATCCATATTAGTAGATGTTAAATGAATATTTATTAAATTAACAACAAACCCTTGTGTCTAGAAAATATTCTCTAGTCACTTTCGGAGATGTTACATATACTTAAATGACAGTAGAAACTCAAAGATTGTTGTTGGTTGAGTTGGAAATTTAAATGTGCTTTGCTCATCCTCAGCAAAATAGATTATGATACTCTTGTGAGGATTGCAAATAATTTAAGAAATATCTCAGGGACAGTCCACACATTAAATTTTCTCTTTTTTTGTCTCTGCAAATATTAAATGCATAAAAAATAAAGCTAAGGATGAGACCCATTTCTACACACTTGAGCATGTGTTTGTGGTAGAAAAACGGAGCATCAGATTCAAAGAGTTATTTATATTTCTAGTGGCATGCTTGTTTCTCTAGTAGTTGTGATTTAGGTACCTAAAAAAATACATGTCTGTCATGTAATTTTGTCATTTAGTCAAAATCTAATAAAATTATTAAATTTAAATACAACTTTACAAGTTGTCTGAAGCATGATTTGTTCCGTTTGCATTTTCCTTCAATGGAGCCTTGTCAAGCACTTGGTTGGATTCAGCATCGCTGAAAGTCAGCCCTTAATTCTGACTGCCCTTACAAATGTAGGAGAGCAGCCAGTTTCAACACATGACTCTCGGAGTTCATTTGGGGTTTTGTCGGCAGAGTGCAAAAAATATATATATTTGTTGTTATCGGTTGAGTGTGTAAATTGGCATTTTTCTAGATGTTATATGGCTATATAAATAATATCTGGATATTAAATTATTGGCACAGGCATTTGCAATTTTGAAGAAACTAATTAAGTCTAAATGACTAATTCCCAGTTGCAGAGTCAGGAACACAAAATATGATTCATGGAAGTAGGCAGCACTTCACATCCAAGACATGGTAACGCTTTATTTGTGTGCATTTAAGGAAGACGGTGGCAGGAGTTCATTTGCTGCACCTGTTACCAAAAGTTGTGAAGGCAAGGAAGAGCCTGGAATTGTCTGCACATCATGCCCATTGGCACTTCAGGAATGATCGCTGATGCCAGCCCCACTCTGGTAACCCTGCTTCTGAGAGCCTTGTCATGACTCACACACAATGAGCACTGAGCATGAAGAAACTGAGAGGAGGGCCTGAAAACCTCCACAGAAATCAGGGGTAAACAAAGGAGGCTGTTGAGATGGGAGTAGAGAACTTATTTTCCTTTCTGTTTTGTAACAAGTGATAGGCTTGCATTTACTGATTTAAGAATATTTACAAAGCATATATATTATACTTGTTAGTTTTGCTTCTGTATTTGAATCAGGAGCTATCTTCATCACATACATAATTTTTTTAAAGCACTGACTTTTTCTAAAAAATGTGATGCTTAGGGCTCATATAAAGGATGCTTAGAATTTGTATAAAACTCTTGGTTCCTACTGTTTTGTAACTCTCCATCTGCTCTTCCCATTAAGTAAGAAAACAGAGCAGACAAGCATTGCTTACTGAAACTGCTATGTAGGCAGTCATGTTTTATTTTATTTCACTGCTCAACATTCATTTTCCTTTTTGAAACAGCATCCTTACTGCTATAATCAGAGGCTTGATGTCTTCTAGTCAAGGACAAATCTAGACCAATCAGTTGCCCTGCTTTTGAATGTGAATCTTGAGTAGAACAATAAGCAGTATGTTAATGGTTAGCTTTCCTCCCTCCTGATAGCGGGGTCCTCAGCAGCCTTTGCCAGCTGGGAGACAACGGTGGGAGCTCCTGCTTCTGAGCTTTGGGAACTGACTTACTTTCTGTGTATTCTGAAGCATTGTTCTTCATCCTTTGATACATTTTGGACCCCTCTTCACTCCTTGATTTCCTTCCAATGAATTTTATGTCTGTAGTTTCCAATTACAGAGATTTCACTGATACACTACTTATAATTTTATTTTAAAATTTTCACTCAGAATGCAAATGATCATGATGCAAGTGAAGTTATGAAATAAAAGCAAATCCCTCATAAGTATTATGCATTTATTGTTAATAACAAAATATTTAAAATTATCTCACAATTGTTGGAACCAATATGTCAGAAAACTGTGGTTGAAAAATACTGATATCTGGCCTTAGAAGCTAGCACCTAATGGCAATCTGTTTCCAATTTTTCTGTAGAGATGGTTTCTGAGATCTAGAGACCATCTATAGAGATGGTTTCAAGCTTTAGGATCTGGGAATTTAAGACAACATAATTATACCATTCGTAGGAACCTACTGGAGTGAGAAAAATTCTACCCAGGGGAGCCTTTGGCTAAGCTGAAATGAAAATGGGAGGAAGGAGACTAGGGTGTATGTGGGAAAGACCGGAAGAAGAACTTCAAGGATAAGGTGGGAATAGGTTGAAAGGGAATACACAGTTTTATCATACTGACACTTCTTTGGTGTGTAAGTAATGTTCCTGGGTTTTCCAGGTGGTAAGGCACTAGGTAGGTCATTCATTCACTATGTAGGTTACTTTTTTTTTTTTGAAGTCCTTGTCCTTTATTGGGCAAGGGGTGAGGGAAGCAGACAGACCGGTTGGACATAGTAGATGGGTGTGTGAGGACAAATGCTACCCAAAAGCCAGCCAACCTACACTCCCCTGAAATGGATGCTAATGCCCTTCAAACTCTGCGCAATGGTTTCACACATAGCCTCTTCCAGGGATAAAAGAAGGGGTTATTGTAAAGCTTCTTGTTACCTTCAACCATAAAGGCAAGTTCTGAATTCTAGTTTTCCTGGGACACTAACTCTAGTCACAAAGATCTCTGGAGTGATCAAGCATGGTGGAGTGGCAGGGTGAGTGTTTCAAAAGGATAAGTAGAACAGGAATCTTGCCCGAGTCCTGTTACAACGTCAGTGCCTGTATATGGCTTCTCAGTCCAACCAGAAATTGACAGAGAGGCATGTATACAGTGAAAAGATATACATATATTTAGGATTAACCAGCTGCATTCAGTTTAGATGATCCCAATTTTGTTGGCAACATCCAAAGCATTGTAATCAGGAGGCAGTTGAACGTATGCCTTCTTCTCTCCATCAGGCTGACAGGGTGTTGACCTCGGCCACATCAATGTCATAGAGCTTCTTCACAGCCTGTTTGATCTGGTGCTTGTTGGCTTTAGCATCCACAGTGAACACAAGTGTGTTGTTGTCGTCTGTCTTCTCCGTGGCAGACTCAGTGGTCAGCAGAAACTTGATGATAGCATAGTGATCAAGCTTGTTTCTCCTGGGAATGCTTTTCTGAGGATATTTTTGCTGCCTCTGGAGTCGCAGTGTCTTGGGCCGCCAGAATGTGGGTGACGTGCGATCTTTTTTTGTGTGTATGTGGCTGTGGACACCTTTCAACACTGCCTTCTTGGCCCTTAAAGCCTTCGCTTTGGCTTCTGCTTTGCAGAGGCAGGAGCTTCCTTCTTCACTTTTGGCGCCATCTTGTCTCATGGTTACTTTCATAATGATAGTCACTATATAAGAGAATTGCCTCACTGAAGAGTCTGCTGAGATAGCATTCATTTTGTAGACGAATGGCCACACTGTTGTGATCATAGCTAATTGAACCCACTTGTGAGTCGCTAACACTGGGGCAGCCAATCTACAGTCTGACCAGTGGCCTATAATGATGGCCTGCTATGCAAAGCTCTTTTTAAGCAGGAAATAATCATCATTAGCTAGGACAAACCTTCCTTTCTCTTGGGCATGTCAATAGTGAAATCTATGAAGCATGGTATTCATGTGGTAAAGAGAATGTAGCTGTTAGCAGGGACCATGAAAAGTCAAAGCTCTGAATAGGCTGAAACTAGAAGTAAGAAGAAAACATAAAGAAAAAAAATAGGTGAAATAGACCAGCAGACTTCAATTTCTGTCAATGTGGCAGATTAGAAAACCTGAAAACCCTTCTGTATTGCTGGATACAATATAACAAATGTCCATTTAAATGTCTAACTGATCTTGCAAGAATATATACATACATAAATGCCTACATGCATATAAGCACACATCTATGTAGACATAAGGAAATCTCTGGAAGTTAGAAACCAAGAGGAAAATGAAAACCAGAACAGTCAGAGTTTATTTTGCAGTTGCCTGGGGGTATTTTTCAATCTTAGTAGCCAAGGACTTGGCTTTTACATGCTTTTGGAAAGAGGATATTCAGCCTTAAGTTATGTTGAGATAGAAGTTCTGAGTCTTCTGTGTAAAGCCAGGGATACAACCTCAATCAAGTGGTGTATCAGAAACAAACTGCCTGTCAGGATAGGCATTTTTCAATCATGGTTTTCTGACACAGCAGAGAGGATGACATGGAGGTTTATCTGTTTTGTCCTGGGGTGAGGATGGGAAATGAGTCTCCTTGGTTATTTGTATCCATGCCTTCTCCCTTTGGCCCTTGATTTTGAGATTTGAATTTACTCTTTCTGTAGGGTCTGGAAGCCAAAGCTGTGAAACAATATTGTAGAAGTAATAATGCCCACTTTCTATAATAATTTTATGATAATTGTATAGTTATGTAAAAATAACACAACTCTGGAGGAAGACACATTCTCGAGATTCTCTGAAGATAAGGTCACAATCCAGATCACAAACACACTCAAGTAAGCACTTCACCATGAGGAAAAACTAGCAGATGACAGCAAATAGCAGGAACACACCAAAAAGAAACAAAGGCTACCAGTGTTTTAAAAACGATAACAAAAGATAAAGCATAAAAAATGAGATCAGACTCTATCCAAAAAGACACAGCACGTTGTGAGGAAATGTCCAGAACTTTGAAGAGTTTTTTTGCTGTTTGTTCACTTTCCTAAATGTAGAAAAGCAATGGTCTAGAAGTAGCCGCAGAAAAGGGGAAAGAGGAGAATGCAAATATTGTCTTTGTGATGTTTTGATAAACACATTGTGGGAAAATGAACACCCATCATTTCAAAAGGCTTTGGGGCAAGAGGAAGATTTTAGTGTAAGACAAGATTGTAGAGGGAGTGTTTTTGGAATATGGGAATGTGAAATTTATTTTAATGAAACATTGTTTTCAAAAGGAGTGTTGAAAATAATTAGGAAGGAAGTTCATAGAGGAAAAAATGTGGAAATAATAATGCTTGAGAGTACTTAGTTGACCGGAGGATTTGCATTCTGTCTAATGGCTCAAAATGGCTGGTTGAGAAGAATGATTGTGTTGTTTGCATTTGAAGTGACAGGTATGAATCTGAGTTTCCAAACGGCATCCTAGGATCTTAGCATTCTGACATCATTTCTCTTTAAACAAGGTCACAGTGTTCTAAAAAGAAATTTCTTTATGTGGTGCTATGAAAACACACAAAAAATGATATCATGCTGGACACTCTGATAAACTCTTTTAATGCTCATTTTATTATCTCTTTTTTAGTATCTCTTTTAATAACTCTTTTAATATCTCATTTAATCCTCCCTTCCAGCCCAGAATATAGATACTACTATAATCTCCATTCACTTATAAGAAAATAACGGCTCAGAAATTTTAAGTAATTTGATTAATGTCACACACCCATAAGTTAGGGACATTATATTGGTGCTGTTTCAAACTGTGAAAAGGAATTAGCTAGTGAGAAAAGTAAAGAAAGAGCAACCTCCATTGTGTATACCATATGTATGAAAAGCACAGAGAAAGAAAACATTATGTGTTTTGTAAACTAGTGTGGTCAGAGGAAAGGATCTGTGTGAGAAGGCTGTGGAGGATAAAGCAGAAATATAGTCAGGAATCAAAGTATGGCAAGACTTGTGTCTGAGCTTTCTCCCAAAAACCAATAAAGTTCTTTATAAAGGAAAGGGCTATAACCTGAATTTCATTTTAGGACAATCACTCTTTTAGTAACATTGTGGATAGATCTGTGAGAAACTAAGCCATCAGATCAGTCAGGTTTGCAATAATTCAGGCAAAAAGCATTTCACTAAGATGTGAATGAAAGTAGGGCATCATTAAGGAGGCAGAATCTATTATATCCAGTTACTGAGTGCAAGTGTGAGTATGAGTGTGTGTGTGTGTGTGTGTGTGTGTGTGCACGCTAGGAGTTGAGAGCTGCAAGAAGGGACTATATAGTGACTGAGAAGATGGAAGATTTGTCCATGCAATGAGACAGAGAATGAGAATTCAGTTTTGATCTGGTCGAATTTGTGTTTTCCTTTGGGGTATTAAAATGCTGCAGATTTGCATTCTCAGGACTCAAATTTAGTTATGCAAAACAACAATGAAAAATAACCCAAATTTCAACAACATAGTGTAGTAGTCATGTCTGGGGCTCTTGGGTGGTCCCAGTTAATCAGTTTCCCCAGGGGCAACTTTTCCCCATCAGTCTGATTGATGTCAGAGATGAATCTTAGAGGCCATCTGATGTTCAAGCTATTAATGCAGTGCTTTTACAAGACAGATAGCAGGAGCAGCCCAGTGGCATGAACTGGATACAGTTAGGGGTCAGATGATTGCCTGACTGGGAAGGTTTTCAAGGCCAGATCAGTTATCAGGTGTTTCTTTCATAAAGAGAGTTTAAGCTATTCTTGTAAGGGTAAGCTTTCTTTCAAGGTTTTTGAGAATTGTGTCTGTGCTGAGGTGACTTGGTTTCCTGGAAGTCCCTGGGCTACATTGTATTACACTGCTAAGTGACACACAGTGTTAGCCATGCAAGATGTTTGAGTGGGCCTCATGACAATCATTAATCTTGTAGCCACAATATGACTCTTACAGTATACTACAATTAGTTATCTAATGCTGAGTAACAAATTAACCTTAATTTGAACTTAATGACTTATTGAGGTTCGTTCCATTAGACAAAAGCCCCATTGTATGATCAAGTGGTTTTCTGAGACAATGCCTTAGCTCTTTATGAAGTCCTGAGAGATTTTATAGTCACACTCTCAGCTTCGTGTTTGGCCCATGTTTCTCTCACAGTATCCTGGAGATGATCCTTACATCCAGGGACAGATTCTTAATCTCTTACTATTTTAATTTTGCCACTTAGAGAATTGGGAATATTCAACTTTGACAATCCTTGCCTCCATCTTGTTAATAGTTCTTCCTTCAGCATATCTGTCTTATATTCTAATACATGCATCAAGAAGAAATAAAGCAGCACCTTCAACACACTGCCTTGAAATCTCCTTGGCTACTTGAGAGGATAGTTGACCAGAGGGACATGCATTCTGTCTGGTGGCTCAGAATGGCTGGTCATGAATTGCACTTGAAGTGGCACGCTTATATTCACAGTTTTAAGTGATGCATTTGGTAATTTTCTGTTTCCACATTACTGCTGGTGGCAGTGTTACTAAACTTTCTGTCACTATATAATAAAGAACCTCCTTCCTCCAGGACCATTCTCCTCACATCCTCGAGAGAGACATATAAAGCTTTCAAGTTCAGGACTACAAAAAACTCAGCAGAGCTATTGTAGACCTTCTCATCCTAGACATTTTGGATGTAGGGGAAGCAATCACTTAAACATGACCACTTATCCTGCTGTATTAGGATACTGACAGGAAACATCTGTTATGCTGGAAATACTAATTTGATCAGACTAAAAAAGAGACTATTTATAAATATTTGGGCATGTTCTGGGAACACAGTAAGGAATTTCCAGGAACCCAGGGCTAAAGGCAATGGAAACTGTTACCACCTGTAGGTGTAAGACTCAAGTCAAGAGAACAATGATGGAAGGCTGGAGAGGGCCTCATGACATTTTCTGTGTCCTTCTTTAGGGAGGCAGTCAATCTGCAGTGACAGGGCAGAGAGGGGGCCTGGGGAATAAATAACCAATGCCATTCTCTTCTTTCCCCTCTGTTAGTATCCTCCATTAGTTCAAACCAATTAGTAACCAAAGGAGAAGGGGATTATTCACTCATATTGCTCAGGGACAGCCAGCCTCCTGGAATTCAGAGCAATGTGGAGAACAGTAGAAAGTAGATCTGGAAGGGTAAAGGGACAGTATTCAGCACAACAGGGAAATAAAAGACAAGTCTTCTATGCCAGTGGTTTCAAAATGTGTTCCCTAATCAGTATCATTGACATCACCTGAGACTTGCTAGAAATTCAAATTATTAGGCTCCACCATTGACTTATTAAATCAGAATCCCTAATGTGGACTCAACAATATGTGGGTTAACAAGCCTTCTAGGTGATTCTGATGCATGCTAAAGTATGATAACCATCATTCTATACTCTAAAATATACAATAGTTGTATGAGTGTATGAGGTATTTAATCCTATCTCCCCCATCAGCTCATCACTCTTCCTCTCATGCCCTCACAGGCCCTGGAATTGGAGACAGGGCACAAGATTATTATTCATGGACACTTGCCAATGCAGTATCAATCCTTGGTTTCCTCTTAAACTAATTCTTCCCTTTTTAGTCCAAGGGTCCTCTGTATTGATTATTTATGGATTAACTTTATTACCAGAGTCATTCAAAGCCTTGCTTTTTGATTCTCAAAATGTTTTAAATTGCAAAACTTTTTTCCTGCACTTGTCTTTGCTATAAGTTACAAAAATTTAACACTTTTAATAAGAACCAAACTCTGATCTGATTTGATCAGCTGAACTGAGGGTTCAAAATAAAGTTGAAGGAATTGGTTGGGAGGATAATATTTTTATTTTACTATATAATCTTTCTCCACAGGCAGAAATTCTGTTTTACAAAAAGCACTGTAGCTATTTCCTAAAGAGGATTAAAGGTCACAAAGTAAGAGAACTAGCTGGGCCAAAGAGCACAATATTAAATTATCAAATATGGTGCTAAACTTACAACTGCAGAGTTGACCAGTTGTTATTTGAATATATTATATATTATGGAGCTTGAGACAGAGGTTCGGTTCCTAACTCAGGAAGTTCTTCATTTCTTCTTTCAGGTACATTCCTTTTAAAAAGAAAAAAACTCAATATTAATTTTTTAACTTCAAAAGTAATATACAGATTTTAACTAGTGAAATATGACATAAAAGGCACATTGACACCAGGTGCGGTGGTGCACGCCGGTAATCCCAACACTTTGGGAGGCAAAGTCAGGTGGATGACCTGAGGTTAGGAGCTCGAGACCAGCCTGGCCAACATGGTGAAACCCTATCTCTACTAAAAATACAAAAATTAGCCAGGTGTGGTGGCAGGCGCCTGTAATCCCAGCTACTCAGGAGGCTGAGGCAGGAGAATCGCTTGAACCTGGGAGCTGGAGGTTGCAGTGAGCTGAGATCACACCATTGCCCTCCAGCCTGGGGGATAGACTGAGACTCAGTCTCAAAAAAAAAAAAAAAAAAAAAAAAAAAAAAAAAAGGCACATTGACTCCATTTGCCTAGCTGAAACATGCTAATATGAATAAAAATTCATACACCCTCTCCCATCTTCAGTGAAACTAGAAGAGGGCCACTTCCTTAAAATACAGTTCTATAAAAAATATCTTTTCAAGAGAATGATTTTGAAATTAATCAAGGGAAGATTTTCAAATCTACATGTGCCTCCCCAGATCTCAAGGAGGAATGGATTTCTTTTTTTTTTCTCTCTTTATATATACATATTTTTTTATTATACTTTAAGTTCTAGGGTACATGTGCACAACGTGCAGGCTTGTTACATGTGCATACATGTGCCATGTTGGTGTGCTGCACCCATTAATTCGTCATTTACATTAGGTATATCTCCTAATGCTATCCCTCCCCCCTCCCCCTACCCCACAACAGGCCCCGGTGTGTGATGTTCCCCTTCCTGTGTCCAAGTGTTCTCATTGTTCAATTCCCACCTATGAGTGAGAACATGCGGTGTTTGGTTTTTTGTCCTTGAGATAGTTTGCTGAGAATGATGGTTTTCAGCTTCATCCATGTCCTTACAAAGGACATGAACTCATCATTTTTTATGGCTGCATAGTAAAGGAGGAGTGGATTTCTAAGAGTGATGAAAGTTTTAGTGTTCTGTGCTTGATGAATTATTTTTTAACTGGAACAGCAAGAACAAGGGTAAGGGTTAATGGCAGAAAACAAGCTTGGAAGAAATATTCCTATTACTGAGAATGACTTCAATTTCTTTAAGAATTAGATAGAGATAATGAGTGTCTATAGAGTTGTTGTGAGAACTAGAGAGGTTAATATGACAGGTAATATGCTCAGCTTGATGGAAATAGTAGGAACTCAGTCAATATTAGCCATAACCATAGTTCATTGTGATTAACTGTATGGACTCTGGACTGACGTAACCTAGGTTCAAATCCCAGCTCTGCTGCTTATCAGGGGTATGAACTCAAGCAAGTTACTTAATCTCCTCACATGTAAATTTCCTCAGTGGGAATAGAATTGCACTTATCCAATAAGGTTATTGGTAAAGTTGAAAGGTTTAGAAGGATCATTTATGTTCTTTTTTTTATTCATTAAAATCAACGATGCATATTATTGGACATTTTGATGTTTCTGATATTTACAATTGTAAGTGATCTGATGAATATCCTTGTAACTAAATCCTTGGACCCATTCCCTGAGTGAAAATAGAATTACTGAGTTGAAGATACACATGGTTTAATGGCTTTTTACTTTTATTACTAAAATAGTCTAAGAATTGTTTATTCTCTCACCAACAATGTATAGGTGTCCATTTCCTTATATCCTCACTTTTTTCATGTTATAATTTTTAAGAATATTTGCCAATTTGTAGGTGAAAAATGTTAATTTCTATAAAAAACTGCCTCCATTCCATTGGCTAAAAGTAATTTTTAAAGGTCTCAACTAAACAAAATCTTAGATAATTTGACAACCCTTACCAGGCTTTTGCACTCTCAGTTCCCCAAATCTTTCAAATTTAAATAATCCCGGGTAGTGTCATAGTTTTATTCTAGACATCTTAAAGAATTTGGGAAAGATATGCCTGTTCTGAGAGAAGCCCATAGGTATTTATTTCTTATTGTTGTCTGATCATAAGAAAAAATAGAATTTTCTGGCCTAAATCTGGAAGGTGTAACTCAAATCTTCTTTGAATTCGTTTTTAAAGAAATAATATAATTACCTTTTTTTCCCTAAAGAAGTGTTTTTTTGTTGTTGTTGTTGTTTGTTTGTTTGTTTTAAGTACAAAAGCCTTCAGTAGTTTGGTTCTATTCACTTTAGATAAGCAGCCAAAAAGTTCAGAAGCCCAATCCAAAATTATTCTCTGTCTTTACTTGCCAAAAAGATCAGATTAAATATCGCATAAGAATAGGCTTTCTTGGAAGATTTCTGGTTCAGGACTTCCTGGCTTTGGCATGAGTTAAGGACACCACAATACAAGTAGTTGACTCAGAACTGTAGTGAGAGTGGTACCTAGGAGTCTAAAAACAAAATACTGTCTGCATCTTCTATTTGAATAATTCATAAGGATTTATTTTTATCTATCTCAACTCCAGTATTAAATTTAAATAACATTCTCTTACCTAAAGATGTTGGTTTAACAATAAATTTTTTTAATGTCTTAAATATATTTTTGCTTGCAGTTTGTCTAAATGCCGTTTTTCAGGAAACAATCGTTTGTCCTTAAGTAGAATACATTCCCTTTAACCGCTTGATCATTACATTTCTTTCTCATGCTTCTGTGTGGTATAATTTTTGCACTTTAAATAGTACGCTATTAAGCCATGTGGAGGATATTTTTGACTGTATCATACCTATGGGTATTTGGTTTTTAAACATAATATGGTTTCTCAAAAGGTCTGGTATTGAAATAACAAATTTAGAATAAAATTACTCTCTTAACCATATCCCTTAAATGGTTTGAATTCTAGCTGTGGATAAATCCTAGTTTCTTTAGAAGTTACCTCTCCCGTTAGACCAGCCATCCCCAGCAATTAAGACTGGCCAGTGTGCTCCTGCGGACAGTTCCTGCCTTGATTTACAGGGTTAGGAATTAAGGACTTTTTCACAAAGGATGCTTGTTGGGTATTTTCTATCATATCCTAGTGACTCTGAGCACTATAAAGACCATGTATTTTAAATTTGATGCTAATAAACTTTAATCTATACTAGATATTTATATTCCTTTTTCTAAACTTTAAATGAATTACATCTTAATTACTTGCTTGAGAAATTTTTTTTCCTAAATGATATAAGCCAGTCTGAAAAAGCTACATACTGTTGTGATTTCTGTTATATGACGTTCTGAAAAAGACAAAACTGTAGAGACAATAAAGTAATCAGTGGTTGCCAGGGGTTGTGGGGGAGGGGGAAGGGATGAATAGGTGAAGCAAAGGGGACTTTTAGGATAGTAGAACGATTCTGTGTGATAGTGTAATTGTAGATACATGGCATTATGCATTTGTCAAAACCCATAGAACTTTACTGAAGAAAGAGTGAACCCTGAAGTATGAAATTACAAAAAAAAATTGTATAGGAGATTGAAGGATCTCAGGAAAAAATGGAGATTGTAACAAGAATATATCTGCATTACAATTGTAACAAAAAATAAAGGAACCACCTCACTGAGGAGGGTGAAGGCAAAAGATGTTGACTTTGGAAACGAGCAGAGTCGGTAAGACTAAAGGTAAAAGAAACTGCACGTGAGCTCTATATTATGGTTGGTGAAGTTGTTCCTCATAGGTGTACAGGAAATAATTCTGATACTGATGTACATGTACAATGGAATCAAAAAATTAAGTACATGAGTGGTACACGGTGGGAGCCAGACTTCCCACTTTTGGAGTGAAAATCCACAGACACACAAGAGAAAGAGACCAGCATGGTGTAGTATTGGCTTAGAATTGGACACAAGTCAGTATGAACTCATGTTTTTTGTTTGTTTGTTTTTTGAGACGGAATCTTGCTCTTGTCGCCCAGGCTGGACTGCAATGGCACAATCTTGGCTCACTGCAATCTCAGCCTCCCAGGTTCAAGCAATTCTCCTGACTCAGCCTCCCAAGTATCTGGGATTACAGGCACCTGCCACCATGCCAGGCTAATTTTTTTGTATTTTTAGTAGAGACAGGGTTTCACCATGTTGGCCAGGCTGGTCTGGAACTCCTGACCTCAAGTGATCCACCTGCCTCGGCCTCCCAAAGTGCTGGGATTACAGGCATGAGCCATACGACTGGCCTGAACTCATGTTTTGCTAAATGTAGATACAGGTGGTTGCTATAGAAATATTTATAGATATTTGTATTTACAGAGGTTAGTATATATAGACTTTTTTGTTGTTGTTGTTTTGTGAACAGAGAGACTTAGAAGCAAAAATACTCTAGTTGTGAAGAACGCATTTAGTGCCCAGATCTTTGTTTCTATACCATTCTCCAATAGAAGGAACCTGGGCTCGTTGGAGAAATGGCTGATTCTTGGGCTGGTGAAAAAAAATGCACAAAAAGCCCAGAACATCTTGTAGTGCCAAGAAGTAAGAAATTACTCAAAAACACAACAAAACACATGGGTGGAGGTATGTCCAAGAAGTACAGAAGCCAACACTGAAAGAGCTTTCAATGGCCAAAGCTGGAAAAATTTTAGCACTAAAAGAAATAAAGTAGTATTGGCTTATAACTAATAGTATAAAACAAATATCCATGAGTCCGTACTTACAGAAATAAATGATTGAATAGATTAACAAATGTGGGAGAAGAGACAAATTTCCTTTATAGATGAATTCCAAATATTTTGTATAAATACACTAAAGGAGGGGAGCATAAATTCCCGCTTCATAAGAGCAGTCTGTGCGTAGTGACTTTCTTCCAAAGAGTACAGTGTGAAAACAGGGCTGGGTGGGCAGGGGAACTTCACAGGTGGAGAATCCAGACAAATGCTAATTCAGTCGGGTGATTAAGGTCATCATGGACCGTCATAAATCATGTTGATAACATTTACCTTTGATATGATGTGATTGAAAATGACATTTAACCTTCATCATCTTCTTCCCCGAAATCCAAAACCCCAATCTTATCATGAGAAGAACATTAAACAAATTCCAATAGAGAGGCATCCTACAAATAGCTGACCAATACTCCTCAAAACTGTCAAGTTCATCAAAAACAAGGAAGTCTGAGAAACTGCCACAGCTAAGGAGACACGGCCATTATATGTAATGTGCCATCCCAAATAGGACTTTTGGACAGGAAAAGGACATTAGGAAAAGACTAAAGAAATCTGAATAAACCATGCACTTTATTTAATAATAATGTATTAGTACTGATTCATTAATTTTGGCAAATGTACCATATTAATGCATGTAAGGAGACATTTGGCATGGGGTATGGGAACTATGTACAATTTCCAATTTTTCTGTATATCTAAAACTATTATAAAAATAAAGTTTAATTCAGGAAAATTACATATGTAGTACATGCTTGTATTTAAAAAAACACATCAGAGTAATTGAAAAGTATAGATGGTATAACATGAAAGCTCCTCAGCCTCTCTTCCAGTTTTTGTCACTAGAGATGACAGTGTTAACAAGTTGGCTAATGTTGCATCTATTTTTCTAAAAATTTTCTGAGCACATATAAGTGTGTGTGTGTGTGTGTGTGTGGTGTGTGTGTGTGTGTGTGTGTGTGTATTGCTTTTCTTACAGAAATGGGATCATATTATAACATTTTATTAAGACATTTTGTAATTTGCTGTTCTTACTCAACAACATAATATGAACAGTGTTCTAGGCAGTATATGAACATTTACTTCACTCTTTTTTTTTTTTTTTTTTTTTTGAGACGGGGTCTTTCTCTGTCACCCAGGCTGGAGTGCAGTGGTTCAATCACAGTTCACTGCAACCTCCACCTCCTGGGGTCAAGTAATCCTCCCACCTCAGCCTCCTCAGTATCTGAGACTTCAGGTGTGTACCACCACGCCTGGCTAATTTATGCACATATATATATATTTTTTATAGAGATGGGATTTTTCCATGGTGCCCAGGCTGGTGTTGAACTCCTGGGCTCAAGTGATCCTCCCACCTTGGCCTTCAAATGTGGTTGGATTATAGTTGTGAGTCACTGTACCCAGCCTACTTCACTCTTATTAACAGATGATATGTGTATGTACTGTTTATATTATCTCTAATTTTTGGCTGATAGAACAAATTATACAGTGTATAGCTTAATGATACATTCTTACCTGTGGCTGCCACATCAGTCTCTTGTTTGTTCAAAAGAAAAGTTTAAAGAATTTAAACATTCTCTTTTCTTTGAACTATGATTTTGAGATTTTATGTCTTGATTAGGGAGACATAGAAATAATTTTACTATGTTCTATTCTATTATTCATTCCTTTTTGTATTTATGTTAGGATGTTTAATCTATCTGGAAAGTATTCTTCACATATAGTATGAGTAGGGTAATTCTTTTTTCCTAAATAGAGGATTGTTTTAATAAAGTCTTTTATTATACGGTTCATTTTCCCCCTGGAATTCAAAATGTCACTTTTTAAATATATAAACAAACTCTTATATTAACATAAGCATGGAATTGACTACTGTCTTTGTTTTTTTATTTGTCTATTTTTTAATCATTATCAGAATCTTAATTCATGTAGCCTTACAGTATGTTTTGATAGTCGGTAAGATGATTTCTTCCTTTTGTAAAATTAACCTGCAAAATAAAATTAAGGATTAATTCTTTGAAAACTTATTTTGTATGTGTCCTCATTCTATTCCATTCTTTTCCTCCTGTTTCCACTTTTCCTATTCCTTCTTCGTTTTTGTCGTTAATTTTTCCTGGAAGTTTTTATTGTGCTGTTTGCTTTGTTTTTTGATTTTTGTCGCTAGTTTTTTTTTTTTTTTTTTTTTTTGAGACAGAGTCTTACTCTGTTGCCCAGACGGGAGTACAGTGGCGCGATATCAGCTCACTGCAACCTCCACCTTCCAGGTTCAGACGATTCTTCTGCCTCAGCCTCATGAATAGCTGGGATTTCAGGCATGTACAACCATGCGTGGTTAATTTTTTTATTTTTAGTAGAGATAAAGTTTCACCATGTTGGCCAGGCTGATCTCAAACTCCCGACCTCAAGTGATCCAACTGCCTCGGCCTCCCAAAGTGCTAGGATTATAGGCATGAGCCACCACACCCGGCCATGGCTAACATTTTGAATGAAATCATTTTGTAAATACTTTTATCTTCTTTTCTTTTTGTTATCTCACAGAAAAAAAAAAAACCATGTAAATACTTTTCAAATGGAACCATCACTAAGAAACATTTGCAAAAGCTATTGAGTTACTATTTATAATATAACTATCTTACAGATAACTGTTTTATTAGTTCTACTAGTTTTGAAGTTGTTACTTTTAAATTTTCTATATAGAAAATGATCAAATTCAAATATAGAAGATGATTAACTCTACCCATAGAATTAATTTTACAGCAAAGAACCTATATGGATAAGAAGACTGTTATTCCAGCATCTACTTAATTTACATATTTATTTGGAAGTTGTTAATTTGATCCATTAGTTGTTACTTTGGTGATATATATTACATTAAAAACAATATTGTTTATGCTTATAATTATAATTAATTATTTTTCTGAATATGACATGAAGCCAGTTACTAGGCCAATGGATGACTCTTTTATATGAAAACTACATTCTGATTTAAATATAATTATTTACAAATGCTAGGTCAGAATTATGTAAATGATTTTAAACTTACACCCTTTGTCCTGAGACAAGAGTCTGATTGTTATGGAAAAGCCTAGTTAAGTCAGACTAATACATTACCTTGATTAGAGTAAAACACATTGACAAAATCTCATTTAATCCTCATAATGATTTTTTAGTTAGATATTGTTATCCTTTATTCTTCATAATTGCCTAGCAATCAAGTTAAGATAGAGTCAAGGTCAAAGATCTCTTGGTCCACAGGTAGCTTTAATTCATATAAATATGGAACGGTTTTTGGCTTTGAGTGAAGGCAATATAGACCTTCATGATGTTAAAAACATTAAAGCAAGGGATCTACTTAAATGTTTCAAAGTCAGTTTGCTTTCTTTCATTCAAGTGGGAACAGGGTAGCTTAGGGACCAGAGAGAGAGCACTGAGAGCAGGGCCAAAAGAAAACAGATGAGAAAGGAGACAAAATAGGGACAGGGCTGTGAGAAACATGGACTCAGGAGGTGCTTAGGAAGACAATCTTGGTAAGACATGATAGGCTGGCCTCAATAAGAAAACATGGGTGGGTGAAAATATATGTGTAGGTGATAGGTGGTTAGTTAATGATGGGTGACACTTGATTCAGACATGCCATAAGTTAAATTATAATAAAATAATGAAATGTGTCTCAAATTTACTGCCACTGATGCTGAAAGTCAGACAAAACTATTTGAGAAATTATGTTGCTGCCCACATTAATAAAGTAGCATATAGAATTTCACATGCCTCCTCTCCTAATAATACTGCCATATTTCAAACAGAAACTTTCCTTGTGTGTGCCAGTACTGATCCTGACATTTCGCTATTACCCTAAAACATTTTTTGTTAATCCCTCTAAATGACATAGTAAGTGATTTCTTGATGCTGAATAAACACAATGTGCTGGTTAATCTGAAGGGAGATACAACTGATATTAGTATATATTCAAATGTATTTTGAAATATGCATATTGGATAAAATGTTGCTCTAACAGTTTTTCGTGCACTAAATTAACGTTTTTAAGGCATTTTAGTTTTACCAGCGGGACCACAATGGGTGTCAAGATTTTCTAAAGAACTTCATCCAGAAAGCTTCACTCCTGAGAATTGAGGAAAAAAAGTGTAATAGGAATAAAAAGACTTGATAGTGAAATAAAAAGTCATTAGAAAGACTAGATGTGTCATTAGAAAGTACAAGAAGGGTGTGGAAAGCAGGACCATGACTGAAATTGGGCATATAGTTTCTCAGTCACTGAACAAGCATCTGCCAGGTACTACTAAGTGCAAGAAACTGCCTTAAATACTCATGAAACGTATCAATAAGTCAATTTCCCCATAACCTATTGAGGAATGGGGAAATTGACTTATTGATAGGTTTCATGAGTAATTAAGATAATTCTACCTATTTAGGAAATTATAGGCTAATTGTCATCTAGCCTTCTGTGTGTGTGTGTCTATATATGTATTTATCTGTTTGTGTATGTGTGTGTGTGTGCCTCCATGGGGAAACTGACTTATTGATAGTAGTGTCACATCAGTGTTCCTTTTTTAGTTGTTGTTATGGAGACATATACAAAGAATAGTGATTAAGGGTGGTGAGATAATATATAAGCAAAGTCTGTCATTGTCAGGCACTGCTTGGTTAAAGGTAATCAAAAGGAGTCAGGCTTGGAGGGACTGATACCCAGAACCAAAATGCCTATGAGGATTAGTCAGATGGTGAAGGGACAGACTGAATGCCATATTCTGAGATGCTGCCTGGTCCAGCAGCATGGAGACAGTAACAGCTCTGACATCAGCCAGTTCAGATAAGTCAGCATGCAGGTGTCCCACTCTGAAGGTGAGTCAAAGGCAGTAAGCCTCAGGATTAGTGTCAGCAGTTTTGGGACCTTAATTAAGCAAATGTGTTCAAATTCAGAAGTACTTTTCAAAGGATGGATGCTGGGCAGAGCTGGGTAGATTGTCAAGCAAGAGATTCAGGCACAGAAAACTGAGCCAAAACTCAAATCTCAGACCCGGGACAAAAAGGCAGGACTGCACTAGTTACTTGATGTTAAGTCCCTGAAAAATGACTTCTTTCTGACTGAATACTAGTCATATCCAAGCAAGGCAAGGTTTTAATTTACATATCAATATATAAGGGGCAGCAAATGCTGTTTAAAAATCTGTAATTCAATAGTTCCACATTCAATTTTATTTTATTTGGAACATAGTTTACAGATTCTGGCAATAAATTTGTGCTATCTTTATAAAATAAATGGAGGAGATTCTCATCTTTCTTTATGGTATCAGATAGTTAAGCAACATCGGAATAATTTGAAAAATTTGGCCCCCCTTTTAAGAGGCAGACCACTTTTCTTAATATTTTGTGTTTATTATATTTATCCCTCATTTATTTGATATTTTAAGACCTTTACAGAATCTTCTCTCTTATGTAGGAGACACAAATTGGAAAGTTGGTGCTATGGTTTGAATGTATCCCCTCCAAAATTTGTGCGTTGAAAGCTTAATTCCTAATGCAGCAGTGTTGGGAGGTGTGGCCTTTTGTGAGGCATTTAGGTCATGAGGGCAGAATGAATTAATGCAATTATAAAAAGGGCTTGTGGGTGTGGACTCACTCTCTTTTTAGCTCTTCCATGTGAGAATACAATGTTCGTCTCTCTTGCCCTTCCACCTTCTACCACGTAAGGATGCAGCAAGAAGTCCCTTACCAGACACCATTGTTTTGATCTTGGGCTTTCCAGCCTCCAGAACAGTAAAGAAACATATTTCCATTCTTCGTAAATTACCCAGCCTATGGTATTCTGTTATAGCAGCGCAAACACTTAAGGCAATTGGAAATTGGACAAAGTTGAAGACTTTTAAGAAAAGAGTGATGGAGTCAAGGCTAGAACAGCATCATGAGGGCTGTTCTATAAATACTTTCGGACTTTTCAAAGACATGTTGCTTCAAGTGCAAATAACCTGTTTTTATTTTGATTTTGACCTAAGCTCTCTTTATCTAAATTATATGATAAATATAATTTATTCATATTTATGTAAATAGTATGACATGGTTTTTGAGTAACAAAATATTTTCAGTCCTAGAAAAACAAAGTTTTGGTAACCACAGTGAACCTGGCAATAAGCGCAGTTTAGAGCCACTAAAAGAAGCTGTGAAGCTCTAGTTTTAAAATGGTTTGTAAGCCACATGTCCTTATAACGGGATGACATTTGTGAACTCTACACATGTAAAAACAGGAAAATAATGAATTTGCTTTCACTGAAGATCGTCTAACCATGGTTCCTTTCTATTTTTTGCACATACACACACAGACATTTTCTGTTGTTTGGAACCTAAAAGAAATATATATATATATATATATATATACACATACATGCATTTTAACACATAACATTTTATTTCTTTTGAAATACAATTTAATATATGAAAAATTATTAAATGCCTGCTGTGTTCTATATTATTATTTATTTTAAAATATTGTCTACTTAGGCACCTGAACTGAACATAAAAAATATATACAGTTAGTGTTTACCTTGGTTTAATATACGTAGGATGATATAACCCCAACATTATTTGAAGAGAGTCTAGAGTTATTAAAGCAAACTGTTATAATGTAAAATGTATTACATTTTAAGTTTGCTTTTTGTTGATAAAAAATTTAAAGCATACCTTAATTAAACAAAATGAAAATATTCTCAATATAAATAATGAGTTGATGGAGGAAATAAAGATGGCTTTCAAATTTCCTTTATGTTTCTAACTTGAATGTTACCAATCATATCATGCATATTATGAGATTTTGTGTGTGGGAAAAGGCATAAAGCTATGATCTTGGGGGCATGTGGCTCAGGCTGAATTTGCTAGCACAGCCAAGTCAGGCACACAATACAGCAAATCATTTGTTTGGTGCTTTAAGGCAGTTTCAGTTTAAGAATGAGTTGTATATATTCCTTACTTTGTCTTTATGTTGCTCATATTGTCAAATTTGGGTTATGATTTTCTTGAGGAAGCTAGAAAAGTGAAACACACAATTTAAATGCATTTTCTAATCAAGACATATAAACAGATTTTTGTGTATTATGTATACTTTTTACTTTTCTTGAGAAACAAAAGACCAAAGCACTTAACAGCATAGGTATGTCTACTTCAATCCTTTGACCATAAAAATATATATACAACTTAAGAATTGTATAATTTTTTCCATGTACACATATTTTATTAATAATACTCTGCTCAAACAATTTTTTTAACCAGTCAGAAAATATTTTTTAAACACCCATTCTTCTTTTGGGTTAGAATAATGTTTTCCATTTGGAATTTGTCCTCTAATTGGTTTATTACTCGCCAAAGGGGAAATGGTGAGCCTTTGAATGTGTTATTCAGAGTAATACAGACTATGCGCTAAAATGTAACGCTTTATGTTTAGAAGACAGCTTTAGCTCAATTTTAATCCTGCTAAAATCTACATAACATAGGTATGCCCTTTATATACCTTATTTATATAGCGTAATTGAAAAACAATTATAAAAAACAATTGACAATAAAATTGAAAAACAATTATGCTATTCTTCATTAGAGTAGAAATTGTTGATTGTCTTCTCCAACAACCATTGCCCCATTTCTCCTTCCTGAGAATGTCCTGATTTCTATTTATGTGTCCGTATCTCTTCTGGGCAGCCCAAGAGCTTCTAAGGAAGTTTATGTCTGAAAAACAGTAATCCCATTATCCTTGCAACAGGAACAGGTTCAGAAACAGTGCTAAATCAATGTAGCCACAGCAATTATTTTATATGTGATGTGCGACCCAATTTGGGCCCATGAGACATGAAGAAAGATGGCTGGGCTCTTCTGAGAGAGTAGTCTCTTCTCTTGTAAATACATTGTGGTGTGCCAGTGTGAGGCCTAGTACTGCTGTCGCCATTTATACCAATTTGAGGATGCAGCCACATAGGCAAGTACAGCTAAAGGAATAGCAGAGATATGGAGATGCAGCCACTGAATTAAGCCAATCCCAGAGCCTGCTCTACCTCTGAAATTTATGATGTAAATTTCTTATTTACTTTACTTTGCATGTTCTCATCAAAAACATTCTAAATTCATAGGTTCAAAAACCACATATTTCAGATTTTTAGCATAGTTTTTTCCCAGTATTTTCAGGAAGGGCAATTCATTGTGTCAAATTAAATATGATATATTTTAAAATATTTTAAGTGTCTATGTAAATAGAGGTATACACTACAAAAATTGTTAGTCAAACCATATGTTCTGATTTGGGGTTTGAAAAGCATCACGTCCATTTTTGGAGCTAATGCTTATTAACATGGTTTTCTCAATGTTTGGCAAGATACTTGAAGCACATTTTCAGTACATCCTGAAAACATTTTCCCTTCTGTTTATAGTTTATGATATCATTACCTCGGTCCATCATGAAGCAGCTACTTATATATTCTGCTCTCTTGCTATTCTTCCATTCAGAGTTACCTAATATTAACTACCGTTTAATAGTGAACAATAGTACGTCTTTTTAAAAGCCACATTTAGCTGAACTTTTTCATTCATTCAACATTGAATTATGATTTTTAGTATTGTACCCAGCCTGTGCCAGCACAGTGCTAGCCATTGGTATTAGCTGTGTGACAGATAAAAGTCCCGCACTCTAAGCGTTTATTGACTTGTGGTTTAGACAGAAAAGGAAATGAACAGTTAATTCAAAGTGATAAGAATATTATGGGGCTAAGTATAGAGTCTTATGAAAACAAATGGTGGGTGGTATGTAATCCAGACTTGGGTATTTAGAGAAGGAGACTCAAAAAAAGTAACATCTAAGCTGAGACTGAAAGGCCAAGTAGGAAATAGCTGTTAACCGTGTGAAGTTCTGAGAGGAAGAGGGAAGGCATAGAAGTGGCTTTCTCGGTCAGGGAACAGTGCATAGACACAAAAAGAGAAGAGAATATGGTACATCCTGGGCAGCCAGAAGTAATTCGAGATGCTGGTGCACAAAGCATTTCATGTCATCAGAAGCCCAATTAGGAAGGGCTTTGGAGGCCTGCTAATGAATTTGAACTTTACTCTGAGAACACTGAGAAACTTTGGAAGGAAGAAACTTAAACAGTGAATAAGAGGATATCTTTACCTTTAGTGTAATTGTCCAAAAGAGATCAAGATTACCGCCAGGGAGACCAGTAAGAGAGCCTAGGCAGTCATTTGAGCAAGAAATGATGTTGGCTTGGGTTCTCTTAAGAAAAATAATTAATAGGATGTAGTGATTAATTGGGTGTTGTGGAGAACTGGGGTGTTAATTTAATACATTATTTAATGGCTGTCAGATCCCACAGGACTTACTCTCATAGAACTCCTTTTGACTTGAATAGTTTTAGTCATAAGTTATTCAAGATACCTATGTCCTGGGCAAGAGAGCATGCATAGAACTGCTATATCAATATAAAAACCCGATTCCATGTTCAGAATAATTAAAAAAAAAAAAACCTTTGTGCTTGAGCAAAGGAGGATTGAGCAGAAGATACGTGTAAACATGTAAAATTCTCATCCCTGAGGGGTTTTAATGATCACAATCCGATCAGTGTTGTGAGTTTGGAGGACAGGAGTAACGCTTGGCACAAATCCACCATGGATTAGTAGCTATGTATGTGGTTTTGAACTTCAGAATAGCAGTGAGGTCATCATTGTTGGGAAATTTTAAAGTAGTAGAAAATGGGAACTCATGCATTTCAACTTATAATTAAAGACATTTGAATTAAGGTTGTTTTGGGGTACTTGTAATTTGAAGAAACTCTTTAAGAGAAAAGGGGAAAACTCGAGACAGAAGGTACAAACTCAAAAGCAGTCTGCTAAAATGAACTAAGAGTCAACACAAAGGAAAAGGGAGAGGTCAACGCATTCTCATACTGAATTTCAGTTGCTTTTGTATAGCAATATATTCTTTGTAGTAGTTTGTTTTTTTCTTTAGTTTGTATTCGCTAAGTATGAAAAGGAAAGAAAGAAAAAAATAGTTTCCTTCAAGCAGTATGTTATGGTCTCACACAATCTCTTTAAGAAATGTTAAAAACAATGCAAAACACAACAAAACCACAAGCACAGGAACTTTTGTTATATTCACAATATATAAACCATTTTCTTCTCAAGATGAAATATTCTATACTTCACATATCATTCTCTACTCTTTGTAGCCTGAAAAAAAAAAATCACAAAAGATGATTCCCTATGAAAAAGTTGACTCTTGAGCCAAAATTAATTTTATTTAGTTTAGATTGGTTTAGTTTTTAACTTTTTTACTGTGATATATAAACACACATATAGAACAAAAACAGAACAAAAATTCTCAGTTAAGTGATTTATTACAAAGTGAATACCCTTGTAATCATGAAGTAGGAAGAAATAGCAAATTTCCCAAATTCAAAACACCCTTTATATACCTTAGTCATTATTCCTTACTTCCTTCTCCTCCAAATGTTTATTACCATCATTTTAATGGTAATCACATTCATGCTTGGTCTTTACAGATACACCGTACTAGTATGCATCCTTCAACACTTCATTTAGTGTCAGAGTTTTGAAGATTACCTGAATGGAATCATGGAGTGCGCATTCTATTAGTCTGGGGTCTTTCATTTCACTTTATATTTGAGAGATACATACCCAATGTTGTTTTTAGTTGTTTATCAAATAATTCACAAGGATTGTATGGATATACCAGAACTTCTTTGTCTCTTCTACCTCTGATGGACTTCTGAGTTATTTCCAATTTCAAATTATTAGGTACAATGCTACTATAACATTCTCATGCCTGTTTCTTGGGGCACATGCACTCATTGCCATTGGGTAGAGATTGTTGAGTCAATAGGTTATGTGTAAGTTCAACTTCAGTAAGTAATGTCAAACAGTTTTCCAAGAGGTTATACCAATTTACAACTCAATCATCAGGTAATGAGAGTTCTATTTGTTCCACATCCTCACCAACTCTTGTGGCTATCAGTTGTTTCCTTTTTAGCAGTTCTTGTGGATATATAGTAGTTACTTATTTTGGTTTTATTTGCATTTTTATGATTGCTAATTTTAGTAGTCCATTCTTGTACTGATATAAAGAAATACCTGAGACTGGGTAATTTATAAAGAAAAGACCCTTAATTGGCTCATAGTTCTGCAGGCTGTACAGGAAGCATAGCAACCTTTACTTCTGGAAAGGCCTCAGGAAACTTCTAACCATGGCAGAAGGCAAAGTGGGAGTGAGGCACATCACATGGCCAGAGCAGGAGGAAGGAGGGGAGGTGCCGCACACTTTTAAACAACCAGATCTCAACTAGAACTCAGTATCGTGATGATGACACCAAGGGGGAATGGCATTAAACAATGAGAAATTGCTCCCATGATCCAGTCACCTCCCACCAGGCCCCACCTCCGACATTGGGGATTGTAATTCAACATAAGATTTGGATAGGGACACAGATCCAAACCATATTACAAATGAGATTGAACCCTCTTCCAGATGTTTATTGAATGCTTTGGATTTTTTCTTCTTTGAAGTACTTATTCAAATCTCTTGCCCATTTTTCTATTGAGCTGCCTTTTTCTTACTTATCTATAAATATCTTTTGTAGACTTGGTATGTGAGCCCTTTGTCAGATACTTGTACTGCACATACTATCCCCAGCCTGAGGCTTGCCTCTTCACTCTCTTGATACTGTCTTTTGATAAAGATATTTTTAGTTTTAATGTAGCCCATTTATCAATCTTTGCCTATAGGGTTAGTGAATTTTCTGTCTTTTGAAAAGTTTTTTTCTCACTGTAAGGTCATGAAGACATTCCCTTATAGTATTTTCTAGAATGTTTGTTTTTATTTGCCTTTTACAATTAGATCTAAAAATCTAACTGGAATTATTTTCTGTTTGTATCTTATGATATAGAGGAACAACTTCCATTTTTAAAATATTGATATCCAATGGTCTCAGCACATTTTTTTCCCCACTGCTCTGTAGAGCTTTCTCATAAATCAATAATCTATATATGCATAAGTCTATTTGTGTGATTCTCATTTTAATCCATTGATCTAATCTATCCTTTTACCAATACCTCACTATTTCAGTTATATATTATTGTAATTACAATCAATATTTATTTTTACCAATATACTTTCCCTTTTCATTGCTCTCCATTTCTCCATGCATCCCAACCTTCCATCTGAACTTATTTTCCTCATGCTTGATGACTATCCTTTAGTGCAAGTGTTTAGAAAAGTAATTCTCTCGATTTCTGTTTGTCTGAAAAATACTTACTTCTCCTTCCTTCTTCAAGTATATTTTTATTGGGTATAAAATTTGTACCTTAGCAGGTTTTTTCCTCAGACTTATAGATATATTACTCCATTCTCTTGCTTTTATTTTTTTGCCTGTTGAGAAGACAGCTCTCTGTGTACCTTTTGTGGCTTTGAAGATAACTGTCTTATTTTTCTTGCTACTTTTAAGATTTGTATTCTATCCTTCTGTCTCATTTATTCAGTAAGTTTGCACATAGGTGTGATGTTTTTTTTTTTTTTTTTTTTTTTTTTTTTTTTTTTTTTATTATACTCTAAGTTTTAGGGTACATGTGCACATTGTGCAGGTTAATTACATATGTATACATGTGCCATGCTGGGGCGCTGCACCCACTAATGTGTCATCTAGCATTAGGTATATCTCCCAATGCTATCCTCCCCCCTCCCCCGACCCCACCACAGTCCCCAGAGTGTGATATTCCCCTTCCTGTGTCCATGTGATCTCATTGTTCAATTCCCACCTATGAGTGAGAATATGCGGTGTTTGGTTTTTTGTTCTTGCGATAGTTTACTGAGAATGATGGTTTCCAATTTCATCCATGTCCCTACAAAGGATATGAACTCATCATTTTTTATGGCTGCATAGTATTCCATGGTGTATATGTGCCACATTTTCCTAATCCAGTCTATCATTGTTGGACATTTGGGTTGGTTCCAAGTCTTTGCTATTGTGAATAGTGCCGCAATAAACATACGTGTGCATGTGTCTTTATAGCAGCATGATTTATACTCATTTGGGTATATACCCAGTAATGGGATGGCTGGGTCAAATGGTATTTCTAGTTCTAGATCCCTGAGGAATCGCCACACTGACTTCCACAATGGTTGAACTAGTTTACAGTCCCACCAACAGTGTAAAAGTGTTCCTATTTCTCCGCATCCTCTCCAGCACCTGTTGTTTCCTGACTTTTTAATGATTGCCATTCTAACTGGTGTGAGATGATATCTCATAGTGGTTTTGATTTGCATTTCTCTGATGGCCAGTGATGATGAGCATTTCTTCATGTGTTTTTTGGCTGCATAAATGTCTTCTTTTGAGAAGTGTCTGTTCATGTCCTTCGCCCACTTTTTGATGGGGTTGTTTGTTTTTTTCTTGTAAATTTGTTTGAGTTCATTGTAGATTCTGGATATTAGCCCTTTGTCAGATGAGTAGGTTGCAAAAATTTTCTCCCATGTTGTAGGTTGCCTGTTCACTCTGATGGTAGTTTCTTTTGCTGTGCAGAAGCTCTTTAGTTTAATTAGATCCCATTTGTCAATTTTGTCTTTTGTTGCCATTGCTTTTGGTGTTTTGGACATGAAGTCCTTGCCCACGCCTATGTCCTGAATGGTAATGCCTAGGTTTTCTTCTAGGGTTTTTATGGTTTTAGGTTTAACGTTTAAATCTTTAATCCATCTTGAATTGATTTTTGTATAAGGTGTAAGGAAGGGATCCAGTTTCAGCTTTCTACATATGGCTAGCCAGTTTTCCCAGCACCATTTATTAAATAGGGAATCCTTTCCCCATTGCTTGTTTTTCTCAGGTTTGTCAAAGATCAGATAGTTGTAGATATGCGGCATTATTTCTGAGGGCTCTGTTCTGTTCCATTGATCTATATCTCTGTTTTGGTACCAGTACCATGCTGTTTTGGTTACTGTAGCCTTGTAGTATAGTTTGAAGTCAGGTAGTGTGATGCCTCCAGCTTTGTTCTTTTGGCTTAGGATTGACTTGGCAATGCGGGCTCTTTTTTGGTTCCATATGAACTTTAAAGTAGTTTTTTCCAATTCTGTGAAGAAAGGCATTGGTAGCTTGATGGGGATGGCATTGAATCTGTAAATTACCTTGGGCAGTATGGCCATTTTCACGATACTGATTCTTCCTACCCATGAGCATGGAATGTTCTTCCATTTGTTTGTCTCCTCTTTTATTTCCTTGAGCAGTGGTTTGTAGTTCTCCTTGAAGAGGTCCTTCACATCCCTTGTAAGTTGGATTCCTAGGTATTTTATTCTCTTTGAAGCAATTGTGAATGGGAGTTCACCCATGATTTGGCTCTCTGTTTGTCTGTTGTTGGTGTATAAGAATGCTTGTGATTTTTGTACATTGATTTTGTATCCTGAGACTTTGCTGAAGTTGCTTATCAGCTTAAGGAGATTTTGGGCTGAGACGATGGGGTTTTCTAGATAAACAATCATGTCGTCTGCAAACAGGGACAATTTGACTTCCTCTTTTCCTAATTGAATACCCTTTATTTCCTTCTCCTGCCTGATTGCCCTGGCCAGAACTTCCAACACTATGTTGAATAGGAGCGGTGAGAGAGGGCATCCCTGTCTTGTGCCGGTTTTCAAAGGGAATGCTTCCAGTTTTTGCCTATTCAGTATGATATTGGCTGTGGGTTTGTCATAGATAGCTCTTATTATTTTGAAATACGTCCCATCAATACCTAATTTATTGAGAGTTTTTAGCATGAAGGGTTGTTGAATTTTGTCAAAGGCTTTTTCTGCATCTATTGAGATAATCATGTGGTTTTTGTCTTTGGCTCTGTTTATATGCTGGATTACATTTATTGATTTGCGTATATTGAACCAGCCTTGCATCCCAGAGATGAAGCCCACTTGATCATGGTGGATAAGCTTTTTGATGTGCTGCTGGATTCGGTTTGCCAGTATTTTATTGAGGATTTTTGCATCAATGTTCATCAAGGATATTGGTCTAAAATTCTCTTTTTTGGTTGTGTCTCTGCCCGGCTTTGGTATCAGAATGATGCTGGCCTCATAAAATGAGTTAGGGAGGATTCCCTCTTTTTCTATTGATTGGAATAGTTTCAGAAGGAATGGTACCAGTTCCTCCTTGTACCTCTGGTAGAATTTGGCTGTGAATCCATCTGGTCCTGGACTCTTTTTGGTTGGTAAACTATTGATTATTGCCACAATTTCAGAGCCTGTTATTGGTCGATTCAGAGATTCAACTTCTTCCTGGTTTAGTCTTGGGAGAGTGTATGTGTCGAGGAATGTATCCATTTCTTCTAGATTTTCTAGTTTATTTGCGTAGAGGTGTTTGTAGTATTCTCTGATGGTAGTTTGTATTTCTGTGGGATCGGTGGTGATATCCCCTTTATCATTTTTTATTGTGTCTATTTGATTCTTCTCTCTTTTTTTCTTTATTAGTCTTGCTAGCGGTCTATCAATTTTGTTGATCCTTTCAAAAAACCAGCTCCTGGATTCATTGATTTTTTGAAGGGTTTTTTGTGTCTCTATTTCCTTCAGTTCTGCTCTGATTTTAGTTATTTCTTGCCTTCTGCTAGCTTTTGAATGTGTTTGCTCTTGCTTTTCTAGTTCTTTTAATTGTGATGTTAGGGTGTCAATTTTGGATCTTTCCTGCTTTCTCTTGTAGGCATTTAGTGCTATAAATTTCCCTCTACACACTGCTTTGAATGCGTCCCAGAGATTCTGGTATGTGGTGTCTTTGTTCTCGTTGGTTTCAAAGAACATCTTTATTTCTGCCTTCATTTCGTTATGTACCCAGTAGTCATTCAGGAGCAGGTTGTTCAGTTTCCATGTAGTTGAGCGGCTTTGAGTGAGATTCTTAATCCTGAGTTCTAGTTTGATTGCACTGTGGTCTGAGAGATAGTTTGTTATAATTTCTGTTCTTTTACATTTGCTGAGGAGAGCTTTACTTCCAACTATGTGGTCAATTTTGGAATAGGTGTGGTGTGGTGCTGAAAAAAATGTATATTCTGTTGATTTGGGGTGGAGAGTTCTGTAGATGTCTATTAGGTCTGCTTGGTGCAGAGCTGAGTTCAATTCCTGGGTATCCTTGTTGACTTTCTGTCTCGTTGATCTGTCTAATGTTGACAGTGGGGTGTTAAAGTCTCCCATTATTAATGTGTGGGAGTCTAAGTCTCTTTGTAGGTCACTGAGGACTTGCTTTATGAATCTGGGTGCTCCTGTATTGGGTGCATAAATATTTAGGATAGTTAGCTCCTCTTGTTGAATTGATCCCTTTACCATTATGTAATGGCCTTCTTTGTCTCTTTTGATCTTTGTTGGTTTAAAGTCTGTTTTATCAGAGACTAGGATTGCAACCCCTGCCTTTTTTTGTTTTCCATTGGCTTGGTAGATCTTCCTCCATCCTTTTATTTTGAGCCTATGTGTGTCTCTGCACGTGAGATGGGTTTCCTGAATACAGCACACTGATGGGTCTTGACTCTTTATCCAACTTGCCAGTCTGTGTCTTTTAATTGCAGAATTTAGTCCATTTATATTTAAAGTTAATATTGTTATGTGTGAATTTGATCCTGTCATTATGATGTTAGCTGGTGATTTTGCTCATTAGTTGATGCAGTTTCTTCCTAGTCTCGATGGTCTTTACATTTTGGCATGATTTTGCAGCGGCTGGTACCGGTTGTTCCTTTCCATGTTTAGCGCTTCCTTCAGGAGCTCTTTTAGGGCAGGCCTGGTGGTGACAAAATCTCTCAACATTTGCTTGTCTATAAAGTATTTTATTTCTCCTTCACTTATGAAGCTTAGTTTGGCTGGATATGAAATTCTGGGTTGAAAATTCTTTTCTTTAAGAATGTTGAATATTGGCCCCCACTCTCTTCTGGCTTGTAGGGTTTCTGCCGAGAGATCCACTGTTAGTCTGATGGGCTTTCCTTTGAGGGTAACCCGACCTTTCTCTCTGGCTGCCCTTAACATTTTTTCCTTCATTTCAACTTTGGTGAATCTGACAATTATGTGTCTTGGAGTTGCTCTTCTCGAGGAGTATCTTTGTGGCGTTCTCTGTATTTCCTGAATCTGAACGTTGGCCTGCCTTGCTAGATTGGGGAAGTTCTCCTGGATAATATCCTGCAGAGTGTTTTCCAACTTGGTTCCATTCTCCACATCACTTTCAGGTACACCAATCAGACGTAGATTTGGTCTTTTCACATAGTCCCATATTTCTTGGAGGCTTTGCTCATTTCTTTTTATTCTTTTTTCTCTAAACTTCCCTTCTCGCTTCATTTCATTCATTTCATCTTCCATTGCTGATACCCTTTCTTCCAGTTGATCGCATCGGCTCCTGAGGCTTCTGCATTCTTCACGTAGTTCTCGAGCCTTGGTTTTCAGCTCCATCAGCTCCTTTAAGCACTTCTCTGTATTGGTTATTCTAGTTATACATTCTTCTAAATTTTTTTCAAAGTTTTCAACTTCTTTGCCTTCGGTTTGAATGTCCTCCCGTAGCTCAGAGTAATTTGATCGTCTGAAGCCTTCTTCTCTCAGCTCGTCAAAGTCGTTCTCCATCCAGCTTTGTTCTGTTGCTGGTGAGGAACTGCGTTCCTTTGGAGGAGGAGAGGCGCTCTGCGTTTTAGAGTTTCCAGTTTTTCTGTTCTGTTTTTTCCCCATCTTTGTGGTTTTATCTACTTTTGGTCTTTGATGATGGTGATGTACAGATGGGTTTTCGGTGTAGATGTCCTTTCTGGTTGTTAGTTTTCCTTCTAACAGACAGGACCCTCAGCTGCAGGTCTGTTGGAATACCCTGCCGTGTGAGGTGTCAGTGTGCCCCTGCTGGGGGGTGCCTCCCAGTTAGGCTGCTCGGGGGTCAGGAGTCAGGGACCCACTTGAGGAGGCAGTCTGCCCGTTCTCAGATCTCCAGCTGCGTGCTGGGAGAACCACTGCTCTCTTCAAAGCTGTCAGACAGGGACACTTAAGTCTGCAGAGGTTACTGCTGTCTTTTTGTTTGTCTGTGCCCTGCCCCCAGAGGTGGAGCCTACAGAGGCAGGCAGGCCTCCTTGAGCTGTGGTGGGCTCCACCCTGTTCGAGCTTCCCGGCTGCTTTGTTTACCTAAGCAAGCCTGGGCAATGGCGGGCGCCCCTCCCCCAGCCTCGTTGCCGCCTTGCAGTTTGATCTCAGACTGCTGTGCTAGCAATCAGCGAGATTCCGTGGGCGTAGGACCCTCCGAGCCAGGTGTGGGATATAGTCTCGTGGTGCGCCGTTTCTTAAGCCGGTCTGAAAAGCGCAATATTCGGGTGGGAGTGACCCGATTTTCCAGGTGCGTCCGTCACCCCTTTCTTTGACTCGGAAAGGGAACTCCCTGACCCCTTGCGCTTCCCAGGTGAGGCAATGCCTCGCCCTGCTTCGGCTCGCGCACGGTGCGCACACACACTGGCCTGCGCCCACTGTCTGGCACTCCCTAGTGAGATGAACCCGGTACCTCAGATGGAAATGCAGAAATCACCGTCTTCTGCGTCGCTCACGCTGGGAGCTGTAGACCGGAGCTGTTCCTATTCGGCCATCTTGGCTCCTCCTTCAGGTGTGATGTTTTAAGAAAAAAAAATTGCTTGGAGTTTGTGAGCATTCTTGAATCTGTAGTTTAATATCTTTCATCAGTTTTTGAAAGTTCTCAACAATGATCTCTTCAAATATTTCTTTTGCTCTCTTTTCCTCTATTGTGATGTTTTAAATACTAATACATTAGAATTCTTAATCTTTCCTGTAAATCTTGTATCACCTTTTCTGTGTTCTCCTTCTCTTTTCTCCCTCTACCTCTCTCCTTTTCTCTTTCCTATTCTATATATTTTATTTTTCTTATTTTACAGCTACCAATTCATCTTTTGCTAGGTCAAATCTGCTGTTATACCTATGCACTGATTTTCTAATCTTGATAAATGTCATTTAAATTCCACATTTTCCATTTGATTCTTTCTTTATAACTTCCAGTTCCAATACTCAATCTTGTCTGTTATTTCTTTGAACATAGAAAGCATAGTTATTTTATAGTCTGTGTCTTTTATCTTCATTTTGTGCAAATTTCTGTTTCTTATTATTTCTGCTATTTTCCTTAAATGTGTTGTTTTCTCCAAGTGTGACTTATTATTTTTTATTATATGCCATTAATTGATTTTGTAAATTTGCTTATAGAAATAATTTGAGGCTTCAGATGATGTTGTCTTCCTCCAGGGAGGATTTACATTTGCTTTTGTCAGATATTTGGGCAGAACTGGCAAGGTGGGATTCATCCAGTCCAATTTCAAAGATTTCATGATGTAAAGCCAAGTTCTGGCAACTGTGAAGGTCTCCTTACTTCTAGTTCACCCTTAATTCCAAAGGTATAGTGTAGCAAAAGCAAAGAGAATTACCAGGACTCTACAATTTTGGCAGGCCCTGAACTCCAATTTCTGATCCCTGGTCCTACTGGTTTGTCAAATGCATAGGTCAGCCTTACAGCTGCCCCATCCAGAATGAAGAAGTGTTCTTAGAGGGAAGATAGCTTCAACTCTCAGACTCATATTCACAGACTTCTATTTCCTTCCATTATCTGTCCCAATAATTCTTCAATATGTTAGTAGATTTCATTTCCTTTAAGCATATACTCAAAAACACTTTGTCGAACTTTATTTTAAGTGGAAATGTTGGTTAGAATTACCTCTGTTTGGAGCAGAAGCTTAGAAAATGAGTTCGTTTCTGTAAGCATGAACTCATTGTCTCATCTTCTCAAGTAAGAAAAATATATCAGAAGGTAAAATTATGAATATTTCATAAAACTCAAAGCTGGAGAAAAGTGGTATAGAAAGTATTTTTAGGAGACCATGAAATATGAAGTTTTTAATTCTGATCTGATCATATTATTCACTTCTTTTCTTAGTTTAATTAAACTACTAATGAAATATGACCAGAAACTCTACAAGGGAGCCACTGCTACTTGAATCAACAAGGGCTTAGAAAGTATGCTTTCGACTGCCAGTGGAGGGGAAAAAATGTTGGCTCTTAGCTAAAGTGCCTTTAAGATTCTAAATGGTGCCAAAATTTTAAATTCACAATTTGGTTTATTTGTGAAAGAAAACAGGAAAACCATCGTGATAGATTATGTTTTTCTGACTACAAGTTCTAAGGCTTTGAAAGTTGTGGTTTCCAGAATGTAAAAGAAAGAGAGCCAGAGACAGTGTTTTATATTCTTTTTTTTTTTTCAAAAATAATTTTTAAGTTTTTTTTTTAAAAAAAAATAGAGACAAGATTTCACCATGTTGCCCAGGCTGGCCTCAAACTCCTGGGCTCAAGTAATTCCTCCTGTCTCGGCCTCCCAAAGTGCCAGGATTACAGGTGTGAGCCACCATGCCTTGCCAAGAATATTTTATATTCTAGAGCCACAGCAAAGCAGGAAAATTATAGTGGTCTAATGACGTTGTTCGGTATGTGATTTAAACTTGAGATGATATATGCTTGTATTTGAATTGCTAAATGGCATGCATTTTTCTGTCTGGCTATAGGACAGAACTGCAAAGTAAAAGCATAATTGCAAACTATTTTGGAATTTGCTGACCAAATTATCAATTGTTTCATATTAGCACCATGGTCAGCTTTATGTTCTTATCTTGTGATATCATTTAATTAATCAAAGTACTAGTTATAAAAACTAGACATTTGTTTTTTTTCCTCTAAAATAAAAACAGCAGACAAAGAGCTGTAGTTTCAGGAAAAGAGTGCGAAAACCAAGAACTGGCAATCTTTCACACCTCCTTATCTTATAGCAATTGTAAGATTATTTGAAAATTCTACACTGAAGTGATTAAAGTGATTAAAATGATGAAAAGGAGCAATGCATAGCTGGCAGCAAACATGGCATGTTTTATATAAAGAAAAGTAGGCATTGATGTAGTTTGAGAGCAGCCAACTACAGGCTGCCAGGGTCTGTCCAAAATTATGTGTTCAGGACTTTGGCTTTTGTCAGTATGGTAGGTAAGATACTCTGAAGGATCCTCCTAGGGGAAAAAAACATCCTCTCCATAAAACATTTTTATCATATTTCTCGGCTTGCAGGCAATAAAGGAAAATGCTAAAGAAACTGTCACTCCAACACAAAAACATGCTGAAAATGGAACCATGAACACACTCAAAAATAACTTTACTTTTACGGCACATGCCTGTATTTGTGCTACAATTTGGGAAACTATGTCTTGGACCATGAACAAAATGGGTGAAATGAATCAGACTCTAGGATTATTAACCCAAGAACTCCCCAAGGAAGACAAAGTTGCCTAAGGCCAGTAGTACTTTCCTGCTTCTGATAGAAACAAACATAATTCTTCTCCAAAGGTAATCATCCTCAATTTAAGCCACAAATTTTCATGGATAAAGACAAATCATATCAAGGTCAGAATCAAAGATCATTAAGTGCACACAAAAGCACTATAAGTGGGTTTCAGTAGTGACCACAAGCAAATTGAGATGTTGGAATTATTGAATAATCAATATAAGTTTCTAAGTAAAAATCTTTAAATAAGCAAAAATGAATTATGACTAACTTTAGCAAAATTAACTTTCATGAGGTGGCTTGTGCACCACTTTATAAACTTTCCGTTCCACCTCTTATCCAGCCATCGATGCAGTGCCCAGTTCCACATGCTCTGTAAACAGCTTTGTTCGAATGCACCTGCTGATATGTTTTCTCAAACAGTGTGGGTCTCATCTCTTCCTTCCTGCCTGGGAATTCTCTGATACCGTAGCATGGGAACTCACTTGGTACTCATGTATGCACGACCTGGGAGAATTCCTGCCCATAGTGCCCCACTTTGACCAATGGAGATAATTTGAATGTAGCCACATTTATCAACTTTTTAATAGTTTTGTTCTGTACAATTTCTTTTTTTTCTTTTTGGGACAGAGTCTCTCTCTTTCGCCCAGGCCAGAGTGCAGTGGCGCTATCTCGGCTCACTGCAAGCTCCACCTCCTGGGTTCACACCATTCTCCTGCCTCAGCCTCCCAAGTAGCTGGGACTACAGGCGCCCGCCACAGCGCCCAGCTAATTTTTTGTATTTTTAGTAGAGACGGTGTTTCACCGTGTTAGCCAGGATGGTCTCGATCTCCTGACCTCGTGATCCGCCTGCCTTGGCTTCCCAAAGTGCTGGGATTACAGGTGTGAGCAACCGCACCTGGCCTGTTCTGCACCATTTCATAAAAATTTTTTATATCTCAAGTTTGTAATAATCTCTTGTATTGTCTTTTAAATTTAAAATTTTGTTTTCCAAATTTGAGTCTTTAATCCATTGGGATTACTCTTTGGTTAAAGGGTGGCTGTGACATACCAATAAGATTTGATTTAATTTTATTTTAATATGGATGACCAATTGCCCTAACCCCCAATGTGAGCCTCAAGCTGGACTCTTCATTCTGATTAGTGGATAAAATTATTTATCTCAATTCTAATATTACAGCTTTGTTATTTAGCTTTATAATATATTTCTCTTCCATCCTTACTCTTTTTATTGTGTCCTCCATGTTCTGGCTCCACATGGGTCTTTTCCATTCTGTATAAGTTATATAATTATTTGTAAAATCATTGAAAAAGTCTGCTTGGGTTTTTAAAATTTGGTTGGGTTTCCAACGAAGTTTGGAAATTTTTTGGAAAGAAATTATATCCTTAAGTGGAGATTTTGTGTATTCCTACCTTAAACATGAGATATGTTTTTTTTTTTTTTGAAGTATTTAGGTCTTCTTCAATTTTTCAGAGTTTCACCATTTTCTCCATACATATTCTGAGCATCTCTTATTAGAATTTTATCTTTACGTTTTTCCTTTTTGTTTCAACTGTAAATGGTACATTTTTGTAGATTATATTTAAAATATTGTTTTCTAGCAAATAGTAATGCAATTCCCTATGTATATTGATTTTCTACCTAGACATCTTGCTATAGTCTCTTTATTATTCTAATATTTTATTTATACCTTCTTTTCATTTTCTAGGTAGACAACCATATCATGCAAAAAAAGAATTCCTTTTTTTAGATATTTAAAACATTTAGTTATGTGACTTGGCCACATGACTTGTTTTGGCCATTGGGATGTTACTGAGCATGGTAAGAGTAGAGGCTTGAAGTATGGATGCATAATTGGGCTGGCCCTCTGGACTCCAATCTTTGGCCATGAGAAGAACATGCCTTGAATAACCATTGGTTCAAGGAAGATGAAAGACATGAGCTGCAGATCTAGCTTCGACCCATAGTTTGGAGTAATCTCAGCCAAACTTAGGCTATATCAGCCAAACCTCAGCAAAGTGAGAAATAAATGTCCACTGTAGCACGTCACTGAGATTGTGTGGTTGGTTGTAACAATAGCAGACTGATGCAACATTGAACTCTTTGTCATGTGAGAGTGCTCCCATGTCAATAAATATTTCTGACCAACCTTATAAACTAATTCCCTTTGTATTTTGCCCTTTCTAGTCCTACATCCTTGTAAAGCACTCCCATATATAGTCTCCTGGTTCCTGCGCTTATATTTTTGCCAGGTTTAGCATTTTTGGGGTGTGTAAGTGACTTTTTTTTCTGAAAACAGGGACTATATTTCCCTATTTGGATCATGCTGAGATTTGACTTGAATGTTTGCTCAGAGGAAATAAATAATGAAGGGGTTACTCTTCAGGAACATAAACATCATCTTGCAAGGCACCTGACTCAAGAAAGGCCTTTTCAGGAAAGGGAAGCCTGCTTTCCTCTAGCAAGTAGAAAGGACTTCTGATAGTCAATAGGTTTAGTGGACTCTGGGGCTTTAGATTCTTGGCTCTTCAACACAAATGTCCCCCTTCCAGATCTGAGTCCCACTCTTCTGTTACAACCCTGATTTTGACAGTGGATAATTTTTAAGGCTGTGCATTAAGTTTCTTTTGTAGTTCTGCCAACGTTATCATTAAGAAATGAAGTACAAGAAGTCTGTGACATAAATTGTTTCTAAGAATTAGGCCCTTACTATCTTTCTTACATTATTTTACTTAGTTTTCCCAATACATTCTAAAGTCAAGGTAACTATTATCCTCATATTTAAAGGGAAAAAGTAAAGTTTACAGAGATAAAGTAACTTGCAGGAGACTTTAGCCAATAGGTAGCAGAGTCAAGATTTGAATAATTAGGTCCATTAGACTTCAAAGCCCACACAATGATATGTGGAATGACCATGGACATGAAAATGAATGAAGTACAGAAACAGTTTCTTATTTTACCAAAATTATTCAAAACCAAAAATAAGTAAATGGAAATTAAAAAGAAAGCAAATACAGATGTTTGAGGGGGGAAATATCATTGTTAGAAACTGACAGAATTTTAAGGAGCCAGGTATTATGAGAGGTATAACACACGTAGACAGGGGTAGTCAGTCACATACTAGGAAAGAAATTAAGATTACTGAACACTTAGTAAGTTCCAGACACTACCCCACATGCTTTCACATACATTTTTAAATTTAAACTTGACATTATATTGTAGATCTAGGCATTGTCCAGAACTAGTAGGTGAGGGAGCAGAGTTTTGGCTCAGCTCTGACTTCAATGCCTATGTTCTTTCTACTAGACCCACATTCATCTAAGTGTGGTCCTTGGACCAGCACCATCAGCATCACCTAGCAGCAAAAACCTGGCAGTTTTGTTAGAGATGCAGAATTTTAGGCTCAACCCAGACCTTCTGATCAGAAGCAGTATTTTAACAACATTTTCAGGTGAGTTCTGTGCACATTAAACTCTGAGGAGTACCACATCATTGCATATAATTTCAGCACATGCTGACTTGGAGAACTTAAAAAGTTTAACAATGAACCCACAGGAAGTCTGTCTTCATAGAACTTGGTAAATAACAAGACGTTTAAATCTCTCAGTGGTCTTAAAACAAGACCCAAACGAGGCTAAACGCTATGGAAATCCTGGCTAATTTTGTCTCTAGCTCTTTATTCACACAGGCAAACCTTGAGTTACTTGAATAAGTTATAGTGAAGGATATTTATTAAGAAGCCTCCATGCCCTGAACTATGTTCATGGCAAGACTTCAGAGAATAAGAAATGTTCCTTGTCATTAAAGAACTTTTAATATAAATGTAAAATATAAACTTAGATAAAACAAAAAAAATGTGAACAAACCAACAAGAAAGCACACAAGAAAGGATATAGAATAGAAGCAGGCAGATGACAGAGGTGTGGGTTTTATAGAAGTTCCTGGAGGCCTCAGTTGGCAGAGCCACATGAGTTTACACCGTAAGGCTTCTTGCGAAGTGATTCGAGTCAGAGCTTTGAAGGAAGAACTGTGGTTCCTTGGACAGCAAGTACTAAGCATTTCAGTAAAGGGAAATACCACAAAATAGTTGCTTGGAGATGAGGCGAAGAAAACCATGATTCATATACAGAAGTGAAGGTATTTATCTAGAGAGTAGAAGATGAATTGAGGCCAGATTCAGCTAAGGGTCCATGTTTGACTGAGTGTGTCAAGATTAAGAAGAGAAAGTAAGGAGTAGCTGGGAAAGAAAGGAAAGGAAGAGGAGAACGGCGTATACACATGTATTAGGGAGAGAGACTGAGGGTAAGAGACTGATTGATTTTAAGGAATGGACTGGCAACATACAGGAAGAATTCCTTCATCTTTGCGGAGCCACTCCACTCCCCTTTTTAGGGCCTCCAAATGATTGGATGAGGCTCACACATATTATAGAGGATAATGAGTTTTATTCAAAGCCCGCAGATTTAAATGTTAATTACGTCTAAAAAGATACCTACAAAACAACATCTAGAATGGTATTTGACCAAACAACTGTGCATCATAGCTTTGACAAGTTGGCACATAAAATTAACCATCACGGCATATATAGAGGCACTAAAATTTTCTCAGGTGTCCTTTCAAGTCTGTTGGAGTAGGGTGATTATGGCCAATGTCACTGCCTCCATCAGCAGTGGAGAGTGTGGCCAGTGAGATTGAATTGATTATTATTATGATTTGAAAATGTTTTCTAACTGTATTTTGACTATTAGGTTGATATCAATAGATATTCAGTATCAATATCACAGAAAATGACGTGACATGTGGATTTTATTCAGTAACATTAGAGTTATTTGTTCAGTTCTGAATGCCATGATTTGAACAAAGCAGAGTTCATTCAGAGTAGAATGTCCAGAATAGGTTATCCTTGAAACAAGAAGATTTTGGAGGATGCAATATTTGGTTGTTTTGGACAACATAAAATGGAGCTAAACTGATCCTATGTTGCTCCAGAGGATGGATCAGGACCAATGGGTAAGAGGCACATGATGTCAGTAGAACTTCTTAGCAAGCAGAACTTCATATAGCCGAGCCAACTATCTAGAGGAGCATTTGCGAAAGCAATGAGCTGACTCCAGCATATACTCTCTCAGAGGTAACATGGAGGTGATTCCTGGGTGGTGGTTCAGGTTGAAAAGATGACCATTCATGTGTATTCTGCCTCTAAGATGCTTTGTTCTAAGGCAGTGCCTTTGCTTAGTCATTTTGCTGCCTGTTCCCTGACTAAATAAATATTTGGGTATGAACTATGTAAAAAGAGCCCGGAAAACATTGGGAGCATTTATCGGCTCTTTTGATCCCTCTGTTTGCTTTTAGATCAGCAGTTAAGAAAGGGGTAGAGTGGTGGGCCTAAGAGTAACTTTTATTTTTCTCATACTTCTCTGAATATTCCAAATTTTCTACCATGAATGTGTATTAATGTTATTTTTAACAAGGCAAAGTGAGTGGGGCCAAGTCTACAGTCTACTTTATGTTGACCACAAATGACCCTGTGTATAGAAGTCTTTCCGGCCCTTAGAATAGTGAAGGGGTCTGGGAGAGAGCAGCTGGGAAAGAAGAGGAGCCAGAACTTTGCGTAACCTCTTATTTTTTAAAAAAAGTCTCATCGTGGTTTTGACCAGTATTTTTTAGCATACGGCTATTCCAGGCCCCCTATTTTCTGGCAGATTCATAACACCAAAATTAAAATGTGATTTTGCTTTCCTTTCTTAAGTTGGAAATGCCCCAAACTCAAATGCCCCAGGGTGTGTCAAGGGGGGTTAGGCCTAGAAGGTGATGGAGACTCTCTTCAATGCTCCTTTTTCTGTGATATGACAGGAGGTCAAGGCACTGGGACAGGCTAAGACTATCAGACTTTGGGAGGCACAGTAGGGATATGGAAGTTAGCTGCAGAGAAAGCTTCTGCAGGAAAACAGATTTTGCACTTGCATACTTTTATTCCAGACTGGAGAGATCCCCAAACAGATATGGGAACACATTGGGAGGAAGCGAGCAGACTATACCCTTAGACCAAGGACTTTCTGTGTCTCTCTACTGCAGTTTGCCTGAAGATGGACAGTACAGCTCACTGTTGGTTACTGTTTTCCTTTGAAAGAGACCCTCTTGGAGATACTGATTCCAGTGACATGAGAGGTGGAGCACTAATATCTGGTAGAATTTACTGCTGGCTAAGTGTTCATAAATCCTAAGAAAGAAAGACTTGCAGCAACAGATTGCATCAAGACTTGAGAGAACTGTTAGGAGTAGAATCCTGCAACTTTTCTTAAGGACAGTGAGGTTTTATTTCTGTACATTTCCCAGATGGTCAACCAAAATCTGGCTGTAACTTTTCATGCACCCTGACTTGGTATCAAACGAAACTAAGTAATAACTGGCTAGTAGGCTTCATCTTAATCTTGCTCTTTTGATTCACCAGAAAAAAAAAGTTTATTTCACCTATCATTTGTGTAGTATATTTAATAGCACACACTTAAACTTTGAAAAATGAGTCCAAGACTTCCTTAATTTTGAAGATAAAGCATTAAAAGAATAAATGAAATTGGAAAATTCTTTAACATTACCCAAATCAAAGACAGAGAAATTTCACTACTTTCCTGGTGTAAGGATGACCTGATTGGCTTTCCTACTGAGGCTGAGAACTCTGTGCCATCTAGAGGATGCGATTTAAGGGAGGTCAAGGCAGAGCAGAAAGATGAGGTCATTGGAACTTTCCCTCTGTCTTACTGCTTATGAGGCTTGAGGCTAGAACCTGGTAAGTTGCCTGCTTTTGCTATATTATAACTTTTGTTGTCTGGTTTATTGTTGATGGTTCTGATAAATATAGATCTGCCTTGATGGACAAAATTGTCATGAGGATTAAATTATTAAGACGTGTAAAGTACTCCAAACAGAGCTTGGCATATAATAAGTGTTCAATAAACTATCATTGTTGCCTCAATCCAATTATCAGTGCCCCTCTTAGGTTTTTTCTCAGTTGCATAACTGCTGTTTTATTATCCTGGATGTTTGTCTTTCAATCTGGTGGGAAAGGGACCAAGAAGAGAAAACAGAAGAGAAAGGAGGGTAAGAATTAGCCCTCAATGTAGGAATTTTTTTTTTTTAGAGTGTAATCACTGCTTGTAAAATGCATTATTAGTTGGTGTGTGAAGGAAATAGATTCAGGAACTTTTGAGCATCGGTGAACACCCTTACATAGTTGCAGGAAGTATATTCAGTTTTTGCATAAACATAAATTTCATAAACATAAATTTCATAAACACAAATTTGCAAAACCACAAATGAAAACCTAATAAATGCAGCAATAGAAAAGAGAAGACAACACTAATATTTCTGATCTGCTGCCTGGTTTGCTCTTGGCGTAGGTCCTAATATCTTGCATGTCTACAAGGGTATGTGCACATTGTCCATTTGAACAGCTATTTCAGTCAACTCAGTCTACTGATATTAGATGTATTTTATTTAAATGCATATTCCCCTACCTTTGACTTGGTATTCAAGACATCAGTATTAATTTTCATATAAATTTTGACTCATTTAACAGACTAGGGTGGAGACTTGTGTCTGAAACACTGAATTTTACACATAGTTTAGTTACAATATATTTTTTCCCTGTAAAAGGAGTAACTTCTGAAGAGCTAATATAAATATGGGGGAGGGTCTGACGAAGCGCAGTGGTGGCTCACACCTATAATCCTAGCACTTTGGAAGGCTGAGGCTGGTGGATCATGTGAACCCAGGAGTTTAAGACCAGCCTGGCCAATGTGGTGAAACCTCATTTCTGCAAAAAATACAAAAATTAGCCAGGCATGGTGGTGCACACCTATAGTCCCAGCTACTCGGGAGGCTGAAGTGGGAGGATCACCGGAGCCTGCAGTGAGCCATGATTGTGCCACTGCACTCCAGCCTGGGTGACAGAGTGAGACCCTATCTCAATAAAAAAATAAATAAATACAGGGAGTTAATTGATCTACTTATTTCCAATCCCCATAACTAGTTATTCATCTGAAACTCCATACATGGATCTTTGGCATTTTTATAAAACTCATCACTCTATTTTTTTTTAATGAGGCTTTTCTTTTACTTTGAGTTTATTATTTGATTTTTTTTTTTTTTCCGGCTCACTGCAGCCTTGACTTCCTGGGCTCAGGTGATCCTCCCACCTCAGCCTCCTGAGTAGCTGGGACCACAGGTACACCATCATGCCCAGATAATTTTTTGTATTTGTAGTAGAGACAGGGTTTTGTCATGTTGTCCAGGTTGGTCTCAAATTCCTGGGCTCAAGTGATCCTCCCACCTCAGCCTCCCAAAGTGCTGAGATTACAGGCATGAGCCGCCGCACCACACCTCTTATTTGATTTTTTGAAAAATTACTTAAGAACTCTATGTCTGTATTACCAAGTGAAATAATAAACTAAAGGTAACCCTCTCTTCCTCCTCTCTATTACTCTTCCACCCCTCTGCCCTTCAGCCTAGCTATCTAACAGTAAAAGGCTGTTATATATCTCTACCTTGTTGCTCAGACATATTCACACAGTATATACACTTATACATAGTGTTTTTTATGTTTCTGGGTTTTTTTTTTTTTTTTTTTTGCTTTTGTTCGTTTGTTTTGAGACAGAGTTTCACTCTTGTTGCCCAGGCTGGAGTGCAATGGTGCAATCTCGGCTCACTGCAACCTCCGCCTCCCAGGTTCAAGCAATTCTCCTGCTTCAGCCTCCTGAGTAGCTGGGATTAGAGGCATGCGCCACCACATCCGGCTAATTTTGTATTTTTAGTAGAGACGGGGTTTCTCCATGTTAGTCAGGTTGATCTTGAACTCCTGACCTCAGGGGATCTGCCCGCCTCAGCCTCCCAAACTGTTGGGATTACAGGCTTGAGCTACTGCGCCTGGCCGGGTTTGTTTTTTACTGAAGGAGGATTATATTACACGTATTACGTTAAAAATACCTTTTTCACTTGGCAATGCAAGGCAAATGATTTCTGACCTAGTAGTTTGGGTGAAACAATTGCCTGGACCTCCCAAAGTACTGAGATTACAGGCGTGAGCCACTGTGCTTAGTCACAGAAGTTATACTTCTAAAATTATGAAAGCTTAAAATTCTCACCAAGACTTTTGGGACAGTGCACAGTATGTTGCATTACATTCAGAAACAAAAGATATTTATGTATACACACATATCCTCATTTTTGTACAAGTTTATTTATGTGTATGATGTATCTTGTATATAGTGACAACCTAATACATTCCAATGGACAACTGGGATGGAGATAGGGCCAATTGTGGGACTGTTGTAAAGTGGGTGGATAAATTTTTCACTATATAATCCAATTCAATGTTTAAATAGGTTTTAACTCTGTGTGCATTTTAAAAAACAGAATAGTATGAAAAAATATTTTAAATGCTGTGTGCAGAAATACTTTGTGTGGGACTTTTTAGTGTGGGATTATTAAACAGGCCATTTAATATAGTTTTGCCCATCACCAACACATCAAAAATGCAAAGAACCCACTTATGGAATAGGCACACCAATGAGATACCCCAAATACTCCCCCAGCTAAATATTTCTGCCTTGTAGTAAGGAATCTCATGTCCTAACAGGGAGAAAGAGGCGAGCAGAGAGTCCTGTCCCCAGAAGCAAAGGACTGAAATCCAGTTACCATCCCATAGGGGTATAAGAATTCTGAGATATGGCTGGGCGCAGTCGCTCATGCCTGTAATCCCAGAAGGCAGATCACTTGAGATCAGGAGTTAGAGACCAGCCTGGCCAACATGGTGAAACCCCATCTCTACTAAAAATACAAAAATTAGGCTGGGCGCGGTGGCTCACCCCTGTAATCCCAGCACTTTGGGAGGCCGACAAGGGCGGGTCACCTGAGGTCGGGAGTTTGAGACCAGCCTGACCAACATGGGGAAGCCCTGTCTCTACTAAAAATACAAAAAATTAGTCCGGCGTGGTGGCGCATGCCTGTAATCCCAGCTGCTAGGTAGAGTGAGGCAGGAGAATAGCTTGAACCCGGGAAGCGGAGATTGTGGTGAGCCGAGATCGCGCCATTGCACTCCAGCCTGGGCAACGAGAGTGAAACTCCGTCTCAAAATAAATAAATAAAATTAAAAATTAAAATACAAAAATTAGCCCGGCATGGTGGCGTGTGCCGGTAGTCCCAGCTACTCAGGAGGCTGAGAGAGGAGAATCGCTTGAACCCAGGAAGTGGAGGTTGCAGTGAGCCGAGTTCACGCCACTGCACTCCAGCCTGGGTGACAGAGTGAGACTCCGTCTCAAAAAAAAAAAAAAAAAAAAAGAATTCTGAGATATCTGTAAATTTCTACATTTGCTACTTATTTAAAATTCTCTGCTTTCCCCCTTAGTTGTAGGCAGCAAACTGCATGAAACAGAAGAGATCTTGTCATTGCTAACACTCTGAGAGAGGAATGATCAGAGGACTTTGCCTACTCTCTAGCAAAAATTGGGTCAGGGTGGTGATGTTGGAGAACATCCAGAGAGACAATGGGTGGAGCTAGAGAAAAGAAGAGCAAGGTGAGGCCCCATGGCTTGCTAACAAGAAGAAAATACAGTCCTGGATTAGAGGAGTGGTCCTAGGGTTTAGTAGTTTCATGTTTTCCCTCTATCCATGATGCCTGAGTGATAAATCTTTTTTCTTTAGATCTGTCAGGCTTCTGCTCCTTGGCCCCCTCTTGTGGGTAAGTATTTCCATCACTACAATTGCTTTCTGCAGTGATCACTCTCTACTCCATATTCCTGCTCCACCAAGTTCTTCCTCCTCATGAAGCATTATAGACTAACCAGAGGGCCCCCAGGGATCTCCGGACCACACTCGGGGGAAGCTCTGGCTCAGATGATGCATGACTAGGAAATAAAATACAGTATATCAAATAGTTGTCCTCACTTATCATATCCAAATGGTGACAGTTTCAAGGAAAAAATGCAGAAAACCTAGTAATACAATATACTTGCCTTAAATATTACATCATCTTGCAGGAAAGGCAGTCTCATTTTTGTCATGTATGGGATGTATCTTAGTTAAGTGAGTTCTTTGCCCTTGGGTTTTGAGCTGTGGTATGCCATAGATGAAAAATGAAAGTGTAACAGGCATTTCACTGTACCCAAAAAGTGGGTAACACCTCTTCTTATACTTTGTGTGAGCAGCTTCTGTACAGGTTTCTTTTTCTGTTGGGTAGAGTAGACGCATTTCCATAAAACCATAAAATCATTGAGTACAATTATTGTAGGTCATTTTGTAAATAATAATCTGGTTTGTAGAGGGTCTGAATCTCCCAACATTTTTTGTTTATAGCATCTGAATTTGACTAGAATGTGAGTGGAATTCAGTGGTAAATTGGCCATTTTTCCGTCAGTAGCAGCAATGAAACTTACACATTCTAGTGAAAACGTATCAGATTTCTGCACTGCAACACACAAATGCACATATTAATTTCCAAGAATGTCATTTGTCTCTGACAATAAACATGTGTGCCTTTGGAGGAAGAAGCTATATGTGGATTTGTGAGTTCATAGTGAGAAAGAGAATTCTTCTTTTGTGGTAGATAAACAACATATATATCCTAAATCTTGCTAATAGGCTGCTATGGACTGAACTGTGCCCTCCCTCAGATTCACATGTTGAAGCCCTAATCCTCAGTGTGGCTGTATTTGGAGATAGGGCCCAGAAGAGGTAATTAAGTTTAAATGAGGTCATGAGTGTGGAACCCTGATGATAAGATTAATGTCCTTATAAAGAGAGACAACTCCCCCACCCCCTGGCCTACCCTGTGCACACAGGAAAGGCCATGTGACAACATAGCCAGAAGTAACCTACAAGCCAGTAAAAGAGCTTTACCAGGCCTTGATCTGGTACTTCTAGCCACCTGAACAGTGAGAAAATAAATTTCTTTTGTTTAAGCCACCCAATATGGTACTTTGTTATGGAAACCCTAACATTAATGCATAGGCCAAATAAATATTCTGGGAAATAACAGAGTCCTGTGTAGAAATTAGCTTTAGAAACACCCTAAGATATTGTGCATTTTGAAACATTTTGCCAACATGAAGTATTTTCACTATCTGATTTTTATTTCAAAATTTGCCATCTTAAAAGTTCAAAATGTTTCAATATAGTACCTTCTAGATAATCTGCTCATAAGAACTAGTAAATTTATTATATAATTCATCAAATCGCTAAGCTTTTTATTCGGAAGGAAGGATTATTGGAGAACTAACCCTTTGGAGGACTGCAAAGGATCAGAGTTGAATCTAGCATAGAAGATTTTTAGCAATGCTTTGGCTGTATCTCCATGGAGTAACCAAACTAAAGAGCCTCTGCATCATTTTTTCCCATCTTTGAGAGCTCAGTGTAAGGAGATGAGCCATTGAGAGCTCTGAGAATAGATTCAGCCATTCCAAATTCTTGACTGCATGATTTATTTTTCAGACCTCTAGTGATGCTCTTCAATCTTAGGATAATTGGTATAGTTTTATTTGTTAGCAATCTTTTCTCAGCAGATTTCTTAAGCGTAGTAGGATATGTCTGTCTCTGTCTCCATCTCAACCCCTACATTTACATCTGCCTCTAGGTCTGTATCATGTGATAGTGTTCCTTAAATACACTTTCCTGAGAGATGCTGGTGGTGCCTCGCTTTTAAATATGCCACAATCCCCCCTCTCCATCTATGCCTCACTAAATCTGTTTTCTACTTGATCTATAGTAAATTGAAATCTTGAAATTAAAGTGCAGGTTGGTGACTTGCCACATATTCCAAAAAGCATCACAGAATCCAGAGAAATCAATGGAGGAATAAAGAAGCATGACCAATTTTGTCTCAAATTTATTCTTTCACAGCTGAACCACTTGCTGATAGGACAGTTGTTTGATTCTGAGATCCCTCATTTGCTCTATTTTCCAGTTTAGGTATTGCTGATTTGAAATGTACCAGTGTCTCAAGCTCAATGCAGCAAAGATCTGGAATCCTTCTCTTCTTTGAGGGAAGTGGAGGACCCCTCATGCACTGGCTGTGACCAATCAAGTTTTGCTCGATGCCAAAAAATTAAACACAGTAAGGCCAGGCCCTGTCAGCAAAGAGTTGATTGCTTTAAATAAGGGAGATTTCCTGAATGTTTAAATTGAAACTTCGACTTTGATTAAAGCAAAGAGAAGTACCAGGATGGCTTCCTAACTATTTAGTTCCTAAAATTCCTGTGAGGTCTGGAGATGACAAATTCAATTCTGATGTGCTGTGTTTTACACTCTGCAGACTGTAGTAAAAGGGAAAACTAATCAAGCTTGGGTTTCCCATGGGCTGAGCTTTAAGATGTTTTCCTATTTAAAGCCATGGAAATATGTTAAAACCCACATAGGCACAGTGAAGTTTATATAAGGCAAAATCTATGTGACTATGTTTTTGCACAGTGTGCATATTTTGATTTTTCATTATTTTTGGTTTGTTTAATGGCTTATTTTGCTTAAAATTATATTCCTACAATAGTTTTATAATAAAAGATTGGAAAGAATGGTTTATAAATATATCTATACGTCTATTATACATATACACAATTTATATTGTAAAGTGGTTATGTTGTCAAGTAGAACACATTCACTTGAATTTAAAATTTTTATTAAAAATAAAAAATAGAAAATTGATGAATGACAGACATAAAAATGCATGGCTATCTATCCAGACATGCCAAGATACAAACTAAGGATTTATTTTTAGAGCCAGTGCAGTTATCATATAATTAAAAATATTAATTACAATGTAAAAATCATCACATGAGAAGAAATGGGAAAGGAGAGTGAATGAATACATATGTCAACTAAACAAACTAGACATTTCATATACAAGCAAGGGATTGAATTTTACATAAACCATTGTTTGTAAACAAATGATAATTAAAAGTAGTGCTTTCCATTAGAAGATAGAGCAAGGGACTGTTCATTCTTCTGTTTCATTTTAACCTGGTCATTAGGCCAGTTTTTCATTAAGTTTTATGCCTATGAAATTATAGTCAAAACCAAAATCTTGTAAGGAAGTTAAAGATGATACATGTGTATGTGTGTGTACATACACACTATCATCTATCTGTCTATGTATCTACTTATGTCTGTAGTTTTTTTGGGTTGATGACTACTTGTTTTTAGAACACTAGAAACAAAATGACTATTCACATTGAACATTTCATGCTGTAGAAAAATGGAGATTTCTTCATGAATATACACAGGAAATTTATTACACTTAATCTTTGGATCTTTTCTCAAATTTAACACACAGTAAACACAATCAAAAGACTAAGTGTCTTTTTGATCCTCACAATATGACACAATTTTATATTTTCACAAGGATTATAATACTCAATTTATGGAGATATATTCATTCTTTCAGGTCACATTAACTAAATGATTTTTTCTTATCTCCTGAAAGGGTGTAGCCAAAATATACGTTCACCAGTAGCACTCATGGCTTTCCTTGTATCTATGTAAGATGATGGAATGAACACATTTAACTAATTTGTCCATACACAACAATTTTACACTTAAATAATCAGTGTTGGGGTCTTCCTCTTTGTGTATTAGCTTTGGAAGGGGTGATACTGAGTCAAAATTTAATTCACTAGGGGCTTAATGGAAGTGGCAAAATCAAACTTTGTAGCCTTTGTCTAGAAAACTGGTTTATTTCTACAATGAAAACTTGACATGGGTTACTTTTTCAAGGTTAAGTCCTTTGAAAATTCAAAGCTTCTTTGATTTTGAACAAGTGACTAAGCTTTTAAAATTTTATCATATTTTCACTAATAATTCACATAATACAAGAAATCTTGAAGTTTATTTATTGATTTATTATTCATTTATGGTGGCTGATTTATTTTGATTCTCAAATTTTATAGATGAAGAAATTGAGACTCAGAAACTTGCAATGCATTTTTGGTCCTGCAGGCAGTCAGTGGCAGGCCAGGGACAGTCCTTCACACAGGTCTTTGGCTTTCTGAACTGAAGTCCATCACTACCCCACCACCTCCCTTCCTATGATTACTCAACATTTGTCATTAAAATCATGCAACATGAGAGAAGAAAATATCCTAAAACATGAAAATCATGATGAGAAATTCAAAGTTGTTTTGGAAGAGCTTTTATTTTTCATAAAAAGCCTTTATCAACAGTTTATATAGGCCGGATGCAGTTGCTCATGCCTGTAATCCCAGCACTTTGGGAGGATGAGGTGGGTGGATCACTGAAGGTCAGGAGTTTGAGACTAGCCTGGCTAACATGGTGAAACCCTGTCTCTACTAAAAACACAAAAAGTAGCCAGATGCGGTAGTGCGCACCTGCAGTCTCAGCTACTCGGGAGGCTGAGGCAGGAGAATCACTGGAACCTGGGGGGCAGAGGTTGCAGTAAGCTGGGATTGTGCCACTGCACTCTAGCCTGGGTGACAAAGTGAGACTCTGCCTAAAAAAAAAAGAAAAAAGAAAAAAAAAACAGTTTATATAAAGGGTGGATGCACAATTACAACTGGATTGCCTGTACAATCATTTTACATTTTTTTAAAAAAATGTAAAAGTTTTTAAACAAACAAAAATAAAAGTTCAGTAATAGAAAAATACAATTTTGACAAAACTTTCCACTATAGTTAAGTATAAAGTTGGCTCTTGTGGTCTTTGAGGAATTCATACTTGTGTTAGAAGGGAAGTTAAGGACATATTTATGTGAATACCAAATGAGCTGTTTCAGAAACAAATAAACTCTATCTTTTTGAAATGAGAATGTTTGAACACACGATTACAGATCTGGTTGGTTTTGATCTTTAGAAGTCCGTTGCATGCTCTCCTTCTGCCAAATTACACCAGAAACTGTTGTTATTGCTGATGAGCAGTTTGACTACACCACTATAATATAAATGTTAGTTTAAAGCTCCTTATTTTCTTTATGAGCATATTCATTTGGATTGATAGAAAGTGACTGCATTTCACCCAGAGAACTGGTTGGTGGGAACGGTTTTTGGTTTTGTCCGGTGGCAAATATCTGGAATCAAAAACACTTTCATGATAAAATCATATTAGACTATTAGGTAATTGGTAGGAAAATGCTGTTGAACATTATTTAATTTCTTGTTAAGTTTAATGGGAGCTTTTGCTCAGATTATAGAATAATGTAAGACTTAAATTGGGTTATCTTTTCTGTTATCTCAAAAAATGGAGTTTTTACTGTTTTTGCTGTTTGGAGCTTATGTAAATGATACAAAATTTGTCATTTGGTCCTCCAACCCAGAAGGCCAACACTGATAGTCTTGTTTGGTTTAATAATAGCATCCCTTGCTGTGTTAAGGATTCTGTAGATCTGTGCTGACTAATAAGACAGCCACTAGCCATATGTGACTAGTGAGTACCTAAAATTTGACCAGTTTGAATTGAGCTATGTGCTCCAAGTTGAAGATACATCCTGGATTTCAAAGAGTTAGTATGAAAAAAGGAACATAAAATGTCTCATCATTTTTGAATATTAATTACATTTTGAGATGACATTTGTATATATTTAATTAAATAAAATATATAGTTAAAACAAATTCCTTTTCCTTTTTTGCTTTCTTGTAATATGACTACTAGAAAATGAAAAATTACATATATGTCTCACATTGTATATCAATTATAATAGTGCTGCTGGGTATAGTTATTTCCATACATAGAATCCATGTCACTCCTTCTGAAGTATATTCTTAGAAAAGCCAAAGTGGAAATGAATCATCTAAATCCCATCCTGATGTATGCATAGGCATCACATAGAAGTCAGTGAGCACTCGATCCATACCTCAGAGTTGAAATTTCTCTTAACAGGTTCTGTTATAAACAGAAGAATCATTGAGTTAATTCACAAGCTGAACTCAGTGGTTGTTTAGTCTTATCTCTTTAAATTTTTCTTAATCTATGAGAATTTTTGTTTAAATTATATATGTTTTTCTCCCCATTTTTCCAAGAACAGAACTGGTATAACAGACCACTGTAGGTGATAACAGATTCTCCTGTCCTTGTTCAATATCAGAATTATCATTGCCTTACTTGAAATGGCTGAGAAAGACAGATGTTAGGGTGATCTAGTTGCAATCTAGCTGCTCCATAAACGGTCTTTTTTTTCTTTTTTCACAAGGTGGAGAAGCACCATCCCAGTATGCCAGTGTCTGTGTAGTGGGAAACACAAACAAGCTAAGATAAACCTAGAATCAAATAAAAAGAGTGACCCCACCAACCTTGACCTCTCTTTGAACTTGATCGTGAAAAATACAAATAACCACCTAGTTGAATGTGGATGAGATGTTGAGATTTTGTGGGGTCACATCCAGTCTCTTGTTTATCTTTTATCCTTCACTACACTGGCACCATGTCAAGTATGCATACATTAGGAGTTTAGGACATTTTTGTTAAATTGAATTGAATCGTTCAGAAATATGAATTAGCTTAATAAAAAAGATGTTTTAGGGAGATCATTTGTAATAGAATAAAGAAAAGGAACTAAGAATAGGCACCAAAATGTAAACTTACTTCTAAATTATCTATTTTAACTTTCATGAATATTATGTATTTAATTTAACCAACTTTAGTTAGAAAAGAAAGAAGAGGTTTTCGTGCTCTTTGAGGTTTGTGTATACCGCTTACCAGAACGCCAGAGCTTCTGTCAGTCAATAGCACATGCAAAATTTATCAAGTATGTTGCTTGACATAGAGTTTACTCTGTCATTACTAGCTAACTTGGATCTGCCAGAGAATTTTTCATGGAAGTGTGTACTGCCAAAAAAGAGGTGTCCCTTGATTGATGGCCACAGCTGACCTAAATACTCAAGGATCACATTGTAATAACCCCTTTATCATATATTAACCACAAAACCCAAGTCCAAATAGCTATAAGTGTTTTGTTCAAACCCACAAAACCTAGGAAGGCCAGAGACTGGAAGGATTTTTATCCTTTCCACAACCCAATGACATCCCACAGTGTCTGTGTAAGATTGGGTATCTGATTTTCAGCCCGTGAGAACAGACACACTGAAAAGCCCTTGGTATTGAAGGTTCATTCATAACACCAATATTTTCTTCTTTTCCTTTGGTTTTGCCTATTTTTTATATCCATTTTAGCTTAAAAACGTGAGGTATAATCATAATATTTTAAGCCATAAAAATAAATATACATACAGTTTACTGGGAATGTAAGCCAGACCAACAATATTTCATAAAAGTGGTTTATATAATTTCATTTCCTATTTTATTTTGGTAAATGCCAATTTGTAAAGGGAGAAAAAGAAAGTGAGAATGAAAATCTCTATGGTTTTGAAGTACATAGAAGTCAGCAAGATTGACTGTAATGGCTACTCAAGCCTATATGGTCTGCCATATGTTATTCTAATTTTCTTTGTGGTCTAGACTACAAGCTGCATTGAAAGTACCTAAGGAGTATTAAGAGGGTTTAAAGCAACAAAACCTCAGATTTGGTTCTTGTATGTTTGAGGGGAAAGACGCTGGTAACTCAATCAATGTGGCCATTGAGAGATTTGAAGTAGATAAATATACATCTTGACTAAGCTCATTTCTGAGTTTATCTTCTGTTTAGGAAGAAAGGATAAAGATGGTGTATTAGTTCTGGTCTAATAATTGTCAGATAGAAAGCTAGAAATATACAGTCATGTGCTGCCTAAAGACATTTAGATAAAAAACAAATGACATATATGAAGGTGGTCCCATAAGACTATAATGGAGCTGAAAAATTTCTATTGCCTAGTGACATCATAGCTGCCATGATGTTGTAGGACAACATACTACTCATGCAAAACTATGGTTAAAAAAAAAACAAGCAAAGCATCATGGATGTACTTCTGAAAAGTGTAACATTTCCTGCAGATGAGCCCCAGACAGGTGCTTGAGGAGGTCTTATAGAAGAAGGCATTGTTATCACAGGAGAGGACAACTCCATGTATGTTATTGCCCCTGAAGACCTTCCAGTAGGACAAAATGTGGAGGTGGAAGACCACAATGTTGTTGATCCCAACCCTGTGTAGGGCTAGGCCAACTTGTGTACATTTTTGTATAACTGTACAAAGTGTTTGTGTTTTAAGCATAGTGTTATCACAAAAGTGTCAAAAAGTTTAAAAAATTAAAAAGTTCATAAAGTAAAAAAGTTACAGTAAGCTAAGGTTGATTTATTATTAAAATATAAAAAATAAATTGAGTATAGTCTAAATGTATCATGTTTATAAACTCCACAGTAGTATATAGCGATGTCCTAGGCTCTCACATTCACTTATTACATATTCACTCACCCAGAGCAACTTTCAGTCCTGCAAGTTCCATTCATGGTAAGTTCCCTACACAGGTGTAACCCTTTTTTATCTTTTATGTAATATTTTTGCTGCATCTTTTCTATGTTTAGCTATGTTTAGCTACAAAAATACTTACCATTGTGTTATAGTTGCCTATAGTATTCAGTACAGCAACATCCTGTATGGGCTTGTAGCCTTCGGAGCAATAGGCTATACCATAGAGCTTAGATGTATCGTAGGCCATGCCATCTAGGTTTGTATAAGAAAAGTATACTCTGATGATCGCATAATGACGAAATCTCCCAGTGACCTTTCTCAGAACGTATACCCACTGTTAAGTGACACATGACTGTTTTCATATCCAGGTAAGTAAATCATAGACACCTCCATAAACTATTTTTCTCTCATCTGTCTGTCATTAAGGTTCTTCCCTCTCTCCCTGCCTTTCTTATTCCTTCCTTCCTTTCTTCCTCCTTCCTTCCTTCCCTCCATCCCTCACTCCCTCCCTCCCTTCCTTCCTTCTTCTTTCCCTCCCTCCCTCCCTCCCTCCATCCCTCCCTCCCTTCCTCCCTCCATCCCTCCCTCCCTTCCTTCCTTCCTTGAGACAGAGACAGAGAGGACCATAGCTTGAGTCAATTTGAGAGAAGCAGAATTAGAAGATGAAAATACATAGAATTCTGAATGCGTGCACTGGGCTAATGTGTTCAGATCTCCTTGGGGGTAAAGCCTATGCTTTGGACATATTATTTTAAAAGGATGAAGCATTCATAACCAGCTGTGTTTGGCATCACACACTTCTCTGTGTCATTGATGGCACTAAGTAGTGGTTATGCACCTGTATACCATCAAAGACTCTGTCATTATCCTCCACTCCATTTTGCTAAGGAACTGCTTTGACGTCGTTACATGCTAAATACACTTTATTTAGAAACTAATAATTTGTATATCCATTTTAGAAGATTAATTGAAGGCATATATTTATTAGAATTAGGCCATTAAGAGGAGAGTCTGGCAGATTTGAAGATATTTCTTGTATTTATAGAACTACAGGTGGAGTGCTTGTTTGTTATGCAATTATGCAGCAGTTTGTTGGCTATGCTGTAAAGAACCTCTTTTCTTTTTCTTTCCATTACCTACATTTCCCTCCTGGTGTTCCATGGACTACAGATGGCCAGTTATATGTCCCTGGTCTCTGCTAACTTGCACCTTTGTTGTCACTTATTCCAAGAGAGTCTCATGGCTTGACAAGGCCTGGCCCCTGCTCAAAGGGTGAGAGAAATAGCCTCATACATGGAAGCTGTGGTTCAATAAAATCCCAGTCTTAATTTACCATCTGATATCTAATTCTCAACCTCAACAATTGCTTAAGTACTCAGTCGGGTTCAACAAGAAGCTGACCTGCGATCTCAAAATCTTTCTCAAAGTTGAGCTAGATCATGGGAAAAAGCAAAAGACACTTCACAACCTATTCCATTAGAGGTTAAAAGAAAGAATGCTAAGTTCTGTTTGGCAAATAATCTTGTGGTAAGGTTTGCTCCATTGCCAATTTTTCTTTTTTTTTTTTTTTTTTTTTTTTTTTTTTTTTTTTTTTTTTTTTGAGACGGAGTCTCGCTCTGTCGCCCAGGCCGGACTGCGGACTGCAGTGGCGCCATCTCGGCTCACTGCAAGCTCCGCTTCCCGGGTTCACGCCATTCTCCTGCCTCAGCCTCCCGAGTAGCTGGGACTACAGGCGCCCGCCACCGCGCCCGGCTAATTTTTTGTATTTTTAGTAGAGACGGGGTTTCACCTTGTTAGCCAGGATGGTCTCGATCTCTTGACCTCATGATCCACCCGCCTCGGCCTCCCAAAGTGCTGGGATTACAGGCGTGAGCCACCGCGCCCGGCCGCCAATTTTTCTTTAAACAATCAAGCATTTAATTTCCAATGATTGATTCAGATGTCTTACCTGGAACAAATGTTAATTAGATGGGCTATGATTACCATTTTCTCACCCATCATATTTCTTGAACATAGACCTTCCACTGTCTTGCCTAGTAAATAATAAGATTGCAAAATTTGACCTCTACAGTACTTAGTGTCTATACACAAATTTTGGCACTTGATTGAATTGTTTTCTCTTTTCTTATTAGTTTATGAATGTAAGCCTTGTTTTCCTACTTATGATTACAAATCTGTCTTTTATATCTTTTTTTTTCCTTAATATCCACAGAAGTGTAACATAGTGCTAAGGGTAGAGGTAAATGCTGGAAAAACTTGTTCAATGTAACTGAATGGCTCCTTCTGTTTTTGTACATGAAACTGCTCCCGGTCAGTGGGTTTCACCATAGTATGTGATATCTTTGTTGTCATTTTGAAATGTTGGTTCTTCTACTCTTCCATCAAGATTAGCTTACATATTACTTCCTTTGGGAAGATTTCTCTGATCACCCTCCAGACAATTAACCACTCCCTCTGTGCCCCACTGTGTTTTGTGTATGCTTCGATTTCTGTTGTATACTCCCTTCTCTGCAACTGCCTTATTGTTTGTTGCAGTGTTTGTTTTGGCTACTGGAATGTGATCCTTCGGGAAGAGGGTCTTCATTATTAGCCTTTCATTTGGCTTAGCACAGTATAGCTGACATTTGTTGAATTGATAGATAGACGTGAATCACTAGAATTGCGTCATCTCGGATAAACTGCTGTTTATGTCTATTGATCTGCTTTTGGTGAAAATTCCAGTAGACTTTAAAGGAAATTCCATATGTTTGATAGTTGAAGGTCTTTTTTGAACTTTATAATATTTACTTTATGTCGTGCCTTGGCACTGGTGTCTGTGTATATATACTCTTTCTCCTAATATCCCCATGAAACTTGAGTTCCTCAAATTTCCCCTGCCTTTGCCTTCCAGCTCCTGATTTCTTCACTTGCCCTTTGGGTTTAAATGTTCCCTTTGTACATTTTTATACTTGATACATTAGCGAGTACATTTACTCCAAATTTCACTTTACTTTCTATGCCATCTAGAAGAAACGGGAGAGACCTCTTAAAAGGAGGCAATTTGTAATTCTGGAAGTTGTATGAGTATCTTAGCTCTTCAGTGTATTTGGAACAGAAGTCTTCGCTGTGAACAAAGAAAAGTATGAGTAAAAACAGAACATATAAAACAAATAAAGTAGGGGTCATAGTCCATATATCAAAAAGGTAAACCTCCTCTTACAAAATTATTCTCAGCAGGCCTCCTTTTATAGCTAGTTCACGGAGGTCAATTGATATGTAATTGAATTTTCCAAAAATATCTTCACATGAGACTTTTCAGTAATGATATATAATAAGATTTGGTCTCACAGTGGTATCTGCAATCCTGAAAAACTATGCAGTGTTTTGAATTTTTTTGTGGGTTGTATTTTTTTAAAGTAAGTGAATACCTATGTATCAGGGGCCAGATCATGCCTGTGAAAAGGACATTGTTCATATCTCCACCTGCTACAAGCTGCTATGCCTCCTTGAGGACATCAGGTAGAAGCCCATGTTATTATTCTTGGGGTTAAAATGAAGATGAAGGTAAGGACTGAAAGTCTCTCCAGGCTGGAGAGAAGGGTGAGATGATAAAGTATAATCTCTGGGCACAAGCATGGTTCTCCCTGGGCATAGTTCCATGGCTGTGTTTGAGGTTTTGTGTTATTCACTTCTATTAATTTTTTTTTTACAAGTCTCTAGTGTCATTATCTCTGGAGCTCTCAGTTTGGTGATATTTCTTTTTATTTCCTCACATATGTGCTACTACTTGGGACAAGATGCATTCTTCTTCAGCCTGAAAAGCTGAAGCCTTCTTGCACACTCCTGAAGACAATAAGGTACTATGGATGATGTCATATTTTCATTCTGCTGAGAGTGGACTTAAGTTTTCCTCCTAGGTCAGGAATATGTGCCTTGGGTCCCTTCTTTTGGCTTTGGTGGGATGAAAGTGCAGAACCAGTTCCTGCCATATCAGTGGGTGGAGTTTGCCAAGCAGCAATGATTTTCCCTGTGTGTCCTTCTGGGCAGAATGCCTTAGTTACAGTCATAGATGGCGGCGCACATGGAGAAGCAGTGCTGAGTGGCCGGAAACCCAAGTGCTCCCTCTATTCCAAATGCATTTTTTTTTTTAGTATACATTGAAAAATTTTTCCACTCACAATCACCTAGTTTTCCAGTGACTCTAAAACCATGAAAAATAACACAGTGGAGGAAAATCCAGTATCTTCTGGGGCAAAACAGCCTGTTTCTGTAAAACAGCTGTCAGTTTGGTGAGGAGAGAGATTTCCAAAAAGAAGGGAAATGAGATCAATGGCTAGGTCAACTGAAATTGCTTGGAAGTTGAGGGAAACTGCAAAGAGGCCCTGTGGTCATGTGTAAGATGTTTGTTTCCCAATGATGTAGAGAGAGAGGAAACAGGAGAGGGTTGTGTGTCTTCCTCAGTAGTTTGGACTTTGCACCATAAGCCACAAGGTGCCTTTGAACAATTGCACATGGAAGGTGGCATGTTGGGGTGGAGAGATCGGGAGCTTTGGAAGAAGCTGCTTGAACAGACATCCAAATGTTTTAGTTATTAACCGTGTAACCTGAAACCAAAAACATTTTCTTATCTTCATTTTCTTATCTAAAAGGTAGCTATAATGATACTGGTGAGAATTAAATAAATGTATAGATGTAAAGCACCTCACCTAGAGCATGGCACCCAAACACAGGCTATGTAAGTTAATGTTTGTCCACAACAAATTCATACAAATGTTGTTAATTCTTCTTTAATTAGAAAGTTGGGGCCAGGCATAGTGGCTCATGCCTCTGATACCAGCACTTTAGGATGCTAAGGTGGGCAGATTACTTGAGGCCAGGAGTTCAAGACTAGCCTAGGCATCATAGTAAGACCCCTATCTCTAAGGTTGGCTGGGCTGGTTTAATCAAAGGAGGGAAATGGTTAGCTAATTTGTCTCATATGAGACAGGAAAATACAGACCAAGAGATAATGGCACTGACCCTCGAATGGCACGCAGAATATTTAACATGCATGTAGAGAATGATATCTGAAACTTACATTGGAAAGCAGAACAGCAGATTTTTAAACTTTCTTTTGTTTTGACTAATTTTTTGAGATTCTGAACAAAATGTTCTAAGCAGGTCGGCTGGCTGGCTCATTTGGTTCAGGGAACTCAGTGCCTGAGTATTGTAATATTCCCTTCCTTCCGGCCCTATAGCTGGCCCTTGAAAATGACACGGAAGCAGAGATGCATTGATCAGTGGTACCTACCTCCAGCAGGTATAGACATTCCTGTGCCGGAACAGTCTTGTTTGTGGATAAGATGCTTTGCTTTTAGTCAAAACTTTTGAAATTAACAGATTGTCTATGCACTGAAAATCGAGATGCTCAAAAGAACTAGCCGGATAAATTGATCAGCTGAAAAAACACAGCCTGGGACTGGGAGAAGCTGCCTTCCAGCTTGAGCTCTGCCAATATTACACTGTATGAACTTGCATGGATTAGGCCACCTCTGACCCTCAGGTTCCTCATCTATTGAATGGGGAAGTTGACCTGTATTGCTAAAGTCTCTTTCAGATCAAACTGTGTATTATTGTAAATCTTGATTTGTATTTCTAGGCTCAATATAGCATTATCACTCTGATCCCCAGGCCTATTTTCCAGCTTCTAATCAATCACTAAGTCCTGTTTAGCATTTCTGTTAAGAACCTGAGCTTTGGAATCAGACGGACTTAGATGCAAATTCTAGCTCAGTGACGCCTTAGCGGGGAAGTTACTTCATTTTTTTCTACACTTCAATTCCCTCATCTACAGAACAGGTCAACAATAGTATTTATGTTATTGAATTAGATAATGCGTGTAAAGCGCTTAGCACAAATGCCTACTGTTTAAATAAATAGCTAGATTACAAATCTCCTTTCCAAATAGCTCTTGAATTTGACTCTTCCTCTTTACTCTCACCGCCTTAAAACTTTTTGCCTGGAATACTAAACCTAAATTGGCTTCTTCAACTCTAGTCTAACTCTGCCCTGGCAGAAAGGTGATCTCCGAAAAACATGTGACATTACAGCAATAATACAATTTATATGGGGGTCCACAGAAATGGAAGATGGGGAGGCCTAGAAATGCAAGGCCTTATTTAACAAATTTGAGACCAAAGTGATAAAAGGAAAGGCCTTCTTGAATGTTCTAGGTCCATCGTATTCAGTCAGACTGAAGGCTAGTTGAAGGTAGGAGGGACAGTATTAGGAATTTCTAACAGGGGTCCCCTAATGCCTCCTTACACTCTTTTCTGAAACATTCCCAAGACTTGCTTTGATTTGGGGGCAGATTCCTGCTTGAGCAGAAGTGTGGTTGATTGAGCTCTGTGTGGGCACTGGCTTCTGGTCAGACAGGCTTAGGTAAAGGATAAACTTTCTAAATCAAACCAGGCCATATACTGACATTTTCAGATGGAAGTTGGAGCACAGCACAGCTGCTTTGGCACAATGCAAGGACTTCACTTCGTTCCCCATGTCTTTCCTGAGCTGGGGTAGGGGAGGAAACAGCCAGAAAAACATGGATTTAAACTGCACCATCTATGATTTAAGTTACGCATAGGCATTTCCTGCTCTGAGTCCTATATAGCATAACAAAATTCACTGGACTTTGCATTTGGCAGAGAGAGGAGTCTCTCCTGCTGAAAAGTATGAGGACTCTCCCACCAAAACAAACCAAAAAAAATTTGGCTTCCATAACTGACCTGCTAGCCCTCTGGATCACTGTGAAAAAAAGTCAGAAGGGCAGAGCTGTATCAGCGTGCCAGGAGCAAAGAGGGTTAGCATGTCACCAGGGAGAACTGCAGGCTTTTAAACCCCTTTTCAATTTCAGAGCAATGGTAGCAACAGAGCCAGGGACTGGGGAAGGGTGAGGGGGCCCATGTGAGGCTGATTTGGGCATCACATTACAGGGCCGGAGGGACTGGAGAAAGGGAACATTTGGCTCTCATTACAGAACAAAGGGACAGGGTGCTAGAAAACAGAGCGAATCTGGGTCAGAGGTACCTGAATCTCCCACAGGTGCAGTAGTCAATTTGCACATCTCCACTCAGGAGGGAGCCTCCCAAAGCTGTCTCCTGCAGTCCGCATTTGCCAACAATAACATTTTACCAGGAACGCAGCTTGTCAAAACCAGCATTATAACTCAAGCAGTGGCGTGATGAAAATAATGTTTTCTCAGGGGCCAAGCTCATTGCTATTGAGAAGTTAGACCTGTTAGCACGTGATTTTCACTAAATCTCCTCCAAATAGTCAAAATCTTTATATAATATTATTTTTTACAAGCCTCCTCTAATAAATTGTTTACTTTTTCTTGGAGGGGGTTGGTGGGAAGAAGGGAAGACAGAAAATCTATGATTCTTATTAAGGGTGGATATTATTGATCATAATTCAAAATCTAAACTTTACATCTTCCTTAATTTTAACAGAGTTGTGTATAATTTGATCGAGAGGGAACTACTTTTATTTTTCTTCAGTTTCTTTTTTCTAATTAATTACTCTTGTGCCCCTTTTCTCACCCTGCCTTCTGATGCAGCATCATTTTGAAAATCTCTATTTTTCGGCAAGGCAGTGATTGGTTAAAGTTTTGGGTGGGGGGGGCTTTCCTGTCTTTTGACTATTGCTCTGTTTTTTTCTCTTTTGAAATAATCCCAAGCCTTAGAAGGGCGAAAGATCAGCTCAGATGCCACGCTGCCTGAAGATCTGCCAACTTACCACCCAAACCTTGTAACTGTATTTTAAGTCATTAACGACGAAGCCCCAGAAATGCTGGTGGAGGGTATGTTTCATCTAAAACAATATATAAGTGTATAAGGAGAGAAAAGCAGGCCTCAGGTATTTGCAGGGGTCCTGTTATGTGGTGGTTGTGATGAAAATAGGCTTAGTGATTTTAACAGCTGGCAATTTATTAGCAAACCTGGTCCTACTAAAAAATATGGAAAATCAGAATTGATGTAGAGTGTTAATTGCAAATCCTTTATATTTGCAAGACTTCTGTATTGTGTTAACTTTTACTATTGCAGGGAGCAGACAACCTTTTGGAGCAAAAGGTGGGCAAATGAACTTCTTTTTCAAACACCACTCCATAGGGATGCAGGCTGTGTCTGCCTGTGTCATTTGGTCTAGAGGGCAAATAATTTTCCTTCATGTGAGTGGGCAAAACCATGTAAAGAGTCTTGCAGGCTTAACTAGTGTTGCTTTTGAGAATCCCTTCATAAGGCTTAATGTTGGAGTTGCCATTTTCAAGCTACATTTGTGGTGGTTCTTTCTCTAGGCACATCATCCTAAGAGGTTGCCTTCCTGTTGGCTGAGCTCTTATACACAGTAATTGAAAACAACACATTTTCTGCTGCCAACTGGTGTCACCGAAGTGATCACTCTCTCTTTCTACTTTAGATTTAACAATGTGGTAGTGGATGAGATGGGAGACATGCTCTAAGTGTTCAAAATGAAAAACACCAGAACACAACCGTTATTTTATGAAAGAGGCTGGAAAATGGTTAGTAAAGAAATCACAGATGTGTTTCACAGACAAGGGGGAGGTGAGGGTAGTGCTACACTCTGAAAGTAGCATGACAAGCACAATATCTTCCTAATTTTGCTCAACACATTACTTTTTGGATTTCCCTAGCTTTATTTGGTGGTGATGATGGTGGGGGGTTGTCTTCACTTTCCAGAGGATCTGTGTGATTGTTCATGTTCATGTGTGTGTATGTGTGTGCATGTGTGCTTGTGTGCGTGCATGTGTGTGTGCGTGTGTGTGTGTGTGTGTGTATGTGTGTTTATCCTCTAGGGAAACATAAGAGTATTTTATAGAATATTGACCACAGTTGTTTACCTATAGCCACACTAAATAAAGGCAGCTAGATGAAACATGGAAAGAACTACTCTCTCAAATTAGAAATTACATTTTTCAACTCTTGCCCAAAAAAATGAAATGCAAAGAATGTGAATATATTTAAAATGGTAGACCACTCAAAATGGACCTTATGTTCCTTATGTTTGGCAAAAAGCCCTACAATAATAAATTGCTGACTTTTGCCTTAATTTTACTTAAATCTACAAAAGATTTAAGTGTTTTGAGCACAGGGATTTTGTCTCATTTTGCAGAGCCACATAGCAGGTATTCAGTATGTCTGACTAATCAATTAAGGATATTAATTCTGATTTATGGTACTAAATTAATATATAAGATGTCTAGTTTAACTGCTGAAAAGGATCTTGAATGAGTGTGTTTTTATAGATGACATTTGTCTATTTTCCTCTGTCTACAAAAAATTATAAAATAATGTTTTATTTATACTTTATTTTTTGACTAACCTTTTATGTGTATTTTAATAAATATACTGACAGAAGAATCACAATTTTAACTGACTTTTTTTAGATAGTTTAATTATATCTAAGTGACGTAATTGCTTATAATACTAAAAGAGACACACAAATATTTCTACCTATTAAGTGTTTGTGGTTGATTGTCATTTACAGCAAGTGATATCTAAGCAGAGTTCTGTGCTCTGACAGTTTCAGTAATCCCCAAAGAGAGAGGAGCACACCACAGGAACAAGAACAGTATCTCCAGGTCTACACTTGCCTTTGGTAAAGAGTTTTAAAATAAATTTCAAGGTAGTGCTACGCTTTCATAAGAATGTGTGTTTTGGTTGGTCCGTATCATAAGTGTCATTTTGGGGGACTTAATAAAAAAAACTATCTATTCAAATTCTTCATGTATTACAGATATTTAGTTTATATCATTAGATTAACTGTGGTAACTTTGCTCTCACTGAGTATCCGTTGGAAGAATTTTGATCTGTCTTTTCTAGAGAGGAATAATTTGCTTTTATTCTCAATTTAGAAATGTATAGATGGTGCTTACTGTATGTAAGGCACGATTTTAAGCACTTCATAAATCTGAATGTATTTAATCCCCATAACCCTATGAGGTAGGTACACGTATTTACAGATGAGAAAACCAGGGTACAGAGAAGCTGAGTAAATTTCCCCACAGCTTAACAGGTGGTAGGTAGAGGAGTAGGGCATTGATCCCATTCAGTCTGACACCAGAATCTTTGTCCTACTTTCTCTAGAATAGCATTGTGCAATACAAACATAATGTGGGCTATATATGTAATTTCAAATTTCCTATTAGCCACACTAAAAAAGCAAGAAATAAAATTTAATTTAAATAATATCTCACATTTGATGCAACAGTTAAAGTGAAATGTTGTACAAGGTTGACCCTTGAACAACATGCGCTTGAACTGCACAAGTTCACTTATACCTGGATTTTATTCCTCTTCTGCACTCTTGAGAGAGCAAAACCAGCCCCTACTCTTCCTCCTTCTCTTCCTCAGCCTACCTAACGTGAAGATGACAAGGATGAAGACCTATATGGTCATTTCCGCTTACTGAATAGTAAACATATTTCTTTTCTTTGTGATTTTCTTAGTACATTTTCTCTTCTCTAGCTTACTTTACTGTAGGAGCACAGTATATAATGCATATAATATACACAATATGTGCTAATTGACAGTTTATACTATAAGCAAGGCTTCCAGTCAATAGCAGTCTATTAGTAGTTAAGTATTTGGGGAGTCAGAAGCTCTATTTGGAGTTTTGACTGCTTGGGCTGTCGGTGTCCCTAACTCTCATGTTGTTTAAGGGTCAAGTGTACTTGCCAAATCAATATAGATGTGTTGAACAGAAATGTTTTACATGATGTCAGTTTTAAATTTTAAATTAATTAAAGTAAAATAAACTTAGTTCCACAGCTGCACTACCCACATCTTAAGCAGTCAGCAGCCTCCTATGTCTGATGGCTACCATATTGAATACTACAGCTTTGGAGAGTAAACTTTCCATAGAGGTATATTCCTTGGAAATAATTCCAGAGAATAAAATTGAGGAGAATTTAGCACATGAAATTGTGTTCTCCCTGTTACTCCAGGCACATTTTCATGGCAGAAGGAAAAATAACATTGGCTTTCAACTTCTAACTTACCACAGGGCCACACACCATTGGGTGAGCAAAAGAGTATCCTCTGACGGGACTTTCTGTTGAGTTTGTGTTCTTCAAGGGGCCATTTTCAACAGTGTTCAGACTCTGGCTCATCCGAGGGGACCTGTGTGCCTATCCAGAAGAAACATCACCACCAACAACCACAAGTGGAGGGAGAGAGGGACGGAGGGAGGGAGAGAGACGTTTGGATACATTCCCATCACTCACACATTAACAAGCTCTTTTTTTAAAAAAAAATTACACCTTACCGTGATTTTGTGTTTCCTTTTTAGATATAAATGTAACCAATAGCACTAAATATATCTGGAAGTTAGGGATGTTGAATCACAAATGAGGGACTAGGTTGACAGAGGACAGAGAAAAGAGCTGTTTTGTTGTTTTCTTTTGATCATTAAGAATCCAAAAATAAATCAAGAGAAAGCATAATGACTGGATAAAGAAAATGTGGTGTATATATACTGTCAAGCACCACATAAGGACATTTCAGCCAACAATGGACCACATATATGACTGTGGTCCTATAAGATTATAATGTAGTAGAAAAATTCCTACCACCTCATGATGTCATAACCATCATAACTTCTTCATAGAGGACTGGGTTAGCCAAGTGTCTGTGGTGATGCTGGTGTGGCAGTAACATGCTGTATAGGTCTGTGGCCCGGGAGCAATAGGCCAGCTATTTCATAGAGCTTAGGTGTGTCACAGGCTCTACAACCTAGGTCTGTGTAATTTCACTTAATGATGTTCACACAATGATGAAATCACCTAAAGGTGCATTTCTCAGTCGTATTCCCATCCCTAAGCAATGCATGACACTGTGTGTGTGTGTGTGTGTGTCTGTGTGTGCTTATAATGAAATATTCTTCAGCCTTAAAAAAGAAAAAAGAAAATTCTGCCATCTACAAAAACATGGATGAATGCAGAGGGCATTATGCTAAGTTAAATAAGCCAACACAGACAAATAAATGAATGCTCCTGTTTATGTGCAGAAGCAGAGTAGAATGGTGGTAGTCAGGGGCTGGAGGATGGGGAAACAGGGAGAAAAAGGGACAAGTTTTAGTTATGCAGGATGAATAAGTTCTGGAATCTAATGTACAGCATGGTGACTATAGTTAATAACACTGAATCATGTACTTAAAATTTGCTAAGAGAGTTGATCTGAAGTGTTTTCACCACACACAAAAAATCATAACTATGTGAGGTGATTGGTGATTGGATATGTACATTAGTTTGACTTTGACAATCATTTCACAGTGAATACCTATGTCAAATCACCACATTGTACAGCTTAAATAAATACAGCTTTGGCAAGTATACTCAAAAAAGATTGAAAATTACAAAAAACATTCTATATTAAATGTGGCAAATATGCATGCACTTTTTATTTATTCTATGAGCCTAGTACAAATTTAATTTTGCTAGCAATATTAAAGTCAATTAAGCTATGTTTTATTTACAATGGTGATAACTTTTTCACTCAAATCATTTACTATTAAAAGAAAAACAATTTTTATTATTGCATGAAACAAATATTTTTAAAAATTGATGTCAATGTTACCAATTATAATTCTTCTTTTCCATTTTTTTGTTGTTAATGAGGAAAAATATATTTAAATTTAAAAATATGTAAAAATTTAAAGTTCAATTTTTGGCTGAGTGGAAAATCCTATGGGATAAAATGGAAAGAGAAAGAGCCTCGGGGTCAGCAGACCTGGATTTTAATCCGGATTCTGTCACTTAAAAACAGTTTCTTTCTAAACTTGAATACTTTAATCTTTGTGAATTTCCAGTTTTCTGCCCTGTAGACTGGGGACAATAACACATATTTTGTAAGGCAGTAAAAAAGAGTAAATGAGAAAAAATATGGAAAATGCTTAGTTTAATATGCATAATGCTTGGCATATTAGAACACTAACTAAATGTTAATTTCTTTTCCATAGTTACATGAGCATTCTTTCATATCAATAGATCTTAATTCATCCAATGTCTCAGAATTTTTATTAGAAAAAATACTATTAAAAATTGTTTGATAATATTTTCAATCCTTAAAACTTCTGATAATTTGGCTTAATTATGTTCTTTTTTCATTAGAAGTTTCTAAATTATGTCTAATTTAATGATTGCAGTGATCAAAATTGACTCAAATGAGAAATCATTCAGGTTCTGAATTTCTAGAGGAAGAAAAGACAAAGTGGACAAAAAAAGGAAGAACGAATAAAATCTTGAACAATAGTATAGTAATTATACTGGTAGTAATTGAATAAAAAGTTATCTTCTGGATTAAACACTTAAGAGGATTTTTCCTTTACAGCCAATCCGTAGTGATGGGAGATCCACTGAAGTCATCTCATGATGTGTGTTGTCGGGCTATTTAAAGGCTGCTGTTTCACTTCCAAACTTCACTCCCTTCTGACGTCTTCAGTGCTGTTCACTTGGCAACCTTGGCTACTCTTCAGCAGATAATTTGTACTCTACATAAGCATTTAGAAGAACCCAGAGTTAAACCAAGGATAAGAGTCATCGGTAACATTTATAGTTACTGAACTCCTCACTATGTGTCACAAAGTGGGTCAGAGGGTGCATCTTTCAGGAGAAAAAGAACATTCTTTTAGTGCTATTTCTACTTCCACATTGATACGACAATGATTCCTACAGCTAAATTAAGGTTTGACCTCATGTGTCAAATGATTTTTGTTTAGTCAATAGATTTTTTTCTAAATGTTATCCTCTCCAAAAAAATCAGAAATTTAGCATTTAAGTTATGCATGATCACAAGTACATATATATATACACACACATATATATATGCAAGAACAGCCTTTTCTTGACAATAATTCAATGCGAGAAAAATTTAGATAAATGTATTGAATGTACAAAAGTGTAATAAAACCCCCTTTAGTTTAATAGATAAAAGAGCATTGTGGGGAGTTTTTTCTTTGCAGGGTTGGAGTATGTGCTCTGCTCATGGAAACCAGCTGTCATGCCACTTCCCAGCACTCGGAGGGAACAGAAACTTGTTTCTTCTCTACTGTTAAAGCAAAAGGGTGTGCCCAAGGCAAAGATTAGAGTGGCTGTGGATCTGCAGGTGGTTTTACGTATTTGCGGTGAGGTCAAAGAAACATCTTTTTTTGCACTTCTTCTTTTCTCCAAATTGGGCATTGCCTGAAATGGACGCATTCAGCAGCACTGTGGGATGAGATATGTACAAGGCATCATTTCCCTCTAAGGCAAATACCTTCACTGCTGGCAAACCTTCAGAATTTGCAAGCTCAGCCAGCACCTTTGACCCGGCCACACAGCTGACAGCACAGTTGGCAGTTGGTAGCTTCCATTTATCCTAGGTCAGCTCCCGAGGCATCGGCATAAAATGAAATAAAGATTTGAGCAGTCACTTCAGAAATGAAAATGGGAATGCCCAATAGTTTGCTTCAGTTTGCTCAGGCTGAGAACCATTTATTAAGCTGGTAAAATGGGAAAGTCATACATGAGAGTACCTGCTCAGGAGAAAGAAATAGATTGATCAGACACATTATCTAAAGATCCAGAAGAGAAATCCACTGATTTCTAACAGTCAACCCACTGATGGCTTGAGATGTAGTTGAGACTACCACACATTTCAGTAGGCAGATATTGTCACCTTCATATCCTCAGTGCCTAGCACTGTGCCTGGTAGTTTGTGCTTAGTCAGTGAATGTTTGCGCAATTAATGAGTAAAGCCCATATGTGTATATGTTTATAATAATTATTTTTTCTAGTTCATGTAACTAACGAATGAAATTCCCAAGTCATTGTTCTATGAGGAACAGGATGAGAAATAAGGAACTAATATTTTTCTTCCTACTGTATGCTAGACATACCAAATTTGCATAGTGAGAAATGGTCAAAACAAGATTGAAAGGTAGGTATGTTTCATGCTAAAGTCCATGGGTTTTTCACTTTACCTAAAACTTAAATGTCATCAGTTGCAAAGCATTTGGAGGAAACACTGTGTATAAGGAGATATTCATCAAGAATTCTATTTTAAATTATGATTATCTTTCTATATGACAGAAAAATACCACTTAAAATATAATGGATTGAAAAGATTCTTTTGAAGAGATACAAAATATACAAAAATATATACTAATTTGGAATAAACTTAGTAAGACATATGCAGAAACTAATGAAAACAAAGCTCTAAAGCTTTACTCAAAAATATATAAAACAATAAATGGAGAGATATATTTTGTTCTCTCCATTTATTATAATAATATATAGATGGGAATATATAATATATATAGATGGGTTATATAGAAGGGAATATATGATAATATATAGATGGAAATTTTCAACACTGTATAGTTGTCGCTTCTTCCCCATATTAATGTATACATTTAATGAAATTTTAACCCAATATGCACAAAAATAACTCTTCTTTGAAATTTGACCACTAGTTCTAGAATTTATTTGGAAAAATAAATGGAGGAAACTAGGCAAGATTGTTTTTAAAAGAAAAACAATAAGACCTACTTGCATTATCAGATATTAAAATAAATTATAAATCACATTACTTAGAGCAGTGTGGCACTGGCATTAGAATTTACAGCAGATCATTGGAAGCATAAATAAATTGGATAGATGATAAATACGTTAATAAATGATATGTGTAAAATGAATGTGATAAAGATGAGATTTCAAATTAGTGATGAAGTAACGGATTATCCAAGTAATGGTAATCAGATCTTTGGTTTAAAAATGCAAAAAAGGAGTTAGACGGCTGTTATATTAAAAAATTTTATTCAGGTGGTTTATAGAATGAAATATAATAGCTTAAAGACAAATGTCTTGCTGATCTTGGAGTGGAGTGTAGAGAAAATAAAAGAAAATATTGATAGATTTGGGTTGAAACATAAATAAAACCAAAAAGCAAATTACAAACTGTAAAAAATAGGATCAACATATTGCAGAAAGATTGTTAATATCTTCAGATTATAAACCATTTTAAACGAAAAGAATGAACATCACAGCATAAAAAGAGAGATATGAACAGGCAAGTCACTAGATGTATATGACCAATAAACTTGTACATAATTTTAAACATTCCTTAGTCATCAAAGACATGCTAATTAAAACAAGACATCATTCCTTGCCAAATCCATGGACCAGGGGATATCTTTCTTGCATTTGCAGTCTTGTTATAGATCTTGCCTCCCCTGCTGCTGTTGCCCTGGGTTGGGTTGGACAGAATTGTCTTCCACCAGTATTTGTTGGGCATCATTTTCTCCCACCTGAGCTGAAGCACTGAGGACCTCCCTCCAGATACCAAATACCTCCTCATTGCTCTTTGGATAAAATGGAGATATGGTTTATTTCCTTTCTGTGATACCTCCTCTTAGGGAAATACCTGCATCATCTTCTTTATTTCCCAGGGACTTATTAAGTTTTATTGGAATAGCTTTTCCTGGATTCCCCAGCCTTCTGTTGGACCAACATATGATCTTAATAAAGAACTGGCCAGAGAGCCCACTTCTAGCACTGGACCCCATGTGGCACTGAGACTGGAATAGCAGCTCCCTTCCAATAACTAAGTCTTTCTAGGGGTCAGGCTTATTTTGTTGGGGATTTCCTCTCAGGCTTCCTGCAATAGCAAAATCCCAAAGACTCCAGACATATTCACCCCTCTCTGATTTGCCCTTAGAGTTGAAGTGAGACAATCTCTCTCTCTCTTTTTTTTTTTTTTTTTGGTATCATATGCCCATGAAAGGGAGTTGATTTTTTTTCTTGTATATGTTTTAAAATTTCTCTAAATCTCTATCATGAACTGGCCTTACTTCTGTAATTTTAAAATGCTATTTTAAGAGTAAATATGTGTACTGAAAAATACAAATTTTATTTCGTGAGTTCCTAGCCCAGGGATGTTGACTCCTTAGCAAGACCTTTTTCCTGAGCTAAAGATCAAGATCTATATTTTACCTTATCCCAGGCAGGATAAGCAACATTTACAGATATTTTAAATTGAATAAATGGAAGTTGAAGTTAAGCCCTTAGTTCATTTTTAGATTTCTCTAGTTTTGTTAAGTCATCTGATTTTTTTTTTTTTTTTTTTTTGCTTTTAACGTATAGCTCAGTCTGTTAAATAGAAACTCACATCTTGACCCTGGCATTTAATAAATTCCTTTGAAGGTTGCTTTCAAAATAAAATAGAATATTTCCCATATTTGCTACAATTATACCTCCCACAAAACATGCAAAGGATATGTGAGAAAATGTTTCTAATTTACATAGTGTCTCCTAAAAGTTGGTTTGAACTTGGAAAAGAGCTAAAACTATAAATATTTTAAGGGTGTTTATGGGCAACTACTAATTTGTTCAAAGCTTACATTTCATATATTTAAACCCTATTATAATGACAAAGTTCTTGACATACACTGTGATATTTATGCTTTTAGATAGTTTACATACTTTATTTAAACAATTCTCATTTATTTACTCCATAAAGTTTGATTTTAAATTGTCTAGGAACAAAGATTATGGACTTTTTTGTTCTTTAAGCATTTCTTCCTGGTGATTATCTAAGTATTTAGTATATACAAGTTACTAAACGAATCAGCCAACATATTTATTGCCCACTTATTATGTGAAATATTCAATAATAGGAATTGAAGGTCATTTAAGAGAAAAAAAGTGTAGTGCATTATACTTGTCCCCAGTCTTGAGGAAACAATCTATGTATACATAGAAAAGAGTAACTATGGGGCAGCACCTAGTGACAAACAAGTGACAAAGTTGATATTAATGTAGATGAGTAAGTAGCCATGCGGAGGAGCAAAAAGGATAGTCATGAGCCTGCCATATAGTAGGTGCTCAACAATTGCTGTTTGAGTGAATATATTTGTTAAATTAAGTACCCAGTAAGTACTTATTGTCCCTTATTCTTATAACGCCCTGAAGAAGGCATCATTAGCATCACTTTTGATGAGAAGAAAATAGACCTTCACAGAGGTTCTAGGTAGGAAGCATTCTAAGTGGTACAGTAGGGGGTTTCATAGCCACATCTGTTTGACTCAAAGATCTATGCTTCCCCTCTCCAACTATATTGCTTCTTGTAGACAGAATGCTTTTGCTATGGCCACCTTGAAAAGGTGGACCTACTTTTGTAGGGATGTTCATTTGTTAAGTCATTCTTGCAACAAATACTGACCACTCACAATATACCACATACTGTCCTGGACACTGGAGATACAATGGTGAGTAAAAGCGGACAATGTCCCATATGAAATTTAAAGTCTCTTCAAAGGATAGCAATAAAAATACCACATATCAAAAAAAAAGTAGTTAGAATGAATAAAACCTACTATTTGCTAGCACAACAGGGTGACTGTAGTCAATAATAAATTAATTGTACATTTTAAAATAACTAAAAGAGTGTAATTGGATTATTTGTAACAAAAAGAATAAATGCTTGAGGGAATGGAAAAATATCACAAAATTCGATAAAAAGTTGAAATTTGAATTGTATGAGAAAGAAGATATGCGTGGTACTAGAGAGCTTACAGTAAATAGACTTGGTCTTATTAAGGTGTTCAGGATCCTAAAGTCTGAAGAGTAAGTAAGCTTGAACTTTACAATTTGGAAAATAAAGAATATTCCAGATCCAAAGGATGAGGAGCAAAAGGGAAAATGGTGATTAAGAAGGTCTAATTATGGCCAAAGGGATCATGGTGCAAGATGGAGCTGAAACAGCAGGTAGGCACAAGGCCATTCTGGGTTTGAAAAGTCATTGTAAAAATTTTTTCCTTTTTCTGAGATCAATGGCAAGCCAGTGAAAAGTTTTAGCTGGGGAGTAGTGAGGTTGAGGGAGCAATGGAGAACATATGACAGAACGTGCAGATGGATTATAGAAGGCCAAGGTGGATTTGGATTGACCAGAGGGGAGGCTTTTTTTACACCAGCCAAGAGACTGTGGTGGCTGGTTCTACAGGGTTCATAATAAAGACTCAGGAAAAGGAATAGATTTCAGAGCTTATTTAGGAGATAAATTAGCATAATTTCATGAGGGATTGAATGTAGCAAGTTTGTTAAAGAAAAGGTAAGTCTCAAGGATGAGCTCAGGTTCCTGGTTTATATAACTTGATAGATATTAGTTCCCTTCACTGTGACAAGAAACAAAGTCTGGAGGGGAAGATATGAGTTTATTTTTTGACATACTAAATTTGCAGTACACTTGAGACTGGTTGGTAGACATATGAAATCAGCTGCTGATTATATGCATCTGTAACTCAAACAAAGGTCTCAGCTAGAGAGATAAATCTGTGGGTTGTCTGAGTGGAGGTGGTGATTGAAGTTGTGAGTGTAAATGAGATCACCCAGGGAGAGATATAGAGCAAGCAGAGGAAAGGGCTACTAAGCACGGAGCAACAACAACATTTAATGGCCAAGTAGAAGAAAATGTGCTTCTTAAAGCGACAGAAGCATGGTCTTCACCTGTGACTTGGCCTGGACTCACCCTCACTGGGGCGGAAAGAAGCAACAAATAAAATAGAATAAATGAATAAAGAGAGAGGTAGAAAGTAAGAGAGTGTTATATCTGAAAACCATGGAAAATAGTAATATTAAAAGAAAAGAATGGACCAGTAACTTTGAAGGCTTTTGCAAGATCATCTGAAATACTTCACATGGAGCTAGAGAAGAAAGAGGGAATTTCTGACTGCCTCCCTTCCTGTTACAAAGAATTGAGGTGGAGATATAAATTACTCTTTTTTTATTACTGGAAAATATTCATTGGATGGATGGATAGATAGACAGACAGACATAGACAGAGATACAGATACAGATATGGATATAAAACCTAGTCCATTTCTGAATAATTGCTACCCAGGAGACCTTAGGGCTAGACTGAATGAAACTGGGGGATAGGGCTCCACCACTATCTCCAGTTTCATTGCCAATAGATTGCCCCATAGAGATAGTACTTACATTACTAATACAATATGTAATATATTTATCCAAGGATCATTCATGCTGTCTAAAATAAATTATGGTTGATTATATTTCCAAAACTGATAGAAAACCTGCTGTTGTTAATTTCTCAAACACACAGCTATTTCAAGCGGAAAAATTTTCAAATAAAGGAAACTTTTTTTAGGGTTTTTAAATTTGCTTCATTTGGAAAGTCAACTTATATCCTCAAAATAACTTGAAATTCTTTTCAAACTTGGTTTTAACAAAATATTTTTGTTGCCTCATTGGGATTGGAAGAAATGTCTTGTCATTTAAGAAAAAGCTTTAAATTTATGCATACATTTGGAATTAAAATGATTTAAGTAAGAAAATGACTAGATCACAAGATCTCAGAGACAGTCTAGAAAGAGGAAAAATTGGGAAGTTGATACTAGATCAGATGCTGTTGCAATAGTCCCAATTTAAAATATTTCTAGTTCTAGACATCTACAGTGGGACATGGGAATGGGAAAAAAATCAGTTTCTGGAAATAGGTAGAAAAATTGATATGATGCCAAGACTAAGTAGAAGTGAAGGCATAGAGTTGAGATTCAGCAAATGTCTCCATTTTGTGGAAGAGGAAATTCAGAGAGATGCGATAATATGTCCCCAAACACTTGTTTAATAAGTTGCAGACCTGGAATCTATGCTTTAGACTTCTGACTTCAAATGCAAGGCTTTATCTAATATAAAGCCATAACAAATGCTGTTAGAAAAACAAGTTAAATATATAGAAACAGAGAGTAGAAAGGTTACCAGGGGCAGGGGGGTGGGGGAAACGGAGAGATAAAAGGTCAAAGGGCACAAAGTTTCAATTATGCAAAATGAACTTGTCTAGGAATCTAACATACAGTATAAAGATGATAGCTAAAAATGTTGTATATTGGAAATTTGCAAAGCGATTAGATTTTTAGGTACTTTTACTACATACATACACGTAAAAGGTAACTATATGAGATGATATGTTAATTTGTTTGACTGTGGTCATTATTTCATTATGTATATGTATATCAAACATTATGTTGTGTATCATAAATATATACAATAAAAAGAGCTAAAATAAGTAATAAAAATTTCACGGAAGTATGTTCTATGAAACACATTTGATTAAGAAACAAAATGAGTCAGAACTCTCTTTCTGATGGAAAAGTAGCTTCCTCAAATGAGTCCTTTCTTGTAAAGAACTAGCTAATTACCACTGGCTCTTGATGGAGAATGAAGAGAGTGAGGATGGTCTATCTTGGGCTAGCGCATGGTACCTGCCTGGCCACACTGAAGATGCACACTCTCAACACAGTTGAACCAGGGTAGGTGGTTGGACTCACACCTGCTGGTTCATGGTTCCACAGTGAGCTACCATGCTGGAAGAAATGACATAGTGACTATGGATTAACTCATGCCCAAGCCCTCGAACTTCCTATCTAAGGATTTCAGGAAAATAAGAAAAAGAGCAAAGTTGATCATTTACCTTTTTTTTTTTTTTAAAGCTGAGGGAAAAAGACTGTGAAAAAAGACAAACATCTTGCAAAGAAATAGAAAATGAGGCCTTTAAACACGTTGTTTATACACCCCAAAGAAATCAGCTCTTATTTCAGTCAGGATCACAGAAGCCTTGGATATATTTTATATTTTCTTTTCAGAAGTGTAAAAAAATACTTAAAAGTGCATATATAGACTGAACATAGATTTATTGCCAATGACTTTTGTAAGGCGGGTGGATTGAGGCTGCTAATGTAGGTTTATGAGTACAGCTGGTCCATTTAACAGCAGGTTTATAGGCACTCCTCAAGAGCGGCCCATGTCTGTAGAAGGTATGGTATCACACAGACTGTTGGACAGATGGGCCCATCTATGGGCAATGCACTATAAACCAACCCATAACTACTGCAGCTGTGACCATAAACCTTTTTAGAAAACAACTAGAAAAATCTGACGTAGAAATGTTTGCTGTGTTTCCAAATAGAAAGGTGGAACAGGCAAAGTGAGTGCCAAGGCAATGGCTTGGATGAACTTACCACAGACTCAGGTTAAACCAACAAAACCTACTTCACTCTCACTCTGCATTGTTTTCATAAACCTCTGTTGAAGGATCAATGGCAACTCATTTTCTGCTTTTAAAATTCTGAGTGCCTGAGACCACTGGTATTCCATTGAACACCCAGTATTCCTTGAATAAGTCACTGGGATGTTGGTACTCACCTACAACGTTAGTATAGTGTTTGCTTACATGGGCATACCTTGGAAGATTTGTCTCCTATGTAATGAAGATACATTTCAAAGCTGAGATTTTTCATCTGTTAAGAAGGCATTTTGCTTTTCCTCTGACATTTTGAAATATTTATTTTTAAAACAATTTTGTGGAAAGGACCACCAGCAGACGAGTTAAGTGCATTATAGAAATAACTATGACAGGATTTTTGTTTTTGTTTTTTACTAAGGTAGTAAGAGAGCGAGTATACTTAATTTATAATAAATATGGCTGCTGTCCAAAGCCCCTTGAAGGATAGAACCATCTCTTAACATATTTTTGTATTTTCATGATACCAAAAGTTAGAATTTGCAGGGAAGTCATTGTCATTTGGTCAGTATAAGGATTTCATATTAAGATGAGATACACAAATGAAATTTCCTTTACTTACTTATGTAATACCAACAAAATTTCTCAATTTTCCCTTCTTTTGGTTTATGTTGACCAGTTGCAATTTGTGATGTTTTACATGTTTTTTTAAATTACCTATTAAATAATATTTTTAAAATATGTATAAAAACATCTAGATTTTATATGCCATCATATTTATTTGAGAGAAATAAATAGTGATGGGAAATGGTATTGTGTGTATGTGAGTCAGTATGTGTTTGTGTGCATGTCTGGTCTGTGTGTGTAACCTTATTATGAGACTGACCTGGTCCCTGGTCTCTATCTTTTTTTTTTTTTAGTAATTTACTAAATCTGATGAATCTACTTGGGCACATTTTGGGTTGCACTGAGAACATTTTGTGGTTAATTAATATCACTTTGATGAAGGAATCTGTTATTGACTTTATAGCATACTATAGTTAGCAAGTATGATTCATTCCTTTTTAAAAGGAGGAGTATTTCTTACATTAGATCCAAATGTTTTTATATTTACCTCTGTAGTTGGTTCCTTTACTGGACTTGCAAAATAGCTAGTAAGAGGCTTAAATTTCCTATTATCATAGTATTTAGTCAGTTTATAGATTATTTCTGAAGGCTGATTTGATATCTTGTACATTGTTGTAGAAGATTACATTACTTGTTCTCAAACAGAATAAATGGGTGTGGGTAAACTCCCATTTTCTCTAGATGACTTTTTAAATTTTGGTCTTTTTGAACCTAGGTGAGTAGAAATCAGGGAGTACATGAGTATATATTATTTGGAGGAAAATTGGATTTCCCAATGCAGAATAACTAAATCATTTCAAGATGACTTTTAAAATATTTGAAGAAAATGTAGATGACTACTTACGTGTTTCAGAAGAAAATTACACAGAACTATGATTATGTGTCTTTTTCTTCTGAAGAATAATTCAAGTGATTTAATGTGATTATGGTTTAGATGAGAAGGGAAGCAAAACAGCCCCAAAATCTGGATAAGCATTTAGCAATAATATGAAAGGTGACCTAATTCAGAATTGTAAAATGACACCCAGTGGGATATTTATATTAATACAGTGAATAAACGTATGGGATTGGAAATTTCGCATTCAAATAGAAATTTTCAAGTCACCCAGAAAGGTAACTAGATTTTTTTTTTATTTGAAGAATAAATAATACTACTGTGAAGATGCCTGAAAAATATTCAGGGTCCAAGAAGTCGTCATATTCAAAATTATCTCTAGTAAAGTCAACCACTAGAATAAGACTTAAAAAACAATTAAAAATAACTTGTGGAGATTTACATATTTCAAATACTTTAATGTATTTTATCTCATTTACTGATTACAATAATCCTTTGAGGTGAGCAGTTCAGGTATTATTCTTCCATTTTGTAAATGAAGAACCTAAGGCCCAAAGAGATTAGCTGTTTTTCATGTCTCACAGCTAGTAAGAGGTCTACCTTGACCTTCAACACAAGTCTTGAATTAAAATTCACATATTACCTAAGTAGAGGAGGGTAAAAAAATCCAATTCCACTCACACTACTGATGATATTACTGTTGCATTGGAAGCTGAAAAAAGAGAGTCTCATAGGAAACAGAATGCAGGACAGTTACATTTATTGTAAGAGGGCCATTGAAATATGTTGCCATTTATAGCACTGGTTTGGGAGGGAAAAGTTAAGTCACACTCTGGACAGCTGAAGTGAGGAGCTGAATGAGCACATTGGTGATGATGTATGAGATGTTAAGATGAAAGGACCAAAACACGAATGTCACTATTTGACTAGAGCCGGTACCACATGAGTATCAAAGTGAACCAAAGCAACTGTGGAAAAGAACAACATATATTTCTTTTATTTTTAACTTTCTTATATTTTTAAATGTATAAAATGATGGCTCTTCACTTTAGCAACCTTGGGTCGAAGATGGAAGAAAAAAACCACATCAGAAGGAACTATTTCATTCAGCCACCACATCTGTTCCAGTACAACTGGACATTCCAAAAATCTTTTGTGCTTGTTCTATCATGCCAGATATTCTATCTGTTAGAGAAGAGGTCACAATATATTATCTAAAAATCTGACTGTTTAATTTACTTTAACTTTAATTTTTTTGGATTGTTCAGTGATTACATAATTTGCTGCATATTCCTTTAAGTTTATAATTTAATCTTAGCTCAATTATTTTAAATATAATAATATACTGTGGTTGTTTTCCATTTGATAGTATCTTGAAGAAATGTTAAATCGTCCCATCTATATATTTTTCCTATTTCATGATGAGGATTTTGAACTTAATTCTTAGACATAGGGAGCCATAGATAATCTTATTTTATTTAATCCTCTTTTCTTTATTTCTTCTGTTTGCTTGCCTTCTTTAACATTGATCAAGTTTTTCCATTCCTTTTTTCTCCCATTATAATTTGAAAGCTTTATAGTCTCTTTCTCTATAAGAGATCAGCCTTAATATTTAACATGCTACTGTTCTTAGAAACCCTAAGAACCCTGTGGTTCTTAGAAACCCTAACGTTTCTCCTAGCCAATAAAGGAACATTGAAGCAGCTTCACTCCAGTTTATTTCCTATATGTAACAGTTATCCAGTATTTTACTTCCATCTTATTTTTATATACTTCCAAATGAATCATTTAAAAATATATAACCAAATCTTATTTATAATTGTTCAATCATTGACCAATTTTATTTCACATCATTGCTTATTGCATTCTATATATTCCTTCTGTGTTAAATTTTCTTCTTAAAATACATTTTAAAAGAGTTTTATTCAGAGGAAACCTTGTCAATTATAAACTCCTTCAGAATCTTTGTCTCAAAACTCCCTTAGAGTGTTTCCTTTTAAACCCCTCTCTCGAAAACGTTGGTTTATTTGTTTTGCAGTTGTTTTCACTCAGCATGATGACTTGATATTCCATTTTCTTCTGACTACATCCTTGTTGAAGAAATCTGCTTTAATCTAATCATTGTTCTTTTGTAAGTAAAGGGTTTTTCTTTTTTTAAAAAAAAGATTTTCTAAATTTGTGGTTTTCTGCAATAATTTGTTTAGATGAGGAGTTACTTTTACTTATCATGCTTGGTATAATATTTCTTTAATTTGAGAATTCAAGCCTTCATCAATTTAGAAAAATTGTCAAGGATCAACTCTTTAAATATTGCCTTCTTCCTATTCTCCTTTTTTTTCTTTCCACATGTAACTTACAAATAGATTGTATCTTGTCATTCTATATTCCATATCTCTTAATCTCATTCATGTTTTCCAACTCTTAATCTCTACCTTTTCTGTATTTGGAACAATTTCTTAGTTTTTTATTTTTTAAAACAAAATTATCTATCTTCCAGTTTAGCAATTTTATTTTACCTGTGTGTATTATTTGATTCTTTTTTAAGTCTGACATTTTTTTTTTTTCATGATGCCTTTCGGTTCTTATATAGTTTCAACTTTTCCTTTTGTGTCTTTCATCATTTTAAAAAACACTTATTCTGTATATTCTGTCAAATTATTTCTATTATTTCATGCTATTGAGGTCTAAATGTGCTGTTTCTTATGCCTTCTGAATCTTGTTCATGGAAGATTATATCCCTGGATATTTTATTATTCTGAATTATAAATCCTATACTATAAGAGTCACAGTATTAGCTCATGAGCTAACCAAGCTGATGCTCAGTTCTCATTTTATCCTAAGCACATAGAGAAACTTACTTTTGGTGAATTTCAGCTATGTATTTAGATGACGTGTTTTTATTTTATCTTGAATTTCTGTGTGTTGGAGGTGAGTGGGCTTACAGGCTGTCATTATGCCTAGTTACACATGGATGAAAAAGGTATTAAACTTGCTTCGGGTAGAAGCTTTACCTAAATACACAAAACTAAGAAGAATTAAAAGTCAGGTTTTTAATTTTTGTCGTCAGACTAATGCATTACAGGGATTATTAAGTCATTATTGAATCTCCAAGACAAAAAAATAATGACCCCCAAAGTAAGAATTTGATCAGAATTCAAATGAAGCCTTGTATTCGTAGTCATATTATTAATTCTTCAAATAAATAAACCATTCTAGTTACTTTCTAGGGTGATTCAAAAATTTCTATTTGAATGAAAAATTTCCAATCCCATATGTTTGTTCATTGTATTAATATAAAAGTCCCACTGGGTGTCATTTTACAGTTCTGAATTAGGTCACCTTTCATATTATTGCTAAATGCTTATCCAGATTTTGGGGCTGTTTTGCTTCCTTTTCCATATAAATCATAATCACATTAAATCACTTGAATTATTCTTCAGAAGAAAAAGACACATAAGACTCACAGTTCTATGTAATTTTTTTCATGATTTATCAATTCTCCTTCCTCTGTGGTGTACTTGAAATAAGACTATGAAACTACAAAGTTGGCCCTAAAATAGGAGATTTGGTTGCTTCCTGCCTCTTTTGCATCAATAATATGTATTTTATTTCAAGGAAAAAACTTTAGAAGGTTTTCTATAGTAGAGTGACTAATTTACTATCCTCCTGGGTAGCAGTAATATTCATGCCAAGAAATTATGAACATTTTACATATCTACGGTTTTTGCTCTGGTGGCCCTCCACTTACTAGCAGAATAATGTGGGAATCACATGAAACAGATGGCCTGTGAATCAGTGTAAATGTACATATAGTATGAAAATAAATGCAGCAAGTGTATGCATATGAATGCACATTTATGAGTAAATACTAATAATTGTTAAAAGTACACTATTGGTGTAAATCACAGAAGTGTTCATAAAATAAAAATTCATATAAATTAGATTTACATACAAGGTGATTCTATGTAAATGGCTATATAAAGAAAAAATATTCATTTTGTAGATATGATCTAACCCAAGGATTCCAAATCCTTTTGTACTTTACAAATAAAACGAAACTTGGTGAAATTTAAATTGCAAAGAATTGATTTTTATTGTATTAGTCTTACGTATTTTTTTTAATTTGTCAAATTATAGCATTCCTGTCAGCTGTGCTAAGCTATTTGGGAGTTATTTGGGTATTAAAAGAAATAAATAGCAACAACAGCAAACCAAGAAGAAATTCAACTTGCTACAGCAGAGAAACAGGACAAAAATTGATAGCCTGTTTTTGATTTTTAAAACAGGCAATTAAATGAGAGAATGTATTTTTCAAGTCTCATCAGTGTAGCCTTAAAGATTAGGAAAGAGTCCATTTTCTAAGCTTTGGGCCTTACGAAGATTCCTGGGATCGGGAAGAATCAAAAGATCTAACTAGCAGAATATGAGTGAAGTGACCAATTCCATGTCTGATGCATAAAAACATCCTACTTGATCCTCCACACTCTTTCTTCCCTGATCTACTGACCAGATGCAGATGATCAGCCGAGGATCCATGAAATTGAAGAATCCACAGTGCTTGAAGAACCACGTGATAAACTTCCCATTTATCGGGATATCCATATTGGACTTACATGAGCAAGAAACAGATTGATGGATTTAAGCCACTGAGATTTGGGTCTTTGTCATATTAGATAGCGTTATATAACTAATAAAAATATGTTAAAAGAAGTTTGATAGCACAATTTGATAAGACGACAGGGTGACCATAGTCAATAATAATTTAATTATACATTTAAAAATAACTAAAAGAGTATAATTGGATTGTTTGTAATGCAAAGGATAAATGCTTGAGATGATGGTTACCCCATTTACCCTGATGTGATTATTGCACATTTTTTGTCTGTATCAAAAACATCTGATATACCCCATAAATACATATACCAACTATGTACCAACAAAAGTTAAAAATTTAAAAATTTGAAAGAGGTATTCCAAACCTACATTTCTAGCAATCACAGAGGTTATTTGAAAGATAGCAAATTCTAATTTGCATATAAAAATAACTTATTTTAATAATTGTTTAGCTGTTAATAAATGAGATAAAAATAAATGCTAAAGATACTTGGCTTTGAGGAATAACGGACTTTTTAGAATAAAATTTTAAGGTAGAAAATCTGAGCATATTAACCTAGCAATAAATAAGCTCTCCAGTAACCAAACTAGACCCTGTGATGGGATCATCTGTACAGAGGATGACACTGTATATTTTATTAGTTATCTATTGCTCCATAATAACTTATCCCCAAACTAAGCATCATTTGGGATAATATTATTATCCCAAAACTAAACATTGTATCCCCAAACTAAACATCAAATAAGAAACATTTGTTATCTCACACCGTTTCTGACAGTCAGGAGCTTAGCTAATAGCCTTCATGAGGTTGTTGTCAAGATGGTGGCTGGGTCTACAGTCATCTGCATGCTCAACCAGGGCTTGACAATCCACTTTCAAGCTCCATGATGGCTGGCAGACCTTAATTCTTCATCTGGTGCACCTCTACCTCTTCAATGGGCTGTGTAACTGTTCTCATCATGAGATATCTGGCTTCCCCCACAGCACTAATGAGAATGAGGGACAGAGAGAGATGGAGAAAGAATTCTGAGAGAAGCCTCATCGTGAGGAAAGCCTCATTCCCAGGAAAGCCTCAGTCTTTTGCATCTTAATCTCAGAAGTATATACATCTCTTCTGCCATATTCCACTGGTCATACCAACCAAACCTAGTGCCATGTGAGAGGGCAACACAGGAGGCTAAGAATACGAGGAGGCAGGGATCACTCAGGGGGCATTTTGGAGGCTGGCTACAGCATACATAATATAACCTCTTCGATGGTTATGAATATGGAATAACTATCATTAGCATTACAAAAATGTTAAGGTAAAAGCAAATGTTTATTACTTTTTTTTACAAGGAAACACATGTTCATTTTGAAATAAAGTATTTGAGTAATATAGATGTGCATAAAAATAGGAGACGTCTCCCTGCAATGTCCATCCTGTACCCTACCTGCCTTGGTAGTTTAAAATTTTCTTTCATCCAGGAGCTTGTTCCTCCAAAAGAGTTTGCAAATGACAGAATATCTTAGAAACAAAGATTTGTTCAAATTATTTATTTATTTCAACTGATGAATAGAAATTTCACATGTTTATAGTACACAGCATGTTTTGAAATGTGTATAAATTGTGAAATGGTCAATTCGAGCTAATTAACATCTACATTACCTCACATACTTATCGTTTTGGGGTAAGAACACTCAAAATCTACTCCCAACAATTTTTGAGTGTACAATACATTGTTATTAACTATAGTCAATATGTTGTACAGTAGATCCCTTGAACTTATTCTTGAGAAATAATTTTTGAGGATACCCATAACTTAACACTATATTACTCGAAATCCTGGAAGTCCAGAGTTGTATTTTAGGTTCCATTGCTCTTCCAAAACACCTAACACAACAGGGTTTTGCAATAAGAACTCAGAAATATTTGCTGATTTGAAACAAATTCAATGCCAAGAAGTAGAGAGATGTATTCTCTACACACAAAAGGAGAAAATCATGTGGGTCTTTTTTTATAAAATTGTTTTTCAGTGAATCCATTAAATAATTGGAAATAAAGAAATCCAGACTCTAAGATATATAGCATGGCCCCATTTAAATGATGCTAAATTAGCTGAAACTTAGGTACTGTAGCTCCCTCAGGACTTTCAAAGAGTTTTGGCTTGAATACAAGGCTCACAAAATACTATTAGCTGGGGACCTAGGGCATGTTTTCCAAAGGGCTGCTTGGTCCCTATTCATGTAAAACTTTGTTTATCCAGAAGTCTCATAATGTACATTGCTCGACTCTGTCCACCTTTCTAGCAACCATGACAGAGAAATCTACCTAACTAGTCTTAGTTAACACAATTATAACTTAAATATTAGTAAACTGTATTTTTCCATTAACCAAACAGTCCAGAATATCACATTTATATACAGAACATCTTTATGGTAAAAATTTGAACTGAACTGTGCCATTTCTGCTTCGTTTCTTGTCGTAACTATTTCCAACTAAGAAATTCACACACTCCAATCAAAATATTTTTCCTAACAATGGATATTTGTAAGCTTTTATTCCACAATATGAATGAATCCATTAGTTAATTGTAAATTTTACCCTGAAGAAAGGTATCAAGAAAAAGACTTTTATGTATATTTTGGTTTCTCAGAGATATTTTGATAGGATAGACATTGGTTTTAAAAGGGAATCACTTTGTTTCATGAAAATCTTCCATCCTTTATAGTCAAAGGTGAACATAGCATAGATTCACCAAATAATCTACTTCAGTGTGAAATACTTTGGTAGAATATTTGCTGCAGGAAGTTTTAGCAGGTTTAAAGACTCTTATGTCACGAATGTTCTTCTCATTTTATGTCACTCAGGTATTATGATCAGCATGAAATTTGTGTGTGTTTTTATTAACATATAACTATTATGCATATATAGTATGCAACTGTTGGTTGCCAGCACAAGGGCCATTTTCCTCATTTTTCTTAACCAACACCATTCTGATTTTTTTCAGATATTTGACAATACTGCATTCAGGGAAGATGCACCCCTTGTCTAAATTTAGGGGATAAACCATGACTGTTTTAAGCCAATCCTTGCAATTCATCCTCCTTTGTCAGTGAATGTTCAGGGGGAAAATATGTGATTCATTTCCGGATAATGAGACACAAAGTAAGTAGGTTATAGGATTTCTAGGGAAATACCTCCTCCCTGATAACAAGAGAGATGTGCAAGGATTAATGTCCTTTTTATTCTTGCTTTGGAGGCAATACTGAGAGGAAATGATTGAAACTGCTGCTACCAGCTTATGACCGTGAGAGGAAACCAAATTCTCCCTGAGCATTTGACTTCATTAAGCTGCTGAATTAACCAACCATGAAGTCCTCTACATTTGGACTTCTTGTTATGTGAGCCAAACACAAATTGATCTTTACTTATTTCACTATTTGCACCCCAAAACATCTTAACTGATAGAACATTAGCCATGTGTATCATTTAAGGGGCTAGTTTTATGCACTTACTTTATTCATCTATACTTGATGGAATTTTGTTTCCATAATTGTTAGCAATGGCAACTGTGAATAATGTTTAATATCTTGTGAAGACTTTTTATGTTTATATTTTTATGAAGTAGGCAATATTGTCTCCCTTTTACTGATGCCAAAAGAGGGGCTTACAGAGTAAGTACATCAAAGTTACACAGCTGGTCAGTGCTAGAGCTAAGATTTGCTTCTAGATGTGTTTAACTTCAAAGAGTGTGCTTTTAGTTACCATGCTGTACTTCCTCTCTACTGGGCAGTGATGCTGCATAGTATCATCTCACCCTTTCAGGTCTTTGTGTTCTTAATGCACTTCTCTTAGCTATCACTTTTTAATGTTTCCCTAAATCTTGTTTTCACCCATTATATTTAGAATTTTCTCAAGTAAACAGTGAAGTTGAAATAATTTTATAGTGAATTTACATACTCACCACCTAGACTCTGCCATTAACATTTTACTATACTTGTCCAATCAAATATTTTGTGATGTTTTACTGTCAACCCAATCATGCCTTTTAAAACATTTTCTTCTTTAGTTTTTAGCCGATTTCTAACATAGGCTATATCTGCACATTTTCATTTACAGTGGAGTTGATGATCCCTTGCACGCTCATTTAGTTTTCTAAGATCCAAGTGTTTTAAGTAGTTATTTGCATATAAATGATAACTTCTCTTTAGTATTTCGCTTCATGTTAGAATAATGTAATGGTGCAATGCTAGCATTAATGATTTAAAATAGTCATTATTATAACCAGGCCAGGTCTGAATTTGTGAGGTTCAGTATAGAAAGGGGATATGTGATGTCACTATAATAGACTCAGATTGTCTTTCATTTACGATTATGTTTACACAATGGTTAATAATTGTGTCATTACATACTTACTGAAACAGACAAAAGGCTTATAACATTCCTAAAGTAGTTCTAGTTCAGAGCACTCATGCCTATTTTTTCTAATTTTAAGAGTTTAAAGAGGTTACTCTCTTGATTCGCCAGCAAGAAAGTTGTGTTTTTGTGTGAGTGTGTGGGTGTGTGTGAGTGATGCCACAGTTCTTTGTCTGAGACTCCCCTGTGCCCTCTGCAATATGTTTCTGTTTCTGAACTTCTGGCCAGACGTACTTAGGCCAACAGAATAATTCAGCAAAGTTCTTTAATTCAGTTCTAACAGTCCAATTGGGAAATGTAAAAGAAACCAGGTTTGTAGCTTGGGTCTCCAGCCTCCCCTTTCTATTTCCATAGCTTCTAGTTTTTTGGTTGCTCATAACTAAAAGCCTTAGGGTGGGCAAGTGGTGATATTTTAAAACTTATTTTTATCTCCCTATCTTCATTCATATAAACAAATAGTGATAAGGCTCTTTTATTTTCTAGGCTTAAATATTCCATGTAATAAAGGAAAACGAATGTCTATACCAACTCTTTGATGCACAAGATATTATTATCTGGCTTTTAAAGTTTATTATTTGCTGTCTTTTCTCCTAAGGGAAAGCAATGCCTTGTTTTATTGTTCTGTGGTTTCTTTCCTTAATATTAATATTCTTCGCATTCTTATTGTCCACATAATACAAATATTTTATTATCATTCTCTCTCCTTGCAATGCATTTGCTGATCAATTACATGGTTATCACTTATTTTTCATTTTTTTAAACAAATATTTGTTGAACTCTTTTTTTGGGCAAGACACAGTCTGGGACATAGAGATAAAGCTGCCATTAATCCTGTCTTCAAGCAGCTTATACCTAATAATATGCATAACTCCTTTCTATTTTATCTCCTTCTTTTATTTAATTCAAAATAGAATTAGTAAAATATATTTGGTAGTAACAGATACTTTTATAAAGTTGTGGTTTCCTATCCTTTTTCTCCCCCATAATTGGATGGCTTTTTTTTCCCTCTCAACTATTTGATCTGTGTGTGGAAATGGTATTACATATTACATGCTACCTTTAAAAATCAAAAACTTGAATAATTCAAGAAACAAGAGCCAACTTGCAGTAAGTCCTGCAAAAGTAAAGTTTTTAAAGTAACGTTGCTTTGGTGCTTCAAAACCTGCCTGAGGAATGGGACCTGAGATTATCTCATACAGTCAAGGCCGGTAAACATGCTCACACCGTTAGAAAGTGAGAGTCACGTATTATAATGAATACCCATAGTATCGTCCATATTTCCTTTACTCCAAAGAAGCGATTCTGCTTGGTGTCATGGGAAGAGCATAGGCTTGTAGTTGTTCAGAAATTGGTTTGAATCCTACTCCTCCATTTTCTTGTATCACACCTTACCATCTGCATTTATCTTGGCAGTCTGTCTTCTCCAGTGTTTTTTTTATTTTTTATTTTTATTTTTTTCAAGATGGAGTCTCACTCTGTCGCCCAGGCTGGAGTGAAGTGGCATGATCTTGGCCCACTGCAACCTCTGCCTCCTGGGTCCAAGCAATTCTACTGCCTCAGCTTCCCAAGTAGCTGGGATTACAGGTGCCTGCCACCATGCCTAGCTAATTTTTGTATTTTGGGTAGAGGCAGTGTTTCGCCATGTTGGTCAGGCTGGCCTCGAACTCCTGACTTCAAGTGATCTACCTGCCTTGGCCTCCCAAAGTGCTGGGATTACAGGTGTGAGCCACTGCGCCCAGCCTGTCTTCTCCAGTTTTATCCAGGGCTGGCTCCTCCTCCTCCTTCGGATGTTTGTTCAAATGTCTCTTCTTTAGTCAGGCCTCTCCTGTCCTCACTCTGTCCTCTTTGTCCCTTACCCATCTCTGATTCTCCATCTCACTGATAAATACTATGAGGAAGATGAGCCCAGTGAAGTGAGTGTAGCAGGATGGGGAATCACTGGGCTTGTTATTTGGCATCTGTCTCTCCCAGTGGAATGTGGCCTCCATGGAAGCAGGGGCCTTTCTTTTCCCATTCACTGCAATTTCCCCAGGATCCATCTACAACAGTGCCTGGCACACATGAACTGGGCTCTCAAAATAACTGTTATTATTTTTAACCTCATGCCCAGGGATAGACTCTGCCCTCCTACTTTACAAAACAGTACAGTACCTCAGTTTCTCATGTTTTATCACAGGGCAGACTCGGAGTGATGTGATAATATACAATGCCTTAGTGCTTAGACAACTGTTTTGTTAGGTTTAGCTGATTAACTATTTCACTGGGATGGAGCCAATGAGTATAATAATACTGGCAGGTGTTTATTAATATTACAACCTTATTTCCTCCTGCTGTTCAGGATCGCTAGCTTCTAAACAGGCAGACACCTGAGCCTTTTGTGTGCCACATGACAGTCTTGTATTTTTTTCACAGGTGTTAAAACAAAACAGGGATCAGCAGATTTTGTAATCTTGTGTGCTATGAGCCAAGCAGAAGCTGTGCAGCTTGTTTTCATGGCACAGTTCACAGTGGCCAGACAGGAATTAAGTAGGACATCACCAGGGGCACAACATACTTCTATTTATTTAATTAGGCCTGTGACCAAAGATTTGTTTAAAGTGAGTGGTGGAGTGATAGCAGGTAATTTTTTGAAATATTCCACATCTTCAGTTTTGCATTAGTTGTATCAGAAAATGTTCAGGAGTTAAAATAATTATATTCTTCATGATATTCAACATAATTTGTTAATGAAACCAGATTTCAAGTATTGAAAAACTTACAGTGGCATAGGCTTCCAGTGGTTACTCCTGCCATTTTCCTTAAGAAACTTATCTTTCAGACTGCTCGTTATGTAAGTTGTGCATTCAACAATTAGCATAAAACTCTTGCTATTTGTTTGATTTCCTTTGGCTCATTTCTTTTAGACTGAGAGAGATTCTAATATATGCTAGTGTTTTAAATGCTAAAGAAATTCTAAAATTATTTTTAACCCTTGTATAGGCACTTCTTACAAAACCTGAAAATGTTGTGCAGCATTTGACATGACATAGAATGAGAAGTAGTAATTTATAGAGCTCTCACCATCCTTCATGTGTTACTCCAGGTGCTTTCTCAAGTACATATATAAATATGCTATATAATATCACTCTTTCTGTATATATGTAAAAACATATATTACTCTATCTTTACCATAATCTAGTGCAATACATTGCAAGTGATTAAAGTGAGTCCCTGAGAAGTACAGTAATTTGCTCAGAGTTGCACAGTGAATAAACAGTAGCACCAGTATATAAAATACTTTGTTCAACTCCCAGGTCCCTACCATTTCCATGGTACTAGGGTAATTTTCATAAGATTAAAAACATCAAAATTCCTTTAAATAAAGCATTTGAATGTAAATGCTGAAACAAATGAGAGCAAGGCAGATTTATGTAATAATGTGAGGTTCAAAATGCAATCACAACTAGGGTTAAAAAGAATGGTTCATGGAGCCAAAGAGAGACATTTCAATGAGTCCAGGCAAGGCCAAGACAACTTGATGCTTCATGATGGTGGTTGTATTACTGGCAATTTTGTGAAATTTTCTTTGAGGCTGCATCAAATCACAATTTGAAAACAGAGTCCAAGTTTTGATTCACTTTTTCAAATCTAGAGAAATCTGGACACACAAAAAGGTTCTGGGGGCCTCTCCAAGGAGATGCTATGAAAGGAAGGATACAATGCCCACTTTTCCTACTGTCCATCAACGTTCCAGTGTTCTGGAAGCACAAGACCTGATAAAGAGCAAATCAGCTAACAGTAGCAATAGCAGAATAGGGTTGGTTCACTTCCCTGCTGTTTGTCTCTTGGCCAACTATTCTTTTCCATACTTAATCTTACCAGTAAAAGCAAACCCACTCCAGTTCCTCAGAGTCTCTTCATTTTAATCTCACTTTTCTTCTATCTCCCACACAACTACCACCAAAACACGCACACGCACATATACCCACACAAATTAGAAACTGAATTAGTTTCTATTCTTTATTAATATTTATCATATTGGAATTTGTATTTTCTCTTTTAATGCAGTAGCAAGTTTCTTGGGCTTATTATGGATATGGGATGTGAAAATACAGACTGCTTTCTCACTAAGAAAGGACTTTGATCATTAAGAACTGAAGCTGGCTGTCTGAATTGAATGAGAGTAGGAGTGGGATAATGCTCTCAGACATTTCTTCTGCAATTATACATTTATGCTTGACCAGGTTCTGCTATGATAACTTTATTTTTGAAATGATGCATTTTCCTTACACAAATAATATCCAAATCCTGAAAAATTCTTGGGAAATTATGACTTCCAGGACTAGAATTGAAACAATGCCAACCTGAAAGTTTTATAAATTGGGCTCAAAGTGTGAAATCCTTCCAGCTGTTAAATGCATCCCATATCAAATTTATTCACAGTTCTTCAGAATATTTCCTTCTGTCTGAAGACTCCTGCAAATATATATGCCTAGAAGCTAGGAGGTAAACATTCTTTTAAATCCTCTAAAGACTATGCGGAAAGCAAATAGAAAAATTATGTGTATACAGGTCATATTTTTAGATGGTTTTGTAAGCATTTTTCTGTGTGGCTTTCTTAGGCTCAGAATAGCTCTTCTAATACAAAATGAACTATGAGCTATAATCTGCCCATTTTATAATTTTGAAAGCTTTAGGCAATTGCATATAAGAAACTGTGGATTGCAGTCTTTTTTTAGTAGTCGTTGCTTCCAAAGACTGACACATTTCCCTGCTGATACAACAGCTGTATGAGTCCCTGGAAGCAAGGCATGCTCTCTTGACTTCCCCTTCAGCCTTAACCAATTTATTCTGCATAGAGCCTGGTCACATCCTCTAGCTTACAGAATGTAGCTGATTCGTAGTCCAAATTCCCAAACTCTGTTTACTATTGAAGAATTCAAATTCTAATTTGTGTTGGTGAGAAGTATAAGATTTATTTTGTAAGCTTTAAAACCTTTGACTTTCTGATCATCATTTTATATCCATGCAGGCTTCAGTAGCAGAATATCCCTAGGGAAGCAAGTACTTCTCCAGAAAAATGTAAGGTAAATTTTTTCTGCCTTACCAGATGCAAGAGAGGAAAGTATAGTGAATGGAAGATTGCCTTGATACCTGATCTGTGGATATTTTCCCAGCCTGTTTTGTGAGTCTGTCAAATCCATAGACCTTAAGACATACAATTCCTTAAGATTATTAACTGATTCCAGCTAGTATTTATTTTCATTCAATTCACAACTATTGTGAATATGTAAAACATTAATATCAAAAAATCTATGTGAAAGACTATGTAAGTTATTAAAATAATTTTATTGGCATCTCAAATCCTTATTTATTTATTTTTATAGGTGGCATCCCAGTTTTGCGACTTCTTGAAATCTTCCTTTTGCCTCCTGTTGCACCTTAATGGCCATTAGGAAATGGCCGTCATTGTATCAGGGGAGGTGCCAAGACCAGTCCTTTGCTAGTTTCTGGAGGATATTGCATTCTGGCTATAAAAGTAAAATGCTCATAATATTTATTTATGATTACAAACAAAAACAATCATTCATGGCTTTTACCAACATTAATATTTTAACATATCACTTGCTATTCTCATGTTCTATTCATTTTTAAAACAGAAATTTTGCTACATGCAACAATTATGGGAAATGGTCTTATAAATATGAAAGTTTGAAACAATGAACAGAATTAACACATATAATTTAGAGTTTGAGTGTCATTTAATACTTTTTTATTAATCCAGGAGGCAAGTCTGTTCACAGTATAGTCACAGAGGTTGTCATATGGTAATAATAGATCTATAACATTAAGAAAACTATAAGAGATGTCCATTAAAAATATCTCCTTATATGTATTTTTACAACACATCATCAGCTTGTTTATGAACAAGGACACAAATCAAAATAATGACAGATTGCCCAGATTAGGTTAATCTGTACTTGATAATAGAATGTCTTTCATTTATTCATCATTCATTCATTTATTCATTCAACAAATGTTACTTAAATGTTCATGCTGTGTCAGGGACTATGCTAGGAGCTTAAAATACATCAGTGAATAAAATCCTCCATCATTGTTCTTGGGGAATTTACCTTCTAATGAATTCTTCATTTTTATTCCCCAAGCTAGTTTAAATAATAGAAATTTTCATTAGCTTTTCAGTAATTCTGAGTCCAAGAGGCACAAGGTACAAGACATCTAGTCCAAGAAGCACTGGTTCCACCAATGTCATATAGCAAGCTAATAATTCTCCCTGGATGGCTGCCTTTTGTTTTACTTTAAAAGTTATCAATTGAAAATTTATTTTAGGAGATAATTTTACATAAGTATGGCCCATTGACTGGAATATTGCTTTTTGAATAATGACACTGATGTATTACAGAAGCTAAAAACTGAAAAATCCACTAATTTTCTGTTTGGTCTTTTAAGTAGACTCTGTGGCTACTGAACTCTGCTTTCAACTGGGAGGTGGTTCACAGATAAGGCTTCCATTGGAAACATCACATAATGGATTTTCTCCCCAAGTATGTTGCCTATCACTAGGCCTGTCAAAGGTGGATGCACATAGACCAAATCCAGTGGAGTGACTTTTTCCTTTGTAATTTACCTTCTGTGGAAGGTAGGTAGGATGTCCTCCAATGATGCCCACATCCTAATTCATGGAACCTATGACTATGTTATGTTACACAACAAAATGGACTTTGTGATGTAATTAAGAAGAGAGACAATCCTAATCACACAAGACCTTAAAAGCTGAGAACTTCCTCCTGCTGGGGACAGGACAGATGAGGCAGAAGGGGAGGTTAGGGAGGTTTGAAGAGTGAGAAGAACTTCTGCAGTGGCTGACTTGGAAGATGAAGGAGGTTATGAACCAGGGAATGGGGGCAGCCTCTAGAGGCTGAGAACCTGCTGACACCTACCCACAACCGCTAAGGAAATGAAGACTTTAATTCCACAACTGCATGCAACTAAACTCAGCCAACAACCTGAATAAGTCGGAAAAAGGCTTCTCCAGAGCCTCCAGATAAGAGGCCAGGCTGGCGACACCTTGATTTTGACCTTGTGAGACCTAGAGCAGAGAAACTAGCCAAGATCACTCAGACTTCTGATCTACAGAACTGTGAGACCGTAAATTTATGTTGTATTAAGCCACTAATTGCGTGGGAATTTGTTACAGGAGCAATAGAAAATGAATACACCTTCTGATGTAGTTTAATCAGTTGACATTAGGTAAGTCTTCAGTCATGTTTCTTTTCAGAAATAAATACACAAATTATCATATCCTGGGGGTTTGTGTATTAACATGTTACATTATGTCAGTAAGTGATATTTCTGATAATTTGGCACTTACATATGTGCCTGTATTTCCTAAGTGTTTTATTAAACATTCCTTATTCATTAAGTGTTGACCCTGGTTAAAATATATATAATACTTGAAAGTGCTGCTGTTTGGTGTTCTTTCTGTGCCAGACTCCTCCCGTTTGTAATATGGAGATTTATTTACAATGGCGAGAGCTGCTATGGGGCCATCCATAATAACACAGAAGTCTTGGCCGACAAACACCAGAAGGAGCTGTCTGGAAGGTTTGAATAAATAAACCTGGGTGGGAAGTATACAGTTATTGTGCATCACCAATGAATGAATCAGGTTGAGTTCCATCCTCTTCACCTAAAACTTCCTTAAGTGAGTGACAAGCGTAGTATAAATCAGAAAACCGAGCCATCAAGAAGCTTGCCTTGACCAACGACTCAAATCACATCAAGCAGAACCAGAAGAGAACTTTACACCTGTATCTTCAGCCCCACAGTAAAACCCAATGACACGATGAATGCCATTTAATCTGTGTGATTTCACCATGAAATCTAAACCATCATTTGAAAGGCTGCTGAATGTGGTACCAGTGACACACTTTGTGCCTAACTCTCTTAACTTTTTGCTCATTTGATTGCCATACAACTCTAGAAATCTGATTTTAAAACAATTACCTTAGGTTCCAGGGAATAATTACTTTAATGATCTTTTAAATATTTTCCCCCTAAGAGTTGACCTTGCTGTAAATTCTTTATTGCCTATTTATATGGTGATAGGGGATTAGGCAGGCACTGTTCTTGAGTCTTTACTGAGCTAAAGGAAAGTGGCCAATAGATGGCCTAAAAGAATCATGGGGAAATGTTTAAGGGGGAATTGAAAATTCAGTATTTTCACAAGCTACAAAAACATCCAAAGTCAATGATAAAAACAGATGTATTATGGCAAATTAGCAGTAGAGGGAAACAGAAAATGTCGTTTTCTGAATGAGGACTTAGAGTGGGAAGCTGTCCTTTAACTATTATATATATTTTAAAATAATTTTATTGATATACGAAAACTAATTTAGAAACCACATTAATAAATTAATAAAATTATTAAAATGATGGTACTCCATGAATTTTTAACAAGAATATTCCCTATGTTACACTTACAAGAAATCTTTTTTGATAACGTAAAGTCATAATTTGCAAAATATTTGGCACTCTTGTTTGCTTTCTGCTTCACTATCTTTGAGTCTGTGACAGGTAGCTGATGGTAAACCTCATAGGATTTGGAGTTATATTTGAAGACACTATCCAAGATATTTATTTGAACTTACACAAAAAGGCTATTTTCACCCTTAATATTAAAAAGCTGAGATGCATCCCAGGAGGCAAATATCACTCATGTACCTGGAAGCTTTTACTAAATGTAAGTTACTATGGCAAAGGAGTAAGAAGAGGGCACTATTCATTTACAGAATACAAAAGATATTGAATCTGAGAAATTCAAGGGGCTATGCCCATCGTATAGCTGAAGACAACAAGTAGAGAGTTTGGGTGATGGAAAATGAAAATATGTTATTATAATATGCTAACATTCCATTCCATCTCCAGTCTGCAAGCATTTCTTGAGCACTCGCTTTCTGCTACGCCCTGGGAAAATGCTAATCTATTTAGCACTTTTCCATTTACAAAGCTTTTACAAAGCCATATACTTTGGCTTATTTGACACACTCATAAACACTTGGAAGTGGAAAAGGTATTATTAATAATACCATTTAAACAAAGAGAAGACGTGTCCATGTAAATGGCAGAGATGGAAATCATAAGGACAAAGTGTGAACCAAAACCAAAAAAAAGTAGATTATTCACCACGTATAAGACCCAAAGAAGCATAGCGTGACGTGTTGAGGAATCATAAACCAATAAATGGTGAATAGACTTTGAAATAGCGATCAATCTTCTAAATTATATAACATTTAACCACAATGAATGCACAAGGCTTTTATGGGACAATCTTTAAAGCCTCCTCAATTAAATAAAACAATGCTTGAAAAAAATAAAATTGTATGATACATTTGTGAATGGCAAAGCTTAACACTTCAAAGACACAAATTCTTACCAAATTAATCCAAGAATTCAATACAATTCCAATAGACATTTCACCAGGATATTTTGAAGAATTTGACAAACTTACTCTGAAATTTAGGGGCCAAGAATCACTAAATCAGTCTTGAAAAGAAGATTCAGTCTTGAATCCCCATGTGGATTCACCATATTGGTAACAAAGGGGTGCCCCTCTCCATCTCTAATGCAGCAAGCATGAGTGGGCCAGTCCCTAGGTGCTGCACTCTGAAATGCTTTACCATGTTGGTGCATTTGTGCCTGAGAATAGGCTTGCTCCTACTCAAGCATTAAGCATGGTGGGAATAGTAGGGTAAGCCCAATACTGGAGGACATGAAAGGCTTCTAATAGGCAGCTTTGGCTCCAGGACTCTCCAACAACCTTAACAAACTCTCCTTAAAACTGCACAGCAGCCCAAGAGGGTTTTTGGCAACCTTTCTTCTTTCCTTCCATAGCCTCTCCACTCGAGGTCAGACTGGCATGATGGTCTGATGACTCCCCTAGCTCCCAGCCCTCTCTCCATCTTTGTGTCTGCTTCTTATAGGACTCAGACTTAACAATTATTTTAAAAAATAATCACTGAGGCACTAGCACAGAAACAAACAGACTCAAAAAGTAGAATGGATAGCCCAGAAATTATATCTGTTTATTGTACTTGATATATAATAAAAGATGATACCACAAATTAGTGGGGAAAAATAGATTGCTAATTGAATGTGTTGAGGGAAATTACTGTTAGTGTCTTGTAAAGGTCTTAACAAGTGGTTAAACTTTGGTATGAGGGATGAGAAGTCCATAGGAGGAAAAGTAAGATTAGGTGCCTTCCTCATATTGCATACAAAAATAAATTTCAAATTAAATAAAAAACTAAATGTGAAAGGAAAAATTGTGATTCTGTGGTGGGAAAGGCTTTTACAAAAATTGCCCCCAGAGTCTCAATCATAAGAAAATAATTGATGCATTAAAATTGAGGATTAAATACATAGGTGACAGAATTGGTAAATATAATGATAATACATGTGAAAAGAGATCAATATCAGAATGTATAAGAAACTTCTGCAAATTAAAATAAAAAAGGAAGGAAGCGAGAGAGAGAAAGGAAGGAAGGGAGGGAGGGAGAAGAAAAAAGAGACTGAGGGAGAGAAAGAATGAAAGAGAATAGGTAAAGTACATGAATTGGAATGTCACAGAAGGGGAAATTCAAACAGCTAATTAGGTAAGATTTTACAGCCATCAAATTGAATAAACTAAAAAAAAAAATAATTAAACAACACTAAGTTTTAGTAAGATTATGCAGAAACAGGAACTCTCCTGCACTGCTGGTTGAAATGTAAGCTAGCCTTCCAGAAAGCAATCTGACAGCACCTAATAAAACCACGTAAACACATACCCTACGATCAGTCAATACCCCTTTTGAGTATATTTCTCCAGCATACACAGACATGTTTGAAGATACTTACCACAGTAATGTTGGTGGAAGAAGGCAGTTGGAAGCTAGGTAAAGGTCCAAAACCTAGGGAAATAGATAAGTGGCAGATGAATTTTAGATAATAATGAATAGTACCAATGTGGCTACATTTTGAAATCATAAGCTTGAGAGAATAAAGTTAGAAGTAGAATGAGAAGTATTACACAATATCATTTATATGAATTAAGAGCACACACACACACACACACACACAATTGCTCAATAACACTGTATTGTGTGAGGATCATTACATAGCCAAAGATATATATTACAACATGAAAGAGGGTGCCCATTGGGGGCTGGAATAGCAGTGGGGATCTGGAGTAAAGCGGAAAAAAATAAAACATGAGAAAGTTGTACAGACCAATGCTGATGGATGCCATGGAAGGGCAGCCTTTTTACTTCTCTCTTCCAAAGTCAATTCATATTTCCAATCATAACACACAATTCTAGAAATTCAACAAAACCCAAATTTTAATGTTAGAGTGGCTCTGGATTAGTTTTCACTGTTGACAACAAATTATGACAAATTTAACAGCTAAAAGCAACATACATTTATTAACTGACGGTCTGCAGGAGTCTGGTCATGAGTTTAGCTGGATCTCTGCTTAAGGTGTCACCAGGCTAAAATCAAGGTATTAGCCATGCACATGATTTTTGTCTAAGCCTCATGACTCTCTTTCAAGTTCACTGAGCGTTGGCAGAATTCAGTTTCTGGTGACATACGACTGAAGTCTCCAGCTCCTGGAGACCATCTGCCATTTCCTGTCATGTGATTCCTCTGCACATCACAGAAGTTTGCTCCTTCAAGGCCAGTAGGTGCTTCTCTGGCTGCTACTTTGAGTCTCTTTTATTTTATTATTTTTATTTTTGAGACAGAGTGGCCCTGTCACTCTGCCTGGAGCACAGTGGTGCGATCCCGGCTCACTGTAACCTCCGCCTCCCAGGTTCAAGCAAGTCTCATGACTCAGCCTCCTGAGTAGCTGGGATTACAGGTATGCAGTACCACGCCCAGCTAATTTTTCTACTTTTATTAGAGATGGGGTTTTGCCACGTTGGCCAGGCTGGTCTCAAACTCCTGACCTCAGGTGATCCGCCTGCCTTGGCCTCCCAAAGTACTGGGATTACAGGCATGAGCCACCATGCCTGGCTGAGTCTGTTTTAAAGGGCTCAACTGATTAGGTCAGGCTCACCCAGCATAACCTCTCTTTTGACTGTCTCAAAGTCAACAGATTAGTGACCTTAATTCACCTAAAAAATCTCTTTACCTTTGCCACATAACATAACCTAATCACAGGAGTGATAGGTGATCCTTTTGAGATAGCAGGGCAAATACTCAGCTGTATATTTGGCAAATATTCATGGCATACCTACTATGTGCCCCATACCAACTAAACAATTGGGTATAAGGCAGATAAAATATTAATAAAATACAGTCCTTGGTCTTAAGAAACTCTCATTTTAGTGGTCAGAAAAGATGTGCACTCATTTAATTAAAACGAAAAATAAAATAAGTGGTTAGAGTTTGAATTTTTGGCACCATATTGCTTGAGTTCTGGCTCTATTTCATAGCAGCTGTATAACTTTGGATATATATTTGTTATAGGAGGAAGAATATATATATATACTCATATATATGTATATATATATATACTTGTTATGCGAGGAAGGAAGAAGGAATAAGAGAGGTAGGGAGGGAGAGAAAAAGGGAAGAAAACAGAAAAGCTTACAGAGTTTTTGTTTCCATTAATGAGTTAGATATAAAAAGCTTAGAACAGCATCTGACACAGTGAGAAATCAATAAATCTCAGCTCAGATAACAGAGGCAACTGTAAGGTCTTATGGGAGCGTAGAAGCGCAGACAATGGTAGCATTTTATAGATGAAAAAAATGAGACTCAGCAAACAATAGGCTTCTCTGCATTCACACAATTAGTGAGTAACAGAACCAGGAACGGAAATGAATTAACCCTGATCTGCAGTAGTTGAAAGCACCCTGCTTAGTAAGTAAGGGCCCAGGTATGATCAGGCTGAAGACTAGCCAAGGACTTTGAGGAGGATGGAAGCTATTTCATGTGGATGCAATGACCTCTACACTATTCCTTCACTATGTAACTTTGATTCTCTAAGTGTTGGCATGATGATTATAATAAAAATAAGGCTCATAGTTATGAAAAACTGTAAGGTCAACAATAATTTTCAAAAATATGACCTCAATTAATTCTTAAAAAAACCTATAAATGACTTTCATACGAGCCTTCTCAAATCCTTTTCCAGGGAAATCAGTGGATAACAATTTCAGCAGTTCAACAAATGTTTGTAAGTGCTCTGTTTGCCACATTATATAAATTTTGCTAAATTGTATAAAAAACTTGTTAAATCACCAGGCGCAGTGGCTCAAGCCTGTAATCCCAGTACTTTGGAAGGCCAAGGCAGAAGGATTGTTTGAGGCCAGAAGTTCAAGACCAGCCTGGTCAACATAGCGAGACACCCTCCCTACAATTTTTTTTAAAAATTAGCTGGGTGTGGTATGTGTGCATGTAGTCCCAGCTACTCAAGAGGCTGAGAAAAGAGGATCACCTGAACCCAGTAGTTTGAGGCTGCAGTGAGCTATGATTGTGCCACTGCACTCCAGTCTGGGCAACAGAGCAAGACCCTTGTGTCTAAACAACAAAACAAAAACAAAAACTTGCTAAATAAGCTGAAAAAAAAAAGCCAGAACATTTTATAATGAGCCACTACTATATACCAGATAGTGTGGATACAAAATGAATAAGACAAATTCATAGCATCTCTGGGCAGGGAAAAAATTTCAACTATTCCTCAAACTGGGGCATCTGCTGTGGAATAACAAGATTCTAGAGGGATTTCTGGCTGCTTTGAGCAGCAGAACAGCCTGCAACTGATTAACTCTCCTCACCTGTGCCTGTCATGGCCCACACTGAAATGAAAAGTTATTACTCAGTATTTTCTGGGATTAGTTTGAGAATCTGTTTATCCTGAACAGTAGATAGAAAAGAATTGCTACAAGATAGTGAAGTTTGATCAGCTTAATAAAATCAGCAGGGCAATTCAATTCTACCCACCAGGCAAACTTTCAAATTCACATTCAAATTGATAATAGTGTTGTTCAGTTAAAAGATGCTTTGATCCAAAGAATTCCCAGGGCTTTGCAAATTTAGGTGGTTGATGTTCAAGAGTGGGGTTTACAGACAGCTGTTTGAAGTAGGAGAACAGCCTGGTAGTGCCTTCTATCAAAAGCAGAGTTATACTCCAAAACGTTTCATTGTGTCATGGTGAAAATAGCGTTTGAGAATACAAAATCAGGACCTTGTGACCAAGTTTATATTCTTAAAATTAAACAATTAAAAAACTATTTGACTAAACATTAGTCAAATAAAGAGAGATCAGTGAATTCTAATAAATCTTAAATTTTATAATTAAATTGGTATAGTATGCTAATTTCTATACTATTTTGCTCACCATAAACTTTCACCCCAAATGAAATATAACTAAAGTTGTATTTTTTAAACACACATATATATTTTTTTCTTTATCTGATGTTCCATTCAAATATCTAGTTAAATGTTCTAGATATTTATTCATCACAACAACTGAGACTCTTTTGAGAATGAAAGGGGGCACTTTTAATAATTACACTGAGGGAACAGGTGTCAACTGGAGACGTCCTCGGCAAACCAGGACATATGGCCACCCTATGATTAGTGCTTTTTCAAGTTACAACAGTTGTTGACTCCTGCATTCTGGGCCATACTTCTCATCTCTCTGAATCCCACCTCCCTTCATCTTGTACTTTCTCTTTCAGTGCTTTCTACGTGAGATCTCTTTATCCTCCCCCATTTATTCAATAACTAGTTAATGAGCATGTTCCACCTGTCAGATATTATTCTAGTAGCTGGAGACACAAATATGGCCCTGGGTCTCTAGATGCTTATATTCCAGCCCGAGTTGGGAGCACGCTTTAACTAGTTATATAATTAGGTATTTTATAACAATTTCGAAGCATGCTACAAAGGTGAATCACACAGTGCCTGGGAGCATATAACCTGTCCTGTCTGGAAAGTCAGAGAAACCTCTTTCTTTACAGATGCCATCTTAATAAAATTCTAGGGACTGTGTTTATTATTCCTCATCTCTATCAATTGTTAAAACTATATTTTTTCCTGCTATCGTCGTCTTCTGCCTCCCTTCTTTTTTTATTATTTTTGTTAACATTTCTGGTCTTCAGTTTCTTTTTTTCTACTAATATTTTATAGGGGTGACACCAAGATGTGCTACACTGAACCCAACTTCTGCATGTTTAAGACAAGGTATGCAAAATTAAATGAATCTATACTCCAGTTTTGTGAATAATAATTCACAGATACACAATATAATGCAATAAAAGATGGCTGTGCTACCTGATCAGATGCCTGATTAGGTACCAGTGGACAAGTTTGCCAAGGAGGAGTCCAAAAATCTTGCCTTAGTCAATACATGATTAAGTTGCTTCCCTTCAGTACTTGCCTGTTCTTTATTTCATGCCTCTTCTTGACTCTTCCCTTAAATGTCAGCACTCCCTAAGGTTCTGTCCTTTACCTTCTTCTAATTTTTTTTCTTTGGAAAACTCTTCTACTTCCATGGCTTAAGCCACCACTTCCATACAGATGGCTCTGGAAACTTTTTCTTCTGCTCTCTAGGGAGTTCTCTACAAAGAACGATCCTGCATTTGCAGCTGTGTGCCAGACAGTGTCACAGCCCAAGCCACTGGCACTGCCCAGCTCATGCCACCATAATCTTTCATCTTGATTATTGCAAAAACCTTCTGACTGGTTTCCCTGTCTCCAGCCTTGCTCCCACCCAAATCAATTTTGCCTCTACACCACAGCAAACGTGATCTTTCTAAACTGCTTGTTATTGTGCTAACCCTCTTCTTAAAACTCTTCCCTAGCTCACTGTTGTTCCTTAATTAAAACCCAAGCTCTTAACAGAAACTGACACTATCTGCATAACCTGGCCTCTGTTTTTCCCTCTAGACTTGCCAACAACCACTTCCCACCTTATATATAGAGAGCACTTCCTGCTCTATAACCCATGTTGTCTCTTGACTCTAAGCCACCACACATGCTCTTTCTTGTTCTGAACATGCTCTTTTCCTCTCCTGACTTTCACTCATCCCTCAGGCCCCAGCTCCTTAGGAGCTTTCCTAGATTTCCAAGTCTGAGTCAGGTGCTCTTACTATGTGCTTTCTCACAGCACCCTCTACCCTTGTTATCAAGCCCCGTTTTACTCTTGCCTTTAGCTTACTCACTTTCTCCACTTGGCTGTGAAGTACAGTATGGGATGTAAATACTTCTATAGAATGGGAAGATTGAACACTCAATAGCTGTTAGTGTCTTGTGAAGGTCTTAACAAGCGGTTAAACTTTGGTATGAGGGATGAGAAGTCCACAGAAGGAAAAGCATTAGCAAAGATGTGTCTAGAGATTGGAAAATGCAAGGCAAATGTAGTTATTAAATCATACAGAGTGACATATACACTCATATAGGAAAATAATGGGAGCCTGCTGGACATTAGATTTACCTGGGGAACTCTTATTAAAACACCAATACCTGGGCTCCACCTTCAGAGATACTGACTGAATTATCCAAGAAAGAGACTCAGACAAAAGCATTTAAAAAAAGCTTTCTAGGCTAGAATTGAGAATCATGACTCTAGGAGGCAATGGAAACTTTGGAAGTTTTTGAGTATAATCTAGTATATATTAAATTTGTAATAAAAAATGTGTCAAATGAATGTTGATGTCGCACACACCAGATATCTTTGTTATTGGTTTTCAGAAATTTTTCATGTTTTATAAAAATATGTTTATTCATTAAAAAAAAGCCTCAATGACTTTATTCCCCTTTGTTACAGGTAATGTGTAACAGTCCACAAAAGCCACTTAATTATCTCATGCTTTAAATTTTATTTTTTCTTTCCTTGTGCGTAAACACAATTGTTTTAAACATGATTTGAACTGTTTTTTTTTTTCCAGAATGTGCATCTTTATTTTTCCTGAATATTTCTATTGTCTAAATACCTTAGTAAAGTTTACTGCTTCTACGGATGGCCTAAAAGTTCTGGCAATGAAAGAAGTAAAGTGTGAATGTATCCTTAATACCAGCTATTCAGATGTCTTCATCAATTATTATGTGAAGTCTTTCCAGTTCTATCCTAAACTGTAGAAACTCTTCCAGTTAAACTACAGAGCATGATAAGAGTTTCATAACATGCTGCCTCCAAGAAGTAATTTCGTTGTACCAAATTCATTTTCACTTTTAATAATCTTGATCTGATCCTGTATCACTAATAGAGGCTTTAAAAACAATTTATATATTTACTAGACACTATGAGGTTCATGATGCTCTTAGTTTTTACAAATAATAAATATGTATATACATTTTTTTACAAATAATAAATGTGTACATACAGATTTTTCCTGCTATTATCTGTACATACACATTTATTATTTATTATTTTCAAAAATGATAAATTACTTTTTACACCTTTATTGTTTGTAAAAAAATGTGTGGTAATGTCAGAATTCCTAACTGTTAACAGTTATCTCTAAGAAGGTCTAAAGTTTTTATTCTAGGACTTGAAGGGGACGTTAGCCGTATTATATACTACTTTTCTCAAACTTAGTTCTCAACTCAATATACTGTATTTGACAGGCAAACACAGGTATTATATCATGATAAAACAATAGTGGTGCAATTATTTCTTAGATTGAAAGAGGTGCAATCATTGCACTCTTGCAAGAGTAAAGGAAAAAACAGAATTGTCATTATCCAATGAATTAATAGGGTTCTAATCCCACTTAAAGAAGAATTTTGTTTTTCTGAGGAATTCCAGTATTTATGCTCCTGTGAAGCATTTTCTAATATTTGACTCTTTAGTTAGGGGCCAGGATATATTTTTTTTCTAAGTGAGAAGGAAATTGGTTATAAGCAAATTAATTTGGGGAAATAGTAAGATTTAAAACTCCCATATTTTCATCAGATACCACATTTTTCTGGAGTTCTGGCTATCCTTTGTTCTTATATTTCCAAAACATCTAGTAAATTACAAAATGCAATGGGAAACTTTAAGCCCACAGCCCAGCCCTTGATAAATAATCAAACAACAATTGAGTATTTATGCTTGCACTGCAATAGAAAGGTTAGAGTTCATTGAAAAATCCTCTTAATTTAAGAATTGTAGTTGTTCCATACAATCATAAATAAAAGAAGTAATTATAAACTTTGGGGTAAAAGGACTAAAAATGTTTTTGAGAAAAATATGGCTTTCTAATCTAATTGAAAGTAAGGGAAATTTTTTTTTGTCTTGTAATGTATGATTATATATAGTTGTGTGTGACTGGTGAATGATGTTTAAAGAGGTTGCTCAAGGTTACAGGAAAAACCCTAAGGAATTCTTGCAGCAACATCCTGAAATAAGAGCTCCTGCATAATAGATTCACTGTGGTTTCCTTAGTGAAGTGAGCCTTCTGTGAATACACAATCTTTAACTATACAAGATCAAGAGGAGAATTGAGTCATGCATTGGAATGCTTTTAGCTTTGGTTTACCCCTCTGTTTAAAGAAGAGAGTTATGAGATTTGCTTAATTTGATCATTTTCCTCTTTCCTTTGGTAATCTCCTTCCTGTATTACAAGATATATAATGCTTCCTTCACACTTCAAATGAAAGTTGAAATGATTTTTTCATTTCAACTTTGTTGTATGTTGTAGACGCAAGGTCAAAAATTTACATCAGGTATCTGAATGTGTAGCATATACAACTGAGTGTTGAAAGAAGACAAAATCGTTTTCATCACGAAGAATATGTGCTCAGTAAGAATCAGAATGTTCAATTGTGTGAAGGTGGGAGATGGGAAGATTGGTATTATGGCCTGGATCCAGAAATCAGGTATTTACCCAAAATTATCTCTATAGTTTTCACCTATCACCTATTCATTTAATATCTTTACCATAATTTTTTATTTTAATTAAGAGTCAGTAATCTTTTCGTGCTGCTAGATAAGAGCCTCGACATTTTAAAGGCAGACATTTTTCTCATATTAGGTTCTAGATATAGTGTATGACAGTGGGACTCCTAGTGGGATTTTCTTGAGTTCGTAGCACCTGTTGAAGATGCATATAATAAAAGAATAAAAGATAAAAAATCAAAGAAATGTTTGAAGAGGTATTCTGGGGGACTTGATCTATTGGTTATTAAAAATGTAATACAGGGCCACATTAACAAGGCAGAGTGGTTTAGATTCAAGAATCAAAAGGCAGATTCAAGAAATAGGAAAAAAAACTAGAAACAAGTCCTAATTATGATAAGTATTTTCTATATGACAACAGTACCACTGCAAATAACCATAAGCAAACAAATAAACAAAACTCCAATAAACCAAATAAAATCATTAAATAAAAATACAATCGAAAAATCAAATAAATTACAAAGATATATAATGAATGCTGCTGTAACAGTAGATTAAATAAACTATCTTCAAATATTATAACCAAACACATTTCAGATAAATTAAAAATTAATGTCAAAAAATAAAATGATACATAATTTATATAAATAATAATATAATTCCAGATTTCAGAAAAAGAAGTAATCACTAAAGAAGAAAAAAATCAATATAAAAAGCCCAAGCTGTGATACATTAAATCCTTTCATAAGCAAAATTAAGGGATCAGCAATAAATTCGAAAAGTATTTTCAGAAAAATGACAAAGGGTTATGTCATTAAATAGAGCTCATGCCAACCAGTAAGTTTGCCAATAGGAAAGAGGTCCAAGTGTTTCTAAATAAGAGCTCACAGATGAGGAAAATATTTGTGACTACTAAATATAATAAAACATGTTACCAACTTAAAATGAGATATCACTTTGTCTGCTGGATTAGTGAGGACAAGGGGATATACAATGGGATTTCACACATCCTCCATCCCACCCGCCAGCCCAACCCTATACTAGACGGGTTTGCTCACCCAACTTCCCTTCCGAGACCATAGTCTGAGAATAATAGAAAGAATAAAGGATAAAAAATCAAAGAAATGCTTGAAGAGGTATTCTGGGGGGCTTGCTTTACTGGTTATTAAAAATGTAATACAGAGCTACAATAACAAGCTACTCTTCAAGTACAGGGAAGAGACAGAGAACAAGTATCCTTTTATAAGAGCAGATTCATTGCTGTGTTAATGTTTTGCTGTGAGCCTGGGTCTGGAGGAGCTGTTTTTCTTGATTCCCTCCTATTTTGCAGGATTGCAATGCTACTGGAGATCCCTCTTTGACCCCAGGACTAGGATGGAGAGAAAAAAATAAAACTGAGATAGTGGGAAGGGGAGGATGACTCTCTAATGTCTGTCTGAGATAGCCTCAGTATGCACAGTTGGTCATTTAGAAGGAAAGTAAAGAGGTGTTTTGTATCATGCTGTGAGCCACATGTGTATGTCAGGTTGTCTAATCCGATGATGTTCTTTTGAGTAGTGGACTAGTAGGACATAAAGGATGGTTAAGGGGTTGGTTATATTAGCAGAACTTGTCCAAAATAGTAATGCAGGATGTAAATGAGAGAATATTGAGATAGTCACTCTAATACTGACACTGATGACAGTTCTAATTGATACAAGCTTTCTATAAAGCATTTAAAGTACCAAGAGTCTTACATTTTTAAAAATATCTTCTTTGACCCCCTAACTACATTTCTTAGTATTACTCATTGACCACACTTTTGAAAAGCACCACTTTATGACAGGCAAAGGAGATGACAGATACAGCAATTAACAAGGCAGTCCAGGTACTTGTTCTTATGGTACTTTCATTCTAGTGGGGCCAAGAGAGAATAGACAATAACCATGTACATAAACAAATAAGTAAGATATTATAGAAAGTGACATGTAGAGTGAAGAAAATAAATTGGAGTAATATGTTAAAGAGTGACCAGGGGTTGTCAGGGACACTCTCTTTGAAGAGGTGATGTATTAGTGAGCGTTCTCCAGAAAAACAACCAGTAGGATGTATATACATTTTAATAGTGTGTGTATACATATCTCTAGATAGACAGATAGATATATAGATAGATAGATAGTTACATACTTACGTGCATACATATGTGTGTGTGTAGAGAGAGAGAAACAAAGACAGAGAAAGGTTTATTTTAAGAAATTGACCCTGGTGGCAGGCGCCTGTAGTCCCAGCTACTCTGGAGGCTGAGGCAAGAGAATGGCGTGAACCCAGGAGACGGAGCTTGCAGTGAGCCGAGATTGTGCCACTGCACTCCAGCCTGGGCGACAGAGCGAGACTCTGTCTCAAAAAAAAAAAAAGAAAAGAAAAAGAAATTGACTCACATGACTGTGGGAGCAGGCAAGTCTGAAATCTGCAGGGCAGACCAGCAGGCTGGAAACCCAAGGAAGGATTGATGTTGTACTACTGCATCTGAAATCAGTCTGCAGGCAGAATTTCTTCTTCTTCGGGGACCTCAGTCTTTTCTCTTAAGGTCTTCAACTGTTGGATGAGCCTCGCTCATATTATGGAGGATGAGATGTTTTACTCAAAGTCTACTGACTTAAATGCTAATCCCACCTAATTTATCTTCACGGCAATGAAGACCAAGCAAGTTGGTTTTGCTCTTATTTGACCAGGCAAGTGAGCACTGTAGCCTACCCAAGTTGACTCATCAAATTAATTACCACAGGTGATATTTCAGCTGATAATCGAATAACAATATGTAACCAGCCACGTGTGGTCCTGGTGGAAGAGATGCAAAGGCTCTAAAGCAGAAGAGTGTGCAGTGGGAACAAAAAGACCCAGTGTGCTGGGTCCCAGTGATGTGCTGTGGCCTGTTCATATTGCCTCTAAGAGCTGATTACAAACATCTCTTTTCAATAGCATGGTCAGTGACATCACGCTGGTAGCTTGAAATCAGTAAGGATTTATACCAGAGGAGTATGTACACCAGAGTAATCAGCAAATGCTACAAACCAGGACTTTTATTACTCCCACTTTTTAACATTTACCAGCAAAGTACTGATGGGAAGAGCGCAAGGGGTAGGCATGGGCCTTAGATGGCACATCTAAAAGCTTAGCTCTCAGTCTCAGTGTGATGATTGACATTTTCAAGTCGTGTTACAAGTCAAAACCATTCGTATTGTGGTGTACTCTTGAACAGGCTTCATAGGGCGGCAGGATTTCAAGTAGGAAAGCTAATGAGAAGATTACTGAAGCAGTCTAGAGACGAGATGATGGAGACTACACTAGAGTGTGGCAGGCACCAGGAGAGATAAAAAGCTTTGAAGGGCACATTTTGAATGAGGTGCCGATAGCTCTTGGATGGAGGAAGCTGCAGTGAGAGAAATTAAGAACGACCCATGGATTATTGACCTAAGCAAATGGGCCTACCCATGTTGGGGGATCTCTTATGACATGGGAACATTTGGGAGGGACAGTTTCAACAGGGAAATGTGGCAGGGGAATCAGTTGTTGCTTTGGCCCCATTGACTTTGAGATGCCTCCTAGATTTTGAAATGCCTGAAGCCATTAAGGAAGAACTTTTATATGTGAGCTTATATTTGGAACTCAGTGGAAAGGTCAGGACTGGAGATGTAAATTTGGGAATCATCTCCATACAAAGACTAACTTTCCTAAGGAAATAATCAGAAATTCAGACAGACTAATAGGTTAAAATAAAAGAAGGACACAGAAATGTATATGCTAAATGGCTGAATAAGGAGGATATATTGACATAATTAGTCAATAAGCCATAATTCCACTTGCTGTAGCTAGTGTAATTATGAGTAATTTAAATTTTTTGTCCTTCAGATATTCACAACAAATAAGTTCTTCTTAAAATTAGAAGAAAACAATCTTGTTTTAAAAGAAATATAAAAACATTAGATTTGTTAATGATAACATTAAAATATCTAAGTAGCTAAAAATTTTATTTAGCCACTGGTTAAACTGTTTCTTTGACTTAAAGAGCTTATAGTTATGTAAGCACACTATTTTTTACTTGTCTTTCCCATTATTAAAATAATACATGTATGTTACAGATACATTTGAAAAGATAAAAGAATAGAGAAATAATTTTTACATATTATTTAATATTTAGTTTTCTTGATCCAATTTTATCTACTTTTTTGTGATATGCTCCTATCATTTTACATCTGATTTATATCTTATATCTATCTTTTTGTGTCTTATATCTTATAAAAGCTATGTTATTAATCCCTTAACAGTGCATTTTTATCAGAGGTTAAAAAGGTTCACTACTTCACATGGTTTTACGTCTTGTGATAGTGATCTATAATATTTAGCCTCTATGATACTGCTGCAGTATAGTGTTTCACTGGAATTTTTCATTTTCACTTCAATGCCATAAAACTGCAACCTCAAATTTATTGCAATATTTACATATATGACAGCTGTTAAAACTACAGTAGTTGAAATACACTTAGGGAATAGTTACTGGGGCAAATGTGTGTATACACACACACACTTTCATGTAAGTTATTTATTGTAATGTTGAACTTTTATTCCCTCGTGGTGAATAAAAGGACATAAATGTTGATATTTATGTTATAAAGTTACCTGCTTCCCTTACTTCATTCATGAATTTCTTTATTCATATCAATACTTACTGAAAAGTTTATAAAGAACCTACTATGTGCCAAGCAGTGAGCAAAACACAGCATAGTTGGGGAGACGGACACATAAGTGGAAAAACAGTATTGCCATATGGCGAGAACTGTTGAAAGGGTATAATCAACATAGTTTGGAATCACACAGGGGAATGGGAGACGGTGACCCTTGAGCTGGGTGTTAGAGGATGAATGAGCATTTACCAGGCAGAAGAAATAGCATTTGCACCTGCATGGAGCCATGAAAGGAGAAAGAATGATTGAGGCAGGAAATAAAGTGCAAAAAGGAGGTTTGGACCAGCTTGTGATGGGTCTTGTATGCCAAGCTAAGGAATTTGGATTACATATTGCAGGTCATGGAAGTCAACAGAGATTGCTTTGCATTGGAGACTGTCAGAATCAGTTTGGGCTGGAAAGAACATTCTGCAACAATGTGAGGAAAGATTAGATTGGAAAGAAAACTGGTAATAGGAGCACTAGGGATAGGCTGAGTTCAGTGCAAAAGAAAAGGAGGACTGAAAGCTTTGGCAGTCTCTGAGGATGGGAAGAAAGAAGACAATTTGATTGGCAAGAATGACAATATTTAATGAAACGATGAAAGCAAGAGCAGGATGAAGAAGAAAGAAGATAGGGAATATAATTTTTAAAAGAAGGTTGGGTGTGAAAATTAGATGGCCTGGAAAGTAACTTGAAGAAAGGTTAGAATCAAACAACTTTTTAAAGGGTAAGTACAATTTGAGGTTGGTCTAAATTGAGACCAATGTGTTAGAAATAATGTTTTAATATTTCCTGGGTTGAGATAGGAGATAAAAAGGGGCTGATAAGAGGTCTACTTTCATCTAGACTACATAGGTGCTCAGAAAGAAAGAGAAATGAGAATTTACTTAGTTTTTTATTTTTAATTGTTTGGGCACATAGCAGTTGTATATGTTTATGGGATACATGAGATGTTTTGACACAGGCATGAAATGTGAAATAAGCAAATCTTGGAGATGGGGTATTCATCTCCTCAAGCATTTATCCTTTGAGTTACAAACATTCCAGGTACACTCTTTAAGTTATTTAAAAATGTACAATAAAGTTATTGTTGACTATAATCATCCTGTTGTGTTATCAACTAGTAGGTCTTATTCATTCTTTCCAAGTTTTTTTGGTACCCATTAACCATTCCCACCTCTCCCCTAGTCTTCCACTATAGGAAATGGGAATTTAAAGATGATCAGAAGACAGTTGGGAGCAGAGTGAGAATAAGAACCCTCAACTGCTGTCTCACCTTTCAGATCACGAAGAAGTTTTTTACAATGAGCAGAACACTCAACCTGAAAGCAGAATGGATTGAGTCACTGCAGCGTGGCAGTGGAATGGTGTTTGATGTTGGCAAAGGAAACATGTACTTCTAGACTGGACAGTTTTCCCTTAGTTTACAGTTTCCAAATAGAGACATCACTTTGAAATAACATGGAGAACATACATGGATGTACTGAACGAAGAATAAAGTCTGTGTTGCAGTCCTGTCTCCATTGACTTTTACAAATATGGCTTTGGATGAATCACCTAAGTTTTATTTTTGAGAATTTACGCTTACCATGTATAAAATGATATTGCTAATATGTTTGCTGCCTACCCCATTGGGTTTTGTGAGGAATAAATGATAATGCTAAGAAAAAGGCATTGAGAATTATAACTCATTATTCAAATGCAAGTTATTTATGTGGTTATTGTCATTATTATTAATACTTTCACTCAGCTAAAACCTTAGAACCAAAAACATCTGAGAACTTGCTTACTATTAATAACTGTCTTATTTGATTCAGGGACTCAAGAAAGTATCAGCTCACATGACTGAGTTTCATCAATTCCAAGTTGTACATTGAGAATCACGATAAAGATCGGGAATATGAGACTTTAAGCATAATTCTTTTTCATCACCATCTGGCTATTTCTACTTCTCCAGTCCTAACTTCTAACCTGATCTTAGTCACCAGGGCTAAATTGCAAAGTAGAAAATTTCAAGGAAGGTTTCTTTGGGTTCCATACTCTGCTTTTATGCCTTCTACATAAAGAAAGGGAAACAGAAAAAAAAAAAAAAAAAAAAAAAAAAGAGTGGACCTCACATTCATACACAACTTCCTCCCAACAATTTCCTTAGTAGAGCCTGGGAGGTCCTAACTGAACCAACCCTGCTCCCTCCACTGGCTCTGCGCCACCTGATTACCTCCATGCCATGCTCCCTTGTATCTCAATACTGCTCATAGGTCACCTCATCAGAGACACCTTCCCTGATTACAGCATACGAAATTAGAAAACAAACCTGATCTCATTCCATTGTCCTTGCTCTGCTTCACAACTCTCAATCACCAGCAGATGTAGAATATACTTATTTGTTTCTTATCTGTCCCCTCTCCTATCCATGTGAGCACCACAAGAATCAGACTTGGTTTTCCATTGTAACCCCTGAGCCTGCCACATGGAAAGTATTCAATAAATCATTGTTGAACAAAGGAATGAATGATTCTGTGAAGGGATATATTAATTTAAAATGTCCTGGTCCTTAGAAGGATTTTCAAAACTTGAAAATATGAAGTGGTGTGAGGACTGTTGCTCAAGGTTAAAAGAAAGGAAAAAGAATGCATCATTCAGACAACTGATGGGCTTTGAAGGAAGAGAGCAGGAGTAGCAGGGCAGAGCAAGTGTGGACAGCACAGCAGGTAAAATGACAGATTCTAATAGGGTGACCAACTCATTGTGGACGATCTAGACATTTTCCAGTTATAGGACTGAAAAATCCCTTATCCTATGCAACTCCTCAGTGCCAGGCAAACCAGAGCTGTTGTTCGCCCTGAATCTTAGAGTCAAATATTCCCTAAGTATTAGAATTCCTTATGCACATTTATTAGCAGTAAGACCTTGGGCAAGACAAACCTTCTCTGATTTTAGTTTCTTATTTGTAATTGGGGCTAGAAATACCTGGTTCAAAAGTTTGTAGGTATTTCTTTTAAAAGACTCTATATAAAACACTTAACACATTGCCTGGTATGAAATGTGTGCTGGATAAACAGCAAGGTAGTATTATTAAAGTGCTTGGTTGATAATTGGCACTCAATAAATGTCAGCTTAAAGAGAAAGGTAGATGCTAATTCCTGAGTGTTTTGTGTGACATGGATAATGCCTTTTAATGATAGAATTACACTATTTCAAAAGGTATAATAAAGAGTCTTCGTGATGAAATTTTAATACCGCATTTGCCTTTCTGCTCTCAAAGTATTTATCACAATATCTTCATCTAGAAGAAAAGCATTTTTGGTTTTTATAGTGTTCATTTTTTTTAAACTATGTAGTGTAGTAAAACGTAAAAAGTAAGCCTTTTATGAACATTTATAAAGTTTTATACATTCTAAAACATAACATAAATATATTTTACTTGCCAGTATCAATAATTTATTCAAAGTCTTTCAAATAAGGCTAGCATGGGCTGGAAATATCATATTTTAGGAAAGCATAATTCTTCTCATCAACAAAAACAAATGTTCCAACTAGTTTTACGAAATAAAAGCCTTTAAAATAGTCACTTGCAGTTGATTTGAAAAAAAGTTCTCTTGTCTGTTTCTGTTAATGCCCACGTGAGTTTTACTAGTTGCAACTGAAATCACAAAAACCAGAGCCTGATGCTTAACTGGCAAGAAGCCAGGATAATGAAATTAATAACATATGCTGAAGAACCCATTTGTAACAATTTTTTCATTAAAAAAAAATGAGGCAGCTCAAAGCTACTGACAGGGCTTTCTCCCCCTTCCCCTAACTCTTTATTTTCTTTTGCCTGTAGTATGTCTGTATGTTAAAGCTGATAGCTCTTAGTTACTCTCACAATTCACATGACTTCAAGATTTAAGCAATCCTGTAGCTGATAGGCAGAAAGTTTATTTTGTTGTTGTTTTTGTAAGCCTTTATTTTTTAGGTCACAGTTTGATTCTCTGTCTCTGCCAACCAGCAACACTCTGCAGTTCAGAGCCGAGCCCTCTGCTAGGGATACTTTTTAAACACAAGGTCTCGGTTGCTTCGGCTGATCTCACCTGTCAGCAGCCTGACGTGGGACTCTTCTGCATGTAACTCTCAAATCACAAACGCCATTCCCAAAGGTATGTGCATCTGATTTAGAAAAGAACCCTCTGAAGCCCTCTCTTAGAACTTCTTCACCTTCACTTTATGCACATCTCTAGCAAGACTGGTAGCCTAATTTGCAAATGTAATAAATTACGGACAGCAAACTAGAAGGAAAGAAACAAGCAACTGAAAGAAGCAAAAGGAACAACTGAGAGCTAAGCAGGAGTTGGAGAAATGCTGAAATCAGGCCTAGGAAAAAATACAGCACTCTCTGTCATCGCTGGGTGAAGAACTTGTATCGACTCTACAGTTTTAGGGGGCATCACAGGATTTCAGCAAGTGTGAGGCTCTAAATTACTGGTGTGTTGTGATAGGTGTTCATATAGATAAGCTTGAGTCGTAAGGAAAGATCAGGTGCCATATTCACTGTTGAAGAACATGGGCTAGATTGTCATGCATTTCTTCATAGTTGTTCAAATAAAGGATAGATAGATGATAGATAGATAAGATAGATGATAGATAATAGGTAATAGATAGATAGATAGATAGATAGATAGATAGATAGATAGATAGATCTGCAGCAACTCATATATTATAAATGTGTTTGTGTGATTGTCTGTGCATAGAAGTGCCTCATTATCGGAGTGTTCAGGTTACACACCAGTAATGGATCTCTCTGAGCAGTGGGCTAGAGGAGAAAAAGAAAAGAGGGTCTCTACTTCATATAGTTCTGTTTTGTTGAAGTTTTCAAAATGAGCATGTTTATTTTTTAAATAATAAAAATATTTAAATATATTCAAGGAAGGCTAAATCACAGCTGCATTCTTACCCATGTGCACTTTATTGGTCAGCCCATAAGTCAGCAAGATCTTGAGGCACAGGGTCAATATTCATTCTTTCTACCACACATATATTGAACTTTTGCACTCTACTATACCCCTGCAGGATATCCCTGTTTTATACGCAGAAAAGATAAATCAGATCTCATTCTTTCTCTCAACAAACTAATAAATGAGCAAGAAACTGAGAGGATAATAAAATGTGATGTGAGCAATGTGGGGAAGTGGGGGGTGGGGGGAGAAAGAACACGTGGCCTTGAAGCCCAGACAGGACAGGGTGCAGCCAAGGGGATGCCAGGAGGCCAGTGAGAGGAGGCAAGGGAGCCTCAGAGAACGACGAGAAAGGGCACCAAGAGCCTTGCCAAAGCCCTGACGAGAAGAGACTGAAGACAAACTGCAGTGATATTAGAATGTTAGAGAGGTCAGAGCCATCCCCATCGTGGTACCTTGTTTGGGGGCCTAGTTTGTTCCATTTAGGATAGCTTTAATGAACACAGATGTCGCAAAAAGCCTTCCATTGTGTATCTCTGTGTTTGTCTCTGCTCCTACCCACTCCTCTTCTTTGTGGCCCAACTCTGTCTGCTACTCCGAGACACTGGAGCCCTTCAAGACAACACCAAGCTAATGCAAGGCACAGACACATGTAACAACTGCTCTTGTAATAAACTTCTTTACAAAACATTGTAACTTGTAAAGGGTCTACTTTGTAAACTCCCCCAAGAACCTTGCATATAGAACACTAAATATTGGTCTCTTCATCATAAGCTATTCTTTGTCTTTTGAATTCAGGAATAAGCAACGACAAAATTCAAGCAAAGATTCTTTCTAATCAAAGAAGAAAGCCACAGCATTTGGTTTAAGGGTCTTAATGTGTCTGTCACTCTATTTCAAAGATGAAAAGGACAGCAACAAACTGGTATCAAAGGCATGCCGTCTTCTTGAAGATTCTTCCTACACTCCACTGACTTATATGCGTTTATATGACTGTATTGGGTGGGTGGAGGTGGAGGGAGAAGTGATATTTAGTTGAAGGTTGTCATAATATTGGGTAGTTGACCTGGTCATTATCTCTAATTCAGAGAGGAACATGATGCATTTGAGCTCTGCAGCACAAATTAAAAACAGCATTTCGTAAGTGCTGTTCACTGCAGTGACAAAAGACTACACATTACATTAAAAAGTTCTTTTTGAGGGCATATGAAAGCTTTTCTGAGAACACATGGCTGATTTCAGCAAAAAAGTAGGTGTGACAGGAGAAGAAAATCACAGCTGTGTGTGTGAATGTACAGATGGGAACACAGAGAAGCTGAAAGACATAAAAGTTAGTGAGTTGGACATCCAGAATTAGTGAAGGGAGGACAGGAAAACTGAGAGTGTGATGAACAATGTAGTGGTGGGCAAACAAGTTAGAGACACTGAAGGTCACAACATGTAACTGAGAGGAAAGGTTACAGCAAGCAGGACATTGGCTGTGTACTACACACAAAATACAAATGGAAAGAGCAATCTGTGGCACACGCCATTGTGTTCTGAGGCTATAAAACCCCACATTGCTAAAAGATATCAATAAGGTTTTCAGAAATCATAAGAGAAAATTAAAACCTTACTAAGTTTTAAAGCTGTTGTGAAAGAAAAGGGACATTTACTGTTGACTTTAACAGAATGCAATAATGATAAGTCTGAGATAAGAAACTATTATTGACTCTAATCAACAATTCTGACAAACCAGAATACATCTAAACACCGTAAAGATGAGGAAAAAGCGCACATTTTTCTATCACTCTATTCAATAGCACTCTATGTCAACCAGTACAAAACCATTGTAGGAGGGGAAGATATTATAGAAAAGAAACAGCATAAAATATGGCCAAAACCAAGAAAACCTGGGCTACCTTTTAATATTTTTATATTCAATACTAACAAACACAATATGATGTGCCAGGCACTCTTCACAGTACTCTAAAAATGTCAAATCATGGAACCCACACAGCAGCCCTATAAGACAGCTACACTGTGAGTATTATTCCCAGATGAAATGGATGGATAAATAAACTGAAACCCCAAGAGTCTAAGTATCTTTTTCAAAATAATCAGCTAGTAAGTGACAGAGCAGATTGGAACCCAGTGTCTGTGCTTTCAACCTTTCTATTATATTTACTAACTTTTGCCTTCAGCCATAACATCCAACACAACCTGGAAGACTAGTACATTCTTCTCGTTCAAATACACATGACATAATAACTACTATAGATTGAAGATAGCCTTCTCCAATGATCACCCAATTGTTAAACTATACTTATTTAAACACATTTATCTTTTTCTTTTATTTTCTTCATTCACAAAGCATTTACTGTCTATTAGATATATAGTTGTGTGTATATATATATATACACACATATACATATACAGACGTATATACTTAGCTCCATGAGAAAAACAAAAATTGTGGCATATAGTCTGCTAGAATCTAAATGTTGGGGTCCCCACAAAACTCATATGATAAAAGGTAATCACCAACATGATGGTGTTAGGAAATGGAGCCTTTGGGAGGTAATTGAATCATGAGAACAATAGGATTAGTGCCCTTATAAAAAAGGCCCCAGAGAGCCACTTTGCCTCTTCCACCATGTGAGGACAAAGCAACAAAGCACCATCTATGACCCAGAAAGCAGACCCTACCAGATATAGAATCTGCCAGACTCTTGATCTTGGACTTCCCAGCCTCCAGAACTCTGGGAACTTCATTTCTGTTGTGTATAAAATATGCAGTCTTAGTCCATTATAGCAGTCCAAATGGACTAATACATAGTCCCTACTTTCAGGAACAATACATTAATTGGAGTAGGATAATTGCTATAAAAAATAATCACAAATATTTCAGTGGCTTCTCACAATAAAACATTGTTCTTCGTATTCTAGTGAAGATTTCAGAGGGAGGGAGGCAAAAACAGAGGAGCACTATACCCAATCTGGAATATGCAGCTTCTCCATCATGAGCTCTGACCTCCTCAGGAGTCAGCTCCATTCAGCAGGTGGTGGGGAAAGAAAAGTGGATGACATCTGGGAGGTTTGTTAGTGCCAGGCTGGAGGAGGGAACCTGGTTTCTGCTCCCATTCCACTGGCCAGCTCTTGGGTGCGTGGTCACACCTGATGGGAAGGTGGAGCCCCAGAAGAGCCAGGAAACCTCTGCCTCAGTCCAAAGTTAAGAAAAGATTCTGCTAGTCTTTACCTTTGGTACAAACCTCTGTATCAGTCTCAATTAGAGAGGGAAAATAGAATCTGCTCTAAGATGTTCAAGTGGGAAGGGATTTAACAGAGGAGATCAAAGATTTACAAAATCATGTTAAGAGCAGAGTGCACAAAAGCCAAGGAAACCACTGCTACTCTTCAGGAAATCGGGAAGGGCAGGAATGTCAGGCAACCACCACTGATGGCCTGATGGACTGTAGTCCTGAAGCAGTTTCCAGGAAATAGGAGCAAAATTATCAGATCTGTCCTCTGCTGAAGCCCATGTGATTTCCCTCCATCATGGGAGCCCTTATGGCCCTTCTTCCCTTCTGCCATGTAACTCACACAGGCACCACTGATTTGCAGACCCTCAATGGGAACCCAGTAGCCAGGACATCTGGGTAATGTACTCAGGCCTGAAGCTCCTGCAGCAAAGGAAAGAGCAAAGGAGGGAGTGGAAATGGTTCCAAGGTGCCACTAGATGATCCAACTCATGGGATGCATTTTTGTTTTCTTTATACAAGTTTTATTTTGAAAATGAGAAATAAAAAACTCTATGTATTAGAATCATATGTACTAGAATTATATTCATCATTCATATTTGTTAACCTCTGTTTTATTTTTCAAAGCCAGCTTTAAAAGTATAATATTAGGGAAGTTAAATAGCACAATTGTATTTGAAAAGTTGTGCTTAACTGGGGGGTTAAGATTGATTTGTTTCTGAAGAGGTTTGAGGACAACAGATAAATATAAAGCCATTAGATTGAGCACAGATGCCATTGCTCCACCATTACATTGATGAGCAGTAAGTAGTCAGTGAACTAAATCAATATTGCCATTAACCCTTACCATTTTCAGCAACAGTGACTTCATCTTGTCTCTAATTTTTGCTCCAGCTTCCCAGGGAAAAGTTGGTCATATCATAGACTCAATGTTATTGGTGATTTTATGTGTGGGGTCTCAGTGGGCTGCTCAGTACAATGAGGGGTTTATTTATTTACTCATTTTTACTTTGCTTGAGTTCTCTGGTTGTTATTATTTTAAAACATAGCTTTAATTTTAATAGTTATTGACAATTTTGTTACTTTATTACTCATCATACTGAAATAATAGGTAGGTGTTAGACTTAGTATATGATATGGTTTGGCTCTGTGTTCCCACCCAAATCTCAATCTCATGTTGAATTGTAATTTCCAACGTTTGGGGAGAGATCTGGTGGGAGGTGATTGGATCCTGGGGGGTGGATTTCCCCCACGCTGTTCTTGTGATAGTGAGTTCTCACGAGATCCGACGGTTTATAAGTGTGTGGCAATTTCCCCCTCACTCTCTCTCTCTTCTGCTCCACCATGGTAAGATGTGCTTGCATCCCCTTTGCCTTCCACCATAATTGTAAGTTCCTGAGGCCTCCCAGCCATGCTTCTTGTACAGCCTGTGAAACTGTGAGTTGATTAAAACCCTTTTCTTTATAAATTACCCAGTCACAGGTAGTTCTTTATAGCAGTGTGAGAACAGTATAATAGTTATATATACTTATATCAATAACACTTAAGTATTCATGCAGGGATGACTACAGTGAAGTAAGTACAGTTGCAGATCACTGTCTAAACTTAAAAATCAGGAGTTTGGGGCAGTTCATAAATGCAAGTCCCTGTCTATGCTTGCATGAAGAATTGGAGGTTGTGCAAAACTATTGATACAAATGTTAGCTTCTGGTCGGTGTGCTTGGCCATATGGCTCTGCAGATTCTCATCAAGTTCGATAGCTCTAGGCAGGTATGTGAACAACCTCTAAGAATGCCCACCTCAATTGTGTCTGCTAGTCAGCTAAAGGCAGAATGTAAGGATTTTGCTGTTATAATGAATGATAAGTACATTTGCTAATGTTTACTAAAAAGAGTAATAATATTAACTAACAGGTAGTGTTACTTATCAGACACTGGGTAAGAGCTATTATTATTCACATTTTAGAGAGGCACTAACTTCAGATGCAAATAAGTTAATTTCCTCAAAGTCACAAGTGGAAGCAGTGTGGTTTCAAAGTCTAAGTTCTTAACCAATGTGGCGATATATAGCTCACAGCTGTAGCTATTACTTTTCCTGCCTCAGTGCACATGAATCATCTGCCTATGTGTGAGTGGCAGAAATGAGTGAATTCCTACTACAGTTACCATGCAAGCAGGGGCAGGAAACATGGGAGATGGCCTTTAATGAGAAGCTCTCCAGGAATCTTTCATGATTAAAATGGGAAATCAACACATCATAAATTAGAACATAGATATGAAAAGTTACCTTAGATTGTTAGGGTGGTTCTAGGCCATCGATATATGATTTCACTGCAAATGAACCTATTATCTATCTAGAATTTTAATGTCAATCTACCTGTAACTGTCATGCCAATTGGAAAACACTGTAATAGCAAGAGTTTGAAATCAATATAAATGTCTATCAATAGTGTACTGGTTAAATAAATTAAAATATATCCTTATAATGAAATAATATGTATGATTTAAAAATTGAAAAGGCCTTTAATATGTTAATGGAAAGATATTTAAAATATACTGTTAGGTATAAAACAAAGTTTAGAGAAATGTATATATGATGCTACCATTTATATAAAAAATGTAAGAAAAAAGAGACCCTATAACTGTATTGGCTTTCACAAGCATAAAACTTCTCTGGAAAAATAAACACAAAAATAACAATAGGGATTACATTTTGTGGTGATGGAAACTGAGAAGATAGGAAGTCAGATGGGAGAAAGACTCTTCACTATATGCTACTGTATCAATTTTAACATCTGAACTATGGAAATATGTTCCCTATTTTGAAAATTGATTTAAAAATTAAAAGAAGCATTTATGAAACACTTGGGTATGGACCACTAAAGCTAGCACTATGAGTGGAAGAGAATAGAAAAGACACAGTTCTCAAATTCTTTATTTGGACAAACAAACATGCACCACTTAACACTTACTTAGTAAGCAACATGTAAGTAAATACAAATTAGGACAAGACAAACTGCTGTCATAAGTGTAGGAGTATGCAGACTAATGGCATGCAGAGAATTTGCTGAGTATAATTAGAGTTGTCTTCCTGGGGGAATTGAATTGCAGGCCTGGTTTCAGAGAAAAGAGATACGGTGTCATAAACAGTGTGGTGTTGCACGTGCAGCATTCTGAAAACTATAAGAGTGGAGAAATAAACTAAACTCTTAAGTCATTGAGGGAGATTGAAGGGCTGGTGCCTTCAGAAGGTAGAACACTGGTATCTTGAGTCTCCTATCATCAAAGGAAAGGGGCCATGCTCATCTTATTTAGACTTGATCTTGGTTTATATTTATTTCCACTCTTGTTTTACTGGATTCCATTATTGCCTATAATACTTTTTAACTGATTCTCTTAGGTGTTCCCGGTACTTATTTATTGTCATTTACAAAACCTAACAATTTTACTTTTTCCTTTCCAATTTTATGTCTCTGATTTATTCCTCTGTTTTAATTGCATTGACTGACATTTCCAGTACAACTGCACATCCTTCTTTTTCCTAATTTAGAGGGAATCAACTAGCTGGCTATCAAGCTAACATATATTTTATTATGATAAGGAATAATTTAATTAAGTGTTAAGTACTTAAATGTTTTTAAAAATAAGAATGGATGCTGAATTGTGTTAAATGCCTTTTTAGCATCTGTGGAACTATGGAAATGATCTGTTTTTTCTTTTAGACCTATAAATACAATGGATTATACTGATAGATTTACAAATGTTGAACCATCCTTGCATTTCTGAAATTATCTCTACTAGATTACAATGTTCTGTTTTAGGATGTTGATATATTTTTGTCACTATTTTATCTGAGAGTTTTGTGTTGATATTCATGAATTAGAGTTTTACATAGTTTTGTGTCAGGGTCTATGGTGGACAGACTTTAACGTTGCTTCCTGGTGTTCTTGCCCTTGTATAATCAAGTTTCTTTGAGGATGGTTTGGGTCCATGATTTTCTTCTAACCAGCAGAATATGGCAAAGGTGATGGGGTATGACTTCCATACTTACACTACATTATATAAATCTTCATCTTAGTAGTAAACTTGCTCTAGGGGCTCATTCTCTGTTGTTGACTTTGGGAAAAACCAAACTGCCATGAATTCTATACCACAGATGTATGCATGATCTTTATTAAGTTTTGGTATCTAGGTTACACTTTATTTATATTTTCTGGAAAAGACTCAGAAGCCATCCTTTTAAACTCTGAAACTGATTAAATAATATTATTTTCCAAAACATTGGTGAGAACCCTCTGTTAACTTGTTTTCACCTTGTGCTTTTTTTGGAAGAGGAAGTTCTCTGCCAGCCTTTTCGATTTCTTCTATGTAATTTGGTCTGCTTAGATTTTTCTGTTTCTTCCGGAGTCAATTTTAGTAAATAATATTTTCCAATAAAAATGACCTTTGCATCTAGATTTTTTGAGAATTAAGCAAAAATAGTCTAATTATTATCTTAATTTCTAAACAAAAACAAGTTAGGTCAGTGAATGATTTAATCAATATTTCTTTTTTTTGTTTATTAGTTTATGCAACCAGTGTTTTATTATTATTATTATACTTTAAGTTCTAGGGTACATGTGCACAATGTGCAGGTTTATTACATCTATATATATGTGCCATGTTGGTGTGCTGCACCCATTAACTCATCATTTATATTAGGTATATCTCCTAATGCTATCCCTCCCCACTACCCCCTCCTCTACAGACCCCGGTGTGTGATGTTCCCCACCCTGTGTTCAAGTATTCTTATTGTTCAATTCCCACCTATGAGTGAGAACACGCGGTGTTTGGTTTTCTGTCCTTGTGGTAGTTTGCACAGAATGATTGTTTCCACCTTCATCCATGTCCCTACAAAGGACATGAACTCATCCATTTTTATGGCTGCATAGTATTCCAAGGTGTATATGTGCCACATTTTCTTAATCCAGTCTATCATTGATGGACATTTGGGTTGGTTCCAAGTCTTTGCTACTGTGAATAGTGCCACAATAAACATACGTGTGCATGTGTCTTTAAAGCAGCATGATTTATAATCCTTTGGGTATGTACCCAGTAATGGGATCGCTAGGTCAAATGGTATTTCTAGTTCTAGATCCTTGAGGAATTGCCACACTGTCTTCCACAGTGGTTTAACTAGTTTACAGTCCCACCAACAGTGTAAAAGCGTTCCTGTTTCTCCACATCCTCTCCAGCACCTGTTGTTTCCAGACTTTTTAATGATTGCCATTCTACCTGGTGTGAGATGGTATCTTATTGTGGTTTTGATTTGCATTTCTCTGATGGCCAGTGATGATGAGCATTTTTTCATGTGTCTGTTGGCTGCATAAATGTCTTCTTTTGAGAAGAGTCTGTTCATATCCTTTGCCCATTTTTTGATGGGGTTGTTTGATTTTTTCTTGTAAATTTGTTTAAATTCTTTGTAGATTCTGGATATTAGCCCTTTGTCAGATGAGTAGATTGTAAAAATTTTCTCCCATTCTGTAGGTTGCCTGTTCACTATGATGGTAGTTTCTTTTGCTGTGCAGAAGCTCCTTAGTTTACTTAGATCCCATTTGTCAACTTTGGCTTTTGTTGCCATTGCTTTTGGTGTTTTAGTCATGAAGTCCTTGCCCATGCCTATGTCCTGAATGGTATTGCCTAGGTTTTCTTCTAGGGTTTTTATGGCTTTAGTTCTAACATTTAAGTTTTTAATCCATCTTGAATTAATTTTTGTATAAGGTGTAAGACAGGGATCCAGTTTCAGCTTTCTACATATGGCTAGCCAGTTTTCCCAGCACCATTTATTAAATAGGGAATCCTTTCCCCATTTCTTGGTTTTGTCAGGTTTGTCAAACATCAGATGGTTGTAGATGTGTGGTATTATTTCTGAGGGCTCTGTTCTATTGGACAATATCTCTGTTTTGGCACCAGTACCATGCTGTTTTGGTTACTGTAGCCTTGTAGTATAGTTTGAAGTCAGGTAGTGTGATACCTCCAGCTTTGTTCTTTTGGCTTAGGATTGACTTGGCGATGCAGGCTCTTTTTTGGTTCCATATGAACTTTAAAGTAGTTTTTTCCAATTCTGTGAAGAAAGTCATTGGTAGCTTGATGGGGATGGCATTGAATCTATAAATTACCTTGGGCAGTATGGCCATTTTCACAATATTGATTCTTCCTATCCATGAGCATGGAATGTTCTTCCATTTGTTTGTGTCCTCTTTTATTTCGTTGAGCAGTGGTTTGTAGTTCTCCTTGAATAGGTCCTTCACATCCCTTGTAAGTTGGATTCCTAGGTATTTTATTCTCTTTGAAGCAATTGTGAATAGGAATTCACTCATGATTTGACTCTTTCTTTGTCTGTTATTGGTGTATAAGAATGCTTGTGATTTTTGCACATTGATTCTGTATCTTGAAACGGCTGAAGTTGCTTATCAGCTTAAGGAGATTTTGGGCTGAGACAATGGGGTTTTCAAAATATACAATCATGTCATCTGCAAACAGGGACAATTTGACTTCCTCTTTTTCTAATTGAATACCCTTTATTTCTTTCTCCTGCCTGATTGCCCTGGCCAGAACTTCCAACACTATGTTGAATAGGAGTGGTGAGAGAGGGCATCCCTGTCTTGTGCCAGTTTTCAAAGGGAATGCTTCCAGTTTTTGCCCATTCAGTATGATATTGGCTGTGGATTTGTCATAAATAGCTCTTATTATTTTGAGATATGTCCCGCCAATACCTAATTTATTGAGAGTTATTAGCATGAAGGGCTGTTGAATTTTGTCGAAGGCCTTTTCTGCATCTATTGAGATAATCATGTGGTTTTTGTCTTTGGTTCTGTTTATATGATGAATTACGTTTATTGATTTGCATATGTTGAACCAGACTTGCGACCCAGGGATGAAGCCAACTTGATCGTGGTGGATAAGCTTTTTGATATCCTGTAGGATTCAGTTTACCACTATTTTATTGAGGATTTTTGCATCTATGTTCATCAGGGATATCAGTCTAAAATTCTCTTTTTTTGTTGTGTCTCTGCCAGGCTTTGGTATCAGGATGATGCTGGCCTCATCAAATGAGTTAGGGAGGATTCCCTCTTTTTCTATTGATTGGAATAGTTTCAGAAGAAATGGTACCAGCTCCTCTTTGTACCTCTGGTAGAATTTGGCTGTGAACCCATCTGGTCCTGGACTTTTTTTGGTTTGTAGGCTATTAATTATTGTCTCAATTTCAGAACCTGTTATTGATCTATTCAGGGATTCAACTTCTTCCTCATTTAGTCTTGGGAGGGTGTATGTGTCCAGGAATTTATTCATTTCTCCTAGATTTTCTAGTTTATTTGCAGAGAAGTGTTTATAGTATTCTCTGATGGTAGTTTGTATTTCTGTGGGATCGGTGGTGATATTCCCTTTATCATTTTTTATTGCGTCTATTTGATTCTCCTCTCTTTTCTTCTTTATTAGTCTTGCTAGTGGTCTGTGAATTTCGTTGACCTTTTCAAACAACCAGCTCCTGGATTCATTGATTTTTTGAAGGGTTTTTTGTGTCGTCTCTGTCTCCTTCAGTTCTGCTCTGATCTTAGTTATTTCTTGCCTTCTGCTAGGGTTTGAATGTGTTTGCTCTTGCTTCTCTAGTTCTTTTAATTGTGATGTTAGGGTGCGAATTTTAGGTCTTTCCTGCTTTCTTTTGTCGTCATTTAGTGCTATAAATTTCCTGCTACACCCTGCTTTAAATGTGTCCCAGAGATTCTGGTATGTTGTGTCTTTGTTCCCATTGGTTTCAAAGAACATCTTTATTTCGGTCTTCATTTCATTATCTACCCAGTAGTCATTCAGGAGAATGTTGTTCAGTTTCCATGTAGTTGAGTAGTTTAGAGTGAGTTTCTTAATCCTGAGTTCTAGTTTGATTGCACTGTGGTCTGAGAGACAGTTTGTTATAATTTCTGTTCTTTTACATTTGCTGAGGAGAGCTTTACTTCCAACTATGTGGTCAATTTTGGAATAAGTGTGATGTCGTGCTGAGAAGAATGTATATTCTGTTGATTTGGGGTGGAGAGTTCTGTCGATGTCTATTAGGCCTGCTTGGTGCAGAGCTGAGTTCAATTCCTGGATATCCTTGTTAACTTTCTGTCTCATTGATCTGTCTAATGTTGACAGTGGTGTGTTAAAGTCTCCCATTATTATTGTGTGGGAGTCTGAGTCTCTTTGTAGGTCTCTAAGGACTTGTTTTATGAATCTGGGTGCTCCTGTATTGGGTGCATATATATTTAGGATAGTTAGCTCTTCTTGTTGAATTGATCCCTTTACCATTATGTAATGGCCTTCTTTGTCTCTTTTGAACTTTGTTGGTTTAAAGTCTGTTTTATCCGAGACTAGGATTGCAACCCCTGCTTTTTTTTGTTTTCCATTTACTTGGTAGATCTTCCTCCATCCCTTTATTTTGAGCCTACATATGTCTCTACATGTGAGATGGGTACAGAATACAGTACACTGATGGGTCTTGATTCTTTATCCAATTTGCCAGTCTGTGTCTTTTAATTGGAGCATTTAGCCTATTTACATTTAAGGTTAGTATTGTTATGTGTGAATTTGTTCCTGTCATTATGATGTTAGCTGGTTATTTTGCTCGTTAGTTGATGCAGTTTCTTTCTAGCATCGATGATCTTTACGATTTGGCATGTTTTTGCAGTGGCTGGTACTGGTTGTTCCTTTCCATGTTTAGTGCTTCCTTCAGGAGCTCTTGTAAGGCAGGCCTGGTGGTGACAAAATCTCTCAGCATTTGCTTATCTGTGAAGTATTTTATTTCTCCTTCACTTATGAAGCTTAGTTTAGCTGGATATGAAATTCTGGGTTAAAAATTCTTTTCTTTAAGAATGTTGAATATTGGCCCCCACTCTCTTCTGGCTGGTAGTTTCTGCTGAGAGATCCACTGTTAGTCTGATGGGCTTCCCTTCGTGGGTAACCTGACCTTTCTCTCTGGCTGCCCTTAACATTTTTTCCTTCATTTCAACCTTAGTGAATCTGACAATTATGTGTCTTGGAGTTGCTCTTCTTGAGGAGTGTCTTTGTGGCATTCTCTGTATTTCCTGAATTTGAACGTTGGCCTGCCTTGCTAAGTTGGGGAAGTTCTCCTGGATAACATCTTGAAGTGTTTTCCAACTTGGTTCCATTCTCCCTGTCACTTTCAGGTACACCAATCAGACATAGATTTTGTCTTTTCACATAGTCCCGTATTTCTTGGAGGCTTTGTTGGTTTCTTTTTACTCTTTTTTCTCTAAACTTCTCTTCTCGCTTCATTTCATTCATTTGATCTTCAATCTCTGATACCTTCTTCCACTTGATTGAATCAGCTACTGAAGCTTGTGCATGCATCATGTAGTTCTCGTGCTATGGTTTTCAGCTCCATCAGGTCATTTAAGGTCTTCTCTACGCTGTTTATTCTTGTTAGCCATTCGTCTAATCTTTTTTTAAGGTTTTTAGCTTCTTTGCGATGGGTTCGAACATCCTCCCTTAGCTTGGAGAAGTTTGTTATTACCGATCATCTGAAGCCTTCTTCTCTCAACTCATCAAAGTCATTCTCCATCCAGCTTTGTTCCATTGCTGGCGAGGAGCTGCATTCCTTTGGAGGAGAAGAGGCACTCTGATTTTTAGAATTTTCAGCTTTTCTGCTCTGGTTTCTCCCCATCTTTGTGGTTTTATCTACCTTTGGTCTTTGATGATGGTGACGTACAGATGGGGTTTTGGTGTGGATGTCCTTTCTGTTTGTTAGTTTTCCTTCTAACAGTCAGGACCCTCAGCTGCAGGTCTGTTGCAGTTTGCTGCAGGTCCACTCCAGACGCTGTTTGCCTGGGTATCACCAGCGGAGGCTGCAGAACAGCAAATATTGCAGAACGGCAAATGTTGCTGCCTGATCGTTCCTCTGGAAGCTTCATCTCAGAGGGGCACCCAGCAGTATGAGGTGTCAGTTGGCCCCTACTGGGAGATGCCTCCCAGTTAGGCTACTCAGGGGTCAGGGACCCACTTGAGGAGGCAGACTGTCCATTCTCAGATCTCAAACTCTGTGCTGGAGGACCACTACTCTCTTCAAAGCTGTCAGACAGGGACGTTTAAGTCTGCAGAAGTTTCTGCTGCCTTTTGTTCAACTATGCCCTGCCCCCAGAGGTGGAGTCTACAGAGGCAGGCAGGCCTCCTTGAGCTGCGGTGGGCTCCACCCAGTTCGAGTTTCCTGGCTGCTTTGTTTACCTACTCAAGCCTCAGCAATGGCAGATGCCCCTCCCCTAGTCTCACTGCCGCCTTGAAGTTCGATCTCAGACTGCTGTGCTAGCAGTGAGCCAGGCTCTGTGGGCATGGGACCCTCCAAGCCAGGCACGGGATATAATCTCCTGGTGCGCCATTTGCTAAGACCGTTGGAAAAGCGCAGTATTAGGGTGGGAGTGTCTCGATTTTCCAGGTACCATCTGTCACGGCTTCTTTTGGCTAGGAAAGGGAATTCCCTGACTCCTTGCCTGCTTCCTGGGTGAGGCGATGCCCCGTCCTGCTCCATGGGCTGCACCCACTATCCGACAAGCCCTAGTGAGATGAATCCAGTACCTCAGTTGGAAATGCAGAAATCACCCATCTTCTGTGTTGCTCACGCTGGGAGCTGTAGACTGGAGCTGTTCCTATTTGGCCATCTTGGAACCTCCTTCTAAAACTAATTTTTTATTTTATTTTTTAAACGGAGTATTTGTGCTTTGTGCCCAGGCTGGAGTGAAGTGGTGCAATCTCTGCTCACTGCAACCTGCACCTCCTGGGTTCAAGCGATTCTCCTGCCTCGGCTCCTGTGTAGCTGGGATTACAGGAGCATGCCCTCAATATTTTTTCAAAAAGGCAGTTTTTGGATTTATATATTGGTTTCACTTATTTATTCATTGGATTACTTTCTTATTAATTCTATCCTTATTAATTCCTTTCTGATATTTATTTGTTCATTTTTTACTCAACACACATGCTTAATTCATTTTTTTCAATCTTTCTGTTTATTAATAAGATATTTAGGACTATGTATATTTTTTCTCTGGACACTGTTAGCTATATCTCATAAGTTCCGATGTAAAGTGTTTTCATTATCATCACTTTTTAGACATTTTATAATTTTAGAATAAATTTTCTCTTTGAGAAAGTTGGTGTTAAGAATTTTCTAATTGTTTTGAAATGTGCTGAGATTGTCTGTATTGGCTAGTATGATTCATGTCTGTAAAAGGCTTATGGGCACATAAAAACAAGATGTGCTATTATTTCCAGGATTTAGTACTTTCTATAGGTCATCTGTATATAAGATATAATAATATTAGTAATAATATTAATATTATATTCTGATATTAAATATTGTTATGCAAATATATGAGATGACTAATTTTTTTCTACCATATAAGTGACTTGATATTTCTTGATATTCTTTGATATCTGCAGCTGCCAAAAGGATTTTATTTTTTAAGTCCAGTGACTTTACTAAAAATGTTCAGGTGTTGAATATCCATTACACATGACCTTCTCTTTGTATTTAGACTCATGCTTTTGTTTTACTCTAGAAAAGTTTTCTTGAATTGTAGCTTTAAATATTTGTTCTGTTACATTTTCCCTCTTATACAGAATCCAATTATGCATATTATGTGTCTCTGCCTCCTTTTACTATTTTCTATTTCAACATTTTCTAATTCTTTTTAACTATTTATCTTGATTGTATTTTCTTTTTCTCATTTCTCTCTTGTGTCCATTACTATTTTATTGTTTATTCTAGTATTTATTCAATTTTGAGCTCCTTCTAATTTCTTCTTTGTTTCATTTAGCAAACTGTCGCAAGGACAGAAAACCATACACCACATGTTCTCATTCACAGGTGGGAATTTAACAATGAGAACACTTGAACACAGGGTGGGGAACATCACACACCGGGGCCTGTCATGGGGTTGGGGGAGTGGGGAGGGATAGCATTGGGAGAAATACCTAATGTAAATGACGAGTTAATGGGTGCAGCACACCAACAGGGCACATGTATACACATATGTAACAAACCTGTACGTTGTGCACATGTACCCTAAAAACTTAAAGTATAATTTAAAAAAAGAAATTATCATTCAAAACATTTAATAATGTACTATGCATCTGAGTATTTTCTTTTTTTTTCTTAGTAGAGACAGGGTTTCACAATGTTGGCCAGGCTGCTCTTGAACTCCAGACCTCAAGTGATCCACCTGCCTCGATCTCCCAAAGTGCTGGGATTACAGACGTGAGCCACCGTGCCTGGCCTTACTATGCATCTTTCATACATGTAAATTTCTTATACATTAGGAGCTTACATGCTGAAATAAGTGATTGTGGAAACAAATAATATTTTTGAAAATATAAGTAAAAATTAATAATTACATATTTACATAATACTTTACCCAAAATAAAAGACTGAGACATGGTGGTAATGTTAAATCCTGGGTAGTTAAGCACTTCTAAGTGTCCATCAAATTAAAATGAGTGTCCAGAGCCCCATACTAATGGGTTTGGGCTGGTAGGTCTGTGCTGTCTCAGAGGGAACTTGTTGGAGAACAGATTGGCCCCTGCAAGCCAGCACTAAAGGTATCCCAGGGTTCCCAGCTATAAAATTACTTCCAAATCCACACTTTCTTTTCCATCCTCAAGACAAATGGGTGTATGTGCCTTAACCTTTCCTCCAGACACTGTGGATACTCTTATTGTGATTAGTTTTCTCCTTGCAAGCTGTCCACAGTGTTGAATTTACCCTGATTTAAACTTACAGACATGTTTGGGTAGGGGAGCATAGGCCATATGGGGAGCCATAGTACAGCTCAGGGTTTCTCAGGCATAACATTTTTGGAAATGATATGCATGACTCAAGATTTGGAAGGAAGATTGTAATGAGAGCAAAGCATTTGTTGAATGCTTATTAACTGCCAGACACTGTTATTGGCACTTTACATGTACTAAAGCATTTAATTAATGTACCATAGTTTAAAATAACAGTACCTATAAGATGAACACTGATATTATTTCCATTTTGCAGTAGAAGGAATTAAGCGCTAAAACAAATCACTTAACTTCATACACCTAGTAAGCAGTAGATTGGAAATTCAAGTCTTGGCAGTTTGGCCTCAGAGTACAGGCTTTTAAGTGCTATATTTTACTTTCTACAATGTGGTGCTCAATTCTCTCCAATGGTTTTTAGGAGACTACAATATGAAGCAGTATTGGAGGAAAGAAAAGGAAGATTGACCCCTAAAAACAAGACAAGAAATCAAGGAGCTAGAAGGTGTTACAGAGGAAGAGCTGGGAAGGAAACAACTATAAAATTTGCCAGCCCCTCTCTCAGTCCCGCCCACCAAACACACACTTTTTCTCTTTTTCTCTCTCTCTAATCATCCTGAGGCGGACTGGGAAGAAGAATAAGTAAGCAGAGAACATGCAAGAGACTAAAGAAACTATATTTATACTCAATGGAGAGTGAATTTCAAATACAAAGGATTCAAAGTCCATCGAGCCAAATCGAGAAAAAGATTTTCAAGAACAAAATCATGCACTCAGTTACCAGACAGGAAAAATTCATACCTACTGCTTTCAACCCTAGCAATTAGTCTTGAACCCAGTACAAACACAGCTTCCATGGTAAGCGAATGCAAAAACTGAAAAACGATTTAAAGCAATATGCAAAGTGTTCCTCATTAACTGTAATTACCTCGTATCTAAACACATTAATGTAATTTAGGAAAAGGGAGTTTTCACATGGAAATATATGCTAAACGTTCCCTAGTTTATTTAGTGTAAACTTTCAACATAAAAACAGAAAATTTAACTTTTTGCCCTGTTTTATGGTGAAGATGTTTGTCTTTTAATTATCAGTATGTCATTGGTCATTTCAACACTGAAAGGACAAGGTGCAAGCAAGATGAAAATGATAATGCACTGCCTCAAATGTATTTTAAAATAACTAGAGCTTTTCCTTTGCTCTGGATTTTTTTTTTAAAGACAGTCTTTTAATGCCATTAATAGTAGTTCAAGTACTTCTGGTGAGACTAAATATTGAGAATGATAGAGTGGAGTATTCTGAAGATATGATGTTAATATTGTGTTGAGCAGGGAACCCAGGAATGTCTGAATCACCTGCCAGACCAAAAACTCCTTCCTGGGACCTGGGAGACATACATGTATAAGAAAATGACTGGTAAAAGCAAGAATTAAAGCTTTTTATTATTAGCTAGTCTAATAATTGTCTAATGCAGAACTTCAATGAGTTAAGAAGGATAAAGCACAGGATTCCTTTTCTTTTTATTATAAACAGGCCCAAGTCACCAAAACCAAAGCATGTCAGATGCGATCTTTATCTACTTTAATTCTAAAGACCAAACCCAAGCCTCAGATCTTACCACTGCAACATAATAAGAGATCGATTCAAAGCGCAGCCATCAACACCAGAGAAGAAGAGGAGAGCGAGTGACCAAGAGATCATTTCCTAGACAAGGACAGCAACCCTGGGCTTGACTGCCATGTAGCAAAAGAATAAACATTCTCAAGATTAAAAAAAAGAAGGAGGAAGAGGAGGTGGTGGCCAGAGCTGGTGAGATTGGTCCTGGATTTCCTACCATTCTGGTGGAATAAAAGAAACAGGTGGCTGCTGAGTGGTGAGTGCTGTGAAGAAAATAAAGCAGGCCAAGTTGACAGAAAGTGAAAGCACAACAGTGGCTCTTTTAGATATTGGAGACAGAAAGGGTCTCTCTAAGGAAATGACATTTAGGTAGATACCTAAACTATATGAAGGAGTAACTCCACTAAAGATGTGGGAAGAATGTTCCAGCGAATGGGACTACCAAGTGTGGAGGCCTCAATACAGAACAAGCATAGATTGTTTTGTGATGAGCGGCAATTCCAGCGTGGGTGGAGAGGGCTGAGGAAGGGGAGAGCACTAGGAGATGAGCCTGGAGTGGAAGGCAGGGGCCAGATGAGGGAGGGCTCTGCAGTCCGTGCAAAGGAGTTTGGATTTTATTCTTACTATAATGGGAATAATGGGAAGCTATTGGGAGATTTTAAAGCAGGGTGCAAAATATGAATGTATTTGCTTTTAAAAGATCACTCTGATGGTTTTGCTGAGAACAGATTTCAGGAGAGCAAGAATAGAACTTGGGAGGCCAATTAGGAGAATGTTCTTGCATTCATTTAAGAGATGATGGGAACATGGATTAATGACTCACACTAGAGATGGGCTGTCCCCTTGAGAAACAAGCTTAGCAGAGTGTCAGAGACATCCTGTCAGCACCATTGTGAGGCTGTTCTGCTAGTCTTTGGCCACTATGTAGCCACATGGGAACAATGAGCCGATCAGTTCAGTCTCCCACGGCCTTTTATGAAGGCCTGTTTGATGTTGCCTCCAGAAGCTTCTGCTAGGGGTCAATACAGGATAAGAATATTCTTCAATAGTAACACTATACAGTGTCTCCAATTGTTACCTTCCATTCTGTTTTCCATCTGGATTTATGTTCTGCTCTACTTCTGCCCAGTTCACCAGAAAGAGTTATACAATGAATACAGATTACCACATAGCCCAAGAAACTCAATGCCAAGATAAATGCCTGATGTTTCCTGCCACCCTACAAAATTTACAACACAATCCCCCTCATTATCAAACTTACACAGATAAAGTCTCTGCAATGGGATGCAACCTTACCCAACTTTTCCCCAAAATAAATTCAATTTCCAAGAAAATGAATCTTCTCTCCTTTGATCCACTGATAAATGAAGGCCTGCAATATTAACATCTTTACATCAAGGCCATCTCCCTGCCATTTGCTCCCATTCTTTCACTGGAACATGTGTAGCAACTTCAGCAAACTACAAAACTGGCCATTCTAACTGTAAGTTTGTTATATTTTTCACATTCCCAAAATTCCACAGAATTGAAAGCACACATGAGAACCTTACTAATCTAACCCCATATCCATTCACATTGAAAAATAAATTATTCAAGTGTCACTGCATTTATGCAGTAGAAACCTTTTCAAGAATAAGTGCCTGAAACCCACAGATATCGTACAACAGCCGCTCATCAAACTCAGAATAAAATAACTCCAGGCCATGGTCTCCAGGGACCCACAGGACCTCACCCTACCTACCTCTCCTACCCATCCTCTCTCACGGCCTTTCATTTGGCATGTGCAGCCACGCACCAACTCCTCCTAGTTTGCCCAGAACTTTCCTGCTTTTAGCATTTAAAATCCTGTGTCCTGGCAACCTTCTCAGTCCCAGGTAAACTGAATAGCTGGTCATCCTATCATGGGTGTTCATGCAGGCTGGTTTCTCTGCATGGAACATTCTTCTCCAAGGTGCTTCTATGGCTTATTCCTTCTCATCATTCAGTTCTCTATTCAAATAACTCTTTTCAGAAGGGCCATCCCTAACCACCTGTAGTAGTATTTATCAGTCGGTATCTAACAAAGTATGTTTTCCTTTTCCATTTAGTTACTTGTATGTCTCCTCCTCTAGCATGTAAACTACATGAAGTGCCAGTGCTATATCTTCTCTATTGTATCTCTGCCTCTAAGACCTGTGTTTAACACATGGTAGCCTCTCCAAAAATATCTGTTGAGTGAATGAATCATTTTTTATTCTAGTCTAGTTGTTATGTCATAAACCACAGGCATCACAATCATCAATATCAACACAAACAACAATTGTGTTCATTCATTCTTTCAGCAATTTAGGCTGGGTGCAGTGGCTCATGCCTGTAATCTCAGCACTTTGGGAGGCTGAAGTGGGCAGATTGCCTGAGCTCAGAAGTTCGAGACCAGCCTGGGCAATATAGGGAGACCCCATCTCTGTGAAAATAAAAATACACAAATTAACCAGGCATGGTGGTGCATGCCTGTAGTCCCAGCTACTCTGGAGGCTGAAGTGGGAGCATCACTAGAGCCTACGAGGTCAAGGCTGCAGTGAGCTATGATTGCATCAAGGCACTCCAGCCTGGGTGACAGAGTGAGACCCTGTCTCAGAATGAAATAAAATAAAATAAATAATAAAATATAATACAATTCAACAGCTTAAAATTTAAGAGCTAGTAAAATTTTGTAAAATCTGGCAAGCTAGCAACTAGGGGAAGCCACAGGATTCAGTCTGTCCATGAAAACTGTACTTGCTGAAAATGTTGCTTCCTTCATGCCCCTTTTGGAACTGATAGGACTCGCTTTCCCCCATTCTAACATGAGTCATTTCTTCAGATCTTGGGGATGCCACCTTCTGCAAATATTGTCTGTGGACCCATACATGGCAGAAGGGTAGCCATGTTCCTGAAACCTTATCCCAAGCATACACAGTACCAGATGCCTAGAACAAGTTCTGGCAGCTTCTTCAAATTCCAGGTTCTTTTCTGTTATTTCTAATTCTAAGGTTTTCCAAAATAGAATTGCCTCCCTGACCCACAGATTTGTTCATCCCAAATTACCACACCATACCACTTAGAAACACTCCCTCCTTAGCTCCCCAACGTTCCTTTATAGGTTTTTGGCACTGGAGCCACTAGTAAAAGGCCTTATACACCAGAAGGACAGCAGATGACTTTGCAGCTCCCAAAGAATATCAGGCATGATGGGGTGGGATGCAGATAGGCCCTTTTTAACTTTAAGTTCCTTTTTTAGGTTGCCAGGTACAAGACTTGATAACTTAAAAGTCCCTCCCAGCAATGGACAAGTGACCTCATTTAAAAATCTGATTGGAATAAACTTCACCCAGGCCAGACTCTCCTTAGCTTTAAAGATTAACAAAAGGTGCAGAGATTGTAGTGTCTACATCCCTGCACCTCCAGAGAGTTCTCTGGTAACTCTGCCAGGAAGGTAGGTGGGCCCCTTGAGCATAAGTGAATTGGAACAGCCTGTTTTAAAACAGGCACCAGAACCTGGCTACAGAATGTTTACTGTGCAGTCTCCTGGAGTGACTAAGTGGGCAGGCATCTCCAGGAGCCCAGCCAGGAGAGCCCTGCTTTGGAGAGACACGTCCCCACCTCCCACATGCTCCCAACCACCACCCTCTCTGCCTTCCTGCCACTGGGTGTGCAATGACACAGGAGACAGAGTGAGTCTATCTGAGGTGCTATAAAATCCATCAGTGCATATGAAGAAGAAAAGCTAAAACCGTGGGGACCACAATTTATTTCCAAATTTTATGTCCTTCAAAATCATGTTGCACATTCCTGGTTAGAGGCAGCAGATTGTGATGTTGGTTTGCTGCTTGTGGAAAAATGCTGAGGCCCATCAATATCATGGGAAATCCTTTAAGAGACTGCAAAGATTCTGTTTTTTGGAGAGTGGGCCTTTTCTACCTGGCAAAACTCTGGAATTTCAAAGGTAGAACTCAGCCCTCTTCTCTGTTTTCGCTCTCAACAGACCTCAATCCTCTTCAACTTCGGGGGCTTTGGTCTGGGCTCTAAGAAATGAAACATATTCCCCAATGGGTTTTCTTTCTTTTTTAATAAAAATATCAAAGGCATACTTATCGGTGGCTGAGGAGGGAAAGCTGTGGCAAAGGCTATTTTTTAACTGGAACATGCCCCGTGTTGTGCCTCACTCATCCAGGGGCGCTGGAAGATTGATGGTTGGACATGTGGAGGGAACTGCCACTGATTGAAATCAGACAACTGCAAGCTGTGCAGGAGAGCCAGGGGAACCCATTTTAACCACAGCCCTCCAGTCTTAGCACATTTGGACAGGGCTCAGAGGAGCTGGGCAACACTAGGAGGCCAAGGGCAGAAGGAGGGGCCGGGAAAGGCTGAAGGATGTACACTTCTCTGTGTCTCTAACTCATCTGCGCCTTTTAAAAAAAGCACCGGGCAAGACAGAACACTCCTTGCCAATGATCAGCCATGGGCCTTGGGATTTGAAATGAAAAATAATCAGTCCGCTTGCACAAGCAGAGAAAAGAGATAAAAATGATAAAGCCTGCTGTTTCACTGACCAAAACCCCTGATGCTACTGTCCCTGAATTTTGGGCAGGATTCTTTTATTTGCTTTTCAACAGGCAGGGGCCAGGGAGGAAGCCATGGGAAATTGTCAGTGTGTTACTTAGTACCCATCACCAGGATTGTAGCCAGAGTTCAGTGTTGTTAACAATTGTGCAGCTATGCACTTGAACTGAGACATTTTTATTTCATTAGGGGTGTCGGTTTACAGCCATTAGCTAAGCAGATTGGCCAGGACCAAAAGGCTTTTTTTTTTTTTTTTTAAATGTGTTATCGCCAGATCTCTCTTCTATTATTCAGGTCTTTAAAAAAGAGAGAAAGGGAGGGAGGGCGGCTGTAAGGACAATTATGTTTTGTGACTTGTCTCTATCCTCTGGCCCGAACAGTCTAAAGTAGGTTTTATTAGAAATCATTATTTAGATTCCAGCCCAGGAGCATTATCGATCGCCTGTGTATAATGGTTCCCAGATCACAGAAAGTAGCAGAGAGGGTCTCTGCTGGGCCGACATAATGTCAGTGACAATTCATTTTTTGCCAGTTAGGATGCTGGTTTAATATCCTGAAAAAGGCACTTAACACCACCCTTTCATAACATCTGTCAGGGCCCGTCCAGTGGCTTGTTTCTCACACTGTGGGCTCCCAGGCAGTTTAGGGCCTTTCTCTGAAACATGCTTCTCTCAGAGGCCTCCGAATTCCTCAGACATTCAACCAGCCCCAGCCCCGGGGCCCAACACTCGCAGACCAGCTGTTACAACTTTCCAGGACGCTCCTAAATTTTCTAAATGTGTGCCATATAAAAATAAAATTGAGGACGGTGAGTGTTCAGGAGCCCTGTGTGTGAAGAATATAACTCATCCGGCGGCTTGGGCCCATTATTTCCACATTCTTCCGCAGCTCTCAGTTTCACCTCGGGCCTCAGAGCAGTTCAGCGGGAAGCTCAAGGCCTGAGATTTGGGTCAAGTGATCATTTTTTTTTTTTTTTTTTTTACTTTTTCTGCCTTAGTTTTCTTTTAAAGTCCCCCTTTTATTTGGAAACTTTTTTTTAAATACAAAAATATTGAAAGAAAAGTAGAAGGTACTCTACACCTGAATTTAACACTTGTTCAAATTTTGTCTCTGCTGTAGTTTGTTCTCTCAGGCACACTCACATACACACTCAACACACTCACACGTTCTCATCCATGTTCACACACAGGGTCATGCTCACACACTCACACATTACCACACACACTCACACGCTCACACTTGCGTGCAAAATCACATTCACATATTCTTCTTACACATACTCTTGAACTCTCTCTCACACAAACAGACATACCCATACAGTTTTTTCTGGACCATTTAAAAATAAGTGGCAGACATCCTGACACTTTATCACTAAGTACCATACAACATACAGCATTTCCTAAGAACCATACAATAATAATCACACCTAAGAAAATTAGCAATAATTTTGTGATATAATCTATGATTTCTTTCATATTCATATATCCCCACTTGAGCCCAATAGGTTTTTATAGTTATTTTTCCCCTAATCCGCAATCTAGTCAAGATGCATTAATTGCATTTGGTTGGTCTTTGTGGGTTGTGCTTTTTTGCATGTGTTTTTTTTAATGTTGCCTTTTTAAAAACTCCAGGTTAGTTGTCTTATAGAATGTTCCTTCATTTTATTTTTGTAAGCTCTGTAAATGAAATATCACATACAGTAAAGTACTCAAATATTAAGGGAACTGTTCCAAGATTTCCTTTAATGAAGTAAAATAGACTTGTGTAACTTCTACCTAGACTGGGACATGGAATATTACCTGTATCCATAAGCATCACTCAAGCCTCCTCCCAGCCATTGCTGTCAGCAAAAAATAACACTATTCTGACTTTTATCGTATAGTAGACACTTAGGAAATATTAGTTGAATGAATATATTATCAAAGTTTTCGTTATCTCCTGATGTGAATTTGGGCAAATTATACCACTTTAATGACCTGTCTTGTCTTATAAAATGAAATGTTAATGGACACTTTTTAAAAATCACTTCCTATTAAAAATAACTATATATTCTATGACAGTTATAGTAAATATTAGCTATTATTAACATCAGTTTTATGTTTGAAAGACTGTTTCTTTGCATGTTTCTATTTTGCAGTTCTCTTTACTCACTGTTTCATTTAGCATTAGTATTGAATCATAAGTTATCTCTGATAAAAGTAATAAACATATTTGTCTGAAAATATATTCACTATACTATTTTAAACACATGCATTTTTATATCCTTAAAAACAAGATATTTATTATAAAATGGGTACAGAATAAATTTCGTATTAAATCACAGTAGTGATCCTACTGCTTCAATATAAACTGCAGATCCCTGTTTTCTGCAAGTGTTTCAAATACATTGTAATGTGTGGCTATTATGTGAGTTATGGAAACATCTACTGCTTCTCAGTAGTATTTAACTTCTAAGTTTGTTTGGATAGTTTGAATACTTTTTATCGTTTTATGCTTTATTTCTCTTCTCTTGCTCATATAATAAATTACTAAATGGACTAAATCATTATGTAATTACCAAAAAATTGTTAGGCAGAACAATTGAAAACAGGTTCTTCGTGATAAGCAATGAAAGAACACATCGTACAGCCACAGACTTCATCTGAAGTCATCTCTCTGATGATTTATTTTTGCCAAGAAGTAAAGAATTACTTGTGTCTTTCAAAAGCAATATTCTACATTCATTTTAGTTGTTGAATCTCTGTGTTCATAACATATAGGAAGACATAAAAGGACATTTTATGCTAAAATTTTAATATTAGAGATAACATGACTGTTATATATCCATTTTCTATTTATACTGCATATATAATGAATTTCTATCTGATTGATTTTGACTACAGAGGGATGGTAGTTATCTCTGTATTGTGGCTCTTTAATACTCTGACAAATATTATTAGTGTTCTGACTCTGAATATAATTGTATTTTGGAAGCCAGCTTGTAACGCAGAGAAAAATTCACAGTTGGCTTAGATTGACTCAGTCTTTGTTTGAATGCCACAAATTATAGTATCTAAGATTTGGACAAGAGGCATCATTTTGATGGACAAAAATGACAGGGTTCAAATAAAATTGGGCAGATATTAGGATTTGATGTCACATTTTTAGAGAGAGAGTTATGAAATATGTAAAGCCCTAAGAAAGTAGGGCTTACCATCTCATTTATGGAATGTCTAATCAACCAATTAGGGAGTTTAACCAATTTCCAACTTAAACCCAGTGGCACATGCCTGTAGTCCCAGCTACTCTAGAGGCTGAGGCAGGGGGAATCACATAGGTCAAGCCTGCAGTGAGCTGTGATTGTACCACTGCACTCCAGCCTGGGCAACAGAGCAAGACCCTGTCTCAAAAAGAAAAAAAAAAATCAATGTTTCACAAACACACTCTGCTTTTCTTCATGTATTCTTTTCATCTGGAGCATGACTTTTCTAAATGCCAACCATAGAAATCCTCCATAATCCCATGGAAATTTATCTCAAACACTCCTTCTCTCTTAGATATTTTCAGACTCTTTTTTTCAGACATAATTTCCCTCTTCTTTAAACCTGTATAGCAGTTTCTAACTCTCTCATTACAGAAATCAAATTATGCCATATAGCACAATAGCTTGTTTATTGTCTTATTTTTACATTGAATGGAAGCTCAGGTAGTGGGTCTCACACTTAGGACCCATAACAATTGCTAGTAAGAGGTTAAACTACGCTACGTATTCCCAGGTCACATCTTCAGAAATTCTTTTTTTTTTTTTTTTTTGAGATGGAGTCTCACTCTGTCGCCCAGGCTGGTGTGCGGTGGTGTGATATCGGCTCACTGCAACCTCCGCCTCCTGGGTTTAAGCAATTCTCCTGCATCAGCCTCCTGAGTAGCTGGGATTACAAGCGCCTGCCACCATGCCTAGCTAATTTTTGTGTTTTTAATAAAGACGGGGTTTCACCGTGTTGGTCAGGCTGGTCTCAAACTCCTAGTCTCAAGTGATCCACCTGCCGCAGGCCCCCAAAGTGCTAGAATTACAGGCATGAGCCACTGCTCCCGGCCCCTTAGAAATTCTTATTTAATAACTTGGGTGATGGCAAGGTTATTGACATACACATAAGGCTGTAGATGGTCCTAAAATCATACCTTGAAAAACACTCTCTCAGACCAGAAATCTTGTGTCTTTCTCACTGCACTCTGCATCCCTAGCACCACCTTGCATATCATAAATGCTCAGTGTGTAGTGAATGACTGGGTCAACACTGGTGCTTGACTAATCAGTCACCTATCTGCAGTATAACAAACTTCAAGGGTTTACTCCCCACCTGTTGTCTACAATTCCTCAAACCTTTTCAAAGCTCTCAGTGAAACTCTATGAGAAACCACCAGCAGAGACAGTTCTTTTCCAGCCTTCTTTCTTACCATGTTATTGCTATTCCCTCTCTAATGCTATTCCCATAGAAGCAAAGTACTTCCAAATCTGTTTGGTCTCATCCATGAAATAAGTTGAAAATTTCTCACAGTGAGAAACACTTGACTTTGTTACCATGCCAAAGTTCTCTGAATTAATCACGCTGTCCACAGGTTGGAATGGTTCCATCAGTTTGAATTTTACAGTTATTTAAAGCTGAGCAGACAAGAATTGCTCAGCTCTGGAAAAGGAACTCACAGACTCTCTGAGGCATAATCAATTGGATTAGGAGTCTCTCTTCTGAAGCTGATTTTGTAACTTTGTCCCTTCTGAATTTTCCCAGTCATTTTGCCTTTCAAGCTCACTTAAAGAGAAGGTTCCTTTCTCACATGACTCAATAGATGAAAATAATTATGATGCAATTAACAGCAAATTTAATTGTAAACATTATATTTCTGTGCCAAATGTAAACATGAAAAATTATAGATTTATTTTGCTTTCAGATTTCTTAAAGAACAACAAAATTGTTTTCTTTGATTTAAACTAATGCTAAATACAATGCTGTGTTGTTCTTTGATATCACTAAGGCTTAGTGTGAGAATGTTTTCATTAAGGTAGAAAGCAATACAGAACAAAATTTGAAAAAGGGTGGCCTGATTGTATTACTACCTCTTTATCCTCTAGCAGCCCTTTCAATTAAGAAAGAAAAGCCATTTTACAAAGTCAAAGTGGAAAAACCAGGAAGCAGGAAATATTTTTAAAGTATTGTATTGTTTTTTAAAATTACCTAAAGAAAATGTGGCAAAATGAATAAAAATTTAATTATACCACCACTGTTGGTTTTAAGTCAATTTTATGCCCTTATGAGAAGTTTTATAGACATTTTTCCACCTAAAAACTCTGACAATATAATAATCAAATAAATTTGTTTTAAGTTCAGTAACAGGGGAGGTAGGACACTTGAGATGTTTGAACATCAAGATCTCACTGGGCTCAAAGAGAGGTACAAATAATCTAGGTGATGATGCCTATGGAATAATTTATTGATGGAAAATGTGATATAAACCTGTTTCTCCTTTCTATGAGAGATGCTTAGAAGGTTTCTGCAATAATTTCTATCTTCAGAACATATTTAGAACAGTCACAATAGTTGGCTCTGATGGACCATGATTTCATATACACAGTTTATTTTTCTGCCTTATTAGTCTTGAGATCAAACATTCATTTAACAAAAAAAAAAAAAAAAAGATTGAATTCTGCTGCCTGCCTGGAAGAAAGTCAAAGCAGAATAGCTGCCCTCAAAGGCTCATGATCTAATGGAGAAGACTAAAAGGTAAACAAATTCGGTCTATCAAAAGTGTAAGCAGAGTAGCTAAAACAGTGTGCCTTGGGATTACAGAAAAGGCAGGCCCTCACTGCTTGGTGAATCGGTGAGGAAACGACAAAAGTAATTTGAACTGAATCTCAAAGGATAAGCGCGTGTCTGTCTGTTATGTAAGAGAGGTAGAGGCTTGAAACCCAGGAAAAAGCAATGTTTGCCCAGTGAGCAGGCTTTAAAAGTTATGACTTTTTAGGGGGCTCCACGTTGTTCCATGTCATGGGAACAGTAGATGTATGTGGAGAAATTACAAGAGACCACATCATCAAAAACGTTGTATGACATGCCAGGGAGCTGACTTTTTTCTCAGACCATGGAGGCTTTGAAGAATTTTAATCACGGAAGTGACATGATTCTATTTATTATTTTTTTTAAAACAGTTTTATTGAGATATTATTGGCATACAATAGATTATTTTTTACATGGAATTCTATAAATCCATATAACCACAATCATGATAATGAGCATATCCATCACTCCCCTAAGTTTCCTTGAGGCTCTTTATAATCCTTTCCCCTTCTCTCTCTCCCACAATCAAACCCAGGAAACCACTGAACTACTGATCTGCTTTCTGTTGCTGTAGATTAATGAACATTTCCTAGAATTTTGCATGAGTGGAATCAGATAGTATGTATATATGTATCAATATTACCAGCTTCTTTAGTTTAGAACACATCACAAAATATTAATATTTTGAGACTTGTCAGTGTTATGTGTATCAACGTTCCACTCTCTTTTATTGCTGAGTAGTGCTCTCTTACATGGTTACACCACAATTTGTTTATCTATTTGCTTGTTGATGAACATGGGAGTTGTTTCCAGTTTTTAGCTATTACAAGTAAAGCTGCAATGAATGTTCATGCATAAGTCTTTGCGTAGACATGTGCTTTCTTTGTCTTAGGTATATACCTAGACATGAAATGGCTGGATCATGTGATAGGTCATGTTTAACTTTTTAAAATAATGTCAAACAGTTTTCTAAAGTGGTTATACTATTTTACATTTGCACCAATAGTGTATGAGAGTCCCAGTCTCTCTACATCCTCGTCAGCACTTGGTGTGATTAGACTTTTAAATTTTAGCAGTCTTAATAGGTGTGTAGTGCTATTCATCGTGGTTTCAATGTGCATCTCCCTACTGATTGCTGATTTTGAGCATCTTTTCATGTGCTTATTTACTACCTGTATAACTTCTTTGATGATATGTCTGTTTAAAACTTTTGTCAGTTTTTAAAATGGGTTTTCTAAAATTTTCTTATTGCTACATTTTTTAGAGTTATTTAGAAATTCTTGATACATATCTTTGGTCAGCTATATGACATATAAATATTTTTCTCCCAGTATGAGGCTTCTTTTGTGAAAAATAAATGTTTTTAATTTTGAAGTTCAATTTATCCAATTTTTCTTTTATGAATCATGCTATTGGTATAATTTCTAATAAACTTTTGCCTAACCTAAGGTCAAAAAATTTTTCTGTTTCACATTTATAGTTTTAGGTTTTATATTTATGTGTGTGATCTATTTTAAATTAACTTTTGTGTGTTGTGCCAGGTATAAATAGGAGTTCATTTTTAAAACTATATTGATATTAAATTGACCCAGCACTATTTGTTGAAAATATTATCCCTTCTCTACTGAATTGTTCTTGTCACTTTATCAGAAATCAATATTCCAACCTCACAGAAATCTAATGAATGCTCTGTTCAGCAACAGCACAATACACGTTCTTCTTAAGTGCACACAACATTTTTCAGGATAGACCACAGGTTAGGCAATGAGACAAGTTTCAATAAGTTTACAAAGATTAAAACCATGCAAAGTACCTTTTCCAACCACAATGGAATGAAACTAGAAGTTAATCACTGAAGGAAATATGGAAAATTCACAAATATGTAGAAAATAAATAACACTCTCAAATAACCAATGGTTCAAAGAAGAAATCACAACGGAAATTAGAAAATGCTTGAGACAAATTAAAACAAAAATGCAACATACCAAAATTTATGGGATGCAGCTAAGCAGTGATTGTAGAGATATTTATAGCTATAAATGCCTATATATAAAAGGAAGATCTCAGATTAATAACCTAACTGTGCACCTTAAGGAGCTAGAAAAAGAAGAACAAACTAAACCCAAAAGTAGCAGTAGAAAAGAAATCATTGCCCAGAAAATTCTGAAAAAGAAAAAACAAAAGAGGCAGCCTGCTCTTTGACCCCCAGCATACTGGATATGTTATACACTTAAAATAATGGCATCATCATAAGGAAATGTTATTGTAGGGTCAAAATAATAATAGATGTGTAGCTGTTAAGTACGGAATAAAGTTGACATTTGTATGTCATTTATTATGAAAGAAACTATGACTTTGGAGAACATCCATTTAACAGAACTTGACCTCAGAATTCTACATGTAGTGATTCCATAGGACAGATGTTTGCTCTGAGGTTGTAGCTTATTACATAATGTACCAATGGGGAAAATATTCATTTCAACAGTACGTGGCCAATGTTTTTCACCATAAAATTCTGTCAGAGAAACAAGAAGTCCCTGAAATATACTTTTATTTGTGCATTAAAGGATAGATTGGAAGTTTTAAGGAGAAATTGCAAGGCTTAATTCAGGTAGTTTTTTTTTTTTAAATACAGGCAAAGAAATTGGTTGACTTTCAACCTCATGAGTTTAAGAAATTGTGATTGTACCCAAAGTACTTTGAATTAACGTAAAGATGAAAAGTCCTAGACATCTGTGGGATATGGGGAAAGCTGAGTAAAATCCAATTTTGTATGTATATGGAATGATTTTTTACTGTTCAGTTTCTGGGAAGAAAAAGGCAACTTCTATTATGGCTGATATGCTGAAGAAGCTAAGTGATTATCCTAAATGAGACTGCCAGGAAAATCATTATGAGTTGTTATCATGTGCTATAAACTGTAGATAAATTTAAAACATACAAAGACATGAAAAAAGGATGAAGTTACATAACAAGTAAACAAAAATCAGATCTTTTAATTTTTCTATATACAGTCTCATTCATACAGCAGACAATGCCTAGTTATAAGTGTAACAAACTAGCTCCGCACTTTCCTCCACACCTCATTCATTGGCGGGGCTCAAAGCATCTTCAGCCACAGGGCTGGCTGTCCAGAGACATGAGCAAGAAAGGAAAAGAATCAAGACAGCAGAGGTAAGTTTGCAGGAAGGTTGTGCAGACAGGATCACAAACAGAGAATAGAACCAAAAGAGATGACTTCAAACACTGTCATGGAGAAGGGAAACTTTCTTTAAAGAGAACCATGAAGAACAAGGGTACCTGAGCAATAAAGCAATGAAGATTCTAGAATTCCCTGTTATCCCAAATCTTTTCTTTTCTTTTTTTTAAACTCTAATTCCTTTGTAGATTTCTTAAAGTCTTTCCCATTGATTTTCTTAAATTAAAACATGATTATCTTTTGGAAATGGATTCCTATATATTTAATTTTGCCTTCTTAGCTCCCAACTCAGTGTTTTACAAGTAGTAAAGACCTAATAATTGAGTGCTTGGTGACATCCAATTTAAATGATATGTAAATATTGTAGCAGTCAAATATATCCTTGAAGTATCTGACTATGATACAACTCCTGGACATTATTGCTAGATGAATAGTCATAACTACCTGTTGCCCGGTATTAAGAATTTCTGAAGAGTCCCCGAGTTTCAGCCTGTGAGATTATGAACGCCATTCTTTGCAAGCGGTTTTTTTCTCTTATAAAATCTACACTATTGAGACGTGACTTTGCAATCAGTGCACAGATTGGGCCTTCTGTAAGTGCAGCCAGGGGTTAGTGGTATCTGAGTGCTTTCTGGGGCACACCTTTCAATGCTCTGCTGCATCCACTAGGCATAGATTGCTGCATGCATTATATGGACAAAATGCATTTAAAAGTTTCTTTAATATTTTGTGACATTAAAAGTTGATGTCATTTGGCTGTGTCCCCACCCAAATCTCATCTTGAATTGTAGTTCCCATAATTCCCACGTGTTGTGGGAGGGACCTAGTGGGAGATAATTGAATCATGGGGGCAGGTCTTTCTCATGCTGTTCTTGTGATGGTGAATAAGTCTCACGAGATCTGATGGTTTTAGAAAGGGGAGTTCCCTCACACATGTTCTCCTGCCTGCTGCCATGTAAGACATGACTTCATTTCTTTTTTTTTCTTTTATTATTATACTTTAAGTTTTAGGGTACATGTGCACATTGTGCAGGTTAGTTACATATGTATACATGTGCCACACTGGTGCGCTGCACCCACTAACTTGTCATCTAGCATTAGGTATATCTCCCAATGCTATCCGTCCCCCCTCCCCCAACCCCACAACAGTCCCCAGAGTGTGATGTTCCCCTTCCTGTGTCCATGTGATCTCATTGTTCAATTCCCACCTGTGAGTGAGGATATGTGGTGTTTGGTTTTTTGTTCTTGCGATAGTTTACTGAGAATGATGATTTCCAATTTCATCCACATCCCTACAAAGGACATGAACTCATCATTTTTTATGGCTGCATAGTATTCCATGGTGTATATGTGCCACATTTTCTTAATCCAGTCTATCAGTGTTGGACATTTGGGTTGGTTCCAAGTCTTTGCTACTGTGAATAGTGCCGCAATAAACATACGTGTGCATGTGTCTTTATAGCAGCATGATTTATAGTCCTTTGGGTATATACCCAGTAATGGGATGGCTGGGTCAAATTGTATTTCTCTTTCTAGATCCCTGAGGAATCGCCACACTGACTTCCACAATGGTTGAACTAGTTTACAGTCCCACCAACAGTGTAAAAGTGTTCCTATTTCTCCACATCCTCTCCAGCACCTGTTGTTTCCTGACTTTTTAATGATTGCCATTCTAACTGGTGTGAGATGGTATCTCATTGTGGTTTTGATTTGCATTTCTCTGATGGCCAGTGATGATGAGCATTTTTTCATGTGTTTTTTGGCTGCATAAATGTCTTCTTTTGAGAAGTGTCTGTTCATGTCCTTCACCAACTTTTTGATGGGGTTGTTTGTTTTTTTCTTGTTTTCTTTGAGTTCATTGTAGATTCTGGATATCAGCCGTTTGTCAGATGAGTAGGTTGCGAAAATTTTCTCCCATTTTGTCAGTTGCCTGTTCACTCTGATGGTAGTTTCTTTTGCTGTGCAGAAGCTCTTTAGTTTAATTAGATCCCATTTGTCAATTTTGTCTTTTGTTGCCATTGCTTTTGGTGTTTTAGGCATGAAGTCCTTGCCCATGCCTATGTCCTGAATGGTATTGCCTAGGTTTTCTTCTAGGGTTTTTATGGTTTTAGGTCTAACGTTTAAGTCTTTAATCCATCTTGAATTAATTTTTGTATAAGGTGTAAGGAAGGGATCCAGTTTCAGCTTTCTACATATGGCTAGCCAGTTGTCCCAGCACCATTTATTAAATAGGGAATCCTTTCCCCATTGCTTGTTTTTCTCAGGTTTGTCAAAGATCAGATAGTTGTAGATATGCGGCGTTATTTCTGAGGGCTCTGTTCTGTTCCATTGATCTATATCTCTGTTTTGGTACCAGTACCATGCTGTTTTGGTTACTGCAGCCTTGTAGTATAGTTTGAAGTCAGGTAGTGTGATGCCTCCAGCTTTGTTCTTTTGGCTTAGGATTGACTTGGTGATGCAGGCTCTTTTTTGGTTCCATATGAACTTTAAAGTAGTTTTTTCCAATTCTGTGAAGAAAGGCATTGGTAGCTTGATGGGGATGGCATTGAATCTGTAAATTACCTTGGGCAGTATGGCCATTTTCACGATATTGATTCTTCCTACCCATGAGCATAGAATGTTCTTACATTTGTTTGTATCGTCTTTTATTTCATTGAGCAGTGGTTTGTAGTTCTCCTTGAAGAGGTCCTTCACATCCCTTGTAAGTTGGATTCCTAGGTATTGTATTCTCTTTGAAGCAATTGTGAATGGGAGTTCACTCATGATTTGGCTCTCTGTTTGTCTGTTGTTGGTGTATAAGAATGCTTGTGATTTTTGTACATTGATTTTGTATCCTGAGATTTTGCTGAAGTTGCTTATCAGCTTAAGGAGATTTTGGGCTGAGACAATGGGGTTTTCTAGATATACAATCATGTCGTCTGCAAACAGGGACAATTTGACTTCCTCTTTTCCTAATTGAATACCTTTTATTTCCTTCTCCTGGCTAATTGCCCTGGCCAGAACTTCCAACACTATGTTGAATAGGAGTGGTGAGAGAGGGCATCCCTGTCTTGTGCCAGTTTTCAAAGGGAATGCTTCCAGTTTTTGCCCATTCAGTATGATATTGGCTGTGGGTTTGTCATAGATAGCTCTTATTATTTTGAAATACATCCCATCGATACCTAATTTATTGAGAGTTTTTAGCATGAAGGGTTGTTGAATTTTGTCAAAGGCCTTTTCTGCATCTATTGAGATAATCATGTGGTTTTTGTCTTTGGCTCTGTTTATATGCTGGATTACATTTATTGATTTGCGTATATTGAACCAGCCTTGCATCCCAGGGATGAAGCCCACCTGATCATGGTGGATAAGCTTTTTGATGTGCTGCTGGATTCGTTTTGCCAGTATTTTATTGAGGATTTTTGCATCAACGTTCATCAAGGATATTGGTCTAAAATTCTCTTTTTTGGTTGTGTCTCTGCCCAGCTTTGGTATCAGAATGATGCTGGCCTCATAAAATGAGTTAGGGAGGATACCCTCTTTTTCTATTGATTGGAATAGTTTCAGAAGGAATGGTACCAGTTCCTCCTTGTACCTCTGGTAGAATTTGGCTGTGAATCCATCTGGTCCTGGACTCTTTTTGGTTGGTAAGCTATGGATTATTGCCACAATTTCAGATCCTGTTATTGGTCTATTCAGAGATTCAACTTCTTCTTGGTTTAGTCTTGGGAGAGTGTATGTGTCGAGGAATTTATCCATTTCTTCTAGATTTTCTAGTTTATTTGCGTAGAGGTGTCTGTAGTATTCTCTGATAGTAGTTTGTATTTCTGTGGGATCAGTGGTGATATCCCCTTTATCATTTTTTATTGCATCTATTTGATTCTTCTCTCTTTTTTTCTTTATTAGTCTTGCTAGCAGTCTATCTATTTTGTTGATCCTTTCAAAAAACCAGTTCCTGGATTCATTAATTTTTTGAAGGGTTTTTTGTGTCTCTATTTCCTTCAGTTCTGCTCTGATTTTAGTTATTTCTTGCCTTCTGCTAGCTTTTGAATGTGTTTGCTCTTGCTTTCCTAGTTCTTTTAATTGTGATGTTAGGTTGTCAATTTTGGATCTTTCCTGCTTTCTCTTGTGGGCATTTAGTGCTATAAATTTCCCTCTACACACTGCTTTGAATGCGTCCCAGAGATTCTGGTATGTTGTGTCTTTGTTCTCATTGGTTTCAAAGAACATCTTTATTTCTGCCTTCATTTCATTATGTACCCAGTAGTCATTCAGGAGCAGGTTGTTCAGTTTCCATGTAGTTGAGCGGTTTTGAGTGAGATTCTTAATCCTGAGTTCTAGTTTGATTGCACTGTGGTCTGAGAGACAGTTTGTTATAATTTCTGTTCTTTTACATTTGCTGAGGAGAGCTTTACTTCCAAGTATGTGGTCAATTTTGGAATAGGTGTGGTGTGGTGCTGAAAAGAATGTATATTCTGTTGATTTGGGGTGGAGAGTTCTGTAGATGTCTATTAGGTCCACTTGGTGCAGAGCTGAGTTCAATTCCTGGGTATCCTTGTTGACTTTCTGTCTCATTGATCTGTCTAATGTTGACAGTGGGGTGTTAAAGTCTCCCATTATTAATGTGTGGGAGTCTAAGTCTCTTTGTAGGTCACTCAGGACTTGCTTTATGAATCTGGGTGCTCCTGTATTGGGTGCATATATATTTAGGATAGTTAGCTCTTCTTGTTGAATTGATCCCTTTACCATTATGTAATGGCCTTCTTTGTCTCTTTTGATCTTTGTTGGTTTAAAGTCTGTTTTATCCGAGACTAGGATTGCAACTCCTGCCTTTTTTTGTTTTCCATTTGCTTGGTAGATCTTCCTCCATCCTTTTATTTTGAGCCTATGTGTGTCTCTGCACGTGAGATGGGTTTCCTGAATACAGCACACTGATGGGTCTTGACTCTATCCAATTTGCCAGTCTGTGTCTTTTAATGGGAGCATTTAGTCCATTTACATTTACAGTTAATATTGTTATGTGTGAATTTGATCCTGTCGTTAAGATGTTAGCTGGTTATTTTGCTCGTTAGTTGATGCAGCTTCTTCTTAGTCTCGATGGTCTTTACATTTTGGCATGATTTTGCAGCAGCTGGTACTGGTTGTTTCTTTCCATGTTTAGCGCTTCCTTCAGGAGCTCTTTTAGGGCAGGCCTGGTGGTGACAAAATCTCTCAGCATTTGCTTGTCTGTAAAGTATTTTATTTCTCCTTCACGTATGAAGCTTAGTTTGGCTGGATATGAAATTCTGGGTTGAAAATTCTTTTCTTTAAGAATGTTGAATATCGGCCCCCACTCTCTTCTGGCTTGTAGGGTTTCTGCCGAGAGATCCACTGTTAGTCTGATGGGCTTCCCTTTGAGGGTAACCCGACCTTTCTCTCTGGCTGCCCTTAACATTTTTTCCTTCACTTCAACTTTGGTGAATCTGACAATTATGTGTCTTGGGGTTGCTCTTCTCGAGGAGTATCTTTGTGGCGTTCTCTGTATTTCCTGAATCTGAACGTTGGCCTGCCTTGCTAGATTGGGGAAGTTCTCCTGGATAATATCCTGCAGAGTGTTTTCCAACTTGGTTCTATTCTCCCCGTCACTTTCAGGTACACCAATCAGATGTAGATTTGGTCTTTTCACATAGTCCCATATTTCTTGGAGGCTTTGCTCATTTCTTTTTATTCTTTTTTCTCTAAACTTCCCTTCTCGCTTCATTTCATTCATTTCATCTTCCATTGCTGATACCCTTTCTTCCAGTTGATCACATTGGCTCCTGAGGCTTCTGCATTCTTCACGTAGTTCTCGAGCCTTGGTTTTCAGCTCCATCAGCTCCTTTAAGCACTTCTCTGTATTGGTTATTCTAGTTATACATTCTTCTAAATTTTTTTCAAAGTTTTCAACTTCTTTGCCTTTGGTTTGAATGTCCTCCCGTAGCTCAGAGTAATTTGATCGTCTGAAGCCTTCTTCTCTCAGCTCGTCAAAGTCGTTCTCCGTCCAGCTTTGTTCCGTTGCTGGTGAGGAACTGCGTTCTTTTGGAGGAGGAGAGGTGCTCTGCTTTTTAGAGTTTCCAGTTTTTCTGTTCTGTTTTTTTCCCATCTTTGTGGTTTTATCTACTTTTGGTCTTTGATGATGGTGATGTACAGATGGGTTTTTGGTGTGGATGTCCTTTCTGTTTGTTAGTTTTCCTTCTAACAGACAGGACCCTCAGCTGCAGGTCTGTTGGAGTACCCTGCCTTGTGAGGTGTCAGTGTTCCCCTGCTGGGGAGTGCCTCCCAGTTAGGCTGCTCAGGGGTCAGGGGTCAGGGGTCAGGGACCCACTTGAGGAGGCAGTCTGCCCGTTCTCAGATCTCCAGCTGCATACTGGGAGAACCACTGCTCTCTTCAAAGCTGTCAGACAGGGACATTTAAGTCTGCAGAGGTTACTGCTGTCTTTTTGTTTGTCTGTGCCCTGCCCCCAGAGGTGGAGCCTACAGAGGCAGGCAGGCCTCCTTGAGCTGTGGTGGGCTCCACCCACTTCAAGCTTCCAGGCTGTTTTGTTTACCTAATCAAGCCTGGGCAATGGCGGGCGCCCCTCCCCCAGCCTCGCTGCGGCCTTGCAGTTTGATCTCAGACTGCTGTGCTAGCAATCAGCGAGACTCCGTGGGCGTAGGACCCTCGGCGCCAGGTGCAGGATATAATCTCGTGGTGCGCCGTTTTTTAAGCCCGTCGGAAAAGCGCAGTATTTGGGTGGGAGTGACCCGATTTTCCAGGTGCCGTCTGTCACCCCTTTCTTTGACTAGGAAAGGGAACTCTCTGAACCCTTGCACTTCCTGAGTGAGGCAATGCCTCGCCCTGCTTCAGCTCGCGCACGGTGCACGCACCCACTGACCTGCGCCCACTGTCTGGCACACCCTAGTGAGATGAACCGGGTACCTCAGATGGAAATGCAGAAATCACCCGTCTTCTGCATCTCTCACGCTGAGAGCTGTAGACCGCAGCTGTTCCTATTCGGCCATCTTGGTTCCTCCTGACTTCATTTCTTCTTTGCCTTCTTCCATGATTGTGAGGCGTCTCCAGCCATGTGGAACTGTGAGTCCGTTAAATTTCTTTCTTTTGTAAATTACCCAGCCACTGGTATGTCTTTATTAGCAGCATGAGAACAGAGTAATAGAAAAATATACTTTAATCATACAACAGCTACCAAAAGCTTTTCTCCTAGGGGAAGTAAGGCTGATACTAAATCATCTTATTGCATATCATTGACCACAGAAGTTTTCCTACATGCACAATACTTCTCTCTTCAGACTCCAAATATTATTTTTCTTTGAAATTTATTCTATCTTATTAGATATAGAAACTGAAACTTTCAGATCTTCTAGAAAATATAACCAAATCATTCCAATAGATACTTATTACATTTTTAAAAATGTAGACCCCATATTTATATTCAAAATATAACTTCTCCCCGTTTTGTGGGCATGCGTCCCCTAAATATCTACAATCACTCTTGCAAAGAGGAAAGACATAGTCTCATGCACAGGAAAATTTATTTTAAATGATGAATAACAAACTAAAATAGTAGTGGGCCATAAATTGTACTGATGGTGCACATGAGACTCAAGTTAGAATGACAAAGGATACATACTATAGAAGAGTTCAAAAGTGTGGCATGTAATTGAGTAATTAATTTGCTTAACTGCAGCTGAATTTGATTCTCCCTTGAATGACCTAAATCCATTTTTTTCTCTTCCATCCTCTATTCCTCAACATCTCCCTCCAAAACGGAAAAGACTAAGCCCTAGCAGAATGGCCAAATTGGTTTAATTATTGTTTTGTTTTGTTTTTCTAGCCTGTGACTATGGCATATAGAAATGCAAATTCAAGGCTGGGCACAGTGGCTCACGCCTGTAATCCCAGCACTTTGGGAGACCAGGGAGGGCAGATCACCTGAGGTCAGGAGTTCAAGACCAGCCTGGCCAACATGGTGAAACCCTGTCTCTATTAAAAAAAAAAATACAAAAATTAGCCAGGCATGGTGGTGTGCACCTGTAGTCCAAGCTACTTCAGAGGTTGAGGGAGGAGAATTGCTTGAACCCAGGAGGCAGAGGTTGCAGTGAGCTGGGACCACACCACTACACTCCAGCATGGGCAACAGAGCGAGACTCAATCTAAAAAAAAATAAAATAAATAAAAAATAAAGAAAAATATATCCAAAGCAATTCTTTGTAATCAGAAGTAATCTCTGAACCAATCACACAGTTAAGCCTATATATCGATGTATTCTTCAAATTACTCAGGCTCAGAGACATAAAATCACTAAATTAACATAAATCCAATACTTAACGTATGTATTCTCCAAGTTAATTAAACTCAAAGATATATGACCACTAATTAACATGGAAGAGTCGTTCATTGGTTACAAGCCGTATTTGACTTTAGAATGTTGTCCTTTTGCGGCTATGCTTCATGAAAGAAGTACCTGATCATATTTGCTTTAGTAATAACAATATTTGACACCTATAGTGTTTTATACATTTTGGCAGCCCATATATAAACAAACTCTGAATCTTTGAGCACTATTATTCTGCTGGAATATACATGGCATACAAAATTCATGAAGGTGTGGCATTGACGTCCAATGCCACTGAATTGAACAAAAATATAATAAATCTTGTTATGACTTTAATGCTTCCAGAATGTTAAGACACAACAATTTTTATCCAGAATTAAACATTTTTAGAAATGCTGGCATAAATAAGGCTTTAATTCAAAAGCTTTCCTTCTCCTTTGTAGTAAATTATAGTGATTTTTTTCCATTGTCCACTTGAAATATTTTGGTACTGTAAAACTGTTACTATAGATTTCAGAAGACCACCCTCCTGGAGGGCACTTGAATTGGTACTAGGAAAAATCAGGGGGAAGTTGATGAACCTGAGAACTTGAAGGGTGAATTATGAATTGGATGTAGAATATGTCTCGTGATGTGATATAGATGTGTCATCTACATGAATTAGAAATAAGAACATATTGGAATGCCTGGCAAGAGGTCTGGACAAAAGCAGAGAGCAGTTAGGTGTGGTCAGAGACAAACGGAATGATAGAGGTCAGCAGGTTTTGGGATCATAGCACCCGTGCTGGATCCAGATCCTGGCTTAGAGTATAAACTGAACTGCACCACCTGAAATGGAAGTTACGACTTCTGGAAAAGAAGACTGAATCATAGAGAATGAATAGAAGAGGGTAGAACATTGTAGTCATTCAAAAGGATCAAAGAGAAAGGTTATCAGGATGATCCTAGAGCTAGCATTGAATCTATAAATGACTTTGGGCAGTATGGCCATTTTCATGATATTGATTCTCCCTATCCATGAGCATGGAATGTTTTTCCATTTGCTTGTGTCTTCTCTTATTTCCTTGAACAGTGGTTTGTAGTTCTCCTTGAAGAAGTCCTTCACATCCCTTGTAAGTTGAATTCCCATGTCTACAAACATGACAAAATTACCTTCCACCCCTACTACACAACTAAAGAAATCCTAGGCCTATTTCTCCTCCTCCTCGCCCTAATAACACTGGTACTATTCTCACCCGACCTTCTAGGCGACCCAGACAACTATACCCTAGCCAACCCCCTAAACACCCCACCCCACATTAAACCCGAATGTTACTTTCTATTCGCCTACGCAATCCTACGGTCCATTCCCAAAAAACTAGGAGGCGTATTAGCCCTCCTATTATCAATTCACAATTTGTAGCAATTGTGAATGGGATTTCACTCATGATTTGGCTCTCTGTTTTTCTGTTATTGGTGTATAGGAATGCTTGTGATTTTTGCCATTGATTTTGTATCCTGAGATTTTGCTGAAGTTGCTTATCAGCTTAAGAAGTTTTTGGGCTGAGGCGATGGGGTTTTCTAAATACACTATCATGTCATCTACAAACAGAGACCATTTGACTTTCTCTCTTCCTATATGAATACCCTTTATTTCTTTCTCTTGCCTAATTGCCCTGGTCAGAACTTCCAATACTATGTTGAATAGGAGTGGTAAGAGAGGGCATCCTTGTCTTGTGCTGGTTTTCAAAGGGAATGCTTCCAGCTTTTGCCCATTCAGTATGATATTGGCTGTGGGTTTGTCATAAATAGCTCTTATTATTTTGAGATATGTACCAACAATACCTAGTTTATTGAGTGTTTTTAGCATGAACAGGTGTTGAATTTTATCGATGGCCTTTTCTACATCTATTGAGATAATCATGTGGTTTTTGTCATTAGTTCTGTTTATGTGATAGATTACATTTATTGATTTGCATATTTTGAACCAACCTTGCATCCCAGGGATGAAGCCGACTTGATCATGGTGGATAAGCTTTTTGATGTGCTGCTGGATTCAGTTTGCCAGTATTTTGTTGAGGATTTTCACGTTGATGTTCATCAGGGATATTGGCCTGAAATTTTCCTTTTTTTGTTGTGTCTCTGCAGGGTTTTGGTATCAGGACGATGCTGGCCTCATAAAATGAATTAGGGAGGATTCTCCTTTTTCTATTGATTGGAATAGTTTCAGAAGGAATGGTACTAGCACCTCTTTGTATCTCTGGTAGAATTCAGCTGTGAATCCGTCTCGACTTGGGCATTTTTTGGTTGGTAGGCTATTAATTACTGCATCAGCTTCAGAACTTGTTATTGGTTTATTCAGGGATTCGATTTCTTCCTGGTTTCGTCTTGGGAGGGTGTATGTGTCCAGGAATTTATCCATTTCTTCTAGATTTTCTAGTTTATTTGTGTAGAGGTGTTTATGGTATTCTCTGATGGTAGTTTGTATTTCTGTGGTATCAGTGGTGATAGCCCCTTTATCATTCTTTATTGTGTCTATTTGATTCCCCTCTCTTTCCTTCTTTATTAGTCTGGCTAGTGATCTATCTATTTTGTTAATCTTTTCAGAAAACCAGCTCCTAGATTCACTGATTTTTTGAAGGGTTTTTTTTGTTTCTCTATCTCCTTCAGTTCTGCTCTGAACTTAGTTATTTCTTGTCTTCTGCTAGCTTTTGAATTTGTTTGCTCTTGCCTCTCTAGATCTTTTAATTGTGATATTAGGGTGTCGATTTTAGATCTTTCCCCCTTTCTTATGTGGGCATTTAGTGCTATAAATTTCCCTCTAAATACTCCTTTAGCTGTGTCCCAGAGATTCTGGCATGTTGTGTCTTTGTTCTCATTGGTTTCAAAGAACTTATTTATTTCTGCCTTAATTTTGCTATTTACCCAGTAGTTATGCAGGAGCAGATTGTTCAGTTTCCATGCAGTTGTGTGGTTTTGAGTGAGTTTCTTAATCCTAGGTTCTAATTTGATTGCACTGTGGTCTGAGAGACTGTTTGTTATGATTTCCGTTCTCTTGCATTTGGTGAGGAGTGTTTTACTTCCGATTATGTGGTCAATTTTAGAATAAGTGTGATGTGGTGCTGAGAAGAATGTATATTCTGTTGATATGGGGTGGAGAGTTCTGCAGATGTCCATTAGGTCTGCTTGGTCCAGAGCTGAGTTCAAGTCCTGGATATCCTTGTTAATTTTCTGTCTCGTTGATCTGTCTAATATTGACAGTGGGGTGTTAAAGTCTCCCACTATTATTGTGCGGGAGTCTAAGTCTCTTTGTAGATCTCTAAGAACATTCTTTATGAATCTGGGTGCTCCTGTATTGGGTACATATATATTGAGAATAGTTAGCTCTTCTCTTTGTATTCATCCCTTTACCATTATGTAATGCCCTTCCTTGCCTTTTTTGATCTTTGTTGGTTTAAAATCTGTTTTACCAAAGACTAGGATTGCAACCTCTGCTTTATTTTGCTTTCCATTTGCTGCTAATATTCCTCCATCCCTTTATTTTGAGCCTGGGTGTGTCTTTGTACATGAGATGGGTCTCCTGAATATAGTATACCGATGGGTCTTGACTCTTTCTCCAATTTGCCAGTCTGTGTCTTTTAATTGGGGCATTTAGCCCACTTACATTTAAAGTTAATGTTACGTGTGAATTTGATCCTGTCATCATGATGCTAGCTGGTTATTTTGCACATCAGTTGATGCAGTTTCTTCATAGTGTCGTTGGTCTTTATATTTTGGTATGTTTTTGCAGTGACTGGTACTGCTCCTTCCTTTCCATATTTAGTGCTTCCTTCAGGAGCTCTTGTAAGGCAGGCCTAGTGGTGACAAAATCCCTCAGCATTTTCTTCTCCGTAAAGGATTTTATTTCTCCTTCACTTATGAAGCTTAGTTTGGCTGGATCTGAAATTCTGGGTTGAAAATTCTTTTCTCTAAGAACGTTGAATATTAGTCCCCACTCTCTTCTGGTTTGTAGGGTTTCTGCAGAGAGATTCACTGTTAGTCTGATGGGCTTCCCTTTGTGGGTAATCAGACCTTTCTGGGTGCCCTGAACATTTTTTTCGTCGTTTCAACTCTGGATCTGATGATTATTTGTCTTAGGGTTGCTCTTCTTGAGGAGTATCTTTGTGGTGTTCTCTGTATTTCCTGAATTTGAATGTTGGCCTGTCTTGCTAGGTTAGGGAAGTTCTCCTGGATAATATCCTGAAGTGTATTTTCCAACTTGGCTCCATTCTCCTCATCGCTTTCAGGTACCCCAATCAATCGTAGGTTTGGTCTTTTCACATAGTCCCATATTTCTTGGAGGATTTGTTTGTTCCTTTTCATTCTTTTTTCTCTAATCTTGTCTTCATGCTTTATTTCATTAAGTTGATATTCAATCTCTGATATCCTTTCTTCTGCTTGATTGATTTGGCTATTGATACTTGTGTATGCTTCACGAAGTTCTCGTGCTGTGTTTTTCAGCTCCATCAGGTCATTTATATTCTTCTCTAAACTGGTCATTCTAGTTAGCAGTTCCTGTAACCTTTTATCAAGGTTTTTAGCTTCCTTGCGTGGGGTTAGAACATGCTCCTTAAGCTTGGAGGAGTTTGTTATTACCCACCTTCTGAAGCCTACTTCTTTCAATTCGTCAAACTCATCCTTCATCCAGTTTTGTTCCCTTGCTGGAGAGGAGTTGTGATCCTTTGGAGGAGAAGAAGCATTCTGGTTTTTGGAATTTTCAGCATTTTTGCACTGGTTTTTCCTCATCTTTGTGGATTTACTTACCTTTGATCCTTGATGCTGATGACCTTTGGATGGGGTTTTTGCATGGGTGTCCTTTTTGTTGATGTTGATGTTACTGCCTTCTGTTTGTTAGTTTTCCTTCTAACAGACAGGCCCCTCTTCTGTGGGTCTGCCGGAGTTTACTGGAGGTCCACTCCAGACCCTGTTTGCCTGGGTATCACCAGTGGAGGCTGCAGAACAGCAAAGATTGCTGCCTGTTCCTTTCTCTGGAAGCTTTGTCCCAGAGGGGCACCCACCAGATGCCAGCCAGAGCTCTCCTATATGAGATGTCTGTCGACCCCTGCTGGGAGGTGTCTCTCCATTAGGAAGCACAGGGGTCAGGGACCCACTCGAGGAGGCAGTCTGTCCCTTAGCAGTGCTCTAGTACTGTGCTGGGAGATCTGCTGCTGTCTTCAGAGCTGGCAGGCAGGAATATTTAAGTCTGCTGAAGCTGTGCCCATAGCCACCCCTTCTCCCTTGTGTTCTGTCCCAGGGAGACAGGAGTTTTATGCATAAGCTCCTGACTGGGGCTGCTGCCTTTCTTTCAGAGATGCCCTGTCCAGAGAGGAGGAATCTAGAGAGGCAGTCTGGCTACAGTGGCTTTACACTGCAGTGCATTCTGCCTAGTTTGAACTTCCAGGCAGCTTTGTTTACACTGTGAGGGGAAAACCGCCTACTCAAGCCTTAGTAATGGTGGGTGCCCCTCACCACACCAACCTTGAGCAACCCAGGTCGACTTCAGACTTCTGGGCTGGCAGTGAGAATTTCAAGCCAGTGGATATTAGCTTGCTGGGTCCATGAGGGGTGGGACCTGCTGAGCAAGACGACTTGGCTTCCTGGCTTCAGCCCCCTTTCCAGGGGAGTGAATGTTTCTGTCTCGCTGGAGTTTCAGGTGCCAGTGGGGTACAAAACAACAACAACAACAGCAACAACAACAATAAAAAAACTCCTGCAGCTAGCTCAGTGTCTGCCCAAATACCTGCCCAGTTTTATGTTTGAAACCCAGGGCCCTGGTGGTATAGGCACCCGAGGGAATCTTCTGCTCTGTGGGTTGCAAATCCATGGGAAAAATGTAGTATCTGGGCCAGATAGCATTGTCCCTCAGGGCACTGTCCCTCATGGCTTCCCTTGGCTAGGGGAGGGAGTTTCCCAACCCCTTGCACTTCCCGGGTGAGGCAATGCCCCAACATGCTTCTGCTCACCCTCCGTAGGCTGCACCCACTGTCTAACCAATCCCAATGAGATGAACCGGATACCTCTCTTGGAAATGCAGAGATCACCCACCTTCTGTGTTGGTCTCGCTGGGAGCTACAGACCATAGCTCTTCCTATTTGGCCATCTTGCCAGATCCTCCCAATTTAGCATAATTTTTAAAAGCCCTAGGGTTCCTGGACTGGCAAATAAGCATTGGCTTCCACTTAAAGTTCAGCAGCACGTTAACCCATAACAAGAGGGTCAGCTTGTCCTTTGAAGTTTCAAAGCCAAGCATTGACTTCTCTAGCTACAAAAGTCCGAGATGGCATATGCTTGCAATAGAAGGCTGTTTTGTCTACATTGAAAATCTGTTGTTTAGCATAGCCATCTTCATTAGTGATCTTAGCTAGATCTTCTGAATAAACTTGCTGCAGTTTCTATATAAGCACTTACTGCTTCACCTTGCACTTTTATGTTATGGAGACAGCTTCTTTCCATAAACCTCATGAACCAACATCTGTTAGTGTCTAACTTTTCTTCTGCTCTTCCTCACCTCTCTCAGCCTTCATAGAATTGAAGAGAATTAGGCCCTGCTCTTTATTAGGTTTTGAAATGGAATGTTGTGGCTGGTTTGACCTTCTATCCAAACTACTACAACTTCCTCCGTATTAGCAATAAGGCTTTCACTTTCTTTTAATTTGCGTGTTCACTGAAGTAGCACTTTCAGTGTCATTCAGGAACTTTTCCATTGCATTTACAACTTGGTTAACTGGTGCAAGAGGCCTAGCTTTCAGCCTATCTCAACTTTTGACATAGCTTCCCCACTAAGCTTAATCATTTTTGGCTTTTGATTTAAAGTGAAGGAATCTTCCTTTTGCTTAAACACTTAAAGGCTATTGTAGGGTTATTAGTTGATTTAATTTCAATTTGTTGTGTCTCAGGTAACAGAAAGAGGAGGAGAGACAGTGGAATGAATGGCTGGGGTGGTGGAGGAATCAGAACACACCTAACATTTATGGGTTAAGTATACCGTCTTACATGGGCACAGTTTGTGGTGCCTCAAAACAACTACAATAGCAACATCAAAGATCACTGATTACAGATCATCATAACAGATATAATAATAATGAAAAAGTTTGAAATACTGTGAAAATTACTAAAAATGTGACACAGACAAAATATGCAGATATTGTTGGAAAATGGTGACGCAGCGTTGCCATACACCTTCAATTTGTAAAAAATAAAACAAAAACAATATCTGTGAAGCACAATAAAATGAGCTTTGCCTGTATACATAATAACAAGAGCTTTATAGATGATCTACAAAATTGTTTGAAATACCAAGTTATCAAAAGAAGAATTGATAGCTACATGGGATGAGAACTAACATTTACTGAGGTCTTTTTATATGTTATTACATTTTTCCTAGCAACATTTGTGCAAGGTAGGTGATTAATGATGAATTTTGGAGAAAGAAACTAAAGCTACAAAAGATGATGCAACTTGTTCAAGATTTGAATTTAGATCTGTCATTTGGGTTAGCTCCAGAGTGACAAATGCAGATGTTACCTCCCTTACTTGACGTTGATTTCCATGAAACTGTGTATGCCTCATGCCTGTTAACTCATAATATCTATAGCTAAAAGGATAAAAGTAAAACCTTAGGAGAATGGTGTTGAAGCACTTCACTTTTCAGAGCTTTAGGAGTCCTTAGAGTTGCCTCAGAAACCATCTTAACCAGCAAAAGAAGAGCTGAGCTGATGCGGCTCTAAATCACTACCCTCACCTTAACCAGAGAAACTTCATTTTGTCTTTTTATGTATTGGAATTTATGCTTATATTTTATTTGGAGGAAGGATTTCACTCCTACAAAAAGTTTAAAAAATAGATACTAGGATTACCAACAGGCAAACAACTTTCCTGAAAATTTTCAATGGACGATTCAACTATTGTAGAAAAAAAAACCTTTTTTTTGAAACCCAGTAATTTGCTATGGCAAGAAACAAATATTTCTTGAAAATATGCATGCCATATTCTGTCAGTTGATCATAACTTTTTGTTATAATCAATGAGAGATGATCTTGTTACATGGGAGGAGATACATTTTTGAAAAACTAAGACCAAGCACCTACTGGACCCAAAGACTGGTACATGAGAACCTCTGTGAAATGCAAATGTGATCCTTCAGTTGTTGTCAAAGTACTGGCTAGAAAAATGGTTAATGGTGAAAATCGGCAATAGCAGAAAAACAGGATACTGATGAAAATGCAGTGCATGGTGTTGCTGCTCAAATAACACTTCTTGACTACAGTGGCTTTATCTACATGCATGGATGAATTAGAGAGGGAAATAAGACTAAGCTTCATTTCTCTGTGCAGTCTAGCAAGGTCTTCTCAACTGAGATTTCAAAAACATGTTGGAAGAAAGCTTACTATACTTTTATCCATTAACTCTGAAATATTAGTTAAAAACATTATATTCCGAAAATATTACATTTAGCAAATCAGCCATTTGAGTGTTTCACTTTGCCAGATTTTCTGAGCTTTGGTGACCCATCTTTGTACATTAAATAGGAAAAAAAAGAATGATATATTTTAAGGCAGATTTTTGCTTCACTAAAAGCTAAAATGATTAACTTGCGAACAAAGACCAAGTTGGACAAGAGCCTTTTTAATTTTGGAAATTTTTGTGGGAAGGCCTGGAAATAAAAAGTGACAAGTGAATGAGTTGGAAATTACAACAATAATTACACAACTTTGAACTTACCATCATAAATTGTAGATACTTGTTAGAATGCATACTGCAGTTTCAGCAAAGCAATGCTAATGGGGGTAATAAATCTTAAAGTGAAGCACGCAAGTATTTAAAACAAGCATTAGACTAACCAAAGAAAATATTTTAAATGAGCAATGCTAAATGAATCAAGTCCTTTCCAGGTAGCAGGAGTCTCCTGGATCTCATGGTCTGGAGTATACCAAATGGTTTTTACATGTGCTGATGTCCTATTTGTGAGTATTAGTAATGGAGCAAAAAATAATAATGAGATAAAACATTAAGGAGTAATAAAAGCTCTAATACTACTTGGGCCAATGAGAAAAGGTAGAAAATTAGTAGGAAGTTTTAAAATGGAACAATAAAAGAGAAAGGAATTATAAGATACCTGGATCTTTCTTACAAATTCATCCACACAAAAGTGGACTTTTTTTTCCTGCGACCAGTTACAGAATTAAATTTAAAAGTTTAAAAACATATAATGGCATCATCACTAAGTATTAAAAATAAATATAAATAAACCTATAGTGTGCATATTATGTATAAATTCTTGGGCCAATGAACAATAATGAAATAATTGGTATATATAATGCTGTCATTCATTCCTTCAGAAAGAGATGTTCTTCTGTGGTTCTCTATATTGATCCCTAACCATAAGGGAAGTAGAGCAATTGTTTTGAGAACATTAAGGTAGAACAAAAAGTAAAGTCTGCATAAGTTTTCTGCACCATTTTACAGATGTAAACAGCGCATAATTATTTAGTTTGTATTTCTCATTTTCCTTTCTCACCAGTACAATGGAATGGCTAGTTTAAACCATTTAAGCCATTTCAGCTATTTCCTCCATGGTATATGTTTGTGATGAGAAGTCTGGCCTAGTTCAATAAGAAGGTTTACAAAGTTGGCAGACTCAGATGCTGTCTGTAAAGGGTGTGTTTAAGGGGGGGTGTCAAGTAGGGGCAGTGTGTATGTATGGGTGGAATTTACAATGCTGAAAATTTTAGAAAAAAGGGGAAATGCCTTTGCTAACTCAATCATCTTCTGCTGACAGTAGCCTAGCCTTGGGGAAAAGGAGTGCATTTATGTGATTCTTTTCTCTAGTAACCTTCAAGGTGTTTCAAACGTGAATTTTCCTCTTTTACTTGACAGAATGCAATGAGCCAGATTTCCCCTTTCTCTTTGGAGGACTTGCTGTTCCCAGAGCTGATGAATCTATGCAAAGCAGCCCCACAGAACAGCAAAAGGCCATCCCAGAGCTTCTCACACAGAGTCTCATTTTCAAATGCCAAGAAAGGAGAGCAGATGGTCTATCTGTACTTTGCATTTTCTTCCTCCTATAGGGGAAGTGTTCAGAGCCCAGTTCTAACATTCTGATACTCTGTATTTCTACACATCAGCAAATAGTAAAGTGCATTTTAATGCCATGACTGTGACTGAGCTCATTAGAATGCTTCCTCTGTCTCTAGAGCCTTTATCTCCAGCTCAACCTATATATGTCATAGAGCCTCAAATGTTATAGCGCTGAATAAATACATGTTGGATTAATAAATGAGTCTCTCAAACACCATAACCACACACAGGTTAACTGTGCAAAGATCAGCTAGGTTGCTAATCTGGTTCAGGCTCTCCAAGGACAGGTGGATCTGAACCTTTTCTCTCTGAAATACACGAAGTAGGAAGGGTCATTTTCCTTCATATGCATGTGATACAGGGAACTAAATACACAGGAGCAATGGGGAAGGTTTACCAGAGGGGAAGGCTGTTTAAAAGCACTGTGATAGCCCCTTTGGCTATTGTGAATTCATCAGAGCTAACAAGTCAGATAGGATGTGCTCAATAAGTATTTGTTGTTGATTAATGACTTGTTGATTACAGAAAATGAGCAAGGGTTTCTAGTCAGTCTGTTTACACATTGTATTGATTTCCTCCTAAGCCTTCAATACTTGCCAAGTTAATTTTCAGGGGAACAGCAAGCAAGTCACTGATGCTCTGGGGGTTGGCAAATAAATACAAAAAGTTAACAGAGTTCTCCTAAGCAGTATCTTGATGTTCAGTGTTGACCTGCAAGGGAGAGGACTAGAGAGGACACTAGCAAAGCACAAGCAAATCTGTTTTCCCCTGAAGCTGGACTGTCGTCTGCAAGGCTCTTGCCATGTGTCATGTCCAAAAACCCAAATGGCTTTTGCTAGGGAATACTATGCAAGTGATGTCATGAGCTCATCTTGAGTCAAATTAACAAGTGATTATATGAAGCTGTGATTTTGCAAAGTGAAACTCACTAAGCAGTGCTACCATTGATCATTTTCTTTTCCCGTGGGGATATGCAAATTGAAACAACAATTATTTTTGAAAGGTACATTCTTTAAAGAGCTTCTCAATGAAAAATTTACAGTAGTCCTTTGCCTTCTCTGTGGCTTTCCTTTCCAAAGTTCAGTTACCTGCAGTCAACTGCAGTCCAAAAATAATAAATGAAAAAGTCTAGAAATAAACAATTCATATGTTTTCAATTATGCCCCATTATGAGTAGTGTGATGAAATCTCTCACCATCCCACTCCGTTCTAGGCAGGACATGAACCACTCCTTTGTCTAGTGTATCCATGCTGCATACACTATCCACCAGTTAGTCACTTGGGAACCCCCTTGCTTATTAGATTGAAAACACATAGCATGTATAGGGTTCGGTACCATCTGAGGCTTCAGGCATCCACTGAGGCTCTTGGAACATATCCCCTCAGATAAAGGGGCACTTGTTGTATTCATAAAGTTGCAGTTTTCACATTAATGTCATAGCATTTCACATTTGTTCCTATTAATGTATTGAGTATTTAAATGAAAATGAAAGAATGGTTTAAGACCTAGAGTCCCAAATTTTGTTGTACAAAGATTCTGTGTTAAGTGTCAACAGTTCCCTCTGCTGCCACATAATGTAATCAGTGATATTTTTGTTACTCCATGAATGAATTCAGAGATGCTTTTAATTATTAGTATCTAGTTAATCACAGCATAAATTCATTATATGTGAAGCTAACACCGCATAAAGATAATGCTTGACTTTATAGGGAAGTGCATTGTGGACTATTCACAATCACTTGCTTGCCTGCTGGATTTTGTGGCCACAGCTAGAGACACATTAATCTAGAGCATGAACCAACCTGTGTAAGATAGATCTCATCAGTGTTTCAGGAGGCCATTAGACTGCCTTCTGTAGGAGAAACAAAGGAAATGGTCTCTCTGGATAAGCCTCCTTGCAGAATGCTGTATGTGTACACAGTGGGGGCAGAATAAGACCACAGGCACTCTGTGTGGGCATCTGAAGGCATCAGTCATGGAGTTTTCACCTCATCCATCATTGACAGTTTGCTACCCTTACCAAAAAAAAAGCCACATAAACCTCTGTCCATTTACATCAATCCAAATACTTTTGGGGTTCAATTCATATTTTGGATAGGTTGATTGGAAACATTCTTCACAATAATAACTTAAAGAACATATTATATATATGTTTATTTTTATAAAGATTTTTGGAATTGTTCTAGCCTGTTAGGTGAGAGTAATTAAATTTTATAAGTTATGTATATGATAACAAAACAAATATGGAATGAACAAACTTATAATCTGTTACTTTTTTCATAGATTTAGAACAGATATTATGCTAAAATTATGAAACACAAAGGTAAAATTTCTCTATTGATACTGACAAAAAGAATCTATTAAGAGAAATATGAAAATGTAGAATCTCACTGATGCATTGTGGAAATGTCTGATAGCTGATAGCTGGACATGTGCCCTTTTGTCCATGAGAGATCCAAAATCTTTAGCTTGCCAGCAGAATAATAAATAAGAACGTTTTGCATTCCAGATTCAATTCGTTACAATAAGTTTTATACATTTATATAAGTTTCCATGAATAGGAAAAATATGAGAGAATTTAAGAAACAGAGAATGTGATTTATGATAAGTAAAATGTAGAGTTGAAAAACATATCCAACAAATCTAAGAAATATAAACTTCAATACAGTTACATTGGCTCAATTATCATGAAGGTGAAAGCATTTATTAAACTATCAGCCTCAGAAATTGAAGACTAAACAGAACTACAATATATAATCTTGCCAGTTAATCTTTTTTTACTATGGCCATTGTCTTCAATCATGACCTTAATGTCTTCAATAATAAATTCACCTGGGGAATCATTCTGGCAAAGATGTTTGGCATATATATATATATATATATATATATATATATATATATATATAGTCTTTGGGACTTTTTACAAGGACATCAAAGACAGTTTTATAGCCAGCTATTTTTTTTTTTTTTCAGACGGGGTCTTGCTCTGTCACCAGGCTGGAGTGCAGTGGCACTATCTCGGCTCACTGCAACTTCCGCCTCCTGGGTTCAAGCAATTCCCCTGCCTCAGCCTCCCAAGTAACTGGGATTACAGGTGCATGCCACCATGCCTGGCTAATTTTTTGTATTTTAGTAGAGACGGGGTTTCTCCATGCTTGCCAGGATGGTCTTGATCTCCTGACCTCGTCATCCGCTCGCCTCGGCCTCCCAAAGTGCTGGGATAACAGGCGTGAGCCACCGTGCCTGGCCAGCCAGCTATTTTTAAAAACTAACTTTATTAATGTAATTTTTCACAGATTCAGAAGAGTTGTACATTATATATTATATGTCACATACTAAGTTCATACAACACTACATTTCATATACAGTAAAACTCCAAATGTACATTATCTTTGCGTTTATTTGGTTTGAGTTTGAGTTATAAGAAATTTAGAACATAAATACAACCAAGAATCATTGAACAAAAAGCTATTTTCTTATTTCTACACTTTTTTCTCATTTTAAGTACTTTGTATTAACTTTATATGCATTCTGATGTATTATTACACTAGAATATAATACCTGAAAGTGGTGGAAAGATTCTAGCTCTTCAGGTATGATTGCAAAATACAAGTAAGTTATGAACTTAGGTACAAGAGATTTTATACCCAAGTAACGTTGTATTTTAAATTAATTCACTGAGAATTTAACTTGCTCTCTCAAGATATTAAATTTCTACCATAGTCTATGCATATCATAGATGGAAATATAACTAAGTCTACACCCTAAGGAGCTCAGGTCTAGTAGATGAAATAAATACCTCAAGATAGCAAAACATAGAAAGATAAGTTCTGACATACATGTACAAAGTGTAACAGAAGCAATGAAGATGAAACAATTATCAGTGCCAAGAGTTCAGAGATGGGATGTCTGAACAAAATAATGAATGAAGAATTTTCCTAACATGAAATAAGCTGGAGGATGGGGTGGAAGCAGGAGGTAGTAGTAGAAGTGGAGATATTCTAAGCAGAGAGCAACATTCTGAAATTATGTGTAAAGATTTCAAGGGAAAGTGCACAATTCTGTCAATTTCAAGACTCAATTGATGGTCTCTCCCAGATCTTAAATTCTATTTCACATCTATTCATAAAAACATAAAAATTAACTTGAAAGCAGAAAATGTATTAATTTTCATGGAAAATTTTCTGAAAAATGTTAGTCCATCCATAGAAAGAACATTTTAAAAACCAAACGTTTAAATACCTGCCAACTCACCAAAGTCCAAGACTCAAGCTGATCTTATAACATGTAAGATCATGCTAAAAATCTCATTTTTATTTCCCTCCATGCTATCTTAATGGGCAATGCCCTGACCTACACCAGCATACCAGTGATTACCTATTTTCATACTGACAAATTCTCCACAAGTGCTCAGAGTCCCAACAGGGGCTAAGATATTAGGAAATGTTCATATCCACAAAGGGATCAGAAATTCTTTTAAAACAAAAAGTGAATCACTTTAGGGACAGAGTGAAGTAGCTAAGGGAATTTTTCCAGCAGTGTGAAACATAATTGCTAGCTAGAAAGTTGCGCTTGAACTAACAATACCCAATCCTCCTGGAAAGGAACTGAAATCTCACATTCAGTATTAGTGAAATTAAATGCAAACTGGCTGAATCATGAGAAAATGTAGACAGAGGAATGAACACAAGAATGGTCTTATGGTCTTCCTAGTCCTTAAAATGCCTCAGAGTCACTATGGAGCCACTCAAGACTTTGAAGTGTTGTGGGCATAGAACCTTAATAACCTTATTACAATAGGATTGGTTCCTCTTGGTCAACAGTGGTGGAGAGTGGATTCTTCTGGAGGATCATAATGTAAGCTATATTTCCAGGAGAACCAGGAAGTAATCCCACTTCCCTATGACCTCCATAGGACAGAACTTCTGATTTATCAAGGTGGCAGGCCACTGTTGCTCCCCTTTCTGTCCATCACTGTGGCCTCAGGCACAGTGGTTCTGCTCCATGCCCACCTGAGCACTACGTCTTCAATCTTCTTCAAATAGAGCAACTGCTTCTACTGAGATGGCTTCTTCAATCTTCCTCTACAGTGCCAGAGAACCAATCCTGACATTGTTTTGTCTTTCATTTTTCTTAATCTTGGGAAGGTGATGAGGTGCTGAGACGCAAATAAACTAAAAACAGTCCAAAAATTGGACACAGACCAGAGAGAAGACAGAGCTTTAAAATATATAGAATAGTGATAGAAAGGAAGAAAAATAAAATTTATTCCATAGTAAAGTCTTGACTAAATCTTGATTAAAATTGTAATCCTTAATTGATCAAATTCACTTTTAAAAACTGCTTTTAAATAGGCAAATCATAACGTTTAGCAAATCACAAGAAGAGTTTTAGAATGCTGCATTATTATCAATTTAAGGGTATGTACTTGAGCAAAATAAATTTATCTTACATTTCTACATTTTCTTTATCTTCTTTTACAGTTACAGCGAGAGACTTATTTGCAATTCAGAACACTGAGTAATAAAATATGTATTCATCAAAGAAAAATCATTAATATTTAGTACTATTGTGTTTATGAATATGTGGTACCACATTTCAACATCAGTGGTTAAAATTTGTAACAAAAATGCATCATTTCCCCAGGATTCCAAAGAGTTACAGTTTCACTACATGTAAAGCTTGTCAAGGACACATTTAGAAGAATGCATTCTAACCCATTTTTAAGAAATAATTCAGCAATGTGATATCTATTATTATTAGAATTACATCCCTACCTCTGCCTTAGAGCTTCTATTTTTCAGTCAGTCTTACTAGGCAAAGTCAAGATGATGTTTATGGTTTCAGGTTACAGAGAGTTTGGATTCTAAAAATCTCATTTATAAAAGGTTGTTCCCATTATAAATGGATCCATTCATTCTGCAAATATTTGTTGAGTATAACTGCCAGGGCACTGTTCAATGTGCTCCCAGTACACCAGTGAGCACAGCAGCCTAAGTTCCATGGCCTTTAAGAGTTACATTCTAGTGGGAGAGACATGATAAAACAGAATAAGGCCAAGGCAGGAGGATCACTTGAAGCCAGGAGTTTGAGGCCAGCCTGGGAAACAGAGTGAGACCCTCATGTCTACTAAATAAATTAATTAATTAAAAAAAAAAACTGGGCTTGGTGGTCCACACTTGTAAGCCCAGTTACTTGGGAGGCTGAGGCAAGAGGATCCCTATAACTCAGGATTTCGAGGCTGCAGTGAGCTATAATCACATTATTGCACTCCAGCTTGCAAGACGGACCAAGGCCCTATCTCTAAAATATCAAACAAACAAAGAAAAATATAATAAATAACAAGATTACATAGATGTTAAAAGGTGATAAGGACTATGAAAAAAACCAAAAATACTCAACATCAAGAAAAGGATTGAGTATGCAGTGGTAGGGTAGAGGGTGAGGGAGAAGTGTGGATTGAATTCTTCAATAGGGTAGGTGGGATGAACCTCATTGAGAAGGTGAAAAGTGAGCAGAGATTTGAAGGAAGTGAGAGAGTAAGCCAAGTGGGTGTCTGAAAGAGCAGTGGCCCTGGCAGAGGAAAGAGGTAGAACAAATATACAACTCCAGCAGTTTCCTAAGGCAGCTAGAATGTCCCCAGATGATGAACATCAGAATTGGCTGCACCACTAGAAATCGTATGACTGAATTTTATTTTTCACAGATAAGGAAACCAAGGCTGAAATAAGGTCAATGACTTCTCCAGGATTCCATGTCTAGTTTATAGAAGAAGCAGCTCTAGCACAGCTCCTAGCCCAGCTCTTCTGAAAGTCATTGCAGACTTTCTTTCTTTTTACTTTTTCTTTTCTTTTTTCTTTTCTTTTCTTTTCTTTGAGACAGAGTCTCTTCTGTCTCCCAGGCTGGAGTGCAGTGGTGTGATCTCAGCTCACTGCAACCTCTGCCTCCTGGGTTCAAGTGAATCTCCTGCCTCAGCCTCCTGAGTAGCTGGGACTACAGGCGCCCACCAACACGCCTGGCTTATTTTTGTATTTTTAGTAGAGATAGGGTTTCACCATATCAGCCAGGCTGGTCTCCAACTCCTGGCCTCAGGTGGTCTGCCCATCTCGGCCTCCCAAAGTGCTGGGATCACAGGCATGAGCCACTGTGCTCAGCCTTCAAACTGTTATTGAACACTGCATTTGTGATGCATGCTGTGAGTGTTTCCACAAACTTGTAGATGCAGTTTTTCCTTAAAGAACTTGAAATCTAGATGTATACTTAAGATTGTATAAAATATAGGATAAAATTTAATAGTGAATAGATGAATATTAAATTGTTTCATAAAGTTTAGGCTTGAACGAGTTTAATGATGGGAATAGTAACTGTGTGAGTCATCAGAAATGAGCCTTTTGCTATGCTTTAAACGATAGGTCAAGTAGATGAGCGAGCATGCATAGAAGGTGAATTTCAAATAAGGAGAGCAGGGTGAAATAAATTATTCAACACTTGGCCTCTAATACATTTCATGTGTGAAGAAGCGTGTGTTACTGGATTCAGAGATGCCTGCAATATTGTCCCTGCCCTCTCAGAACAGAGTGCATAACAGCAAGTGAAGGGGCAATACTATTCCATAAATAGGATGAGGTTTGCCTTAGTAAGACATTGACATCCAGTCACAGGTGTGCTGAGTTTCAGTGCGTAGTAAGCCAGAGAAAAAGTAGACATCAATGATTTTAGAGGGAAAGGAACAACTATAGAAGCTTGGGAATTGGGAAGGAAGGATTTCATGGGCCATGTGTGTTTATAAAGTAGGATCAATGCTTAAGATGCCAGGTAACAGGCCACTGGAAGTTAGAACCTGGCATTACTAAACTTCTCAGTGAGGAAGTTCCAAGGGCATGGATAAACTGTAGGAAAGCTGATAGTAGCAGGTTAGGTCCTGGAGTTGTGTAAAGTTAAAATAAGAATTTTGGTAGTATTGGAATATCTGGCAATGAGTTGGGAAAATTTTTCAAAGGGGACTAGCCCAGGCTAATTGTATAAAGTCCGTAGATAATGGTCGGTGTACTAGCTGCACTAGAATATCCTGGACGGCAAGCTTTTCAATATTATAGATTCCTGAGCCCCAGCGTCAGAGATTTTGTTGTACAGTCATGTTTAGAACCACTAGGATAGCCTATACTGGGTGTGATGGCATGAAGGAGGAAGTCAGACTTGAAGAGTGGCATAAATCAATGGCAAGGCTGTGATGAGATGTAAAGACATGGCAGTGACCACATGCCAGAGCGTCACTCTTAACTGATTTGAGTGAAGTCAATAAATGTAGAGCTCCTCAGGAGGATGGCAAGTGCTACAATGTCTCAAGTGACCTTTCAATTAGGTCAAAGACCCTGCAAGAAAGATTTGGTCTTACGTAAATTTAATAACAGTATTACAAGTGGTGATATAAAATGAATCAACAGCATTGATATTCCTGTTCATATAATTGCCCATGCTTTATATTGTCCCTTTACCCATAAAAGAACTGGCTTTAACTTATAAATCAGTCCCTCTTCTAAAAATGCCCAACTGGGCATTCCAATGTGTAAGGATGAATGCCATTGTTTCTGTTTTTAACAAATAAGTGCTAAGGAGTAATGACTGGGTTGCGTTTCTTATAGGAAAATTCAGCAGCTATCTTTTCTCTGTGGGAAGGGGTTCTATTTAGCATGCCCAGCTAAAGGAGAATTAAAAGGAGAAAAGAGGAGTAGTCAGCACAGTGTATTATCAGGGGGACATGGGATGTTTGCTCTGAATCCACGGAATTGTCTTAAAGAGGGAGTATGTTTTTCTTCACTCACCAGGTTGAGTTACATTATGAGTATTTTATTAGGGTTCTCCTGAGAAACAAACCAATAGGACACACGCACACACACACACACACACACACACACACACACGCATGCATGCATGTATATGGAGAGAAATATATATATATTAAGAGAGAGATTATAAAAAATTGGCTCACACAATTATGGAGGCTGAGAAATCCCAGAATCTGCCTTCTGCAAGATGGAACCCCAAAGAAGCAGTGGTATAATTCATTCTGAGTTCAAAAGGTAGGGAAAGATGAGATGAGCTGTTACAGCTCAGCAGTGAAGCAGGAAAAAATGAGTGAATTCCTCATTTCTCATTTCTACACCTTTTGTTCTCCTCAGGCCCTCAGTGGATTGGATAATGCCCACCCAAACTGAGGAGGGTAATCTACTGATTCCACCAATTCAAATGCTAGTCTTATCTAGAAACACCCTCAGAGACACACCCAGCAAAAATGGTTAATATTGGCACTCTGTGACCCAGTCAAGTTGACACATACAATTAACCACTATAGCTACCCTTAATTATGAGCCTCATCAGACTTCAGAAAGTACCAATTTGAGGAGAGCCAGCCGTAGGCAAAATTGTTGTCATTAGAAAATGGCTATTAGCTAGAATTAAACCCAGAAAATAATTTTTTGAAGGTCTAGGCACTTGTAGGTTGACAGACTCCCACCTCTTCTTGCTGGTGCTGGTGTGACTCTATTCTTTCTTGGGCTCTGATCTCCAAACAGTCCTTAATTTCATTCACTGTTCTTGATGTGGGATAAAATAAATGATGTAGGCTTGCTGAGTTTATTTCCAGTTAGCATCATCTTTTCTGCAGTAAAGATGCCTGAGGAGGCCCACCTTCATGCCAACCTGCAAAGTTCTACCTGCCAGGGTAGCCACCATGAGTTCTGTTGGCCAAAGTTTCTTAGACTCTACTCCAGGGCACACCAACTCTTCAAATGCCCACCAAGAAGGCATTTGGAGAGTTGATGTGCCCTGGAGTAGAGGTTAAAAAATTTTCTGGGAGTGCCCAAAGTGGGCAGAGAGCTTACGCTATGAAGGCAACACCATGGGCTGCTTGGGTTCTGTCCCACACACTGGGGGAAGTAAGTGGAGAGAGATATTTCAAGGCATGCTTAGGAGGGCAAGAGAAAAATACAATCATATGAAAGAAGAGGCCGTCTCCCAAGTGAATTCAAAAATAAGTGCAGTGTAATGGTCTAACTACAAAGTCCACATTCCTTCCACTCCATTATACTGCCTCAGACTATCTTCAATGCATTTGAATAGCTCTACCATGCCTCTCCTACCAAATTGTTATAACTCTATTATAACGTTAATATAATGTATATGGAAAGGACCAGCACAATGTATTACACATTTTCTTCTTTTCCTTTGAGACTTTTCACACATGTCAATACTTATAGGTAGATTGATTGTAGCAAGTATTGTTTATTGCCTTTTTGAGATATAAGGGCAATTTAAATAACATTTACTTAAATTATATTATTTGTTAGGAGTGATTTGAAGTGACACAAAATTCTAACAGGACATGATTGTTCAATCTATAGTTTAAACACTTGCCATTTTCCTCTTCATATTGGCTTTCTTTGGAAAAAAAGACTGTTTCAGAAAGACCAGCTGCTTTTAGTCAAATTGGGCAAAACAGAATCTAAGTATCTTGAAAAGGCTATTGCATTTCACCATTCTTACTGAATCCTTTATTCTTATGCAAATCAAGCCAGGAAGAATCAATGAAGCACCACCTGGCAAAGACCCAAAGATTCACCACCCATTTTGGCTAACCTAGAGACTTTATTTTCTCTTGGCATGAATAGTCCAAGAACTGTAACAAATAAACCTACATCATCTAACTCTTCCGGATGTTCAGAATTAGTCTCAGGTCCAAGCTGAATTCAGGGTCATCACTCCTGAATTGCTTTTTAAAAATCACTATAGAAAAACTATTGCCAAAACCATGGAACTTGACTAGGGAGCATGTGGGGAAAGAGTTGTTACCTAAAACACAGGAAGCTAAAATAAAAATGAACAATTTTTTTAAGGATAAGTGTATTTTAAATATTACATGAGACACATGTATAATAAAAACATATTCACAGTTTATCTGAAATTACAATTTAATTGAGCTTCTTTTATTTTTATTTGGTAGCTTTGGCAATCCCAAATAAAAAGAGACACAATCTATAATATGTTATTCTTTCAACTACAACAAATTAAGATCAGGCTTAATTTCTAGTTTTGGAGATGAAAAAAATATTCTGAGCTGAAGTTGCTTACAATGTATCATGATACTTCATACCAACTTTGACTGTGTGGACAGCTTTCCATCAGATTCTGAACTGATACTGATACCATCTGATGGCCTGTATAAGGCCCTTGTTAGTCATCAGGTAGGAATGAGTTCCAGCATCTCCCAGCATTGTCTGGAATAAAATCAGCTACTGTCCTCTGAGCTGAAAGGATGCCTTTTTATTATTGCCCAATCTCTTGAAGCATCCAGTCCCTACTTCCTACTCTTTATGACAGTCAGCATACAGTACTTTTTGTTCTAACAGGTGTATAATGATGTATCTGATTACTTATCACAAGGCATTTTGTTTTTCCAGACAGTAACAGGATGTCAGTGTAAAGAGTTTGTTCCTACTTCAATATGAACTAATAATTTTTAAATCCTTAAACTGAGAATTTTTGCTAGATGTGTTTTGGTTTATCAGACATCCTGAGCATCAGGCACATTCTCCTTCTTTGCTTCCCTATGTTAACAGCAAAACTAGCTTAATGTATTGAGCAGAGTCCTTGTTTAAGCTTGAACAAAAACTATCAGCTTTCTATCTGCTTAATTAAACCATAAAGTTGTACTTACATTCCATTGTGTGTAAGTGAAAAACAATTACTTCATGACATTATTCTTGTTTTTAAAAAAACCACACACAACAAAATCTTTTCGTTCAAATATCAGAGTAACAATGGTAGAAACATTTCACTACGACAAAACAGTGTTTACATTTTATGTTATAGAATTTCAGTATAAGAAATGCCTGTAGAAATACAAAATCAATGCTTAGCCAATGAGTGGGACAATCCTAGCATGTCTCCCGGGGCAGGATACAATACCTAATTGGAGACTCTATATAAATAACCAAACAATATTCATCATTGGGATACTGCAGTGGCCTCTTTCAAATCTCTATACTATATACACAATAAAATCTATAGTTTCATTGGATTTTTTAAAGAGTAGAGAAATACATTGTACCCAGTAAAACTTTTACAAAAGATGGTGAGTACAAATCTTTTGGAATTACAAAGATACATAAAATAAGATTGACTCCACTTTCAATGTCAGGTATACTGTTTTTGAGAGTATTTACATAGCCTTATTCTCACATCCTCTAAAGTTAGCAGCAAAATCACCATTGCTTTTGGAAAAAAAAATTATTATTCTTTGTGAAACCCAACAAATATTCAGAATTTTTTTTAAAAAAAATCAATTACAAAAATTTATACACTCAAAAAGTATATATAAAGCATATGGGCCTGTTAAAATTTGCCACTCTTCTTATGAAGTAGAATATTACTAATACTTTGAAGTCCTATACACGTCTCTGAAAGATTCATTGATATTCTTCTGAATTTTAAAATTATCATTCTCTTGTATTTCTTTGTAGTTTTGATAGCAGCAGGGGCCCATCTGGAGCAGCAACTTCCATGATGCCAGCTGCAACAGAGGAGGCACAGCTGGGGCTGAGCACTACATGGAGCTGGTGAGAGCTAAGCAGAGGTGGAAGCCCTGCCCCCCTTCTGAGTTGGCAGGGTGGGAGTCTTGCCCTCCCTGGGTGCAGCTGGGGCTGCCCAGCCACAGCACAGAACTGCTTGCTCCCATTGGCTGGCTTCTCCCTTCTCCCGGGACCTGCTCTGATCTCAGAGCAAAGTTGAGGCCAAGCCTGGGCACTATCACAACCCAGCTGGGTGTGTGCACATCTGGGGCAGCACTGACATGCCAGCCCCCTGTGGCCTCAGCCCCCTCTGTGCTTTGGGCACTGACACGCACAGGAGGGAAGCCAAATGGGGGCACAGGGTGGCTCAGTGCTGACCTGCAGGCACCCCTCCTCCACACCAACAGCCTGGGTACCATGGATGTTGGCAAGAGGCAGACAGGCTCCTGGGTGGAAAGGGACGGGTCCCAGTGAAGCCCCACCTTCAAGTTGGGGAAGGCCTGAAACCTGGAGTCTGGGCTGCCAGCCCCACAGACTAGAGTGAGAACTTATGGTGCTTTTTCTAGGCCCACCCATGGCTGCCTATGGACCAATCAGCACATATTTCCACCTGTCTGAAGCCCATAAAAACCCTAGACTCAGCCAGACTTGGAGAGAGGATGGGATGATGACCAGCCATGGAGAGCAGTTACCCACTCCAGAGTCTCCTCTCTGCTGAGAGCTGAGCAGACATCAGGATTGCCACTGGCAGTGAGGAGCTACCTACTCCAGGGTCTCCTCTCTACTGAGAGCTGAACACCCAACAGAATGGCCTACCTGCAGAGAACTACTCACTCCCAGGTCTCCTCTCTACTGAGAGCTGACACTAATAGGGACACTCTGCCTGTGGAGAGGAGCTACCCAATGCAGGTCTCCACTGAGCTGTTCTGTCACTCAATAAAACTCCTCTTTGCCTTGCTCACCCTCCACTTGTTCTCAAACCTCATTCTTCCTGGATGCAGGATAAGAATTTGGGATCTGCTGAATGACAGTGCTAAAAGAGCTGTAACACAGACAGGGCTGAAACATGCCCCTTGCTTGCCACATTGTAGGTGACAAGAAGAAGAGAAGAAAGAAGGAGAGAAGAGCTGCAACTGTTCAGGGAACCCAGACTTAGGAGCTCTCTGAGCCAAGGCTGTAACACCTCTTTGGGGTTCTGAGGTTTCTGGCATCTTCAAGCAACTATATTCCCCAGTGCCAGCCATGGAAGCTGCTTGTGGTATGCCTGGTCCAGCTGCAGCCTTACAGAGAGCCAGCACCTGCCCCATCACAGCCAGAGTGCCTGGCTGTGTGCAGTGGCCAGACCCCACGTTTTCTCACTCACACACCACTCACTGCTCTGCTCACCCTTGGCAGGGTTGGGATCCAGGCCAATAGTGTAAGCCAAGTGCAACCTGCCAGGCCAAGTGGGCCCGGAGGGCCTGAGCAAAACTCAGGCAAAGGCACCACTGGCCACAGAGGTTTCTGACTGGTGAAACGACACCCCAAGGATCCCGTAACAATTTTGCCACATATGTATACACCCTCTAAAAATATTGCTTAGTGTTTTATATATTTACCCTGTTTTCTTTTTGATAGAATTTGGTAATTTTCATATTTTTATAACTTTGAGTAATTTTCATATTTTTATAACAACGATTTTATGTACGTGGACTGGATGCAGCAGCTCACGCCTGTAATCCTAGCACTTCAGGAGGCCAAGGCAGGAGGATCACTTGAAGCCAGGAATTCAAGCCAGCCTAAGCAACATAACTGGAGCCCATCTCTACAACAAAAAATTTCAAAATCAGCCAGCCCTGATGGCAAGTGCTTGTATTCCCAGCTCCTCAAGAGGTTGAGGTGGGAGGATTGCTTAAGCCTAAAACTTTGAGGTTGTAGTGAGGCATGCTAGCACCAGTGCACTCCAACCTAGGCAACAGAACAAGATCCTGTCTCTTACAAAAAATAAAAAAATGTGTACATGATTCCCATGTATATGTGAAAACATTTATCTAGGAATGGAGATGCTCCCAGACTATGCACATTTTAAACTCCTAGAAAATGCCCCAAAACTATCTTCCAAATGATGCATTTATTCTCTCCCTCGCAGTCTATAAAAGTTGTCATTGCATCACATTCTCACTAACCATTGATACTGTCAGATATTTTAAAATGTTTGCCATTCTGGATATAAAATGACACCTCAACTGGATTTCCGGATTGCTAATGAGGTGAGCATCTTTTCCATTGTTGGTTGATCTTCTGGGAGTTTCTTTTACGAAGTGGCTATTCCAGTCTTTCCTCTTTTCTCTACTTGCCTATTTGCCTCTTTAAAAGTCAATTTGTAGAAATTCTTTATGCATTTTGAGCACTAATCCTTTGGCAAATAGAGATATTGCAGATACTGTCAACCATTTTGTAGTTTGTCTTTTCACTTTCTGTTTGCTGTTTTTCATAGTAAAATTCTCAGTTTTAATATTGTTGAATTTATAAATATTTTACTTTTTAGTCTGTGTTCTATATGTCATATTTATGAAATAATTTCCTGAGTCAAAGGTACAAAGATATTCACTAATACTGTCTCCTCCTTCTTCTTCTTCTCCTTCTCCTTCGCCTTCCCATTCTCCTTCCCCTTCCCCTTCTCCTTTGTCTTCTTCTTTTTTTTTCAAATAAGGTCTTGCTCTGTCATCCAGGCTGGAATGCAATAGTGTGATCTTGGCTCACTGCAACCTCCATCTCCCAGGCTCAAGTGATCCTTCTGATTCAGTCTCCTGAGTAGCTGGGATTACAGGAATACACCACTGCACCCAGCTAGTTTTTGTATTTTTTGTAGAGATAGGGTTACCATGTCAGCCAGGCTGATCTCACTTGAACTCCTGGGCTCACGTGATCCTTCTGCTTTAGTCTCCCAAAGTGCTGGGATTACAAGTGTTAGCCACCATGCCTGACCCACTAATACTGTCTTCTAAAAGTCTTGAAGGTTTATCATTTACATATGTTCAGAATCCATCTAGAATTTATTTATGGCATAAGTTAGGGAGTCTACTTAGTTTTTGTTGTCATATGAATAACCAACTGGACTTGTTTCATGTATTGAACGCTTTCCCCAGCTATCTGTTATTTAACCTTTGTTACATGTAAAGTTCCCATATATGCATGAGTTAGTCCGTTGAAGTCTCTGTTCTGTGCCATTGGTCGGCTTGTTTATCCTTGCACTATATCATACTTTTAAAATTACAATTGCTTTATTATAAGTCATGATAACTATTAGTTCTTCTTGAGTACTGTCTTGACTGTATTTGCCATTTTGCTTTTCCATACATACTTTTTAAAACCAACTTGGAATTTTAATCAAATTTAAGTTAAATATCTTGATTATTTGGGGGGAATTGATATCTTCCTAATATTGAGTGTTCCTACCCATAAATATGCTTTGTCTCTCTGTTAACTTTTTAAAAACTGTCTTATATTAAAGCTTATAATTTTCTCAATAATAGTCTTGTATATATTTTGTTAGATTTATTCCTAGGTAACTATATATTATTGACAATAATGTCTTCTTTAAATTTTTATTCTCCTATTCAACTAATAACCAGATCAAATTGCAGCTAGATAGGAGGAATAAGTTTTAGTGTTTAATATCATTGTAGGATGACTATAGTTAGCAATATTATATTATATTATATTATATTATATTATATTATATTATATTATATTATATTATATTTCAATAGCCAGAAGGAAAATATTGAATGTTCCCAATACAAAAAAAAAAAATAAATGTTTGAGATGATGGGCATGCAAATTACCCTCATTTGTCATTATACATGATATGTATCAAAATATCATTATGTATCCTTTAAATATGTAGAGTTATTTTATGTCAATTTAAACAAATAATTTGAAAATACCAAAACATTTATTTTATGCTTTGTAGTTGGTATATAGAAATGAAATTGAATTTAATTACTGATCTTACATCAGCAAAATAGCATTACGATTATTAATTCTGCTAATATATCTTAAATTATTTAGGGTTTTCTATGTAGATGATCATATTATATGGGAATAATAAGAGTTTATTACTTATTTTCCAGTGTTTGATATTTTATTTATTTTCTAACCTTACATTGGTCAAATCTTACAATGTACAATGCTGAATAAAATTGATCATAGCAGGTATTCTTGTTCCTGCCATTAAAGAAAATGTTTAACACTTTACTATTAATATCATTTATTATAGGATATTTTCAGATAGGATATTTATCAATTTGAGAAAGTTTGCTGAAGGATTTTGGTTTGTTTTGTTTTAAAGCATGAATAACTATTGAATTTTGTTGAATGTTTCTAAATAAGAGAGAAGTATATGTTTTTCTTTTGATCTATTAAAGTAGTGAACTACGTTAACTCATTTTCTAACGTATTAATATTGTTTTAGTGAGATAAATACAATTAGTCATAATATAGAATCATTGCTAATTTCATATGATATTCTATTTTAATTTTTTTCCATATTCCTGAGTTAAAATTTCAATTTCTCATACTTACTTCTCTGATTCTTTGAATCAAGGTAATTTCTTACAATACAAGTTAGGGAGTGTTCTTTCATTTTGGGGGACTCTGGGGTATCAGTGAAAATAGAGATTAACTATTCCTTGAATATTTGCATATTTTATATAACTCAAGATTAAAATTACTCTTTTTTGTTTTCTTTGTGGTAATATTTTAAATCACTGATCAATATTCTAATATAATAGGACTCTTTAGATGTTCTTTTTTTGGTAGTTAGTTTTGGCTAGTTATATTTTCCTGGAAATTTGTTTAATTCATTTATGTTTTCAAACTTCTTGGCATAACAGTCTCTTATCTTTTCAATCTGTGCTGCACGTTAAAACATTTTTTTAGTTCCCAAATTGACTTATTGGTTGTCTTCTCCAACTCATTGATTTGCATACTATGCATGTATGTTTGTATGTATTATCTGTCTAGCAATTTAGAAGTTCTACGCTCTATTTCTATTCTGTTAGTGTTGACCCAAGAAATGTTTAAAATATAAAGTACCTTAAGAAAGTCCACATTTCACCACATGTTCTCACTCATAGGTGGGAAGTGAACAATGAGAACACATGGACACAGGAAGGGGAACATCACACACCGGGGACTGTTGTGGGGTGGGAGGAGGGGGGAGGGATAGCATTAGGAGATATACCTAATGCTAAATGACGAGTTAATGGGTGCAGCACACCAACATGGCACATGTATACATATGTAACAAGTCTGCACGTTGTGCACATGTACCCTAAAGTATAATAATAATAAAATAAATAAATAAATAAATAAATAAAAGAAAGTCCACATTTAATCCATTTCTTTTCTCTTCACAGGCAATTCTTGAAAATCAGAATGCATTGTAAACACCCTTCTCCCCAACTTACATGTTATACTTGTCTTGTTTTAGTTCTGTTTTTTTAGCCTCATCTATTAGGCAATTATCATTTTATAGAGTCAAATTCTGTATTGACAACCCTCCTATTTATCATTTTCTTTTCCCATCATTTCTATTTGTACCACAGGCTTTTCATTTTGAAACATTTTTGTTCTTAAAGTTTGTACCTTGGATGTTCCTCTAGAGTAGGTTGGTGGTAGTAAAATTCCTTAATTTCTGTGTAAGATATTTTTATAGGCTCTTTCATATAATTCTAGATTTGCAGGTAATTCTCAGGACTTTAAAGATATTACCATGCTGTCTTCTAGATATTGTTCTTTCTATTGAGAGACCAGCCTAGTGTTCATTTCTTCATAGGTAATCTTTTTCCACTCAGTTCTTTTTTAAATTGTTATTATACTTTAAGTTCTGGGGTACATGTGCAGAACATGGAGATTAGTATACACGTGCCGTGGTGCTTTGCTGCACCCATCAACCTGTCATCTACATTAGGTATTTCTCCTAATGTTATCCCTCCTCTAGCCCCCCACCCCTCACCAGGTCCCGGTATGTGATGTTCACCTCCCTGTGTCCATATGTTCTCATTGTTCAGCTCCCAGTTATGAGTGAGAACATGTGGTGTTTGGTTTTCTGTTCTTGTGTTAGTTTGCTGAGAATGATGGTTTCCAGCTTCATCCATGTCCCTGCAAAGGACATGAACTCATCCTTTTTTATGGCTGCATAGTATTCCATGGTGTATATGTGCCACATTTTCTTTATCCAGTCTCTCACTGATGGGCATTTGGGTTGGTTCCAAATCTTTGCTATTGTGAACAGTGCTGCAATAAACATACGTGTGCGTGTGTCTTTACAGTAGAACGATTTCTAACCCTTTGAGTATATACTCAGTAATGAGATTGCTGGGTCAATGGTATTTCTAGTTCTAAATCCTTGAGGAATCACCACACTGTCTTTCACAGTGGTTGAACCAATTTACACTCCCGCCAACAGTGTAAAAGCATTCCTATTTCTCCACATCCTCTCCAGCATCTGTTGTTTCCTGTCTTTTTGATGATCACCTTTCTAACTAGTGTGAGTTCTTTTTATCTTGAAGTTCTATTATTTTACTACAGTTTGTCCAAGAGTGGACTTTTAACTATATATATCATGCTTGGGATTGTCCAAGAGTGGATTTTTAAAAATATATATCATGCTTGGGATTCATTGAATTGTCTCAATCTGAATGTATTTTGCTAATTATGGAAAGTCCCTGAGTACTTTACGTATTGCCTTTTCCACATTTTCTCATCTTGCACTCTGGAATTCCAAACAGATATATGTTTCACATGCTTCCTCCACCTTGTATGTCTCTTAACTGATTTTTAACATTTCCTGTGTGTGTCTGTGTTCTACAAACAATAATTTCTTATTCATCTTCCAATTTACTACATCTCTCTTCAGCTGTGTCAAATCTTTCATTCAGCCTATCCACTGAATTCTATTAATTATTTTAGTTTTTATTTATAGAGATTCTATTTTTCTCCTCCACCAAAAAAAAATTCCTGAACATTTGGGATAGTCTGGTATTCCTTTGTGATAGTTTCCCTACCTTTTAAAAATGCGTTAAGTATATTTATTTTATAATAAGCCTGTAGTCTTTGTGTATTTTATACTTTTGATTTGAGACCTTGTTTGTAGCACTTTACAGGGGTAATTTTTGTGGCCCTGATTTAATATGTATCCCCCACAGAAGATAAATGTTTGTTTCAGCCAGGTGGCTAAAGGCACTAGCAACCCAGGATCAATTTAAACTAAATTTTCATCTTGGGGTTTTTGGACCACACAAATAGAATGAATTCTGGCTCAGAACCTGAGTAAATGCCTTGCTTGTGGTTACAAAATTTTCAGGCTTTTTTCCCCTATATCCGCAGCCAATTTTTTTAGTTTTTCTTTTGATATCATATTTTTTCTAGTTAATTCTTTGCTAAAGATGTTGCCTTTTGAAGGTGCTGGCATCATGAGGCCATGTTTAATTCAACTTCTTACCTGATCAGTCCATAGTCCTTATCATCTATATTTCATTCACTTGGTTCATTGAAAGAAAACTTTGGGTACCAGGGCCTGGCAGATGTCCCACTTGGCAGCTGTCCAATTTAGTGCTGTAAAAGATCTCTAGGTCTATGCTTTCTTGTTCCCTTTGGCCTTTGTGAAGCTGCTTCCTTTATTTCTTGCCAGAATAGTCAAGCATTTAGAAAGATGTCTTTAAAAGTTTTATCTAGCACTTTTAGGATTTTTGTAATGGGGGTTGTTTGTTTGTTTTTAAAGACACTTAATCTGTGTATTGTCAGAAATGAAAGTCCAGAAACTATTCATGCAAGTAATTTAATAAGCTATTTCTTTTTTAAAATAGCTGAAGGAAACTTTATAATTTCAAGAGATAAGAAAAAGGGTTACTGAATCAGGTTTTCACTAGTGCTGTGTTGCTTAAGTCACAAATGTGAAGGTTTACTCTTTCCATGTCTAAAGTTTATTTTACTGTAAATATTTTTGTGTTCCATCATGAATTGGCTTTTTCAGAAGTATATCCAGAATTCAGAATGAAACCTATTGTGTGTTCTGATTCTCACATAATTTAACTACGTAATAAGAACATATTCTCTTATCATGAAAACCAACTCGTTTTTCTATCTACTCTTGAGGATTTTCATCTTTCAGTCTAAACTTTTGTGTGTGGGTAGTAGACAGTTTGGTAGAAGGATGGTTATACTGGTGACTGTAGCAGTTAATAATCAGCACCCATTTGGTTAGGACTCCCAAATCACTCTTAGGACCATACTCCTGAACTTTTGAGTAGGAATAAAACATCCACATTTTTTGGTATAAATTATAATCGGTTTTTTTTTTTTTCTGAGACAGAGTCTTGCTCTGTCGCCCAGGCTGGAGAGCAGTGGTACGATCTCAGCTCACTGCAACCTCTGCCTCTTGGGTTCAAGCAGTTCTCCTGCCTCAGCCTCCCAAGTAGCTAAGATTACAGGCACCCAACACCAAGTCCGGCTTTTTTTTTTTTTTTTTTTGGTATTTTCAGTAGAAATGGGGTTTCACCACGTTGGCCAGGCTGGTTTTGAACTCCTGACCTCAAGTGATTCACCCACCTCAGCCTTCCAAAGTGCTGGGATTACAGGCGTAAGCCACTGCACTTGGCCAATATAAATTATAATTCTATTAACTTTACCTGATAATTCTTTCAAGATGTATTTCTAATCTCAAACTACACATGTATTATAATCGCATGCCCCAACTTTACACAGTGAATCAGAATTTACTGTGTAATTTAAGAAAGAAAAAAATGATCTGTAACTGAAAGTAAAGATTAAAATGAAAATTAAGTGTTTCTCAAAGTTTAGGATGAAGAATAGGGCAATAGTTGAAAGGACAGGGTACGAGAAAAATACCCTTTTCCATCTGAGCTTTGTTTCACTGATTTATAGTAAGAAAACTGTTCTGCCAGTTGAACTGACCTGATGCAATTAAGTAACCTTTGCGGTTACTTTTACCTACTAACTTAGAGTTTTTACTAATCTTGTTATTGCATCAAAAAGCTATTACAATCCTAATTATAAATATATTTCAACCTTCCGAAAATGGAATTAAATGTATTGTGATGTTTGTTTTATGATTTGATTATTTTAAAAATAACTATTATGGATGTGTCCACATTTGTTGTTAATTTGTGTCCTTTGTGGGGCTTCATTTTTCCCACTAAAGAACTTTCTTTCCTAGTAGCTAAAAGCAAACTTTTTATTTCATAGCCTGTATATCCAATTTCTAATATAATACTTGGATTAAGAAAGTATTTTACAAATAAGATTTTTTTCTTCTTTAGGATAATTATCTTGGATTTTCCAGATTTAAACCATATCCTCTATACATTATTGCATCTTTTTATCCAGTTCTTAATATTTCATCCACTGGAATGATAATTCTACAAGACCAATATTAAACAATATGGGGATGGCCATCCTTCTTGCTTTATCCTTGGTTTAATTGCATTTTGTTTTACCAACAAGTATATACATTTTAACTGCATTAAAAGTATCTTTTAAATTCTAATTTATTAAAGTTTACTTTTAGTCAAAAATGAATGTAAAATATTATCAAATGATTTTTCAGAATTTATCAAAATAATCATGTGGTTTTTACCTTTTGACTTACTACTCCGAGTATTTCAGAAATGGATATCTAGGCCAGGTGTGGTGGCTCACGCCTGTAATCCCAGCCCTTTGGGAGGTCTGGAGGCAGGCACATGGCTTGAGCTCAGGAATCTGAGATCAGCCTGGACAACATGATGAGACCCCCATCTCTACAAAAACACAAAAATTAGCCGGGCCTGGTGGCACGTTCCTGTAGCCTCAGTCACTCTGGAGGCTGAGGTGAGAGGATCACTTGAGCCCAGGGGGTGGAGGTTGCAGTGATCCATGATTTCGCCACTGCACTTCAGCAAGAGTGACAAAGTGCAACCCTGTCTCAAAAAATAAAAATAAAAAAGCGGGTGGGGGACAGATACCTGAATTTATATCATCACTGGATTTCTGAAGTAAAACTCTTCCAGAACTGTAGTTAGCCCTTTCTTCTATAATGTCTCTTGTCCTCATTCTTAGATCAAGTTTTATCTGATATTCATACTTATAATTTACTGCCTACTTGGTATTTTACATGCCTTATCTCATTTAATTCTCACAACCACCATGAAAGTTAAATACCACTATCTTCGTGCAACTATCTTAACATTTTGTGCACAGGAAATGAGGTTCAATGAAAGTAAAGCGCTTGCCTGTTGTCTAATGGCTGGTTACCAAAAATGTCTGCTGCTAAAATCTGGGTTTATCCCATGACACTGACAGCTGAGCCTGGGATCAGGTCAGTGGAGATTAATATTTATTTTAAAGATGTCTTCAGCAAGTAATGTGGCTACGAGCTTTACTGTTCTTACTTGCCAATGGCTAAACTTTATGTCACCTGACTGTGCTGAGTGCCTTTCACCAGTGCCCTCCACCCTACAATCCACCACCCCTATCCCCAACCCTACCCTCACACAAGAATGTATACAGCTATAGGGCTAAAGGGAAAAAATACAAAGGAAGCCAATTGATTTTCCGATGCTATAATAATTTGGGTGATTTAACATCCTATGGAGGCTAGATAGCATCCTTCTGGCGTCACCTGCCTTCTTTTCCTTCTTTTGGCTTCATCTCTAACCCTGGCCAGACTCAGCATCCCCTGATCATATATGAGATTGCTCATTCGTATTATATTGTAGGACCTACTAACACCCATTAGTTCTTATTTTTCCAAATCTGAAAGTTCTACTATCAAAGTTACCTTAATATGACTTATTTTTATCTTCTAATTCTAAATTCCAGGAAGAGTTCTGGAAAACCAGAAACTGAAGCTAGCAACTAATTTACCCAATGTCCATGAAATTATTAATTCTGAAAAAGTTTTTTTAAGTGACTAAAAGACAAGATGTGCTTAACCAAGGGTCAAACTTACCGTAAGGGTATTAGATGTCTAGAAGGCAGTGGTATGTTTTATTAGCTCCATTATATATTCATCAAGTATGATGAATTCTATACACTTCTTACATCAATTCTATACACTTCTATACACTTCTTAAGGAAATGTTTGTGTGTCTATGGGAGAAATAAATAAAATGCCTTTTAACCATTATAAATTAATCTTCTTTGAAAGGCAAAATCAAATTTGGGAGCTGATACATAATTATGTGATTTCCACTTTGAGGGTAGCATCTTGCAGTGCAATAATCTGTTTCTCAAACTTAACTATATTGTATACGTTGTATTTGCCTGCATTGAGCTTCTAAGAAGACTGCTTCTTTCTTATGGGTTTTGGGGGTAGGATGAAGAAGGATACAGAAAGGTAACAGACAACTGAAGAATTTAAAACAGAGGGGCAACACCAGAGAAAAGAAAAGCCATGTATACACTTCATTTTGATGAAAAAAAACCCTCATTTCTGTTACTTTTATGTTTTTAATGATAGAAGTATGAAGAATACATAGATGATGGTCAACTTTTTAAGGAAACAGGATTATTCTTTTCTAGTCCTAAATTATTTGAAAACAGAGATCTTACCCTTCTCACCACCAAGCACAAGATTTTCTTCAGTAAATATGGTTTCATTTGATTTCTCTGCACATACATTTCTACAATCAACTACAATAGAGGCTAAGCATATAGGATGAAGGAAGGTAATTTGATATATGTACATGACCTCAGCATTTTGAAAGAATGTCATGTGTAGAGTATGGCATTAGGGTTGTGGGATTCTGGAAAGCACTCCAACGGAAATAGGACTATCAGTAGTGGCACCTGTGAGCAGACTTCAATAGAAGCTGCATAACAAGCAGTGACAAATCAAAAACTTGCATTCAAAGCCCTGTGTTCATTGCATCTGTGTTCTTTGAAAAAAAAGATGCGTAAAAATAGATGCACAAAATAACCCTTGCCCTCTAGGAGTTAACATACTAATTGAACTCATACATACTTCACATACCTTCACACATATCTTCACATACCTTCAAGTATAGGGAGAAAAACCCTGTTCATGTCATAAATATAATCAATAACATCTCATGGTTAATTACAGGAATGGTAGTGTTAATATAAATGCTGACCAATTAATTACCAATAAATACTAACAAATTAGTGACCAATAAATATTTTCACCAGAAAGCACATCAGAGAAATATATTTCATGTTTTTTGTGATTTCATAATAGGAGCAGGTTACCATTTTCAGCAATTACACATATCATATAAATATTTTAATAGCTGAGGGCATGTATGAAAATATAAAGACCCTATCAATATGCATTTGCTAGTTAGTTTACAAAAAATATGTGTCATCAGAAGGCGAAGAATAGTTAATTTACTGACCACGAATGTCCTCTTGTTTTCCAGAACTTCAAATTCTTATATTTTTGAACAACATGTTCTTAAATTACAAAAAGAACATAAAAATGTCGGGCTCAAAACAAAACACACTGCCAGAGCAGAAATAATAGAAAGATAACATATAACTGGAATTCTGATTCCCAACTATTAGTAAAAAGCCATAAACCTATACAGATCCCTTAGCATCTCTGGGTCCATTTGACCAGAGATAGTTGGAGTTAGGTCAACGGGGTCTCTTTAGCCCTTTCCTACTTCTGAATTATACAAACTGTATGATGTCAAACTATAATACAGAGAAAACAGTGCAGAGACAAACCTGCCACTCTAATTTGTCCCATGACAATAAATGTTGTTAGGCCTCAGATTCTACAAAGATAAACTGATGAACTCAATCTTTAAAAAAAAAAAATCCCTTAAACTTCTGAAATTTTATATTGTTTATGTATATTTGGAAGTATATTTCAGGGTACATTATACTTTATTGTGGGTCAATAGGGGGAGCTCTCGCATTGCTTTTTTATGTATACCACAAATAATAGAATTTACTTTACCTTAATTTTAAAGATTGGGCTGGATTATTTCATTACAATTAGGTACTTATAAGCCAGAGGCATCTCATTACTCACTACAGCAATATTAAGGTAGGCCATGTACTCAGCTGTGCCCCTTTAACTTTGAGGGCTTTTTAATCATCCATCAAAGCACACGTTTGTTAGTCTGCTTAAACCATTGCAGAAGTTGTTTTGTTTTCTGTTTGTTTTTTGGACTCCAGCTTCTTCAGATGAAGTTAAGGTCTATGTTTGATTTGTATTCAAACCTATAAGAGTTAAAGGCAGGAGGAAAGGTTTATGGAGATTAAAAATCAAGAAACCATTTCATTAGGTCTGTGCTTCTGTGGGTTGAACTTGCTACACACACAACTTGACGTGTGTACTTCAATTATTATTATTCAATTATATATTTCAGGGGCTTGGCATCTTTGCTCTTTACTGTTTTTTATTTCTTCATGTGTTATATATAATCCACTTCCCTAGCTCACAGAGGATAAAAGCAGTTCATCATAGAATCTTTAGGAAGTTTGCTTTCTCTAATTGAAACAGATGTCCCTTATGTTAATTAGAATATGAAACATGGGTTGTTAACTGTTAGCTTTCAAATGAAACTCATACATTAATGTTCAGGTAAAATGAAAATGAGACAACACAAGTTTAATAGACATTTCTTCAATAAAGTTGTGGTTTATAGTTAGGATGAAATTTTATTGCTTACTGTGATTTATACCTACTTTATCTAAAGGTTCGTGGTGGCCAACAAATAACGGCTCATATTTTTTGGCCATTTTTTCCTTGAAAACACAACTACATTTTAAAATATGGAAAAGTAATTTATAAGGGAAATGAAAAAAGCTTACATGGAAGATTACATAAAATACATCTGTCTTTTCAAGCCATTGAGATATATAAACAACTCGTTAAAACCTTAAAATGCCAAGAGGAAGGACAAAAGATTCTTTTATTGCAATGAACTTTTGAAAAGATGTCTTTTTTTTTTTCTTTACTTTAAAGGAGTAAGCTTTTTACTTCACATCTAAAGATCTTGATTAAATTTTTTGTGTGTATGTGCGTATATTTTAAAATAGTATCACTTGAGGTTCTTTCTTCCGAGGAATCAGTGATAGAGCAAATACATAAGAAAAATAAACATATTTGGCAGCCAAGAAGCTTTTTTTCAATGAAAGTAGAATCTTTTGTTTTTGACTGGAAAAGTTTTTCTTTTTATGTCAAATGAAATTTTAAGATCACCTATGAGTTTGGAACCAAATCCTTTACTGCCAAATCTGATTCCAATCCTTAAAATCTGTTTTTGTAATACTGCCAGCCATGCACTAACTTTAAATAGGTAGCCAGACATATTGGCAAAAATATACATGGTTAATCAAATAAAACTATGTAGCAGTTTGGAAACAATCAATCAACTTTCAGAATCTTTTAAGTATGAAGCTGCTGTGAAGACATCATGGCTTGCAGTGAAATATTGCAATAAAACTCCATAAGCAGCTGCTTTTGAATTCATCTTCTCCTTTGGTTTTAAATTTTCATAGACCTGCCTCTTAACTATGAATTTTATAAGCTTTTGAAAGAAAAAAACCTGGCAACCTACTATTACAACTAACAAAGAAATGAGGAATGGTAATACAGTTGGAAGCTGAACTCACTGCAAGAACTGCCAACTTGAACTTATCTAGTTAACTATTACTGTACGGATTGCACTTGAAACGGCTTTTGATGGCTGACATTATTTTACTGAAAAGAATATGTGTGAAGGTACTTAAGCACTTTCTCTTGTGTTTTATAGCTTAAGTTTCTTTTCAAATAAAAGACAACATAATCTAAAAAATCCAGATATCCCAACATTAGCAGATTTCATTTCTGTTAGATGAGAAAACTATTACTATTCTTTAAATACACACCAATGACAAACCCACAAGACCTTCACTTACTTTTTTAATTTTATATTTTAAAAGAGGAACAAAAATTGCATTTCACAAATGAATTATTTATGAGATAATAATTCTAACCCTGCAGTTACATTAGAATGTTTTATTGCTTCTACTTGGTAGGCATTCTTCTTTATTGTAATCCTAAATGTAATTAATTTGTAATCTTAAGACTAGTGAACAATTTGGCTTCATCAAAACAAAATGTTTGCTATTATCAAATATTAAAATTCAATTAGAAAACACTGAAAAAACTATTCCCCCTCCTTTTCTGTGTCTGAGATCAATTTTGCTTATCTCAGTGGTGGCTAATAACGTTAGCTCCTAACAAATTGCATTTCTGTATAAGGTTTCTTTCTGTGTGTTCTTTGCGTGTTGGGGGTGGGGGTGGGTTTTCATTTTACTAAACAGTTTTTGTTTCTATTTTCTTTCTTTTTCTCATACATGAGCTAAAATCTCTCCAGATTTGGTCATAGATGAAAATCTAAGGATGATGTCTGAAGTGTAGATGGGTATTTGGAAAATATATGACTTACAGTGGTAAAATTTGTTTTTGAGCAATGTTCATAAAGTATCACAGTGTTAGAAATAATGCTGAATTCAGAACTAGAGGAAAAAAAACGTGTGGTGAAATAGCTGATAGATAGTTTAAATATAAGAATGTCTGCATATTGAGTACTCTTGTTTTCTTTAATAAAAGCATAACATGTAAGTTAAAGAGCAGGTTATCATAAATAAATCCAAGACAAAAGAAGAGAAATACCAAACCACTGGCTCACTCCCTGTTCCTCATGAGTGCCCTTGGCTGCCCCAACTCCTACATAATTTCTAAGGCCCAGCAGAGACTTCTCTGCCCAAATCTGAACCTATCCCTCTTTCCCCTCAACTTTGCCATGTCTTCCATATCCTGCCTAGGTCAGGTGACCTTCTTCTACACATTCTAATTCCCCTACCATACCTAATCATTGCACTTGCAAGTTTTATTTATGTGTTTACTGCATATCTCTTTGTTTCCAACTAAATTGTAATCTTCTTGAAGGTAGAATTGCCTTGTCATCTTTACATCCTCAGTGTTTCATATAATGCTTGTCTAAAAGTCAAGAAATGAAAGAATGCATATCTAAACCACAATTTCCACTACTAAAACCTAACTATTCATAAGCGCAGACTCAAACACAGTTATGGTCGGTTTGGCTAGTGAATAGTAACCATATGAAAAGATGAGGGCTGATGAAAGAATGATAACTTGGTTTTTCTAGGATCACACACTCAGGGTTCAGGGAGGAAGCAGTAAATGAGTCATGTAGCTTTGAAAAAAAGGATAGAAGCTGGATCTACAGAAAGCAGCCAATGCTCAGCTTCAGTCAGCTTTTTAGCATGAGGGGATACAAGTGGAGTGTTTGTTGCCAGAGCTGAAGACTTTTTAAGTAATTGCAAAATTTAGATTTTTTTAATGTAAAATTTTCTAGATCTTAAATTATAGCTTGACATTTCTAAAAACATCCTGTGAGCCAAGAAAATATGTGAACAAACTGTAGATGACATGTGGGGCTATCCATGACCTCTAAGTAGAGAGAAGATGACATAACCATCTTCCTTAGATTAAAACGGAAACAAGAATAATGAAAACCCTTTCTGTCAAATTGGAAAAATACATTTATATTCTTATTTACATTTGCGTACGTTTAATTTTACACTCAAACTTATATGCAAACTTATACTTTATAGTTATATTCTTATTTAAATGTATACTTATATGGCCAGACTTGGTAGGTTTCGGTTCAAAATGAAGAAACTGAAGGGCAGTTTAGACCTAGATGGCAACAAGAAGAGTACGATTGTAAAAATGCCGACCTTATTACTTGGGTTTCAATCCAAGTTTTTAGGCAGCTTATTTTTCTGACCTTTAAAACCACCTTTGAATTTCTGATAAACACAGAACTAAGCTGAAAAGAAAAGGTATTTACAACATCACCTTTGGATAACTTTAAAGCTGCTCAAGTATTTTTGCAGTGACAGATTGGGATGGAATGCTGGGAAAATAACAGCACTGGAAACAAAGCAGACGGGTTTTATCTCAACTTTTTATATCCAACTGAAGCACACTTCACCTGTGAATAGTGATTATTAAGTTTCTTTCAAGGGAAGGGGGCCTGTAATTCACAAATGCTGCAGGTGTGAACTCCTAGGAGGCTTTTCTCCAACTGAAAGGACGTTAATCATTATTCATGGGTGAGATAGTCCATTTATTCCACAGCAGAGAAAGAATTCCTTTTTTATCTTCTTAAAACATGAGACCTTCAATTTTATAAGCTTCACAACAATAAAAGATTCCCTCTTAGAATTACATTTATTGGAGGTTGTTCTTATATTGTGCTCGTTTTTTAAATACTTGAATTTCTTGGAGTTACTAAAATGTCAGTAAGAGTGTGTAGTTTAAATAGTAATTAATTACTTATTCAACAAAATTTCCATAGGCATCTGGTTATTCTAGACCAATATTATCAATGCCTATGAATAGGAAATAAATTTTATCAAAATGAAATCCAAAAGAGTGGTTGTATTGGATTTTGTTTGTGTCAAGTGTTGCTTCAAGTAAGCGAGTCACTGGCTGAGTTTAGAAATCTTTTGGCTGCATAGAGATAATATATTTGTTGTGAAAATCAACTGACAGTGTAGATTCACAAACATCATATTTCTTGACAAGCTGTTAGCGAATATTCTTATTTTATTCCTCACTCCATACATTTCACTAATTTTCTGTTCATTTTTTTGAATATTGAAAATTTATTAAGATATGTATATATTTTTACAAACATATGGCTAGTCTTTTTGCTTTCAAGCAATGGTGTGCACATGATATAAATTCTTGCAGTTCATATGTGCATCTGAATGATGGTGCAGGAAAATCAGATATTGTAAAAGTATAGAATCATTTTTAATTTGCCTTTAACACTTGTTATCATGCTAGATTCCAAAACAAACAAACAAACAAACAAACTTTACTACCTAACTAGATTATGTTCAGAGAATACGCTGTGTAAACAAAGAGATTATTTCTTTCCTACTGAGGTATGGGCTGTATGGAAAATATAATTGAGAAATTCGAGAAATTCAAGAAATTCAGCCATGTCAAGCAACAGATAGGTGGACAAAATTATAGCAGATATTGGAAGTTAAACTGTAAACATTAAATGAACAAATGTGACAACTAAATAGCTGCCTTATTCAATTTAGTCAGCTTATCTACTTATACAGCAAAACCGTAAGTTAAATTTATCCAACTTTCAGTAATGTTTCACTATAAAACCAAAATGAAGCTTCAATTATAAATTTGGGTAGAAAAGATAGTGAGGTTATGGCTTAGGTTCATCCTGAAAAAGACAAAATCTGCTCTGTGGTTCAAATCTATAGAAATTGTATCTTGGAGTAAGTCTCATATAAATAGAAAATCTATCTAGTTTTTATTTCTTTGGTTTTTCAATTTTATTTGGAAAATTTTCCCCAATATAGCTAATACACAAGTAAAAGTTAAGGCAAATTAGTGAGAAGATTATCAATTCTTTTCCATGGGCGGGGAGAATAGGAAATATAGCTGCACAAGTACAAATAGCATACATTTTTCGTTCATTGGAAAGACATGAATCTCAGCCTTTTCTACCACGTATTGGAGTGAAACATCAACTTACTGTCATGGGGGAGAATGGCTTCCTATATTCTATCAATCATCTGGGTGAAGAATTACAACATACTCCTATGGCTATGGCCAGTCATAAGGACCTAAATGTGGAGACAACTCATAAATAATAAACCATCCAATTATTTGACAAGGTCTTTCTATTTGCTAAGAAAACTTGCCCATCAAAATCTGTAGAGAATTGAACTATCTTCTCCAAAGGCAAAGACAAGTCAGACACTGCAGACCCTCATGTACCTCAGCTGTAAAATACATGCAATTGCAAGGTCCATCTCAGTTGACCTCTGACTCCTTAGCTTCAAGTGGCTTCTTGTTGTCATTACTGGATTGTGGTGGTTTCTTCCTTAGCTCTGTAGTACAGCTTCTTCACTCCACATGAAACATGTTTACTGCCTCTCTCCCACTTGCTGTCTTCACTGTGTGAACTGAGTCTATTTTTAGGTCCTGCCTATTCTTCTGTCTCAGTCTTGGTCCTCAGAGAAGACCACCACCCAGGTCGGAGAGCTGTCAAAACAACTCACCAGTATCTGAGGTACACTTTCCCAGTCACTGAGAAATCGACTTCCATTAAAAAGCAAATTCGGGAAGGGAAAATGTATTTCACTGTTACATCTTTCCAAGCTTCACCATATCCCAACACAAATGAACTGGATTGTTAAATTTAAACACTGGGTCTGTATTCCTCCAGAATCGTAGGAGGAACAGTGCCTCCCAAAAACTTTCTCAAAGTGAAGGAGAAATTGCTCTCAAATGCTAGTTATAAATGTGTAATCTGAACTCCAGCCACTCTACGGGGCAGCAGAAGAATTTATGATGTGCTAAATATTTCCTTTGTTCTTCCCAGTGGTAGCCTGCTGTAGCAATTAGAAAGCAACTGGCTCCACATAGAAACTGCTAGAATTTTCTCAAGAATTGTTGATAACTGTTCAACAGGCTCAGTGAACAGGATTTTCTTATTGTGCAGAATTCAGATTTTTAATTTCCTTTCAAGGTCCTATTTTCTAAAATATTTTCTAAATTTTTCTTCCTTCTTCCCTGCTGCCTTTCCATTGCCCCCTTTATAAGGAGAGAAGAGAGGTCAAGATGACTGCTGTAAACCAATGGAAGCCCAAGGTCTTCGACTTCTAACACTGCAATCCTTTTTAAAGCCATATAAAGGTCCTTTGTGTTGCTATCAAAAACACCTCTGACCTCCTCTTTCTTGTTTTCATATAAAGTGACAGCTCTGTCCCATCCTTCATAAAAAGGCAAAAAAAAAAAAAAAAAAAAAAACCCTGCCAATACCATCCTTCTTCAGAAGCCAGACACTATTAATCATCAGCAGGAGGCAGTATGGCTTCAATTAGCTACACAGTGTTCAATAAATTCTCAGTTATTCTGAGTGTGTGTGTGTGTGTGTGTGTGTGTGTGTGTGTGTGGTGGTGGCCTTAGTGCTGGACAATGTTCTATCTGCTTTACATGGATTAATTCTGTGAAGATGGTGCTATTACTATGCCCATTTCAGAACTGAAGAGATAGAAATACAGAAAAGCTAAATAATGTGCTCAAAATCACACAGCTCATTAGTGGCAGAGCTGAAAATAGTTCCAAAGTAAAGGTCCCTGACTGAGAGAGCAAATGTCTTTGAAAGGCAATTTGGCAGCATGGGTGAGGGCCAGATTGTAACATCTGCCACTCACTCAGGCTATGTAATCCCAAGCAAGTTACATAACCTCTGTGTGCCTCAGATTCATGGTCTACATAATGGAGTAACAGTAGTACCCAGCTCACAGAGTGTTTGTGAAGATTAAATGAGAAATACATATTAAGCGCTTAGAACAGTGCTAGGCATATGTTAAGCACTATGTAGAGGTTATGTTTTATAATCCACACCAGTTTTTCAAAGAGTAAGTCTTAGTATATACAGAAAATTAGCTGCCTCGGTATCTCCACTCTCTTTATTTAATAGGTATGACTCACCAAGCTAGTTGGAAGAGATGAGATGAATGAGATACCGTATCTAACCTGAGGTGTATAATGGTTTCATGAAATAAAAATATGTACACAAATTATAGGAAAATATAATACATACTCTAATACATGCAGGTTAAGTTTTTTACATGACAGAGGGAGTGTGAACTCCACCTTTCAGATGGAGAGATGTTTAGGAAAGGCTTCTAAAAAATTGGAGCCATAATCCTATGTATTATGAATGTGATTAGGACACTTTCAAAGATAAGCATTGAAGGAAGAGGAGGAATTAGCTGTAAGTGGGGTAGGAAATCCCAGGATTGGGAACAGCATAGGAAAGGCGGAAAGGAAGGAAGGCATGGTGGATGCAGGAAATCGCTTGGTAACGAAGTATGTGTGTGTTTGGATATTGAACAAAGCAGGGAAGATGTGACTAGAGACTTTCAGAGCCCAATTCATGCACTGTTGCCATTATTCTCCTGAAGGGCCACCCTGATCAAGACTCTCCCCTATTAAAAGACCTCAGCATTTCTCCAGTGCTGTGGTTTGAATTGTGTTCCCTCCAAAATTTGTGTTGAAATCCTAAACCCCGGTACCTCAGAATGTGTTTGAAAATAAGGTTATTGTAGATATAATTAGTCAAGTCAGGATGAGTTCTACTGGAGCTGAGTGGGTCTGTAATCCAATATGACTGCTGTCCCTATAAAAGGGAGAAATTTGAACAGAGACACACTCACAGGGAGAATGCCATATGAAGATGAAGGCAAAGATTAGGGTGAGGCATCTACAAGCCAAGAAATGCCAAAGATTGCCAGCAAACCACAAGGAGCTAGGAGAGAAGCAGGGAACAGATTCTCCCTCAGAGCCTCCAGAAGGAACTAACCCTGTAAAAACTTAGATGTTGGACTTCTAGACTCCATAACTGTGAGGCAATAAATTTCCATTGTTTAAGTCACCCAGTTTGTGGATACTTCTTACCAGCAGTCCTAGCAAACCAATACACCCACCAGCACAACATTTTTACTGCATTTTTAAATTTTTTTCCTTGGATTTTCTAAGATAACATACCAGGTTGCGAATTGGTAAGGAATGTGGGAAATTAATAGGGAGGTAAGAGGACTATACCTACCCTAGCTTTCTTCTTGACATTCAAGAATGTTATGCTTCCTTCTCCGGCTGATGAGAAGCACTACAGCACTTACTACTCTGAGAACACACTCTTTATTCTCTTGCATCCTTGCCTTGATTCTTAATTTTTTCTTACATATAGAACATATTTTCTTGCCATGTAATTATTGCTCAGATTTCTTTGACTCATTCTCAAAAACCCAGCTGAAGTGTTCCCTCTTCTACAAAGCATTTATCTGAGACTGGCTCTTATATTTTCTTTTTTTTTTTCTTTATGGTGCTTTAAATCATCTGTCATGTACCAGACAAATCAGCAAGTCTTCTACTTGTCTTCTGACTCTGAACAAAATGTGCAATCCTTTAGAGCAGGGACAATAAGTATTTCATTCTTCATTTATTCTAGAAATTATTATTATGGTATTTGACTTATGGTAAATGTTTGCATATTCATTGTACTTTGTAGTGAAACTCTAGTGAGCATAATTAGTGATTCATTCAGTAATTTAGTTCTGCATTATTGTGGTTGGAGTCCAATTAGACATATGTTATTCCAGCTAACATTGTCCGTTGTTTGCTGATAGCCTGTTTCTTTAATTTTATAATACCTGTTTTAATATTCTTATGTACTAATTCTGTCATCTTTTCATTGCTGGGTCTGTTTCTATTGACTGATCTTTCTCCTCATTATGGCTTTTATTATCCTGCTACTTTGCTTGTTTGATAAGTTTTGATTGGATGCCAAAGATTGTAAATTTTGTTTTTGAGTGCCGGATTTTTTTTGTATTTTAAAAAATGATTTAATCTCTGTTCTGGCATACAGATGAATTTTAGGAATCAGTTTTAAGATTTGCTTTTAGGCTTTACTACGTTGGGTCCAGAATAGCTTTTAATTAGAGATACTTTATCTTCACTACTGATGCAATACCTTTGGAGGATTCTGTCTCATGAACTAGGTCTCTGAATTCTTGCTGAAAACACAACCCATTCCCTCCCTTGTGTGAGCTTTGGAGTCATTTATCCAGATATTTCTTTCCAGTGGTTCTTTCTCTGGATTCTGGCATTTTCCTCTAATGTATATATGGTACTCAGCCAAAGATTTAAGGAAGCTCCTCTGTAGATTTCTGGAGCTCTCTTTCTGTCCAGATCCCTTTGCTCTGAGTCTGCCACTTGAATCCTAGCTGCCTTAACCTCCTCAGACTACCAACTCTGTCTCATCTCAACAAGATCACTAGGCTCTCTTTGGGTTCATTCTCCCTGTACTATGGCCTAAAACCTCTCTTAGGCAGATAATTGGAGTCACTTCATTTGTTTTGCTTCTCCTAGGAATCACTGACTTGTGGTATCTCTTGTCTACCTCTTGAAAATCATGGTTTTAGAGATTTCGTCTAGTTTTCCAGTTATTTTAGGCAGAAAGGTAAATTTAATCTCAGTTACTCTACAAAAGCCTGCAAAATGGCTACAATGTGGTATTTGTAAACATTAATTAGAAAGTACTGTAAAGAGAAACAGAAAATAAAATACTACATGTTCTTACTTATAAGCTGAGGCTAAACAATGGATACATATGTTCATAAAGACGGAAATAATAGACACTGGTAACTCTGAAAAAGTGGAAGGTGGGAGGGGGGCAAAGTTTGAAAAGCTACCTATTGGGTACTTTGTTCATTATTTGGGTGATGGGTTCATTAGAAGCCCAAACCTCAATATCATGCAGTATATCCATGTAATAAACCAAGACATACACCCCATGAATCCAAAATTAAATTAAACTTAAAAGAAGAAAGTACTGTAAAGAGTACCATGACTGAAGCTAAATAAATTTGCTGTTTTGTGTGAAGATCTGCCATTATTATTTTTTCTTTTTATTTAACTTTTATTTTAAGTTCAGGGTTACAAGTGCAGGTTCGTTGCACAGGTTAATTTGTGTCATAAAGATCTGTTGTACAGATTATTTTATCATCCAGGTATTAAGCTTACTACCCATTAGTTATTTTTCCTGATCCTCTCCCTCCTCCCACCCATCACCCTCCAAAAGGCCCCAGTGTGTGTTGTTCTCCTCTATGTGTCCATCTCTTAACTAATAGTAAACACTGTAAGAACAATATTGCGTCTGAATCTTTCATTTTATATTTGTTCCTCTGGAAGGAATATTTTTAAAAGTTTGGGAGAGAGATCTGCAAGAAATGGATCAACATAGGACTTTGGAGTCATACACACCTATATTCTAATCCTAATCTTCTCCCTCAGGTAGCATAACCTATGGCTACTTACCCTCTCAGCCCCTTTCTTCAATTGTGAAACAGAAGCTAACACAATAATTCCACCTGATTATTGAGAGGATTAAATGTCTACTACTTCTCTGCAGATTTTATGGTGAATCTATTCTGAGGTCCATGCAACATGATGGATCAAGAATTGCATGTGAGGTTCTTGTCTAATCTACCCCATGATAAGCAAAAGTAAATTTCCTTACACTTTCTCTTCCCCTACAAATAACAGGGAATTTATTATATTGGGAATGCAAGAGAATTGAAGTTCCAATGTCTGCCAACCTCCCAGATTTTGGGTGATTTTTCCAGACACTTCTTTGCTCAAATGAATAGACAAATAAACTTGGTTCAACTACATTACCATTCTGGCTTAAATATGAGTCCAAAAGTACCATGATGAATTAGTCCATTTTTCATTTTGACAGGCTTTCTTCATATCATTTCTAAACTCTTCTTCCAGGAACCTCGCATATGATTTTGCTTATACTTAAGCCAATATTTCTCATACCTTTTATTCTCTGCTTTGCCAGCTCCTCCTATGAACAAATCCTTTACTGGGCTTCCCCCAGAATTCATTTGTGACACCTATGCAATATGCAAATAATTCCCAAATAGTCACTTTAGCTCTGCCTTTGAATTTTTGCTAATACTATTTAGTTACCTTTTATTGGAGGTTTATTCCTTGATATCTCATTGCTTTCACCATTTCCACGCTATAATTCTAGTCACAAAGATTCACACATTCTCCTTTAACATAGTTATTTAAATTCTCACACTACCATTCCATGACAATTACTCCTCTATAAGAACTCACTCATAGAAATGTTTTTCTCACTAGTAGTGTTTATGATAAAGTGTAAAGAGCATAGAATTTGCTGACCAAAATATTTGAGTTTGAATTCCTGTCGCAGCACATTATGGCCGGGGTGAATTCCTTAAACTCTCTCAGGGCCCATTTAGCCATCTGTAAAACAAGAATAATAATATTGAACTCATAGAGTTGTTATAAAAATTAAAATTAGATAATCTGTGAAGTGCTTAGCAGAGGAATTGTCATACAGAGGATGTTCAATGACTGTTAGCTTGCTCCCATACTGCATATTTCTAAATCCCAAAGCCTCATGCTTGCACATTGGTAAAAAATAACTTTCTGGTATTTTCTTCACTTCCAGTTTTTTCTTCTTTTCTATTTTTATTAGCAGAGAATATTCCTCCTGAGCAAGGCTGTCAAGGATCGAAGAGATATGTAAACATTGTTATGCGTGTATATCAGTTAGGATGCCCTTGGCTATAAGTAAAACTATTCAAGCTTCAACAGTAAAGCTTAAACAGAATTAGTTGATGTAATAAAAAAGGTCAGAGATAGTGCAGGCTTCTGGGACGGTGGATTTTGTAAGTTATTTCCATATCTCTTTTTCTCCAACAACAGTGTTGATTTCATCCCAAAATAGCTCCTCTGGTGTTGGAAATTGAGGCCATAGGCTTCTCCCTCCTCCTTGTCCAACAGGAAAGATAAATTAGTTTCCTATACCTTTATTGGCTTCCAGCAGAAATTTCCTTTCATGTAATTGTCCAGAATTGGGTCATAAGCCCCTTTCTTCAAAAAACTATTGGCAAGGGAGAATAGGGTTACCATCAACCAGGCTGACCCACTCCTTGAGCAGAAGAACATTCCTCACACTGTGCTGCTGCTGTTTGGCAGAGGAAAGGCAGAAGGGATGTTGGGAGTCCGTTGTGATATTTACTGTCTGTCTTCATGAGGGAAGGGGCTTGTTTTGTCTGCTCTGTTCACTGCTGAACTCTAGTACCTTGAACAGTGACTGACATGTAGAAAGCATCCAGTAAATATTTGTTAAGTGAATATTAATTACTGCCATTGGATGACTCCATATTTCTTGTAACTCTATTGCTTCTCATATCAATGCCAATAAATACTTGCTGAATAAGCTCCCCATCAAAAACCTCCATGTGCACACTTATAATCTTTCCACTTATGGAGGCTCACTTTCTTCTCCATGTCTAACTTCTCTTATTTCCCATCACACACTAAGATGGGGCTCTGAACTTGACTGGAGTTTATGAATCTTTATGTGCTTTTCTTTTGTGTATTTCCAAAGTCGGAATGATTCTTGTGGCATACAGAATCATTCAAGTGGCATAGAGATTATTGAGTAGAAGAGACACTATTAATAAGCCAAATGATGTTGTTTTAATGCCAATTACATAGAATATTAAAACTCTAGCATATACCAGATAGACATGAGTAACTCACCTAACCTTCAGATTCTCCCTTTCCCAAACATTCTGATTTAGGTCTGAAGTAGTGCTGAAAAATCTTCATTTTTATTAAATATTCCAAATTATTCTGATGAGAGTTAGATATATAAAATTCGGCTGAATGAGTAGCATTTAACTAACCTCTTCTCATTCCATCAATATAAGAATAAAGAAGGAAGATTTAATGCCCAATGCTAAATGAATGAGTGAATGAATGTCTCCAACTCTATGAGTGACTGCTATGCAGAATTACTGGAGTATTAAAAATATATATTAAAAAGGGGCAGGCATGAACAGGTGAGGGGAAGAGCAAGGAGAAGAGATACCAGATAGGGAGGCTGAGTTCTGATTGGGAAGGGTCTTGAATGCTGTGCTAAGGGGTTTGGATTCTTCTGAAATCCATGGAATTTCTTGAAGGTGCCTGAGCAGGAAGTAACACAATATAATTTGTGTTGTAGAAAGCTGATTTTGTCTGCATGTGATGGATTGGCCAGAAAAAGAAAGCCGTAGGCACAGAGGAGGATCACACGTGATCAAAAACCACAAATGGCTTCTTCATGACACAGGGGCAGGTGAGGCCCCTGAGGCTTGAAGGCTGCTATACCATGAATCAACATAAAGCAGGTATTGTGAGCAATTGCCTATGATTTCCACTTGGAGTCAAAATGATTCATCTCCATAAGACACTTGACCTCTAGTAGCTCAGTCCAGAAAATAAGGTTCTCAAGCATGAGACACTCTGTGTTAGGGCCCAAAATACAAAGGCAGCACAAGAAAACTTTTTTTCCCACTTATGGTATGATGAAAATTACAGATTAAACCTAGAAACTTATAAAATGCAGCAGATATTTTATATTAGCAATATGTCATTAGCATAATTTTAAAGAAAAAAAGGTCCACACACTGAAAGAATGACTGAGACATATTATTGAAATGTGGAACTTAAATTGGAAGAGAGACTCGATTCTCTGGCGCTGGCAGCATCAGGGGTCAGGTGTGAGGAAAGCCCTGGTGTTTTATACTTAGGGTGAAAGAAATAGGCCATTAAGGGTGGCCAGGAAACAGCCTTTCCCTTCATAGTGGAAATGCTCTCTGCCTTTGCCACATATTGTTATTGACATTTCTCTTTTCTCATCTTTCCAAAGAGTCCACTTGCTGGACAAAATGCTAGATGGTAAAATTGGAGTCACTGGAGTTAGTTCTTTCCTTTGGAGTGGAACCAAGGGAACGAAGCAAACTGATTCTGTACCCAGAAAGAAGTCAACCTGAAGAGCTAAAAGTTATCAGGAAGACAGAGAATATTGGATGAGACATGAGCTATTTTTCCTATCCTCTGAAAGATTAAAGACAACTTTTGCTTGAACCCAGGAAGCGGAGGTTGAGGTGAGCCAAGATCACGTCACTGCACGTCAGCCTGGGCTACACAGCGAGACTTTGTCTCAAAAAAAAAAAAAAAAAAAAGACTTTCTTTTAAAATCTAACCCAATGCAGCAGCTGATTCTCTCCTCCCTCTCTCTTCCCCTACCTTCTTTATCCCCTCTTTTCTCCCCTGGCAAAACAATTCCACCCAAGCCCTCCCACACAACTTGCACATCCAGTCTCTTGAGGTTTTTACCAAAAACAAAAAGTTCTAAATTTATTATTTTTTTGAGACAGTGTCTCACTCTGTTGCCCCGGCTGGAGTGCAGTGGCATGGTGGTCACGGCTCACTGCAGCCTCAACCTCCTGGGTTCAAACGATTCTCCTGCCTCAGCATCCCAAGCAGCTAGGACTAGAGGTGCATGCCACCATACCCAGCTAATTTTTAAATTTGTTTGTAGAGATGGAGATCTCACTATGTTGCTCAGGCTGGTCCAGAGCTCCTGGGCTCAAGCAATCCTCCCTTCCTCTGCCTCCCAAAATGCTGGGATTACAGACGTGAGCCACTGTGCCCAGCCAGGTTCTGAATTTGAAAGGAAAGGATACTTTTTTCCTCTTACCGTTGTATCTGCATAACTCTGTTATTTTACCTACTTTTCCTTTGTTTTTGCTATCAGTAAAAACAGAATTAAAAGACAGCAAAGTGGGGAGAGCAGTATTTTCATAGTGATATCTGCCCCTCGTGGGACCAAGAGGGAGGCTCAGGATTTCTTTCTCAAGTGTTCTTCAGTGTGTTTACTCCATACCGGCTGCTGTGGTGGGGTGCTGGCACCTCTGTACTCAAAAAAGTGCACTCATCCATACATCTCACATTCTGAACGTTGAAATTTCAATTTAGGGTTTCATAGGGGGTCCTTGAGCAACTTTTCCCCATGGTTCTAACAACTGTCATGTGAATATATTACCTCTAAAAATTGTTGAAAAGATGATAAATTAGGAGAGTTTTTTCCAGGGTTGAACCACTTTTTTGGCTGTCTCCAGCCACGATCCTGCCTATGTCCCAATCATGAAAGAAAGCGTGCATTGAGTCTATACCTGAAATGACTCTAGCTCTAATGTGTCAAGCCACAGGGTAGAGAAGAATCCATCAAGCAGTCTTGTACTTGGGGTTTGAATAGCAAAAGCAAACCAACTGTGGAATCCAAAATGGGAGTGAAAGATAAAGAAGTGGCAGGGCCAGCTACTTAATTTGTGGGGCCCAGCACACACTGAAAATGCAGGATCCCTTGCTCAAAAAGCAGGAAAAAGTGCCATTAAAAGGACTAAAATATAGAGCTTTTTCTTTCTTCTGTATTCTCTCTCTAAACTTACCTTGGTGTTTGTGATTTAGTGTTGTTCTAAGTAAAGTTAAAAATTTAAATTATTAACATGAATTTTGCCATTAATCTTTATAAGGTGCAATGCAAGTTTTAAATGCAAATGTAAAAGTATTTAACTCACATGCAGAATCACTGAAATTACACAGTTTGTATTTCATAGCTCTTACATGTCAGTGTATTTCATTCTTACCACAACAGTGGGAGTGCTTCGCAAAACTAACACATACACCACGAACACTGTTTTTTTATTTCACTTGTTGATATGCATACATTCTTACCAACACCTTCTACCCTCAGCTTACCAATGGTACTAAGGAATCACTAGAAAGAAAAGAACCTATGGGTTCCCCCATCTTTCCCGTTTCTTCTAGGTCAGCATTTTTAGTATAAGCACTTGGTTAACACAGGGAGGAAACACAAGTAAGAAAATATATGGAAGAGTTCTTTAGCAATTGTGTTTTTTAAAACATCCTTGCCTTCTTTCTGCATTCAAGACATGTTCTGATTCTAAGGAAAATTATGCCCTCTTAGGGCTATTGAGTCTAGACATAACGTGCTTACCTGAGTATAGCCATGATGTGCTTACCTTGTACTCAAGAGTCTCACTGAACTCTCATGCATTGTGAACCCACTGGAATTCTTGTTCATGGGCGTCAAGGAGCAGTGTACCTGCATATTGAGCATATCTCTGCTCTAATGTGCATGTTCAATTGTCTCATAAGACTTCATTTATAAAACATAAGTTCAAAAATAAAAGTCTTGAGAATTTCAAGATGGAGACACAGAGCATTATACTAAGCGTGGGGATCTGTGCACCTGCACAGAAGATGCTTGCCCAGGAAGCCGGCCCTGTGGGAAGCACATTCTGCCTTATCCTTCCCATTGCTGCCCCAGTTATCCTCATTGGTGGGCACCAGCTAGGCCATCTCCACAGAATTGGCAGATAAATCTTGCCTTGTCTTTTTTTCCCCATTCCCATGGTTCTTCCCCACCTCCACTCGACTTTTTTTTAAGACAGGCTTTCTCTTTGTCCCCCAGGCTAGAGTGCAGTGGCACAATCACAGCTCACTGCAGCCTCGAATTCCTGGAGCTCATGAGCTCAAGCCATCCTCCTGCCTCAGCCTCCCGAGTAACTGGGACTACAGGCACATGCCACCACTCCTGGCTAATATTTTTATTTTATTTATATTTTGTTTTTTGTAGAGACAGAGTCTCACTATGTTGCCAAGGCTGGCCTCAAACTCCTGGCTGCAAGCAGTCCTCTCATCTCAGCCTCAGTAGTTCTTCCCACTTTTCAACATTTTTTTCCTCTTCACCCCAGAATCAGGCTCTTCCCGTACTGACTGGAAATATTCAGCTTCATCTGTACCTGCAAAAATGAGTTGTGGTGGTTTGAGGAAAAGACTCCCATGCTAGTAGACCTTCTTCAGGAGATATTTGGGAAATAGCAACTCTCATATGTTGAAGATAAAGAGTATTCTGTCATGTTTTTGGACTGTGCGCTGTGTTTGGAATCACTCCTATCAATATAGGTAATGAGGAGCTGCAAAAAATTTAAAATCGGAAAGGAAATCAAAAAGTTAGGAAATATTTCATTTTGGCAAAGTCCTTCTGGCATATAGCATGGAGTTCAATTGGAGGAATTTATAATAATAAATCATAGAGGCTAGCTAAAAGGAAGCCATTGCTACAGCCCTTTGTAAAATGACAGTGTTGCCCAACACTCTGGTACTAAATAACCCTATGATTCACTGATTTCACTTATGCAGTGGGTATAGCACAGTCAAGACTTATTTGGTTGACAGCTTCAGGACTAAGGAAAATATCTCCCAAATAGAAGCAGCTGATGGCAGAAAGGAGACAGAAGCCAGGAATCTCTTTAAGGGGCTTGAGAGAAGAGGATGCCTGAGCCAGTAGGCCTCGTCTTCACAAAATCACCTGGCAGCTGGGACCCTCAGGAGGTAACACAAGCTTGGGGGTGGTGCTGGAGCTTGTCGTGTTGAAAAACACAGAGACTCTCTTGGGATATAAGTTTTTCAAGCCTAGCCCATCTCTGCCTCACTTCTAGATTGGTTTCTTCTGCGGTGCTTTCCCACTCCCCCAAAATGACTCAATCTGAAGATGGGAGAAAGTTGGCAGAGAAACCCATGACTGTTCCCTACAAAATCTGCACATCCTCATCAGTTCTTAAGAGCTTGCTTTCCTGCCCAGATGACTGAATTAATTGAATTCTTCATTCCATCCTATTTAGATCAGGGAGGAATCCTATTAGCAGAAACTTTTCCATGTAAATACGGACATAATCTACCCAGGTTTTCTGTTTTTGTTCTTGGTTTGTTTGGGGGATTTTGTTTTGGTTTTCGTTTTGGTTTGTTTGACAGGGTCGCACTCTCTCACTTAGGCTAGATTGCAGTGGTGTAATTGTGACTCAGTGCAGCCTTGACGTCCTGGAGTCAATTAAGCCTCCTGCCTCAGCCAGTAGCTGCGACCACAGGTGTGCATCACCATGCCTAGCTAATTTTTAAAATTAACTTTTGTAGAGACAGGGTTCCACTATGTCACCCAGGCTGGTCCTGCACTCTTGGGCTAAAGCAATCATTCCACCTTAGCCTCCCAAAGTGCTAGGATTACAGGTGTGAGCCACCATGCCGAGCCTGTTTGGGGTTTTTTTTGGATTTTTTGTTTTGTTTAGTTTGGTTCAGTGTGTGTTTGTGTGTGTGTGTGTGTGTGTGTGTGTGTGTGTGTGTCTGTGAATTATCTTCATACAGTGAATCAGGGAATTTGGAGAAATTTGAGGGGATAGTTACCTATATCCGGCTTGTGAAATTTCTTATTTGAATTAAAGCCATATGTGGAAGCCTGAGGGTTCTGTTGGGCTCTTATACCATACATTTGGATTTTAAGAAAGTTTAGGTACTTTGTCTTAAATAACAATGTCAGGATAAATGAAAACAAAACTGTGAATCATTATTTTTTTGTTTTATGTCAATCTTTCTTCTTGTTAGCATAATGTGAAAAGTGCTAGAGGAATATCAAATGCCTGCTACCTCATTTGGAAATTCCCATGTGTAAATTTCAAGTTAACATTTTTTAAATGAATAAATACAAATAAACTCTGAAAGGTAATTTGTTTTTTAATTCTACTCTTGAATGTGTAAAGGTGTCCAAGTCACTGTTCATAATTGGATGACCTAAAAACACCTTTAAAAGTTATGTTAAAGAGTTAATGTATTTAGAAAGACACAGAATGTTTTTTCCTCTAGAAGCTGATATTCTCGAATATAGAAGTAAAATTAAAATTTCAGCAGAATGAAAATGTATTCTATTCCATGGAATTATTGAAATGTATTTTATCCTATGGAATAAAATACATTTGATGGAATACCGATGGGATTATTCCATCAATTCCACAGAATAAAAAATGAGCCGGGCGCGGTGGCTCACGCCTGTAATCCCAGCACTTTGGGAGGCCGAGGCGGGCGGATCACGAGGTCAGGAGATCGAGACCATCCCGGCTAAAACGGTGAAACCCCGTCTCTACTAAAAATACAAAAAATTAGCCGGGCGTAGTGGCGGGCGCCTGTAGTCCCAGCTACTTGGGAGGCTGAGGCAGGAGAATGGCGTGAACCCGGGAGGCGGAGCTTGCAGTGAGCCGAGATCCCGCCACTGCACTCCAGCCTGGGCGACAGAGCGAGACTCCGTCTCAAAAAAAAAAAAAAAAAAAAAAAAAAATGAAAGTCATACACTTTTGTGAAGGTTTTCTCAAACCATGCCCCAAAGATACTGTAACTCTACATTGCTATTAGTGATTAGATAGCAGTTGCAATTATTCCATAGTCAATTCTATTCAAATATTTCAGAACACTTTCAAAATTGTTTAACTTAAATACATTCTTTTGACTATACCATTTTAAAATCAATATTGATCAAAAGCCCTATGTATAGTTATTTGACAAGCAACACGACAACCAAATAACTGTAGAGGATCTCACTTCGACCACCCAGGCATCAGTATCTCAGGACACCAGGCTTCATTTTTTAAATTAGTTTGCCATATATGTCTGAAATGTCTTCTTAGTTTACATGTTCTGTCCAGCCCCTATCAATGTTCCTTAGAAATTCTTAAAGATTAGTAAGTGAATAGACACTCATCCCATCTCTGTAAGAATCACAGGCTCTGATAGACAGAAATGACTTCTTGTCTCTCTGTCTCTGTCTCTTCCTCTCTCTCTTTAATGAAGCAGCTGCCCACTAAACTTGATCCCATATGGTCCTGTTTGAGAAAAGAAGGGAAAAAATTAAAATCAGTTCTCACTAACTAAAGGAAAATTATATGTAAACAATTGAAAGGTCTTTTCCTACTTATGGCTGACATCTCTACCAAGGTCTTAATTGCCTGCTGGGCCTAAAGGGTTATGTGTTTTTTTTTAAGCTACATGTGCTCCTGGCCAAGGACTCTCTGGGACATGCCATGAGTGGTTTTAGATCACCAGTAACTCTTGCTATTTTAGTCTGTGTCAATACTTGAAGTTGTAATTAATTTGGATGATCCTAAAAATCATAATTATGACAATTCTGATATTTGATAAGAATAACTTACCTTCAGTTTTGGCAAGAAAATCATGCTGCATTTAGCAGAAAGGCAAAAAAGTCTATGCAGTGACAATGAGTATCTCACGTAGAAGCAGACCACAGAAGCCTTGATAGGGCTTAAATTGTCCTTGTAAGTAATTTGTGGACTATTACGCACTTACTAGATTAACTGTGTTCTGCACTGTATTTTCTATCAGTAATAATGTATGTCGCATTTATTTTGTTTTTCTTCTTAACTAAGAGTTCATTCGTGGACAATATTTGTAGACAAAGCCAATTTTTGCTTTCTTCTATGTATAAATGATATGTGCAGCCACAGAATACAATATTTCACTTTTGTTCTGGACTAAACCACAGTAATAAAAACAAACTAGAATCATTGTTAGATTTTTCTCTCTTGCTCCTGAGGTTTTTCCTCTTTTAATTCAGTTTTATTTGTAATGATTACATTTCTTAAAGGGTTTTCTGATTCTTCAAATTATAAAAAGAAAAATAATATATATACAAGAGGGGAGAGGTTTGAGGAAATAATAGTAAACATCTAAGATGTTGAAGTTGGGCTTCTTGTTTGGATTTACCAGATCATTCAAATTATGAACACTGAAAAGGGGGAAAAAAGGCTTTTGAATGTGTAAAGAATGATCTCCGCAACACTGATAAACTTTTATAAGTCCTTTCTAAAAATTAATCAAGAATTATACTTTTAGTATGTGTCCATATTGGGGTGGCAGCAGGTTTTATAATAAATTGGTAGGAAAACATTTATTTAGATTCATTCAAGTTATAAGTGCATAATGAAAGGAAAGGAAATGTAATTTAGAGCCAGAAGTTCTATGTTTAAACATTGACTGTAGTCTGTATCAGCAGTTTGATTTTTGATAAATTATTTTCTTTGAGCTTCAGGTTCTTAATCTATAAAGTGCAGGTAATAATAATAACAATAATCAGCTCTACAGAGTTGTAATGGGAACCAAGTAAATGCAAGAATGTTAAAGTGTATGTGTACATTTGTAAAAAATACTTAATAGAGGATTAATATTCTACACTATAAAAATGGCTTCTTACTTAATGGAGTTAAAGGAGAAATAAATGACCATGTAAGTACAGAGGGGGAAAGTATAAACTAATTTGTTTTTGCTTCTTTTCTGTTTTTTTATTATTAATTTTTTCATACTTACTTTTAAAAAGTTGATAAGCAGGAAGACTACTTCATTGTGCCTTTAATAAGTAGATACTAGTTGTGAAGAGGTAATGATGGCAGGATTTAAAGGACTGTGTTCTGTTTGCACCTATGGCTAACTCAGTGTGGCCAGGTTGAAGTCCCTTTACTGCTCCGTAAGTCTGGTTGTTTCAACTATGAAATAGGAGTAGTCGGCTTAGAAAAGCTGATAACCCACAGAGAGGGCCCCTGACTCTCCTGAACCACAGAGAGGCATACTCTCCTCGGCCTGGGACCCGCCAGACCTCTTAGAGGTCAGGCTCCCAGTTGCTGGACACCTGAGCTGATCCTGGGTGCCCAGTGGCCCCAATTCACTTCCTCGGGGCTGTGGGACTTGGGAGAAAAGGAAAGTTACTTGCTGGCAGCCCTCTGGCATGACATATTTTCTCTACTACAGATGTTTCAGGCCCCATGGATGACAGTACCCATTCTTCATATTTCACAGGGTGCCTTTTGTTACCCCTTGTGTATCCCCTTGATAAAACTTTTTAAATTAAAATTTGACATATTTTGGTGGCAACAATGTTATTCTAAAATATACTTTTGAATTAGTTTCTCCAGAATACTTCTCCAGAATACTCTCTAGAATATAAGCAGCCCTAGCTACAGGGGAGAGGTAGGGAGGAGACAAAAAAAAAAAATGTTCTGGATTTAGTTGGCATTTTGGTTCTTACTTTCCAATACCTGTTACTTTTTTAAAATAGTTAATTTAGATTTGTAAAATGAGTTGAGTATGGGTTGCACCTAATGATATTAGTTATGGTCTATTTTGGTTTTGTGGCATGTCCCATAGATATATGTCTTGAATATTCTTAAGTGAAAATTAAAAAGGGCATCCCATCGTTTGAAATATATCAGTGAATTTTTTCAACAATTTCCTTTTTTTAAGAGTACAATCCATACCCCTCAGTTCAATTTTATTTTCTCTAAATGTTCCATTTTTCTTTCCTCCAAATTCTATTGCTTTGTGTGTTTTCTTTCAAGCATACCTACAATAAAGCCATCTGTTGTCCAAGGGGTCATTCCTCCATGAATCATGCTCTGTCAAAATTTTGAGGTTATAAATGTTCAGCTAATTGAGCAGTCTGACTAGCTGAATACTTGTAAGTGCTTTATAATATCTTTCAACACTTCAAAACCCTGACCCACTTAAACTCCAGAGTCCTAGAGCAAACAGGACAAGTTATTCACATGAATTCTCACTCTGATAAAACTAAAAACATGTTCATGAAATTTCCTCAGAATTTGGAATAAAGTGAATGTAGCTCTACTTTTAAATATTTATTTTTGAGCTGTGTCTACATTATGCCAAAGCAAGTGGTTCGGAAGTAAAAAAAACCTTAGCCAGTTGGCCAATTATTTTGACCACCCTGTATTAAAGAATTAAAGAGCTAAATTAACTTGCTTTCCCCCTTGCCAACTTGATTGGGTGTTTTGGCATCATGGATACTTTTAGTTTCGAAGAAAAAAGTCTCCTCTCTCTCTCTGTCTCTCCTCTCTCTCTCTCGCTCTTTCCCCCCCTCTCTCCCTGTTTCCCCTGCCTCTTTCCCCTTCCAATTACTTTCTTTTTCTTTGTGAGTCTTCACAGAGATGAGACACTGGAAATGAATGCACAAATGCATAAACACTTATACAACTTACATGACAGCTCAAGCCACCCATCCCATGTAATTCTTAAGATTTCTGTGCGTTCCTAGGGGACTTATATTCCTGTGGTCTCTTCTAGCTTCAGGTTTCACATTTCACAGGATTCCAAGTCTTATTCCTGTATCAGTTTCATTCTCTTTGCCCTGCATGAAATCAAGCATAGAACTCAGGCCTTTTCCTTCATTCCCTCAAAAAAGCAAATCTGCTCACAAAAAGTATTTTTCTTATAGCTGACTTTACTGAAAGTTGGGCGAGACTAAAGTAGTTTACAGAACAGTAACACAATTTTCAATATTGGATATTTCTAGACTTAAAGGTATGTTGGTGCCCACATCACATGGACTAGACTTCCTCTTATCCTTTATAAGAGAATCTAACTTTCTTTCATGGAATCCAAACTCAGCTCTGCATTGCCAAGGCACATTTAAAGCCTCACTAAGTGCATTTCTAAATATCTACTTCAGGACTTCCCAATTGTCTGTCTTTTGCCAGTCTCTTCAAGGGGTGTAAAAAAATTTTACTGCACTCTTGAGAAATATCTGTGCTTCAGCACACACACGTGCACATACACCACTGTCTCCACACTCACACCCCATAGAAAGTGGAAGTATTGATAGTCAGTTTAGTCAGTTTGGGTTTTAAGCAAAAATGTCTCTTGAATACACTTATATTAAATATTTAAAAGTTTATAGTTATTATAAATGGATAGTATCTTAGTGGACACTTTTGACTTACCCTCCAGGCTGGCCCTGGCTTATACCTCTGTCTTAATCCCATATCATGCCACATTAGCCTTTCTGTTCCTTGAAGGGCAAGCTCATTCCCATCGTGTAAACTTTGAACCTTCCTATTGTGTCCACAGTTGGTTCCTTCCAGTGGGTTTGTGGTCTTGCTGACTTCAAGAATGAAGCCGCAGTCCTTCACGGTGAGTGTTACAGCCCTTAAAGATAGCATGGACCCAAAGAGTGAGCTGTAGCAAGGTTTATTGTGAAGAGCAAAAGAACAAAGCTTCCACAGTGTGGAAGGGGACCAGAGCGGGTTGCCACTGCAGGCTGGAGTGGCCACTGCTGGCTGGGGTGCCCAGCTTTTATTCCCTTATTGGCCCCTCCCATGTTCTGTTTCTGTCCTATCAGAGTGTCCTTGTTTCAATCCTCCCTGTGATTGGCTACTTTTAGAATCTTGCTGATTGGTGTGTTTTACAGAGCGCTGGTTGGTGCATTTTACAATCCTCTTGCTAGCTACAGAGCACTGATTGGTGCATTTTACAATCCTAGCTGCAGAGTGCTGATTGGTGTGTTTTTACAGAGTGCTGATTGGTGCATTTTACAATCCTCTTGCTAGCTACAGAGTGCTGATTGGTACATTTTTACAGAGCACTGATTGGTACATTTTACAATCCCCTTGCTAGATACAGAGTGCTGATTGGTGCATTTTACAATCCTAGCTACAGAGTGCTGATTGGTGAGTTTTACAATCCTCTTGCTAGACAGTAAAGTTCTCCAAGTCCCCATTTGACCCAGGAAGTACAGCTAGCTTCACCTCTTACTATCTCTGTGCATCTTAGCAGACTGATGGGTTCTCATAATGTGTTCCTTAGCTTGAATTTCTCCTTGTTAGAGGTGGCTATCCAATCTACAGCAACATCTTCCCATCCCTCAGCCACTTCACCCAATATTATCTATAAAAGTCAGTTTTATTTTTTTAAAAGGAATGATCACACTCTGAGATTATCTTTAACTTGTATTGAAATAGTACCAATTCTCTCTGCCAAAAGGACAGAGAATCCTTTTCTACATACTTCTGAATATCTCTAGAATCCAGAAGTGTGGGTGATACTCTGTAAGTGCTTAATATATTTTTAAAAATAAAAAAATTTCTATCGTTAAGAAACAAGTAAAATTCGCTAGATAACTTTAAACCAAAACACATTAAATCTAATATATTTTAAAGTACATGTCATATTATCTGTCCCATAATTGTTAATATTGATTGAATAATGATTATTATAATAGCCAGGACTTCCTGATGTTAACCTGATGATAAAGACCACCATTTACTACGTTCATATTTAGAATGTAAATGTTCAGAAGAAATAGTATTAGCCTGGGAATTAAAACAGCCTAGTTAGAGATTAGCATCATGGAATCCTAACCCAATATTCTCATTTAATGTTTATGTCAACTGCGACACAGAAAAGCTATCTTGCACAATATTAGTGGCAAATTCAAGTCTAGAATCAGGTTTCTTAAATCTCATATGACTAAACTCCTTCCTAAATTATGTCTTTAGTCCTAATCTAAAAGTAATCAGTTACTTCATGTTTTCATTTATGGAATAAGCAGGTGGAATTATATGATCTCACAGCATTTGCAGCTCAGTCATGCTCTTTCTCCCTTCTCCTTTGTTCATCAATTATTCCACAACTTTACTGGGAGCAGTCTCCTTAAATTCTCATTCATATTGTCAAGCTCCTGCTTGATGATACCTGGCGCTTTCAATGGCTTTAAATATCTCTTATTCAGGGGGCACTGGTGGCATCTGACAACACAACAGAACTCATAGCTACTCAATCCCTAAGTAGGTAAAAAGGGATGGTTGATCATGGGCATGCATCTCTTTGGAGTATTTCCTGAATATTGCAGAATAAGGCTTATCCAATCAAATATAATGTAATAAGGTCAATTATAAGCAAACCAAAGTTAAAGTTATATTTAGTATAGACCAAAGTTAAAATTACAGCACTGTAGGATGACATTGTTAGGACTTTTTGGCAATCAATGTATTTGATTTAGAATCAAACTGCCTTGTTCATCATGGGGAAAAATTTTGTCCTGTGTGTTTCCCCTGTTATCAATCGGGTTTTCATTTTGCCTTCAAATGGAGCTGATTATCTGTAAACATATGTATAAGAATATCACAGACTAGAAAGAAATCATATTCACTGGTTTAAAAGCCCTTGGCTGAATCAGATTTAGTCTGATAATGTAGTATCTCACAAAAAGTTACAAAAACCACCAGGTTAATTCAGTTCTCTATAGAATAGGGAAAACATTTTTTAAGAAAGAAATTGCATATAAGTAAATCTTCTAAACTATTATCTAAATTCAGAAACTTTAACTTTTCTATGGTTTGGAATTTCTAAATACACTAAGAAATTAAAAAAATATATATATGTGCTGTGTTCATACCTAAAGAGGACTTTCCTAACACGGGTTACACAAGTGTGAGGAAAAAAGATAATAACTTATCTTATACACTGAGATAATTCTCTGCCTTTTACTTAGAATGGTTATTTTGCAGATCTTAGAACATTTGACTAAATCAGTCTTGGCCTAACCACTGGCAAACCATAAAGAGCTATAGACAAGAAGAAATAGAATGGGATAAAATAATGGGACAAAAACTATGAAGTGTATTTCAGAGAAAAATAGAACAATTGAAATTTACTGTGTTTATATTATACAGTAATCAGTATTATCAAGGATCTATGGACTCTCTGAAAATATTCATGGGGGTCCATGAACTCTCAGAATTTCAATGTAAAATTGTGAGTTACATTTTTGGGGAGTCAAGAGACAATCTGTAGTTTTCATCATATTTGTGAAGGGAATCTGTGGCCCAAAAAAGGCTAAGAAGGACACACCACTGGCTCAACAGAGTATTAGAGAACGTGCATCATAACGAAAGAAGATGTTAATTAAATCGGAATCTCCCTTCTTCCCATTGTCAATTATATTTGACATTTTTCATTCCCATTTTATATCAAGCTTAGGGATAGCTGAAGTATATGAAGATAATTTAGTGAGTGAAGACTCAGGGAAGAGCTTTAAGTAAAAAGTGAGAACATAAGATGTATTAGAAAACAAGATGTATTAGAAAAGATAAAAAAATATGGATCAGCTCAATGGCAAAGTAATAATGGTTTTACACACAAAAACTGTAATATAAGATATGAAGCAACTGTTATTTATTCCCCTTACATTTTGTTTTCATTAGTAACAACAGCTAATTTTTACTGAGAGGTTACTATCTGCTTTAGAAGTGCTCAGCATATTTCTTTTACAATTGAGTCTTTACAACAAACCAGTGGAAGAAAAGGAGTTTTTTTCTCTCCATTTTTCGGAAGGAAACTACTAAGTTATCTTGTTGGATAAGGAAGGACATCCAAAAAGAGATGGCACTTATTTGAATTATCAAAGATCAATGTGTACATTTTTGGAATGATAATGGAGTTCAGGGTGTAAGGAAAGAAGAGCTGACAGAGAAGCAGGGTAAGAAGTATAACAGCAAAGTGAGAATTCAGGTAGATATAAAGAAACCTCTTGAGACAGTGTTGACTATAAGAAGAGACTGATGAGGAAGGCTTTGAAATTTTGTCTTCTAGAAGTTTTCACTAGAATAGGGTTATGTTGCATCAGATGAGACTCTACATGAAGGCTGAAGAATAGACAACATTTTTTTCCCCAAGCCTCTTCCAAGTTTGATTTTTCAAAAGCTAACTCTTAAGTACCCCTAAGCAAAATAAATATTCATAATTTATAAATAGGTCAATGGTAGACTTTCTTAAGAAGCCTCTTGACTGTTGTTTTATAAGAAGCTCTATCAATTTGAGAGCAAGGAGATATGGAGAGGAAATGTGTTGACTGGGAACACTCTAAGGGAAGGATATGGTGACATGCCTGTCCCTCAAAAGAGCAATAACCACTTTGAAAATATGAAATGAGCCCATGGGTAGACCCAAACGTGTATTAAAAATATACTGCAAAGAATCCAGCAATTCTATTTCTGGGTATATTCCCCAAAGACTTGAAAGCAGGGACTCAAACAAATACACTCATGTTCCTAAAAACATCATCACAATAGCCAAAAGGTGGAAGCAGTTCCACTGTCCATTGATGGTGGAATGGATGGATAAAATGTGGTGTATACAGACAATGGAATACAGCTCAGCCTTAGAAAGGAAGGATATTCTGACACATGCTACAACGTGGATGAACCTTGAAGACATTACACTAAGTGTAAGAAGCCAGTCAAAAAGGACAAATTCTGTATGATTCTATTCATATAAGGTACATAAAGTAGTCAAATTCATAGAGACAGAAAGTGAAGTGGTGGTTGCCAGGGACCCGGAGGGGAAGGACATAATGGGGAGTTATCATTCAATTGGTACAGAGTTTCAGTCTGGGCTGACAAAGTTCCAGAGATGGATGGTGAGGATGGTTGCAGAACCATGTCAATGTAGTTAATGCCACTAAACTATACACTTAACTAATTAAGAGAGTAAATTTTATGTTACGCATATTTTATCACCATATATAGTGAAATAAAGTATACATTTGTATATATAATAAATATAATATGTATATTATGATAAATATAAAGTATATTTTATATTTATATATTAATATATTTATATCTAAATATATACATAAATATATAATAAATATCAGATTAATATCATTAAAACATTATGTTTATAACATACACAAAATATATAACATATTTGGAAAAGAGAACAGAAGTTAAGTAAATTTATTTGATATTTTTACTCTTCAGCTAGGGTAGATTTCTAGTCCTAGGCTTCAAATACAGATATGCAATTGAATTTCAGCCTGAAGAAGACAGGGTTAAAAATTATACATTTATAAAACATAGTAATTAATAGATTTACCTGTGTTTGATGAACATAAAATTTTTGCCTTAAATTCCTATATGTTATATAGCTTCATTTAAATATAGTTAAAATATTATATGAATAGTATCATATATCTCTTGTTATTTATTGAGCATAGTGAACTTAGAATTTTATTATCCAGATTGAAAATGTTGTTTGACATGGTTGATGACTAGTGGCTTATGTGGTAGGAAAATATTTTACCAGGAACTCTTGGCTAGTGGGGAGGCCAGTAAGATGTATTATCAACACTTTAAAATGGTGGTATAGTCACAGAGTGCACAGTCTAATAGATGGCTAACAATTTGACAAATATCATTTTTTAAAAATTAAATGCACTGGAATGTCTCCCTATAATGTTTTCCAGAAATCTAGGATTTTTTTTTTCAGTGATATATGATCCTCTTTGGGCCCTTAGCCAGAACTTTAAAAAATGAACGTTAGCTGCAGGAAAATGTTAAACGAAGGCATATTGTGATGAATTTCACTGTCTAGTATTTATTTTAAAGGGTTTAACCTAATATACAATACAGTAAAACTTTGCTTTCTCATACATAATGTATTAAAAAATTTAGTCCCTTAGAAAACATTACCAATGAGTTACACTGAATAACAAATCCATATATACTTAGAGCTAGGATTTTGTCAGTACAGTTTATTTTTTCATAGCTGTTCTGAATGGATATTTTAAACTTAAATGGGTTTCATTTCTCCTCAAATAAAGCATCTTTAGAGAAGAAATTTTTAGGGAACAGATGAAATTTCATTACCACACATGTGGTTACACCTTGTCAGAATTTAGGTCCTAAATTTCACTGTGATATTGATATTTGCACACATTTAAAGTGACATTATTTGGCAAAAGAACAAATACCTAGTTTGAGTTAGTGGTGCACATGGTGGTAACTAACCACGAACTACAAGGTTAAAACAATTTTTCAAATCACCTGTTAATGTGATAAGACCAGGCTCAGGTTTTCCCTACCCTCATTTTCAACTGGCCCTTTTGTTCAGCCAATAGGTGAATAAAAGTTTGCAATTGACAGATGTATTCTTTACTCAAATGGAAAGGAGACAAGGGTAAAATATTAATGGAAATGGTTGACTGGCACCTTTGTGGACATTAATCCCTTATTTTAAAATTGAGTAGTGCTTCTAGTATAACTGTACTTAGTTTGACTCCAAATCAAGGATTCCATTTAGATGAATAAACTAACTGGATTGATCTTGTAAAAATCTATTTCTGGAAGAATTCTGTTCTATAGAATAATTTATCGAGTAGAAAGTGATGTTGGAATATCTCTCCATTTTGCCTATTACTTCTCTCTCAGCCCATCACTTCACATAAATGGAACATGCCAAGCTAAACAAATTCTACCAAATGCTTAGACTTACCCCTCCTTCTTTTTTTTTTTTTATTATACTTCAAGTTTTAGGGTACATGTGCACATTGTGCAGGTTAGTTACATATGTATACATGTGCCATGCTGGTGCACTGCACCCACTAACTGGTCATCTAGCGCTCTGCAGTGGTGTTCCCCACAGTTAATGAGTCTTCTGGGTTGCGAATCTACTATTTAACATTTTCCATTTTGATTTTTCTTAAATTTTTATGGGTCGACATTGTTGACAACCCTTAATAATTATTTAAGACTGTTTTGGTTTTGTTTGATCCCTTGAAATTTGAAGATTGTCACGGTGTGGCACTGTTGCTATGCAATATATCCAGTCGTATCTTCTGTTCTTCAAAGGTCTTGTCTCCCTCTTTCTCCCTTCCTCCCATCTTCCCAACCCACAGAAAACTCTGAAATCTTCATTTGCCCTGTGTCTCACAGGAGCTGTTCTCTCCTAGGCCTCATGGAGCTTTACCCTGGGCATACAGAGTCCAGAAACCACAGTAGGGATGGAACCTGCATCCATACTTATTCCACCCACCAGAGTAGCTTCCTTAACACTGGAAACCTGCCTCTCAAATTTCACCTTCCTCCATGCCTCTGAAAGCAAATAACTACTGCCTCAGCAACACAAGATTACTATATTCTGTTTGGACTCCATTCTTCATATAGTCAAGTTCAAAACAGCTCATCATTTTTCCTTTTCTCAAAAATTCCATACCACCCATTGCCCAAAGCCTCAACAGTTCATGGCAAATTTTATCCATGTTTGGGATGATTACCAGTGGGAGGGCAATTCTCTTAGCAATTACCGCAACATGATCAAAGTTGAGATTTTATAGAGTTCTTTAAAATTTTTAAATATAATTTACACGTAAAAATCACCTTTATAAAGTATGCAATCCAGTGGTTTTTAGTATATCCACAAAGTTATGTAACCATCACCACTGTCTAATTCCAAAACGTTTTCAGCATTCCCAAAAGAAACCCCAAACACATTAGCAGTCACTCCTCATCACTTTATCTCCTCGGCCTCTGGAAACTACTAATATACTTCCTGTCTCTATAGATTTGCCTATTCCAGAAATTTCTTATACATTAAACCATACAATATGTGGTTCTTTGTGACTGGATTCTTTCATTTAGCATAATGTTTTCAAGGTTTAACCATGTCATAGCATGTATTGATTGGTACTTCATTACTTTTTATTGTGAAATAATATTCCATCATTTGAATGTACTGTATTTATTTATCTAGTAATGAGTTGATGGGCATTTAGGCTGTTTCCATTTTGCAACTATTATGCCTAATGTTGCTATCAACATTCATGTACAAGTTTTGTGTGGATATATGTTTTTATTTCTCTAAATCGATCTGCGTATCCTAATTAACATATACCTAGGTGTGGCACTGCTGGGTCAAATGGTAATGCTATGCTTAAATTTTTGAGGAACTACCAGACTGCTTTTCAAAGAAGCTACACCATTTTACGTTTGCACTGCAGTGTTGAGGGTTACAATTTTTATATATTTTCACCAGCACTTTTTATGAACTGCCTTTTGATGATAGCCATCCTTGTGGTTGTGTAGTAGGATTTCGTTGAGGTTTTGATTTGCATTTTCCTGATAGCTAATAACAGTAGCATCTTTTCATGTGCTTTTATCTTCTTTGGAGGACTCTCTATTCAGATACTTTGCACATTTCTAATTGTTTTTATTTTTGCTGAGTTGTAATCATTATTTATATATTCTAAATACAAGACACTTATCGGATATATGATTTGCGAAAGTTTTCTCCCATTCTATTTGTAGTCTGTTCACCGTTTTGATCGTGTTTTTTTGGAGCACTTAAGTTTTTAATTTTTATGATATCCAGTTTATCTTTGGTTGTTGCTATTGCGCATTCATTTGGTATCATATATAAGAAATAATTGACAAATCAATTGTCATCAAGATTTATAATTTCTTCCTTAGAGTTTCATAGTTTTAGCTTACATTTAGATCTTTTATCCATTGTGGGGTAATTTTTGTACGTGGTATGAGTTATGGGTACAACTTTTGCATGAGGTGTCTAGTTAGTAACATTTGTTGAAAAGACTATTCTTCCCCTCATTGAAGTGTCTCACCATCTTTGTTGAAAATCAACTGATCATAAGGTAAGGAAGGGTTTATTTCTGAACTCTCAGTTCTATTCCACTGATCTTTATGTCTATCCTTGTGCCAGTACCACACTATCTTAATTACTGTAGCTTCATAGTAAGTTTTCAAATAAAAGAAGTGTGAATCTGCCAACTTTGGTTTTTTTTTTTTCTTAAGATTGTTTTGGCTATCTGGATCAGTTGAATTTCCATATGAATTTTAACATCAGCTTATCAGTTTATGCAAACAAAAGCTACAATTTTCTTTGCTTTTTTTTTTTTTTTTTTTTTTTTTTGAGACGGAGTCTCTCTCTGTCGCCAGGCTAGAGTGCTGTGGCGCGATCTCGGCTCACTGCAACCTCCAACTCCCTGGGTCAAGGGATTCTCCTGCCTCTGCCTCCCGAGTAGCTGGGATTACAGGCATGCGCCACCATGCCCAGCTAATTTTTGTATTTTTAGTAGAGATGGGGTTTCACTATGTTGGCCAGGATGGTCTCGATCTCCTGACCTCGTGATCTGCCCACTTCGGCCTCCCAAAGTGCTGGGATTACAGGCGTAAGCCACCACGCCCAGCCAAAAGCTACAATTTTCATAGGGATTATGCTGAATGTGTAATATCAAATTGGAGAGTATTGCTATCTTAAGAATATTAAGTCTCTCCATTCATGGATGCCTTTTCATTTATTTAGGTCTTTAATTTCTTTCAACCATGTTTCATGGCTTTCAGAGTAGAAGTTTTTGGCTTTTCTGTTGAATTTATTCCTAAGTATTTTTTGGATGTTATTGTAAATGAAATTGTTTTCTTAATTTCATTTTCAGTTTGCTCATTGCCACTATATAGCAATACAATTGGTTTTTGTATATTGATCTTGTATGCTGCAGCCTTGCTGAAATTATTAATTCTCATAGTTTTTAGTAGATTCCTTAGGATTTTCTATATACAAAGTCATGCCATTTTCAAGTAGAAATGGATATACTATGCCTCATTATTATTAGAAAAAAAGGACCAACTTCATAACAATGTGCCTAGGTCCTACCTTTCCTGGCATAAGTGTAAATCTCCAGTTCTTTTCCTGCTGCTCTCCTCTTGAACTCTATTATCTGGGCAGACTGAATTTATTTTAGTTTTTTGAAAGTGCAATACAATTGATCCTCATTATTGACAGATTCTATATTTACAAATGCTCTTACTGGCTAACATTTATTTGTAATTCAGAAGTCAATACCCCTGGTGCTTTCAAAGTTATTCACCAACATGCTCAGAGCAGTGAAAAATGAGTCACCTGAAGTACATGTTTCCAGCTGCAGATGAATGAGATGATGTTCTGCCGTCTGGTTTCAGCTCTCATACTGTGAATAAGTGTCCTTTGTGTGGTCTATTTGGTGTGACTTTTTTGCACGTTTGTGGTTTTTGTTAGTGATTTTGCTATTTAAAATCATTCCCAAGCATAGTGCTGAAATGTTGCCTATCATTCCTAATACGGTTTGGCTGTGTCCCCACCCAAATCTCATCTTGAAGTATAGTTCCCATAATCCCCACATATCATGGGTGGGACCCAGTAGGAGGTAACTGAGTCATGGGGGCGGTTACCTTTATGCTGCTGTTCTCATAATAGTGAGTTCTCATGAGATCTGATGGTTTTATAAGGTGCTTTTCCCCCTTTGCTTGGCACTTCTCTTCCTGCCACCACGTGACAAAGGATGTGTTTGCTTCCTCTTCCATAAGTGATTGTAAGTTTCCTGAGGCCTCACCAGCCCTGCAGAACTGTGAGTCAATTAAAACTCTTTCTTTTGTAAATTACTCTCCCTAGGGTATATCATTATTAGCAGCCTGAAAACAAACTAACGCAATTCCTAAGAGCAAGAAGACTGTGATACACCTTATGTAGGAAATACTTGTGTTAGGTAAGCTTTATGTAGGCATGAGTTAGAGTGCTGTTGTCTGAGTTCAATGTTAATGAATCAACTGTATATTTAAGTGTCTTTAAGCAGAAACATGCATCAACTAAAGTTATGTATTGCTTGGTTAATGAAATATTGTGACCAGAGACTTGTAGGAGTGTACCCCTGTGTTTTCCCTAGTGGCAATGATTCAGTATTTGCTAATTCAGTGTTCAAGGGGAATTTTTAGAACGTAACTACTACAAATAACAAGAATCTTCTGTAAGTAAAATGATAATAATGACAATAGAAAGATAGCTAAAATTACTGAGTGTCAACTACGGACCAGGAACTATGTAAACAATTTATAGGCACTATCTTAGTTTAATTCCCATTATTTTATTTAACTCATGAGACCGATATTATTATTAACCCCATCTCTTAGATAAGTTAACATTAATGTTAACACAACACAAAATTTCATTAGGGAGAATTACAGTATCTGACTAACACTGTAATTATTCATTACCTATAGGCCTTCTGTGATTCGTGATGGGGAAGATGAGGGTTACATAGGGAGGAGGATTATGACTATCCTCAAATGGAAAATGCCCTGATAGCCAATTAAAAAAAGACAGAACAAATAAATACACAATTTTCAAAGCATAATCTTATATTTCACTTAGAATTCTGTCCCAGAGCTCTGTTAATTGCAATTGCAGATACCTACATAGAGCTTCCTATTGAGTTGGGGAGGGGAGAGGTGGGAGCCAGGTTAGCCCAGAAAAAAATAGGCCAGCCCTTTCCTAAGAAATATGAAGCCCTCAAACAAACATCAATGGATGGGACTTCTCTTTTTAAATTCAAAACAGCCTGTTGATTTAAAGATACTTGTTTCAATTTCAAATTATGAGGAGGTACGTGGTGTCTTCTTTAAAAAATGAAGAAAATTGGCTCTAGGAAGGAGAAAGAAAGGAATCACAGTATTAAATCTCTATGGAGATTAAGCAACATTTTTGTTGAAAGACAAAAGAAAGGTCTTTGGTGCCAAGAGGAACCAATCACTCAGAGAGAAAAGAAATTGAATAGCTCTAGTTAACTTGACTTTGCAGATCTTGGTTTGAGGCCATTTCTCCTATTCTTGACTCAAAAAAAAGAAAATAATCCACTGAGATTAAAAACTACTGTGGAAACTGTGGTCTTTGTTGCAATCCAAGAGAGTAACAGGTCCCCCCAAAAAGAGATGAAAACAAATGACTTCTCAATTGCATATTCTTTCTGTAGAAACAGACAAAAACAAAAAATATAAGAGTTCCATTACAGGGCCTCAATACTCAGATCTAATACTGTTGAACATACAGAGAGAAGAAAACATTTTTAACTGGTATTAGAAACATATTCAACAGAATTTAAAGTCCAGGATATTTTATACTATTTAATTTATTTCTCAATTCTCTGCCATATTTTTTAACTCATCAGAAAGATTTCTAAAAAACACATTCTAGTTTAGGTGCCTACCATTTCTTTTATTTAAAATTTTATAATTTATATTATAATTATATTTTCAAATGTTTTGAGACATTCATGGTTGGGACTATTTCTATAGTTCATGCTGTCATAGGTTTGAAGGGAAGTACCTAATAGTAATATATGACAGGGATTCATCAGCTGTTTATGAAATAAGTGAATGAATGAATGAATTAATATAGGAAGTTGTTTTCATTAAACAAAATTAATTCTTCTATGAATAATGCTAATTAATTAAAGCTTTTGTATTTAGTATTGGAACTATGTTGACTTGCATTGAGTTTATGTTGACTAAAATGTTATAGTCCTCTTGGTAACACTTCACTGTTTAGAATCTCTACAGAGTGAGTGTTCTATATGCATGTAATGCTCACTAGCTTTCTTCCCTTCTCAGCTCCTCTCCTGGTGAATTGTTTTTGTTTCGTTTTATTTTTTAAGACAGGGAAGGTCTTGCTCTGTCACCCAGCATGGTGCAGTGGCATAGCTGTGGCTCACTGAAGCCTCGATCTTCTGGGCTCAGGCAATCCTTTCACCTCAGCCTCCTGAGTATCTGGGACTTCAGGTGGACACTCCTGTCCCTGGCAAATTTATTTTTAATTTAGTTTTTGTGGAGACAGGGTCTCACTATGTTGTTCAGGCTGGTCTCAAACTCCTAGCCTCAAGTGATCCTCCCCGCTCAGCCTCCCAAAGTGCTTGGATTTCAGGTATGAGTCTCCATGCCCAGCCTCCTAGTAAATTGTTAATAAAGAATTAATTCTTTATTCAGACCTACACCACACAACTAGCAAGGACAGCGAGATACCATTCTGGATTATTAGAAAGAGTTCAATTAAACTTTATGAAACTTGGAATGACATCAAATTTATTTTCAGCTAAATTTAGCTCTGAGTAAATTGTGAAAAAAGAGAAGTTTATTTTTAACCCTTACCCTCCAGATTTCCATTTTATGTCCCAGAATCTCTTTCTTCCATTGCCTGCTTGCACTTGCCTTGATCCAGGCCCTTTAAAGGATCCATTAGCTACTTTCTAGAGGCAACTACATCTACAATAGCTCTTCATTTGGGCCTAATGTGAGCTGTCCTGTGCTCAAAACCCTTTCAGATTCTCTTGCATCTTCCCATCTATATCAAAACTTTCTTCTGAGTTCCATAGTGTCAAGACCCCACTCTCTGCTTTTCAAGGGGATTGCTAACTAATCTGATGAACTCAGCCTCATTTATGTGATATTCAGATTAATACATTTTGAAAGAAGTCTTCCCTTACCCCTTTGTAAGAATGATTTTATTGAATAATAAAGTATAGTCAGAAAAAATGAATTAGTCATGAGTATATGATTCAATTAAGGTGAATACACACAAATAACCAGTACCCAAACTAAGGAACAGAACATTACCAACAGCCCAAAAGCCCTTTTCTAAGCACTATTGCCCCAAAAGTATGTATTATTCTAACTTCCCGCAGCATATTGTCCATTTTTATACTTTACTTTAATTGAATCATATATATAATATATATATTTAAAGATATATATAATATATATATTTAGATATATAATATATATATTAATGATATATATATACTCTTTTGTGCTTCTTTTAACATTATGCTTGTGAGATTGCTTTATATTGTTTCATGTGTTTGTGAGGCATTCTCATTGTAAATATAGCATTCCATTGTGCGAATATTCCACAATTTAATTTATTCATTTTATTGTTAATTCGCATTTGGGTAGTTTTCTGTTTGAGGATATTATAAACAGTGCCATGAATAGTCTTCACATGTTTTATTTGTTTGTTTATTTTGTTTTGTGTTTTGGTGAACTTAACATTGCATTTCTAGTGAATATATACGTAGGAGTGGAATTGTCTGTTCATAGAGTACACATATTTTCAGCTTTAGTAAAGGTTTGCAAAACGTTCAAAGTTTTCCAAACTGGTTAACCAGTATATACTCCCTGTAGCAGAATGTTAGTGTGTCTGTTTTTCAAAATCCTCCCCAACACTTGTTATTGTTTGCCTTTTCCTATTAGTTATTTTTGTGTATATATAGTAATGTCTCACTATAATTTTAATTTGCTGATTGTTATTATGCTGACGGCAATGAAATTTAGCATTGTTCATGTGTTTCTTGGCTCTCAATGTGCCTTCTTTTGTGAGGTGCCTCTTGAAGACTTTTGCCTATTTTCTATCATTGTCTTTTTTTGGCTAATTTATAGACATAATTACATTTGAAAAAGGAGCTTTAATGGTGAGAGCATGGTGGTAAGCAAGGTGTATAAAGCTGGGGAAAGATGTCTAGGCATATGGTTGTTTCTATTTCTAGGTACTTTCCTGTGTCTCAGCCTTACTTTGTACTTTCAGGTAACACAGGAACACAACTCCTGTCTTTAGCCACATACATCCTTTGGACCAATATCCTACCTTAGAACTGACATTTACCATCCCAGTTGCACATTTATGTTTATTTTTTATTTTAAATTGGGACTGAGAAAAATCTGATTCGAAGTCAAGATTCTGCTGAGTTGGCATCAAATATCAAAATCCAAGTGGAAAAAAATTGCAGAGAACTAGAACAAGTGAGGGTAGAGTGGAATAAACATCTCAGCCTTAGTTGTCATGTCTCTTGGCCACGGATACCGCTATGGTAATGTTATCCTATGTGAGTGGTCACAGTAACCAAAAGCACAGCCTCACTGAAAGGCATCCAGAGGAATGAATTAGCCCACAGCATTTGGACCAGCTGGAGAAATTTTCCCAGCAGTACTCCTCCAAAAAGAAGGCAAGCAGCAATACAGAGAATAACAATAATGCCAAACTATGAATGTTGTCAGCTGTATTTTCCATTTGTCTAAAACTTCTTACTTAGTCATGGGCCTACTATAACTTCCTAGGTTGAAAATCAACTTTTAATTCAATTGGTATAACGAATAGGCCATTATACAAATGCTTGGAAAGGTACTTGCAGGAATGCTGATTAGTGATCATTGCAGTTCATCCTGATTTAATATAACCCCAGATTTCAGGTCTTTACGCCTGTGTATTTTTTACATAGTACCATCAATTCCGCGGCAATTAATTCTTTTTGGTTTTGGTTTTTGTCTGTTTTAATGTTCACTAATAGTGTGAGCCTACCACCACCCAACCACAGTAAGCCATCTCCCAGAGTTGTTTAACATTTCATCCCCAGAGTCTCATGGACCTGGGTTTGAATCTGTGCTCTGTTTCCTACTTAGCAGAGTGAGTTGACTAAGTGACTGAACCTATCTAACCCTTAGTTTCTTCACCTGTAAAATGGGCTAAGGATAGTATCTATCTTTTAGAGTTGTCAGGTTTAAAAGAGATTAACCATGTAACTCAGGACTAAGCATAGAATAAAGTTGGCTAATATTGCTGCATACTTTACTATATACAAATTACAACATACAGCTTTAACACATGGCATTTATCTGTAAACTTTGCTAGAATTTTGGTAGTATTCTTCTTCATTTACTTGTACTTTAGTCATTGATCTTTTTAGAATAAGAACTTAGGAAAAGTAACTTTTTATCTCTACATTAGATTTAGAGAAATCAATAAATTGATCTGTGCATCCTAATTAATAGGTGAGCAGAGTTAATAAGAAAACTGCCTCACACAAGTTCCCAAGTGGCATAAATGTAAATGAAATCCTTTAAGTACTCAAAGAATCAGAGGCAACATTTTACCAAAAATATCCAAGATGTAAACATAAGCCAGCAATGGACTATAAACGCAACAGGGTGTTGACTAAATATATGTATTTTTATCCTTCTATTTCCCCTTTTTGTTCACTTTCCTCTCCTGGGATCCTTGGTTCTCCTGCTGATCCTTCCTGGTTTCCATTTATCTTCACCGTGACACTTCTCCCAGCCTTATCCTTCCCAGGCCAGTCAAACACTGTATTTCCCTATCTCACATCTTTATTGTATGATATAGTCCTAACATGTGGTCCACTTTGCTTTCACATTGGAAAGAGAAAAGTTCCACTGAGTTAGCTTTAAAGATTATGGAACCACCTGTCTAAAGATATGCTCATGTGAATAAGAAAATCTTGATTTGATTCAAAGGAACCAATTCTGAATGGTGGGGTTTGGAGAATCCTTTACAGAACTGCAAGTGAGACCATCTGGGGAAAATTCATTTTTTAATAGATCAAATCATTCAACCTATCAATGACTATACAGCCCGTGGCAATCCTAGTCCTGATTAAACATATCCACTTGCACATAAATATACGTATACACACACACACACACACACACACACACATGCAGCATATTTTGTGTGAGTTCATTGAAATGCTAATACTTTTTCACTACCTGTAATTATGTCTGCTAACATGATTCCCATCTCACCCTCCCCCCATGACTTAAAAGTTGTTAGGGAACACCATCTGAAAGACAGCCATATTCGCACACCCATGATAAGCTGGACCTGAAAAGTAATTATCCTGGATTAGCACAGGCCCTCTCTATGCTAAATTAGCAGCCAGATCCAGGCACACAGTTGCTTCCTGACCCTCAGTTACACTTCACAGAAAACCTGAAGAAATCTGAGTAGAGCAGTCCTCATGCTATTGGTTTAATTTACTTACCATTTATAGCCCTGGCCTCAGTTGGGAAACAGATTTATTTAGTCACTAAGAAATTGATCCAACCTAGGTACATATTAGGCAACAATTAAATGCTTATTCATTGGTTGGCAAGCAAGCAACTTTAAAAGGGGAGAAGAGGAAAATTAACACTAATGCTGGAGTAGGCCTTAGAGAGAAATCACTGTCCTGGATCCCCTTTTTCTGCATATCCGGAAACTGAACACACCGAGATTAAATGACAACAAATGGTGACAGAAGCGAACCTTATACCCAGAATTCTAGTGTAGTGCTCCTTCTATTATGATTTCTGGTCCATGTGTCAAAAGAAAATACTAAGGGCAAAAGACACACTTCGATGCTAAAGCTATAAAATGTCATCACCAATCATTAGGAAGAACTGCATAGCTCATTGATATATATCTTAAAATACATGTCACTCTTCTGACCCTGTGGCTGGATAATGTTTATAATAGCCTCTACTATTACACAGTTTCCATTTATATATTTCATCTTTGCATCTCTATTTATAAAAAAAACCCACAAATGTATTTGTTTCACAGGTGGCTTACAATTGGATGATGAGATAAACCTAAATATAACATAGTGGCAGATAACCATAAAACAGTCATCACCCCCAGATTCACTTTGCTCTTTATGTATACCAGTAATACAACAACAACAACAAAAAGTTTGGAACAAAAGTTTCTCCGTGATCCAAGTGGAGAATAGAAGAAGCTGTCTAATGGTATTACAGAGAATGCCTAGAGTGAGAAAATTGAGGCAATAAAACATGAAGTTATTTATCTGGCGTTAACACAAGGTTATTTATACTAAAGTAGTAGTTAAACAAGAGCTGGAAAACTTGGGAACATGGTGGAAGTAACTTTGGATGACACATTGAAGTCAACCAGTTTACATATTATTTCTTCTTTTATGTTCTTTATTCTGCTTTTTTGTAAAGCAGCAATTCATTGTCTGATGCCACCATATTGCACTTAGTTTAGCACTGTTAACTTTATTAAACTTAGTTTAGATCTTCGTTTAGCACTTAGATCTGCTCACTGATTTAGAATCCAGGGACTCTGATATTACGTTACTTTCCATTTTGATTCAAGGGTGCTAAAATTCTGCTATAAATCACTATTCAGTTAAAAACTGATGTATGTAAACCTTCTAGTAGGAAACAAAATTGAAGCATTACAATCACTGAGAGAATACAGCCCTGTTGTCCTCTTGCACCCTTTAGAGAGTAAGTGAATCACTCCTAACCCACTCTCTTATAAACCAGACAATTCAGAGGACCAAGAGGCATTAGTCTTGCCTCCTCTTGGGAGGTTCACATTTTCCAGTGAACACACGAGTGATCAGTCACAATCAGGCACAGATGGAATTCCCAAGACATGTGCTCCCTGCCGTACTTAACCAGCACAACTTTTGCCCTTGTCCTAGGTATGCTACCATTCAAAATGACTGTATCAAAACTGAAGATGGTTAGAAATGAAATGGAAAGAGTCAAAACAGGCTGCTTCCAAATGAAAGCAACCCAAAGCATGGAAATTATGGGTATGGGAAAAATGCTTTCTTGGTTTATTTGATTAACACTTTGCCACTGAGAAGAATTTTCCTTTGAGGTTTTTTATTCTGTGTAGTTTTTAATGTAATTGGTTTAAGTGATACTTTACTTAAATATATCTTAAATCTGCCACTAACTATAAAATTTTCATGTTCAGTCCAATTGACTTCAAAGTTATCCAAAATGCTTATTCCCAAGTGACACCTATCAGTATCCAGCTGTGTTCTTGATGGAGACTGACATCTGAAACCAACAATTAAAGTTACCCAATGCCAGGACTCTTTAAAGACTAAAGGGCTTTACAGTACCTATCACAGCAGCTCATAACCAACTTGTACCATTATTGCTTCTATAAGTGTGCTGGGAGGATTAATTTCTTGAAACTTATTTAGTGTTACAGAAATAGTAATTTGCAGAGCCAAAAGGTCATTCTTTGCCAAATCAGTACATTCAAAGTAGTAAATTTCAATGAAAAACTAAAAGTATCATTGAATATTTGAATATTTTGTATGTATTCTCTAATCATCCTAGCCTCTTCTCTCATCTATGTGACATCAATTAAGAGTTATTAAATTTAAAACTTGAACCGAAGTAGCATAAAAGCCAATTGTTTTATGAATACTGAGCCCTTAATAACTTTCACTTTGTGCACACACACACACACACACACACACACACACACAGAGAAAGAACCACCCCCTCCCTCCCTCAAGAAGCACTGCTATTCAGATTAAGGTATATCAGAGCAATTCTGTTGTTCCATGATATAGAACTCTCAAAAGGTATACAATCATGACTGCCCCAAAACATAGGAGCAGTGGCTTCAGGGAAACATAAGGAAGTATCAACACTATCAAGTTCTAAATTTGAGATTGGATTAATTTACTTATGTAACAAACATTCACTTGTTTGTTACAAATATTTTTTTTTGTACCTACTATGTACCAGGTCCTGAGCTAGTGTTAAATGACTATGGGTTATGGTTTCTGTCAAAAGAATTATTGTTAAAAGTGGGAAGTGGATATCCTTAGCTATGACTGCAACTAGAATCAGCATCTAACTACTTTATCTAACCCTACCTCCAGCTCCTTCTACCTCCTACTAATTGGGCAGCCCCCTTTCCAACTCCTCTTTCCCTTGATATGAAACCATAAAGATAAATTACCAGGACCACACATAATTGATTAGAGAGATTTGAAGATACTTAATAATGAAATTGGGCAATACAATTGTTGGACATAATATATCATCTCTCATTACAAACAGTTAAGGTGCTGAGTATCTGGCAGATGTCCAATATGATTCCCAATTACTGAAAAGTTTTTTGAGAGGACTCTCAAAATTGTAATACACTTATGAATCTCACTTCCAAATTATAAACACAAAAATGACATAAATAGCATATAAAATCGCTGGTAAGGTAAATAAATGTTGAAATACAAACTAATGTGGAGAAAGAAACATCCATTTTTATGCTATTGCTTTTGCTTTTTATTTGTTTTAGGAGCTAAATTCTTTCTGTATCAAAGATTATATTTTAGATAATAGAACTGAAGGTTTTCTTTTGACATAGATACTAACTGATATCTAGCTGGAAAACAGAATAGGATAAATGGCACATTTAAGGTTTGGTATCAAACAGTGTACTGGAATAAAGAATAGACATATAATATTTTGAATATCTAAAGGGAGAAGTGTTCAATTAAGTATTTAATCTTTGAGGTGATATTAAGCCACTCTACTTTGTAAGATGCCAAGTAAACATTCGGAAGAATGTTTTAAGGTGTGTGCATGAACAACTCTATGCAGGTGAATTTCAGGACGTAAATTGAAAGGCAGACTTAGCAGAAAGTACCACAAACAATACTTTGGGATGATGCCTTCTAAATTATTGGTTACAACCCTGGAGAAATAGCTATTGTAATGAGATGCTTTCCTGAAGACATTGGCCTAAGTGCTGGTGAAACCATCGCAAAGTATTTTGCTACTTCTTGACATTGTCAAGAAATACATTAGAAACATAAGAGAAATGGTTGCCATAGCCTTGCTCAGAATTATGGTTCACCCGCATCTAGAATGTGATAAGAGTTTTGGTGACCATACTTCATGAAAAATCTTAGGGGATTTGGGAAGATCCAAACAAAAGACAATTGTCTTTAAGGAGTTTTATGTGTATTCATTTCTTAATTTTATACAACAGTGAAGCTCTTCAGTTTCCTCACAAGAAAGTTCTGGAGGCCTTGTAGTAAAAGTTAATCAAGTAATAAAATCATGAGGAAGCATTTAAGAATATTACAATGAGGGAACAGTCTTTGCAAGAAAGGAAGATTTTTCAAAGTAAAGACTAACTCATATATAAGAATGGGTTATTAATAAAAAACTAGAATTTGGGGGTCAAATTAATAGGCAGAGAAGGCTGTTCTCTTTATTAGGCCATCTCAAATCTCAGGTTATATAGCAATTTTAAAAACGAGGAAATTCACAGATACTCATTTTCAAAATGGTGTGCAATCCTTCAGAATATAAAATTCTCGTAAGTACTAAGTTGAATGATCCCTTATGAGTTTTAACTTGAAAATTTACTTATATGTTACCACTACTTTAACAGATAAGCTGATGACATTAAAATAATAGTTTTGACATTGAATGATTTAAGAGATCTAAGTGAAATATGGATTGAAAAAATAGAGACACAAAATATTATCTTTTTTGTTTGATCAAGAAAGGCACCAAGGTACAATCTGTAGACTTCATAACAAGTAGTAAAGTTAAACTAGGAATTAATCTAACTAGTTACTCATGGTGTACAGACCAATGATAGCTATGAAAAGCTAACTCTTTCATATAAGCGTACACTTCAAAGTTACAATGAAATGAAAAAGAAACTAGAGCAAGTTTTTATTTGTTTTGAAATACAACCCTCAATGAGGCATTGTTTGCACATTGAACTAAATGTATAAACAGTGCTGTTGTGGGTTTAATTTGTGAAATGTGTGTGAGCCTTGATGAGCTGTGATGTTTGCTATTTGGAAATAGAAAACTACTTTTAATTTTACATACTCATCTCAGAATTGACCCAAACATATAGCCTGTGTAAGAGTAAATGAGACCCAGATTAAGATGGCATTAAAAAGCTTATAGTAAGGAGAAACAAAGCACAGTTTATTGCAGAATTGGAAACTACTGGTTTTAGCAACTGACTGGATGAACAGGGCCAAGGAATAAATGCACTTATTTCTACTTTTAGTGACTGGCACCCATTAACAGATAAAGGAACTTAGGGAGAGGAGTATCTTGTCTTGGGGAGGGTGGAGACAGACAACCATTTCTGTTTTTGTTATATTGAATTGTACATCTTCCTAGGCATAAATACTCTTCATGATTTCAGGCCAGGTCCAAATGATACCTCCTACATTCCTTCAGCTGGAAGCAAATTCTCTCTGCTCTGAACTAAAATAGCATGTTTGTCAATGTTTCTCTTTAGGAGCTCAACACTTTCTCCCCAATGTAATGACAATTTTTAAATGTTCAATTTTCTGCTCTAGACCAAAAGTTTCTGGAAGACAGGGACTATGCGTGGTTCATCTTTGTACTTCCTTATTTCAAATAAGCATCCTTGAATGCTAAGAGCAGAATGCTAAGGAGTATCCACCTTTAAATGGCCAGAGAGGATTTAAGTGAAAAGACAAAGAAAGAATGGTCAGGACGCTGGAGTTGACTGAGGCCAGAGCAGACCCACAGAAGCCAAAGGAGAAGAAAATTCCAGCATGAGGCTTGTCAGCAAAGAACTGGTCCTCAAGTAGGAGAACTGAGAAAATGATTTGCCAGGGAAAGAAGAGAGAAATTTGATATCCTGAAACCCAGGATGGAAACTAGGAAATAAATGCATTGCCACCAGGTCCTCAAGTTCCTCTGGATTGGTGTCCCGGGTGGCTTCCATCCTCACAGTTAAAAACAACTTTTTGGCAATAGGGCCAATTTTGGGGAAAAAAGTATTAGATGTTTATGGGTTTCTTTTTTTATAAATTCAAAATTAAAATAGCTTCCTTGACTCTCATGGGGACAAATAATCTATTTTTGTAATTTAGACTGCCTGCTGATTTGTTTTTGTTTTGCTTTTCCTTTTCTCTCAGAGGTTTTATTCCAAGATATGTTAGTTCCAAATAGTCCAAATTCACTTGATAGCCCAGATGAGGGAGATTATAAATGTGAAAATTCTCAAGGGATGCTCCTAGTGTAGGTAGATAAAGTAGCCATAGGTGTCAGTTGCTGTTAGTCCACTGTCTCTACCCTGGGTGGTGGTGCATGGGCTTTGCTGTGCATTATGGGTGCACTGCATGGGTGGTATGCACCATCATGGGTGGTACGATGGTGGCAGATGTTGACACTCCATGAGCAGACAGAGCATGGCAATACAGGGACTCAAGGCAGGGAGTTTTCATATTTGGAGTGCCTGGAGTCAGATGGTGGATCTGGCATTTGCAGAGGAGTTTTGCATTTCTTCTGTTCTTGTAGACAGAGGGAGGAAGAGGTCTGTAAGGGACTTGTAAACTTATTCTTAGGTGTGCGGCAACTACAGGGTATATAATCAGAGGAAATTTTAAGCTTTAAAAGTAGGTGTAGAAGGTGAGGCTTTGGAAACCAGGAAACCGCTACTCCAGATGCCAGCAAGTGGAGCCCTCTAGGGCAGGAGCTCAGACTGGCCCAGTGGCAACACAGTCCCCCTTGGGAAGACTGTCCCCATTCTCTCACTCTTGGATACCTGGGTAGACCACTGCTTATCTGAACATTAATGAGAAAGAAAAATGCTACACCAGTATAACCACTCTAATACTCAGATGAGGCAGAACTGAGGAGCAATAAAACAATGGCCTCCCTAAAGTTTCATCTCACATGTGTATATATCACTTTAGAAATTAAAAAGTCTCATTTCATCTTGAAATAGCAGCTTTAGGGATCATCTTCTCATTTCAGATGGGTAACTATGGCTCACTTTAAGTTAAATCACATTAGCAAGACACTGCAGCTAGGATGAGTTCACTTGGTTCAACACAATAATAATGAGTGCTTATTATGTCCCCAGCCCTAGGCGAGGCACTGTAAATAGAGAGAGGAATTAAAGGCAGCCAACCCTAATCCTTCCTATCTTAGTCTGTTTTGTGCTGCTATAACAGAATAGCTGAGACAGTGTAATTTATAAAGAAAGGAAATTCACTTCTTATTCTTCTAGAGGTTGGGAAGTCCAAGAGCATGGCAGCAGCATTGGTTGGCTACTGCTGAGGGCCTTCTTGCTGTATCATAACCCTGGTGGAGGGCATCACATGACAAGAGGGCAAGAGTGTGCTTGTTAGCTCAGGTCTCTCTTTCTCTTCTTATAAAGCCACCAGCCCCATCATGGGGGGCCCTACCCTTATAATCTTATCTAATCCTAATTATCTTCCAGAGAACCCTTTGCCAATCAACATAGGAATTTGGGGATTAAATTTCCAACACATGAAATTTGGGGATACATATCAAACCATAGTATTCTGCCTCTGACCCCCAAAATTCATGTATTTCTCACACATAAAATACATTCATTTCATCCCCACAGACTCAAAGTCTTAATTCATTCCAGCATCAACTCAAAAGTCCAAAGTCCAAAGTCTCATCTGTGAGCTTGTGAAATCAAGACAAATTATCTAGTTTCAAGACACAATGGTGGAACAGGCATAGGGTACACATTCCTATTTGAAAAGGAAGAAATTAGCCAGAAGAAAGAAATAAAAGGCCCCAAGCAAGTTTGAAAACAAGCAGAGCAGACATTAAATTTTTAAGCTGAAAATAATTCAGCCTTAAATGAATTATTTGACCCCATGTGCCACTTCCTGGACACACTGAGGCTGGGGGTGTGTCCTCAATGCATCAGGCAACCCTACTCCTGTGACTTTGCTGGGCTCAGCCCACATGGCTGCTTTTCACAGATTGGAGTCACACACTGATTCCTGCAGCTTTCTCAGGCAAGCACTGCATGTTTGCCAGTGGCCACACATTTCTGGAGAGTTGAGGGTAGCTCCAACTCTGACCCTACACCTCCACTCAGCATTGCCTTAGTGAGGTCTCTCAGTATGCTCTGCCCCTGTGACAAGCCTCTTCTTGGGCCCCCCAGGTTTTTCTATACATCCTTTGACATCAAGATGGAGACTACTATGGCCCCACAGCTCTTGCATTCTGCACACCTGCAGAATTAGCATCATGTGGACACTGCCAAGGGTTACTGCTTGCACCCTTTGAAGCAGCGGTATGAGCTGCATCTGGGCCAGTGGTATGAGCTGCATCTGGGTAGCAGGAGCCCTGAGCTCATCCTGAGAAACCATTCTGCCCTTGTAGGCCCCTGGGCTCTCTGGCAGGAAGGGCAGCTTTGAAGATCTCTGAAATACATTTGGGATCTTTCTCCCATTGTCCTGATGAATAGCCTCTGGCTTCCTTCTAGCAGTCTTAATTATTTTGTTTGTTTGTTTGTTTGTTTGAGATGGACTCTAGCTCTGTCATCCAGGCTGGAGTGCAGTGGTGAAATCTCGGCTCACTGCAACCTCCACCTCCCAGTTTCAAGTGATTCTCCTGCCTCAGCTTCTTGAGTAGCTGGGATTACAGGTGCCCACCACCATGCCTGGCTAATTTTTGTATTTTCAGTAGAGACAGGGTTTCACCATGTTGCCCAGGCTGGTTTCAAACTCCTGACCTCAAGTGATTTTCTCGTCTCAGCCTCCCAAAGTGCTGGGATTACAGGCGTGAGCCACTGTGCCCAGCCCTCTAATTGTTTTTTAATATTTTGAGGCTGCAAATTTTCCAAATTTGTATGTTATTCTTCACCTTTCATAATAAATTCTGTCTTCAAACCATCTATTTGCTCTGAATCTCATCATAAGTGACCAAAAGTCACCACGCAGCATCTTGAACATTTTACTGCTTAGAAATTTCTTCTGCTCGAAATCCTAGTTCATTGCTTTTAAGTTCCACCTTCTATAATGCCCCAGGACATGAACACAATACAGCCAATGTCTTCACTACTTTATAGCAAGGATGACCTTTGCTCCAGTTTTCAATACTTTGTTCCTCGGTTCCATCTGAGACCGTGTCAGAATTGCCTTTATTGTTCATACTTCTAGGACCATTCTGGTCATGACAACTTAAGTAATCTCCAAGAAGTTCCAGAATTTCTCCAGTCTTCTTTTCTTCTGAGCCCTCTCCAGAATCTCCTTTAATGCTCCATTCATAACAACATAAGCTTTTTATAGCCTGCTCCTCCAAACTCTTTCAGCCTCTGTCCACTACCTAGTTTCAAAAACATTTCCACATTTTCATGTACTCATTATTAGCAATAGCCCCACTTCTCAGTACCAATTTTCTGCCTTACTCTGCTATGACAGAATACCTAAGACTGGGTAATTTATTAAGAAAAAATGTTATTTGTATCACTGTTCTGGAGGCTGGGAAGTCCAAGAGCATGGCACGAATATCTGGTTGGCTTCTGCTGAGGGCCTTCTTACTGCCTCATAACATGGCGGAGGACATCCATTGACAAAGAGGGCAAGAGTGTACTTGTCAACTCAGGTTTCTCTTTTTCCTCTTATATTGCCACTAGTTCCATCATGGGAGCCCCCACCATAATAACCATATCTAATCCTAATTATCTCCCAAAGGACCCATCTTCAATTAACATATGAATATGGAATTTAAATTTCCAATATATGAAACTTGAGGGACACATGCAAACCATAGCACTTTCCTTTCTGCCTTTTTCTAATCCAGTCATCTCTCTTTTGTGCATGTAAAGCTTTCTGTCTCAGTGGATTATGCTCAAGCTCCCCTCTGGGCCACACACCCCAATCTTTCCATTTTCTCTTTTGAACTTATAAACTGCTTTGGAGATTATATTATGAAGCTAAAATTGCTTATCACAGATCTCAAATTATAGGACACAAGCAGACCACTTCATCTCTGCTAATGTGTAATAGTACAAAACAAAACATGGAATTGTAGAATACAAAAGAGAGACAATAAGCTTAGAGGTATAGCAAATTGCCCAAAGGGCTACATGAGTTGGCAGTCTCTCAAAACAAATGAAATACCAGAGAAGGTTTCTCATCACACTAAATGTTTGCTGCCGTATTGGCATAGGGTTATAAACTGGAGTATTTAGACATCCTTCACTTAAGCAACTATTTTATTTTTCTTAAAGAAGGACCAGCAAGAAGGTCCTCACCAGATGCTGGCCCTTGATTTTGTATTTCTCAGCCCTTGTAATAAATAAATTACTTTATAAATTACCGAGTTTCAAGTATACTTTTATAAGCAACAGAAAATGGACTAAGACAGGTGGAGAGGATGGGGAGTATGTTCAGCTTGAGATGCTACCTTGACCCTTTGGTAAAGATAACCAGGATTCTGGGAAGGACATTCATGTTCTTAAGTCACCTATTTAGAGGTGAAAGAAGAGATTATAGGATGAATCAAAGGAGAGAGCATTGTGAAGAAAGAGAAAAGAACCTGCATCTAGGTCCATTTTTGAGTGTCATTAAGAAAAAAGAGGATAAGGGCATTGGCTCATGCCTGTAATCCCAGCACTTTGGGAGGCCAAGATGGGAGGATTGATTGAGAGCAGCAGTTTGAGACCAGCCTGGGCAGCATAGTGGAACCCTGCCTCAGCAAAAAAAAAAAAAAGAAAAAAACAAAAAAACAGGTGTGGTGGCATGTGCCTGTAATCCCAGCTACTCAGGAGGCTGAGTCCAAGTTAGGAACACTGATAAATTGCAACGATCTACTTGTACTGAATATTTCTGAATAAGGATATTATAATATCAATGAAAAGTATAATGAAAGCTTTTCAATGTGTCTTCTTTCCACCACATTTAATAGTACACTTGGAAACAATTTCTTCAATGGTTTTCTATTTTAAGCATATATTCTCAGCAGCCCCAACACACCTTAAAATGACTTTTCCTGTTCACCTGATTCCTTTATTCCACCACTTTCTCAAAAAAACTGATCAGCCAGTTAACAGAAGACTGCTGTCAATAATACCAAATGCTTCCTGGACATAAAAGAGGCTGAAGATTCAGGAATGACTAATAGGAGACCATTGATGATAGCTTAAAGACAGCAGTCTCAGTAAAGGAATAGGAGCAGAAGTAATATTTCTAGGATTAAGAAGAGTCACAAAGTGGATGCACTGAGGGCTGGTCACTTTTTTTGAGAAAGTGGAATAAAGGAATCAGGTGACTATATGCTAATGAATTCAAAGGAACAAGAAAGTAATATTGTTCATATTTTGACTATTATTAATATTTTAAAATGTTCATTCAAAGTACTTGGGAGATTGATTAGTATGCCAAGAAAAATATTGTGTGAAGTGAAAATAGAAAAAGAAATTACATGTAAGTTGTTAGAATATGAAAATAGCATATGTTGGTAGGAATTCAAAGTGAGGCAAAAATATAATGCAACCGAAGAAAATAAATTCGGACTCATTCTAATATGTTAATGAGACCACACCTGGAACAATGCATTCAATGTGGGATACCTCTAACAAAAATGAACATCTAGGAAATTGGAAATAGTTCAGAGACAAGCAATAAGAATGATTATGGGTTTGTAAAGACTGAACTGCCACAAGATTAAAAGGCCTTCTATTTGTTTAACGTGGCTAACATGACTTAAAAGTGAGCATGATATCTGTTTATAAACATCTGAGGGCTGAGTGTAAGCATGGAAGAAGGAGTAGAGTTGCCTAATATGCTACTAAAATGATTCAACTGGAGAGAATTTTCAAGAGAAAATCTAAAAGTAAATATAATGAAGCTGTCTCCCAGAAAATGTGCATTTCCTTTCTTTCAGAGGCCCTGCCAAGAATGAGGAAATTTAGCAGGTCCCCTGAAGATTTGATTTCTTCACTTTCACAAACTAGTAGAAACCTTTTTAAGCTTGATCTGTCTGCACAAAATTACTCAGAAAGTGTGTTTATTTATAGATTTTAGAAAACCGGCAGCATAGGACTCTAGATTCTTGGGCAATCATATTTTATCTTCATTTATTCCTGTGGTCTGTCATCAGCAGAGAGGTAGATTAAAAGACTGTTCAACCTTGTTCACATTAAGGTTGGTCTTTAAAACTCCATACTTCCAAAGCTCAAATAGTTTGGCTTAGAATTTACTAAGAAACAACTGAATTATTGTATTTTTGAAAAATTGTGTATATTTCCAGCTAGAGTTCATAGATATACCAAAAGTTGCTCAAGAGATTTACTTTGGGATTATTTCTACAAGCATCCAGTTCTCTGCATTCTTTTTCAATAAATGTAGTGTCTTATAGCATTTTTTAGCCTAAAATCTGTTCTTACTAAAGTGAGGGCCTGGTTTTTCCCTTAAGGTTGCTTTTAAATGAAATTAAAACAAAAATTATGTTTTGGATTATGAGCTCCTAGAGCGCTTTGTTTAATTTGACTTATACAAAATCTAATGCCAAGACAGTGCCATGCACGTTTGAAAAATAAACAAATAGTAAATGGTAACTGCAGAGGCATCCCATTCCAGAGGAGTTGGTTAAGGGAATTGCTAATAAGTGAATCTTATATTTCCACTGATTTACCCTATAAAGTCTTATATTTTTTATCTCCCCACTCCTCCCAAAACACATCCCTTTTCAGACTGAGTTGAACATGTACAAATATTCTGAGAGCCTGACTCATGTCATGCAGGGCCCACTGGTGTTTTTGAATCACTTCAAGAATCTGGCAGCAGGTCTCTGACTTCAATTTCCCCCATGTGTCTTTCTAGGCCCTTTGCGTTTCTCCCACTGTTCTACTTTCCCTCTCTTCTTCATTGTCTGTACTGTATTGCACTACTGGGCTAATAGATGCTAGGGAAGGGTAATGAGTAACCGGTACAATATTTCAGGAAAGTGATTTGCTTTTTAATTGTGCATTTATGAATTGTTTGCATTTTACCACAAATAAGATAGTAAGTAAAACAATAAATAATACATGAATTTTAAAAAGACGCCTCAACTTCAGAGACTTCAAGTATATTTTAGACAAGAAAAGCAATAATTAAATAAGCACAGAATTTAAAAAGTAATACCTCAAAGTAAATTGGACACAACATTTTGTTCCGGTTATGAAAAGGGGAGGCTTGAAAATATCTCTTGGTGAGCCTGAGGGACATATGGAATGTAATTCTTTAAACCAATGTTTCTCAAACTGTATGTGAGATAATTTTAGGTGGTACATGAGAAATAACTTTTATTTCTACAATATAGGTTCCTTTGCAAGATCATCTTCTATTCATGGCGGGTTTTATTAGTTTTCCATTTATGGTGACTATAAAAAATGTCCTTTATCAGATAAACTTATTTAATAAAAATAGATTATTTAAAGATACATATTAAGTCAATAATATAGGCGATATGGCTATAATTATAAAAGTGATATTCAATGTAAATGCTGGAAATAAGGCCTCATTTAAGCAAACAATACATTTTTGCCTTTATAACCCTAAAATTCTGTTTCCTATGTTAAACTTATTTCAAATGTGTACTGAAAATTGACGTTTTATCTGACACCTAGTGGTGTCCATGTTAATATATGTATATTTAAGACAACTATTAGAAGGTAGTAATATGAAGTCAAATAACTAATATATTATCCTGGATTTTAAAAATAATTTCTGTACATGTATTCTTATCTAGATGTACAAAAAACTATGCAGGAGCAAAGTGACCTTGAAAGCAAGGTCAGTGTAACTGAAAAATCTGACTTTAGAAGGGTACAAAGAAACATGCTAAGAAAACCCACCCTATATTTATGTTAACAATATGCTAAAGTATGAATTTTTATTTTATTCAAATCATACATCTCCCACCTTTATTTGTAGGTGAAACTAGCACATAATGTTTTATGCCAAAATGAAATTCAAAATGTTGTTGCCTTTTGAGGACAGTATTAAATTCATCATTGTACTTAATCCTTACATGATATTTGCTATAGCCACAGAACATTCTTAGACACTATGATTCACAAAACATTTAAATTGCATATTTGGCTTGTAATATATTACATATTTAAAAGAATTACTATTTTTCTGAATACCATTAATACTAATAATAGCATCACAGTGACTAAGAGTGGACTTAAATAAAGGCTGGCTTGAAACTCAGGTCTGCCATTTATTAGCAAGCTTCTAAAAATTCTGAGCCCTTAGTTTTCTCACATGTGAAATGGAGAAAATAAATCTGCAAAATTAATTAAATCTGTCCATTCATATTTTTCTCTCCAGTGTATATTAACTGGCATTCCTCGTTAGGCCAGAATGTGCTCTCAACCATGCTCCAAATCCGCTTTGTGCCAACCCCACTGCCAGAACCCTTTCTACCTTGAGAACCAGAAAAGGAAACATTATGCCTGGCAATGCCTACACCCTCCAAAATAAATCTGCAGGAAAGAACACCCAGTAAGTGATGAGAGCAGCAACGACTGCCTTTATCATTTTAAATTTACAACACCACCTTTTCTAGAGCCTCTTAAGCATTGTAGATAATTCCCCACTCATTAAAAAATAAATTGTAACCATAAGTATTCAGGGTTGATACTGCTTTTGAATTAGACAGTGCTCATATCAGTTGCATAAGACCAACCTAAAGTAGAGGATGAAATCTTTTTTCTGAACCTTTTTCAGAACGTAACTTAGTGAATATATTAAAACTAAACTTTCTTTGAATGGGAGTAATTTCTACGGATTAATCTGTAATCTCTTAGACCACACCTAAGGTAATGTAGAGGTTGTTGTATCATAGGCTTTGTGATTAGAGACCACTGGATTTGTCTTTGGAAAAGTCACTCATGATTCTTTGGGCTTTGGTTTCCTCATCTTTTATACCGGCTTAATAATGACCACCGTAGAGTTGTCATGGAAGTTAAATGAACTCATGTACCATAAGTGACCAATACAATGATTGACACTCAGTGATTTATCAATAAATTAAAACATTTATTATCAATATGACAGAGAAGGTGCCGCTAAAATAGACAATAGGTTTTTGGAAGAGGTGATTAAATGGATGCAAAATTTATGGATTGTTTATTCCGTCTACCTTTGCTGTGTCCCCTGGTTGTGGCATACACACGTGTGGGTATAAAATCGTAAATCCTATGTAGTCGCGTAGTGCATGCGCAGAAGGCTTAGACACGAAATGTCATTTCAGCAATGTGCCTAGAGAAGCTCTGACGCCGCCTTGGAAGTAAGTCGTTGCTGCCTGACCTTTGGGCGTCTGGGACGGATGCCTATACCTGCACCCAGCAGCACTGGAAGGGGCCCAGGCCCTTCGCAGCACAGCCTATCCCCAGACCGCTTAGTCCTTCATAACATATATCTCCACGGAAAAGGGTATTTCCTCCCGTCAGAAAAAGCGCCCCAGTCTGGTCTGGGTTGGTTTTTATTTCACGTTGTTGCAAGTAGGCGAAGTCCCTTCTGTCTCCTCCCTTGGGGTAAGTGGAAAGGAGTCCGGCAGGGGGCCCGCAGTGGCCTGCACAGGGGAACTGGGTAGCGAGAGAGTTCCAGGCAATTCCGGGGGCTGCCCCACAGAAGCAGGTGGGGATCGACAGTGGCTCTCCGGCCCAGGGAGGAGAGCGCGGTCGCGGGTCCCTCCCCTCAGCCTGGAGGCTGCAGCCGCTCGAGTCGGCCCGGGTGGGGGCGGGGTGGGGGCGGCGCGGAGGGCACGGAGATTACGGCGGCGCCACCCGGGACATCCAGGGCCCCGAGGCCCTGGGCGGTCCCCACGCGAGATCGCAAACCATGACAATAGGCAGTCACCCGAGGTCAAATAAAAACGGAGTGGGTCCCCCGCGCGCCGCCGCCCCCCGCGTCCCTGGCGGCCTCCCCCGAGGCCCCCGGCGGCCTCACGAGCCCGCAGTAGCCGGTGGCGACGTCGCCCCCGCCCCACCTCCCTGCGCAAGTGCGAGGCTGCCGGCAGCGCGGCGCACGCTCCGGCCGTTCCCGGCTTCCGCGCAAAACTTCCATCCTGTCCACGTGAAGTTGTCGCTGCCTTAGAGAGGGGGAAAGAGCTGCGGGAAAAGCCGGGGAGTGACGACTGCGGCGGCTGGGCGCGCTCTCTCATTTTCTTTTCTTCTCCTTTCCCCCCTGTCGCAGTCCGGAGTTTTGGCTCCTCTCCTTTCCTCCTCCCCCTCGGAGCCGGCTTCTCCCTCCGCCCCGCTTCTCCCCCGCTTGTGTACGCTATTTGTTGTGGGGTGGCCGAAGGGGATGTCCTGTTTTCACCAGAGGCACAGCGCGAAGGGGAAACTTCGACACTGGAAGGAACGAGAATAAATACTTAATTACGGACGCACTGAACCGCGGCTGGGACAGACACTTCGGGAACCCGAGGCGGACCGGGCGACGAGGTGAGTGACCCCTTCTTCCAACCCCCGCCCCAGGGCTCCCGGGGGAGCCTGAGTTGAGAGAACCCCCAAACTTTCCGGGAAAGTGCGCGAGGCTCCGCCGGGGACGCCGAGCGCTGGGTACTGAGGACGCGCAGCTGGACGGTGCGTGGGCGCCTGCGTCCCCGGGGGGCGCTTGGAGGCCGGGTGCCCCACGCCTGAGGGCCCGGGCCGCTCGGACCGCAGCGGTGCTCTCTGCCCTAGAAGACGTCCCCAAGCCCCAAGGGTCCCTTCCGAGCCTGCCTGTCCCTTCCGGGGTCGGCGCGGAGCCTGCGCGTAACGGAGTTCATCCAGCAGTCCAGCGCGCGGCTTCTACCTGCACCCCGCCTCCACCTGGCAGAGGCGCGAGCATCGGGGTCTCCCCCACATCTTTCTTATGACGTGTATTACTTTCTGATGACCCCCTAGATGGTCCAGGCGCGAGGATGCTGACCCAGAGTCCTTCGGAGGGTCACAGGCGCCTGGGCTTTCCCGGTGCCGGGTGCGTGTGTACTTTAAAGGCTCGCGTTCTAATCTCCAGGCACTGATCGGGCTTTTCAACTGCGGCGATCCCACTTTAATAGTTTTTATGTGGCGTGGACTGAATGTCTCCTGCAGTTTGCCAGGGTCGGTGAAATTAGAGGCGCCTTGTCAGAGCAGTCGCGTTCATTGGCTCGAGTAGCGGGTGCCATGGAAGGCTTATAACTTCTCCAAAGGAAGGGACCTGGCTGGGTAGAGCAGGTTTTTCTCTCCTTCCAAGCCTGCTGGGTCTGGGGAGGCAGTGGAACTTGAAATGGCTCGGATTTTTAGCGTGGTGAAGCGAGGTTTGGAAGTAGACGTGTGTGTGCTTGTTTTATTCTGCGCCGCACAGCAACCCGAACTTTCGTTTGGTAGCACTTGAAAGAGTTTTCTCCCTTTGTTTGCGAGATTCTGAACAGCTCGGAGCGATTAGGGAATTTGCGGACCGAGTCCGGTGGCAGAGCTGGGGCGAAAGCAGAGAGCGCAATTTAATTTTTGTCATCTCTTCCCTGCTTGGGAGGATAGTGTTTCCCTTCACCACCACCCCTCTTTCTCCTTCCTATGAAGACAACGGATTTGCGCCTGGGGTGAGAGTGTGTGCGGGAGAGTGGTGTGGAGACTGTCCTCTCTCACCGCGTCTCCTGCGCCTCTCCCCGCCATCCCGAGCGGGCCTAGAGAGTCATTCATGAATCTTAACCTGAGGGCAGGGGAGGAAGGTGCAGGTCCCTCTGCCCTTTCTGCCAAGGTGCAGAATAGCGCCCGGGCGTGTGTTTTGGTTCCAGAGCAGTTCCACGTGGAGCAACTTCGTGTGTGTGTGTGTGTGTGTGTGTGTGTGTTGTGTACTTGATCTGTGAGGAGGTAACAGGACTCTGGTGTTCAAACCCAGTGGGCCGTTGGCCATTAGTTTGCTTTCCTGGCTGTCATTACAGACACTTCCAAAATCTGATACCTAAGAGAACCAACAGGTTAGGTTTCACATTAAGGGCTCATACTTAACAGTTTTCTTTCTCCCTTACCCCTTTTGGCTTGGCACCCTGGGATCAACGTAATTGTTGGAGCGAAATACACCTCCTGGAATATGGCATTTTGTTCCTCTTCTCATCTGTGGCCACTTTGTGAACCCTCGGGTGTTTGTCAGTTTCAGTGCGGGCTCCTGCGGGATTTAGGTGGGAGTCTTAGGAGCGTTTAACAACCGCGGGCTCCCCATCAGCAGCTTCTGAAGTTTCACTTACACGTAGGTGACTGACAGGATTGAAAGTTGACGATGGTTTTTTTGTTTGTTGCGTTGTTTTTGTTTTTAAAACCTTAGGGAAGGGATTGTACTTGAATTCCTTTCCCGGGTACGGTTTGGTTTTAAGCAGAATCAGTGCCTTTTTTTTTTTTTTTGTCTTTTAAAATATTATTGGCAAGCTTAAACCTGAAGAACCAAAAACTAGAGGGGGTGGGGAGAGAATCCCCCCAAAAAATATTTGATACGTGATACGGAGCGTTTTAGGAGACTGCATTCAAAGACATTTGTGTATTTTTAAAAATAACATTATCCCAAGAAACAAAAAGCAGTAGTAACAAGAGACAGATTGTTTTGTGTGGAGCAAGACTGCCAGAATCTGATTTTTATGGCAACAATATCGAAAGCAGACATAACTACACCCACATTTATTGTTATAAACCGTAAAAATAGTTTGTTCCACCTGATTAAAAGTTGTAAGTCATTCAAAGTTAAACCCGTATTTAGGAATGACTGTACAAGAATGTTAAAACCTTTGACAGCTACAGCTTTGAAAGCAACATAATTAGATTTGTTGAAAATGTCTCCTTTCTCTGATTATTAGTGATATGTACTTGTCTTTCATAATAAGTAAAGGTCTACAATCAATATGGTTTTCAAAAGCCTGTTTTCCTTTGTAAATTTCCTGAAAATAGTATGTTTCAATATTTAAAGACCATTGTAACTACCGGTTGGTTCACAATTATAACTAAAATAAGATTTACTCAGTTGTTTTCTTTTTATTAGTATTTGTTGAATATTTGAAATTGAATTTCTCATTTCCAAAATAAAACGTCTCACATATATGTATGTACTCACAATTAACACTTCTTTTAAGTAGTAGGCTTAAGTTTTAAAATTTTTAAAATCTTAAGATTTGTATAAAAAGGAGTGATTGTATAAAAAGGAATAATAATTATTAATTGTTAAGAAAAATAGATGCTGAATTTCAGAGGGTTTCTAGAAGCTGGAGAAAAAAATTGCATAGAAGTTTCTTTTTTGACGGGTGACTGGCAGATGAGTTACTTGTCATTTTGCTATAATTTATTTTTTTCTTTTAATAAGGCTCTTTGGGTTAAAAAAAAAAAAGGAAAAACAAGTACTCCATTTCTAAGAGTTTCCTTTTTATTTATGTTGTACTTTGGGGTGTAAATAAATTTTACATAGCCACGGGAAATAGAGTATCCAATTTCATGTTTTCAGTCTCTGTTGCAAGCTCTAAATGACTGATGTCGTGTCTAAAAATATATTTATATGGCTTGATATTTCATTTTAACATTTTATGCACTGGAATTAGATTTTTTAGGATTTTTAGAAAGATAGAATGACAGAAAGACGATGACTATTGTTATAAAAAGTTAGAATGTTAGGAAGTTCACATTCTAACTTTCAAATAATCAAACTTATTTTGCCCCACAAAAACTCACAGTTTTTATACAGATTTCAAGAAGAGGGGTGATAATCTTTTTCACTACTTAGTTAAGTGTTAAGTAATTTAAGAATGCAAGTATGTATTATGCTTTCTCATTATCATTTTTTTCTGTTAGGTAAATGCAAGAACACTGGACATTCTGTAAAAACAGGCCCCTCTTTATAAGGAGTTTATTCACCATAGTTCTGTATTGCAGCTGCTGATCATATTTCATGGAGCTGTTAAAGCACTTAAAACCTAAAATTAGGTACTGTCTGGTTGTAAATATTTCAGATCACTTATTTAAGAAATAAATAGAAAAGTGTGCTATCAAAAGTAGGAGACGTTTTGAATCCTCTCATTGAAGAGCTGAACAAACCTCTATCAAAACACCTTCTTCTTTTTTCAGTGAGAATATAATCTTGACAGTTTCTTTTTCTAAATGGATATTATTCTTACATGTACTAAATGCTAAACTCTTATAACGTGCCTCCCTGTAGAGTATCTTAAACTAATTATATTCAGAAATACAGTTGGGGGATTTTATTACAATGGTTACTAGGTGAAGGAAATCAACACCAGGGGAATGGGGTGGCATTGCAGTGTACCTGCTTCTCTCATGAATTTTTCCTGCTAAACTAAGAAATGACATGCTGTTTCAGGCATTTGCCCTGGAGATGGGTGAGATGCAATATGTGTAATGCTGCATCTTATAGTTAGATGTGTTTTAATGAAGGGGACACTGCATAGTCATTAAATCATTTTTGGAGCCAAACTTGGCGTCATTTAGCTTGAACTTAAGTGGAAGAAAATGAACAAGAGTTACACATTCAAAAGAAGTACAAGCAACTTTGATTGCTTTTAAGAGGTTTGAAGACTTTGTAAACATTACTGTCACTCAATATTGCTTGTGGAGCTGTACATTAATATATGCTTTGGTGATATGTCATTTTACGCTTGAAATTTGTCATTCTTAGTGTTTCTCCATCCATCTTTTTATTAGTAAAGAGATACTGAAAATGAACACTACTATTCTTACTCCCCTAACCCCTTTCACACCTCCAGAAAAAGAGATGAAACTGATTAATTTAAAATAGAAACCATTTTGTGTTATCAAAACCACATTTATATAGTGATTTGAGACAGTTTCAGAGAGTGCACCTCTGAGTCTCACTGTAACCTTTTTTGTCATTGAAAGGTGCTAATTGATCTTAGGGTACTGACACAATAGTATAGTTTGATATTTGAAACCTTTCAGAGTTGGTCTGGCCCTTTTCTTACCCTGAGATTTCAGTGCATGGATGATGAAGAAAGACACCATTCTAAAATACCAGAAATTCTCATTTTTTTCCAATATGAAATGTTTTAATACAGTATGTTCATATTTTTAAAGCTTTTATTTACATACAGTAAGTAAATTTATTTTAACGTACTTTTGGACAGTAGGAGAAAGACCTATATGTTCTATCGTGTTAGAATTTTTTAGTTTTTTTTTTTCTGCACAGGTAGTTTATTTAGGTTATAATTTTTAGGCAAAGTCTGATTCCTATTATCACATGAATATTTTCAAAGTGAAATTGCGTTAAACCAATGTGGAATAGCTTTTGTATCACCAAGGCATATATTAATGTAGATGTCAAATATGAGAGCATATTTTCTTGAGTATATTTATATCCTAAAGTGTATTTTTAAATAAAAGTGGTCACTGTAGTCTTTAGATAATTACAATTTGGCTGTCATTATTACTATAATATTAATCACTATCACCATCATAACATCATAGCTAGCATTTACTCAGGAATTTCGTGCAAAACACTGTTTTAAGCATTTATATGGATTAGCTAATTTTAATCTTCTTAACTATGCCGTAAATTAGGTACTTTTGTTATTCCTATTTTACAGATAAGGAAGCTGAGACCCAGTCATGCAGCACAGTGGAGCCAGGATCCTAACTCCCCAGTATGAGGCCAGCACCCTTATCCTTAAGCGTGTGCTGGGCTCTTGCTTCCATCAGTCATATACCACCATTTTTAGGTGGTACCTGAACATTTTGTTTTAATAATACTTATATTTTATGTAAGGATAACTAGATATTAGAAAAATTTGTTAAATTTTGTATTAAACCTGTAACTTCATGGGCAATATTGTTTGAGACAAGACCAAACAAAGTATTGAAGTCAAAGAAAAAAAATTAAGTATCTGAAGAAACGTATTAAGTAACAGTGAACAAGAATATGGCCTAAATAACCACAGTCATGAAGGCTGGACAGCAAATGACTGAATTTGGAGAAATGCTGTATTTTGTAATGTTTCCCAATTATCAAGAACTTATGACCAGATCTTTTAAATATTTAACTAACATGTGGAATCTTCCTTTGCTCTTCAAGCCTTATCCAAATTGGTTAAATGTTATCAACTTTGTATTTTCTTTGTTTTTGTTTTTTGTTGTTTTAATGCTGGTTTTGAATCTCAAATCTGCACATTTATGTTGAACCAACTAATAAGGCTTGAAGAGTTAAAGAGTGCATGATGGACTTCTGGAGGCAGGTTTAAATTATAATGGAGCTGCCCATATTTTGGAAATACATTCAATTTATCTGGTTATCGCATGTGTAAGGTTTTCTGTAGGTAAATACTTTTGCTGTTAATAACCTGTTTTACAATTTTATAGTATTTTTCCACTGAAGCAGTGGTTTTCATTTTTTTATTTACTTATATACTCAGCCACGGATCCTTTCATTTAAATGGAAACTGATGATATGCCCAGTAGAGAAATGTGCCACTGCTCTAGGTGAAGCAGGATGTAGGTAGCCTGAGAATGACTCACCAACAGTACCCTCTCACGGTGGCCGCCGCCTCTGGAGTTCTCTCTAAGTGTCTTCAATGTATGGAAACTGCTGCAAAAAAATTCAAGTCTTCTGACAAAAGGGGTTAATTCAGAGTACCTGCCCTAACATGTTCATGTGGCATCACTAAAAAACAGACTGTCAGATACGGTAAAATATCTCCCAGTGTGACATATCAGCAGAAAGGTGTGTCTACTCTCCCTTCTATAACTTGAGTATCCGTATTAACCAGTCTTCAAATTCGATTTAGCACTGAGAAAATTAAAACTGATCAAAATGTTCCCTGTGTGTAGTTACAGGTCTGAATGAGGCACAAAGGACTTGTACCTGCAAAGGTTGACTTTATTAATTAGAACATCTTTCCTCCTTTAAAGACTGTAAGAAGAAACACCAGCAGTGGCCTAACTTGACATGACTTTAGATTTTCACGTAAATTATTGCTACTATTTCTGTTATCCTTTCCCCCTTTCTTTTTAAAATGAAAGGGACATTTCTTGTGAAAGACTACAATTAAATCATAAAAATTTACATTCATGTGCCATTAAGTTTAATTCTACTCACAAAAGCAACAGTACAGAGTTTGAAATTCTATCCCTAATCAAGTAGGTGTACCACATACCGGGAGGGCTCATTATGCACAAGGTCATATATACAATTCACAGACCTCTGCATATACCCAACGGAGTGATCTATTCATTACATTTCACCTCTGACTTTGAACTCCCTAATGTTAAAAGATTTGAAAAGAACCGAATGTTCTGATTAAGAGATTGAATATTTCTAACTTAATGTTTTCAGTATGTTGAAAGTGATGATGACTTGGGGGAATCAGCAGATCTCTACATTACCTAATTCTTTTCTCTTACATTTGAATGCAAATGTATATTCATGTGCGGTTATGACTCAAGTCATTCTTGCTAAATTTAATGACGTTGTAGGTGAATCACATTCAGATTTCCTTTTGCAGGTTTTCCAGTAATCTAAAACAATGCTTCTAGTAGGTAACTTAAGCATGCAAACCTCAATAAACCTGTCAAGAACGGCAATTCTACTGTTTTATTTTGTTTTTTTTTTTGTTTGTTTGTTTTTGCATTAACTTTAGTTGATAAGATGATGGTACTGTTATTTTTCTTAGTTGACTCATGAAGAATTTTAATTTAGGTCTAGTTTTTTCCCTTAATTGTTGACTTTAGTTTTTAAAGGTTTCGTTCATGAAAATGGTTAGCAAAGTTGTGGGTACTTGGTAAATGCTTGTTAAATGCTTTTTCCTTATCAGTGTTGCTGAAGACTTGCAAAATTAGAGTGGGATGGATAGATTTCTTTTCTACTCTGCATGGCTTTGAAGACTTTGGAGCTTTTATTGTATTCTTATATTTTTACATACCATTCCCAGGAATATTTAGAGAGAGAATCATTGTAACCAAGGTCACAGGTCTAATCCTCAGGTATTCAAATTAGCTTTAGGTGGACAATTGTCCTATACACACTTGTTCGTATTAATGTTGTCATAACAAATATAGTTATAATATCTTGATGCCTCTCCTGGGGGCCCATTCTGGACTGTGTTGAAGCTGTCTCTAACACTCTCTCACGTCCCTAAGATATTCAACCACATTTGTTCATGATTTTTATGAGGTCCCTCCTGGACTTAAAATTCCTTAAAAAATTTGCCTGCTGCCTATAGGGCAAATTCCAAAATTCTCTGCAGGGAAGATAACCCTTCATACTGAGAACCTTGCTCAGGTTGCTCTTCTCATCTCTCACTCCCCACTCACAACAACTCTCTTTTCCAGCTGTATGGAAAACTGCAGTTCTCAAATACACCTTGGACATTTCCACTTCATTTCTTTGTGCGTGGAATGCTTTTTCTCTGGAAAACATCGCCCCTCTCCCCCTGCAAATATCTTTTCTACTGCTTTTTCAATACTTAAGGTGCAAAATGTTAGCTCCTCTGATAAGTTCCTCTGACCTCCAGAGTCTGAGTTGAACGTTTCTTTCTTGTTACTCCCAAAGCATCCAGCTTCTACATTTAACATAGCCCTTGCCACATTGAAATGTAATAGATTACATTAGTCTAAATCCTGCTTTAAGCTGAGAATTTACTGGAAGGATTAGCTGTATTTGTCATTTCTGTATCGCTAATGCACAGTGCACTGCTGGACATATAGTCAGTAGGTAGTTGTTATATTCCCATTGAATGAATGAGTAGAGGTACTGGGAATGAGAGCAGAGATTGTGACACTGAACATCCCCTCCTTGAGACTGGGAACAGTGAGAAGGGCAGTGACTATTACAAGGTGGGACTACCTCAATAACAACCTCAGGGAGTTTTGGTATAAACCCAGTAGAATTGCAGCTGTGAATCCAGGCTTAGGTTATATGTATGTATACGTGAATGTAGAAATGTGTTTATTTCTTACCACTGGGAAGTCAGTGATCTGGTGGATAAGCCAAGGATCCTGAAAATCTCTGGAGATACGGTAATTTCATAGTACTTGAAATCTGAGAGACTCAGTTCTTATAGCACAGTGAGTAAGTAGAAAGAATATGGGGGCTGGGCGCGGTGGCTCACACTTGTAATCCCAGCACTTTGGGAGGCCGAGGCGGATGGATCACCTGAAGTCAGGAGTTCGAGACCAGCCTGACCAAAATGGCAAAACCCCGTCTCTACTAAAAATACAAAAATTAGCTGGGCGTGGTGGTGGGCGCCTGTAATCCCAGCTACTCGGGAGGCTGAGGCAGGAGAATCACTTGAACCCAGAAGGCAGAGGTTGCAGTGAGCTGAGATTGCACCATTGCACTCCAGCCTGGACAACAGAGTGAGACTCCATCTCAAAAATAAATAAATAAATAAAAAGGAAGAAGAATATGGAGCCAGGCACTTGGGTTCAGACCTCAGCTCTAACATTGATGAGTTTGTAACATCAAACACATTACTGAAACAGATTTTGCTTCAGTTTCTCATGTGTAACAGAACATGCCTCATGGGGTTCTGATGAGAATTCAATGAGTAAATATATGTAAATATATTTAGAGTAGTGCTTGATATGAGTATCAGTTGTTATTACTATGATTGGGTATCTTTCATTAGATTACCCCCAAATGTTCCAGAGATATTTAGAGCTGAAGGTCTTTTTTGGGGGGCTATGGATTGGTGACCATAAATGGAGTGTCCAGTAGTCCAAGTATAAATTAGATACTGTGGGTCATCTTGGCAAATCTGAGGTTGTATTTGGAGCCTTAAGAGAAGACACTATAGGTGCTCAACAGTTGGCATTGGCCATTTACGTTGTGCAGTAATATTTCTTTTAGTAAATATTTCCGCATACAGTAATCTAGATTGTTTTAGAGCTTTAATCTGTGTGGTTCCTTAACTACTTTAAGCAATTATAAGCACGTTGTATAATGGTAGTACTTTATAGCCAATATTTAAGTTTCCTCAGTTGCTTTTTTTTCAGCCGTAAGGTACCAATTATGAGAATTTGTATAATTTTCAATAGTCAGTGGGCCTGATGAACTCAATGTAAACTTTTTAAAAGGTAGCTTTACATATTGCTATGATTCTTACCTTTAGAGAGACAGTAGGAGGTAATTAGTACCTCTACTTACAGAATTTATCACTTGGATTCAGATATAATGGCTATGTGGCAGGATGGGGCTGAAGGAAAAAGGAAAGTTAAAATATTAATTGTCAAGGTCTCATTTTTACAGCTTGTCTGGAACTGCTACCAGGTGTATCTGTATAGTTTTAAAAATGATAACGTTGTACCTGAATTCTTCAGTATATTTAAATAAGAGTTTTTCAAGCTCTGGTTATTGACATTTTGGGCTGGATAATTTATTCAGGGGATACTGTCCTGTGCCTGGTAGGATGCTTAGTGGCATCGCTGGATGCCAGGGACCCTCCCTCCCCTGGTAATGATGGTGTCTCCAGACATTGTCAGGTGATCTCTGGGAGCAAAATTGCCTCTTCTTGAGAACCCATAACCTAAGCAGATCTTAATATCATTTGATATAGTCAAAAAACTCCCAGGGCTCTGCATAAGAGGATTGTTCTATTTCCAGTCAAGTGTGGAGAATCCTAATACCTTCCTCCCAAGTTTAAACATGAAGTCAAACAATTCTCATTAGTCTGTGTTGATAGATTAACTTTGCACAGAGGGGATTTACAGATACGCTTCACACAGATTGACCATCTCCAGCATATTTTCCTTTTCTGGAAATAATATATGAGTGGGAGTAACAGAATACCTGAGAGAGAGTATGTAGGAAGTAAATATTTATTTGAATCATCTATGTGTCTTTTCTTCCGGTTATTTGTCAGTAGATAGTTTGGATTTATTTTTAAATAATGACCATTGCCTTTCCATTTCTGTGGGTAAATATTCAGTAATAAGAAACTTTTATTTTATTTAGTCTGTAGTGTTAGAAAAGGTAAAGTTACTGATAATCACAACTGCTGAAGATTAAAATACTTAGTGAGTTAAATTATTTGTTTGTAATGAGAAATTTTCAAAAGAATTATGTGTAGCTTTCAGTTGTAACCACAAGTTCAAGATCTTGAGTTAATAACATTTGTACAGCTAGAAGAAAGTAAAAATAAATATATTACATGTAAAAACTCTCTTTTGTGAATTCTCAGATCCAAACTTTTAAGTTCTCATTCTATGGGTTTGATGTTGACCAATACATTTTATCTATGAAATGATATATAATTGATGTAAGTAAATTTGACTGTTGTTTGGGCACCACCCTTACATAATTTAAGCATATATGAAACACATTTCAAAAATCACTTGAACAAAATGGGAACAATAATGTTCACATAAAGTGAGAGAGGATAACTTTTCCCATATGAGTTTTGGGTTGAATTTCAAAATTATTCTGAAATATGAAACATTAATATTATAAATATATGATTAGACTAATTTTCTTAAGAGTTCTAAACAGTAGATAATTTTTATCTTATTAGAAATTGCAAAGATACTTGAAATTCCACACTTATGCATTGTCTAATTTAGTGGTTGTACTTTAATTGTATTAGGTAGATAATCATGGAAGCAGTCAGACTAACCTGGAGATTTCACATCATTTACTAATTGATGCCTAAGTAGGCAGGGTAGAGGTACTTGAAAACACACACACACACACACACACACACACACACACACACACACACACACTCACTCTCTCTCTCTCACTTCCTTTGATTTGTGCTTTAATTTTGAAATGTGTGCTTAGGTGGCAAAGGGCTGCAAATACAGCATACTGTGTTTGACCAAAATATTTTTCTGTTTCCTAGGTGGAGAAGGACCCTGCATAGCTCCTTGTTAGCAGAGAGATAAAGTGGGTGCTGGGCAACCCAATGACAGGTGGAGGCCGTTCTCGGGGAGTGTTGCGGAGAATTTGAGACAGGGGTTTAAATCACAGATAGTGGAGGAGAGTTCTGCTTCATTCATGGACAGGAAGTCCAAAGAAGGCACAGCGAACCACAGGTCCATCCAGGCACTTTATGCCAGATATTGAACGGGAAGCCTAGTAGCCCTTTAGTTACTGGAGAACGGCCAAAAACCCAGAGGTTCTATTTTTCCAAATGAGCACTTCCTGGGTTCATAAATCAAGGAACCCCACAGAGTATTCAAGTCACATATCTCCTTTCTCAGGTTGATTCTTTGTATAGTGGGTCCTAATGTGGTAAGACTTACTTATGAACATTTTATTTCTTATAATGCCGTCAGTCACTTCCTTTTTTCTCCCTGGCATATTCTCACCACCCTTATCCTCCATGGCCCCAACTCCCTTAACCTACTTGCCTAGTGCTCTTTTGCTGCCTACCTGGACAAAATAATAATAATAATAATAATCTACTCATCTTTCAAGGCTTAGCTCAAATGTCACCTCCTCTGTGAAGCCTTCCTTAAGGCTCAGGCAGAATTAGTTCTTTTCTCTGTGTAATACCATAGCACTTTTTTTGGACTGTTAATATAACAGCAGATTGTGTTGGGGCTCATTGTATGTGTCTGTCTTCTAGAGAGACTATGAACTCACAGAGGGGAGAGATCATATCTTTTTCCCTCCGTAACCTCAACACCTGGAGATGTTAATGGAAATTAAGTGACTGCACTATTCCATGCATATCTTTAAAGGGCATTAGGTCCCAAACCAGACATCTGCAAAGGATGAATCCTGTTAACTTTTTGGAAAACTGGTTCTCTTTTGCTTGTGGTCATGAAAGCTGGTTTATTGGTTATTTTCTACTCCAACTTATTTAAAGCCTCATTTGTACCAAAGTATTACTGATTTTCTAGTGGAAAAACAGGTATGTCCGGCGTACATTGGTATTTTCAATAAACTGACATTTAAAAGACAGATTTCTCGTTGAGGTTTATGGTCTTCATAATTCTAGTTTTCTCCAGAAACAGACCTTGATCTCTTTGGTTGCCTTCTGCTAAGATCGATTTCATGTTATTTTGAAGAATTTTTAACCCTCAGAATTATAGATTTCATTTGAGAGAAAGCATGTTCTGTATTTGTTTGTGTCAGTGTTTCAAAATGTGAGGACCAAAAATCCCAGATGTATCTATTAAAAATATACGTGGCCTTTTGCTGAGGGAAATTACATCTTTTTTTTCAGGCACAATTGAGGAAGTAAAAAAATTTTGTTTAGTTTTTAGTGGTTTGTTTTTAGGCATTTTCCATACAAAGATGAGCAAGACCCTTCAAAAACCACCAATTTGCTTATTTAGGGGGGAAAGTCTTCCTATGTCCAGAAATAACATTAAATTAAGATTATTGTTTCCAATAGTTTCAAAAATTGTGGTTTTATTTTCTTGTATGAGTCATTTTTTAGCATAGTGCAGTACATGATTGCACTACATCATGACAAAGCATATTTGCTCTGTGTTTCAGTGGGTCACTTTATTTATCAGCGTCAGATGATCAGATCAGAAGAGAGATCTAGCCTAACCCTTCCATTTTGCAGATGAGATGTTGTATTATGTGACCTTAAGACCTTAAGTCATTTACTCAGAACAAAACAGAAAAAGAGAACTTCATGCTGGGGACACTTCATGCTCCCAACTCTACATCTTACCACTTTATTTTTATTTGTTTGTTTCTGATGAGGAGTTGAGAATGCTGGAATCAGACTACCTTTGTGTGTATCCAGGCTCTGCCACTCATCAGCGATGTGACTTTGGTCATGTAATTTTCTGAGTGGCTGTAAGCCATAGTTCCAGCATGTGTACATGGGGAATAATAACAGTACTCGCCTCATGGAGTTGTAAGGAATAATTGAATTCATGCAGGAAAGACATTTGGTTCAGTGCCTGGCCCACTATAAAAGCTCAGGTTATAGTTTGAATTGATATCTTGGAATAAAATGCTGAGTGTATTTGATATTCAGAGAAGGAAATTCATGCTGCTAAAGCAAGTTTTTTTTTTTAATCTGTTACTTAAAAAATACAAATAAGTCATACTTTGTATAACATATTAAAACAGAGATGATAGAGGTTACTTTTGAGAGGAATGACCAGAGGGAGCAAGAGAGAGGCTTTGGAATGCTGATTATGTCTTTTATCTTGGTTTGGTTGCTGGTCATGTGAAAGTGTTTATTCAATAAAAATTCATCAGTGATCAACTTTTGATTTATGTATTTTATTTTACTGTGCATATGTTATACTTTCTTAAAAAGTTTTAAAAATACGGATATATTTAAAGTAAAAAGTGGATTTACTCATTCTTATTCTCTGCAAATCAGGATAAGTTGTTATACTTAGATGTGCATCTTTTCAGGCATTTTTTTTTCTATATATGTGTAAATGTAATAACTATGTGAGGATGTAATTTATTTTCATTTTACATTTTTAACTCCAATAGGATCATTGATTTCCTTAAAACTTGCTTTTGATCTGCTGAATCTTGAATATTTTTCCACATCAGTACATATAGTTTTGGGTGCTTCTATTTAATGTATGCAGATATTTCATAATTTCACTGTTCCCCTCTTGGTGTATGTTTACATTGCTTCCATATTTTTACTATTACTAAGTATGTTGCACTGATGATTTTTATGTCTCTTCGTACATCTGCCAAAAATATCTGTAGATAAAACTCTAGATGCAATATTAATAGATAAATATGTATGTGCATTTTCCATAGAAAATACCAAAATGCTTTTTAAAAAGATTTATGAATCTTGCATCTTTAAGGTAATATTCTCATCTTTCTCACAAAAACCAGGTGCAAAAATTTCAACTTAATTGAACCTTGTAATTATTTGTGCTCTGGTTAAGAAAAATGGTTATAGTAGTAAATTCCTTGAAACTCATATAGTAATCGGAATACTCCACTATGATTAGGATAAATAATTCTATTAACGATATATATTTAATATATACATATAATTTATATAATTAGTTTCTCACTTAAGAATATTTAGTATTCATTTTTATGAATGCATATTATATTTACTTATGGTTCGTAAGCCCAAATGTTAGGAAGAAATAAATCAGTAATATTATATTCACTACATTTTTTTTTACTTAGTACCATCAAATATTTACCAGAATTATTAGGAGAAATGGTTCTAACTCTCATGTGATTGGTGAGAACTTATGAGGAATGATATATTGTTATTCTAGTAAGAGCCTACTCTGTGCCAGGCACAGTTCTAAGCACCTTACATATATTACGATAGCTTTTTAACATAGAGATGAAAGGTATAGACATTGTATAAGTAATAAATGACATTACTCCATTATAAATGTGTTGATAAATATTATTATACATGTCACAATATCAGTTGTGTCATATCAATGACTAATTTATAAATCTGTTACTTATTATAATCTGTTTAATGTGGAAATAAAAGTTAATGCATCAAAATCCAGAAAATTGCTACTCAAATGCTGGCTAAAGTAATCTGATAGATACAGTTTTAAAATGAAGTATATTAATCAGTTGATTTTGTTGTTCGATTTTTATATGTAGAAAATTCTGTCTCCAGAATATTCAGTTCTTGTAGTTTTTGGTTAAGATTTTGATTAATCTTCAATGGTTATCTAGTGCCTTTAAAAAGTAGTCCAACTCAGAATAGCTAATGTATTCCTCTTGCATTGAATAAATATGGCTATCAATTTTTGTGGGGTTTTTTTTCCTGCAGAATTTCCTGTTATTCTAAGGGATTCAATAGGACTTACACATATAAAACTGAAAATTATATTACTATGGGGAAGCTGCTTTGTGCCTTTCAGAAGGAACTCTCTTGCTAACTTAAGTACTGTATGTGTGTAGAATAGCTAATATTTTCCTCCCAAGAAATTTCATGTATGCAGTTAAAACACTCTTAAATTGATTAAGGATTTGTTATATATTTCCAGAAGCACTCAAGAGTACTTTTATGGTTATAAGAGTAGAGTGCATTAGAATGCCAGAAACCAATGAATACGCTAGAGGCCTTCAAAACTGTGCCCAACATTCCTGACTTTACCATATAAACATGTGGGGTAGCCTGGAAAAACAAAACAACTCTCCTTCCCCCAACGTAGGTGAGGCCTGTGATGATAACACTTCAACTGGCTTGAATATTAATTTGATACTTTTCTGTTAGAAGTAATTTTTATTACTTAGCAAATGAAATGGAGAGGTAATAAATATGACTGATATTTATTTCTTGAGTAAAGTATTATTTTACATCAGATTCGACCAGTTACCTTTATCCTTTTTGGAAAATGTATTATACAAACTACCACAGTATTTTGCCTATTAATCAGGGAAGCTAAAAAACGTTTTATAAACGTTGAATCAAAACTCTCACTGCTGTGAGGGAATTAAATTTCAAGCAATATACTCCTTTTATAGGGTGAGAAACTGAAGTATGGAGAAATTACAAGGTTTTCCCAAAGCTATACACTGAGTCATGGCAGACATAGAAATCTACAATTCTGTTTGCCTGATTCAATCTGAAACTTCATGAAACGTAATTTATCCATTTCCTGACATGTGCTTTAGAAGTATATTTCCTTATTTGCTTATTTATGCTCTCATTCATTCATTCATGCATGCATTTATGCACTATTGACTATTTATGCACTCATTCACTCATTCATGCATTTTAAAAGAATCGGTGTTTTTGTATGATACAGTCTTGATTTAGGGACTATGAATATTCTGAATTTATATATCTTAGATATTTCTTCAAAGAAACTCATTGCATTTTTTTCACGATCATGAAAAAGAAATTAAGACATTAAGAAAACCAAGCTGGATTGTCCAAGTGTGGGCCATAGCAGTGTCTATGGGCAGCACCTGAAGCTAATTCAGGAGTGAATCTAGTTTGTTCAAGTGCTTGAACAAGAACTTGGCTGAAGCCCTGGAGGAGATGCCTGGGGCATAGAGTGGGGACGAGGAAAAACCATAGCACTCTTAGAGAGTACTGTAAGGACTAGTATCCACATCTCTACCACCTGATGTCTTTACATTTGGTTCAGTCAAGAGAGAGGGGGCAAATTATTCTGCTTCTCATTCTGCCATCTTCCTGATTTCAGTTCTCACGCTTTAAATTCTTTTTTATTGCGATCTTTTTCTTACTAGTTTAACCAGTATTTTCCCGCGCTTTCTTCACCAAATTCGTTTCTTTCCATCAGCTTGCGGAGTTATATTTTTTGATCGAACTGCTGGGGTTACAAGTAATTTGAAATGAGGAAAGTGTCTAGCAACTTCCCTCAGTCCAGTACCCTGTAACAGAGACTTCAGAGTACGTAGTGATGACACCTGCCCTCCTCCCCTTCTATAGAGAGTTTAGTGGGCAACTTTTTTGGCTTGTTCTCTTGTTCTTTTCTTGCAGCCCCAAGACTTAGGACTCAGACTTGGTTTCTGCTTGTATGGCTCTCCATCTCTTCCCTTGGAAGAGTTCTTTCCCGGGGGCTTTTTAGGTCCAAGAGCATTTGGACCCCTGGGAGATGAACTTGTAGATTCTACAAAGAACATCCAAGTACCAGGCAAACCACATCTTCCTGTAGCTTAAACGTTAGTCTTTTTTCCCCCTTCAATTTTACTGAAGAATAATTTAGTCTCCAACAAACAAGCAAACAGAACCCTAGGGTCTTTCTCAAAGGTGCATTCTTGCTGCTTTGAAGATTATCATCATTAATTTCTATTTCAGCTAATTGGTTTTCCTTTACATTTTTATTTGGGTATAAATGTGATACTTTGGTATACATTAATGTTGATCTATATTAATACGTCAATTTATAATTGAGTGATTTAAAAATAATGATGCACTATGACCTAGTTTATATCTGCCTTCCACTTAATGCATTTCCTAAGCAATTATGCTTTTGTGGCTGACTGAATTCCCTTATAATTCCCTGTTGGGAAACAAAGATTTTTTTTTAAATTGAAGAAGTGGTCTTGTTAACCAGGGGCACCGTACTTAACTTGAGAGAAAAAGATTAGGAATGACAGGAATGACAGCATACTCCTAATATCTAACAGCCTGCCATACATGTGAAAGCAGGACACATAGCAGGGAAGCATAACGTTGAGTTGACTCAAAACACCAAATGTATTTGATACATTATTTTCTGAATTCTTACAACTTCAGCCCTTTTAAAGGTCTTTGGATTTTTAGAAGCTATAAGGGCAGTTTTTGGTAAAGGTGGCCCTACTTCTAATTCAGTTACAGAGTCAGTGGAATGATTTTTATATTCAAATGCTACAGGGGAATTTATTGAGAGGAAAAAGGGTACTCAAACTTTCCTGGATGCCTCAATTAAAAATCTGGATCAATAAAATTTCCTCAAGTGTCCCAAATTTAAGGAAAGCAAACAGCATCTTATTTAATTACATTCTTAATTAGTATTCACTATAGACACAATTCAAATCAGTAACTTGGCATTAGATGAATCAGATTTATTGCCATATTATATAACTCTCATGTTTACTTTGTTGTGTTTGGGACTTCTCCCTCCCCATAATAAAGAATATGACTCACAGGTGTCACACCTTGATTCCTGAGAAATTAATGTTATAGAAAAGTTGTTTGGAAAGATATAATTGTGATTTTGTTATTGTTTTTGTTGTCATTATTTTCTTTTATGGGGATGGGCACACACTTCTTGAGATTTACCAGATTTACCTTGTAGTTCATAAATTATTTCTTTAGATGTATCTAATTTGCTGTTTAGTTTGTTTCTTGTAAAAAAATTCAGTGAATATATTTTTAAAAACATTTTTATGGTTCTCTTCCAGGTTTGTGTGTATATTTTTTTCGTGTGTGGCTTTTCAATTTTATTTCTGTTTCTTTTGTGTCTGTTTTAAGTATACCTATCTAGTTTTTTCCACATTGCTCTGTAGTTTCACATTCTTAGATTCCTAATTTGTTGTTGTGGCTACTCTCTACTGTGTTTTGTTTCTTTATGTAGCTTATAATTTTTTTTTTCTTTTTGAGATGGAGTTGTGCTCTGTTGCCCAGGCTGGAGTGCAGTGGCACGATCTTGGCTTACTGCAATCTCTGCCTCCTGGGTTCAGGCGATTCTCCTGCCTCAGCCTCCCGAATAGCTGGGATCACAGGTGCCCACCACCATGCCCAGCTAACTTTTGTATTTTTAGTAGAAAAGGGGTTTCGCCATGTTAGCCAGGCTGGCCTCAAACTCCTGACCTCAAGTGATCTGCCTGCCTGAGCCTCCCAATGTGCTGGGATTACAGGCATGAGCCACCGCACCTCGCCTGTAGTTTATAACTTTTGGTGGATTTCTCTCTTAGAACCCTTTGTACTCTGTGGAGCAATTTTGCATTCCCCTGGAGTCTAGGGATTTCAAACCTCTAGGTCAGTCTTTATTTTATTTTATTTTTTTGTCTTGAGGTTTCCATACCACAGATGCAGTAAACATTTAGAATTTACATCCTGCAAGGCTGAAGTTTTGATTTATCTCACTCAAGAAATTATTTTCTTTTATTCTCTTCCCAAAGGCTCCATCATAGGACAGGCTTCTTTGCTGAATCTGATGGTGGGCCGAGTTTTTCTATCCCCCCTCCAATAAATGTGACAAACTTTTTAGACTCCTTCCTCTGTGGATTGCCTCTTGCTTTTGCTTCCTGCCCATCGCCATAAAAGAAGATAATGACAACAAAACGATAACAACACAAATGTAAACGTACCTTTTCCTCTTAACTTTTCCATATCATCAATTTCTCATGAATTAAGGTGTGATACCTGAAAGTCACATTTGCCTTATCAGTTATATTCATATAGTTCCTTTGTCTTATTGATGTATCTCTCATATTATCCCTCATATCCACTTCTCCAGGCCTTTTTCCACCCCATGTCAGTCTAGATTCTCTTGGCTTCTCACTTGGAGCGTCACAGCAGCCTTTAAGTTGCCACTTAACTCCACTTCTTGTTCATCTTGTTTGTCAGAAATCTGAAGTAGATGTGTTGTTGCAATGATATCACATGTGCCATTCTTTGTTTTGGGGGTTTTAAGGCTTTTAAGGTTATCAAAATATTGTAATAACCAATTGTCTTAATTGTATTTTGTACTTATTCTCCTGCTTTTGCCAACTTAAAATGTCTTAACATCCTGTTAATACTGAATGCTGATGCTTTCCTATTCCCTTTTCTTTCACATGTCCGTCTATAATTGTTTATTGATTATATCAGTCTCTCAACACTAAAGGCACCAGTCACAACTTTGATGTTATACAGAATGACAACTAAAAGGTGACAAATGCTAATGACTTAATCGAGGAGTTGTTCATTTTTACAAGCTTACCTGAGTTCAGAGAATTGGTAAAAGACTGGTGACTTTTGGCTACTATCTAAATATAATTGGTTAATGTAGCTCCTGGAGATCAGTGGTTAGTATAATACTCTTAGTTGAGCAGGGTTAAAAATAATTACATTTGTTTAAGTTGCAGATACTACTCTACTGTACAGCAAAGAATGTTAAAATGTTTTAATTCAGTATATGAAGAGCAAAATATAAAAACAGGTTTTCTTCCACTCTCACTAGCAAGCAAAGTGGTCTGTATTTTTGAAATATATTTTTTGTTTAATCATAACAAAATATAATACAAATGTTATTAAAAGCCCTATTTTATGGATGAAGACAGTGATATTTAGAGATATTAATTAGCTTTTCCAAGATCATACATTTATCCAGTAGTAAAAGCAAGTTTTCACAAGCTGATCTATTTTATTCCAGTCTTTATTTGGAATCACTAAACTTACATTCCCTTTAGCAAAACTATCGTTTACATTTCTAGGGTTTCAAGAGTTCAATGCTAAACTTGGGAGATCTATTCTTAAATTCTCTCAAAGTGCAACACATTTTCCTCAGGATGATCATAAAGTCATCAGATGTGTGTTAAGCAATATATATAGTCATATACTCTTGATCAAAAAAGATTTCCAGGTTACACAGAAGAGAGATTTATGGCTGAGAAAAAGGCAGATTGCTTCTAAGAAAGGCTTCAAATATATTCTCTTCTGACAGGCTACAGGAGAGCCAGCTAGATGAACCATTACAGTGTGTACAAAATGCTCAGCAGAATAATTTCTCAGTACTGGTAGGGAAGAGCAATAGGAGTAACACAAGAGAAGGAAAGTTGGTCTGCAGAGTCTGCCTTAGTATCCGTAGGGGTGATGAGGTTGCTTGGGCTAAGAATTCTTTCACATGTCTCCCTGGGACAATTCACTCAGAATTACTTCTGTGTTTTCTAGGCTATCTAGGCAACCATCACCAATTAGCAAACACAGACAAAATAGAACACCTTGTTTGGACCTGCTTGTCAAAAATCAAATGATCATAATTTATAATTCCAGGAAGACTTGCCATCAAATGAACTTATGACAAATGACCCAAATGATTCTCACAAAGTAGAGCTTGTTGTAACTTTTAGCATGAGAAGTATGAACCCCATTATCATTTTTTAAACATTTTGAGTTAAATGGACCGTTTTGCAAAGTCCATGTTCTATCTTTATAGACAGCTCAAAAATAGCTCAGCATCTAGTTTGTAGGTTGGCTCCATTTAAGGAGCTTGAAGTCAGGCAAGGTGCTCATTACTATTCATCCAGATCTGTTTCTTGGACACCTCAGCTGTTTTTCTTTTCTACGGCCAGGGAGGAGAGTCATGTGCATAGTCCAAGAATGTGCATCTCCATGTCTCTGAACAGTTGGCCATAGAATTGGAGCTAGGTGTTCTTTGTGCCATTGGCTTTCCTCTCTGGCATGCTTCCCGGGTGGTTGGAGCCAGCCAGTGCCTGATCCAGCTTCACAGACCCAGTAATGAAATTTGGAGGGCAGAGTAGGTAACTAGGTACACAAGAATTGTAAAGCAATGCCCATCTGGACAGTTGATCACAACTATAACTTCTCAATAATGTAACAGGAATATAAACTGTTAGACTTCCTATACCATTGCAATATAAAGAAGATAATTGAAGGCCGTGAAGATAGCTCATGAAATGCAAGGAAGAATTGGACAACTAAGCAACAGGAAGAGCAGAGAAACAGTGAGACTTTGGGAGTCACAAGATCTGGGTGCTTAAATTCTGCCAGGACTTTCTTGCCATCTTCATTTTTGCTCCTCTTTCTCGGTCAGTTCTCTTCTGTCTTTCCCTACAGACCAGCTTTTTTCCACATGGATATGAAACGTTTCCAAGTTTTATATCCTAGGGGTTTTGCCACTGAAGGAGGACTAGCCTGATATTTTCCCAGACTCATATCCTAAGGAAGATGAATCATTAGATCCAAGTAATTTCGTGCAACTGGAGAAGACTTGCAGACCCTACCTAATGGGTTAAGCTGGATATGCATCTGTGGGAGGGAGATATGTTTTGTGGGTATAATACACATGCAAGCAAACCTTAATATTGTACAAGATACGCTTCTGAAAATTTACTTGCAGTTTGAAAATCTGGAAGCCAAACAGTAGACCAACTGTTGTGAGTGTTAGAATTTAGTGTAATGGCACTTTCTGTGACCCAGGCAACTCTGCATAGGCAGAAAGATTCTTGAAAGCCCCACCCAGGTTGGAAAGGGTCTGTGTCAGAGGTCATGAGTGGGACTCTTCAGGCACCTGTTTCCCCATCCCAAGGTCTGCACATGGACTGGAACAAAAGTTTTGGCAGCTGCAATTTTTAAATCTTTTCCCAAGGGTATCTAGGGATTTAAAGCAGTAGGGAATGTACTCCCCCACTTTCCCTTGTTTTCCTTTTCACTGCAGCAAGAGGCAAGTATAGCCCTCAGCCCTGCTTGTACCCTCACAGGAGACTCATGTACAGGTCCCGGGCTCTGGCTGCAGGACAGTGTGAGGCTGCTGACAGGGCGAGAGAATGGCGAGAACAATGGAACAGGACTGAGGGAGAAGGAAGAGGAATCGTCCCCAGAACTACTACTTGGGACGGTGGTCCCAGGGAGCAAAAAACACCCCTGGAGCCCCTTCAAGGGGCCTTTTGGCAGAGCGGTACTACCGCTAGACACTGCCATGGCTGCAGGTAGGACTGATTAAAGAATTTCTGATTTCTTCTGAGGACAGGGTAAAGCTCTGAATTGTTTTTAGAGACTGCATTCAGATCTATATTTCGGAACCATCACTCTGGTTGCACTGTGAACGGTAACGTCCAGGGAGCAGGACTGGAGGGAAGGAGACCATTACGTGGCTGTTGCTCCTGCCCAAGCAGGGAACAATGATGGCGGAACGCCTGTACTGGCAGAGAGGAGAGAGAGGAGGGATTTGGCGAACTTTTGGAGGTATTGGTAGGACTTGGTAATATATTGAATGTGGAGAGCAAATGGGCAGGGAGTCAGTGACAAAGCCTAGGTGTTTGGCTTTGATGACTGGCTATGCCTGTGCCGGTTGTGTACAGAATCCAGAGGTTTAGCGTTTCCATGTGCAGCGTCGGTCCTCATTCCGCGGCAGCCTGGTGTGGAGTTGAGATGTGCCCCCTCCACTCCATGTTCACGTTTCTTTAGCCAGAGCAAAGCATGCCTGGACAACCTAGGTTTCTTTCTTTCTTTCTTTCTTTTCTCTAGAGAGAGAGGGTCTCCGCTCTGTCACCTAGAAGAAGTGCAGTGTCGTGATCATAGCTCACTGCAGCCTTGAACTCCTGGCCTCAAGTGATCAGAGGATTAGGTGTACTTCTCTACAAACTTCTCAAACCTCCTTCAGCATCTCATTCCTTAAGGGACCTTACAGTCTCTCCCACCTGGACGGCGCCATGGTGCCTCATTCCATTTCTGAGAATTGTCTTAAAACTTTATATAGAAACTTGCTATTATGTATTTAAATGAGAAGAAATGTTGAATTTGTAATTCTAATTTTCTAAGACAAGAGTTTGTAGCTCGCTTCTAGCAGAGTTAAAGAAAAAGATATGATGAATGGTCTATATATTGAAAACTGCAGAAGAAATAATCTAATATGGAATGGGTGAGGTTGCTACAGGTGGTGCAAAAATAATTGCGGTTTTTGCTGTTACTTTCAGTGGCAAAAACCGCAATTGTTTTTGCACAAACCTAATAATACTGTTTGAAATTCATATTTTCTGGTGGAACAGTCTTGAGATAGAGCGGGAACTAGATTATTGGCTCATAAAACAGCATGCAGTTACTGTTATTCCTTAATCTTATATCTTTATTATGAGGTAATGCTTCTCTTACTTGATTTGGAGAATGTTCTCATCTTTTTCTCATATATTTGTGAAAACTAAATGTTAAAGGAATTAACATAACAACCATTGCTAAATTATGATGTAAAATAATACTGTGTCTGCAATTAGCCTAGGTAGTTTTACTTGGTTCAATAATATAAAATCACTAGGCTCATAATATTTTAGTACCTTAGTGTGATTGGCCAAGAAAAAAATTCACGTTACCATAAAAAGTCAAACCAAGTAACAATTAATCTAAATTTCAAGGAAATATAAAGCAAAGTATTATGTTGTAACATGGAACATTAATGTAAATAACTCCCCAACAGTTCATGAAATAGATTCTGAACTGGCAGTTGACAAAGAAAGGCTAGTTTTGGCTTAATTCTCTTATGCTCCAATATCTTTCCTGAAGTCTTATTTAATTTCACTTGCGTTAGCAACAGTACTCTGAGATGGTGGTGCATCTGGAAAATTATCACTTCTTTCCTGACAATCAGTATCTTTAATTTAATTCTTACATATGCTTTCTGGAAATATTACATTCATACTTTGATGACGTCTTAAAAATAATTTCAATGTAATAATTATACATGTGTGGTGAGTAAATTGTGTTCCGTAAAAGATACTTTTAAATCCTAATGTCTGTATTTGGGAATGTGACCTCATTTGGAAACAGGGTCTTTGCAGGTATGATCAAGTTAAAATGAGATTTTACTGGATTAGGATGGGTCCTAATACAATGACTGTTGTACTTAAGAGGAAAATTTGTACAGAGACATACACACACACAAAAGAATGCCATGTAACGTTAGGCACGGAGAACATCATGTGACAATGAAGGCAGAGATTGGAGTGATGCATCTATGAGCCAAGGATGGCCAGCAACCCCCAGAAGCTGGGGAGAGACAAAGGATGCTTCCCTAGGATCTCCAGAGCAAGCATAAATCTGCCAGCACCTTGATTTAGGACTTCTTTCCTCCAGAACTGTGAGAATAGATTTCAGTTCTAAGCCACCCAGTTTGTGGTACTTTGTTATAGGAGTCCTAGGAAACTAATGCAACATGCTATGTTGTAAATAAACAGTAGTTCTAATTGGTATAAATAATAATTTTAAGTATATTTTATTATTAGGTCAGGTGAGTAGGAAATTGCCTGGTAGACTAATTATCAATGTTGTATTTTCTGAAAAGTTAAAATATTCCCATTCAGTAAATAATACTTGTCTAAAAGTTTCTATCTGTATTGTCCTAAAACAAAGCAAAAATTAAAATGGAGTCAGTTATGTACCTGAAAAATGTGAAAAAGGAAAGAAAAATCTTTTAGGAAAGATTTTTCCTAAAATGGCTATACATTTGAGAAAGAATTTTAAAACTTAAATCATCTGGCTGTTTATTCCATTTTTTTGTTTACATTATCAGATACATTATGTATGATTTCATACATTATGTATGTTACATTCAATCAATATTTATTAAATACCTAAAATTTGCTAGGCCTTGAGCTAGGTATTGTAGATAGGTAAATAAGACAAACATTCCCTTCCCCTAAAGAGATTATTTTGGCATGAAATTTAATCTGTAGAAGAAGTGAAAGAGGCCATTTGCAGAGTCTACCATGAAAATTCATTTTCACTATCTGCTGTAGTTTTACCTGATCCTGTGAAACCATTTTAGCATCATTTGGTTTTACTTTGTGCTTCTGTATTATATTGGAGAAAATAAAATTTACTTATTGCACAGACAACATAAAATTAATTAAAGTATGTGAAACCAAAAATGTAATTGTTTATCAAATTTTTTTTAGTGTTTCCCATTCATCAGTATCCAAATACATTCTTAGTTGTGCATCCATGTTAGCATAACTAAAATGTGGTGTTCTTATTTTTTCATCTAATTCACAATCAACAATGTTCACTTTTCCACTTTTTTTTTTTGAGACAGAGTCTCACTCTGTCACACCCAGGCTGGAGTGCAGTGGCATGATCTTGGCACACTGCAACCTCCGCCTCCTGGGTTCAAGCGATTCTCCTGCCTCAGCCTCCTGAGTAATTGGGATTACAGGCGCCCGCCACCATGCCCGGCTAATTTTTTGTATTTTAGTAGAGACAGGGTTTCACCATGTTGGTCAGGCTGGTCTCGAACTCCTGACCTCAGGTGATCCGCCCACCTCGGCCTCCCAAAGTGCTGGGATTACAGGCATGAACCACCACGCCTGGCCCCTCATCATTTTTATAATTACTTTTTTGATCATTAAATTATATTATACAACTGACCATGATTTGTTTAATTAATCCACTGCAAAGATGAGGCTGTTTCTAGTTTTCATTGTCATGAATTATTCTGTAGTTTATATTTTACGAGTTTTTTTGGGGAAAGGTTACTTCTTAGGAAAGTTAATACTGGGTAAAAGGGCTTAAACATATTTATAGCTTTTAAAGTACAGAGATGGATTGCTTTCTAAAAATATTAGAAAATGACATTGTTACTAGCAAATGGTTGAGGACACCGTGTTCACAGTGTTTCTGATATTAAGTATTATCAATATATAAATAGTTTGGGCATTGAATATGTATACAATAATCCAAAAAACATGTACTTATTGCTCAGATTTATGTATTTCAGTAACTGAAAGTGAACGCTTTTCCATATATTAGTTTATTATTTACATTTTCTTATAATAAATTATGTTCTCCTACTCTTTCCTAATCATTTAGTGGGCATTTAAACTTCGCCTCACTAATTTTTATGTCCTCAGTAAGTGTATATATAGTCACATTTATTTACTAAAGATATTTTCCATAATCTGTTGTATCCTTTTACTTTTGGGGCTGTTTTTCTTTATTCAGAAATGCAAAGGTTTTGCTTTGTTTTGTTTATGTAGGCAATGAATTGTATGGTCTCTTTGCAATCCAATGCAGTATTTTTGCCATTTATGTAATCCATGTATCTATCAGAGTAAGAAGGAACATCAGATTTTCCTCGGAAAGAGAGCACTTGGCTAATTTGTTATCAAGGTAATGAGGAGAAAATGGCTCTAAAGGAGAAGGCCAGCCACAGTTCAGTCTGGGAGAATAGAGGGATTGACATGAGGTGGGCAGGTGTCAAGTCTTGGGCAGCTCTGTGCCTGCTGACCAGTGGCCAGCACTTAACTATTTGCGTGCATCATTTCCAAGGTGAACCTGAGCCAGAGTGGTCTTGGTTACTTGGGCCAGGGGACAGTTCACAGGACCAAGGATCAATGGGTCAGCTAGGAAAGGATAAGCAAGAAAGGGATTAGCAGGAATCAGGACCAGGCTGAGATACCCAGATTTGAGGGGAGGAACCAGTGCATCAGGAGGAGAAGAGGGAGAGTGGGAGGAGGAAGGTGGGCGTGTGAGCTAAGAGGCAAAAAGCTGGGCTTTTCCATCACGGTTTCTTAGCCTCCACACCCCATGCTGTCCCAACACAAAAACACCACCGTAAATCTAGAACTCTCTGCCTACTTATACTCCTGAATTCAAATGTGTACTGCTGGCTGGGCATGGTGGCTCATGCGTGTAATCCCAGCACTTTGAGAGGCTGAGGCAGGCAGATCACCTGAGGCCAGGGGTTCGAGAGCAGCCTGGCCAACATGGTGAGACCCTGTCTCTACTAAAAATGCAAAAATTAGCCAGGCGTGGTGGCACGCTCCTGTAGTCCCAGCTACTTGGGAGGCTGAGTCACAACAGTCACTTGAACCCACGAGGCAGAGGTCGCAGTGAGCTGAGATTATGCCACTGCACTACAACCTGGGCGACAGAGCAGGACTTCATCTCAAAGACACAAAACAAACAAAAAAACCGAATGTGTACTGCATCAACTTTCAGTGTGCTTGATAATCCACCATATCCTATATACCCTCCCTTCCCTTTTCATATGCAGTTTAAAATTGTGCTTTTCTTCGAAATGATGCTTTCCTAGTTTTGGAGTATTTTAAATCAATATCTCACTGAAACTGTCACATTATATACATGTGTTATTATTATTTTCTGACTTTTAAGAATGAAAAAAACATACCTTTGATCTGTGTCTCTGTTATATATGCATAAAACTTTTGCAATTTACATTTTAAATTTCTCTTGTAATTTTTAAAACGTCTTGTGATCTAATAAGGAAAGTAACATGTACTTTGGAAAATATTGCAAAGCATAAAAGAAATTGAAGAAATTAAGACCATGCCTACTTGGATGCAGTAGGGAATATATGACTGGATATATGTAAAACTGAGCAAAACATCTACTGATATTGAATATTCAATAAACTGAATTGGCATCTGTATTAGGGTTCTCTAGAGGGACAGAACTAATAGGATATATATATATATGGGAGTTTATTAAGTATTAACTTACACTTATTATTAACTTAACTTACCCTTAACAATCACAGGGTCCTCCAATAGGCTGTCTGCAAGCTGAGGAGCAAGGAGAGCCAGTGCGAGTCCCAAAACTGAAGCACTTGGAGCCTGATGTTCAAGGACAGGAAGTATCCAGCATGGGAGAAAGATATAGGCTGGGAGGCTAGGCCAGTCTCTCTTTTTCACATTTTTCTACCTGCTTTATATTCACTGGCAGCGGATTAGATTGTACCCACCAGATTAAGGGTGGATCTGCCTTCTTCAGCCCACTGACTCAAATGTTAATCTGTTTTGGCAACACCCTCACAGACACACCCAGGGTCAATACTTTGTATCCTTCAATCCAATCAAGTTGACATTCAGTATTAACCATCACAAGTCCACCCCTTGTCAACTTGAACCCATATACATCTCCTGAGATTATACATCATCTTCAAATAAAGACAATAATAAGGTCATAATTATACCTAACATAATACAGCTGTCCTTTGTATAACCGGAAATGCACCAATCCCCAACCCAAATACTATTACATAAAGTTAACAATATTTAAATGCCGATATGAAGTCAATAAATCTTATGTCACATGATAAAGGAAAAGGAAATAAAGGTATTTTCTTAGTACAAGTGTATACATGCACAAACATGTTTTTAACAAAAGAAGGAGGAAATACTCATGACAATTACAGTCCCCGTTTCTGCAGTGGTCTCGTGGTCGTAGATGCTATTGATGACTAACTTCTTCTACTACCCATTCTGTATTCCCTTTGCCTTCAGCAAGCACCTCAACAGGTCATGTTTTTTTTTCCTTGTGGAGTGACCCAAACCTTCATTCCTGGGGGATCTGGGCCATTTCTAGTCCTGCCTGGATTGGGCTGTTGTAGTTTCCCATTGACCTTAATCATAGGGCGTGGTAATACTAAGAGACACCCTAATGGATCTCCTGTATTCCATGCATACTCTTCCTTACCTCCGTTGTGGAGTAATAGACTGATTTCATCTTGAAAGTCTGGGTCAGTCAGTCACCCCAGCCAACAATGTAACTCCCCTCTTAGCCTGTTGACTTAAAGGTAGGAGGAGCCCAAAGTGTCCAGGTGGCAATGTTAACATCCAGTTTAATGGAATCGTTGTTGTCTCTCCTGGTGGCAGTGTTCCTCCCTCTGGAACTAAGACCTCTAGGCCAGCAGAAGGTAATGTCGTGGGAACATTTTGCTAGTGGAAGGAAAAATTTTGCTAGTGAATCACTAGGGGTGATGGTGAGTGGTGCCACTTCCACTTCCACCCTTGATTCGTGAACCCGTGAATCCTGGCTATGGGAGAGACAGTGCCATATATTGGATGCTGATTCAGAGCGTACATGGCTTTCTAGAGAACTTTGCCCCAGCCCTGCAAAGTATTGTCACCTAGTTGGCATTGTAATTGTGACTTCAAAAGGCCATTCCACCATTCTGTCAATCCAGCTGCTTCAGGATGATGGGGTACATGGTGAGACCAGTGAATTCTGTGAGCATGAGCCCATTGTCGCACTTCTTTATCCATAAAGTGAGTGCCTCGGTCAGAGGCAATGCTGTGTGGAATACCAAGACAGTGGAAAAGGCATTCCGTGAGTCCGTGGATGGTAGTCTTGGCAGAAGCATTGCGTGCAGAATAGGCAGACCCATATCCACAGTAAGTGTCTATTCCAGTGAGGACAAACCTCTTCCCTTTCTATGATGGAAGAGGTCCAATATAATCAACCTGCCACCAGGTAGCTGGCTGATCACCCCGAGGAATGGTGCCACATCGAGGGCTCAGTGTTGCTCTCTGCTGCTGGCAAATTGGGCACTCAGCAGTGGCCGTAGCCAGTTTAGCCTTGGAGGATGGAAGTCCATGTTGCTGAGCCCATGTGTAACCTCCATCCCTGCCACCATGGCCACTTTGTTCATGGGCCCATTGGGCAATGACAGGGGTGGCTGGGGAAAGAGGCTGAGTGGTGTCCACAGAATGGGTCATCCTATCCACTTGATTATTGAAATCCTCCTCTGCTGAAGTAACCCATTTGTGAGCACTCATATGGAATACAAATACCTTCCTGGTTTTTGATCACTCAGAGAGGTCTATTCACATATCTTTTCCCCAGATTTCTTTGTCACCAGTTTTCCAATCCCGCTTCTTCCAAATCTCTGACCATCCAGCCAAAAACCATTGGCTACAGCCCATGAATCAGTATATAATCACACATCTGGGCATTTCTCCTTCATGCAAAGTGCACAACGAGGTGCACTGCTCAAAGTTCTGCCAACTGGGAAGATTTCCCTTCAGCGCTGTCCTTCAGAGATGTCCCAGAAAGGGGCTGTAGTGCTGCAGCTGTCCACTTTAGAGGGGTGCCTCCATATCATGCAGAACCATTTGTGAATCAGGCCCTAGTCTTCTCTTCCTCTGTCAACTGATCATAGGGAACTCCCGATGAGGGCATCGATGCAGCCTTGGGGAGAGAAGGTAGGGTGGCAGGAGTAGAAACCATGGACATTTGAGCCACTTCCTCATGAACTTACTTGTGCCTTCAGGACCTGCTCAAACCTGATCACATATATGCTACTTTCATTTGATGATAGAATGCTGCTCTGTACGACCTTCTTTATGGCCAGATGGGTCAGAAAGCTCCCAGTTCATGATAGCCAGTTAAGGTTGCATAGTGACTTGATGACTCGTAGTCAAACCTTCAGTTTCCACCAAAGCCCAGTAATGGGCCAAGAGCTGTCTCTCAAAAGGAAGGTAGTTATCTGTAGAAGATGGTTGGGCCTTGCTCCAAAATCCTAGAGGCCTTTGCTGTCATTCACCTATGGGGGCCTGGCAAAGGCTCCAAACAGCATCCCTATCTGCTACTGGCACCTCAAGCACCATTGGATCTGCTGGATCATATGGCCCAAGTGGCAGAACAGCTTGCACAGCAGCCTGGACCTGTTGCAGAGCCTTCTCCTGTTCTGGACCCCAGGCAGTTTTATTTGGTAAAGTGAATGATTAAAGGTCTTGGGGCCAAAATGATCTCAACCTATTTTCAAACTTTAAATGGGTTAGAAGCCTGGCTCGCTGGCATAGAGCTAGGCGTGGAATATGAGTCCCTAGTGGGCCACTTTTGGTAAGCAGAACTGGCACTGTGGGAGGAGCCAAACGCTGGGTTAAGGCACCCGATGCTGATGCTCATTAGACACCCCACTCTTGTTACCAAAATCTGTATTAGGGTTCTCTATAGGGACAGAACTAATAGGAGATATATATATGTATATATATATATATATATAAAGGGAAGTTTATTAAATATTAACTCACATGTTCACAAGGTTTCACAATAGGCTGCTTGCAAGCTGAGGAGCAAGGAGAGCCAGTCCGATTCCCCAAACTGAAGCACTTGGAGTCCAGTGTTTGAGGGCAGGAGGCATCTAGCACGGGAGAAAGATGTAGGCTGGGAAGCTAGGCCCGTCTCTTTTTTTCACACTTTTCTGCCTGCTTTATATTCGCTGGCAGCTGATTAGATTGTGCCTGCCAGATTAAGGGTGGATCTGCCTTCTTCAGCCCACTGACTCAAAATGTTAATCTCCTTTGGCAACACCCTCACAGACATACCCAGGATCAATACTTTGTATCCTTCAATCCAATCAAGTTGACACTCAGTATTAACCACCACAGTGTCCGATTGTTTCTTTAGATTGTAATACTCTTTTCCATTTAAATTGTATTTTCAGAAATATTTAATGTCAGTAGATATTTCTTGAAATGTGACTTCAATGATTATGTTCATCTATGATGAACAACTTTTTAAATCTAAATTGTTTTTATTATAATCTTTTAATTTTTCTTTTTTAGAATTAGAATTTGAACACTAGAAATGTACCATTGCAATTTTAAATTACATTTCATTGTGAATTTGAACACAGTTTTATGATAATTGAACATATTTCTGTAGGGCATGTGCCTTTCTGTTTGAATTGTAAGAGCTCTTTATATGTTAAGAACATCAGCCCATTGTGTTTGGTATTTGCACAGGTATTTCTAGATTTTTCTGTGCCTTTTAATTTTCATTGTGTGTGTGTGGGTGTGTGTGTGTGCGTGTATGTGTTTTAAAAGAGAGAGCAAGAGAGAGGATTCAGGGTTACTTGGGTTTTTGGTGTGTCTTCTATTGCTACTATGATAAAATCCTCTATCTGGGGATTTAAAAATATATGCCTATTTTTCTTAGAGTTTTTCAACTTTAATTCATTTGAAAATATTTTAATGTATGGTATGGAGTAAAGATATTTTTTGAATAGTTAACCAGTTATCTCACCATAGTGTATTACTAATTATCTTTCCCATGTTTATTTGTAATACATTCTTTAACATATTGTCTTTTTAAGGTTGGTCATGTATTTTATATTTTTAAAAAGTGAAGAGTAATTATTTTTCAGAAGAATAATCATCTGATAATTCAAATTTTCCTGTAAGAGAAAGTTGTCATATTAAAATGCACACTTACTTTTTCAAATTATTTTATGTACTTTTGAAAGTAAATGGTTAATTCAAACTCTTGATTGTTAATCTGTCAATTGCTTGATGACATACCTCCCTCAGTAAAATAGTGTATTAACTGTTTATTGCAGACTGTGTTTAGTGCAGACTATGGATATTTTTGTTGATCTGTAGAATTCCTGACTAGCTGTTCACATACCCCACTTTTACCATGACACTATTTTCAAGATCATTAATTGCATCAGATATGGAGACAATATTAGTGGATTTTCTTCTTGAGAGAATGCTCCTACAAGTTACTAATTACCATGCTATGTCTTGATATGTTTTTGTAACCTTACAAATGAATATAAAGATAACATTTTTCCCCTTTGTTTCCATCTTCTTGTTTTAGATAGTCATTTTTACTTGAAGGAAGCTGCTTCTACTTGGGAGTGGCAGGAGAAGTGAGAAAACCACATGGAAGACTCCCAGGATTTAAATGAACAATCAGTAAGTCTTCATTCTCAGTTTTGCTGAAAAAAGTTGCGATAACACTACTGAAAATCATACGTAAAAGAGATATATTGTAAGAAGTAAGTTTTTCATTAAATATATTTTTAAATGATTTTTGAATTTCCTTTCAAAGACCATGAAACAGACCTTTGGAGATTTATGCCGTTTCTGCTTAATGATGATGTCACATTTTGATGTCTTCTTTGATTTTCTACTTGGAAAACTAGTGGTGGAAAGACTAAGGCATTGAAATCATGATGCATGTTTTAGACAGTCTAAACAATTTTATATACGTCCTTTATTATTTTATTTCAGATATGCTGGATATTGTTGAATATCAGAAGTATAAAAGGAGAAAGTATATTATTAGCATGCTTGTTAGTCATTTTAAGGAGGAAAGAAACCATAGTTCTCAAGCGCTTTTAGTATTTTACTAGATTCATTGCAGGACCAAGAATGCACCAGCTTGATGGCAATCCTTTTAAGATTCTGATTTCCCAAGGGAAAGGCTCTTTGCAACCTTTCCTCCTAGCTTGTTAGTGGTGTCTCTGTGACAGTAGTTCTTTAGCGTGTGGAACTAGAGGCAGTGGGAGGGCTTCCCTCACACCCCCACGCCTTCACACTACTGGAAGCTGTCGTTTGAGCTGTTTTGCATACGGACAACTCATGATGTTACAAGTAACAAGACGTGTGCTTACTGAGAGTGTGTTCTGCAGTCTGATGCTGTTCCTTTTTTTTTTTTTTGATGCTGTTCTTTATTAGCTTATGTGATCATGACTTGATCTTACAGTCAAATGTTTCTCCATCAGGCAACTGAGGAGAAGATACTTATATCTAATAATGTGGTTCTAGAAAAGGTATATGTGATGAGTTTAATTTTAAGAGGGATGTATATTCTGGTGCCATTTGAAGTTGATTTGATTTGCTTTCTAGTGGATATTTTATTTAAAAGAAATGATAGCCATGCCTTTAATTTGGATAGACATGACCATAGTCTAATTTCAATATATATTATATTATGATTTATTTCACATGGCATCATAGGAAAAATGTAACAAAAAATTATAAAGTGAAAAAACTATGAAATTTGTCAAATGGTAGAGATATATTCCTCTAGAATTGTGTGACTTCTTTAGTAAGGTAAACAGAAATGGCTATGGGAAGGCAAGGGCTTTCAAACTTTTAAAAATGCTGGTTATTGACTGTAAATATTCACAGCATGGACTCTAGCAAAATGGAGGTTAGTCATCATGACTGTTGGAATCAGAAGTCTGTCTGTGTGACTATGGTGGACTTGAATAGTTAGTAGTAAATGTTGACAACATCTTAGTGGTGATGCTTCATTAAAAGAGTGCTGTTGATCTGAACTTTGTTCTGATACACCGAGGGTCACATACAAGTGTGTGTGTATATGCAAATGTTTGTATGTATGTGTGCGTATATGTTAGAGTGACCAACGTTTTTTTGTTGCCAGAGACTGAGGATTTTCTAGGGACATAGAACTTTCAGTGCTAAAGCACACAAAGTTTGGGGGAAAACCAGGATGGTTGATTCTGTTAATTACTATAGGGTGTGTATATACTCAAGAAAGAATTTTGTTTTCAATGCAGTTGAGAATATATTTTTATGTTTAACACTAAAGTGATGTGTTACTAAAGATGCGTCATATCACCGTTCACAAAATGAAGCACAGAACTTGTAAATCAGATATGGTGTCCTTCTAGTGATATTTTAAGGTCATGGAGCTCACTATTTCTTTTTAAAGTATGTTTTTAAAAGTTTCCAGTGATGCTAGTGAGCAGTCAGGTTTGAGAACAAGAAATCTAGGGAGACCTGCCTACCCTCTCAGCTTGAACCCATTTGCTGAATTTAAATTTCAAACATGTAGACCAATGTATTCATCTCATAAATGTGCAAAGAGATGCTTAGAACTGTTAAATGACTTGCCCATGTTGGCATAGCTGATAAGAGGCAGAGTTAGGACTTCACACGGTTCTTCTGACTCCAAGTCCAAAGCTCTCTCCATAACATCGACGTGCCTCATTGCCTTTGGGTTATGCATATTGTGGCATTTATAGAAATGTCAAAAAAAAAAAAAAAAAGAAAAGAAAAAGAATCAGCCCCTTTACATGGAAATAATTTCTCTTTGAATGAAATCTTTATATGATTCTAAATTTTGTGGAGTATATTAATGTCTCAAAATATTTTGAAAAATGATAGCATTTATTAAGATATAGAACAAGTAGGGGTGGAATTAAAATAAAGTTCATAGTTAGATGAAAGTGAATTTACTCATATCATTGCTATTTTAGTTCAAGAGGGATTCTTTGGGTGTAGACATAGCAGTAGGAGTCATTTGTGGCACATGCACACTGCATCTAGCATTTTCCATATACTTGCTCCAATTCTTACCATGTATTCCTTCATTGCAATTTTTAAGGCCACTATTTTACAGATGAAACTGTGACCTAGAGAGTGTCAAGGTCAAACAGCTGTTAAGTAGTAGAGATCAGAATTAAACCAACTTCTCTCTGGCCCCAAAACTTTTAATGGATTTTGCATGATACAACATAATAGGTAGTTAAGGGCATGAGCTATAAATCAGACTTCCCTGTCACTTAAATGCTTTAAAACCTTTGGGAAATTACTTAAACTCTTCCTCCTCTATGGAGTGGAAGGATAATAAAAAGATGTCTTATGAAGTGCTTGCATATGCCTCACTTAGAGTAAATATTCAATAAATGTTAGCTGCTATCACAAATACCTGAGATATTCAGATGCTCTTTAATGAGTATTCATTCATTCTAGCATATCCAGCTACTGACCAGACATCCCTTCTGGGAGTTCACAGGTCCACACACTCAGCAAATGAAGAATAAATTCACCAGCTCTCCTTCCCTCTCCCAGCTTTTCTTCCTTTGTCCTTTATGCCAGTATTACTCATCTCAGTGAATGGCATCATCAGCTACTGAATGGGTTATGGCAGAAAAGAGGTAGTAATCCTCCTTTTCTTCATCCCGCATCTCAAAGCTTTGTCCACTCTTAATGTTTAATGTCATTCAAAGCTATTCTTTTTGCTCGAGCTCCCTTAGTTTAGTTGAGATCTTTATTTTATCTCTTGACTTTCTTGTTTTACTTTAAGTTGCTTCTAGAGTTGTCTTCCTAAAATACAACCCTGATCACATCACTACCTTCCTTTTTATCCTTCACAAGCCCTTTCTTGCCTTCAAGGGAGAGGCTCAAGTGTGTCATCAAGCATACAGAGCTTAATGCTTATGTATTTCTTCAGTTTTTTTTTTTCTGGTTTCTGTCAGTTTCTGAATCTCCCAGGTTCTCTGAGGTCTCTATGCATTTGCAAGTGCTTTAATATCTTCCCAGAAGGGTCTCTTTCCCACCACCAGGATAACCTGTAATTCTTGAAGACTCAGTTTAGGTTTCCATCCCTCTGAGCAGCCCTCTCAGACTACCTCCTTTCTTCTCACCCAATCAGCCCTACCGGTCAGGGCCCTCTGCAGTGTGCTGCCATAACCCTTTGGCATTTACCTCTAGCCCAGCACTTACCCTACAGGACTGAAACCCTATCTGTTTACTTGCCTATCTCACCACTACATTATAAACTACTTAAGAGTAATGGTGGATCTCGTTCATCTCGTACTCTTACTTCTTAGCACGATTCTTGCCAGTGTTCAGTAAATGTTTTCTTCAAAAGCCTTTATATACTTTTAGTGAGGTATGTTAATGAGTAGCCTGACAAATTTTAGAAAGCCAAAATGTTATTCTCAGAGTAGATTACTGACTCATGAATTTATATTCGACTCACTTAAAAAATTGCATAGAAGGTCTAACATGAATTTAACTGCATATGACCAAAATAAAGTTCAGTCCTTCATTTTTCCTCTAGTATATCTGGCTCCTATTTGGCATTCTGGCTTAGAGGATGTAGAGAATTTTAAGAGATAAGCAACTAAAAAGAATATTTAACTGTCATAAATTTATCTGCAGTTCTATTTTAGAGCTTCATAATTCTTTAGAATTGGTTTAAGTTATAGCCAGTTACAGCTTATTACAGTTTTTAATGAAATGTTCTTGATAATAGAAATGGCTGTGAATGTAGGTTATACCTAGCAATAGCTCCCTTCATACTGTGAAATATATTGTATTTTTGTATTCAAGCAGAGAATGAGCAATATTTATTATTTTTATAGCTTCTATAATATCTTTATAGATTGAGGTGTTTTATAATCCTATTTTGGTGGTCCGGGATATTACTTCAGATTTTTTCTCATCCAAAACATTCATATCAACATGAGATGGAGTCTGGCCTAAATTAATGATCAAGCCAGCAGGTTTGAAAAGAAATATATTTTATTAATGTTAAGTATTGTATGTTATAAAGTAAAACATTCGTGAATATTAAGTAAAACTAAGTAAAATGAATAAGTTACAGCAGGATTGCTTTCCCTAAATGTTATGCATTACGGGCCTGAACATTCATATGTATTTCCACATTGTTACTAAATCAATTCACTTATATTGTTGGTGGCATGATTTTATTAGTGACATCTAAATTAACTCACATTCATTGGATTATGTTACATATTGTATGATTCATTAATACTTCTGGAAATTCATTTCTGTGTCCATTTTTAAATATAATACATTTATATTTCAAAGCTATTCTATTTGTATTTATGAAACATATTCATAGACATGTTTCAGTAATACTTTTGGAAATTTGTTTCTACATGCATTTGTAGATATGAATTGTATTTATTTGCCTTCACCAACCATGCTAATTTAATAATGTCTATTAAAATTCTAGAGCTAGTTTAGTAAATTAATTTATTTTTATCTCTCTCTTGTTTTTCCTTAGAGTACTCATGACTTTGATTAGTCCTCAGATCTTTGTTCCTAGAGATCCTACAGTATTATCTTTGATTATAGCCACTAGCCCATCTTTAAAACGTGTACTCCTCTCTGTATCAGATTTTTAACTATTGTATAGAATTGAATTTGCCATTAAACTTATCATCTAGACATAGAACTTCAGAACCACCAATTTATGACAGTGTTTAAACAGTATGCTAGAATATAATTATTTTGATTAATTTTTGTTTAAATCATTTTTCTATTTTTATAATGTGACATTATCAAAATCCTAAAATTCTATTATTCTGTTGCTTTATTCTTGGGTACTCTAAACCCATTCGACCAGAAGGCATACTTGTACTGAATATCTTAAATATATTTTACTTAGATCTAAACAATGTTGGATTATTCTTTTTCAGGATCCAATTCTGTATCGAAGAACTTGACCTTTAAACTAGTTAAAAGAATCTTGTTTACAACATGTAATTTTTATACTATCCAACTGAATAACATACTTCAGAGTTCTGTGGAATTCTGTTCAAAGCCCAGTTTCAGAATTACTGTTAACTCCAAATTGCCAATTACAGCTTGACTTTGCAGTTATGTAGTAGAGTACCTAAACTGAAGTTACAAAGTAGATGCGTTCAGTATAATTTAATGTTTCATAATCATTAAGGCTTACTCTTCCTTTTTAAGCATTTTTAAAATAATAGTTTTTCTTTTTTCTTTTTTTTTGTTTGAGATGGAGTCTTGCTCTGTTGAGTACGGTGGTACAATCTCGGCTCACTGCAACCTCCGACTCCCGGGTTCAAGTGATTCTCCTGCCTCAGCCTCCTGAGTAGCTGGGACTACAGGCATGTGCCACGGCGCCCAGATAATTTTTTGTATTTTTAGTAGAGATGGAGTTTCACCCTGTTAGCCAGGATGGTCTCAATCTCCTGACCTCATGATCTGCCTCGTTGGCCTCCCAAAGTGCTGGGATTACAGGTGTGAGCCACCGCGCCCGGCCAATAGTAGTTTTATTGAGATGTCATTCTCATACAATACAGCTCACCCACTTAAAATGTACAATTCAGTGATTTCTAGGGTATTCATAGAGTTGTACAATTATTACCACAGTCAATTTTAGAGGATTTTTAATCAGTTGAGAAAGAGATCCCATGCCCATTAGCACACTCCCCATTCCCCCGATGAGCACCCCTCAGCCCTAGACAAGCACCAATCCACTTCCTATCTCTATGGATTTGCCTATTCTGGACCTTTCATATAAATTGAGTCATACAATATGAGAACTTTTGTGGCTTGCTTTTTATACGTGACATAATGTTTGCAAGGTTCATCTATGTTGTAGCATGAATCAGTACTTAGTTCCTTTTTATGGCCAAATAATATTCCATTGTATGGAGACACTTCTATTTATACTCTTTAAATAGAAAGAATATAAATTTGCCCCTATGTTATAAGGTTACTTCTTTTTTTACAATTATGTTTTAAGAGTCATTTCTGTATTCTAGATAAAAGTCCTTCACCAGATCTACACTTTTCAAAGGATATCTCCCATTTTGTGGGTTGTCTTTTCACTCTTGATAGTGTCCTTTGATGCACAGAAGTTTTAAATTTGAGTCCAGTTTATCTATTTTTTTCTTTTGTCACTTGCGCTTTTAGTGTTGTGTATAAGAAATCTTTGCCTAATCCAGGGTCACAAAGATTTACTCCTATGATTTCATTTCTCTATGATTTCTCATATGTAAGCGAGAACATGTGATATTTGACTTTCTATATCTGAGTTGCTTCAGTTAAGATAATGGCCTTCACAAATACTTACTCCTATGATTTCTTATATGAATTTTACAGTTTTCTATAGTTTTAGCTCTTACATTTAGGTCTTTAGTTCATTTTGAGTTAAATTTTATTGAGGAAGATTTTTTTTTAAACTTCAACTTAGTTTAGATTTCAGGGGTACGTGTGCAGGTTTTTGTCATGGGTATATTGTGTGACACTGAGGTTTGGGGTATGATTGATGCCAGCACCTAGGTAGTGAGAATAATACCCAACTGGTAGTTGTTCAGCCCTTGTTCCTCTTCCTCCCTGCCACTTCCGGTAGTTCCCACTGTCTATTGTTTCTGTCTCTATGTCCATGTTTCCTCACTGCTTAGCTCTCACATCTAAGTGAGAACATGTGGTATTTGTTTTTTTTTTCCTGTGTTGATTCACTTAGGATGATGGCCTCCAGCTGCATCCATATGGCTGCAAAGGAGATGATTTCATTTTTTTTATGGCTGTATAGTATCCCATGGTGTATATAAACCACATTTTCTTTATCCATTCCATTGTTGTGGGCACCTAAGTTGGTTCCTTGTCTTTGCTATTGTGAATAATGTCTTTCTGATAGAATGGTTTCTTTTCCTTTGGGTCTATAACCAGTAGTAGGATTGCTGGGTCAAATGGTAGTTCTGTTTAAAGTTCTTTGAGAAATCTCCAACCTGCTTCATAGTGGCTGAACTAATTTACATTCCCACCAGCAGTATATAAGTGTTTCCTTTTTTTCTGCAGCCTTGCCAACATCTGTTATGTTTTGACTTGTTAATAATAGCCATTCTGACTGGTGTGAGATGGTATTTCATTGTGGTTCTGATTTGCACTTCTCTGATCATTAGTGATGTTAAGCATTTGTTCATGTTTGTTGGCCGCTTGTATGTCCTCTTTTGAGAAATGTCTGTTCATATCCTTTTCCTACTTCTAAGTATTTTTTAAACTCTGAATTTTTATATTTTTGTGTGAGTTTATGAAGATTCAGCACAAGATTTCATTAATTATTATCTTCTATGAACTTCTAAAATTATAATTTGATTTGTTAAAATTTTTTCTCAAATCTTAGAATATATATGACACATATGTGTGTGTATATATATATATGTATATATGGAGAGCCTCATATTATACAGAATATGGAGTGTGATTCTATGTCATTTGCCAAGATCTGGAGACTAAATATTACGTTTTCTTCTGTCAACTGTGATCAGCTGGTAACAGCTGTTTGTGTTAAGAAGGAACCTATGGCTACATCCGAGCTCATTGGAAAAGTAATGTTATCAATTTGGTGTGATTTGCCATGGACTTGGTAAGGAAGAAGGGTAGCACCAAGCCTCATAACTGCTAATTCTGGTCTGGTGAGTTGTCAAGATCCCTGGGCAGTTGGTTTGGATAGTATAGATATAAATAAGAGCTATGATATCTTTGGGTACCAAAAGTCTTGTGTCTGAACTTACAATTTACATATTGTTATCTAATAATTCTATCTTATAAATTAAAATGAAAATAATTCAGGCTGGGTGCAGTGGCTCACTCCTGTAATCCCAGCACTTTGGGAGGCTGAGGCGGGTGGATCACCTGAGGTCAGGAGTTCGAGACCAGCCTGGCCAACATGGTGAAACCCTGTATCTACTAAAAATACAAAAATTAGCCGGGCATGGTGATGCATGCCTGTAGTCCCAGCTACTTAGAAGGCTGAGGCATGAGAATTGCTTGAACCCGGGAAGCGGAGGTTGCAGTGAGCCGAGATTGTGCCACTGTGCTCCACCCTGAGCGACAGAGCAAGATTCTGTCTCAATAATAATAATAATAATATAAAAAATAAAATGAAAATAATTTTTATGATAGAAATATAATCTCTTTCATGGTTTAATACTCTTGAGAAATAGAAAACATTAATAAATATAATGCAATTTCTGCTATAAGGTATTTAACAAATGGAAAAATTCACTGATGAAAAAAGTTAATGTTCATCGATAGAGGTACCATGCCAAGTGCTTTATGCTACTCATCTCACTAAATCTCATAACGGCCCTTTGTGGAGGCTCTGTCATAACCTCAGTCTGAAGAAGAGTACACTGAAGCAGAGTTTAGGTATCTTATTCAGGGTTGTGCCAGCTTGGAAGCTATGCTGATGGAATATGAACTCACATAGTCTTTATTCCAGAATCCATACTGTTTTTTTAAATATGTAAGTTTAAGGGGTACAAGTGTGGTTTTGTTACGTGGATATATTGCATGGTGATGAAGTCTGGGCTTTCAGTGTAACCATCATTTGAATAGTGTATATTGTAACCATTAAGTAATTTCTCATCCCTCACTCCCTCCCACCTGCCCACCCTTCTCCAGTGGTCTCCAAAGGTCTCCAGTGACTATTATTCCTCTCTGTTTCCATATGTACATATTATTTAGCTCCCATTTATAAGTGAAAATATGTGATATTGGACTTTCTGTGTCTGAGTTGTTTCACTTAAGATAATGGCCTTCAGTTCCATCCATGCTACTGCTAAAGACACGATTTCATGTTAAACACGTGAACTCACCTGCTTCCATCAACTTACATGATTTTCAGACCCTTCGGTCAACTTGGTGTCATAGAGTATGTATTAAAACTCAGCTTGATCTTAGATTATTTATATGAAGATCAAACAATTTTAAATATTATGGATTTGAGTGAGAAATTTAAATTATTCCACCGTGATTACAGATTAATTGTACAATCTTCATTAATCACATATCTCGGCTCACTGCAACCTCTGCCTCCTGAGTTAAGTGATTCTCCTGTCTCAGCCCCCCGAGTAGAGTAACTGGGACTACAGGTGCACACTACCACAACAGGATAATTTTTGTATTTTTAGTGGAGATGGGGTTTTGCAACATTGGCTAGGCTGGTTTTGAACTCCTGGCCTCATGTGATCCACCTGCCTTGACCTCCCAAAGTGCTGGGATTACAGGCATGAGCCACCGCACCTGACCCTATTAGTAAATATTTTAACAGGCAGTCATAAGATAGCAGAATGTATGGAAATTAAATGATAGTTCAGCAAATTCAATTAAGTAAGCATTTCAAGACTTCTTGCTATCCTCTAGAAACTTTGCTATACTAGGGATTAAAAGATGAATATAATAATTCCTTTTCTCCCCCTAAATTTTAGTTTAGCATAAGATTATATGATACTGTGTAAGTTCTATTCTTAGTTCTTTTAAAACGAGACTTGGATAGCTAGTACTAATTCATTCAGTGAATATTTGTGGAGCACTGCTATATTTGAAGCATGGTTTTCATTGTTGGAAATACTTGGTGGACAAAATGGACGCATATTACTGTTCTTGTGGAACTTATATTCTTGTGGAGGGGGAGACAAACAGTAAACAAATATAGTATGTCAGATAGTAATAAGTGCAAGGAGAAAAACCAAATAAAGCAGGGAGGAGGATAGGAAGTGCTTGCGGGCAGGGTAGGTAGGTGAAGGGACAGCTGTGGTTTTTTGTTTTTTTTTTTGTTTGTTTGTTTTTTGAGATGGAGTCTCACTCTGTCCCCCAAGCTGGAGTGCAGTGGCGCGAGCTCGGCTCACTGCAAGCTCCACCTCCCGGGTTCACGCCATTCTCCTGCCTCAGCCTCCCGAGTAGCTGGGACTACAGGCACCCGCCACCACGCCCGGCTAATTTTTTGTATTTTTAGTAGAGACGGGGTTTCACCATGTTAGCGGGGATGGTCTCAATCTCCTGACCTTGTGATCTGCCTGCCTCGGCCTCCCAAGCTGCGGTTTTTGGAGAGTAGTTAGGGAGGCCTCACTGAGAAGATGTTGTGCAAAGACTCAAGAGAGGCGAGGAAGTGAGCCATGTGGATATCTGGGGAAAGTGGGTTTTAATTAGAGGGAACAGCAACCGTGAGGTGGTAGCATGCAGGGTAGGTTCAAGGAATAGAAAGGATGTCAGCGTTGGTGGTAGTGATGGGCAGAACAAGGCAGAAATAAGGCTGCAAAGGTAATCAGCATGGGCATGTGAGGGTGGAGGAATACATATTGTGTAGAGGTTTCCAGACCATTGTAAAGCTTAAACTTTTTCTCTTAGTGACATGTAAAGCAATTGGAGGCTTTTGAGCTTAGGTATTGTGTGATGTGACTAAAGTTTTTAAATAACCCACTCTGGCTTTTATTTTGAAAATAGACTATGATGACAAGAGCAGAGACTGGCTATTTTAACTATCCAGATGAAAAATCAACAAAGTAGCATTGGAGGTAGTAAGTCGTTGCATTGGGGTTAATCTAAGATGACTTGCTAATGTATGGGTTATGGATTATGATAGAAAGAAAGGTGTCAGACATAACTTCAAGGTCTTTGTGCAGAGAAATGGGAAGGATGGAGTTGGCATTGACTGAGATAGGATGACTGGGGAAGAACAGGTTGGGGTTGCAGATCAGGAGGTCAGTTTTAGACATGGTGGCAGAGACATTGCTGTGTTTTCACCAACCCTCTTTCATACCCCTCTTTTCTGGTGCATCTCAGTTTCCTTACAGTTCAGCAGGGCCATATAACTAGTGCTGGCCTGTGAAATGTAAGGAGAAGTGATAATGTTGATCATTTTGAGAATGAGGCAGTGAGAAGCCCCAGAATGATTCTTTGGTCTCTGTGTTCTCCTAGGGTGATGAAGGAGGAGGAGGCCTCAGGGAAACAATGGGGATCCCCAGTTATGAAGAACGCTGGATTGCTAGTGCACTGCATGGGGGGCACATTCTGAGGGGAGTGTTAACCAACTAAGCTAATTAAACGCATGTGAAATTTTACTTTCTCTTAGGCATATGCATCAGATGTAACCATTGGGAACTCAGGGAAATGAGTTGAACTTGAAATATAAATTTGGGAGGCTTCAAGATATCAATGGTATTTCAAAACATTATATTTGTTGAAATCTCCAAAAGAATAAGTCTAGCTAGGGACAAATTAAAAGGACTAAGCCCTGGGCACCCCAGGTTAGAGAGCAAGGAGATGCTAGTTTACATAGATAGCTGCTTGATCCTAATACCCATAAGCAATGAGTTATGTCATAGACTGTATGTGGCCACATTCAGTGAATTTTCCTCCGAGGTGCTTCTTTCCAAATTTCCAAAAACACATATCCAGGTCACTGATTACTGGATTCACCTCTATCATAGCAGAAAGAGCACCATACAGCTATGAATAGGTATTGAGACAGTATTCACTTATTTGAGATTTCCATCAAAGTAACCAAAATCATGAAATATTTAGAAGAAAATTCAGTCAACAAATAGTTTTCATTTTTTCATTGCTTTGTTTGTAGATGTGATGTTTCTAGGCACTTCAGGTTAGGAAAGAATTAATCTAATTAGAGTTTTTTAACCTCAGCATTGTTGACATTTTGGGCCACAAAATTCTTTGTAGTGTTGGGGAGGGGTGCTGTCCTGTACATTGTGTTATTTAGCAGCATCTCTGGTATCTACCCACTAGATGTCAGTAGCACCCCCCTTCCTTTGTTGTGACAATAAAAAATGTCTTGAGACATTGCCAAATGTCTTCTCTGTGTGTGTCGGGGGGACCACAGATCTACATTACATCTGTTTCCAATGAGTGTTTTATTTATATACTTACTGCCTGCAAAACATTTGAGAAAGTTTACCTGAACATTTAATATAATATATACTATGCTATGATATATTATTGAGGGAACTGCAATGAAAAGCCAAAGACATAATATAGAATTTAAGCAAGAAAGCAAAATAATATTGCAAAGGTAACAGTACTATGCTATCAGCATGGAAAATGTGTTCAATAAAAGACAAGAAAGGAATTATAGATAGACTAGGTTACACCTTCAATGGGTCTTGAAAGGCAGAATGAATTTGTATGGACAGAAGAGAACCTATCCTGGCCTGGGGAATATCAGGCATAAAAGCTCAGAGGTACCAAATATAAGGTGTTAAGGCCTGCCTAGGACTGTGGCTAGGTTAGAATTACTGAATCAGAAGCTCTGTGGGCATGAGGTTGTGAGGCAGTGGGAAATCTGGCTGAGAAGCACTGAGACTAGACTGAAAAGGACTTTGAAGCCAAGCTGAGATGTTTTCGTGTTCTTGGGTGGCCACCATGATGCTCATTACTGCACAAAAGACAGAGATGTATAAGATAACAGTCCTGTATTTCTGGACTTTCTAACCTGGACATAATGGAAAATTACATATAATTTTTCGGCAAGAGATTAATATATTTAAAATGATGTTTTAGGAAAATTAACCAGATGGTAGGGAGATTACTGAAGGTGGGAAATTGAGAGTACGAGAGATGGCTTAGGGGATCTTGAAGGAGTTTGCACATGAACTCCGAAAGGCTTAAACCAAGTGGCCGGGCACGGTGGCTCATGCCTGTAATCCCAGCACTTTGGGAGGCCGAGGTGGGCGGATCACCTGAGGTCAGGTGACCAGCCTGGCCAACATGGTGAAACCCCATCTCTACTAAAAATACGAAAATTAGCCGGGTGTGGGGGCACACACCTGTAATCCCAGCTACTCGGGAGGCTGAAGTAGAAGAATCGCTGGAACCCAGGAGTCGGAGGTGGCAGTGAGCCAAGATCATGCCACTGCACTGCACTCCAGCCTGGGCGACAGAGTGAGACTCCATTTCAATAAAAAAAAGGCTTAAGTCAGGGATTGGCAATTTTTTTGAAATGTGAAAACAGCTGTAGACATTAAGTAAATGAATGGGCATGGTTGTGTTCCAGTAAAATTTTATTTACAAAAGCATGTGGCAGGTGGTGGGCCATACTTTGACAACCCCTGGCCTAAACTTATGACATGATGGTGGAAAGAAAGACATCGAGTAAAGAATCAATAAAAGGAACTTGAAAATAAAGCTTTGCTGAACTTGGTAACTAAACCAAATAGAGTTAGTAGGAGGAAGGGCAAGGGGTGGACTTGGAGGAGGAAAAAGATTATCCTGGAGTTTCAAGCCTAGAAGATGTCATTAATAGAGTTTAGGAGCAGGTATCAATGACTTAAGGAAAGAGAAAGATGTGTTTGAATTGAGGACTTTTGAGAACATGTTAAACTAGCAATTGGTGAAGGCCTGCTGGGCCATGGGGGAGAAGTCTGGAACTTCTCCATGCTCATGTGTGGAACAGAACAGTATTTTCCTTGAGGTGATGCTTTTAAGGGGAGATGGTATCTGAGGAAGGGCAGAAGGATGAAGATAAACATAGGAGACCAGCATGTTTATGAAGTGCAAGGAGGAAGATGAACTGTAAGAAACTGAGAAAAGATAGGGAAATGAGAACCAGTAGGATAATAGTGTCTTCAGAGCCATGGCCAAGCTAACTCTCAGGAGGAATTGGTCATTACTGTCTGACGTTCCAAGAGGTCAAGCAGAATGGCACTGAGAAAGAGATTGTTTCATTTCTTGACCAGAAGGTTACTGGTGGCCCTTCAAAAGGAAGTCCCAAGAGAGTTGTGGTAAGAAAAGGCATCCCAGAGATTCAATTTAGAGAAGATAATGAGGAATTAAGAGAAAGTTTGTAAGTTTAAAGAAGAGACACAGAACAGCAATTGAATGGAGCACCTTCTTCCAAGAGGAGGCTTGCTTGTGTTTGATGACAGATTTTGAGAAGGATTCAGTGGAGAATAGACTTCAAGTTGTTGCAGAAGGGATGATGAGGTTAATGGAGAACAGAAAGAAGGTGAACTAGCTGGAGAGGAGTGATACACTCTGACTCTGGAAATTTAAGAGAACGTGGATATCCTGGAATTTTCCAAAGTGCTCTTCCTTAATGCATTCTTTTTACAGGAGGCAAATACCTTTGTCCAGGCAAGATCAGGAAGTAGATGGAAGCAGGGTTAGAATTAAGGGCTTAAGTAGTATAAAGAAGATTTGCAGTAGCCATTGTTATAAAAAAATAGTAGGTGATCTCCTAGAACTCAATACTTGGATTATTGAGACATACTCAGTTTTCTTTTAGCAAAATATCTCTCATTGACTAGGACTTAAGGCTATACTGCTAGCATTGAAAATTTATTTTATTTTGTATTGAAACAATTAAGAAGATAAAGGGGAAAAATAAACACTTCTAAGATTAATGAATATGCCTCTCGTTATCTTTGGAAGAAACTATGTGGCCTGTTTTCCTTGGATATTAGCATCTCCAACAAATAGAAGAGCCTATGTTCATAAATATGATTGGGTCAAATTTGACAATAGAGTCAGACTAAAGTTAGCTGACATTGACTTTAAAAGTACTTGCCTCAAAGTACTTGAAATTCGGTGGCTTCATATTTTCTTGGATTAGGGATTGATTTCTCTGCTCAGACTTCTTCAGAATACAAATAACTTTGTAAGGGCTAATCTGTTAAAAAGTTTGTGTTAGCTCTCTTGGCAAGAGCTAGGATAGCAGGGTAGAAGGAGAACTGCGAAAACAAACAAACAAAGGAGAGTTAAAAATGAAAGGGCAAACACTCCCTACTTACTTTGCTTTGCTTTCATTATTTTGCCTAAACTGTTGTGGTTGACACACGTGGACAGTAGATTATAACTAGATTCTGAGCCCCAGATGCCCACAGCTAACACTTATGTAATGCTCATTGTGTGCCATGGGCTAAGTGCTATAAATGAATGTATATATAATATAAATGCATTAACTCATTTAATTCTCATGACGATTTGATGAGGTGAGCTCTATCTCCCAGTTTCTAGATGAGGGATTGCCCAACTTGTGGGTAGGGGAGCAGAATCTTACCCCGGGAAGTGTGGCTTGAGAGTTGGCAATTGTAACTGCTGGACAGATTTGTTAGAAAAATACCTTATTTATTTTTCAGTCCTCCACCCTGACTTGTGCCTTCATCAAAAAAGTTTGAAATGTTTTCAGTTCATACATAAGAAGAAAAAAATTTGATATGGGTTTATTTTCCCCTATTAACATTTTCTTTGATTTACAGTCTGTTGTATCAGACATGATGTGAAAGGGGTAGACAACAACCTAGACTATATTTATTTTTCAATCTGCTAATGTGAAGAAAAAAGGGGAGGAGTTAGGTGAGATTTGGAGTCTGTAATGGTTTTTCTACACCAGGGTTTTTAGGGAGATTCTAAATAGAGCACACTCTCATTTGTTTCAATTAAATGCCTTGCCCACTTAATCTCCTTTTCGTATTGCCATGCTTGATACAGAGGGCTCCAGGACTAGTTTACTAGGTGGTAGGACCTTTAGAGATTATGCTGTCCAAATCCTTTACGTTAGTTTAACAGATGCAAAAATGGAGACTGAAAGGGTTTAAGCAGAGTGAGAACATTAACAACAACACTTTGTTTTGAAATGAGGTTTTTTGATTCGTTCCAACCTTCACACAAATTTGAAAGCATACTTTTGTGTAAGTTTCTTAATATTTGGAAATTAACATCAGCCCCAGCCTCCCTGAAAACTGTGGTGAGTTATTACTATATATAAAGATTAATGAAATAATTGCTTTTGAGTTTCTACTACAATTGGTGGATCAGGGTCATCTAAAAAAACTCAAGCAAAGGTGTGAAAACTTTATTTTGCATGTTTGTTTTTCTCCTAGTTATTATTTACTGCTCAATCAGCATTAACAGAAGAAAAATAATTTGGCTGCTAAGTTACTGTAGTATAGGATTTCAAAGGACCTTATTAGAGAGAGATGTAATTTCATCCCCTGGGCCTTTTATGTAACAGAGTGCATATTTGGGTTACTTCATTTTGACCCGGAATTAAACAATAGACTTAAGTTGTATTCAGGAAGTTAAAATATTTATTCAACAAAGATTTAAAAGCATTTTACAGTTATTTCCAAATTCCTAGGGATATCTTTATAGCTTTATTTTCTTATTTTAGCTAACTCTTGTCTGAATAGCTCCTTCATCAAAGAATTTTCTGTTTATTTCATAAATCTTATAAGATGTATGTATTTGATAACTACTGCATATAATCAGTGTTTTTTAAATAAACATCTTTGGCAAATTGATATAAACATGATTTTATATATTGCTTAACTACATATATAGGCCATAGTTTCGTTATGGTGCTCAGTAATGAAAAATATGGAGTAGATGTTACAAGTGGTAATAAAGCTAATATTAAAGAAAGTAAGGCTGAAGATTCCTAAGTTCAAAATAAAAAGGCTTTGCAGCTTCAGTTTTAGGAGCGTTTTCATAAAATGAAAGAGGCAAATAGTGCCAAGGTGCTACCAACTCCAGCTTCCTAGCAATGCAAGGATTCTTCCTTTAGCCACTTATAAAAGTGGTCACCTCAGCTCACTCTCTGTAGGACTGACTGCTTCCCCTTTCTTCTGTGATTTGCATAGTATTATCCACATTGATTCATGTTTGGGGTGATTGTTTCCATCCTCACTGTGAGATTATGAACTTCTTATTTTCTTTCCATGAAATAAAGTTTTCATTGGCTGGGATCCCAGCTAGACTGATTTTTTTTTCCTTTTTTCGTTTGTTTGCTTAATATTTTAGATTTTGAAAGTCCTTCAAAATTAAAGTACTTGCATACTATCCTAGGGCAATAATTTGTGACTGAAAATCTTTGTGAAAAATCCTAAGAGGTATTTAAAAGTTTATGTTAAGTAAGTTGTTATCAGTGGTTAAGAGGCCTTTCCAGAGTGCTTGTCCACTGGACATTTATATGGAACTTACTGTAATAGCATCTGCTTAATTTTTGGATGATGCAGACACATTCCGTTGCACAAAATTACTCTGCAAAAGTAAGTCAGGAATCACTCATGATAATTTCAGGTTATGCATACTTATTTTAGAATGTTGAATCAATTTGCTAATCTTCAAAGGAGTAAATTTTACACCAATTGCGTCTGGTTTAATAGGCTTAATATTTTCATAATGCCAGAGTAATTTTTCTTCTTAGTTTTATTCTTGCATAATTGTTGGAATTATATGTACATTGTTTTAATTCTTGAGCCCTTAATATCAAATAGCTTGAGCATTAAGGGAATTAATTGAAGGCCTTAGGATATGGGTGTTTATTACATGAACATGGATTGAATGTTGATGTTGGGATTTTAAACGGGAAGTTGCTTTGCTGTTAGATTCCATCACATTGAATGTATCAACATTTATACAAGGAAATTGGGAAGAAATGTACTCTCAGTCCCTGGTTGCTCTTTGTTTGTGAAAAGTAACAAATTTAGGAGTTGATCTAAAAGGAAAATTTTTGTGTTAATGTTTTTAAAACATTAAAGCATCTTTAAACAATATTTTTGTCTCAGATGTCTAGATGCATATTTATACCCCCAGAAATTTGAATAAGTCTGTTTAAATATTTTTGTCCTTTTCCTGAATGTCAACCCTTTGGCAGAGTGTTTATATGTTAAAGCTTGAAGAGCAAGTAGAGATCACACAGTCCAACTCTGTCATTTCATAGATGTAATTAGAGTAAACTAAGGATCAGTCTGAGTATAATGAAGTATAAAAAAGAACTTGACACTCACTGTCACACAACACAGTTGATAGAAATTTGTTGGTCATTCGTTGGCCACTGGTCATCTTCCCCCCAGGGGTCTCTGGCTTGCAATGTATTCCCGTGGTCTCTTTCTCTGATCCCCTCTTGGATCTCCTCCTCTTCCTTAGGTGTTTTGAATTTCTCTTCTTTGTCTTCAGCATCCTCAATTCCTCCTACTTCATTTTGCAGAAATTTAGCTGTCTTTGTTATGCCCTCACCATCCAATGTATGCCCAGATAACTGTGCCTTTTTCATCCAAAGATCCACTAAAAGATGACAGTGTTTTTATTTTTTATGAGACACATCACCTGCAGAATGATTTTTTTTTCTATTACAGTTGACACATAGAGATGCATTTTAATTCACATGTAGACAAACATTTGATGAATTCCTTTTTTTATATATATACTTGGGAAATAGGTAAATTTTCTGCTATCAATAATCTCTCAGAAACACTTGATGACTGAATACTATAGTTAAAAATCATGAATGAGAATAAGAAAGGCAACATAGTATTTTAGGAGGGACATTATCCCACTCATTGAATTACCATATAACCTGTCATAGCACCTTAACTGCTCTGAACCTCTTTCCTCGTCTATAACCTTCATCCTGGCCTGCACTGGAGTCAGAGTTAAACTGTGCCTTGTAAAACATAAAGTTCTTTATAAATATAACAGTTAGAGCCTGGGCGCATGCCTGTAATCCCAGCATTTTGGGAGGCTGAGGCCAGGGGATTTCTTGAGCCCAGGGGTTCGACACCAGCCTGGGCAACATGGTGAAACCCCATCTCTACAAAAACATACAAAAATTAGACAGGCATGGTGGCATGCACCTGTAGTACCAGCTACTTGGGAGGCTGAGGTTGGAGGATCACCTGAGCCCTGGAAGTGGAGGCTTTGGAAGTGGAGGCTGTGGTGAGTTGTGATCAAGCCACTGCACTCCATCCTCGGAGACAGGAATGTTTTATATATATAAATATAGATATTATTTTACATATATATATTACATATATATATAAAATTCCTGTGCTCCCTAGGGTGATTTTATATATATATATATATATATATATATATATATATATATAATTCTATTCTATATATAACATTCTACTGTAGATATATATTTTAAAAAACTGTTAGATATTATGATATTATGAGTTGCGACAGTGATGATGATCATCATCTCAACTAGGCAGGTCTCTTTTTCCCTGGCAAACTATTCACAGGTAGGCTACTCACAGGCTTATCCTCCTAAGTAGTGTGTTTATATGTACTCGAAATAACTACATAGGACACAATGTATATGCTTTAGTCCACTGAGGAAATATAAAGAAAAAGGATATTCTTGGTCTCTTGCTCTTTCTGTTTTTTTTTTGTTTTGTTTTTGTTTTTTTTGTTTTTTTTTTTAAGAGACAGTCTTACTTCATTGCCCAGGCTGGAGTGCAATGGCTGTTCACAGACGCAGTTATAACTCCTGGGTTCAGGTGGTCGTCCCGCCTCAGCCTCCTTAGTAGCTGGTGTGTGTCACCACTCTGCTCAGTCTCTTGCCCTTTGTGTTGTCATTCAACATCGAAATACATTTCTTCTTCTTTTTTTAATTTTATTTTGAAATGGAGTCTTGCTCTGTCACCCAAGCTGGAGTGCAGTGGTGCGATCTCGATTCACTGCAACCTCCTCGTCCTGAGCTCAAGTGATTCTCCTGCCTCAGCCTCCAGAGTACCTGGGACTACAGGCATGAACCACCATGCGTGGCTAATTTTTGTTATTTTATTTTATTTTTTTAGTAGAGATGGGGTTTCACCACGTTGGCCAGACTTGTCTCAAGCTCCTAACCTCAAGTAATCCACCTGCCTCGGCCTCCCAAAGTGCTGGGATTACAGGTGCAAGCCACCACAGCCGGCCAATTTCTTCTTATTGAAACGTAGATGTCAACGTTGCATTTGTTAGATATTTCTTAACTTTCTCTCTTATTTGAGTATCTAACATATTGTATTTCTTTTGCTCTAGTGTAATATAGCTAAATTGCTAGACTCTGAATTAATATCAATAAACATTTATATCACACAAGATAGTGTTATACTAAATATATTTAAATGTTTTAAATGGTTTCAAAGTTAATATTTTGAGTAATATGCTATGGATGGAAAGCTTATTCATGACCAGTATAAGTTATACAAAATTAATGTTTCAAAGGATGTCTGAATTTCAAAAGGACTCTTCAAATGATCAGCTCCATAATTATATTTTTCATCTAATTTTATGTTCAAGTGCTCCCCTAGAGTGGTGATAAGTGAAATCATCGATTAATGCTAGGACTCTAAGCTGACCTAGAAAAACTACATTTGAAGCTGTATTCAAAGAATTTCATTTAGCCTTACTAGGACAACTGTCATTCTTATGTAACATTTTAAAGTTTTGCATTGAGATTGGGCTTGAAATAAATGCCTGCATTTGCTCAGAGACTGTTAAGGAGGGAGATAGAGTAGGAAGTTGTCTCCAGAAATAAAATGATAATGAAACCTATTGTTTATCGAGTACCTACTAATTATAAACCACAGTGATTATATATGACATAATTTTTCATAGATACTAAATATATGTATGTATATTTGCAATTTTTATCCTTGCAAAAATGACAAGTATAATTGGGGTATTTACATTCTCTTTTTAAAGACAGGACAATAAAATCTAGTAAGGTTAGGATTTTGCCCAAACTCATATAGAAATTAGCAAACATGAGATCCAAATCCAGGTCTGTCAGACCGCAGGGTCTTTGTTTACTCTGCTATATCATATTTATTATTCATTGATGGATGTATTAAACAAAGATTAATTCAGCCCTTCCCATTGCCAGGAACTGTTATAGATGCTGAAAATACTGCAGTGAAAAAAGACACCAAGTTCTTGCTTTCAAATAATTTATATTCTAGTGAAGGAAATAGAATATACAAATATGTCTAGTGGCATTAAGTGCTACAGAGAAAAGAGCAAAGCAGTGTAACAGGATCGAAAGTGATGGTACAAGAGGTATTTGTACTGTATTGCTGTGGAGGTCGGTGATCAGGGAAGGCTCCTTCTGTAAAACTGACATTTGAGCACAGGCCTGAAGGAAGTAAAAGAGTGAGCTTATGGGAATACATGAGGAAACAGCCTACAAGCAAAAGGAGGAGCTCATGCAGTGCTCCTCAAGTGGGGACTTGGTGGCATGATCATGGAACAGAAATGAGGCTAGTGTATCTGAAGCAGAGTGAGTGTTGGGGAGAGAGTAGAGCACAAGGTCCAAGAGGTGGTGTGGTGTCAAAACCTGTAGACCTTGGTCAGGACGTTGGCTTTTACTCTGAGGGAGACGTCAAGTCACTGGAAGGCTTTGGGCAAATGTCTGACATAGTGTGCCTTGTGTTTTAGATGGAGAATAGACTGTAGGACAATGGGGAAGGATCCAGGAGACCAGTTGGGAGGCTGTTGCAGTAGTTCAGGCATGAGATGATGGTGGTGGCTTGAGTTGGGTTGTACTTGTGGAAGTAATGAGGAGTGGTAGAATTCTGGATCTATTTCAGAGGTAGAGCCAACCAGATAAGCTGATGGTGGATGTGGGGTCTGAGGAAAAGGAAGGGTCAGTAATGACTGTCAGTTTTTGACCCTAAGTATTATGATGAGAAGCTTTTCGGGAGGGAAGATGGGAAAAAAAAGAGTTCAGTTTTTGTATGATGTGGGGTAGGTTTTTTTTCTCCTCTATATGGCAAACGATTCCCAGCACATTTCTTAGCCTTTCTCCTTTTTCATTCATCATCTATTTTTTTATTTATCATCTATCAGGTGTCCATTTATGTCCATGAAAATAGGTTTACCAATCGTCTTGTTCAAAGCTTCCATCTTACTGATCTTTATCACTTGACCTGTAAAATATTTTGTTGTTGTCATTGAATCTATCAACTAGCAAGACAGGTGTGTTAAATTTCCCACTGTGATGGTGGATTTATCAGTTTATCTTACAATTCTATTGTTGTTATATACATAATTGAAATTATGATACTGGATGCATGCACTAATTCTTGCATTAATTCTTTCTGGTGAATTCATGCATTAATTCTTCCTGGTGAATTAAATTTTCCTCAATATGTAATGCTCTTTATCAAATACTCTTTGTTTTAAGGTCCTTTTTGTTTTTTATGAATGTGTCTACACACATGATTTCTTTAGATAGCATTTGTGTTTCTGTTTTTGAGCTCCTATTGTCTTGAACTTTATTTGTGGGAATCCCTGGGGTCTGAATTCAGATTCACTTTTGTCAGACACTTGGAAACCCTATCATCTGGGGTTAGTTTAAAGTTTGATTTAGGACTTGTTTGGCTTCACAGATAGCATGAATTTTGATCCCAAATTGAATATTGCGGGCTTGTGGTTAGGAATTGTCAGGAACAGTGTTTTCTTCTTTTCCTCCTCCCTCTGAGCCAAGGTCAAAACAGGCTTGTATCCCCATCATTGCCCTTTGCAAGATGGGGCTTTTCTGGTTTATCACTGAGGGTGCAGCCCTTCAGGGAATCCACTGTGATGTGACCATCCCACTTTTAATATCTGAAGTTGGACTCCTGGTTTTGCCTTACTAACACCCAAGTTTGAGTTCAGGGCAAACACAGCCTGTGCTTGCTAATCCTACAGAATTTTCACGTCTTTTCCTTTTTGTTCTCTGAGATATTCCTTACTTTCCTGCCATCCCCACCAGGCATTAAAAGATGCTTCATTTTTGTATAATATTTTTCATCTGTTGTACCAACAAAGGTTTCTCTGAACATCTGATTCACAGTAGTTCTTGCTGACATGCAACGTTGTAAACATAGGAGAGTTTGAAGCCAAACCTAGCACTGTGGTATCTGTTCACCAGCTATGTGGGGTGGATATTTTCAGGTTGCATGAAGATCCTGTTCTTCACAACCATTCACTCAGTGGTTTTAGCCTCCACTAATGATTGTTGCCTGAATTACTTATTACACCGAGGCTACAATATGGTGATTTTCAAATTCTATTATTTCTTTTACATTTATTAGTTGCCTTTTTTTCTGTAAAGAAAAGAGTTTTTCCCCAGCATCTCTTTACTTTTTTCTTGTCTTGTGTTCTCATGGATCATTTTTTAATTTGACGTGTTATACTTCTTTACTATGATAATTATTTTGATACTCAAATTGTCTTGAATTTTAGGGTGGAAGCCCCTGAAGCCAACTCCTGTGCCCTTTTGCTGTGCTTCACTAAAGTCTTTGAGTCTATCTTTGCTTTTTGGCAGAATAAGATGTCCCAGGCTGGCTTTATACTTTGTCTGCTCCAGATCTGGAAGCAGCCAATTTTTCTGACGAATCCGGCTTCTTTTGATGAGAAGCGACATTCAGAAACCAAAATTGGAGTTCTGGATGTACCTGTTCCTACAAGTGTCATTGTATTTGGGCCCTTTTAGTGGAAAGAACAAGAAAATCTGTGTGTGTGTGTATGTATATGTGTGTGTGTTTAAATCATAAGTCTGTATTGGTATTCTCAACTGAGAGTTTATTTTCTCTGAAAAAGTAGTGTCAGCAATTATAGCATAGAGGTAAACAATCCCAGTTTTTCGATGTACTTTTGGCTGTTTGACCTTGGACAATTTACTTAATTTCACTGTCTTTCTTAGTTTCCGCATCTCCAAAATCAGAATAATAAAAGTACCTCAAGCATAGTTGTGAGAAATAAGTGTGTGGATTTATATAAAGTGCTCACAGCAGTTCCTGGCTCAGAGGATATACTTTTAAATTATTTGCTAAAAATATGAGGTCGGACCGTGTGAAACTGCCACTATTTGACTGTCTTTAACCTACAGAAATAATTTCATGCGGTTCATCCTGATAAATGTGAACACCTTCATTGACCGAATGCCTTTTAGGGGCAGCACCCTTTGCTTTAAGGTCCATTTTGTTTGTATCCACAGCTCTGCTGTGGATAAAGATAAGTAAAAGAGTCTCTGCCTTGAAGAAGCTGAGAGATTAATAATAGAGCTATAAATAAAGTTTCCTAGCACTGTAGTGCTTTCTGCCTGTGGTGGGGGAATGAAGCAGGACTCTTCTTAGGTTACCACAAGCGACTTGGGGGAAGGAGACAAAATCTGGCAGTCTGCTGAACAGGGCGGAATTTTAGATTGAAGACCCTAGAATTAAGGTGGGAACTCCAATGGGATGTCCTCAGGGAGTCACTTAGGAAAATGATGAACCACGTGTGTGCAATAATGTGTGCAATTTGACACACAGTTTTAATGCAGACAAAAATCTTTAATAATCATGAAGCTATTTCCATAATATGAAGAAATTTAATATATGTTAAAATTCTATGTATTTCTTTGTTGTTTTCCTTTTTTAGAATTTTCTGTGTGTCTTTCTTATGTGCCGGAAACCCAACCTCAGAGCAGTATTTTCACCATTGAGATGGTGCCATTAAACACTTAAAATCGGCTGGGCCTGTGATCCCAGGACTTTGGGAGGCCGAGGTGGGTGGATCACGAGGTCAGGAGATCGAGACCATCCTAGCTAACACGGTGAAACCCCGTCTCTACTAAAAATACACAAAAATTAGCCAGGTGTAGTGGCGGGCGCCTGTGGTCCCAGCTACTCGGGAGGCTGAGGCAGGAGAATGGCGTGAACCCGGGAGGCGGAGCTTGTAGTGATCCGAGATCGCGCCACTGCACTCCAGCCTGGGCAACAGAGTGAGACTCTGTCTCAAAAAAATAAAATAAAATAAAATAAAATAAAATAAAATAAAATAAAATAAAATAAAAACACTTAAAATCAAGCTAATGTGATTATCCTTCACAATAGCACTGCGATTAGAAGTTTATATGATGATCATGTTAAGATGAACATGGGGATTGGGGTGCTAACTTTATATATATACACACACACTTATATACATATACATATGTATATATAAAGATCTCTATCTATCTATCTATCTATCTATCTATCTATATATATATATATCTTTTGACTACCCCACAACCCAACTACTAATAGCCTACTGTTGACCAGAAATCTTACTGATAACATAAACTGTTCGTTAACACATTTTTTGGTGTTACGTATATTATGTACTGTATGTAAGCTAAAGAAAAGAAAATATTAAGAAAATCATAAGGAAGAGCAAGTAGATTTACTGTTCATTCAGTGAAAATGTATTATTGTAAAGGTCTTCATCTTCATAATCTTCACGTTGAATAGGCTGAGGAGGAGGAGAAAGAGGAGGGGTTGGTCTTGCTGTCTCGGGGATGGCAGAGATGAAAGAAAATCCACAAGTGAGTGGACCCACACAATTTAAACTCATGTTGTTCAAGGGTCCACTGTAGTTTATTCCATGATTCTGTCATCATCTACTGTTAAATATTAATGTAATGAGAGTAACATAAAATTAACACAACTATGTGGCTGAAGATACCTGATCTTCCTTCAGAAGTTAGTTTCTTTTACTGGCCAGTATTTAGTCTCTGTATTAATCACAAATATTTGTACAAAATGTATTGTTGTTGTTATTATTATTATTATTATTAGAGATGGAGTCTTGCCCTGTCACCAGGCTGGAGTGCAGTGGCACAATCTCAGCTCACTGCAACCTCTGCCTCCTGGGTTCAAGCAACTCCCCTGCCTCAGCCTCCCGAGTTGGTGGGACTACAGGCGTGTGCTACCATGCCTGGCTAATTTTTCGTATTTTAGTAGAGACAGGGTTTCACCATTTTGGGCAGGCAAAATGTATTATAACTTTGTTTCTTGTAGGCATGTTGCATTCTTATACTGGCTGTAATTATTTTCAGAAGTGCTTTAATTGATGATAGTGTCAGAATGGAGGAATATTATGAGACTCTTCTCATGAAGTGTCTTTTATAACTTTTAATGAGCGCAATAGTTAGATGGTTACCACAGCTGGTCTGCTTCCCTACTGTATTCTATGTGTCCAGTTATTTTCCCAGTCCTTATGAAATTAAAAGCAAAGTTTTTGCAAAGTACTAAGAAACATCTTGCTAAAGGCCAACTCTAGCCAGGCCTTGACTTTTCGTATCATGTGTTTCATATTTTACACACTTTGACTGTAATGAGACTGGCATATCCATGTGAGTCACGCTGATGAACAGGATGTGTGTTTGTATTTACGTTCTGTATGAGGGTTTTTTGGAATATGTGAATTATTATAATCATAAGAGTATATTAAACCATCTTGATAAGAAATTTTAAACATGTAAACTATTCATTCAAAAAAACATTTACAGAGAATTTCCTTAAGGAAAACCTGATGAATGGATGTTTATCTTTTAAACATTATATGATTGTATTAATAACACATGATGAAAATTCTATCCACTGTTATCTTTGGCTGGTGAGTTTTTCCTTTGTGTACATTCTGAATTTCCAGGTTTTTCCCTTGATGCACCAGTATGACTTTTATGATTATCAAGATTTTAGTGGATTCCCGGATGCCTTTTATTTGGTGAAGAAAACAATGTTCTAATACAAAGTGAATGAAAATAGCTGCACATATGATATTAATAGCCAGCATTTATCAAGGAATTACTGCACATTAAGCATGTGTTAAGTATTCTACATGTGTTACTTAATTTAATATTCACACAATTGTATAAAGAAGATGCTATTTTTATTTCTATTTTATAGGGAAATTGGAACTTGGTGCTGTTTAATAACATGTACAATATGAGAGCTAGTAAGTATCGGAACTGGGATTTGGACCTACCTTCAGAACTCAAGCTCTTATCTACTGTGTCACACTTGATTTATTCTGATGGTTTTCATTGATGCTTTCATTTATGTGACATGTTTTTGCCAGTTTGCATTTTGAAGGAGGAAGCGCTGGGCTTCAGGAGCAGAAGGATGAATGTGACATAGCCCATGCTCTGAAGGAGCTTGCAGTCTACTTGATTAGACGGTCATGGAGCTGTGGGCACATCTGCCTGGGACGAAGAGAGAGGAAGTATCAGGTTGACTTCTTGGAGAGTGATATTTAGGCTTAGCTGGTATAGAAAGGGAGAAGGGTATTCCAGATATTCGGGGAAGTGAGGACAGAATTTGCAAAGCAGCAGTTTTTGCAAATGACTCAGAAACCAGATTTTGAAAAGCCTTGGATGCCTAGTGAAGGAGTTCTGGGTTACGCAGTGTGAACACTGGGGAACCATTAAAAGAATGTAAGCAATAATAGGGTGGGATTTCCTTATCTGTTTTATTTTTTGCTCTTTTTTTTTAAATAAATAAATAAACCAAAGATTTCTCTAGCAATGGTGTAGAAGTTCTGTTTTAGAGTGGAGAGTTTCCAGTTAGGAAGATCATATTGAAGGCTGTCTGTCAGGAGTCCAAGATCAAAGTCCTTAGGGGATAGGAAGAGATGAAAAGGTTTAAGTGCCTGGGATTTCAATCTAATACTAAAGTTGTACAAAAATTCATAACACTTTTGGCAGTATATTCATTAATAATCGTTTCTCAATTGAATGTGTTTGGAACTTATTCAGCCAGAAGCTTTGATACTCTAGAAACAAAATTGTTTATAGCAAACAATCCGTTATACTTGTGTTTTTAGCCTAGCTCTTAGCTTCTGCAATGAAGTTGAGACTTTTAAGAAAATATATACACAGTACACACAAACACACACATGCTTACACAACAACTTACTATTTATCAGCTTACACTAAGTCTCAAATTGGTATAAGTTTTAAAAGTTAAGATCTTAAATCTTCATGAACAGATGATAGTGTTATTATAATGTGACAATAATAAATTTATTTTTATTAAATGAAAATCTTTTTGAAAAGTTCGTAGAATTTTAAATGTTTGCTGTAGTCAAGAAATATTATATTAGCAATATCAACCACAGATAAAAGTTTTATATTATTTGCCTAATCCAGGGGTTTGCAGATTTTTTTCTTTAACAAGACAGAAAGTAAATATTTCAGGCTTCACGGGCCATGCAGTCTCAGTTGCAGCTGCTTAACTCTGCTATTGAAGGATGAAAACATCCACAGCCAATATGTTAATGAATGAATGTTACTGTGTTCTAATAAAACTTTATTTCCAAACGCAAATGACAGGATGGATTTGGTATATGGGCAGTTATTTGCTCTATAGTTTTGTTTGTTTACTTGTTCTTGATTCTTAATTTTATAATGATGCAGGCTTACACTGAACAATACTGTATTTGGTTCTAGTAGATGCTTCTTTTAACCATATTGGTATTCAGTGTATTGTCGGTGATGCTTTTCCCCTTAGTGACATACAGTAATTTTATATTTGGTAGGACTAGATACATTAATTTATTTGTTTTGGCCTTTATGTCTTCTTGTCATTTGGATTTCATGGTGACTTGACTGTGGTTTGTTCTTTGTAATTATTTCAGATATTCACTTAACTAGAGAGGTTGTTCTGTCTATCAGAAGGCTGATTGGAGGCATGTGCTGGAGCTAGACCAGTGTTTTGCAGCCAGTGGTATGAACCTGGAGAGACCAAAGTTTATAGCCTCTCTCTCCACTGCCTCCAAGATAGTGACTGTGACTGGGCTCCTTTCTTTCCTTCGTTTCTGCCTTCCTCTATTTCTGGGGTTAGTTGTAGATATTTTGAATACTGATACACAGTAAAATTTTAGTTTAGAAACACAAAATTTTGGGGGTTCATTTAATTGATGGAAAAGAGAATATTTCACTTTATCCTTTAATACTTGGTTTAGGAATAATATTTGTTCTCTGTAATAAAAATCACAAATGTGACAATATAACAGTTTCTCCTACTTTAAACTCACTTGATTCATGCCATCTTTCCTTATTGCCTCAGCCTGAAGTGGTATCTCATGTGCCATGGTTCCGTTAGTACTTTGTTCATATCACTCCTATGAAATTTCTGTGGCACTAAATTTAATATGAGATTATTAGCTCCTGGCTGGAGGTGAAGGTGGAGGTGGAGTGGTGGGTACAGGGGTCAGACAGGGAAGACTTGCCTCCTTTATCTTCAGCCGTTCCTGGAGTCTAATGCAGTGCTTCACATGCAGAAGGTTCAGATCAGTATGTGATGATGGAATGAATGGATAGATATTCCACTTGAAGGAACAAGGGTGATGAGTATGATATTATTGCTAGCAGTAATTTCCTTCATATACCTTAAACACATAAAACTTCCTAGTGGGTTTTTGTGGCCATCATTTAGCTCACCCTTAACTAAGCATCAATCCTGTCCTAAGTATTATTTTAGATTCTGGGGATACATACTCAATTACTTAATTATCTAGTGGGGAAGACAAACATTAACATATTATTTTAATAAAATGTGGCAGGTGCAACTCTGGGAGCTGTGCCGGATTCTCTGGAGTCTAGAGGAGGGCACCCCACTCTGTTTCAGGAAGATGGACAGTCTTTTCTGTCTCTTGCATTCCCAGCCAAATCCTGAAATATGCATATAGGCAAGCTAGGGAAATAACAGGAAGAAGAGCAGAAGAAAATTTAGACTGAAGGGCTGGCTTTAACAGAGGTGGGTGAGACAATGAGGTACAGATAAGGATTCTCAAGCTGTGTTGTTGGAGGATAAGTCTGGAGAAATACACTGGGGTCAGCTTCTGGAGGGTTATGTGTATCATGGTAAGGAGACTTGAACTTTATCTTGAGAGGAAGTAGAGCATACAGTGGTCAAGTGGCCATTGTAGAGTTTTACCCTTGCCTCTACATTTTCTGAATGTCAGACACCTTCTCTGTTTTTCTCACATAAAATGGGGATACAAATGATCTATCTTTCAGGGTTTGTGTATTCATTCAACAGTGAATTTATGAATGCATACCATGTTCCAGGACTCTAGGCCTTGGGAATACAGCACTAAACGTGAGATAAATCCTTATTCCAAAGAGCTTATATTTCTGAGTGTGGTGGTGAGATAGATAAGAAATAATATCAGTGAAATATACAGTCTGTTAAATGGTGGGTGGAGGATAAAGAATCTGGGACTAGGTTAGGAGCGAGGAAGAGGGAAGGCTGCAATTTTAAATAACATTGTCTGGAAAGAATTATTTGAGATGACAATTGAATGAAGACCTGAGGACATGGAGGCCCAATTAATTGAGGGTATTTGAGAGAAGAGCGTTTTGGAGGGAAGAGCAAATGCAAAGACCCCAAATTTAATGCCTGACATGTTTGAGAAATGCAAAGAGTCATGAAAGTTGGGGCAGTGGGAGTTATAGTAAGAGATGGGGTCAGGCTAGTAGTGGGGGCCAGAGTTTGTAGGTCTTTATTGGTCATTATTAGGATTTGGAGTGAGATAAAGCCACTGGAGAGTTTTGGGCAAGTAATAACATAATATGTTTCATAAGGACACCTTGGCTGCTGTTTTGAGAATAGCCTAGCTAGGGCAAGGGCACGAGGAAGACCGGTTACAAGGCCAGTTTTTAGGAATGGAGTGGTGAGAAGTGGTGCTTGTAAGGAATTAAATAACTTGTAAATCACTTCATATTTACCGTGTGCCTGCCAAATGGTAAGGAATTAATAAATGTCAGCTAGCGTTTGACTGTTAAAGCTTCTATCTATGCTCAGCAAACAGGGTTTAATTCTTTTTTAATCTTTGAGTTTCACTTGTAAGAATAGGAACTTTGCTGGCTAAGATAATAATTGCTATCATTTAGCCAAGAGCATTCATGGTGAGTTAGCATTGTACAGCCTCCTTAGCATGTTTTCTCCTAATCTTCTCACTAACCCAAGGTGGTAGCTCTCCTTACACCAAGATCTATGCTACATGTGGTACCACTGGGGAAGTTGAAGGTATTCAGGACCACAGAATTGGTAACTGGAAACCAGGTCTGTCTTTTTCAACTATGTCCATTAGATTGCATCTGATATTCAAAATTTCAAGTAGATTCTATCAAAGAATAAAATATGTAAGGAAAGAAGCATATGAAGGACATGTCTGTTATATTTCTGCCATTATTGGTAACTCTTAAGTAATAATGATTATCTATGTGCTTAATAGATGTCATTGTGTGTGTGTATTTGTTCTTCTAAATGGTATGTTTGATATGATCACAGACGACATTGTGCCAAATGTAACCACTTTTCCTGGCGGTTTTAATGGTGTTGCAAGAGTCTGTGATGCTTCTGGTTCCTTTTCTGTCCGATGTAGACAATGCATTCATATTGCATGATGATTAGTACAAAGTACAAACAAGGAGACTAGAGAAAAGAGAGGCTAAATGACCAAAGATACTTACCGCGGTAAGTGGCAGAGTTCATTTGAGAATTCAACAGATTGGCTCCAGAGTCCGTGTTCTTGCTGAGTAGATCACCCCAAGGGAAAACTATAGGCATGTGGTATTAGAAGGGACCTTATAGACAGAGCTCTTCATTTTGCATGTGAAAAACTGGGGTTCTGATAGGTAGAATCTGTAGCCAGTAACTGGTAGAGCCAGTACTGTAATCTGTGCCTCTCACTTCCATTACCTGGCACAGCCTTAATTTGATCAGCTGTTTTTCCAGATGAAAAGTGTATTCTCCAAGGGAAGAAACAAATACTTTCTTTATTCTCTTAAAGTTTGTGAGTGGCTGAATGTTTTAATGTGACGATTTATTAAAAACTGAATCTTTAATTTGAAAATCAGATTTGTATCTTTCAGTTGTTTTATATTTAATTATATTGAAAAATCAGCAAATTTAGATTCTCTCATTTGTTTCATGTTCATTTATGATAGCTAACACTTTTAAGAACCTGATATTGTAGCCATATTTAAATAGTTATTTCTACAAATCAAATATAAGGAATAAAATATGTCTTATTTATAACTCACATAAATTTAAATCATAGAAGAATTGAACTTGACAGAGATCCTCAGTAAGAACTTTAAAAAAAATAAGTATCACATGTATTTAATCCATACTTCCCAGTCATTGCAACAAAGCAGGGTATGATTTATGTAGAAGGAAAACATTTTTTTGTTATTTTTGTAGTGGGGCATTTATTGCACACACAGTAAGTGTTATAACCAAAACAAATATACAATTGGGACACTGTGTTTAAATTATCTTCTGTCATGTACTATATAAACCCACAATAGTTTGAAATGTATTTAAGCCACCATCTGGGACAAAGCAAAAGCTGTTCCAGGATCCAGCACATGATGAATGTGAGGCGAGTTTCATTAGGAGCCTCCTAGCACGTTTCTGCATCCTGAATCGTTTCTTCCACGGTTTGAAAGAATTCCAACATCCGTCTTAGCTCCCTGAGGTTTTGAGTGTTTTTAATAGATCATGAAATTTTTTGTGGCCTCCTAAAGAACTAAATCAGTGAAGTTAAACATTATTGCATTTAGATTTCCTTTTAATCTGGAGAGATAAAATTCAAGTTTGTATCTTTTAAAAGCTTCAGCAGAAATGCCCCATCTGTTGGGAAAAATTCTTACTGGGTTTTGACAGTTTGAAAGGAATAATTTCTCTTTTAAAGATGACTCACCTTAATTGAGAACCTATTGCCATGATAACAGGTAGCTATTTAATCAAGTACCCATTAAGTGCTATGGGCTGGAGGCAGTTCAAGCCTTAATACTAATCTGGCATTCTAATCCAGATTTGACTGGCTGTAAAGTTTATGTGAGTGTTTTTCTTTCAGGAAACTGTTTGTTGCCTTATCCCTATATAATGACAATAGTACAAGTAGTGATAGTTACTGAGGCCTTACCATGTACAGGCATGGTTCTAAGCACTTTCTAAAAATTATCTCACTTATTCATAAGAACAGTCTTAAGAAGTAGATACATTTATAATTCCCATTTTACCCGTGAGGAAATTGAAGATTTGAAAGGCTGTAGAACCTGCTGGAGGTTACATGGCTAGTGATATGGTTTGATTGTGTCATGACCCAAATCTTATCTTGAATTGCAGCTCCCTCCCATAATCCCCGTGTGTTGTGGGAGGGACCTGATAGGAGGTGATTGAATCATGGGGGTGGGTTTTTCCTGTGCTGTTCTCATGATAGAGGATAAGTCTCATGAGATCTGATGGTTTTTATAAAGGGCAGTTCCCCTGCACACGTTCTCTTGCCTGCTGCCATGTAAGATGTGCCTTTGCTCCTCCTTTGCCTTCCACCATGATTGTGAGGCCTCCCCAGCCATGTGGAACTGTGAGTCAGTTAAACTTCTTTTTCTTTATAGATTCCCCAGTCTCAGGTGTTTCTTCATATTTCTTCATTAGTCCATGAAAATGGACTAATACAGCTAGTGAGTTCTAGCCTTCTAATTTAACTTTCATGGCAATGCAGGCATTATTCCTGTTTTTACAGATGATATAGCTAGGATCAGAGAGGTTAAATAACTCACCCAAATCACATATGTAATAAATAGAAAAAGGAGCTGAATCCATGACTTCTAATTCCAAATTCAGTAATTAAAAAAAACTTCAACTTTTATTTTAGATTTGGGGTACATGTGTAAGTTTGTGACATGGGTATATTGTTTGATGCTTAGGTTTGGGGTTTGATTGATCCACTCACTCAGGTAGTAGGCATAGTACTGTATAATTACTTTTTCAATCATTCTCTCTCCCTCCTTCCCCTTTCTAATGGCTCCCAGTGTCTGTTGTTACCATCTTTGTGTCCATGAGTACCCAGTGTGTAGCTCCCACTTGTAAGTGACAGTATTTGGTTTTACTACTTATGAGATGCGGTATTTGGTTTTCTGTTACTGTGTTAATTTGCTTAGGATTATGGCCTCCAGCCGCATCCATGTTGCTGCAAAGGACATGATTTTGTCTTTTTTATATCTGCATTGTATCTCATGGTATATGTGTACCACATTTTTTTATCCAAATTCAATAATTTTTAAAACTAAAACATGTTCCTTCATTTTCAGCAATTATATGTATTTTTATGCATAGAAACTTAAATACAACTATGTAAAATATTTTAAATATGTTTAATATATAACTTAAAAATTTTTCAGAGAGGTATTTTTTTGAATTTTTTTTATCTAAATTGAATCAGAGAGGAAGCAAGGTTGTGACTGTGGATATGACTTTTCATAACTACCAAACTTTCTGTAGGTGGACTAGAATATTCACTTTTTAAAACAAAATATAGCAAAAAATATAACAAACACAGAAAAGCACTTGAAATATTGTGTTTGAAGAGATTTGTGTATAATTTTGCTATGCTATTGTCCAATATGATACAGTTTCCTTTAGTAGTTACTTTAAATATATTTTTTATTATTAAAACAATATAATATTCTTTTATAGGTTATGAAAAAAATCCCTAAATGGTGAAATTAAAGATATTGAAGTTGAGGTTTAATGCAGAACTGCACTTGTTTTCAGGGAACAAATGTCAATATATTAAAGAGTTTAAGTAGTGTCTGATAATGGTTATATGGTGATCCAGAAGTACAGTAATGATTCTCTTAAAATATTCCATTTTAACTTATTAGGCAGTTATGGCTTCTTATATATGCTATAAGCAAATGTGGTGGAAACATATTTTGTTTTCATAAAAAATTTCTGTTTTAAAGCCTTCTAGACATTTTCAAACAAATCTTTGTTCTCTATTCTGATTAAGGCAGTACTATTCCAAAATATTTAGGAGTGGTTTTCATTAATTTGCTATTAATGTTACCATTCTGGCTTCTTTCCTCAATAGGAGACTAATAAAACCATGTGCCGCAGTAAGATAATGTACTAACATGCCAACATGCCTCCTTATTTGAAACCAGATCTCTTTTTCTGGTTTGAAAGTTGTGGATCTTAAAGTTCTCTGGCACAAGGAAGGCAAGTGAGGTTAGCTATGGAGAGAAGATTGCACAATTAAACCCCATTGTAATGTACGGTCTGTCTGGCCTAGAGCTTCATCTTATTCTTGTGATTATGAAACAGTATTCTGTCCTGACGAAGAAGGTAGTGGGGAAAAGTTTCTGGGATTTGTAGGAGAGTAGAAAAGAAAGATATTTGGGAAGGATATTTTTAAAAAAGAAGGGTATCTCTATGATTTGCTGACAATTAACAAGTCTTAAACAGACAATCTTCTCTTAATATGAGGTTTTATGTGATGTTGTGAGGGAGCCTGGTATTCACACCAGTGGCCTCAGTTATCACACAGCAGCGAAAGTGAGGAGGTCAATTTTACTTATTTGGCAATTTAACGTGAAAGCACTGGGTTGTGTTTTGATAATTCCTGCCATATAGGATGGTCAATAATTTCTACTTGCAAAAGGAAAGGAAGCCTTTTTCTTAGCAAAATATTGGTTGGTGAACAGGAGGAGATCTTAGTGCCTTGTTATTTCGCATCTGTGTATTTGTCATCTTATTCTGACTTGAAAACTACTTCACTATCTATATGATTATTTTGGATTCTGAGTAGTTACTCATTTATCTCCCACCAATATGTTATTGCAACATGTGTCATCTGTTACCCTCCCCACATCAGCTAATCATTTGACATATAATTTTAATATAATATGCTAGGATACAGATTTAGTTTGAAGTTTAATATTTTTCTTCTAGCTTTGGTGAGTGAATTATTAATTGCCATTGTAAAGAAAAATGTATCATATAACTGACATGAGAAATGATCGTCAAATATTTGGTAATAGTTTTTTGAGGACTTACGAACTTGAATATGGCACTAAGATTTGGTTAACAGTATTTCCATTGATTTCAAGACTTCAGTGACTAAAAGATATTTGGAGGAGTCTTGGGGAAAACTAAATTGTGAAAAACGCTGAAAAGAAATTTGTAGCATTGCAGACTGTAGCAGAGTTATATGATTTAGATGCCTTGTGTTTAGCCAAATCAAAAATCCAAAAATGGATTTCTGAATACTAAAGTATTAGGATAATTTAACAACATGCCTACCGTTAATTTCCTAGGAAACAACTTCGTGTGTTATGTTTTGAACTTTCCTTTGTATTAGATTTCTAGAAGGACTTATATTATTCTTGTTTAGTTTCCATTTTTTAGAATGTTTCTTTTGATGATCCTGTAACTCTCATAAGAGCTCAGACTTTTCCCCTATACCTATATTTGAAGTTGTCTTTTGTCTCTCTAGTATTTCAAGCCTAAACCTAGGTTTCACTATTTTCTTCTTGCTTATTCCCCACATACATTCTCTTAGTATTACCATTACCCAGGCTTGTCCATTTTATCCCTCAGTCTGTTCCAAGCCTGTTCACACCTTTCCTGTTCTACTGCCTTCACATCTGCTACTGCCGGCTTGTGATAATCCCTCTCTGGACCATGGTAGTTGCTTCTGGCAGTGTCCCTTCCTTCCCCTCTTTCCTGTGGCATCTCTTCTTTATACAATGGAAGTAGTAATTTTTAAAATTTAATTTAATTTTTATTTGTTTATTTATTTATTTTTAGACAGGGTCTCATGCTGTTGCCCAGGCTGGATTGCAGTGATGCGATCACGGCTCACTGCAGCCTCTACCTCCCAGACCCAAGCAATCCTCCCACCTCAGCCTCCCAAGTAGCTGTGACTACGGGTGTATGCCAGCATGCCTGGCTAATTTTTTGTGGAGATGGGAGTCTCCCAGTGTTGCCCAGGCTGGTCTCAAAAACCTGGGCTCAAGCACTCCTCTTGGTTCAGCCTCCCAAAATGCTGAGATTACAGGTCTGAGCCACTGCACCCGGCTTAAATTTTAGATTAGATAACATCTACCTCACCTCCAAAGCCCTTCAGTAGCTAGCTCCCTGTTGGACTCTAAAAATCCCAACTCCTTAGTGTGGCCTGCAAAGCCTGCATGGTCTGCTTCTCCTGGATTGTAAGCTCCACGAGGACATTCATTATCATTCAGGAATGTTCATTAAAACACTTGTGTCCAACACCGGCACTGTGCTGAGTACTGGGACATAGTAATAAATTAATAAATAAGAATGAGAGAAGAAAAAGAAATGGAAAACAGGAACACCTGTGGACTCTAGTCATGGAACTTCATCTACTGGTAGAATAGATATTATCCACGTAATTGCAGAAAGATCTGTTAAAAGTACAACACTGATAAATGCTGTGAAGAATAGGTTCATGATTTTATGAAAGCAGGTAACAGTGAAGTCTTACTGAGATAGTCATGACTGAGGTGATGAGTGGGAGTACAGGAGGTTGGGGTGTTTGTGTGAGTGGGGAGAGGAGAGAATATGCAGGGAGGGGGTTTTCTAGAGGAAAAATCTGCATGTTCAAAGCCTGTAGGGGCAGGAGCAGACTGTGGCTAGAAGGCAGGAGCATTGGCGGTTACCTGCTGTTAAGGATTTCTAATAAGCTGAATGTGGGGAGGGGTGAGGAAAAGGGAGGAATTAGTAGGCTTTTGGTTAAGCACTTGGGTGGATCTTGGCAAACATTAACATTTGGAGAGGTTCAAGTCTTGGTGGTACTTGTGTGTGTGTGAGAGAGAGGCGCGTGCACACACACACACACACACACACACACAGAGATAAAGCAAGAGAATATGAGATCTACCTTAGGCAAATCACTTAACCTTTTGAATTGCAGATTCCTATCTCATTTGAAAAACACACCTAAAAATGCCTAACTCATTATGGTGAACGTCAAATGGAATTGTAAAAATACGTTATAAACTGTGAGTTGGTATTGGTATACATGTAGATGATTGTAGTTAACTATTTCTCAGATATTTCCTTGTATTCCTCAATATTGGTTTGCAGCCATTCAAGCTGGACTATCATTTTGATATTCTTCCTCACCATATAGCTTTGCTCAAGACTCCACCCTCAACAACAAAGTAAATGTTTTAACTGGAGCTCTAACTCTTTAATAGCTTCTTTGCTTCCATCCTCTTTTTCTGCTTCTAAGAAATTTAACTTCTCTTCTTAGTTTTTTTCTTACCACCCTTCTCATTTTTTTTTTCCATTCCTTCCATCTTGGGCTATATTTCACTTTCAGAATAGGACTTTCTTCCATTTCCCTGTAGCACTGAGCCTAAGACTATGCCCTTTTATGTTTCCTTTGCCTTTCCTTGTTGGGGAGAGGGGTTTAGGATTAAGTGTAGGTGTATCCACATCTCCTAAGATCTTTTAAGATTATATTTTATTTTCATTTTCTTCTTAGTAAGCAGGTTCTCTTATTTAAAACCTCTCCCCAAACTCATGTCGATAACATTTTATTACTTTTTTAAAGATAGAAGTTACATATTGGACTTATAAGGTATGGGAGTGCCAGGGTGTGGGAGAGCTTGCTTTGTTAACTTTTTGGTTTACAATGAAGGAGATGCTCCCTTTTATTTTGGATAGAAGGACATTGTTCCTCCTCCTGTGGAGTAGGAAAGTTTGCTCCAAGCCAAGCATGCCTCCTTCCTGAGGACTGAGGAATAGCTATCTGCCTGTGTCTATTCTTCACATTGCCTGGAGAAAGTTAGAATAGAGGTGGAGATTGAGTATCTAGCCACATGAAGTGATTCTTACTGTCATTCATATTTAACATTTATTGCCTTTATTTTGGGGAAAAATCATTTAGATGGAAGACTCCTCTCTTTTTAATTTTATCTCCCATTCCAGCTGATCTACAGTATATTTTCTAGGAGAAAATAGATTTAGATACTAATTAGGATAATTTAATGAAATATAAAATCTGTGCGAGGTTAGTTGTTGCTATTCCAATAGGAAAATGAAACTGGATTCAGTTATCTTATTGCTAAAATATGCTAACCAAGATTCAGCTATTCAGATAACTTTAGAGCTGTAAAATATATTTTATAACTCTGTTTTCATTCTTTCATTAATAAATACCTGCAGTAATTCCCTGGCTTATTTTCCTTACACAGTTGTTAGAGTAGGACTTTGTTTTCTGTCAGTTTCATTCATTTCATTATTGTATTTAAGCTGACTATAGAGAAATCATGTTAGCAAATGTATATGAATTATTTCTCCCTTTCCATGAGGATCTTTCTGATGTCTTATTTTTTTTCTGAGAGAGGCTGTGCATTGACTTTGGTTAGAAATGGTCTGTCTTTTCAAAATAACTTCTATGTAATTAAAAATGGCTGAACTCTAATATGAAGCTGTTATCTTGAAAGCTATTTCTATATTTAAAAAATCTTATTTTAAGTTGTAGAAAGCTTGTATGTTTTATGTTAGTATCTGAGTAAAGCTATCAATGGAGGTACATATGTGGTTAAAGTGATGAAAATATAACTATGGTTAAATCATTCATCTGTTGCAAATTACTTATGACTTCTGATACAGATTAAATGAAATGCTAGGAAAAAAATATAGATGAGAAAAATATAAGTAGCACCGTATGTGCCAATGTGTGACTGTATGCTTGTATATGTTATACACAAAAGTTGTTAACTTCTGCAAAACTTTGACCATTTTCAGTTTACATTGTTAATTTTCATTTATTTGATTTAGAAAGACCATTTAAATATGTTCTTAAACCTAGTGACAAAATGTGTGGAAAAATAATGAGAAACATCTCACAGTTAAATATTTTTGTTTTTAGATTAGTCATGAATGTCTTCTTTCCTGTAGTGTGAATGGCAGAAAGTTAACTATTCATGGTGTAATTTGTGTGAAAACATCTATACTTGCATATTTATTTTTATTATTCTATTTTATAGAAAGCATTAATTCTCCAACATGGTAATAAAACATGTTTTTCCTTCAGGTACACTGGTGTAACTTCCCTTCTGCATGAAAATATTTCAGTTTATCAAATCATACTTTTCAACTAAAATTTGGTTAACATAGAAATGTTACAACCATAAAAATAAAGCGCTAGTATTAAAAAAGGTTAATTTTGATTTTGATTTTTACTGTCTTTATTATCTTTAACTGTTAAAACATGTTTAGCTCCTAAAATATTTAATAGGGTAATTTAAATTACTGCATAGCACCCTCCTTTTAGTAGCTGGTGGTAGGAACTCCAAACCAATGGAAATTTCTAGCTGAAATTGGAATCCATGAAGAACCAAACTCAGGAGCCACCTTGTTTTCCTTCCTCATCTAATATGGATGTTTAATTTGGGGTGGTGACTGACTTTTCAATACAACTTTAAGAGAACATTCTATATAAACTGTTGCGTCTCCCCAGCTACCCTCAGAGAAAACCACATGTCTAAGCTGAGGGGAAATTCACCCGCATGGAACGGAGCCAGTCTCTTGGAGAAGAACATGGTTGATGGAACCCCTGAACAATAAAGATCTGTGATTACTGAAGCGGCTCAGAATTTCATTTTTGAGGCCACTAAATCACTCTTGGCCTGCACAGCTGTGTAGTCAGGGGAGGCTGCAGATATTATTCAGGGCAGCAACCACAGAGTCTGTTTTTTATAGAATATTTTCCCAGTGCTTTTGGAAACTCATCAAGTGTTAAAACTCAGTATTTTCTGGGAAAGTTGAAGATTTTTCTCTCCTTTTATGGCAATTTCAACCTCAAGGTGAAATATTTCTTTAATTATGTGTAAACTTTATTTTTTAAATGAGAAAATTACATTAAAATTACAATTTTGTGGGACATTATTAAGCAAGAGGGGAAAAATCTACCGTTATGTGAGGTTGGGTTGTCAGATATTTTTAAATTCAGAAAATTTGCTGAGAATTCTCCTTCCAAAATGGTAAAAGAAAATGAGTGCAAGAAACGCGCCACTGATAGAAAAGTGGGAAGATACTGAAGCAATGTTGGGAACAGAAATGATCAGGGTGACTGAAGCAGAGTCATAGAGCCTTGAAATAGAAGTAAAAATGTAAACCACGGAGACAAACAGGAAGCTTGTGGAAGTGAATGATGGTGAGAAATGTGTTCTACAGTAAGATCATGAGGTATATGGATTCTTATTTTACATTCATTTTAAAAGCATTTTTCCAACTGCTAAGATTTATATTATTGGAAAGATGTTTTGCATCTTCTAATAGAAATTCATTTTGGAATAGAGTGGCAGCCACAGTGTGGGAACTTCAGAAAAGGGGGTGATGTAAAATCAACAGGAACAGAGTGTTTTTTGAAGTGTCAGCAGCAAGGTCTGGCTAATGGGAGCAGGCTGTGACACTAGGCAGCATGTACTCCAGAAAGCACTTCTGCTTTCCCGTAGGGCATCCCGCAGACCCTGGCTGGGCTCAGCACCACCTTCTCATTGATGTCCCTGTGTAGGTGGGTATACGATACGTATGCTGGTCAAGAGGCTGTCCCTAATTCTCACTTCAGTAAGCTGAAAACTCCCTAATTCTCTTAAAAGCCTGAAAACTTTACGTTTTTCTCAGCAAATAGTTGATATTAGTGAAGGCCTATTTAGAGATTTCTTTGATATTATAAAGTGTGCTGATGATCATAGAAAAAAAAATAAGCTGCATTTATTTGTTCCCTAAATTCTTAAATACAATCCTCCCACCGTGCATAATTACAGTCCCCAAGGTAAAAATCTGACAGTTGTACTTACATAATAGTTACATAATCAGCTACTTAAATAGGTTTTAGCTATTAGCTAAAATAAATAAATCCTAGAGCAGATTTTTCTGGGTAGTGAAGTTGTCTTTTTGTAGCTGTTGAGTACTGGAGTTCTTTTTAGATAACCTGATAGTTTAGAAAATTAATACTGAAGCAATTAATTGAAATTGACTTCAACCTACCAATTCCACGACTGTCGTTTTCTTCTTTAGTTACTTTCCATTAATTGACTACGCTACCCCTCTTTGGCCCTGCTGTACTTGTACATGGCTATTTATTCATACTGTGTTTTGCCTCTCATTCATGCCACACCAACAGATGCATAAAGTGTCCATCTCTCTATTTTCCTCTGAAAACACGATTTTGATGCATCTGGCATGGCCTTCTTTTTCCTTGTGCATATTAGTTGAAGGTACGTGTGAGCTGGAGCTAGGGCTCTCACCACTTCCTAACTGCCTTGTGTTGGCCGAGAGGTGCTCTGGAGCCTTCCCTGGGTCCTAGTGGCTTACTAGGACCTAGTAGTTTCTTCCTTTGGCCTGCATAGAAGCCTAGCTTAGCATAGAAGCCTTCCTTCGGCCTGCATAGAAGCAAAGCTTTACTCATTTTGGACCATTGAGGCCTCATGTGAATTCTTTGTCCATTTTGGATCAAAAAAGGAAATGACAAAGAGAGACAGAAATAGAGGTTAGAGAGACAAGAGTCTACACCAGATGGTGTTCTCACCTTCAAACAGCTGCTCAAAACTGTACAGCTCCATATGTTCTCTTGGCTTATCAAAAAGTCAGAAGGCTCTGAGACATTAAGAAAGAGATACTTGTGGGCAGCTCATTTCAATAGCTCGTAGCACAAACCTGTAATTACCACAGGACAGGTGTGTGCAGATCTTCATGATGCTTTGAAGAATCTCAAGTTCATTTGAGAACATTGTCATAATGACCCATATAAATAAACAGCCAAAGATTAATTTAGCTGCCAGGTAAGCAGTGACCAAATTGAGTTTTCAGTAACAAACCCAGTCATCATTTCTCCTGGGTAAGCACTGGAACCAACATACTTATGATTTTATTATGAATTATTTGTGTATGTAATTAATAATAATGTATTTCTGCTCTCTTTGCTTTTATATAGGAACTACTCAACTTTAACACAATTCTAAGTTAATATTTATTCTTGTTATATCATTATTTGGAAAATGTGCTTAGATTAATAAGTGTAAAAATAATCATAAAATAATACATCTCAATGTTCTGGAGTAAAATTGTTATTAAGTGTATGAAATAAAAAACAAGTTATGTCTTCTCTTCATCGTGTCCTTTCTATTCCCAAGGTAATAATCACCTAATAGTTGGGTATCTGAATTTCTATATGATCATTCTCAATCTCACTCTCAATCATCTCCCCTTTTGTCCATCCATCCAGCCCCCCGTTCATCTATCCATCCCTAGATTCACCAGTTCCCCCATCCTCCCATGCCCGCATCCAGGCATCCACAGATTCACCCATCCCTCCATCCCCCGGTGCCCCATCCACCCACCCATCCACCCATTCCCTCATCCATCCATCCATCCTCCTTCCGTTGATCCATCTACCCACCCATCCATCCACCCTCTTATACAAGTGCAGCCTTTATCTCATAATGAAACTTGCTTTTTAAATGTAGTTTTGAAGATAAATAATACATATTTGTAGAAGTCACCTGTAATTGTTTATTGACCTACAATTCATGGAAATGATGTCCTAGTGCTTTATTTCTTAGCATGTAGTTATTTAGTTGGGACTTTTTATTTTTGCTGAAGCATGGCAATTTGTGAGCAATTTAAGTCTCTGCCTTGTGGTAGGGGTTGGACCCTTCTATGGGTGTGACTCTTCTTTTTTATTGACTTCGCTGATGATAGAACTTAGGGGAAAATTATGAGAGGAATTACCACAAGTGTAGAATCGGAATTTTAAATCTGAAAAGGCTTGGAGATTGTTCAGAATTTGATGTAAACATTTTTCTGGCAGTGAATGAACTGTTAAAACTGTGATTTGCCGGTGGAGGTAAACAAAAACCAAAGACTTTTTCTTTGCTTGTCCTAATTTCAGATCCTAGTTCGCTTGGTGCCTGTGTCTTCATCTTCGTATCTATTCTGTCTTCCCATCTGATAAAACTTGAGGTTGGTTTATTCTGTTTCCAGATGCTCTTTTTATTCTGCTACCCAGAACCCTCTTGGTTGAAAAAGTAATTTTAAGCCATTCTTTTTTTTTTTTTTAATCATCCAGAGTCTCCTGAGCTAATTTAGTTCCTTCGGCAGCTTTGACTGCCCTTTTAAACATCCAGCATACCTGAGTGGGTTCTGTGCCTCTATAGATGTTGCTGACACATATCACTCGTATTTATTTTTGCCTGGTACTCTCATTTGTATGTAAGTGTGTTCCTAATGTTGAGTTTCCTTGCAAGTCCTGAACTGTGTTTTCTACTTTCTTCTTCCACTTCCTTTGTACTATTCATGGTTTTTACGCACGCACTATATTAATGCGATGATCTGAGCATAAAGTACGATTTTTCTAAAGCTCATATGAATCTGTGGAGTTGTGTCCAAGCAGTGAATCTGGTTATAGGAGGCCACATTTACAGCATTTCTGCTTAACAGCCTGTCCAGCAGGCAGCTCCGTGCTGTCTAGTAAGTCCTCATTCTGATTTGTATGGTGTAGATCCATCTGTGCAGAATAAAATTTCATCCCTTCTTTCCCTCTCCCACCTCTTCTATCAGATTTTAGACCTCATAAAACCTCTCTTCACTGCTATAAGAGAAGAGGGAAGAATTCAACCCCAGGGCTTTGCTCCAAGCTTTGAGGATATTCACATGGTGATAGCTTTTAAAAGATAGAGAATTTCAGAACAAGGCATAAGCCGGAAGTTGTGACTCTGCATGCAGAATTAGCAGTTAGAATTTAGAGGTACATAAGTATCTGTAATTGCCAGGAAACTAGATGAGTAAAAATCTTCCCTATGGATTGCGCCTTTTTTTCTTACTTCATAGCTCTGTCAGTTTTTACTTTGTGTATTTTGAGGTCATGCCACTTATGCATACAAGTTCATAATTATTACATCTTGGTGGACTTCTCTTTGCTTATTGGATAGTGTCCCTTTTTTTTTTTACCAGTCTTAATGATTATTTTTAATTAAACTTTTTTATATCAACATTGCTGTATCAGCTTTCTTTTGGCTAGTATTACTTTGATATTCTTTCTAACCCCATGTTCTCGCTTAAAAAAATTGTTTTGCGTGATTTTGTTTTAAGGGTGTCTCTTCTATGCAGAATATGTTTTACTTCTGATTTTTTTCTTTTCTTTTCTTCTTTTTTTTTTTTGAGATATTGCTTCACTCTGTCACTCAGGCTGGAGCACAGTGGTACAATCAGAGCTCACTGCAGCCTCAATTTCCCAGCTCAAGCGATCCTCCCATCTCAGCCCCCCAGAGTAGCTGGGACTATCGGTGTGTGCCACCATGCCTAGCTAATTTTTTTGTATTTTTAGTAGAGACAGAGTTTTGTAGCCCAGCTGGTCTTGAACTCCTGGGCTCAAGCAATCCACCCACCTCAGCCTTCCAAAGTGTTAGGATTACAGGTGTGAGCCACCATGCCCAGCCTACTTCATAATTTTAAAAATAGCTCTGATAATTTCTGTATTTGAATAGGGAGTTTGTTATTTACATTTATTGTATTTGTGTGTTTGTATGTATTCATATTCTATTGAGTTTTCGATGACCATTCCTTTTTTTTTTTTTTGCTCCTTTTTTTCCCAACTTCTTGCTTTCTATTGGATTGTTAGGGATTTCTGTTTTTCACTTTATTTCTCTCTGCTTATTTGAAAGCTATACAGCATGGTTTTCTTTCTTTAGGGATCACTCTTCCACTTTACTTTTTAAAGATGGATAAATTTTATACATTTAAAAAATTTAATCTGTATTTATATCTTCTTCCTGAGTGGACCTTAGCATGTTATAAATGCTCACTGAATAATTCTCATTGTTAATTAGAGTTTGGTTTTATTTTTTTAAATGCAATGTACTTACTTATTTTAGAGTAAACAGTTAATTAAATCTATATTTTACTTGTTTTTTTTTCTCTTTTATCCTGTTGCATTCTCATGGATTCATTTTTCTTTTTTTGTTATTATAAATTCAGGGGGTACATGTGAAGGTTTATTATATAGACATATTGTGTAATGATGAGGTCTGGGCTTCCAGCATACCCATCACCCAAACAGTGAACATTGAACCTAATAGGCAATTTTTCAATCTTTACCCTCCTTTAACCCTCCCCTCTTTTTGGATTTCCCATGTCTATTAATTTCATCTTTATGTTCATGTGTACCCATTGTTTAGGTCCCACGTAAAAGTAAAAACATGCCGTATTTGATTTTCGGGGTTATTTCACTTAGGATAATGACCTCCAGCTCCATCTGTGTTGCTGCAGGAGACATGATTTCACTCTCTTTTATGGCCTCCTAGTATCCTGAACTCATTTTTCTACATACTGAGGTGTATCCTCAAGTAATTGATTCAACAATGGTCTAAGGGTGGGTGGCTTTCTTTTAATTTTAGTTTTGAATAATACTTTAGCTGGACATAACAGTCTAGATTACAAATTGTTTTCTTCTCGGCACTTCAAAGATGTTATCCTATTGTCTTCCGCCTAGGACACAATAAACAAAAATATTTTTGAATGAATGACACGTTGTTGCTAATAAGAATCTGCTGTCAGTCTGTCGGTTGGTCCTTTGTTAGTAATCTGTTTTGTCTCCCTAGTAGCTTTTGCTACTTACTTAACTTTGTTTATAGTCTATTATGTTGTATCTAGGTATTGATTCAGCTTTATTTGTCCTGAATCCTATGTAGGACAAATAAATTCTTGATGTCAAGAATTCTAACTTTATTAAAATTCTCAACTTTTATATCTCCAAATAGGGTTGCCTTGTCTTTATGTGCAGTCCCCTTTTCTGCAATTTTTATTAGATAGATGATGGAGCCTCTCAGTTGTTCTGTGCTGTCTGCTCATTTCAGCAGCTTTAAATTTCCTTTCTCATGTTTTAAATTTATAATGCTTTTATCTCATGTTCTTTTTACATTTCTGCCAGTTGTTGTTTGCAGAAGTTTTACTTTTGAGGGAGGAAGACAAGGAACTTTCCCCCTTACTACCTATTTGAAAATCCTAAACAAACTTCCATAAAAATAATTTCATGTGGAGAAAAATTCATGTTTAAATTGGTCGATCTTGTTCACTGTATTTCTTGGGATTAGAATGTATTTCTGTGTGTTTTGGAATTTTGGTGTGCTGGCTTGTATTTGAGTTGGAAGATTCCAGCAAAAGTCTTTTCTTTCCCCCACAGCATCTTTTCACATTAGATGAAATTGAGTATGAGATGGGAAAATGAGCACCACACGAGTTCAGTTTCATGGAGTCATCCTAGGTGTGTCCTCTCTACTGTTTGAGCTCCCTTAGGCTCATGGTCTCAGGAGCCAGATTCTTGCCTGCTCTGGACGTAGAGGCCCGAGGGCCCATGGTCTCTCCTCTCTTACCACTTTCCCATTTCCTGCCTAAAGATGTTTGCCATATTTAAAAGATATCAGTTACAGCCCTATGACTTTGTATATTTTCAGATTGTGTTTATCATTGCTATGGATTTTGAGCCAGAGGGCTTATGTCAGTGATCAAATGTGTCATCTTGTTTGGAAGCAATTTGACTGGAAGTTGAGGCTAGACTTGGGGAATAACTGCTGAGAAAAAATTTAAAAGGGTAAGCATTGATTATTGATCAAGTGACTATATCATTTAATATTCACACCCAGATACCTTTGAGAGTGACAGAAGACATTATTAGTAGTGATATAGGATTATAAGTGTAAGCCAGAGCTATTATAGGAATGTAGAATTGTGTAGTCGTTGTGCTATAAAAGGACTATCCTCTTTAAATTTTTAGAAAGGAATATTTATGATTCAATATCACAGTTATTTTTATTGATGTCTGTATGCTACCTAGAGTTACAAGACAGCTTTTTCTATAAGAAACACATGATTATTGTATAAATATAAAGGCCAAGAGTCTTTGAAAACATGGAGTATGGAGCTGAGAAAGAAATGTGTGTATGAGTAAATCTGAAACTGATGTTAGTCATGAAGTTTTTCAGCAATATGTACCATTCCCTCTTTAAAATATTTATAGTATTACATCTCATAGTAGCTGGGCCTAATTTTCCAAAAAACAGCCAGAGGAAGAATGTCAGCAGTAGGAGTTAATTTTGAGGTAAAGTTGATGGGCACATTGTATCATAAGACTATGTCTTAACTACTATAACCTACTATAATTCCTAATAAATCTTGTAAATAAGCATATATGAGAAATTTATAGTGTTTATGTCTTGCAAATACAGAATGAACCAATATATAGAATTTGAATTACCTCTAGTAAAAGTAAAGGTTCATGTTATGCAAACACATTTCAGACTTTCTATGAGTTGCAAAACTTACATGTGTACCACACCTGCCTACATGTTTTGTCACTGGTGAGATGTGACAAAATGATCTCTACTTACCCTATCTTTGAAAGCCCATGATTTTAGTGATTGTTTCTAAATATAAATATTATCAGCTTCTCAAGACAAAATTCATTTTATTCTCTATATCTATGTCTATATCAGTATAAAATCCGTGTGTGTGTGTGTGTGTGTGTTTGTGTGTGTGTGTGAGGATCAAAAACTCATGATGAATAACAGGCTTTAAATTTTTTTATTCGTTAGCATATTTCCCCAAGCCAACATAATTCTTGTTTTTCTCTTTTTAGAATAAGCTCTTGCCATCATGTTGGTCAGATAGAAGAAGAGCCATCTCATCTTTTGTTTGTTAGAGGGTTTCAATTATTTAATAAGAGCAAGTAATTAAGACATTAAGAATTAAAGTGGCTCCAAGAAGAGCTCTGAGACTCAGAACTGCAGAGTGTTGCCTAGGTTTCTAAGTTTGGATTTCAACAGAAGTGTGAAAAGTTTCTGCTGCTGCTTCCTTCAAAAATTTTTAATAAGATGTAGTATTTTGACATATTAATCTGAATTGAGACTGAAAAATTGCGTAAACTTTGGTTAATCAGATCGATTGTCAAATCCAGCTATATTGCTGTTTCATTTTCTACTAAAATTTGAATTATTCATATCACCAAATAGCTCAGCAAAAATGTTTAGTTTTTGCATATATGTAATAAAAATAGTTGATAATGAGGTTCTAGGGGAAGCAAGGATTTTGGGTGTGTGTACATATGTGTGAGAGAATGAGAGAAGGAATAGGAATGTATCAGGATAGAATGCTTCTAAAACCTCATTTTCCAGTAACAGGTTTGATATACTACTGTGGTCAAAAATAATAAAGAAACTATAATAGCTATTTCTGTATTGTTATAAATGCTGAAGAGTCCTGCTCTCAGATTACAAGATACGCCTCAAGGAAGAAGTAGTACAAACACAAGGTTCTTAATATAGGTCCATAAGAAGTGGCATGATGTAATATCTGGATATCTGGGTGGTCACTCTTATTTCTCACACAATAAGAATGAACTTTTTGGGATTAAAACTCACTCTCCATTAAATTTTTAGAATTTCCATCTCCATGTGAAGAAGTTTGAGTATTATTGATTTCTTCTTCTTTGGAAAATCAGCCCTTCAGCTTTTCAAAGACAACTTGAAAATTGGACACCAATTCATATATAATGCATATATATTCTCCACTGCTGTCCAAACAGTCATTTTGTAGCTTCATAGTAGAAAATATAGTTAAAATTCTTAAATGAGGGAAAGCACATGAATTATTATATAGTGCATCTCTTTATATGACCAAAAATTATGCTGTATTCTAGCAATCTGGTTATATTTTTGAATAGTATCCATAATTACAATATTTATTTACAATTCCATTTAAGCTCCTGTAATTTTGACGGAAATGGAAGAAATTTAGAATCTTGGAAGATCTTAAACTTCTGGTTTTGTTGGTTGTTTGTTTTCTGGGGTTACTTTTGGCCAGGAGGCAGAGAGAAGTGTTATATAGTACTTGATTCAGCAACATTCTATTTTCAAGTATTTATTATTTTAAAAGTTTTTTTATGTATTATGTACAATATATAACTGCAATTCCTATTTTGGTTTTATGAATTATTTTTTCTATTTTTATAAAGTAAATCTATAAAGTTATTCTATTATGTGTCTGAAATATTGAGAAAGAGGATCCTTGTAAAAGTGGAAAGATAGGAGACCAATACCAGGTTGTTTCTCTGATCCAGGCTGGTTCTCAGCATAGCTCAGGACCCTCAGTAAATGCCTGTTGAGTGGAAGGTTGCATGAACTTCATCGAGTATGGATTCTTAAAAATAATAATAAATTAAAAGAAAGCTTTTCATTGGGAAATTGGTATTTCAAAAAATCAGATTAATAAATCCAGTCTTTTCTTTCAAGTTTTGTTAGTTTTTCTTGAAAATTTATGGAGTATATTTCAGAAGCTATTTTTTTTTTTTTTTTTTTTTTTTGAGACAGAGTCTCGCCCTGTCCCCCAGACTGGAGTGCAGTGGCACAATCTCGGTTCACTGCAAGCTCCACCTCCTGGGTTCACACCATTTTCCTGTCTCAGCTTCCTGAGTAGCTGGGACTACAGTCGCCCACCACCACGCCTGGCTAATTTTGTGTATTTTTAGTAAAGACGGGGTTTCACCGTGTTAGCCAGGATGGTCTCAATCTCCTGACCTTGTGATCCGCCCGCTTTTACTTGAGCCACTGTGCCCAGCCTCAAAAACTATTTTGATAGAGGTGGTGTAATCTTCTAAAGCCAGCTGGCACATTTATAGGATGCCAGGCTAGCCCATCAGATGAAGTGTCCATTGTGGCAGCCACAGATCCACATCAGATGGGAAGAGTGTGATCAGTGCTGCATGCATGTTTAATCAGGTAACAATGGGAGCTGTACAGGAAGAGGATTATTATTCCAAGAAGAAAGGACCTATATCATCTTGTGGAAGGTAAACGTATCCATTGGGAGGGAAAAATAATATATACATAGGGAGAGAGAACTGAAATATCATCTTATTGGTGTAAACCATTTTGTTAGTATCAGCATTATTATTGTTGATATTCACATCTGTATGATCCATCTGATCAGGATGGGTTAGCTGTCAAGTCATCAAGATTGACTTTATGACATTTTTATTATCTGTCCTTTCAAACCTTATGGTTCTAAATTTTCACTGTTTGCATGCACTTTCATGTATAAATCTGCATCTGGAAAGACTGATATTTCTCTAAGGCAGGGGTCAGCAGATGTTTTTTGTAAGGGGCAAGGTAGTAAATGTTTTGGACCATAGAGCCATGGCTGCAGTTACCCAGCTCTACTGTTGCAATGAAAAAGCAGCCATCCACGAGATGCAAATGAAAGGTGTAGCTGTTAGCTTTCTGTTGGCTCAGCTGCACAAATAGGAGCATGAAACAGGCTGTAGTTTGCCAGCCACTCCTTGCCACATCCTCCTCTGTCATTAGCTACCCGTCTTGGGGTTCGTTCTGCTGTATGCTGTATCTACAGGTTCCTGTTTGTTCCTGTTTGGTGGTCTGCCTCTTTGCTTCTTATGCCTCACTGACCTTCTTGTAGGAGAAGCTTGTGGGGACTTCCATACATCTTTCAAGTTCAGATTTGGGAAGATGTGTGTCACCTCTGCCCTTCTTTCCTGTTCCTCACATATGGAGGCAGTGATGCCTTTCACCCTTCTGGCCAGAGCAGCCTGGTTCCAGAGCCAGCCTTGACCAGAGCTTGACCCATGCTGGGGGAACTTAGCTCTGGAAGCTGGCAGGGTGTGGGATGAGTGACTGGTGCCAGGTAGGTCTGGGGAGATAGATAGATAGTTTGATAATCCCAAATCCCAAAACTGAAATGCTCCAAAATCTGAAACTCTTTGAGCATCAATATGACTGTCAAAATAAATGCTCTTTGGAGCATTTCAGATTTTGGATTTGGGATGCTCAACTGGTATAATGCAAATATTCCAAAATCTGAAAAAAATTGGAAATCTGAAACACTTCTGGTCCCAAGCCTTTTGGATAAGGGACAACCTGTATATACAGAAAGAGAACTGAAATAATGTGTCTTTTTGGTGTGTGTTATTGGTGTGGACCAATTTATTAGTTATCAGCGTTACTATTGTTGACACCCACATCTGGGCAAGGCTGTGTAACTGGCAAACTGGACCCTCCACCCTCTCGGGTTCACAGGCCTTTCTTCCTCTGCAGGGAGTGGGACCTTGCCGGCTTGCCTGGACACAGGGACCGATTGTTCCCCAGAGTCCTGGATTCCCTTCCTCATCCCTTCACCGTGACTGAAGTGCTGCTCTTAATGGGCAGATTGCCATCAACTGACTCTGTTCTTTAAGTACCGGTGACGTCGTCATCTTCCATGTGCTGCCCAATTACATGATTCCATCTCTTGGCCGTTACTAGGCTCTCAGAACTGGCCTGACCCAAACCTCTTTGCACTTTCTTGCCACCTTCCATCCCTCCTGCCCCTGTGCCTTGACCTCTCGCTGACCCTTGTTCCTGAGGGCTCTTGCCTTCACTGTCAGACCAGCATGAGTTTTGCCAAAATACAGATTCTTTTCAGTGGAGTGGTATATAATTTGATTTTTTTGTTTAAACTCCTACATTTTATAGTCATTGGTAGTTAAATTACAAATAAATCTTACACTAAAATTTATTTTATTTTATTTTTATTTTTTTGAGACAGAGTCTCGCTTTTTCACCCAGGCTAGAGTGCAGTGGCATAGTCTTAGCTCACTGCGACCTCTCCCTCCCAGGTTCAAGCAGTCCTCCTGTGTCACCCTCCCGAGTAGCTGAGATTACAGGTGCCCGCCGCCACGCCAGTCTAATTTTTTGAGTAGAGACGGGGTTTCAGCATGTTGTCTAGGCTGGTCTCAAACTCCTGTCTTCAAGTGATCTGTCTGCCTTGACATCCCAAAGTGCTGGGATTACAGGTGTGAGCCACAGCACCTGGTCTTTAAAATATTTTTTTAAGGAACCTTATCATCAGTGCTCAAAGATAGTCAAAATAAATTAAAGCCATATAAAAGGACCAGTAGGGCCTCAAATTGGTCATGGAACATAGGGAGCAATTTGAAATTAACAAAATAAAACTAATGCTAACTGGATTGTTTTTCCCCGAGTAACAAAGACATATTAGGAGGATTTCTGCTCCTAAATTGTCTTTTACCATCCTAGAGTCAAAATGCTTGATCCAATTCAGTAAATGGAATTGTACAAGGGATTAGTGATGCTTTACCTTTTATATCAGAAAAATTCTCAGAAGTACACGTAAGTGGAATTTATTCTTTTATTATAAAATCAGTCTATAGAGACTCCTTCCTATGTTTACGGATGAGAGAGAGGAAATGATAGATGCTTAAAAGATTAGGTAGGAAGCCACTGTGATTGTCCAGATGATAGCCTGGGCAGGATAGTATAAGCGAAATGGAAAAAATTCTTAGAGACTATAGAGTCGTCAGTGTCACTTTCATATGGGCCAAGTTGATAAACTTTTAATAAAGCTCAGGATTATTTACATAACCAGTGTAATTCTCTGGGATAAAGGTCTGAATAAGTTAGAGTCTTTGGGAAAGCAATCTTAGAGCAGAGGCTAAGAGCAGTACCAAGAAGTCAGACTACCTGATGTTAAAGCCTAGTTCTATACCTAAGTATGGGAAGATTATTTAACCTTTCTGTGCTTAGTTTTCTCATCTTTAAAATAGTTCAGTGAAGAATCAACAATATCATGCAGTTGATTATGTGAGGATTAAATGAAACAATACAAATAAGACACTTAGAACACTTAAAATATGTTATCACTATTATTATTGTTATTATTTGGAGTCACATACACATGGTTTTAAATCACTCCTCCACCATTTGCTAGCTGTGTGGCTGTCAGAAAATTAAATAAACTCTCTAAGTACCCTTCTCTTTATTGTGGGGGTTGATTGCATAGGATGGCTTTAGGGATTTGTTCAGATCAATGTAAGTAATCTTCTAACACGTAGACTATGCTCAATAAATGGCAGCACTAATTTTCATTTTCTAAAGAGAAAAATACTTGGTTTAAATAACCTGATTGATTTTAGGTAGAGAATAAAATATATGTAGAAGTGAAATCTATCTACTATATGTCATTTCTTCAAAATTAATTTAAGATTTCCTTCCACTGGCAAATATATTTAAATGTACTGACTAATTAAATTCAGTTTAGTATTTTGTATGGATAGACAAATAGATACAAACAAACAAACAAAAAAACCAGACAAATGTATATATAAAGGGTTGTCTCTCCAAACCCAATATTGATAAATTTTTAAATCTTGAAGATGGATCATTTTGATGAAAACACAGGTTTGCAGAAGATACTAGGTTGTTATGGGTAAATGTCTGGCTTATAAAAATGGTACTGGATATTCATGCAAAAGCTCCCATCTGATATTAAGTTAAACAAATCGAAATTAAATTCATTTCAACAAATAGAGGGCCACCTGAGTGCAAAGAAATTTTCCCACTCAGTGTGTTTCTGTGTATCTTTTTTAATTTGTCTAAATCTTTTTAAAACTTTTAAGCAGAAGCCTCTGTTAGGGTAATATGATCCTTCACTTTAAATCTGAAGTTAAATTTCCTTTTATTTGCTCCAACTGTACATTTCTCTGGTGTCAACAACAATTAATTCTAGTAAAATATGATTTGATGATTCTTAGGTCTGTTTTTATATCATCCAAACTTTTTAAAGTTGTTAAATTTTTCTGAACTTATTTTTTCCAATGTGTATTTTCCCAGCATAAATTGGATCCACGTTAATAGTCTTATTATGTGCTAGCAAATCCATGCCCAGTCTAGAGTGCAATACTCCCAGTCCGTTGAGTAACTACTATGCCATTTTTACAAATGCTATAGAGGAATAAAGAAGAAATGATAATGTGTAACCTCTCATGAAAGAGATGAAATTCTGGACGGAGAATTTGAAATCAAATGACAATTTTTGTTGCATAGTTTTGTTTTGTTTTTGCAGTTTTGGTAAACCTTTGATACCATGAGTGTTTACTACGAGTGAACAAGTCACAAGCCTCAGTTAATACAAAAATCTCAGAAATAGTCATTATTGGTTGAATAATTAACCTAGATTATTTCTGTGAGAAATGTGGATGCCCATGAATGATGTTACATTGCATATGTCTTCTAGTAAAACTGTTTCTAGTTCATACCAATAAAATGAAATATAATGGTGCTTGGTGTTTCTCAAAAGGCCTCATATTTCCCCATAAATAACCTGGGTCTAACATACTTGACATCTGCTGTTGTAGTAGTGTACAATATATACTCACATATAAATTGGCATGGTACAAATCACATAAGAACTAATAAGAATTATTTATAGACGTGAATGGTGACGTGATGTCAAATAATTCTGAAGTGGTGTGTTTGGGATCAATTCTAAAGGAGAAGGAACATGATTTGTCAGAAAAGGAACTCAGATTGCATAGGAATGAACAAGAGTTGTCTAAGAAAGATGATTGAATTGGGTCAGAGCCAGGAACTTGACCATTTAATGAAACAATGTACAGTGAGGCAGGAGAGCAGGAGAGAAAAAAGAAAAGGAATGGAAGGTCTCAAGAGAGTTGAAAAGGGTATCTATAAGAACTTACTAATTGTAGCAGCTGACTAAAAGTGGAACGAGCTTCCTAGCAAAGTTGTGATATCCACTGATAGAGATAATAAAGTCAAGAGCGTCTCCTTATAGGATGTTGTTTACGGAATTCATACATTGGGTAGAAGACAAACTAGATGCTTTCTAAGATATGTTCCACCTCTGAAATGCTGTGATTCTCCTATTTGTATTGCTAATTAGCCAATGAATATAGTGTGTGAAAGATATGACAGCACAATTGATTGCTCTGTAATTATAAATTACCCCCTCTGCTAATTACAATGAAGTTTTTTGAAGATTTTTTAAATGAAGCAGTACACTTCTTTATGGGAAGATCATGTCACATTTTCTAACTGATTTTGTAAATCCCATTTAAAAAATCTCCTCTACTATTAGAAATGACAAATATCAAAACTACAATTTTATACTGAGATTTATATATATATATATATATACACACACACACACACACACACACATACTTTTTTGGGGGGGATAAGAAGCATTAAAATAAATTAAGTAGAATAATTAAAAGCTGTATGTTTAGCTGGTAATTTTTGGAGTGGCACAGATTTTGTTATACACTGTGGTATTCAAAAAAGCCCAGATTTGTCCCAAGTAAATAAAGAAATGTCTTTTAAATGTTTTCACCTCTAAAAGTCTGGTTTGGTGGTTTTAATATTTTCTTATGTTGCTATATCAGGATATGTATCTTGTGCAAAGTGTGGCGAGAACAGTATGTTTACATCAGTGAAGTATGTGGTAACTAGAAGAGCCTAAAAATTGTGATTTATGTTGGCTGTTGGCAATTTTTTTTTAAAAGTACATTGACTTTGTGAGAATTTTTATGTAAATAAACAAATTCTGGTTTTCATTTCTAATGCTATTTGATTATTTTGTATAACCAAACGGGTTTTTTTTTTTTTTTTTTTTTGCACCAGAACCAGAAGTAGTGTAATGATTAATATATCCCGCCTCATACTTATTTTAAAGTTGAAATTTTAGGTTTTTAATTCAAAGACCCCATTGTATTCTTATCCTATAAAATGAATGGGCTCTGTGCATTAAAATTTTTACCAAATAGATATGGTTTTATGAAATGACAAAATGACTAAAGGATGGCTCAAAATCTCTAATGGACTTTTAAAAATTTGTGAAATATCAGAAATCTTGGGAATGTATGACTTTGGAGAAGGATAATGCATAGTAGTGATCAGTATCATTTATTATCAGCAGAATGGCAGAACCCAATAAATAATTCACTTTCTTAAGGACCTACTGATGCCTAGTGAATCCCTGTGTCATCATCAGCATTATTTAAAAGATGGCACAGAAGGAAACATCTGGGAGCCAATTCATCATTTAATTAAATTATCCTGTAATGAAATCTTCTGTAATGAGATTAATTTTAATTATTAATCAGGAGTTGACATGGGCACAAGGCATCATTAATAATAAATGAAAGGCTTTGTCTGTTCCATTTCTAAGAAAGGACCTAGTTTACTGCAACGGTGCTTTTTATACAGCCATGCTGAGTCCTCACAATGTGGCCATCCAAGAAGATGGCTTGATTTTTATTTCAGAACCTAGAGAGAGGATAATTGACCAATACCTTCAGATTTGGATTCCAAATTGTTGAAGCAATTTTTGATTTTAAAAATATTTCAAGGATGTCAAGAATAGAAAATGCTTTTTCAGAGTAATTTGGGGGTAAATTCCTAATTCAGGGACAAAAATGTCGCCTTTTAGAGGCCAAAAATAGGTAATGCAGTCACATTTTGGTATCAGCTATAGGTATGTTATTGTGCTCTTGTGTGGATGGTCTGTCAGTTCCTGACCTCACCCCAGATCTGCCCCAGTGGGGTCACTGCCTCCGACCAGGGTTATATGGGTAATAAGGAGACGGCAAATCAGTGGACTTACTTATAATTCAGTGGGAACTCAACAGTTTCCCGGAAGTACTAGCTCTCTGCGTGGTCACCAAACAGAAGCCTTCCTGGAGACTCTGGCCATGTCGCCCAATTCTTGTGGCTTCTCCTTTCCCTTAGTTGCCTGAATGGAAGATGGCCATAAAGAGGAGGCTTGAGTCTTGTTCTTTGAAGCCAAGGAAATCAGGGTTAGGGCCAAAGTAACAGGAAAGCAGACAGAGGGTCTTTAAGAACAAAACAAAACATAACCTGTTTGTTTCATCACCCTTAATTAAAGTTCTTCTTTGGATTTCTAATTTTATCTGAACTAAACTCTGAAATCTTTAACAAGGCTTCTCCCACTCCTTCAGCTTTATTTCAGAACACCCCTGCTGTGCCTCCTTTTCCCAGTTTCTGTCACCCCTGTGCCTTCTCCTCGGCCTGCATATTCATTGTGCTATACTCTCTGTGATATTATTTTGGCAATTGGAAAGTGCCAAGACTTCTTCCACTTTGAGGCTTTCTTTTTTTTTGAGACCAGTCTTGCTCTGTCGCCAGTGTTGCCAGGCTGGAGTGCAGTGGCTTTATCTCAGCTAACTGCTACCTCCGCCTCCCGGGTTCAAGCTATTCCCCTGCCTCAGCCTCCTGAGTAGCTGGGACTACAGGCATGTGCCACCACGCCCAGCTAAATTTTTTTTTTTTTTTTTTTTTTTTTGTATTTTAGCAGAGACGGGGTTTCACCATGTTGGCCAGGATGGTCTCAATCTCCTGACCTCGTGATCCGCCCGCGTTGGCCTCGCAGAGTGCTGGGATTACAGGCATGAACCACCGCGCCCAGCCTGAGGCTTTCTTATTTGCAGTTGTTTAGTCAGTTCAGTTTCTGCTGCTTTCTCTTGGATCTTTTCCAGATGTGCTCCTAGGCATCCTTTAGGCCCTAGCTTAGATGTCACTTCCACTGAGAAGCCTTCCCAGATTCCCAGTCTAATTTCTTCCAGTTTGTTATATTCTCTCATGACATCCATTGATTCTTTCAATATTGTGCTAAATTATTTTAGACCTACCATGTGCCAAGGCTTTTGCTTTCCTTCCTATAACTTATCAAAATATATAATTATATAGTCATCCTCTGTGATTATTGATTTATCTCTCCCACTAGACTGTAAGCCTTGAGAAGGCAAGGATCATGCTGAAACCTTGGCACCATGCCTGGTACATAGTATTCCTTAATGAATACTTGATAAGTGAATGAAAACAACAGAGATGAGAACGTAACAATTTAATCTGTCAGACACTTGAAGGAGCCCCCTTAAGAGGCAATGCATTTTCCATGCATGGAAATGTTTAAAAAGAGACTAGACAACTCTGTGTTAGATTTGCCTCCAGAGAGAGGACTGACACATGAGAAAGGAAATTGAAATAGATGACCATAACAGTTTACTCTAATTCTGTGTGGTGGTGGTTCCAACAGCTAGGAAATAATCAATCAATAGTTGCCTATTAATTGACTAAGACATTATATCTACTTGGTGACAGTCTCTCAATATTTGCTTTCTTGAAGAAATTGAATATTTTTTCTAATTTATTCTTTAAGCATTTATTCAGAGTACTGTGAAAACTGAGACAACTGGTTCAATATTTTAGCCACAGCAATGTCTAACACCAAAGAATCCCTGGGATTCTTTTTTTCCTTTTATTTTATACCAATTATGTTAGCAAGAACACTTAATATATTATAATAGTGATGAATGTATAGAAAAGGGAAAATAAGTAACATGATCATTGTAGTGAGTAATATCTGATTAGGTTGTACTGTAAATTTTGAATGTTACTACTATGTAAAGACAAACTTTTTTTCAGATAGCTAAGCTAATCTTGCCTTCTGAAAAAAGGTTTTTTTAGGGTAAGGAACTTTACTGGTGGGCTCTATGTATACTAAGGAAATCTTTCTTTTAATTGGTAAAATTCCACTGATTGGTAAAATTCCACTGCTCTCAGCTATGTTTCAATCTTGACCACTTAGTGTAATTAAAAAGACAGAGCAGAACAACATTGAGCCTCCTTATAGTTCTCCAGCCCAGTTTGCCATTCAGTCCGTGAAAATGAGTCAGTCTTGGGGAGGATATTTCCCACATGGCTTAATAACTTTAAACTTACAAGACAACAGAAATTCGAATTAGCAGATGCATATGCTAAAAGAAAAACATCTTTTTTAAAAAATCCGATTTTAAAGACTAAATTGTCTGTGATGTGCCTCAAAGGCACATAGGGACAGAATTCGTGTAACTCCTCACATTCTTGTGCCTGAGAGAAGAGAGTCAAACCACTAGTGTTTTGGAACCAGAGATTTAAAACAGCCTAGTCCAGAATGGAACTTTTCTTTCAATGTGATTTGTTCATTTGCAGGTTAGTGGTAATAGTAAGACTGTCACAGTAGGATTTTTTTGTTGTTGTTCTTGAGGGATATCTGGAAATTGTATTAGTAATTGTGATTAGCAGGCTCTACCTGAATGTATTTTCCTGCTACCATGTGTCTAGTTGGCATGTGTCACCAGGGCTGAACATTTTAGCACAAACTCGAAGTTGTATTGTGTTTCAGTAGTTTTCCTACATGAGTCTGCATTTGCCAATCTACCTATTTGATCTCTCTTAGCAAGGAAAAAAAGAACCCTAGTGACCTGCACCAAATTCTTTATAAAATAGACTATTGAAAATAAGCCTAATGAAAGCTTATTTTATTAAGGCTGTATTATGTACTCTGAAGATCTTGGTAAGTATTAGTATAAATATTAGAAATAATACCTATATAAAGAATATTTTATGATCCAGTTGTCTTTGGTTGAAAATTTGCTTTTACTGCTGAAATTTAAAAATCAAGCCAGCTACATATAGCTACAAATAGCTACATATAGCTCTAGCTAATAAATAATACTCTTTAGCTAGTTTTAGGAATGAGAAGTCATCAAAGTGCTAATTGACCATTTGATATAGCTTTTGCTATGGTACAATGTGTTTGTTAGGTGAGAGAATTCTTATTCCACAAAAGAAAGGATAATTATATTTAGCTATGGCTGATGACCTGGAAGAGGCCTTTTTGCATTTCCTTTTTTCAAGATAGTTTATTGATCTGGATCACTAAAAGAAAATTAAACATCTGAAAAACAAAAAACTGGAAGAACTGCAGTAGTGGTTCAGCAATGCACCTGTGTATACCTAGGGCTTTGCTTCTCCTTTTTGGCTAATTACAGAAGGACTCAACAATAAGTGCTCAAGACTTTGATTGCTAGTTTATACATCTTTATATACACTTTCATTCTATCTTTAAATTGTCCTAAACATAAGTGAAAATAATTAGTAACATTATTCATTGGGTTCATTTAATTTGTTCAACGGATATTTATTGAGGATCCTACTAAATGCCAGGCACTGTTCCTGATGAACAAATGACAGACTCTGTTCTTGCCCTCATGTTGCTTGCAATCAAGTTGTTAAAAGAGGGATAAAGCAAATAACCATGCAAATAAGTATACAATCCAACTGTCTTAAGTGCTGCAGAGTTAGGTAAGTAGTTAAATGGTTTCTCTGAGGAAGGGATTGATTGAAGACTAAAACTAATAAATAGGAATTAAGTAGGAAGAGGTTCTTGGAGAGGACATTCTAGGTGGGGGAAATAATGTGCACACTCTGTAGCGGGAGGGAGCATGGTGCATTGTGAATGGAACCCCGAAAACAAAGTGAAGCATTTGGGTGCAGTAAAGCTGTGCGGGTAAGTAGGGGCCAGGACATCAAGCACTTGTAGGCCACATTTAGGGTCTTTTTTGTCTTTGTCCCTAGAGCAATAGGAAAGCTTTAACAAGTTAGAGAGACAGTGAGTGAGCATTGCTTTTAGCAAAGGTGACTTTGGCTGTACTTGTAGACCATAGGTTAGAGGCATTAATAAAGGATAAAACATAATGATTGTGATTTATTATAACACAAATGGAAGAAATTAAAATTCATGAATCCAAAATGATGCTTGAGGATTGGGTAGGGTAGAGGAAAGCTCTGCTTTACAGAAAAATGCCAACTATTATAAATAGAAAGAATGATGGGGTGTCACCATTTTTGCAGTTCCCAATAGGATAACTGATCAGGGTGTCATTAACAGATGCTAAAATTGTTAGAGGAATGTTTTTGGGGAATAATATAGTCCTGTGGTGCCAAAATCCTGCTCTAAAGACTGTTTACTAATAAGAGAGGAAAAAATGTGACTTTACAGTGATAATATATCAGAGTCACCACTTTAATCAAGGGATTAGATTTAACTTCACAATTAGTGGTACAGCCTGGTATCACAGATTGTGTGATGTGATAGAATATGGAGTACCTAACCTTACAAAGGAAGTGTTTCTACAAAAGAAGAAAAAAGTCAAACCTGACCACAATCAAGCCTCTAAACAGAACTCTGCGTCTGTAGAGAATGTAAGAAATGGAGGATGAATTAAATTATACCATAAGGTGAGACATTCTATAAGAATCCTAGAGTGGATATTTCAGACAAGATTAAAGACATGCAACAGCCAACAACCAAACAAACAATTGTATTTTGGTTTTAGAAAGCTATCAAAGACCTTCTTAGTACAATTGGAGATATTAGAGGATTTTATGGTATTGTTAATTTTTATAGGTTTGATAGGAGATCATGTATGTTTACTGGTGAAATCTGACATATGCAACTTATTTCCAAACGATTTAAAAGCAATGATACATATAAGGTACAGATAAGATACATATGGAAACATGTTAAGAACTGTGGAATTTTGGAGGACAATATCTAAGTGTTCATTGTACTAATCTTTCAATTTTTTTGCATCTATGAAAATTTTTACAATAAAAAGTTGGAGAGAGAGAGTAGATGGCAGGCTGGGTAGTTACTTGCTTCACCCTATGCATCTGGCCGAAAACAGTTTCTGGTCCTTGGCTAACTACAGCTGTTGGGTAAATCTTTCACCAACTCAGAAAGTCACCCCAACATCTAAAATCCCAATCTGCGAAATTCTCCAGGTTCTGAATACATGCTGTGCTGACATCGGCAGCGTAAATGTGTGTTGTGTGGTCTGAGTCTCAGTTTGTGGATACCTCCAGCGGGAACCTGGGGCTTAAAGTTGAATAGTGTCTGTAGCAGAGAGAGTCTTTGTGCTTGATTTAAACTACACAGAATGGATGGCTGTGGAACACCAGTGAGGAGGCTATGCGGTAGACCTGATAGCAGAAAATGTGATAGCTTCATACCAGGATGCTAGGATGAGAGAGAGAAGCACAAGATATGAGAAATGAATAAATTTTAGGTGGTAAAAAATGACTGGACTTCATATTATATTGTTAATAGGGGAATAAGACAGAGAGGGATTTAATGCATGACTCGCTGGTTTTTTATTTGTATAAATGGAAGAATGTTGGTGTCAGACACAGAGGTCAGAAGTCTGAAAGTGGGCAAGTTTGGGAAGAAAGATCCAAGATTTGGTATTAGACATCATGGGTTTTGCAATCAAAATGGAAATGTGTCATTTGTATATATTGGGTAGTTAAACACAGCTTAAATGGAAAAACAGACCTTCAGAAAGTACTGTAGTACATTAATTTTGCACAAAGTAGCACTAATTTGATACACATCTCTAATTGCTCTCACTTAAAGCAGTTTCAAGACAAATAATAAACTCTTTTTAATTGCAACGTTGTAAAAAACACTTTTCTATGCTGTTTATTCTCTAGGAAACTATGCTATATAAAAATATTATATAAGCTATTCCTTTTCCAGAATTTGTTCAGATATCCACAAACTGAGACTCAGACCACACACATTTACGCTGCCGATGTCAGCACAGCATGTATTCAGAACCTGGAGAATTTCGCAGATTGGGGTTTTAGATGTTGGGGTGACTTTCTGAGTTGGTGAAAGATTTACCCAACAGCTGTAGTTAGCCAAGGACCAGAAACTCTGTTTTCGGCCAGATGCATAGGGTGAAGCAAGTAACTACCCAGCCTGCCATCTACTCTCTCTCTCCAACTTTTTATTGTAAAAAGAACATTCATTCTTTGTAGGAGTTAGAAAAAGCTAAAAACTTACTTTAGAGCTTACTTTGTGGGCTTACCATCTAGTCATTAGCTTAAAAATTACCAAAATATTTCTACCGCAAGTAATAGATACCCATTTTAGAAACATTGAAAATTTTTAATGAGTAAATAGAAAAAAAGGTCACTCAATTTAATGAGTAAATAGAAAAAAAGGTCACTACATCAATTGGCATTTGATGTAGATAGTTTGTACTCATTTTAAACTTAAAATCTGTTTGTGCCTTACATGTAGTGAATGAAATAATTACTTTTTGTACTATGTGTATTTTACTATAGTTCTTCAATGAGAGGTAACTAGATGGTTTATGTCACTTCACTTGAATGTGTATTTATATTCCAGGATGGCTCTGTCAGGAAGTTTTCTACTTATTTATAGTGATAACAATTCATACAAATTAAGCCTTTTATTTTTACCTCTAGGAGTTAGATATCATAATCATTCAGCCTCTATTAAATCTATAGTCACAGAAAAATGATATAAAACCATGAATCCTGCTACAACACTTTGGATGTGTTGTACTTTTACCCACTGTCACAAATAATTTAAAATAATTTCTAAGGAAACATCATGGCAGCCCCAGTTGGTGGTGCTTAGTGTTTAACTACAGCATGATGACTACAGAAGAGGTAACAATTTTAGTTCTTGCTAAAACTAAACAATATTACATGGATGCACATACACATAATACAATTCAGAAAATTATCACCAATTGCTTCTTTTTTTTTTTTGTCTTCTCAGAAATGGGCAGATGGATTATGTACTAAAAATATAAACCCTTAAGAATCAGGTTTATCCTGTAAAGAAGGTGGTGTCTCTGGGCATCACTTGGCTCTTTTGTAAATTGATTGTCACTTCATTTTTATCGTTATCAGTAAACCTTATTAGGTGCTGAAATCAGTGCTCGGGGTGCAGGGTCAGGTAAGGAAAGCATGTGCTGTGTATCAGGAGACCTGGCCACAAACTTGTCATATGTCTCTACATAAGTTATTATTGATGAAATCATTGTTTGGTGAGAGTTTGGATAGCCTGTATAGGGAACTAGCTAAGTAGTTGGGAAAAGGAACTGAAGCAGGACAAGGTAATAAAGTGCATCAAGATAGACCCCAGGCCCATTTGGTTAGCATCTCTGAAGGAGACAAGTTCAAATACCAAGCTCAAAGAGCTGGTAGAATGAGTGGAGCTGTATATTCAAAGTACCTAAGCAGTTGCTATGAATACCAGTGTGAGGTTCACTGTTTGCCTTTAAAGACCAGCAAGTGTGTAATGGTTGCAGTTAGGTCAGACTGTATGGATAGAGGTAGTACAGAGCCATTAGTGGAAGAATATTAAATTTGTTTGTTTTTAGAATTGGGGAAATATGATAACATGTGTCTGTAAAGCAGAGGTTGTCCCTGGAGAGGAGAAGGAAATATGCAAGAGAAATGGGGGGAATAAGTTATACTTGCTTATTGGAAAAATTAGGCTCTGAAAGGATGACCATGGATTCTTGGCTGCCTAATGAAACACGACAGCCAGAAAGGGCCTGTGGTAAGTGGTCAGGGCAGAATGCTCAATAGAATTGTGATTTTTGAGGTGATAAGAAGAGAAAACATTGTATTTAGAGAGGGACTATTAAGAGTTCTAACTTGGTTGAACTCTTGGTTGATTAATAACAAGTTAGGACAAGTCCAGGTAGGTGTTTATAGGTAGCCAAAGTGGATAAAAACTGGGAGGACGCTGACTTTGAGGCAGCGAAGGACTGTGCTTACAAGGCAGAAATGCTTAGTAACATGATGTCAAATCATCAGGGACGGTGGCCAAGGATGGATTACAGAGGTGCATAAAGTAGTTGCTAAAAACAACAAGTAGGTTTGGAAGAGTGCTCCTGGGCTTGATAGAATTTAGCAACCAGTAGGGGTAGAGGTTAGTACTAATATAAGTGGTGAAAAGACTTAAAAGAGAAGGGGAAGTTACGTCACACTATCAGAAGTAATCATATCCATTACAGGGGTTAAAACGAAATTGTCTCTAATGTTAAGACTATATATAGGCTTAATGTGTTAAAACATGGGCAAAAGTCATTCCATGCTTTTTCTGTGTACTAGAGGGACTGTAGGTATAGACACAGAAAAACCATTTAAAAGTGAAGCAACGGATGGTATAATCCTGTGTCCTGTTCTTTGCCAAATTGATTTTGGACTATCCCTCTGAATGCAAGAATGGTTCTTCTGCTGCCTTTGCCTCTTTTCACATCTACATAAAGTAGTGCTTACATTTGTTTGGAGTCAAAAAATAATAAATAAATGAACAAAATATATGGCATGTCAGATGATGATAAGTGCTACAAGAAAGACGCAGCTGAAAAGGAGGTGAGAGAGAATTAAATTAGGGTAGGTGAGCCCCATTGATAAGGTGGTGTTTATACAGAGACTTCATAGACATGAGAAAAGGAAGTGTATGTGTATCTGGGAAGTGAGCATTCCAGGGAAGGATGTGCACTGGCCCCAAGGCAGAACTGTGCTTGAGAACAGAAAAGAAGCCAAGAGGCGGCAGAGGAGGGAAAGTGAGGAGAGGGACTCGAAGCTGAGGTCAGAGGGAGTGGTGAAGTTTTTGATATCAAGCCCTGTGGGCCAATAAAGACCTTGCCTTTTGCTGTGAGTCATATGGAAAGCCACTGGAGGATAAGATCAGAAGAGTGGACTGCTGATCTAACTTTTCGAAAGAGTCCCTCTGGCTGCTGTGTGAAGAAAGGAATCATATCCAGGCTGCTCAGCCTGTGCCACTGAGCAGCCTGAAATTAGAAGGGGTGGGAAGGAGCAGTTAAAGTATGGATGTATTCTGAAGATTTAGCCAACACGGCTTGCTAATGGACTGGATTTTAAATAGAAGTTATTTATCATGGAGCGCAAAACTTAGAAAATGCTAAGGTCTAGCTTCTATGTTTATACTTGCTATGGCATAGACCCTGGACATGAACCCTGGGTTTGAAGACCCAGAACATGCATTTTAAGAGAAGATCTTCCAACCATCCAAGGAAGATTCTGCAAATTGAGGAACTGAGTAAACACAGCAAACAGTTGCCTAGGCTACCTGAGGGAATAGTTCACAGGTTAAAGTAGAAAGAATAGTTGCTTTGATCAAAATGTGGCATGAGAATAAATCCTGGCTTTTCCACTTACCTTTAAAATTTAAATTACCATATAGGTTAAATTCATTCACCTGTCCATCAAATCATTTATCCATTCCACTGACATTTAGTGGATACCTACCATGTTCCAAACACTTTGTAGGTACGCAGGAATAAAGCATGAACAAAACAGATGAAAATAATCTGTGAACTATTCTGAGAGATGTGGATAAAACATTAACAGTGGAGCCCTTTATGAAATCCACTATAACATTAAATTTTAAATTCCAGCTGGATTTAGCTTTATGGACTTCCAAATAAGAATAGCCTAATAAATTCTAGTTTAAAGGTGTAACATTGAACAGAATTTAGAAAATTCTTTTCTAATGTTGAAACAAAGGACTTTTGCAATAGTTGCATTAAAAAAAAAACATTGACTCACAAATGAATAGCTAGTGGAGGGCAGGATTTCTAGATAAGCAGGACAAACAATCTCCACTGTTTCTCACCAACTATGGAGCTAATGGGGACGGTGGCTTTAAGCCAACTACCACTTAAGGGGAAAAAAAAACTTACCATTCAACAAGTGAAATAGTTAGTGTGGAATGGATAGCATCTTTGAAATTTGATTTTCAGCAGTCTCCCCAAGTGACTGAATACATTTTTTCAAACTATTTACTTTTGTATCATGTCTTCTCATGGTCAAATTCAGGATGAATTTTATGACAGGATTTGGTCTAATGCTGCTGAATTGTCTCATAAATATCTTGACAAGTCATTTGAAACATGCTGGGCCTCTAAAGAGGCTGACTGACATGAAAGCACTAACTTGGAATCATCAGGGCTTAAGGGTAACTTATGGACCCTAAGGCAGAGCCCCAAATCAAGATCATAAAATTACAGACAGTGAGTTGAAATTGAGACCAGTCTAGATTGGTACCAGCTTCTTTGGGTTTCTTCGGTAGCAGGGTGGAGTCAGGTGGCTGGTGCCATGGAAGCATTTTGGATCTGGTACCTACTGGCTACAATTCATTGTTAGATTCAAGGATGTGTCCAGGCTTTGGGAAGCCCTTCTGGGGACTGGAAAGGGAGGGTCCAGTACCCAGAAGGGCTTCCCAAAGCCTGGGCACATATTCAGAGTCCAGCCAAGTGGGCTGAATTTCAGGACAATTTTCTGGGTCCATCCAAGGGAAGGAAGCACAGATTCAGATCGGAAGGTGTAGCAAGGGACAGGAAAGCCTGTTTTATAGTGAGCTCTGAGCTTTGGTCATTCATTACCAGGATTACCTGATAACATGGTATATTGCTGCCATCCAGTTTAAGGTACACACTGCCATATATATATATATATATATATATATATATAATTCTTTATATTTCTCTGGGCTTAACTGAACTTAGCTTAAGGCACATGAATTTATCATTCATACAATAATTATTTAGCATTTTTATATCTGGGCCTGGCTAGGATTAACAGGTATTGACAAAGAGGATTTGAGATTTCTGAAATCTTTATTTAGCATAACCTAAATCAACAACTAGGATTGATAGAAATTAAAAAGCACTGATTTATTTTAAAAGTGAAAATTTCTTTATATTTTGATGCAATATTTTAAAAATATGGTACAGATTTGATTCCTAGGTATTTACTAATAGTTCTGCATTTTGAACACCATTATCTATATTAGGCATATTGACCTTCATGATTTTTGTACAATTAATTTTTGCTTAATTTATTTTCTAATTTATAGAGACGTGAACAGTTGCCATAACCATGAACATTTACAGATCAATGGCTATTGGAGTTATTTAATTTATACATGGCTCAGAAGGTGGCAACCATTTCTTTCAAATGTTATATGGACAGTTCTAGAATGTATGCAGATATCCTGGGGAAATGGAGGGGTGGGTTTCTTTACAGAAAAGAATGACCTGAGATCAACCTAACAAAAGCTTGGTTGTGAAGAAATCTATCAGAACAAAATTGTACATATGAAAAGATATAATTCTTGCATGTGACTCCTCAACTGTATTTACCAGGATGACCCTGTGACCTTTCTTTTACTTTAGATTGATTGTTGATTTATTTCTTACTCATTTGTTCACACTTTTACTCTGTCCCCACCCTGTGCCATCCTTGAGCTCAATGCTTTCTCTTGCTCCACTTTGGCTTGGCACAGACCTTGATCTGATGCTTGAACTCAGCTTCACCTGCTATCCTGGATCACTGTTGTTGTTTTTCATTCCTCGGTGCTTCCCGAGTTCCCTAGCAGATAGCCTCCCCCTAGCTCAACAATACCACCACCACCACCAGCACCCCCGCCACCACCCCCCCCACCCACCCCACCACCCTTGACCCTCTCCATACACACTCTGGTAGACTGTTTTTCGGCGTCCTTACCTTGATAAGCTTAACAAAGACTAATAATAACAAATAACACACCACATTACTATTTACAAAGTGTTTACATATTCATTTTCCTGTTTGAGATAGTGGTTCCTGTTTCAAAATAGAAAAGGAAGAGTGAGATATGGGTTAAAGGAGGACTATGTTTTTCATAAATATTTACACATATTTACATATGTAAAAGTCCACATAAGTGTTTATAAATATGTTTCAGTGATAGGATGGAAGGTCAAATATATATGGACTCTTATGATATATACAAAGTTTTATTTGTTTATCAGAAAAATACTGCTCTGCAAATCTTCTAATTTGATAGCCATTTATCAATAAATTGTATTCATTATTGAGGAAATCATTACTTTGGTGATGTTTGTCATATCTGATTTAAAAGCAACCTCTTACTCTTGAGAAGCGAGAACAGGAGAGTGTTCATTCAGTATGAGTGAAGATGGAGACAGCAACCCAGAGCATTTATAGGAGAAAGGCTGGACATGTTTTAAACACTGGATAAATGCAAGGCACGGTTATATGCCAAGTCGCATTGGACTGGAAGAGATCGGGAGACCCAAGCCTTTGTCTACATGACTTGTCTGACTTATCTCACATCTTCCATTTCTACATTTAAAATAGGTGAACTAGATGTAGGACCCTGTTATTTCAAATATATGTGACAAGAGATATCTATGCCCCTTTCCTTTTGAAAATATTTCTGGTGTCTCTTGATATTTGAAAAATAAAATTTTACGAATTTAAGAGTCCAAAACTAAATTTCACTGTTATGAGAATTTTGCTTTTGCTTGTCACCATAATAACTTGTTATTTATTTTAATCTTATCTGGTTGGTCAAAACTTCAGGTCAGCTTTACGATATATTTGATATGGTCCATTTATACTTGGAACTGATCCATTGTAGGTAATAAACCAATTAAGGCAGAAAACTACCCTTAGACAAAGTTGGTATTTTTAAATGAGCTGGCATTTGAAATGATTATTTTGATGTTAATATTATATATATTTTATACATTATGCATTTAGAGATTATATTTATGAAACATTTCAATATAACATTGCATCCAAATTTGCATATAGTATACATAACCCAAATTATGGATTTTGATACATATTCTTTTAATCATACCAAAGTTGCATCTTTTCATTTACTCATTCCATCTTCAGTTGTTTATAACAATGTGAATGGTATGAAATTATGTGTTTATATAATAATTACTCCATATATCAATATCATCAGAACTGAGAAACTTATTAGCTTATCTTCTAGAAATGCCATTAATGCCTTGAGATTTTCTTCTCTCTACTTAATAGGGTTAAATAGATGCCTTCCATTTTAGAAAGGAACAGTCTTATTATTTCTTATTTCTGAGAAAGGACTAGATACTCCTTGAGATGTCTGTAATAAGGTAAAATTGTTAACTTTCAACATGCTGTTTTCCTAACTTTGTGTATGTATGGGACCCATGATCTTATCTAGCCTTTTGAAATGAATCACTGGAATTAAGAAATTTAAAAGAAAAAAAATACTGTGTAAAACTATGCTATGAAAGAAAAATTATTAAATATGCTCTTTTCATATAGTTTGCTAATTAAATACTGCAGCTGTTATGTGGAGGGAAAGTTGCAGATATGATGAGATATTGAGTTTGTCATTTCTGAAGAGTTACATTTGGCTAATCTGTCTTAACAAACTAGAATTTTCCATACTTTTATGAGGAGTATGCGTAGTAAGTATGATGTATATATCTTTGCATAGACATATGTACACAAACAAGATTTACTAAAATATTTTAAATTAAAAATGTAAATCTAAGACCTGCATCCTCAACCTTTAATTTCCAAAGAAATATAAATTTTGCTGATTATCAATCTCATTCACCTTTTCTTTGTAAATAAACCAGAAAACAGCATATTTAGAGAGTACATTCAACAGCATTACTATTTCATCACCTGTTTCAGTAATAAAGTGACAGAATGCACCTTTAAAATAATACTTTGGTTGTATCTTAAAAATTAAAATTGAGAGTAATGATAATTAAATTGTTAATCTGTCTGTTAACTTAGTCAACTATAAGAAAACTGATTTTTTAGAAAGGGGTAAAGTAATAAAAATAGTCTATTCATTAGATTCTCCCTTAATTTTAAAGGAAAAGTCTCTTATAATACATTTTGAGGCATATTTTCCTATTTTCTTCTGCACACTGCTATGCAGTGCTTAAGAGAAGGTAAGGACATCTTTTAGAGAAACTGAGTATTTCTAGTTCAGAGTTATTTGAATGCTGGTTACTTGGAGTGGAAGACTTGATCGTGGGCAGACTAGCAATTAAAGATCATGAAAGTCTACACTCCAGGAGGCGATAGACACTTGACTTGCTCACTCCTTTCTCAGTCAAATGCCCTCCCTATATGCCATCTGTGGGCTGTGTCAGGCTTAGGGATCCTGAAGGAAAACTACTTTTGGAGAAATAAATGACTGCTTGATATGATTGAAGTGATTGGTTTATACGTTAGTCTTTTTGAGTTATGTCATCTGTATGTTCCAGAAGTATTAAAGTTTGCTTTCCTTCTTTTAAATTCTAGATCTAAATAAATTTAATTTTGGTCAGATTTGGGGCTAAAATTTGATATAGTCATTCAGTTTTTTTTCCCCAAGGGATAATTACATAATCTTTCTTGACGTGGACTTAGAATGTACAGTTTCACAGGCTTGAAAGACTAGTAGTCAGACGAAGTCGTATTCTGATGAACAAACCTTCTTAAGCATGTTCTGCAATGTCCAGATAGAATTAATACCAATCCAAATTCATTTTTCTCAGAAAGTTTATTATCTTTAAAAATCTTATCATTAGCAACCTTGGGATCTCAAAATTATAGTCTTAGAACATTCTACAAGTCTTTTATTTGTGCAGTTCCTTAATTACTACTATTTCTACAAAATAACTGCTAATATTTATTGAGTGCCTCCTGTGTCACTTCATACTAAGTCCTCCTCGTAATTTATTTCCTTCTGTCTTCCTATCACTTTCATCTGGCAGGTATGCTCATTTTCCTGTTCTCGGGCAATAATTTGCCCCAGGTGGCTTACCTGGTGAGTAGCAGAATGAGGATTTCATGTCCTGTTGCCTGGCTGTAGGCTTTGAGTCTTAACCACACACCGTAAGGCACCCAGAGTGTGAACTTTCCATATGATGCAGACCAGCTTTCTGTTTCTGCAATTCTGCATTTTATGGAAATGGAAGCATTGTTTTAAGGATGATGTGTGACCAAATTACATTTTAAAAATCTTTGGTAATACTGACATTGTAAAGATGAAGATCCAGTCCCTGCTCTGTGGAGCTCCAGGTTTCTGGAGAGAGAGTTTATCAGATAATTGCGTTGTGTTATTTCAACGGTCAAAAAAGAACATGGCAATTCTGTCATGGGGAGGGCTTTGGAGAAGACCAGATGCCTGAGATCAAGGGAGAGCAAAATACTTCATTTTTGTGTAACATTCTCCCGTGCAACTTTGTTCCACATTTCATGATATCCTTTTCATATCTAAATTCACATGGACTTCTGATTGTGCTGTGTATTCCAAACCATGCATTTCCCCACAGTTTCATTGTGTTTGCTTTCATATGCTTTTCCATTTCTCTTTACTACTATGTAAAACATGTATTTTACTTTATTAGGTTCTTGAGGAAGGGTAATTATCCTTTTTAAATTTTTTTTTCAAAATATATAACTGCATTTAACTCTTCTTTTTCTGACTTCTGAGATTTAAAATGTGTTAATTATACACTTAAAATGGAGATTTACAGTGGTAATGTACATTTAAAATGGTGATTATTCATGCCTCCCTGTGTCCTCCCCTTTTGTTTTGTAGCTGTACTTAATAGGAAATACGGAAAAGGGCAAGAGGATTGCCCAGATTTAACACAGTGTCTAGTAACAATTATTGCTAACCCCTATTATGCATTATTCTATGCCAAACACTGTTGCCAGCATTTTTCATGGATTATTTTATTTACTCACTTTAACTTTATGCATAGATAACTGTTGTTATGCCTATTTTAGAGATGATAAAACCAAGGCACAGAGTGGTTAAATAACTTGTCCCAAAATCATGTACCTAGTTAGTGGCAGAGTGAAAACATGAACTGAAGAAGTCTGATTCTAGATACTGCATGTTTCAAACTTAATTGGGGCTTCTCAGCTTGGAGGCAAATCTGTAATTTATGAACCGGTCATTCATAAATATTCAGTAAGCATTTCCTGGCTCACATTAGAGAATTATTTTTCCGTATGATATGGTGGTGTTTAAATGTTATAAAGGGGAGCATATTGGATAGGTCAAAGAGTAGGTCAGAAGTTAGGTGTACGCTTATTGAAATCTGGGTTCTGCCATAATTAGTTGTGTGACTTTTTAAAAATCAGTTCCTTCCATCCTTCAAGCTCTCAGCTTCTTCGTTTGGGTGATGATTAAGTATCACTCCTTCAACAGTGAGTAATGCAAAGTTTTCTACCCATTCTTGCTTAAACATAAATTTTGAAGCCTTCAGACCCATGTGGTGGGCACTGTTCCATCTCCATTACAAATCTTCCTCCTCATCTCTTCAAGTAGTTTTTTTTTTTTTTTTTTTTTTTTTTTTTGGAGACAGAGTCTCGCTCTGTTGCCCAGGCTGGAGTGCAGTGGTGCAGTCTCAGCTCACTGCAACCTCCACCTCCCGGGTTCAAGCAGTCCTCTTGCTTCAGCCTCCTGAGTAGCTGGCATGCGCCACCATGCCCGGCTAATTTTTTTGTATTGTTAGCAGAGACGGGGTTTCACCATATCGGCCAGGCTGGTCTCAAACTCCTAACCTTGTGAATCACCTGCCTCGGCCTCCCAAAGTGCTGGGATTACAGGCATGAGCCACCGTACCCAGCCTCAAGTTTTTAATGTTGGATACTCCTTTGGTGATCTCATCCAGTCTCTGATCTTTAAATACCATTTTTTATAGGGAAGATTCACACTTTTATCTCCAACCTAGACCTCTTCCCTGATCTGTAGACATCTAATCCATTGGCAATCCTGTTGGCTCTACCCTTAAAATATAACCAGAATTTAATAAATTTCTACATCTTTATTGCTACCAACCTAGCTCAGAGGTTCATCTCCATCTCGGTGATTGCAGTAGCCTTCTAACTTGTCTCCTTATGGTATATTCTCTGCACAACACCCAAAGTAAGCCATTAAAAGATTAAGTCAGAGCCTGTTGTTCCTCTGCTCAAACCTGGCTTCCAATCTCACTCAAAGTCACAATCTTTACAGTGGCCTTTGAGGCTCTACACAAACAGGCCCTTAGTTGCACCTTTGACATTGTCTGTTATCTGTCTCCTCCTCAGTTAATTCACCCTAGCCAAAATAGCAGGATGTGGTCTTTGAATGTGCCAGACGTATGCACCTGCCTCAGGGCTTTTGCACTTACTTTCCTCTATGTCTAAAACGTTCATCTCTTAAGTGTTTGTATAACTCACTCCCTCAGCCCCTTCGGGTGTTTTCCAAAATATCTTTTGAATAAAGCTTTCCCTGACTACCCATTTTATAATAGCATTCATTCCTCAACTGCTGGACACTCCTTACTTGCTTTACTTTGCCCAATAGTAATGAACATTCTCTAGGTAGCATAATAAATTTTAGTTTTTTTGTTTTGTTACTCTTTTCTGTCTCCATCAATTAGTATATAAGTGTTATGAGGGTATAGATTTTGTAGATTTTTATTTCAGTGTTGTATACTTAACCACCTAGGACAGTCCTTGACACATATTATGCACTTAATAAACATTTGTTGAATTCATGTATGAATAAATGAATGAAAGAATGGCATTTGAGTTTTATTAGGAACTTTTATCTTCTTTTGAAAATGATGGCAAGTTAGTTTTGGTCTCTTATTCTGATAGCTGGGGCCTATGAGTGAATGTATGCTGAAACAAAATGCCTCATGATCCAGGCCAGAAATGTAAGTGTATGAAATGCTTTGAGTGCAAATAATATAGGAATGTGGGGGCTGTAATAAACCACAGGGTTAACCCCTAATCAGTGGGCTACATCTCATTGCTATCATAGGCAAACAGTGCCTTGCCATTTGACTTAGAAGAAGCAGCTGCAAATCCAGATTTTTATGAGAGCTCCAGCAATTCATAAATATCGATTTCCAATTCAAAATTTTGTGTGGGTAAAATAAAACATCTTCTAGCAAGATTCAACTTGTGGACTGCCAATTTGAGAGCTCTAGTAAAAGAAGTATAAACTTCAGACATCTATCTATTTTAGCAAACTTTACCTGGTTTAAAATGTCGTCAGAAAAGTTTGTAAAATAACTTGAGTAGAAAATGTAGGACATGAAATACCAATCAAATCAAGAATGTTTGATGAAGAATAATTCCTAGAATCTTTTTGCAGTGTTTCTGGCTCCCTTTGCCATTTCTCTTGTTTGCTCTTCATTCTGATAAGGGCCTGATCTTTGATGTTGACAGTCTAATTGAACCAAAAAATGAACAAATAAAATTTATTGAGTTCCCATTATGTGCCATGCAGTGTTCTAGGTGCCAGGGTTACAAGAATGAAGACAAAAGTACACCTTGATATGAAACTTCCATCCTACTTGGAGGGGAGAGAAAGGTGACAGATAATGTTCAAATTAACTCGTGAAAAAGATAATTTTACATAGACCTAAGTGCAATAAGTACATAAACAAAATGTTCTGATAGAGAATGCTGGGGTTAGGTGTTGGCTAGTTTATACTAAGTGGTTGATGAGGGTATGTTTGAAATGGGGACTTTTGAGCACAGACCAGTTGGCAAGAAAGGCAACCGTTCAAATATGTGGGCAGAGCTTCTAGACAATGGGGATATGAGATGAAGAAACCATAAAGCTGAAAGGAACTTATTGTGCATGGAGAACAGCAAACTGGACAGAGGGGCTGGAGTGCAGTGAGGGAGAGAGCTGAGGTGGGTGAAGTTAGGGAAGTTGGCCCCTGTGGCTCTATTCTTTGTCGTTTGCTCTCTGTATCTTTTTCGTACTTCAGTTTGCTACATCTTCACATTTGCTGATCTTTTCCACTTCAGTGTCAAATGTGCTATTAATCCAGTCCAAAGAATTTATTTTTATTTTAAATGTTCTATATTTTAGCTTTAGAAATTGCATTTCATTCCATTTCTATACATTTCATTTCTTTTTTTGTTATATTCATGTCTTCACTAGATTCTTGAATATATTTATGATAATATCAATTATCAATTCATATCAATTTCTTCAGATTATATTATCTCTGTTATTTCTGGGCCTATTTCTAATGACTGATTTTTCTTCTGCTTACATTTTCTTTGCATGACAAGTAACATTTTAGGAGATGCTGGATATTTGGCTGTTGACTGTCTGGGTTTTATTGTCTTTTTTATGGAGTGTTAAACCTGTTTGAGAAGGCTGTTAAGTAACTTCCGAATCAGCTTAAATTTTAGAGGCTTGTTTTTAAATGGTATTATAGTGAGGCTGCTGAAGCCCTTAATCTAGTGTTAGTTTTGTCTTACCATTAAGGTGTGAACTTTCAGGATCTCAGTTGAATGTGTCCGGTATTTAGTGAGGCCTCTGTACTCTGGCTGGATAAAATACAAATGTCTTCTAGCTCCCTGTAAACTGCATATTGTTAAGATTACAGCTTATTAATTGGCCCTTTCTTTTGCACAGTCTTGTTGTGTTTCAACCTATGTATATGCAGTTCAGTCTTTAGCAACTATATAGTGAGTCCCCATGCAGATTTCTGGAGCTCTCTGTCTACTTAGCTGTGTTATCCCCAGTACCCTGCCCTGCAGACACCAGACACCTTAACCTTCCAGAACTCTATCTGACTGCTTAACTGAGGATACCCCCTCCCGCATCACAGTCCAGAAAGCTACTGTAGACAGACAGTTGTGATAATAGTGCTGACCTTCTTTGTTTCCCTTCTTTCCTGGATTACAGTCCTCCACTGCCTTTGTCTAACATCTAAAATCAACCATTTCACTTATTTCTCTGGATTTCTAAATGTTTCATTACAGGAAGGGTGTTGGGTACAAGTTCTTTAACATGGTCATGAATGATGTTGAGAAAGATTCTTTTCCCATAACATTTTATTATGGAAATTTTCAAATGTGTACAGAGGTAGAGAAAGGAACCTAATGAACCCTTATGCCCACCATCCATCTTTAACAATTAGCTACATGGTGCCAAATTTGTTCACCTATACCTTCTTCCCAGCCTCTTACCCATCTAGATCATAAGAAAGAATTTAGAAGAATTTAAAATGGCAAAACTTCATGCTGTGTTAAAGAAAAAAAAAAAAACAGGAGAAGATAGTATTTATTGAATCTCTTCTTTATTTATTTGGTACTTATTCTTGAACTATAGATCTCAATCTGTTTTATTATCACAGAAACCTTACAACTTAATCTTTTTGAATGCTGCCAAATCTATTTTAAATAAAGCTTTGATTTGCATTTTTATTTTTGTTGCCCAAAGCTTTACAAATAGTCTGATAGTTTCAACAGTTTGTATACCTTATGCATCATCTTGTGTATACAATGTGATTCATATCACATACAATGTGATTTGGTTGCAACTGATAAAACACAGTAACGTCACAATTCATTGGCTACCATAGATTTGACCAGTAATATCTTGTTCAAAAGGAAGTTTGTGTTGACTGTTTTTTGTTATGAGGAGGAGCTTAAAAGGTAAACAATGAAACAACATGGAAAATGTTTTAAAACAATATAATACTTAATATTAAGTGAAAGAAACTACACAACACTTTCATCTACATTTCATAAATGGTTAAGAATGTCATATACGTACATATAAAATTGGTATAACAGGTAATTTGAATCTTAAAAGAAATCTAGAAAAAAATTAAGTTAGTGATTTTTCTAACAGATATGTGAGAATATATTTTTTCTTTTAAAAATTTATTTGACACTATTTCATCAGTAAATACAAGTTAGAAAGCATTAAAAAGAAAATAATTGGAATCTATTGTTAATGGACATATCCAGCTGACTTAACTTACTAATGCATGATGATAATGAGGCCAGAATTGTAGCTGGATTGAAAGGAGAATGACAGAAACACAGTCAAAGCCAAGCTTAATAAAAGGAAGAATCATGCAAGACAGAATGAAAGTTGGAAAATCAGTCGCCTGTAGCAAAACCAACAAAGTTAATACCACTAACAAAGCTTCACATGTCTTAGCTCAAAATATCATCAGTGACAATTGTGAAGAGTTGATCATCTTGTCCCAACACTAATGATATTTCAGGCATGTATCTACAAGTTCAAATGATAGTAAGTTCATAGCTTATTATACTTGAAAACAAGCATATATTACAATAAAATATCACTGTGGGTAGTAATTTCTTTACTTTGGAATAAATTTCACATGTAAAAACCATGTCTGTAAGTTGTGCTGAGAATGTTTATTCTCCCACAATGAAGATAACTTTCCTGAACAATGTATCATGATAGTTATTGCATTATCCTCTATGTCTACTTGACCCATAAGTTTCTCAATTATCTATTATTCAAGATTCTATTTTTAACATCTTGCCAGAGAACAGCATTGGCATGTGAGTATGCCTGTGCTTCCATGCTGTGTATGTGTATGTGTGTTATAAAATGATGGTTCGTTAGTTCTGTTAGGTGACAAATGTTGAGATGAGTGAAGACTGTCCACTTTTCCTTCCAAATTTTGCTTCTAGGTAAGAATGAAAGAAATGTCAAACCAAATTCTGGCTTACATATAGATATTTTTTGAACATTTCTTGGCAAGCAAACACACATAAAAAGTAACTCTATATTTGTTCTGTAGGATCAAGGACACTTTAGCTCTTATGTCCTTTTAGATGTTTTGACCATTACCTGGTATGAAAACTCCAGTTGAGATAAACGTGAAAATTCCAAGACCGGATTCTCTCACCTTATGTCTAGCATCAGGCAATTAGAATCTTCTGTAGTTCATGACTAGGCATAGGAATACTTAAAAAGACTTAGCCAAACACATCCTCTTGAAAGTGAAAGCTGCAGGCTTATCTAATTTTTACACTTGATTTACGTAAGGGTGGAGAGTATTGCTAAAATATTTTAGTGATCTACTTATCTTGAGTAGTTTTAACTTCTATTAAAATGAGATGTGCGAGTTCATTTCTGCCATTCACAGTGCTACTCAAGAGGCTACTGTTTTCGTCAGTGAAAACCCATTTCTGACATTAAATATTCTAATTTTCAAAAAGTTGTTTGTTGATGGAAATTCAGATAACCAGAAGACTTTTAGTACTCATGTGAGGGAAGGTGGGCTTTATGATGAGAATGCTACCTTTCTGTTGTCACATTTTTGAATAGAATGCTCATAGCACCTACAGTGTAGCTTATTCTAAGTAAACCATGCATAATTACTGGATGTGCTATAGTATTTTTAGAAAATTGCAGACATAATAACTGCATTAATGTTTGTGGTATTAAGAACAAGGTTATATATGCTCTAGAAATCCTTATTTACAGCTTCTGTGACAAAATGTCACTGAAATTCTTGAGTAAGTCTTATATAACTATGAATTCCAGAGAGGTGGAAGTTGTTATCTTTAACTACCAGGAGTGAACATACTACCAGTAATAATAGTTACTGTTATTATTATTATTATTGGACATCATGGCAGTGATGGTGACATTGTTGAAAAGTCATAGCAATAATAATTGTCCTATTAGTAATAATAGAGGAAGAAGATAAAGACTAGCTACTGTTTCCCGAATGTTTACTCTGTGCTATACGTTTAAGGTTCACATGTCATTTATTCACCAGAATAACTCAGGTATTGTTATTTTATCTTAATTTTTCGGATGAAGAATTTCACACAACTGGTATGCAGCAGAAAGGGAAAACAAATTCTTTGCTCTCTGATTCTAAATATGTACTAATTTCCATTGCCGTATATTGCTTCTTTTTCTGTAAAACCTTTTATAAGAATTTCCGTGAAAATTTTAAAATACATTTTTGTTAGGACTTCTGGAACAAGAATATTTTATAGAGAAAGAAAGGAAGAGTTCTTTAGTTTATTAAAAATTGTGCCAGGGAAAAAGATAAAAATGTGGAAAACTTTATTTCTGTTTATGAAGGCATTCAGCTTCTGTTTAACCAGGTCCATTGAAAACAGATTGAAATGTAGTGTTTTGTTGTTGTTGTTGTTTTTTCACATGAAAGTTTGTGGGAAATCTTAAAAACAGAGTCTTTCTATACAACCTTGATTTTCCCCAGAACTTCTCATGAAGACTGCTGCCACAGCTTTTAGACAGTAGAATAATAAATCTACCTTTTGGGTACATAGATATCCTAGTAAAGATTCAGATAAATGGTTTTGAAAAATAGTTTCTTTTTCCTTTCTTTTTTTCTAACTTTTATTTTAAGTTCAGGGGTACAAGTGCAGGGTTTGTTACATAGGTAAACTTGTGTCATGGAGGTTTGTTGTACAGATTATTTCATCACCCATCTCTTAAGCCTAGTACCCATTAGTTATTTTTCCTGATCCTCTCCCTCCTGCCACCCTCCACCCTTCCAAGAGGCCCCAGTGCCTGTCGTTCCCCACTATGTGTTTGTGCATTCTCTTCCACCCAGCAATCCCATTACTGGATGTATACCCAAAGAAATATAAATCATTCTGTTATAAAAACACATGAACAGGTAGTTTATTGCAGCACTATTCACAATAGCAAAGACATGGAATTAGCCTAAATGCCCATCAATAATAGACTGGATCAAGAAAATGTGGTACCTATACACCATAGACAACTATGCAGTCATGAAAAAGAACAAGATAATGTCCTTTACAGGGACATGGATGGAGCTAGAGGCCACTATCCTTAGAAAAATAGTTCTCTAATGATTGCAGTTTCCTGGGGATGAACCATACTCTTAAGCTTACTTGGGATGGCTTGTCCTCATTGATTGCTATATAAGTACCTTCTATAAGATCTCTAAAGAGATTTGTATTGTTATTTATATTCAAAGATTAAGCTTCTTGTGTTGAAAAATCATTTTTATGTTATGTATGTCAAGAATTCAGGATCTTGAATGTAAAAATCAATAAAAATAAGAGGGCATGCTTTTATTAGAAATATAATTCTCAAAATTTCAAAATTGTTGTATTACATAGTTGCATATTGTTGTAGTCATCTCAGGCTGCCGTTACAAAATACCATAGACTGGGTAGCTTAGGCAATACAAATGCATTTCTCACAGGTCTGGAGATTGGGAAGCTCAAGATCAAGGTGCCAGCATGATCAATTTCTGGTGAGGGCTTTCTTCCTGTCTTGGGGGTTAGGGGTGGGGAGAGAGAGAGAAAGAGAGAAAGAGAGAAAGAGAGAGAGAGAGAGAGAGAGAAAAGAGTGTGCTCCTGCTTGCTATCTGGTGCCTCTTGTTATAAAGGCATTAATCCCATCGTGATGACCCTGCTCCTCATGACGTCATATAAGCCTAATTATCTATCAAAGGCCCATCTCCAAATAATCTCACATTGGAAGTTAGGGCTTCAACATGTGAACTTTGGGGCAATGCAGACATTCAGCCCATAACGAACATCATCAGTTTAGTATCACCAACATTAAAGTCAAGAGTTATACTACTTATTTATAGTTTTTCACTCAAATGGAGTAACCCATGTGCATTATTAAAATTGGTGTATTTTACTTATATGAATACATATTTTGATGTTTCTGATGATGATGTAGTCATGTTAGGGAACTTCGTGCTTGACTAGAATTCCATGGTACTTTTCCTAAATATTTTTGTTTTATTTCTGAGGTTATTATTTATTATTTATAACTATTGTTATGAAAGTTATGCAGAAGATAGAAGTTGAATGCTGCTGAAGTGATCGTAGTGTCTACTCAGTTACAGATTTAGAAATGCGAGCCATTATTATGAAGCAAGCCTTATAATAAGATATAAGGACCAAAGAGTATAGTGAATGTGAAAGAGTTATGAGCATAAGATTGCTAAAGATTAGTTTACTATCTATTAGCATTTGAAGTGTCAAAGCATTATTCAGTGTGTGTGTGTGTGTGTGTGTGTGTGTGTGTGTGTGTGTGTGTGTATATATATATTTTATTTTTATTTTTTTTGAGACGGATTCTCACTCTGTTGCCCAGGCTGGAATGCAATGGCATGATCTCGGCTCACTGCACCCTGTGCCTCCCAGGTTCAAGTGATTCTTTTTGGCTAATCTGAGTCTTTTTGAACTGAGATTGTCCTATTTTAAGAGTTTATTTTCCATTATAAAAGAGCAGAAAAGGCCAGGCGCGGTGGCTCACGCCTGTAATCCCAGCACTTTGGGAGGCCGAGGCGGGCGGATCACGAGGTCAGGAGATCGAGACCATCCTGGCTAAAACAGTGAAACCCCGTCTCTACTAAAAATACAAAAAATTAGCCGGGCTTCGTGGCGGGCGCCTGTAGTCCCAGCTACTTGGGAGGCTGAGGCAGGAGAATGGCGTGAACCCGGGAGGCGGAGCTTGCAGTGAGCCGAGATCCCGCCACTGCACTCCAGCCTGGGCGACAGAGCGAGACTCCGTCTCAAAAAAAAAAAAAAAAAAAAAAAAGAGCAGAAAAAACTAACTAGTCTCTTTATTTATGCATAAACTCTACCAGTTTTATTTCCTAGCAAAGAAAAGGGGGGACCTTTGTATTATTCTCACAAAATGTATTTTGCAGAAATATCTGAATGTTGTTGAAGTAGCAAAATGAACTGTAGAGAGGTGAATTGTTTTGATCTAATTAAATTATGGTACCTAATCTAATTGTAAGATAATTTTTGAACTGAAGAAATTATTCAGAAAAATTCCCCAAATATCCTTCCATTCTCACACTATACATTTCAGAATTTCACATAAATCCAAACACTTCCATTTCCAGGTCAGGTCAAAAAATCTAAACTGTTTGGTTTGTAGCAGTTTTCACAGACACAGGAGCCCATTATCCAGAAACAGCTGTCTTACTAATACTTATTTCTCTTAGGAGGCACTCCACACAAGCAGGGACTCGCTGGTGTTGTGTTTGTTCTGTATTAATGGTTAAGGGAAGGTAAAGGGGTCTTTCTGATAGTTTTTCCTGTGGCACAGATTTTGCGCTGTGGTAATGCTTGTTGTCATTTTGGGAAAAATAGTTTTTTTATATATAATACTTATGTAATCATTTTGATACAGTTCTATAAAATTATATATAATATGAAATATATATTTGAGAAAAATAATTATCTATATTATCTATATCTGTTTAGGCCCTGTTTATCTAAAGTATTGCTAAGTCTTGCTACGGTATAATATTTTCCTTTATGGTTTGAATTAAAGCAAATGTTAAAGGAAAACAAACCCTGAAGCGAACCTCCCGATAGCTTCATAGCTGCTGTTTACTTACTGTTAATTTTATTGAAGTTTATGCTTCAACAGAGCAAAACACAGTGGTCTGAAACTAGTTTAATAGAAACCCAAGTTTTTTTAGTGAGCCCTCTGGACAGAGCTTTGTCTTTAAGGTAGGGGTAATCTAGTGTATTGGAGGGTCCTGGACTTGTATCAGAGGACTTGAGTTTGAATCTTGACTGTTGAGTATCATTGTTGTGACCTTGAGGAAGTTGCTAAATATTTGAATTTTCAATTATTTTCCTCAGTGAAAGTGAGACAAGAATGATCTCACAGGCTCAAATGAGAAAATTAATAAGTTAATTTTAAAAACTCCCTTTTTGTTGGAAATGCATCTATAAAGTCATACTTCTAGATAGAATTCACAGTGAAAAGGAATCATCGAATGTAGTTGGGATTTTCAGATATTCTAGGTTTTACCCATTTAAAGCACCAAACATTTTTTTCTAGTTGAACTATTTTGATTGAGCATTTTTCTAAACATTATTTTACATGTATCTGCTTTGTAAAATGCACGGGTATTATTGCCTTACATTTGTATATTCATTCATTAAGTCTTTAACAAATATTTGTTGAGTGCTATTCTGCTCCAGGCACTGTGCTAAGCCTTGTACATAAACTGATGGAAAAATGGACATACAGAGTGTATGAACTAGTAGGAAGACACGCACTCAAGAGGTAAAACAAACACACATAAATGATACACACATTGTGATAACTGCTAAGAAGAAAAACAAGAGGGCACTATGAGAAGAAACAGAGGGGAAAAACTACTGTAGGTTGAGTGGTCAGGAAAGCTCTCTCTGAGAAAGTGAAATTGAAGCTGAGATCTGAAGGATGAGAGCCAGCCGCCTTACAGAATGTGGGGGAGAGGATTCCAGGTACTGGAAACGAGGAAAAGAGGCCTCGTAAGAAAAAAAAGGCCCTTTTTGTTTTCAAGAAACTGACAGAAATTCAGTGTGACTAGAACACAGGAAACATGGAGAAGACTGGTCTGACAAAAGATACAGAATCCTGTATAGTTTATAAAACATATTTATAGCTTAAAACCAGTTGAGATGCAGAAGACTTTTTTTGTTTCCATGTATAGACACTGAGGGTTAAGGGGGCTGACTTGCCCAAGGTCACCCTGCTGGGAGGGGAGGATGAAAGCTCCAGCCTCCTTTGACCCCTAGTCCTAGGCTCTTTGTGCTGTGAAAATTTCCTAGCTGAACAGTTTCATACTTTTCTGATGTCTGAGGCCATTATTATGTAATCAGTCACTGAAATGAAACCCTAATGGGCTGTTGAGGTGTGAAAGGCCCATTGCCCTGTAAGATCTTCTGAATTCTTATGTCTGAATCATAGTTTTTCTGTCTGCTGTTGGGTTGCTCTCATTTGATTTCAGCAATTCCCTTATCTGTTTTTGAGGAGCTGCAGACATAGAAACCAACATGTTTAGTTTATTAGGCACGTGTAAAGTAATAGCCAATGGCTTCTGTGTGAGAGCCCATTGGATTGTTGTAATATTTGTTGTCTCAGTAGGACAGGCAGTCATGTTTGACTATTCCTAATTGTAAAATTGATTTTACTTTGAAAATATTTGCCAAAAAATAAATCATGTTTAAATGAGGGAGATATTTACATAAAGTTGTTGATGTCTGAGGAGCCACTCTTATCCCATTCTCTTAAGAGTTTCAAATCAATTGTGAATAATCACAGGAGTTAGACAAAGATGACAGTACCAGGTTTATTGTTAATAAAGCCAGACTGGACAGCTGTCCATGAACCTAAGGCCTAAATCATGCTTCCCCTTCTTTACCCAAGCTGAACTTAACAAATGCAATCAGACCTCTGTCTCCAGAACCAGAAGACAGAGAAAGAACGCTATGTACATCTGGAAGGCAGGCTGCATCTGAAGAAGGTAGCCCAGGAAGGGTTAATGAAACCTGCCCTGTGACCTTTTCTTCTGTTACTCATCAGAAAGGAAAGAAGTAATACCTGATACTCACAAGAAAGTTTTTATTTTATAAAATGGAATAAAAATATGAGAAAAGAGAGAAAATGGTTTCTTCTACATTAAGGTAAAAGCAAACCATTATGATTTAATTAGACAACATTTACAAGTAAAGGTATTATGTCTTGTGAACATACATACTTAGTATCAAATAGGATAATTTCAGTGTTACGGCTTAGTAGGCTAGGAGTCAGAGACGACTTTTACTTACTTTATTATTTAGGAGAAGCCGTAGAAGAACAGTGAGCTCCAGTTTCGTCATCTGTCATAACGAGTGCTATAAATACATGCTCTGTCTGAGAGAAACAGATGCTACTGTGACTATGAAAGGGTGGTAGGAAAAGAGAATGACATCTGAGTACCTACTGTATGCCAACCAATGTGTTAGATGCTTTTCAGGATATCTTGTGTTATCACCATAATCAAACAAGTGTTATTTTCATTTTTCAAAGAAATTGAGTGTCAGATTCTACAACAACCATTTTTTGAGCATTTATGATAAGCCAGTCTCTGTGAATACAGTGGTGAACAGGGATACCACAAGAAAGTGGCATTTCAACACAGGTATGGAGAGTGAGGGGAGCTGGGCACATAGAGGGAGGGTTGCCTGGTCGTGTTCCTCTCTAACCAGCTTTCCTCTACACCTTCCTCAGATGGTCTTCCTGGTGTCTATTTAGTCAGAAACCGGGATGGCATTCTCGATGCTCCTCTTTCTCTTATCCCATACACCCATAGGTACAAAGGTCCTGAAATAGCATAGAGATTGGGATGTTTATGGAATAGAGAGAACATCATTTCTTGTATGCTTTGAGAGTTAGAATTGTGTCTTAAGTGCATAGGGAAGACACAGAAGCGCTTTAGACTGGAATATTGTGAACCTACTCTTGGAAGAAGGCAGTTCTCCATGGGTCTCTCACATTTCTGTATGTGTTATGAGTAATACCTGATACTCCAGAGTTCATCCAGACTAGATTGGGTCACTGGCCTACTTATCACAATGGGTGGATCTGAAGCTGACTGTTAGATTGTCAAAAACATCTCCATGTCCATTGTCGTTGTCACAGACTCCCTTTTCAAGGATGTTTGTGAACAACTTTAGAAGAAAGTCATAGTACCTCCCTCCATAGCAAAAGCAGGCATGCTTACTGTCCAGAATGATAATAAAGATAATGTCTTTCTTTGGAACCAAGGGCAGGCTTGTTTACTGCCCATTATAAAAAATATTTGATGTCCCTACATTCAGGGTCGTTTGCTGCAATACAATCAATTGCATGTACAGGTGTCATGTCACCTTGAGGGAACTGGGGATCAGAGAACTGTCACAAGAAAATGCTGATACCTGGGCTTCCTTTATTGGAAGTAATAAGTCTCATTATTGTGAGTAATAAGTCTCTGACCGAGAAGTCTTGTGTATCCTGCCAGCATCTGTGAAATTGTGGCAGGCTAACTTATTAGCTTGTGAATAAGATAAAACTCAAACCGTTCGTAGTTGTTGGCAGTTTTAGGGATGAGGATGGGGTCCTGATAGAGACATAAGTTTCTGGAAGAGAAAGAATGAAGACCTCCTGGGCCAATTGATGAGATTTGAGAGGAATCCATGGACATCATTAGTGAACATGTTGATCAACTTGTTTGGTCAGTTAGGGAATAAATGACCCTCCATTTTATTATCTGTTGATGAGGAAGAATTGGAGAGATGATTGTAATCCAAGTACCTGGAAATAGGTTTAAAGTCAGCTGTTTGAAAGGTGCCCTGCATGTTACTAGCCCTGTTCCAGGCATGGAGATGTTTTTGACAATCTAACAGTCAGCTTCAGATCCACCCATTGTGACAAGTAGGCCAGTGACCCAATCTAGTCTGGAGGAAGGTTCTGACCCTCTTTGTAACAACAGTTATAATTTCATGCTCTGGCATACAAGGAAGGAAATTTGTAACCACTATAGGTAGAAACCAAGCAAATAGCTATAACCTTGGGTGGTTCCCTTAGAAGATGAAGGTGTGGGGTATGTAATACTTGTTCAGAAAGTATTAACCCTCAAGGTTCTTTTAGTTGCACCATTTTACAGCTTATCCCCTCCTGTAGACTATCACACCAACCTTAGATTCACTAGGAGACTTAGAATTTCTTAGAGTGGGGCCAGGCTGCTATAAGGGAGCTTTGGTTACCTTGGGGGAGATTTCCTTGAAAGAGAAAAGCTCCCATAGGAAGCCATGGATGAGGTATTGACTAGTCTTTGGGCCGTTATTGTCCTAGAATGGGTTTGTAATGCTGATGAAGATTACCTATTGGAAAATGAGAAACTGACCTAATGAAATCTAGACAAATTCTTACCGTCACCCCTGTTGCCTCGCAAAACTCTCATAATTCTTTTGGTGAAGCAGTGATAGAACATGAGATGTTATAATAATGGGGCAGTAAATGCCCTCAATTGAAACAGACTCCTTAAAAAAAATAGCTGCTGCGCAGGTCAAGCCCAAATCAGACAAATGGAACAAATTCTATAGCCACAGCCAGAAAGTGGTTATGGCTGCTAAGTCTAGGGGTTCCCAGAACTGGAATAGATGGTGTCTGTAATGATCTTGCTGCCAAATATAGAGCATTGCATGGAATGAAAATAGTAGAAGTTTATTTGATTGAGCCCTGAGCCAGCTGCCAATCAAAACTGAAAGTAAATAAATCTTGTTTACTAACATAGAACTGTTCTCTCCCTCTCTGCCCCTGATTCCCCCTCCTCGGACTCTACTTCAGCTTTAGCTTCTTTAAGGAGGAAAGAATGGAGCTGGGTTCTCTCTGTCCTGAAAGAGGTCCACAGTTCTTACATGCCTCTCTCCAAGTATGCTGGGAAACTCTGGCGAGGGCAGGGACTTAAACTTTTATGGCTCTGTGAGATACACATTAAGGAAATATTAACTGGCCCAATTTATCATCCTGCCCAGTCCGATGAAGGAGGGGATAGCTGAATTCAGCCAAGGTGGTTTGAACATGGTTTGCAGTGGGGGAAGGAAGCTAGCAGACCTTACGGGTGGGGCCTTTGTTCCAATTAGTGTGTCTTTGTTGTAGCTTCCCCTGCTGAATTGTAGATGACTGTACTATGGATGTTTATGAAGTCCAGAGGGGAGTCTCCTGACCAGGAAGAGTTGCAAGTACAGAAGTGCTTCTTCCTTTGGGGCCCCACAACCCTAATGACCTCTTTGGAGCTTCAGTTCTCTATGACTGATGGTATTGCTGATTGGAGCCTCTTGCAAAAGGAAGCAGCATTCACCCTTGGAGTTCTGGACTCACAGCTCTGACGTTGAAACAGGTATATTCCTTTAAAGAAGGGTCTCTTCTAGTTAAACTGAATGCCTGGCCCGTGGAGACCTTGTAACTCTTTTTTTTTTTTTTTTGACGGAATCTTGCTCTGTCACCCAGTCTGGAGTGCAGTGGCGCGATCTAGGCTCACTGCAGGCTCCGCCTCCCGGGTTCACGCCATTCTCCTGCCTCAGCCTCCCCAGCAGCTGGGACTACAGGCGCACGCTGCCACGCCTGGCTATTTTTTTTGTATTTTTAGTAGAGACAGGGTTTCACTGTGTTAGCCAGGATGGTCTGGATCTTCTGACCTCATGATCCGCCCGCCTTGGCCTCCCAAAGTGCTGGGATTACAGGCGTGACCCACCGCGCCCGGCGAGACCTTGTAACTCTTGAGCCTGATGTTCCCGCTTTCGGGTCCAGTCATACTCATTGAATAACAAGGGAAGGGCCCAACAGGCCTGGGTTGTCAAATGGAAATGGCAAATTTAGGAATGCAGCCAGCCTGAGGCAAGCAGCATCTTAACCTCACTTGAGAAAGTGGCAGCTCTAATCTCCCACTCTGCTGCCTGATTCACCAAGGTTCCCCTAAGTACCTGGGCCTGCCTCACTTATGGATCAGCTAACCTGAAACCTAATGGTATCCAGTGGGTTATGTTCAGCCTCACCATCACCTGCTCAACTAGAAATGGACATTGTTTCTGTGCTCAGTGTTCACAATCAAGGAAGTGCTCTTAGCCCTGGCCAATACTCCCCTTAATGAATCTTGCTGTGTTTTTACTGTCTCTGGGAGTGTTGCAAGTGTTGCCAATGACCTAGGTGTTTGGGCTGCCACTTGAAAAAATGCCAACTGGAAGATTATAAACTCCCCTCTTTGGGGCCACAAGCTGTGGAAATGGTTGGGCTGTCACAGTTATTTATATAGATGGTAAGGGCCTATTCTCTGATGAAAAGCAATGGGAATCAAGCTGCTGGTTCCACTTGCACCACCCAGATTGCCACCACTGCTGCCTCGCTTCATCAGGGTGTTGGACATGCGACACACCCACAGCACAGACTGGGCACAAGGTGAAGGACTTCTGATATCGAGGTGACTGGCATCACAGACTTGGGGCTCCTGCCAATAGTTGACCTGTTTGTCTCAATGAAGGAAGACACATTGTATGTACAGGGAGTTACTTCTGCTAATTCTTAACAGATTTACTGCATTTGACTCCTCTTGAAACTGGCGGTGGTGCCTCACTGCTGTTGACACATTTTCAGGTTATGAGTTTGCCAGGTGCATTCCAGTTAGTCAAAGCCAGTGGTGCACCTTTTATTGTAGAAGCCAGGGCTGATAGTCAAAGTATTTGATAGTCTTTCCATGCTCCCTACAGTACATAGGCACTTTGTATTGTTGAATGTTGGAATGGCTTCCTAAAATCAACTCAAAAAGATTTAAAACTCTACCTGCCTAATCTCCTCCTGGTTTGGACACGTTAATAAGACAGTTGGGTCATTAACTGCAACTGGCCCAGTTAGGGATCATCCTCTTTTTGTCCTTTCTTGGTTATGATCAGGATGAAAATAGGTTATCTAGAACTATTTTGAAAATTCAGGATATCATCCTGACCATTTCTAGACATGATGAATCTTTCTTTCTCCTAATACCTATCTCAGGCTAGACTGTTTGGTACATCTGCTGGGTGGCAGCCTGGTCAAAAGATGGAACAGGAATTCAAATTTATTCTGGTTCAGCCTCTTGAGTTTTCTTATTGGATTGCATTATCTTAGGATATTGATCGCTTGGTTGGGTAAACTGCTCACCAAGCGCCCCCAAACCTTGTATCCTTGAGTCTTCTTCCTGTATTCACGAAACGGAGGCTAGCTACCATGTTAGCTTGCACATAGGGTAAAATCTCAGACCTTTCATAATTCTTGACATCTACTTATGTATTGAAATAGTTTTAGCCACTTCCTGCCGAATGGATTGAAGAGTTAATGGTACAAATTGGGAGTTTATCAGTTGTACCAGGGGATTTTAATTTATGGAGGTGACTGAGTGACAACATGGAGAGGCCAATGCCATCGAAAGATTATTTTTATTACTTACATTTCCCAAGAGGAGGGGGGGCACTTACATTAAATGTAAGTAATTTTATTACTTACATTTCCCACGATGGGGCGCATGGGGAAGCACTGGGTTTGGTCAGGATGCAGAAGGAGGAAGGGAAAGCCTGGGCCATATCCTTTAGTGGGGTTTCTGTGGGAAAGGGAAGGGCAGAGGAAACAGTTTAGGACTGGCTAGTTTGAGTAATTTCAGTGGGCTGTGGGTTGTAGGGGTGATACCTGGTTGTCTGGTACCTGGCCCTGGGAGATTTAGGGAAGGGGAGTATTGACTTACTGATGAGAAGTTGATAAAGGGGATAGTTGAGGGTGTGGTCTCTGGATTGGTTAGCTGCATATGAAGGGCATGATCCCAGACCAGCCCTTTGCACTAAGAATTGGCTAGCTCTGGGAGTATAGTCTCTTCCCATTCAGTGAGGCCACAAATTCCAGAGCATCGGAATACAGAAAATAATGAAATAGAGTTGATATAACTGGCCTTGTGATAAATGGATGCCAAATAGACAAACACAATATAAGAAAACAGTTTTAGAGGAGAGAAACTGCTTAGGGGATTACTGTAGTAATCCAAATAGGAGATGACATTGGTTTTAACTAGAGAAGTGGCTGAAGAGATGAAGAGAAGTGAACAGATTTGAGACATATTTTGAAGCCTGCATCAATTCAATTGATGATGAATTTAGATATAGAGTTTGTGGAAAGGGAGGACTCAGTGACTCCTGTTTCCGGCTTTACCTAAATGAAACATTTTGGACGGTAAATATAGCATTGGTAGAGAAATAATAAAGAGTTCAGCACTGGACATGTTCAAGTTCCATATGGCTGTGAGATTATTTATGTAGAGGTATAAGTTAGGCAGGAGAGTGAGAGAGTTTAGAACTAAGAGGATGAATCTCAGGTGGTGATAAAAATTTGGGAACCTACACTATATAGACAGTAGTTAAGGCATGGCACTAGATGAATTATCCAGTAGAGTTTGAATGACTGGGGGCAGATCATGCATTTGCCCACAGCCCCACCTCCATTTGACCTGCTTCTCTCTTTTAAATAACCATCTTGGCTTCTGAATGTATGTGAGTTTGTCAGCCTTAATAGGCAAAGAAGGAAGACAGTTAAGCAAATGGCAAATGAAATGATTGCATTGATTTCTACGTGGTATTTGTTATACAGTGGCATGGACATGATTTGTTAAGTGTTTAACTAAAAGTAGTCCCTTAGGTTTTGGATTTTATATTCTATGTAGATAACACATCAGTAGCCTGGCTAAGGAAGCTGTGGTGGCTGTTTAGTTTTGATTTCATGTGGTCTTTTTCAAAGTAGCAATTTAGGGGCTTATTGAACATACAGAAATTGTACATTGTTTTTCTTCGTTCTCTAATGCTTGCCAGTAGTTATCAGAATTACATGACTATGCTTTTGTTTTTTTCTTTGTTCTCCCATGTTGGCTCTGTTTTATCTCTTAATGTCAAATGTCATTTCTTGGAATCATTCAGGAAGTTCTTTTAGTTAGTTTGCCAGTAATGAAAAGTGGCAAGAAATGCTGTAAAAGAACCTGGAGGTATTTCACAGCTTTGGAGATGAAGGGTGCTTGATAGATTACTAGACAAGTAGTCTTACTAAACTGCTCACCAAGTGCCCCCATAACCTGGATCCTTGGGTCTTCTTCCTATATCCGTGCAACTGAGGCTACTGTGTTAGCTTACAAGCAGGGTAAAATCTCAGACTTTTTGTGATTCTTGCTGCCTACTTATGTGTACTCATGCTGAGAAGAGTAGAAGACACGAAGAAAGGAAGTATGTAAGCAGCTTCCTTGTGCTAAGAGTTATGGAGAGGGAGTAGACAAAGTAAATGTAAAGGATGCACCCCATGAAACTGCAGTAATTAATTTATTTTCTTGATTTTAAAAATACGTATATATGTGGCAAGACTTCTACCAAACTTAACAGGTGTCATTACTGACTAAATCTTGATTCGCATATTACTTTGAAGGATATTCATGCATCCAACAAATACCAGTGTAGTACTGACAATGGGAAAGTCACTGCTATTTAATATATCAGCTGTCAATAGTTCATAATAGCTTCACTTTTATCAGAATGTGTGGCTGACTCTCATAGATTGATGGACTCAAAAGCACTGTATAGAGGTTTTGGAGGTCAGGGTGCCATTTTCAACATTTTAAAACAAGGGAAATTAAGAATTTACCCATAGTAAGGCTGTACTGGTTTTTAAGAATATCCAGTTCCTTTGATTTTGGCTATCTTATTAACTATTAATAATTCGTACCTACAGGATGTCATAATAATTAGCAGCATTGAATGATTGCTATGTGCTTGGTTTTAAACATGGGGTAATGAAAACCGTTATTGTTAAATAAAATATATATGGAAGATGGAGTCTTTCAGAATGTGTGGTTCATATTCAAAAATAAATACTGGCACTCTGAGATGGAAACCTCTATGTTTGTTCCCAGGTCACATAATTAATTGGTGGCAGTATGCTGGAACCAGAAGGGCATCCTAGACATCTCTGTTTATAAAATGTTATTAAAAATCATCTATGCAATTTTCCCACTTGGTTATAATGGTACAAAGTAAAGGGATACCATTTCTCTGTTTCTAGGAACACTTTGGTGTCCTGGTGTAAGCTGAGATAAAGATTATATTTCTCATCAGAAAAATTATAGTTATTTGTACTCTTTAAAAATTGAAACTGCAAATGACATTTGTTTTCACGTTTATATTTATAAAGTCTTCACCACACTTTGTTTGTTGTTCCTACCTCGCCCCGCTTTAAGATTAGGGAAGAAAATTACAATCCACCCAGGCTTCTTTAATGCATGAAGAACTTATTCTCCCAGAGTTTTAGGCAAGGTTCACTGGGCCTCTATTGTAACAGGAACAGACATATATTTTGCTTCAGTGAGTGTTTCTTGAGCTCATAAGCATTTTGAAAATATTGAATGACTTACAGTCCCTTAAGAAAGTAGCCATTTAAAAAAGCATATTCAGTTGAACTTTAAAAATATAATTTATACCACAATACTCAACAGGCTCCAACTGCTTGAAAGTATTTGGCTGCAAAGACATTATTTTTAGTGATCCTAACCATACTAGGAACAAAGAATTGCGTCTGTCAAAATGGGATCTCTGGCGCTCTAAAATAATCCACATGCTTTGTGAACTTTGATGAAGTCAGGCAGCTCTCTGTCATATAAATATCATAGTGGCATCAAAACCTGGGCTGACCATGTGCTGCAGGTGGAATGCACACACTCACCCAGTTTCGCAGCAGAAGCAGCTGACACTAGTAGGGAGACAGCGCCGTCTTCAGTTCCTAAAGCCATTGGGGCGTCTGTGTGCTGTCCAAACCTGAAATAGGTAAATGATTCTTCATTCAATCCTCCCTTGAAAATGAAAATGACTTCAGTAAATACTTGTGCTACAAATTACTCAGATGCAGTATTTACTCTTTTCCTGTACGTCACTGTATCATTTAGAGCCAAACTGTAAAGATTATGAGAAAAAAAGAAATAAACTCAGTGTTAGATAAACAAATTAGAGACAGGAAATGCTACACTGAAATACTGTCTGAAGAACTTATGAAATGAGTTTAATCTTTCTTTTAAGATCTGTTAAGACATTTTTGAAGGGATGAGAGATGAGTTGGAAGATACTGTTTTCTTTAAAGAAAATAATTATTTTTCATAAGCTATTAGAATAAAAGGGAATGTTAATATCAGATAATAGCATTATTATCTGATTTTATTATCTAATCATTAAGATTACTCACATTATCCTTATCTCTTGAATTTATCTATTCTTGTTTCATTTTCATTTCATTAGAAATTAATATATCCCTCTCTTTCGTAAACATAAAAGACTTTATTTTATAAAATATATTACATAAAATGTTAACATCTGTGTGAGCATTTATAATTGTGTTCATCCCTTCAGTCTACCTCAGATGAAAATATATACAAAATAAATTAAATAAAAATGTCTGTAATTATCTTTCCATTTTGTTGACATACATGTGTACCTAAAACTAGAAGAGAGCCCTGTACTTTTTAGAGTGAAGTAATAATGAAAGTGAAATCTTACATACCTTGTCTTATCCAAAAAAACGAGAACAAACAAAAATGTAAAATGTTGGTAGGGAACTTTAAATGAATACCATCCTTATTGATATTAACTTGCCATAAAGTGTTTCTCCTACAGAAATGTTTTGCTTTAAAGAAATTTAAAGTAAAATTTGCTTTTTGAAAATTTAATGCAGGGATTTAATTCTGAGTGGTTTACAACAATGGGTTATGAATGTATCACCATGACAGCAGGTTGCTAGAGTCTAGGAGTCAGGAGATGTGGCTTCATTAAAAGCACCTCCAGATAATGCCCTACGTTAGATTTCACTGAAAGACAGGAGCTGCTGATGAGGGTGACCTCTGACATCAAGTCATCTTACTATAAACAGAAGGGCGTGGAAAGCCATTGGTCGGAACCAGGAGTGTTTACTATCCAGGTCTCCTCCTATTTAACCTACATAACTGCACTGCTCCTGGAGCCCGAAGGTTCACGCCAGAGCAAGGTGCTTTTAAGGCTACCTGGGTGTTGGTTAGAGACTATAAACCTCTCAGAGCATTCTGTAAACCTCGACACAGTTTCATTCTACTGACAATGGAGACTGGAATTTATTGGCTGCTGAACTTCACACACACGCACTACAGAACTGACTTCCAAATACAGCTGGAATAAATTTCAGGTTTTGGGGTTTTGAATGAGGTAAGTTGCATTTAGCTTTTGGTTGAAGCGTTATCATTATTATTATGTTCCATGGGCAGTCACACATTTAAGTGTAGGCAGTTCTATCTCAGAGAAAAATATTTTTCTTGTTAAAATAGGTTGTTTAGATTTTTCACAGTTTTTTAGTACAAGGATGATAGAAGAAACTTGTACATAGGAACTGAGCAAGCCAATCAATTAGAGAAAATCCCTGATCTGTTTATGGCTAAAGTGTGAAACACACTTCGTCTTTGTTTACTTTATAAAATTCAGCTATTCAAATTACATTATGTTAATGTTGGGAGAAATGCAGGTAACGTGATAAGTGATAATAGATTACATTTCACTACAAAACTTTTAACAGTCAACTTTGTTTTCCCCTAATAGTACATGCTACTGCAGGATTTTAAAAAACTAATACCAACTATTTAAATGAAAGGCTTTTTTCTGCATAATTTGTTTTGAAATTTGTGCTGAATTTGAACTTTTCATTAGATTTGAGATGTAGTCATCTTGATAGATATGTCATATTTTTAAGAGAATGAGTGTTTCCCTCCATTTATGGAACTATTTTTTCCTGAAACCATAATAGTAAGATCAAGTTTAATTTTAACTTTTTAAAGAATCCTGTAGTGTTTAGTGAGGTTTACCTTCCTTTAGATGTGTACTGAGCACATACTTTGATTTAAAACCTTGATGTGGAAGGCTTTGGTATGCTTTGGTTTAAATTATTTAAATATATCTTTGTGTCTTTCTCAAGAAGAAGAAGTGTAAATTGCTGTTTTGCTGCATCAGAGGGTTGAGATGTGGGAGAATTGTCAAAATAATAACAGCATTTGTTTTGTTAAAGACGACTGAGGGAAGCTTTGCTGTGTTGGGACTATTTTATTCTTGTGAGAACAACACAATTCAGGCGGAGAAAATAGATCTATTCTAAGTATTTGCGAGTACTGATTTACTGTTAGAGGTGGATAGTTAGGGAAGCTGCTGGAAGAAAGGGAGGATAGATTATCCCAGCCAATAAGTTTTCCCGTTTGGTTTACGGGGTCTACTGAGCATCAGTCAGCACTATCCAGTTTCCCACTTCTTTTCTGAGTTGTAGGTACTATTTTCTGAAATACTCTGCAATTGAATAATGATGTTACACTACCTTATTTTGCGTTTTGTTTGTTTTCTAACCGAAAGTTCACTAAACCACTAAAATGTTACTTATCAAAAATGACCAAGAAAAGCAAATACCAGTAACCATATAATGGGTTCTAACTTTTTGCAGGGGGAAGAAGAGGGACAGAGAGGCCAATTTTTTATCTCTACTTTGGTTTTTCTCTTTTCTTCTCCAAGTTCCTTATAAATTACTCTCGTTAGCAGTTTCAAAATTGTATGATCTAACTTTTTGATCCTGTAGCAACCCTGTAGAGGGAGATGGTTGTGTGAGTCCAGGGGTGGCACACATTTTGCTTTAGGGAAATGGTGCAAGCCAAATTTAACAGGTAATGCAGCTGTTGAAGAAATAGAAAAGCCAGATGACTTCCTACGTGTATTGAGGAAACCAGGATAAATTGTCCTTAGAACCAGCTCCCAGAAAGCCATTTTAATTGAGGTCAAAGAGGAAGAAATTGTGAGTATATCTCAATTATTTATTAGGTTTACCTAGAATGAGACCTTCACTACAGATATACCTAATCTATAATTCCTATACTCTTTAACCCTTGAGCATTCCTGCTGTATGAATCCCTTTAACATTTAGACTGCAGAGTGTATTTAATTGTTTATGACAGTCCAGAATTTAGGGACATAAAAATTGTGAAATTAACTGACTAAATTTTACTTTCATCTAAGGAATAAGCTTCTGCATATAAAAATTATTGTAATAAATTTCTTAGATTTTAGTTGAAGTTACACAGTTAATGATGCTGTTTCTTCTGGTCACATGCTTGTATGTGTGAAATGTTTCACATAGAACTATTTTCAGCTCTTAGTTTACAGGTAATTTAAATTGTTTTTTCTTTAATTTGACAATTTGAGTATTTCTACTCAAACAAATCATATAATTTGCATTCTTGGTGTGTAAATTATGCTACAGTCAGTGTCTTATTAACTACTAATGAAGAATTTTATTTTAGGATTAAAACCTGAGAAAAGGTGATTTGTAATCTTTTTTTATAACAATGGTTATAGAAGAGAGATTTAATATAAAATATAAAACTACTTTAAAATAGATTTTAAAACTCAAAAATGTTGCTACGATGTTGTGGAAAATATCAGATTCAATCCAGCATGCTATAAATACATTTTTTTTTATTGTATAAAGCTTAATTTTAAAAATAAAGAACTTGATGCCAACATTCTTGAATTTTCTCTTTATAAATGTTGCTATTTTAATGGAAGATCAAGAAGATAAAATCTGTAAAATTCAAAAATATGCCTGTTTTACATAATTATTTTATCAATGTATTGTTCTAGAAATATTTATATTTTATATAAATTAATCTACAGATATATAGAGATATATGTTGTTAAATTTAAAATTGCTTTAAAATTTTGTGTGCATTCTATCAATTTGTTTTTAAAGTTAAAGAATTTCTAATTTTTTTAAAAGTTATGGTGATACTATTGGGCACATTAGGAGAGTTTTTATATATACTTTTAAAATGTTTTTTAAAGTTTAGGCATATATATGTACTTATACAGACATACGCACACAGATAAACTTTAACAAAACTTTTGCATATGAATTGAACAATTTTATATTGGTAAGTGAGACAACCTTTATAGTCAATTATTGTTCAAATTGAAAAGGTTAGTTGTCATTTTTACTTAATAGGTAAATGATGGTGTACTAGAGTATATTACATAATGATTGATATTTTATGTTTGGAAACATATGTAACTATGCCTGTGGCCAAATTCTTTTGAAGTTTAATGACCAAGATGAGCTGCATTTGTTAAGTGGTAGAGCACTGGCTTGTCTGGGGTCCTTTTGTGCTTGGCAGATCTTGATAAATGGGTGAGTTTTTCTTAACCTTGTGGCCAAAACATTCCAATATCTTTAAAAAAATTTATAAAGATATAGAATATGTTGCGAAAAACATGAGCAAATTTTCTCTATTTAGGGGACTAGGTTAAATTTTTAAGATGATTTTTAAAGCAATATTTGTGAGAATTCATAAATATTCATTTTAATGCAGGGAAATCTAAAGTTTCTGATATGTAATACTGCTGGAATTCTTCTTTCCTGGTTCACTGCGAAGCTGCACAGTAGTCAGCAATTTTAATTTCGCTGCAGAAGATTCTACCAAATTAACATTATGATCATTAAGTGATAATTCTTTAGAATATTCATTTTGCTCTTTTTGCTATGCTAATACATTGTAAAGCATTTATCCATCTTTCTTGTGACACCCAGGACGGCAAAGAAACATATAAACAAAAGGTATAAAGAAGACCAAGATATATGAGGAAGTATCTCTTTAGGTGTTTGTTTATCATGCACATTTGTGAGGAAAAAAATTCTTTTAGCGCTTATGTATAGTATTTATGCATAGTATCAAGGCTGGACAATCTAGTCTTTTTTCCAATCTTAGAATGGGAGCTTTCATATGAGCTGTAACATGATATGTTAAAGCATATTATGGTTCCTTTTGTGGCATTTTTTAAAAAGTAATGTGTTACCTTTGCCTGCCCCACTGGGTAATAATGAAAAAATATACCATTAGAAGGAGTTTGAAATTTTCCTAAATAATTCATAAAGCCGATATGGCATTTATGGCAGGTGAAAAAGGACTGTGGCATAGATAAGGAGAAAACGTGCTTTGGCATTTTAAAGGTTAATGTGATTTGACATTTGGTTTAATACTTACATACTGTACATAAATAATTGTGCTTTGTTTTTCTGTTATTGTTGCTAAGTTGCTTTTTGAATATATTCAACCTTGCTATGAACTCTCAAATCACTTGAAAGCTATTGTGACAGTTGTAGTTGATGAAGAGTTATAGACTATAGAAGTTTTTCCACTTAAAACATAATTCCTCCCTAGTGCATGATTTTGTCTAACCTCCCTCCCCCAAACCAGGGTCCTGGAAGGCCCTCGCATTAAAGGCCAGAAATCAAGTGAGATCTTGCCTGTGACAGCCCAATACTAAAGGAGTAAAATAATTTTGCCTTCAGGTTTTTGGTGGTGGATTTTATTTATTAATTATCTAACTCCACTATTCTTAATAGGTATGTTATTTTGTCTACTGTTGCACTTAGAGTATTTGATAGTATCTTTGATGTGTAGCAGTTAAAGAAGGGTTATGGCAGGTTTTCTTTGAATGGAAGTAGATGCAGACTTCCAGGTATGCAGTAGAGTCCTCTCACTTTCATAGTCAATAAATGGTGATTTGGGCTTTTAGAAACACGGTTTTGGTTTTGCCAGGGAGAAGCTTGGTTAAGGAATGATAAAGAGGTTGAAAAGTGATATAGTAAGAAAATGGAGGAATAAATAGACTTCCCTAACTACATGAAAAGAATTTCAGAAATGTATACATTTTACAGCTGCAAGATCTTTGTTTCTAAGGAAAACAAAGACACTTTATTAAAAGTTTTGTATTATTTAATAATTGGATTTTTAGAAACTGTATTTCTAAGACTTTAATTTTTTGACCACCATTTGGCAAAATGCCATTTTATTTTCCTTGAAAAGCCTCTCAAATTTGTATAAACATATTAAAACAGAGATATATTTTTTAAAACTCTTGGTGACAACTTTTGTGTTGCAAAGATTTAATGTTTCGAGTTTTTAAAAGTTAAGAAGTGAAGTATAACGTAAGTGAAAGATAGAAAATGAGTCGTATTGAGAAGTGTTGACACATTTTTAGCCAGTTGAGAAAGTGCATCTCCAAGTTTATATCCCTATGGGCCTAGCAGTACACCAATCCTATGAAGATCTTCACAACATAAATCATATTTACTTGGATCCAAAAATAATCATAGGTTATCACAGTAAAGTGTACATCTTATGGGAAGTCCTTGAGTGGTATTAACTTTTAAATATTATATTTAGGATATGAGTATATATTTTCTTTCACACCTGTACGTAAGTAAACTTTGGAATAATTTTTAGTAAAAGCTTATATTGTAAAAATTGTTTATGTTTTGCCTATTTCATTTATTACATTAGGACTCAATTTTTAAGTTAATACCTACTTTTACATTTTTTTATGTTCCTTCATACATTCCTGAGGTATGTAATAGGAAAGGACATATGTAATAGGAAAGGATATATTTTAATTCATATGTATTAAATGCTGCTAACTAGAAACCAGGATAATCTAGGGCAGCCCATTAAACCCTGTATCAGTCGGTTATCAATTTTTAAAAAAATTAATGTGATAAGGGCCAGTCAATTGAGATGCATTAAATAAGAACATGACAGCTATTCCTGGAATAAAGCTGGAATAATTATTTAAAATACTTTTAAATTACATTATTTAATTTAAAATTCAAATATGGATAACTTGTAAGTATTAGAAAATATGAAAAATGTCACATAGCCATGGACATTTCAAGAAGTCTTTTATTTTCGCTAAATTAGAAGCCAAAGGTAACTAAAGTTAGATACCATTCTGCTTAATCAGGCAATAATTTACAACAATTTTATTCAACCCAGTCATAAAATTCATTTCATAAAGTATGCATTCATATAAGACTCTAGGCATTGATATACTACAGTTTTTTGAAATAAATATCACTTATTCAGTCAGATTCACATCTTAGAGTATTCACATTAGAAATGCCAACAAAGCCGACAAGTCTAAATTGTTGTTCACAGTAATTCTGTATCGTTTTCTATGTTTACAAAGAGTTTGGCATGCAATAATCTGTAATATAATCTCCATTTTTGGAAAAAAATATTTTTCTATCTGCTTATCCATGTTTTCCTTAAGCAATAGTGCATTTAATCTCATTTACATTATATTTTATATTTTCTACACAGTTCAGTGAAGAAGTAGTCTTACCATCCATAAGAATATATATTAATAAATTATTTATTACATAAACTTTCATTTGTGAAATTTTAATCTCGAATTTATAGTTGCTGAATCCACCTTTTGTTTTCAGTGTATAGTATGTCCTAAGACTCAATTATTAATGCTCATTTCAAAACAAAATGAAGTTCCAAAAGAGATCTTTTGAAAATGTCTTCTTACATTATTCTATTCTTTACATTTTTTATTCCCATTAATGTTTCACGATTTGTAATCAGAACTATTCACTAGAAGATAATTGGGATAATTGAGCCCAGCTATTTTGGAAGATGCTAGATATAATAAAAGAACCTTGCTCTTATTTGCAAACTTTTTTTATGAGTTAATTCTCCTCAAAAGATTGTGAGCTTCTCAAAGCACCTAGTGGTTTGGAAACATTAAAAAAATTAAGATTGATTTTTATATATGAATGTAATAGTCATAATTCCAAAGAGTCCAGAAATTATGGTATTTTCTACATATATTTTCCAGATATTGAAAGTATTAATTATTCTCAATACCAAATCACACATTCTTTATTTTAAAGTATACTTTATGTTACTTACGTAAATACAACCTAAAAAGCTTGAGGGGTGAATAGTATTGTGAAATAAGAGATGCATAGTGTTGTGTAATAAGAGAAATGACATTTAAAAATAATTGTGTGACTAATGTAATAATATTGACCAGTCCTCTCTACTCCTTTATTCTGCTTTATTTTCATCTCAGCACTTAACCACTGCTGGCATTGTATTGTTCATTTACCAGTTTACTTATTTCTTGTATGTCTCCTCCACTAGAGGAGGAGGTGTTTGTTGGGCAGACAGGTGTTTGTTGGTCTAGGTGAGTGCTGTTCAGTAGAAAAATGATACAAATCCTATGCGTATTTTAAATTTTCTAGTAGTCACACTTGAAAAGTAAGAATCAACAGGAGAAATTATTTTATTTAACACAGTATACCCAAAATATCATTTTACTCTCAATATCAAAAATACTAAGATATTCTACTTCCTCTTTTTCATAGTAAGACTTTGAAATCTGGTGTGCTTTTTACACTAACAGCACATCTCCGTTCAATTCAGCCACATTTCAAGCTCTAAATAGCCACGTGTGGTTAGTGGCTCCTGTGTCAAACTGCTTACGTCTAGTTCATCTCTGTGGCTGGAACACTGCCTCGGATATCTCAGGCATTCAGTAAAGCCTTGCTGAATGAGCAAATCTTGATATTTTGGACAGAAAAAGAAACAACGCAGAAGTTGTTTTTCACATTAGTTTTTTTTTTTTTTTTTTTTTGGCTGTTTTTGGGGTGGTGGCGGAGGTGGATGCTAGAGATATCTGGATAATTTTTTCAAAACTACTATTTATTTTGCTTACATGGAGTTTAAATGTTACTAGTGCTTGGTAAAAACTGGTTACTTCAGTAGTCTAGTTTAAAGGATTCCTTTAATGACTGATGTATTATAAAAGTAACTAGTAGGTTCTTCTTTGAAAATTGTTCCACAGAACTTTAATTTCCACTCTTAGTTTTAAATGGGAGATATTAGTCAAGGGTACAAAGTTTTACTTATGCAAGGTGGGTCGTTCCCAGAAATCCACTGTACAGAACAGTGCCTATAGCAACAATATAGGCACTAATATTGTATACTTTAAAATTCACTAAGAGAGTAGATTTATATTATGTTCACACACACACACACACACAATTTGGGAGGAAATTTTTGGAAGTGATGGATATGTTCACAGCATAGATTACAGTGGTAGTTTCACAGGTGCATTCTTATCTCAAACTCATCAAGTTGTATACATTAAATAGGTGTACCTTTTTGTATATCAATCATACCTCAATAAAGTGAGATTTTAAAAAGAAAGGAAAGTAAACTAATGAACACAACTGGCAAATGTAGCATAGGAGAGAATGAAAGGCTTGATGTGTGGCCTTAAGTTGTAATTCCAGCCTTGCTAGTGTTAGCTGTGGGATATTAGGCAAGTTGTTGAACCTCTTTGCACATTAGTTTTCTAGTTCATAAGAGGAGGATTTTATTAATCATACCTGTCTACATGCATTAAATGAGATTATATATATACATAGTCTAGCAGAGTGAGTGGAAAAGAATATTTGCTTAATAAATGGCAGTAATTATTATTGTTATGTAATTGAAGTCAAATTTTAAATATTAAGACGTTTTGATCTTCATTTTGAACATTTTTAATTCATATGTTTATGAATTTTAGGTTCTTCATAGGTTCTGGTTAAAATGCCTTCATAGATCTGGAGTTGAAATTTGCTACATAACTTGCTTTCAGGTTGTTTCTGCTTCTCAGTGTTACTATATGGGAACTGGGAAGAAAATTGTATATATCTAAGCACTGTGCCTGGCATGTGGAAAACACTCAAAAATTTTAGCTGTTATTCACCCATTCCTTCATCTCAAAAATTTAGAATTTTGATATTTATGTTTTCATTGAATACTAATAGTTGCTTTTCTTAAAATAGTTAAATATTTAACTCTTTTTCATGGTGCTTGGAATTTTCCTGTATTTTTATAATTTCTCTGAAGAGATATTGCATAGGTTAAAGTTCACTTTATTTGCAGCAAGTTGCATTCATTTACGCTATTCATCCTTTCTGTCTTGGTGTGTGTGTGTGTGTGTGTGTGTGTGTGTGTGTGTATTTCTATGGAAAAATTTTCAACATTTATTTTTTTATTTATTGGCCCACCCCCTTGTGTGTCTTGTGAAAACTAGGATTTGAATTTAACTTTTTGGCATGAAATTCTGACTCATTTCTTGACCTGCTTGTTTTCCACTTCATTCAAAACACATTCAGAAGTAAGCCTGGGGTGATGGTGCATACCTGTAGACCCAGTTACGTGGAAGGCTGAGACAGGAGGATGGCTTACACTAGGGAGTTTGAGACTGTAGTGCACCATGATTGCACCTATGAATAGCCACTGCACTCCTGCCTAAATGATAGTCATTGAAGGTTCTATATGTTTTATAAGAATATTCTTTCTTATATAGCATATATGGGTCAGCACTTGCCATTTAATGAAGTCTCAAATGGAAGAGTGTGTTCAAATTAGGTAAAACTATCCATTTGCCTCTACTTCTTTGATCAAAACCCTAGAAATATTTTTCTTGATGATTCCTTTAACTCCTCTACCTTAATTCAGAAATAAGATAGGGTTTTGAAGTAATTTGAAGATGTCATAAAATAACCTTTTTTGTCTTCGGTATATCTAATCTTTCTTTTCAAATACAGATAAAAAGATCTGATAATATTCTAGTTAACACTTCAATCAATTACAATATTCTGTCAATTCTATCTCAGAAGTGTTTGTCAAAAACACCCTCTCAGTTCACCCCATGGCTCCTGTCTTGAGTCTTCACCACCTCTCACTGACAGATTGAATGGTTCAAAGTAGCATTTGGGGAACACCTACTCAGGGCTGGGGATATAATGATGTACCAGATCAATGCCATCTCTGCCTTCATGGAACTTCTACTATCCGTTTTGTTGCATTAGGCTTTTCCCAACTTTCAGCCCTCACCTCATCCCCCTTCCACATTACCTTCTATAGCATCTCTACCCAGTTTGTTTTTTTACAACCTTTCAATGGTCTTCACTGACCAAAGGTTAAATTCCAAATTCTTTACCGTATATAAGGGCTTCATAATATGCTTCCTCTGGCAAACTTCTTGACACTGAAATACCTACTATTTCCCACATACAGTCTCTGAAGACTCAATTCAGAACTTACTTTCTTCATTGCCTTCTCCATCTTCCTTTGGCTAAGTTAATTTGTTCTATGAACACTCACAATACTTTAGATAGACTTCCCCTAGAGTAGTCATGGTATCCTAAATATTATTCTTCTCTCATTTGACCAAGAACAAATGAATGAAACCTCTAAAAATAACCACTCTGCTAAATGGTTATTTTAATATCTAAAGGAATTTCTAATTCATTCTTTCATCACATGCCTGTTAAGCATTGGTTATAAGTGTGGGACTCTGTGGGTACTAAATAGCAAAACCCTGTAGATGTGTTCTCTGCCTTTACTGTTACTACTTTGAGAATAAATTAAAACAAGCAGAACTTTCTAGTAAGTTCTTTGGGGTAATTATGCTTTGGAAAGCCGTGGGTGTTAAAGACTAAAAAAAGTTAAATGATAGGAAGCTTGTCTGTCTCTGACTTTCAGTTGCGAGCATATGTCTAGTTTGTGGTGGTCTGGAGCTTCCTCAGCCAGTCCCAAGGTCCAGTCATCATGGTCTTGAGGAAAGTGACATTCACCTGGGGATAATTTCTGTGTATTCATTGGGCAGTTCATATAGTTTTTTGGTGATAAATCATAGGCAAGAACCAGTAGGAAAGAAGGTTCTTTTTTTTTCAGATATGCTTTCCTTTTAATTCTTGTTTTCCTCATACAAATTTAATGGACATAAGACTTGTGGGATTTGGAGTTAATTTTATGTTTACATTTTTAAAAAAGTATTTCTCCCTCCCCACCCTTTCCCCTTTTCTCCTCCTACGCCTTATTCCTCTTCCTCCTCCTCCTTGTTCCTCTTCCTCCTCCTCCTCCTCTTCTTCTTCTTCCCTCCCCTCCCCTCCCGTTACTTCCTTCCTTCCTTTTTCCTCCTCCTTTCTTCCTCTTCTCCCTCTCCTCCTCCTCCTCTTCTTTCTCTTTTTCCTTTTCTTCCTCTTCTTTTCCTCATCCCCTCCTCCTTCTCTACCTCCTCCTCCTTTTTCTTCTCTTCTCTCTGTGAAACCGTTTTTTTTTTCTTTTTTTTTTTTTTTTTTGCCCCTCCATCTCATGGTACTGATTACCATGTTAAAGGCATAGAAGACATTACATAATAAAACAGGATGACAGTCTCTTTGCTGGTCAGTTTTATTTTCATATTGTGTAAGTGTATACACAAGATGCAAAAGAGACTACAGAGTTAATCAAGAAAATAATTGATTTCCCAGATTATAAAAATGTCTAGACTTTGTATTAAAAGCAAAAGACGGGATTTTTGAAAATGTAGGGTTTTTGTGAGTTTGTTTGTTAAGGATTTTTCTGAAACAGAGGAGGAAAAAATTACTTTGTGAGTTGGAAAGACAATGCTGTATCTTCAAAGCTTAAGACTTACTTTTAAGTGGTACTGTTCATATTGCAATTCACATTGCACACATGTTCCTCATGGTATATATTCAGTAGAATTTTTTTTTGCTTCCAAACCACATATTGGAAGTAAAACTCCTTGGATTCCATAGGTTGCATAGTTAAGTTATTGAAATATGAACACCCAGAAATAGTGGGCTTATAAATGTATATTGTACATTTTTCATATTAACCAAGAGATTTTTGAAGTTTAGTCTACTCTGCATATACTTTTAAGACCATAATAATCAGATATAGATATAAGTGCTTGAAGTGCAATTGTGAAAATCTATGGATTTCACCATCTTTAGAGGATGTACCACATACTTTTGTCCAGAAATAGATAGCATGGCCTAGAAGTATGAGTTATTCTCATCCTTTACCTCTGTGGGTTAAAAACCACAAAGTTGAAATATAGTCTGCAAGATATACTGAAAATATATGTGTGAAGCAGTGCTAAACTTAATTGATATGTTGAGACATATATAAAACATACAGCCACTAGACTGAGAAAATGAAAATTAGTGTATGAACATTTTAGTTAATGCTGTGCTTTGCATCAAAACCTGGTGTTTATTATTATGTGCTTTTAGTAGGAGACAGAAGCAGTATCAGTTGGAAAAACATTTCTTAGTGGATTGAGAACAGTATGCTTTCTAGTTCCTAAGTGGGAAACCTGGTTCTTTGGTTTCTTTGTTCCTGGTTAGGCTTATCCCCAGTTATTTCAGCTGAACATTTTACATACTAATGGAGTCCAGGGAAGTGTATTTGGCAGCTGTTCATGGGATAATAATGAAATACACTATTTAGTACTGTATGCTGCTGCTGTAAAGTGTGGGGGGTATTTTATAGAGAACTTGGTGAACAGAGCTATATCCGCTTTAATAGTGTGTGAACCTGAGTGAGGAAGTTGTATTTTCATATGAGAATAACTAGTACTCTTTTCTTACAGGTAAAGAAAACGTGCACAGAATCAGATGTTTCACAATCTCAGAATTCCAGGTACAGTAAAATAAAGACCAAGACTCCCCTAAGGAGAATTGCAGTTTCGGAGCACTAGTAAGATGTTATACCTGAGACACAATTGTGATTTGAAACATTGAGCTTCTTGAAGAACTTATCTTGATGGAAACTGTATATCATGCTGGCTAGCGTACCACTACTCATAATATTAGTCAAAGGGACTGTGATTGAAGTCAGTTTTAAGGAACAATAGTGGAAGTATCTCTAGAAATACGTGAAAAAAAATCCCTTGGCATTAAGTTAATGTTCATTTTTTTGTTCTAATTTCTTTTTATAATGTTTTGAATCTAAAATTGTGCCAGATACTGAATAACTGTCAAATCTGTGTTTACAAAAAAAAAAAAAAAACTATGATATTTCTTTTTCTTTGCAGTGAAACATTGCTAGATTTTGAGAATGTTGTCAAATTAGGAAACTCATAGTTAATTTGGCATTCTCGTTTGGGTTGTTTGGAGCCTGTGGAAATGATGAATTAAAGTGGTGAGGCCACTTCATATAGGAATTTAGCACCATTTAGTTGTTTGTGGTTGAACCAGATGCCCAACAGATTTTTTTAGACCTACACATTTTCATTGCTTTCATTTCAAAGTCCAGGCTGCAATTTTGAATGGATAAGTAAAAGTATCGTAAATACTATGACAATAATAAACACATGTTCTTACTATGCTATGAGTGATATGACTTAACCTATGTGTATTCAGTTGAGAGATGGGTCTCGTTTTATTTTGTCCTACTTGCTCCCGCATATAGTGCATGTAGTGATTTTCTTGGTACATGAAAACATTGCATATCTAGGTAAAATGTTAATGGCCAAGGCCAAGGTGGGTGGATCACCTGAGGTCAGGAGTTCAAGACCAGCCTGGCCAATATGGTGAAACCCCATCTCTACAAAAATACAAAAATTAGCCAGGCATGATGGATGGTGGGTGCCTGTAATCCCAGTTACTCGGGAGGGTGAGGTGGAAGAATCACTTGAACCTGGGAGGCGGAGGTTGCAGTGAGCCGAGATTGTGCCATTGCACTCCAGCCTGGGCGACAGAGCGAGACTCCATCTCAAAAAAAAAAAAAAAAAAAAAAAAAAAATGTAATGGCCATTATGTTTTTCTTTTTGTAGAGTAAGTGTATCTTATGTATAGTCCACTTATAGTTTGAGTAACTCTTGTTTTGTTGTATGCAGTATGATATTCCTATAATTGATTCCTGTGCATATTATATTAAAATGATTGCATATGGATTTTCCCTTTGGATCATGAAGAGCATATGATATGATATCAGATTTTTGATCTTTGATCTTTGTTCTGTGTAATTAGCTATCAAAATGGAACTAACTAATTTTAGATTATTGGAGCATTAGGAAATGGATGAACCACTAAATGTTTTCCTACAAAGCAGAGTAGTTCTAGGATGTGCGAACAGAAGGGAAGACTGGGGCTCTATTCCTTGGAGGCACCTCCTTCCTAAGTATTTGCAGACCTATATAAGTGACCTACCTATAACTTGCTTTTTAAGGATGATATATGTAATTAGATAATTTTTGCAAGCAGCTGGTCTTGGGAGTTAGGAAAAACAGAACAATATAATCATCCTTATTATTAATATTTCATATCAAAATTTTTTAGCTTTGAGGCTACTCAGGATTTTTGGGCAGATAATACTATGCTTAAGTAAATTTTAAACTAACAGAAAGCGATCAAACTGATTCATTGTTCATAGTTGGTATCAGTAAGTTGGAGAAGAAATAGAAAGAGTTCAGAGCTCAGTGTATTTAAACCTGGAATTAGGTCATTCTTTTTTATCTAGAAAATCCCAGCCCATGTGGCCTTAAAAATATAATTTTATTTTTAAGAAAAAAATAGTTTTTTTGAAGACTGCTTAAAATATATTTGTCATTTAATAATAACTGTCTCTCTAAATGGAAAAGTAGCCAGAGTTCCTGGAAATCAGCAGTTAGTTGCTGTGGATTAGCTGCTGCTTAAAGTTTCCTAATCTGTAATGTAAATGGGTAAAATCAGGCAAATCAATTTCTAAGAACTTCATAACTTTGTGATATCAAAAACAAGCAAACAAATACAATAATTTTTCTTAAAATGTGAGATGGAAAGACCTTCAAGAAGACCTAGAGTCATTTGTTGGTTCAAGTTTGCCCAGACGTTTTGATAATGACAGGTCTCCTCTCCTGACCTGTGGTACAATGGTCAATCTCCACACTCTGGTCAATATCTATCAATAACATAAAAATGTGACTGTTCTTGGATCCTGTATTTATTCCCCAATATTAGGCCTGAGAGTGCCAGAACTGGCACTTAATGTATTGATGGAACACCAAGGAGAGAATAAAAATATACCGAAGAGCACTCGACACAAAAAGGATACAAGAATTTACTGAATAGTGAACAAATTATATGCATGTACTGAGGTTCAGTTTTTCTAACCTGTCAAAAAACAAAAAAAATGACAACCAAACAAGAAAAATGTCTCTAATATAGACACTAAGCAGCATTATTTTAATACATACATATATGGGTACATTCTTTTTTGCTCATTAAGAACCACAGGGGCTGACGCAGTGGCTCACGCCTGTAATCCCAGCACTTTGGGAGGCCGAGGCGGGCAGATGATGAGGTCAGGAGATCGAGACCATCCTGGCTAACACAGTGAAACCCCGTCTCTACTAAAAAAACAAAAAATTAGCCAGGCGTGGTGGCAGGCGCCTGTAGTCCCAGCTACTTGGGAGGCTGAGGCAGGAGAATGGCGTGAACCTGGAAGGCGGAGCTTGCAGTGAGCCGAGATTGTGCCACTGCACTCCAGCCTGGGTGACAAAGCAAGACTCTGTCTCAAAAAAAAAAAAAAAAAACCCACAAAATATATATATTTTATACATATATATATATTTTTTCTCTCTCCTCTGTGTGTGTATGTATGCTCTCTCTGTGTGTGTGTGTGTGTGTGTGTGTGTGTGTGTGTGTGTGTGTGTGTGTGAGAGAGAGAGAGAGAGATTCAGATTGAGATTTAAAGCCCGGGGCTAGGTAGTTTTATTCTAAACAAATATCAAATAAAGAATTGAACTCAAAGTGAAATACTGTATCCGCATAAAATGTGAGCCAGAGAACTACTGCCTAAAAAATGCTGCCTCACTTGGAACCTAAAGCTAATATCATTCATTTATTTAGTTAGCTTTATAGTATGTTGGTTTTGGATTTGAAATGATTAGAATAAATGCAGATGGAAAGTGTTTTTACAGTAGGGAAATAATTAAATTGGGTGTGGAGACTTTGACAAGAGAATTCTTGAAGTGACATATGTGTATCAGCAAATTCTTTTTCTTGCTTGGCCTTAATTCTTTTGGGAAGAAATGCTTGGGCTGCAGATGTAATGGTATATTGGGAAAAAGAATTTACAAACCCATGCAGTATAAGTACGGCACCAAACTATCTTCTTTGAAATAGCATTACATGTATATAGTATAAGCCAGATGTCAGGAATAGTATTTTTTCCCTGTTTCCTAAAGCTACTAAACTTGATGTCATGTGGAAAGGGATGTGATGTGCTTTGTGTAAAATTTGACATTCCTTAAATGTTTTTCTTTTTTTGCTTTCCTCTGTGTTGCTAACCATGTCCAGGATGTACTATTGTTCCTAAACTAATGTTAACCATAAAATGAATTTATGAGAAAAACAAAATTAATATCCTTACCCTAAAATTAAGTTTGTTACTAGATAGACCATCTTAAAACATAAACTGAAATGATATTTTGCATTGATGTTTTTTTCTGTCTTCATGGTGAATTTATTTGTGTCAATTTGGGTCCCATTTGACTCATCACCGAAAATACATGGTTCTTGTTTAATGTAATAAATAGCTCCTGGACAAATGAATTTTACAGCAGAAGTTTCCATGAATCTTATTTTTTTAACTCCTCTACTTTCAGTCCTTTTTATTTCTGATAATGAGGTGAGGAAATAATTTATTTCATTCTTGTATTGCATACTTTACAAATATCTTAGGGTGTCTCTGTGTTAAAGTAGTCCCTATAACACACAAATGATTTCTCTGTTGAATTTCTATTTCTGTTTCTCTTTGCTTTTCCTCTCTTGGGCCACTGACTAGCATTTTCACCAAGAAGAGATCAAAGACATAGGAAGGAAATAAAACTCAAAATAGGAAATTTTTATTTTATACTCGTTTTGTTAACTAGAGAGTGAATAGAAATAGAAATTGTGGTGAAATTGGGCTGTGAAGTGACTTATCAGGAGTTAAGCCAGCTCTTGTCCTTTAGTAGCTTTGTTTCATCCTGGCCACAGTGTCACCAGTAGAATATAGTAAGGAGATCTAAGGAGAATCTTAAAATATAGGAAGAACTTGTGGTATGTATGAGCTAAGATGATAGTTTTTCCACATGGAGAATAACAAAAGATTCTGTGGATAGTGGGGAGGATTGACTCTTCTCCACTTCGTAAGTTAAAGAAATTGAGTTTGCTGAGAACTTAATGATTACCTGAAATTAGTAAAGGCCTTGGCCTGTGTCTTCTTGCCCTAGTCTTTACTAACTTTCCAATTATTAAGAGAAAGGCAAAATGACTTTCCGTTTTTTAAAGAAGCATTGGAATTAGTTTCAGTTTAATATGTAATATTTAAGTGAGCCTCAGGGAGTTTATCTATTCAATGTCTACATGCAACAGCTTAAAAAAATGAAATTCCTAACTCCTATTATGTAGACAGTTGTGATTTAATAATGTTTAATGTATTAAATTATACATAGTTATTTGCTAGTAAAATAATTATTGCAGTACTTCCGGAAGACTGAAATGTTTATCTGCATATAATTGCCTGTCTCAAAATTAAATGCTGTATTGTTTTCAAAGCAGGGAAAGCTGAGGGCTCCTTTGTGAAACATGCATAGCATTTCACTGTGTCAAATCAGAGGTCCATCTAGCCCAATATTCTGTCTCCAAGAAGTACCAAAAATCATTACTGCCAGTTTATGTTTTTCTCAAACCTGGAAGGTTGGAATATAGTTCTAAATACCTTAAATTCTCTCAATAACATGATCTGGTTGTACAGACCACAGAATTGGGTAACCATTTCTTGGACTTAATTATATTATCATATATTATCTTTTTGACTAATGAACCCAGGAAATTACTAATCACAATGCAAAGTAATAATTAATTCCTTTAATTATTAAAAAACACCTCTTTCAAATTATAAGGCATACTTCCCCTGAAAATGATAGATATTCTAATAGTTAAATATTCTAAGAGTGTGATTTAATTCTCATGTCATTTATTTAACCTGAGTCATATTATAGCTTAATCTTTTTCTTCCCAATTTGGAAAGTGTTTTGTCTTGTTTCAAAGTCTGGCCTCATGTGGATGCTTCTCTAGTCTTTTCATCATTTTTGGCTGGCATTTACTGGAGATTTTCAGAATTTGTTTTACCTTTTCTGGGGTGTGCTGACAGATTCCTGCAGATATGGATGCAGATGGGGCTGTGAATGAGGGTGAATGATGTCCTCTGTTTTGCTGTTAATTGTGTCTTTGATAGCTGACCTATCTTGATCCTTTGTTCATGGTGGCATCTGTGCTGATTTCCTCAGATAATTGTCTGTGGTGTTTGCCAAATCACTTATTTCAGTGATAATTGCAGCTTTAAAAAACAGTCTCGGCCGGGCACAGTGGCTCACCCTATAAACCCAGCACTTTGGGAGGCTGAGGCGGGTGGATCATCTGAGGTTGGGAGTTCGAGACCAGCCTGGCCAACATGGTGAGACCCCGTCTCTACTAAAAATACAAAAATTAGTAGGGCATAGTGGTGGGCACCTGTAATCCCAGCTACTTGGGAGGCTGAGGCACGAGAATCGCTTGAACCTGGGGGGCGGAGGTTGCAGTGAGCCGTAATCATGCCACTGCACTCCAGCCTGGGCAACAGAGTGAGACTCGGTCTCAAAAAAAAAAAAAAAGTCTCAAAACATAGACTATTGTTTCCTAAATGTCTTATCACATATGTGCCCAATCGACCCTTCCAGTAGCTCATTGGGAACTCCTGGTAACTTATCTTTATTGGCCAGTGTAGCTGAGTGTTATTTTTGTACACTTTTTGATTTCTTTCTGCACTTCCCCTGTAGAGTTCATCATTTTCTAAGATTAAATGAATGGGCAAATGAGAATAATATAGTACATGTCCCTTCTCATTGTTACTCAGAGAATAGTTGCTTATTATGTGTTTAAATTGAAGAAGACTCATCCTAAAACCCATTAAGGAAAAGGAATAGGCTACAACCAAAAGGAGGAAGGGCCTCACAGTGGCATTTCTTCATTCATACCGTGTTTATTTAACCTTTGCCTCACTGTCTTCAGCTCCCTAGGTTTTATTCTTGATGCTTTTGCTTTTCTTTCATTTCATACTTTTTCATGTATAATCTCTGTTTACAACTCTTGATGTGGCCCACAGTGCCTAGCATGCTCCGCCCACGTCCTTCTGCTTCTGCTCGGTGTGCATGAGCTGCTGCTTGTTAGGAGGTCTGCATTCACCACTGCTACTTGCCTCTCTCCACAGAGGCTGGGACTCTCCTTCCCTTTCAGTTTCTCCTTTCCCCTCCCACCTTTGCTTACCTACATCATTTCAAATCATCTTCCAGATGTTTTGCGCCCGTTGCAGCACTCTCCCCTTCTCTAATTAGAGACAACTTAATGGTTATTCATTTCACTAGTATAGAGACTTAGAGCTTGATTTCATAGGTCAGGCATCTACAAACTGTGATATGAAAGGAGAGATTGCTAGGGACAGACCTTTAAGTGGAGTGGCTGCCAAACTCCTGAAGAAGCTCAGTGCTTTAAGGAAGCCTTCCCTATCCAGCCAACTAGTCCAGCCCCACTGTCATAAGGCCACAGGGTACCATGTTCTTCTCCTTCAGAGATTCTGCATGTGGTAGATGCCTCCTCAGTTCACCAGACTATAAGCTCTACAAGGTTAGAGTTCATATCTGCCTTTGTTCACCATTGCCTCATTAGTATACAGCACAGGGCCTAGCACATAGCAGGTCCCCAGTACATATCTGTTAAATGAATGAATAACTTCCAAATACACAAATCTGGCTTGCAATTGCTCCTGGAATATCTCTTTTAACCACAAATCCCTAGTGTAATTTAGTTAGGGATTTCTCTCTGCCATCTCAGCTCCACTTGTGAAAAATTGTAATTACACTTCTTTCCCCAGGGTCTTTCCTTTCTAGTGATAAATAATTCTCTCAGTTGTCCTGTCTCAGAACTTTTAAGCAATCTTTGACTTCTTGCTCCCTTTCCTAATCCTGCTGGTCATCAAGTTGACATTCAGCTATAGCCCCCCCAATTTTCTATGAAACCATGTTTTTTGAATTTTCCTCTGCCGTGCTTTTTGAATCTCTTTATCCTGCCTCACCTCACTGCCACTATGAAAGTTCAGAATCTTGCCACCTCACCTCTGAATGAATGCAGTAGGTCTTCACATGGCTTACAGGGTCTAGACCCTGCCTTTCTGTTCTGCCAAGACTGTCAGAGAGCCTTTCTTAATGACACTTTCCATATGGTGTTGCCGTGTTGGTCAATTGATCAGGCAGTATTCAGTAGACAGAGTATATACAGAAGCATGAGCAAATAACCTTAAAAGTTTATATGTGCAGGAAGTAAAAATGTGAAAATATACTTTTTGTGCCTAATTACTGCCCACAAAAGGTCAGGGGTTTTCTGGGCTACCTGTTGTCCACTCTCCTAGTTCTCTTATTTTTATTTTTATTTTTTGAGACAGACTTTCGCTGTGTCACCCAGACTGGAGTGCGGTGGCAGAATCTCGGCTCACTGTATCCTCCACCTCCTAGGTTTGAGCGATTCTCCTGCCTCAGCCTCTTGAGTAGCTGGGACTACAGGCGCCCCCGCCACCACACCCGCCTACTTTTTGTATCTTTAGTTGAGGTGGGGTTTTGTCATCCTGGCCAGGCTGGTCTCAAACTCCTGACCTCAAGTCATCTGCCCGCCTTGGCCTCCTAAAGTGCTGGGATTACAGGCGTGAGCCACTGCACCTGGCCCTATTTCCCTTATTTTACTCTGTTAAATGTTGCTTGAGTCTCATTTTGTATTCTACCTATCGTTCCAAACTGACATAGCAGTGCATGGCTCTAACATTAGTCCCAAAACATTCTAGGAAAAAATATATACCAGTTACATAGGTAATGTTTTCCATCTCCCCTGCTGTCTCCATTTCCTACATGTATCATAGAGTAAAATCATGTATGTGTGAACTCTGTGGCCACCCAAGGGCATCTATTTTTAGGTAATACTTATCTGGTAAGTTCTACAGATGAAATCATTTCATTAGAGGGATAGAGGAGAATAAGAGCACCAGAGTGCAGTTTGAGCACTGGGGGTTAGTGTGGTTAGGAAGGGCTTCATAGAAGATTGGGGGGCTATAGCTGAATGTCAAAGAATAGATAAATTTTGAAGAAATGAAGGAAAGAGAACTCACAGTGAGGTACAAACAAACAAACAAACAAACCAAAAAACCCAGGAGCTGAAATTGAAAGGTATGGTTTTTGGATAGTCCCACTTGATCCATGTGAAGAAATAGTAGATGAGATTAGAAAGTTAGGGTAGGTTAGCACAGCTTGTGGCTGGTTTAGCTTGCTAGTTGTTTTAGTTAGGACTCTTATTGGTTGCAGCTACTGTTGTCAGCCAGTTGAAGCAGAAAAAGGAAGTTTTAGTATCTATTATTTTTTGGGTTTTGTTTTTGTTTTTTTTTTTTTTTTGAGATGGAGTTTCGCTCTTGTTGCCCAGGCTGGAGGGCTGGAGTGCAATGGCATGATCTTGGCTCACCACAACCTCCACCTCCCAGGTTCAAGCGATTCTCCTGCTTCAGCCTCCTGAGTAGCTGGGATTACAGGCATGCACCTAAGCAAAGGATTAATTTCTTAACTCGGGAAAAGAGGGCTTGCTGAATTTCAGAAGGTATGGGAGACACAGATTATCTCCCTGTTCATCTCTTATTCATCTCTGTCCCCTTTGCTTCACCGTTCTGTGTCTTTATCTCTCTGGCTGACCAGCTTTGTTTTTCTCCAGGCCACACAACAAGAGGAAAATGCCCATGTGACACTGCTCCTGATTTTATACATTTGACTTCTTTAGCCACCTAGATAATAGATTCCTCTCTTTTTCATTATCTCAGTTCCAGATTTCTAGGGACGGGAATGTTTTCAGAGAGTCAGGGTCACAAAACAGAAATGTGGCTTTCAGGAGCCACCTCTGGGAGCCTATGAATTGGGTTGTGAGGAGCTTTCAAGCAAAGGTTGAGGGTAGATAACCCACAAGTGCCCTCTACTTTCTACTCCTTCCCTTCCCAGGACATTTTTAACCTGCCAGTTTTATCCAGCACCTACCCCTCCCTCATCCTTCACTTTATAATCCAGCCTATATAAACTAGCATATATCAAGGAAATTGAAAATGCACTCCCCCCTTTCCTAATTAGAGACAACTCAATGGCTATTCATTTTACTACTATAGAGACTTAGAGCTTGATTTCATAGGTCAGGCATCTACAAACCGTGATCTGAAAGTAGAGATTGCTGGAGACAGACCTTTAAGTGGAGTGGCAGCGAAACTGCAAAGTAAGAGGAACTCAGTTCCCCTCTTTATGTAAACTCTTGTACCAATTTTTGGCCTCCCTATACCCATCCCCAAGCTGACCAGTTCCTATTCAAGGGACCCAGTCTTCTCTTCGGCTCTCAAATACCAATTCAAATGCAAATTGCTTTCTCCATTTCCTGTGTGTAGTTGTTAGATAATTGTCTGACTAATGCCCTCAATTTTGCCAAGATTAGTGTCTAGGTTTTAGCTCTTTAAAAAAAAAAACAATGTTCAAACATACCTGCAGAAAGACAGTCAGCAATCAATAACCTAGAGCCCAGATTTAAAACTTGGCAAGCTCTCTTACAGGTATTGAGAGCTCACCAATGGATTTCTGATCAGGTAATGATATAATTAAAATTGTACTGGTGATGACAGATCAACCGTGACTCAGGTGCTTGGAGGCAGGGAGACCAGCTATGAAACTTACATAAAAGGCTGGAGAGACACTTAGCAAATTGTGGTTATTTTGGGGCGGCATTACACACTATTTTTTTCATAGCTTAAACACATTTTCCAAATTTTCTACAGTGGATACTTATTTCTTTTGATTTAAGAACAAATACATGCATATAAAGCCTGAAATAATAGATTTGGCTTGAAATAGGCATGGTGGCAGGGGGAAGGATCTGGCCTCTTCTTTCTGACAGCTTGCATTGTTCTTTAGAGATGAGAAAATGCCTGTCTTCGCCACATGTATTAGTGATTAATTCCAGAAAATGGCTGTGTTCCTGGTCAGCCTCTCCTACAGTAAACTGAGCTCAGAAATCTTTGTGGTTAACAGTACAAAACTCGTTCTGGAGACTGTTAGCTGCTTGAGTTAATTTGGTCAGAGTAATTCCTCATGTAAAGCAGCATTTGTGCAGTGACTTCTATCCAGAAGACCTAAGGAGCTAGGACAAGACTCTGCTTTGCATCACAGGGGTAATTAGAATGTTGTCGATTGAGGGCAACAACCATCTCTGAGTATTCTCCAAGATTGCTTAGGGGTTATTAAGCATCTTAAATCCTTATTTTGCACTTAGAGCATCTGTAGTGCAGAAATTCTAGACTCAGTGTGAGTAGAAACATAGAAGCTTTTGTGGTCCACTTCATGCTTGGCCAACTCTAGATGGTAATAGAAAGGGGGATATAGTGGTTTTCCTCTCAGTAGTTCAATTAAATGCTTATTCTCCCCCTTAAAGGTACTATTTATTGAGCATCTACTATGGGTCAGGCACCAAATGCTTGAGATACGTCAGTAAACAAAACAAGAGCATACATGGTAAAGGAGTATGTTAGAAGGTAATACATAACCACCAATTAAATAAAATAGGGAGGATCAGGAACATTGCGGAGGGGAATGGTTGTGGTTTTAAATTGGGTGATATTTTAGCAAACTTGAAGGAAATGAATGAGTGAGCCAAGCAGAGAGCTGGTGGAAGTACACTCCCTTCAGTAAAAGCCTGCGTGGCATGTTCAGGTGACAGAAGAGGGAAGGACAGTGTGGCTAGAATAGAGTGAGCCCAGAGTTCAAAATTTGAAATAGCAATATTCTAGAAAAAGCTACTATTTCTAGTCTTTTCCACATTTTGGAAATATTTACTTGTAATTTCAATAAACCATTTTCAAATAAATGTCTTGGACTAATTGCCTCTTTTGTCACTGCTACAAGATGGGGCTGATCCCCAACCAGGAACACCTCTCTCTGCCACACCACACACATCTTCTAAGACTAGGGCTCTCTCCTGATCAGAAGGCTTCAAGATTCTTCACCAGTGGAACTCGAAGTCTTAAGGCTTTTTCTAAAGTAGTGTTCTTAAAGTTTCAGTCTTAAATATAGATGAGGGCTTAATAGAGATTCCAAAATTTTGATTTGTAAAGGTACAGAGATTCTGCTTATTATCTTACATTTAATCATCACATTTCAGTTGTCTTAGCAACCTACACAGTATTCTCATTTGGTTTTCAATAAGCCAATGGATGAATGGGTTCTTTGTTCACGTGTTTATGAATTTCTATCACCTGATACTTGAAGTCTTTCAGGCATGCTTACTGTGCCAAATAACTGTCTTTATATTCCTAAAATTCATGTAGCTAAAATTAAGCTCTACTTTTTCTAAATATTTACATTTCCAATGAGAGAATCTCCAACATAAGAATAGTTGGAAAAATGTATATATAAGCTTGTGTTTTTTTTTTTTTTTTTTTTTTTTTTTTTTTTTTGGTCATCGAATGATTTAATCCACTCTTAAAATTCTAGAAAAAGTTATATCAAACAAATACTTGTCTTGCTTGGGTAGTAAGAGCCAAATAATACAGGTATCTTTAGTTCAACAGCGGCACCTTTATAAGCTTGTATTTAAAAAATACTTTTGCTTTAGTTATAATTAATTTCCAAGGCTCCACAGACTTGATGGCAAACTCAATTGTCTAGCAAACCTCACCCATACAGACATATTTGAGAATTACAGAGAGAAAAAAAAAAGCCTATGACAAATCTAGGCTTCATAGAGGTATCTCTGAGATGTTGTCTCAGAATGTTTTGTCTTACTGAATGCACAGTTTTAAATTCTAAGTGAAGGAATATATCGAAAATGTTTAACAAAGTACCTGCCACTGTATTATGTGAATTTAAATGACTGCTCTTATTACAAGTAGGCATAGTGATAGTATTGACAAGTGACAGTCTAATGACAAAAAGACAAAAATAGCGAAGCATAAATGTAAGAATGCAAAATGCTTAGTCACATGAGATATTTTGGCATGAACACTGGAAGCCCAGTATGCTTTAGTAATCCCTGAGGACATTGATATGCCTTAGTACTGTGTGATGATTCTCACTAGTGTTGGTCACCCTGATTTTCTCAGTAAAAGTTAAATTACATTTAACATCATAACATTTTAGAATTATTTATATACAAAATGATCCCATTAAAATATTTTAGAATTATTTATTTACAAAATGATCCCATTTAAAATATGCTATTGCTTAAAATAACCACAGCTCAGCAACACACAATATTTGACTAAACCATAATGACCAAATTCCTTGAAGGTTCTGGATAGATGAGGTTATCTAGAATTATTCCTTTTTCATGCTAACATGAGCAACTCAAGCATCTGGATCACTTAGGGATTTTTTTTTTTTTTTCTCCAATCCAGGTCAGGTACCTAGCACAGTGTGTGGCACATAGTAGGAGTGCAATAAATATTTATAATAGGAATTGGTGAATGAATGAATGAGGAGCTAGTTTTTATATTTTGGGGAGAGAAGTGGCAAGTTCTTCAAGTCTTTACCTACACTAGTCGCACTACCGTATGCCATATAAGAAGGTTTAAATGTCATCTGTAAATAAGATCAAATCTAAGGAAGACCTCTAAGTTTGGGCTGTGGTGGCTCCCGCCTGTAATCCCAGCACTTTGGGAGGCCAAGGCAGGCAGATTATTTGAATTCAGGAGTTTGAGACCAGCCTGGCCAACATGGTGAAACCCCATCTCTACTAAAAATACAAAAAATTAGCCAGGCGTGGTGTTGCGTGCCTGTAGTCCCTGGTACTCAGCAGGCTGAGACAGAAGAATCGCTTGAACCCGAGAGGTGGAGGTTGCAGTGAGCCAAGATTGTGCCATTGCACTCCAGCCTGGGTGACAGAGCAAGACTTCGTCTAAAAAATTAAAATAAAATAAAAACCCTCTAAGTTTGCTCTAACAAGTAGAGTAACTCTGTATCCCAGCTTACCCCATGTAGAGTCCCAGTTTACACTTGGTATCTCAGCATCCCTTTTGGATAGAGAGTTTACTTTCAAGAAAGTCTTGTTTGCATGATGAATTTAATGGTTATTCTAATTAAAGTCATCACGTCCTTACCAAAGGTTTTTGAAATAAAAATGTAATAATCAAGAATTTCCCTTTTTCTGTCTCCCCCTTCTTTTCTCCCTTCCCCTTCTTTCCTATCTTAGGATGACTTTTACCATGGGCATTGCACTTTTATCTTTAATACAAGACAATATGTGAAAAAGCTCTTTGAAAGGAAAGATGACTTGGGAAATAATTGTTCCATTTTTTTAGGCTTGGCTTCCATAGGAAGCTCTTCTAATGCATTCTGTCATGTGATTAATTTGTCAAAATTCCATACCTGTCAGAAATAATGTAATCTTTTCAAGAACATAGACAGTCTTATTACATGAAGTGATGTAATCCTATACTATTTATCTCCTCTGTATTCCTCATTCTCTTATTTTCTATTATTCTTCAAATAGAAGAGCTAAAGTCCCAACTAATGGGGATGTTAGAGATCATGCTAGAGCCTGGGAAAAAATGATTAATGTGGTTTGGTGGGATGCCAAGACAGATGCGCCACACCCTGCTCGGTGCAACAGCTGTTGTAGTAAAGACTGAAGGCATTACATAGGAGCATCATGTGTGACATCGAACGGGAGACAAAATAGTTTACTGTGGCTGAGACACTGACATTTACATATTCTTAACCATTATGTTATGTGTGTGCTGTTGGGGTAGTTATTATCCTAGGTTTTTCTCATTATTTATAGGTGTTTGTTTTAAAGAGAAACAATGATGAAAACCATGGTATAGAGAAAAAATGAGGAGAGGGTGTGTTTGTGTGTGTGTCTGTGTGTATATGTGCATGCATGCAACATGACTGGAAGTGTGGATTACCCATTGGTATTTCTCCAAAGGGGATTTAGAAGGGTTAATTCTTTCTGCGCAGGGCTGACAGCACATGACACAACTATCCAACCATGCCTTCTTCCAGATCTCAGTAGCAGTTCCAGTCACAGTGAGAACCCCAAACTCCCTGCCGTGTTTTCACACTCTCCTGGCTACCCAAGAGATGCATGATTTTCATCAGAGGAAGATACTGTGTATCCTAAAAATTCACATCTCATGGACTTAAAAAGATCTGGAAAATGCAAGGCTTAGAAAATGTTAGTGAAGCAGACTTTTAATGGCCCAGAATGAATCACTCAACTTGGCTGGAAAAAGCATTCTCTTCTATAGCTTCTGACAATGAACCATGGCATGGCTGCCCAGATACTTAACATTGCAATGAGGGCATCCACATGACAGTATAGGCAGCAAAGCACAACCCCTCAATACCTTAGAAAAGCAACTCACAGTTGGTTTCCCAGTAACATCATTTGACTGTAGGTGCTGCTTAGAAAGAGTCAATAAGCTCCAGATCCTGAATTCAAAGCCTTTTCCTGACACTGGAAGAAGAGCAGTGTGAGGCTTCAAATTGTTTCCAAAACGCCTACATTTCCAGCATCTTTTCTCTTTCCATTCCATTTCCAATCAGCTGCATTCCATCTAGCAAATTCTTGATATTAGGGCATACAGATTTTTAGAAAATTGAATTTTATTTCATGGAAAGGTTATTTTTTTGTGCAGTTAGAATTAGTGATCTTTGAGGAATATTGGGAATAGTTGGCTTTTCACATATTGATAACTGCTTCTTGATTTATTGTTTATCAGTGCTCTAAACAGGGTTTGGAAAATATTTGGAACTGATTCCTTTTATTTGCATATATGATATATCCCCATGTGTATTAGTTTTCACACTGCTGATAAAGACATACTCAAGACTGGGCAATTTACAAAATAAAGAGGTTTAATGGACTTACAGCTCCACGTGCCTGGGGAGGCCTCACAATTATGGCGGAAGGCAAAAGGCATGTGTCACATGGGGGCCGACAAGAGAAGAGGGCTTGTGCTTTTTAAAACCATCAGATCTCGTGAGACTTATTCACTATCACAAGAACAGCATGGGAAAGACCTGCCCCCATGATTCAATTACCTCCCACTGGGTCTTTCCCACAACATGTGGGAATTCAAGATAAGATTTGGATGGGGACACAGACAAACCATATCACCATGTTTCTTACAGTGCATTGTTTTGTGTGTCTTTTCCCCTATGGCCATACATTGTGAATCCATTTAGTTAAAGCAACTGAGTGGCCATTAAATGTTTTGTGCTAAATGTAAGAGATAAAACTGGAAAAAAGAAAAGGGGGGGAGGACAGTGCAAGATATCAGCCCTTGTTGCCTAGTCAAGAAACAGAGGAATCGTGAAAGAAAGCTTATTTTCCATGTTTGCAATTCCTGGGAATGACCAAACTGGTTTTGCAAACCATGTGAATTGAGTCCATGTGTATGCTAGGGGTGAGGGAGTTATTGAGACTAGTTTATTTGAGATATTCTGGGTGTCTTTTACTTTCTAAATATTCTTACTCCTTTTCTTATGGGGGAAAGAATTTTATGCAATAGACTTTCATTAAATTGAATTTTCACAACCAAATTGAAGCTGTTATCAGTTGGTTGAACTCTTGCTAACTGAATGACTATAAGGACAGGTTTCAATTTCTTCTTATTTAAAGAGTCTGATTTTTTTCAGCTGCTATTTTTTTTCCTCATATTTTCATGTTGCCTTTATCCAGTTGGCTGTTTACATTGTCAGTAATAAGAGTTAGAACTTCTAAGTGTGACATGTGTTTTTTATTTCAAGGACTTCTACTAAAATTGTTTCTTTTGCATGCATGCTATGGAAGGCTTGCTTAAAAACTTTGAGAAGACTCTAAGTAGAGCCCAGAATTTCGCTAAGAATGTGGACCTTTTCTTTGGTAAGTTGGCCATCCTGTAGAAAGCGAATGGCAGTTTCCTAAAGAAAACCCTAATATGGCTTCTTTGAAAAAAAATTGCCAACATGCAGTGCCAAATCGTATTTAGTAAAACCTTGTCCCCAAATAAAACCAGGGAAATAGGCACAAAGAAGAGAAACAGGATACATCAGTGCATGTTGCAGGAGGGTTGGATTTGTTGAAAGATTAATCATAAAGTATGTGGACAAAAGTGAATTAAGTAAGTATAAGATACAATGTCACTACCTATTTATTCATCTTTTAGCTAAATATATGCCTTCCCATGTCTGCGGACTTTTCCTCTCTTATTTTGACCAGCGCCAGCTCACCTCTGCTGGTGCCCACACTGGATCATGCTAAATTCAGGTCAGCATGCAAAGGGAATCAGCCTGCTTAGCTAGTGGATTTTCTAGGCATAATTTATACATACATAATTTTTAGTGTCAGGCCAAGCATTTTCATTTTTATAATTTCTTCTTTCTGATAGTAAACCATTTAATTTGGAGCAAATATAAATGATTCCTAATGAAGCACAAGTGAACAGAAGGAAATTACTTTTGTTAAACTAGTACTTCAATGTATTTTTCTCTCCCTTTCAAGTAGAGGATGACTATGAGAAACTGATACACAGTATTATTCATTATCTGGTTAGTTCACTAGATCAAGATGTTGATGTGTGGTGTAGAAAGGTGGAAAAAGTTAGAGAGTTAAAAACAGGTTGATACAAGCTGTTGAGAAAAAAAAATACAATGAGGCTACTTATGTTTTAAATCAAGAATATGTTTTCAGTGAAAATACTCTCTAATGATTCACAGAAGAATGTCAACTTGGACTACATCTGCTGAAAATCAAAGTGTAAGTAGTTATATGGCATTGAATTCTGGCAGGAGTCTATGCTGTGATATGAAACGAAAGTTCCCATCAAATGACAATACTTTATTTTTCTGCCTTTAAGAGTAGTTTTCTGACTTTAAAAAATGTTAACAGCATTTTTTCTCCTTCACATTACAAAGATAAATTGGCAACGTGCCTGTATGATTTCCAGAGTAGGTTTCTTAAAATAATTTTGATGGGAAGGTAATTGTTTAATGTCAGTGTATAAAGTTCTCCCATAGTTTAAACAAAATTAAATAAGAGAAAACACAAAGAGGAGGTTTTGTATAATTACTGGGAAAACATAGAAGGAACAATTAGGTAGTTAGACCTGAAAAGAAGTGAACTAGGGTTTTCAAATTTCATACTATTTATAGGGTTCCTTGCATTATTCTCTGACATCACTTGATTTTTTTGTTTCTGAGTTTGCAAATCAGAATAGCAGCATATTTATCCATTAATACATATTTATAGCTTTTTGCACTTATATATTTTCTATTCAAGAGTTTCATGATAAAATGAAATACACTGAATACATATTATGTGCAAAACAACACCATTACAAAAGTATACACTGATACAGATGCGAGTTAGAAAATTATATGCGGTGGGGCGTGGTGGCTCATGCCTGTAATCCCAGCACTTCTGGAGGCCAAGGTGGGCGGATCAAGAGGTCAGGAGTTCGAGACCAGCCTGGCCAACATGGTGAAACCCTGTCTCTACTGAAAATACAAAAATTAGTAGGGTGTGGTGGCGCACGCCTGTAATCCCAGCTACTCCGGAGGATGAGGCAAGAGAATTGCTTGAACCCGGGAGGCGGAGGGTGCAGTGAGCTGAGATTGCACCACTGAACTCTAGCTTGGGTGACAAAGCAAGACTCTGTCTTGAAAAAAAAAAAGAAAAAAAAAATTATATGCTTATATTGCAAGCCGCTTTGCATAAATAATCTGTTCTAATATAGGATTCATTTAGCAAAATTCATGAAAATAGACATAGTGTTTGTGCCCTGAACATCATATTGAAGGGTATCCCAGTCAATTAAAGGATAGTAATAAAGTATAAAAATTATTATTGATTACCTTATTTTTTTACAGTGTTATTTTTAAATACCTTGGAGATATCTTAAATTGTTATTTAGAATGTACAATTTAACATAAATTTAACTGAAGTTGGGACCTGCTTTTTTATGTTAAATTGTAGACTTTTTCTTACTCAATTGCCATAAATTCTAATAAATTCTAACTTTTTTGCATAACAGTGGAGAGAAAGTTTGAAATGGTTCATATGAGCAGCTTTGATTTTGGAATGAGACTGGGGACACAGCTCAAGGTTTCCTATTTTCTCCTGTCCCTCTCTTCTGGAATCAACCCAAGTGCCCATAGTGAATGAATCGGTAAAGAAAATGTGGTATATGTATACAATGGAATATTATTCAGCCATAAAAAGAATTAAATCCTGTTATTTGCAACAACATGGATAGAACTGGGGGTCATTATTTAAGTGAAGTAAGACAAGCACGGAAAAGCAAGTATCACATATTCTCACTCCTATGTAGGAGCTAAAAAAGTGGATCTCATAAGGATAGAGAGTAGATTGTAGATTGGTGTTTACCAGAGGCCAGGAAGGGTAGGAAGGAAGGAGGGATCCAAAGATTTTGGTTAATGGGTACAAATATAAATTAGATAGAAGAAATAAGAGCTGGTGTTCAACACGTCAGTAGGGTGAGTATAGTTAATATTAATCTATTGTACATTTCAAAATCTCTAAAAGAGAATAATTGGAATGTTCCTAGCATAAAGAAAATACAAATATTTAAGATGATGGATATCCCAAATACCCTGATTTGATTATATGAATGTATCAAATTATCACACGTACCCTCAAAATGTGTCCTTCTGTTACGTACCAACTTTAAAAAGAAAATAACATCATATAACAACTATAGCCCTTAGATGCAAAAAGACCTGAGTGCAAATATCATTCCCTTTCTTACTAACATCTAAGTTTCATATAGTCTTTTAGCTTCATCGTTTAACCCCGAAATCTGGTACCATCCTCTTCTATTTTCTTGATGACTAAATTAGATGGCATTATGTGTACTGTTTGACACATAGTTAACACTCAATGAAAGATAGTTATCTTCAGCCTTTGTACAAATAACTCTAGAGAAATATTAGTTGACCTATTGAAATGTGGCACAATCCAGGGCTCACCCCTCTCAGGATCATTAGCATTAGATTGAGGGTATTTCCCTGCATACCTCTCTCTAATACCAGAAACTCAATATTTTAGTAGTCACAGGGAAAAGATGATAGCAACAGTGCCATGGGTGAACTGTACTCTTTTTCTGTTCTTTGAGCATAACCATAATGAATCAAGAGGAAAAGGGGAAGGAACTGAGGAGTTGCCCACCAGCTGTTTCTACTGACTGTGGGAGGAATTTCCTTTGCTCTTTTGTTCTAAAAGATATCTAGATCATTTCAGCAAAAACCCATATTTTTAAATCAAAAAAAAGATCTATATGATTCTAGGGACACAGACACACACACACATACACACACACATACCCCTTCTTTACACCATTGTAGAATTGTAAAATTAACACGTACAGCTACCAAAGATTGCATCATGACACAGAAGGATTTCTAATGGCAGTACTTAATACCTCTCCAAAATACCTTAAGAGGGAAAACCACTTTGGTACATCTGTTGTCACTGAGTGGTGAGCACTTCTTATATTATCTTTATTCTCTAAGTAGTTGCTCTTCGTTATTTATTCATTGGCTCTCTAAATACAGCACTTACCCTTTTTATTCCCTGTCTGATTTCTAAAAATGGAACATTCATAAAATAACTCAGTATTATATAAAAATTTCTAAAGTGAGAATCTAGCTATATATCTGGAGGCTTAAACTCACATTGTTTTGTTACCAACACAAATGTTGAAATCTACTGAAAGAGTGTAGTCAACTTTTCCCTGAGCAAATTCATTTTGATGAGGCACTGTGGGAATTTTTGTCTGGAACTGGGTGTCATATGCTTACATCTCTGTCTAGGCTACTGATTCAGGGAGCTGTGCAATATAAAGATGAAATGTGATACACACACACACACACACACAGCCAGGAGAAATAAAATGTGAACCCAAAAGAATAACAGAATGAATCTATTTGCAAATGTAGTAAATTCCCATGTTTATAGAGAAACAAGAGGGAGGGTAACAGGGGACAAGACCAGTAAGAATTAGGGAAGCACATGGCTTATAGAATTGTTCATTATCTGATGTTTCCATGAATTGTGACACTCTAGGAGTGGAGTCTCAGCCCCTCCAGCACCCACTCTACCAACTTGGGCCCTTCAGTGCCTCGGTTTTATCATGGGGCTAATAACAATGCCTGCTTTCTACAATTGTTATGAGGATTAAATTAGCTATAACTAAAACACTTCCAGCAGCATCAAGTGCTATTTTTATTATTTCCATTACTAATTTTGTGTTTATGCATTTTGTGGAAAAGGAAACATGAACATTGTGTGGTTCAAATAGCCAAAAAAAAATTAAAATGTGATTACACTAAATTAGAATTTATGTGATTTTATTGCACCTGAAGGTTAACATGATTCTGGGATTCTAATAACAAAAAAGCTTTAAAACCATCTTGATTTGTTTATACAGAAAAACAGGAATTGGCCTGATAGAGAATGAAAACTATGAAATAGCTGGCTGTCTTGCTTTATTGATATTTTTCACAGGCTTTATTTAACTCCCAAAGACCTAGCCTAAACAATAGTATTTTTAGAGGACATAGTCACATAAATAATCTTTCTCATTTTGCTCTAAATGCCTGCTTTAACCACAGGGGGAAAAAATACAACTTTGTTCTTGTATGTTTAAGTCAAAGATAGTACACATAGTATATAATGTTAATTCCATATTAAAATGACCATTTGAAGAAAGTGTTCATTAAGAAAGATTACATTTACTTCAAGGAATTTTCTTGATATCAAGCAATATTTATTTTTCATAATTGAGCTTATGTGCCTAAAATAATCCACTCAAATCTGGATAAATCATAGTCTTCTATTTGCACATTCATCAACTAAACTCTCATATAAGGAAGGAAGCCACTCTACAAGTCATATTTCTGAACTGGGAATTATCTTTTCCTGTCATGTTTTTTGTTTTTGTTTGTTTGTGTGTTTTTCTTTGAGATGGAGTTTCGCCTTTGTTACCCAGGCTGGAGTGCAATGGCATGATTTTGGCTCACCACAACCTCTGCCCCCAGAGTTCAAGCAATTCTCCTGCCTCAGCCTCACGAGTACGTGGGATTACAGTTGTGCGTGTGCCACCACACCTGGGTAATTTTGTAGTTTTAGTAGAGATGGGGTTTCTCCATGTTGGTCAGGCTGGTCTCAAACTCCCGACCTCAGGTGATCCACCCGCCTCAGCCTCCCAAAGTGCTAAGATTACAGGCGTGAGCCACTGTGCCCGGCCTCCTGTCATGTATTTTTAACAGGAGTGTCTCAGGAATTTAAGCCCTTTATTTGGACTGACTCCCCTGTTCACTTATTTTTCTCAGTTCAGTGAGTGTTGCCAATAAGAGAGAGATTAGACAAAAAAGACAAAGCACATCATCTCTTTTCTAATGTGGATGTTACTCAGTGATGAGGGGAGAGCAGATAAGATCCCCAGTTACCAAAGCGATTAATAACATCATTCTGTCCATTCACACTCATTCAGCCAGTGTTTATTGAAGAGCTTTGTTTGTCTCTGTCACTGTGATCCTACAGGAAAGACAATACCTCCTCTTAACCAAGGTTGACAAGTAGCTACTCCTAGTTTAATAATTTTTGTAAAACTTTCAGAGCTGTTTTTTTTTTCGTATTACAAATTTACTACATTGGATCTACTACACTGTAGATTCTTCAGACAGAAAATACATATGGTCATGCTAAATAAAACAAAAATAATCTCTAGTTTCAGCACCCACAGTCTTCTAGTCATAGAGAGCAATTCCAGTTGTTGGCTTGAATAGTAAAGCTTTTTTCTAACACAAAACATTTGAGACTAGTAACTTCCTATGCATTTAGTTATCAGTTAATGTAAGTCTGTGTGTAATAAATACGACTTTCATTGAGTTTCGGGATGTCCTTCGTGTTCACGTGTAGCCCTGCCTCATCACCCACCTTAAAGTGGATTGCTTGTATCCAGTTTCTAGTCTCCTTGGCTCTTCGCATGAGGAGAGAGAGAAATGGGAAACCCTAATTCCCTGTTCACTTGATTCAACATCTACGATTTCATTCTATTTTAAAACTCTACCCTGGCAGTACCCTGCTTACTCATTCGTAGCTGCCTTCAGACATGCTATTCTCTGCTTGAACATAGTCGCTCTTAGTTCCTCAACTTTTATTTTCTCACTTAAGAGCCTGCTTCACTGAGAATCATTTCCTAGTGTCATGATTCTGAGGTGCCTTTTCCATCCACTCCTTCAGGCTCCTGTGCTCACCATGCCATGGCCTCAACACACTGTGCTAGAATATTGTTTTACCCCCTGACTCCCTAACTGGACTTTGAGTTGGTAGGTAGCATTTTATCTGTCTTCCAAGGATCTTAGCCATCTCCTGGCACATGGAAGTGGTCATAAAATATCTATTGGATATATGAATGAATAAATGGACTGACATCTTGTGGCAACATCCTTTCCCCCAGTAAAAACCAGAATGGAATATACTTCTTATAGTCCAGTGGTTCTGACTGAATAACATATTTATTTTGGTAGCAGAAAATGCCATTGTTTGGGAAAACTCAAGGCCATCTACTAACTTCTTTATTCTTGCATTGTCGTGATGATGTGACTGATTTCCACAGATCTCATAAAAATCATTCTCGGTATTCTATATTCTATTTCCTATGTATGAAAGGTGAATACTCTTGAGTCATTAATTCAACAAATTAATTCAACAGTTATTTATTGAATGTCAATTATGTTCCAGGCACAATTTTAGGTGGGGCTACAGCAAAGTATAAAACAGACAAAAGTTTCTCCTTTGGGGTTTACATTCCAGTGGAGAGAGGCAAGCAATAATAAAGATTAATATACAAAACAGTATATTAGAGGTGGTAAGTGCAATGGAGAAAAAGCAGGAAAAGAAGAGAGAGAATGAATGGGGGGAAGGGGGTGACAATTTTGCATTGCCTGGCCAGGGAAGGCCTTAGTGAGAGCTGGGTCTCACTAAGGAGGAAATGAGGGCTGGGTCATGCAGCTGTCTGGGAGAAGAGTCCCAGGAAGAGAGAACAGCATGTGCAAAGGTCCTGAGGTGAGAGCATGTCTGTTGTATTTTAGGAACTGTGTAGTCAACTGGAGAGCAGAGAGAATGCTGCTAAATTCTATTATCTATCTATCTACCTACCTACCTACCTACCTATCTTCTATCTATCTATTTAGTAACATTGTATCAGATTACTTTATATATATATTGTATAGGCTGTCAAACTTCATTCATATTTTTATTTACTAATTGACCAGGCAGTTATTTACCACCTACCATGGGCCAGGTTCTATCTTAGGTATTTTAAGGAAAGTAAAATCTATTAGATATAGTTCTTGCCCAAAAGAAGTTTACGAAATAATCAGAGATAAGACACATACAGGACTCATGACACGAGATGAGCTCTCATAAGGAAATGACTACTCATTGGCCAGAGAAACAGCTAGAGAATGACATCTGGGCTTCTTGGAAGAGATGGCATCAAACTGCACCTTGAGAGGCATACAATGCCAACGGCACATCATATGCAATGGTGTAAACGGGGGCACACCCACTGAGTCACTGGCAGTGCAGGATCTGTGAAGGCAGGAGTGATAGGTAAGGTCAAAAGGAAAGCTTTGGTCAGCATTTGAAAGCCTTTGAATGAGTATATATTTTGTGAATTCTCTTCATTAAAAATGTTCTAAGATTTGTCATGATGTTCAGTGCCTTGGTCTTCATAATTCTGTGTTGCCCTCACCTAATTGCCAGCATATTTTAGTTAAATTCAATTAGATATTTCAGTTAGCTATATACATTTTTCAGATTGAAAGCTGTTAACAGGTTGTATAAAACCTGTTTCTTATACTTTAACAAAATAATTTCCAAGTGTACTATGCGATTTTTAATTCTAGAAGGTTTTCTATTAAAATGAAAATGAAATGTATGAAATCTGTCTCTTATTATTTCAGTCTTCTATAGGTTTTCGAGTGTAAATTAGGGAGAAATGCAGAATAATTTAAAATTAAAGTTACTTATAGAGAAAGCTGAATAGAAAAATAATGTGTATATAGCATTTGTTTTTCTAGAATAAAGTAAGCACTTATTTAGCTTTTAGGTTTCAACTATATTGTCTTTCTCTTGAGCAGATTTTACATAGAGCTGGTATGACATATCTCAGTGTAATACATAATATATTACTAATGTCTTTAAATTCAGAAGATAAGAAAAAACTTTGAGATCAAGTTTTTAATTTGGGAAAGGTCTAATTAAACTCCTTACATTGGGATATTTGAGTTAATTGTTAAAGTGCTAATTCAGTTTATCAACCACTTGTTATCACATAGTTTTATCAACCTACACTGTGAAATAAAGGAGTCTAGGGTTTTTTTTTTTTTTTTTTGGAAGGAAACGTATTTATCGAAAGAGATTTATTTAGATTATTCTACATATTCTCTGGGAATTTGTAGTGTTTCTTAAAGTTGGACTAAATGTTGAATGGGAGGATAGGAGGAGAAGGCGATGGACCCTACAGGTGCAAACTCTTTCCAAATCACCAGGGCTTTGGCTGTTACTCACTCACCCCCGCCTTCCTTGCTCTTGGAGCCTTCAGATTTTTCCCCAGTAGCTTCACCTTACAGCAAGCTTAGCAGAAGCAGTTCCACAGCATGCCAACCCCCCTCACTTTTGAATAATCCAGAGACTCCCTGTGCCACAGATAACATGCAATCATAAATCTTCTCAGCTTCAGCAGTTTTCGTCTTCTAAATTCAATTAAGTTGAGCCCAGTAAGAATTTGTGGATCAAACAGTGAGCTCTATATAGATTCAAATTCAACTTAGGGTTCTGATGTTTGTTACTAATTTTCAGGAAAAAAAAATAAAAGAAAAATACTGCTGCTATTTTCTAAAGCTTCCTTATAAAGGTATTTCTTATTGAAACCAACTCATATTTCTCAAATTCCTAGACCACTATCTGTCATGCAATTTGAGTCTGTTTTCCAAATGGTAGAGTGCCAGAGAATCAAAAGCTGCTTGTTTTGCTTGCCTGATTTTCTTTAGCATTCTTTGGAGGATTTAAAGTATGGGGGGAAGAAAAGGAAACCTGACTTACATTAAGAGCTGAACATGAAAAAGGGATTAGGCAAAGCTTTAACTTTTTCATTATGCAAACTTTCCTGAACTATAATACATATCTTTATAGAGTTTTATTAATTGTTGGGGCTGCAATTTGGATTTTGCTAAAAAGTATTTACTACTAAAAACTTCAAGGTTGTTACTAAACACATCAATCATTTTACATTTGGCCCCTTTGCATGGTGAACAGACCGTCCTTCCTCCATCTTTTGTTGGGGAATACCTGGCTGAAGGTCTCAGTGAAAAGCTAGGAAGATACTCCTCCTCTGAGGGAGACATCTGGCTTCTTGGCTGATTCCATGCACACTTTTGTTAATGGGCTCAGATTCCCCAGAATTCTTTTATGTGGTTACATTGTAGATGGACTGTCTGCATAGTCTTGTCCTCTTGAATGATTTATGTAGAGGTTAAAAATACATATATATTTGGTCTGGTTCTTAGAATCTACGCATAAGATTAAATGAATCTCAGCAAGTTCAGTTTTGGAAAAAAAAATTAAATTTATTATTACAAAGGCAATCTAGTAGAGGATGTAGATTCTCGAGCCAGAATGCTTAATTTGAAACATGGATTTGCCACTTGCTAGCTATACAGTGTTGGACAAGTTATTTAATCTCTTTGTGCCTTCTTGGTTTCCCTAACCACATACAGGATGATAATAACAATATCTACCTCATATGTTTCCATGAGGTTTAAATGGTTTACACTGTCAAAGCTTTTAGGACAGTGCCTGGCGCGACTAAGTACTCAGTGAGTGTTAGTCATGATGTCATGATTATTCATGGTATTCACCAGACAAGAATATGTTCTCATTTGTGTATGATTTAGGATTAAATTTGGGACTAATATTGAGTGGTTCAATGCTAATTTTGATAAGGCTCATGGAGGTGTGTGGTCACTTTTAGTGGAGAGTAACTTTAATTCCTTTTTACATAGTGAAAAAAAGAGTTCACCTTCCACTCACTAGACTTGATTTTGCAGACTCCCTGTTCTGATCTGGATTTTATTATGAGTGAAATGAAGTTAGTGACTCAGTGGTCCATAGGTCATTAGTCTGTAGCTGCTCTGTTACATGGAAAAGTCCTGAATGACAAAGGTCTACTCAAGGGTGGGTTGGCAAGGTAATTTAGAAACCTGTATTATTCCCAACCAAAATTGGAGCATAAAACCTTCTATTCACTATCCAAAAAGGAAGTGAAATCAGCCCCACATAGAGATGTATGCACTCCCATGTTTATTGCAGCGTTATTCACAATAACCAAGATATGGAAAACAGTTGAAGTGTTCATAGATGGTTGAATGGATAAAGAAATTGCAAAATATATACACACAAAAAAAGAAGTGTTATTCAGCCTTAAAAAGGAGATTATGCCATTTGTGACAACATGGATGAACCTGGAGGACATTATGCTAGGTGAATATGGCAGACGCAAAAAGAAAAATACTGCATGATCTCACTTATATGTGGAATACACGTACTTTCTATAGATAGATAGAAATTGTATATAATTTCTGTTCCCTTCCTCAGGGTAATTTAAATGGATATTTTAAAATAGAGGGCTATTAAGCTGTTGAAACATTTCAAATACAACTATAACCTATGTATATCTCTATATGTGGAATCTAAAAATAAAAAAGTCAAATACATAGAAACAGAGGGTAGAATGGTAGTTACCAGAGATGGGAGGAGGGATCAGGAGGTGTGGATCAAAGTTTACAAAGTTACAGTTATGTACGATGAATAACTCTAGAAATCTAAAGCACTGGTGTGAAGATTATAGTCAATAATACTGTAATGTATACCAGAAATTTATTAAGAGTATGGATGTTAGAAAATCTTTCACAAAAAAGAAAGGTGACTGTGAAAGAAATGATATGTTGATTGTCTTATCATTTTACTAAGTATATGTGTATGAAAACATATGTTGTACACCTTAAATATATGTCCTCCCCCCATATAAAATTTCTGTTCCCTTCTTCAGAGTCATTTAAGTGGATATTTAAAAAATAGAGTTATTAAGCTTTTGAAACACTTCAAATACGTCAGCCTATGCATATTAAAATTTTAATGCAGCAAATTTACTAATATTTGCAAAACCAGTTTAGATAGAGATAATATATAGATATATAGTCAGATTCTGACCATGTCCTAAGTGTTCTTAGTATCTATTGATGAATAGATTTCATTAATTTAATGAGATGATAGTATACTAAAACTTGTCTAAGTAAATGGTTGGCGTCCTTGAAACTTCCTATTGAATACAACATGAGTAAAATGTTCGTGTAAAGTAAATATTTTTCAAATAGGGATGTGTTATTGGTGTTTCTTAAATATAGATTACTTGCTGCTGCTTTTTAAATTGGATATAAACTTTAAAGTGAACAGCATTGTAGGAAGTTGAAGAGGAAGAAAATATATTATTTTGAGAAGGTATTATTTAAATCTATATAAATCCAACTTAATTAAGGACATTGGATAATTACTATTAAGGTCACAAATTTATAAAAATTTACAAACTAACATGAAGTTTAACAGCTTTATTCAAGAGTAAAGTTCATGAATTGACTGAAAGAGCTCCTCCTAACCAAAAAAAAAAAAACTTCTGTATTTTTCCATAGAACTAAGGTCTTAATTCCTTCTATCAATCATGTGTTTTCCCCGTTTGCATTGAAGGCTCCCTACTCTGTCCTGCAGCAGCAGTCCCTCCTGTTGGCAGGGCTTTTCTCTCCTCCTGGGGGCTTCCTGCAGTCCACTTCAAACAGGGCTCTGGTTCCCTAGCGGGCCTGTTAAATTATTACCCTCAGGTGTTGATTCATCCTTGGCATTGTTGCATTTTACCATTTTGTAGTCTTCAGGCATGGGGGAAGGGGAAGAGAGTTGAAGAAGATCAAAGTAGCAGTACTGAAGTTGGAGCTTTAGAGGTGGGGATGAGCCCTCAGCCCCTCTGCTGTTCCTCCCTGCCCTTCCCCCGCCTGACCCCAGCCTACCCCCACCACCCCCTGACTTTCTGCCCTCTCAAGCCTAATCAGAAGACAGAGGGGGCTATGTGCTTGAACTGTTTACTTACAAGCACTTTATTTTTACTTTTGCATACAAGCAACAAACGGTTTAACACTACATGATGTTTTATTGTATAGTACAACTGTATAAACAGAAGATAACAGATGAGGACTTACTATTTTTTTGATTCGGTGGTTTTTGAACATACACTCTATTCTCTGTAAGACACTGTGGGGGAAGGTTATGATGAGCAAGAGACTCCTTGTTCCCAGGCAGTGCTGAGTGAAATAGTTAATAAATTTTTATGGAGCGGGACCCAATTATTACTTGTGTTATAGAGCACAAATATGAAACTCCATGAGAAAAGCACATCAAAGGGAAACACCAGCATGGTTTTTAAATATCTGTAATCAGTAAAGTATTGCATGTTCTTTTTAGAAAATCAGAAAATACTCAATTTATTAAACTAAAAACACAGTCACTCTACCCAGAGTTAACCACACTTTGGCACATTTAATTTTCCATATATGTGTGTGTGTGTATCTGTATATCTGTCTATCTATATATATATATATTCGGTCTTTTTTTAATTTTTGTTTCATAAAATGTATGACTCAGTCTATCTTGCTTTTTAAAAACTCTACATTATCTTATGAATATTTCACCATAGAATTGAAAGTTATTTGCATAATATATCAGAGCACATAATAATTTATGTATGTAATCATTTTCTTATTTGGGGATATTTCTGTTCCTTTCAGAATTTGTCCTCTTATAAATAATTCATTGAATATATTTGTGCATAAATCTTCTCATATTCCTGATTTTCTTAGAGTGAACTTCTAGAAATGCAATTTCAGGTCAAAGGTCATGCATATTTTAAAGCTCCTGAACATTTTGCCAGATAGCATTCCATCAAGCTTATACCATTGAAAAGTCAAAGCCAGCATGGCAGAGGAGTTCTTGTCTCATGCCTGTCAGCACCTTGTTTTGTCATTGTAAACTATAATTGTTGCTGTTCTGTTCCCTTCTTCAAAGTCATTTAAATGGATATTTTAAAAAGTAGAGGGTTATTAAGCTTCTGAAACACTTCAAATACAACTTCAACCTATGCATATCTATTAAAAGTTTAATGCAGCAAATTTACTAATATTTGCAAAACCAGTTTAGACAAAGATAATATATAGATATATAGCCAGATCATGACTTTCATGATGTAAGTGTTGGTTAAGTAAAAATTATGAGTTTTTTAGTTTGGCAGATTTTTAGTTTATTTTTAAAAGTACAATATGCAAACAGAAAATTATACATATCATAAATATGCAGTTTTGTGAATTTTCATAAAACTGGATACACCCATGTAATCCGTACCCAGAGAAGACATCGAATGTGATCAATTCCCAGAATCCTCCCTCATGCCCTCTTCACAATCATACCCCTTCTTCCTGACTTTCAACACTGTAGATCAATATTGCCTGTGTTCTACTTTGTATAAATGGAATTTCGTGTAATGTATGTATTTTTTGTGTGTCTGGCTTCTTTTGCTTAACTTTGTATTTGTAAAATTTATGCATTTTGCTATGTGAGAGCATGTGTTTGTTATAGTCTCCATTCGTTTTTGTTTTGTGGCCCTAATGTTGAGTGAGACCTCATTAAGATGTCATGTCTTGATACACCTTACATGGTCTCTGAATGATCTTTGCTTGTTTCCTATTCAGCATAGATCTCATGGCTCACCTTTTCAACCACTAATCTTCCAACAGTCTTAAGTTCCTGTCTCCTTTTCTCTTCATCTTCTTTACATTGTGGCCTTTGGCTGCTGGTTGTTTTTGCTGTCCTCTTCATCGGACTTCCTTTGGTGGGTTTGAAGTGGCTATTTCCATACTCACCACAGCCCAGCAGCTGGATGTGGTAAGGACAGGGAGAACAAGCCTGCACACCTCTCTTACACTCCCTTCCATTAGATAGGATGCAGTCATGTGTACACTTACATATAAGAGATATTCTAAAGTACAGAATTATGGTTGGGGGCCCAGGAGCACAACTTAAATCCTATTTATTGCAAAGGAAGAAGGAAATCATAAAATACTGGGGATAACTATGAAATGTGCTAGAAAACTCTACCAATTTGTTCTTTATTCTCAGCTAGGCCATTAATCCTGCCTGGAAATTATTCTGTTTCACAGACAACTCTCTTTTATTTCTAATAGTATTTATTTAAAAACTTCTCCACTCTCCTTAAACTTACTATGTTTCATCTTGCCTTCATAGTTCCACATTTGAAGGTCCTGACTCCCACTTCACGGATAAATTAAAAGCCTGTCTATTGTGCCTCATTCTGTAAATGGCCAATTCTCTCTATATATATTCTGGGTCTCCTACCATTTCAGAGGTTACCAAAAACTTTTGTGTTAACCCAGTGATTTTTTTTTTTTTTTTGGGCCTTTACTTTCTTAACCTCTGCTAAATTTATCACTATTGACGTGTTAACTACTTCTTAAAATATTCTTTTTTTAGCTTTCTAAGACAGTATCTTTCTGGCTTTCCTGCCATCTTTTGATTCTCTTTTTTTCTGATATCATGTATATGTTCCTCTTTTATGCTTATCCCTTAAGCAATGTTGCTTCCCAGTGTTCTATCACTTGTATCTTTTTACTTACCACACTTTTCTGGGGTGACCTCTTCCATACCCATAGCTTGAATACCCAGTATATGCTGGTGAATCTTAAATCTCTGTTTCCAGCATAGATCTCTTCTGTGAAGCTTCCTGCTGACTGCTGGATATCTCTACTTGCATATCCCTTGTGCACCTTAAACTCAACATGTCCAGAATTGAACTCACATGCATCTGCAAAGATTCTCCTCTTTCTTTTCTTCTTATCTTGGTGCATCGTGCCTTCTTCATCACAGAAATCTGGATGTCCATCCTGATTCTTTTTTCATGCTCTCTCCTCGTATTTAATCAATCACAATTCCCTAGAAAAATGTGTCTTCTTAAAATTTCTAGAATCTATTGACTTTCATTGATCTCTACTGTTACTACTCCAGTTCATACCCATAATCTGTCACCTTGGTAGTGGAGTCTCTTGATCATTTCCCTGCATGTGGTTTTCTCTTCTAATCTATGCATCCAGACATGTAAGACCCCCATGGTGTGGTGCCTGCTGACATTTCCACCTTCTTCTCCGATCCTCCATGTTCTCTATGCTCATCTCCATGTCTTGGTTTTTACATGTGTTGCCCACTCTGCCTGGAATGTCCTACATTTCTTTGTCTAGCTTCTGTTTAGATTTCGAAAAAAAAGGTAACAGTTTTCTCTGCCAACAACCTTTGTCTGACTCACACACTCCCAAGGTTTCATGAAGAATCCCTCGTATGTATTCCCCAAAGCTTGCCGTTATGATAGATTACTTAGAAAAATGTATTTTAATTTTCTACTGATTTGATGTTACCTTTACTAGACTTTGAGCTTCTCATTCCTCACTGTATCTATAGATGTTATTTAAAATATTTAACACGAGATACAGCATTGGCATGGATCCAATAGAAAGAAGGGTGGGGCCCTTTGCTATGCCAGGCTATATCTCTTCAATTCACTGGACTTCACCTGGCTTCCTCCTTTCTGCACCATGGCCTGAAAATTTTCCCCAGGGGGTAAACTGGAGCAATCATAGGGCTCACCAGATTTGTTTTCCATTTCCCAGGGAGCACTGTCTCATGCTGCCTGATGTTCAATATCTTGAGAAACATTATTATCTGTATTTTATTTAGTTCTTTTTAGTTTTTTTCAGGTGGAAAGATAAGTTAGTTCCCTGTTACTCCATCTTAGGTAAAAGCAGAAGTTACACCATGTCTGTTACCTGTTTGAGGTGGGTGACGTTATATGTCAGTTATGGACTTTTATTGATATACTTAGAGAATAACTTAAAGATGAAGGGACATCAGAAATAAGCATTTCTGGAGCCTTTATTTTATGCCATATTTTTTATGTACATGAATTTATTTCATCCAATTTGGTAAATCTTATTGTCCTGTTTTACAGATGGGCAAATTGTAACTAACCCTGTAACTAACCAAAGTTCACAAAGCTAGTCACATCCAGCTTTCAAACTCAGGCTTGGCTGCTATCAAACCTGCCTCCTTTCTCACTTACCCACACTGCTGGTTTGGTAAATTCCAGAGCCTTATTGTATTGACAAAGGACCTCATTACTGGGTAGGTAAGTGATCCACTAGAGTGAAACTGTGCCTTGGTCCTGAGGTGAAGCGAGTCTTTTTACCTATCTTCTTTTTTGTAAAACCCTCCAGTAGTTCCCCATTCCTCTCAGAATAAATGCCCAAGAACTTACAATAGTCTGAAAGTCCAATGCAGCCTAGCCCCCCATGATATCTTTGGCTCCACTTCCTCCTCTTCTCTCACTGCTCGGTCTTTTCTGGGCTGCTGGCCTTTGCTCTGTCTGAGCCTGCCAGACGTGCCTCCTCTCACAGCCTTTACGCAGGCTGTTCTGTTTGGAATTTTCTTCCCTCTGGTATCTGCATGAATGAGGATTATGAGACACATGTGCCAATTATATTTAAATTGTACCCTGCCTCCTCATCAACACTGTCGATCTCTGCTTCAGGTTTTCTCCTATAATTTACCATCTCCTGACATAATGCACAATTTACTTAGTTATTAAAGATGTGGGGTTAAGGAGTTCCAACTCCTCTGTGCACTTTTATGCACTTAGAATGGTGCCTAGTACATTGTAGGTGCTCTGTAAATATTTGTTAATTAATTAATGTCCAAGGTCCTGTGCCAGATAAGACATCTCAAAAAACTCATAGTCTAATGGGAGGAAACAGACACACAACAAGTATAAAACAGCGTGGAAGGGCAATAGTAGAGATATGTATAGGGAACATCACAAGCATTTAGTTTATTCTGAATGGCTCAATAAACACTTCCAGCAAATGGTAAAGCCTTTGCTAATCCCTTAAGGATAAGTTGGAGTCTGTCAGGTAAAAAGAGGTAAGGTTTTCCGAGTAGAGTGAATCTTTGTGCAAGGATATGGGATCAGAATCAGCATGCCTTGTAGAGGACACTAAGATGTGATACTCTGGGCAGTGAGAACTCATGGAAGGATGCTTGTTAAGGGAGTGCCATGGGCAGATGAACCTTTATGGAGGGAATACTCAGGCTACAGTATCAATAATGGATTTGAAGAAGATGAAATTGGAGGCAGGAAAGATAATGGAAGGTTGTTGCATAGTACAGGGAGGAGTTAAAATGCAGATAAAGGACTGACTCATAAAAGTTTAGGAATTTAAAGCATCACGCTTTTTTATTTGATGGGATTTGGTTAGTGAGGGAAGGGGAAAAACCAGGTGACTCCAGGAGACTGTCAGTCAGTGCCTCTTGCACATTTTTTTTCCTGAAGTCAATTAATAACTGTCTATATTGATCAAGTGTTTTGTTGATTTGTTTTGTTTGATCTATTTTAAAATCCTTACAAGGTCCCATTTTCCATGAGGAGGTTAGGAGGGGAATGAGAAAGTAAGAGAACCTATCTCTGCATCACTAGATTGAGCTTCAGATAGAATTTCAACATCATATAGATAAGATAAAGCATTACGTATATATTATATTACATTGATATCATAGAAGAGCAAAACTGCACATGCATAAGAATTTATACACCTATATTTTCGCATTGAGAATAGAGGCCCCAAATGTATTTCAGTTTGCTTGGCAGAAAAGAGTAGAACCACACTCCTTGATGTGAAATTGCATATTCTCTTTGTGTCCCTCTGCTCTTCACATACCTTGACTCACACATGAATAGGAGAATAGGGCAAAGCACCATCTCCCTATAGCGTTCAAACGGAATGTTCTAGAAATGAGTGGAGTTGGCCGGGGCCCACTGCCCTCTGTGGTTACGCCACTGTGGGTGCAGGGTAGGTTTGGGTGTATGCCGAACACCTACTGCCCATGTGAAGGAGAGCAAAGCAATCTGTTGATGAAGCAGTTTGTTGTCATTGTTCCTATTCTGATCGTTATTTGAAACAGTTGTCTTGGCTATCGATTTTTGCAATGATGTTTTTGATGTGTCATTTGAATGTGAAACTTAAAATTAAGAATATTAGAGTTGGAAGAGATCCAGAATCATTTAGAGCAAATCTACTGAATTTATTGATGGGGTAATTAAAGGCCAGAGAGGCAAAATGATTTGCTCAATGTTTGTGGCATTTCAGGCAGAACCAACACTAGACGTTAACTTCTTGGGTCATTGGGTCACACTTTGGTTCTCTTTGCACTCTGTGAGTTATGAGGCACCTAGACAAGGAAAGGAAAGCCATTTTTAGGAAGATGTGTCTGTTATTATAGTAGGTTAGGAAGGAAGATTGAAGTTTAGAAGATACTGTCGTGTTTCAGACCTGAGACAGTGAAAGAGGACCTGAATAGGGTGGAGTGAATGGGAAAAAGAAAGAAAAGGTGAATATGACATATATTCAATATATGTCAAGATAAACTCATAGGACTTGTGATGAGTTAGGTAATGCAGAGCATTTGTACTTGGTAGTTAGAATATATATGTTCTATATAGGCAAAAACACATACACACACACAACCCTCATACATATACCTATCACAGATACACTCTGTATTGGATATTCATAACATGCATATCACTAATAAAAACAAAACAAAACAGCAGTCAAAACGTTATTTTCTCCTTTAATCTTTGTAAAAACACTGAGAGATATTGTTGTTCCCTTTACATAGAAATAAGGCTCAAAGGGTTTAAATGTTTGCCTAAAGTCATAAATTAGTGTGAGGAGCTGAGGTGGGACTTGAAGACAAGTTTCTTAATTAAAATCTGTTCTTTCCACAGGCGCCCTTTCACTCACCCCAAGCATGTAGGGTCTGAATTTTCTTCTGTGGTGAATTTTTAAACCTGTTATATCAGTCTATTCCTTTATTTTAGGCAGTGCATAGTACGGCTCCTCAGAAAACATATATCCCACACCCTCTTATCTGCTTTTCCAGATTTAAGTTGCCTTAAGCTATTGGTTTCCTCTGTTTGACAGCATACACCATAGTGTTTAGAGATGTAGTGCATTATGGCATTAATTTTGCCTGGGGTCTTTCTCGAGCTATTCATCCTTCAGCAGCTGGAGGAGAGCCATATACACTCTAAATCTGTGTACTACCTAGCGAAATCTGTAAAGCCAAGCTTCCCATCCAGGTCATGATTCACTGCATCCTAGGAGTTTGTGCATAGAAGCTTGACTCTTCAGTATGGTGTCTGAGTAACAGATCACATTCTTCATGGATGTGACAGTTGTGGCTTCTCTTTGGGCTTTGTTAGGCATAGGCTAGACTGTTAGACATCTTACAAATCTCCTCTCCCCACAGTGCCTTACACAGCACCTTGTCTGTATTAATTGCTCAAAAACATTGTTGAATGCATGGTTAATGAAAGTTATTATTGGCATTATTCTGTGGACTTTTTTCTTTGACATTTAACATTTAAATATATACAGATGCATATATATACACATACATTATATATACACACAAATATTAAACTATACATATGTATTCTCCATACATTTCAAATATACATAATTGATAAGTCAGTACACAGATAAGTTGTATGAAATCTGAAACATGAAGTTAAGGTTTTGTGCAACATGAGTGCTTTATATTTTAGACAGATTAGCTGGGGAAATGGTAGTCCAGGAACTAAGCACAACTCTATAAATAAGGGCAACCAAATAGATATGAGGGATCTAGAGATAAACATTTTCAGTTTAGAATACTGTATATTTCTTTTTTTTGACATATATTTGAAAAGAGAGAAAACGGTAAACCCAGGAGCAGTAATTTCTAAAGTAATAAAGATTTACTTACATGGCCTTCTGTTCCTTTTGTTGATAAGGATGAATAGAATGATATAATGCCCTGTTCTCTCCCTCTAGTTTCTGGGCCACTGTTATATTGTCTAATAATATCCACTCATAGGACATAGGGTGGCCTTTCTCTCTTTTTATAAGGGTATAATTATCCAGTAGAAAGTCAATATTCCTTTCATCAATTTTTAAAATTACTTAATTTCTTTTGTTTCGATAGGTATAGGCCCTGCACGGCCTTACAAATGAGTAAGGGATACAGCCCAGGAGCAATGTCCAGCTGCACTGTTTTTACTTACATAAACTCATGAACAGTGTGTCAGCCAGCTTTACACACTGTGACCGTGAGGGATGTATTTTCCCAAACATTACTGATCCTTTATTGAAATGGAAAATTTAGTTTGCATGTGGAATAATTTCCCTTTGCAAGTCAATTGTGATTTATTAAATTTCCTTGTCCTTCACAAGATGTCAATGGTGTTATCTCTTGATACACCTCAGGACACGTCTTGTCTGTTTGTCGTCACTAGGCCTTCATGATATACAGCCTTTATGATATGTCTTCCTGAACTCTGAACTCTTGTAGGAAATGGATTCTATCATATAAAACTCAGTATCCTCCAAATATGCCTCAGATGAAGTAGATTTCAGATAAATATTTGTAAGTTAATGAGATAATTTTATCCTGTATGAAAATAATTCTGAAATGGAAGACAGCATGTAGATACATCGTAAATATTGTTCACTCTATGTGGACATCTCTCCATGGCAAAAGAAGACTCAGACAAACCAAACTATTATACTACCACCAAAAAAGTCTGTGCAATTAAAAAACAGTGCAACACAATGCAACAATGCATCCAGCCATGATGGTCTGAATAGGTGCAATCTCATTAAGGCAGAACACCCCCATGACTGCTTCATCTTGCATCTGTGGTGCCTAGCATGGCAGCCAGTACATGGTGGGCATTAAAGATAGACATTTATGAATGAATGAATAAGACGCCCCACATTTAAAACTCAGAAAATATGTTTTATGCTATTAGTTTTGCTTGAGGTCCCATTTAGTATGTGTTATGTGTGAAGGTGGGAATAGTGGCATTGTAAAATGGAAGGAGTACATTTTTGAGGTGATTAGCCATAGAGGAAAAGCTGTAGGAACCTATTTGGGCAAATGACACCACTGTGCAGGAAATCTCTAAGGAGATCTGTAATTCTTGGCTTTAGTACAACACCAAAAAAAAATCATCCATACCTTATTATGCAGAAATTTCCCATTATTAAGAGATGTTAATAGTGAATATGCATTCATATTCACTATTAAGAGAATGAACACTTATTCAGTATCCCCTCTGGGCAGAGCTGATTGATAAACATCCTGGTGTTAGGCAAAGACTATAGAAAGAAGGGGTACCTTGTGTAAAATGTAGGTTTTCTCTCCTGATTATGATTTTTGCCATTACTACAAACAATATGTTGCATTTGCATACAACTTACAATTTTGAAAGCATCGTCTCAAACATACATTATTCTTCACTCCATCTTCCTTGTTAGGACAAGAGCTGTTTTTCTGGTTTCATACATGAAAGCCTAAATAATGTCTCTCACCTGGGAAAAAGTAGAGACAGGACTAGAGCCCAAGCCTTCCAGGCATCCATTCTTTCTGCCTGCCCACTTAGACTTAAAGTAAGACTCTGACAGCAGGCTCTTGAATTTACCTTTGCTTATATTATAACAACATCCAAAGCAGGGACAACCTTGATGACCTTGACCAACTTTAACACTTGTGTAAATACAAGAAAAATCAACTTTGCTAAACTTGTGGTGTGCCCATAGGTGACAGTAAGCTAAAATGCTAACTCCATGGCATAACTGCATTTGCTACATGCAGACAGATAGAGTTGATGTTTGTCATGGTATGAGCCCAGGGAATCAGACAAGTACTTCTCTAAACTCTTCCCACTCAACTTAATACAAGGTAAGCAGGTCCTGCAGTAGTTCAAGGACCTGCTGCACACTGTATACAGAATAGGGTACTGTTTAACAGCCTTTTATCTGTCATACGTTTCTTTTCACTTACTACTGTTACTGTAGCCTGCCTCCACATCAAGCTTCGCTGCAGAAAGGAGATGGATAGACACCTTTAAAGAATTATTCTTCCCCCACTTCTTCCCTCCATTTGGCTTCCTCTTAGACTGTGCCTCAAGTGAAGACAAGGCTAGTTACGGCCTCATTATGCAAGAGGTCAGAGTGAGATGTGAGGTGTCTACCTTTCTCTCTAAGCAGATGCACCCAACCAAAGTGTGCAGAAAGAACCACTGCTGTTCCTACTACACGCTGATTACAGTTGCACCTGGAGCCACATTCCAGCATCAGTGTCATTCAGATCGTCTTAGTTCTATCCAAGAATTCTTGTAGAACCTAAGAAGGAGAGCTGATCAGACTACCAGCACATTAACTCAAACATGCCACGGAGTCTAAATAAATCAAGTAATATCATACTTGGGATAAGATTTAATATACTGAGTTTGTGGGCGAGCCACGATGTTTTGAATCTATTCCATATGCCTAAAATTTGGTGATGATATGTCTTATTTAGCATGAGTTCTCAAGAGTAGCCTTAGACATTGTGCATTTCCGTGTCTTGATATTTGGACATTTTCTTGTGGGTGTCCTGAAGCTCTTCCTCACTTTGAGGTGACATTGAATTGCAAAGTCTAGACTTTTCTGAAATTGAGAATTATATTATGGGATGGGATTGAAACCATGGTTTTCTATTGTTTTGCTTAAAGCTAACTTTGAACAACAACAGCTCAGCTTTAGAAGGTGTTTTGCCTATAAAACCATTCACATAATCAAAAGCTGAAGTGTATGCAGGATCAGCTTAATCAGGACAGAGTTATGGATAGCCGTATACTTCCCTAGTGTTTATAGATAGGATTGTGAATTTGGAAGGGAAACCCAGTCAGCCTAAATTACTTGTGTTATAACTGGAGAGTTCACTATTCTCCATTATAATGGGGTTTTGAAGATATGATATGCCTACAAAACTCTTTTTTGTTTTTAAACTTACTATCTTTTTTCATTAGTAAATATGTGAAAGTTTTAGTATCAGTGCTTTTTGCTTTGAAAGGGAATACAATTATTAATTTTACCCATTTCTTATTATGATATTGCAAACAGACAACAGCAGAGACAAATACACATGTGTACCCACTTGCTACCTATATAAGGCCTTATAATCATTTTATATTCACTATAGATCGTAAAAATAAACACTACAGACTCTGATGAGGGTCTCTATACTCCTCTGAGATATCGACCCCATTGCTCCTTGAGAAAAACACTATCCTGAATTTAGAAGTTATCATTCCCATAAGTGCATTCACATTATATTTTAGTACATATTTATGAATTCAGAAACAATATATAATATGCTTTTGCCAGTTTTAAAAATCCACATAAATATAAAATTGTATGCATAATGCTGTGACATTTAAAAATCTAAGATTATATTCTTTATATTTATTCCTATTAATACATGTAGCTCTAGCTCATTTATTATAACCGCTGTATAGTATTTCATTGTAATTATATGGCATAGACTATGCTCTCTTTTAGATAGACATTTAAGTTATTTCTAATTCTTAACTCTTAGAAACCATGTTATGGAATAATTTTTCTGGAGTTGAAACAGAAAAGAGGAATTTGGGGACTTAGTGCAAGGTACTTGCTTCACCATTTATTGTGTAATACAAGTTTTAATAACAGTAAATTAAAGTATTAGAATGTGTGCATTCAATAATAACATTTTGTAAAAATATTTCAAAGATTTCAATAAAAATTAATAAACACAATTGGTAGAATATCCCTCTGCCTGCTATTGGCTTTGCTGCCTCCCTAGTCTTTAGTTCCCTCAACCCAGAATACCCTTGGAATTGCCCCTTCTGACTTGGCTGGCCCTGTAAGGGCTTCCTGTCTTCCTGCTGAGTGTATGCAGCTTTGAGTGAAGTTCTTTCTGTATCTCTGGCAACAGTTTTGTTTTCTCTCTCTACCCACCTTGCCCACTCTCTGACTGCTTCCCATCCCAAAGGAGAGATGTGTTTTCAGATGGCACTTCTCATCTCTACTCAGCCTTTTTTTGGAGGGTGAGTGGCTAGATATGGGCGATGGGGAACACAAAGGGAAATGCTAAGACACAAGGGGTTTTCATGAGTGGTAAAATGACTGGAGGGTTTGCAGGAGGATCAGGGAGGAGAAAGAGTAAGGAAAGGGGAAGGAGAGAGGGAACAGGGAAAAATCTAGGAGGGGTGGACTAAGATATTATAGTTTCAAATATCAGTATTTATGCAAAATACACAAAAATATATGCTAGTACTTTAAAATGGCACCTATTAATGGAAAATTAAAAACCGGTGTTACAGTTAGTAGTAGTGTAAACACATTTTCAACTTTACTAGATAATGTAATATTTCTTTCCAAATTGGCTGTACCAATTTACATTCCCAACAGCAGTGAGAGAATTACCCATTTTACCACACTCTAGTTAACGTTTGACCTTTATTTGATTTTGTAATGTTTGCCAGCCTGATAGGTTTGATACAATGTTTCATTGTTGTTTAAAGTTATAATTCATTCACTGATTATTAGGACTGTAGTGAATACTTGTCCAGTGCATTTTTATAACTTTTATAATTTTTAAAATAAATTTTATTACAAAGGTAGTATAGTTTTATAATATCATTAAAATCATTAAAAACACAAGCAAGCAACCATCAGCCGCCACATAAACATACCTCAGTTTGACATATGTATGTGCCAATGAAGCCGTTACCACAGTCAAGATAATTAACTTATTCATCAACCCCAAAAGTTTGCTCCTGCCCCTTAATAATTTATTCCTCTCTACTTATTGTTACGGGATCTTTGGGGTGTCAATTTTCTAGCCAGAAACCTCTGTGACCGTGGCGCCTTTACCCAGGTTCTTGTCCTGCATCCAGGAAGAATGAGGTACACAGACAAGTGAAGAGTGAACAAGATAAAGATGAGTTTTATTTAGTGTCACAACAGCTCAGAGGAGACCCACAGTGGGTGGCTCCTCTCTGTAGGTATGTCATCCGTGGAGTGTTCAGTTCTCAGCAGAGAGGAGGCTCTGGAGAGAGTAGCCTGTCTCTGCAGCTGGTTGTCCAGATGGCTGCAGCTCTCAGCAGAGAGGGTAGCTCCTCTTTCTGCTGGTTGTCCTGTTGTCTCTTTGCCCCCTTCGGCCATCCTCTGGCTGTCCTATGCCCTGCTCTGGCTGAGCCCAGGGCTTTTACAGACCTCAGAGGGGAAGAGGGAGGAAGTGCCTGCCAAATGGTCCATGGGTGGCCATTGGTGGCCCAGAAGAGGCACCAAGACTCCCCACTCTGGTCTGCAGGACTGGCGTCCCAGCCCCCAGCCTTCAGGCCCTCACTGGCCTGAAAGTGGGGCCTTACTGAGGACCCTCCTCCTTCTGCTCAAGAATCAGTCTGCCTCCTACTGCCATTCATGGCCCTGGTCTCGGCCCCAACCCCTGCTCTGATCTTGGAGCAGGTGCCAGGAGCAGAGAGAGGCCAGGCAACGGGAGCAAACACCCCCCCCCCAGCCTATAAGGATGGGGGTCCTTCCTGGGGGCACCGTGGGTGCCAGTGGCAGAGACGACCCAGATCCTGCACCTGGGAGGGCAGGCACAGCTGCACCCAGAAGCTCCCACCCTGCCAACTTGGAAGGGGCGGGACTCCTACTTGTCCCCAGCTCCTGCCTTCTCCATGGAGTGGGAGGCCCAGGTCTGCAGCTGTGGGTCAGGTGGCTGCAGCTGCACCCAGGAGGGCAGATTCTGCCTGTTCTTGGCACCCCTCAAGAGCACAAGGAGGCTTGGATCCACAGCCGCAGTTTGGGCGGCTACAGTGGCATCCAGGGAGCTCCCGCCCACTCAGAAGGGATGGGGCTCCCACCCGCTCCATGGAGTGTGCAGCCCCAGCAGTGCCTCCCTGCTACAGCCAGTGTGATGGCATCAACTACTGCCATCACTACCACCTTCCTCCCTCCAATCTCTTGGCAACCATGGATCTTCCTTGATAGTTGCTTTCAGAGCCTTCTGTGTTGTAAGTGTGTATCAATGGGTCATTCCTTTTATTGCTGAGCAGTATTCCTTTGGGTGGTGGTACTACAGTTTATCTATCCGCTCACCTATTAATGGACATTTGTGTTATTTCCAGCTGTTTAATTGACCACTTAATCTTTCACAGAAGAATATATATATGCGCCTATAAATTTTGTCATATGCAAAATGTTAAATAGGAAATAATCCCTGTTAGTATTGTAATCAGTGCCTGGGACAGGACGTGCATAGGTATTCAGTAAGTAGGTGTTAAAGGAACTTAGACATGTTTTGGCAAAATCTGCAATCTAATTAGGAAAACAAAGCAAGCACACCTAAGAAATTAAAGTGCACAGAGCAGTTGACCTGAATGGAAATCAGTAATATAATAATATCCATCTTCTACCCAAAGGTCATGACACCCCCCCAACCTCGCCATCAGCACTTACTTGGAAGTCTCCCTTCTTTCAGTTCAAGGCATCCTAAATTAAATCACTCATCTTTCACTGAAAACAGTCCCTCCACTTTCTTCCTGTTTTGTTCAAATCTTTTCCTAACTACTGAGTTCAAAACCTGAATTATTTTTGTAATGTCCCTCTGTTCACATTTGATTAGTTTCCAAGTTCTGGTTATTCTGCTTCCTAAATGCCCCCACTTTGTTGCCGCTATGACTGCTTTAGTTTAGCTCTAACTATCTCTTAGCTCAGCACTTAGTCATCTATCTTGCCTCCTTGACTGGCTTTCCCCTCTCTAATTCAGCCTCCACATGGTCATCACACACTTTTCTGAAGTGTAATTTTGACCATGCTGCTTTGTTGCTTCTACCTCTCCATTTGCTCCTCATTGCCTGTAGGCTAAAATTCAGACTTCGTGGGATAGCACTGAAGATGCTCTATGCTTTTCACGCTTTCTCCCTGACCTCTATCATGCAGAAATATTTAACTGCTTGCAGGAACGTGAACACACGATGCCGTTTCCCATCTCCATGCCATTGAATAAACCTGTCCATCCATCTTCTGGAATGTTTCGCCAACTTTGACCAGGAGAAAACTCAGAACTCAGATTTGAAGCCTTCTTTTATCTCCTGCATACATGTACATTTACAGAAAACTCAGTAAAGTTAACCACTCCTCATCTATGCCAAGTGTCTACAACACTGCCCTTGCACTGTTGCCAGATCTTCCATGCTAGACTGTGACCACAGCAAGTGGCTTTTTACCTTTGAATCTAGTAACAAGTACAAGAGCAGTTACCTAATAGGTACTCGGCAAATATTTTGGGTGCTGAATAAATATGAGTAACTCAAATTATGGTGCTCAATAAATACGAATAAATGAACATGTGACTGAAATAATCTGATCATCAAGTTGTAATATCCCAGCCAACATATGCCTCTTGTATTTTACTTGTTTTCACTTGTCACCACCACCTTAGTCAAAAACCATTTAACTTTCTTCCTGAATTGTTGAATCAGCTTGCTAACCTATGTCAGTAAATTATCCCTCTTTTCTAAACTATAGTAACACAGATTAGCTAGACTAATCTTGCAAAGACTGCTTTAATTATGTTATTTCCCCATTAGATTCCACTGCCTGGCTTTCAAAAGCTCTAGCTACTCTAATAATCAGACTTTTTTCTATTGTATAACACAGTCTCCATTTCAGCTAACCCATTCTTCCCACTTGCCCATAACAAGCTCTGTTCCTTCCAGCTTGTGTGCCGGTGCTCACATTTATCCTTTTGCCTGAATACCCTTGTCCTCTCTTCCCATCTGTCTGAATTCTACTGACTATTTATGCCTTGCTAAAGTTGGCACCTGCATCATATCTCCTTTCTATCTATATCTATATCTATCTATTTATATCACATCTCCTTGGAACTTCTGAACTATAGCAATTTGCTATTCAAAGCGAATAGAAGTTACAATGTACATATTTTCTCTCTATATATCGGAATCTATATTTTCCCCCCTACCCTATACTAGAATATAAGCTCCACAAAGGCAGAGAATTTTTGTCTGTATTGTCTGTAAAGGAAAGCCAAGGGCTGAGACACACAATATTTCTTAAATAAGTGAATGAAAGTATGAAATTAACAGTTGCATGGTGCTGGTTCAAATAATCCTCATTTCCTCGGAAGAAAAGCACTTTGAAGAAAGTATGAACAAATTTGAATTTCTGAATTTTAAAGTATGTGATACTTTAGAGGCAATTTCTTGAGTGGAATTACAAAACCATATTCACTTATCTAAAATGTAGCATTAAAGTTCTGAATTTTAGAACCACTTCTGAACGTCATGATTTCTGTACAAGATAGTGTCAATTAGTCAATCATGTTATCTGGAATTTTTATGCATTAGTATAAATTGAAATTAACTCAACATAGTTCTATTACAGAAGTGGATAAATGGAGCATGAAATGATATGAGAACATTCTACTCAAAGTAAAAAAGTAGATTCAGGTTCTTGGATCCAGATTAATGTGATGATATCTGTATTTTGACAGGGGTAAGGCCATTTTGCAAGTCTTTCCTAAATTCCATGATTGTTAAAAGGAAAAAATTAAAGCTCACTCTATTGAAGTCCTTAGCTCAAAATTTGACACGTACTAGATATGTGTTAAATAGTTGAATGGAAGCCATTGGAGAACCATTTTTTTTAAGAGGAGGGGGACTTCAGAAGGGCAGTGACATAGTTCCAGTTGAATTTGAGAAAAAAATTAGGGTAATTGTCTAGAGAATGATATAGAGAGAAGACAGAAGATAGTAAAACCAGGAAGTTCTTTGTTCATTCATCAAGGTTCAGTTATAAAGCACCTACTACTTGGTATATACCTAGGGCTGAGTGAATAACTAAGATTCTGTTATAAGTATAGCCTGCTGGAAAAAATTTAGATGAACAATTATGATGACAAAATTTAAGAGTGATTAGAGGGAAAGGAGTGAACACTTTGGAATCTATTCTGCTAGAAATGCTGATTGTACTTGGTGAACGGTGTAAAAATTGAGGGTTTGAAGACACACTCCAGTGTTCTGATTTGAGAGACCAATTTAATAATATAGTTAGAGATAAGAGTATGAGAAAGTATGAAAGGAATGATGATGGGGTTGGTTGTGGACATATGAAGTTAGAAGAGTCTATAGAAAATCCCTGTGGAGATAACCAGTATAGAATTATAGGTAAGTTCTGGTGCTCAGAGAGATATGAGGGCTGAGGAGGGATGAATTTGGAATTAATCAACAAAAAATAGTTGTTGAAAACATAAATCCATGTGGAATTTCCCCAGAAGGGTGCTTACCTCATTGAGATGAAATAAGGGCTGAGGCTGCAGATAAGGACAGCAGAATGTTAAGAGGACAAGAATGACACTCAAAGACAGCACATCATGGCTAGACGTGACGTCAAGAAACCAGGAAAGAGTAGTTGTATCACTTAAAATGGTTTCAACTACAAGTAATAGAGAACCTGACCCACCCACTTTTAAACAATACTGTAATTTATCTGCTCTCATAACTGGAATTCCAGAGGTAGACTGGCCTCAAGAGTGGTTGATCCAGGAGCTCAATAACTTCATCAAGAAACCAGTTTCCTTTGTCTCCTTTTGCACTGCCATCCACGGCTGTGAATTTGTCCTACATCTGTTTCTCCTCTGGGGATAGAATGACTGGTAATACAAGTCAGACTACATGCTCCCTCCTTTATATTCAGCGGAAGAGGCAGTTTGAATAGGAACCTCTCCTAGAAGAATGAAGAGGAACTTACCCCCAAGTCTCCAGCAAAGTGCTCCTTCTGTCCCATTGGCACAAATTTGGTAAACTAATTATTCCCAAAACAATTATTAATTTAGATTAAGAATTAGGCCTCCATCTTCTGGGGCTGAGGGTAGATTTAGCTTCTTTTTTTTTTTTTTTTTTTTTTTTTTTTTTTGTGAAATGGAGTCTCACTCTGTTGCCCAGGCTGGAGGGCTGTGGCATGATCTCGGCTCACTGCAACCTCTACCTCCCAGGTTCAAGCGATTCTCCTGCCACAGCCTCCCGAGTAGCTGGGATTACAGGTGTGCGCCACCACACCCGACTAATTTTTGTATTTTTAGTAGAGACGGGGTTTCACCATGTCAGTCAGGCTGGTCTCTAACTCCTGACCTCATGATCCACCTGCCTCAGCCTCCCAAAGTGCTGGGATTATAGGCATGAGCCACTGCACCTGTCCAGATTTAGCTTCTTTTGAGGCACCAGCCTTTGCTGGTGAGAGGTGAATACCTGAATAAAAATTAAGATTCTGTTAGGTAAAAGGAAGTGAGACAGTTAATGCATAGCAGACAACAAGGAGCACTACAGAAGCATTAGTAAGCTTAGGAGGGAGAAAGGTTGAGGAGAAGTTATTAACATTGTCATATACCAAATGGGTCAAGGGAAGAATTAAGGAGAGGCGGAAAAATGCCCATGAGAGCAGTAATTAGAATGTGACCCCAGAGACACACCATGGATTCTAATTAAAGTGGATAGAGGGTGACTGTGAGGGGAAAAGTAGTTATGAGGAATTGAGTCTAGTTTCAAGATTCTGAGTTTTGAAAGAAACGATAAAGATAATAGCTAGAGGGGGGAAATAATGAGAATCAGGGGTTTCTTTTTTGTTTTGTTTTCATGATCATCAATTAAATGTTTCAAAGTTAGTCAGTGATTTCTAACTGGGCTCTGATGAAGGGGCTTTGAGTGACCAGTTGTATGAACTTAGTCAACTTGTCAAGTCTCTTTGACTTCTCATCCATTGAAAGGGAAAAAAAGAAAGCTGTTTTTATCCTATGGAGTTGGTGGATTTCAGAAATATTTTTCTTCAGTTTTCTTTTATTTTATTTATAATTTCAACTTTTAGAATCACAAGTTACATGTGCAGGTTTGTTATATGAGTAGATTGTGTGATGCTGAGGTTTAGGGTGTGAATGATCCCATCACCCAGATTGTGAACACAGCACCCAACAGTTAGTTTTCAACCCTTGCCCCTCCCTCCTTCCCACCTCGATTAGTCCCTAGTGTCTATTGTTCCCATCTTTATGTCCATGAGTACTCAATGTTTAGCTCCCACTTGTAAGTGAGAACATGCGGTATTTGGTTTTCTGTTCCTGCAGTAAATTCACTTAGGATAATGACCTCCAGCTGGTACATACATACCATGGAATACTATGCAGCCAAAACATAATGGAATCATGTCCTTTTCAGAAATATTTTAAAGAAGAGAATATTGTTTATATTTTAGGTGTGTGTGTTTAGGAGATATTTTAAATGTTATACTCCATCAAGTCTTCAATACATTTGGGGGAAACAGAAAATAAACTAATTTTACTTTCTACCTCATTGTTTGGTCTTAGGCTAAAATCCATGTTTTACGGAGAATTCAAGAAATTTTTAAACTTCAGGTAGAACTGTGTTTTTTACAAATGTATAGAAAGCATAGTGCCTAATGCATGGTAGAAACTCATTAAATGATTATTAAATTGTTCTACTTTTCATATTTAAGGATGAAAAATATTAGAGATTCTCCATCAATCAGATTATAAAATTCTTTATACTGGAGAAATTTCTTATACCATATTTTTTATTTGTCAGAGAATTGATTCTAAAAAACAATAAAACTATGCCACAAAAAAAACTAGTAATATTGAGTAGTGCAGCAAAACCTGGGTAACTAAGTCTAACTAGGTAGGTTAATTGAAGTTACTGGAAAATTTATTCATACATTCAACAAGTGTTCATTGAGCACTTATTATGTGACAGGCCTTGTGCTAGGCTTCTTGCTCTCATAGAGTATACATTCTAGAGGGAGAGCCAATTAAATAAATTAATATACAATATGTCAGGGAGATAATTGCCTTGAAGAAGAATAAAATGAGATAATGGGATAGTAGGCAATTAGTACAAATGTTTTCATTTTGTATGAGGAGAGCAGGAAGGGAATCTCTGAACAGGGGATGTTTGAGCTGAGACACAGGACATGAAGAATGGCTGGGAGAACTGTGTTCCTGGGAAAGGGGAAATCAAGTGCAGAGGTCCTCACCTGGGAACACATTGGGTGTGTTTGACAAACAGCAGGTTAGACTGGGGAGATGGGATGTAGGGAATTGGGGCTCTGTGAGTGAGGGGAATCACCTAGGAGATGAGGTCAAGAAATGGGGCATCAGTGTGCCATATAAGGAAGCAAGGCCTTAGAGACTGTGGGAGGAATTTGGGAACTACTCTAAGAGACATGAGAAGGCATTAGAGGGTTTAGAGCAGAGGACTGATTGCATTGAGCTGGTTATCACTCTAACTGCCTTGGGGAGAATAGGCTGTTCTAGGGCAAGTGTGGCTTGGGGAGATAAAGTTCAAACAAATGTAACTTTTTGTTTCCTTGAAATATTTAATAAAGTAAAGCTACCTATTCAGGGAGTTTGTGCAAGTAATAGCACTGTCAGATCTACTACAATAAATAGGTGATAATGGTTTGTAATTAGCAAAGTAACTATTCATATAGAAATCATTCAGTTGATGCTAGTTGACTAATCACTCCTCATGCAATCTTACTCTTGTATTTGATGAACTTTGTTTTGAAGCCAGTGCAATATGAAGTGCACCATCCCTCCTCAGCAGGGACAAATTACCAGATTATTGAGATCAGTCTCCTTAAAATTAATGTTATTATAACATTCTGTTGTAAAGAAAGAATTATATGGCAGGTATTTTTGTCAAGCTTTTAGGAACTGTTGGAGTGCTTTAAATTTATAACATTGTGTGTTCCCCTTAAATGTTCATGGTTGGAACACATCTAATTTTATGCAATATTTAAAAACTTTTTTGGCAGTGAGATTCATAGGGCAGAAGTTACAGAATGATTTCATTTTGGAAAATAAGTGAAAAGTAAAGATAACACATGAGCCCAATAAAATAGTCCATTTTCTTGATTTTTTTTTTTTTTTGCCAATATCTTTTTCATGAGGGCAGACCATGGTGCATTATTCCACCCCCGCCCCCAGCATTTGCAAACCACCAGTCATTTCCTTAGGGACCTTAACAAACGGAAGCATTGAATTCTCTTCAGTCAGTGGTGCCTCCCACCTGGGAAAAAGACAGCTCTGTAATTGAATCCCAGCATATGCATTGTCATCCCTCCTGCCTGCTCTCCTGGTGCTACAGCAAATTAAAAGATCTCCAAGGGTCAGCCTGCCTCCCAGCTGCCAGCCCCAGTAGACATGAGGGAGCCAGCAAGGACCAGGTGGAGCAGTTTTGAGTTGCACTAAACACACGGCGCAAGGAGATTGGCCATAACTTCCCAATTGAATATTTATGCCAGCCACATTTCTCATCTTGCTCTTTGGCACTGAACACAGGGCTGAGCTCCTGCTGATTTCAGGGCGCTGCATTGTGTTTGGATCAGCTTTGTGAAGTATTACACCAGATGAGAAATGGGCCCAAGTTCCTATCACTAAGACGGCTGGTTGACTTTTTTTTTTTTTTTCATGGAGACTATCATGTTATAGTATCAAAAGCTGGGGCAGTGAGGGAGTTCCCTGACATCTCCTGACACTGCTGTTACATGAATCGTACACAACTTCAACCATTGCTTGCTATGGAGTGGAACTTTAATGGCTCCTATTCAGGGACAGACAAATATACTCTGATTTGTATATTACTGCATGTTCGTCTTTTTTTTTCAAGGTTTTATTTTTGTTTGCTAAGGTCAGGGACTTATCACAGGGCCCTCTCATCACATTTCACATTCTGATCCCTCGTGGCAGGTGCTAACTTCCTTGCTCTCAAACTGAATGGGTTGAGTAACCTCATAAAGATACAGAATGTCTTGGCAGAGAAAGGAAAAGACTACAGAATGCCTGTCTATGGAAGAGTCTCAGTGTTATTTAGTTATTAGTTAGCCCTGTAAACCCGAGAAGATATTTGGAAACCCATCTACACACACCCATTAACTTTTTCTAGGTGGTGGATCACAGACTTAAATTCATGTTCCTGATTCCTAATCCATATTGTTATCTAATAAAAGCACATTCCTTATGTAGATTTTATCATGAAATTTGCTTAAAAAAATCATTCTCTTCAATTGTATTTTTGTATAGCATAATAAACTATAGATCAGTGAACCACTGAACTTCTTGTGAATTGCTGGTTCTAAAATGAAATTCTCAAATGATTAAATTTAAATAATTAGGAGGCAGTGATAATGAGAAGCCAATATAAGTTCTGTAGGCAAAAGACATGCCAGAGTAACCTCATAGTCTTTTGTGACAGCAGTACCAGAAAGGAAGAGCAAAGACATGCATTACACTTAGAACACATAGAATTCAGCCAAGCGCATGCCAGAGGCTCGGATATTTATGAGAAAAAGACAGAAATTAGCTCAATAACTATTCCCGATGAACTGATATAAATCTGGAGGTATACCTCTAGTACCCTCTTTAAGACCTGTCCTTGGCATTGTGCTTTTCAACATGACTACAGGCATGCGCCACCACGCCCAGCTAATTTTTGTATTTTTAGTAGAGAGGGGGTTTCACCATGTTGGCCAGGATGGTCTCCATCTCTTGACCTCATGATCCACCCACCTTGGCCTCCCAAAATGCTGGGATTACAGGCGTGAGCCACTGTGGCTGGCCAACATGTTTATTGTGAGGGCATTGAGGGCATGCTAAGAAAGTTTGTAGGTGAGATAGGAACTTCACTGGGAAAGAGGACATTGAACAGCAGAATCAGAATCTAACAGACAGGCTGAAACAATGGACTCAAGTCCAACAAGATGGCATTTAGGAGAAACACATGAAAAGCTGTTCACTCGGGTCCCAAATGCCAACTGCATGTGTAGTGAGCGACTGGGAGGACACAGGGCTCTCAAGCATCACATGGGACAAAGACTTGAGAATTTCACTGGCTGGGTTTAGGCATGAATTAGGACTGCACAGTGTCTGAGGACAAAGCTAATGTACTCTTCAGTCTACACTGACAAGTGAGAGTTGTAATAGCCTTGCCATATTTTGGACCACAACTGTGTGACTATGGGGACCACTGTTAAAGAAGAATCCTGGAGATCTTATGGAAGAGAATGCTAGGAAAGTAAAAGAGTTTGAGATGGACTGAGTGGACTGAGGGAATTGGAGATGCCCTCCCTGAGAGAGAAAAAGCTCTTGGGCAGGACAGGTCATTGATGTGTGAAAGACTGTTATATGAAAGAAGGTTTAGACTTGACCCATGACAATAAATGAATTTTCTTGGACCAAAGTTTCAGGGAAGCCCCGGATAGAAAACTTTCTGATAGTATAAGTTATCTGAAAATGAAAGGGCTGCCTCTTAAGAAAATGATTTTCTTGACACTACAAGTTTTCAAATAGACAAACCAGGCTGTTTTATTGTCTGTGTTGTAGAAGTGATTGTAGTAATAAAATTTATGAAGGATGCACTGTAGGCCAACCTTTGGATACTTTTTTTTGTGTGATCTTATTTAATTCACACATTAGCCTTCCAGAGGATATTATTATCTCCAATATTGAGACTAAGGTCCCATGACTGGTAAATGAGGCAGAGTTTAAAATTCAGGTTTTAGTTGACAGTAGAGACTCTTAACACTGCTCTCATAGCCTTAAGCACAATATTCCATTTTGCTTTTGAGGACATTTAATGTCCCTTCAGAACTGGAAATCTGATCATTTTAATAGGTTACCACCTTTTTTTTGTACATTATATCAATGCTTTGCTCTTGTTAGTACAACATTGGGAAACCTAGATTTGTTTATCCTGTGAACAGTTTGATCTTTACTGGTAGAGTTTTTTCTTAGAAAAAAACAGTGATATGTTTCTTAGTACAATTGATGGCATTAAATGTTTTGATTGTGGTCTTATGGCTTTACTCCACTACTTGCTAGAGGAAAATAATTTTCTGCTTCATTAATGATGGTTTGAACTGATCTGACAGAAAGTGAATCCTGTGCCATTCAAATAATGCTTGGAAAATCCATTGGATTTTTGTTTATTTCTTTGTTTTCCGATTAAGGGGGACTTTTAAAAACAAAAATTTAGGGAAATGCTTCTGGTTTTCGGAAACATTTATTCACATTTCTTGGGGTTGGAGAGAACTGACATGTTTTAAATTTGTTAGAGTCATAGTGAACAAAGGGGAAGAGTTGCAGGTCTCAAGTCTAGAGCTGTAGGCCCTGGAAAGGAAAAATTGCAAAAGTGTCCAGAGAACAGTGTGTTCATGGCTTTATTTGCTGTTAGTCCGAGGCCTGAGGTCACCCTGGCAGATGGGTCACTTGCACTGCAAGCACTCATGCTGGCCTCAGGGACAGGGATGAGGTCACTGGCACATTTCAAGAACAGCTTCCTTTCTTTATGCATACACCACTTTCCTGGTCCTTGTTAAGGGTCTCCTTCCTCTTGCGGTTCCCATCTCTGCAGCTGACCCCAGTTCTGACTGTGTCTGGGGAAATGGGTTGGTGAGGGCCTCCTTCTGGGACTATCTGTCCACCTGATCAGTGATATAGACACTGTGCCGCGGAGAGGAGCCACATCTCCCAGCCAGCCTGCCAGCAGAGTAATTGGCTCAGGGTTACAAGTTGTGACAAGTGGTTTTTGGATCCTAATCTGAAATATGTCGGTTTAACATGACCTGGCATTGTTACCTGATGTTTTTAAATGCCCGTACTTTTTCCAGAAAGTGGGAACTGATACACAGCAGTGGCATGTCCTACTAATTTTCATAAGATCTAAATTGATCAGGATGCTTTATTACTTTTTTTATTCCACAGTATATTTTTCCTCTTTGACTCTAAAGTGCATGTGCACGCGTGTACACACACACACACAGACACAAACATGTGTGCACACACACACACCCCCCCTCACTCATTTGGGAGATCTAACACTGCACATATAAATATTGAAACTTCCAGGCTGGGCGCGGTGGCTCACACCTGTAATCCAAGCACTTTGGGAGGCTGAGGCAGTTGGATCAGGAGGTCAGGAGTTCGAGACCAGCCTGGCCAACATGGTGAAACCCCGTCTCCACTAAAAATACAAAAATTAGCCAGGCGTGGTGGCACGTGCCTATAATCCCAGCTACTCAGGAAGCTGAGGCAGGAGAATTGCTTGAACTCGGAAGGCGGAGGTTGCAGTGAGCCAAGATCGTGCCGTTGCACTCCAGCTCTGGGCGACAGAGCAAGACTCCGTCTTGAGGAAAAAAAAAAAAAAAGAAATTTCCACATGCATTTCCATCAGAGAACTAATTCCATCTCCCCTTACCTAGCCCCTTGCTCTCCTGCCTAGCCTGTGGGAATCTTTGAAGATTCTTTGTATTCTAAGAACTGTCCCAAGAACAAAGTAGATGCTCAAGCAATGTTTGCTGAACTAGACTACATTTGATTCCATGTAACCAAATGACTTTATCTACATTTTTTTCTATTCCTTTTATTCATTAGCACCCACTAAATATACTCCACTATTCTAGGAATAGGGAAAAAAATTCATGAACAAATTAGAAAACAATCCTACCCTGATGGTGCCTTACAGTCTTAATTACGTGAATAGAAGCTATTGTTGTTATTCTTACTTTTCAGGTAAGGAGAATTGAGGCTTTTGTCACATAGGAAGAAAAAATTATGAGCAAGTCTTGCCCTTAAAATCATTCTGATGGTCAAATGCAAATTTGCTATTTTGGTGGACTCTTGAGAATGTGGGAAATAGACCCATGTCCACTTTATGCAAAGAGAAAAAGCTGGCATGAGTGGGAGTGTTTGAACATCAAGAATGCTTTTGCATTTCTTGGGTTGTGAACAACTGATGGAGTCAACTTATAAATAAGCAGGATCATGACTCATTACCAGGATCTGTACAGAATAAATAATGGCTTCAGAGTTCGAGTAGACTCTAAACTACACAGTTTTAAGGCTTCCCCTTTCTTGGGTTTGAAGAGGATATTTCAAATTATTAGAAAGAAATTCCATCTATGCTACAGAAAAATTGCAGGAAAAAAAAATCCCCAGAAACTAGTTGCATGTCTTTACATTTTTCTTTCTTTTCCTTTTTTAAGTTTTTGTGTTTATGACTAAGTTCATTTTTTATATTGTCTGGAAAGATGCTAATATTCAAATGGCCTCATGACATAAGGACCACTAACAAGGGGTTGAAATAAACATCCTGGAAAGAAAGAATGACTACCTTTAAATATTATGAGCAGTGTACATTTGGCAGAGCAGATCCTTATATTGACTTTAGTAACCTGAAAACTATTCAAAATGTTTTATTTCAGGGATATGCATTCCTGATTGTGATTTCATGGTGTGAATAAAATAAAGTCACTTAAATTGATAGAAACAGTCTGAGCTCTGGCATCAGATAAACATGAGTTCAAGTTCTGGTGCTGCTACTTTCTATCTGTGTAACCTTGGGACTGCTGTGTATCCTCTCTGAGCCTCAATTTCTTCATCTGTAAAATGTGGAAAATTATATATTAATACGTTATTTTAAAGATTAAAGGTGATAATATATATATGAAAAACCAAACACAGAATGTGTCATACTGTAATAGTCCATTTTCATACTGCTGTAAAGAACTGCCCAAGACTGGGTAATTTATAGAGGAAAGAGGCTTAGTTGACTTACAGTTCCGCATGGCTGGGGAGGCTTCAGGAAACTTATAATTATGGCAAAAGGTGACCGGGAAGCAAGGCACCTTCTTCCCAAGGTAGCAGGGAGGAGAATGAACACAGGAGGAACTACCAAACACTTATGACACCATCAGATCTTGTGAGAACTCACTCACTATCTTGAGAATAGCATGGGGGAGACCGCCCCTATGACTTGATTACCTCCACCTTGTCTCTCCCTTGACATGTGGGGATTATGAGGATTACAGGGATTACAATTCAAGATGAGATTTGGGTGGGGACACAAAGCCTAAACCATATCACATACAATATATACACAGTAAAAACTGATACCCATTAATCATTTCCTGTTGCTTAAACCTAAGGTAAAATTTATAGATTTTACATTCTGTATAAATTGGAATTAAAAAGAAAATGAAGTGTCACAATTAAATTAATCACAAAACATATAAAAGGAAATACAGGAATATTTTTGCTGTATTCTTAGTAGCCATAGTGTATCTCTGTTCTCTGAAGACTTTTAGTTGCAAGAAACATTGACCTACCTAAATGAATTCAAGCATAAGTAACTAAATTGTAAATATCTAGATAATTGCATTTCGGTTTCCTGTGGACTGGAATGTAGAATGCCAAGGCTATTTTTATTTTGAGGTTTTTGTTTTTCAGGGGTAACATTTTCTGTTTCTTCTCTGCTCCGTTCTATGGTGTGTGCTTCATCCTTTTATTCCTGACCGGTGTTCCTTCTTTACTCATCTTGTATGTCGTCCAGATTGGCTATGAGCCCCTACACTACTTTGTGGCTTCAGTGATATCATTAAGCAGATACCTCCCCCAGGATCCCTTATTCGAATTCATCAAAACCCAGCTAAGAATTTCTGATGACATTTTCTAGAATCTTTAAGTTTACATTAATTTCTATCTGTTCCACTTTATGGACGCTTACTGTACTTTAATTTTCTATTCACAGGACGCTGCTTTGTCATTTAGATGGTAAACTCCTTGAGGGTAGGGCCATGTTTTCTTCACTCAGCAATCCTAACACCTGTGACAGTGCTTTACATGTAGTAAGCAACCATTAATTTGTTTGATCATTTAAATTAAAAGTCTTGGCCGGGTGCGGTGGCTCACGCCTGTAATCCCAGCACTTTGGGAGGCCGAGGTGGGTGGATCACAAGGTCAGGAGATCGAGATCATCCTGGCTAACACAGTGAAATCCCGTCTCTACTAAAAATACAAAAAATTAGCCGGGCGTGGTGGCAGCCACCTGTAGTCCCAGCTACTCGGGAGGCTGAGGCAGGAGAATGGTGTGAACCCAGGAGACAGAGCTTGCAGTGAGCCAAGATGGCACCACTGCACTACTGTACTCCAGCCTGGGTGACAAAGCGAGACTCCGTCTCAAAAAAAAAAAAAAAAAAAAAAAAAAAGTCTTTGGGTTGGGCGAGTCTAGTAGAAGATAATGACTTTACGAGCATTTAGCATTGACTGTAATTAAGTCTGTTATCGGGATGTGCTACAGATACTACTTGGTACTGTTTTTGAGCTCATCTTTGTTCTTGGATTTCACATCTCTTTTTCTTCTGTTTGTTCCATGATTGGCAAATCTTCTGATTCCTGACTGCCATTTAAACTCATTTATCCCAGTTTTTCACACTTAAATTCACCTTGTCACACTCACATGCTTGATTTCACAGCTGTTTCTAAGATGGTTATGGCTTACACACCATTTCACTCATTCATTTATTACTGAAATGTTTCTTGAGAAACTGCTTTTCTTGAGAAACTACTTTTTCAGGCAGCTTTGCAGGCAATAAGGATATAGCAGTGATTCACTGGAATGAAATAATACAAATTAAAATCAGCAAAGGAAAAAGGCATATGGGGCAGAGTTCAGGAGAAACCGGAGTTTATTTCCAGTTGTCTTCTGTCCAGAGTTGTACAAATAGCACTTATTTGTCCCTACAACAATGTGCGACAGTACATGCAGAGCGTTGCCAATGGTGGATGCTCATCCAAGCCTTAGTGCCCAGGGGTCACTATTATTGGAGGTCAGTTATATAAACATGTCTGACCACCCATGTGGCTGACCTTCATTACTGTTTTTAGCCCCTTCATAAGTCAGACTGATTCTGCGTGGCTCAAAGCCCCCACCAGGAATCACATTGTTAGCATCATTGTTAGCAAAGAGTATCTGGTGTGGCCCAAGGCTCCAGCTAAACACAGGTACTCTAATAAGTTAAGATATTCCAAGGGCTTAAAGGTTATCTCCCAGGAATTGGTCAAGGGACAGACCTTTCTTTTGAATGTGCAGGGTTTGGACGATACACTTTTTACTGCACAAGGGCTAACCTCACTTATTTTCTTTCTTCTCTCAAGGACCAAGCCCTGCGCCATCTAAACAATTGTTTCCAACGTTGTTTCCTCAGTTTTAGTTTTATAGTGGCAATATTAGGTCCCAGTTACTCTATCATAGACAGGAATTATAGTCAAGTAATTTGAACAACTCTTTATAAAATGTTATTTCATTCTTATTACTTCCTTTCTATGCTTTTGAATATATTCTATAATGTGCCTATATAAAAATGTACATAATTAATTAGCACATATAAATGACACCTAAATAAATATGTACACATATTTGAGGTGCTTACTTTTTTTATTCAATTAACAATCTAGTAGTTTGGAAGCTACTGAGTTTGACAGCTGTTTATTTGCATCTTTAATAGGAAGGGCACTTCAGGAGTTAACAAAGATAAATGAAAAAGAATCTTGTTATCACAGACATCCTGTGGCAGCTTCTTTTTTTTCATTTGTTTTCTAGAAGAACGTGTACACAAATGACAATAAGTTAAGACAGAGTGTGAAAAGTGCTGCAGAGGAAGGTAAAAATAATATAACAAAAATATGACAGTATGACCAGGTCACTTCTGGTTTTGAGGACCAGAAAAAGCTGTTTGGAGAAAGTAGCATTTCTGAGGTATTTAAACATTGATTAAGATGGTTTTCAGGAGCTATCAGACAAGAAAGATGCTGTACAAGCTAAAATTGTGAAGGGGAAATTGTGACAATAGTACAATAATCATTTCTGATACAAGAAACTGTATACTAGGTGATTACTTGAAGATAAAGCTGAATGGAGAGTTGTGAATGTCTGGGTAAGGCATTGGGACAGGATAGTACTGATTATATTTGTAAAGAGAAGACATATAATAAGAGCTAAGTTTGGATTTCTCAGAAATCACATATAACTTTATTTTTGTTCCCCTCTATGCATTTCTTATGATTGGCTTTAATAAAGCATTCTGTTATTTTCAGAATTTGACTGATGTGTTTAGCTGTGGTTTTTCTTTTTCCTATTTGATGTTTGTGGTGCTGTAAGGCTCTGGGGTTGATGTTTTTCATCAGATTTGGGAAAATTTTGACCATTACTTATTCCAATATTATTCTGTATCATTCTCTTTCTCCTGTTTTTTTGATAATATTACACAGGTTACTTATACTCAATTAAGTTTCCACTCCCACTTTTTTCCTCTGTGCTTCAGTTTGGATAATTTGCATTGGCCCAGCTTCAGATATCCTGGTCCTTTCTTTTGCAATGTCCAATATGCTGTTAAGTCCACTCAAATAATACTTATGTAATATATTGTTATTTTCATTCTAGAAATTTTATTTAGTTCTTTTTTAAGAGTTTCCATTTCTTCTCCCTATGCAATATAGAGATACATACTGTTATAAATAAAGCTTCAATGCTGCAAAAGAAATGGCACTCGAATATAAAATTTTCTTTTTAATTCTCAGCAAGGCAACATACTTCTATAGAAGGGTGCGCACTTACAGATAGAGCAATGGTGAGTGCACACCTGGACAACAGAGGGAAAGGGGTTCTTACCCCTGAGGCACATAGCCCCTGCTGCCGTGTCTTTCCCCTATTGGCTATGGTGAGATGGCTAAACTAATTCTGATTGGCTAATTTAAAGAGAGTGACAGGGTGAGTGGTCTGGTGGAAAAAAATGGTTATCCAGGGTGGAGAATGAGTCAGGGCGGAGCAGGTAGTAGGTAATTGGAATGAGTTGGGATGAAGCAGGTAATCAGAATGAGCCAGGGTGAAGCAGGTAATTGGAATGAGTCAGGGTGGAGCAGGTAATCAGAATGAGTCAGGGTGGAACAGGTAATTGAAAAGGGTTGCTTTATGAGGAAGTTAAGTTTAAAAGTAGAAGGCAAAGAATCAATACTGACATATTGATTCTTTGAAAAGAAATTTAGAACTCATATCTAACAATACATATATTTTTATATATATGTTATATACATATATGTATTGATCCATATATGACAGATGTATATATGGCAGATATGTATATATTAATACCTATATATGGCATATAAATATTTATATACCTTTTGTGTGTATCTTTTCCTATAAGTTACTTAATATATTCACATTAGTTTTAAAATCCTTATCTGCTAGTTTCAACACTTGGGTCATAAACAGGTCTGCTTTTATTTACTGTGTTTTCTGTCCACTAGGAGTCATATTTTTCTGCTTTTTGTTAGGTCACAAAATATTTATAATGTTCTGAACATTATATACAATAAATCAATAGCGATTGAAGCATAGTATTTCTTTTGTGTTTTATTTCCCCAAAAAGTGGTAGTTCTTTCCTCTGGCAGTTAAGGTGAGGATCTGTTCACTGAGACCCTTCCTAGAGTTGAGCTTAACTGGAGCTAGACTATGATTAGCCCAACTTCCATCCCTCTGAAAAATCACTGCTTTTATATTTCAACATTTGAACTGGAGAGGCATTGACTGAAGTTATAATTTTTTAGGGTTTTTTTTAGTTAATATTTTTATTTAGTACTGGCAAGGTCCTTATACATGTAACTTTGGTAAATTCACTCATTAGTTCTAGTAGTTTGGGGGTTTGGGGTATGAATTTCCCAGAATTTTCTCTATAAACAATTAAATCATTTGTGAATTAAAGTTTTTTCTTTCTAAACTTTGCTTATTTTATTTATCTTTGTCTTGTACTGGCTAAGATTGCTAGTAGAATATTGTGGTGAAGTAGGAAAAGCAGATGTCTTTGGCTTGCTACCGAAATAATTCATTATTTCATCACCGAATATGATATAAGCTATAGACTTTTCAAGAGTGCTTTTATCAGACAGAGGAAAAATACTTCTTTTCTTAGTTTGCCAAGAATTTGTATCATGAATGGATGATGAATATTGTCAAATTTTTTTTGCACTCATGGAAATAATATTATGTTAATATATTGAATTACATTGATTTCCACATGTGAAATCAGCTTTACATTACTGGCATAAAGCGCACTTGGTCATGATTTTTTTCTATTGCTGGGTTTGATTTGAGAATATTTTGTTAAATATTTTCTCATCTATGTTTATAAGAAATATATATCCATATTTTCTTTTCTTAAAATTGTTCCTTTCTGGTTTTGGGGTCAGGGTAATTCTGGTCTCCTACCATGGAATGAAAAGTGTTTCCTTCTATTTTTTCTGAAAGAATTTATTAAAAAAATTGTTACTAAAAAAAATTTTTTTTTAAATAACAGTAGCAAAAAAAGTTTGCTAGTGTTTATTAATTGAACCATATGGCCCTGGAGGTTTTTTGATAAATATTTAATTATAAATTAAGTTTTTTAATCAATGCAGGACTATTTAGATTTTCTATGTTAATTGGATCAATTTTAATAAATGTGTCTTTCAGGAAATTCACTGATTTTGTGTGTCTTTGAATTAATTGGCATAATATAGTTTATAATACTTCCTTATTACCCTTTCAAAATCATTGGTATCTCTCATGATCATCTTTTGGATTTGTAAATTTTCTCTATTGTTCACAGATTTTGTTTCAATTATTTCTACTCTTTATTGTTTCCTTCTACTTACCTTTTGTTTAATTTCCTTTTCTTCCTCTAGTTTCTTAAAGTGGAAACTTAGGTCACAGATTTTAAATCCTTCTTCTTTTCTAATATAACCATTTAAAGGTATAAACTTCTCATTAATCACTACTTTATTTACATACCACAGTTTGATTTGATCTTTTCATTATCATTTTGTTCTAAATATTTATTATATTTACTTGTGATTTTTTTTCCTTTGGTTCACAAATTATTTGGAAGTGTAGTGTTTAATTTTCAAATGTTGGGGATTTTTTATATGTCTTATTACCATTGCTTTCTAAATTAATTCATTGTGGTCAGATACTATACCCTGTGAAATTTCAACTTTAAAATCTATCAATATTTACTTTATAGCCCACCTATATCCCAGGTCTGTCCTCTTGATAGATGTTCCATGTGCACTTGAAAATAGTGTGCATTTTATAATTATTGGGTATTAGTGTCCTGGAACTGTCAATTAGGTCACATTGGTGATAACGCTTTCCAAATCTTACGTGTATATTTTTTAAAATTTATTTTTGTCTACTTTTCTTCTGTTGGTTACTGTGAAAACTGTGTCATAAAAGCTCCAACTATGATCATAGACTTATCTGTTTCTTCCTTTAATTCTGTCAGTTTTTGCTTCATGTATTCTGTATCTCTGCTTGTAGGCACATGTTATGTCTTCTTGAATAATTTATTGTTTTTCATCATTTTCCAATTCCTTTCTTTATATTTGCTGATAGTCTTCATCTTGAGGCCTATTTTGTGTGATGTAATATTAGCTTGACCATCTTTTTTATGTTAATTATCTGCGTGGTATATCATTTTCCATTCTTTGACCCTCCACCTATTTGGGCCTTATCACTTTTCAGGTTCCCAGGATGCAGATGCTGAGATATTTCCTGCAGGAGTTTATTTGGGTTGTGCTGTCAGTATTAGTTCCTTTTGAGGGGCATGAAGGAAGCAGGGCTGGATTCAGAGACGTTGATCTGTAGCACAGTTGCAGCAAAGGTCTCAGCTAGTCTTATGAGAGGCCCTAGACTATGGTGACCCTTAGGGTAAGAGGGAATAGTCATTTTACCCCTCCATTGACCTGTCAGTAGATGAGGGCTGCCCTCAGAAAGAGTGTGCTCTTGGGCACAGTGACCCCGTTTAGTTGAGGGCAAGTTTTGGAAAGGAACTCAGTAGAAAGCTACCAGTTGGTAACACTCTCAGCAGCTATGGGAATGAGTTCTTCAGGATGTCTGGGCAGCGTACTAAAGTAGCACAGTATGCTGATATTTAAAGTGCTTCTCTCATAGATCCCCCGTAATTAGGTCTTGGTTGTATAATCTAACCTGACCATAGTCAGCTTTTTATTGGAGTGTTTAGTCCATTGATATTTAGTGTAATCGTCAATGTGTTTGAGTTCGAGTGTGCCATCTTGCTTTGTATTTTCCATTTTTCACATATATTCTTTGTTTGCTTCCCTTTTTTTGGCTTCTTGGGGTTAATTGAATTCTTTAAAATGCTGCTTTAATCGTTCTGTTGGGTTTTTGTTATACCTGATGGTATTTTTCTTAACATTTAATGCTAGAGATTACTCCATGTACCCTAAACTTAACCTCTTATCCAAGTTTAATATAACACTTCATGCCAAATGAAAGAACCTTGAAAAATATAATTTCACCCCACTTTTTGCTGTTGTTGTCACATATTATATAAGTCCCTGTATACAGTGCAATTATTTTTGCTTCAATAGGCTGTCTTTCATGAATTAAGAGAAAAATAAAAGATAATCTTTTATATTTACCTATATATTTACATTTATGTTATTCTTAATTCTTTCCTGTAGGTCTGAGTTTTCCTCTGGTATCTTTTCTTTGAGCTGAAGGTCTTCCTTTAGTATTTGTTATAGTTCAGGTTGTTGGTGAGAAATTCTCTCAACTTTTATTGATCTTTATGTTTCTTTCTTCCATGAAAGCATGTGTAGCTTCTTTGGGCTACTGCACAGTTCTTTTTCCTAGTTTCCTTTCCTTTTTCTTTTTTTTTTTTTTCTTTTGAAACAGAGTCTCGCTCTGTCGCTCCGGCTGGAGTGCAGTGGCGCAATCTCCACTCACTGCAAGCTCCGCATCCCAGGTTCACACCACTCTCCTGCCTCAGCCTCCGGAGTAGCTGGGACTACAGGCGCCCGCCACCAAGCCCGGCTGATTTTTTTTGTATTTGTAGTAGAGACGGGGTTTCACCGTGTTAGCCAGGATGGTCTCGATCTCCTGACCTCGTGATCCACTCGCCTCGGCCTCCCGAAGTGCTGGGATTACAGGCGTGAGCCACCGCGCCCGGCCTCTAGTTTCCTTTTCAAAAGATGGTCAGCCCTTCAAGAATCCCAATTTTATTTTATCCCAGTTGTAGCACAATCTCTGGAGCAAACTTAAGTCAAAGTCCTATTCCTGAATGCATACTAAAAGTGTTACAAAACCAGCTGTCAGGACTTGGGCTCATTTTTTGACTCCCTGGGTCAACAAGGTCAGCTGGAAGCTTCTGCTTGATTTGGAGTTCACACTTTATTTCTAGCTACTGATTTCTTCCATATTGGTGGCAGGGGATGCCAAATTTAGGTAATTAAACATTTTCAGCTCTCTAGTGTGTAGCTAAGGTGATCAGTTTAGGAGGGTGGGTATGCATATCAGCTTAAATTGCCAAGATGACAGAATCTGCATTTTTTCTTACAGTATTATATGGAATAGTCATAGGATTATTTTTTGTTATTTTTATATGTCAGTGATAACATGTTTATTTTTGTGTTAGTAATAACATGTTTTCCATATTATGTTATAATATGTTATAATAACGTGTTATGTTATTACAAACCGGTTATGAGGCTTAACTTACTAGGGAAGCTTTTCTTATTTATTTATGCATTTGTTTGTATGTTTGTTTCTCATGAACTGGCATGTTCATCTGGTTGACTAAGTCTTAGATACTGGTTTTAATTATTACTGTGAGATCACGTGGTCAATAGAATAATATTTGTAATCTATTAAAAAATAACTGCTGCAATTTCAACTTTTCTCTGCTGCTTACTGCTCTACCAGGTCTATGGAAATGCAGGACCTAGCAAGTCCTCATACTCTTGTTGGAGGTGGTGATACTCCAGGTAGCTCCAAACTGGAAAAATCTAATCTCAGCAGCACATCAGTTACTACAAATGGGACAGGAGGTAAGTGTACTACCCTGAAGATACCCAGAATCATATTTCAATGTTTGCTTTAATTTTACTTCTTAGAGATCTGCTAATAAATAAATATCTTATTATCAATAACACAAATCAGCATTATATCCAAGGTATATATAATTAATATTGATTGTTTTGATGATTTTCTTGAAATTTTTGCTCCTCCTGTATAGCTGGGAACATTCACAGAGAATAGATAGCATTGAGCAACATTTCAAGGGCCTTGAACAAGGCTTTCTTTTTGTATTTGCCCTTGTAAATATTCCACAAACTTTAGAAATTGAGGTCAAAGGATTTCCACCCTGGTATTAGCAAAAATGTCTGTATGTGTGTGTGTACACACTTACTACTTTTTGGTTTTATTTTGAATTATAAACATTTTTCTTAAAAATGTTTCTTCTTAAAAGTGCTTTTTTAAAAAAACACATGGTTTTGGAAATACAAAAATACTCATATCTGCTGCATTTTCTTTTCAAAGAGAATAACACTTAACATTTATTTAAAAAGGAATTGCATTTTTTTCAGATAATTTCTCATTCTATTAGCCCATAATTACGCCACAGCATGACAACAATAATAGCTATTACTTCAGATATTCTGCTTTATTATTTTTATAAAATGTATTCAACTTGTCAGAAAATATGGTCCAATTTTTATATCAGAATGTGTGTTTGTAGAGATTATGTATACACTTATATATAGACTGTATTTTAAATTATTCACAATTTGAAATTTTGTAGATCCATCTAGCCAATAAATTTAGAATTATATGACATTTAATTTAGATATTAGCATTTGCCACATCATATTTTCTTTTAAATTTTAAATAAATATCTGTGAAATTGATACACCTCTTCCCATTTATTTTAGAATAACGATGCAATCTAAAGTTTTCTCTGTAAGGTTGTGTGCATTGCAACTTACCTGTATTTAATAATGTTTTACACCAGTTCCCTTGTAGATTAACATTTTCCTTGTTTATGATGTTTATTTGTCTCTAAACATGCATCTGTAATTTCAGCTAATTAATTATGCAATTGCAAATGTATAGAATATTTAGTGATGAAAACTAGAGTAAGGTACATTTAAACCTTAAATTGGGTACAAATAATAAAATTTAAAAACTCAAGCACTCTAGGAACAGACTGGTGAAGTTCACTAATCATCATATGTATATATTTGACTGAACTAAAACAGACCTGATAAACTAAAATGTTGAAGTCATACAGTGCAGTTATAATTTTGGCTAAAAGGTCAGAAACCAGTGCAAGCATTGAAGATTATTCATATCCACTCAGCAGGCATTCAGACAATGAACTTTTATACTGTTCCTGTTCTCAGGGGAAAACATGACTGTTTTAAACACAGCAGACTGGTTGCTGAGTTGCAACACCCCCTCTTCTGCAACAAGTATGAGAGATGCTGGTACACTGCATGTGTTTGGGTGTGTGGATTTGCCCCTCTGGATTGCTGTCTGTTGCTATGTCTATGTTTGCATCTCTTTTCTGTGTTCAGTACTTAAAAAGGAAAAATGAACATGCCTTTTAGTTGTTTATTGACAGCAGTTGGTTATGATTTCTTATCAATCTGTATTCTTAGATTTTTTTAGGTCAGTAGTATTAGTATTCTTTTCTTAAATTTTTCATAATTTCACCTAAATGATGCATATATTGGTTTTCTAACTATTTATCAGTTTATTACATGATTAATTTTGCCCAACAACTGCCATGTCAAACAGCAATTGAAGCAGAATGGCCACGCATGCAAACTTAATCACCTTCATAACCCACAGACTTTCATAATTTAAATTAAATTCTTAATTAAGGAAAGATATTTGCTACTCTACAGACTTTGAGAAATATTCCAAAGTATATAAGGTAACATTAATAATCAATATCCCCTCACCTTAAAAATTATCAGTAATGAAAGCTATACATTTAAAACTAGAAATTAATATTGGCTTTTAAATTTTTTTGAACTATGGATATTAACTGCATTCATACCTACACACATATAAACAAACTTTCTCCTAAATCAAATTCTAATATCCTAAAAAAAATCAATTAGAACAAAGCCATCACATTTTTGTGGCACCACCCAGTTGTAGAATCAAAAAGGAGCTCATGCCTATTGGAAATGTGCATCACAAACAAGCAGTTAGAATAGGCACAGTTTGCCTGGACCTTGCTCTATCTCTGATGAAATTAGAATATATGATCAGTGAAGAAAAACTACTTCAATATGCTCATTATTTGTATTTGTATAGTTTTAGTTTTAATGTTTTTCAATTTTATACTTAAATATACTTTTCATACTTAAAATTATGTTGCTAGAATTTAGATACTCTTAATTCTATAGCAGGGTCTTTTTCTCTAAAGGGCCAGATAGTAAGTATTTTTGGCTTTGTAGGCCACATGTCTGTGTTTCAGCTGCTCAGCTCTGCCATCATAGTGCAAAAGCAACATAGAAAATATGTAAATGAATAAGCATGGCTATGGTCCAATAAAACTTCATGGGCCCTAAAATTTAAATTTCATATAATTTTCATGTGTCATGAAATATTGTAATTTTGACAACTTTTTAAACATTTAATATGTAAAAAAATGTTCTTAGCTTACTGGCTGTGGTCTGTTCTCAAATAGTGTTTAACACAAGCAACATTATAATAGTGAATATGTGCAATAAATAGTAATTTACCTCTGATCTCAACCAGAAACATTTTTCTAAGTGGTAAGCATCAGGCTTTCCTGGTTCTTAATGTCAGTGTTAAAACTCGTGAGTCCATGGGAGAAGAACAAGGAGTTGTGCGTCAGGGCCACTGTGGATCTGGATCTTAGCACTACACATACTGGCTGTGTCACCTTGAACAAGTTACTTAAGCTCTCTGAGCTTCAATTCCTTTCTATAAAAGGATGATAATAATACTTCTTGGCAAGACTTTTGTCTTAGATAATGTATATAAATTGCTTAACAATAAATATCAGTATGTCTTCCTTTCTTTAATTAGTAATGCAATAATAGGCAACAGCTTTTTAAGGAAAATGAAAATATGCATTGTGTTAACAGACTCCATTTGGTCAGATAAATTTAGTTGCATTTAGAAATGTGTAAACTGGGCTAAAGAAAGCAAACTTTTGGTAACAAAATGTTAGATAAACTTTGATTATTAATAATGTAGTCCTGGTAGCATATTATATGAAACTTTTAATGAATTTCAATGACTTTTTTTTTTTTGAAACGGAGTCTTGCTCTGTCACCCAGGCTGGAGTGCAGTGGCGCGATCTCCGCTCACTGCAAGCTCCGCCTCCCGGGTTCATGCCATTCTCCTGCCTCAGCCTCCCGAGTAGCTGGGACTACAGGCACCCGCCACGACACCCAGCTAATTTTTTGTATTTTTAGTAGAGATGGGGTTTCACCGTGTTAGCCAGGGCGGTCTCGATCTCCTGACTTCGTGATCGGCCCGCCTCAGCCTCCCGAAGTGCTGGGATTACAGGCCTGAGGCACCGTGCCCGGCCAAATTTCAATGACTTTTTATGGTGGGTGTTGGTGACACAGACTAAGCATTTGTTGCATGATCTCTTCTGTTAAGAATAAACTATTTTATTTTCAATTCTTGGTTTTTATTGTTGGAATTGTATCACTTCATAAAATTATAACAAAACAAAAGGCAAAAGAAAAGAACTAATTTAATAGCTTTTCAAGATCATTCCAATAACTCGAGATGTTCAAAAAGATTCTTTATTTATTTATTTAAGATGGAGTCTCACTCTGTCTACCAGGCTGGAGTGCAGTGGTGCCATCTCGGCTCACCGCAACTTCCACCTCCCAGGTTCAAGTGATTCTCCTGCCTCAGTCTCCTGAGTAGCTGGGACTACAGACACACGCCACCACGCCCATCAGGCTAATTTTTGTACTTTACTTAGTAGAGGCTGGGTTTCACCACGTTGGCCAGGCTGGTCCTGAACTCCTCACCTCAGGTGATCTGACTACCTAGGCCTCCCAAAGTGTCGGGATTACAGGCGTGGGCCACTACACCCAGCCTAATTTTTTTTAATTGATATAAGTAGATAGTATCACCTTTAGATTTTATCCTACTACATTGGTGCTCTTTAAGTATGTTGCAATATTCTTGAAAGTAATTTAATGTGTTTCACTACCTTAATCCTAATTATATAATTACATCTGCAGATTTATATGGAACATAGATTTTCCTTTGAAATTGTTAGCACTTGTAAAATTATTAAAGTGTAAAATATAGAGATAGCATAAATGCAAGCATACCTTAGCAAATAAAGCAGAGGTCAGGCCTTGTGGGCTGTCTGCTCTCTGTTGTCGCTATTTAGCTCTGCTATTGTTGCACAAAAGCAGCCATATACAATACCTACACAAATTAACGTGATTGTATTTAAATAATTTGACTTATGAACACTGAAATTTGAATTTCATTAAAATGTTCATGTCACAAAATATTCTCCTTTTGATATTTTTCAGCCACTTAAAAAGGTAAAAACCATTCTTAGCTTAAAACCATACAGAAACAGGCCATGGGTCAGATTTGGCCCAACTCCTGATATAGATCTATATGTGTATACATAAGTTATGTTGTACATATAAGAATGCATGCCAATTATATGAAAATTTACTTCCAGATATAGGTAATTCCAGATTCTAATTTGCTGAATGGTGTCAGGATTCATGATGAACTACACTTCATATACAAAAATACTTAGATCTATTGGGAGGGCTAGGGCAGTATCTAAAAGAGTAAATTTTCACTTTCTCACTTAATTGAAATGTATCAAGTTCCTATTATATGCCAAGTTCTATGCCAGGAAATGGGAACCCAGTGACCTAAAGAACACAATACCAGCCATCCAGGAACCAAAAGTCTAGCAGAGGGAGGCAGACATGAAAATAATGAATGCCATAATATGTTCAAGGTGGATGAACAGTGGAGGGAGGGAATATTTGATTCTACATGGAGATTAAGAAACAACTTCAAAGAAAAGGTTTGGGGGAATAGAAATCAGACATTCTGATCAGCTTTAGTGTTTTTTTCTATATTTGAAATCGATATAGAAAAGAATCTTCTAGAATTTTTACTGTAGAGATGATTGACTCACATATAATGAATTAGTATTTGTGCAATAGAGCTACCTACTGCTGTGGGTCAGCTCTTTTGTAGATTTTTTTTTAGAATAAAAGTCATAAATGGCTTCATCAAATTATTTTACAAAATTAAATACTTTATGGGTAGTTAGGAATGAAAGACACTTGGTAATCATAGGTTTTTGAATGAATATATTGATCCAAACAAGCATAAATCATAGGCTATACTGATTATTAAAACCAGTAGGCAATACTTTTACTGCTTCCCTGCAGTGTTATAAATTGTAACTTTCCTGATCTAACTCTTTCTGAAATTCTTTGTAGAAACTAAGCTGTCAAAAGCCTCTATATGTGATTTTTGTGGTTCAGAAAGAAGTGTATGTGGAATTACATATATGTAGTTTTTTAAATGGACACCTTAAACTGGTGCACACACACCTTAATCTATGTTTAAACTACACTGATTTATGAAGATGAAATGTAAATGTAAATTATGTGGGTTACCTTTCGAGGATGAAGCCTGAATTGCAACATATGAATATGAACTTTGAGTTATGATAATAAAACAGACTTTCTCTAAAAGTAATTAATCGACATTAATGTTATACTTAACTTCTAAAGACAATTTAAGGGGACAAGAGTAAGACTGCTTTAAAAATAAGTGTATGGCAGTAGGGATGAAGGTTGGGATGTGAAGACAGGAAATCTGTGATTTAGTAGCCATTACTGGTACCTGACAATAATTATGTATGACCTTGATTTAGTCTATAGATAAGAATTATTTTTAAAGCTAAAAAAATGGAAAAGCCAATCATGTATGTTTATTTATTTTTACCATTTGACTCTATCAGAAACATCCAAATTGCAAGTAGCTAACTAGTGGGGAGGGGGACCTGACAGTACAAGGATTTCTTAACGGTTCTCGACAAAGTGGTATAGAAAGTAATTTTATGCCACTTTTAGCAAAACGAGCTCTGACTCACTTACTTTGAAGATACAGAATAATAATCCCACAAAACTCTTCAACCTAGGACATTAAAATATTGTTTCTTTTGAAATCAAAACATTTGGTGTGTAAGCTTGCATTTGGTTGAGAAATACGGTGCTTGTCTTCTATAAAAGGATTTTGCTTCCATTTTATTGCATGTAATGATTTTGGTTTGCTGTCCTGAAAATTAAAAGCCCCATTTAAACTTCATGTTAATTTAAGAAAGACAAAATATAGCTTAACATACATTTGAACAGTCAAGGAATAGGCACTGATAATTATTTGGAATAAGGATTTTTACAAGTTAGTAGTAATAAGACTAGATTTGTCTTACTAATGAACATTTTTCCAATAGTGTCTTGCATATATTTAATGAAAGTTTCCTGCCACTAGAAAAGTATATAGTAGGTGTAATTTAAAGTGCAGAAACAAAAGCAAGATAAAAGAAAAAAGAATACATTTCAAATATATTTCTAGCTTCAGTGAAAATAACGTTGTTTTCCAAGCTTTATCTATAATTATTATATAATGTTTACTTTATACTAGTTAACTGTTATATAAATATCAAGATAATACTTCTTCGTATTCTAACATGTCTTAATAAATCAGCTAATAATATAAGGAGTGTCTATTCACTTCTCTATTTGAGCTTTCTACTGCTGAAAAAATAGTTGTTTATTATTACCTAATATTACTGCTTTTTATTTAGAAAAATCAAACCAAAATAACTTTGGGACTTACTTAGAGATCAAGAGGTGCTTGTTGATGCTCACTTAGTATGAATGCAGCTTATTTTCTGTGACAGAATAAATGTTTTATTTCTACTTTTCCATTTTGTTCTACCCTTGCATAGGAAAAACAATTTTACATTAACATGTACCACTTCCCCTCAAATGTTAGCATCCATTACTTTAAAATTCAGGCATTTTAGTAAAGCTAACACATCTTGCTTGTTACTCCTCTCTTCATATACTTTCCCAGGGATGGCTTTTCTCAGTAAAATGAACTTCCTTTGTCTATCTTTGACTAAAAGCAAACCTTTAAAATTTTAATGAGAGATGTTTCCAGTATAATGAATTAGACCAAAAACTCACTCTCTCCTTCTTCTTTCTCCTTTTGACCTCCCCAAACTTTCAAATTGAAGAGATTATAATCAAAATCAATACTAAGCTTTTGAAATTGGGTCTCAAAGTTGAAATTCAAAGTAACAAAACTAATCTTCATGTCTGGCTTCTAGACCAGTTTCGTTAGACACAGCTCACATTCTGCCACCTCCATTCGCAAGTAAAATCTATATTACAATTAGTATAATAAAGCTACTTTTGCAAATATTGTTCGTAGATATAGATATGCATAAATAGGAATTTAGCTGCAAGTAGAAGTCAGAAGCTCTGATAAACTGTTTCTTAGTTTTGCTGAAGGCTTTGGGCCATGACTTTTTGTCATAAATGTTAGAACTCAATTGTAAACATTGCGTGAAATGGAGTAGCCTTGATACCCATCTAGATTATACTCTGCATTATCTTCATACAGACAAAAGGAATTCTTGATTAGCTAGTGCTGCCTGAGAGGCAGTATGGTTTAAGAGTTTGGATTCTGAACACACACTACTTGGTCTCAAATTCTAGCTCTTACAAGCTTTGTGACTGGGGACGTTATTTAACCTTTTTGTGCCTCAGTTTCCTTATCTGAAAAATAAAGATGATGATATTATCTACTGACTGTTGAGAGGAGTAAATCAGTAGGTGTAAAGGACAAGAGAAGTGCCTGGAATGTATCAAGTTCATTTTAAGGGTGTGCTGTTACTGTTACCTAATTTCAAATTTGCTACTTCTTGATGTCTTTTAAAATATCCCATGAGGAAGAAATGGGAAACATGCCTTAGTATCCTATTCCAGTATTTTGCAGTTTTTATTTTCAGTGAAGTATTTTTAATTATTCTATCTAGGAGATAATTGCATTCTCATCATGCTTTGGGCCTTTGAGAAGAGACACTGTCATGAGCATAAGCTATTTTCGTACCTGAAGGCAGCCTGATACGGTGGAAAGATCCTGCATACTAGAGCTAAAAACCTGAGTTCAAATCTTAGCTCTACCGTCTCCTGCACTGGAACTTATGCAGGCTTTTCAGCCCCCCTGAACTTCAGTTTCCTTGTCTATAAAATGGTTATAGTGATTTGTATTAATTAGAGTTGTTTTAAGGATTAGCTAAATGTACATCATCTAGCACGTAGCAAGCTCTCAATAAGTATTAGTTTTATAGTAGTAAATATAAAGGTGATAAAATGATTTTATAATGATAGGTTTAGTTATTGATAAGGTATAACCATAATAGGGATTACTGTGCAAATTACTACTGAAAAGTAATAACCACCAATTCATTATTTATCATTATATAAATAATTAGACTACTCTTCAGATCATTGTTGCTCTTGAAAGATAAGTCAAACTTGAGTTTGCTTTTTTGCTAAGAAAAGTAATCCAAGTTTCTTTACTTTCTGTTTCCAACATTTACATTTCTCCTCTGAATCTTCCAGCTGATCATGTCATTAATAAATAATGGATACTAAATTAACCCAGAGCTCACTGAAGGTCTGGTTAATTCTGTTCATGTGGAAAAGAGCATAATCATTACCGCATGGTTTTCTATCAATTAATTTCTTTTCTAACAGAATAACATTACTGACTTGTGTGATTGGTGGGTACCCTATGACTGACTGTTCTTTTTTGTCCTTTGGCTAGTCTTCAGCTTTCTTCTTTATAATTTTCTGCTTGCTTCTAAGTTATTTAACTGTATCATTCATTTCACTTATGACCAGGAAACACAAGAGGTGTTAAGTAGAAAATAGCTTAGTTTATTTCCTTGCTGCTATGATATATGTAGTAAAGCCTTGCCAACAAAGGGAAAATATGGTGTGACCAAATGGGTAAAACTTTATTCTCACGCCCCATCACCCTTGTTGCATCTAATAATGATAATAATGTGTACTAGGCCACTTTGTTACCAAGCAAAGATTTTGCCAAAATACACCATTACCACGTAGAAATAACATATTAAAATGAGTTTTCAAAAGGTGTACTTGCTGCTGTAGAAGTCATCTCTTTTTCTACGCTTATCTCTAAACATATTAAAAATTGTTATGCCATTAAAGTATGAAGCCCAACACCTTATAGCTCGTGAGTCTTTTTTAGAGCTTCATTGAGTGCTTCATTTTTCATTCATTGTGTGAATGAGCCCATGGTTTCTATACTTTTATATGTCTCCATTGTATTATTATGCAAACTTAAAAAATATCTTCCTGGGAAAAATAAAATATAAGCTAGTAAATTTCTTTGGTATAATTTTAATTAAATGTGCTGAAGACTGATGATGATTCCTTCTTTCCTATTGACTATATGAGAGTGTGTTTAGGTGAATTAAAAATACAAATATGTGTACTGCTGTTTCACTTTTTAAGGCTGACTGCCTTTAAAAGCTGGATTTGAGAGAACTAGCTTGGCCAGAGGATTTTAGATTAAATCCTCTAAATGCATGCCCGTTTAGAAGCTAAATTAACAAACTCTCTTCATCAACTTCTCAGGTTTTCTCTTGCATGCCCATGGTAGCTAGAAATATCACTAGTAGAACGGACAGAGTCTTTGACATAAATTTAGAAGTAAAACTCACATGTACTTATTCTTCTACGTAGTGTCTCTTCTTGCAGTCAAAACAGAGCCCTTGAACAGCAGTGAAACCACAGCCACGACTGGAGATGGAGCGCTTGACACTTTTACTGGGTCAGGTAAAGCCTTTAGCTCGTGTGTCCTTACGTACACATGGGGGTGCATCCACATCCTCCTCCTCGGGAATAAGCAACATAAGCATCCAAGCTCTTAGAACTTTGATCCTTATAAAGTTAGAAACAAATTCTTATTTTTTGAGAACTCATAGTCATAGCAGTATGCATTGTTATAAATTATATTTAGAATAATTTCGCTTGATATTTTAGTTGACAGCAAAAGTCCCATGACTTTCTTATTATGGATAAGTAAACTTAACTTCCTTCAAAATTATTTTATACGATGTTTAATTAATTTAATAATTAAGTTGTAGTAGCTGACCTTGCTTCTTCAACTTACCCATTTGAATTACATAAAAACTGCCTTCTGTTTAACATTCGAGATGTAAAACTATCCATTTGATTCCTTCTAAATAACCTTGTTTCCTCTCTGGGTTTAAAAAACTCCTCCTGTGTAAGCAGCTGAGTGACAAGTATTAAAGGTTAATGGGCTGCAGGAGAGCACATGCTGGTTGCATTAGAACCCAGCCTCTGAGAGCGCTCGAATGCTTCAAAGAGAACAATAGCATGTCTTTAAACATCAATCCCTTTAAAATATAAATACCTGATAACTCCCAGCTGGGCACAAAGGGCATGAATTAAGTAGACTTAATTAAATTTTTTTAAGTTACAATATTTCTTCGGCTTTTTATCTGGTGAAAGGATTTTTCTAACCTGAGGAGGATCGGGTACATCAGAAAGAAGAACATTAAACCTAGGAAAGTATTTGTGGTAATTGAATCTCGGTTCTGTTATTCTACTTTAATACATTTTACATTTATCCATGTGCTCATGTTATAAGGATTTTTTTGTCAGTATGTTTTGTGTAAAAATAGTTGAGATATGTCTTAGAGTATTATGTCATTATAGCATATATTTGATTTTTACAGATGATCTAATTTCACTAGTTCACACCGATTAGAAGCAGTTGCCATATATTTACATAAATATTAGTACTCCAAGAAAGAAATAATAGTACATAAACTTTGCACAGAGACTCATATGTACTAATCCACATCTTTTCTAGCAGTTTACCTGCCTCTCAGGAGATAGTTACCAGTTCAGTATTCTGTATTGCACACTTACCATAGCTTTTGTAAACTTTCTGCAAAATAAATCTATATGAACAAATTGTTAAGGAAAGGAATGGAGTTATTAACTTATTGCTGACCTACTTCAGTAGTATACTACAAGTTAATTGAAAGCTGAATGACAAAACTATAAAGTGTTAGCTCCAGAAGGAATTTCAGAGCTCTCTGATCCGTTTTGTAGACAAGAGAAGTTAAAAGTGGTTAAGGCCATACAGTCAAGGCCTCACAGCTGGTCAGTGGTATAAACAAATCTAAAACCATGTCCTTATGATCAGTCCCTGGGTCCTTTCTGTAATGCCCCATCAGAAAATAGATGGAAAAAGAAATAGGCATGAACAATCATCCTGTCTGAAATTCACTCATATTGTCTTTGTAGATATTTTCGCAAATTTTTAAAGAAGTATCTAGGGACGTGCTGTCCAGTAAGGTAGCCACCAGTCATATGTGGTTATTAAAATTTGATAAAATTAAAAATTTTGTTTTTTATTTTCATTTTCACAGCAATATTGCAGTAAGTATATTTTTATTAATTGATTTTGAAAATCATCAAGTACGACTAGAGGCGTTAAGTTCTCAATATTTTCAGCAACCAAAATTTAACTGAATTTTCAAGTTTAAACACATTTCAAGTGTTTAACAGCTGCATGTGGTTAGCAGCTACCATATTGGACAGCTCAGATACAGAACATTTCCAACACTGTGGAAAGTTTTATTCCACAGCAGTGATCCAGGGCAGGGATTATCAACATCAGCACTGTTAAAGACTTGGGCTAATTCTTTAGTGTGGGAAAGCTATCCTCTGCACTGTAAGATGTTTGGCTGCATCTATCCCAGAATGCCAGCAGCACTCCCCCAGATGCTTCTTTACTAAAGAAGCAACCAAAGATGTCTTACTAAAGACAACCAAAAATGTATCCAGACTGTTTAAGTGTCCCCTGGCAGGCAAAATTCTCACCCCCACCCACTTCTCATCCCATTGAGAGTCACCAATCTAAGATGGCACGATAATGAGAATGAAACCTTAAAATTGCTTTGACACCATCAGAGAAACTGACAATAGATATTAAACATGTATTTAAATTAATTTTCAGGGCATTTTGAAAACAAGCAGTTTTGCTTACTGTTGTATGCAGAAATGATGGAATGTAATGAGTGTTTTGGGTAATGTTTATGATTAATCAGATGACAGTGGGGAATAAAACGAAATTCTTTCAAGTTTGTACAAGATATTCCAGAAACCATTCTGGAAATGAGGCTGCCCTTTGTGGGAGCAGTCTTTACTTTGATCTGCAAAATTTCCACTCACTTTAATCCAATTTTGTTGTTCTTTTCAGTTATCTGCAAATTTCTGAATTAGAACAAAATGTATATATTTTAGTAAAGAAGCATAAACTTTCCTACGTGAACATCGTAGTTTTCTGAGCCAAAGGTTTTCTGTTCTATTTAGAAAATGAACATATAGACGTTAATAGAAATTTGTAAAGGTTAGTTGAGGCTTTATAGTGTTGTGAGTACATTATTCTAATGATGTTTAGATTTATCATTAGAAGAAACATCCTATATATTCAGAATTGAGTTCATGTATATGAGTTTTTTCTGAAATGTGTAATTTTGGTCTATGTCTTATTTATAAAAGGTTACTATAATGAATATTTATCTTCATGATTCAGCGTCTCTTTGGAAAAGCCTTCTATTTCACAATATTGATAATAACTGATGAGTATAGCCCAAGTCTTGAGTGTACCAAGGAGAAATTCTGTAAAGAAGAGACGAAAGAATATTTAATCAAGCGTCATTTAACTATATTTCTGTTAGAGTATTTGGTATTGTTAATCGATAAATTAGAATGAATATCTTTGGAATAACACTACTATTATGAAGTGCACATTTAATGTCCATTGTGTAGTAGAACAAAGAGTCTGTTTTCATTAAGTTGATTTGAAAATTTAAAACGTTCTTTAAGTTTTGATAAATATGTAGAAAAGTAATAGTTTATTGGTCAATTTATTTTCAACGATACGTATCAAATTCAGTTAAATTCTGGTTGCTGAAAATATTTAGAAGTAACACCTTTAGTCAAATTTGATGATTTTCAAAATTGACTGATAATATTCTTAAAAATATACTTACTTCATTATCGCTATGAAAATGAAAATATTCTTTCCATATTCAGAGCTTATAGGCAAAATAGCATTTTAAACACATTAAATGATGCATGTTTGTGAAGCAGATCACAAGGGTTCTTGTGATATATATAGAAATATATCATGTTTCATAAAATAGTTAGCAACCTAAACCTATTTGTCACTTTTACAATTCTAAAAGTTTCGCTCCAGAATTATTATGAACAACTCAGAAAGGACATAGTACTTTGAAGTATAACTATGATTGATTAGACTAAACTAATTCCAGCACTGCATTGTGTACTACTTTAATCTTTTTGAAAAGTGAATGAACAGCAGATGGCCTAATAAAGACACTCTGTGTGCTCGCTCAGTGTGGATTGGCTCTAAGGGAACTGGCTCACACTTTAGAGTCCATATATTTGCAAAACATCTGTCTTAGTCAAGGCAGATAGTTAAAGGAAAGAGAAACTTCCAAGCTATTGGATATATTCCAGTTTGGGGCTCCATGTTTGGATGAACTGTTAATAGGACCTCACTTTCACCTTTAAGTTCTTCTCAGAAAAGTATTATCTCTAATAGTTCAAAGTATATTTGTAAATGTAATTGCTACTGCATTTTGTGATTATGTTTTAAAGAAATCACCTGCACTTTCTTTAATTATTACTGGAATATTTTAGACTGCATTTTTTAATTGTTCATCTGATGGGTAAAATGAGAGGAAATAGAATAAAATAGTATTTTACCATTAGAAAATGAAGTTTGGAACATCACAGTCTTATTTTGTATTGTATTTGAATTAGAACAGATATGGAGGAAGAGCAATATGTATATATTGCCATCATATTTGGTATTTTAAAATGTAAAGTTTGCAAATTTTAAAAATTTACTTTTATATTTTGAAAGCTTAATTACCCTATAATCAAAGATATTTATTCATAGCATATTAATATATAAGAGCATGCTAATGATTTGAGAAACTGGAAGAATGACAGAGGGAATGATTTGTGAGACAAATGTTTATTTCATGCTTTTTGCACAAAACTCAAAGCAGTTTAATTAGGAGAAAGTGTTTAGGCAGCTGTTTCCTTTTAGAAAATGAATTTCTGGAAACATGTATTTAACATGGTAATTTCTTCAAATTGGTTATGTACACTCTAGTGAAATGTATTTATGAAGCAACCTTTGGTGCACTGGTATTTTTGTGTCTTACAGTAATTACAAGTAGTGGCTACAGCCCCAGATCAGCACATCAGTATTCCCCACAGCTGTATCCTTCCAAGTAAGTGGTCAGTAGATTCTTGCTTTAAATTGGCAAACATTTATGTCTATACATGTTTTATAGATGGTTGGATAATACTTGGATAGATTACATATATAGATAAATATCCTGTACAAATTTGAAATGGAGACACCCACATGTATCTTGATGATTCCCTTGAATATTTATGTATACCTTGAGAAAAATATCAAGCTCAAATTAGAATACATTGCATTTTAATTCAAATTCAAAAATGCTGGCTGGTTAAAAAATCTAAAGAGATTACATTTTATCTAAATGTCAACACTTCATAATTAATTCCATCATTGAAATTCTTTTGTTGGATTTCCAGTTCTAATAAACATATTTTTGAAGAATATGCCTTATTGTTTTTATAACTAATATAGTCACTTTATTGAGGACAGTGGTAGATATTTCTTAAGTTTAACTATATTGGGTGTATATCTGAATTGGTTTGGAATCAGCCAGACGTGCCAAGATTTTGTATTGCTGATACATACACATTTAAATATAGTATGTTATTTTCTGCAGCATCTAGAGTGTCTGCCTTTACATATATATAGACTGAAGGTTGGATATCCAATGGGGAACATGATGTAAAATGTGGCATGATGAAAGGAATGATGTTCCTTTTTTTTTTTTTTTTTTAAGGAAGCTTCCTACCTTTCTTTTTCTTTTTTTAAATTTCCAATTCTTGGGAGCGAATTCTTAGTAGGGCTTTTAAATAGACTTCCATAGTCTTTGCATAGCATTAAGTCACTCATGGTGAGTGTGAATTTGCTCATGAGCATATTAATTAGCTAGTGTGTGCTCCATTTTCCTCATCTGTGTATTAACTGGAGTGCTATTTCAGATATGAGCAAGAATTGTAGACCTGGAAGAGACACAGGTGTAAAATCTAAATCAAATTTCTACTTTTACAGGTGTGGTATAGACATAGGGAGTTTAAATCATTTGTCTATGGTCACTAGATTGGCTTGTAGCAGAGCCTGAGCTCCTGACATTCAGACTGTTGCTTTTTCCTATATTGTTAAAATTATATTGTGGATAAAGAGGATTACTTCCTGGATATTATAGGGTTTCACTGAATCTAGGCTGTCTAAATTAATACACAGTCTTTGTTGCCACAGTAATGCTATTTTTCTGATATTTAGGCCCTATCCACACATTCTTTCTACACCAGCAGCTCAAACAATGTCTGCCTATGCAGGCCAGACTCAGTATTCGGGGATGCAGCAGCCAGCCGTCTACACAGCCTACTCACAGACAGGACAGCCCTACAGCTTGCCCACTTACGGTATTTCACATCTTCTGTTTTCTTCTTTGGTTATAGGCAGGTAATCCTGCTGGCTGGTAGCTTTGTATTCTATTGTAGGTTACAACTTAGAAGGAAAATCATCTTACTAATTAAATGGTTTACACATTCAATTTTCTGAACAGATTTGGGTGTGATGTTGCCAGCCATCAAGACAGAGAGTGGACTTTCCCAAACTCAGTCCCCATTACAGAGTGGCTGCCTCAGTTACAGCCCAGGGTTCTCTACCCCACAGCCAGGCCAGACACCTTATTCTTACCAAATGCCAGGTAAGTAGCTACACATGAAACATGTTTTGGGAGAACTAATTCTTTGAGTGAGACTCATTGGCTTCAGACTAGGAATATCCAATCATGAAGGTAGTTTTAAGCTTTATCACAGCTCACACAATTTCTAAAGAAAGATAACTAGACAGAAACACGATGAAATGGTTGAGTATACGTCAGGAAACATGACCTATACCAAACTTAAATACTTAAGTTTAAGCTGCGTAACATCAGCAGGAAACCAAGTCCAAGCAAAGCAACTCCCAAGCCAGACACCAGGTCAGCCACACATTTGGCGTCTACTTAAGCAATTTAAAAGATCTGTAGCACAAACCAGTATTTTCTTTTCACTCTTCCTGAAGTATGTAATGCTGTTTTGATTATACTTAAACTTGAATTAACTCTTTTCTAAGTTCCATATATTATTGACCAGTTGAGGATTTTTTGTTCATTCCTAAAATTCCTCTCTCCTATTGATACTATATTGCTTAATAGGACTGTTATATAATATTTACTCTCCAATCCTCCATATAGGCATATAGGATCATTAAATTTTTTTAAATTTTAGACTCCTATTAAAATTGTGTTTTATCTTTTTTTTTTTTTTTTTTTTTCTGAGATGCAGTCTCGCTCTGTTGCCCAGGCTGGAGTGCAATGGCATGATCTTGGCTAACTTGCAACCTCCACCTCCTGGGTTCAAGCGATTCTCCTGCCTCAGCCTCCTGAGTAGCTGGGATTACAGGTGTGCACCACCACACCCAGCTAATTTTTGTATTTTTAGTAGTGACGGGGTTTCACCATGTTGATCAGGCTGGTCTCAAACTCCTGATCTCAGGTGACCCGCCCGCCACGGCCTCCCAAAGTACTGGGATTACAGGCGTGAGCCACCATGCCTAGCTGTGTTTTATCTTAATGCAATAGTTGCCAAAAGAATTTTAGTGACATAGTAAAAACTTTAAAAGCTGGTTACTATCTGTCATTTTGTCTGTACTGCAAATCACAAATTTGGGGCTATATTAACATATTTGAACCAACTGGTATGACATTTTGGTCAATTGATTCAAATGAAATAATTACTTAGATATGTTCAGCTGGAATAGCAGTGCTCTTTTTTACCTAGAATGTAGGTTGAAACATATTTGAAAGCATGCTATAGCCACAAAAATTCATACAGCTTCAGTTAGCCATGTGACAGACAGTATTTTTTTTTTTTTCACGAATACTTTCATACTGGTTATTCCAGGTCAGGTCAGTGGCACTGATTACATAATACATTGCTAGTCAAAACACATTGATAAAACAAGTAATCAGCTACCTCAATAGCCTTTCATTTTACTTCTTGACAAGCACATTCCATAAGGACTTTTTTTTTAGGAAACCTGTAATTGGCAGCTCACTTGTTTTTGCCCTGATTTGAGAAATCATTAAATTTCAGACCTTGTAGTAAAGTTTTAGAAGGCCCTCAAACCCTAGATTTGTGTACCATAAACAGTTCTCCCTTGAGTCTGAACCCTAATTCACAGCTATTTTTGTTCTAAAGAAAAGACAAAGGGAACAAAAGTACAAGGAGTTGCTAAATGGGGTTCTGTATGTTTATTTCCCACGCTAAAAACCCTGTACAAATGTTGAACTCAAGTGATTTTTTGTATGTAAATGCAGTTGATATGGTTTGAAAGTTCCAGTAGTTTCCTGGAGGTAGTCTTAGTCTGTGTAAGATTTTATCCTTTGCATACCCCTGCACTTCTAGACTCTTAACCCTTGAATGTTGGCCTCACTCCTTATGAAGACTGTTCCCATGTGCTTCTGTTTAGCTCAACAGATTCAATAGGAAAGGGTTTACCAGCTGTTACAAGAGGGAGAGAGCTAAGCCTATTTTCTGTATAAATGTCTCAACTTCAAATTTCACTGTCTTCACGACAAATTTCAAAGTGTTTCTCTCACAGAATTCTGCAAAGTGAAATATCTTTATCATTTTACAAGGAATACTTTTAAAATGCAATTTGTTTTTTACCTCTAGGTTCTAGTTTTGCACCATCATCTACTATTTATGCAAATAATTCAGTTTCCAATTCAACGAATTTCAGTGGTTCACAACAGGTATAGTAGCTTTTTGTGTTTATGCTTTTTATATGTATTTCAGATTTTTGAAGAGTACTCTCAGGTTGCCATATATGTGCATACTCTCCCAGAATAAGGTTTCTTTATTTAAAAATTATGATAGCATTTCAGGATAGTAAAAAATTAGCTATCTAGAATTCTTGGAATATGCATTATTCTGGCTATTTTAGATTTTTTGATTGCTAAAGGTTTGTGCTTTAAACATTTATGCTGTAGTTGTTTTAATCATTTGGCATGGAATTACAAAATGTATTGGATATTTTGCTATCTTAAAATATACTAAGAACAATTTTATTTTTCTTGATAAAGCAGTTATTATAATGAATATTAATTGGTTGAATCAATATTAATTGATTAAAATAAGTCATAGGATTATACTACAGACTATATAACATTTTCAGTCCTAAAAAGTGTCCTTTGTTACTAAACAAAATGCCTCAAAGACTACTGTTGGCTTTTAAATAATTTTTCTGTTTTTTAGTTTTATGAATACTTTTAATAAATGTTTGATTCCCACTTTCCTGACAGCTGCAACTTTTTGCTTTTGTCACTGTGCCTGCCTCTGGTAGTCTTTAGTCCTCCTTCTAATTATGTTTTCTTAATATTTTTGTGAGTTTTAAAATCTAGCATGTTAGAATTATGCATGAAGCAAGAGTGAATGTCCCTGAATAAGTAAATCAGCTCGGAGTGAGATGAATTCGTGATATATGTTGACACTTCCAAATCTTTTGTCCTTATTTTTTGATTTTCAGCCATGTTCGAAGTAGTTGAGATTGAAGAGTTAGTGGCTGACTTCTGGTCTGGCAATACACTATTTTACTTTAGTATAGTTGCTAGACACTTATATATTCTAAAATGTAAGTTACTGTACAAGTGCTTACTTTTTAGATTTACTGAAGGAATTTTATCAATTGCTTTATTTTAGTTTTATTGATATCACAAAAGGCAGAAAGGAAATTTTGATCATTAAAATCGTGTGGAATAATAATATTTTTGATAGGATTAAACGGTGTAATTTAGCATTAGGAAAATGATGTCTTAAAACACTAAACATCAGAGCCAGTGTATACATTTTATTTTTTAAAATTGAGGTTTTTTTTGTAACTTGATTTTATGCATTTATTTATTGGTCCAGCAAGCATTTATTGAGCACTTGCTATATGTTAGATTTTTGGCTAGGGATTGAAGATTCAAAACGAGTAACTCATTGTTCCCTGCTCTTTAGAAGGATTCAGTCCTCCGAAAGAAACAAATATGAAAATAAGATGGACAGAGGGTGGGATGGGATATAGTGAATATAATAACAGAAATATACACTAGGCAGAGTTGTACTATAAAGGAAAAACTGCTCTGCCTCTATTTGGGAGGATTAAGAAAAGATTTGTAAAGGAAAAGAGCATTTATTTGAAAAGAGTTAATCATAGAACAGATCTGATTCTCTGTGAAGATTTAAATATAGTGGATCCCAATGTAAAATGTAATCTGTATTTGGGACCATGGCCTGAGCACCAGTTTGTTGTTTTGGCTCATACCTATTGAGTGCCCATAAAGTGTTAGGAATTGGTCTGTATACTGGGGCACACGAAGGTGGGGCTGGAGTAGATCAGATCTGATTCCTGCCTCATAGAGCTTACAGCCTACTGGGACAAACATACAATAAACCAGTAAACACACAAATAAATGCAGAATTAGAAAGAGAACAGGGCCTGCGAAAACATCAACTGAATATAATTTTGAATAGGGGAGGTTTTATATAAGGCTTCTCTATGGAAACCACATTTAGGCCAAGACTTCTAAGAGTTAGGTGAAGAAGGAGGGCAGTGGTGTTTCAGGCAAAGAAAGCAGAGTGTACCAAATCCCCAATGGATGGAAAACTTGGTGTGTCACTGAACTTAAAAAAAAAAAAAAGGCTGGAGTTCAGTTAGTGCATGAGGGGGAAGTGGGGAAGCACATTTGCAGAGATAGGCGGGGGCCTGCTCACGTAAGGCCTGGTGGTTTACAATAAGGAATTTGGATTCTATTCCAAGCCCAGTGGGAGGCTATGATAGCATTTTGAGCAAGAAAATTACATCATTTAATTTATGTTTTGAGACGATAACTCTGCCACCAAGGTCTTTGGAGAAAGTCAGAAATGGAAACGAGGAGATAAATTTAAAAATGAATACATTGCCTGCAACAGGAAGAAAAGGTAGTTTGGACAAGGGGGCGACAGTGGAAATGAAAAGAAAGTGAGATCTTTGAGATATGTTTGAATATGAAAAGACATTATATTCCCCAGTGGGGAATAGCCTGGACCTTTCCAGTATGTAACCTCATCCTCTTCTGCAGGAATTAGTAGGCTAACAGAGAGCTTCAGCACAGATGTTTGACTTAGGCACTCTGGGTTTAAATTCTAGCTCTGAAACTTACTAGCTGTGTGACTTTGTGCAAATCACTTAACCACTCTGTGCCTTAGTCCCCTTCAAAGTAAAATGAATATAGTATTAAGACCACATAAGAGAGTATAAGGATTAAATGAGTAAATATATCTGAGCCCTTAGAACAGTGCTTTGATACAGAGTAAGCACTATGTAAACATTTGCTACCACTGTTTTACTCTGAGAGATATTGGTAGGAACTTTGTTTAAATATGATGAGGTTTTTGTTCTTGGCTCACAAGTTACAGTAGTGGGAAACATTGGATCTTGAAATTTTCAGACTAATAGAATTTTAGTTTTCTGCCATATTACTTAATCATTTATGAAGATATACATATTTACTTATAAAGATTATTTCTTTTATTTTTTGGAAACCACATCAAATGTAGATCTTTTTTCCTTTGGAACACATTTCATCAGGGGATCTTAATGTTATCAGTGATGACCAAGGATTTGTCATCACTGATAACATTTTGGGCTGACACATGCTAGATATCTTAAACACCAATTATCACAACAAATCCTTACTCATCATCCTACTGTGTAAAAGGATTTTGAATCATTTTAAGGTTCTTAAAATTTTTAAATAAAAAGCAGGTCAGGGGTGTTGATTCAGTGCTTTCATTTTTCTCTGTAACAAAGGAGGGAAACTAAATCATTGAAAAGTTCACTAAAGACTTTAAATCAAGGCCTCAGGTGGCATGTAGTTTGTGAGAGGCTGGGTAAAAAAAAAATAATAATATTCATCTTCTTTTATTTACTTTTTACCTCCTGCCAAGAAAACAGAATTATCAGTGGTAGCCCAGAAAGGAACAAAAATCACAAAAATGCAGACTGAGGTCTCTGTGGAGTCTAGGAGGGGCAGCCCCAACTCCTTGCTGGTGATGTTAGAAGATGTGTAAGAACGGATTTTGTGAATATGAGCTGATTCCATCTCCTTCTTTCCTCTTCAAACACGTAGGTCCTGATGATGTAAATCCTTGAATAAGTAACTATCAGGAGCAAAGTGAAGCATATGCTAACTTTAATCACATTAAAATTTGTGTACTGGACCTGGTTTGCCAAAACAATAGGGTATTTCACTACTATATGTTTGTAAGAAATGCCCACAAAGTAGTCTCTGCTCATTAGGATCACCTCAAAGCTGTGGACTCAGAAACAAATGGGGCTGAGTACTAATCTTTCAGTTACCATAATGACTGGTTTTCTTGGGAGAGTATTAAAGAGTAATTTCTCTTTCAAACACACACATCTCAATTATTGTTTCAGGATTATCCATCCTATACAGCCTTTGGCCAAAACCAGTATGCACAGTATTATTCAGCATCAACGTATGGAGCGTATATGACATCGAATAACACAGCCGATGGCACACCCTCTTCAACCTCTACTTATCAGTTGCAGGAATCTCTCCCAGGACTGACTAACCAACCAGGTACAGATCTTCACCCAGGTGAAATACTTTTATATGTTTTGCAATATCTAATAAAACGGAGAAAGTGGACATTCCAAAAACATGGCGGAAAGCTCCCAGATAATTGTGCTGATGTTTAATCTGTGTTAGCATGACTGTGTAAGACGAGGCTCTTCTGGCATTTCAGAAGATCCTTCTTTTAGATATGGGACAGATAGGCGATTTTAATCTCTAAATGATGGTGTACATATGAATATGGAGCTTTTGCCAGACTCATTATTCATTTGTGAAGAACTTGCAACAAAGTTGTAATATTATCTTCCTTATGACTGATATTATTTCTTTTGTGCTAAAGAGACTGCATAAGCCCTTCACCTTTGTAAGTTGTCAGTAGCTCTAGCCCGTGAACATTTCCTACATTCCTGGGATTTGTAGAATCAGTGATAGGTAGTTTAATATCTTTGTGTGATCAGTGTGTATTTAAAATCCATTGTGTGTTTCATTATCTGAAACTTGCAGTATTTGAATTGCATTTGCGACACGTAATTTGACACAGCTGAAGTATTTAAAGTTAAAAGCAAATGTAACAGAGACTCAGTATAATCCTAAGAAAAGTTCCAGGACTTTTTGGAGAAATTATTGAGGTGATTCTAAAATCACAAGGAAAGGTGGATGAATTAGAATAGTCAAAACTATTTTTAAAAATAAGAACGAAGTTTGAAGACTCAGATTACCTGATTTAAAGACTTATAATGTACAGTAATCAAGAGAGTGCAAAAGGATAGACACATAGAGCAATGAAACACAATGGAGAGTCCAGAAACAGATGCATATATATGCTAGAAAATGGATTTTTGAATCAGGATACAAAGGCAATTGAGTAGAGAATGAATAGTTTTTTTCAACAAATGGTGCTAGAACAATTGGACATCTATATGCAAAAGAGGAAAGGATCTCAACTTATATGCAAAAATTAACTCCAAATGGATTGTAAGCCTACATCTAAAAAGCTAAAACTATAAAACTTCTAGAAGAAAAAAATGGTGGAAATCTTTGTGACCCTGGGCTACATAAAGATTTTATAGATATGACATTAAAAACACAATTCATACAAGAAAAGAACAGATAAAATTAGATTTCAAAAAATTGTAAAGAACTTTTGCTCTTCAAAAGACACTATTAGAGAAGTGTCTGTTCATGTCCTTCGCCCACTTTTTGATGGGGTTGTTTGTTTTCTTCTTGTAAATTTGTTTGAGTTCATTGTAGATTCTGGATATTAGCCCTTTGTCAGATGAGTAGGTTGCAAAAATTTTCTCCCATGTTGTAGGTTGCCTGTTCACTCTGATGGTAGTTTCTTTTGCTGTGCAGAAGCTCTTTAGTTTAATTAGATCCCATTTGTCAATGTTGGCTTTTGTTGCCATTGCTTTTGGTGTTTTGGACATGAAGTCCTTGCCCACGCCTATGTCCTGAATGGTAATGCCTAGGTTTTCTTCTAGGGTTTTTATGGTTTTAGGTCTAACGTTTAAATCTTTAATCCATCTTGAATTGATTTTTGTATAAGGTGTAAGGAAGGGATCCAGTTTCAGCTTTCTACATATGGCTAGCCAGTTTTCCCAGCACCATTTATTAAATAGGGAATCCTTTCCCCATTGCTTGTTTTTCTCAGGTTTGTCAAAGATCAGATAGTTGTAGATAGGCGGCATTATTTCTGAGGGCTCTGTTCTGTTCCATTGATCTATATCTCTGTTTTGGTACCAGTACCATGCTGTTTTGGTTACTGTAGCCTTGTAGTATAGTTTGAAGTCAGGTAGCGTGATGCCTCCAGCTTTGTTCTTTTGGCTTAGGAGTGACTTGGCAATGCGGGCTCTTTTTTGGTTCCATATGAACTTTAAAGTAGTTTTTTCCAATTCTGTGAAGAAAGTCATTGGTAGCTTGATGGGGATGGCATTGAATCTATAAATTACCTTGGGCAGTATGGCCATTTTCACGATATTGATTCTTCCTACCCATGAGCATGGAATGTTCTTCCATTTGTTTGTGTCCTCTTTTATTTCATTGAGCAGTGGTTTGTAGTTCTCCTTGAAGAGGTCCTTCACATCCCTTGTAAGTTGGATTCCTAGGTATTTTATTCTCTTTGAAGCAATTGTGAATGGGAGTTCACCCATGATTTGGCTCTCTGTCTGTCTGTTGTTGGTGTATAAGAATGCTTGTGATTTTTGTACATTGATTTTGTATCCTGAGACTTTGCTGAAGTTGCTTATCAGCTTAAGGAGATTTTGGGCTGAGACGATGGGGTTCTCTAGATAAACAATCATGTCGTCTGCAAACAGGGACAATTTGACTTCCTCTTTTCCTAATTGAATACCCTTTATTTCCTTCTCCTGCCTGATTGCCCTGGCCAGAACTTCCAACACTATGTTGAATAGGAGCGGTGAGAGAGGGCATCCCTGTCTTGTGCCAGTTTTCAAAGGGAATGCTTCCAGTTTTTGCCCATTCAGTATGATATTGGCTATGGGTTTGTCATAGATAGCTCTTATTATTTTGAGATACGTCCCATCAATACCTAATTTATTGAGAGTTTTTAGCATGAAGGGTTGTTGAATTTTGTCAAAGGCTTTTTCTGCATCTATTGAGATAATCATGTGGTTTTTGTCTTTGGCTCTGTTTATATGCTGGATTACATTTATTGATTTGCGTATATTGAACCAGCCTTGCATCCCAGGGATGAAGCCCACTTGATCATGGTGGATAAGCTTTTTGATGTGCTGCTGGATTCGGTTTGCCAGTATTTTATTGAGGATTTTTGCATCAATGTTCATCAAGGATATTGGTCTACAATTCTCTTTTTTGGTTGTGTCTCTGCCCGGCTTTGGTATCAGAATGATGCTGGCCTCATAAAATGAGTTAGGGAGGATTCCCTCTTTTTCTATTGATTGGAATAGTTTCAGAAGGAATGGTACCAGTTCCTCCTTGTACCTCTGGTAGAATTCGGCTGTGAATCCATCTGGTCCTGGACTCTTTTTGGTTGGTAAACTATTGATTATTGCCACAATTTCAGAGCCTGTTATTGGTCTATTCAGAGATTCAACTTCTTCCTGGTTTAGTCTTGGGAGAGTGTATGTGTCGAGGAATGTATCCATTTCTTCTAGATTTTCTAGTTTATTTGCGTAGAGGTGTTTGTAGTATTCTCTGATGGTAGTTTGTATTTCTGTGGGATCGGTGGTGATATCCCCTTTATCATTTTTTATTGTGTCTATTTGATTCTTCTCTCTTTTTTTCTTTATTAGTCTTGCTAGCGGTCTATCAATTTTGTTGATCCTTTCAAAAAACCAGCTCCTGGATTCATTGATTTTTTTGAAGGGTTTTTTGTGTCTCTATTTCCTTCAGTTCTGCTCTGATTTTAGTTATTTCTTGCCTTCTGCTAGCTTTTGAATGTGTTTGCTCTTGCTTTTCTAGTTCTTTTAATTGTGATGTTAGGGTGTCAATTTTGGATCTTTCCTGCTTTCTCTTGTAGGCATTTAGTGCTATAAATTTCCCTCTACACACTGCTTTGAATGCGTCCCAGAGATTCTGGTATGTGGTGTCTTTGTTCTCGTTGGTTTCGAAGAACATCTTTATTTCTGCCTTCATTTCGTTATGTACCCAGTAGTCATTCAGGAGCAGGTTGTTCAGTTTCCATGTAGTTGAGTGGCTTTGAGTGAGATTCTTAATCCTGAGTTCTAGTTTGATTGCACTGTGGTCTGAGAGATAGTCTGTTATAATTTCTGTTCTTTTACATTTGCTGAGGAGAGCTTTACTTCCAAGTATGTGGTCAATTTTGGAATAGGTGTGGTGTGGTGCTGAAAAAAATGTATATTCTGTTGATTTGGGGTGGAGAGTTCTGTAGATGTCTATTAGGTCTGCTTGGTGCAGAGCTGAGTTCAATTCCTGGGTATCCTTGTTGACTTTCTGTCTCGTTGATCTGTCTAATGTTGACAGTGGGGTGTTAAAGTCTCCCATTATTAATGTGTGGGAGTCTAAGTCTCTTTGTAGGTCACTGAGGACTTGCTTTATGAATCTGGGTGCTCCTGTATTGGGTGCATAAATATTTAGGATAGTTAGCTCCTCTTGTTGAATTGATCCCTTTACCATTATGTAATGGCCTTCTTTGTCTCTTTTGATCTTTGTTGGTTTAAAGTCTGTTTTATCAGAGACTAGGATTGCAACCCCTGCCTTTTTTTGTTTTCCATTGGCTTGGTAGATCTTCCTCCATCCTTTTAAAAAGACAAGCTATAGACTTGGAGAAAATATTTATAATACACATACTGATACAGGAATTATATAAATATATAAAGAACTGTCAAAATTCACTAAGAAAAATTAGGTTAAGAAATTTTTAAAATATCATTAATTTGTTCAAGTATATTTTTCTGCCTTCAGTTATTTGCAAGATCCAAATTCATCTCTACTTCTTTCTTATTCAGCTTTGGATGGGAGGGAAAATAGGGAAACATGGTCACAGTACTGTAAACTCTTTCTAACTGGACCAGTGGGGCCAAGATGACTCAATGCCATTAAACGATTATTTATTGAGTATATATTAGGCATCAGCACTGTGCTAGAAACTGATATTTCAGCAGTAAATGAGCTCTTTGCCCACCTTTGGCTTTCATTTGACAAGCAGGACAAATATCAAGCAAGTAATTACAATAGTGAGAAAGGGAAAATGGTAGGTCATATGGGGGATATTAACAAGTAAACTAATTTGGACATAAAGTAAAAATGAAACTGATATTTTAAGCAACAGCCAAGATATGTTTATATCATGAATTGATGAAATGATAACATTCATGATTTTTAGTTCCCTGTTCAGAATATAATCTTTACCTGTGGGTCCAAGAAATAATTATCTAGTAGATAGAGCTTGTCTTTGATGCCCCTACATTTTAGTTTTTTCCCCTTATCTTCCTTTTATATCCTCCTACCTGTGGGCACACAGCCCCTTTGAATTTCTGGTCCTTGTCCCTTTGGGGCTCTCTGTTTTGGCTTTTCAGCTAGCCTTAGCCTCCCTGGGTATCTGTACCCCTTGCAGGGCCAGGATTAGGGTGAGGTCAGTGAAGCACCTAGAGCACAAAATTTAAGGTGGAACTCGTTCTTGGGGTCCTTAAATTTTGTGCCCTAGGCGCCTTACTCATTAGCCCCAGCCCAAATCACATGTTCCAAATCTGTCATGATCCTCTTTGGGTCAATACTTGTGTTGCATCAAGGATCTTACTTTCATTCAAAGAATGAATGATTTCAGAATCCTTGCTTAACAAGCAGTGGAGATACTTCAGGGAAGGAGATATTTCACGACCTCTTATCACCCTGTGGAAGGTTTTTCTCAATGATGAATGTGTGAGGAAAACAAGGTAGGGTGAAACCACAGAAGTATTTAATTATCAAGATATCAGAGACTGAATGATGGACAAGACCAAAAGGGTGTTTTTTTAATTTGCTAGACTACAGCTACCAAGAATGAAACCCATTTGTGTACTCAGATACGGTATATGCTACGTGGAGCTTTGTGTAAAATGTTGCTTTTGCTCCAATTTCCATATAATCACGAGAAAGCTTCTCTGCAGGAAAAACACAGATGGTTACTTTCCTTATTAGAATAATCAGTATTGAAAATAGCTATTTTATTCCTATTAAATATATTAAATGCAGGCAGGTAGATATTCTGAGTATGTGACTTTGGATGTGACACATTCACATATGGAATTCTGACATTCACTATCAGAATGCTGCAATTTCATCAGGCCTTCATTGGTTGCTGAGGTCAAGAAATATAGTTTGACATCATTTTCAGATTTTATTAGACTGTCTGTTGAATTTAAAGAAGGAATTAATTCTACTTATAACTATATTATTCTCTCAACCAAAATCGTAACAACACACATGTCTGGATCTTTAAAGAATTCTATGACCTCAGACCTTCAGTCAATGCAGTTTTAGGTTTAATTTTGCCTTTTCAGATCTGGCATACGGCCAAAAAGCAAACAAGTTTATAACTATGGAATTTTTCTTTATTATTGATGGAATCTGATGTATTTAGTTCAAGGGCAAGAAAAGTATTTCCCATTGACTGGTTCTGCATTTTGGACTTAAAGTAGAAACCTAAAATTAAACCCACAGTTTTTCATAGAACAGTCACTGCTGAATTCTACTTTTATAATGAAAACATACCTTATGTTCAATAAGAGACAGCTGGTTTTTCTGATTTAGAGATAAGCCTAATGAAATAAAGTGGGATCTAAATATCCAAAACTTAAAAGGTGCAGTTATTCATTACTGTACTGATTAAAGGATAATTATTCAATCATGTATAGTATTGGGTCAAGAAAAGCCTAGGGCAATTTTGTAATGACTGATGTTACTTGGAAATTGCAAATAGCATTCCATTATTTAATTTACCTTATTAGGTAGTTTGACAGTGGATTTAAAGAAACACTACCATGCTGATTAAGAGCAGACATTTTACTTCATTCTCTTTCTAAAGGTCTTTCTTTAAAGTAAAATTTATATTGGGTATATCAGATTTTTTATTTGTATTAAGAAAGTTTGAGGACAGATTTGCACATGAAGATGAGAAATATTTTTATAGCGCCTCCTTTTCAAATATTTTAAACATCTTTAAAATCAAATACAGTTAGTCTTGTATAACAATATTATGTTTTACCCTGACACTTTGACAAACATTACAATACATTAGCTAACTGAACCTAACAGGTGCTCTAGAAAAGTAAAGGATAGAGTAAGATCATTTCACTCTCTGAAAAGAAGCCAGTTTCTTAGGCAGAACACAGCAGCCTTTTGATAACTTCATGGTATTTCACGTAAGGAAAGGAAGGGAAGTAAAGTGCTAACTCATCTAATGGAAACTAACAAGAGGATTTAGATAGAAAGGACCACATTCAACTGCTCTGCCAATTTACATTTTCCCTACCTGTGGCATTGCTATGCCCTTGTGCAATTACCTGAGTGAAATTTGGCAGAGGCACTGGAATTAACAGCTTTCTTCTTTTAAAAAAAAGTGTCAACAAATGTTTAATGACTGGTTGAGCTCAAGTTCCTGGTTTTACCCTTTATCAGAAGAAAGGATAGCACCTGCAAAAGGAATAGAGGTCAGTACAATTCCACCTGGGTGATTGCTCTAGGAGCCCAGATGTATCGCATGGCCTCTGCAGGGCATGCTCTTTTGCTTCTGTGAAGTTCTTTCAGTGAATTCTTTGGCCCTCCATCTCACAGAAATTATATAATGCCCATGTGACTTTTATTTTAATTTATTGTTTAACTGACAAATAAAAAAGTATATATATTGGTGCAGTGATGGGCACCCGTAATCTCAGCTACTCTGGAGGCTGAGGCGAGAAGATTGCTTGAGTCCAGGAGTCTGAGTCTTTAAAAAGAAATTGTATCTATTTTTGTGTATAACCCATTGTTTTGAAATACATTTATATTGTGAAATGGCTAAATTGAGCTGATTAACATATGCATTACCTCACATGCTTATCATTTTGTGGTGAGAACCCCGAAAATCTATTCTCTTAGCAATTTTTAGAAATACAATACATTGTTACTACGTATAGTAACATGTTGTATAATAGATATCTTGAACTTACTCCTCTTGTCTAGCTGAAGTGTTATATCCTTTGACCAACAGCTCCCCAGTCTCCCTCTCCAGCCCCACAGCCCTTGGCAACCACCATCTTACTCACTTCTTCTACGAGTTCAACTTTTTTGCACTCCACATATAAATGAGGTCATGTAGTATTTGTCTTTCTGTGCTTAGCTTATTTCACTTAACATAATGTTCTCTAAGTTCATCCTTGTTGTCTCAAATGACAGGATTTTCTTTTTTAAGGCCAAACATTATTCCATAATGTACATATACCACATTTCCTTTGTCCGTTTATCCATTGATGAACACTTAGGTTGACTCCATATCTTGGCTATTTGTGAATAATGCTGCAATGAACATGGAAGTGCAGATATCTCTTCAACATACTGATTTCATTTCCTTTGATATATACCCAGCGGTGTGATTGCTGGATCATATGGTAGTTCCGTTTTTAGGAACTTCCATAGCATTTTCTATAATGGCTGATATGGTTTGGTGGTGTCCCCATCCAAAATCTCATCTTGAATTGTAATCCCCCTAATGCCCATGTGTCAAGGGAGAGACCAGGTGGAGGTAATTGAATCAGGGGGGCAGTTTCCTCCATGCTGTTCTCGTGATAGTGAGTGAGTTCTCATGAAATCTGACAGTTTTATACATGTTTGGTAGTTCCTTCTGCTTTCCTTCTCCTTCCTGCCACCTTGTGAAGAAGGTGCCTTGCTTCCCCTTCCCCTTCTGCCATGATTGTAAGTTTCCTGAGGCTTCCTCAGCCATGCTCAACTGAGTCAGCTAAACCTCTTTCCTTTGTAAATTACCCAGTCTCGAGTAGTTCTTTATAGCGATGTGAAAATGGACTAAATGGCTGTGCTAATTTACACCCCCACCAGCAGTGTGCAAGATTTCTGTCCGCCACAGTGTCTCCTACACTTGTTATTTTTCTTCTTTTAGATAATACCATTTTAACAGGTGTGAGGTGGTATCTCATTGTAGTTTTAATTTGCATTTCTTTGATAATGAGTCATGTTGAGCATTTTTCATACACCTGTTGTCATTTTTATGTCTTCTTTTGAGTGATGATCATGCCAACCCATTGCCCATTTTTTATTTGAGTTATTTGTTTTTTACTATTGAGTTGTTTAAGTTCCTTGTGTATTTTGGATATTAACCCTTTATCAGATGTATGGTTTGCAAATATTTTCTCTCACTCTAGTAGGTTGTTATATGACTCTTTTATAAGTAGAAGCAGATCTAGGTTTGACCTTCTGGTAACCTGAAGAGTCCATTGCTATTTGCCTGAGAAAGTATAGCCAAATGGTTAAAGGAGGAGTTCTGCAGTCATACCAGTGTTGCATCATACAAGCTATTTAATTTTGTTAAATTAATTGCCACTTCTCCAGTTTCTCCATTATTAAAAGACAATAATGAAGGACCTAATTCACCGGGTTGGAGTGAGGTTTAAGTCAGACACACACACACACACACACGCATATATATATATACACACATAAATATATATAATGTTTCATAATAAAGAGCTTTGACAAATCAATAAGAAAAAGACAAACAGCCTAGTTTTCTTAATGGGCAAAAGATTTAACAGTTACTTCATTAAAAAGAAGATATCAAATGAGCAAGAAACATGAAAAAGTATTCTTCATAATTACTCATCAAGAAAATTATAATTAAAACCACAGTGAGATACCATCAATCACACACCCAAAATGGTGAAAATAAAAAAACGCTAACAATATCAAGTATTGACAAGGATGTGGAACAACTGAAACTCTCATTGTGGTAAGAGTAAATTAATACTGTCTTTAAATTAATAAAAATGAGCAGTGGGTTAGCATGGTCGTTAATACACTGGAAAGAGAGTAATACACTGGAAAAAAGTCAGTGTCTGTTAAAGATGAACATATGCCTTCCCTCTGACCCAGGAATCACATTGCCAGGTATGCATACCCAAGAAGAATTAAGAGCTTGTATCCACAAAGACATGTACAAGAATGTATATAGCAGCTTTATTCATAGTAGCCTAAAATTGTGAATAACCCAAATGTCCATCAACAGAATGGATACAGTGTAATAGATACAGTGTAATATATATATACATGAAGAAGTTCTAGCCACATTAAGGAAAGGACAACTGCTATCCCAGGCTAGAATATGGATTATCTCACAGCAGTGAATGAAGCCAAACACATATATTTCAATAAAAAAAATTTTTAAAGAACAGTGCATGACATGTACTAAGGGGTGAATAAATGTAGAGTTACCCTTCATAGTTTTCTAAAAAGGCTGTCTTTATCCCCATCAAAACACTTCTGCAGATATTTTGTCCAAATTCTTAGAGCCCTTTTAAGATCCTTCAGTAATTTGAAAAGCATCAATGGGAATAAAGTCTTAGGTTTACTGAAACCCAGATACGTCCTACAACCACAGTCTTTTCTCTTTCCTCTTCTGCTCTTTTCACCCCTTTGCTGTGACAGCTGCTGGATCCCAGTTCATTTGAATAGCAGAATTATTCCTGCTAAACTCCTCCTTTATGGACTCAGCCTACAACCACCCATGACTGGGGTTCCTCAAGTTTTTGTCCTTTCAGCTCTTGCACTGTGACAAGAACAAAGTTGCCTTATGATAGTTAACACCTGAAAATTGATCTATAATGACTATAAGGAGAAGTTTTATGGAACGTCATCCAAAATGTTTTTTAAATGCATGCTTAATAAGTGAGGGTTAATTTTAATCACCATTTTATTTGAAAGCAGACATTTGGTTTGTGGGATATAGTAACCTTAGGAAAATTCTGTTTCAAAAATAATTAAAAATGGAACTTTTATGTGATTTTATTTAAAAGTTGGTGTATGTTCAGACATCTAAAGACTAATTTAATGCCTATACAAATAAGGTGAAACATGATTTACTATGAGACAAGGCTATATTCAACCCCATAACTTAAAAACCTTATTACTCTGCTATCTACTCTCACCGAGGTGATAACATAGACCCATGAAATGAACTATGCTGGCAATATTTTAAGTGCAAATAATATTTGGAGCACAGGCATATTTTTTTGATCATGTGCTGACATGCACAGTGTTTCCCAAAGAAAATGTTAGAGGTTACCCATGTAAAAATTACTATTTCTCAGAAAAAGTGATGCCTAGTTTGTTCAGATTTGTTTATTTAGATTAATAACTGCTTGGTTTTCCTCAGAATTGTTTTATTTTAATTTTTAAATTTAATGATAAAAAATAATAGCCATAATATCTTTTTGTTTAAAAATCATGTAATTTAAATTTAATGTAGTTTACCTTCTGTCTTGGAAATTGTCACTTTATACATATAATTTAAATCAAATTAAATATAAATCAGATTTATCCCTCAGTATTCCAGAAAGCTGCCATGAAACTGAGATTTAGAGAGATTGAATAAAATGCTTGTACTCATATAGTAATTCTGACTCTTCAACTTGTTATACTGTATCTCACAGTTGCCTCAGTTTATCTTAACAGTTGCTCCTACAGATTTGCTACTACTCAGTACTCTCTACCTCCTAAGATACTTTCTCACAAGCTTTAATCATTTCAGAGTTTTAGATATCTATGGGACGTACAGAAGTCAATTGGATTCTGAAACTGAATTAAAGTCTGAAACTTAGGATGTGGCCTAGTTGGAGGTATAGGTTTATATGTGAGTCATCACAGAGAGGGTCATTAACACATGAGAGAGTTAAATCCCCCAGATTGTGTGGAGTGAAGACAGTGATCAGAGGATGGAATTCTGACATACTAGCTCATAAGGAATGGGAGAAGTACAGGAGTCCATGTTTTCTAGATGGAGATGGACTGATCGGAGTGATTCTAGAACTAGGAGAGTGCAAGGTATCAGCTGTCAAATAATAGTTTCGAGGAGGTGCTGTTTAAGAGAATCACACACAGCACAGAGATCCTGGAAGACAAGGACTGAGTCTGTCTATTGCATTTGTCAACAAGGTGATTTCTGGGGACTATTAGCAGGAGTATTTTTATCGCATTTTGGGGAACTGAAGCTAGATTATGATAAATTGGATATCAATAAGTGGGGACAGATATGCCGTCCAGTGCTGCAGCCACTGGCCACACGTGACTCTTGAGCACTTGTCATGTTGCTAGTGTGGACTGAGATCCAGTATAAGCATAGAACACTGCACAACATTTCAAAGACTTAGTATGAAAAAGAAAATGTAAAACATATCATTGATAATTTTATATTGATTACATACGGATATAACATGAATATATTGAGTCAATTAACACATTGATTACATACTGATATGATAACATGGATATATTGGGGCAATTAACATAGAAGTGATGATAATTTTACATATCTCTTTTTACTTTTTTTAACATAGCTGATAAAAAACTTTAAAATATTATATAAGATCACATTTGTGGCTCACATGGTATTTCTGTCATATAGCACTAGTATGCACTATTCTAAGAAGTTTTATGTAAAAGAGAAAATGGAAGCAAATAGTATCTAGATGGAAATTCCAGGTCAGAGGGAAGGACTTTTTAACTTCTCAGTGACCCCAAGAAATGGGAGAGGTGGAAGGGAAAATGGGAGAGGTGGAAGGGAAGATGGGAGAGGTGGAAGGGAAGATGGGAGAGGTGGAAGGGAAGATGAGAGAGGTGGAAGGGAAGATGAGAGAGGGTTTGACTAATGAAGCATGACTTCCTAGGAGGTGGGGCTGGGAGTCAGGTTTGCAGGTGGAGGGATGGAATTGATCCAGAAGAAGACATCTCATTCTCTGAACTGTGACAAAAAAGGAGGTGAGGACATATCTAAATGGAGATAAATATGTAAGTGAAGGTATAGACAGGAAGTTGAAGGCGTATGGTGTAGAAAAGACATTCAAGTTTAATAGATCACATAGATTACAACTAGTAGGAGTTTGTGTAAACTACAAAAGTTCTGACTGACTTGTGTGTGCTTGGGATTATAAATCTCTTTTTTGCCATCAGGAGGTTTCTATTGTATAGGAATTTGTTAAGATAATTAATAATGAAGACTCATACTTGATCTAAAAATGAAGTGCTATTCTTGACCTAAGTCATGTTATCTATAGGAGAGTTCGATACCATGCAGAGTCCCTCCACACCCATCAAAGATCTTGATGAGAGAACCTGTAGGAGTTCTGGGTCAAAGTCCAGAGGAAGAGGCCGGAAAAATAATCCCTCCCCGCCTCCTGATAGTGACCTGGAGGTATGCCTACTCATTCTTAAAGATTGTAGTGTGATGCTTTATTTTACCGAATGATACATTCTCTATCTTACAGTTCCATTATGTTTCAAATTTAAAAATCAAGATATATCATGAATTGAATGGAACTACTTTGTGATAGGCATTTTACAACTCTGAAGTTTGAGATTCCATCCATTATAATATTAAAATTAAGAACAAATAACAGTATAAAAATGATCTTGATTTACAGATTATTGGCCTGAGATAATTGCAAGTTTTGATCTAAATTGGCACCGACAAATTTTAAAACTATAGCCATTGTTTGTGGGATACTTTTCTATGTAGCACTGTATTCGATAGCACTAAAGTAATGGAAGATGTCCAAATGGGTCATTAAGTTTAAAAAGATGAAAGTAATTTGTATAGAAAGAAAAATTCATCTTCTAAAAATAGGACAAGTTTCAATCACTTAATAGTATGTGTTAAAATCTGAAAATTTCATTATATGTCACTTTCTATTTATGAGTTCTTTTGAGATATATCTGTACTAAGCAGGGTTGATTTTTATATACAACATCAGTAGAAACTATTCTTAACCATAATATGTTACTTCTTACATACCACATACTTCGGTTAAGAAAAAAATTGAACTTCCAGATTTAGTAAAATCAAGTGACAGACGTTGTGATTCTTTATAAGAGATAACTTCCTTTTCTTGAACAACAGCAACAAGTTCACATTGCCTCAAGAACTTGACAGATGATATAAATGAGTGACCGGGCTGAGTTGCCCAGCAGACTGTGAGGAGCTCAGAGTGCAGGCCCATTCTGAGGGACCTGCCTGTCACTGCCATGTAGGAATGGCAGCCAGCCTGGCCACAACTTCTAGTTGCTGTGCTACAGTCAAAACCCTGAAGTTTGTGGGCAATTGCCTAGTTCTCAAATGTTAATTCATAATTTGAAATCCTTCAAAACTCCAGGGAGGCCAACATATCTGCTGGCCTAATGTGACCCCAGGATCTATACTTGACAATTCTGTTTAGCGGTTACTCATTGATTCTTTTAAATATTTCTTTAAAATCTAATTCTTTGCAGAAATTGTAAAAGTTTATGAATCCCTAAGGTATAAAACTTTAAAATATGTAGAGTTTCAAGCATGCTTCTATCATAAAGTCTGAATGTATCTCTTTTTGGTGTTAACTACGAGTAAATGTATGGATTAATTTATTCAAGCGAGGACATCTGACTCTTAAGCTTATAATTTGTATAATTCCTGCTCCTCAGGCTTTATAGGAGTTAGATTTGGCAAATTTGAAAAACAAAAAAATGAATAGTATTATTTTCTATTAAATGATATCAAGATGATCTCTAGGAAGGGAGACATTTTCTGCTTGTAAAGAGATTTCTGTTTCCTTGGACTTTTTAATTTTCTGATATTTATTTTTTGTCTTCAGCGTGTGTTTGTCTGGGATTTGGATGAAACCATCATTGTTTTTCACTCACTGCTCACCGGGTCTTATGCACAGAAGTATGGCAAGGTAAGAAATCAAGAAATGTTACTCCAAGAAATCTTGTTAAATTTTTTGTGTTTGTTTAAAATCAAGGGCTATTTAAAAATTCTTTTAAGTGTTTTTTTATTGCAGTCTGTGAAATCTTCTCTTAATTATCTATTTCTAGTGTCTTATAGTTCTTTAATATGAACTGGCAAATTTAACAAAGCTAATTATAAATTGAATTCCTTGCTATTTCTTCAAAAGGACTGAGTTTTCTACATCAAGACCAAGCTTCTTAGTCTCACATAATTATTTTAGAAAAAAAATTGTAAATCGAAATGGACTTCAAAACATTATAAAATCATATATTATCCCCAATAAAAGAGCTTTAAGAAATTGTTTAAATTAATTTGTTGCAATTTTATAGCAATAGCGAGTAATCTTTCGTCTGACAGATCTTTTGGATTTATGAATGAGTGTTTTTTCTGTGACTTGAGTACACATATGAACAGCAACCGAGGTAACACCCCCTCCCATACACAAAGTCAGCAATAGATGGTCTCATGCCTCACCTGCCTTTCTCTCTTGCTATTGTTTTTATTTTCTCTTTTATTTATTTATTTCATTGTTATTATTATTATTATTATTATTATTATTATTATTATTATTTTGAGACAAAGTCTCACTCTGTCCCCCAGGCTAGAGTGCAGTGACATGATCTTGGCTCACTGCAACCTCTGCTTCCCGTGCTCAAATGATCCACCTGCCTCAGCCTCTCGAGTAGCTGGGATCACAGGTGCCCGCCACCATGCCTGGCTAATTTTTGTATTTTTAGTAGAGACGGGGTTTCACCATGTTGGCCAGGCTGGTCTCGAACTCCTGACCTCAAGTGATCTGCCTGCCCCTCGGCCTCCAAAGTGCTGGGATTACAGGCGTGAGCCACCACACCCAGCAGTTATTTTTATAGTTAGCTTCTTATAACATCATTATTACAAACCTCTGTGAGTGCTTCTCCGAAGACTGATGCAACTCTGAAAGGCTTTTTGGCTAGAAACACAGCTGTTTAGGCAATAACTGTTTAAGTCTTAGACTCTGTAGGGCTCATAATCAAACTAAAGCCAACTCAGAACATGTTGGCTTACTGTCAGTTACTATACTCAAAGTTGTATCTTTGGTTCCTTTACATATCACGCTTACAGAAATGTCTTCCTATGTCTTCATAGCATTCCATTATTTTATAATATCTCATGCTCATGCAGTTTTTAGCTTTGTCTATATTAAGCTATATTAAGCTTTGTCTTCTGACAAGTAATGATAAAATTGCGTTGAAGTCTAGTCTTCCTAAATTACACTTTGGGTGAATCTGCATTGTCATTTGGTTTTAGTATAGGTAATGAGGTAATGGATATTTCTAAACAGATGTGAAGGTAATAATTTTGTTTAACAACCATTTACAAGAAGTGTTAGCCCCTTTATCACAAAAGTAAAGTAAATTATACAGAAATTTGGAGTACACACTCAATATCCTACTACTGATTAAGTGTGCAATATAAAAAGTTTCCAGACTATAATCTGAAGAATTTATTCTAAGTAGTATTGGCTTATCAGAAGTACACAGTAAATCCTGTTGAGCTGATTGCAATATTTTTGTGCAGCTAAGTTTCATATTAGGTAAGTGTTTAAAATAAACAATCTAATAAGCAGACTGGCCCAAATAAAGATCCCTTCAAAATAGTCACCATGAGGTGTTACACCTAAATATCCATGTTGCCCCCATTGTGCCAAATCAGTGGTAGAACTCATCTTTTGGAATTATCATTAGCCTTTTAACATATTTCCTGGCTTCACATCTTTATCCTTTTGTGGTCATTTTGATCTTTCTTTAAAAATAGAAAGATCATTCGGACCCAAGGCGGTGAATAAGGAGCATGGTAAAACTGTCACTGTATATATTTGTTTTATTTTTGTCAAAAATACCATAGAGTAATGAAGCTGCCTTTCTCAATTTACTCATAAACTGGCTTTAAGAGCAATTCCAAAAGCAAAGTTCAACTTCTCTCAGCACTGCTGCGTCATGGAAATAAACCTGTCAGCTCCCAGGATGTCGACAGGACATGCAGCACTCATTTCAACACACAAGTTTTATTTTTCCAAAGTATTTCCCTAAAAGGTTTTTTTTCAAATTCAAAATAGAGACTCTCTATGCATCCTCTGTGCTTCTAGAAGGTTAAAACCAAAAGAAGGAGAATACCAAAAGGGTGGGGCAAAGCGAGGGGAAGAAGGAAACTAACCATTATGGAAGGCTCATGATGCGCCAGGCAGGAAGCATCCCACAGGATGAAGGGGTAGGCTGTTCTCTCAAAGCTATAGATGAGGAAACATATCCAGAGAAGTAATAAAAATGTGTCCACAGCCACACAACCAGTCAGTGGCAGAGACGAGTCCTGGGGCCCCAGATTCTTTGACCCTGAAGCCATGTTCTTTCTGCCATAGCACATCGCATGGCCTGGACAGTTAATATACCAGGAATGCAATAGAAAAGTAATATTTCCAAACAGGAGTAAAGACAATTAGTGAGGTACTGCATAGGCAGTTGGGTGAGTTCTCTTTTAAGTTGTAATTTTAATGATCTTCTCTCAGACACTTGGAATGTGTTTTCATCAAGAGGTAAAACTTAAGAAATATTCCATGAAATAGAATATGGCAGACAGTAATCAGTATCTGCTGGTGGGGCAGAATACAGAAAGAATCAGAGGCACTATTGGAAGGGGATGAGAAAGATAAACTTACATTTATAGGATACCTGTCCTGTGGTTCAGCCGATGTTTGACATTTTAGAAGCAATAGGGTGGTGGTGAAAGGCAAAAGCTTTTGAGTCAGATAAACTTAAGTTCGAAAATCGAGTTCTGATGCTTACAGCATTCTGACTCTGGCAAATTACTTAAATCTTCAGTTTCAAAATCTGTAAAATGGGAATAACACCATCTGTTAGATTGACCACACTGAATAATGTTTTTACTCAGAGCAATTTAAGAAAACTAAAGTAAAAGTGTTTTTAGGCTATATTTTTTTTAATAAAAACAAAAACATCCTTGTCGAATTCCATGAAAAACAACTTATATTGCCTTATTTATTGAATTATTACATATATTTCTCTAAAAGTTGTTTTATCATTGACAATTTACTTAATGTAATTCAGAAAATCGGCACTGCCTTTTAGCCAGTAATAAATAATATCTTGGCATATTGAGAAGTAGCTAAATAAGGCCCATCTTATGAAGCTATGGACCACAGACACCTCAGGGTTCACGGCAGATGGGACAGAGATGACGTTGGGTAGCTTCAGCTTCACCACAAACCATAACTGAAAAATGGTAAACTAGAGCCCCTCAGACAGACTGCATTCATTTAACAAATAGTTAGTAATATCAATAGACATGCTTCTTGCTCTCATGGAGCTTACAAACCAAACAAAAAACAAAACAAAACAAAAAAAAACACATTTCAGGTATTGGTGACTTCTGTGAAGAAAATAAAACTAGGTCGTATAATGAGTGACTGGGGTATGTGACTGAGGAAGTGACATTGGTACTGAGAGGAGCTAGCCCTACAAATTAAGAGAGTGGGAGAATTGGAAAGAGCATTCCAGCAGTGGGTGCTGATCTTCCAGTGTTCCAGGAATATGAAGTCTAGTGTGGCTGGAAGGTTGTAAACAAGAGAAAGAATAGTACAAGGTAAAGGGAAGGAGGTGGAACAAGTTGGCAAAATAGAAACCTCCACTGATTGTCCTCCCTGCAGCAACACCAAATTGAATAAGTATCCACACAACACAACCACCTTCATAAGAACCAAAAGCCAGGTGAGCAATCACACAATACCTAGTTTTAACTCATATTACTGAAGGAGGCACTGAAGAGGGTAAGAAAGACAGTCTTGACTTGCTGACACCACCACCCCACACCAGTCTTCCAGCAGCAGCTGAATGGCACAGAGAGAGAATCTGTGCACTTGGGGGAGGGAGAGCTCAGTGAGTGTAGGTTTTTGCATTGGAACTCAGTGACCTTTCACAGCAGAAAGCAACACTGGGTAGAACTTAGCCAACACCCATGGAGGGGGCATTTAGACCAGTCCTAGCTAGAGAAGAATCTTCCATCTCAGCTGTTGGAACCTGAGTTCTGGCAAATCATCACCACCATGGGATAAAGTGCTCTGGGGTCCAGGCAGTTTAGGCCACAAGGACCGCAATTCCTGGACAAGTCCTGCTGCTCTGCTGGGCTTGAAGCCAGTGGACTCGGCAGACACATGACATGGTAAGACACCAGCCAGGGCAGCCAAGGGAGTGCTTGTGCTACCCCTCCCTCAGGCCCAGGCATCACAGCTCACAGTTCTAGTAGAGATGTCTTCCTTCCACTTGAGGGAGGAGAGGAAAGAGTAAAGAGGAATTTGCCTTGCAACTTGGATACTAACTCAGTCACAGAAAGAAAGGGCACCAGGCAGAGTCCTGAGGCTCCAGTTCCAGGCCCTGGTTCTGAGATAACATTTCTACACACGCCCTGAAGGAAGCTTGCTTCCTTGAAGGGAAGGATCCAATCTTGGCAAGATTCATCACCTGCTACCAAGATTCATCACTCTTGGGCCCTGAATAATCAACAGTAGTAGCAAGGCAGTACTTGCCGCAGGCCTTGGGTGAGACTCAGAGATGTGCTGGCTTTAGGTGTGACCCAGCATATTCCTAGCTGTGGTGGCTATGGAGAGGGACTCCTTTTACTTGAGAAAAGGAGAAGGAAGAATAAAGGGGACTTCCTCTTGCAGTTTAGGTACCAGCTTGGCAACAGTGGGATAGGGCACCAAGTCGGCATGTGGGGTCCCTGATTCCAGGCCATGGCTCTTGGATGGCATTTCTGCACCTGCCTTAGGTCAGAGGGGTGCCCACTGCCCTGAAGGGAGAGCCCTAGGCATGAAAGCATTCGCCACAAGCTGACTGAAGAGCCCTTGGGCATTGAATGAACATCTGTGATAGCTACACATTACTTGCCATGGGCCTGGAGCAGTCAATAGTGGTCATGGGAGAGAATTTTCTGCTTGTGGAAAGGGTAGGGAAAAGTGGGAAGGACTTCATTTTGTGGCTTGGGTGCTAGCTCAACCACAGTAGAATAGAGCAACAGGTAGTTTCCTAATAGAGCACCAGGTAGATTCCAGATTCAGGTCCTAGCTCCTAGATGGAGCCAGGCTCTGTAGACCCACCAGGGACCAGGGGAACTTGACACCCTGAAGGGAATCATACAAACTTGGCTAGTTTTGCCACCTGCTGATTGTAGAGCCTTGAGCAAACATAGGTGGTAGCCAGGCAGTGGTTACCACAGGCTTTGAATGTGACCCAGTCCTGTGCTGGCTACAGGTCTGATCCAGCACAGTCCCAGGGTGGTGGTCACAGAGGTGCTTGTGTCACCCTTTCCCCAGCTCCAGGCAGCTCAACACAAGAGAGAGACCCCATTTGTTTGGGAGAAAGTAAGGGAATAGAACAAAAGTCTCTGCCTGGTAATCCAGAGAATTCTTTGAGATCTTATCCAAGACCAAGAAGAGGGCATCTCTATGAGTCTGCAAGAGCCACAGTATTACTGGGCTTGGGTGCCCCCATTTAATGCAGATAGCATACAGTGACCAAAAACTTAGATCACAACACCCAAGTTCCTTCAGATACCTCAAAAGCCTTCCCAAAAAGGACAGGTATAAAGAAGCCCAGACAGCAGCGACTCCAGTAAATACCTAACTCTTCAATGTTCAGACACTGGTGGGCATCCACAATCATTAAGACTACCCAGGAAAACATGACATCACCAAACAAGGCACCAGTGATCAATCCTAGAGAGATGGAGATATGTGACCTTTCCGATAGAGAATTCAAAATAGCTTTTTTGAGGAATCGCAACAAAATTCAAGATAACAGAGAAGGAATTCAGAATCCTATAAAATAAATTTAACAAAGATATTGAAGTAAAAATCAAGCAGAAATTCTGGAATTGAAAATGTAATGGACATATTGAAGAATGCATGAGTCTCTTAACAGCAGAATTGATAAAGCAGAAAAAAGAATTAGTGAGCTTGAAGACAGGCTATTTGAAAATACACAGCCAGGGGAGACAAAAGAAAAAAGAATAAAAACGAATGAAGCGCACCTACAAGATCTAGAAAATAGCCTCAAAAGGGCAAATCTAAGAGTTATTGGCCTTAAACAGGAGATGGAGGGGTGGGGCTAGAAGGTTTATTGAAAAGGATAATAACAGAGAACTTCCCAAACCTAGAGAAAGATATCAATATCCACATGCAAGAAGGTTCTAGAACACCAATAAAATTTAACCCAAAAAAGACTATCTCAAAGCATTTGATAATCAAACCTCAAAGCCCAAGAATAAAGAAAGGATCCTAAAATCAGTGAAAGAAAAGAAATGAGGAACATACAGTGGAGCTCCAGTACATGGCAGCAGACTTTTCAGTGGAAACCTTATAGGCTAGGAGGGAGTGGCATGACATTTTTAAAGTGCTGAAGGATTAAAAAAAAAAACCATATTTACCCTAGAATAGTATATCCAGTGACAATATCCTTCAAACATGAAGGAGAAATACTTTCCCAGACAAACAAAAACTGAGTGATTTCATCAACACTGGATTTATCCTACCAGAAATGCTAAAGGGAGTTCTTCAATCTGAAAGAAAGGGATGTTAATGAGCAGTAAGAACTCATCTGAAGGTAAAAAACTCACAGGTAACAATAAGTACACAGGAAAACACAGAATAGTGTAACACTGTAATTGTGGTATGTAAGCTACTCATACTTTAAGTAGAAAGACTAAAAGATGAACCAATTAAAAATAATAACTGACAACTTTTCAAGACATAGTAAAATAGGATATAAATAGAAACAACAAATAGTTAAAAAGCAGGGGAACAGAGTCAAAGTGTAGAGTTTTTAATTAGTTTTCTCTTTGCTGGTTTGTTAGTTTGTTGGTTTATGCAATCAGTGTTACATTGCCATCAATTTCAATTAATGAGTTATATTATTTGCAAGCCTCATGATAACTGCAAATCAAAAACATACAACAGATACACCAAAAATACAAAGCAAGAAATTAAAACATACCAACAAATAAGTCATCTTTACTAAAAGGAAGACAAGAAGAAGGAAGAGGAAACCACAAAACAACCAGCAAACAAATAACAAAATGGCAGGAATAAGTCCTTACTTATCAGTAATAACACTGAATGTAAATGGACTAAACTCTCCAATGAAAAGACATAGAGTGGCTGAATAGATTAAAAAAAAACAAAAAAAAACAAAAAACCGTGACCCAGCGATCTCTTGCCTACAAGAAATACACTTCACCTATAAAGGCACACAGAGACTGAAAATAATGGGATGGAAAAATATATTTCCTGAAAATGAAAACTAAAAAAGAGCTAGAGTAGCTATACTTATAATCATCAAAGTGGATTTCAACACAAAAAGTAAAACAAAAAAAAACTATAAAAATTAGACAAAAGAAGGTCATCATATAATAATAAAGGAGTCAAATCAGCAACAGGATATAACAATTTTAAATGTATATGCACTCAATACTGGAGCACCCAGATATATAAAGCAAATATCATTAATACTAAAGAGAGAGATAAACTTCAATACCATAGTCACTGGAGACTTCAGCACCTGACTTTCAACATTGGGCACATCATCCAGACACACAATCAACAAAGAAACACTGGACTTAATCTGCACAGGCTTAGACCAAATGGACCTAATAGATATTTACAGAACATTTAATACAACAACTGCAGAATATACATTCTTCTCCTACACACATGGATCATTCTCATGATAGACCACATGTTAGGCCACAATACAAGTCTTTAAAAATTAAAAAAAATGAAATTATATTATGTATCTTCTCTGACCACAATGGAGTAAAATTAGAAATCAATAATGAGGAATTTTGGAAACTGTGCAAGCACATGGAAACTAAACAATAACTCCTGAATGACCAATGGGTCAATGAAAAAATTAAGAAGGAAATTAAAAATTTCTTGAAAGAAAAAAGTGATAATGGAAACACAAAATACTAAACCCTATGGAATACAGTGAAAGCAGCACTAAGAGGAAAGTTTATAGCTATAATTGTCTGCATCAAAAAAAGAAAAACTTCAAATAAACCACCTAATGATGCATCTTAAAGAACTAGAAAAGATCAGAGAAGAAATAAATGAACTTGAAATGAAAAAAATACAAAAGATCAACAAAATTAAAAGTTGGTTTTTTGAAAAGATAAACAAAATAGACAAATCTTTAACCAGCCTAGCTAACAAAAAAGAAGACTCAAATAAGTAAAACCAGAAATGAAAAAGGAGACGTTACAACTATACTTCAGAAATTCCAAGTATTCTTAGAGGCTACTGTGAGAAACTACATGCCAATAAACTGGAAAATCTAGATGAAATGGACCAACAACTAGACATATAAAGCTGTCAAGATTGAATCATGAAGAAGTCCAAAACGTGAACACACCAATAACAAGTAGAGATGGAAGCTGCAATAAAAAGTACCCCAGCAGGCCCGGCGCAGTGGGTTATGCCTGTAATCCCAGCACTTTGGGAGGCCGAGGTGGGCAGATCACGAGGTCAGGAGATCAAGACCATCCTAGCTAACATGGTGAAACCCCGTCTCTACTAAAAAATACAAAAAATTAGCCAGGCATGGTGGCGGGTGCCTGTAGTTCCAGCTACTCGGGAGGCTGAGGCAGGAGAAGGGCGTGAACCTGGGTGGCAGAGCTTGCAGTGAGCCGAGTTAGCACCACAGCACTGCAGCCTGGGGGACAGAGTGAAACTCCGTCTCAAAAAAAAAAAAAAAAAAAAGAGGAAGAAGAAAAGAAAGCCTGGGACCCTATGACTTTACTGCTGAATTTTTCCAAACATTTAAGGAAGAGCTAATAGCAACCCTGCCCAAACTATTCCAGAAAACAGAGGAAGGAATATTTCCAAACTCATTCTACAGGGCTATTGTTACTCTGATACCAAAACCAGAAGAAGACACATTAAAGAAAGAAAGCTACAGGCCAATATCCTTGATAAATATTGATGCAAAAATCCTCAACAAAATACTAGCAAACTGAATTCAACAACACATTGAAAAGATAATTCATCATGACCCAAGTGGGCTTTACCCCAGGGATGCAAGGATGGTTCAACATATGCAAATCAATCAACGTGATACATCATACCAACAGAATGAAACACATAAAGATTATTTCATCTGATGCTGAAAAGTATTTGATAAAATTCAACATCCTTTGCTGATAAAAAAAATCTTCAAAAAACTGGGTATGGAAGAACAATACCTTAACACAATAAAAGCCATATATGACAGACCTGCAGCTGATATCACACAGAAGGGGGAAAAATTGAAAACCGTTCCTCTAAGATCTGGAGCAGAACAAAGATGCCCACTGTCACCACTGTTATTCAGCATAGTACTGGAAGTCCTAGTTAGAGCAGTTAGACAGTAGAAAGAAATAAATGGCATCCAATTTGGAAAGGAAGAAGTCAAATTAGCCTTATTTGTAGATGATATAATCTTATTTTTAGAAAAGCTTAAAGATTCCATCAAAAAACTATCAGAGCTGATAAAATCAGTAAAGTTGCAGGATACAGAATCAATCAACATACAAAAATCAGAAGCATTTTTATATGTCAGCTGTGAACAATCTGAATAAGAAATAAAAAAGTAATGCTATTTATAATAGCTACATATAAAATAAAATTCCTAGGAATTAACCAAAGAAATGAAAGATCTCTACAATGAAAACTGTAAAACATTGATGGCATAAATTGAAGAGGACACAAAAAAAATGGAAAGAGATTCCATGTTCATGGACTAGAAGAATCAATATTGTTAAAATGTCCGTTTTACCTGAAGCAATCTATCAATTCAATGCAATCACTATCAAAATACTACTGACATTCTTCACAGAAAAAAACAATCCTAAAATTTATATGGAAACACAGAAGACCCAGAATAGCCAAAGCTACCCTGAGCAAAAGGAGTAAAACTGGAAAAATCACATTACCTGACTTCAAATTATAACACAAAGTGATAGTAACAAAAACAACATGGTACTGTCATAAAAACAGACATATAAAGCAATGAAAAGAATAGAGTACCTAGAAACAAATTCATACATTTACAGTGAAATCATTTTTTACAAAGATGCCAAGCACATACATTGGGGAGAGAACAGTCTCTTCAATAAATGATGCTGGGATAATGGAGATCCACGTGAAGAAGAACGAAACTAGACCCCTATCTCTTGCCACATACAAAAATCAAATCAAAATGGACTAAAGACTTAAATATAAGATCTCAAACTATAAAACTACTACAATAAAACATTGGGGACACTCTCCAGGACATTGGACTAGGGAAAGATTTCTTGAGCAGTACCCCACAAGCACAGGCAACCAAGCAAAAATGGATAAATGGGAGGCATCAAGTTAAAAAGCTTCTGCACAGCAAAGAACACAGTCAACAAAGTGAAGAGATAATCCACAGAATAGGAGAAAATATTTGTAAACTATCCATTATACAAGGGATTAATAAGCGGAACATACAAGGAGCTCAACTCAATAGGAAAATATTTAATAATCTGAATAAAAACCGGTCAAGAAATTTGAATAGATATTTCTCAGAAGACATACACATGGCAAACAGGTACGTGAAAAGGTGTTCCCATCATTGATCATCAGAGAAACTCAAAACTACAATGAGATATCATCTTAAGACACTTAAAATGGTTTGTATCCAAAAGACAGGCAATGCCAATGAGGTTGTACAGAAAAGGGAACCCTCATACACCGTTTGTGGGAATGTAAATTAGTACCACCACTATGGAGAACAGTTTGGAGGTTCCTCAAAAACCAAAAATAGAACTACCATGTGATCCAGCAATCTCATTGCTAGGTATATACCCGACAGAAAGGAAATCAGTATATCAAAGAGGTATTTGCACTCCTATGTTTATTTCAGCACTTTTCACAATAGCCAAGATTTGGAAGCTACCTAGGTGTCCATCAACAGATGAATGGTAAAGAAAATGTGGTACATTACACAGTGGAGTACTATTCAGCCATAAAAAATGAGATCCTGTCATTTTTAGCAACATGGATGGAACTGGAGCTCTTTTAGTGAAATAAGCCAGGCACAAGGTGACAAACTTTACATATTCTTACTTATTTGGAAGCTAAAAAACGAACTAATGGTGACAGAGTAGAACAATGGTTACTAGAGGTTGGGAAGGGTAGTTGTTGAGGGGTGCAGTTAGTGGGAATGGTTAATGGGTACAAAAATATAGTTAGACAGAATGAATAACATCTAGTATTTGATAGCACATCAGGGTGACTGTAGTCAACAATAATTTATTGTACATTTTAAAATAACTAAGAGAGTCCAGGCACAGTAGCTCAGGCCTGTAATCCTAACACTTTGGGAGGTGACGCAGGAGAATCACTTGAGGCCAGGAGTTGGAGATTAGCCTGGACAACATAGTGAGACCCTGCCTCTACAAAAAAAAAAAAAGTGTTTTTTTTTTAATTAGCTGGGCATGGTGGTGTATGCCTGTATTCTCAGCTACTCAGGAGGCTGATGTTGGAGGATCATTTGAGCTCAGAGATTGAGGCTGCAGTGAGCCATGTTCACACCACTGCATTCCAGCCCAGATGTCAGAGTAAAAAATAAATAAAATTATAAAATAAATAAAAGAGTTTAATTGGATTGTCTGTAACACAACAAAATGATAAGCACTTGAGGTGATGGATACCCCATTTACCCTGATGTGATTATTATGCATTGTATACTTGTATCAAAATATCTCATGACGCCAGGTGCGGTGGCTCACGCCTATAATCCCAGCACTTTGGGAGGCCGAAGTGGGCAGATCATCTGAGGTCAGGAGTTCAAGACCAGCCTGGCCAACACGGCAAAACCCCGTCTCTGCTAAAAATAAAAAAATTAGCCAGGTGTGGTGGTGGGCACCTGTAATGCCAGCTACTCAGGAGGCTGAGGCAGCAGAATCGCCTGAACCCCAGAGGCAGAGGTTGCAGTGAGCTGAGATGGCTCCACTGCATTCCAGCCTGGGCAACAGAGTGAGACTCTGTCTCAAAAAAAAGAAAAAAAATCTCATGTATCCCATGTGTATATACACCTACTATGTACCCACAAAAATAAAAAATACTACAGAGATATATTTATTTATTTATAAATAAATATAAATATATTCATTTATTTATAAATAAATATAAAGAAATATATTCATTTATTTATAAATAAATATAAAGAAATATATTCATTTATTTATAAATAAATATAAAGAAATATAGAAGAGAGAGGTAGGCAAGGGCTGGACCAGGCAAGGACTCTTCATTATGGTAAGGTGTTTGGGTTTTTTCTGGTTGCAGTGAGAAGCTGTTGGGGAGTTTTAGGTTTATTATTGTCTGCTATGCAGAGAATAGAATTTAGAGGAATAAGAGTGGACACAAGTTGACCACTTAGGAGACACTATGCAGTAAGAATGGCCATGCCTTAGATAGGAACAGTGCTTCTGAAACTTGAGTGTGTGTCACAATAACCTGCAGGGCCTGTTGAGCACAGATTGCTGCGTTACAACCCAGAGTTTCTGATTCAAGAGGTTTGAGGTGGGACCATAGGTTTTGCATTTGGAACAAATTTCCAGATAAAGCTGATGGTCCTGGGCTGCATTTTGAGAACCACTAGAGTGGAGTATTTCCCAGACTTTTTTTCCTTGAGCAAACTAATGAACATGTTAATTAATAGTCTTTGAGAAAAGGCCATGGTCAAATATATTTAGGGAATGCTTACATTTTATAGCCATTCAATGCATGTTATCATATTAAAGGTCATGAGATGTTTAAAAGAATCCTCTATAACTAAGTTTAATCCCTCAGTTCCCTAATGTCATCAGTAATAACCTTGAGGACTGACTGAAATAAGGTTATTCTGATGATTAGTTAAGTCAGGACTTTGCATTGCTAATAACAAAAGTGACCAGAGCCATTATTTCTGGGAGGGGGGAAAAGACCTTTGTAGTGTTAAGATTGTCTAAGCTTGAAATTATTATGGGTCCTTAAAATTATTATGGGTCCTTAATTCTTTTCATTTCTTAGATCAGTCTTATTTCCACAATATGCATGTTAGAGTGTAACAACATTTTGGTATAGCATAGTGATTTTTTTGATTATTTTAGCCAGAGATTCCTCTACACACATATGACCGAGAGCATCACTGTATAGAACATCTAAGGGCAGAACTGCTCTAGGTAAAATGTACAGATGGGGGACTGGAGAGATCCCATTTCCCCTACATGACCACCCTTCCCCATCATTCTTGGTCACCATGAAAGGTGTTCCTGAATCCTGGAGCTTGCTCAGAATACAGCCTGGAAGGCAGTCGACTAGCTGAAGGAGCACTGAACTAAAAGTCAGAAGGACCTCCTGTGCCTGGCTGTGCCTAAGGGCAAACTGACCTCTGAGCCTGTTTCATCTGAAAATGGTTATAATTCATTTCCTTCCAGGGGTTACGGGGTGGCTTAAATGAGATAATGTACGTATATAAAAATGACACTACACGGTGAAAACTATCATCTACCTCCTAGGTTAGAGAAAATTCATAAAAATATACCTTCTTTCTCCAAAATGAGAAATAACTAAAGGCAGATGTTTTCAGACCTGCAAGGTCAATGTTTACTCCTGCACCATGTGAAGTGGCACTGCAGTGGCCTCAAGTATAGTGAGCTGGGAGCTGCACCTATGAAGACCAGAGATGTCAATCATATCCTGAAATTACCATACCTACCTGCATATCTACCTGTCTTTCTTCCTCTCCCCGCACCCATAATTAGTGGGCAATACTGAGTATCATTTTTTTACTGGTTACTGTGCGCCTGGCCCTTGGCTGAGTGTCCTGTGAAATGCATTCTCTCATTAGCTTTTCCCATCACCCTGTGTGATTGATTGGTACTACCATACATAGCTCATAAGTGGCAAGATCAGTGAAATCCGTATCTCTTTGGCAGGTTCTTAATCTCTGTATTCTTTGGTCTCGTGTTCTTTCCCCACAACTTGTAAAAATAAAATGTGTGGACCACAGTAATGTAGGAATGACCTTTTACCCATAAATTGTCCCAACTAACTTTTGTGTTTTAATTTAAAAAAACTTTTGGAAAATTCTACTTCCATTTATAAATTAAATTATGTGAATTTCCCAAGCATCTTCCTAATGGGTTATCACTTTTTGACCCTGTTCAATTGTCAACACTGTCTTTTCCAAGCAGAACTATTCCTGGACATTTCTGACGATGGTGAATGAGGAACCTTGCTATCTGAGCCCTGCTGCTATGAGGCTGGTGATGGGTTTTGCAGCTGAGCACCAATTGCAATGTACAGTGTCTGTGCTGCAAAACTCTAAAATAGGAGCTTGTAAATTCGACAGGATGTAGACCAGGAATCATCCATCACGTTAGAGTTTATTTCTATTCCCTGATTGTGTATATCATTTTACCTGATAACTTGCAGTGATTCCTTTTGTTTTCAGGGGAGGGTGAAGAAAGCTATATAAATTGTGCTTTAGGGATTTGGTTTATCTTGGATCATTAATGTATCATGTGCTATGAAGCTATGATACTCTAAAGTTATTCCACAGTAAGGACACAGAGGAAATAGCCCAAGTCAGGGGGAAAAAGTGAAGGAACTGCAGGAAAAGTGAATGGTTGGCTGATAATGTGAAACTCAGATTCAGGGTCCCCAAACTGCTTGCTTATTTTAGACAACATCTCATATTAACAGCAGTGCTGGCAAAATAATATGTTTATCAGAATTAATCAATTGATTGCTTGTATATTGAACAGTCTACACACATTTGTGCAGAAAAATACTTCTAACATAGCATTTGGCTGGATTTTAAATGATAGGCTAGTCATGAAGATAAATGCTGATGTTTGTGCATTTGGACTAAAGAAAACCAACATGGTTTAATAGAAAGTAATAGAATTAATCAAGTGTTAGAACCATGGATCTGAGGCAATCCTAATGGCAGTGCTAACAAACACCATATGCTTAGAGGGCTCTGGCTTTGGAGGGAGAATGACCCTGAGTTCAAATTCTGCCTCTCCCTCCTAGTACCCATGTGACCTTGAGTAGTTTATTTAGCATTTATGAGCCTCAGTTGTCTTGTATATAAAATAAGGAGAATAATAAAAGTAGTAATTTGATTCTGAGGGTTAAATGAGTTAATGCATTAAAACTCACCACAGAATAAACATTCAGTAAGCATAACCTATTTATTTAGTTTCAAGGAAATCTGGAATACAGGAAACTGAATTTTTCTAAGGAAATTTGCATTTTATATTTGTATCTGTTATTTTACCTCATAATATGAGTCAGTCAGTGTTGCAGAGAAGTAGCACTATGCCAGGGTGACTAGAGAGTGGTTTTGGTATATATTATATAAAAGGAATGATTACAGAATTTGCAAGACTCAAAAAATGCATAATGTTTTTACTGGTAGCTTATAGTAAGTTTGTGTGTGCATGTGTATGTATATAGTGTGTACATAAATATCATACATATGCATGTGAAAATAAAGCCAAATCAAAGACAGTGACATATCTCGAACTCTTCCCTAGGGAATTGGGGAATCATTGCTACCTATTGTCTCCCCTTTCAGAGCTTCGTGTTGAGTATATGTTTGAGAATTTCTTTTAAAAATTAAATGGAATGACTCTGCGTGATCTCATGAATAGCCAAATATATTCCTAACTTTTATTTAAGCCCATCTTTAGCAAGTAATTGCTGGAATTATGTTAGAAAAGGGGAAAGATCTTGAAAGGACATCACATTGATTAACTTGAAGCTAATATACCAGAGAGATAATGGTAACTAATCTCTTAAAAACACATAGAGCAACCTTCTGTAACCTGCCCTGAAGTTTTCAGTTCCTTTGATCTCAGTTGATGATCATTTAATCTCATATCTTGAGAAGGTGGGGGATTAGAACATTAACTTACCTTAAGTATTCTTTAACCATCATCAACCCTCTCCTAGGCATTTCCTCCTATAGCCATCTCCTAACATGTCAATCACCTTTCTCCTGGAGTCCTGAGGAGCCTCGTGAGGTGTGTGTATTTGCCACCTCTGCTCTGCCACTTTTCTCTGGGCCCTGTGCTTTCTAGCCCATCCTCCCAACATGGTATTTTTCTTTCCATCCAAGTACCATGTTACACTGTTGCCATGTACTACCACTGTAATTCCCCCCTTGAAGTACATTTATTCTGTTATTAGTTTAATACATTTGGATTCCCTTCTGACTGAAACTGTAGAAGCCTCTAGTGGTAAGTTGTGTGATGATCCCCTTCATCATACAATTTAAGCTTGACAACATTAACTACTGTTCAACTGCAAATATGTTGCTTACACTGAACACTTGAATTGTGAACAAAATCTTTTAATTCAAAATGTGCTAGCTTTTCACCTTTACCAGCTCCCCAGCAGGTAATTGGCTACATTACTAAGAAAAAGACACCATCAGACATTTGGTCCTTGAAGTTAAGTCCACAGAATGATCTTTATGGAGGTGAAGGGTGGAAAAGGCACTCTTCCTCATAAGCAACTCTAGAGAAGTCTAGTTCCCGAGAAATTATACTAAGCCACAGTTCTACTCAGTGATCACGCTGGCTCAAGTCCAGCCGTCCTGTGGAAGCACCACAGAGGCTTAACTCTTGGAAAGCCAGAAGGTCATGCCAGCTCTGATTTTTCTTAACTATCCCAGTCTCTCATTATAATATCTTATAGACCAGTATTTATTCAAAAGTAACATGTATATGAATCACCTGATAATCTTGTTAAACTACCTGGCAAACTAGATCTGGGGAAGGGTCTACAAGTGTGCATTTCTAACAGTTTCCAGATGATGCCAATGGTGCTGGTCTGTGAACCACACTTTGAGTAGCAAGACTGTCATCTGCTGACTCTCAATTTCGTTTGTACATTGGACTCACTGCAGAGCTTTAGCATGACTGATGCGTGGACCCACCTCAGATAATCCGATTTAGTTGGTATGGGGTGTGGCCCGAGCAACAGGCATTGTGAAAGCTCCACCGGTGTTCCCCATGCATGGTGGAGTCTGAGAACTCCTGTCTTATATGTCATCCTCCCAGCTTGGAGTCCTCCTTATGTACCACTATAACCCTACTTTTCCATAACGCCTCTCTATCCTTTCCTCATTATTTCTCCATCAGAAAACCCCACTGACTGCCTGTACCTCAACAGTTGAATGTGGCCACAAATCTCAAGTGGGTGCAAGCACTCTTGGGGTCATGAACTCTTCCTATTGGAGGTTTTGAAGAGCTGAAGGGAGAGCAAGCATATCTCTCCCAATTCTGTACAAACCTCCTCAATTACTAGGGGGAAAAAAGCAAACAAATGAATTCTGTCATCTTTGCACCACCAAATCCGTGCCTCCTACATCTGTAGCCATAGATGTCTCTTGCACCTCTCTTGCACCCTGGTTCCGTGCTCCCTCACCTACCCAAAGAATCGACTCCTGAAAGGACTTCTTTCGCTAAGCCACCAGTTTCTCACTCTCCTAGATTCTTCCCATCACCATCGTATCTGCTGTCACATTCCTGTCATTAGAAGAGCTTCTTGAGCCCATTTTCCCCTCTGGTGACTGCTCTCCTTCTCTGCTCTTTCCAGCTTTGCCATAACATGACACTTGCCAAGTCTGAGGAGCCACCTTGTTGCCAAATCAAGTGTTCCTTCTTGGCTTATCTTGCTGGGGCCTCTCACATACATTCAGTGGAGCACTCTTGCATTCTTAAAATCCTTGTTTCCTTTCCCTTCCCTGGTCAGGGTCCCTCTTCTCACACACAGACTCCTCACCTCTGGGCTCTGTGTATGTTCGCTACTATTGCACCTGTTCATACCTAGCTCCCTCACCTTTGTCAGGCCTCTGTTTCTCTCTCTGCCATTACCTCCTGAAAGGGGGCTTCTCTGAATTTGCTTTAAATTAGCCCTTTCCACTCATCCTCATCACTTCTGTATCTGCTTGTCCTGGTTTTTCTTTCATAGCTCATCACCACCTGAAATGCTTATACTCCCTTGTTTTCTTGTCTGTTTATCAGATATCTCATCCAGTAATAATATAAACCACATAAAGGTACGGGCTTTGCTTTTTTGGTTATCTGCTCTCTGCTTGGAATTTGAACGTGTCTAATACATAATTAGTCACTCAATAAATATATGATGAATAAATGAATGTTCCTGAAACCATTTTCCAGTTCCTCCTAAGAACCTGTAAGCCCACTACCTATCCATCATAGACAAGTATCACAATTGTAAAATTTCTGTTCTGATTTGTGACTGAATTTCATTTTATCTCTTATGATTTAAAGAGTATATGTATTCTAAAAAATCCAGTAACTTTTTCCACCTTGGTTCATGGAGCTGGTCTGCCTTCTTTCTTCCATGATGAACTTGCATATCTTCTATCTTTGTGTGCACATGTCTACACATATGCTACGGGTCCCAAAAGAATAACTGTTTCAAGAGGTTGATGTCTTTAAAAAACAAAAAAAAACGTCCTTAGTTTCTTTAAAAATACATAATTGCTGCCTCTCCAGAGATATTTTTACAGTGTGTCCCTAGAGGAGGAATTCCAGCTGATGGCCCAATGCAGGGCAGAGGCCCGTAGACAGACAGTCTGGCTCCAATTTATGCTCTGTGTTCACATGGCTAATAGGCGTTAGTATTTTGATTTAGAGAACTGCTGTACTGGATCCTGCCCTGGTTATACACTGGCAACATCTGGCTTAGAACCACACATTTAAAGGCCAAGAGCTATTTATTTTCTTCATCTTCCTCTTCTCTCTCTCTCTCTCTCTCTCTCTCTCACTCTCTCTCTCTCTCTATTCAGTAAAATGTCTGGGGAATAGTTTCAGTATTTTGATAGAGCAGTACACAGAATAAATTGGCAGTAGTTCAATTTGCTTCCTATTAAACTCTGTTGTAGACACTTTGAACCTTTTGGAACTGTTATAATATGTATAATATATATCAGAACTTCCACAAAACCCTGTTAGTGCCTTTATTATCCCACTTTTTTCCTCTATCCAAGATTTTGCTATCACCTCATTTTAGACCCTAAACTCAACATTCACTACACTTAAATGCAAATTAAAAAAAAGCAACTCTTGATTCATAAGGTGCCCATAATTCTACAAACATCTAATGAAAATGAGCAAACATCTCTGTATAAAACTTGGGTTCAATCCAGAAGTATGTTTCATTCTCACATGCCTGATAAAACAGTGGAATTGCAGGTGCTGGCAGCTCCCTCACAGCAGTTTGGCAAGATGGAGGGTGCCCAGCATTGCTAAGGCTACACCCACCAAATGTCCAGTCATCTTTCTGGGATTCTTGGATCTGTGAGTCCTTTAGCTGGAAAAATGCAGTGCTGTAATCTGCTCACTTAGAATTAGCTGTCCCAGTGACTTAGTAAGCTGGAAAAAAACAAAATTAAAATTAGATATTTGAAAGTAAGCCTGCCCCAGACATTCTCTTAGAAACAAGATCACCACCTCTTACAGGCATGGTTTTCCTTGGCTGATGGCATGACTAGCCCTGGCCCATCTGTGCCAAGACTTTGGCATGGCTGATGAAACCTCTCTCTTTCAATAGGCCTTGCTCTCTGGAAAGCTTAGTAAAATACAGCTAGTTCACACTCCAGCAAACCACAAACCTAAACTTTCCCAGTTACAAATGATATTTTGCCAAAATGCTTACTAAGTCCTGGCTCTCACAGAGTGTGTGATGTGGAATCTCCACAGCTTGAAAAACAAATGACCAGCCCTCCCAGTGCCGTGGGGTTGCATTCCAGTGGAGTGCTCAACTACAGTTTTTATCACACCACATGCCATGCTTGCTTGCTAGCAGATTCTTGCATTTTGCTTTTTTTAAAAAAAATTATGCTTGTTTGCATGCTTATCAGATGTACAAAATGCATTCTTCATGGATTTTCCTATCACTGTTTGGGTAGCACAGAGTTACGTACTTCAGAAGCATGGAATTGATCAAAGTAACAATCAAAAGGAACAGTATGTTTTCTCCCATCCCCATAAATCTGATCTGTAAATGCAAAGAATGTGAAGAATGAACATAAGAAATTCAATAATGGTATTTAAAACTTAAAAAGAAAAATTGGCAAATCATAGGATAAGAGCCTAACCAACCTGGTCTCCAGAAGGAAAACCTTTTAAATCAGATATTTCTGAACTCCTATCTGAAATATATATCTTTAGGGCAGTAATCATCAGAAACATAACAGACTAGTGTGGAGCTCAGTTTTATTGTCTTGCATCAGTGAACATTCCTCAGAAGCACAGAGCGTCACTAATGGAATTATATGTTTTCATGCTATAATTACATTTGATTTTTCCTGATATTTCTGTAGACTTTGTTCATGGTTCCATGACTAGGCAGAATAGTTTCATAGAATATCCTCAGCCTAGTTAATGCCTAGTTCCCCCAACCCTGTCAAAAAGACAGAGACTAATTATAGGAATTTTTCAACCAAAAAAGACAAAATGTTTTTTTTTTAATTTACACAACCTTTAGAGATTTTATTTCAACAAAAACATGATCAACAAAATGAAGAAAAAAGAATTTTATACTTGAAGGAAACAGAGCAAGGGGCCCTTCTGAGCTCTGAAACCCCTTGAGACACAAACTGGCACTTATTAATATTTTTTTTCTTTTGAGATACTGTTTCACTCTGTCACCCAAGCTGGAGTACAGTGGCATGATCTTGGCTCACTGCAACCTCCACCTCCAAGGTTCAAGGGATTCTCGTGCCTCAGCATCCTGAGTAGCTGGGATTACAAGCACACACCACTGTGTCCAGCTAATTTTTGTATTTTTAGTAGAAACAGGGTTTTACCATGTTGGCCAGGCTGGTCTCGAACTCCTGACCTCAAATGGTCTGCCTGCCTCAGCCTCCCAAAGTGCTGGGAACACAGGCGTGAGCCACTGTGCCTGGCCTACTTATTAATAATTTTATTCTTGTTTTTAATGAATATTTGTTGGCTAAAACAGAACTGATTTGATCTTTGGGTATATAGTCCCAAATGGTTCTGTCACTGGAAGACGGATGAATCCGGCAGCACAGTCAAGCTACCGGATGACATAATACCAGGAGGCCATCAGATATGTGAAGAGTCAGCATCCATTACTGAGAAATGAGAATCTCTGCCTATGAAATCCACATAAATCTCTAAATGAGAAGATGCAAACAATTAGAAAATTATGTTGAAATCCAGCGTATTATTATCTTGTCTCTATCTTCACTCACATCGTCTTAGTTTAGCTCTCATACCCCAGTGACCCCTTAGCACTCAATGCCTTTTTCTTAGCATTTAATTCCTATTCTCCAGGTTTTCATGGCTATAGAACACAGGATGACATCTCAAATATGTTTACACTTTAGGGCTTCCCCCTCAAAACATGATGAAAGGAAATATAGGAATAAAATGGATTATCATAGTGGAGGTGTGGAATGAAGAGTGGTTTCTCCTTGCAAATGGAATCAGTTCAGGGTGTAGATGAATACTGCTTGGCCTGACCTGGGTTGCAGGTTCTTATCATAAATTGAGTAAAGTTTGCATTACATTTCCCCAAGTTGAGATACATTTCTTGAAATGCCAACTATTAGAACGTTGAAAACACAATTTCGGCTCTCTCTTCTCAAATCCCTGCAGTCTGGCTCCTGGCCCAGCCACTCAACCCAAATCACCCTCTGAGGTCTTCCAAAATAACTTCCCAGCCAAAACCAATAGTATCCTTCTAGACTTGTCAGCTTTATTCAAAACCTTATTCTTCTCCCTGCTAACACCCATCTGGTCTCAAATTTTAAGGGTTTGTCCCTTCCAGGTTTTTTCTTTCTCTTATCTTCGGAGTTGCACCTATGAGCAGTTCTTCTTTAGACATCATTCCAACTTTGATAATTTTAAACACAATGTTTGAGCATGAATTACTTCCCTATTCCCATCCCTATCCCCAAATGCTCCTTTCTTTTTAGTCTTATATCTCTTGATGCTAGGCCTTCAGCTGCAGTTAATTATGGTAAAGTAACAACTCTGGTCTTGATTTTCGACTTCTTGCTGCTGTTTAATATCTTGGTTTCTGTAAACAAAAATTGAGTCATTTTAACTCTTTACTGACCCCATCACTTCCCAAAGCATATATTTTTTACCTGGATTACACTTAGAGAACTAATGTTCTTTTAGCTATTCTCACCCCTCCCTTCTTCAACCTTAGTCAAATGCAGGTTAGACCAAACTCTACACATGTTTGGATAGGGAGATTCCTCTTACCTTGTTGATAAAAATGCAATTAAAAATTAAGTGATGGTCGCACCATCCTCTGCCAGCTCTTCCTGTTTCACCTCCAGATAACATTCTCTACTCAAGTCCTATAAATACCCAGTTGACCTATTTTTCTCTATCTTTTAATTCTTATTATTTGTCATTATTCTTAAAAAGACATCCTTTCTTTTTAGTAAGTTTGCTCCATTCTTCAGCACCCCATCCAAATACCTTTCTCCAGAATACTTTCCATAGATTATATGTAAACTGGGTCATATGAACTAGCTGATTTCCTTCCTCCTTCTCTCCTCAACATACAGCTTTATGTGAAAATGTATGCTGAGTCATCGTTACGTATGTCTGAATTCCCAGGTGTGTCTGTGCATTTGGTATGTCTGAACCTTCTGGAAAGTCACCTTTTTGGAAAACTGAGAAATCTTTTGAATCTTCAGTAAAAACCCATGCAGTCTTCTCCCTCTTCCACCACAGCAATATGTGCTTAAAATATTTTTAATAATAAGCGCTTACTGAAATTTTACCTCATTATGTGTACATTTTCTTTACAGGATCCCCCCATGGCTGTAACCCTTGGACTCCGCATGGAAGAAATGATTTTTAATCTTGCTGATACTCATTTGTTTTTTAATGATTTAGAGGTAAGAATTTTACAAGGTACAAATAGTTGTATCCAACACCAGACCTCCTAGATGGTTTCTGTATCTGTAGATAACCTCGAGAAAACAGAAAGATAAAAATTCAGCTCAAGAGAAGCATAAAGTTCTTGTCAAGAGGAAAAATTGTATATACAAATATAAGCAGAAAGTTAATTTGTGTTCATGAATAATACATATGTAGAACAAAAATGTCTCTGAAGAGGAGATTGTTGGCTTTGCTGTCCTTACTGTCCACAGCTGTACATGACTCTTGGTTCTTTTAGTGTTTCAGCATTAGCTCTTCCAGATTATTAACCCGGAACCTATCTAGGTTAATCACTAAACGATATTCACAGACACTATTCATGGTGATAGCGTGGATCAATTAATTTTGTGGATAATCTGAAACTTAACTTTAGCTAACATTATCATTCCCCGTTTCTTTCCCTTCTGGATAAAACAGTGCTAGAACTATTTAAGCACATTTGATGCATTTAAATGCATTTATTTTCTCATTTTAAAAATTATGTTTCTATTTTCAACCTCAAATGGCAAGACAGTGTCTAAATGGCAAATAAGAGGAATAGAAAATAAAAATCAACAGCAAAATGAAACGACCCAAGGAAAAATAGCCTCAGAGTAGTTGAATGTGTACTGCAATAAAGTATGCCATCTGTGTGCTAATGACCTAGGTTATTAGACATTCAGATAATAGAATTCGAAATAACTAAATAGTTCAGGTTCTTGGCAGAAGTACTTCTCAGTCAAGCATAACTATGCTGAAATAGAGATTTCTCTTTCATTTTTTTTCAGATGGCATGTTTAAATTTATTTTTTATCTCATAGTTTCATAATTAAAGTTTTTATCTATAGTCATATTATGAATTGAGAGGGAGATTACTACTACTGAACCCCTACCTTGTTCTAGATATTTTATGTTGGACTTTCCATTAATTACTTAACAATGTATTGAAGTAAATGTGTTTATCACATTATTTATGCAAGGGAGAAACTGTATGGTCCACAACATACAAATCACATCTAAAGTTACCTGCTATCTAAATGGCAGAACTGGAATTTGAAGCAGATTTGCGTGGCTCCAGAGCACATACTTCTGACCCATCCTTTGCTGAAAATTTTACAAGTGTGTGAGAAAGAAAAGCCAAGTTATTGAGTTACTTAAATAACTTTTTTTTTTAATGCTCTAAGTTCTGGAGTACATGCGCAGAACGTGCAGGTTTGTTACATAGATATACACATGCTGTGGTGGTTTGCTGCACCCATCAACCCGTCATCTACATTAGGTATTTCTCCTAATGTTATCCCTCTCCTAGCCCTCCACCCCATCACAGGCCCCAGTGTGTGGTGTTCCCCTCCCTGTGTCCATGTGTTCTCATTATTCAACTCCCACTTATGAGTGAGAACATGCATTGTTTGGTTTTCTGTTCTTATGTTAGTTTGCTGAGAATGACGATTTCCAGCTTCATACATGTCCCTGCAAAGGACATGAACTCATCATTTTTTATGGCTGCATAGTATTCTATGGTGTATATGTGCCACATTTTCTTTATCCAGTCTATCATTGATGGGCATTTGGGTTGGTTCCAAGTCTTTGCTATTGAACATTGCTGCAGTAAAAATACATGTGCATGTGTCTTTATAGTAGAATGATTAATAATCCTTTGGGTATATACCCAGTAGTGGAATTGCTGGGTCAAATGGTATTTCTAGTTCTAGATGCTTGAGGAGTTGCCACACTGTCTTCCACAATGGTTGAACTAATTTACACTCCCACCAACACGCCAGTTAGAAAGTTTTTTTTTTTAAATGACAAGGTCTTAAATCCAGTTTGAGTTATATTTGAGACATGAGAGTAAAAATGAGTGGTTCAGTACATTCCATAAATGTGTGTGCTGAAATCTGTGTAATAGCATTTTGCTGTTGTTGTTGTTGTTTTTCTCTATGGTGAGTCATGTTTTTACTGAATAATACAATTACTGTCTGTTTAAAGCGGCATTCTTTTTTTTCTACAGTGGACAGTATGAAAGCTCATATTACTAGGCAAGCTTTCAGTTTTAGATAACAAATAATAATCACCTCTCTAAAACCTGATTTAAATTGATCCTGCTACTTATGAATACAGAATGATTTTATATATATATATCTGGTAATAACAAACACCTTAACCTTTCCACAACTTGAATTTTTTACATACAGCGATAACTTTTGGGGTTAGTTTTTCTGTTGATCAGTATGGATGAGTTGCATTGTAAAGAGGATCTTAATATTATTAGTCTTTTCAAAGGTATAAAAAGAAAAAAGAAATTTTATGTGGTAGTATCCAAGTAAAAGTGCTTATTTCATTTGGTTAATTATTTTTTACTGGAAATAAGTGGAATAAATGAACTTTTAGCTTTTGTAGTGGCACATTAGAAGCCAGATGGAATAAATTTGCTACCCAACTTTTAAAAGAACACTGCAGTGAGAAGGTGAAAGTAGCATATAATGAATTTGTAACTAACTAGCAAGTTTGAAATGAATATTGGTATATCAAAAACATGTTGTAGTCATGTATGGCACTTAAAGACATTTATTTTAGTTCAGGTACTATGTTATATGTATTTCAAAAATACCTGGCAGGATCTTTGGTAGAAGTAGTTCATGAGAAAATACTGGTATTGACTTTCTCTTCTCTGAGTATATAGCTTTTTAGTTGTGTTTTAGAATGTGATAAGAATTTCATTTGACTCAAACCCTAGAACTTAGCTATTCAACAATACTGTACTTAATCAATAAAATAATTGAGTTTCTGCAGATAAATTGAACTCTCACTGTATATGCGTGCCACACAAATGCTTGCACATCCAGATAAAGTGCCCAAGGAAACATAAATGATTTTTACTGACTTGAGTAAACAAGCACTAAAACCAATAGAATCAAAACAGTAGCTTTCAAAAGCATTCAGTACAGTTACATACATAGCGCCCTATCCTTCTGCATCTGACTTTGAAAGGCAGTTTTACTTTCACACAACTTTTTATTTCAATAAACCTCTTACAGCCAAAAATTGTCTTGGGCTCCATAACTGGAATTAAATGATTTCTACTCTTGTTGACAAAAAGAATTCCTCAAGAGAGTAACTCTAACATTAGCTTATTATGTTGTCATTGTTGATGTTGAATATTTAAGCTCTCAGGGTGCTTTTCTTAAAAAAAAAAAAAAAACCGAACCATCTAATTTGACACTCCATTCTTTCAGTAGATACTGCAACATATATAGTAGCAGCTGTTCCTCACATAATTCCTTAAAAGATACAAATTTAAATCCTCCTAATAGACACTTCACTGCATCCTGCCCAACTGCAGAGAAGGCAGATGCCCAAACTACCCTCCCCCAACAGAAGAGAATCCTGTGTGTTTAAATAAAGTGCTATTTCGGTTAGAATAACCTCCAGAAAAGAAGTCTCAGGAAGTTTGAGATGGCAAAGGTGAGAAAAGACTGCTGTGAATTATAACTGATAAATATCAGTGACCACTTTTTGGTCACTTTGTGAGACAAAATTAAAGTATTTAAAGTTAGTTCTAGAATATTTTCAAATGTTTGAGTTTTATTAAAATTTGTTAAAGCCAAAACATTACAGTGTTTTTAGTATTTCACTTTTTGGTCAAAATGATTCTTACAAAGTTTCTCAGAGTGAAAAATAATTGAAGGACAATTATTTAGCTTTTTCTAAAAATGTAAATAATGGAAGTTCAGGTTTCTTTCACTGGACCGTAATCCTCAGGCAACCGTCCAGAGTCAACAGGCATAGTTAACTAGGCATAAATTTAAAGAAAAGTTAAATTTGGAAAAACCTCAAATATAACCTCAATTATGGAGCTTATGGTCCAATAAGTGTGATATACTGTTGTCCTCAGGAGTAAAAGATAAGTTTTTGGGCAACCTATGTACAAATTAATCATGCGAGTTAATATTTAATGTCAGAGGAATTTCTCTAAAAATTACAATGAGAGGATATTAAATAGAGAAATAACTTCTGATTACCAGGGAAATTTACAAGGATTCCTCCACTTTTTTGAATGTCATTAATTTATTATAAAAGAGAAACACAGAAGTTATTTACATGTGGAAAGATTTCAGAGCTTCAATGGAATGGGCAACTTCATGTGACACCATTTCAATAGTGATTTATTTCAGTCTACGGACTTTCCAAGTATGTCACCATCTCTAAATAAGAAATAATCTCATCATTTAGAACTACTTTGGTGCCTCCATATTCTGGGAGAAAAACTTTATTTCCAACCCTTATGCTAATGGGTAAAATCTCTCCACTCTTTTCCTTAAAGCCCAGTCCAGCAGTTACTATCATTGCTTGCAATGCCTTTACTGGATGTTTTTCAGGAAGCATAATGCCTCCTTTGGTTACAGTTTGGACTGCACTCCTTTCAGCCAATACTTGGTCAAAGAGGGGAAGACATTTTCTAAATACCTGTCCGGCCAGGCCATTCCTTGGGCAGTCTCTGCACTCTTCTCTCTCCCTTCCTTCCACTCTTGACATAAATATCTTCTTACTCTCCTCACCATTTAGAATGCTTTTATTTTATATCATCGTAACCTTGTGTTAGAAAATTTAAATGATTGTGGTAATCCTGTAAAGAATTAGCATTTGTCTAGACTTCTCCCATTTATTTAAGAAAGAATTGTGGAGTGATTATTCTATGCTAGATTGTGCCGTAAGTGGGGATGTAACCTGGTGAACCAAATGCCGCACTCCAGGGCACTTCCAGTCAGATTAAATTTGGGGACCCATACGTGTAGGTGGAGATTTATTCAAAACTTACTAACCCTGTAATTTCTGTAAATTATATGAACTTTTAACTTACCTGGATTTTCAAGTTACATACTCAGAAGGTACTGATTGGGCTAGTCACTGAGTTTTGTATATTAAAGGAAGCCTGAGTCAACTATACCTTTAAACTGGAACCGGATTAAACACTTTCTGTGTGGAAATCTGGAGACTAGGTATGAAATATTTGACTGCCAGATACTTTCAAGCCCAATAATGAATATAAATAGTAGCTTTCAAAAAACCTTTGTTTAGTATGGTGTATTTTCAAATTTAATGATTTTTTTTAAAAATTAATTTTGAATGCTAAGCACTATGTATATAGTCAGAAGCTGTAAGTATGAGTAAAATACTTTGAGGGGGACTAAGGAGGCCCAAGATGCTAAACCATACTTACTCTGAGGTTAATATGATGTAGTTATTTATTATAAATAATTTATTTTTATTTATTATATATTTATTATTCTGAGAACTAGGCATTTTAAATGCCCTCACCAAATTTCACCTTTAGATCTTGTAATATTGCGCTGGAACTTTGCAGATTATTTGAAGATGGACTAAGACTCAGAACAGCAAAGAAGGATCAAATCCTTATCCACATAAGTTACCATTTGTTCTGAGCACACAGTAACTTACAATCAGGTCAACTGTGGCCGGGCGTGGTGGCTCACACCTGTAATCCCAGCACTTTGGGAGGCCGAAACAGGCGGATCACAAGGTCAGGAGATCGAGACCATCCTGGCTAACACAGTAAAACATCATCTCTAGTAAAAATACAAAAAACACAAAAAAATTAGCCAGGCGTGGTGGCGGGCGCCTGTAGTCCCAGCTACTCGGGAGGCTGAGGCAGGAGAATGGCGTGAACCCAGGAGGCAGAGCTTGCAGTGAGCCGAGATCGCGCCACTGCACTCCAACCTGGGCGACTAAGTGAGATTCCATATAAAAAAAAAAAAAATCAGGTCAATTGTGTGGGTATACTTACATAAAGTTTATTTTGCTTGGAATTTTGTAGCACATTTGAGATGATAAATCGTCATTATTTCCCTTTTACTTAAAAGTAGTCTTTTTGATTTGAAAATTTAAAAACTTGACAAAAAGAAAATGTCAATATCTATGATCATTACCCTTTTTCTGTGTCAAAAGACTAGGACCTTGAAATAACACCAGCATGGTTCTTTCATGGTTCTGGTCCAGCAGGAAGTCATGGAAATTCCACAGGACACCATAATCTGAAGGCAAGCCCCTCTGTTGCCACTCAACAAATGATAAATAATAGTAACCATCTGAGGTGTTCAGACTAAGTTTTGTGTATCTTCAGATTAGCCATGCTTAAGTATGCACAACAGAAATGGCCTGGAAGGGAACTCAAATGCTTATGAAGATTCAAGAGAATTTCTTATCAATAATTTTAAGATTAAAATTTTTAAATTGCTCTAAAGAAACTCTCATGCCGTATATTTTCTCACCCCTCCTTTCTATGGAACTCTTCTGGATTTAAATTTTGTGGGGTAGAAATGGTGCCATTTCCCAACAGAAGAAAACAAGAGTGAGGCAATGAGATGGACGGGCACATGCTGCCATCTTCTGGTGGTAGTCTGATCAGATGAGAAGATGGGAAAACCTTCAAGCATGGTAACAAGCATCATTTAGAAAACAAATAACTTTTCCAATGTTTTTAACAGGAGTGTGATCAAGTTCATATAGATGATGTTTCCTCTGATGATAATGGGCAGGACTTAAGGTAAGCTATGCCTTTCAGTATGCTGTTTCCTACAGAAATTCGGCTGTGGAGTTTTGCACATGTAATTATTTCTTTTTAATGTATTTTGGGTGTTACAGTACCTACAGTTTTGCAACTGATGGCTTCCATGCAGCTGCAAGTAGTGCAAACCTTTGTTTGCCAACAGGTGTAAGAGGAGGGGTTGACTGGATGAGGAAGTTGGCTTTTCGTTACAGAAGAGTAAAAGAATTATATAACACCTACAAGAACAACGTTGGAGGTATGTGTGGCTTTTTCAATCTAACAAAGGTACTCTGGGTATAGGTAGAATTCAATCTGTAGTTTCATGTTAAAGATGATTCTGCTGTAAAAGAAACAAGCAAAAGCTCATATTAAACCACATTGAGCCAGAAGTTTCTTAGAATTGGTGGGAAAAAATTTAACTACAAAATAAAACATGCACCACCGTCACATAAATTGGGAATTCTTTGTGTAACCTTGTGCCCAGATGTTTGGTCAAGATTTATACCAGGGCATTTAGTTGACCCTTTATCAGCTGGTGCTTGGAGCATTATCAGTGAAAATCAGACAGAGGAACTAACCGAGGCAACAGAAAGAAGTCCTTTCTCAAGTAGAGAGCCTCAATCATTGAAGGACGGTGGTTAGCAAGCATTATCTTTCTGGAATCCCATCAAAAATAAATATAAACAGTTATTAATGTCATTTCAAAGACTTTCAACAGGTTTATTTTATCTTTTAAAAAAATCATGTTTTATGTCAGTGTATCATTCTCATGCATAGTGTCAACTATGATTATCATAGTTTTTAAAAGTTCAAATAATCTGTAGGTAATATCAAAACCATTTTATACCCCTTCATATATTTTACAGGTGATATCAAAACCTTTGCTATCAAAACTGTGATCCTGGATGTGCTTCTATATATAAAATAAACCTTGGTGATATCTTATTAGAATCAATTTTAGGTAAACAAGATTCCTAAAATTTGCTATTAGGTCACATCAGATTAATCTCCCAGGATTTTGTTTCTTTATGTGCTTCTCTTTTTTTCTAAAAAGGAAGAGTAATTGAGGAACATAAACTAGAATCCAATATACTAAATATACATGTGCATACTATACATACATATATTCACATATATATCATAGAATACAATATAGTAAATAAAATGTTCATATATAGTATATAATCACATATATCCATATACATCATGAGGGTGGGGCTATGTGTCTGGTCACCTTGTATCCCCAGTGCCTAGCAGTGAAACACATAAGAGATGCTCAACAGATACATAATAACTGTAAGAGAACAAAAAATGTAGAGCCAAAGAGGATAATAATGTTAGCAACAAAAGGGAGCTTAGATATGGAAGACATTCATTTCCAAAAAGAAATTGACCCCTGCAAGCTGCCGACTTGCATGGGGTGCTGGGGAGAATCTCTGATTTCCTGATTTGCTCTAGTGCTCTGTACATGATGCTTTTGTAAAATCAAATAAGTAGATTTTCTAGTTAAAATCAATGGTAGATAATATGTTTTAACTTTAAAATAAATATCCCCTTGGGAAATCTGAGTTAATTTTTATCATTCAGATGTCATCATTTCCTTCTTGCGGTGTATTAATAAAATTATTTTAAGTTAACAAGAAGACTAAGAAGTAATCTTGTATCTTAGAAACTTTAAACAACCACGAGTCTACTTTCTGTCATACGTGAGCATCTCTCTATTATAATGAGGACAAATGAGACTTGCTAGAAACTGTAAATTTTGATTGAAAAAACCATACAAGTGTGTATGTGCTCCCGATATTCTAAAACACAATTTCAATAAGAAACCTTCCTTTTTAATGGATTTACATGATCTTGTTTTATCATAAAAGCAAGAACTGGATCTTTTAAAATAAAAAATTAGCACATCTATCTTTTTTCTTTTAACATCAATATTATAATTCATGATTGTAACTGTCCTACACTTCATGATTTTAAACAAAATTATTAATTTTTTACATAGCAAAGTATTTATAGTAGCATTAGCAGTAGTATTAGAAACATTTTAACAGCTACATATGATGATGCCATTGTTACTGTTTGAAAGTGGAAATGATTGTGATTATTAAGAAGCTAAACGTTTTCAGACAGTCAAAACATTTGGGATTTGTGTCCCTAGGTTGGTGAAGCCCAACTATTCCTCCAGACCTCAAATATCACAGTCCCTTGGAATAAGATCCAGGCAGGGGCATGTTCAAAGCTCTTTAGATGATTGAGATCCACTGCGCTAGATTGTAGGATCAGTGAGGGCAGAGACTGGGGCCACTTTTCAGTGGCACTACCTGAGACCTAGAAGTTCAGTAAATATTCATTGACGGAATCAATGGATATTCAATTCAGAAACGAAGGATCAATATGGACATAAATCTGTATCTCTCTGCATTTCTGATATATACTGAAATAAAAATGATCTATTCCAGACAGAAGGGAATCTAAACTAGATATTCTGAGACAATATTCATCTCTCGACTCTGCCTTGGTTTTTTGGTGTTGCAGGACTCCTTGGCCCTGCCAAGAGGGATGCCTGGCTACAGTTAAGGGCAGAGATTGAAGGTCTGACAGATTCCTGGCTAACAAATGCACTTAAGTCTTTATCAATTATTAGCACTAGGTAAGTGGAATTGTTACCTTTCTATGTGTATCGTATTGAAGATTTAGTTCTAATTGTACAACATAGAAAAAATGTTTTAATTCCTAGACTGTTTTAGACTTTAAGGGACCTAACAATTCTGAGTTCAGTGATTTTTTCAATTTCAGTGCATGTGCATGAGAGAGAGAGAGAGAGAGTGTGTGTGTGAGTGTGTGTGTGTGTGTGTGTGTGTGTGTGTGTGTTGGGATGAGAGAAGGTTGCTGCTTCTCAGAATAAACAGGAGACCCTATCTCACCACCCATCTCTTCTCATAGCAACTGATAATCCCCACAGAATGGTTACATGACTTCTAATGAAAAAAGAAAGAGAACTCAGTTGGTGGCAAAGTACAAGGGGGTGATGGCAAATATGAAACAGTACTGTTGATACAAAAAGGCATGTTTTAGGTGTTAGGCCATAATGGATAATACACATAATGTAAGCACATCAGAAAAGCAGGAGAAAGCTCTTGAAAAAATTCTAACCATTTTGTTGTTTGAACTAAACAGTGAAATTCTGACTTGTGTCAGTATACAGAGCAGAATTAAATTGATTTGTAACCAGTTGTACAACCAGGTGCCAAATATGCTAATTCATAAAGTGATGTAAGTAAGTCTGGAACGTGATAGCTGGTAAGGTAGAGTTGAATCTCTGTACTGTCCGCTTCCATTATTTTATATCTGAGTTAGGTGAATAAATAAAAGCATGCTTAATAAGTGGGAGCTAAATGATGAGAACTCATGGACACATATAGGGAAACAACAGACACTGGGGCCTACTTGAGGGTGAAGGGTAGGAGGAGGGAGAGAATCAGAAAGAGTAACTGTTAGGTACTAGACTTAGTACCTGAGTGATAAAATAATCTGTATAGCAAAACCCCGTGACCTATATAGCAAACATGCACATGTATCCCTGCACCTAAAATAAAAGTCAAAAAAAAAGAATCTGTCAGCATTTCCATTAAGAAAAGATTAATGGGTCAGGCGCAGTGGCTCATGCCTATAATCCCAGCACTTTGGGAGGCCGAGGCAGGTGGATCACGAGGTCAGGAGATTGAGACCACCCTAGCCAACATGGTGAAACCCCATCTCTACTAAAAATACAAAAAAAAAAAAACAAAATTAGCTGGTCGTGGTGGTGCACACCTGTAGTCCCAGCTACTCGGGAGGCTGAGGCAGGAGAGTTGCTTGAACCTGGGAGGCGGAGGTTACACTGAGCTGAGATCATGCTACTGTACTCCAGCCTGGAGACAGAGCAAGACTCTGTCTCAAAAAAAAAAAAAAGTAAAGAAAAGATTAATGAGAACGTGCAGTATTTGCTTTTTTGTTCCTGTGTTAGTTTGTTAAGGATAATGGCCTCCAGCTCCATCCATGTCCTGGCAAAGGACATGATCTCATTCTTCTTTATGGCTGCATAGTATTCCATGGTGTACATGTACCACATTTTCTTTATCCAGTCTATCATTGATGCACAGTTAGGTTGACTCCATGTCTTTGCTATTGTGAATAGTGCTGCAGTGAACATGTGTGTGCATGTGTCTTTATTATAAAATGATTTATATGCCTTTGGGTATATACCCAGTACTGGGATTGCTGGGTTAAATAGTAGTTTTGTCTTTAGATCTTTGAGGATTCGCCACACTGCCTTCCACAATGGCTGAACTAATTTACACTCCCACCAAATGCCGCATGTTCTCACTTACAAGTGAGAGCTAAATGATGAGAACATGTGGACACATAGAGGGGAACAACACACACTGGGGCCTTCCAGAGGGTGGAGAATAGAAGGAGGGAGAGGATCAGCAAAAAGAAAAATGGGTATTAGGCTTAATACCTGGATGATGAAATAATCTGTACAACAACCCCCCATGACACAAGTTAACCTATGTAACCAACCTGCCCTTGTACCCCTGAACTTAAAATAAAAGTTGGAAAAGAAAAGATCAATGAATAAGATGACAAATTGTTAGTTTTAAAAAAAGAAGAAAAAAGCATGCTTAATAAATGTATGGGGAACACAGCATTCAGAGAAAGATTTATTTGGACTAATTGAATCAGAATGCAGAAAAGCCTGACAGGGCAAAAAAAAAAAAAGTTAATATTAAGAACATGAAAGTAAATGAATAGTTGTCACATCCTGCACAGCTTCTGACTCGTGGCACAGGCAGAGCTGCATGGATAGCAGAAAGTCCAAATGGAGAGCGGAGGGGAAGTAGCTTCCTGTGTCTGACTGGGGAAGCCATGGCAGCTTAGTTTGTCAGTTCTAGGGACCATATTCCAGTGGGGGCTGTGGCAGGGTTGAAGCAGCCTGTGTCAAGTGTGGCAGTCACGGGTTTGGACTGTGGGAACCACCTAAAAGAAACAGATGGAAGGAGGAGCCAGAGAGCTTAGTCAGAAGAGTCATGTGCAGAACCAAGATTACCAATTTCACCTGTTTCAGACGTTAGGCTGAAAATCAATTAGATTTCTCCCTGTGTCTGGAAAGGAAAGAACTGGGACCAATGAGTAGGAATCCTGCAAGGGAGATTCTGGCTCTATATAAGGAAGAAATGTCTAAACCAGTTGAAATGGGACTTGCTATCTCATGTCCTCTGTAATTGGTGACAAGAGAGACCAAATGTCAGGGACGCTGGAGCACGAGGACCCCTGAGCCACTGACATGATGTGTAAAATGTAGTGGAGTGTGCATTTCTCTGAGAAGGAGGTTGATAGCTTTCATTATTTCTAAAAGATGTCTTCTATATAAGTTAAAAAAGATGATTACATTATTAGATTATATATACTATATAATATATACAGATTAATTATTAAACAGATGGCTTTAAGGCAACTAAAGGAATATGTGATATTCCAGAAATAAATAAAGATATAACAAGGAAGGGAGGAGAAAAAGAAATCAACATACATTGAGTAGTTACATGCTATGGAATTTGCTGAGTTATCCACATATATTACCATATTGATACAATTGCAGTTTTGCCATTACTTTTAATGGCAAAAAACAAAATTGCTTTTGCACCAACCCAATAGTTTTCACAAAATGCCTGGAATGTCAGAAAAACAGATGCTTTGTTGAATTATGTAGTAGAACCCCTAGCAAAATTAACTTACCCTCTGACCCTAATTATTCTGTGAATATAGTCTCAGAATAACGAAAGATGTAAGAATATATTTTGGTAGCATTACTTGTAATATTTAGAAATCAAAAGCCACTTAAGCAACTCAATTTAACTCTAAAAAATTCTGGTGCATCCCACACCACACCTATTCCAAAATTGACCACATACTTGGAAGTAAAGCTCTCCTCAGCAAATGTAAAAGAACAGAAATTATAACAGACTATCTCTCAGACCACAGTGCAATCAAACTAGAACTCAGGATTAAGAATCTCACTCGAAACCGCTCAACTACATGGAAACTGAACAACCTGCTCCTGAATGACTACTGGGTACATAACGAAATGAAGGCAGAAATAAAGATGTTCTTTGAAACCAACGAGAACAAAGACACAACATACCAGAATCTCTGGGACGCATTCAAAGCAGTGTGTAGAGGGAAATTTATAGCACTAAATGCCCACAAGAGAAAGCAGGAAAGATCCAAAATTGACACCCTAACATCGCAATTAAAAGAACTAGAAAAGCAAGAGCAAACACATTCAAAAGCTAGCAGAAGGCAAGAAATAACTAAAATCAGAGCAGAACTGAAGGAAATAGAGACACAAAAAAACCTTCAAAAAATTAATGAATCCAGGAGCTGGTTTTTTGAAAGGATCAACAAAATTGATAGACCGCTAGCAAGACTAATAAAGAAAAAAAGAGAGAAGAATCAAATAGACGCAATAAAAAATGATAAAGGGGATATCACCACCAATCCCACAGAAATACAAACTACCATCAGAATACTACAAACACCTCTACGCAAATAAACTAGAAAATCTAGAAGAAATGGATACATTCCTCGACACATACACTCTCCCAAGACTAAACCAGGAAGAAGTTGAATCTCTGAATAGACCAATAACAGGATCTGAAATTGTGGCAATAATCCATAGCTTACCAACCAAAAAGAGTCCAGGACCAGATGGATTCACAGCCGAATTCTACCAGAGGTACAAGGAGGAACTGGTACCATTCCTTCTGAAACTATTCCAATCAATAGAAAAAGAGGGAATCCTCTCTAACTCATTTTATGAGGCCAGCATCATTCTGATACCAAAGCCAGGCAGAGACACAACAAAAAAAGAGAATTTTAGACCAATATCCTTGATGAACATTGATGCAAAAATCCTCAATAAAATACTGGCAAAACGAATCCAGCAGCACATCAAAAAGCTTATCCACCATGATCAAATGGGCTTCATCCCTGGGATGCAAGGCTGGTTCAATATATGCAAATCAATAAATGTAATCCAGCATATAAACAGAGCCAAAGACAAAAACCACATGATTATCTCAATAGATGCAGAAAAAGCCTTTGACAAAATTCAACAACCCTTCATGCTAAAAACTCTCAATTGATGGGACGTATTTCAAAATAATAAGAGCTATCTATGACAAACCCACAGCCAATATCATACTGAATGGGCAAAAACTGGAAGCGTTCCCTTTGAAAACTGGCACAAGACAGGGATGCCCTCTCTCACCACTCCTATTCAACATAGTGTTGGAAGTTCTGGCCAGGGCAATTAGGCAGGAGAAAGAAAGAAAGGGTATTCAATTAGGAAAAGAGGAAGTCAAATTGTCCCTCTTTGCAGACGACATGATTGTATATCTAGAAAACCCCATTGTCTCAGCCCAAAATCTCCTTAAGCTGATAAGCAACTTCAGCAAAGTCTCAGGATACAAAATCAATGTACAAAAATCACAAGCATTCTTATACACCAACAACAGACAAACAGAGAGCCAAATCATGAGTGAACTCCCATTCACAATTGCTTCAAAGAGAATAAAATACCTAGGAATCCAACTTACAAGGGATGTGAAGGACCTCTTCAAGGAGAACTACAAAACACTGCTCAAGGAAATAAAAGAGGATACAAACAAATGGAAGAACATTCCATGCTCATGGGTAGGAAGAATCAATATCGTGAAAATGGCCATACTGCCCAAGGTAATTTACAGATTCAATGCCATCCCCATCAAGCTACCAATGCCTTTCTTCACAGAATTGGAAAAAACTACTTTAAAGTTCATATGGAACCAAAAAAGAGCCCGCATCGCCAAGTCAATCCTAAGCCAAAAGAACAAAGCTGGAGGCATCACACTACCTGACTTCAAACTATACTACAAGGCTACAGTAACCAAAACAGCGATATAGATCAAAGGAACAGAACAGCGCCCTCAGAAATAACACCGCCTATCTACAACTATCTGATCTTTGACAAACCTGAGAAAAACAAGCAATGGGGAAAGGATTCCCTATTTAATAAATGGTGCTGGGACAACTGGCTAGCCAAATGTAGAAAGCTGAAACTGGATCCCTTCCTTACACCTTATACAAAAATCAATTCAAGATGGATTAAAGACTTAAATGTTAGACCTAAAACTATAAAAACCCTAGAAGAAAACCTAGGCATTACCATTCAGGACATAGGCATGGGCAAGGACTTCATGTCTAAAACACCAAAAGCAATGGCAACAAAAGACAAAATTGACAAATGGGATCTAATTAAACTAAAGAGCTTCTGCACAGCAAAAGAAACTACCATCAGAGTGAACAGGCAACTGACAAAATGGGAGAAAATTTTCGCAACCTACTCATCTGACAAAGGGCTGATATCCAGAATCTACAATGAACTCAAACAAATTTACAAGAAAAAAACAAACAACCCCATCAAAAAGTGGGCGAAGGACATGAACAGACACTTCTCTAAAGAAGACATTTATGCAGCCAAAAAACACATGAAAAAATGCTCATCATCACTGGCCATCAGAGAAATGCAAATCAAAACCACAATGAGATACCATCTCACACCAGTTAGAATGGCAATCATTAAAAAGTCAGGAAACAACAGGTGCTGGAGAGGATGTGGAGAAATAGGAACACTTTTACACTGTTAGTGGGACTGTAAACTAGTTCAACCATTGTGGAAGTCAGTGTGGCGATTCCTCAGGGATCTAGAACTGGAAATACCATTTGACCCAGCCATCCCATTACTGGGTATATACCCAAAGGACTATAAATCATGCTGCTATAAAGACACATGCACACGTATGTTTATTGCGGCATTATTCACAATAGCAAAGACTTGGAACCAACCCAAATGTCCAACAATGATAGACTGGATTAAGAAAATGTGGCACATATACACCATGGAATACTATGCAGCCATAAAAAATGATGAGTTCATGTCCTTTGTAGGGACATGGATGAAATTGGAAATCATCATTCTCAGTAAACTATCGCAAGAACAAAAAACCAAACACTGCATATTCTCACTCATAGGTGGAAATTGAACAATGAGATCACATGGACACAGGAAGGGGAATATCACACTCTGGGGACTGTTGTGGGGTGGGGGGAGGGGGGAGGGATAGCATTGGGAGATATACCTAATGCTAGATGACGAGTTAGTGGGTGCAGCGCACCAGCATGGCACATGTATGCATATGTAACTAACCTGCACAATGTGCACATGTACCCTAAAACTTAAAGTATAATAATAAAAAAAAAAAGGAAAAAAAAAAATTCTGGTGCATCTACATGGTAGAGTAGTTTTTTTTTTTTTTTAATTATACTTTAAGTTCTAGGGTACATGTGCACAACGTGCAGGCTTGTTACATATGTATACGTGTGCCATGTTGGTGTGCTATTTGTTTATATCTATTAACTATTATTCCCACCTCCCAACAAAACAATGTATAAAAACTACTCTACCGTGTAGAGTATATACATGTATAAAACTACTCTACCGTGTATGTACTCTACATTGTTTTGTTGGGAGAGGGGAATAATAGTTAATAGATATAAACAAGTAGGCTCATGATATAAATACATAAAGTAGAATACAAAATTGAATATACAGAATGTTCCCAATGGGAAAACAAAATCTGTATATGAACAGAAACACTGAAAGTAAATGCATGAAATGGAGAAAGCAGTTTTCTCCAGATGGTTAAATAATAGTTAATGTTTTTTGTTTTCTTCTTTATATTTGTCTTTTACAAATTTTCCTGTTACAAGTATATACAGTGTTTGTAATTTAAAAAGAAATGTAACTCTGAATATCACACAGTGCAAGTCACAAAAGTTCATATCCAAACCACATCTCGAAACTTTAAAAGCCTGTGCTTTATTTCATTCTACCATGTTTTCATTCTGTAACATTTTGTAACATTTGCCTACGTATGACTTTTAATAGCATATTGTTTTGACGAAATATTTTGTAGAACTTTAAGCATCACAGTATAGTCATGGGTTTGTATATTCTTCTTAATAATCTGCCATTATTGGAGGAGTGTCTGTCTGCTGATAGGCAATAGTAATGAATTTTGAAAGGGACCATTAATTAAGGAATTTAGAGACCACAGTGACAATTTTAAATCTATTAGAAGTTATTTAGTATTAGAAAACAAACATGTATATTTCCTCCCTATTTTAGGAGTAACTGCATAAATGTCTTGGTAACGACAACTCAACTGATCCCAGCACTTGCGAAGGTTCTACTCTATAGTTTAGGAGGTGCTTTCCCCATTGAGAATATTTACAGTGCAACTAAAATAGGTAAGGAAATTATTTTAAACTCTGTATGGAATGTGTCCACATCTGTGTGTCTCTGCCTAGTTCCCTTTTTCAGCAATTTCACTTAGTACATGAAACAAATTTGGATAAAGTTCAAATTACAAAGTCCCCTACAACTCATTGTACATGTATGAATTTTTTGAGAACTGTTGCCTAGTGACATTAAGAACTCAGTATCTGAGTATAGATATTTCATTCTTGTATTTCACAGAATATTACAGCCCATGTTATCTAAATAATATGTAATACCTCTAGCCATAGTATTTAATAGTTTAATTAGTTTGGCTTATAATGTTGCATCCTTGCATATGCAGTAATCTAGATCCAAGATAAAAATACAATTTTGGCTTTGCAGGGGATTCTTTGATGGATTGAACGAGTGCCCTTAATTACAGAAAAAAATTAAGAGTTTTATGTATCAGAAAACATAATAGGAATATTCATAACACATGAGCGACTGGAAATCTGCATTTCCAAAAATGTGCAGTAGCAATCAAAGAACCACAACCTTGTTTATTTAGATGATATCTGCTTGTGGAGCCATCTTTGATTTTTAAGTGCATTTCTCGCAGACTCCAACTTCTAATAAACATTCAAAAGCAAAACTTCATCAACTTCTGCCTTATTGAAAGACTTAAAACTGATGTATTCCACTGTCTGTCAAGGAAATACTTGGGAAAATAAATGGGTTGTGTAATATGCCTTGAAGGTCAACAAACTTAGGCTCTGGCACATTGACAAGAGAAGTTCAAAATCCTAAAATCCCCCACCAAAAATAACCTGCCCTGGGCTTTGAGGAGGTCTGATGTTGGCCCTGGCAAAAGGAGCCTCCAGTGGCAGCTGTTTCAAGAGTACAGTTAAGGAGAGCCAAGCTTCCGTAGAGTAAATTTCACATTGTCATAAGCACTACAGTTCAGAGCCTGGATATCAATACCATACATTTTTAATCTAAATGTGTGTATTTATGTCAGCAGGACTAATAGAAAGAAGGTAATTTTGCTTTTTTGATGAATCAAATAATTTTACAGCAGAATAAACATTTATTTTAGTAAAGACAATATTCTTTCTGTTGGCGAAATAGTTCCTTATATTCTTTAATCTGAAACAAAATCATTTTTATTTTTTCCATTAAGCTAGTATTTTTTGGACTTCTGAACCATCAGATTAAGAAAAAAGGCAGAAGTAGCCATGGCTGCATGAACATTCTGGGAGTGAAATTTAGAGAATAATGCCAATGTTTTAAAAACAAAGAATATGTAGAAATTCCACGGTGATGTTCCCGTAGTGCAATAAGAGGATACCAGTGTTGTCAGTACTGTGGCCCAGTCAGACAGCACCCTTAGCAGAAGTTATTTGAGCAGGCTAACTCTCACCCACTTGAAGAAAGGTGTTGTTTATCAAGATAAATTCACTTCTTAGTATTTCCTCTTTTTTTAGCGGTGAACCTTCAGTTTTTCTCTAGAACACATTTAGCTGACTTGTCTATGCTACTTAAAATTGATTTACAGAATTAAACAAAGGTTAAAACTTATAGTTGCTTGTAAAGTTACCCCAATACTCTGTTGGTGGAGAAAAACATACTAATATTTTCTCTAGGTCAAATGCTTATCCCTACTGATGTTTTTGGAGTGTGAAACACATTTGTTTAATCATCTGTCCGAAGTAACGCCTTACCTTATTCAAATATATGTTGATTTCATAAACCCAGAGGTTGTGAGCCAGTTCAAGTGATGTTCAAGAGGCATTAACTTAACACTTTATGAATCTTTAGGTTAATGAATGCAGTGGCTGGAAGAATAAGCAGTGCATTGTTTTTCAGGCAAGGAAAGCTGTTTTGAGCGTATAGTGTCCAGATTTGGCACTAACATAACTTATGTTGTGATTGGAGATGGCCGAGATGAGGAGCATGCCGCTAACCAGGTAACTTCACTCTGAACTTTATCTCATTTATCTTCCAGGAAAAGAAAGTTGCTTTGAACGAATAATGCAAAGGTTTGGCAGAAAAGTAGTGTATGTTGTAATTGGGGATGGTGTAGAAGAAGAACAGGCAGCAAAAAAGGTAACCTGTCTCAAACAATGTCGGTGTGATACTTCTAATGCAAGCCTTTTTGTTTGCATTTCTGTAGTTTGGCCCAATGGCAGCTTGACAAATGATTTAAATTTATAGATGCAAAGCAATAAGAGCATGAGAGGGTCAATACTTACATTCAAATAAACCATTTGGAGTTTAGCATTTTTTGCCTGAAATTTGATAGGAAATGCAGGGAAATTTAGTTATATTTATTTATGTGTTTGAAAGTATATACATATAGTAAATATATATAGTAACATATATATTTGTGTGGGCATGTATACACATGCTTATATAGATGCATATGTATATATTAATACACATACAATGTGCACAGATATAGATGAGCCAGGGGATCTGCAAGAAAGATTGGGGGGGAGAATAACCATTGTTAAGCACATGAAATTTAGCAAGATAGAGATTAATGAGCTCCATACAAAAGTCATGTGAGTAGTTCATGAGACCTGCATGCCATATGGTCCTCGTGAGTGCCTGGAAGTAGGCATGCTCCATGATAAGGAATGCTGAGGGCAGATTTAATAGCTGAAGAAAAACTGCTACAAGAGATTTTAATAAGTGCTACTGAAATGGGATGTATTGCTCAGATCCTTTTGCACCAACTTGTCTTAGCCGTAATGTGCCTCACATCTCCTAGAAGAGTTTCATCTGTTTTGGTGAGCCAGTGGTACTTGATTGAAGCCAAGCAGCTGGCTTTGAACACATTCAGAAGATCCCATGGGCCCTAAGTATTTTAATAAGCCTTTTCATCTGGCCCGTATTTCTGAAGAAGAAACCAAGGCAATTAAAAACCATTAAATGGTTGGTTCAACATCAAAAGAAGAATGATATCAGGATTGGCCCCCACCACCAGACTGTCAACTCCACCCTAAGATCTACTGCTGCCTTCACCGAATGATAGAAAAATATCATCTACCCAAGATAAAAGTGATAGAATTTACAAAACAAAGCCAGATGATGAATTAGTATTTTTAAAACAATGACATGCCAGCCTATACTGTTTTACATAGAAAGAATGTCATCTGTATCACCCTAAGGAGATTTTAAATCATCATCTAATAAAGCCTTTGCCATTTGCATGTGCTGGAATGTTTACCTGTTTTCAAAAAACAGTCAACATAGACAGTTTTATAGAAAAGTTTATGGCTATAAGAGAAAGAGAAAGGAAATGATGTATGTTTCTAGTCGATTTAAATCAAGCAAAATGGAGAAAAGGAAAGCACTTCCACTTTAGAAGTTTTGGTGACGTATTGGCAGCCATACTTGCTTTTCGATTACATTTAAGAGAGTAGGCTCAGGCTCTGCCTGCCACAGAACACCTCAGCCTTCATTAGCAGTGTCAATGACCCAAGACAGCACACTAGCCCCAAGCACGTCCTGTATGAGGTCAGGGCTGCAGCCTCAAGAAATACGGCTTTCATTGCTGACTACTACTTCAAATGCTTCCAGTCACACTGAACTGAAATATCTTCTGGAGTTTGTCAATGTCCTGAGTCCATGTTGTGATTTTTCTTATTGGCACCATAGTTATACACAACAAAGAGCAGCCAATGATTAGTAATACAGCCCCACTCCTGCTAAATTTACATGTCTTTTAGCCTATGCAAATTAAATTCACGTATATTTAGGTAAGGACTAATATAATTCAGTTTTCCAAACCAGTAACACAATATGCTTTTGACAATTAAAACTTAGCCGAGTCTACCTGTTTTCCACAGCATTAATGTTTAGATTCGGTTTACCAGTTGTTATACCTAAAACTTCAGGAGGGAAACGCATAACCCTGAATGGAAAACAATCTCAGATAGAATGCTATTTCCAAATGGTTGTTTATGTAGGTACAGTTTTGGTGATGGTGAAGGCTTATTATTCTATTTTAAAACAGAGGTGATTGGTTTCTCTAGTACCCAGAATGCATGCTTTTCTTTGGATGTAGCGGTAATCGCATGTGCAGAAATGTTAAGTACTGTTTTGTTGTTACAAATAGATCTGAGCTGAATGAAAAAATGTTACTTCTATGTGAATTTCAGTGACTTAATTTGACCTAGACATATTTTGTCTGAGAAATTTAAGAAGAAATATCAAAGTTTAGGAATAGGAATGTCTAGCTGCGCTCTTCCATAGAAACATGTAATATTAATACAAGCTGTATATGTAGTTTGAAATTTTCTAGAAGCTACATTTTACAAAATTAAAGAGAAACAGGTAGAATTAATTTTAATAACATGTCAACCCAGTATACCCAAAATAATTGTCTTGATATCTAATTAATGTAAAAATTATTGAAGTCATGTTTACATTCTTTTTTGTTTGTTTGTTTTGTCCTAAGTCTTTGAAATTCATTGTGTATTTTAAACTGGACCAACCACATTTCAAGTGCTCAATAGCCACATGTGGCTGGTGGCTACCATAGTGTGCAGCAAGGAATTATATAGCAATAAGGATTATTATGCTACTTAGTTCTTAAATAAAATATCTTTTGCATGTTTTATATCTATATACTCATTTCCCTTATATACATGAATATTTTATACGTACATATTCTAGAAGATGTCATCAGCCCAAACTTAACAAATCATGCTTTTGTTTTGTCAGTTCCTGTAATGCAGTGTTTTTTCTTTTTCATTATCATCGCCAGTGGGGACTCTTTAGACAGTTTTTTTCTAATTACTCCCTTTCATGAAATTTTAATGTCACATATGTACTGTATACTATTATAGTATATCTTTTGAAGGCCACAAACCACTGTAATGTCTAAGATTTTCTGCCCCACAAGAGCTCATTTGTGTCCCTTTGGAGATATCTTCCCCATTGAAAATGTATGCTAGAGTACTTTCTCTCAATTCTACGCCAGTGAAATAAATCAGGTCGACTCTACTGGCTTAAGTTATTGGTTGTCCCAGACAAGTAAGAAAGTTATAATCCCCACCTTTTTTTTCTACTTTATGTAGTCCTGCTTCAAATTATTTTTATACAGAAAGGAATTCACCCTCTTTTCTTCCTAGATTAACAAAATTAAGAAGTTTGTCATTTTGTTTCATTTTATTTTTAATTGAGAGGCCCGTAGGAGTGATGCACTGATTAAAACTTGCTTTCCATTAGCCAGGTAGGATTTTGATGCCCACTTGCTTTCCCAGATGTTGATGTTGGTAGCGATACTTCCAGAATAAATATTAAACTATCTAAGAAATGTTAATATTTGCTATTATTCTCATTAAAATCCAGTTCAGATCTATTTCTCTGTTACTTTGACAGTGCCATATTGGTGCTGCCAAGCCTTCACATATGATCATCCCGCCTTTAAACTCTCTCCCCTGAACTTGGGTGGACCACACATCCCTGTGTGTGCTGCTGCTTCATTGAGACAATGGTTGTGATCTCTCTCCATGCCTCATTCCTTCCCCTTCTCTCTCCCATCCCTCCTTCTCCTAACCACACAGCACAACATGCCCTTCTGGAGGATATCCAGTCACTCAGACCTCCTGGCTCTCCACCAAGCACTGGAATTAGAGTATTTGTAACTGTGTTCTTTAGCCGGAGATCCATTTTTTATATTTCAAGTACACTGAATTTTTATGTGTGATTCAATGCCTCTGGCTCTACACATATAAATTGTCTTAATGGATGAAATCATATTTGGAATAAAAATTCCAGAATGAAGAATTCAGATTGCTGAATGGAGTTAAACTTTAGTGCTACAGAAAAGAAACTCTATGGTCTTATATTTACAACACTTTAATGGGTTTTTTAAAAATCTGTGGAGGTTGCTGGTACACACCAAATGAGTCCAAACTGGAATGAGCAGCTTTAGCAAAGAACTCTTACCCTGGCAAAGCAGCAACACACATGCTCCGTCTGACAAGGTGGTCAACAACATTCCTCAAAATGGGAGATCTTCTCAGCCCTGAGGTTTGAATCTGACTTTAGCCTACCTAACCCAGAAAATCTGAATTGGAATGCACTCAGACTGTATAAGGACAGTCCTATTTAGACATGTAATTTGTGTAAATTATTGATGAAAATAATTTACTGTGACTTTATTAGCAGCTGACTTTCAAAGTGGATGCAATTTTTCTTTCTTTTGTTGGGGAGGGGAATGGGAGGGGAAATGGGAATATAATATTGTCTCTTTTTTAAGTTTGGCAAACAGAATGTTCATACTGATGTGTTGTGCCTTAAAGACAAGACAGCATTTGTGTGTTACAATGTAACTTTGGTTAAAATCTCTGTAGATAATGAAAAAAAACAAAAAAAAAAACCTTTGTGATGATTCTTAACATGACCAAATTTAAAAGTCAAGCTCTCAGAGCTTAATTACCGCATCAGCAAGAAACTGAGTATTTTTTGCAATAAGAAAACAACAATAATAAAGGAAAGCTTGTGTTTCATTTGGGTTCTTAATAATTCCAATAATTGTATGAGGCAACTATTTGCGCATCCAACCATGAGTGGAAGGTTTGGGAAAGACTGTGGGACCTTTACTTAGAAAGTGAAATGTATGTAGAAGTCTCAAGTACCCCTTCTACAGTTTTACTGGAGAAAACTAAGAGCCATATTCATGACAACTTGCACAGTTTTGAGGTTGAGACTTTTGATATGTGTAAGTTGCATAGAGGAGGATATTATCATGCAAATCATGAGCAATTATCACATAAACTTTTTTAGAATGTGCCATGAACATGGCATAAAATTCACATTGAGTGCACAGGGCTTAAAATAAAGCTAAGTATGTTTATTCCCAATGCCATGGCAAAAATGATAATATCATCAGAAATGGAAGGCAGTTCTCCCAGATGGTGTCTAATGAAAGCAATGAGTCTATGAAAATTTTACCTAGAATATCATCATAAATTAAATTAGCAAGTGCGCTGGATCTTGGCAGCGCTGCTGAAATGACAACAGTAAAATAATACCTGGTTCTCCATCTGAATACATCAATGCAGGTTCTCCTCGTAACAGACTTGCATATGTTTGTTAGTTTCTGCCTGTATTGTCACTGCGCAACGGATGGCATTCATTACAAGAAGAGCCCATCATCGTTGTGTTTGCATGGTTTTTTTCCTTGTGTGTAGCCCATGTTGGGAACACGATACAGGTTCTCCTCTTATTTCCTATGACACGATTTCCCTTGTGGAAATTTAAGACTTTAAGAACTAGAGTATTTTTATGGTGTCTGCACCTGCAGTTCTGTGTTTAAAATGTCATAATGTGGATCCTGGAGTCAGGCTACTAGTCAGTGCCCCTAGCCAGAGGCTGGTTCATGAGTTCATCAACTGAGGCCTCTGTGGCTTCAATAAAGTCTACATTTTGCTCACAGATCACAACATTCACTGTGGAAATATGATTTCATTTCTTTAGGCTACAAACCTGTATTTCTTTACTGAATGCTAAGGCCATGTTTATATTGGGTAGAAAGATATTGAGATCCCAATTTTGTACAAGATTGTGATTTCATTATCTAAACCTTAAACTTAATCCTTTAAATTTTGTAGCTTTTGGCTGCATCTGCCCCAAGTACTATTCCAGGCAAATTAAAGTTGGAATACCTTTAATAATATAAAAATAATGATAGTAAATCTTATACTTCTGTTGGCCCTTAGCTTGAAAATAGCAGTTAAAAAAATTTAAATGTTGCCTTGATTATCAGTACTTAATTATGTTGTGCACTAAAACCTTAAATATTTATTACTGTGAATAAAAACAAATTATCTTTACTGTATAGCTGGTTTCTTTAAATGTTGATAGAATTGTGGCATTACATCTAAATTTGTAAGTCTTTTCATATCAAACAAGCAAGGCTTTTTATGCTGCTAAGTCTGTGGGTGCAGAAAGAAACACCCCTTGGAAGGGCAAAGAGAAGCCGGCTGGTTGCATCACCCCGTGCAGTTTCTCACACACATCTCTTTTTCTGATTCTGTGTTCAGAAGAGGCTGCCGGCATAAAACCTAAATGCAAGGTTGACGGAGAACAGCTTGTCTGGCACAACAATGGTGCAGGCCCACGAGCCAGCATCACAGCTTGGCCATGGGACGTTGAGTATGCACAAACTAGAACTCTTCCCTTCCCACCTTAGGAATAGAAAATCCTCTTCCTTTCTAATCTGAAAAACGAAAACTGAACAAACACAAAACCAACCCCTTGGCAGTTCCCACCTCCTATTGACATATGGAATATTGTGCCTTATTGTAAACCAGTTTGAAAAATGTTCTGTAACTAAAGTGGGTTTTCGGCTATTATGTATACAGCTTGGTATATTACTACGAAAGATAACCACCTTGTGTTGCACCTTAAAAATATCAAGACCATGTAATTTCCATAACAAAATAGGTGGCCTGGCTATGGTATTATAGCATACAATTAGGACACTATGCCCCTGCAAAATTTTGTAAATCAAATTCAGAGGCAAAAACATATTTTAGAATCATACAGTTTGCACACGACAAGTAGGTAATAACTGTCTCTAAAAATGTTTTCTCCTTAGTCCGCAATGAGCTAAGATTCAGAATAGTGTCAACAGCATGCTCCTATATGAAGTTGTTTTTTTTAAAGCACATTTGTTTATGACAAGCCTACATTCTCAGTGAATATGGCATTTAGTATTTCTTTTGAAAACAAACTTAAGCATCATGAGCCAAAGTTGCACTTTGACTCCCAACTACGGTAGCATTATGGACATCTCACAATGTCAAGGGTTTCTGTTATGTATTAGTAAAGTATAGATTATTGGGGCCTACATAATTTAAAAGAAATGTAAATTAATATTAAAAGCTTGTAAAAATATGTATATCTTTACTATTTCTCAATAAATACCTTTGCAATTGTTTTCATTTCCTTCACCCTCCCATGTTGTAGAGTTTTTGTGTGTTTATTTAGCTTGGTTCTAAATCATGTGAAATTTGTATTTAGGTTTCTGGTCTTCATAACTTTTCTTTTTTATGCCTAAGTTGCATAATTTCCAGTTAAAGCAAAATGAGATGTAACACAGTAAAACGTCACTAATTATGACTAAAAGTGAGCTGCTTTACTGAAAAGATGTCAGTTGCATAATTTTTTATACACAGGTAGCTACATTCAAGTAAGTATAATGCATAATGTAGCCACAATTCACTAATGATAAAGTAATTAAAATATTTAGACCTATTAGAATATTTAAAGCAAGTATCGTTTACGTGAATATGGGACATAGTTTATAAGTATCTTCCAAGAGGATAAAAAGGTAGTTTTCTGTAACAGATTTAATAGCTCCTTTATTGTCTGGTGTATAGTATTTATTTATTTGTGAATCTGTTGTTCACATGTAAACCAAATGCAAATTTCAGATAAACCTCTGCTCATTCACAACCTTTAAAAATGTTAGCCTCCAAATTAATGGTATTTAAGTGGAGCTATGTGGCAACATTCTAGTAAGCCTTACACCATCCAAAAATCAATACTGATTTACAGGAAAACAATGGAAATGTTTAAAATAAATTTAATATGTAAACTTCTTTTGTTTTCTCTTATATCCAGTTGCCATTGAAATTGAATTTATGAGAAAGACTAAATTATACATATCGTATTCCAGCTCCCCACTGAACTCCAAACAAATGTATCTTGTTTGCCTATTTATATACCTGCTTGGAAGAAACGACCTCTCAAATCAACATGTCCAAATCTGAGCTTGTGCTTCTGCGCCGGCCTCTTCTCACCTCTCCCACGACTACCACCCCAGCTGAAACCAGCATCCTTTCTCACATAGATAAGTACATCAGCCTCTAGCTTAGTCTCCCTTCTCTGGCCCTCACACCCTTTCACCATCTCATCACACTAGCCAGAAACATACCGTGCATCAGAGGATATCTCTCTCCTCTTCTTGGAAACCACCAGCTCGCTTGGCACAAACACCAGTGACCTTTGCAATGGCCTGTAAGCCCACAGGCAGCATCCCTGGTGAGCTCTCCCTTCCTCTGTCTCACAACTCACTGCCAAACTGGCACCTCCGTGTTTGGCACATACCTGCACCCACCCACCTGCTGCAGGCCTTTTGCACTCACCATTCCTTCCACTTGAAAAGGTTTTCACCCAGATCTTTGCATCACCTATGCCCTGGGTTTCTTCAGTTCTTAAAGAACACCTTTTTGCTGTAAAGGTCCTCCTCTCTGAAATTGCACCTGCTTCCCAACACCTCTAGCATTTTCCTTCTTTACTAAGAAAAAATACTTAGTTCTTAGATTAATCCAGCATGATACACATTTATTTTTTGTGTTGTTGATTCATCCATTACAATGTATAAACTTCAGGAAAACACTTGCATGAGCATGATCTAGAATTGAAGAGATTTAAAGTGGTAGAGGACCATGTGTGATGGCTCATTCCTATAATCCCAGCACTTTGGGAGGCCGGTGGGAGGATCACTTGAGTTCAGGAGTTCAGGACCAGCCTGGGCAACATAGAGAGACCCTGTCTCTCTCTCTGTCTCTCTTTTTCTAATAGCCAGATGTGATAGTGCGTGCCTGTAGTCCCAGCTACTCATGGTGCCAAGACGGGAAGATCGCATGAGCCTGGGAGGTGGAGGCTGCAGCGAGCTGTGATCACGCCACTGCACTCTAGCCTGGAAGACAGAGCAAGACTCTGTCTCAAAAAAAAAAAGAAAAGAAAAGAAATGATCGAGCTAGATTTGAAAGGGAAAAGGAGAGAAGAAAACATACACAGGACCTGTGTAAGTTTTTATACCTTAGCTGGAGTATTTGCTGGCCTAATTTATGGAAATAAAGAACAAGGATGGCCATAAGCAAAGATGTAATTGAAGAAAGGTTGTATGTGACCTGAGAATGATCGTCTGGATAAAAAACGTTTACAATGAATCAGCGATTGCCTCCTTTATACTCCCTTTTTCCCTTTCATAAAAGAAAAAGTATGCAATATTAGTAGGCTTAATTGACTTACATTACTTAAAGCCACACACAAACAAACATGTAAAAATCAGATCTCTCTGCAAACTGTGGTTCATGATTCTGAGTCCCTGAAACAAACAACAACAAAAAAAATTTTAAGTGTCGGATGTTGTTTAGTTACCAAAAGAGAACCATTTATTTTTTGATCCAGGGTCTTGCTTTGTTGCCCAGGCTGAAGTGCAGTGGCACCATCATAGCTCACTGTAACCTCGAACTCCTGGACTCAAGCAATCCTCCTGCCTCAGACTCCGAAAGTGCTGAGATTACAGGTGTGAGCCACTGCACCCAGACTAATAACCATTATTTAACATCTCTGCATGGTTTTGTATATTCTTTAAAAGTTATTGGATGTAATTCTGGCAAAGTATGCATGTGTGCTAATACACAGGTCGCTACACAAAGCAGTCTACATTTGACTGTGCCAGAGTCAATTCTTGAGATATACTGCAATCAACAAAGATGCCCTCTCAGAGCCTCAAGGGGAAAATGTTCATTGTGCCCAAGTTCTGACTTTCAATGGAAATAGTAGCCATTATTCCTTAGCTTTTCCTTCATCCACAGAACCTTCCAGGTCTGTGTTAGCACACAGTTTGAAAGATCTCCAAATGTAATATGCTAAAGGATCTCTGACAATGCATATAACTCCATATAAGCCAGATGACTATTTTCCCTCCCAACAAAATGCCTTTTGATTGCAGCTTGCAGGGACAGTGTCTCTATGGCTAAAGGGCAATGCATTGTCCTTTGTGGTCATGAAATCTTAGATTTGTGTGCCTTATGTCTGCTATGATGCTGCCATTTTAGTTTTCTGGTGAGCCTTCAGTGAAAATACATAGAATTGAAAGAGGGTGTACTGGAAAAGGTAGAGGGACCACCAAGTAAATCATCCTCCACAGAACCACAGCAGAGTACTGCTGACCCTAAACTCATCACAGTCCTGACCCTTAAGGTTCTTATGCTTTTCAATCGGGGTGACTCTTAAGATAACGAATGAAGGGTGTTAGCAGGGGATAAGCACAGGGGCATGGTGAGTCACTTGCAGAGAAACCTAACCAGCCCTTAAAGGGAAGATTCTTGGAGAAAATGAGTCCAAAGCTGAAGCCCCAAGGACAAAACCGAGAAGGCCAGAGCATTTGCAGGACTGGATTGGAAGCATATAAGCAAAGTGGAAAATATGTAAGAGAATGCAGGTAAGAGGGAGAAGGGTAGAATGGTGTAGTCAGGGAACTGCAAGTAATTCTTGTTTCTGAAGCATGGAGTGAATAAAAGGAATAGTAAGAAATGAGACTGAAAAAAAAACAAGGGCCACTTGGTGAGGATTTTTAATACAGCATCAACCAATTTCAGTTTTACTCGGGTATCAGTAGGTACTGAATGAAAGGTTTGTTAACAGAGGATTTATGTGTCCCAGTTTATATCTTATAATAGTTACTCTGGCCAGGCTGAGGAGAGTGAGGGATCTAAGAGGCTGGTGCAGGATCCTGGAGAGATTCCTGAATTAGGTGATGGGCATGAATATGAGACAGTGCATAGATTCAAAGAAATTAGGGTATTAAGAATACCTTAGTACTTCGCAGTGGTTGCTTCTTCACCTCATGTCCTCAGGAAAATCCAGCCTGACCTCTAGGTTTCTGGCTCGGGCAGTTTGGTAGATTGTAGTGCAGTTTGCCGAGATGAGAAACACAAAAGAAGTAAAAAGATTCTACTTGCTGTTTTTATTGTAGTGGGTGATGCTTGTTGTTGGAACGAGATACTGAGACCAGTTTCTGGAATTGTTAATTTGAAGGTGGTGGTATCCTCAAATGGAGTTGTCCAATGCAAAGTTGAATTTGTAGTAACTTCACTATTGTCTGTTAAATACCTTGCCAAGTCATAACTGAATTACTCGGAGCACAGTAAATAAAACCCTAAGTAATTTGATTATGTCACATCAGTTAATGATTTAAAATCACTTACAATTTGTGCAAACTTGAGACAGCATAGTGGAAAAGCTAGGAATGATGACAGTAATACAGTGTGTGCATGGCTGATGAACACCATGGAAAATTATTTGGGGTCACCAGTTGATTTAACATCATGCTTTCCCATCTCCTGCATTACCCCAATTTCCAGTAGATAAAGTAGTAACATACCTGGATTTACAACCCTGAAGAAATCCAAATGCCTCTATGAGCTTTTCATCAGTAACTTTTGTACAAAAAAGTCATCGCCAGCTTATGTCTGCTTGGAAACCAATATGGCATTCTAATTTATTTCCCAAAGAAAACATTAAAGAGCTTCACAGCAGAATGACAGATGATTTAATCACCTATTTTTAGACAGATTAATGTATTCCAAAAAAATGTGGTGATCATTAAAACATACATTTATGGTGGAATAAACTATTTCATAAGAGCGGGCAGTAATATCTGGTACGTGAATAGGAAATAAAGTTAATGCCAAACACACACGTATAAAACCATCCTGTTTGGCTCATGAAATTATTTCTACATCAGTTATGAGAACAGCAGGAGGGTGGGATGGAGCCACTGATGAGGGCAGTGAAGAAAAAGTGGTATAACATCATCTTTTAAACTTTCATCTACAGTTTTACAAATGATGAGTGCATCTTCTAAATTTTCATCACCCACTGATTTTCTGAATAAAACCTACTACCACAAACTGGCCACTTTTGGCAACACATATTGTTGCCATGCATGACTCAAGAATTCGTTTTAAAGAAGAGAAAAGGGAATGTTTTTCTTATTTCTGTCTAGGCAGAATGGGGATATTTATCCATGTTCCTTCTTCTTATCCTTGAAGGCCCTGTAATTGTTTTATTCATCCAACCACAGCACCATCTTCTGGGCACAGAAGCTGGTACCACTGTAGCAAGATGGGGAATGGGAGCATGTAGGATGTGATGCTTTGATTCAGTCACTCGCTCTGTAGCCAGCTTTTCAGCGAGCATACTGAAAAGAGGAAGGAAACTAACGTTTGAAGAGACTAATCAAACTAACATTTGAAGAGGCTAATCAACTAATGAAGAGACTAATCAATGCTTACCTTACCATATATTACCTGATTTAATTATAACACCCACGAGAGTCAGTGTTCTTAGTCCAATTGTATAGTTGAAGTGACCTCCCAAGATTATACAACCTGTAGGTAGCACAGACAGAATTGGAACTTAGTCCATTAGGTGGAAATTATCTGGACTGCAAAATAGGCTCATTGCACCATATCTTCTGTCCATTGACTTCAGTTGAGTTGTTTAGCACTTGAAGGGGTATGATCTGAGGGAAAGTGCCATCAAGAGCAGGTGAGATTGCAAGCAATGGAGTTAACTGTCACTGTTTTTTCTCTCTGTGAATATAATTGCCATCCAAGTAACTCCTGTGTTGCCTATGTGAGAAATGGCCTTTATGTAGTAGGAATGTTAGTTCTGCAGATAAGCAGTAAAAGGACCCTAAGCTGATTATTTGACTTGATGATTGGAATTATATCCAGTCCTATATGAAGGCCCAAGAGATAACTATTCAATTAAAGCTGCTCAATTAATTTGCATTTAAGTTAAGATACATTTTGCAGATTCCTCCCTTTTAAAACACCTTTAAGCATGCATATCAACTGCTCTTAATACAACAGACTTACAGGCTCCCTAACCTACAGCATGGTTCCAAGAAGGGTACTGGACAGGCTTCTGATTAGAGTGGGGAATTAGGAAGGTTCTGGGGCCACCTAATATAGGAAAAATAAACCATGATGGAGCATTGAGTCAGCATGATTTATGATTTTAGGAGTATCTGAATGGAAGATGTTCAGAAGCAAGTTCCTAAAGGGTAAGTGGAGAAAAGCTATGTAGCCAAGTTTACCTCTTTTCTGAAATTCTATAGTGGAGATGATTTTTTTTTTTTTTTTTTTTTTGAGACGGAGTCTTGTTCTGTCACCAAACTGGAGTGCAGTGGCGCAATCTCAGCTCGCTGCAACCTCCGCCTAGTGGAGATGATTTTTTTTTTTATTATTGTGGTAAAATACAGATAAAGGTAACGATCTTAACCATTTTTAAGTGTACAGTCAATGGCATTAAGTACATCCACATTGTTGTGCTGCTGTCACCACCATCCATCCACAAAACTCTTTTCATCTTCTAAAACTAAAACTCTACCCATTGAACAATAACTTCCCATTCTCCTCTCCCCTTAGTACCTTGTAGCAACTCCTCCACTTTCTGTCTCTACGAATTTGACTACTTGAAGTACCTCATATAAACAGAATCATATAGTATTTGTCCTTTTGTGACTGGCTGATTTCATTTAACAAAATTTCTTTCAGGTTCTCCTGTTTTGTAGCCTATGTTAGAATTTTCTTCCTTTTTAAGGCTGACTAATAATATGTGTGTATACTATATTTTGTTTCTCTATTTTTCCATTGATGGGCATTTAGGTTGCCTCTACCTTTTGGCTCTTGCAAATAATGATGCTATGAACATGGGTATACAAATAACTGGGTCCCTGCTTTAAGTTCTTTTGGATATGTACCCAGAAGTGGAATTGCTGGATCTTGTGTAATTCTATGTTTAATTTTTTGAGGAACTACCATACTTGCCATACTTTCTATGGCAGCCACACCACTTTACATTTCTAACAATAGTGTGCAAAAATTCCTTTTCTTCACATCTTCACCAACACTTGTTATTTTCTGTTTGTTTTTTATAGTAACCATGCTAATGGGTGTGAGGTGATATCTTATTGTGGTTTTAATTTGCATTTACCTAATGATTATGGCATATTGGCCATTTGTATATCTTTGGAGAAATGTCAATTCAATCATTTGCCCATGTTTTAATTGGGTTGTTTTTGTTGTTGTTGTTGAATTGTATATTCTGGATATTAACTCCTCATCAGATACAAGATTTGCAGACATTTTCTCCCATTCCTTGGGTTACCATTTCCATAGTAAACTTGACTTTTGTGTGTATACAAAGCATCCCTCTTTTTAGGGAACACCATACTCCTGGGCATATGGCTGAACCCTAGCCAATCAACATATTCCACCCTCTTTGTCATATTTATTTGCCCAAGAATGGGCTCAGGACCCAAGCTAAGCCTATGAAAACTCACCCCAAGACTTTTCTCCAAAGTCATTATGAAAGATGCACTGTCTTTCTGGGATTAGGATCTCTGGTGACTATGTCAGCCTAAAATGCCAGAACCATCTTTCCTACCACATTGAGAGAGAATCTGAATATGAAGCCAACATGTGGGAAACAGCTCAGAACCCATGCCCTGTTGATGCTGTCAGAGAATTTGGTTTTAGGATGTCAGGAGACAGAACTTCAACTCAGTGACCATGCCTGGAATTTCTAGTTTTGTAAGCCCAAAACTTTTTTATTCTTTTTTCCTTGAACTTGATTGACTTTAGTTTCTGTCATCTGTGGTCAAGAGAGTATGCATGAATGTCCAGTTGGAAATGTTAATTCTTGGAACCAGCAGCTCAAAGCATGCCCTCTAGTCAGTGCTTAGGATTGATTAGAATAAAAGATGTTAAAGAAGAAAGGATGTTGGAGTCGATTACTCAAATTATAAAAAGTGAGTTTGGGACTCCTGACTGTGTTATTCCCTAGGTCTTCTGCTCTTTCCAGCTATATAGTGGCCAAGACATGTGAGACTAGGAAGAGATGGATAGTTATTTATAAGGAAAGGGGCTTCAAATGTCTCACAATAGTTTAACATTGTTACTTTAAAATATTTTCCCCTCTAAACTGTGGTGCTTTGGATGAATCCTGGCACCTCACTCTGTGTCACCCTGCGATTTGGCCACACCTCTTAAGAACACAGATATCCAGGACTAGAATTGCAGTGCTCCATCTGTTTCTTGCATTCCAGCGCCATCCCATAACCACATCAAATTATCTGTGAAATGCAATTTAGAACTCACTTAGTGAATAGGATGCCACATCCTATGACCACTCCTTAATTTTTCTTCTTTGGAAAAATGTGTGACCTATAACCCTGACCTATGACAGTTCCACCCATAGGCAAGCAATGTGTTAAATAGAAAGGGCACTGCTGAATCACGTTAAGCCTCCAACATTCTGCTTAACAGGACTAGCGTAGTAGTTAGGAGTGTATAGGTGTTCCTTTTCTCCCATTTCTAATGTAACTCCAATACACCCATACTGGCACGCATACTGAGAGCTTATTTACCATGCTTTTTGATCAACTATAACTTTTTTTTAAATAACTAAATGATAAATTCTAAAAATAAGAGTTTCTATTGCAACAACAGACAAGACCTTAGTGCTAGAAAGCACATCATCATGTCAATGGAACAACAAATCATGAGCTTGACAGTAATGAAGCTGTTGCTGAGACATTTGTCTGTCTTTTTACAGGGCAATAATTCAAGTTTGAAGGCACGTATTTATTTAACGTTATGTCTAGGAATAAGTTGCCTTCCTAGCCTGAAATTTCTTTCTTTACCCAATGACAAAATTGTACATAATTAATGAGTGCATTCATTGTGTTTTGTTTTTTTAAAAAAATGGTCTAGCAAAATTTCCTTCTGAACATTTAGTTTAATCATGTTTATTAACTACAAACCGTGAGGTACTTGCCAACTCTGACCATAAAATGTTCTATTCTGAGGCTGTCTCTCTGTTTCTGAGGAGAATAAGAAGTCAAATGTCTTGAAAATAACCAATCCCATCCTGAGAAAACCTTCTAGTTACTTTCTCTCCTCGGATTTTGTTTTTTTAATTAAAACAAGCTAAAGTGAAATAAATAAAACAAAATGATCTGTAATGGTGGAGGCAAGTGGAATGAAAGTACATTTTCCATTCAAAACAATGTACACATGAATGTTTAAATTCATCAGCCTTTCACTGTGTAATAATGTGACATGTTTACAGTGTTGAAGGAAATCAGGTGTTTTCATGCTAAATGAAAATAAAATTTATGTACTGTTATTACCATATTCTTTGCCTGGTGTTTCTCACTCTATTCATCATTAAAGGCTGCTCAATAAATACTGTGCTAACTGCCTGTGTGGATGTTATGCAGTAATAACTCAGAATAACCATAAATAACCACCCACCAGCGCCTTGGGGAGAGTCAAGGCTTTAAGAGGGAATGCTTGCTCCCCAGTTGCTAGATGGTGTAAAAAAGATCCCTAAGTCGATTTTCTCTCCATAGTTGATACATTAGAAGCAAGGCTTAGACCCCAGTATTCCACCTTAAGACAAGGTCTTTGTCCATCATCATCTCAGGAGCTGAGGCAAGCAGTGGGCTAAATAGTGTGATTTTAGACATCTGAAGTTTTCTTCTACGCAACTGTTATCAGAAAACCTCTTGGAGGATTACTTGTCTCCTTGTGTGTTAGTTCTCTATTGCCGCATAATGAATTTCTCCAAAATGTAGCAGCTTAAAACATCAAACATATATTATCTCACATAGCGTTAGAGGGTCAGGGAGCTGGAAGCAGCTTAGCTGTACAGTTCTGGCTCAGGGTCTCTTAGAAGATTAGAATCAAGGTATCAGCCAGGACTGCAGTCACCTCAAGTCCTGATGGGCTGGAGAATTCTTTCCCAAGCTCACATAAGTGGTTGTTGGCAAGAATCAGTTCCTCCCTGGCTCTTTGCTGGAGTCTTCAGTTGCTTGCCACATAGGCCTCACCGTGAGAATAGTCACAGCATGGTAGCTTGCTTTTCACAAAAAGAGATCCAAGAGGAAGAGGTGGAGCAAGCTAGCAAGAGAGCACCCAAGATGGAAGCTGCAGTCTTTTACCCTAACCTCAGAAGTGGTGTACCTTTTGCCATATGCCATTTGTCATATAGCTCAAGCATGGTACAGTGTGGGAGGGGGCTACATGGGATGTTAATACCAGGATGCAGGGGATCGCTGGGGCTACTTTGGAGGCTGGCCGCCTCCCTCTAGGATGAAGCTGGCACTGACGCAAACAGATTGAAAAGTGAGATGAATCGGCGCAGTCAATTGGAAAGAGCACATTCAGAGTAGGATGTACCTGAGTCATCCAGGTAGCAAGAGAGCACTCTTGCTACCTTGTGGTAATTACCTCACTGAGCCTTAAACTTCCCATCCCTAACCATTACCCATCTCTTGTGGTTGGCTGTGAGAGTTAAATGAGATAATATTTAAAGAGTCTGCCTTCTGTGGAGGTTCCTCTAAAGGAAATTAACAATAAAACAAATAACAATAAAAACAAAAAAAAATGTATTTTTTTGTAAGATAGAAGAAATCCAAAAATAGCATGCCACTGTATTTGGAGGATACAGTATCCTCAGGAATGGGGAGACATGAGCGTGCTGGCAATGTTCCAGAAAGGGTAATGCTTTCATATTGTCTCTGCTCCTATTGTTTTCTACTGAAAAGTAAGGTAATGGTCCTGCTTCACTGTGTCAGCCAGGGTGCTCAGGAAGTGCGGTTGAGTCACTTCCCAAGCGTTTATTGAGCCCCGGTGTGCTGGGCACTACTAAGACTCAGCTCCTGACATCATGTTGCCCCTCATCCTGCCTGGGGGTGGAGAGTAGATGAGGGGACAGGCACAGAGACAATTCTCACCTTAGGTGGGAGTTTGAAGAAAGAAGTGTGTGTGTGCAGAGGAAGGAGGGCCTGACCATCTGGGCGAAAGAGGCAGGTCTTCAACCAGTTCTGGGCACTCAAGCAAGGGAATGCCTGCTAGAAGGGGCAGTGGCAATGTGGGCAGGGAAAGGGGTGGTGGCCTGCTCCCTGGAATTCTTCTTAGGGTTCATTGCCAGGTTAGCAAATACAAATGCAGGACATCCAGCTAAATTTGAATTTAAGGTAAACAGTAAATAATGAAATATTTGGGACATTTACTAACAAAAATATTATTTGTGTATCTGAAATTCACATTTAGCTGGGTATTTTGCATTGTCTCTGGCAACTCTATCCTGGGGCAAACATTTAATTTGCCTAGAGTAGTGGAAGCTGAGGCTCCAGAAGAAGGCAGCAGAAAAGATTAGGAAGGATTGTGAATGCCTGTTGTGAGGAGTTTGCATGTATTAATAAACCAATATTGGATACATGCTGGAGGGCCAGTAGGTTTTCAGTGGAGGAATGTCATGGTCAGATTCATTTCGGGTAAGACCACTCTGGTAGCTGTGCAGAGAACAGAGGGAGGTGGTGGGAATGGGGTTGGGGGCTGCGAGAATGGTTAGGAGACTTGCAATAGGACAAGACGTAGAGGAAATGGACTTGACCCAAGCCAAACTTTGGTAGAGCAGAGAGGCAGGTAGAATCATGTCTAAGGGCAGAAATTGGTGATGGAGCATTTATTTAGTAGGACACATCTTTTAAAGGGTTAAATGAATTATTCCAAACCTTGGCTGTACATTAGAACTACATAGGAGGTTTAAGAATACTGAAACCATTCTTACTGATACTGATTTAACTAGTTTATGTTGGGACCTGGACAATGGTGTTCTTTTATTCCCTGGATATTTTAATGCAAAGTCAGGATCAACAACTATTAATAAACTATCTTCTTATCTTTTGTTATTCCAAGGAATGTCCAATTTTCTTGACAGTACACCTGAATGACAGCACACTGTCATCATGAAGCAGCTTAACACACCCTCCTTGACAGAGCAATGTCAGGCACTTCCATGTGCCTTGCAGGTGAAAAACTGGCTATTCCTGCCCAAGAACATTAAAAGCCTATTTAATTTATTTTAATCATTTTATTAAGAAACGAGGTCTCATTCTGTCACCCCCTCTGGAGTGCAGTGGGACAATCATAGCTCACTGTAACCTCGAACTCCAGGGCTCAGATGATCCTCCTGCTTCAACCTCCCAAGCTAGGACTGCAGGTGCACACCACCACACCTTTAATTTTTTTGTAGAGACAGGGTTTTGCTACATTGCCCAGGCTGGTCTCAAACTCCTGACCTCAAGTGATCCTCCCGCCTTAGCCTCCCAGAGAATTGGGATTACAGACATGAGCCACTGCACCTGGTCCTATCACTTGCTTTTAAAAATATATTACCTCATTCCATTGAAAAGTAGGAGGGGAACAGACTCAAAAGACTTGGACCCACCTAAACATCCACATGTGCCTTCTCTGCCCTCAAGCAGTTGGTCCAGAAACTGCAGGCATCACACTCTTAATTTCTACTTAGACACAAATCTCCGGAGAAAATATGTTAAAATGTCTGAGTTGGCACAGTTCACAGTTCATTAAATATCCTTCAGGAGAACTACCTGCTTTTCACTAAGCTCACGTTGATTTGTTATAGTGTCTACATGTAAGTACCACTGCCTGTTTTCAATGATTGGATTGTTTATGGCAGGTGTCCCCAATCCCTGGGACTGTTAGGAACCAGGCCGCACAGCAGCAGGTGAGCGGCAGGCAGGCAGGCAGGTGAGCCAGCATTACTGCATGAGCTCCACCTCCTGTCAGATCAGGGTGGCATTAGATTCTCAGAGGAGTGCGAACCATATTGAGAACTCTGCCCAAGAGGGATCTAGGTTGTGTGCTCCTTATGAGAATCTAATGTCTGATGATCTCAGGTAAAAGAGTTTTATCCCAAAACCATCCCCCCGCCCCCATCTGTGGAAAAATTGTCTTCCAGGAAACCAGTTCCTGGTGCCAAAATGGTTGGGGACTGCTGGTTTAGGGCAATGGAATGTGAGCTGTCCTTTAGTTCTTTCCAGGTCAGGTGGGTGTTCCATTTTAAGGCAAAAAGAGAGTAAAGGAGCCTGATACTTGGTTTCATATCAGCAGCCTGGTGTCTGCCTTTGACAGAGATGCATTGTGGACACTTACATTTGTATCTTAGGGTTTGTTTTTGACTTATACAAGATTTTTCCCAAGATTTTTTAGCAATAGGAATGCTCCAATTTCTATAAAGTGAGTTTCAGTTCATGAACAACTGTAAAAGCCATATATTCCAATATGTTCTAGCTTATTTCCTTCTGCTTAAAGGCATGCCCTTCTTTTTGCCTCTCGACCAGATCGTCCCTGAGGTCAAAGGTTGTAATATGTGCCCTTGCCTGAGGAAGGAAGGAATGAGTGATTTGAACATGTGAGATTGTAACCAGTCAAAGAGAACCAAGATAGTTCCCTGTTACACATAGGACCATGGGTTTACAAGATGTTTTGATGTTTAATCAAACCTGAAATGGATATTAAATTATACAATTTATTTTTTCTTTCTTATTTTTTTGTCATTAGAATTCCTTTCTTTCTTTGGAGACATTTTAATGTCATTTGTGTAAAAGAAGAAGCTGAGAGTAGTAGCTTGAAGTATCCAGTGACAATCATTGTGAAAATGTTTAAGTGATTCAGTATTGGCAAAGAGCTGATCATAAGAACTCTACTCTCCAAACTTGATTCTAGTGAATATATGGAGATTAAGTTTAAAGAGTTCAATGAACTTTACATACAAATGATGCTTAGTAACTGTTTTGGAATTCTAGAAAAAAAATAAAAATAGTGTAAAAATACCAGTAAGTGGTGATAGGAAAAGCACTGGATTCGGAATCAAAAGACCTATTGCCTGATCATATTGTACTCTCTCTCTCTCTGTGTGTGTGTGTGTGTGTGTGTGTATATATATATATATATATATAGTTACAGAAGTGGAAAATGAGCATAAGAAAAGGAATATGTTACTTCTGTTTCCACAGAAGAAATATCTGACATTAAAAACTTACTGATCAGTTTATTCAACAGACACTTATTGAGTACCTATTACATGTCAAGCCCTCGTACAGCTACCCGACCCAAACATCAAAGGAAGCAGGCCTGGCCCTCTAGGGACTTTGGAGACTGTGGAGGGATACAATTAGGATCACAGGCAACCTCAATGACCTGGAGTAAGCGTTATAATAAAAGTTACATGGGGTAGTATCTGGAATTGAATGTTATTTCCAGTTCAATAATGTTTGAGGTGGATTCTCTTTCAGCCATGTTAGGAAAAAAAAACTAAAACGGCTTCCACGTCTTACATCACAATATAAACAGTGTAATGGATTCCAAAAAATGCAGGCCTTCTGTTGATCCCGTGCAGAGAAAGCATATGTGCTTAGACATATGTGTTTAGACATCCACTTAGCAAGCATTCTGTCAGCCTGTCAGGACCAGCACCACAGCTGAATCACATATAGCCCCAGACATCAGCTGTAAGGGAACCAAATGGTGCCTTACCAAAAATTGCCTTAGAATTCAAAGTATTTAAACAGTATGACAGGCACAACCAATCGTTTACAAGAGAAAACCCACAGCACATAGGCATAGCCCCTAAGTGCAGTAAGGAACCATTCTGAATTTAAATAACTTCAGTACTGAATATAAAATCTTCCACGTAGGACAAAACAGTGCATAATGCCATGAAAATAAGCAAAATGAAAAGATGTATTAGGTGTTAGCCAAATTATGGTAGATTAATTAGTCGGTAAGACCACACAAATTAAAAGCATTTGGCAATTTCAGAAATCTTTGATTGAATAATTATCTTTCTATTGTTATGAGAAGTTAAAAAAAACGGCGACACTTTTATTTTATTTTATTTATTTATTTTGAGACGGAGTCTCACTCTGTAGCCCAGGCTGGAGTGCAGTGGCGCTATCTGGGCTCACCACAGGCTCCGCCTCCCGAGTTCACGCCGTTCTCCTGCCTCAGCCTCCTGAGTAGCTGGGACTACAAGCGCCCGCCACCACGCCCGGCTAATTTTTTTGTTTTGTTTTGTTTATATTTTTAGTAGAGACGAGGTTTCACCATGAAAAAATTGAGACTTCAAAAAAAAAAGATTTCCAGAGAAGTAATGCAGTGAAATAGCTCATTAGATTGTTACTGAATTGGTCTTGTATGTATTGAGAATAATTAAAGAAAAACTGAAGACACCATACTCCCAGGAAAAGCCCAATAGTTCTATAGCTTTGCTAGCCAGTAAAGAGTAGAAACTAGTTTTAATCCTGTTTAATCAATAAATTTCAGTTCAAGGGCTGTGGTAACAAATAAACACCAGAGCTGATTTTAAACTTACCTAACCAATTAGTGACAACTTGCTGCAGAGAACACAATTCTCGAAGCCAGCCAATCAACAGCAGCCTTACATATTTAAAGTCAGCCAGTGAGTGGCACATCCTCTCTAGAGAATATGCTTCTAAGGCTGAAATCAACCCACCCTGTCACCCACACAAAACATTGCCTCCCAGACTGTGGCACCCTTCTCCTGCTTCTGCCACCAACACAACACAAAACAACTATTCCCCAAATCCTTTGTAAGGCCTTTTTTTGCTCAGTGAAACTGTGCCTGGACCAGCAAAGCTCTTCCAAAGTTCTTCCTTCCTCAGGCAACACATTTAGCTTTGTATATTTGGGATTCAGTGTGTTGGTCTCTTCCTTTTATGCTATATTCACATTATTTGAAATTATAAGATGAATCTTTATTTACCACTTTATACAGGCTTGTTTTTCTACATATCGATCTAGGTTTTAATGGCAAAAACCGCAATTACTATTGCATCAACCTAATATTATGTTAAAATAGTTTATTTAGGAAACATTCTTTATTAATTATAGGGTCAGACCCCAGGGTAATATCTGTCAGCTTTTTACAAGTTTATCTTAAAATTTTTTTCTTTCATGTCTCCATAATTTAGCATTTCACTTGAAATTCCAAACTGGAAACATCTCTTCCCCTTCCTATCTTTGTTTATGCCATATGATATCTTTGTTTATGCCATACCATCCACCTAGTTCTCCAAACTATCAAACTTTAACTTAGTATTGACCGTTACTTTTCCCTTTTCTTTCCAGGCTTATCAATATTATATGTAAAATGTTCTTCAAAACTTCCTTTAATTCACTCCCTTGGCCATATCTCTAATTAAAGATTTTAATTCCTGTTTGCCAAGATGATTATTAATAGAGTTAAATTGTTTCCTGAAGTCCCTGTCCTTCTAATACATCCTGCATGAGCCCACTAGGGTGATAAGGAACAGAACTGAGCTTGTCTGTCTGTGTGATGCCAGGATCTTTTAACAGACCAAGTGGAAACTTCTTAGCATGGCACTGTGGGACCAACACTCTCTGGGTTCTATTGACCGGAACAGAAGATAATAAATTCCCAGTAAATGTTAGTTTTAAAAGATTTTGTTTGTATATGGCCTAGTTTCTACATGTAGACCTAAACGTATTCACAGGACTTGCAGAATTTCCCTATAGAAAACTCTTCATCCTGTTCATCCACTTGACCCTGACCTTTCAGCACTGCCTAAATTAAGGTCTGTACATTTCTATGAGCAAATGTTAGCCTCTGGTTTCATTTTCCTCTCTGCTGGGCTCTCACTGAGCTATTCTTATGAGAGAAGGCCAAGGCATTCCACAGTGGATGTTTGCATGTGTTTCTGGAGGAATGTTTCTTGGACTTTCTTATCGTCACTGGCATTTTAGAGGAATGACTTCTTAGATGGCAAGGGAACCACATGATTACAGTATGTTTGCCTTGGCAGTTGTTAGCATTTCTTTGGCAGGTAGTTTCCCCACCTCCTGATTGGGGAAGTGGTAGTTCAAAGAAATAGTTATTGAGCACTTGCTATATGTCAGGTACCATGTTAGAAGATAAGGATACAAAGACAATTAAAACACAATGAACCCTCACAGTTTGCACTCTAGTAATGAATGAACTGGGTATAAAAGCAAATAGTAAAGGCACTCGAAGGAATGTTGTACTACGGAAGCACAGAGGGTAAGGAGGGCTTGCTGGAGAGGTGCTATTTGCATATGTATGCATATATATATATGCATATGAGCACATATGAATGTACATGCTGCCTAGAGAACACACCCATAGAAGGGGGACTCTAGGAAGGCTCTGCCACTAGGAAATCTTAAGAAACTATTTCAAGTCAACAGTTTTGATTTATCTTTAAAATGCCTGTCTCAATAGGCCGTTCAAATGCACAGATTTGTTTGTCTTGCTTTGCTTTGCCAGTTCTATACAGATGGTGTACTATGCTACCACACTTTTTTGATCTCTTCAAGCCAGGGTTTATGCACTATAAGGATATGTATGTTTGCAAAAGCAAACATCAGTAATCATACTGAGGCCACGCTCCTAAGAAACTCCAGGTTCTTCCCTTGGACAGAGAGGTGGGGTTCAGACAACAGACCAGTAAACACGGTAAAGTCAAATAAATAACAGAGCGTTGTGTAAGCCTGCTGGTCCCTTTCTCTAGTGGTGGCAACCCTTTGAATTGCTGTCTCTTGTTGACAGTGCCTTTGTGTCCACTTGACTTTTACACGCCCAACTCCCTGTGTCAGGGAAGGGCACTCTAATCCCTCCTGCTGAGCTCAGGTCATTAAATACTCGCCCTACATTTTACAGCTTCGACCCTTTGACAGGGGAGCTGACCCCAGCTCAGTTCCAGGCACCCAACAAAATGGGGATTAATAAAACCAGCCCTAGTGTAGCCAAGGGCTCTACAGCTGCTTCTTGCAATTAGACTTGTCATCATTCTCTTAAGAAGCCCCTGTTGATTTTTAAATCCTAATTGGCAGGAGACACCTGTTTCCCAATGGGAAGGGGTCATTCATTTGCAGCAGGCACAGGACAGAGGCTGAAGAGCTGTATGAACGAGCACAAATAGATGCCTTTGCCTCAAATCTGTTTGCTGCCACTTAGAGTTTGTTGCTCTTGTTTTTCCTTTTCCTTCTTTTCTTTTTTTCCTCCAGAACGGCACATACAGAGTCAGGCTGGTCCTTGGGAATAAGTAAGCATTCAGCTCAGAATCTTTTTTCAAGCAAGAACTTTCCACTGGCCCCTCCTCAGAGGATCCTCCTTACTATCCGGCAAACCCCTCTAGGCATGAGGAGATTTCCTGCCTATTTTTTTTGCCAGAATCCTGGTTGTCATTCATTCCAGTATTTAGGTATTTATTAACTGCTTGCGAGCTACTTAGACTCTAACTTATTTGTGTCTATGAGGATTATTGAGTGTATTTTTAGTTCCTGTCTTCACTGAGCTTGCATTCTAAATAGAGGGAGGCATTAGAACTGCATGTGGTAATACATGTGCAATATTCTTGTCCAACTACCATATTTGAGATAGTGCCTGTGTATAGAAAGAGAAGTAGTAAAGGTTCTGGGGATAGTTTCCTAGAGGTTTGAGCATTTTGATTTTCTCTAAAACTTATTCTCCCTAGGTTTTCTGCTTAGATCTAAGGTTTTAAGTTGTCTAAGCGGTATTAAGTTAGGCTCTTTAGCTGGGAGCCTCAGTAATGTCTGATAGAATTCATTGTGACCCTTTCCCTTAATTAATACCAATGAATTTTTTTTCAAATTAAGTTTCATTGTTATTTATAACTCTCTGAGCATTAAGGCAAATATATAGGATAATAAGAATAAAATAACTGCACAAGAATATGAGGAAACTGTGAATCAGCAAATATTGCAAAGCAATAGAATCACAGTTCTCATTTTTTATGCATCAAGCATTTATTGAACACCTAGTATGTCAGGCTGTATTCTAGCCTTTGGACCTCTGTTGGGTCACTCCAGGTTTCAACTCAGCTAGTAAGGACTGTCCTCTTAACAGAACTTTGCCAATAGCCAGTTAAGCCCGCTTGTCAACCTTGCCACGTCCTTGTGGGCTTCAGTGAAATTAGGCAATCAGGCAAGACCTATTCCAACAGAATACCAGTAGAATGTCCTTCAAATGCAATACAATAAGTTCAAATAATTTTCTCTGCCTTATTTTACTGACTATATGCCTTGTTTTACATCTAATTTTACAAGATTATATGTCTTGTTTACTTACAATGGCACTGTCATTACCATTGCTGAAAAAAATAAAGGAAGTAAAAGACCTAATTATTGACCTTGAGAGGTTTGTGTCTCAGTGGGTGATATATACATAGTAAGAACAACCACCTCTGAGTGCCAGTTCTGCCCAAGGGTTTAATTGAAGGCATGGTTGGAGCTCATCATACTCCATGACAACTATTCAGGGAATGACATTGTTATCAGTAGTGTGAAAGTCTCTTAAGAGCCTAAATAAATGGTCCTCAAAAGGCAGTGTCCAAAAAGATTACCCAAGAATCTCATTAAAATGCTGATGCCTGGGGCCCCAAACTGAGTGATTCTGTTCACTGAGAAGTGAGTGGTATGTGGTGGGGGTTAGGAATAAACCTTTAAGAAGCACTTCCAGTGATTTTGACACAGGTACTCTGCACTCTACACTTTAAGAAACTATGAGACCCTCCCCTAACTTTAGGGCCCTTAAGAAACTATGAGACCCGCCCATAACCTTAAGGCACTTTGGATAAGGAAGATGACAAATGGAAGAATAAAATTACAGAGCCATTTCTGCCTCCTAGATCTTTCACTTAAGACCAAGTGGACTTCACTATTGGATGTTAAAGTACTCCTAAGGCTCATGAGTTCCTCCTTGTGGTCTCATCTCTGTAATTCCATCTGAAAAGTGGTTGGCCATATACCTGCCTTATTATATCTGGTCCGTTAAAAAAAACCACTGGAGGTCTTCAGCTATTGATATTGCCTTTGACTTCCATGGTCCTTTCCAAGGTAAGGCCCTGAGCTGAGAATGGTTCAGAGATCAGTTATCGCCATATAAGGAGGGAGACAGGCTAAAAGCTCCTTTTAAATGTTTGGAACAAAGTGTGAAGCTTTGCAGCCTCCGTGTGTTTATGATGTAAGCAACAGTGAGTAGCACAAAGAACTTAGAGGAGACTCGGTGATTCATTCAGGAAGAAATAGCTTGCACCTGTGAGAATGCTGAAGGCGCCACTTGGCATTATTGGGGTGCTGCCTCAGCTGGAAGGCAGGCTCTGCCCCCATACGAACCAACAGCTTGTAGCTCTTAAGTGGCCCTGGGCCTCTCTCACTGTTATGTTTTGCTTTTGGAATGAAAGCAAACTTGTGACTCACTTGAGAGCTGAGGGGAGGTATGTGCTTAGTAGCATTCAGTCTTGGCAGGAGGGCAGCCACCGCAGAGATGGGATGCAATCTAATAAGAACATGTGTTCTTACAGTATGCCTCATGGCCAGGCCACTTTATCTTCAGTAATCCCAATCTATGTCCCAGAATCACATTATTTGGCCATAGACCAGACCCCGTGTATTCTTGGCTTGAGGAATAATGAAACGTGATCTCAAGACAAGATAGGATCATGAGCTGAAGAGACACTGATGAATTTTTCTCCCCAGCAGCACAACATTAAATGTAACATTGCATCAGGAAAATGTATTTAACATGCCAGTAGGGAAGACCAAACATTGCCTTCTGTACATGAAATTCTGCCTCGATAGCTTATGTTTACTGACAGGAACAAATTGATGTTAGGGATAAAAGAACATCAGAAAACAAAAGCTTCAGTTGTAGGCGGAATAGCCCTAAGTGTATTGCTGTTATTACAGTAGTCATTCGTCTTGGAGAAGGCATTGGATGCTATTGTACATGTCATCCAAAGAGCCATTTATCAAGAAAAGCTCTTAAGGGTACAATAATGTTAAAATTCAAAACTCTTTGTGTTTAGAGAATATGGTGAAAGGGACGAGGCAATGTCTGGAGCTCAGTATGGTCTTTCTGGTCCTGCTTTGAGCAAGCCCAGTGCAGTGGGCCAGTCTCTGGGATCTAGGAAGGGTCACTCAGAGGGCAGCCTTCAAGAAGGCTCTGGGGCCGGGCGCGGTGGCTCACGCCCGTAATTCCAGCACTTTGAGAGGCCGAGGCAGGTGGATCATGAGGTCAGGAGATTGAGACCATCCTGGCTAACACGGTGAAACCCGGTCTCTACTAAAAATACAAAAAAAAAATTAGTTGGGCGTGGTGGCGGGCCCCTGTGGTCCCAGCTACTTGGGAGGCTGAGGCAGGAGAATGGCATGAACCCGGGAGGCGGAGCTTGTGGTGAGCAGAGATCCAGCCACTGCACTCCAGCCTGGGTGACAGAGTGAGACTCTGTCTCAAAAAGAAAAAAAAAAAAAAAAAAAAAAGAAGGCTCTGGGCAGGTCAGGCTGAATCCCTGTGGCCACTGAGGATCAGAAAGCAACTGGTGTTGGTTCCACTAGTGGGGAAAAGAATCAGTTGCTTGGATGGAAAGCCTGACTCCTCACTTTCTTGCTGTAAAATCATGCATGTGTCACGTAATCTCTTAAGACAACGATAGTTCTTTTCCAAGTCCATCCTCCCATGGACTATGGTCAATATTTTGGCCTACACTGCAAGGAACCCTTTTCAAAATATAAACTATCCTTAAGTTCAGTGTTTGCACTGATATTTATATATTAATAAATTGGGCAAGTAAAAGTCATGGCTGCACAGAATAGAAAATAGTACAGAGTGGCAGGGCATGGTGTGTGGGTGGGAAGAAATCTTGTTGACTTCATGTGAATACAACTAGGAGGGTCCCAGCAGAGGCATTTTATTACCTTGATGGAATACAGTTTAAAAAATACCTCCAAAGTTAAATTTCAAAAAAGGAAAAAAGTGTATATTTTATTTTTAGGTTTTGGTTCTGTATCTACAGAGAATTAGTTTTCTTTTTTGAAATGGAAAACAGCAATGGAATTTATTTTTTTCACTAAATGACCAGTAAACTGTGACAAATTTCATTTGCTCCGTGGTGAATAGAGTTCTAGAAAAGGTAGAAATAGTCGAACACTGCCACCTGCTGTCACTCTTCACACATGTGCTGGTAGGACTTGGATTTTATTTGGCCTCTTTCACACAGGAAAAGATCTATGGTAGTGGCTCTCAATGTTCTTGCGTTTTTTGTTTTTTTTTTTTAATTTTACTGTAAGTTCTGGGATACATGTGTAGAACGTGCAAGTTTGTTACATAGGTATACATGTGCCATAGTGGTTTGCTGCACCTATCAACCTGTCATCTAGGTTTTAAGTCCCACATGCATTAGGTATTTGTCCTAATGCTCTCCCTCCCCTTGCTCCCACCCGCTGAAAGGCCCTGGTGTGTGATGTTCCCCTCCCTGTGTCCATGTGTTCTCATTGTTCAACTCCCACTTATGAGTGAGAACATGTGGTATTTGGTTTACTGTTCCTGTGTTAGTTTGCTGAGAATGGTGGCTTCCAGCTTCATCCATGTCCCTGCAAAGGACATGAACTCATTCTTTTCATGGCTGCATAGTATTCCATGGTGTATATTTGCCACATTTTCTTCATCCAGTCTATCACTGATGGGCATTTGGGTTGGTTGCAAGTCTTTGCTAATGTAAATAGTGCTGCAATAAACATAAGTGTACATGTGTCTTTATAGTAGAATGATTTATAATCCTTTGGGTATATACTCAGTAATGGGATTGCTGGGCCAAATGGTATTTCTGGTTCTACATCCTTGAGGAATCACTACACTGTCTTCCACAATGGTTGAACTAATTTACACTCCCACCAACAGAGTAAAAATGTTCCTATTTCTCCACATCCTCTCCAGCATCTGTTGTTTCCCGGATTTTTATTGATCGTCATTCTAACTGGCGTGAGATGGTATCTCATTGTGGTTTTGATTTGCATTTCTCTAATGACCAGTGATGATGAGCTTTTTTCATGTTTGTTGACCACATAAATGTCTTCTTTTGAGAAGTGTCTGTTCATATCCTTTGCCCAGTTTTTGATGGGGTTGTTTGCTTGTTTATTGTAAATTTGTTTAAGTTCTCTGTAGATTCTGGATATTAGCCCTTTGTCAGATGGATAGATTGCAAAAATTTTCTCCCATTCTGTAGGTTGCCTGTTCACTCTGATGATAGTTTCTTTTGCTGTGCAGAAGCTCTTTAGTTTAACTAGATCCCATTTCTAAATTTTGGCTTTTGTTGCAATTGCTTTTTCAACTGGCTTCAGAATCAACTGGAGGGCTGTGAAAATACAGATTTCAGGGCTCCACCTTCAGGGCTTCTTACTTGATAGGTTTGAAAAGGGACTCCAAAACTTGTATTTCCTTTTTCCTTTTCTTTTCTTTTCTTTCTTTTTTTTTTTTTTTTTTTTTTTTTTTGAGATGGAGTCTCATTCCAGCCCAGGCTGGAGTGCAGTGGTGCCATCTCAGCCCACTGCAGCCTCTGCCTCCCCTTGTTCAAGTGATTCTCGTGCCTCAGCCTCCCAGGTAGCTGGGATTACAGGCGCCTGACACCACACCCGGCTAATTTTTATATTTTTAGTAGAGACGGGTTGCACCATGTTGGCCAGGCTGATCTCAAACTCCTGGCCTTAAGTGATCCACCTGCCTTGGCCTCTGAAAGTGCTGGGATTACAAGCGCTAAACTTGCATTTCTAACAAGTTCCCAGATACTCTTCCTGTTGCTGGTGCAGACACTGGTCTATATTTAAATGCCAGGGATGCCCTTGGTTGCTGGTGTATAGATCTCTTGACAAAAGAATTCAGCATTTGTAGCTCTATGAAGATTTACATTTCATTGCTTATTCTAACTTATCCTGTACCTCACATAGGAACAGTAAGTCAGGTGTAAAAGCCAAATACAAAAAGAATTGATCAGAAGTGCAATCAATCAGGCACTCGGGTTACTGTGCTTGAGGCTGAATAGTTATCACAGAGGAGCATGGGATGTATTAGGCTACAGGAGATTGTTTATATAAAGAAATAGTTTGGCCCGGAATGTGAAAGACCTGTCCATATATAAAAGAACTGCTTTCAAACAGAATGGATAGTACTAGTCTTTGAAGGTCTGGGCAGAGTCCCAATTTTCCTGCCTTTCTTTCATATGCCACATGTTAATTTGTCTTCAGGACTCATTGACTCTGAAAAGCAGATGGCCAGAAGTGTGAAATTTTGGTGGTATTAAGTCCTATCATTTTTGTCATCACCTGTGTTTTCAGTGAAACTGGAGTCTTCATTGATTAAATAACTCACAATCCAAAGCTGTACTTTTAAACTTTGGACATGTATAAGAAGAGATGAGATGTGCTTCAGCATCAAACTTTTTTATTGTAATAAGACACATATCATTAAATTCACCATTTTAACCATTTTTAAGTGTAAGTTCAGTGATGTTACATATATTCACATTATTGTGCAACGGGGCTCTAGAACTTTTTCATCGTGTGAAACAAATTCTACACACATGAAACACTAATGCCCCTCCCCATCCACCTAGCCTCTGGCAACTACATTTCTAATTTCTGTCTCTATGATTTTGACTACAGTGCTATAAATAGTTCATATGAATGGAATCATACAGTAGTTGCCCTTCTGTGACTGGCTTATTCACTTAGCATAATGTCCTTGAGGTTCATCTATGTCGTAACGTGTGACATGATTTCCTTCTTTTTTAAGGCTGCATAATATTCCATTGTGTGTGTGTGTGTGTGTGTGTGTGTGTGTGTGTGTATCACATTTTTATTATGCATTCATATATCAATGGCTGCTTGGGTTGCTTGTACCTCATGGCTGTTGTGAATAATGCTGCAATAAACATGAGTGTGCAATAAACATGAGCGTGCAAATAGCTCTTTAAGATCATGCTTTAAATTTGTTTGGATACATACCCATGAGGGTGATTGCTGGATCATATGGCAATTTAATTTTAAATTTAAATTTTTAAAATTAAATTTTAAAATTTAAATTTTAAGGAAGATTTATACTGCTTTCTATAGCAACGGCACCATTTTACATTCCCATGATGGTGCAACAAAAAGTTCCAATTTCTCCTCATCCTTGCCAGCATGCTATTTTCCTGTTCTTTTGATAGTGGCCATGCTAATGAGTGTGAGGTGATATCTCATAGTGGTTTTGATTTGCATTTCTCTAATAATTACTGATGGTGAGTGTATTAGGGTTCCCTAGAGGGACAGAAATAATAGGAGATATATATATATAAAGGGAAGTTTATTAAGTATTAACACATGATCACAAGGCCCCACAATAGGCTGTCTGCAAGCTGAGGAGCAAGGAGAGCCAAACGGAGTCCCAAAACTGAAGAACGTGGAGTCCGATGTTTGAGGGCAGGAAGCATCCAGCATGGGAGAAAGATGTAGGCATATTTGGCCATTTCTCCTTCTATGCAAAGTGCACTACCAGGTGCACTTCTTGAAGTTCTGCCCACTGGGAAGATTTCCCTTCACTGCTGTCCTTCAGGGATGTCCTAGAAAGGGGCTGTATTGCTGCAGCTGTCCACTTTTGGGTGGTGCCTACATATTGTGCAGAACCATCTGTGAACCAGGCCCTACTCTTCTCTTCCTCTGTCAACTGATCATAGGGAACTCTCCATGAGGTCATCGGTGCAGGTTGGGGAAGAGAAGGCAGGGTGGAAGGAGTGGAGACCATGAGCATTTGAGGCATTTCCTCGTGTAACTTACTTGTGCCTTCAGGACCTGCTCGAGCCGGATCGCCTATATACCACTTCCATTTGATGAAGGAATACCGCTGTGCACAACCCACATAATGGCTAGACGGGTCAGAAAGCATCCAGCTTATGATAGGCAGTTCAGGTCACATGGTGACTTGATGACCCATAGTCAAATGTTCCGTTTCCACCAAAGCCCTGGTAACAGACGAAGAGCTGTCTTTCAAAAGGAAAGTAGTTATCAGCAGAAGACGGCAGGGCCTTGGTCCAAAATCCTAGAGGCCTCCTCTGTAATTCACCTATGGGGACCTGCCAAAGGCTCCAAACAGCATTCCTATCTGCCACTGACACTTCAAGCACCATTGCATCTGCTAAGTCATATGGCCCAAGTGGCAGGGCAGCTTGCATAGCAGTCTGGACCTGTGGCAGAGCCTTCTCCTGTTCTGGACCCCACTCAAAACTAGCAGCCTTTCGGGTCACTCGATAAATGGGCTGAAGTTGCACACCCAAAATGAGGAATGTGTTGCCTCAAAAATCCAAATAGGCCCACTAGACATTGGGCCTCTTTCTTGGTTGTTCGAGGGGCCAAATGCAGCAACTTATCCTTCACCTTAGAAAGAATATCTTGACAGGCCCCACACCACTAGACCCCTAGAAGTTTTACTAAGGTAGAAGTTCCCTGAATTTTTAGTAGGATTTATTTCCCATCCTCTGACACACAAATGTCTCGCCGGTAAGTCCAGTGTGTTTGCTATTTCTGGCTCACTGGATCCAATCAGTCATCAATGTAATGGACCAGTGTGATATCTTCTGGAAGTGAAAGACAATCAAGGTCTCTCCAAATAGGATTATGACACAAAGCTGTAGAATTGATATACCCCTGAGGTAGGACAGTAAAGGTATATTGTCGAGACCAGCTTGGTCGAGGGGACCCTAAGCCAGCGGCGCTAGAGGAATTAAAGACCCACACACAGAAATATAGAGGTGTGAGGTGGGAAATCAGGGGTCTCACAGCCTTCAAAGCTGAGAGCCCCGAACAGAGATTTACTCACGTATTTATTAACAGCAAGCCAGTCATTAGCATTGTTTCTACAGATATTAGATTAACTAAAAGTATCCCTTATGGGAAACAAAGGGATTGGCCGAAATAGAGGGATGGGTTGGGCTAGTTATCTGCAGCAGGAGCATGTCCTTAAGGCACAGATCACTCATGCTGTTGTTTGTGGTTTAAGAATGCCTTTAAGCGGTTTTCCTCCCTGGGCGGGCCAGGTGTTCCTTGCCCTCATTCCAGTAAACCCACAACATTCCAGCATGGGCATTATGGCCATCATGTCACAGTGCTGCAGAGATTTTGTTTATGGCCAGTTTTGGGGCCAGTTCATGGCCAGATTTTGGGGGGCCTGTTCCCAACAGTATATTGCTGGCCTTGCCAGCTGAAGGCAAATTGCTTCTGGTGGGCCTTATGGTCAGAAATGGAGAAAATGCCATTTGCCAAATCAATGGCTGCATACCAGGTAACAGGAGATGTGTTAATTTGCTCAAGCAATGAAACCACATCTGGTACAGCAGCTGCAACTGGAGTCACCACTTGGTTAAGCTTATAATAATCCACTGTCATTCTCCAAGATTGATCTGTCTTCTGCACAGGCCAAATGGGAGAGTTGAATGGAGATGTGGTGGGAATCACCACCTCTGCGTCTTTCAAGTCCTTGATGGTGGCACTGATCTCCACAGTCCCTCCAGGGATGTGATATTGTTTTTGATTTACTATTCTTCTAGGTACAGGCAGCTCTAATGGCTTCCATTTGGCCTTTCCCACCACAATAGCCCTCACCCTACCAGTCAGAGAGCCAATGTGGGGATTCTGCCAGCAGCTAAGTATGTCTATGCCAATCATGCATTCTGGCCCTAGGGAAATGACCACAGGATGAGTCCAGGGACCCACTGAAGCCATTGTAAGTCAGACTTGAGATAAAACTCCATTAATTACCTGTCCTCTATAAGCCTCTACTTTAACTGGATACCATAATGATGTTTTGGGTCCCCTGGAATCAATGTTAGCTCAGTGCCAGTGTCCAGTAGTCCCCAAAATGTTTGATCATTTCCCTTTTCCCAGTGCACAGATGCCCTGGGAAAGAGCCAAAGGTCTCCTTGGGAATGGATGGGAGAAAGATTCACTGCATAAATTGTCAGTAATATAGTGGGTTCCTTCTTCAAGGGGACTCAGCCTCCCCTTCATTCAAGGGGCTCTGGGTCTGTAAACTGGCTCAAGTCTGGAAATTGATTAAGGGGCCATGATGACCTGTTTTTATAATTCAAATTAGTCTTTTGTCTATGCGACCTAGAAGTTTTCTGCTTATATAAATTAAGTAGGAATGCAGTAAACTTCCTATTAATTTCACTTATAGTAACACCATGATTAATTTGTCAATGCCAGAGCTCTACACGAGTCAGATTATTCTGATTGCTGCTTTGCCTCTGCAGTCCATGATGGTAGCTATGCCCACCTTGCCTTTGATGGTTGAGTTCCACCAGTTGGCCCCTGCCACCTCATGATCCAATTATTCCTATTGTATTTAAATTTTGTAGTTGAGTGACTGTGGTTCTCACAGTTAGATCTGACATACAGAGCAGAGCACCCACAAAGCTCTTCAAAGATGCAGGCACTGCCCTCACAAATCTATTTCACAGGGCATTGGTCAAGAGTATATCTTCTGCACCCTCCCAGCTGGGATAAGTAGGTCTAAAGTGACTAATCCACTCCACCATCCCGATCTCCTTAAGTGTTTGGATCCCTTTCTCTACATTAAACCAAGGGAGATCAGGCATTTCCAGCTGGGTCACAGTGGGCCATCTTTTAATCCATATTGCAGCTAACAAAGCAAATAAACTATTAGAACCTTTCTGTAACTCCCCAAGCTGCAACATTAAATGCAGAATCCATACTTATTGGGCCCAAATCAATAAATTCAGCCTGATCCAACTCTTATGTTCCTTCTATCCTTATCCCACACCCTTAATATCCATTCCCATGCCTGTTCTCCAAATTTCTGCTCATATAAATTAGAAAACTCAAGCAATTCTTTTTGAGTGTAGCACACCTCCTCATGGGTCACACTTTGAACCTTACCTCTAGGGTCCCACCAGGACTTTAGTCTAGAAGGAAACAGGAGTGTTTGTGGTGGCTCCTGAGGAGAATCAACATCATCTTGCCTGACAACTGCCTCAGGGGAGGCCATCACTCTTGCCTCAAGCAGCACAGGGTTTATCTCCTTAGACAAAGGTGGAAAGGCTGATGGCAGCATGGATCAGGGAGGGGATGTTGCCACTACTTGGGATAGGGAAGCTGTTTCTTCTGGCAAAAAAGGTTCATCAGAGTTTACAAACTCAGTGTCCCCAGCTTCATCAGGGTCCTCCCACACGTCCCTATTCCAAGTTACAGGGTCCCATTCCTTTCCAATCAGTGCCCTCACTTTAACAGTGGACACCTGGCAAGGCTGTGCATGCATCTTTTGTTGCAGGTCAGCCACTCACATAAGAGTCTGTGTCTGTTTTTCCCCAATTTCAGCTCTTTCTCTACAGGAGCTAAGACTCTCACTTAGGGCAATCTTAGCAGATTTGAGGCTCAATATCTGCTTCTGAAGCAGAATCCCTGAGTTCATCATTTTCTTTCATCACTTTGTCCACTGAACTTAGGAGCAACCAATCAACTTCATTATGTTCCTTGGTTCTCCACATATGGTCAAAGGTATTATGTATAGAGTCATTAAACTCCTTGCCTCTCATGAGTGGTGAATCAGGAGTATTAAATGCATTTACTTTGCATAACTGTCTAAACAGTTTCCGCCAAGCACTATCAGTGTTTTCATACTATTAGAAGTAGAGTCCTTAGCATTTTTTGGTCTAATCATATTAAGCAGCCAACTCCAGAAACCCCAAAACCAGTGAAATAACCCCATTCTTAATATTCTGTTCCTCTAGAAACACTCCTGATACCAAAATGTATATTGGTCAGGGCGTCGGGGCTCTATAGAGGGACAGAACTAATTATATATATATGTGTATATATATGTGTGTGTGTGTGTGTGTGTGTATATATATATGTCCCTCTATAGAGGGACAGAACTAATTTTTATATATATATATATATAGGTGTATATATATATATATATAGGTGTGTGTATATATATAGGTGTGTGTATATATATAGGTATATATATACATATATGTATATGTATATGTATATGTAAAGGAGAGTTTATTAAGAATTAACTCACACAATCACAAGGTTCCACAACAGGCCATCTGCAAGCTGAGGAGCAAGGAGAGTCAGTCTGAGTCCCAAACTGAAGAACATGGAGTCCAATCTTCGAGGGCAGGAAGCATCTAGCTTGGGAGAAAGATGTAGGCTTGGAAGCGAAACCAGTCTAGTCTTTTCATGTTTTTCTGCCTGCTTTATATTCTGGCCACTTTGGCAGCTGATTAGATGGTGGCCACCCAGATGAAGGGTGGGTCTGCCTTTCCCAGCCCACTGACTCAAATGATAATCTCCTTTGACAATACCCTCACAGACACACCCAGGATCAATATTTTGCATCCTTCAATCTAATCAAGTTGACACTCAGTATTAACCATTGCAGTCAGTATCTTTTCTTATACTGGTTGGCCATTTATATATCTTCTTAGACAAATGTCTATTTAAGTTCTTTGCCCATATTTTAACTGAGTTATATTTGTTGTTGTTACTGTGGAATTTCCTCACATATTCTGAATAATAATCTCTTATCAGATATATGATTTGAAAATATATTCTTCCATTCCAAGGGTTGTTTTTCACTCTGATGAGTGTTTTCTTTGTTGTGCAGAAGTTTTAAGTTTCATGTAGTCCCATTTGTCTATTTTTAGTTCTGTTGCCTGTGCTTTTGATGTCATATTCAAGAAATCATTGTCAAATACAATGTCCTTAAGCTTTTCTTTTATGTTTTCTTCTAGGAGTTTTATAGTTTTAGGTCTTGGTTTTAGGCCATTAATCTATTTAACCCATTGTGAATACATACTTTTCTATGGTGTAAGGTAAGGGTCCAAATTTATTATCTAGCTCAGCTCATGATAATTTTATGTCAAAGTTTTTAGTTGCTTCTTAAGCTGCCCAGGTGTCATTCTGAAAAAGATCTATTTTTGTTTTTTTGGTTTTTTTTTTTTTTTTGAGACGGAGTTTTGCTCTTGTTGCCCAGACTGGAGTGCAATGGTGCGATCTCAGCTCACCACAACCTCTGCCTTCCAGATTCAAGCGATTCTCCTGCCTCCGCCTCCCAAGTAACTGGGATTACAGGCATGTGCCACCATGCCCGGCTAATTTTGTGTTTTTAGTAGAGATGGGGTTTCTCCATGTTAATCAGGCTGGTCTCGAACTCCCGACCTTAGGTGATCTGCCCGCCTCAGCCTCCCAAAGTGCTGGGATTACAGGCGTGAGCCACTGTGCCCGGCTTGTTTTTTGGGGGTTTTTTGAGATGGAGTCTCGTGCTGTTGCCACGCTGGAGTGCAGTGGCACGATCTCGGCTCACTGCAACCTCTGCCTCCCGGGTTCAAGCGATTCTCCTGCCTCAGTCTCCTGAGTAGCTGGCATTACAGGCGCCACACAGCTAATTTTAGTATTTTTAGTAGAGATGGGGTTTCACCATGTTGGCCAGGATGGTCTTGATCTCTTGACCTCGTGATCCACCCACCTCGGCCTTCCAAAAAGTGCTGGGATTACAAGCATGAGCCACTGCGCTGGGCCAAGATCTGGTTTATTTTATCATGCCTTCGTTTTTTGTCTTTCTAAGTCCCTTCCTGGTTTGTCTTTTATTTCCCCAATCTAAAATTTTAACCCTCTCGCTCCTATTTTTTCCAGATTATTCACAACAGGAGGGATTTGTGTATACTAGACTCAAGTTTTGCAGTTGAAGAACATGTATACAAATATAATACTAGTAATAATTAGTAGTAGTAAAATAATTGATAGAGCCCATAGAGCTTTCTCAGTGGAGTATATTTTTTTTTGAGTAAGTTTCGTCTGTTTTTCAACTCAGAGGTTTTTCTCAAAATGTGTTGAACATAATTTAACATCTTATATGGAATATAATTTGATATACCACTGGTTTATGAAAATGCCAATTTCACAAGGGTCAATCCAATATATTCATGAAGGAGATGTATCCATCATCATCATCATCATCATCATCATTATCATCTTTTATTAAGCACTATAAGTGCCAAGCATTGTGCTAAGTATCTGATATATTTCTTTGCCTTACCTCTTAGCAACTCCACAGATAGTCCTGGAAAATGTTCAGGGCAAATTATTAGATAGTTATTTGTTTAATGAAGGAAAATTGCCTGCGTAACTATAACTGCCCTTTAAAAATAGATTCTGGTCACTGAAAGTCCATTTTGTTCTCCTGAACATTTTGCGTTGTTCGGGATATACAATGATAGGACTGCATCTCAGTTAGAAAATAAGAGTTGGAAATATTTTGGGGACAGCTTGATTGAGTGAGAACTTAAAGTTCCTTGGGGTAATAAGGTGGGGGATAATGCAACAAGATGTAAAGGGTGGTGGTGAGAAAAAGGAATGAGCAGATGTCACGTGTCTAGGACCTTGAGAGGCATAGAACAGATTCTCGCGATTTGGAGGTCAAAGTAAACAACAACAAAAAAGCATCCAGTACAGTTAGTTTAAAAGAGCTGTCACTAGTTAATAATTACTAAATAAGTTTAAATTATTTTTAAAAATAATTAGATGAAATCATAGAACAATAATTATTGGTTTAGTTATAATAGTTATAAATAACTATAGGCTCAGCAAAGACATAATGTTTAAGTGAAATATGGTGAAATATCATGGCATCTGTAAAAACCACATCTCTAAGCATAGTTAATGAAACCGGAAAAAGTAGAATATTTAGTTGTATAGGCCCAATGAGCCAAATTATAACAGGGAAAACTGGAAGGCTGTACTTCAAAATATTAACAGGCTCTCTGTAGGTCACCAGATCATAAGAGATCATCTTCTTCCTTTTCTGTAGTTTCTAAGTGTTCTACAATGAGTAAGTTTCAGTTCCTTAAGATTATAATTTTTAGAATTTAATTCATAAAGCATCATTTTAATTATAAAAATAACTTTTGAATAATGTAAAATTCACAATTTAGGAATATATGAGTAACTAACAAGTATTATAAAAATGGAATAGTGCAAAGTCAAGTATAAAGAAGCTCTCAGATTTTAGTATGCCAAAAGATCCAAAATTATCTCATGCATTAAGTATTCCATAGCATTAAGCCTTAGAAAATCACTAGAATAATAATCCAGGCTTATAACTAAAATTCCACCAAGAGAGGATAGTTTATAATTCTTAATGAAACCAGTAACAAAATACAGTAACAACATAACAAATCCCAAAATAAATACAAATCTTTATCTAAATTAGCATTTTCTCTAACCATTTAACATACCTAGTCTAGATCAAAGACTCACAGCCTAAAGAGGGGTGGCAAAATTATTACAAATACTACAAATACATATGGTCATCTAACACTGTGTGTAATCTGAAAAATACCACACATATGCACTATTGTTTTCTAAATATATGTTGATGATATGGAGAATAGCAAAACACAATTATATTTAAAAGTTTTACCAAGTTCACATAGGTAATATATCTTCATGTTCCTAATCAATGTGTATTATGTGGGAATTCGGCTATGTTTTCAACACTGGATGTGTGCAACCTCTACAAAAAACAGTAAAAACCATATTTTGATACAATCCGGGAAATCAGTTATTAATTGAATATTATATGGGACCAAGAACAATTTTTAATTTTGTTAAGTGTTATGATGTCATTGTGGTTATGTTAAAACATTGTTATGTAGAGGTGAAATAATATAAGATTTGCTTTCAAATATTTCAGCAAAAAAAAAAGGAAAAAGTGATAGGCAAGCAAATATAAACTATTGATAGTTTTTGAATCTGAGTAATGGTTATATCAAGGTTATATGGTACTATTTACTCTACCTTATGAATGTTTATAATTGTTCTTTGATATTAGAAAACTTGAAACTGGGTCATTATACTGAAATCTTGGTGACTATTGAATTAGGTAACTTTTAAAAACATAGCAAATAATGTTTTAAGAAAAAGAAGTGGGAAAAACTGTTCAATATTTTTTTCTCAAAAGGGTTATCTCAATTTTTAAGGTACCTTTTAACCTGTTGGTAGCTCCTGTATTAATATCAAGATACAGTTCACATGACCAAGGAGCCAGGTTATCAAGAGTGTATATTCTACTCCTATACCTTGTGCATAGTCAATTTCTGGGCACAGAGCTAAACATTTCAAAACAGCAATAAAAGGAACAACCTTGGGTGATTCCTTTCATACTCCCCAAAGAAGATTAGGAAGGATAAGAATCATCACTAGGAAAGGGCTGAATGAGAATATATCTTATTCCTCAGGTATTAATAAAATATTGGTCTCAGAAACACAGGATTATAATTTTTGTAAGAAGTAAACCAACTTAGATAATTGTAACAAATCCCAGTAGGCAAAGGGTTTATAATTTTTGGAAGTAAAACTGCCCATTTAGAAAACTAGAATTGATTCTGTTCAAATAATTGTACCCACAGAGTAAGCACAGTCAACAAGTTTACCAAGATCAGACACCAGCACTCAGATAAACAATCTAAAAATATTCAATTCTGCTGGGGGATGGAGGGGAGAAGAAAGAAGCAAAGACAAAACTACAGGTATTTAATTTGAGTTTTACTATATTACAATTGTTACTTGTGCCTAATCAGAAATATATCTTGAGGTCTAAAAGTTTTAGAGTAATTATCATTTTTAAAATAAAAATGATAAAAATGGCTCTCCCAAAAAGCCATGAAGTGGCATCTATGATTTTCTACTTCACCCACCTAGATAACCCACCATCAGAAATCAGTCATCATTCTCACTGCTGACCACCAAACCTAGATTTTCCTCCAAAATATAGCACACCTGAGACTTATGGACAAAATGAACTTATAGCTTGAGTTACATGTTATAATATTCCAGGGTGCCTCTTTTTAATTCCATTTTGTATACTAAACTAAACACTATGGAACATTTTCCTAATTGGGGTATTGTTTCTTCTTATTTTTAATTTGTTTAAGCTCCTGACAGCCCATCTCAAACAGAAACTTAAAGGCTAGCCATGTAAGTGAATATAAATGAATTGACCTGGTCTCAGTTTATCTACAATTCATTTATTACAATGTACCTCAATCACTCATCAATTCATCCATTTACTCAGCAAAATATTGATAAATCACCTTTAAAAAACACCACAGGCACATCCTGTGCTAAGTACTAATAATACAAAAATAAATAAGAAGACATGGTCTCTGCTTTTAAGGGGCTCTAATAACAAATGAAAACAGTAGATACAAAAACAACTAACAAAACTCCAACAAGGGCTATAGTAGAGACATAAACAGAAGTGATTTCAGAGAACATAATGAGAATGTATTGTGAACTAGTTCATCTCAAATTAATTAAAATAATAATTGTAGGATTCTGGAATTGTGTATGGGTCTCCAAGCTACAAAGAGGGAGAGGATGTGCAGGTGGAGAAAAGCAGACTAATTTTCAAAATACTTTACTGCATCATTCAACCCAGTGTTCTGGGGATCTTTGGGCTCTGAACCAACTTGAATTGGGGATATGATTTTCATTTGCAGGATGTCAGTTTCCTATACAGTGGCATAGGCCATGAGCATGCCAAACCAAACAACAAACAAACAAACATAAAACACGGTGGGTGTGGAAACTTGGCTCTGTGAATTTCTTCCATACTTGCATTTATTAGGGCAGCTGCTCTTTCAGTCTCTGATTCACTTTGCTTCAGATCCCAGTCCCTTTTGGTTTTCTCTATTTGGATTTAATAACTGAGTCCTGGATCCTTTAATGCTAAATAATAGGCTGCATAGGGCACTGCCTCTGGTTATTACTTTGTCCATTACAACTATGCCCTAATACCAGGCCCAGGCCTGGGGATACTGCTGGCCACTTAACCCTTGGGGTAGAGGGAGGGAGATGCCACCCCATGACACTGCCACACCCAGAGCTTACACTTGGCATAGTTACACCTTTTCCAGCACTGACCACTCTCCCTGCATTTTGCATCCTCTCATTCCTGTTGCAATGTCCAGAGCCCTCATGATGCTTCCTTGCTCTCTGCTTCACATAATTCTTCATTCTCCCCAACCAGCGTTTTCTGAACAGTACCCAACATTCCAGACTTTTCCCACCCCCTCTTCCAGTTTCTGATCCTCATTTAAGTGAATGCCTCATCCTACCAAGGATTCAGTTTCTGCAGAGGAAAGTTGACTCATCTATAAGTCTCTAAGCAAATAGAAAATAAAATAAGTTTTAAAACAACAGATTGAAATCTCTGCCACCGAGGGCTCAACACGACCCTTTATGTAGCAGCGCGGGGCGCAGAAGGAATTCAGGGACCCTTTTCCCACTTGCAGTGACTTTTGATGCATGTGTTTCAGTAGCTTCTGGAGATGGGCTACGTGGAAATACAGAACGATTCTCAAGTAGATTTGAGACAACTCCGAGGAGTCTGAGAAATTTGGGGGAAGAATTTGAACTTGCCTGCAATTCCCAAGCAGTAGAGGAAGTTGGTCGGATGATTACTTGCAGGTTCGTGTTGTCTGTGAAAAAAACAAGTTTGATTAAATAATCAGCAAAACCTGGATAGTCAGAAAAGACTTGAGAGCAAGTGAGAAAATTCCAAGTATCCCCTCCATCTTTCTTTTAGTACCTAACACAGTACATGACACATAGAAGGAGCACCACAGATATCTGTTCGATTACACCCTGATTGCACTTACTGCTCTCTGAGGCCAAAAGATATAGGGTCGAACGTTTTGAGCAGAAAATAACTGGCTCAAGGCTGAGGAAAAACAACAGTAACACGAACCATAACAACAAAATCTACGCTGGGAGCGGTGGCTCACACCTGTAATCCCAGCACATTGGGAGACAGAGGCATGCGGATCACATGAGGCCAGGAGTTCGAGATTAGTCTGGCCAACATGGTGAAACCCTGTCTCTACTAAAAATACAAAAAAAAAAAAAAAAAAAAAATTTAGCTGGGCGTGGTGGCACACGCCTGTAATCCCAGCTACTGGGAAGACTGAGGCAGGAGAATCGCTTAAACCTGGGAAGCGGAGGTTACTGTGAGCCGAGATCGCGCATGGCACTCCAGCTTGGGCAACAGAGCGAAACTCCGTCTCAAAACAACAACAAAAACCTAAGGAGTGAGATAAGAATAAAGACGTTTCTTTATTCCTCATAAGAACCCCTCACCAGGTCCTTCCCTAGAAATAAGCTAATTATTGTTAAAATTTATTCAGTTAAAGGAAAAAACGCCATCAATCCTTTTCTTTCCTCCTTCCCTTCATTATTCAGGTTTCTGAAAGTCTTCCCACTGGCAATACCTCAGAAGGACACCAGAGGACGATGTATTTTAACTGTTCGGATTCTCTCTAAAACCCCATCTTTCTTTTTCAGAGTCTCAAATCTCAACTGACAAATTAACCTAAGAACTATTCCACGAAATAAAGTAGAAGCAGCATGCCTTGTAGAGAAGCCGTGGTATAATGTATTATACTTTAATATTAATATTGTATTTTACACAGAATTTCTGCGAACTGCATGAATACTGATGATTCCAAGCCTAAACAAGAGGGGGAGTACAATCACAACACTCTGGAGATTAGGTGCTTAAAGCTTTCGAAAACGGCAGCCCGCTTTGTTACTGTGGCCGGTTCCTGGCTGGGAACAGGCTCCTTTTCGGCACTACCTACTTGATACGTGTGATGTTGTCACAAACATCTAGAAAAAACATTAGTTCTCAGGAAAAGAATAACAGGAGACACGTATATTGCCATATGAAAACAAGTATACATACGTGTGTATGCATGTGTATATTTGTACAAATTATGACCCCCTCGAAAACCTATGATCAGTGTCTCAAATATTAACATTACAGATAGTATTCCATCATTCCTGACTGCAACTGACAGGAGTTTCACTGAGAAGTGAGGATCGGAGCTTTGGTGACTCAGCTCTTTGTAGTCACCCCAGCAGGGTGTGTCATATGAGGGCCACGGAGCATGCATCATCCTGAGGAAGGTGTTTAAAACCAGCTCCCCTCGATGAGACAATCTCAGCGCTCCCTCTAGCTAAACCTGGCCTTATTGCCCTAACTCTAGTACACCAGATTTAAATATGCTTCACATAAAATACATTTGTCAAAAAGTACTAGAAATTAAGCACTTAGAAGCAACATCCAACTTATTAATGAAACTATAATTTTTCCTCAATATCTCAGCAATGATGAAGTAAACTAACTTTAGGGTAGACGTTAAAGCGTTATTTGCCATACATTTTTGCAATTCTAGCCCTCTTTAAACCTACTTGCAGAAAGTTATTAGCCCCAATGTCCATAAAATCCTTCTAAAAGAAGCTAATTCTTCTTCCCCAGCACCCAAAGTTGTTTGTGTTTTCTGTGAAGATATATTTAATATTCAGAAATTACTCTGTGACTTGCAAAATACAACTGACTCAAAATATATAAGTAGTGGGAGGGATTCTAACCTATAAATAAAAACCTCTTAAGTCTCAAAACATTTTAAGTAATTTTAAAACATTTTAAAATTTTAGAAAATAATTTATTGAATTAAAATAGTCAGCAATTACTGGTTATTACTAACATGAGCAAAATCACTGACAATTCAACTAAATTAAATCTATGAAAATCTGGGATTTAAGAATAATGTATTTATAATTTCTACAGAGGACAAGCCATAAATATTTTAACTTGAGAGTCTCGCATATATACACATTGTGAGCTAAATTAATCAAAACACTTGCTTAAAAAATTAACTATGCTTGAGGTGTCATGGTAGAGATCATATTTTAATGTATCAGAAAGAGATTTGATGCTTGACTAATTTCATTTAAGTGCATATTTCTTGATTATCATCCAACATCCCAGAATCTTATTTCCCTCATCTGAACCAACAATTAGAAATAGAGCAAATATTATTAGACAACATCCATGAAAATATATTCAACTTCATTACCAAAGAAATGCAAATTACAATCTATATAAGAAAAATATAAAAATAATGAAGTATTTTTAAATCAATAAAATATATAGTTTTAATGAGCACATGATGAAACTAGTATATTCATACATTGCTAGTTTTAATAAATATTAAAGCAAGTCATTTTGTAAAACAATTTTGCAGCATAGTTCAAAATATAGGATTCCATTCATTCGGAAAATCCAGAAGTAATAACTGAGCACCTCCAATTCACCGATTTAGGGACTGGAAATGCAATGACCAGCGTAAAGTGACACACCATCCCCGTGCTCATATTGCTTGCTGTTCGGTATTATTTTAAATTGAAAGGAAATAGTTGTATGCAGGTGACTATTCTCTGATATTCTCTGAACATAATTTAAATGCCTAACAGTTGGAAAGGCAACAATTAAATTTTAGCTTATCAATATCCTGTAAAACTATATAACCAATAAAATGAGAATTATGAACAAAGCAATTAGAAAAATGTTTCTGACATAGTATTTGCTGAATGAAAAATAGGAATTGATAATGTGTCATGCATGTAAAAAATAACATGTATAGAAAAAGTCTGGAAAGGAACATTAGAAGAATTTGATGAATTCAATATTTTATATCATGTTCTCCATTACTTTTTGTCACAACAGTTTTATATAATCATTTGAAAGTATTAGTAACTGAGAAAAATAACGTCTTTTCTATAGTGGACATCATAAAACTTACTGTGGCTATCTCACACAATTGTAAATATCTAATGTGTTTCCTGAATTAAGTTTCATAAGAATTCTGTATAGTTTATGAAAAATTTAATTTTGATTGTTTTTTGGAAACCATTTAATCTGTGAGATAATTTTTTGCTACTTACATTAATCTAAACATACTTTATATATCATATCTTTCTATTATTCCCTTATTTGATATTATTAGTTTCCTGGGGCCAAATGAGTTTGGAAATGCTAAACTAATAATGTAAAAGTACTTTGAAACCTGTAAAATGCTTCGTAAATGAAAGATTCTATTATTGTAATGAATGGCTCCTTGATTCATCTTGTTGGGTTTTTTTTTTTTTGTTTCTACTAAGAGGGTTGCCTTAATAAGATTTTTATCTTGAAAAATCTTTCTTCTGTTCCTTCTCCTTATGAGTAAGAAAGATTGACTTTCCCGAAGGGATGTGAAGACATAGTTGGTTTATTGTGTTTAAAACACTTAGAGAAGACTGATAAAGTAAGCCCTTACACCATGAGAATGGTAAAATATCATGCTCACAGGGTGAGCCACACACATCACACACTGTGACATTGCCTGAACCTAGACAACACGGGAAAAGCCATTTTTCTGCAATTCCTGAGCAGAAACAGAACATCTGAAGTTAGAAGGAAGATGTGTGCAAGGTGGAGGGTGCAGTGGGATCACACAACCCCTATCTTCAGCGTTTCAGAATGAGAGAGAGGAATTTTAATTGAAGGGATAATGAAAGTTTTGTTTTCTATGTTTTCTGTTTATGTTGTATTTGTTTAGCTACTTCTTTTTTCCTACAATAAAAAGCTGAGGCAGGAGGTTACTAAGGATATGGGAAGTTGTGATTTGAGAGGAGAAGAACCCGCAGAGCTGACAAGGAGACCTGAGCAGACTGGAGAAGGAACTTAAAGGAGGAGACTCAACTCCTTAAGAACCACTAAAAACAACCCACATGACATAACTTGTCCTATGACTATAGAAGAAATTGAAGTTATAGTTTAAAACTATCTGAAAAAGAAACTCCTGGCCTACATGGTTACACCAATAGATTCTACTAAATATTTGTGAAGAAATACAATTCTGGGCTGGGCGCAGTGGCTCACGCCTGTAATCCCAGCACTTTGGGAAGCCAAGGCGGGTGGATCACCTGAGGTCAGGAGTTCAAGACCAGCCTGGCCAATATGGTGAAACCCCATCTCTATTAAAAAAAAAAAAAGTACAAAAATTATCCAGGCATATTGGCGCACGCTTGTAATCCCAGCTACTTGGGAGGCTGAGGCATGAGAATTGTTTGAGCCCAGGAGGCAGAAGTTGCAGTAAGCTGAGATTGTGCCACTGCACTCCAGCCTGGGCGAGACTCTGTCTCAAAAAAGAAAAAAAAAAAAAAGAAAGAAAGAAAGAAAAGAAAAGGAAAGACAATTCTGCACACTCTTCCAGGATATAGAAGAAGCCTAATGCTTTATATGAAAGTTAACACAAAATGAATAAGAGATCTAAATATAAAACATGAAACTATAAAACTAGTTTTGGCTTTCAGTCAGCTATAACTAAATGTACTATAACTAAACATTCTATAACTAAACATTCTTCCCTTCAAGTCACTTCTTTTTGAACCCATTTTTTAATCTATAAATTGGAAGACTAACACCTCTTAAATTGTTACCTGGAAATTATTGCAAATATCAAAAGAAAAAGTATATGCAAACTATTATTATTATTCTCTGATAACATTCCCTAATCTTTAATTAGGTCAGATGCATCAATCAGATATTAATAAAGAGTATATTTCATGTAGTTTTGAGTTCTTGAGGAATACCAGAATTCAGGGAAAGAAATTTGTCAAATCTAGATGATTTGCCAAGTCTAGATGACTGAATTAACAGTAATAAGTGGCCCTATATTTTTAGAACGGATTGTCCTCAGTGTATGTTGAATAAAATCAAATATATTTTCTTTTGTATTCTTTATGGTTATGTACACCTGATTGGTATACTCTTATAAAGGGACTTCTAAATTTATTATTATGACCTATGTTATTAGACCTAGTGGGTCAAAAGAAGGAGGCATAGGCGGGGCACAGTGGCTCACGCCTGTAATCCCAGACTTTGGGAGGCCGAGGCGGGTGGATCACGAGGTCAGGAGATCGAGACCATCCTGGCTAACACGGTGAAACCCCGTCTCTACTAAAAATACAAAAAAATTAGCCGGGCGTGGTGGCGGGCGCCTGTAGTCCCAGCTACTCGGGAGGCTGAGGCAGGAGAATGGCGTGAACCCCGGGGGGCGGAGCCTGCAGTGAGCCAAGATCGCACCACTGCACTCTAGCCTGGGTGACAGCGAGACATCGTCTCAAAAAAAAAAAAAAAAAAAAAGGAAGGAGGCATATAGCTGTGAAGAAAGATCATTCCGAAGTGTTTAAAAAGCTGTAGTTTGCTGGAGAGCAAGGGAATCTAGCTAAAGCCTCTTAGAAAAATTCAAAGGATGATAAGACTTCCGCTTCCAGAAAGATGAAGTAGATGTACTTTTCTGTATTTCTCCCTCTAAGAAAAACTAACTAAAATCCCTGGAAATTGTATGTAAAACAAAACAAGAAGATCCTGAAAGAAGAAAGCAGATTAGTCAGAAACCTCAGGACTGGAAAATTGACATGTTGGTGAGTTACCTGTTTGTTTGTTTGATTTCTGGCTCATATATTCTAAACTGGATTCAGGAGAAGCCGGAAATGCTAATAAGCATGAACAAAAAAGCTCTGAATATAGCCTGTGTTCCCCAGCCAAAAGGCCAAGAGAAGGTCAGTCTAGCAAGACAAAAAACTTTTAGAAAATAACTGCTCTTCTGTATCTAAACACCACACACACACACACACACACACACACACACACACACACACACAGACACCCCTGTGATCTCTCCCCAACCCATGACAGAAAAAACAAAGATCAGAAGAGACCTAGTGGGGAGCAAAAACTCTGACCCTCACTCAGTAGTAACAAGCAGCCCCCTTCTCCTTGGGTGTCAATAGAAACTGAGTGGAGATCCTGGACTTCTACCACAACCTGGCAGTAGATAGGCAGTATCTGTCACTTCCTCTGCCAGACAGTGTTAGAGGAAGCCAGCTTAAAAAAAAAAAAGGTTTAAAGATGATTCAGAGTCTCATAATCTAATATCCAAAATGTCTAGATTTCAATTAAAACATGTGTCATACTATAAACTAAAAGATCTCAAACTCAATAAAAAAGACAATCAGAGATGAATTATCTCTCAAAGATTTTAAAGCAGCTATGATAAAGTGCTTCAACAAAAAAATATAAATGTGCTTGAAACAAATGAAAAAATAGAAAATGTCAGCAAAGAAATAGAAAGTTTCACTCAGCAAAAAAATAAAGAAGAAGAAGAACTCCGTGGAAATTTTAGAAATAAAAAAAAAGAAAACACAGCAAAAGAAGAAGAAGAAGAGAAGGAGTAGGAGAAGAAGAGGAAAGAAGAAGAAGGAGAAGGAGAAGAAGAAAAGAAGAAGAAGAAGAAGAAGAAGAAGAAGAAGAAGAAGAAGAAGAAGAAGAAGAAGAAGACCCCCCAGCAATTTGAGAGGTCAAAGAGGGAGGATCACTTGATCCCCGGAGTTGGAGACCAACATGGTTAAAATGGGAAGAGAAATAATTAGCCAGGCATGGTTGCACATGCCTGTGATCCTAACTACACAGGAGGCTAAGGTGAGAGGATCGCTTCAGCTGGGGAGAGGTAGAAGCTGCAGTGAGCCATGAGTATGTCACTGTACTCCAGCCTGGGCAACAGAGCAAGATCTTGTCTCAGAAGGGTACATAGGTATGATTCCATTTATATAGCATTCTTAAATCCCAAAATTTTAGAAACGGGAAACATATTAATGGTTGACAGAGTTAAAGAATGGAATGGAAAGGGTAGCATGAGGGATCTCTACGCTGATGGAAATATTCTGTATCTCGACTCTGTCAAATTAAATAACCTGATTGTAATATTGTATTATAGTTTTGCAATGTGTTACCATTGGGGAAAATTGGGTAAAGGTTACAGGAGCTCTGTCTGTATAATTTTTCAAAACTGCATATGAAGCTATCATTATCTGAAAGGAAAAAGTTTAATTAAAGGACAAAGCATTCAAGCTAATATAATATTATTTTCTCTTAACAAATTATGAACAACTTTATGCCAACACACTTGACAACTTAATTGTAATGAACAATTCCTTGAAAGACAAAATTTACCATACCTGAGGCAAGAAGATATAGAAAATATAAGTAGCCCTGGGACTATTTTTTAAAAACTGAATTCATAGTCAAAAGCCTTCCCACAAGGAAAACTCTACAACCAGGTAGATCGTTTGGTTAGTTCTATGAAGCATTTGAGAAAGAAGTAATACTAATGTTACAAAACTTTCTTTGAAACAATAGTGTAGGAAGACTCTTACTCAACTTACAATGTCAGCATAACTCTAATATCAAAACCCAACAAGAACATTATAAGAAACACAATTATTACCAAATTGAATCCAGTAATATGTAATATCTAAAAGGACAAAGCATAATAACCAAATAGGGTTTATCCCTAGTGATACTGTTTGGCTCAGTGTCCCTACCCAAATCTCATCTCAAATTACAATCCACACATGCTGAGGGAGGGGTGTGGTGGGGGGTGATTGGCTAATGGGGGCGGTTTCCCCCATGCTATTCTTGTGATAGTGAGTGAATTCTCATGAGATCTGGTGGTTTAAAGGTGTGTGACAATTCCCCCGACCCCAGGCTGCCATGTAAGATGTGTCTTGCTTCCCCGTTGCCTTCTGCCATGATTGCAAGTTTCCTGAGGCCTCCCCAGCCACGTGGAACTATGAGTCAATGCAACCTTTTTTCTTTATAAATTACCCAGTCTCAGGTAATCCTTTATAGCAGTGTGAAAACAGGCTAATACACCTAGAATGTAAGACTGTTGTAATATTCTTCTAATACTTAAAAAAGCACAGACGCCTCCATGGTTGAAGCCTGGTGCTTGCAGGGATGTTGGGGACCAGGATGAGAGAACTCTCCTGATCTATTGGTTGAGGACCTTCATCCAGAAGTCTCTGCCTGAAAACCAAGAGGGGAGGAAACTGGAGTCTAGTTATGGGAACGCTGCTACCCTTCAGGGAAGATGTGAAATAAGATCCATTTTTGGAGTTATTTATTCTGATTTTTGAGAGTGTCAAATGTAGTTTTCAAATACATAATCTTTTGAATGTTATCAGCTTCTACTCTTCCAAGAAAGAGGTTGGTTTAGTTCATTATTTAGAGCAGTGCGATTATTCCGTACATCAACTTGTTTCTGGTTCCTTCCAGCAGGAATTTCTCCCATACCTTGACCTGTGCTCCACTTTCCCATGGACTACAAAGCCAACTGCTATTTGATAAGATGGAACCTTCCTCCCTGAGACATAGGCCCAGAAGAAAAATTTTAGTTAGCCAGTTAAATGACCATTCAGTGCTATAAACATCAGGAAAATGGAACCTTCTAAAGAATTGCTAAAGCTTTGTTGTTGCAATTCCAGCTTCTCTCTGCCTAAGCTGTTTTACCCCAGGATTCAGATCTATCTGGGTAGTTGGAAGCCTGAGGGACAGAGAACCCCTATGGGAAAAAAAATAACTCATTCTAAGGAAATGATAAAGTACAGTAAGACCATGGAAGTGGAAATATTTTTTTTTATTTTAGTCCCTAAGATGGTCCTTCTGTCTGGTCCCTGTGATCCAGTATTAGAATTTTTTAAAAAATCTAATTTTTTTAAAAAAATTTTAGTATTAGAAAATTAAAAAATTTTAGTATTAGAATTTAAAAAAAAATTCTAATACTGGATCACAGGAACCGGACAGAAGGACCATCTTAGGGACTAAAATAAAAAAAAGATTTCCACTTCCATGGTCTTACTGCACTTTATCATTTCCTTAGAATGAGTTTTTTTTCCCCATAGGGGTTCTCTGTATAGACTGGATTAAGAAAATGTGGCACATATACACCACAGAATACTATGCAGCCATAAAAAATGATGAGTTCATGTCCTTTGTAGGGACATGGATGAAGCTGGAAACCATTATTCTCAGCAAACTATTGCAAGGATAAAAAACCAAACACCGCATGTTCTCACTCATAGGTGGGAATTGAACAATGAGAGCACATGGACACAAGAAGGGGAACATCACACACCAGGGCCTGTTGTGGGGTGGGTGGAGGGGGGAGGGATAGCATTAGGAGATATACCTAATGTTAAATGAAGAGTTAATGGGTGCAACACACCAACATGGCACATGTATAGATATGTAACAAACCTGCACATTGTGCACATGTACCCTAAAACTTAAAGTATAATAAAAAAATTATAAAGAAACATATTCTTCATTTCATTTAAATTAGAATATCTACAAGAACTGGAGATCACCAAGAAGCTCTGCTTTGTAGGCTGCTTTGTAGTGCAGGGGTAGTGAAAAGGCTGTGTTGAAGCCAGGTGAAACACAGGTGGGCACTACCCCGAGAATGGATCTAGATCAACCAACACCAACAGGCAGAGAAAGAGAAAGCATCAGATTACTGCATGAGTGGCAGGCATCACTTGGCAGCCAGAGCTATAGAACAGAAACATGAGAGATGGCTGTAGAGCAAAAATAGAAATGTGATCATGGAGAAGCAACATTAAGAGGCAAGCATAGGAAGGATTCCAGGAAGATGGCAGAGTAGGAAGCACCAGGAATCTGTCTTCCTACTTAGACAACAATTGCACTGGCAGAATCTGATATAACTATTTGGGAACTCTGAACTCTACTGAAGGTTTACAACTTCCTGAAGAAGGCTTAGACAGTAAATTGTGATTAATTTCAGTCAATTTTGTTTCTTAGTATGAAGAGAGAATCTTGAAACCAGCAAGAGAGAAGCAACTTGTTACATACACAAGATTCACAATAAGATCATCAGCAAATTTTTCGTCAGATACTTTGAAGGCCAGTGTTATAAGAAAAAAAATCTGCCAACAAAAATTCTATATCTGGCAAAATTTTCATTCAATAGTAAAGGAGAAATTAAGACATTCTCAAATAAACAAAAACTTAAGGAGTTTATTCCCATTAGCTCGGCCCCCAGCAAATGCTCAAGGAAGTTATTCAGGGTTAAATGAAAGGACATTAAACTACCTCAATGCCAGGTGAAGAAATAAAGATCTTAATAAAGGTAAATACATGGGCAATTATAAAAGCTAATATTATTGCGACTTTAGCTTGGAGCTCCACCTTTTGTTTCCTAGGTGATTCAAGAGACTAATACATTTTTTTTAAAGTATTAGTCTAAAAGTTAGGGCCAGGCGTGGTGGTTCACACCTGTAATCCTAGCACTTTGGGAGGCTGAGGTGGGCAGAACATGAGGTCAGGAGATCGAGACCATCCTGGCTAACACGGTGAAACTCCGTCTGTACTAAAAATACAAAAAATTAGCCAGGAATGGTGGCACACACCTGTAGTCCCAACTACTTGGGAGGCTGAGGCAGGAGAATCGCTTGAACTTGGGAGGCAGAGTATGCAGTGAGCTGAGATTGTGCCACTGCACTCCAGCCTGGGCGACAGAGCAAGACTCCATCTCAAAAAAAAAAAAAAAAAAAAAAGTTAGTGTTACTGTAACTTTGATTTGTAATTCCACATTTTGTTTTCTACATAATTTAGGAGACTAATGTATTTAGAGGGATGATTGGCTTGTGTTTTGGAGCACATCATATATAAAGGCACAATTTTCTGATATCAGTAACCAAAAATGGTGGAGATGAAGCTGTAAAGGAATAGAATTTGTGTACATTATTAAATGACAGCTAATATGAATTCAAGTTAGACAGTTATAACTTTAGGATATTATATGTAATTCCTATGGTAATCACAAAAAAATCTACAGAATATATACAAAAGGAAATGAGAAGGGAATTAAAATATTTCACTTAAAAAAAACTAAACACAAAAGAAGACAGCAACATGGGAAATGGGGAACAAAAAAACTACAAGGCATATAGAAAACAAAGAGCAAAATGACAGAAGTCCCTCCTTATCAGTAATTACTTTAAATGTAAATGGATTAAGCACCCCAATCATAAAACAAAGATTGTCAGACTGGAAAAAATCACATGATCCAATTCTATGCTGTCTGCAAGAGACTCACTTTAGATACAAAGACACAAATAGCTTGAAAATGAAAGGATGGAAAAAGATATTCCACGTAAATAGTAACTTAAAGAGAGCAGGGGTGGCTATACTAATATCAGGAAAGATAGACTTTAAATAAAAATGGTTACAAGAGACAAAGAAAGACATTATAGATATTAACAAAAATGTCAATACAGCAAGAAGAAAAAACAGGAACATTTACATACCTAATGACAGACCTAATGGCATTAAATTATACCAAGCAAAGCATATCAGAATTGAAAGGAGAAATAGACAGTTCTACAGTAATAGTTGGAAACTTCAACACCCCACTTTTAATAATAAATAGAACAAACAGAAAATAAGTATCAAAATAGAGAACACAATAAGCCAACTAGATTTAGCAGATAGATACAGAATATTCTACCCCAAACAACAGCATACACATTCTTCTTAAGTGCACAAGGGACTTTTTCTAGGATAGAAAATATATTAGGCCACAAATTAAGTTGCAATCAATTTAATAAGACAGATATCATATAAAATAGCTGATCCCGATGCATTAAATTTAGAAATCAATAACAGAAGTAAAACTGGAAACTTCACAATTTTGTGGAAATTAATCAACACTTTTTTTTTTTTTTTTTTTTTTTTGAGATGGAGTCTTGCTCTTATTGCCCAGGCTGGAGTGCAGTGGTGCGATCTTGGCTCACTGCAACCTCCGGCTTCTGGGTTCAAGCAATTCTCCTGCCTCAGCCTCTGGAGTAGCTAGGATTACACATGCCCGGCACCAAGCCCGGCTGACTTTTTTTGTATTTTTAGTAGAGGCAGGGTTTCACCATGTTGGCCAGGCTGGTCTCAAGCTCCTCACCTCAGGTGATCTGCCTGCCACTGCCTCCCAAAGTGCTGGGATTACAGGCGTGAGCCACTGCGCCCAGCCACAAGACATTTTTTAACAATGAAAGTCTCAAAGGAGAAATCATGAGGGAAATTAGGAATACTCAGAGATAAATAAGAGCAAAACACAACTTGCCAAAACTTATGCAGTGGAGTGAAAACAGTGCTAATGGATAAATTTAAACACATTAAAAAACAAAAAGATCTCAAATCAATGACCTAACTTTACAACTGAAAGAACAAGAAAAAGAACAAATTAAACTCAAAGCTAGCAGAAGGAAGGGAATAATAAAGATTAGAGCAAAGACCAAAAAGATAATAGAAAAACAATACAGGAAATTAATAAACCCAAAAGTTAGTTCTTTGAAAAGATCAACAAAATTGACAAACCTTTAGCTAGATTGACTAAGAACAAAAGACAAGAAGTAAATTACTAAAATCACAAATGAAAATAGGAATATTACTATCAATTCTACAGAAATGAAAAAAGATTATAAGAGAGTAGGTATTAGGATCAATTGTATTCCAACAAATTGGATAATCGAGATGAAATAGACAAATATCAAGAAATACAAAATTTACCAAGACTAAATAATGAAGAAATCGAAAATACAAATAGTACTACAACTAGTAAGGAGATTGGTCAGCAAGCAAAATTCTCCTGGCATAGAACAGTCAGCCTGGACCTAATGACTTCACTGGTTAATTCTATCAAACATTTAAAGAACTAAAACCAATCCTTCTCAAACTTTTCAAAAAAGTTGAAGAGAAAAAAACACTTCCTACTCATCAGGAACTAATTTTGAGGCCAGCATTACCCTAATATCAATGCCAGACAAGATTGCTATAAGGAAAGAAAACTACAGACTAATATCCCTATGAACATTGATGTAAAAATCCTCAACAAAATACTAGCAAATTAAATTCAATGACATATTTAAAGCATTATACACTATGACCAAGTGAGATTTATTCCCAAAATGCAAGGATGGTTCTAAATACAAAAACTAATCAATGTAGTAATATACCACATTAACAGAATGAAGGGGGAAAAACTTTTATGATAATCTCACTTGAGGCAGAAAAAGCCTCTGACAAAATCCAACACTCTTTTATGATAAAAAAAAAAAACTAAACAAACAAGAAATAGAAGAAAACAACTTCAACATAATAAAGGTCATGTATAAAAAAAAAACACAGAAAACATCATACCCAGTGATGAAAAACTGAAAGGTTTTCCTCTAAGATCAGAAATAAGACAGAGATGTTCACTTTTGTCACTTCTACTCAACATAGTACTGGAAGTCCCAGCCAGAGCAATTAGGCAAGAAAAAGAAATAAAACACATCCAGGTGGAAAAGGAAGCAGTAAACATTTGAATTAGTTGTGTTTGTAGATAATATCCTATATGTAGAAAACTAAATATTCTACAAAAAACCCTGTTAGAGCTAATAAATGAATTCAGCAAAGCATCAAGAAACAAAGTCAATTCAAATAATTAGTTGCATTTCTGTACACTAAAAATGAACAATTTGAAAATGAAATTACTAAAATTTGTGTACAATACCATCAAAAAGAATAAAATACTTAGGAATTAACTTTACCAAGGAGGTGAAAGATTTGTACAATGAAAATACAAAACATTGCTGAAAGAAATTAAAGAAGACATTAATAAGTGGTACTACATCTTACATTCATGGACTGGAAGGCTTAATATTGTTGTCAATATTACACAAAAAGATCTACAGATTCAAGGCAGTCCTTATCAAAATCCCAAGTATTTTTTTTCAGAAATAAAAACCCATCCTAAAATTCATGCGTAATGTCCAGGGACCCCAAATATCAAAACAATATTTAAAAAGAGGAACAAAGCTAGAAGACTTACATTTTCTGATTTCAAAATGTGCTGCAAAGCAACAGTAATCAAAATAGTGTGGAACAGGCATAAAGACATACATAGAGATAAGTGAAATAGAATAGAGAACTCAGAAATAACCCTCACATACATAATTAAATGATTTTTGACAAGTATGCTAAGACTAATCAGTGAGGAAAAGAGTATTTTTAACAAATGGTGCTGGGAAAAACTGGATAACTGCATGCAAAAGAGTGGTGGTGGACCCTTACCTAACAACATATACAAAAACAAGCACAAAATGGATCAAAGATCTACATGTAAGAACCAAAACTATGGCAATCTTAGAAAGAAACACAGGGCAGAAGCCTTACAATATTGAGTTTGACAATGATTTCTTGGATATGAACCAAAGCCATAGGCAACAACAACAAAAATAGACAAATTGAACCTCATAAAAACTGAAAAACGTGTATCAAAAGACAATATCAACAGTTAAAAGGCAACATACAGAATGAGAGAAAATATTGCAAATCATGCTTCTGATAAGAGATTATCATCCAGAATAATATAGAGAACTCCTCCAACTCAACAACAGAGAAACAAACAATCCAATTCGAAAATGGGAAAGAACTTGATTAGACATTTATCCAAAGAAGATATACAAATAAACAATAAGCACATAAAAAGATGTTCAACATCACTAATCATTAGGAAAATGCAAATCAAGACTACAATGAGATACCACCTAATACCCATTAGGATGCTATAATCAAAAAGATTCAGAAAATAAGTATTGGTGAGGATGGGAAGAAATCTGAACTCTTGTGCACCGTCAATGAAAATCTAAAATGGAACCATTGCTGTAGGACGCATTATGACAATTCCCCCCAAAATTAAAAATGGAATTACCATATGATCCAGCAATTCCACATCTGGGTATATACACAAAAGAATTGAAAGCAGGGTCTTGATATTTGTACGTCCATGCTCATAGCAACATTATTCACAATAGCTAAAACATGGAAGCAATCCAAGTGTCAACCCACAGATTAATGGATAAGCAAAATGTGGTATATACACAATGGAATATTATTCAGCCTTAAAAAAGAAGGAGCCCTGAGGAAATGATGCTGCATGAAATAAACCAGTTGCAAAAAGATAAATACTTTATGTTTCCACTTATATGAGATACTTAAAGTAGTAAAAATCATAAAGACAAGAAGTAGAATGGTGATTTCCAGGGCATGGGAGGAGAGGGGAGGGGTTCTTATTTAATGGGTATAGAGCTTTAGTTTTACAAAATGAAAAGAGTTGTGGAGATGCATAATGGTATTGATTGCACACTGTTATGATTGTTTTAACACCATTGAACTGTACACTTAAAAATGGCAAAGATGGTAGATCTTATGTGTATTTTTCCACAATAGAAAGTATTGCAGGGGAGTTGAACAGAGGAAAGACATGCACAGGAATGAGATTCCAGAGGAATTTCAGGTGGGCTGGAGCTCTTGGAACTCTAGTTGGAAGAGTTTGGGAAAAATTATTATTTTTATTTTTATTGTCTGGAACCAGAGCTTGTAAGTCAGTGAGCAGGGTTTATATTTGTATTCGCAACAGTGCCTAGCCCACTCTTGCTCCTGATGGCAAGTCAGTAGCTATTTACTGATTAATGATATATTTTCTTGATTTATTTTCTTAGGTAGTCTTTCTCTGCAAACTAGGAGAGAGGATTATGATTCTGGCATTATGGAGAAACTACAAGGATGTGCTATAAACCACTGGACTTCTAGTCTGGGAAAGAAAATAGCAATTAAATGAGAGGGGCTATTTGGAAACAATAACTATTTAAATTATTTCGGCTAAGTATCAGCTGGGTTAATGCCAAATGGTTTGTAGTTCTAGTTATCATAGATAGAACAATTAGCTGAACTCCAGCATGAGAAGAAATGAGGTTGTTTTGAAAAAAAAAAACATGAAAAACTAAACAACTTGTAGCTAAAATACACGCAAAACATGCTGTTTTTGCTATACACGTGGTTTTGCTGACAATTTTTGTTTTGTTTTTTAAATTCCTATTTATATAATAAACATTGGTGTTTATTTTGAATGGTATGGATAACATGGTAAGCATTCATTTGGTAGTCAGGTTGTGTAGTTGAATAACATCTCAATAAAATTCAAATGCCAAGTTTAGCATTTTCCATAGACAGTTACATTTGTAGTTGTGACATACTTTTTTATGAATATATGAATACGAAAACTGTAAGGTTTCAGGTGGATAGCCAAATCCAACTGCATTGTGGGCATTATGGATCTCTGACAGGTGATTTTTTTCTCCCTGTGACACTTCCAAAAATTTCTTAATCACTAGGTGTGAATTTCATGTATTTCCCCATAGGACTTTCTCAATAGTAGGATTAAATCCTCAGAACACAAAAAGCCAGAAGAAAAGCTGCAGAATGAGAATGCCAAAAATCAAATGGAAAAAATAGTGATAAGGAAAATATTAAGAATTCCACTTTAAAAGCAAAACAATGATTCCATTTAATCGAATATAACTTTCAAGTCATTATCTCTTCCCTGAACGATTGCAATAGTCTTTTTACTGGTCTTTCTGCTTCCAGTTTCCACTCACTCCAATCTCTCATACACTACTCACAAATTATCTTTCTGAAGTTCAACTCTGATCCTGTCATTCCTCAGCTCATAAACCTTCAATGACTCTTCATTCTCTGAACCATGAAGTACACACTTGAACCTGGCATTCAAACCCCAAACTTGCTGTCCAACTCTTTTATTTTATGACTCTTATAGTCCAATTCCCTTTATGGCCTTTATAGTTCAATCAACTGGACTAACTCCTGTTTTATGTGTGTAACCTGGATATTCTTACCTCCAAGTATTTGATCCCCTGGTTTCTAATAGTGGAAGTTTCTGTATATATAAGTCCTACTCAATTTTACAAGCTGAGTTCGCATACCACCTGTTATGGACTGAATTATTTCTCCCCAAATTTTATATGTTGAAGATCTAACCCTCCGTGTGACTGTATTTGGAGGTAGGAACCTTTAGAGAGTGAATTAAGGTAATTAAAATTAAATGGGGTCATAAGGGTGGGGCCCTAATCCAACAGGACAGATGTGCTTATATGAAGAGGAAGAGACACCAGAAATCTTTCTGCATGTGCACAGAGGAAAGGCCATATAAGGACACACCCTTCAAAGAAGGTCACCGTCTACAAGACAAGAAGAGAGGCCTCACTGGAAAGCAACCCTGAATGCTCCTTGACCTTTGATTTCCAATCTCTAACACTGTGAGAAAATACAATTCTGTTGTTTAAGCTGCTCAGTCTGTGGTATTTTGTTGTGGCAGCTGAGCAAACTAATACACCATCTCCTCTGCAATTCCTCCCTGATCATCACGATTTCCCCTTCCTCCCTTCTCCTGGTATTTGATTTGTATCTATAAATTAGCACTTATCACTTCCCAGGATTAATTATAGTAATTTAGTGTAGCATTTAATATTCGTTTTGGTCCAAATAAGACAAGACTTCATTGTTATTTAATGTAAACGCAATTGGGATCTCTCAGTTTAGGAATTTAGGTATTTAGATTCCTTGCTCAAAATGATCCAGTCTTAGATTCTATTTTTTGGTGTTTGCCCAACCTAGCACTTTCATCCTGAAAATCACCTAATTGTTCAAGCTGGCTGATAAAGCTCAAATCATACATATTCCAGTAAACAGGAGAAAGGAAGTCAGAAGGAAAGGAATAAAAAGGCCCTCTTCTCAAACGAATTAGCTCCCCTTCGAAAGCCTTCTAAAAATCCCAAACAATACTTCTGCTTACATTTCATTAATGGGAATCTAATAATATGTAACACCTAATTGCCAGGGGTGTGCAGCCATTTAGCTGGATGTTTAAAAGAGACATTTATTAGTAAATAGCAGTCTCTGCCATATTTACATTATTTGTATTACTTTTAGAAGCCTGTAAGTTCCTTATGAGCATGTTAATTATATTTATGCATCTTGAAAAGTATATATCACTAAGTAGAGCCTACTCATCTCCTGCTACCTGCTCAGATTTATGGATATCCTAAGTCTTTTGATAGTAACACTGTCATTAAGCTATAAATGTTGTATTTTATGTTGAATTTTCTCAAGATGGGGATTTCCACTCATTGCTTACTAAGGTAAGAAAGCCTATTTGTCTAAACCTTTCCACAGGCAGCAAATTATTAGTATGGTAGTATCTCCTTCTTTTTTTTTTTTTTTTTAACTTCACAAAGGATCGTAAGAGCAGATCTTTATTTTTTTAAACAAAGAAAATAGCTTGGGTATATTTCCAGGAGAGAAAATCCTTTTCTATTGTAAATTTGTTGACTTTAGCACCATCAGATGATCAGGCCTCCATTTCCTCCCAGGGACACTGGCGAAGAGGAATGGGCAAGATGCTTTTTTTTTTAATATATAAATTGCTTAAAAGCCCATCCTCTTCTTTGGGATGATGCTAAGTGCAAACTACTTGCCCTGCTCCTTAGATTGTTGTCTATCAACTCTTCTACTTTTTCTTCACTTTGCTCTCTTATACTCCAAACCAGCATTAGAAATCATAAACCAAGGTGAAGGGTATATGAGATTGACATTGGTGATGGGGTGGAGTTATGGGAGGGGTTAATTCCCACTCTACCAATCCTTGCTTCGATGTCCCAGTTTGTGGAGGTACAGGGTACATACAACCGCATCCGGCAGAGGCACAATTCGGAAATGGAACTAGCTACCTCCTTGTCTTCAGTTTTAGAGTTGAACTGAGCCAATGGAAGGTTGATTTAATGGTTGTCCTAATGGACAGATGTTAAGGCTCCCTTTAGACTCTTCTGGTCCTTAATTCTACTCACAAGGGTCTAAGTCTCTGTCGGACTTTTCTCTGCCAAAGACATCCTGAAACACAACACAATCTCTCTGGCATGGCTCTGAACTCCACCTTTCTCCTGTGAGTACAATAAACACAGAAGTATTCATGCCCTTGCAAGGGATCTTTGTCAGGTCTAACAGAAACACCTAGAGAAATAGAGGCATATCGGTTTGTTTATACTAACTCCTCCCTTCTCCAACGTATCCAATCAGGTTTATAGCAAATAACAGATGTTGTTAATAATCTAGTAAGAACCACTATTATGCCCATTTTCCCAGGAGTGCAACTGAAGGATTTTCTGTAAATATACTAACAAGTGACAAATTGTTCACGTCTATTTTCATGAAATGTTTTGACTGCTGAAGTTGTTCTATAGCAGTTCATTAAAGGACCCATAAAATATGTAAGTTTACATTTTATAAAAAGATCATCAGGAATTTCTTGGCTGATAGTATTTCTTGTATTAAGCATCTGTTTTCTATTTTCTAAAGGCTTGCAGCAGTGGTTGTCCAATTGTATATCAAAAATAGTTGATTTAAGTTGGATGAAAACATTGTAACTTCTTATTAAAGATTAGTAACCCACCAATGAAGCTTCCTTAGAAGGCAACCAGCAATGTGTATGTAGCACATCTGGTTTCAAAATATTAAAAAATGATAAACACCCACCGATACAATCCATCTGTTCTATCTGCATAATTGTCTTATTTTTAAAACTAGGACATGCACTGAGCTTAACATTACACAAAGATGAAGAATTTTGCTCCTCCATGTCTAGGCAGTAATAAATGATTGAGGTCAGCTTTGGAGGAATGTCATGTTTATGACTACATATGTAGGCATTCTGGAAAACTAGCTAAAACCTTATTACAACATAAAAAAGCCTGTCCTTCCCTTAAAATTGTAGGAAAAATCAAAGGGGATAGAATATTAAAAATCACTGACTAATATTTTTAATCGAAGAGAGTCAAGAGTTCAATGAAGACTATTAGTTTAACACTATTAATATCAGCTACCATTTATTAAACAGTGTTTAATTTGTGCCAGACACTATGTCAAGCACTTTACATGCATTGTCTCCTTTAGTCCTCATAACAACCTCTTCGAATCCCATTTTAGAAAAGAAAACTGAAGCTCAGACAGTTAGGTGGTTTATCCAAGGCTACATGGCTAGGGCATGGTGAAGCCATGATTTCCATTTGGGCGGCATGGCTTCAGTGCCCATTCTTTTATGCTCTTGGTGATACAACACAAAATATCTTTTAAAACAATTTAAGTTTCCTTAGAGTTAATAGTTTTTTTCTAAAAGCTATTCTCTTAAATATTAAGAACTTCTTCTCTCCAACCTGCATCTCATCCATAAATTCATTATAACATGAACAATGATAATGATAATAATTAACATTTGTTAGTGTTACTGTGTTTCAGATATTTTTCTTTTTCTTTTTCTTTTTTTTTTTTTTTTTGAGACGGAGTCTCGCTCTGTCGCCCAGGCTGGAGTGTAGTGGCGCGATCTCTGCTCACTGCAAGCTCCACCTCCCAGGTTCACGCTATTCTCCTGCCTCAGCCTCCTGAGCAGCTGGGACTACAGGCGCCCGCCACCACGCCCGGCTAATTTTTTGTATTTTTAGTAGAGACGGGGTTTCACCGTGTTAGCCAGGATGGTCTCGATCTCCTGACCTCGTGATCTACCCGCCTCGGCCTCCCAAAGTGCTGGGATTACAGGCGTGAGCCACTGTGCCTGGCCTTCAGATACTTTTCTAATCTCTTTACAAATTAATTCAATCCTCATAACCCTACAAGATATGTACATTTGTTTCACCTCTTCTTGACCCTTTTCAAATAAGAAAAATGAGGCATAAGAGTTAAATAACTAGCTCAGATCATATAACTAGGACGTGAAGTTCCTAAGATTTGAACTCGGGAACTCTGGCTCCAAATCTATACACGAAATCATTATACATGTACCACCCATATTCCAGGAGCCATGCTAAGTGGTAGGTATTCATTGTTGAATAAAATGAATTCAACACTGTTGAATTTTATTCAACAATGAATAAAACATGGTTGGCTGGGAGCAGTGGCTCAGGTCTGTAATCCCAGCATTTTAGGAGGCCAAGGTGGGCGGAACACCTGAGGTCAGGAGTTTGAGACCAGCCTGGCCAACATAGCAAAACCCTTTCTCTACAAAAACTACAAAAAATTAGCCGGCCGTGGTGGCTTCTGCCTGTAGTCCCAGCTACTTGGGAGGCTGAGGCAAGAGAATTGCTTGAACTCAGGAGGCAGAGGTTGCAGTGAGCTGAGATCACGCCACTGCACTCCAGCCTGGGTGACAGAAAGAGACTCTGTCGTAAAAAAAAAAAAAAAAAATACAAACTATGGTCAGCTTATTTCAGTTAGCATAATGTTTTTAAGCTTCATTCATGTTGTAGCACATATCAAAACTTCAGTCTTTTTTATGGATGAATAATATTGCATTGAATAGATATATCACATTTTGTTTATCTATTTATCTGTTGAACACTTGGGTTGTTTTCACCTTTTGGCTATTGTGAAAAAATGCTGCTACAAACATTGGTTTACAAATAATCTGTGTGAGTCCCTCTTTTCAAGTCATACATATATATAAATATACACACACACACACACATACCTAGGAGAAATAAAATAATGTAACAGTAAAAAGAAAAAATTATCCATACCTTTGGGGGAATCACATTTTAGTACAAGACGACAGAAGTTTAAACCAGAGATTAAAATAATATGATATTGCTATATTGGTAGTTAATGTAGGGTGCTAGGAGAACTAAAAAATGATGAGTCTGGGGCACAGAAATTCAGAAAAGACTTCACAGATGACATTTGAGCAAATTGTTAAAGGATGAGCAGGTATTCTCAAAGACGAAGGTGGCGGCTAATAGGATTGAGAGTAAAGAAAGGGCAGGAGGGTGGAGAAAATATTTCCAACCAAGGAATTCTCGTAAACAAAGGCTCAAAAATGTGCCGGAACCCAGCTGTGATGGTTAATTTTATCTGTCAAGTTTCTGGGCCACAGGTTTCCCAGATATGTGGTCAAACATTAATCTAGGTGTATTTGTGAGAGTATTTTCAGATCACGTCAGCATTTGATTGATGGATTGCCCTCTAGGGAGGGTAAAGCAGTTGCCCTCCCTAATGTGGGTGGCCATCTAATCAGCTGAAGGCCTGAACAGAACAAAAAGGCTGATCCTCTGCAGGAGGAAACTCCTTTTCCTCGATCTGGGACATTGGTCTTTTCCTGCCTTCAGACTCGAATTGGGACATTGGCTCTTAGGTCTTGAGCCTGCTGGCCTTTAGATTGGCACTTACACCATTGGCTCTCCTGGGTTTCCAGCTTGCTAACTAGAGAACTTGGGACTTCTCAATCTCCGTAATCACGCCAGTACCTTATAATAAATTCCTCTCTCTTTCTTCCTTTCTGTCTCTCAAATATGTTTGTACCCTGTTGGTTCTGTTTACCTGGAGAAACCTGACTCATACTGACAATTATAGTTTGGCGTGGCTATATGTAAAGTCTGTGAGTGGAGGCAATGGGGTATGCTTCTTCATAGTTTCTAGAATTAGAAACTTTACACTCACTTTGGACAATTCTCTCTTCTTTACCTATTATATTTGCAGATTCTGCTGACTCATCTTCAGAATGACATCGTAGTTGTTCACTTGTTATTGTAGCACCCAATGTCTTTGGCATTCGACTATACCTTAGCTTTCAGCTCTCTCTTCATGCCCATACTTGATCCCTAGCTATTACTGGCATGTTTCATCACATGCACTTCCCTCCCTTGGTTAACTGTTCACGCTGCTTCCTCTTCCAGTGTTGCCCTTTCCCCATCTGTCTGACTACACTAAACTCATGCTTAAAGGTTTATGAAACAATGCTACCTCATAAGGGTGGAGAGTTCTATTGCTCCTCTGTTCATGATTGTATTCCAATGTCTAGGATAGTGACTGCAACATGAGAGAGAAAGAGAGAGAGAGAGAGAGTGGGGAGAGGGGGTGTTGAATGGTAATAAGCTGACAGCATTCAGAACCTGGGATAAATTGTCAGAGCATTTCTGTTCCACCCATACCCCCTTCATAGTTTGGTTACATGAGCTCAAATTCATTTGGGTTTATGTCACTTGCCACTGAAAAAGCTCTGGCTAATCCACTATCTATAGAGGTTTAGCCATTAAAAGTATGGAAAGAGATGTGTTACAAAAAAATTAGTCACAAGAATGAGACTCCAGCATTCTCTATTGCCTCATGCTCTTCCAATCCTTTAGGATGTGTAAACACTAAAATTCTACTGTAATCGGAGGACCACTTTGAGCATTGGAGAATATCTTATCTCTGGGTGCATTTTTAAAAAAGGATGTTCACTAAAAGCTAAAAGAAGCACTTTATAGTCAATTTATGAACCAACTGCTCTTTTAAGATAGCAGACTGTCATTTCATTTGAAATGGAGGCTATGCATTGGCTCATGTTTGATTGTGATGTCTTACATTTATCGTAAAACAAGTCTCATCATCACATTGCTTATTTATTCCATTATGTTTGATTCCTTTGTATAGTAAGAAGAGATAATCATCTCATCACTTAGGACTTCCATAATTGTTTTGTTTTGCATAACAAACTATTTTAATATTTAAAAAGAAATATTATGGCTAAATATTCTTTTGGTTTGCATAAAAAGAAAATCAGACCCCTTTTCAGATATAATACATGTGAATAGAAGTTAGGATTATTATAGCTCTGAACTCCTGTTTTTATATCCTTATTGCTTTATGAGTGAATTGATGAAATAGCATTCTCTTCTAACCAGTGAAAATCTCTAATTCAGAATATGTTTTCAAATCTTTGTAATAAAGAGAATTTTTCTGGATGGGCATTCGTGCATAATTTCTCCTCAAATACCCAAGTTATAAAATACAACTTCAAAAAAAATGTTCTGGCAGCCCATAAATACGGGACCTATTTCAAAATTACATTTCTACTGGAGCCATTCCTCAGGTTGAAGAACAAAAAGACAGAAAGCAATAATCACACAGAAAGAATGTACTGAACATTATTGCTTGGGCTGCAATTAGACTTTGGTATGAATAATCCAAAATTCTTCCTTACATTAGTTTCATGTTGGTACTACAGGCTACAGAGTGCCCTAAAGAATGATGTCCTTCCTCATATTACAGGTAAACTATAAAACAATATGAGACCTATTGTCTAAGTTACCTCTAAGTCTGCCTTTGAAACCTAAGGTCCTTACTAAGTTCTCTCATCAGGAAGGACATCCTCCTTAAAATTACTCACCCTGTTTTCAACACAATATAAATCATGTGAAAATCTTCTGGTTCCCTTCCCCCCTAGTATTTTGTTTCTCCTTTTTAGAATGTAAAGAGTCTTCACATATTTTACACATTTTAAGTGCCAAGCATCTTTATTAATGAGGGAAGCACAAAAGTCTTCAAAGAGAGAAGTAGAGGTGGAAAGAACAAGCCACCCCTGGACCTGGATCACTACATGGGCTCAAGACATGGACCAGAACACAGGCATCCTGGCTCCCAGTTCATAGTTCTTATTGACTTCTGTGTTGCCTTCCTCTTTTTAGAGAACAGTTCCACATAAATATATAAAGCTCTCCAAAGTTTATTTCAAAGCATATCTCTTCAGGTAAGCCAATGAAAAAACCGGCTGTCATTAACAAGCCTATGAACAGAGGTAATCTGGTTCTTTGTTAATAGAAGTAGATTGGAGATTTGTAATACAGTGTTCCTAGACCCCATGCGCTGAAGTGCCACAGAAAGTCATTAAGAGAGTCCTTTATGCTTTAATGGTTCTATAGCTGTTAGTAGTGTGGGAATTTTTCAGGACATTCAAATTTTCTTCCACCAAATAATAATATCTAGGAATGTTCTTTGATATTCTTATAAAGCGGATGTTTAAATTTCTCTCAGTGATGTTATTTAATGCAGTGAAAGGGGGAGAACTAAATAATGATTTGCAAGATATGAATATTCCAGAATCTCTTAATATTTACTGATCTCTTCAGGGGGAAGCTCATAGTTCTTCTCTTTCCTGCTTCTACCTTTCTAAAATCCTTCAATGGAAAAGGAATTGTTTTTGGTATTGATTGACAAGTTTGATTACTAACATATTCTCTTTTCCAAAATTCCAATAAAGCTTCTGTTGTGACAAAAATAGATAAGAAACCAGCAAGCCCAATGTTATTATTTATACATTGTCACTGTTGTCCTCATTCCCTTTGCATGATATTTGATTTCAAATATCAGACCAGCCATATTTTTGTTTATAATGCAGTGACATTATCAAGATGTAGATAGTTGAGCCATGAAATACCACTTTTCTCAAATAGTAGTTTGATAGCAGGAAATGTTAAGGTTTTTTGATAGAGAAACAATACGTTATGAATTTCCCTCACTACATGTTTGCTTATGCAGTATATTTCAAAAATTTCTCTATAATCATGTGTGTAGGCATCAGATCTTGGAACCAGTGAAAATACAAATACTTTAGAATACATGTTAGGAATATTTATTTTTCCCAAGCTCAGAAGATAAATAACAGTATTTTAGTTGTTGCTGTTGCTCCTTACCTGTTATTACTCTTATAAAAGTATGCATGCCTGCTAATTTTTGTAGCATTCATGGCAAAATCTATGGCTCTAGATCCTATATAACTATAGTTAAAAGTACAACACAGTGGCCTTGGTCATTCCACAGTAGATAACAGGGGGCGATTGTCCTAAAGGATTTGGATGAATTTTATAGAAAAAAAAAACTGTATTCATTGTACAGGAGCAGAAATATGGCCAACCAAGTGGAATATAATTAGCAATTCCATAAATGTAAGGACAGGATTTTCTGATTTAGAGCATAGTAGATGCTTAATAAAAAATTGTCAGATAAAACAGAGTGAATGAATGAATAAACTGATGAATTATAGATATACTACGAAAACATCAACTTCCAGGAGTTTCATTCAGAAAAACACAATTTAGAACAGTGTAGGTGCCTTTTCCCAAGAAAGTTAATGCCTCCTGCATATGATGCAAAACATACAGTTAGAATTGACTGAGATGGGATGCAATGCACCAAATGTGATTTCAGGTCTTTTTTACACAAAAGTTATAAAATATAAATGGAGGTCCGTTTGGTTTGTGTTGTTTGGATGTTCTCTTCCCTGATAGAAACAGAAAGCATCCCGATAACTCTTTCAGCACTTGAGGCTTATGAGAATATATAATCCAAGTAGGGCAGCTGAGCAACTGTATTTACTCAAACTGGAAGAAAAGAAGCTCCATGAGAAAATATAACAATTTCAATGTCATTGCAGGGCTTTTCACTATGTTTTAGCTACAGATTGAAAAAACACTGCAAGAGAAAAGCTGAGGTTAGATCCAGGATAAAATGAGTCATGTTTTAACGACTGAACGGAACCTTCAGATTATGGAACACAAGTGCATTTATGTCAAGATTTGTGGACTGGGTGGACGACACTAGACGATCACTGTCTTGATAGGCCATTTTTTACGAACCAATTTCGGTTTTTCCTTTTACTACAGCAATTGTTATTCTTGTAAAACGATCTTTGAAAAGTAGCATTTTCCTTGTCTTCGTAACCTCACATTAAGAAAACACCCATATTTCTACTTTATTTATCACAGAGGAAGGCTGACTCCCAACTTTAGAGAGAACAAAGTTATAGTCTTCTAAACACATGGGTGGTAATTTGAACTTGACCTAACAGAGTCAAACTTACAAGTAGCCTAACTTTCAGAGATAGAATGCATGCTCTAAAGACAGAAAGCTATTTTATTGCTGTAACTTTCAGGATGGCATACATCTTTAAAAACATATCCGAAAGGTGAATCAGAGATTATCATGAAGGCCAGTCTCTACTATAGCTTTCTTATTTTCTATCCATTACACAAGAGTTAAACAAAATGTTTGAATGGAACGTTTAATAACAAAAGACATTTATGATGTTTACTTAATGTTTTGGACCATTAAGCATCAATGACATGAGTTATTGTATGTAATATCTAGCCAAAAATCTTTTGACCAGGCTACATTTTACTACTCTTGGAGCTGCCAGCATCCCGATTTGAAAAAAAATCTGTGGTCGAATCCTAGTTTTCTCCGAGGACTTTGGATTTGAAAGTATCTCATGTTGCCAGAAAGTACCTTTTGAAGTTTACATTAAGATGGATATTTATTTATTTTTTCCCTATAACAATGACAGTGGTTGAGATAAACTGTTTAATTCTAAATAGAAAACACATCTGCTGTGTCTGCATTGTTTGTGGTTGCTGGAGGGGTGACAATTTAAACCAAGTAGCACACATGACATTTTAAGTGAGATGTTGTATGAGGGCTCACAGCTGCTGACAGTGTCCTCTTCTGTTCAGCTGGGTTCAGCGGGGCTGCGGGAGCCAAAGCCCCCATTAGTGAGCCCACTGTGGATGGACAGCTCAGGGTGTCTTGGCTTTCCTTCATTCTCAGAGTGGGAGACAGGCAAAGGAGGACTTAAAACCTGCTGCTTTCCTTAGTCATAGTTACCGGCTCATTTGTTAAAAGAAATGTAACATATTTTTTCCCAAAACCTACCCCCCAAATCATATTGGTTTTCTTTACCCCCAAATCATATTGATTTTTGTTTAAGAATGTACAGAATATGCAAACTAACTTAGAAAGTGGATATCTTTGTTATATCAGTTTCTTCTACGTACTTTTCATGTTTCATTAAAGCTTCAAATATTTCTTCACATAGTCTTTCATAGTTCTTACATTTATGCCTAGGTGTTGTACATTTTTGCTGCCATTTTGAATGTGATCTTGCTTATCTTTATGCTTCAAAGCTCTTGTTTGTGTGAAGGAGAGTTAATGATTTTATACATTATTATTGTAACCAGTAGACTTACTGGTTTTTTTATTATTTCTAATTGTTTTTCAGTTCACGTTCTACAGAATTTTCTTTGTAACTTATGATAATGTTACTTCCTCTGTTGTAAATATTGTATTCTTCATTTAGTTCACTTATCAAGTCAATTATTAAACACTTCCAAAAAAATTAAATGATAATGGAGATAGAGGGCATATTTATTTTTTTCCTGATTTATAGAAATTTTCTCCTATGGTTTATCGGTAAGCCTGATGCTACTTTTGGTTTCATGGATTTATTGTTCACATTCAATCTATAAAAATTTTAGTATGTATCTATAAAAGATAAAGATATTTTAAAAGATGTAACTATAATATTAATAATTATTACAGTTAATAAAATATTATCAACTAGTCAATAATCAGATTCTAATTGTCTCATAAATATCATAAGGAATTTTTAAAAATCAGTGTCAAAAAGATCCACATATTATGATTATTCAGTATTTCTTATGATCTATAATCTCTTTTTTTTTTTTTTTGAGACGGAGTCTCACTCTGTCGCCCAGGCTGGAGTGCAGTGGCGCTATCTCGGCTCACTGCAAGCTCCGCCTCCCAGGTTCATGCCATTCTCCTGCCTCAGCCTCCCGAGTAGCTGGGACTACAGGTGCCCGCCACTACGCTCGGCTAATTTTTTGTATTTTTAGTAGAGACAGGGTTTCACCGTGTTAGCCAGGATGGTCTCGATCTCCTGACCTCGTAATCCGCCTGCCTCGACCTCCCAAAGTGCTGGGATTACAGGCGTGAGCCACCACACCTGGCCATCTATAATCTCTTTTAACCTATAGGTTCCCCACTTCTGAACTTTCTGTCTTTATTTTCTTACTTTTTGAATTTTATATTGAAGAAAGTAGACTATTTGTCCTGCAGAATTTCCCAAAGTCTACATTTTGCTGACTGCATTTCCTTGTGTTATCTAACATAACCCCTTGTCATCTATGGTTTCTGTATGTTGGTAGTTTGATTTAAAGTCTTGTTTATTTATTTATTTATTTATTTACTTATTTAATTATGGTCATGGTGCGGTCCTCCCTCAGGAAGTACATAATATCTGGTTGAATTTCTCTTTTGTGATCAGTGCCTAGATCCATTAGTTTATCAGTAATGATGATTTTCTAATTCTATTGTTACTTCTTGTAGGGACTGAATGTTTGTGTCCCCCCATCCCCAAATTTATATTTTGTATGTTGAGACCCTAATGTGATGGGATTAGTTTTGGGAGGTAATCGAGATTACATGAGCATGGATTTCAGGGGAGAGCCCTCCTGAATGAGATTAGTGTCCTCATAAGAGTCTCAAGAAAGCTTACTTCCTTCTTTCTTACATGTGAGAACACCGTGAGAAAATGACCATCTATTGGCAGAGAAGTGGACCCTCACCAGACACCAAACCTGCTGGTGCCTTGATCTGGGACTTCCCAGCCTCCCAGACTGTGAGAAATACATTTCTGTTGTTTATAAACTACCCATTCTGCGATATTCTGATATACCAGTCCAAACAGACTGAGACACTTCTTAATTCAGTGGCTGAAGTTTTTCTATAAGAATATATCTTTTTAAATTACAGGCTTTTCCCCAAGACAATTACCATGCTTTGGTATGCAGAAGAAGTAGGTTATGTGTGTTTCCCTTGTCACCACCTAGACTATTAAAAAGATGTGTACTCTAAGGGTGAGATATATAATAAAGTTGATCATTTTTCCCACTTCAAAGAAGTTGTAAAATGAAATTAGCATTTTATTTTCAATTTTTAAAATTCTACATATTTACAGATTTAGGGGATACAAGTATATATTTCTTAGTGGCTCACACCTGAAATCCCAGCACTTTGGGAGGCTAAGACAGGAGGATCACTTGAGTCCACAAGTTCAAGATCAGCCTGGAAAACATAGCAAGATCATGTCTCTACAAAAAATTTTAAAAATAAGAAAACTAGCCAGGCATGTTGGCTCACATCTGTAGTTCTAGCTACTCTAGAGGCTGAGGCAGGAGGATTGCTTGAGCCCAGAAGTTTCAGGCTAAAGTGAGCTATGACCGTGCCACCATGCTCCAGCCTGAGCAACAGAGAAAGATCCTGTCTCTAACAAATAAATAAGTAATCCAAACAAACTCAAAGCAACTGATATTAGCATTTTTAAAACTATGTTTGCTTAATGTTAAAAAAAGTACTATTACTATAGACACAGTTGGTAACCACTGACTTGATTCCTGCTAAAGGTTCAAAGTCTTACCTTTGCTTTTACAACATGTGTCAATGTCAACACAGTGAAAAAGTGAAATAATTTCTTAGTGCTATTGTGATCATAGATTTGACCTGTGAATCTCCTGAAATGACTTGGGAACTCCCAGGAGTCTCTGGACCACACTTTGGAAACAACTTCACTGGAGTATTTTCTTCACTGTTCCAGCTCCATTTTCACCGGCTGAACCAGAGCTCACTGAAAAGTTAACTTCTCAGAGCACCCTCCAACGCCACCCAGTGCAAAGCAACTATCAATATCAGATCAAAATATTATGATATGATATCAACACATCAATATCACATCACAATATATCAATTATTCAATTATTTGTATAGTGCTTATAATCATCTCATAATTTTCCTGATTATTTTGGATTTTTCTTTCCATCTAACTAGGACTAAATTATATGAAAAATGGGCTATTTTTTTCTGACCTATTCATATTTGCTTAACAACTACATAGAAAAATTCCTAGCATATAATAGAACTTCAAAAATATTTGGTGAGTGTTTATTAAAGAGTATTAACTCACATGATCACAAGGTGGGGTCCCACAATTAGGCCATCTATAAGCTGAGGAGCAAGGAAGCCAGTCTGAGTCCCCAAGCTAAAGAATGTGGAGTCCAGTGTTCAAGGGCAGGAAGCATCCAGGAGTGAGATGTAGTCTTGGAGGCTAAGCCAGTCTCATCTTTTCATGTTCTTCCACCTGTTTTTATTCTGGCCACGTTGGCAGCTGACTAGATTGTGCCCACCCAGATTAAGGGTGGGTCTGTCTTCCCCAGCCCATTGACTCAAATGTTACTCTCCTTTGGCAACACCCTCACAGACACACCCAGGAACAATACTTCACATCCTTCAATCCAATCAAGTTGACACTCTATATTAACCATCACAGTGAGGGAATCAACAGAATGTTGATAGTTACTTAGAAAACTGACGAAAGATTATACCAGAAGTAAAGGTCACTTACAAGGAATGGGTCTTAAGATTTCAGGAGCTTGCTTTTCAGCAGTAGAGTTGGAATAGCTGATGATGGATTTTATGTTCAAAAGATGCTTTTACTGGTAACTATGGCTCTCATTTGGCCAGCTATCTCCCCTTTCCTTTTCAGATTTATTTGGCTTTTATATTTCACATTTCAAACTAATCATATTTAGCATACTATATTATTTCTATCCATTCCTATACCACTGTTGATGTAGTAATATGACTCTGGAACCCAGAATGGCAGTAGGCTATCTCATCTATCATTCTCTGTCCCTCTCTGAACATCTCTGTTTATCTGTACTCTGGTGTGTAGAAGATGGAGGCTCAATAGGCCCCAATTCTAAAATGTTTATTCTACTCAAATCCTAAGAAAAAGTAATTACCACTGACTCCCAATTCTCTAGAAAGGCACATTAGGAAGATTCCCTCAGCCACACTGGGAAACACATGAATATCTGTGCCCAATTAACTGTAGCCAAAGGATCAGTGGTAAACACAAAAACATGGCAATAGAGATCCCACCCCATGACTGCAGAGAGGCATTCTTAGGGATCAACATGAGCTAGGCAGAGAGCCCAAATGATGTCTTTTACAATTTCTAATTTATTCTGTCAATGTTTTTAATAGAAAAATCTTAAAAATTACTTAAAACTTCATTTAAATAAATAAATTTAAGTATATGTGGAAAACTAGCTATGCATTATGCTTGCTACAAATAAAAAGCCAAGAAGCCTTTATTAATCCATCCCATAGAGAACATGGTCTTACTTGCAGCCCATTACAAGTATACTTGGAAGTGTACTTGAAGAGTGGTGTGACTATCCCCTTTCTCTTCCCCTCTGGTTCTTCTCAGTCCATAAGAAACTCTTTCCTTTGGGTACATTCTTCTCTCTATTGTATTATCTTTCTATTTATTTTTTATTTTTTACTCAGGATACAAGCTCCATCCTGCTGTAAGCCTCTGCATCCAGCAGGCACATCCTCTGTCTCATGGCTTTGTAAATATCGGTGTTCTCAGACACTGTTGTCCTGGATGTTTGCTGTTCCTTAGAAAGCAGAACATGTAAGAAAAGCATGCACTCTCCTCTGCTGATACTGATTGTCTTGCAGAAATTTTACAGTGTTATCTCTCAAGGATCCCTCTGCGACCACACAAGTTGCTGAATAGAACAATAAGAGAAAACCATGTGGTCATAGTGATTTATAAAAGCTAGTGAGTGCACAGTTTTCATCCTAAAATGTAAGCAGAAGTGTTAAAAGAGATACAAAAATATCTGCTGCATCTTGGTCCCATATTACCATGACCTTATTAAAAAAACTCGAAACCTCTGATTGGGGAATGTCTGGGAATGTCTTAATTGTCATTCCCACAATTTTTTTTTAACCAAAATATCCGCAAACCTAGAGGATCATCAGAATGTAATTAAATATGCACTGAAATGTTAAGGTTCTAGTTTTGGAACTTGTTACTAAGTCATAATATTTATGAAAATTCCCTCTGAGCCTCAGTTTACTTTTTCACTTTCATGTATTATGTGCCTAATAATATATGCCCTACTTATTTTGCAAGGATATCATGAAGATTAATCAAGAAATTTTATGATAAATACTTTGTAATTTTTTTTGAGAGAGTCAAGCTCTGTTGTGCAGGCTGGAAGTAGTGGTGTGATCTCTGCTCACTGAAATCTCCGCCTCCACAGTTCAAGCAAGTCTCATGTCTCAGCCACCCGAGTAGCTGGGAGTAGTACAGGCATGCACTAACACAACAGCTAAGTTTTCTATTTTTTAGTAGACATGGGGCTTCGCCATGTTGGCCAGGCTAGTCTCGAACTCCTAGCCTTAAGTGATACACCTGCCTCAGCTTCTCAAAGTGCTGGAATTACAGCCATGAGCCTCCACACCTAGCCAATACTCTGTAATTTATAAGATGTTATATTTGCTACTGGCTTGTAAGTTGTTTGGGTATAGGAGCCTATTCTTGATTATCTTTACATTCCCTCAGGACTTAACCAAGTAACTGATCACAGGCAGGGCTTGATGAACACTGAGTAATGAGTTAATGAATCATTGATCCTGTCATCATTTTCTAATTTGTTGTCCAATGTCTTAGTTTATTTTGTGCTGCTATAATAAAATACCACACACTGGTAATTTGTAAAGAAAAGAAATGTATTTCTCACAGTTCTGGATGCTGGGAAGTCCAAAATTGAGGGGCCAGCATCTTGTGAGGGCCTTCTTGCTGTTAGTCCATGGCAGAAGGGCAAATAGGTTGAAAGAGAGGCAAGAGGGCCAAACTCATCCTTTTATAAAGAACCCGCTCCCAAGATAATGAATCTGCTCCTGCAATAACAGCGTTAATCCATTCACAAGGGTCCTCATTAGGTCCCATCTCCCAACACATTGCATTGGGGATTAAGCTTGCAACACATGCTTTTTATGGGACACATTCAAACAATAGCATCCACCATGGTAGACCTTTTTGGACTCCTTATATTACTTCATATCTGCTCTATGCTTACCAATCTCTTTCATCTAAGTTAATTTACTTTGACCTATATATTCTTTTGATGAATGTCAACCATACATCCATCATCTTGGACACTCAGAGGAAGGAGAAAAGTCTATTAACTCGTGTCTCTACATGATATAAAGGTGTTAATACAAAACTGCTACAAACTGATAGAGATTTTAGACTATTAAACAGAAAGATAAAAAGACGATAGACAGATGATAGATAAATACATAGATACAGATAGATAATTGATATAGCCTCAACATGAATAAAACCCTTAAGAGAGAGTCTTGTGTTTATAAAAATACCATCACGGTGTCCTTTATGTTGCACATTTTGTCACTTAGGGAGTTATTACTCCATGCTGCAATTAATTTGCCCCCAATATATATTATCCACCATACAATATTCCCTGAAATGTGCTCCCATTCACTCTGTTTTGTAATCCCCAACAGTAGGGTGCTCTTAGCTTAATTTCTCTTTATCTAAAGGTCTATGATCTCTGAAGTCTTCACCAAAGCAATCGATTCAATAATTCTATTCAAACGTTTATAGTCTTCCTAACGGTAAAATATGGGTTTAGCTAAGATATTCTATTCCTGATTCATAGAATATAAATGAACACTTTTGATATTTGAACTTATAATTTTATTAATTCACTTGACAAATATTTATGTGTGTCAGTCACTGTAAGAGGTTCTGCGAATGCAAATATTAATGACATGCAAAGTCCCTGCCTTCAAAGACTTTAGAATCAAGAACTGAGAATGATTGCTATTTTGTTCAACATCCTGTGTAATGACATGGAAAAAGTTAATTGATTTAAGACACTTGAAATTTGGAAATAACTTCTGAAAAAATTTACTTTCCATTTATTACATACTAAACATGTAAAGTGTATTATATGAATTGTCTTATTTAATATTAACAACAATTCTGTTAGATAAGTTTTATTGTACTTACATTTAATTTACCCAATGTCAGCGAATAAGTAATAGAAAGCATTTTTGAACCCGGTCTGTATGATTTCAAAAGTGAAACTGTTAACCTCTATTTTATGCCATTTCTGATATTTTTTAAATGATATTTCTTAAGTTCCTTTCATGACTGGAGCTGACATCTCTTACCAAAAAGTGTGCAGCCTTCAACAACTCTTCATTGGAGATCTGGGGTCACATCAAAGAACAAACCAGCTGAGGAGACACTATTGTAAACCCTGGAGTGAGCAAGATCTGCAATGAAGGGTAAAACCTAACAAGTTTATTTAGAATAACCAAAAATTATTTTCTAACTTTTACTTTGAGAAAGCCCCATTACCCTTTTGTAATGATGCCAGAAACAGAAACATTAAAGGAAAACGTTGATAAATATGACCATGTAGGGATATAAACATCTGTATTAATCAGGGGTCCTCAGAGAAACAGAACCAATAGGATGCATTTTATATAGATAAAGAGATTTATTATAAGGAATTGGCTCACATGATTATGGAGGCAGGCAAGTCCTAAGATCTTCAGGGTTATTTGTCATGCTGGAGACCCAGGAGAACAAATGACTTAGTTCCAGTCCAAATGCCAGTGGGCTCAAGAGCCGGGTAGAGCCAGTGTTTCAGTTCAAAGGCAATCAGGCAGTAACAATTCTCTGTAGCTTGCATAAGGATCAGCATTTTTGTTCTCTTCAGGCTCACAACTGACTGGATTCACATTAGGGATAGCAATGTGCTTCACTTAGTCTACCAATTTAAATGTTAACACAAACAAGTGGAACAATATTTTACCAAATATCTTGGCACCCTACAGCCCAGTCAAGTTGACACATAAAGTTAACCATCACAAGATCTAAAATATCTAAAGGTCAAAGACAATCCATAAACAAAACTGAATGCCAAAAGTAAGCTTGAAAGACATGGTAACACATAAACAAATATCACTAATATATAAAAATCATGCTATATTAGTCAGGGTTCTCCAGATAGACAATATCAATAGAAGATATGTTAATAGGTAGCTATAGAGATGATGTAGACAGATGATATAGATTTGACATAGATATATAAGGAAGGATTAACTAGGAGAATTGGCTCACGCAATTATGGAGGCCGAGAAGTTCCAGGATAGGCTGTCCGTAGGCTGGAGACCGTGGGATGCCAATAGCATGGCTCACTCTAAGTCCGAAAGCATCAAAACCAAGGAAGCTAGTGGTGTAACTTGAAGACAAAGGCCTGAGAATGCAGGGATTGGGAGCTGCCACTTGTGTAAGTACTGGAGTCTCAAGGCCAGAAAGCCTGGGGTTCTGATGTTCGAGGGCAGGACACAGAGGGAGAGTGTCTCAGCTCCAGAAGAGTGAGAGAGAAAATCCTTTTCTCTCATTTTTTGTTCTACTTGGGCACCCAGCTGATTGAATGGTGCCCACAGCATTGAGGGTGGATCTTCCTCACTCAATCCTCACTCATGCCAATTTCCTTTGGAAACACTCACAGACACATGGAGAAGTAATGCTGTACCAGTTTTCTAGGTATTCCTTAATCCAGTCAAACTGACCCATAAATATAACTATCACAAATGCTTTCAAAATAGGAAAAGTAGACAAATGAGCAAAAAATATTAATAGGAAATTCACAAAAGAAAAATATATGAATGGCCAGTAAATATTGGGCAGACAAGACTTAGTGTCACTTAGCTAAGAAGAAAATACACATTAAAACAAAGTGTTTGGAAAATTGGTGGTAGCTATAGTTTACAAAAATATTAGAGAAATGGGCAGTCTGATTGTCTACAAGAAACAACACTGTATTTTTTTGTAATTTCTTTTTTTTTTTTTTTTACTTTTATTTTAGGTTCAGGGGTACATGTGCAGGTTTCTTATATAGGTAAATTACATACCATGGGGGTCTGGTGTACAGATAATTTTGTCACCCGGTAATATGTATAGTACCTGGTAGGTATTTTTCCTGATTCTCTCCCTCCTTCCACCCTCAACCCTCAAGTCGGCCCTCAGTGTCTGTTGTTCCCCTCCTAGTATCCATGTGTTCTCACTGTTTTGCTCCCACTTATAAGTGAGAACATGCAGTTTTCTGTTTTCTGTTCCCGTGTTAGTTTGCTTAGGATAATTGTCTCCAGCTCTATCCATGTTGCCGCAAAGGACATGATCTCATTCCTTTTTATGGCTGTGTAGTATTCTGTGGTGTATGTGTACCACATTTTATTTACCCAGTCTTCTGTTGTTGGGCATTTAAGTTGATTCTATGTCTTTGCTATGTGAATAGTGCTGTAATGAACATAAGCGTTCAGGTATCTTTATGATAGAACAACTTATATTTCTTTGAGTATATACCCCATAATGGGATTGCTGGGTTGAATGATAATTCTGTTGTAAGTTCTTTGAGAAATCACCACACTGCTTTCCACAATGGCTGAACTAATTAGGAACTAGTATATAAGCACCATTAGGAACTCGTTAGGAGCTAGTATAATGGCCATTCTGACTGGTGTGAGATGGCATGTCATTGTGGTTTTGATATGCATTACTCTAATGATTGGTTAATGTTGAGCTTTTTTTTTTTTAATGTGCCTGTTGGCTGCATTTAATCTTCTTACGAAAAGTGTCTGTTCGTGTCCTTTGCCCATATTTTAATGGGGTGGTTTTCTGCTTGTAAATTTGTTTAAGTTCCTTATAGATTCTGGATATTAGACCTTTGTTGGATGCACAGTTTGCAAATGTTTTCTTCCATTCTGTAGGTTGTTTGCTGATAGTTTATTTTGCTCTGCAGAAGCTCTTTAGTTTAATCAGATCCCATCTGTCAATTTTTGCTTTTGTTGCAATTGCTTTTGGCATCTTCGTCATGAAATATTTGCCAGGTTCTGTGTTAACAACAGTATTTTCTAGGTCATCTGCCAGGATTTTTATAGTTTTAGGTTTTACATTTAAGTCTTTAATCCGTCTTTGAGTTGATTTCTGTATGTGGTATAAGGTAGGGATCCAGTTTCATTCTTCCACACATAGAAACAACGTTTCTTCCAGAGTGAGATTTCTGGAAGGTCATTTGGTAATATGCATTAATATCTTCAAGATGAAAGTTCTAAAAATTTGTCTTAAAGAACTTACTAAAGATGGACTGAAGTTATATACAACACTGTTAAAAGAATGTGGCACTATGATAAAAGTAAGAAATTGGGAGGAAATATTCGCCAATAGAGGACTGGTTAACTTACAAATAAACTGGTTCATCCAGATGTTGGAATACTTACGCAGAAATTTATGAGATTAATGATGTGGAATGATGTTTACTATGTATATATAGTCTCACTCTGTCACCCAGTTTCCCTCGACCTCCCAGGCTCAGGTAGGTGATCCTCCCATCTCAGCCTCCTGAGTAGCTGAGACTACAGGTGCACACCATCATGCCTGGCTAATTTTTTCTCTTTTTTGTGGAAATGGAGTTTCACCATGTTGCCCAGGCTGGTGTCAAACTCCTGGGCTCAAGCAATCTGCCTGTCTCGAGCTCCCAAAGTGCTAGGATTATAGGCATGACCCACTGTGCCCAGCCTATTCATAATGTATTAAGTAAAAATATAAATAAATAAAACAGGTCAAAAAAAACATGTCTAGTTCTATCATATATGTGTTGTGCATGGCATGCACACATGCATGTGTGTGTGTTTGTGTGAAAGATTAGTTGCCAAACCCACAACTGTATCTATGTATAGGTGATGGCATTACAGGTACTTTAATTCTTTTTTGTTTGCTTTGATAACTATAATGAATGCCTATTACCTGTGGGAATTTTTGCCATGTAAGAAATTTATAAAATAAATTACCTTGTGATTTGATCTACATTACAGATGCTTGATACTGCATATGAAATAGCCCACCTTTTCTCAGTTCCCATTTTATGTGTTAAAATTACAGAACATCCACATTTGTGTTACTGTTGATGTTGGTCAAGTTATTAGTCGACATTTATTATGTGGGAACTGTGTACATGACTATAAACAAAACGTAAAGATCTGGAGGAAACTGAAGCAAGAAGCCCAGCGGAGCTGTGGTGCAGATGGCCCTTTGGCAGAAGCTCTACTAATGGGCTGAGATCAGTGGCATGTTTACTGCATGGACTCCTAACAAATGGATTTGGCCAGTCTCAAGGGGCCTCTTAGGCCTCAGTTGGCAAGCAGGGACAAAAGAGAAGAGTAGGTGATGAGGGAATGTAAGGCCACTGCCTGCATTCCCTTAAGAAAACTGGAATCAAGGCCCTACACAAGGTGGAAGCTGGCACAAGCTGCTAAAAGGTTGACTACTTTCTCTATCAAAGCAGCATTTTCTATTTTAGGCTGGAGATTCATAAATACTAGGAACTACCTCAAAAATAGAAAGAGAAAAGGCTTTATAATTAACAGAGTTTATTTTCTAGCAGAATGCAATCCTATCTTAGTTCTAGAGTCTAATCTATTTAGAAATTTCTTCTTGCAGGGCTGATGGGAAGTGCAGTAGTTGGAGACTAAAGTAAGAAATGAAGATTGAGGCCGGTCGCGGTGGCTCACGCCTGTAATCCCAGCACTTTGGGAGGCCAAGGAGGGCGGATCACCTGAGATCAGGAGTTCGAGACCAGCCTGGCCAACATGGTGAAACCCTGTCTCTGCTAAAAATACAAAAAATTAGCCAGGCGTGGTGGTGCAGGCCTGTATTCCTGGCTACTTGGGAGGCTGAGACAGGAGCATCACTTGAACTGGGGAGGCAGAGGTTGCAGGCCACTGCACTCCACCCTAGGCTACAGAGTGAGACTCCATCTCAAAAAAAAAAAAGGAAGAAATGAAGATTGAAGCTAGTCTAGGTCCCAACAAACTGTGACACATAAGTATGTTCTTTTATTTCTTGTGTCCTGTGGAGACCTATCCACCTTTTTCATGTCTCTCCCAGGTCCCTTTTGCTCTTCACACACAGGAAAACCAACAAGATCCCTTGACTCTAGATCAGCGATTCACAGTGTGGTCCCTTGTCCAGCAGTGGCATCTGGAAACATACCGGAAATGTAGATTCTCAGGCTCCACCCCCGACATACTTAGAATTTCTGGGGGTGCAGCCCAGCAATACCTATGTTAACAAACCCTCTGAGTGATTCTGATGCACACTCAAATTTGAGAACCACTGATCTAGATGATGTAACTTTCAAGGTTTCTGGGTAAAACAAGTAGTAAATCATAAAGATCTCAAATAAAGTCATAATACATACCCTGAAATTCAATTAGTTTTTACAATATGTGCAGGCATTATTTTATTCCTTAATTTAATATTTTTTCAAATAAGTATCATTTAATAATACCAAATTTTCTATTTATGTATGTGTATCTATATACATATATATACACATACACCATATAATTGAAACTACATATATGTATATGGTTTATATACAGTTGGCCCTTTAACAACATGAGGATTGGGGCACTGACCCGTGTAGTTGAAAATCCACACATAAATTTTGACTTCCCAAAAACTTAACTGCTGATAGTCTACTGCTTACCAGATGCCTTTCCAATAACATAAACAGTTGATCAGCACATATTTTGTATGTTATATATGTTAGATACTGTATTCTTAAAATAAAATAAGCTAGAGAAAAGAAAGTGTTAAGAAAATCATAAGAGAAAATGCATATATAGCACTATACTACATTTATTGATTCCACAAGTTTAGGTTGTCTGTTGACAAGATGAATTGTCTGTTTGAAATGGCAGCAACCGCAGTTGCAGACCTGAATCTACAGTCTATATAAGGCAATTCAACTTTTTCTTGTGATGTCATGACTTTGCTTCTTGGGAGTACTCCAAGCGTCACTAATGGCGCTTCGTGTCGGTTCCATGCTGTTATTCATGGTTTACGGTATCACACTAAACACGATGACAAATACAAGAGAAGCCTGACAGATCACTTTGTACTGCAAAATGCAATTTACTGGAGAGGCAAACTGCTCAGTGGAAATGAGGAGATGATGTGCGTTTTTTGGTCACTTGGCATTTTAAGCAGATACTCGCAACACTCAAGCTCACTGCAATAGCAGCAGGAGGAGGCTACAGAATTATTACAGCAGTACAGTATGTAGTATGGCTAGTTTTATGCAGTTATGATTTAATACTGCAACTTTACATTTCTCTTGACTGCAAATGGTGCCATAGGTGGTCTGTAAGTGTTTGTGTGCCTACGTTTTGATAAATTTTAAGATATCTTATATTCATGTATATTTTATGGTCATAAATGATAAAATAGACTAGTATCTACATGTTTTTTATGTGTTCATAACACATCTAATGTTTTCTTAATTTTTTCAATAGTTCTAGGCTATTAGGTCCATCTGTGAGCTTTTTCAAGTTGTTGCAAATCTCCAAAAATTTGTTCAAAATATTTATAGGAAAGAAATCCACATATAAGTGGACCCACATAGTTCAAATCTGTGTTCAATGGTCAACTGTATATATACTATATGGCATATAGAGAGAGAGTTATATTTTTTTAATGAAAGACTGCTTATAATATTGTCATCCATTCTAAGATTCCTTATTTGCTAAGATGGGGGACTTGAAGAGAAGGAAGATCAATGGGAAGACTCTCCCACTCTCCTAGAGTTATTTCACAACCATTTCTCCTTTCTCAAATTTCCTGTGCTCTCTTTCCTGCCCTCATTCAAGTGGTCACCTTCCTTATTTCCCTCAGAAATACTCACAGAAGCTGTCAGAAGGGTTATGAGTCAACACTCACGTGCTTGAACCCACATGTCTATCAGCCAACCTTGGTGTGGCTGGACCTCACATTCTGTTTGCCCTTCTGTGATGGATGAACTTGTGTTCTGAATCCCATCCTGTGACTCACCCCAGTGTACCCTTTGTCCTGCGTCATTTGTTAATCCCTTTCTGTTAAGTCATTCACATTAGCACACAAGCATGCTATATTCACCATCTTAAACAAACAAAAACACCTCCTTTTGCCTCATATCCCCATATTCCTTTCCAGCTATTGCTCCACCTCCCCCCTCCCCACTTTGCAACAAAATTCTTCAAAGGAGTTATTTATACTACTGTCTTTACATTCCTTTCTTTACATTCTCTTTTGAAGCCACTCTAAGCCAGCTTTCATCCCAATCACTCCACCAAAACTGTGTTCCTCTGGTCACCAGTGACCTCCACATTCCAAATGAATTTCCATCCTTAGATTACTTGACCACTCACATTTCACAGTTACTCACTCTCTGTGTCTTGAAATACTTTTCTTTTCTTTTTTTTTACTTGGCTTCTCTTATATTCTTCTTTCTCTCAGTTTTCCTTCTACTTTAGTCATTATTACTTTAGACTTTCTTAATCTCTTTTGCTGGATCTTTCTCATCGTCCCCCTAACTTGCAAATACTAAGCACCCCAGAATTAGTCCTCCATCATCTTCTCTTCTATCTACTATCAGGAAATGGCTTACAAAGCCAGTGCCGAGGCTTTAAGTACACAGATGAACACCAAATTTCTATCTTTAGCCTTGATCCTCTCTCTGATATAGGCTATGACCTTTGCCATATTTCTACTGGAATATCTAAAGGTTGTCAAAACCTTCCAGTCAAGACTCTCAGGAACACACACCAAGGCCTAGCTAGCTGGTACCAGGACAGTTCCCTGATGTCAGGGGTTACTTTTCTTTCTTAAAGGCATCTCAGACTTGAAACATCCCTTACATGAGTCATTATTTATCTCTCCCTCCTAATTCCCACTAAACCTGTGCCTCCCAAGTCTTTCTCACTCATAAATTAGAAAATAAATTATCATGGCTAAAGTGTTTTGTGAGTCCTCAGGCTTCCATCTAATCTATCAGCAATTCTGTTGACTCTACCTTCAAATTGTGCCCCAATGCTAACCATGTGTGATGCCTGTCACCCTAGACCACACCATAATCATTTCTCACTTAGGCTAGTGCAAAGACCTCCTTGTTGGTGTCTCTGCTTTGATCCATGCCCCCTTACAATCTCTTCCCCATACAGCAATCAGAGTGATTCCTATAAATTATAAACCAGGTTGAAATTATAAACCAGATTGTTACTCCTTTACTTTAAACCTTCTAATGGTTTTTCTTTTCACTCACAACAGAAGCCAAAGGCCATAACCTACAAGCCTCATGGGGTCTGTGTCCATGCCAATTCTCTGACCTCATTCTCTCTTTCCCCTTGCTCAGCCTGCTGCAGTCCCGTCAGCCTCCAACATACCAAGGACATTCCCACTTTCAGAACTTTGCTACGCTCTTTGTTCCTAGGTTATTCTCCCACTTATCCACACAAGTCCTTCTCTCCTTGCATTTGGGTTCCTTCCATATGTCACCTTATTAGAATGGCTCTCCCTGATCACCCGTCTGATTATTCATTTTCCATTTACCCTATTCTATTCATCATGGCAATTGTCACTACCTGACATTTTATTTATTGTTTACTGTCTGTCTCTTCCCACTAGATTGTTAGCTCCCTGAGTTGGGACACCTTCTTCCATTGCTGTATCAAAGCATTGCCTGGCATAGAGTGGATGTGCAAAGAACATTTCTGAATGAAAGTAGACATAACTTAGAAAAAGGCCTAAATATCACAGGTCCTGATAGCCAGCCTTTCTTTGATGCACTAGAGAAATGTAATGCAAAGTTTAGCAGAAACTTTGGGGGAAAGACCCTCATGAACAAATACAGTGAGCAGGAAAGGCAGCATGGGGCAGCAGGATGGAGCCAAGAGTGCCACAGTATGGTGGGGCCTAATGGACAGCGAGGACACAGGCTTTGGGTGCCCATTCTCCAACCACCAGCTGAACAGTCTTGGATGAAGTAGCCTCAGTCTCCCTAGCCCTCAGTTTCCTCATCAGTAAGATATGGTTTAAATAACTAAGACACTGGATATTCTGATCATAAAAATATTATACCTAACTTTTTGCATATCGTATAATTAGTGAAACTATGGTCTTCATTTTCACTTTTCTTTACAGTTATCCACTTTGTTTCCACCTCCTCTCACCCTCTCTCCCTTCTCATCTCCTATAAATGTGCTGTTACCTCCCATAGCACCAAGATTACCTACCCCAAGCAACAGACTCCTGGTTGGTTAGTCATTTTAAAGCGTTTTTTTTTTTTTTGCCAATGCCCCCAATCCAACATGACTGCAGCCTGTTAATTCTGTCTTAAAACCCCACTCTGCTCTGCCTTTCCCACCTCACACCTGAATTGTTGTGGTTATCTCCCTAGAATCATCTCCAACTTCCTCCCAAATCATCTCCATTCACCCAAATGCAACAGACATAGTTCTTCAACAGGAAGAGTTTTCATCACCTCAGTCTTTGGTCAACCCCTTGGGTCATAACCAGTCTTTTCAAGCTAATTAATGACTAGTTCCTCCCTTTCATGATCTCTCTGCTCAGCATCCGTTATTCTGTCTCCTCTCCAGCCATCTCCAGTGAATTTGGAAATACTTTGCAGGTTGTTCTGGTTCTCACCTCTGTGCCTTTGTGCATATTAGTTTCTCACCTCCTTTGGAATTTAAAATAAAAATAGCCATTTCCTTTAGGAAGCCTTTGATTGGCTTCACCTACTTCTTATCATAGATGAGCAGAACAGCAGAACATCTGAGTTGTAAGCAGATTCCTCTATGCTGTGTTGTCATGGAGATGGCTGGGCTCTGCTGCTGCATCATCCTTAAGGCAAGGGGTCTTTGCTGAGGCTGATAACACCATGCTGGAGCCCCACCTCCTTTATAAGCTCCTAACACTGCTGCAACCCTCTCCATGCTCCTTTCTCTGGAAGCCCTCTGCATGCTCCTTCCTCTGGAAGCCCTGCAAGCCCCTAACATGGCTGCAACCCTCCTCCATGCTTCTTCCTCTGCAAGCCCTGTGAGTTTTCAGATGAGCTTAGGCTTTTTGAAACACGAACCAGAAAATGATCTCTCTTCCACTCTGCCACAGGGCCAACCCCTGAGCTAGCTATCTGCGTAAGCCACAGGAGAACAGAAGAAAAAAAGTCAAATATTATCTAACCCCAAGAGTATGAGGCAGCTTTTGCTGAAACATATACCTGTGTGATAGTTGATAATACAAAATTATCCCCTAAGGTATTTAAGGTGGATTCACGATGGAAAGTTTATTTTATTCCATTTCAGATAGACAGAGTCTGGCTCCCATAAATCTTATATGACATTATAGGAAACTGACCCATTTGTACTTGGCCTGAGTTCTTAGACTTTGGAAAGATATGTAACATCTCCCAGTATAAGCTGAGGAATACATGTAAGAATTAATTTGTCATGATCTCTTTACATTTCTGACACGAAGATTAAAAAATAGAGTGAGCGTTTGAGACACCTGAAGGTTAAACTTTACCCTTCAAATTCACAGGAAACTTGTCTTGGAATAAGTGTAATTGTGCCTGGGAAACTATATAGCCTGAGGGCAGGCACTGGTGTGTGAAAACAAAGTAGAAGAAGAAAAGCTTATCCAGAAAGTGGGCTGGATTGCAGCCTTTTGTCGTATGCAAAAGGTCCACAACTAGAATGAAGTGGAAAAGTACATACTTTATCTTTTCCTAATTCTGAAAATATTTTTAAGTGCTTTTATGTTCCTGTTTCTGTGTACTTTGTAAAACCAGCAGTACATTGCTTCTTTATGGTAATCACATCTGTGAAACAGCTTTAGGAAGAGCCTTACAAGTTCTACAGCTATTACTTTTTCAACACATAAATGGTAGATTCATTCCTTCTTCATTCGTCCTACAAACGTTTATTGCTGCTAATTTTTTTAAATGTGGTTTGAATCCTTTGTCTCTCTGTCTGAATTTTTACTTCGGACTGAGTCAAGTTTCTTTTCAGGCTATTTGAATACATTTTGATAAAGGAAGACTGCTCATTAAGGGCAGCAGACATACTGGTTTCTTTTGGTTTTGTTTTTATTTGTGCTTTTCTCCTGGAGTGTGGAAAACATGAAAGGAATATAAGATCAGAGAATTTTAAAGTGGAAAGAAACATCCTAATCTGTAGCTTTTTTCTTTTTTTCAAATACAGACACTAAGGCCCACAGTAGGTAATTGATTGCAAGTTAAACATCCTGTTAATGATAAAATTGGCAATAGGAAGCAGACTATCTCCATTCTGGTCTTTTTCAAAAATCCCCCAGGATAAATGTTTATCTTGTTTACTATCTTATCTCCAGGGCTTAGAAATGAGCATGTATAGGACACAAGAGATATATCATAAATATTTGCTGAATGAACGAATGAATGTCCAAACCTGGATGAAGCTACCAATGCCTTTAGAAATGATCTAGAAAAGCATCCCTGGGGTGACTGGGAAGATGACTGAATAGGAACAGCTCCAGTCTCTAGCTCCAGGCAAGATCAATGCAGAAGGCGGGTGATTTCTGCATTTCCAACTGAGTTACCCAGCTCATCTCACTGGGACTGGTTAGACAGTGGGTGCAGCCCACGGAGGGTGGGCCGAAGCAGGGTGGGGCATTGCCTCACCCGGGAAGCACAAGCGGTTGGGGAACTCTCTCCCCTAGCCAAGGGAAGCCCTGAGGGACTGTGCTATGTGGAATGGTAGTATCCAGCCCAGATACTACGCTTTTCCCACAGTCTTTGCAACCCACAGACCAGGAGATTCCCTCAGGTGCCTGTACCACCAGGGACCCTGGGTTTCAAGCACAAAACTGGGCGGCCATTTGAGCAGACACTGAGCAAGCTGCAGGAGTTTTTTTCATACCCCAGTGGCACATGGAAAGCCAGCGAAAGAGCACCGATCACTCCCCTGGAAAGGGGGCTGAATCCAGGGAGCCAAATGGGCTAGTTCAGCAGATCCCACACCCACAGATCCCAACAAGCTAAGATCCACTGGTTTGAAATTCTCGCTACCAGCACAGCAGTCTGAATGCGACCTGGGATGCTTCAGCTTGGTGGGGCGAGGGGTGTCTGCCATCAGTGAGGCTTGAGTAGGCGGTTTTCCCCTCACAGTGTAAACCAAGCCACCAGGAAGTTTGGACTATGCTGAGCCCACCAAAGCTTGGCAAAGCCTCTGTAGCCAGACTGCCTCTCTGAGCAGGGCATCTCTGAAAGACAGGCAGCAGCCTCAGTCAGGGGCTTATAGATAAAACTTCCATCTCCCTGTAACAGAGCACCTGGGGGAAGGGGTGGCTGTGGGTGCAGCTTCAGCAGACTTAAACATTGCTGTCTGCTAGCTCTGAAGAGAGCAGCGGATCTCTCAGCACAGCCCTCGAGCTCTGCTAAGGGACTCAGTTGGTCCTTGACCCCTGTGCTTCCTGACTGGGAGACACCTCCCAGCAGGGATTGACAGACACCTCATATAGGAGAGCTCCGGCTGGCATCTGGCAGGTGCCTCTCTGGGATGAAGCTTCCAGAGAAAGGAACAGGCAGCAATCTTTGCTGTTCTGGAGCCTCTGCTGGTGATACTGACGCAAACAGGATCTAGAGTGGAACTCCAGCAAACTCCAGCAGACCTGCAGCAGAGAGGCCTGACTGTTAGAAGAAAAACTAACAAACAGAAAGGAATAGCATCAACATTAACAAAAAGGATGTCCACACAGAAACCCCATCCGATGGTCACCAGCATAAAAGACCAAAGGTAGATAAATCCACAAAATGAGGAAAAACCAGTGCAAAACGGCTGAAAATTCCAAAAACCAGAACACCTCTTCTCCTCCAAAGGATCACAGTTCCTTGCCAGAAAGAGAACAAAACTGAATGGAGAATGAGTTGGACGAATTGACAGGCTTTAGAAGATGAGTAATAACAAACTCCTCTGAGCTAAAGGAGCACATTCTAACCCAATGCAAGGAAGCTAAAAACCTTGAGAAAAGGTTAGAGGAATTGCTAACTGGAATTGCCAGTTTAGAGAAGAACATAAATGACCTGATGGAGCTGAAAAACTCAGCATGAGAACCTTGTGAAGCATATACAAGTATCAATAGCCAAATTGATCAACTGGAAGAAAAGATATTAGAGATTGAAGATCAGCTTAATGAAATGAAGCATGAAAACAAGATTAAAGGAAAAAGGGTAAAAAGGAAAGAACAAAAAGCCTCCAAGAAATATGGGACTATGTGAAAAGACCAAACCTGTGTTTGATTGGTGTAGGTGAAAGTGACAGGGACAATGGAACCAAATTGGAAAACACTCTTCAGGATATTATCCAGGAGAACTTCCCCAAACTAGCAAGACAGGCCAACATTCAAATTCAGGAAATACAGAGAACGCCACAAAGATACTCCTCGAGAAGAACAACCCAAAGACACAAATTCACCGAGGTTGAAATGAAGGAAAAAATGTTAAGGCAGCCAGAGAGAAAGATCAGGTTACCCACAAAGGGAAGCCTATCAGAATAACAGTGGATCTCTCGGCAGAAATCCTACAAGTCAGAAGAGAGTGGGGGCCAATATTCAACATTCTTAAAGAAAAGAATTTTCAAGCCAGAATTTCATATCCAGCTAAACCAAGCTTCATAAGCAAATGAGAAATAAAATCCTTTACAGACAAGCAAATGCTGAGATATTTTGTCACCACTAGGCCTGTCTTACAAGAGCTCCTGAAGGAAGCACTAAATATGGAAAGGAAAAACCAGTACCAGCCACTGCAAAAACATGCCAAATTGTAAAGACCATCAACACTATGAAGAAACTGCATCAATTAATGGGCAAAAGAACCAGCTAGCATCATAATGACAGGATCAAATTCACACATAACAATATTAACCTTAAATGTAAATGAGCTAAATGCCCCAATTAAAAGACACAGACTGGCAAATTAGATAAAGAGTCAAGACCCATCGGTGTGCTGCATTCAGGAGACCCATCTCACATGCAAAGACACACATAGTCTCAAATTAAAGGGAAGGAGGAATATTTACTAAGCAAATGGAAAGCAAAAAAAAAAAAAAAAAAAAAAAAAAAAAAAAAAAAAAAAAAAAAAAGCAGGGGTTGCAATCCTAGTCTCTGACAAAACAGACTTTAAACCAACAAAGAACAAATAAGACAAAGAAGGGCACTACATAATGGTAAAGGGATCAATGCAACAAGAAGAGTTAACTATCCTAAATATATATGCCCCCCACACAGGAGTACCCAGATTCATAAAGGAAGTTCTTAAAGACCTACAAAGAGACTTAGACTCCCACACAATAATAGTGGGAGACTTTAACACCCCACTGTCAATATTAGACAGATCAAAGAGACAAAAAATTAACAAGGATATTCAGGACTTGAACTCAGCTCTGGACCAGGCGGACCTAATAGACATTTACAGAACTCTCCATCCCAAATCGACAGAATATACATTCTTCTCAGCACCATGTGACACTTATTCTAAAATCGACCACATAATTGGAAGTAAAAGACTCCTCATCAAATACAAAAGAACAGAAATTATAACAGTCTCTCAGACCACAGTGCAATCAAATTACAACTCAGGATTAAGAAACTCACTCAAAACCACACAACTACATGGAAACTGTACAAGCTGCTCCTGAATGACTACTGGGTAAATAACAAAATTAAGGCAGAAATAAGTAAGTTCTTTGAAACCAATGAGAACAAAGACACAACATAACAGAATCTCTGGGACACAGCTATAGCAGTGTTTAGAGGGAAATTTGTAGCACTAAATGCCCACAGGAGAAAGCAAGAAAGATCTAAAATTGACACCCTAACATCACAATTAAAAGAACTAGAGAAGCAAGAGCAAACAAATTCAAAAGCTAGCAGAAGACAAGAAATAACTAAGATAAGAGCAGAACTGAAGGAGATAGACATGAAAAACCCTTCAAAAAATCAGTGAATCCAGGAGCTGGTTTTTTGAAAAGATTAACAAAATAGATCACTAGCCACACTAATACAAAAGAACAGAGAGAAGTGTCAAATAGACACTATTAAAAATGATAAAGGGGCTATCACCCCTGATCCTACAGAAATATAAACTACCATCAGAGAACACTAAAAACACCTCTACACAAATAAACTAGAAAATCTAGAAGAAATGGATGAATTCCTGGACACATACACCCTCCCAAAACTAAACCAGGAAGAAGTTGAATCCCTGAATAGACCAATAACAGGTTCTGAAATTGAGACTGTAATTAATAGCCTACCAACCAAAAAAAGCCCAAGACCAGACAGATTCACAGCTGAATTCTACCAGAGGTACAAAGAGGAGCTGTACCCATTCCTTTTGAAACCACTCCAAACAATAGAAAAAGAGGGAATCCTCCGTAACTCTTTTTATGAGGCCAGCATCATCTTGATACCAAAACCTGAAAAAAAAGAAAATTTTAGGCCAATATCCCTGATGAACATCGATGAGAAAATCTTCAATAAAATACTGGCAAACCAAATCCAGCAACACATCAAAAAGCTTATCCAACACGATCAAGTTGACTTCATCCCTGGGATGCAAAGCTCATTCAAAATACACAAATCAGTAAAAGCAATCCATCACATAAACAGAACCAATGACAAAAACCACATGATTATCTCAATAGAAGCAGAAAAGGCCTTCAACAAAATTCAACACCCCTTCATGCTAAAAACACTCAATAAACTAGGCATTGATGGAATGTACCTCAAAATAATAAGAGCTATTTATGACAAACCTACAGCCAATATCATACTTAATGGGCAAAAGCTGGAAGCATTCCATCTGAAAACCAGCACAAGACAACATAGTATTGGAACAACAATTCAACATAGTGTTGGAAGTTCTGGCCAGGGCAATCAGGCAAGAGAAAGAAATAAAGGGTATTCAAATTGGAAGAGAGGAAGTCAAATTGTCTCCATCTCCAGATGACATGATTGTATATTTAGAAAACCCCATTGTCTCAGCCTAAAATCTCCTTCAGCTGCTAAGCAACCTCAGCAAGGTTTCAGGATACAAAATCAATGTGCAAAAATCATGAGCATTCCTACACACCAATAACAGACAAACAGAGAGCCAAATCATGAGTGAACTCTAATTCACAATTGCTACAAAGAGAATAAAAACCTAGGAATACAACTTACAAGGGATGTGAAAGACCTCTTCAAGGAGAACTACAAACCACTGCTCAAGGAAATAAGAGAGGACACAAACAAATGGAAAAACATTCCATGCTCATGGATAGGAAGAACCAATATCATGAAAATGGCCATACTGCCCAAAGTAATTTATAGATTCAATGCTATCCCCCTCAAGCTACCATTGACTTTATTCACAGAATTAGAAAAAACTACTTTAAATTTCATGTGGAACCAAAAAGACCCTGTATAGCCAAGACAATCCTAAGCAAAAAGAACGAAGCTGGAGGCATCATGCTACCTGACTTCAAACTATACTACAAGGCTACAGTAACCAAAACAGCATGGTACTGGTACCAAAACAGATATATAGACCAAAGGAATGGAACGGAGGCCTCAGAAACAACACCATACATCTACAACCATCTGATTTTTGACAAATCTGGTAAAAGTAAGCAATGGGGGAAGGATTCCTTATTTAATAAATGGTGTTGGGAAAACTGGCAAGCCATATGCAGAAAACTGAAAGTGGACCCCTTCCTTACACCTTATACAAAAATTAACTCAAGATGGATTAAATACTTAAACATAAGACCTAAAACCATAAAAACCCTAGGAGAAAATCTAGGCAATACCATTCAGGACATAGGCATGGGCAAAGACTTCATGACTAAAGCACTGAAAGCAATGGCAACAAAAGACAAAATTGATAAATGGGATCTAATTAAACTAAAGAGCTTCTGCACAGCAAAAGAAGCTATCATCAGAGTAAACAGGCAACCTACAGAATGGGAGAAAAATTTTGCAATCTATCCATCTGACAGAGGGCTAATATTCAGAATCTACAAAGTACTTAAACAAATTTACAAGAAAAAAATAACCCCATCAAAAAGCATGCGAAGGATATGAACAGACACTTCTCAAAAGAAGACATGCATGCGGCCAACAAACATATGAAAAAAAAAATCATCATCGTTGGTCATTAAAGAAATGCAAATCAAAACCACAATGAGATACCACCACCTCATGCCAGTTAGAATGGTGATCATTAAAAAGTCAGGAAATAACATGCTGGAGAGGATGTGGAGAAATAGGAATGCTTTTACACTATTGGTGGGAGTGTAAATTAGTTCAACCATTGTGGTAGACAGTGGGGCGATTCCTCAAGGATCTAGAACCAGAAATACTACTTGGCCCAGCAATCCCATTACTGAGTATATACCCAAAGGATTATAAATCATTCTATTATAAAGACACATGCACACGTATGTTTATTGCAGCACTTCACAATAGCAAAGACTTGGTACCAACGCAAATGCCTACCAATGATAGACTGGATAAAGAAAATGTGGCACAAATATAGCATAAAATACTATGCAGCCATAAAAAAGGATGAGTTCACGTCCTTTGCAGGGACATGAATGAAGCTGGAAACCATCATTCTCAGCAATCTAACACAGGAACAGAAAACCAAACACTGAATGTTCTCACTCAAAAGTGGGAGTTGAACAATGAGAAGACATGGACAAAGGGAGGGGAACATCACACACTGGGGTCTGTGGGGGGCTGGTAGGCTAAAGGAGGGATAGCATTAGGAGAAATACCTAATGTAGATGACGGGTTGATAGGTGCAGCAAACCACCATGGCACATGTATACCTCTGTAACAAACCTGCACGTTCTGCACATTTATCCCAGAACTTAAAGCATAATTAAAAAAATTAAAAAAGAAGAAAAGCACCCCTATTCAAAAAAGGAAAAGAAAATCCTATGAATTTGTTATGGTTCCAGGTCTATTTCTGGTTAAACATTATATCCAACGTGGTGAAGCACTGGGAGCTCTATATCAGCTCTCTAAAACATACTGTGTTAATACAAAATAAAGGTAGTTCTAGATTCTGAAGTTTCTCAGACTCTCGTAAATATCTCAATTAATCAACAATGGGAACTTAAGAGTGCTGAAATTCCTTAAGTTTAGTAGATTCCATCTGTATCCTTAAGAGAGTCTCAGGGAAGACCCCAGTGACTGGCACTTGTAGGCTCTAGGACTAAACTGCTGCTGGGTCCCATTTTTCATGGCAAATGGCCCAGCGTAGGATCCCTGCTTTGGAAACTTCAAAGTCCTTTCAGTAGACAAAGCATATAGTTATAGGACTAATTATCAGGATCTTGAAGAGTTTCTTTGTTTTTAGGCAGGGTCTCACTTTGTCACCCAAGCTGGAGTGCAATGGCCTGATCACAGATCACTGCAGCCTCAACCTCCTTGGCTCAAGCAATCCTTCTTCCTCAGCCTCCCAAGTAGTTGGGACCACAAATGTGTACCACCATGCCTGACTAACTTGTTTTATTTTTTGTATAGTTGGAGTCTTACTATGTGCCTAGGCTGGTCTTGAACTCCTGAGCTCAAGTGACCCTCCCGCCTCAGCCTCCTAAAGTGCTGCAATGACAGGTGTGAGCCATCATGCCTGGCCAGGAGCCTGAAGACTTTCTTATGTCTATATGCTCACATAAATAATGAGTGATAACAACCCAAACTCAATATTAAGAACTTTTAAACAGTCATCCCCCTTCCAAGTTAAAGGCTACAGTTTTGTTCAAATATGCATCTGGGTCCATCTGAGGATCATTCTCAGGAGGAAAATCATTTTCCTCCACAGAAGCCACAAGACCATGGCTGAAAGAGATAGTGTGTCCTTCAGTGGCTCCTGCACCATGATCAGAGGTCACTGAATCTCTACCTATTGTATATGATGAACAAGAAAGAAGAAATTCTCATTACAGACATGCTTTCCCTAGTGTAAAGAAGAAAGGATAGTAAATGCTATAGCAAAGTTATATTAGGGAGAGTCAGACTATGTGATTCACCCCTTACTCCCATCCTGTGTGCCAGAATGAGAAGTGTTCAACATTTCTAAAGCAAGAGAAGAAATCTGAGGAAACCCTGCCTCATTCTGTTTCAAGTTCACATAGTATCACACTGTTTCACACAGCTACCTATTGCAAATTCTGACAGCAGCATTTCTACAGTTCATTTTAACAGGGATAATGATTATTTGCCAATGCAAAGCAGAAGTTGCAGTCTAAGTTAAATTTTAAATCAGAGCAGAGGGCACACAAAATGAATCCAACTGGGAATTATAAAAGGAAAACATGAATTTAGGCTGACATTGCGAGGAAAGATTTTTTTCTCAAAGAACCAAACTCTGAAGAATATTCAAAAAAGCATTGAGTGAAGCAAGCATTATAGATGGGGAGAAAAAGAGCCATACACAAGAATAAACATGCCTCTGAAAGGTGGAATTATCTCACCTTGTTCCACTTTCTCAGCAGTTGGCACACATGCCACCCTTAGTATGAATGCAAATAATCAGCACTTCATCCTTGTTCTTTCATATTCAAACATATTTATACATTATTCATATTTTAAACAGCTAGGTAGAAGGTGCTCTAATTTGCTTTCTACTTTTCTCCCCTAGCACTTGTTCATTATGTCCTGTACACACGGTGAGAGCCCAGTAAATACCACTGGTCCACTGAAGCCCCATGAACCCTTTTTAAGTTATTGGAGATGCATAACCAGAACCTTCCTGGTCCCAGAAGTGAGACCTCAGCCATGCCTCTCCAGCACAGAGCTTGGCTCCTAAGCAGGGCATCTGCTTTTGTGATTCTTTTTTTTTTTTTTTTTTTGGTGCTTGTTTCTGTTAGGTTGCTTAACCTCTTTGCATCCCCATTTCATCATTATTAATATGCAAATGATGATGACAATAATATTTACCTCACAAGCTTATTGTTGTTTGGAGAATAAAATATAGATATAGGTATAGATATATGAAATCAATAAAAATAGATACCCTTTCCTCTCCCCATTTCTACACTGTAATTCAAAGTCCTGCAAGGATTGACCAGCACCAAGGTGACAGAAAAACAGATCAAGAAGTGCAGTGAAAATCTCATTAATATCAAGATAAGGTCGTACTAATTCTTAGATATAGCAGGTAAAGACACACGCTTATGTAGAGGTAAGAGTTCAAGCAAAAATAGTGCAACACTTGGGACTTGGAGAAGACAAGATCTCAGTGCAGGCCTGCCCAGGAAATACCAGTTCATTTACACACTAACTCCTCATCCTCAGCTTAAAAATCTTGGGAGCAGCTGTGTATTTTCTTGTTGTGTCCAAAACTCTGTCCAACTCCCTCTTGACCCATTGTGCAGTTTGGCAGTTTGCTTCACATTCTGCTCATACCTTTTTTTTTTTTTTTTTTTTTTTTTTTTTCAGAGAATGCCTGTCTGTGGAGACCTCAGGCACATCCCACTCCAGTGCTACCCAGGGGACTTCCACTGACTCCTTTGCCCAGCTCCCATTCATAGACGTTTCTTTTGGCATTCTCCTGACTCACCAAAGGACTCTTCACCTCTTTTCTTTCATTTGAAATGGAAGCAATTGTGTTTAACTACATTTTTCCTTTATGCTTTTATTCCTGTACACTTATTTAGTAAGTGCAGTGCTCTTTTACTCCTTAAACTCATCTGTGATTTTCCATATTTTAGAAAGTGAAATGAGCAGTTCCGCTTCGGAGATTGAGTCTGAGAAATGGTTATTTTTTAAAAAATAGAAACAGTCTGGGGAAAGTCCTTCTTTCACATTTTATGCCAGAATCTTTTCTGTTCTTACTAATTTTCTAACTCGTGGTAGGATGAGGAAAAACTGTTCATTTTAGCCGGCTCCTGTGTGATTGTAATGAATACTCCTATTGGATTACAAACACAATAATGAAAAAGACAATGATTGGCTTCCACTCTAACACATAGAACTAGGGAACTGAGCTGCTTCTGAGTCATATTTTTTAAGAGTTCATTTGCAAACAAGTATAGTAATCAAAGGGCTCCTTCCAAGGGAACTGAATAAAGATGGAGCCATGAACCAGAAAATAAACTGATTGCCCACTTGGAAATTGACAAATTAACTATGATGATGAACAAAATTAAGTAGGGATCTAGCTCTATAACTTGCATGGGAAGTACATGGATGTTGTGTGTGTGTTTCTGTGTGTGCATGTGTGTGTGATTATATCCTTTCATCCTCAAATATGGAATTACTGTGTGCACCCAGAGCTAGAAAGATCAATGTTTGTACAATGGTTTGTTCCTATTCATTTTCTTTCAAACAACTTTCACATTTATAAGGCTTTCCTGAGTGTGCCTCTCTTATCAATCCATTAAGCAACTCTTTATTCAAATATTCATGTTTGATCACACCTCTCAAAACTAACCACTGGACCCCCTTTTCTCTACAAGGTAAAATTAAAAGTCCTTAACCTCCCATATAAAAAGAAAACCGAAAATCCTCATGATATAGAATCTGCTTCTCTCTCAAAGCTCATGTTGCAGACACAGGTTTCAATCTGATATTCATTCCCAACTGTTATTCTCCTTTATTACTCTGAAATAGAACCTGAAAAGCTAAACTGTCACTTCCCCAACCTCCCTTTGGATTAGGGGCTGCCATGTGATACAATGCCAGCTGAAGAGAGAATTACAAGCAGAATCAGTGAAGGCACTTCTAAAAAAAGGCTTTTGTTATCCTTAGGAAAGGGAAAAAGATATGTTAGTGGCTTCCACTTCCCCTCTTCCTCCTTTTTCCTGACTTAAAAATAAAGATAAGATGACTAGAGCTAGAGCAGCCATTCTGTGACCATGAAAAAAGGGCATTAAAATTGCAGAGACGCTGGCCCTGATAGTGGATCTACTGAAAAAAAACTTCCTGACTATATTAGAAAAATGAACCCTTGTCTGTTTGGTTAATTTGGGTTCTCTATTATTGTTGCAGGATGGAAGCCTAACTGACATACTCACCTTCCACCATTCTTATTTCCATCAAAATTTATGCTCCAACAATATTTTGCCCAAATTACTCTCCCAGTAAGTCTTCTTGAGACATCTCAATCCCAAAATTGTTAGTAATAATTATTAATTATTCCCCCTTCTCTAGGTTTTCTCTTTATTTTGAAGATACTTTCATTATTGAACTTCTCACATAGCATTATCATTTATTTATATGCTTGGGGTTATAAATAGACACTAAATAAAATATTGTTGGGTGCTATGGAATCATTAGCTATGTACAATGTTGGAATCCTCGGAGGACACCAACATTAAAAGCATAAAAGTTTGGCTCGTAGGATTGTGCTGCGTGGATACTACTTGATTACACCATCATTCATATCCTATTGCATCCTCTGACACTCCATTGCTAGGGACACATCTTGCTCAGAAATACTTGTGTCATTGGCTTGTGACTAGGAAATACAATGTTCCTTATTGACTAAACCTTTTGCAAGGGGGATGAAAGGATGCCACGCTGTTCCTCTCCTTGACACCTAGGCAGAATCTCTTTACTTCTCTTCCTGGGAATACTTGTTCCCTCTAGTCTGTCTACAGAACATCCTTTAAGTTCCAGGTCAAGGAATACCTCCACAAAGAACTCTTCTTTTCCATTCACACTCCAGAATTTATTGTTCTTTCGTTGAATCACAGTATTTTACATGTGCCTCTATCATGTTGTGCTGTATTTATTTATTTACATATCTGTCTTTTCTAAATATAGTAAGCTCCTGGATGCAAGCGTTCATGTTTGATTGATATTCAAGGTTTAAGTATCTGAAAAAGTATCTCTCACAAATACTTGTTTAATGAAACGATGGCATTCACTTTATCAACGTACCAACACTCTTCCAAGTAAAAGGCAAGAGAAAGGTCAAATACTTTGGAATATCTTCGAGGTTCTAAATTTCATGGATTCCATCATTTGGTGTATAGAATTTAAAAATAAAAGACTAAAGTATAATTTGTAAAAATATAACACTACAAATCGTTTTGGAGAGGCAATGAATTGTAACGGGGATTTAGTTTATCAATTACCAGCTCAGGTAATCGCAAATGGGCACATTCTGTGAAAGTGTATATTGTTGAAATTAATCTGTACTCTCATCTTGTGTAATTTTTCCTTTCTTTGCATTAAACAAGATTTGTATTTGTATTATGCCCTTTGACCAGAGTCTTCAATACCACCCACGAACTATTTAGGCAGTGCATCAGGAGAATGAGCTCTTTTGCATGAAAAACATCAAAATGTAGAACATGTACCCCATAAAGTTTCTATAGGACATCACTGTGCAACTCAGTCATGAAATTTTTTTCCAGTTGGATATTATTAATTGTTGCAATTATTATTATTGAAATCGTCCCAAAAGATTGCAATGTGATTAGGACCAAAAGAACAAACATTTTAGCAAATATATTGGCTGCTTATGGAATAAAGTGCTATTCCACAGCCAGCTTTTTGTTGCAAACCATGTTATGTAAAAAAACACAAGCTCCCCAAAATGGACATGGGCCTTCACTATCTTTCTGGATTAAATTATAGCATCTTTCAAATGATTTTTTTGGTATGTGTGCTACTCTATTTTCATTATGAAGAAAAAAAATTTGGATACGAGCTTTGGATAAAATTATGGCCTCATCAAGACACGAATAAATTACATATGCCTCATTAAAACTTGTCAGTTTAATTCAGATAACATTTATTTATTATAAGTGTTTTAAAGGTTTATAGTTATTTTCCACATTATTTCACTGCACTTTACTTACCCTCACTTAAAATTCTTTTTGTATGGTGAACTGTATAGTTTAATTTTTATTTCCATTATTTTCCTACTGAAAGTTACATTTTAAAAATGCTGTTATTTTCCATTTGCCTCATAGGTGTCTATCATGCACTAGGCAATATGATTTTCTTAGAATTCCCAATGGGCTCTGTGCTACTTATTTGCATGTACTGTGTCGACATATGAATCTTGAGGGAAATAAATTTACTTTGTGAAATGTATTTATTATGTCGCACTGTGTCCTATGCCAAAGCAATTCAAACAAAGGGCAAACAAAGGACTATGTCTTCCAACAATTCTAACATTTTAAAAAACAAAAAGATTTTTTCTTTTTTGTTTTCTTCAAGATAGGGTCTTGCTTTGTCATCCAGCCTGGAGTGCAGTGGCCCGATCATGGCTCACTATAGCCTCCACCTCCCTGGGCTCAGGTGATCTTCCAGAGTATCACCTGATACTCAGTTTAGCCTCCAGAGCAGCAGAGAGTAGAGGTGTGCACCACCATCCCAGCTAATTTCATGCTTTTTGTAAAGATGGGTTTTACCATCTTGCCCAGGCTGGTCTCAAACTCCTGAGCTCAGGTGATCCACCTGCCTCTGCCTCCCAAAGTGCTGGGATAACAGGCATGAGCCACCAAGCCAAGCCTTCTTAATATTTTTGTACACTAGAAAAGTACTTTTGGTTTTATCTCACATGATTTAGCTGTAGAGATCAGTTTATCTGATGTATAAATTTCTCTATTTGTCTCAATAGGTTATAAATATATAAAAGCCATTTATTTGTCAAAAGCTATTGAAAGTAATAGGTATTTCCAAATATAACAACATGCTATAAGGTAAGAAGCAAAGGATTTGGAGGCAGGCAGATGTTAATTCCAATGTTGAATCTGCAATTTACCAGCTATGTGAGTCACAGTTTCCTCATCTATTAAGTGGGGGGTCACAATAAATACCTTGAAAGATTGTTGCAAGCTGTATTAGTCAGGGTTCTCTAGAGGGACAGAATTAATAGGAGATATATATATATATATATATATATATATATATATATATATATATATACACACACACACACATATACATATATATATATATCTCATATATACCAATAAGTATGAAATGCTTGTGTGTGTGTGCGTGTGCTCATTTCAACTTAATCCCATTCATAAGTGCAGAGCCCTCATGATTAAATCACCTCCCAGTGGCTACACTTTTTAATACTACTGCATTGAGGATTAAATTCCAACATGAATTTTTGAGGAAACACAATCATTGAAACATATCAGCTAAGTACCACCTGGAAATAGACAAATGCAGCACTACAGCCCCTTTCTTGAATACTCCTGAAGGACAGTGGTGAAGGGATTTCCTTGCAGTGGGCAGAACATCAAGCAGTGCACCTGATTGTTTATTTTGCTTGAAAGGAGTAATTGCCAGGGGTTTGGATGGATGATCAGAGTCCTGGAAAAAAACATGACTGGAAAATTGTTGACAAGAATTTCTGGGTGGGGGGAAGTATATGAATAGATAGACCTCTCTGGATGGACAAAGAATGTGAATATACGTGTGGCCCATGTGATTGCTCACCAAAAGGTGACCTCAGCAGCAGAGGATTTTAATAATCAAGTAAATACTGATTCTGTGGATACCACTCAGCATCTTTCTTAGACACACCTTTCATCACCCAGTGGATTATGAACAAAGTAGCCATGGTGCTAGAAACAGAGATTATGCATGGGCTCAGCAATATGGATTCTACTCACCAGGCTGACTAAGCTATTGCTATTGCTGAGTGCCCAATCTGCCAGCAGAAGAAACCAACACTGCCGCAATCCTGCAGGTTGATCAGCCAGCTACTTGGTGACAGATTATGTTGGACCACTTTCATCATAAAAGGGAAAGCACTTTGTTCTTTTAGAAAAAGTCACTTATTCTGCATATAGGTTTGCTTTTCTTGTATATAATCCTTCTGTTGAAACGTACGGAATGTCTTATCCACAATCATGACATTGTACAAAGCAGTGCTTCTTATCAAGGGCCGCAACGGTCCCGTGCTCATGGAGTTCACTGGTCTTACCATTATACCCTATCATCCTGAAGCAGTTGGGGTGACAGATGGCATATAGCCTTTTGAAGATACAGTTGCAATGCCAGCTAGGTGGTAATGCCTTGTGAGGTTGGGGCAGGAGGCCATATATGCTCTAAATCGGTATCCAACGTGTGGTATTTTTTCTCCCATAGCCAAAATTCATGGGTCTGAGAATCAAGGAGTAGAAATGGGAGTAGCTCTAATCACTATTATCCTTTTTGATCTACCAGCAAAATGTTTGCTGACCTTGGGCTCTGCTGGTCTAGAGTTCTAAAGGAAGGAATGTTTCTAGCAGGAGACACAACAGTGATTCCATTGAATTGAAAGTTGAAAGAACCACCTGGCCACTTTGGGCTCCTCATGTCTCTGAAGCAACAGGCAAAGAAGGAAGTTTCTATACTGGTTTGTGTTATTGATATTGACTACCAATTGGGATCTTTCTACAGAACACAGATAAGTTGGAGTATGTAGAGAATACAGTAGATCCTTCAGGGAGTCTCCTAATCCTCATGCCCCGTGATTAAAGTTAATGGAAAACTACAACAACTCAACTGTAGCAAAACTGCTAATGGTCCAGATCCTTCAGAAATGAAGATCTGGGACATCCCTGCAGGTAATAAAAAATAAGCAGTTGAGGTGCTTGTTGAAGGCAAAAGGAATACAGAATGAATAGTGGAAGAACATAGTTATAAATATCAATTATGGCTAATGATCAGCTGCAAAAATAAGGACTATAATAGTTACAGATTTTTTTCTTATTATGAATGTTTGTATATATATTTAGCAAATATTTTTGTGTTCTTTCCTCTCTTATCCCCTTTTCATCTAACATAGGCTGTATTAATAATAGTTAACTTTATATCACAATATTTACATTATAGAATATCAAGGAGAAAAGTGAACAGTACCCAAGACTTTGCATCCTCTTCTGAGGAAAGCGTTAGTGTGGTTTTGGTGGCATGGAAGATAGTTGTATCATATTAGATGGAAGTATGATTTTGCCATTATTTTTATTTGGAGATTAAGTATGGTTCCAGAAGATGTGTATGGATGTAAAATTGGCAAGATGTGGACTGTGGTGGTCAGTTTTACCTTGCAACCTGGCTAGGCTATAGTCCCCATTATTCAATCAAACTTCAATCACAATCTAGCTGTTGCGATGAAGGTATTTTGTAGATGTGCTTAAAGTCAATAATCAGTTGATGTTATGCAGGGAGATTATCCCAGATAGTCAGTGTGAGCCTGAATCAATCAGTCAAAGGCCTTAGGATCAGAACTGGGGCTTCCTTAAGGAAAAAGAAATTCTGCCTGTAGATAGCAACCTGAAATTATGCTCAGGACTCTCAGCTTGCCTTTCTTGGTTTGTCCTGTGGATTTCAGACTTGCTTTGACATCACCAAGAATTGCACAAGTCAATTCCTTGCAATAAATCTCTTAGTATCTCCTACTGATGTTGTTTCTCTGGTTGAATCCTTACTGATATAACTAAAAAAACAAAAACAAAAACAAGAAAATACCAAAAACTTCCTTGTCTTATAATCTTTCTTGTGTCAATATTAATTTGTTTACTCAATTTCTTTCTTCTTTAGAGAATAAATTTATTGAAATCAAGATCTGGATTTCTCAAGTCTTTGAAGCACTAAGCACAAGGCCTTATCTAAATGTATGCTCAGTGAACAATAGTTAAAGAAATCTCAGTTTTAAGTTTTTCTCTTGTTTTCTGGTTTTCATTAGCTATGAAGGACTTGATCTTGAGGCAGATGTGGCTGTGGAGGACAAGCAAGTATTTCAGGCTTAAAATTACATTTCATTCCTAACATGTTTTCATTTGTAAATTATTCTTTGTCTCCACTAATTTGCCACAAAAAGTAATCTTACAAATGGCTTTCAAGTGTCACTAGGCCAATAGTAACTGAATTTATATTTCTAAATTCGTTGCCACAACTCACTTTTCCCCTTAAATATTTTTATCCTAGCCTTTTACTTTCATTCCAATTATCTTGGCTGATGTATTCATAAGTATCTTCCTCCAGAAAACTTATCTAGGCAATTTGGTACACATCATTTAAACTGAGGAATCCATTTCCTTGCTTATTCATTCATCCCTCAAGTAATTACCAAGTATCCACTATGTGTAAGGCACTAGGCTACATAATTTAGTGTGTCGGGGCTTCTTAATGACCTAATCCAATTATTATCCTGTGACAAAAACTAATCATAAAAACATAAAAACAAAAGCCTTTGCCCAAATTTGCCCAATTAAGTATTTTCATGTTGGTTAATCTTTGAGTCTTTCTCCTCTAAATTTGGGTTAGATTAATTCTATAAAAAAGGCTAAGCATATTTTTGAACTGCCCTTGTGGTTTCTTTCTACAGCAAACAGACACACAAACACACACACCTAAACTTTTCTAGATGTTCATATTACTGAAAATGAACTCATGCACCCACACAGATAGACCATTTTGACGTGTCCATATAACATTGGCCATAAACAATCACATATTTGCATAAAGTCTGGTGGTATAGTCTTTCCATTTTTATTCTTTTCAAAATATTGGAAGAAGTAGCAGTCAGACTTCCAGAGAAATTTCCCTTTGAGGGTTAAAATCATGTGCTCCCCAAATCCAGTCTGGAGCCCTCCTTCTCCACCAGGAAAGACCAGCTCAGAGCAAGGTTCTGAAATGGATCCATCAGATGATATTGACCACAAAGAAACAGCCATGAAGCCTGCAGTAGTCCCATGCCTGGAGTCATAACACAAATAATATCCTAGAAATGCTCCACCCTGCCTTGGACGGGGTCCTGGAGTGAGATTATTCTGCATTCCATGCTATAGAGGGCTGTGTTGCAGTCAAATTCCTGAGCATGACCACTGCCACAATGCAACTGTTTACTCCATCTCTAAATGTCACATCAACATGACCTTACAGAGGTATTTGTTTGTGTGACTCCTCATAGCAGGACCTTCTCTGTGGCTGGGACATTATGAGCTGTTAGTAAATATGAGAGTAATAGGAGAAGAAGGAAGAAAATTGAATGCCAAACAAACAAAAAGAATGGGGAAAAAGGAAGGAAAGAAGAAGAGATGAAAAAAGAAAAAATATGACAATAATAAAAGTAACATCTAAGGGCTTAATGTGTGTCAGGCAATAGTCTGAAATTCAAATGTTTACATGTTAATTCACTTAGTCCTCATAATTTCCTGGAAAATGTTACTATTATTATCTCCAGTTTCTAGATCAGGAAACTGGGCACAGAAAAATGAGAGAGCTTGCAAAGTTAAGGAGGAGCTGGGATTTGAACTCAGAAAGTCTCACTGCAGAACCTGAACTTATAAATGCTACACTCTTCTACCTCTAAATAAAAAACAATAACAGTGAAATTAAGTGGAAAAAGGCAAAGAATTGGAAGAATTCACTCAATAAACATTTCATTCAATAAATATTTATTAAGCAATTCAGAAAGATACAACTTCTGTAATCAAAGAGCTTGCAATTAAGTGGAAGAGAGAAAATGAAAGAAACAGAAAATGAAAGAATGCAACAGAGTAAAAGATTACAGGAGAACTTTATGCTGTACCAGGTCTCAGATTCATACTGGAGAAAGCAGCTATATCTGCCCAGGGGATGGTGTTGCGAGAGTTTCTACAGGAAGCAATATCTGGGCTGACTCAGAGAACCAACACTGGCAGCCGTAAAAACTGTGGGTTGGGAGAGGTGAGGCCTGAAAGGGGGACAATTAGGGTCTGCTGTAACACAGCATGTGAGAGCTGGTGAGGACCAGGCAGGAGCATTGACAGCTGGATTAAAGAGGGTGGGAAAAACTGAGATTAGATTAGGAGGAAGAATTGTCAAGAGCTCTTCATCAACATTAAAAAGGGATGTTGTGAGATGGTTCCCAGGTTTCTGACTTGGGCAACTTGATGATGCTGCCAATTTACCCAGAGAGGAAACAGAAGACAAAGAGAACTTTAAGGGTATTAGAAGAAGAAAGATGAGATAAAGATGATAAGCTATTGATTTTTGAGTTTGAAATCTCCATAAAGCTTCTAGGTTGAGATGTCTAGGAGCTGTATGGCAGAGTATACAAATCTGGCCAATATTAGTATATCACTTGCAATTAAATCCTTCAGAGTAGAAGGATCTAATTCTCTCTATTGAGAGAATATGGGTAATGAAAGAACAGTAAAGGATGGAACTCTAGAAAACAGTGCACAAAGGACAAAGAAGTTGAAGAGTAAGATAATCTATCACTCAAACCAAGGGGACTTCCACTTACAAAAAGATCAGTAATGATGTCAAATGCAACAGATGGCCACTTACAATACACAAGGCGAAGCATTCGTGGAATTTGCTGTCAGGTGATTATTGGCACCTAGAGCCTGGAGGGCAAGCTCTTGAAGAGAAGAGGATAACTTTCCCCATAAAAGAAAAAGAAAACAGAAGAACACACAAGATAAAGATGAATCTGTCAGTGTTTTAAATGGAGGGCAAAAGTTGAGGATAAACTATGAATTAGAGAGTGAACTTCATACTGAAATGTTAATGGAATCAATGACAGTGGTGAATATTTGAAATATCCACTGAGGGAAAAGGACAATTTAAAAGGTTGTCAGATGACAAAGAAGCCCACTTGGTACTGAGAAGGATCAATTTGCAGATGCACTGATCTGTGTCCTATCAGACTCCCTTCAGCAATCCCCCCTCGCAACAGGAGTTTGTGATTAGAGGGTGGGAACTTGGGTTTTAAGAATTAGTGGTGGAACATTATGAATGCTCAAAAGGAAAGGGAAAGAGTTAATGAGAAATGTCTATTTTCTGATTATCAATTGTTAAATTAAACATCTATTGAACACCTGTGTTGTGCTCTGTGGAGGGTGATTATTCAACTAATCATAAGCTTCACTGAACACCTACCATGTATGCTATACTATCTTAGGCACTGAACTTTCAAAGCTCTATGACACCTACCTTTAGGGTGCTTACAGTCTAATGGAAGAATCACATAAGAAAACCACAACATCAAAGCAATGTGGAAGGGGCTATGATAGAAGTAGGCCCAGGATGCTGGTGGATTGTAGAGAAGGGAAGTCTAAAACCAGATTGGGAAAGGAGGGAAAGAAGGAAGATTTTCTGATGAAGCCATGCCTGAGAGGTAATGACAACTAGGAGTTAGTCAGATTAGTGCTTGGGTGAGGCCTAAGAAGACACTTATGAAGCTGAGAAGACAAGGAGGGCTAGATCAAAATAAACTTTATAAACCATGTTAAGGAATTTGGATCTTATCCATTCATTATCCCTTTTTAAATCATATTACTCCTAACAGCAATTGTGAGCAAGTATTTATCCTCTGAAGATAGAGGAACATCACCTGAAATGGTTGTAGCTCATGTTAAAATTTCTGGAGCTTCCAGGTTTAAAAACAAATGTGAATTTTGTAACCTACTCTATATTATATCAATTTTAGTAGACTTTGAATTATTTACCTTCAAATAAATTAATCTTTAAGAAGATGCACCATGGTCCTCCTGGAGCTTCTTGTCTGTGAATGATGGCGGTAGGTGAAGAAGAAATCATTGAATTATTTTAAGTAGGAGTTGCATAATCAGATTTCTGTTTTAGAAAAATATCCCACCAACGTGTTGCTTGGTTTGGGAAATCAAGAGAAGGATGTGAGAAGTCGCTGGAAGGCTGCTGCAGCAACTCAGACAAGAGATAATGAGTTCCTCGGTCCTATCAACATGAGTAGAAAGAAAGACACTGAGTGAAGAATTATTAAGGCAATAAGAGTGTCAATGACTTATGGCTATGGGGAGTGAGTCAGAGAACCCAACACGACAACCAGGTTTCTGGTCTGAATGCTGTTCCCTAAGATAGCAAATGGGGGAGTAGAGTCAGGGCCTGAAGATTAGAAGCAATGGTAAGTTCTGTTTTGAACATTGCCTTTGAGAGCCTTGTGGGACATCCACGTGCTGATGACTGACATGCATTTGGGCACATATATTGGAATGGCCACATGTGGAAATTGAAGTCCTGTGGGGAGATAAGGCCATCCAGGGACAGGGCCTCAGAGTTTATAATGTAGTTGGAGAAATGACTCAGAAATCACAAAAACAACCAATAAGTGGGTCTGAACAATCTGTTCCAACTGGCTGTGGAGTGCTGATGGCACAGGGAGTTAGGGACTGACTGAATTGAGGTGGGTTAGTGAGGGAAGGAACACCACTGAGATCTATTACAGACCTCAGAGCCCATGGTCCACAGCATCATCCTGAACTGAGAGCCGCAGACACAGGCTGCACCTTCTTTGCTGTTTAACCTTGTCTAAGTTCATGTCACCAAACCATCTGCACCTGCCCAGAACAATGAAGATGCCTTATAGTCCTTGGGATGACCTATGTACAAGAACTTGTAAGGTGTGAAGACAATGCAATGAATAAGTGATCTCCGAGTGTGTGCTATGAGCATTGAGATGATGCCCATCTTCCTATTACTGGTTTGGCTCTGGCATGCTGTGGCAGCTGGAAGGTGTTTCCATAGCAGGTGGTGAGAATTCCTCTGCTTCTGGGTACTACATGACTGACTGTGCAATAGAGTTCCATGATACCTTCCAAACCTGAAGTTGCAGATTTGAGATAGTCTAAGAGGGAAAGGCAGCCTTGAGGACAGTTTTTGTCTGAGTATATTTTAGTTTCTAAAGCATTTCAGTACCTTCTGGGGCAATAAGATGCAAAATACAAAACTAGACTTGTTCTAATGTTGTGTTTATATAGGGCTTTCCCAAGTACTCCTAGACAGAGGAGAAGAGAAAGGGGGAAGATTGCAAAATGTGCTCCCTGCCCTCCATTCTCATTTCAACCTCTGGGCTTTGCATGTCAGAGCATGCGACCCTGAGGAACCAGTGTCTGAGCAAAGACAAGGTTATTACTGCCACATGAAAATGATGTAACCTGGACATCAGGCTCTGGGGAACAGAAGGCAAGTCAGATGGGTCAATAGATGGTGACAAAACACGGAGGTCAATAGGTTGAAGATCCTGATAAACTGGAGAGCTATGAGGTATGACTGAGATGAATTTCTGGTTTCTTTTACATCATGGGAGTTATATGGTTATTGTTTTATAGTTTTTTAATTTTAAAAGCGGGCATGAACTGAGGAGGAGAGTTGTGAATAGCGGACTATTTTTTAATTTATATGCCAGGCAAAATGTGAGAGGATAGGGAAATCTAAAACTTATAAGGAAATGTAAGCCATAGGCTCTTGTAGCTCTCATGGAAACTTTCTTTAAAATAGTTACTTTTTCACTTTGGAACATGTTGGAGGGTTGAGCTTTTTATAAGACTAGATTCAAAATGAAATACATTAAAAAAATAAAATGCCACCTAAATGTGTTTGTAGGTAGAGAAAAAATTATATAAAACCTTACACTTTCACATCTGGCCTGTCAGCCTTGTATATAACTTTTCATAGTCTTCATTTTTTATTCTACAAAAGGACGGTTATTTAAATTTTCTACATTGAATATGTCTCTCTTTTTGTAATCAGAAGAAAACAATGCAACCTCATTAAACAACAAGAAAACTATAATTGTTACCAAACTCTCAGTGTTTCTTAAGCAAGTCTCTATTCTTTTTTTTTTTTTTTTTTTTAAGACAGAGTCTTGCTGGAGTGCAGTGGCATGATCTCAGCTCACTGCAACCTCCAACTCCCTGGTTCAAGTGATTCTCCAGCCTCAGCCTCCCGAGTAGCTAGGATTACAGGTGAATGCCACCACCCCAGGATAATTTTTGTATTTTTAGTAGAGACGGGGTTTCACCATGTTGGCCAGGATGGTCTCTATCTCCTGACCTCGTGATCTGCCCGCCTCAGCCTCCCACAGTGCTGGGATTACAGGGGTGAGCCACCATGCCCAGCCCCAAGTCTCTATTCTTTATAACTGATATGAGAGCTAGACTCAAACTATCTCAGCAAATGGTATGTCTCCTGAATGGCCCAAAGCAGATTTGCTTTACATGGTTCACCTGTGAGTTCTCTGTAATTCTAGTTTCCAAAGAGTCTTAATCTTGGAACTTCTAAAGGATCAAGATTTATGTGGCCATAAGCGAAACAGTTCTGGAATGAATAAGATCTACAAGTTTAGAAATCCTCGGGCTATTCTCTAAACAAAGACGTGAGAAACTATTAATGTTTATACTAAAGATTCCCCAGTGTGGGTTTTTTTTTTTTTTTTTTTTTTTTTGCCATTGTAGGATATGAATGGTTACGTCCTCTGCAATCTCTATATAGTTGCCTTTATGCAGGGTGCCCCTACGTTGTAAGACATGGGTGTGGGAGAAACTAGAGGGGTGGCTTACCTACTTTAGTCATAAAAGGAGGCCACTGTCAAAACACACACACACACACACACACACACACACACACACACACACACACACACACCCCTTCTCAACCGTGGTTATAAAATAGCAGCTCTGAAGATCTGGAAGGAAGAAAGAAGTAAATCAGCTGACCTTTATAATATTTGGCTAGGCTGACTTATTCATTAGACACAATAAGCCCAGTGCCCAGGATCCACAATCTTTTTGGGAGTCAACGAAAAATATTTTATTTTCATTTAAAGTCAGAAGAAAAGAAAACCAAACTTTTAAGTTGAAAAAAAGGCTTTAATATGTAATATGAGTGTATTCATCTTTATACCAATGCAGTCATAAACCATAATTATCAGTATCTTTTATGAAGGAAGTTGCCCGTACAGGAAAAGGGGCTAGGGCTCCTGAAAGTTATAATGTGGCCTGATCACTATACACCATTCAGTTGGCTGCAGAGACCCTTTTGAAAATAGTATCTGAGCCAAGCCTCCCCATTCCAGAAGCAGGATGCTTGTGAAACTAGAATCTTATGTTTCATTACTAAAGAAGTCAGTTAACTTTCTTCAGAGGAAAATTATTCCATAGCAACCAAGCCATGTACGAAATACATTACTTGATCATGAAGTGAGACCAAACATGAAAAATTTTACATTGTTAAATTCAAATTTATTGTCTCTACAGGAAAAAATGATTAAGGATTCCATTTTTTTTAAATTAACTTGTTACAGAATTTGCTATTTTAACTAACTACCATGAAACTTTGATTTGGATAAAAACATTGAATTAGCTCATGATTCTCTGGGTCAGAAATCTGGCTTTCAGTGGGGCAGTTCTGCTGACCTCAACTGGGCTCACTGCAGTCAGTCGGCACCTTGGCTGTGGCAGGCGCTGTCATTCATAGGCTGGCAGTGGGCAGGCTGTCTGCCCATCAGGGTGCCTGAGTCCTCCCCCATGTAGCCTCTGCTTCAGGTTAGTCTGGGCTTCCTCACGCTGCGGTGGAAATGTTTCCAGTAGCAAGAGGGCAAACCTCTGCTTGTGTCACGTTTTCCATGTCTGTGGCCAAAGTAGGTCACATTGTCAAGATTAGATTCAAGGGATGGAGAAACAGATTTCAGCTCTTGATGGGCGTAGTTACAAAGTCACTTTGCAAAGAGCATGAATGCAGGGATGGGAAGAATCGGTGGCCATTTTTTTAACCATCTACCACACCTTTTCCTTCAAAATTCTCATATCAACACTTCTGCCAAGTAACCCCCCTTTTGAGTTTTTATTTCAGTTCAACTGTTTTACAGTTTAAGCTAAAGCTTAGCTTGGTTCCTGGGAAATAAAAATGGAGATGCAATTGAAACAAGTTCAGTATTTCCTTTAAAACCACATTTTATTTCATTTATTTTTTTCACTCAAAGAGGTTTATTAAGCTCCTCCAACCAGGCAACATAGCACAGTGCCTTGGGAACAAGATTCCTGGGTTTAAAACCCCAGTTCCACCATTTACAAGTTGCATGATCTTGGGCGAGTTTCTATTTTTCTTTATTTTGTTAACTTTTATTTTAGTTTTGGGGGTACATGTGCAGGTTTTGTATATAGATAAGCTCGTCACAGGGGTTTGTTGTAAAGATTATTTCATCACTCAGGTTCTAAGCCTTGTACCCAATCATTATCTTTTCTGGTCCTCTCCCTCCTTCCACCTTCCACCCTCAAGTAGGCCCCAGTGGCTGTTGTTCCCTTCTTTGTGTTCATGAGTTCTTATCATTTAGCTCCCTCTTATAAGTGAGAACATGCAGTGTTTGGTTTTCTGTTCCTGTGTTAGTTTTCTAAGGATAATGGATGGAACATGGATGGGACTCCAGCTCCATCCATGTTCTCTCAAAAGACATGATCTTGCTCTTTTTTATGGCTGCATAGTATTCCATCTTGTATATGTACCACATTTTCTTTATCCAATCTGTCATTGATGGGCATTTAGGTTGATTCTATTTACTATTCACAATAATCTTTGCTATTGTGAATAGTGCTGCAATGAACACTCACGTGCATGTGTCTTTGTGGTAGAATGACTTATATTCCTTTGGTTATATACCCAGCAATGGGATTGCTGAGTCCAAAGGTAGTTCTGTTTTTAGCTCTTTGAGCTATTGCCATACTGCTTTCCACAATGGTTGAACTAATTTACACTCCCACTGATATGGTTTAGCTCTGTGTCCCCACCCAAATCTCATGTAGAATTGTAATCCCCATGTGTTGAAGGAGGGGCCTGGTGGGAGGTGATGGAATCATGGAGGTGGACTTCCCTCTTGCTGTTCTTATGATGAAGTTCATGATGAAGTTCTTTTGAGATCTGGTTCTTTAAAGGTGTGTAGCACTTCCCCCTTCGCTTGCTGTCTCTCTTGGCACCATACGAAGATGTGCGTGCTTCCCCTTTGCTTTGTACCATGATTGTAAGTTTCCTGAGGCCTCCCCAACCATGCTTCCTGAACAGCTTGCAGAACTGTTAGTCAGTTATACCTCTTTTCTTCATAAATTATCCAGTCTCAGGTAGTTCTTCATAGTAAAGTAAGAACGGATTTATTAGTTTTTACTACTAAAATTTGAAATTTTATTTCTCTAATTCTTATCTCTGACTACAGTCTTGGGATTTTATTTTTTCCTCTCATTTTTGGAGTTAATGGTAACAGTGTAAAATGATCATGCTGGCTCAAGTTGAATGCATGTGCTTTTTTCAATTAAATTCCTTGTTTCAGGTTTATTCTTTTTAACTTCCATGATATTAATGACTTATTACATAAAATTATTTTTATAATTGTTTAAATCCATGGCTTTATATTATAAATGATGACCTGCTGTTTCAAGATCCTTAAAGGACAGTTTCCACCTTCATATTCCCAACCTGTTCCTTACCAAAGCATACTTGCTAGTTTTATATTTAAACAATATGTAGCCCTATGACAATGCCAAGATTTCAGCATGCTACATAGATAAAGGTCTTGGACTTTGTTATCACCTGGGTTATGAGTTTATTAATAATACAGTTACATAGAAGTTATACACTGAATATGAAAATAATGTCAAAACACAACTAAGTTAAGAACTATTTTATCAGGGAAGCATAGTGGCTTTCCACTGATATTTACATTTTAATGAGTTAGAAATGTTATGGCTTATAGTTTGGATAGAATATAGGTGAAATGAATAATGTCTACACTTGAAAGTGAGCTATTAAGTCAGTGGCTTTGTGATGTAGATGAAATAACAGCCTTATTTGTACTAATTTACAGACTCTTGAACTTTCTTTGCGAGGCATTCTAGCTAAAGAAAAGCGAAGTCGTTTCCTACTATCCTCTTTCATTCAACCCTTATCTAAAATGAAAACCACATTTTTTAGTTAGAACTGATAAACTGAAGAGTTGGTGATATTTATGGATTGATTGTTTTAAGAATTTAATCTCATTCATCCCTCTTTTCTCTCATGAGATACAATAAAGCCAAAATACATGGAATGATATGTGTTTACTTAGATTGAAAATACATACATAATTTATTTAAAAACCAATTAATATGAATCTTCTATTAAGACCAAACATATGCATATACATTTACACACACATTTTTAAAATGCATGCATATATGCTTCTCTGTGTGTGTGTGTGTGTGTGTGTGCGTGTGTGTGTATGTGTGTGTGTGTGTTGATATAAGATTCACAAGGAATCCTAAAAGACTTTTTCATCCCAGGTAGAAGATACAGAAAGTCTACTATTCATTAGGTTTCATTAACTGCACAGGAGTTAGTCAACAAATATTTGTGGAATAAATTGATGTATTAGTAATAAATGTTTTGTAGAATAGCTAAGGCTTAAGAGTGTAAGTCTTCATTATCTGACTTGTTCTGTTCTGAAAGCCTTTGCTTCTGCATGGATATTCTGCTTACTGAAGAGTGTCCTTGATAAAAGCCTAGGATTTACTACCTGTGAGTTACATCTCGAAAGGTTCTCATTTGACTGTACCTTTCGCACCCACTCTAGTTCCACCACATAATGTATAAATAACTCAGTGAGGGGAATTGTTTAGACAAATAAATGGTTTGGAAATACTAGCTGCACATGCGCTTTCCTTCAGAGTACATTAATGAAATTAACTCACACTTCAGCGTGCCTTCTAGGTCACCAATTTATGAGCATCGGAAACCACACTCCTGAAAGCCTAGTTGGATGAGGTTAGGTATGAATCAAGGAAAGGTTTCTTTTTTTTTTTGTAAGCAGCACAGTGGAAAAGAAAGCAGAGTTTTGTGGATGGCTTTTTATGTTTTTCACATACTTATTAAAATTTCCCTATGGACAGTTTGGTCATCCATCTACTGAAAATAGTAAATATAGGCTGCGGTGAACTGTGGTTGCACCACTGCACTCCAGCTTGGGTGACAGAGCCAGACCCTGTCTCGAAAAAATAAATAAATAAAAATGAAAAAAAATAGCCGGTCATGGTGGTGTATGTCTCTGTGGTCCCAGCTACTAGGGAGGCTGAAGTGGGAGGTTCACTGGAGTTAGGGAAGTCAAGGCTGCAGTAAGCCATGATTGTGCCACTGCACTCCAGCCTGGGCAACTGAGTGAGACCCTGTCTCCAAAAAATAAATAAATAAAGGAAAATACTAAATACATACAAATTACCATATTCGAATTGATTTTTTTTCTACCCCTAGGAAGGTAACAAATAGTGATAACTTCCTCAGTCTAGCTATTTGTAGATATAAATGTATATGTATTTATTTATAAATGTATATGACTCAAAGGCAGCAGAAAAATAAAGATAATTTTAGAAGATGCAAATTAATAAAGAATGTTAAACCATTAGAATTATCCAGCGAAATAATTTTTATAAAAGATAAATACCATAGTGCCCATCAGGTGAGTAGAGTTATGCTTTACCATTTTTGTTTTAGTGAATTTTAAATGTATCTTCAAATAGATCTCATAATAGATCTACTAGATGTTGAAATAGTGAATAATTCAATTAGAGTTATCATTTTGCATGCAAGTTTTCATAAAATCATCTGCCTTGGCATAATGTTTTCATGTCTGTAATAATCTTAATTTTAAATTTTTAGTGTAGAAGTATAATTTCACTTTCATTTCTTTTCCCTTTAATCGCATGTTTATTTCATGAAACATGTAATCTCCAGAGGAGTGATTCAGCAGACTGTGATATATTAATGTAAAAAGTGCAATAGTTTCACTGCTTTTGATGAAGAGAACTATGTAGAAATATGGAGAGAAGTGATATGGAACTAAAAATTCACATTCAGAATAATGTATGAACTTGAAAGAAACTAAATAAAATTTTAAAAAGGAGAGAGTTTGTATGTAGTGATTTAGGTCCTTGAAATAGTTTTAGTTTTTATATTGTTATCAGTAAGTTTTTTCTTTTAGTCTTCTTTGACCAAATGCCTAAAATATACGTATATTATAATTGAATGTTTGTTAATTTCCTAATTCATTTGATGTATGATTAATCACCACATTTAAATATGCTAAATGTAAACATGTGAAGAGACATTTTCTCAATAGAAAAGAATGAAATGAACTTTGTGTTTTGCTTAAAACGGTGTTTTTTTTTGTTTGTTTGTTTGTTTGTTTTTGAGACAGAGTCTCCCTCTGTCACCTAGGCTGGAGTGCAGTGGTGCAATCTCGACTCACTGCAACCTCCGCCTCCCGGGTACACGCCATTCTCCTGCCTCAGCCTCCCGAGTAGCTGGGACTACAGGCGCCCGCCACCACGCCTGGCTAATTTTTTTTGTATTTTTAGTAGAGACGGGGTTTCACCGTGTTAGCCAGGATGGACTCCATCTCCTGACCTCGTGATCCGCCTTGGCCTCCCAAAGTGCTGGGATTACAGGCGTGAGCCACCATGCCAGGCCAAAACAGTGTGTTTTAAAAAAATTTTTCAGTTCATTAAAACTTCAAACTCTAGTCCTAGTGATAATAAACATTTTGATGGCATGTATTTTCTCATTTGATATAACACATATTTTTACTCCAAAAAACAAATTTATTTAGATTTTTTGTTTCTGTATATAAAGAAGATTGTGGAATGTCAAAAAATAAATGTGAGCCCCAATTTAGCAAAATAAGTGAAATAATCCTCAGCCATGGCAGCAACTTAATAATTTGGAAAGACACTTTGTCCTTAATATGTAGCTTCTAAAGTGTGGATGTGATACCCATGATCACTGATGCCACTGGTGTCTGCTGTGTATATGCTGGATGCACTTTGCAAATGCTACCTCTAATCTTCATAGTACCTGCATTTTACACTTGCAGAAATTGAAACAATGATTAAGCATCTTACTCCAAGTAATCCAGTCTCCAAATACATGTATCCTAAGAACCATCAAAGATATTATTACAATCTTCACAGCTTTGCCAGTTTATCTTCTCAAAGCCTGCCAATAATACCTACCATGAACTTCCTCTGCAAAGATCTGCATTATTTGGTGAATATTATGGGTAGGAAAGCAGTAAGATGGGCATTAGGAGACATGTTCTAGGACTACTTTGCTACCAGTTAACTATGTGAACTTGGACAATTAGTTTCTCTCAGCCTCAGTTTTCTTCTTAAAAAATGTCAGGGTTAAGCTAAAGGTTTACCTAACTCTAAACATTTTCTTCTAGCTTAAATATTTCTTTGAATAGGGATTTCTTTCTATGGGAAAAAATAGGACTCTCAATGTCATGTTGAGGGAGCTCTTGCAAAGGAAAAAGTCCTTATTGAGAGGCAACTGTGCTTCGACTCTTTGCCATAGGAAATCCTCTTGTTTTTACTTGCTCCTTCTCCTTAAACATCATATTTATCACACATGAAAGTGTATTATTAACAACTTCCCTATTTAATATTAATGGACAAAAATCGGGTGCCGTAGAATACTGACCTTTGAGGAGTAGGAGTTATGTACATTTAAGTGATTTATCTTTAAAAAAATTATTTTAAGGCCAGGCACCATGGCTCAACCTGTAATCCTAGCGCTTTGGGAGGCCAGGTGGGGAGGATCACTTGAGCTTGAGCCCAGGAGTTCGAGACCAGCCTGGGTAACATGGAAAGACCCTGTCTCTACAAAAAATAAAAAATTAGCCAGGCATGGTTGTGCATGCCTATAGTCCTAGCTACTCAGAAGGCTGAGATGGGAGAATCACTTAAGCCTGGGAGTTTGAGGCTACAGTGAGCCATGATCACGCTACTGCACTCCAGCTTGGGTGACAGGGGAGATCTTATCTTTAAAAAATTAATTAATTAATTAATAATTTTAAGAAGCTCATAAGCCAGTATGAACGTATTTAAATTAGCTATTATCTTTATGATTTCTATTATTATGAGAACTAAAAATAGTAAAATAAAATGAAAGTTGTTTTTCACTTTTATTTGCCTTCCTGTGTTCTTATCTATATGATTATATTGTCTCCCCGCAGTCCAATTGATAAATCCTTAAAGGATTTTGAAACATTCTGCCTGTACAGGATCTTGACTCAGTGTCTAGCTAACATGCTGGTTTTCGGGAAAAAAAAAAAAAAAAAAAAAAAAAAAAAAAAGCCTAATGGGAAAATGTTGCATTACCCCCAACTCAGCCATGTTCTTCCGGCCCTAAGTTTGGAGCCCTTGACTTTAACCTAGCTGTGCCTTTTGTCTGATTAGGAGGGGCTATTTATTAGGAGTCACACAAAATAAACACGAAAAGTTTGCCATAAAATATGACAACCACTTTAAATAATGTTAACTTAATTAAACTTTAAACTTTATTTATATAGTTTATGGCTTTAGTGTGAGCTCTTCTCGGATGTTTACTTCAGTGGAAAATCCATCATGTGAGTGCCTTGAAAGGAATTAATCCCCTTACCCCTGGCACAGAGCTCAGCTCCAACAATTCAGATCTAAATATTTAGTGATGGATGATACATGTTTATGGAACAGAGGGCAGCATGACATTTAAATGTGAACTGCGGTTTCCATCATGAGCATATGGTTGAAAAGACACTGGAAGCTGAAGTTATGCCAACCAACGGAAGTTGATAAGTTTTTTTTTTTATGCTTGCCTTTTTTTTTTCTCCCTTTTGTCCATCCCATCTGTTTCTGAAGTCTCTTTAACAAAACTATTCTTACAGTCAACTTTCCAGAAAAGAAGTTCTGCTGACTCTCGTGCATTTGGTAGTGCATCCCATGGTTAAACTAATAGCCTTGCTGGGTGTCAGCCAAAGGTTACAGGCCTCTCAAAATATTCCTGGAAAAAAAAAGTTTATCACTAAACCGAAGTTTCTCATTAGTAACCCTGTGGTGTCTAATCTGTGAAATTACATGATTAACTCCTTTGCAGAGTCTGCTGCAGTTAGAGCTTGCAATCCCACAGGAAGTTATTAAAAGTATCACCAAGATAATTCTCTAGCTTTGTACTTGGCCCCTGGGGTAAAGGAAATAGATCATTAGATGAGTACTTTATAATAAAGTCATAGATCACTCACAATTATTAAATGACTGTCAAGGAAGATTATTATTTTAAAAGTTGAGGACAGTGTGATTTGAAAAACAAACAAAAACCATGAAAGAATTTCTTACTTCCTTTGTTTTGGAAAAGAAATGGGAAACATACTGTTTTCTCCCCCATGCTGTTTGAAGTTGATATTTTAATGTCTCTTTCACACACAGATATCTTACCTTGTGCTTTTTTTTTTTTTTTTGCCTAATGTTGTTTAATTGTTCCTTAAATGAAAGACATGTTTCTTATTGTAAGTAAATAAAAGATGCAGAAAAAAGTCAGAGAAAATAGAATGGAGAAATATTTCATGAATATGTGTAAATAGCGGAAGGAGCTTTTTCCTATAGAAGACATGTGGCCATGTGCGTGGTCAGTAACTCACTGGAGGTTCTTAGAGATTATTCTAGTTACTCATTTGATACAAAAAACAATCTTTATTAGCCAGGACACTCTGCCCTTGATAAGAGCAGAATACAAATATACCAATCTTACAAGGAAAAGCAATACCAGATAGCTCTCATTATTAGTCCAAATCTGCTACACAGTGCAGCTGTTCTTGGTAAATTCAGTAAGATATTGGCTTTCTGAGCTATACTCTGGATTCTGAATCTTACTCTGGTCCAGACAGAAATGTTCCATGTGTCTGCCTCTTGTTTTGCTTTCTAAAATATTTACTGTAACTTCTTTATTTTAAAAAAAATCCTAGTTAATCAAGTACATGATTTCTTTTGAAACCAATTCTTGACCAGGCTGGAGTTTTATAATAAAAGCCTTGTGGGTTATTGAACCAAACCATTCAGATGCCTGAGTTTGACTAATTACACTGGCACTTGGCACTGGCTCAATAGTGATGTTTAAAGATGCCGAGTGGACTCAGTAGAAAATGCCTGTCATGTGAAAAAATTCTTGCACACATAATGCCAAACGTTTTACAAATTCCTGACTGTCAGACCCACTAAAGGGGACAAAGCAGGACACTGGTAAAAGATTGATTTTTTTGTTGTTGTTTTCATTCCCTATGATTGTCTGAGTCTAACCAGAAAAAGAACATTATCCTACAATTTCATTAAAAGGAAGTAGATGACAGTTGAAAAAGAAATCCAGGTTTTCCATGCAACACTTGGACAGCAGTTTCTTTGAACAGTTATATAATCAGCTTCTGATATGTAGAATATTACTTCAAAACAAAAAAGTACACCAATCCAAAGCCTTAGTTTTACCCATCATTTCAGGTCAATAGAAGCATAAAATGCAGTGTAGAGATCAACAGACACTCTATTAAAGACTGATGCAGAGGGAAATTCTTGTATTATAGATGCCCTTCTGTGCTTTCATATCTCCCTCAGGGGCCCAAAAAGGACACTAGTAAGGTGTGCGTGAAAACACATCTAGTTGCCACCCCAACAACATTTAAAGCATGTGATAAGATGTGGCTGTGGTGGTTCTTGTAGTAATTCTTAATCACTCTTGTCAGGGGTGCTGACTTCCCAGGGTTGTCAAACTGCCCATGCAGAGGGCCAGCTTGGGATGCAAAGGGGACTTCTGGGGTGTGATTTGAGGCCTGCAGAACGGATGCCCACCCAAAACATCTGCCTCAGTCGTAAGCCATGGTGCTGGGAACTCCCGGGAAACCATTCATTTCTTTAATATAAAAATGGGAAAATGCACATCTGTGTTCAGGGTTAGGAAAAATGTAGAGCCACAGACATTCATGAGTACATTAGTGCTAATTAACAGGTTACATTAGTCACCTCAAAGAGTCCTAATTCTATATTTTATTTAATATATATTGACCATTTACATGTGTCAGGAACTGTGCTAAGTTTGTATATTAATGCATTTGATGCATACAACATGCTTATGAGGTAAACACCATCATCTCCCAATTTTACAAATAAAAGCAGGAGTAGAGAAATGGGACGCAGTTTCCCCAGTACCATACAACTGAGAGACGATAGGGCCAAGATATAAACCAAAGTAGTCTTAGCCCAGGACTATACTTATTGTTTATACTGCTTCTGTGTGAGGCACTGGATGAGGCTCAGAACAGATGGGTTTGGAGAGAGCATAAGAAGCAAGTAAGGGCCCACTGGAAATTCTGTAGGTGGAAAGCTGTCTCCAAAGGCAAAATTCATGCTGCTGTTGGGGACTTGAGATAAGAGAAGGAAGACTCTCCAAGGTCAACCTTGTCTGCTATACCATTTTTCCCGTGACTACCCCGGCCTGCTTTCTGTAGGAATCCCATCATCACCCTAGGTCCACTACACATGACTTTGCTTCTTAACAGAGAAGAGCAGAATGCAGAAAATATCACTGTCATAATATCACAGAATGCTGGAGGTATATTAACTTAGATAGATGGTTTCCCTGGTCTCCATCCAGATGAAGAAACAAATCACCCAGAAAAGTTAAGCAGTTTCCCCAATGTCCCCCAGTGTGCTAGTCCCAAAGCTCAAACTAGAAGCCAAGTGTCTACCATAAAATGACTCACATCTGTCCCATACCCCATCCTCTAAAAAAAAAGCATCTGATGTGATCTCTGTATATCTCGACAATGAGTTCTGCTTCTTATGAAATCCGGTAGGATTTTCTCTGTGCTTTAGTTGCATGACTTCTATCATTAGAAGGATGGCATCAGCATAATTCCCATAGATATATGACTAAAGTAGTTATATTCAAATGCCCAGGCTTACTTAATGGACTTCAAGAACCAAGCACTGGGGAAGGAGCAAGTAGATCGCACTTCAAGGTCTCTTAGCATCTTTCTGAAGGCAACCTGCTAAGTTCGTTCCCAAAATCACATACACATACACACAAGTTATGAGAATTTATTTATGATGACAGCTGTGATGTTTCTTTGGACCTGCCATAGACATCAATGTTCTGTGAATGGTCTAATCAGCTCCATTAAATGCTATTTTTAGTGGGCTTTGGATTCAGACTTACCTAAGTTCAACCCTATATCCCCCATTTCCCAACTAGGTAAAGCTGGATAATCTAACTGCCCTCCATGCAGAGCCATTGTGGAGTGGGACAAACATTGTCTTCAGAGCTACAAAGAACTGACTTGAATTCTTCTCCCCCTACTCATTAGCTATAGATGATTGGATAAGTTACTCAACTTTTCTGAATCTGTGTCTTCATCTGTAAAATATGTGCTATGACTCCTGCCTGTTCGAGCATCTAATTTTCAAGTACGTGGTGAGAATTAAATGAGATTATATTTTTCAAATGCTTGGCACAGTGCTGGGCACAAAGTATATGCACAGGAAATGTTGATTTCTTTGTCTTTTCCTTTCTGAGTCTTAGTCCCCATATCTGTAATCAGTGAATAATACAATTTACCTTGGGAGGTTTTGTGTCATTTCACAAGGTATGTGAATACATAAAGAACCACACACTCACTAAGGAGAGGCTGAAAATAAATGAGTAGCAAGGAGCCTTGTTGCCAAGTCACAGAGGACTGAGCTTGGGTGTCTACAGTTCCCCGACCAGAGTCTGGAGTCAGAGCAGAGCTTTTGATCTCTGTAGAGATGCATCCAGCAGAGGGGGAGGTGGGGACACATATAGTTACCAAGTGGCTCCTCTGCAAAAAGAAGGTGGACACAAAAACCAAGTAGAATCATGTAACAGAAAGTCTCCGGTAAGGGCTAGCAAGTGTAACATCCCTGGACCATCCATAAGAAGGAAGATGGAGGATGCACTGGGCTTTACCAGGCACTGCTACGTAAACATCACAAAATACAGCGCTAAGGAATACTCGACATAACCAGCCACCCACACAATTGGAGTGTGTGATGGTTGATACTGACTGTCGACTTCATTGGATTGAAGGATACAAAGTATTGATCCTAGGTGTGTCTGTGAGGGTATTGCCAAAGGAGATTAACATTTGAGTCATTGGGCTGGGAAAGGCAAACCCGCCCTTAATCTGGGTGAGCACAGTCTAATCAGCTGCCAGTGGGGCTAGAATATAAGCAGGCAGAAAAATGTGAAAAGAGAGACTGGTCTAGCCTCCCAGCCTACATCTTTCTCCCATGCTGGATGCTTCCTGCCCTCAAACATTGGACTCCAATCTTCAGCTTTTGAACTCAGACTGGCTTTTCTTGCTCCTCACCCTGCAGATAGCCTATTGTGGGACCTGGGGATGTTGTGAGCTAATACTTAATAAACTTAATAACACTTAATAAACTCCCCTATATGTGTATATATATAGGGAATTATATATATATATATATATATTCCATTAGATCTATCCCTCTAGAGAACCCCTGACTAATACAGATTTTGGTACCAGGACTGATTCTAAAGAAACAGAATATTATGAAGGCAGAAATAAAGATGTTCTTTGAAACCAACGAGAACAAAGACACCACATACCAGAATCTCTGGGACGCATTCAAAGCAGTGTGTAGAGGGAAATTTATAGCACTAAATGCCTACAAGAGAAAGCAGGAAAGATCCAAAATTGACACCCTAACATCACAATTAAAAGAACTAGAAAAGCAAGAGCAAACACATTCAAAAGCTAGCAGAAGGCAAGAAATAACTAAAATCAGAGCAGAACTGAAGGAAATAGAGACACAAAAAACCCTTCAAAAAATCAATGAATCCAGGAGCTGGTTTTTTGAAAGGATCAACAAAATTGATAGACTGCTAGCAAGACTAATAAAGAAAAAAAGAGAGAAGAATCAAATAGACGCAATAAAAAATGATAAAGGGGATATCACCACCAATCCCACAGAAATACAAACTACCATCAGAGAATACTACAAACACCTCTATGCAAACAAACTAGAAAATCTAGAAGAAATGGATACATTCCTCGACACATACACTCTCCCAAGACTAAACCAGGAAGAAGTTGAATCTCTGAATAGACCAATAACAGGCTCTGAAATTGTGGCAATAATCAATAGTTTACCAACCAAAAAGAGTCCAGGACCAGATGGATTCACAGCCGAATTCTACCAGAGGTACAAGGAGGAACTGGTACCATTCCTTCTGAAACTATTCCAATTAATAGAAAAAGAGGGAATCCTCCCTAACTCATTTTATGAGGCCAGCATCATTCTGATACCAAAGCCGGGCAGAGACACAACCAAAAAAGAGAATTGTAGACCAATATCCTTGATGAACATTGATGCAAAAATCCTCAATAAAATACTGGCAAACCGAATCCAGCAGCACATCAAAAAGCTTATCCACCATGATCAAGTGGGCTTCATCCCTGGGATGCAAGGCTGGTTCAATATACGCAAATCAATAAATGTAATCCAGCATATAAACAGAGCCAAAGACAAAAACCACATGATTATCTCAATAGATGCAGAAAAAGCCTTTGACAAAATTCAACAACCCTTCATGCTAAAAACTCTCAATAAATTAGGTATTGATGGGACGTATTTCAAAATAATAAGAGCTATCTATGACAAACCCACAGCCAATATCATACTGAATGGGCAAAAACTGGAAGCATTCCCTTTGAAAACTGGCACAAGACAGGGATGCCCTCTCTCACCGCTCCTATTCAACATAGTGTTGGAAGTTCTGGCCAGGGCAATCAGGCAGGAGAAGGAAATAAAGGGTATTCAATTAGGAAAAGAGGAAGTCAAATTGTCCCTCTTTGCAGACGACATGATTGTTTATCTAGAAAACCCCATCGTCTCAGCCCAAAATCTCCTTAAGCTGATAAGCAACTTCAGCAAAGTCTCAGGATACAAAATCAATGTACAAAAATCACAAGCATTCTTATACACCAACAACAGACAAACAAAGAGCCAAATCATGAGTGAACTCCCATTCACAATTGCTTCAAAGAGAATAAAATACCTAGGAATCCAACTTACAAGGGATGTGAAGGACCTCTTCAAGGAGAACTACAAAACACTGCTCAAGGAAATAAAAGAGGACACAAACAAATGGAAGAACATTCCATGCTCATGGGTAGGAAGAATCAATATCGTGAAAATGGCCATACTGCCCAAGGTAATTTACAGATTCAATGCCATCCCCATCAAGCTACCAATGCCTTTCTTCACAGAATTGGAAAAAACTACTTTAAAGTTCATATGGAACCAAAAAAGAGCCTGCATCGCCAAGTCAATCCTAAGCCAAAAGAACAAAGCTGGAGGCATCACACTACCTGACTTCAAACTATACTACAAGGCTACAGTAACCAAAACAGCATGGTACTGGTACCAAAACAGAGATATAGATCAATGGAACAGAACAGAGCCCTCAGAAATAACGCCGCATATCTACAACTATCTGATCTTTGACAAACTTGAGAAAAGCAAGCAATGGGGAAAGGATTCCCTATTTAATAAATGGTGCTGGGAAAACTGGCTAGCCATATGTAGAAAGCTGAAACTGGATCCCTTCCTTACACCTTATACAAAAATCAATTCAAGATGGATTAAAGATTTAAACGTTAGACCTAAAACCATAAAAACCCTAGAAGAAAACCTAGGCATTACCATTCAGGACATAGGCGTGGGCAAGGACTTCATGTCCAAAACACCAAAAGCAATGGCAAGAAAAGCCAAAATTGACAAATGGGATCTAATTAAACTAAAGAGCTTCTGCACAGCAAAAGAAACTACCATCAGAGTGAACAGGCAACTGACAAAATGGGAGAAAATTTTCGCAACCTACTCATCTGACAAAGGGCTAATATCCAGAATCTACAATGAACTCAAACAAATTTACAAGAAAAAAACAAACAACCCCATCAAAAAGTGGGCGAAGGACATGAACAGACACTTCTCAAAAGAAGACATTTATGCAGCCAAAAAACACATGAAAAAATGCTCATCATCACTGGCCATCAGAGAAATGCAAATCAAAACCACTATGAGATATCATCTCACACCAGTTAGAATGGCAATCATTAAAAAGTCAGGAAACAACAGGTGCTGGAGAGGATGTGGAGAAATAGGAACACTTTTACACTGTTGGTGGGACTGTAAACTAGTTCAACCATTGTGGAAGTCAGTGTGGCGATTCCTCAGGGATCTAGAACTAGAAATACCATTTGACCCAGCCATCCCATTACTGGGTATATACCCAAATGAGTATAAATCATGCTGCTATAAAGACACATGCACACGTATGTTTATTGCGGCATTATTCACAATAGCAAAGACTTGGAACCAACCCAAATGTCCAACAATGATAGACTGGATTAAGAAAATGTGGCACATATACACCATGGAATACTATGCAGCCATAAAAAATGATGAGTTCATGTCCTTTGTAGGGACATGGATGAAATTGGAAACCATCATTCTCAGTAAACTATCGCAAGAACAAAAAACCAAACACCGCATATTCTCACTCATAGGTGGGAATTGAACAATGAGATCACATGGACACAGGAAGGGGAATATCACACTCTGGGGACTGTGGTGGGGTCGGGGGAGTGGGGAGGGATAGCATTGGGAGATATACCTAATGATAGATGACACGTTAGTGGGTGCAGCGCACCAGCATGGCACATGTATATATATGTAACTAACCTGCACAATGTGCACATGTACCCTAAAACTTAAAGTATAATAAAAAAAAAAATTAAAAAAAAAAACTCAATTAAAAAACCCATGAGCTTTCTATAACAATTTGCTATTTCTTTCCAGTTATATTATGCCTTAAAAGTAGATTACCAATTCAACTTTTCCAGCCTTAATTTATGCCTAGTCATAGAATCAGATTTTTACTCATCCAGAATAGACTTGTATACTAAGGTTAAAATCTGAGAATTGGATTGTGTAATATTTCATTGATTATATTATACTCATTTGTTCACATTTAACATCTTTGAAATGAAGATTGTCTTATAATGAATGATAAGAAAGTATTTGTCATAGGTTGATTATGATAGTTTAATTTTTCTTTCTTCATGACGTTTAAACTAATGATGTGTTTTCAATGGATGGCTTTTTATATTTGATGAAATGTGGTTCTTGGCTCTTCAATGAAACTCTGTAAAATTAGGCAAAGCAGAGTAATCCTGTTTATTCCTAGCTTTGCTCCAGGCTGTCTAACAAACTGGGATGGGAATAGGTACTCTATTTAAAGCAGGGTGGTGTTTGGGAGTTCCATCTCCCATTGCCACTGTCATTCCTTACCCTCCCCCATGGCCCAGTTCTAACAATAACATTTCTATTTCTTCTTTAAATCTGCCTTTGGATAATTTTTAAATGATGTTAATTTTATTATGATCTCAAGTTATTTATATTCCCTTCCTCCTACCTTTTTTTCAGTTAACCAAAAGTTCAGTCTTTTTTTATTAAGGCTTTTTCCATAATTCCTTTAAAATTGAAATAAAAATGGAACATTTTTTGTCTATGTTCTTTACATAAATATATATGTAGAAGTTTGAGTGATTAAAATATAAACTGTCAAAAAAAAAAAAAAAAGAAACAGAATATTAAGGATAGAGTTTTTCTTGTGGGTTTTGGGGTTTCTGGAGTTGGCTGCTTAATATGATTAGACCAAAAAAATGCTAAGGACTCTACTTCTAATAATATGAAGAACGTTGATAGTCCTTGGCATGAACTGTTTAGAGAGTTATGCAAAATAAATGCATTTGATAATCCTGATTCATCGCTCATGAGAGACAAGGAGTTTAGTGACTCTATATATAATACCTTTGACCATATGAGAACCAACGAACATAATGAAGCTGGTTGGTTGCTCCTAAGTTCAGTGGACAAAGTGACGAAAGAAAATGATGAACTCAGGGATTCTATCTCCAGGCTTCAGAAGCAGATACTGAGCCTCAAATCTGCTAAGATTGCCCTGAGTGAGAGTCTTATCTCCTGTAGAGAAAGAGCTGAAATCAGGGGAAAACAGACACCGGCTCTTATCATGCAAGTGTCTGACCTGCAACAAAAGGTGCACGCACAGCCTCGCCAGGTGTCCACTGTTAAAGTGAGGGCATTGATTGGAAAAGAATGGGACCCTGTAACTTGGAATGAGGATGTGTCAGAGGACCCTGATGAAGCTGGGGACACTGAGTTTGTAAACTCCGATGAACCTTTTTTGCCAGAAGAAACAGCTTCCCCAACCCCAGTAGTGGCAACATCACTCCTGAACCCATGCTGCCCTCAGCATTTCCACCTTTGTCTGAGGAGATAAACCCTGTGCTGCCTGAGGCACAGTAATGGCCTCCTGTGAGGCAGTTGCCAGGCAAGATAATGTTGTTTCTCCTCATGAGACACCCGCAACACCCCGGTTTGCTTCTAGACCTATAACTAAAGTCCCAGTGGGCCCCTAGAGGTGAAGTTGAGAGCATGACCCTTGAGGAGGTATGCTACATTCAAAAAGAACTGCTTGACTTTTCTAATTTATATAAACAGAAATCTGGAGAACAAGCATGGGAATGGATATTAAGTTGTGGGATAATGGTGGAAGGAACATAAGAGTTGGATTAGGCTGAATTTATTGATTTGGGCCCTCTAAGTAGGTATTCTGCATTTAATGTTGCAGCTTGGGGAGTTAAAAAAGGTTCTAATAGTTTATTTGCTTGGTTAGCTGAAATATGGATTAAAAGACGGTCCACTGTGAGTGAGCTGGAAATGCCTGATCTCTCTTGGTTTAATGTAGAGGAAGGGATCCAAAGGCTTAGGGAGACTGGGATGGTGGAGTGGATTAGTCACTTTAGACCTACTCATCCCAGCTGGGAGGGTCCAGAAGATATACCCTTGACCAATGCCTTGTCAAATAGATTTGTGAGGGCAGCACCAGCATCTTTGAAGAGAATATGTAATTGCTCTTCTCTGTATGCCAGATCTAACAGTGGGAACTGCAGTCACTCAACTATAAAATTGAAATACAACGGGAATAATTGGATCCCAAGGTGGGAGGAACCAAGTGGCAGAACTCAACCATCAAATGCAAGGTAGGCGTAACTACCGTAATGGACAGCAGAGGCAAAGAGGCAATCAGAATAGTTTGACACGTGTAAAGCTCTGGCATTGGCTAATTAATAATGGTGTTCCCAAAAAGTGAAATTGACAGAAGCTTACTGCATTCCTACTTAGTTTACACAAGCAGAAAACTTCTAGGTAGAATGGACAAAAGACTAATTTGAATTATAAAAACAGAGAGTCGTGGCGCCTCAACCAACTTCCAGACTTGAACCATTCCTGCCACCCTGGTTTCTCTTCCTAGCCTGCACCAATGGCCTCATGGGGAGTTTCCTATGATCAGTTGACAGAGGAAGGGAAGACTAGGGCCTAGTTCACAGATGGTTCTGCACGATATGCAGGCACCATCTGAAAGTGGACAGCTGCAGCACTACAGCCACTTTACAGACCCAGAACCCCTGGAATGAAGGAGAGACCAGGTCCCCTTGAGGAAGGACCCCACTATATTACCAACAATTTATGCAGTGAATGTTTCTCCCATCCTTTCCCAAGGAGACCTCTCGCCTTTTACTAGGGTAATTGTGCACAGAGAAAAAGGAAATGATCAGACATTTTGGGGACTACTGTACACTGGCTCTGAGCTAACATTGATTCCAGGGGACCTAAAATGTCACTGTGGTCCACCAGTTAAAGTAGGGGCTTATGGTGGTCAGGTAATTAATGGAGTTTTAGCTCAGGTATGACTTACAGTGGGTCCAGTGAGTCCCCGGACTCATCCTGTGGTCATTTCCCTAGTGCCAAAACGCATAATTGGCTTAGAGATACTTAGCAGCTGGTAGAAACCTGACATTGGCTCCCTGACTGGTAGGGTGAGGGCTATTATGGTGAGAAAGGCCAAGTGGAAGCCATTAGAGCTGTCTCTACCTAGAAAAATAGTAAATAAAATACAATATTACATCCCTGGAGGGATTTCTGAGATTAGTGCCACCATCAAGGACTTGAAAGATGCAGGGGTGGTGATTCCTACCACATCCCTGTTCAACTCTCCCATTTGGCCAGTGCAGAAGACAGATCGATCTTGGAGAATGATAGTGGTTTATCATAAACTTAAACAAGTGGTGACTCTAATTGCAGCTGCTGTACCAGATGTGGTTTCATTGCTTGAGCAAATTAACACATTTCCTGGTACTGGTATGCACCTGTTGACTTGCCAAATGTCTTTTTTCTCCATTCCTGTCCATAAGGCCCACCAGAAGCAATTTGCCTTCAGCTGGCAAGGCCAGCAATATACCTTTACTGTTCTACGTCAGGGATATATCATCTCTCCTGCTTTGTGTTATAATCTCATTCAGAGAGAACCTGATCGCTTTTCACTTCTGCAAGAAGTCACACTGGTCCATTACATTGATGACATTATGCTGATTGGATCCAGTGAGCAAGAAGTAGCAAACACACTGGACCTATTGGTGAGACATTTGTGTGTCAGGGGTTGGAAAATAAATCTGATTAAAATTCAAGGAGCTTCTTCCTCAGTAAAATTTCCAGGGGTCCAGTGGTGTAGGACCTGTTGAGATATTCCTTTTAAGGTGAAGAATAAGTTGCTGCCTTTGGCCCTTCCTACAACTAAGAAAAAGGCACAATGCCTAGTGGGTCTTTTTGGATTTTGGAGACAACACATTCCTCATTTGGGTGTGTTACTCTGGCCCATTTATCAAATGACCTGAAAGGCGGCCAGTTTTGAGTGGGGTCCAGAACAGAAGAAGACTCTGCAACAGGTCCAGGCTGCTGTGCAAACTGCTCTGCCACTTGGGCCATATGACCCAGTAGATCCAATGGTGCTTGAGGTGTCAGTGGCATATAGGGATGCTCTTTGGAGCCTTAGGCAGGCCCCCATAGAGGAATCACAGCAGAGACCTCTAGGATTTTGGAGCAAGACCCTGCCATCTTCTGCAGATAACTACACTCCTTTTGAGAGACAGCTCTTGGCTTGTTACTGGGCTTTGGTTGAAACTGAACGTTTGACTATGGGTCATCAAGTCACCATGTGACCTGAACTGCCTATCATCAACTAGGTGCTTTCTGACCCATCTAGCCATAAAGTGGGTCATGCATTCCATCATCAAATGGAAGTGGTATATAGGCGATCGGGCTTGAGCATATCCTGAAGGCACAAGTAAGTTACACAAGGAAATGTCTCAAATGCCCATGGTCTCCACTCCTTCCACCCTGCCTTCTCTTCCCCAACCTGCACCAATGGCCTCATGGGGAGTTTCCTATGATCAGTTAACAGGAAGGGAAGACTAGGGCCTGGTTCACAGATAGTTCTGCACGATATGCAGGCACCATCTGAAAGTGGACAGCTGCAGCACTACAGCCCCTTTTTAGGACATTCCTGAAGGACAGCGGTGAAGGGAAATCTTCCCAGTGGGCAGAACCTCGAGCAGTGCACCAGTTTGTGCACTTTGAATGGAAGGAGAAATTGCCTGATGTGCGATTATATACTGATTCATGGGTGGTAACCAATGGTTTGGCTGGATGCTCAGGGACTTGGAAGAAGTATGATTGGAAAATTGGTGGCAAAGAAATTTGGAGAAGAGGTATGTGGATGGACCTCTCTGAGTTATCAAAAACTGACAATATTTGTATCCCATGTGAGTGCTCACCAATGCGTGACCTCAGCAGAGGAGGATTTCAATAATCAAGTGGATAAGATGACCCATTTTGCGGTCACTACGCAGCCTCTTTCCCCAGCCACTCCTGTCATTGCCCAGTGGGCCCGTGAACCAAAAGGCCATGGTGGCAGGGATGGAGGTTATGCATGGGCTCAGCAACATGGACTTCCACTCACCAAGGGTGACCTGGCTATGGCCACTGCTGAGTGCCCAGTTTGCCAGCAGCAGAAACCAACACTGAGCCTTTGATATGGCACCATTCCACAGGGTGGTCAGCCAGCTACCTGGTGGCAGGTTGATTATATTGGACCTCTTCCATCATGGAAAGGGCAGAGATTTGTCCTCACTGGAATAGACACTTACTCCGGATATGGGTTTGCCTATTCTGCACGCAATGCTTCTGCCAAGACCACCGTCTGTGGACTCATGGAATGCCTTATCCACTGTCATGGTATTCCACACAGCATTGCCTCTGACAAAGGCACTCATTTTATGGCTAAAGAAATGCGGCAGTGAGCTCCTGCTCATGGGATTCACTGGTCTTACCATGGTCCCCATCATCCCGAAACAGCTGGATTGATAGAAGAGTAGAATGCCCTTTTGAAGTCACAATTACAATGCCAACTAGGTGACAATACTTTGCAGGGCTGGAGCAAAGTTCTCTAGAGGGCCATGTATGTTCTGAATCAGCGTCCAATATATGATACTGTTTCTCCCATAGCCAGGATTCACAGGTTCAGGAATCAAGTGTGGAAGTGGAAGTGGCACCACTCACCATCACCCCTAGTGATCCATTAGCAAAATTTTTCCTTCCACTAGCAAAATGTTCCCACGACATTACCTTCTGCTGGTCTAGAGGTTTTAGTTCCAGAGGGAGGAACGCTGCCACCAGGGGACACAACGATTCCATTGAACTGGAAGTTAAGATTGCCACCTGGATAGTTTGGGCTCCTCCTACCTTTAAGTCAACAGGCTAAGGAGGGAGTTATAGTGTTGGCTGGGGTGATTGACCCAGACAATCAAGACAAAATCAGTCTATTACTCCACAACAGAGGTAGGGAAGAGTATGCATGGAATACAGGCAATCCATTAAGGTGTCTCTTAGTATTACCATACCCTGTGAATAAGGTCAATGGGAAACTACAACAGCCCAACTGAGGCAGGACTACAAATGGCCCAGACCCCCAGGAATGAAAGTTTGGGTCACTCCACCAGGAAAAAAAAAAAAAAAAAAAAAAAAAAACACGACCTGCTAAGGTGCTTGCTGAAGGCAAAGAGAATACAGAATGGGAACAAACATGTCTATCTTAAGCTATGGAAATATTTTTAAAAACCTAAAAGAATCCCTGTAAGTGTAAATTCCCCTGCTTTTTAAAATTAGAATGATTGGGAAACAGAGTGATACTATTTCTCATGACTTACTCTGAGATGCTCTTTTAAAAAAATTAAGTTTGAAGGAATAACTCATCAGCTCATATCCCTGATACCTGCTCCCATAGACACACAGACACACAAACAAGTTAAATTTGAATTTGGATAAATAACAAAAAAGTGAAGTATGTCCTGTGAAATATGCTCCATTGCGTGGGGCATACTTATACTAAAAAAAAAATTATTCTTTGTTTTTTGACATTTTGATTTAGCTGGGTGATCTTGCTAAATCTGGTAACAAGAACAGGCACACACTTACACAGACACACAAGAAGATCAGCAAAAGAATCTTTTAACCCACTAGGCCTACCATAAAACAAAGTTTCAGAAAGCCCCTGCCATAAACTTCTAATTCAATCTTTGGAGCTAGGAGTTCTACACATCATTGATACAGCATGATCACCAAACTCTGTCCAGTACAAATAATATGTGACCCCAAATTAATCACTGATTTTTTACTTCCTTTTTCTTCTTATCCTCACCTTCCTCTCCCATCAGCAGATTCCTAAACACTCATCCCTCTTTTGCTCAGCTATGCCCTACTAGCTACCTATGCCTTTATCATCCCATTGGATTCTCATCCTAATCCACAATATTCCCAAAGTACTCCTTCCTCCTCCCCACCTGAGCCAAGACCACCTTTGGTGTTACCTAAACTTATCATCCAGTACAACTACCTGTCTTCATGCTCACCAATGTCATCTTCAGATCCCAGCTTCCTCTGTGACTCAGCCCCTGACTTAATTTTGTTCTTTCTATTTGAAACCCCTACCATCAATTAAGATTTGCTTTAACCTCCATATTAATGGTTCTTAAAAAACTCTTGCCTTTGGCTGGGCATAGTTGCTTATGCCTGTAATCCAAGCATTTTGGGAGTCTGAGGCAAGAGGATCACTTGAGTTCAAGAGTTTGAGACCAGCTGGGACAACATAGCAAGACCCTGTCTCTACAAAAAATATAAAATTAGCCAGGCATGATGGTGCACTCCTGTAGTCCCTGCTACTTGGGAGGCTGAGGTGGGAGGATCATTTGAGCCTGGGAGGTTGAGGCTGCAGTGAGCTATGATCACACCACTGCACTCAAACTGGGTGACACAGAGTGAAACTCTGTCTCAAAAAAAAATGCATTCATTGGAGTCCTTTGAATTTAATTCCATTTACCATTACCCTACTAAATTATTAAGTCTCCCTCTGGCACATAGGGCACTCAGCTTCACATAAAACCTTGACTTCAATCCTCAGACCACAGCCTCTTTACTTCCATCCACCTCCTCAAGGTCATTCTCAAGGAACCTGCACTTTTGCTTCTTTCCTCCGAGCTTCCCTGTGGTCCAGCCTGGCTCACTGTTTTGAGTTGTATAATCTTCTGGCACATCTCTGTCATCACACTTGCCATTATCAAACCTAAGATAACCCTAACTTTCCTGTCCATTTTAGTTTCTACCCAGTGTCTTTCATAAAAGAGCATGAGGAATTCACACATAAAGAAAACATCCCTCTTCCCCAAGTCAGGATTTTTCTGGATTTTTAAGCTTCTTTCTTTCCTTCCCTTTTGCTTTGCCAGGGAAGGGATTCTACCACTTTCGCAGGATGGTCTTTCCTCATCTGTAACCTTGCTAAATAATTTCTCTCTTTTATTTTCATCAAGCTCTTTCATTTATGGGATCCTTTGCCTTTGCTTATAGCCATAAGAAATTCTTCTTATCTCATTCCCTCAATTCCTGGATTTTTGTTAACTCTATGTGAAATGGAAATAGAAGAAAACTACCTAAATATGATCAAAGCTACTTACAAAAAACTGTGGCATATGAAATAAACATTGGGATAATTCCCACAAAAAAATCACAACTAAGGAAAAGATATCTACTAATACCACTATAATTCAACATCATTTGGGAGGCACTAGAAAATGCAGTAAGAAAAACGAAATAACCAATACAACTATTGAAGAAGAGGGGACAGTTACTTCTACATACCTAAAATATGATTTTATGCCCAGAATACTTAGAAGAATTAATATGGTTTGGCTCTGTGTCCCTACCCAAATCTCATTTCGAATGAAGAGATTTGTAATCCCTACATGTCAAGGGAGGGACCTGGTGGGAGGTGATTAGATCATGGGGGTCATTTCCCCCATGCTGTTCTCATGACAGTGAGTGAATTCTCAGGAGAGCTGATTGTTTTAAAGTGTGGCACTTCCTCACTCTCTTGCTCTATCTCTCTCTCCTGCTACCTTGTGAAAAGGGTACTTGTTTCTCCTTTGCCTCCTGTCATGATTGTAAGTTTCCTGAGGTCTCCCCAGCCATGTGGAACTGTGAGTTAATTAAACTTCTTTCCTTTATAAATTACCCAGTCTCAGACAGTTCTTTATAGCAGGTGAAAATGGGCTAATACAACTGATACAGTTTGGCTGTGTCCCCACCCAAATCTCATCTTGAATTGTAACTCCCACAATTCCCTGTGTCATGGGAGGGACCCAGTGGGAGGTAATTGAACCATGGGGGTGGGTCTTTCTCTGCTGTTCTCCTAATAGTGAATAAGTCTCATGAGATCTGACGGTTTTATAAATAGGAGTTCCCCTGCACAAGCTCTTTCTCCTTCTTTGTCTGCTGCCATCCATGTAAGATGTGACTTGCTCCTCCTTGCCCTCTGTCATGATTGTGAGGCGTCCCCAGCCATGTGGAACTGTAAGTCCATTAAACCTTTTTTTCTTCCCAGTCTCAGGTATGTCTTTATAAGCAGCATAAAAACAGACTAATACAACAACTGTATTAAAAAATTAGCAAAGAAGCCAGATAAAAGAAAACAATCACAAAAACAGATTTTATTTATATTAGCAATGAGTTGAAGATCCAAACTGAAAAATAAATATTAATTAATAATAGCAACAAAAATGAAAAAGATACCTGGGAATATATTATATAAGAAAAACACAGAACTTAGATAAGGAAAATTAAATAATAGGAACACTTGAACACTTAGGAAAATATATCTTGCCTCTGAATGAAACAACATTATTTTTAAAGTGCAATTCTTCTAGTAATAATGAATATGTAAATTTAATCCAAAACCAGCAATAATTTACTGTAATCACAATCTGGTATATTTTGTAACTCGATAAAATTAGTTTAGAATTTTTATAAAAAATAAATCACTGTGAAGAGACACAAATATCTTGAAAAAGAGGAAAATTGAAAGGTAAACATACTTTAACATATATTAACGTGTTATAAAGCAAACACAATTCCAAAAAATATATATATTTGTCAGTGGAATACAAAAAAAATACCTAGGAATACATCTAACCAAGAAGGTGAAAGACCTCTACAAGGAGAGCTACAAAACATTGGTGAAAGAAATCATAGATGATACAGACAAATGGGAAAACATTCTATGCTCATGGACTGGAAGAATCAATGTCATCAAAATGTCCATGCTGTCCAAAGCAATCCACAGATTCAAGACAATTCCCATCAAATTACCAATATCATTCCTCACAGAATTAGAAAATAGTATTCTAAAATTCATATACAACTAAAAAAAAAAAAAAAAAAAAAAAGCCTGGCTAGCCAAAGCTATACTAAGCAAAAAGAACAAAGCCAGAGGCATCACGTTACCCAACTTCAAACTATAAGGCTACAGTAATCAAAATAGCATGGTACTGGTACAAAAACAGACACATGGACCAATGGAACAGAATAGAGAACCCAGAAATAAAGCCATAACCCTACAGCCTTCTGATCTTTGGCAAAGTTGACAAAAATCAGCAATGGGGAAAGGACTCCCTATTCAATAAATAGTGCCGGAATAGCTGGCTAGCCATATGCAGAAGATTGAAACTAGATCCCTACCTTTCACCATATACAAAAATAAACTCAAGGTAGATTAAAGATTTAAATGTAAGACCTCAACCTATAAGAATCCTAGAATAAAACCTTTGAAATACTCTACTACTGGACATGGGCCTTGGCAAATAATTTATGACTAAGTCCTCAAAAGCAAATACAACAAAAACAAAAATTGACAATAGGGACCTAATTAAACTAAAAACTAATAGTAAAATAAACTATCAATACGGTAAACAGACAACCTACAGAATGAGAGAAAACATTTGCAAACTATGCATCCAACAAAAGACTTATATTCAGAATCTATAAGCAACTTAAACACATCAACAAGAAAAAAGCAAACAACCCCATTAAGAAGTAGGCGAATCGCTTCAACCTGGGAGGCAGAGGTTGCAGTGAGCCGAGATTGCACCACTGCACTCCACCCAGACAACAGAGCAAGACTCCGTCTCAAAAAATAAAATAAAATAAAAGGAAAAGAAAAAAGAAATTTCAGGCAGAGGAGGTCGCGGCGCCGGAGGCCCCAGAAGGGTCGAAGGCGCCGCGGGCTGGGGTCGGTGGCTTAGGGAGCCCGTCCGGCCATGGTGGCCGCGGCTGGTGGTTGGCGCGGCTGCGCTGCGGCCCGGGGCAGTGCGGAGCCGGGACAGTCGCGGCGCTGACGCCCGCGGGCCCCAGCTGCAGATATGAAGCGGAGCCGCTGCCGCGACCGACCGCAGCCGCCGCCGCCCGACCGCCGGGAGGATGGAGTTCAGCGGGCAGCGGAGCTGTCTCAGTCTTTGCCGCCGCGCCGGCGAGCGCCGCCCGGGAGGCAGCGGCTGGAGGAGCGGACGGGCCCCGCGGGGCCCGAGGGCAAGGAGCAGCCGCCTGCCTTGGCCTCCCAAAGTGCCGAGATTGCAGCCTCTGCCCGGCTGCCACCCCGTCTGGGAAGTGAGGAGTGTCTCTGCCTGGCCGCCCATCGTCTGGGATGTGAGGAGCCCCTCTGCCTGGCTGCCCAGTCTGGAAAGTGAGGAGCGTCTCCGCCCGGCCGCCATCCCATCTAGGAAGTGAGGAGCGCCTCTTCCCAGCCGCCATCACATCTAGGAAGTGAGGAGCGTCTCTGCCCGGCCGCCCATCGTCTGAGATGTGGGGAGCGCCTCTGCCCCGCCGCCCCATCTGGGATGTGAGGAGCGCCTCTGCCCGGCCGAGACCCCGTCTGGGAGGTGAGGAGCGTCTCTGCCCGGCCGCCCCGTCTGAGAAGTGAGGAGACCCTCTGCCTGGCAACCACCCCGTCTGAGAAGTGAGGAGCCCCTCCGCCCGGCAGCTGCCCCGTCTGAGAAGTGAGGAGCCTCTCCGCCCGGCAGCCACCCCATCTGGGAAGTGAGGAGCGTCTCCGCCCGGCAGCCACCCCGTCCGGGAGGGAGGTGGGGGGGGGGTCAGCCCCCCACCTGGCCAGCCGCCCCATCCGGGAGGGAGGTGGGGGGTCAGCCCCCCCGCCCGGCCAGCCATGCCGTCCGGGAGGGAGGTGGGGGGGTCAGCCCCCCGCCCGGCCAGCCGCCCCGTCCGGGAGGTGAGGGGCGCCTCTGCCCGGCCGCCCCTACTGGGAAGTGAGGAGCCCCTCAGCCCGGCCAGCCACCCCGTCCGGGAGGGAGATGGGGGGGTCAGCCCCCCCACCCGGCCAGCCGCCCCGTCCGGGAGGGAGGTAGGGGGGTCAGCCCCCCGCCTGGCCAGCCGCCCCGTCCGGGAGGGAGGTGGGGGGGTCAGCCCTCCGCCCGGCCAGCCGCCCCGTCTGGGAGGTGAGGGGCGCCTCTGCCCAGCCGCCCCTACTGGGAAGTGAGGAGCCCCTCTGCCCGGCCAGCCGCCCCATCCGGGAGGGAGGTGAGGGGGTCAGCCCCCCGCCCAGCCAGCCGCCCTGTCCGGGAGGGAGGTGGGGGGGTCAGCCCTCCGCCCGGCCAGCCGCCCCGTCTGGGAGGTGAGGGGCGCCTCTGCCCGGCCGCCCCTACTGGGAAGTGAGGAGCCCCTCTGCCCGGCCAGCCGCCCCGTCCGGGAAGGAGGTGCGGGGGTCGGACCCCCGCCCGGCCAGCCGCCCCGTCCGGGAGGGAGGTGGGGGGATTCGGCCCCCCTGCCCGGCCAGCCGCCCCGTCCGGGAGGTGAGGGGCGCCTCTGCCCGGCCGCCCCTACTGGGAAGTGAGGAGCCCCTCTGCCCGGCCACCACCCCGTCTGGGAGGTGTGCCCAACAGCTCATTGAGAACGGGCCAGGATGACAATGGCGGCTTTGTGGAATAGAAAGGCGGGAAAGGTGGGGAAAAGATTGAGAAATCGGATGGTTGCCGTGTCTGTGTAGAAAGAAGTAGACATGGGAGACTTTTCATTTTGTTCTGCACTAAGAAAAATTCCTCTGCCTTGGGATCCTGTTGATCTGTGACCTTACCCCCAACCCTGTGCTCTCTGAAACATGTGCTGTGTCCACTCAGGGTTAAATGGATTAAGGGCGGTGCAAGATGTGCTTTGTTAAACAGATGCTTGAAGGCAGCATGCTCGTTAAGAGTCATCACCAATCCCTAATCTCAAGTAATCAGGGACACAAACACTTCGGAAGGCCGCAGGGTCCTCTGCCTAGGAAAACCAGAGACCTTTGTTCACTTGTTTATCTGCTGACCTTCCCTCCACTATTGTCCCATGACCCTGCCAAATCCCCCTCTGTGAGAAACACCCAAGAATTATCAATAAAAAAATAAATTAAAAAAAAAAAAAAAAAAAAAGTAGGCAAAGGACATGAACAGACACTTCTCACTCAAACGAAAACATACATGTGGCCAAGAAAAAAACTGCTCAACATCACTTATCATCAAAGAAATGCAAATTGAAAGCACAGTGAGATATCATTTCATACCAGCCAGAATGGCTATTATTAAAAAATCAAAAAATAACAGATGCTTGCAAAGTTAAGGACAAAAGGGAATGCTTATACACTGCTTGTAGGAATGTAAATTCCACAGCCACTGTGGAAAACAGTTTGGAGATTTCTCAAAGAACTAATAATAGAATTACCATTTGACCCATCAATCTCATTACTTGGTGTCTATCCATAGGAAAAATCATTCTACCAAAAAGACACCTGTACTTGCATGTTTACTGCAGCGGTATTTACAATAACAAAGACATGGAATAACCCAGGTGCCCATCAATGGTGGATTAAAAAAAAATGTGATACCTATACACCATGGAATACTATGCAGCCATAAAAAGATTGAAATCACATCCTCTGCAGCAACACAGATTGCAGCTAGAGGCCATTATCTTAAGTGAATTAACGCAGAAACAGAAAACCAAATACCATGTGTTCTCGTTTTTAAGTGGGAGCTAAACCTTGGGTACATATGAACATAATGCTGGGAACACTGGGGACTCCAAAAGTGGGGAGGGAGTGAGGAGAGCAAGGCTTGAAAAATGATCTGTTGGGTACTATGCTCACTATCTGGGTGACAGGTTCAATAGAGGACCAAACCTTAGCATCACGCAATATATCCATGTAACAAACCTGCACACATACTCCCTGAATCTAAAATAAAATATTTTTAAAAAACCAAAAAATTAAAAAAAAATCAGTAGAACAACAGAGTACAAAAATAGACCCAAATACACACAAATGCTTAAAATTTGCAAAATTTTAGCAGGGAGTATTTGAGATGATGAAACAGCAATGATGATGATAATAATGATGATCATCAGAACTGTGTTATTTTGGGTGTCCCCGAAAGGGAGAGCAGAGTCAAGAACCTGGCTGCAGGAAGTTTATTTGGGAGTTGGCATCTGGGAGAAGTAAGGGGGAAGTAAGACAGGAAACAAGGAAAAGCCAACCTAAAGATGCTTCACTGAGGTTGCTGCTTTGCAATCAATTTCTCTGGGACTGCTTGGGACATGAGCAGAATGCCTCTCACAATTGTCCCCCTAAAGAATGAAAGAGGGGCATACACCTACCAGTTACTACCCCTCAGTGGTTAAAGAGTGTCTCTAGACATTAAAACTTCCCCACCCCCACATGTGGGCTGCACTTGAATGAAGGAGGATAATAGAGAAGAGGGCATGTGCCCTTGAGGTAGGACACTGTCGGGTGAGGTGAGCATGAGGTTGTCTGCAACTGTGCAGTGCAGCTGAACTAAACTCGGAGGTTGGTCATGGGGATGCTGATATGGTGTGGGAACCAGAGGTCCATAGTGTGCTGGGAAACATTTAGCATAGCAGCCTAACTCTACCAAATAGTCACCCTGGAGAAATCATGGGTAAGGGCATTAGGAAGTAGCTTTCCTTAGTGATAAGCTGCTTCTTCATTGTAACCTCATTACATACCATTATGGTATGGTTTGATTCTATGTAGTGAGTCCCATTGGGTCACCTGAAGAACAACTGACCACCAATGAAAAGACCAAGATACATATAATTGATTTCCATAATGGATGTTCTCCTGACTCCCAAATCTAATTTTACAAGGTGCTTCCAGTATTCTTGTTTTTTGACTTGTTATTATAGGGGACATTTTGGGTAACATACCTTCCAGATTAATAAAAAATCATGGATGTTCAAATGTTGGATTCTTGACTTTCAGCTAAAACATAAGCATTTCTTAAGCATCTTAGTACAAGTGAATCAATGTTACAGTCTCAGACTGTTGGGCCTTGGGCCTGTTCTTCATTCAGCAGCCCAGCATATGTCAGATTAGAAAAAAAATCTAAGAAAAATTTAAATGCAACTTGAAGAAAGAAGAAACCTAGTTCCCATGAGCTTTTCAAATATGAGAACAATAGACTCTGAGGCTTTACTTGAGGGGTGAGGGTGAGAGGAGGATGAGGGTCAAAAAACCACCTATCGGTTACTATGCTCACTACCTGGGTGCCGGAATCATTTGTGCACAAACCCCAGTGACACACAATTTACCCATGTAACATGCCTGCACATGTATTCCCTGAACCTAAAATAAAAGTTGAAAAAGTAACAGAAAAAAAAGATTAGTAATAGCAATTTCTCTGGAGCAAAGTTATAGTACAAGAAAATAAAGTTGGCAAAAGAAGCAAAGTATAATGAATACTAGAAAATACTAGGTTATTAATACTCTCCAGAAAATAGTTGTCATTCTTATGGTAGTTAAGATATTTGTCATAATCTGGTTTATCTTCAATCATGACTGACTTTTCTACATGGATTCTACTTCTTAGGTTCTGCTGCTCATTTCCTCACCTGAAATGTCCACCCTATTTATCTGTGTCTATTTTATTTATTTATTTGGGGGACAGAGTCTCTGTCTGTTGCCCAGGCTGGAGTGCAGTGGTGTGAGCTCGGCTCACAGCAACTTCCACCTCCTGGGTTCAAGCAATTCTTGTGATTTAGCCTCCCAAGTAGCTAAGACTACAGGCACGTGCCACCAGCCCAGCTAATGTTTGTATTTTTAGTAGAGACAGGGTTTTGCCCTGTTGGCCAGGCTGGTTTCAAACTCCTGGGCTCAAGCGATCTGCCTGCCTTGGCCTTCCAAAGTGCTGTGGTTTGCCAGACAGATCTCCCCTTAAGGGCTGAGGCCCTCATTGTTCCAGATGTTGAGATGTTGGCTGCTAACAGCTCACAGATGAGTTCTTCTCTGGACATTGGTCTTTGTAGATGGGAGCTGCCTCAGCCAAGGTTACCCCTATTCCCTAGGCACAGTCCACATCCAGTGTAGTAAAGAGGACTGGCTTAAAAAGGATTGGCATACTTGCCTAGATTCAGGACAACACTGACAGGTCATCTCAACTCCAGAGGATCCTCTGAGGCCTCCATTAAAACTGAATCGTAGTTTAAATTCCCTGCTTTGCCCAATCTTGCATCCCTCACTCCTCACAGACATTTCTCTCAAGAGCACTCACCATTAATTGCTTGCACACAAATTTGTGCTTCAGTCTGTTTCCTGGAGAAGTTGGAGATCACAAAAATGTCTTTGATATTATCCAAATAATATTACTTAATGCTTTAGTCTTTTTTGTGTTTCATACTTGAAAATAACACTCTGATACATGGTAGCTACCAAATCTAGTCTCAGAAGGAGGAATAGGAAATTGAACCACAGGATAATTTAATTGACTGAATTGACCAGCTTTGTTGGCATTATTCATTTTGTCACAAAAAATAAAAATTAATCAATACAAGCATAATTAACCATTACAAAGAGCTATATTACAACAATTATAAATTGTTTTTATGTATATATTTTTTGAGACAGTCTCACTCTGTTACCCAGGCTGTAGTGCAATGGCACAATCTTGGCTGACTGCAACCTCCACCTCCCGGGTTCAAGTGATTCTCCTGCCTCAGCCTCCTGAGTAGCTGGGATTACAGGTGCCTGCCACCATGCCTGGCTAATTTTTGTCTTTTTAGTAGAGACGGGGTTTCACCATGTTGGTCAGGCTCGTCTTGAGCTCTTGACCTCGTGATCTGCCCGCCTCGGCCTCCCAAAGTGCTGGGATTACAGGGGTGAGCCACCATGCCCGGCCTATGATTTTTTATTAACGGGATTTAAATTATTTGGTTTTAATGGTTCATTTTGCTTGTAACTTTTAAACTATTTATATGAAAAGACATCATAATATTTAATCCATAAGCATCATAGATGTAAGATTTTAAAATGGTATAATCATATCATTTCTTATGAGAGCAGAGTTGGATTACCAAAAATAACAAATTTATTTTTATATAATGTAGTTACCTTTGTAAATGTGGACTGTAGTTTCTGGCCATTGGAGTGTTCATTGGGTTGATGATGCATTAGCTTTGTCAGGAATACTGTGCTCGTGGAAAGTAACACAGTAATATTTTGGTTTTAGTCTAACATAATAATAGATTGTACTAGAGAGTATCTACTGACCGTCTACAGCAATCCCTCCTCCTCCTCCTTTCTTGTATTTCAGGTTTGTAAGACTAAATGCTGTGTTTCTGAAACTCCTGCAACTGGAGAGATGATTCTGTCCCTGGGTGTGATTTAAGTGCTCCCGATGAAAAGCGCTGTCATGAGATTTAAGAGGTGGAAGGGTGGGAAGCCCCCATGTGGGCTCATCAGGAGCTCTGATAGACTGGGGGTCTGCAAGGGCCAGACTCCATGTTCCTCTGTCTATCCCCAGCCTCCCGGGTGTCAGTTGAGAGGGCAGCAGTCTCCTGACCAATGGATTGAAGCTGCAGTGGTGCAACTTGGAAACAAGTGTCCAGTTGCAACCCGACTTCGGCTCCTCTAGCCTTTCCACTGGCTTTATAAACACCAGATTCCCTATGTTAAACCCCATGCACTTGAACTGCTTACACTAGTTTCTTGATCTTTCACTGAAACCTGACCGATACATTTTCCTACCTACAAAAAAAAGTCAACCTGGTTTTACTTAAACCATGACTACTGCTGTTAACACAAATGAATAAATAAGTGCATATGTGACAATTTGCTCTCCTTCCTTTGTAATGTAAGAAGGTATATCCTCTCCATCAAACCACATTTTGGGGGAGATTTCAATGTATTTTTCTGGAAAAAAAAAAAAGGCCTGCTGAGATAAGTGAGAGCTAAGGCTCTAGAATAAAGATGAGCCTAGAGATCTCTTCTCCTGAGAGCACTCAGCACTAACTGCTTTCACACACATTTCTGCTTCAGTCTCTTTCCCGGGGGAAGCTGGAGGCCGCAAAAATTTCTTTGATATCATCCAAATAATATTAATTTTAATTGTTTGCAAATAATTAATTACAAATAATTAACATTAAGAAAATGCAACCAAACCCAAAGCATCCAGTCCTATCACCAGAGATAAGAACCGTAAGATCTTACACTTCTTACGTTGCCTCCAAGACAGCTGTGTCCAGTGCATGAGGCCTGTATTAGGGCATTCTTGCACTGCTGTATAGAAATAACTGAGACTGAGTAATTTATAAGAAAAGAAGTTTAACTGGTTCAGCATTCTGCAGGCTGTAGAGGAAGCATAGTAGCATCTGTCTCTGGGGAGGCCTCAGGAAGGAAGCCTCCAATCATGACAGATGGCAAAGGGGGAATAGGCACATCACAGGGCAAAAGCAGGAGTGAGAGAGAGAGAAAGCAAGGGGGATGTGCCACATGTTCTTAATCAGCCAGATCTCCAAGAGGTTACTCATTATCACGAGGACAGCACCAAGGGGATGGTGATAAACCATTCATGAAAACCATTCCCATGATCCAACCACCTCCCACCAGGCCCCAGCTCCATTCCTGGGGATTACAATTCCACATGATATTTGGGTAGGGACACAGATACAAATGATATCAAGGCCTTAAAGTCAGGTAGAAACTGACAAGGATGGGTCACAACTGGACCTTCCATGCTGAAGTTTCTCCTCAGTCAGAAATGAGAGACTAGCCACATGGGTTCTGGCAAACCTGGCTCTGTAAGACTCCAGAGGTGGAAGGAGAGAGGTTGTCCACACTGCCAGATAACTGCAATATTGAATGCAGAGCCCTTGTCTCTGTCGGCAGTTGTGCCTTCACCACTATGCCCCATGCCTGATTCCTTCTAGACAGAGAATAGGATAGTCTAGCAGACACGTGGCTTAGCAAACGGCTCATCTACTGCAGACTAACTGATGCCTAACATGCAAATATGGGCTTGTAACAGTGATAATTAAAATAATGATGTCTTTGAAAGATTTCTTTGACATAAAATAGAGAAGATGCTTCATCAGTCCCACAACACTGACTTCCTCCTAGGTGTATTTTCCTAAAGGTGAATGGGAGAGCAATACTGAAGTATGGTTTATCAATGACACAAGCCAGCCTACGATGGGATATTACACAGTGGACCCCAAATATGATATATGTTATAATAAGAAAAACATTTAAAATTGTTAGTATTGAGCTTAAAAGAAAAACACTTCAGTCAGAGGATCTGGGTTTGAATCCAGCCCAATTCCACATTTACAGGTTATGAATCCTTAATAAATTACTTAACCTTTCTGAGCCCCAGCTTCCCCATCTCTAACACAAGGACATTTTAGAGGTTATGTAGGCTCCAGAAAGGCAAGCTGATTTGTTCTCAGCTATCTCCCCAAAATTAAGCATTTAACTCGGCACAGTGTAGGTTTCTATTCATATTTGTTGAGAATGAATGGATAGTTACCTCGTATAATTGTAATAAGGATTAGAGAAAATACAGGTAAAGTACATGGAACATAGAAAGCCCTCAATCAGTAATTGTTTCTAATATGAAAAGCCCCTAGTCTTGAGTCTTCCTTCCTTCTTTAATCATGAACGATCCTTTTAATCTGCACACGTTCTGATGAATTCACATCACCTAATGATGCCATGCTTGTCTCAGCCCAACTGCAGCCATCTTGAGCCTTATCTGGCAGAAATTAAGGCTTAACTGCTAATATTCACACCAGCTCCTCCTTCTAGGCAATCTGAACTCTGCCTCTTCCAAGATGGGTGCCCATTTGACATGGCAATTGTCTTTAGGTTCATATAAGACTCAGGGGATGGGATTGGTGGGGATAGTCCCTGCCTTGCAATTGATTGGAGCCCATACTGAAGTTTGGGGCAGCACAGATGGTAGCAGTGTGGGTGAGGGCTGCTCTTTTGACTTTAGAAAGACAAAGGAGACTACACAGTAAGGACTTCTGGAGCAGAGTCCCAACCCAAGAGTCCAAGGCCTGATGCCTCAGTCTCAGCCTCCTCAGCCTAGTGCTGACTTCAGGCAGCAGAAGAGGAGACACCATTAGCCTCTGCTGCCAAGGATTGTCTTTGAAGAATCCCAGATAAGCTGGCAGCCTCCAGATTCTCTCCCCAGGAAGGTGTGAGGAATTCAAGTCTTGCTTGAAGACGCTTCAGCTACTGTGGTTAAAGTATGCGATGCCTGCTGGCTGTTCTTTACCTACAAGAGTGTGTGTTTGCTGCACTGTGGAAAAACCAAGGCCGAAGTCTGTTCTAAGTAGAGTTGCTCTTGAGATTTCTGCCCCTCCTACTGGTTGCCTCTTAATCCAAATTTGATGTAACATTCCATCATCCACTTGGTCTGCTGATGTGGTAGTATTAATTGCTCAAATATCATTTCATGTGGGCAGGAAAGGCCACAGGTTAGAGATGGGATGCAAGCAAGTGGTCCCCCTGCATGGTTGGCTATTATTAAAGGGGCCTTGTCACTAAGGGGTTGTTTTATATCTCCAAAGGTCAGTAGCAATGTGGCTGAACTCTCCTTCTGGAAATCCTCCCATCTCTAACTCTTACTCCTGCAGGTGGGTATAATTCTGGAAATTTTATAACTTCTCTTTATAAGGAAGTCACAGGGTAAGAGCAGAGTTGGAAAGAGATGATGATATAATAAAGGAACTACAAAAGAAGTTCTCTCAAACTTGTATGTCAAAAGAACTTCCCTCGTCTTGTATTGTTTATTTTCTATAACTAAGATAATAAAAGGTAATAAAGAATCAGAGGCACAGGATTTCAAGCAGTATTTTATTTTTTTTCTAATCTCCTTGCAGAATTGACTAAATCATTTTAGAATATTTTTGCTTAAAGTTTCCAAAACTCTTTTGTAATTTTTCTCTCATTTGTGTTTTGCTTTATTATTTGCTTTATTATTCTTTCATTCTGTGCTGTAATTGTTACAAGGTCCATTAATCCTGGCCTCATGCTTTATTAGGTAGAACAACAGCCTCGCAGATGATTGCCAATAGTTAAGTAAACTTTCTGTGAAGTTCAAGGCTCTACATGTATAAAACTGAATTCCTGAAACAAGTGTCCTCTATGATCCCTCAGTGCAAATCGTGAGGTCATGATTGCCCTCTCCTCCAAAATGAGAAAAGTGGCCAGAACCGATATTAGAAACTTCATGTTTTGTGTTGACTGCTACTGATTTCAGAATCTTAATTTTGCTGTCATTTTTGAAGATTACCACAATTTTATTAAATAAGCAAGCTTTAAAAATTACATATGTTAGTTTCACCTTAATCATCCAATTTTTTATTGAAAATCAAAATAGAAAAAGATTCTAAAGATAAAAACAACAAATACTTAAATGCACTGTCAGCTCTGTGGTAATGCACTTTTTGACAACACCCACAAACAGGTCTGTAAGCTACAATAATTCACTAAATTGTTTGCTGCTTTACAATCGCTGGCAGGAGAGGAGAGGAAAGTGCCATAGGGCCGAAATGAAGCAAATTGAAAGCCATATAAATAAAAAGCATAAAGCATTGTAAATTCATTGTAATTGGAGTGGTTTTGAGAGGAATAAAATATGCCACCCATCTGCTTTAAAGGAAGGCAATTCAAACATCCCATTCATTAAATAAAATAATAAAAACAAATTTTAACTTCAAGATAGAGTTAAGAGAGTCGAAGAGGGAGGAGAAATAGACATGCAAGGAGACCACACACAGTCACATAGGGGAGATAAAGAGAGAGGCCCCATGGAGGAAGAGACACACAGCCATTAACACAGAAAGGAGAAAAGCAGGGCAGATTTTCACAGAGAAGGACCTTCATCTGTGATCTGTGGTCTTTGAATTTTTGATCCTTGAAACCCATGAAGTTAGTGCATGCTTTCCACAGAAGCAGCAGAGAGCCTTGTCACCTGGGGCTCCTGGACTGTGGGCTGAACTTTAAGTCAAGAACCAGATGGGATTCATGGGCCAGCCCTCCCAATTTCTTGTTTGTTTGACCAGATGAATAAAGTCTATCTGCTTGCACCAATTTCCACGAGAAAGAAGGCTCACATACTCCGCTCATTCCCTTGTTTCTAAAATGTCAAATGTAAAGCTGATGTTAATATTTTTCTTTGAAAAAAAAAAAAAACACAAAAATGAATGCTATTTACTCTAAGAACCAGTATGGTTTTTAAAGGAGGAAATGAAGGAAGAAGGATGTTTACTGGTTTTATATGTATCTTTTCTTAAAGAATTTCATTGAGAACATTAAGCCCTGAGAAAAATATGTCAGAGAGAAAAAGAGCAGAAAAAATGAGAGAAAAAGAAGCAAGCCACAAAAGCAATAGCCACCTTACACGACCACACACCTACAAGCTAGGGAAAGCAGGGAGATGCCGGAGAAAGATCAGTGGACCCACCAGTGAGGTGAGCAATCTCTGCTCCTTCCTGCATGTGCACCCCTGTGCTGGGCCTTCCACATTGAAGCGATGCATTTATGTTTTGTTTTGTTTTGTTTTTTTGTGAGACAGAGTCTTGTTCTGTCACCCAGGCTAGAGTGCAGTGGCGCGATCTCGGCTTGCTACAAGCTCAGTGGCGCGATCTCGGCTTGCTACAAGCTCCGCCTCCCGGGTTCACGCCATTCTCCTGCCTCAGCCTCCCGAGTAGCTGGGACTACAGGTGCCCGCCACCATGCCTGGCTAATTTTTTTGTATTTTTAGTAGAGAAGGGGTTTCACCGTGTTAACCAGGATGGTCTCGATCTCCTGACCTCGTGATCCGCCCGCCTGGGCCTCCCAAAGTGCTGGGACTACAAGCATTAGCCACCGTGCCCAGCCTTGAAACGATGCATTTAAAGATGAAGCTGATATAAGTTTACACCATTTAGAGATTTTTAAAACAGCTTTATTGAGATGTCATTGACATACATAAAGTGCACATATTCAAAGTGTAGAATTTGAACTATTCCTACAAAATAGGGAACATACTCATCACTCCCAAAGGTTTCTTTGCACCACTTCATAATCCCTTCCTCCAATACCTCCTCACCTCTCTTCTGGTAACGCTGATCTGTTTTCTGTCAGTTTACATGTGCTTGCATTTCTTAGAACTTCATAAAATTGGAATGAAATAGGATTTAATCTCTCTTTTTTTGCTGACTTCTTTCACTCAGCCTAATTACTTAGATTCATTCATATTGTAGCATATATCAGTAGTTCATATTTATTAATGAGTAGCTTTCCATTGGATAGATATACCATATACCACAATTAGTTTATGCATTCATCTATTGATGGCAATTGGAGTTGGTTCCACATTTTGTCTATTATAAATAAAGCTTGAATGTGCATTTGTGTGCAAATCTTTATAAGGACTTGTGCTTTCATTTTTCTCTTGGGTAAGTAACTAAGAGAAGGGATAGATCATGTGATAGTTATATGTTTAACTTTTTACCAAACAGACTGGTTTCCAAAGTGGTTGTGCTATTTTACATTTCCACCAGCAGTAGGTAAGAGATCCACTTTGCTGCCAACATGTGGTGTGGTCAGCTTTTAAAATTTTAGCCATTTTAATAGGTCTGCAGTGGCATCTCATTGGGGGAGGAGGGTTACCAAATTACTTTATTTGAAAACATAGTACACATGAAAGAACTTAAATGGATGTCTTGGTACAACTTATAGAAAAAGATAAAGATAAACCCAAATGCATGCACTGCCTTGGTGGAAGTCACTCCCTTGGCTATGAGGGAACCAACCTAAGGTTAAGCTGTCAGCATCACTGTCTCTCAGGGTGAGCTTGTCGAAGACATACTTGGCCGTGCCAGATTCCAGGGCCCCTATCTCATGCAAGCTGGTTTCAGTGGTCACTCACGTTTACTGGATTTTACCTACTCATTCAGGTAATGAATATCAATGAAGCCACACAAATGGGGTCTCTTTTTTTCAGTGATCATTTGTAGCTGATTCATGCTTTTATTCAAATGCAACGTATGCCGTTGCATTCGGCCCACTCTCCCAGTGGCCATGGCCTAGTTTCTTGATATCCTGAAGGAAGATTTGGCCACTTTGTTGGTTCTGCAACTTCAACAGTTTCTCAGCATGTCCCCTCTCCTCATGAGATTGGTGAGGAAATTGTCAAAGTTTTTCAAAGCCACATAATCGCAGTTAAAATAACAAGACATTGACAGGTAGATGGGGAAGTGTTGAGCTCAAAGTTGATCTGGTGGTTGACGGTGACCTCCAAGTTCTGGTGGTAGTTCTTGTGCACCTGCTTGGGGGACCAGTCACCATGGCAGGTGACAGGGAACTTGGCACTGCCTAAGGGACCCATGAGAAAGTTGTAAGCAGCCAGCCATCTGGGTGGGGAATGAATTAAGAGGAGGACCAGGTTCCATGCAAGCACTTTGAAAGTAGGAAGACACTCTGACCCCTGAGAAGAACCTCTGCTCCATCTCATTGTAGATTTACTTGTATTTCCTTAAATATATTAAATATCTCTCTTGTGCTTATTTGCCATTTATGTATCTTCTTAGATATGGTGTTGGTTTAAAACTTTTGACCATTGGAAAAAAACAGGTACTTTTTTCTCATTACTGATGTTTAAGAGTTCTTTATGTGTTCTAGATACTAGTCTCTTATCAAATGTATGCTAGGCAAAGATTTTCTCTCAGTCTTGGCTTGTCTTTTCATTATTTAACAATGATTTTCAAAGAATTTCTTAAATTTTTATGAAGTCTATGTTATTAATTTGTTCTTCTATGAATTATGCTTTTGGTTTTGCATCTAAGAAATCTTTGCCTAATCCAAAATTACAAAGGTTTCTCCTATGTTATATTCTAGAAGCTGTAGAGTTACAGGTTTCACATTTGGATTCATGACCCATTTTGCATTAATTTTTGCTTATAGTGTAACGTACGGATTAAAGGGTTTTTGTTTATTTATTGCACGTGGATATCCAATTGTTTCAGCACTTTCTATTGAAAAGACTGTCCTTTCACCGTTGAATTACCTTTGCATCGATTGAAAATCAATTGCCATTTTCTAGACTATTTTATTTCATTGTTCTATTCTCTATCTTTGTACCAATACCGCACTACCTTAATTACTATTGCTTTATAATAAATCTTAAAATAATACGGTATTTGGCCGGGTGCGGTGGTTCACGCCTGTAATCCCAGCACTTTGGGAGGCCGAGGAGGGCAGATCATGAGGTCAGGAGATCGAGACCATCCTGGCTAACACGGTGAAACCCCGTCTCTACTAAGAATACAAAAAAAAAAAAAAAAAAAAAAAAAAAAACTAGCCGGGCGCGGTGGCGGGTGCCTGTAGTCCCAGCTACTCGGGAGGCTGAGGAGCAGCTACTCGGGAGGCTGAGGCGGGTGCCTGTAGTCCCAGCTACTCGAGGAGGCGGAGCTTGTAGTGAGCCGAGATCGCGCCACTGCACTCTAGCCTGGGTGACAGAGCAAGACTCCGTCTCAAAAAATAAATAAATAAATTAATTAATTAAAAATAATAATAATAAGGTATTTGTGCTCTAACTCTATATTTTGTTTTCAAAGTTGTTTTAACCATTCAAATAGACTTGGAGTTATTAAAACCTACAAAAATCAAAACCTCGCATTTCCTCCCAATTCTTATGATGCTAGCACCTTTAATTAGGAATTGAATTTAGGTATAACTAGATGCATATAAATTTATATTATCCATTTAGCAGTCTTGTTATCCCATACCCAGAAGCTGTATTATTAGGAGAGTCCTGTTAGGGAGAATAGTCTCCAAACAGGAAGAACCAACTTGGGTTAGAAGGAGTTAAAGCTTAAGATGGAAAATAAGAAAATGAGAGCACATTTGATTATCTTTATTCATATTCCAATTCCAAAGACACTATATTCAGGGCCCTGAAATAACCTGGAGATGTTATCTTTAAGGCACTGGTAAAACAGCTTAAAAATTGTTTATGTTTTAGGAAGAAACTAGAACAACAGAGATTAGCCCAAACTGTTACTTTACAAGAAGAGAATGACACCACAGGCTAGAACAATTAGTCAATTGCTGGAATATTCTACGATGTAACATTAAATAATTCTTTGTATTTAAAATTTTTTTAAAAATTGTGTACTTTTAAAAAATAACTTTCTGCTCATGTTGTGTTGGAGTACTAATAAACCAAAGGGGACTCAGCAGGCTTTCTGCTGTATATCCTTATTATGGCATAAATCACATCAGTGTATGGTAGAATACTGGAACTCAGAACATCTGCCTAATGAAATACATAATAGTAATAAAGTGAGAAGACTTTAATAAACAAGATGGAGACTCAGAAAACCTGTGAGAAAGGCAGACGTATTTGCTTTGTCATGTAAAAACTTGAAATATACAACAAAAGAAACCATAAAGAAGCTCTAGTGGAAAAAAGTCTGACTGGTGTTTAGAAAAAAAGAAAAAGAGAGACACAGATAAGAGGGAAGAGAGAGAAGGAGGGACAGAGAATAAGACAAAGGGTGGAGGGAGAGAAGGAAGGAAGAGAGGGAGGGAAGGAGGGAGGGAACAGAGATGAAGACAGAGATGGAAGGAGGAAGGGAAGAAGGACAAGAAAAAGAAAACGATAGAGGTGAAAGAAAGAACATCTACAAATTGATTGAAAAAATTAAAATTACCCAACAGAAAAACAGGCAAATAATATTAATAGGCAAACACTGTCAAAGAGGTTTATATAAGCGAATAGATTTTTTAAGAAAAACTCAAATTTACCACTAATGAGGGAAATGCAACTTAAAGTGTCATGATGACAAAAATTTAAAAGATTGATAATATCCAGTACAAATGAAAATTAGAGGAAGTTAGTACTCTCATGCACTGGTTTAGGAAATATTTCAAGAAAGGAGTCTAGAAATATTATTAAAATATAAACTGTATGTTGCCTTTGACCCAGTGATCCCACATTTGAGATTTTCTCCTACAGGGAAAAGAAAAAAGATTATTATACAAAGTTTGAGTTTATTGAAGCATTGTTTATAGGGGCAAAATACTGGAAATAATTAGACTGTTTATGAATAAAAGCTAATTAAATAAATTAGAGAAAATTAATAAGATAGAATATTGGGCACTCCAAAAAATGAGTTGGAGGGAAAATCCAGAGAGCTGTCTATAATACATTAAGTGGAAAAAGACAGGTTACAGATTCATGAATAAATATGCTCTCATTTTACAACATGGTTGCCTGTTTATATATGTTTGTGTGAATGCAGAGGAGTGATACATTAGTTATCTACTGGAGGTGGGTTTGGAAAAAGATGAAGGGAGGGGTGAGACTGTAAATGGCATTCTTCTTAGATCTGTTTTCTGTCTAACATACTACATAATACCAACTACAGAGTCAAAACAAAAATATTTGTTCTTTGGAATCATTACAAAGTCAAACAAATGCTTTGAAAATTGAATAGAGAAGAAAATATTGAAAAGCACAGTAAGAAATAGATAACATGTCTCCCAGACTGAAATTAGAATGGTGCATTTGACTATGTACATATCAGTGATAATAATATAGAGAAAGAAAAGTTGTATCAATAGGAGTGGAGGATGGATTAGTGATTGGCAAAGGACCACAGAATGATGGTGTTTATTGAGCCAAACTTAGGCAATAGAAGCTCAGCTCAATCAAGCTCCCAGCTTACTCTCAGCGAGTCTATGTCTCTTGCAGAAGTGAATTTTTAAGACAAGTTTATCCTAGCCCCTTCTACTTGCTCTAATCCCACACTAACCAAATAACCTAAATTCTAAGTGGTTTTTCCATATGCTTTCCTGTTGGGTGAAAAGCCAACTGATATTATATACCAGCATATTTGATATTTTAATTTGTATGTCAATATCTCATAAATTTGAAAAATATGAGTCAGTCTCTCAGAATCTGATCAACTCCAAGGCTTAAACAGCAACAAATTTTTGAATCTGTGAAACTGAGCACCAATCTCCAAGCCTTAGTAACTTTTTAAAAAAATTTTTTGAAACAGGGTCTCACTCTGTCGCCCAGGCTGGAGTGCAGTGGCACGATCATGATTCACAGCAGCTTTGGCCTCCCTAAGCTCAGGTGATCCTCCCACCTCAGCCTCCCCAGTAGCTAGGACTACAGACAGGTGCCACCATGCCCAGCTCATTTTTTGTCTTTTTACCAGAGACAGGATTTCACCATGTTGCCCAGGCTGGCCTCAAATTCCTGGGCTCAAGCAATCCTACCACCTTGGCCTCCCAAAATGTTGGGATCACAGGTGTAAGCCACTGCTCCCAGCCTCGTTGATGACTTGTCTAAGATCACAGCCCAGTGTGAGGTGATGTCTAGGCAGCCACCAGTCTACAGCACCAGTTCCTCTCCCACTACCTCCCACATATCTCAAAGGCAGACCCTCAGTTTTGCAGGTCCAGAAACTTACCGTTTGCATTTTAGAGTTAATCAGACTCAGATAGACTAACTCATATTTTCCCAAATGACAAAATATTGATAATAGTGTCTCCATGTGCCTTAACAGCAACTACTCAGTTACAAAGATGCTAATGAGGTGGAAATATAGAGCAAGATCACATCTTAAGTGGCCGAGGCATAGAACAAGTAAGCTGTTTCATCCAGAAATCAAACTTCATATACCTCGAAAAGCAGTTGATCTTCACTGATGTCTCAAAAACAAACCAAAGAGAGAGTAATAGAATATAACCTATGTCAAAATTCCTAAAATCCCCTGCACTTGTGTCTCTCAGAGTCTGCAATCCCAGGCAATTGTCCTCATATCTTTCTCTTCTCATAAAACTCACCCCACAAACTGCTTATGTGAGCTCAAACTCGTCCCTCAGTATCCTGCTTTCTAAGCCGTTTCTGGCTCTCTGCAAAGAGCTCCTTGTCTTTCTAATGTAAACCAGTCTACAGCCTCCTGCCTTCCAGTTCTCTTCTTCCCTTAGCATAACAAAGGCTCAGGACCTGAGCAGGACAACAAGCTGAAAAAGACATTAATATTCATAACTATACATTAATACTTTTCTCTGTCCCAGAGAGAAATTCCCAGAATGGCAGTGGGAAGCTTATAAGATGAGCCAGCTGTTCTTGGGTGGCCATTTTCAGTTAAGTGACATGCTAACATAAATTAAGCATATGTGGTTTGAGAACTGTTTTGTAAAGAACTTCCTTACAAGTGAATCTAGACTTTTTTTTTTTTTTTTTTTTTGAGATGGAGTTTCATTCTTGTTGCCCAGGCTGGAGTGCAATGGCGTGATCTCAGCTCATTGCAACCTCTGCCTCCCAGGTTCAGGTGATTCTCCTGCCTAAGCCTCCTGAGTAGCTGGGATTACAGGCACTCGCCACAACGCCCAGTTAAGTTTTGTATTTTTAGTAGAGACGGGGTTTCACCATGTTGGCCAGGCTGGTCTCAAACTCCTGACCTCAGGTGATCCACCCGCCTTGGCCTCTGTAATTGATAGAGTTACAGACGTGAGCCACCAAGCCCAGCCCACTAGACAAGTTTTAAGATCATGTGCTTCCCAACATGAAGAGTTCAAAAATAGACCAGAGGACCATCATCCTGGGTGTTGTGGAGGAAATTCCACACTGAGTGAGTGGTGAATGCTGCTGACCTGGAAGGTGATCCTATGCCAAAAATGGATGGTTTTTGGACCAGTCGTCATGGCATAATTACAATAGGTGAGTAATTTCCACACTCTATTTAACAGTGTTCCAACATCCCTGTGTGCAAAGAGATAGCATTATATATTCTGTTTCTTTACTCAGTTCTGCCCTAGCAGAGTACCACCAGGGACTGGATGAACAAAATTCATTAGGAGGTTAGCATTAGTATAAAACTCAAAGATATTCTTTCTCCATTCTTTTACACTCTTGCTCATATAAACAGATGTTGGTTTGGGGTGATTCAAGCCACGTTTCACCCTTGAGCAGCCCACCCTTCTGTGGGAATTTTTGTTTTGCTCACATGAAGGGCCACGTGAACTATTTTGGAATTCTGCAAGATGCAGCAATAAAAATGACTTTGGCTCAACATGTATGCCTGTGGAGCTATCTACCCCAGATCAAATAGTTTTCACTCTATAAATAAATGGTTGACCTGTTCATTTTAGCCAGCTTGTCTAAACATGGCAGTTTAGTAGAGAAGTGATCCAGATTTCAAGTGTTGAGGACTTACATATATTGCACACATTTGCACACATAAGCAGCTTGTGTACACACATGTGCACAAATGGAGCCAGAACGCATCCTGGCATTCTTCCTCCTCTAATCATCTTGGGAGCATCTGGCTTCTGCAGAGGGATCACTGAGTGAATAATCAGTGCAGGGAGGAAGAATGATCCTAGGATTTTTTTCTAGAGCACCTCTGGCTCAGTAGGCATTACAATGAAAAATGGGGCAAATACCAACCTTAAACTGCATTGGCTATTTAGTTTTCAGCCAGAAAAGCAAAGATGGAAAAGGGGAGTACCTGTGGCCAAATGTCTGTGATTACTGCGGTGGCAGGCTTCCAGAGACACCAAGCCTTAACTTTGTTTCATCAGGATACTTCCTAAGTTACTATTGAGAAGTATTTTCAACAATCTCATTTTTATTAGCCGTTTGTGCCCATTATAGTTTTCTAGTTGCTAGTTTGTTATGGCTTTAACATAAATAAGGTTCTAAAAATGTCTCACATGAGTAGTTGCAGAGCTGGGTATGCTATTTAGACCATATAAAAAGCCCATGCAAAGGATTTCCCTTGTAATGGGACTCTTTTATATTTAATAGAACTGTCATATAAACATATACTAGCATTTAAAATGCAGTTTCTGGGCCATAAAATAAACACCATTTCTAATATTGCTGTTGGCTTTCACATGCATGGAGCTCAGTTCATTAAATGCTCTTTACTCCATTTATGTGAAATTTGTTTTTACCACCAGAGCAGCAGATAAAGTGCATTATCCCTTGAAATGCAGCCATGATCAAGGAAAGAATTGTGAAACTCAGACATACCAAATTTTTTATGTAGATTCAAACAAATTATAGTTAATTTTAACACCTTGTCTAACACCGCAAATCTGGTAAGCTTCTAATGAATTATTAAGGATAATGATAACAGCATTTGTATATAGAAATATAAATGTGAACATACCACACAGAAATGATTATAGCTGTATTTAGAGATATATTCATATTCAGTGTTTGCCTGAAAGTTGTGTAGTAGCAATACTTCATTTATATTATAAATTAAAATAAAGCACATTTAAATAAAGTGACTCTGCATTGACTATCTTCATAAACTTAAGTAAAAATTCACTATAATGTGGTCTATTATCTCATCTGAAAAATGAAAGATAATGCTATTCCCCTGACTCATAGTTTCCTTATAAATGAATTAAAACATATAAAGTTCTTAGATCATTGCCAGGCTTACAATCAGTAATCAATGAGTGTTAGCTAGCACCGTTATCACTTTTTTAGAACTTTATTTTAGAGGCACCAAAAGTCAATATTTTGTTGCATAGGTTGGAAAATTTTGGCTAGAAATCATGAGTGTAAATTTTGTGATAGGTATAAAATGCTATGTTATTTACAAATACATATCAATCAACCAATCTAGATCAATATATCCATTCATAAATATTTAGTTTTTATGAAATTTGAGGAGTTTGGGAGACCACAGGATACAATCACTGTCTTTAAGAAATTCATGTGAACGTGAAGAAATTAATACTATTAATGAATTTTAAAATAATATAATTAATTTAAAAAAAACACAGTGTCACTACCAAATGGTTGGGAAATTATTGGCACTTTGACACATGTTGTAGAATAACTGGCTATTCCTAATAAGGCAACACAGAAAAACAAACCTGGTAAATTAAAGACATAAATATAAAAATTAACACTGCAAAAATTTTAGGAGAAAAATTAGAAGGATATCTTTATGATATCAGGATAGAGAATAATTTGTTAAATCAAAACTACACAGGAAAAGATGTTTGAAATTTAACTATCAAAATTTAAAATTTCTGTGTGATAAATGACAACATAAAAAAATTAAGACAAGTTACAGACTAGAAGATATTTGCAGGCATATTAAAATCTCCTTTCTCTCAAATAGTATCTCTCAAATAGTTCTTCATGTATTATAAACCAAAAGACAACCCAATAAATAGTGGGCAAGGAGCTCACAGAGAAGAAAACACAATGGCCAGTAAATATATAAAAGTACTCTCAACCTCTCTATAATAAATGGTTATACAAACAAAATAACAATCATAGGGTTTTTACTTGTAATGATAGCTGACTAACTTGCATGAAACTAAATATTTTAATGTAAGACAACAAAAATAACTGGAAATTTTTTAAAAATCAGTTTTAAGATGTCACAGAACAATCAAAATAGTTAGGATATTAGGAACCAATATTGCAAGGAGATCAGAACAGTGATATAAGATCAACATTTACTATTGCCTGGACCATAGAAATATTTGCCAATCCATAACTTTTGGCCAAGAGGCTAGAGGTCTAACAAAAACTGGTAATTAAAATGAAAAACAGTGGAGAATTTTGACAGTCTCAAAAGCTGGGGAGAATAATACTGGAGTTCAAACCTCATCATAGGTAAAATACTCCAGACATTCCCTTTAAAGCCCAGAAAGTCTATACTCTTGGGCTAAGGGAAATGGAAATAGAGTACTTCTCACTATTATTAAAACAAACAAACAAACAAAAAACAAAATAACCTTGTGTCAGTTCAGTACAAGACCAATTAAGTTTACCTATTTCTCTTCTAATTGGCTATCTGCCAGAAGCAAAAATTTGTCCTCCATGTAGAAAATCAGCTACATCAGGAGCCTCACGTTATCTTTAAATCTTTTCATATACAGTGTCTGACATCCAGTAAAAATTATCAATCATACCAGACACAGAATCAAATCACTGAAAACAAGGAGAAAAACTTGGGATAATAGAAATAATAGAATAATAGAAATAGATGCATAATTGATAAAATATTAGTTATCAGACACAGACTTTAAAATAATGTGATTAACCTGTTCAAGAAAAATACATGACACAATAGAGTTTTTCAGCCAAGAAATAGAATAAAGAAAAAATCAGATAGAAATTCTACTTGGAAAAATAGATTAGCCAAAATAAAGAACTCAATGGATTGATTAAACAGAGGACTGAACACTGCTAAAAAGAGAATTAATGAACTGAAACATATATAGGCAATTATTCTTGCATAAAAGCCCACTTTTTCTAATGTTATATATCAACTTTCTTTTGGTTAATATTTGTGTATACAGCTTTTTTATTAATTTTTTTCTCTTTTAAATTTGCTTTCAACATTTCTACAGCCTTACATTTAAAATGCATCTCATGTATGTCATAAATGTCTGGCTTAAAAAAAAAACTGACAAATCTTTTAATCACAGTATTTAGACTGCTTACATTTAATTAAAACTCTCATATATTTTTGTTTAAATTGACTATCCTACTATTTACTTTCTTTTTGTTCTGATATGGTTTGGCTGTGTCCACATCCAAATTTCACCTTGAATTGTAATAATCCCCACATGTCAAGGGCAGGGCCAAGTGGAGATAATTGAATCATGGGGAGGCTTCCCCCAAACTGTTCGAGTGGTAGTAAATAAGTCCCATGAGATCTGATGGTTTTATAAATGGGAGTTCCCCTGAACAAGCTTTCTTGCCTACTGGCATGTAAGACGTGACTTTGCTCCTTATTCACCTTCTGCCATAATTGTGAGACCTCCTCAGCTATGTGGAGCTGTAAGTCAATTAAACCTCTTTCCTTTATACATTACCCAGTCTCGCCTTTGTCTTTATTAACAGTGTGAGAACAGATTAATTTTTTTATTTTTCCTCAATTTTAGTCAAGTATTAATCAAGTACTATTCCACAGTCTCTACTACTTTATAATTCATTTTACTATTCTTTTATGGATTACCCTAAAGATTAAAACATACATTTTTGATTTATTTTTTAATATTTATTATTTTTGCTATGTCCCCAACAATGCATATACTCTTTTCCCACCTTTTGATCTATTAGTTGTCATGTATTTTACTTATTCAAATATTGTAGACCATACAATGTATTAAATAATATATTAGCATTTATTCAATTGTACTTATATAATGTATGTAATTTTCCATGTTTCTCACCCTCCCATAGTTTCAAAACTTCTTTTCTGTTCATCTAAAAATGTTTTCAACTAATTTTAATTAATGTATCATTTTAAATTATCAGTTGGATCTTCAGGTGGAAAATTTGATTAACATTTTCATGACTGAAGAAAAATATCAATAGAACTTATCACATTTAGGCTAGCTGAATTTTTAAGTGAAGCATCTTCTTGGACTTGAGTTTGTTTAATGAAACAGAGGTCTTGTATAGTTTTGCTCTTCACGTCTTTTCTAGATGAACACGGGGGACAGAAAAGGAACCAGAGAGACCCCGTTATAGTTTTACCTTGGAGAGCAGGCTAAGATGTGGGGTAGAAAGATTATAGAAGCAAGATTTTTCAATTGGATGTCTAATTATTTTTAAGGCACTATGTTTCTCTTAGCCTGATTTACATTAAATCCAGAATACGCTGTCTTTCATTAAAACAATTTTTGGTAACACGAAGGCAGAATTATTAATAGCTTCATCATTCTTCTTATCCAATGCTGAAACATTCAAGATAGACTTTTAAATTATTGGTACTGAAAAAAACTCATTTCCTTCATCATTTAAAGTTGTTGATTTCCCAAATTAACATTTAGCCCTTTCTTTAATGAGACACACAGAAATAAAAGGGAGGTAGAGACTTTTCTCTTGCATTTGGACCAAAATGACTTTATTACTTAGTATAGTTAAAATCATCAAAGACAGCTTCCATGTTTTAACAATGGATTCTCTGCAGTTTATAGGGATATTGTTCTACAGAGGAAAAACAAACTGAGGACTTTTATAAGAGGGCATTCTTGGTTCAGGGTGCATTATAAATGATACACTATCACTTTCAGACCTGATAATAAAAAGAGACAAGGTTTTAATGTTAAAACACTAAAATTGATTTATTGATATTATACTTGTCAAGTACAGGAGGAACCAGCTTATAGTGTTGATAAGGTGAGCATAGAATTTAGTTTGGTTATAGATACAGTTTATTATGCAATGCAATTACACAACCAATTTCTTGAGGGTTCTCTGAGGGTAGACTGAGTTGAGGCAGCCCACTAGAACTGGATCCTGAGTAATCTGGAGAATAATAATGACCCCATCGTTTCAGGCAGCTAAACTTCTCTACCTTCATACCTAAGAGTTCACATAAGTGCATGATAGCCAAGCCTGCCAAACTAATTAATTACAGTCAGTTTTGAAGGGACTGAAATGAAATTTTGATCAATTTCATTCTCCAGCTCTAATCTCTTCTCCAATTTATTTTAGTCTAGATTTCTCTAAAGAGAACCCCTAATACAAAGCCTTACCCACAGATAGTTTATTTGGGGAGTGATACAAGTGAGAAAGGGAGGGGGCATGAGGATTGAGACAGGAGAAAGGGAAATAATCCAAGGGTGCATGTTGAATTGGCCATCACTATGGAGGGCTGATGCACCATGTAGCCAGGAATTTCTCAGGAATCTCATGGAACATGTCTCAGAATTGTCCAAACAGGGAACAAAAAAAGAGAAAAGCATTTATGACGTGGCCCCATTTCCCCCATTAGTAAAGGAAGCTCCTACAGATCTGTCATCTCTGCAGTCCTGGTTTGTACATTCATGAAAGCTAAGTGGGTTCGTGCAAACATCCTGTGCTGCAGCATCAGAGATGTTCTGGGGAAAAAGTGACAGCAGGTCTGAGTGAGGTGTTGTCAAGAAGCTCCTGAGGAAAGCTGGTGGATATCTACATGGAAGATATGAAGTGACACACAAGAAAGGTATGATGTAGTCCATCCTTTGTGTTTTTTAAATGCAGTTATGATCCATTAAGTCAAGCCCATCATAGGGTTCCCTTCTAGGTCAAAACCAGCAGCAGTATCTGTAAGGACTTTATACACATGGCTTATTGTGACAAGCTACTGCAGTTCGTTCTGAGACTGAAATTGATATTTCTCATCTCACTCCTCCACTACCCATTCTAGAAATCTTTCATCCTTTGACAGCGCCTTAGCTTGCTTAGTGTGGTGACCTAATTCTTCTTCCTTAAAGAGTCTAAGCCTTAGTAACTTTCCCTTTTCAAACAATGGTTGTTACATATCCATTCACCATTGTCACTGAGCACAGAAACACCAAGAGACATCCCAGAAATACCTAGCAGTTGAGATATACCTCTCTGTTCTCGTCATGTAACAGCAAACCTACATCTTCAGTGCAATTAGAGTTGATTACTTTAGGTTACTCCTTTTCTTGCTGACATGGGAAGCCCAAAGTGGCCGGGTGCTAGTTGGAACTTTAAATTCAGAGTACTCTTTCCTATGTGCTTTAGTGGAAGTGTTCCCTTCCCTGAGAACTGGGACACTTGATCTGGCAGAGCAGAAATGGGAAACACAAATTCCAAAAGAGGGTCACCATGATGGCGAGGGTGATGGGGGCAGGTGAGCCCCAAAGTGGAACTTAGTTCATGAGGGTTCCTGGCTTTTCCCAGGAAAAAATTCAAGGGCAAGCCAGAGGTAGAAGAAAACAGCTTTATGGAAAACTGTGTTACAGCTCTGACAGTGTTACAAGTCTGTGATTACTCCTGCAGATTAGGGCTACCCCACAGGCAGAGAGTAGCAGCTCATGGCAGTTTTGCAGTCATATTTACACCCACTTTTAACTGCATCCAAATAAGGGGCAGTTGATGCAGAGATTTCTAGGGAAGCGGTAGTAACTTTTGGGTCACTGGGTCATTGTCACGGAAAGGGATGGTAACTCCTGAGTGTTGCCATGGCAATGGTAAATTGACATAGCACACTGATGTGTGTATCTGATTGAAAGCTGCTTTGACCTTGGCCCTGTTTTAGCTAGTCCTTAATCTGGTCCGTTGTCGCAGCCCTGCCTCTGGAGTCAAGTCCCACCTCCTACATCAACAGGATCCGGTATTTCTTCTGTGCTTTGGTTGCCAGACCCAAGTATTCTAATGACTCTGCCCCAAACATCCAATACTGGACAAGCAAACATACCACATCCTGGACAATGACAACCCACTTTGCTGGTGCCTCAGTTGAACTGCTTCTGAGCGATAAGATTTATAGTCTGGTACCAGATGTCCCTTGTCATAAAATAAGCACCTCAATCTCAGCCATTGCTAGTTGGGATACCATACCAATGATTGGCATTTTGTAATTCCTTGCATGATGGTGCTGGCTGAGGCACTGCAGGTAAGAAAAGCAAACTCACATCCAGTGTGGATGCTATTTCTGGTCAGGATACATCACTGCCCCCTCTGGGGTCTGAGACAGATGTCTGGTATCTCAAAGGATCGTGCCACATTCAGGTTTCCAACCAGCTTTTCTCTGAATCATTGTCACTGAGGTCCTAACGGCAGACACTCAGACTCTGCAAGGGCTCAAGAACACACTAGGAACTGCTTTTAAACAGCAAGTTGTTGATTCTCTGCTACAGCAGGTATGCCCCAGCTCTAGGTGTCTGATGGTAGGTGTCTGAACTGTGACTCCCCTGATGGAGGTTGCTAGACCTTCCACCTGCATCCTCATCCACCGTGGATACCTTTAGGACTCTCAGATCTGCGATACAAATGGCTCAAGGGTCACGACAACTTTCACTGAGTCTGGATCTGGCACACAATTCTCCTTCATGCTGGGTCCTTCTCAAAACTGGTAGCCTTCTGAGCCATGTGACATGTGAGCCAGAGCAGTATTCCCACATGCAGTAGAAGCTGCCTCAAAATCCAGAGGGCTGAAAAGCATCACACTTCTTTTGTAATGAGAATGGCTGCAAGAAACAGCAAGTTGTCCCTTATCTTAGAAAGGATGTTCCATTTTGCCCCAAACCACTGGACTCATAAAAACCTTATTGGCTAGGCACAGTGGCTCATGCCTGTAATACCATCACTTTGGGAGGCCGAGGCGGGCAGATCGCGAGGTCAGGAGATCAAGACCAAACATGGTGAAACCATGTCTCTACTAAAAATATAAAAAAATTAGCCAGGAGTGGTGGCGGGTGCCTGTAGTCCCAGCTACTTGGGAGGCTGAGGCAGGAGAATGGCATGAACCTGGGAGGCAGAGTTTGCAGTGAGCCAAGATCACACCACTGCACTCCAGCCTGGGTGACAGAGCAAGAGTCTGTCTCAAAAACAAAACAAAACAAACAAACAAAAAACCTTATTAATGTGAGAAGCCTCTAAAATAAATCAATGTTTATTTCATGTCCTCTGCTGTTCATCAGTTTTACTAAGTATCCAAAGTACTTTCCACTATCTGTTTATCCGGTACGGTTAGCATGATGTAATCGTGTTGTGGACCAGTGTTGTGGACAAACAGAAAACATTAATTGGGTAATTGGGTTTTAGATATGATAAAATGGTTGTAACAACAGATTTCTGTGTAATAATGTCCATCCGGCAACTACAAATGTAATTCTTGTGAAGTAAAATATAAGACAGAGGAATATGAATGAAGACATTTGATATGGTTTGGCTGTGTCCCTACCCAAATCTCATCTTGAATTCCCATGTGTTGTGGGAGGGAACTGGTGGGAGGTAATTGAATCATGGGGGCAAGTCTTACCTGCGCTGTTCTCGTGATAGTGAATAAGTCTCATGAGATCTGATAGTTTTAAAAAGGGGAGTTTCCCTGCACAAGCTCTCTCTCTTTGCCTGCTGCCATCCATGTAAGATGTGACCTGCCCCTCCTTGCCTTCCACCATGATTGTGAGCCTCCCCAGCCATGTGGACGTGTAAGCCCATTAAGCCTCTTTCTTTGTAAATTGCCCAGTCTCAGGTATGTCTTTATCAGCAGCATGGAAACAGACTAATACAATATTAGTTTGGCAACAGATTGTAAAGATATGATAAGGTCATCTAGGAATGAATTCGTCCTCAGAAGAAAAAGACAAAAGAACAGTAAACCAACTCTGTCCTTTTAAGCTGTTGCATGTCTTTATGCTGTCTCCATTTTTTAATTAAAGGATAATTTTTAATTCTTTTAAAATTAAACTGAAGGCAGTGCACTGGGATCTACATTTTAGGAAAATAAGTCTGAATAAATACAGTTTAAGAGGCTGGGCACAGAAGCTTATGCCTATAATCCCAGCAATTATGGAGGCTAAAGTGGGAGGATGGCTTGAGGACAGGAGTTTGAGACCAGGTTGGGCAAATTAGAGAGACCCTGTCTCCACAAAAATAAAATAATAATTAGTCGAGGGTGGTGGCACATGCCTGTAGTCACAGCTACTCAGGAGGTTGAGGCAGAAGGATCACTTGAGCCCAGGAGTTTGAGGCTGCAATGAACTATAATCATGCCTGGGCGACAGAGGGAGACCCTGTCTCTAAAAAAGCAAACACACACACACACACACACACACACACACACACACACATACTTTAAGGATTGGGGAAAGTGAAAACAAGTTGTCAGCTTAAGGGCCATCGGCATAAGTCTGCCTGGGAAGCAGTAGTTTATCCATGTCCTGGGAAGAAGACTGTTTCGGTTTAGCCAATTTGATGAGACATGTTTGGTATGGGGAGTTAGCTTCCAGGGTAAGGCCATAAAGCTGATGCATGAGATAAGGTAATTTTTAAAATATGTTTAGGAGATCTCAACAAGCTAGCTAGGGAGGAGAAGGAAAAACACAAGATTGGTGAAGAAAAGAAACATGATGGGGAATGGCAATTCAACAAGAGGAGATAAACTGAAAAATTTCCAGCAGAAGATTTTGGGGGGAAGAGGAGATAAGGATAATGGAAAAGAGTTTAAAGTTCAGAACTTTATATTTAAGTTAAATAATCTGCATAAGCCTCTTGCCTTGCCCCATTTGCTCTAAATCATCAGTAAAGGTCTATGACCTACATTGGCTTTTTGTGAGTGTTTTGAGAAGAAATTAAGGCAGGGGGCTTGTCTTCCCCATCAGGATCAACGGAAGGTATACAAAAGAAAATAGAAAAAAAGAAAGGAAATAAAAGAGAGAATTTCTCAGAAGTAGAAAATCAGAGATAGAAGTGTGTAGATACTGGGGGAAAATGTTTATTATCCCATCCCACACAAAAAGGATGGTGGGGGTGGAATCCAGGAAAGGATTCCAACTGATATCTGGGTATCACCTTACCTGTATTCCTAAGCAGCTAACAATTGTTTTTATTAAGGAAAAAACAGTTTTAAAGAAAGTGTTTATACTGAAGTCTACCACACATATGTCAAAGTGCAAAAATCCCAAGAGTACAGCTCCATAAATTATCTCAAAGTGGAACATACCCATAAGACCACCCAGATCAGTAAAGAGATGGTTACCAAATCCCCAGAAGTTCCCACCCTACTCCTGCCTCCTCACCCAACATAATCACCATCATGAGTTTTAAAACCATAGACTAGTTTTGCCTTTTTTTGACTTTCACGTCAATAATTTCATAGCATACCTTATGTATGTCTGGCTTCTCTAGCTCAATTTTATGATTGTGAGAGTCATTCACATTGTACTGTGTACCACTAATTTTCATGGTTGTATAGTATTCCATTGTATGATTACTACACTTTATTTATCCATTCTACTGTTGACAGTCATTTGAGTAGATTCCAGTTTTTGGCTATGGCACATCTTTTGGTGAACATATGTTCCCATTTCTAATGGGGTACATACCTAGAAGTGGAATTATTAGGTCAAATTATATATATAATATATGAATTATATATTTTATATATAATATATATAGAATATATATAACACTCTAGTAGATAATGCCAAATAGTTTTTAAGTGGTTGTACCTATTTATACTCTGGCCAGCAGTGTATGAAAGTACCAGCTGCTCTGCATCTTGACCCATCACAGTCTTGCCCATCTTTTACTTTAGCCATTGTGGTGAATGAATATGGTATTCATAGTAGTATTAATTTGCAATGCTTTGATGATTCATGAAATTGAGCACCTTTTGAAGGATTTATTGGAATTTTTGATATCGTCTCTTATAAAGTACCTACACAAGTCTCTTGCCTATTTTTCTACCATGTTGTTTGTCTTTTTCTATTTGATCTATAGTGTACTCTGGATATGAGTCTTTTCATATTTATATATGTGTTGCAATTATTTTCTCTCATACTGTGGCATGTCTTTTCACTATGTATTTTCAACTTTTTATTTGGAAATAATTTTAAACTCATAGAATATTTGCAAAAAATAATAAAGAGAAATCATATGCAGCTTCTCCTTATGTTAACCATTTACATAATTGTAGTAAAATTAGCAATGCCAGGAAATTAACATTGGTACAATACTATTAACCAAACTGCATATGTTATTCTAATTTCATCAATTTTTCTTCTAATGCCATTTTTTATTTGTTTATGTCAAGATGTAATCTCAGATACCACATTGTATTTGGTAGTTATGTCTCCTGAGTCTCCTCCAAACTATGGCAGTTCCTCATTCTTTCCTTGTCTTTCATGACCTTGACAGTTTTTATGAGTACTGATTAGTTTTTGTAGAATATCTGTTAATTCAGTTTGTTTGATATTTTCTAATAGTTATATTGAGATTTTGCATTTTCTGGCAAGAATACCATAAAAGTTATGTTTAGTTCTTAATGCAACATAGAAGTAGGGAGTACATGAGGTCAATGTGTCGTATTACTGGTGATGTTAACTTTGAACACTTGATAAAGGTGTTTTCTACCAGGATTCTCCACTGTAGTTATTATCTTGCCCTTTTTAATTGATAAATATCTTGGGAAAGATACTTTGACACTATTTAAATGTCTTTTTTCTTCTCAAACATTTCCCCATGAATCCAACAGTGCATCTTACCTGCAACAATTATTATCGTGGTATTTGCCTAATTTTGCATTTACATTTCCCTCTTCCATTGACATTTATTAATTAAATTTATACTGTAAGGTGGAGCTGTTGCTTATCCTCCATTTATTTATTTGATCAATTATTCATTTATGTAAGTATGAGCTCACAAATTCTTTATTTTATTCTATAGGCTATAAGACAATACAATCATTATTTATTTTGTGGCTCAAATTGTTCCACATTTGGCTATTGAGTGCTTCAACCTGTGGCCTTTGGCATGCCCCATCTTTTTTGAGTTCCTCATTATTTCCTGGCACCAAGTTTATCTTGTATTTTTGCTGCTCACTCCTGGAATTAACCACTTTTCAAAGAATTATTTATTTTATTGGAGAACGGTGTTTAGAAACCAATAACTGGGTGCAACACATGCTCATTGCTACTGGGATGTCATTACTCCTAGGTCCTCTCAGCAGACAGAGCTGTGAAATACATGTATGTGCACTGAAACATTCATGCACACACATCTATATTTATTTCTATGTTTAACTCTCTGTATGAAACCCTGAATTCAAATGGATAGCTCTGATTCCAACTCAACACCGGAACATTCATTCTAGATTTCCCTTTTTCCTTATTTTTATATTCTTTCTCCAATAGTGAGAATCTGGCTCTCATTATCTATTTACAATATATTCATTTATTTACTCAATCACAGTATACACATAAAAGAGCTATAAAATTGCTAATTCAAACTCCTATTAGAAACAGATTTACTAAACAGAGTACAGTGTTTTTGTATAATTATTTTTGTCTTTAGCTTTACAGTAGCCCGTAAAAATACTGTTTTGCCAAGGTTACTTACGTGAATTCTTTTGCACCCCCTTTGGTGTGATTATTTTGTTAATTTTTAAGATGGCTAGCTTCATTTGTTAGTGTTCATGTTCCATTTTGGATCTCCTTACATCTCAGTTGATTCAAATTATTTATTTACTTGAGTGAGGGAGGATATGTAAAAACTGTCACTATCTTCCTAAGAGGCAAAGACATACAAAAAGATATGCTTGGAGAAGTGGTTCTCCCTTCTCATCCATGGTAATACATTCTCTTTCCTCCTTTCTTTCCACCCCTTTCTCATCGCCACCTGTAGGTAACCCATATCTTTAGCTTCTGGTTTACTATTTTTAATTTCTTTTCCACAAATGAGCAGATACCAGTGTGTTTTCTTAAATCCTTTTATTTTTTAACAAAAGGGTGGCATAATATAGATACTCTTTAGTACTTTGCTTTTGTCACTTATCAGTATAACCTGGAAATCACTCTAATTGGTTCATAGAGAGCTCTTCCTAATTCTTTGTTTTCTTTTTCATAGCTGCATAGTACTTCATTATGTGGGTATATCAGATTTATTCATCCACTTTTTTATGTTTGGGTATTTTATTTATTTCCAATATTTTGCAACTATTATATCTTCTGCAGTTCCCCACCAACAATGTATGAGAGTGTCTGCTTTTACTAGCCTAAACAAAGAAAGTGTCATTATGTTTTAAATCTTTGCCAATATGATAGATGAGAAATAGCAGCTCAATGTTCCATTTCTCTTTAATTAGGCTCAACATTTTTTATATGTTTGAGGGCCATTCTCATGCGTTTTTTATGGTGAATCATCTGTGGCACAGTATGTAACATTTGTACATTAGTCTTCCACCATCATTCCTGCCATTAAATCTTCAATGTACATCATTATGTTTTAAAATGCTCACCCTCAAACTTTTGCTGAAATTTTCCCAGTCATTAAAATGGTAGATTCCTCAAAAAGGGCTAATTAGTCCAGGATTTCCTAGATTCTTGTAAGTTAAAACTGTTTTTCGCCATTGCACTCCAGCCTGGTCAATAAGAGCAAAACTCCATCTCAAAAAAAAAAACCAAAAAACGAAAACAAAAAAACTGTTTTTCTACAGCCTTGATATTTGAAGTACAGCTTAAGAACCAGGATACTTGGTATGGAAGAAAGAAGATATGGTTATATTATTAATTGGCTAAATAAAATATTTATAATACTAAATTTAAATTGGAAATATTAGTACAAATGTATAAGGTATCATATTTATGTGTGTACATGTAAGTATATGTGTGTCTACATATATTTCTCTGTACATTGAGTCTTAGAATCATTGATTAATGCAGTTAGGAATGAGAATCTCTAGTGCCCATACAGATTATGTTCTTAAAATACTTAAATTAGTTCAGGAAATGTTCAAGATGAGACTGAACCATCTTGTCATATCTGATTGATAGCTAGATAGCTAGAAATCTGTCAAAGCACTAGTGTCATGTCCAAAAGACTGAGGAGCTAACTTGAAAGGATCTTACTGTTCAAAGATGGAATAGCTTGAGCTTAAATAAAGATAATAATTACAGTGGATTGAAACTTATTAAATGTATTTAAATTCATGAGTTGATAATAATATCCATGAACTAATTGGTCACTTTTAAGAGAAATAGGAAACCAATTCATTAGCCAGAATAAAGATAAAGACAGGGAAAGATTCAGGAATTTATATTTCCTTTTTAATAACTGTACCCCAGGGTAATTTAATAGGTGATTTTTTTAAAAAAAGTCTCTCCTTAAAAAGCAAAGCTAATAAGTAGGAATTGACTGCGACTTCTGATTTCAGCCTGGGCATGTAAGAAGCTTGGAAATCATCACTCATGTATTTACAAGAAGAAAAAAACTGAACAAACTGAAAATCATTGGCTCTCCATCAACACTCAGAGGACTGAAGCTGCATGGCAATTTGACACCCTGAAATCTGGAGAGACAGATGGATACAGAGAGTCACAGCCAAGATCTCACCAGGAGCAGATGCCTCTGGAGCCACAAACTGGTAAAAACACTTACATGGTAATTTTGACAGACTGCAGGAGACTGAATGAATATGGACTAGTATGAGAGTTAGAAAGTCCTAAGGGCCACAGTTTTTCATGGGTCTTATGTCCAGGAACCGCACCATGTTCTACCAGTGAAGATACGAGGATTCCCTCCAGATTCTGGCAGGGGGGAAGGGAAAAATGATCTCCTCCCCAAAACTCATAACCCCAGTCTAATCATGAGAAAAATATCAGACTAACCCCAATGCAGGAACATTCTACAATACTAAAAACTCTCAAGGTTATCAAAAACAAGGAGTCTCAGAAACTGTGACAGCCAAGAGAAGCCTAAAAGAAATGATGACTAAATGTATTATGGTTGTTATGGATGGAATATGTGTATTCTCCCTAAATTCATATATGTTGAATCCCTAACCCCCAATGTGATAGTATTTGGATATGCAGGCCTTTGAGTGATAATAATAGTTAGATGAGATCACGCAGGTGGGGCCCCCATGATGTGATTAATGCCCTTAAAAGAGGCACCAGAGAGCTTGCCCTCTCTCCTTGCCATGTGAGGATGTGGGAGAAAGGCAGCTGCATGCAATCCAGGAAGAGGGCCCTCACCAGGAATTGAATCAGCTAACACCTTGATCTTGAACTTCCCAGCTTCCAGAACTGGAAGAAACCAACCCACTGGTCCTATAGGCTGATCTTTTGATAAACATAGAAATTGACCCTTCTGGTCTTAAGGCTTGAAACTTATATTTGTTCTATCTGCGTTCCTTCCTTTGGACAGGACCTTCAGGCCTCTAAATAAAGTATTAAAGAACTGAAACTCACCAGATCACCGCATCAGATGTGGGACCCCTCATTCACCACGATTGCTTCCTTGCCCCTCCCTAGTTCTTGTTTTCTTACACATTGTTACAGTTCTCCCCTGCTATATAAACCCCTAGTTTAAGTCAGTCAGGGAAATGGATTTGAGACTGAACTCTCACCTCCTATCTCCTCAGCTGCAGCATCCAATTAAAGCCTTCTTCCTTGGCAATACTTGTCTCAGTGATTGGCTTTCTGTGCAGCAAGCAGCAGGACCTAGACCAAACCCCTAATGTTTCGGTAACAGTATTATGGTGGCCCAAGCAGGCTAAGATGGGATCCTGCCACATAAAAAGGGCATTAGGTATAGTTAATAATCTTATATCAATATTGGTTCATTAATTATAATAACCATACTGTACTATCGTAAGATAGTAACAGGGGAAACTGGTTATATGGAGAGAAGGGAATGTAGGCACACTGTACTATCGGCTCACTTTTTCTGTAAATCTAAAACTGTTCTAAAAAATAAAGTGCATTTAAAGTTGAAATATAATAAATTAAAAATAATATGTGGAATTTAAAAAACTATCCTTTTGTAACCCAGAACTAATTGATCCAGGCATATGGCATCAATAGTAGCTAAAAATACCTCCCAAAAAAAGATAACCAGACATTATTTGCTTCCTGATGAAATAACACTTCGTATATCTTGCAAAAAAAAAAGGTTTCATTTAAGTCAGATCAAAACTTTGAATTCAAGCCAGCCACAGTGGCTCACAGCTGTAATCCCAGCACTTTGGGAGGCTGAGGTGGAAGCATAACGCTTGAGTCCCAGAGTTCAGACCAGCATGGGCAACATGATGAGACCCTATCTCTACAAAAAAAAAAAAAATTAAAAATTAGCCAGGCATGTTAGTGTGTGCCTGTAGTCCCAGCTACTCAGGAAGCTAAGCTGGAAGGATCCCTTGAGGCCAGGAGTTTGAGAGTTTGAGGCCGCCATAAGCCCTGATCACACCACTGCACTCCAGCCTGGGCAACAGAGGAAGACTCTATCTCAAAAAAAAAAAAAAAAAAAAAAAAAAAGACTAAATTCATCTGCCAGTTTGCAGAAAATACAGAGAACAGAGAAACATGTTGAACAGCACCATGAATATGCACTCAGCAGGTCCAGATGGTAGAAACTACAGGGCACATGGCCCAGATTCCTCAACAAATAAACTGTAAAGAAAATGATAGAAGAGGATTTTGTATTATGAAGAACCCAAAATTCATTACATTTTAAAAAGGCTAGACTAAAAAATACATTAAATATCTTCCTTCTTTTTCAATGGTCCAGCATCCAAATCCCTGTGTAATGTTTGAGGACTTTGCATCATGAGTCAGATATTCTATTTACCAATCTCCTTTGGGAATAGGGATGGGAACATGACCTAGATGCAGCTGGTCAGATGACTCCACCAAAATCACCTAGACTTTCTACCCTGTCATCAAGTGTCAAGAGAGGTCTGCACACTGGGAATAACCACCAGCTTCTCCAAAAATCTTAACTCTATTAACATATTAAGACAGACCCTAAAAACCCAAAATAAGCAGACATCTCTTCCAATAAGTGCACTGAGTCTGAGGCCACTCTCTCCCTGGGCCTTTGCCACCATTTTCAGGGGCCAGAAAGGACCTGCAAATTAAGCCTAAGACAAAGCTACCCCAAATTTATTTTCCTCTAGTCCACACTCTCTGCCTTGAATCCATCCAGGAATACTCTCATTTAGCCCTTTTTCTCTGTTTATATCAATTAGCAAAAAAAGCCCCATGCTCCCAGTTAACCCCCTTATCTCTTTATTCCCCATAAGGCTTAGCACATCCCTCATTCTTACCTCCCTCCCACCCTCCCCAATCCCAGAAATCATTTCCTTGTGCCTTCTGAAATGGTCCACATGCCATATTGTATGTTTTGCAATGGGCACAACAAGTTCTCTCATTCCTATGCTTCTGCAAATCTTTGCTTGAATGTCAGCCTTTTCATGATACCTTCCTGACCACACCATTTAAAAACTGCACATGTAAGCCCCTCTACACCCACCCTTCTTATCTCCTGTAATGGTTAATTTTATGTGTCAACCTGACTGTTTTTCTGAAGAACCCTAACACATTCCACTTACTCTGCTCTCCTTTTTTCTAAAACATTTATCACTTACAATCATCTTACCTAACTTACTTCTTTATGGTATCCATTGGTATGGTCTGTCTCCCAATAACTCACTCTCCCCGACCCTAACCTAGAGTATAAGTTTCAAGAGGGTGGAGGCATTTGTTTATTTCCTTCAGAGATATTTCTCGAGTACCTAGAATGGGGTCAGGCACAGTCAGTTTCCTGGGACTGATTATGCAGCCACCTCAATGATCTTGTAAGTGAGACAAAATCCTTTTGAATAATTATATTTCTGTTTAAGTCAGCCAGTGAGGATTTCTGTTTCTTTGCTAACAACTAAGAACACCCAAGTATTGGTCTTTCGAAAATGGATGAGGAAATTTCTGAAATATTCATAGGTTCAGAAAAATATCACTAAAACTGAAAGAGAAAATAGTACAAGAGGAGGTGGTCCATCTAATTAACAATCAACATATGATGCTGATGAGACAACTGATCAAGAAAACTCAGAGTGGAGAAAGTTACAACATGTGGATTTAAATGTCCTTTACATTTGATCCAACATCACCTAGGCAGCCTATTACTTTACTTCCCTTTTTAGAACTGGCCAGGAAGACACAGCAGAGAAAAGACCTCTCATAAAAGGCCATGCCTGGGAAAGCCCCAGCATGGATCCATATGGTTTGTGAGTCTTTTTCCCTGTGACATTTTTATGAAGGTTATGTATATGTCCCGTTCATCTTCATTCTCCCGGTGCTAATTGCTGTCTATTGGACCCTGCTACTGTGTACAGAGACCACATGCTTCCCCTGACACTGCCCCGGCTGTGGTGTGCCACATGGCCCTGCTGTCCTCAGATAAGAACCTGCTGCTGTCTGACCACAACAGCTGGAAATGTTCTGCCTTGAAGAGCTTATCGTGTGGACACTCAAGTTGAGCTATGACAGTCGACAAGCACACAAAATGAGTGGATTCTCTGGGGGCAGCGTATGGCAACTGAAAGCTTCCCATGTCCTGTTGGACATGAGCTTCATGTTTGGAGTTGATAATGAGGTTTTGCCTGGACACTTCCTGTGAAGAAAGCATTGTGTTGAAGGCAGCAAAAAGTTCAAGAGAGACATGACCGCAATTTCTCTAACAATCGGACTTTCTCTGAGCCTCTCAGTTATTTATTTCTCCTTGTTGAGGACTAGAAAGAAATGAAAGAAGATAACCCTTAACATCTTCCTTTCTCCTCTATGTCCTTAATATGATATTTGATATATACAAAAGAATATGTGTGACCTCTTTATGAGTCATAAAGTGTCCACAATCCAAGAATTACTACATCGCCAAAAATTAGCCTCCACTGGGTATTCTTTCCTAGCCCTCCCTCTCTGCCTCCCCCAACCCAGGATGACCAGGATCCAAAGTCTTATGTTTTTAATTTCCTTGCTTTCAAAAATGATTCTATCACATATGCCTATATCTTAACAAGATAGTGTTTAGTTTCTGAGTGTTCTAAAAGTGGTATCATACTATCTATAGTATTCGGGACTTGCCTTTTCATCACTTAACATTTTGTTCTAAGTTTTATGCATGCTGCTCTGTGGTCATTCACTTTCACTGTTGTGTACTAGGACTTTGTATGACTAGACCAGGTTTATTTATTTGTATCCCTGTTGGCATTTGGGTACTTTCTCACTTTTTAGAAGTCTGAACAGAGTTGCCGTATTATTCTGTTTTCACAGTGCTATAAAGACATACCAGAGAGGGTAATTTATAAAGAAAAGAGGTTTAATTGACTCGCAGTTCTGCATGGCTGGGGAGGCCCCAGGAAACTTACAATCATGGCAGAAGGGGAAGAGGCACCTCTTACATGGCAACAGGTGAGAGAGAGAAGTGCATGAAGGAGGAAAAGCCCCACACTTATCAAACAAACAGATCTCATGAGAACTCACTCACTATCATGAGAACATCATGGGGGCAACTGCCCCCAGGATCCAATCACCTCCCACCAGGTTTCGCCCACAACTCATGGGGATTATGGGGATTACAATTCAAGATGAGATTTGGGTGGGGACACAGAGCCTAACCATATTAGTTGCTCTAAACATTCTTGTCTTTGGCTCCTGGTGCACTTGGGCTACTCTATGTCCACCTAAGAATGGATTTACTGGTTATTTGCATGTTTTGCTTTACAAGATAGCACCAAATTGCTTTTCCAAAGCAATTATTCTACTTTACCAGCCATGTATGAGGTCCCAATGATCCACGTTCTCTCAATATTTGGTATATGTGATTACTCAGAAGATTTGTTTAGTGAGAGGGAAGAAATTTTCTCTAATGTGAGCGAATGAACTAGCTAATGCCACTCAGGTTGAGAAAGCTGCTACCAGCTACCAGGCTTGCACTTTGAGATGCATGACTCCTTTTTGTTTTAATATGTATTTTTTAAAATTTATTTATTTTAGAGACAGGGTCTCACTCTGTTGCTCACACTGGAGTGGAGTGGGGCAATCACGACTCACTACAGCCTCGACCTCCTAGGCTCAAGTGATCCTCCTGCCTCAGTCTCCCAAGTAGCTGGGACTACAGGCGTGTGCCACCACACCCAGCTAATTTTTTTTGTTTGTTTGTTTTTGAGATGGAGTCTCGCTCTGTCGCCCAGGCTGGACTGCAGCGGCGCATCTCTGCTCACTGCAAGCTCCACCTCCCGGGTTCACGCCATTCTCCTGCCTCAGCCTCCCGAGTAGCTGGGACTACAGGCGCCCGCCACCACACCGGGCTAATTTTTTGTATTTTTTTTAGTAGAGACAGGGTTTCACTGTGTTAGCCAGAATGGTCTCGATCTCCTGACCTTGTGATCTACCCGCCTCGGCCTCCCAAAGTGCTGGGATTACAGGCGTGAGCCACCACACCCAGCCCACACCCAGATAATTTTTTACTTTTTGTGGAGATGTGGGTCTCCCTATGTTGCTTGGGCTGGTCTCAAATTCCTGGCCTCAAGCGATCTTCCCACCTCAGCCCCTCAAGGTGCTGGGATTATAGGCATGAGCTACCTACCATACCTGGTCTTAAGATGTATTATTTACACTTGTCAATGCAGCGGTTCCTTAGGTGTGGGACATGCCAGAAAGTAACACGTGAATGATTCAGTTGGAGAGAAAACACAGATATACTTATTTTATGGACCATTCTAGAACTCCCCATCTTGGAAGAAAGAAAATTTTAGGGCTCCCTGACCCTTGCACTGATGATAGAAAAAACGTAAAGCAGGTGATGTGTTTTCTAGATATCTTCACTGCTCTGATGCTGATGATAGCTCTGTGCTGATGTCCCTAAGCTTATTCCATCATTCAGAACACTCAGATTTGCTTTTTTCAGGAAGGAGTGTGTGTGTGTGTGTGTGTGTGTGTGTGTGTGTGTGTGTAGATTTGAGAATACAGCCTTCAGTTTTCTCCTTTTACTGGCATTAAAGTATGTGTGTTATCCTCAGAAGCAAGGCATCAACTCAATAATGCCCTGGTCTGCTCTGTACTAGTGAGAGGCTAGCATCCTGGTCTAGGTTACATGTAGGAATTTTGTATAGTGAAAATTTCAAGTTAGGCAGGAAAGAGGACAAGGCAGAAAGGCAACTGGAAAGGCCATAACACCAGTTAGTAAGTAGCCAGTTAGTTGACTCACACTTGAGGCTAAATCAAATCTCATTTTGAGAAAATTTAGGCAGACTCAGATTTGCTGATTCACTTACATGCATTTAATTTAAAGTCTGAACTTTTTCTTTCAAATATCAAACATTCCTATATTTGGAAAATCCACATTTAGAGCTGCAATTTCTAGTAACCAACTGGCTGATTCATATTACACAAACACAAATTTTAATGTTTAGTGAGTTTTCTGCCTCTAAAGTTTTTCAAAAGTCCTGGAAAATACATGATATATTCAAGGTCACAATTTGCTCTTGGGATTTCTGAAAATATCTTTGCTGATTTATGGCACAGTAGCCCTTCTCAAGCAGAAGAGATCTTGCTCATTGGGTATGCACACTTGGATAAAGATGTCCTTTTGTAAAAATGGAAATATTTTTCTGTTGAAAAAGTAGTGTAGAAAAGAAGGAAACAATGGAATTGACAAGCTAAAGAAGATTGTGAATTGTGAAAATTAAATGCTATGGCCAAAAGATACTTCCTCTCTTGTTCCTTGTCATGAGAAGTATGTACTTGTGTAATAAATAAGCTATTTGCCATGCTTTTTATTCTTTGACTTTTAAATTCACTAAATGTTTTCCAAATTAAGCAAAGGAAATTGGAAGATAAATTTATGACTACAGTTTCTGGGGAATAAACTTGAGGCCAGTTGGATATGACTTGAGTGAAGTAACGGTGGTGCAATAGAGCAGTGAAATCAGAACAGTCTAACTAGCCAATAAGGATGAATCATAATGCAATATAATCCTAGGTTTGGAGGGATTTTAAAGGCCATCTAGCCCAGCAGCATGATTTATACTATAGAATATTTTAGCTCAGCAATAGAAAACCAAAATTGTGAAGTTTTTTGTTTTTTAGAACCAATCCAAATTGTTCTGGCAAAATCAGACGTGTATTCTAAGCTCAAATTCCAATATATTAGTTTTTTGATCTATAATCTGTGGATGCACCACAAAGGGAATCAAGGGGCCCTTTGAAGTGGAATGCAAAATTTTGTGGGATTGTGTGCATTTACGCTTTTGTCTGATACAGTAAATATTGATCAATATCACACAAATAAACAAAAGGTCTTTGGAATCCTCAGTATTATAAAAATGTTTAAAAGAGTCCTGAGATCAAAGAGTTTGAGAACTATTGTTTTATACATTACTGTTATTTTTCATTTCCTCCACAAAATAAATTCTAGTACAGTCACATGCCACATAACATTTCCGTTCATGACAGACCACATATACAACAGTGGTCTCATAAGATTTTTTATACCATACTTTAACTGGGTGGAGTTTAGCTGCACCTACTGCAATTTTCTCAGAATAATATGGAGATTGTTGATACAACTTAGTCAGAGAATTGGAATGAAATGAACATCCAGAAGGCCTGTAGTGACAGTGGTGGAAGCAGTTGTTACACAGACAGCTTGCCAGGTGACCCTAGCTGGCTCTAAATGAACATGCTTTGGAAAAGAAAAAAAATGGAAAAGTAGAATGGCAGGAGAAAAAACATGAAACACAGGAGACACCAATCTCTCGAGGCAAGGGTATTCTCGATGTTTCTCATTGCCACTGCTTTTCAAAACAAAGCACTAAAGGAAGACTGCTATGGCTAGAATGTTTGCCCCCTCCTAAACTCATGCTGGAATTTAATTCTCACTGTAGCAATATTAAGGAGGGCCTTTACGAGACGATTAGGTCATGAGAGCCCTGCCCTCATGAGTGGATTAAGACTGTGATTGTGGGAGTGGGCTCCTGATAAAAGGATAAGCTCATCCCCCATTTGCTGTCTGTCTTGTGTGCTCACTTGCCCTTCTGCCATGTTATGATGCAGCAAGAAGGCCCTCACTAGATGTAGATCCTCGATCTTGGACTTCTCAGCCTGTAGAACCTTAAACCAAATCTCTTTCCTTTATAAATTACCTGATTTGTGGTATTCTGTGGCAGTAGCAGAAAACAGACAAAGAAGATCCTTTATGGATTTTTTTGTTTTGCTGGAAAATAACATTTTAGGAGACAGCTGTTTTGTAATTGACCTTATGGGGCTTAAAGTTTGAGAACCATATTTATATTAAATGCAATTTCACATTCTGTCACAGTTTCTGTTACTGTTTTCACAAAGAGTTAACTTAAAATACTAAAAAGAAGAGAAAGGTAATTTCTCTTCTGATTTTCTACTATGGGAACAAATTGAAAATTGAATGATGTAATGTATTTACAGTAATGTATATATATGCTGTATTTACTTGTGTTCACATAATCTAAATTAACAAATGTTGTAGGAGAAGCATGTTTGAAGTCAGGCAGACTTATGTTTGAATAAGTGTGATCTTGGGAAAGTACTTAATATTTCTTGATATTTGCTTCTTCATCTATAAAGTGGAATGTGAAATAGCTCCCTAGCAGAATTGTGGTAAGATTTGGAACAAGAGATGTAAAGGACCCTAAGTACCACACTGGAAATAGTCTATAAACTCAGTAAGTGTTTGCATATTACTTTTATTGCCACTATTACTAATTCATTGTTATTGCTGATGATTTAACAAAAGACTTATTTTAAAGTATGGATACAGTAGATTTGACAATTTTTCTATGAGTGCATTCAAAAACAATATAACACTAAAGCAAGTTACAGAAAACCACCATAATGCTCTTATCAGCAGCAGCAATAAACATATGTTTAGTACACACTATCCATAGAAAACATCTAGGTCTCAAATATATAATAATTTAGAAACAAATAGCTTGTTCTTAAGAAATTTTATAAGCTGTATGTCGAAGGACAATGTGTTATTTTTATCAGGGGCAACAAGCATGCTTTGCCTGTTCCCCTGTATCCCATGCTGGAGCTGGAATCAAGGAGCACTTCTTCCAGAATCCCTTGCCAGCAGGATTCTGGTTCAGAGCCTGAGAACAAGAGGCATTTACATGGAGTGTGAAAGGCTGAGGGAAGGCAGAGCCATTACTACCCCTCTAGCAAGTGGCTTTGACAGATGGTGCAGTTCTGTTGTGGTGTGAGCAATTTCCTTCAAATCACTCACTGATGGTGTGGGCAGCTGAAATCTTGACTGTGGTTTCCTGTGATTTCTGAAAGCTACTGTGGGTTTCCTCAGCAACAAATTCGGCGTATTCTGTTTATTACTGCTGGTAATACTTAAAATTGTTTCTGTATTGCTGAGCCGTCTATGAGTTAAAATGCTTAATAAAGTATCTGAATGACGTTACTTCAAGATGACTCACTAATCAGGGATGAACCAAGAAAATTAACAACGAACTCAAAATAAGGCAACCTGGTTTTGTATACAAATCTGCAATCATATAAGCATAAGTCAAAAATGTCATTCTACACATGTGTTTTCCTATTTGTCAAATGTAGATACTTAGAAAATTCTCACTTAATTCACTGAGCTTACATGAAGATTAAAACCATAACATTGAGGAAAATGTTGTGAAGACTGGAAACTCAAAGTGTCATATTGACCTACCACATTTATAAGTTTAGAATATCTCTCTTGTTTTCCTTCAGTTTAATTATTATAATAATAGCCTATACTAACTCAATCAACCCCCTGATAAAATTAATGTGCATCTTTAATATCACTTGAATTAATAAAACTCAATTATATGTAGCATATAGTATTCAAAATTCTGTAGACTTAAGTATATGGTATATTTGTTTATAACAAAATTTTACCATATCCTCAAGCTTCTACTTTAAATCTCAGAATGTAAATATAAAATTCAGAAAGTCTATTCTCAGATGCTTCCCTCTTCTTCATTATTCTATATTTATTGGAGGCATATAATTCATTTATTAATCATTTATTTATTAATGATTTTCTCAAATTTCTGTACTAGTATTTTTTTCCTTTCTATAAGGTTCATAGTAATTGCCTTCATCTTTGATGATATTTTATACATAAGTCAGACTCATTCATTATCTTCAACATCATCCTACTTTCCCTAATTCACCACCACTGTATCTGTTCACTATATTCATTTCTAATTAGGTGAAATGTACATATTTTAACATAATATAGTTATTAATATAATATTCTGATATAACACACAGGTTTTATTTCATCCTTGAAAGTTTCTATGAAAATCATCTTCCTAGAAATAGAAGAGCTGACAATAACAAGCCCTAAACCTAAGCTAAGAAACCTGAATCCTAGTTCTGCCTGTGTCATTAACTATGGACCTTGGGTAAGTTGCCTAACTGTTTTGTTATCCATAGGAGTTAAGTCATTAGACCATATCATTTCTTTCTTTTTTCTTTTTTTTAACTTTTATTTTAGGTTCGGGGTACATGTACAGGTTGGTTATATAGGTAAACTTGTTGCACAGGGATTTGTTGTACAGAATATTTTGGCACCCAGGTACTAAGCTTAATACTCAATAGTTATTTTTTCTGATGCTCTCCCTCCTCCCACCCTCCATCCTCAAGTGGACCCCAATGTCTATTGTTCCTCTCTTTGTGTTCATGAGTTATCATTTAGTTCCCACTTATATGTGAGATGTATTTGGTTTTCTGTTCATGTGTTAGTTTATTAATGATAATGGCCTCCAGCTCCATCCATGTTCCTGAGAAAGACATTATCTTCTTATTTATTATGACTGCATAGTATTCCATGGTGTATATGTACCACATTTTCTTCATTCAGTCTGTCATTTATGGGCATTTAGGTTGACATCATGTCTTTGCTTTTGTGAATAGTGCTTCAATGAACATTCACATGCATGTGTCTTTATGGTAGAATGATTTATATTTCTCTGGGTATATACCCAGTAATGGGATTGCTAGGTCATGTGATAGTTCTGCTTTTAACTCTTTGAGGATTGGCATACTGCTTTCCACAATGGTTGAACAAATTCACACTCCCACCAACAGTGTATAAGCATTGCCTTTTCTCTGCAACCTCCCCAGAATCTGTTATATTTTGATTTTTTAATAACAGTCATTCTGAATTGGTGTGAGATGGTATCTCATTGTGGTTTTGATTTACATTTCTCTAATGATACTGAGCTTTTTTCATAGGCTTGGTGGTCACATGTATGTTTTCTTTTGAAAAGTGTCTGTTCATGTCCTTTGCCTACTTTTTAATGGGATTGTTTTTTGCTTGTAAATTTGTTTAAGTTTCTTATAGATGCTGGATAATAGACCTTTGTTGGATGCACAGTTTGCAAATATTTTCTTCCATTTTGTAGGTTGTCTGTTTACTCTATTGATAGTTTCTTTTGCTGTGAAGAAGCTTTTTACTTGAATTAGATCCCACTTGTCAATTTTTGCTTTTGTTGCAATTGCTTTTGACATATTTGTCATGAAACCTTTGCCCGTTCTTATGTTGAGAAACATATTGCCTGTGTTATCTTCTAGGGTTTTTATAATTGGGGGTTTTACATTTAAGTATTTAATTCATCTTGAGTTGATTTTTGTATATGGTGTAAGAAAGGGGTCCAGTTTCAATCTTCTGCATATTACACCATATTATGTCTAAGTTACTTCCAGTTGTAAATTTTCTTTTTATTTACATATTTATTGCACATATACTATTGCAAATTTGTTGCAAAATATTTGTACTAAGTACTATGATAAAAATTGTTTAAAAGATTCATAGAGCCTGTTTAAAGAGTCTATATTCTGGAAGGGGAGTAAGATAATTCAAAATAGTTGAATGGAGGAAGAGAGAAGGGAAGGGACCTCTTCATTCTTGTTCCTTATTGTACATGCAATGAATTACACAAAGTCTGATACACAATAATAAATATTGAATAAATCAATCAATATAGAGAAGGCGTAAATGTGCACTAAGTTGCACTTATATAGACTGAGTCTTATTTGATTATTAAAAGTATAATTCAAATCCTGGGTACCGGCTATTAATCTCAACTCCAACTCCATCATTTTATATTATGATTCCTAATTAATTGTTTTCTCCACTAGTGATAGTAGCCATGCCCAAGGAATGAAAAAAATCTGAGAAAGAAATATAGTCAAATGGACTATGAACTACTTAGTACGGATACCAGTTCAGCTGGTTAAATGATTTGATATCAATTTTTCAGATATTAGTTGTATTAGTCCATTTTCATGCTGCTAATAAAGACATACCAAAGACTGGGTAATTTATAAAGAAAAGTGGTTTAATTGACTCACAGTTCAACATAGCTGGGGAGGCCTCAGGAAACTTACAATCATAGTGGAAGGGGAAGCACGCACGTCCTTCTTCATATGGCGGCAGGGAGGGAAAGAATGAGAGCCAAGCAAAGGGGGAAGCCCCTTATAAAACCATCAAATCTTGTTATAACTTACTATCACAAGAATAGCATGGGGGAAACTGTCCCATGATTCAATTATCTCCCACTGGGCCCCACCCATGGCACTTGGGGATTATTGCAATTCAAGGTGAGAATTAGGTGGGGACACAGAGCCAAACCATATCATTAGTCATAGTAATAACTCTAAAATTTGACTCACATGGCTGACTTAAATCACTACTCACAAAAAAGGTCTTACTTAATACTTGTGTAATATGAATTATTATTCAATAAAATATGTTGTTATTAATAATGATAAATTATTTTAAAAATATAATTGCAAGAATCTTTTTTGTGTATGTGGAGGGGAGGACCCTAGGAGCACTGCAGTTGGACTTTCCCTTATTTCATCAAATAGCCATTTGGTCTTACCTTAAAGGCAGGATTAAATATTCTACCTCAGATAATACAAAAGATTTTTCCTTTTATTTTTTCCTACTTTTTTTTGGTTTTATTTTATATAGTTAAAGAGTGCAACATGATGTTCTGATATACACACACATCGTGAAGTGATTATTACAACCAAGCAAATTAACATAACCACCATCTCATATAGTACCTTTCTTCTTTTTGTGGTAAAGTAGTAAAATCTATTCTCTTGGTAAATTTCCACTATACAATGCATTAACTATAGTTTCCATGTTACACGTTAAAACTCTAGACTTATCCATCCTATATAACTACAAGTTTGTCCCCTTCAACCTACATCTCCCCATTTCCCCCCTCAGCTCCCATCCCTAGTAACCACCATTTTACTCTCTGTTTCTATGTATTTGATATATATTTTTTAGATTCCACACATAAGCAAGAACATCCGGTATCTTTCTTTCTGTGCCTGGTTTATTTCACTTAGCATAATGTCCTCCAGGTCCATCCATGTTGTGGCAAATGGCAGCATCTCTAATCCTGCCATTATATTCCTGCCCATAATATTCTACTATATAATGGAATATTCTTCAGCCTTAAAAACATTATATATATATATATATGGTGTATATATATATATGGTATATGTGTGTGTATATATATATATGTACCATAACAATTGTGTGTGTATATATAGATCACATATATATGCTTATATAATTGTATATATATAACATTGTCTTTATTCATTCATTCATTGATGGTCATTCAGATTGTTTCCATATCTTGGCTAGTATGAATAATGCTGCAATGAACATGGAGTGCAGATGTCTTCACAAGGTGGTGATTTCATCTCCCAGAAGAGAGAGTGTAGGTCATATGGTAACTCTATTTTTAGTTTCTTTAGGTACCTCCACACCATTTTCCGCAATGGCCACACCAATTTTGCATTCCCACCAGCAGTGTACTAGATTTCCCTTTACACCACATCCTAGTCAACACTTATCTCTTGTCTTTTTGATAAAAGATATTCAAACAGGTGTGAGGTGATACCTCATTTTGGTTTTGATTTGTACTTCCTGATAATTAGTGATGTTGAACACCTTTTCATACACCTGTTGGCTATTTCCATATCTTCTTTGGAAAAATGTCTTTTCAGGTCCTTTGCACATCTTTTAATCAGCTGTTAGTTTTTGTTTTTGCTGTTGAACTGTATGAGTTTCTTATATATTTTGGATATTTACCTTTTATCAGATATATAGTTTGCAAATATTTTCTCCCAATTGATAGGCTGCCTTCTCAAAAACTTTGTTTCAACAAGAATCTCAGAGGGAACAGATTAATGCAATAACTTTAATCTGGTTTCATCATTAATTCACCTCCTCCAAATTTCTTTACATTGAACACTAAATTGAATTCATTAATCTTTTCTGCTTCCAATGTGTATGTTACATTTTTAAACAATTCTTGCTATCCTGAAGCAGCAACATTAAATTCTTTTTCTCCCCCAAATTACAGTTTTAGATGACCATTTATCAGGTATATATTATAGTGCAATTTTTAGAAATTCCATTTGTTATATGCTGTTTGTGATCTTTGCACAGAACTTTCATTTGTCACAGGATTTAGCTCTCAGCAGTGTTTAGTTTTTAGGTCTTCAGAACAAGTCAATCCATATTCAGACACCTAATGACATAACTTATGCAGTGCAAAGACTTGACTGCCCTCTATCAACCTCTCTTTAGACAAGTCCTTTGAATGTAGTAGGGTAACATATAAAAAATGTACCTCTTGGCAAACCTCAAAGTTTCATTAAAAACATGACTTTATGGCTTAGACTTAAACACATTTGGCACAATGTCAGAAACTTCTAGAATATTCACTTATCCAACACTTGCCCAAAATAACCAATGTCCAAATGTGTCTGTGGATTTGTTTTGAAATCTGTTCAAAACTAAAATGTTAGAGACTGGTAACACTAAATTCCATGAAATGAAAAAAAAAAATCCTACAACATGTATGACCAAGAATCATGGCAGTGTCTTTCATAGGAAATGAAAAAAAAAATCCTACAACATGTATGACCAAGAATCACGGCAGTGTCTTCCATAGGAAGCTCTTTTCTAGGTATAAGGAAAACATAATTTATAAAGTAACAAATTATCCCCTGCATCCTTTTTAAAAATATAATTGTAAAACAAATAAGAGCTGATCAGGGGATCACCTAGCATTGAGTGTCTAGTTCATTTGAATAACTACTGACTAATTTTAAAATTGAGATCTTAATTTATCTCATTAAGATTTATCTTGTGCTTTAAAAACTGAATTGGACACTTCATCAATCATTTTGCTTGTGAAAGGCCCCGAGGTGTTCCAATCCTTATTCAAATGGAATTTTATCATGTATTCATTTCCATTTCAACTTTATTATATTACTTTGCCTCTATAAAAGAAATCTTTATGCTACCATTAATTTTATCTTAATTAATTGCAATTAGTATACTGAGTTGTTGATTTCAAATAACTTTCCACCTTTCCATAAAGCAAAGATTTATTAAAAGATAGTAGGCACTCTGAAGTTCAGGACATAAAATATTTTACAAATATTTTAAATTTCTAAGTGCCTATTTGGAAGATCCATTCCTAATGACCTAATGTTTTTTTAGCCTTTAGATGAATTAAAATACATTACCAAAATCTACGTGATTTTGGCTACTGATCCTTACCATAGTTCATTATAAATGGAGTCTAGATACTCATCATAAATCCATGTCTGAAATGTGGATGCTGATATAATTAGTTAATATAGGAATTATACTGATTTTAAAATGTACATGAAAAGCCTTGGAATACCACAAAACATGAACTAGCCAAATTATCCATGAAAGTATGCATCTCTCAAATGGATGTTAAATGAATGGTTATTATTTACAAAGGGAGGGCTAGGTTATCGAAAGGCCTACCCCATAAACATGTAGGCTTAATAGATTTGCCTTATAAATGTCAATTAATAGAGAATTAAGATGGTTATTATGCTTCTGCTAGCCTGAGATTAATCTCTGACAGTGGAGAATGAAAGGAACTTGTGATTTCTGCATTGCCCCGGAGGCTGACCTCATCTTCTACCCCTCAATCCCCCGTAATATAAACAGGGCATGCATAGGCTGATGCTTCTTACATCAGATTTTTCAAACGCTTTTGACAGCAATCTATAAGAAAGATGTTTTGCATTGCAATCCAGTGTGGGCACACGCACACAAACACACAATAAAAATAAAATAATTCCTACTATTACAATTGACATACACATATTTTCTCTATTATTTTATCATATTCTATTACATTTTTTTAAAATGCTGTTTTCATACCACCAATTTCATGACACTTAATTGGTCATGGACTAGAGTTTGAAAAACACTGTCCTAGACCATATTTGTTACGGCTGCTGTCAAGAATTTATCATAGAAGATGGGCAACTTAGAGGATGATGGTCTGGAGCACTAGCAATAGAGGCTTCTCACATTAGCTCAGGGTCAGAGATAACAATGGCCTTGACTGGTATTCATGTACTTCCTAGGTTTTAAGGGTTTACATGGTGCTTTTCAACTTAGCCCTGGAGGGAAAATATTTGCTAAAAGTCATCTTTGGTTCTTTTCTCCTTTTTGTTCCTTACATTCAATATTTCACCAGCTCTTCTGATATATCTCTCGGACTTTTCCTTTCCTTTCTATTACCTTTGTCTTCACTCCAGTCCAGTACCTTATCACCCAATACCTAGATCATTGCAGCAGCCCCTTGTTGCTCACCCATCTGCAACTGCTGCAAGATATATCTTTGTAAAGCATTGTTTCAATTATTTCATTCATTCTGATTAGAACTCCATAACGATGCTGTACTTCCTAACATGTGAGGAGAGCAAACGAGATCAACATTTGCAGAACATTTACTTCATAGAAGGAATTGACTTGTGTTCCTTTTTACTCAGTATTTTCTGTAATTTGGAAAACTATCCTATAAGATACATAATAATTAGCTTGTCTACAGTAATTCGGAAAGAAACAGAATTATAGTTTTCTAAAAAACAACCACATGGAGCATTTGTATTAACTTCCTATTGCTATTGTTCTCTGAAAAGTACAACGAATTCAGAGAACAAACACCACAAACCACAAATACAAATATAAATTTACTACCTTATAGGACAGGAAGTCAGAATTCTCACTAAGCTAAAATGATGGTGCTGGCAGGCCTGCGTTGCTTCTGGAGGCTCTAAGGAAGAATCTTTGCTTTTCCAGCCTCTAGAGGCTGTCCATGTTCTTGGGTTTATGGCCCCCTACCATCCTTAAAGCCAGCAATCATATTTTTCCAATCTCTACTACCATGGACATCTTCTCTGACTCTCCTGCCTCCCTTTTATAGTCCTTATAAAGGAGTAGAAGAACCAATGTGATAACATTATGCCTACTCAGACAACCTAGAATAATCTCTCCATCTCAAGATCCTTAACTTAAGCACATTAGCAAAGACCCATCTTCCAAATAAGGTAACATTTGCAGGTCTCAGGGATTAGGACCTGATATCTTTGGGGCCATCATTCAGCCTCCTGCCAGCAGAATAAATGTTCTTTTTAAGTGTACATGAAACATTTATTTAAATAGACCACATTCTGGTCCATAAACCTAGTCTCAATATCTTTTTTAAAATTTGCAATATACAAACTATCTTTTCTGACAAGAGGGAAATTAAACCAGAAATCAGTATGAGAAACATATCTGAAAAAAATCCTCCAAAAACTAAAAGTTATATAGTGCCAAATCATTCCAAGATCAAAAAATAAGTCACAAGGAACATTAAAAAATATTTTTAACTAAAGAAAATGGAAACAACACCCAAAAAATTTTGGGATGTTACCGAAGTACTGCATTAAATGCTTATATTACATTAAAAGTGTCAAAGTCAAATAAAAATACAGACACAAATCTCTAGGCAAAACATTTTTTCTGGGAATGCACATATATAAAAACAGAATTGCAATTCGGGTCATACACACAGAGCAGGGTAGTCTTTGGTACATTCAAAGAAGAAAAGGTTGAGAGTTTTATTAGAAAGAGAAATGTTACATATTGTTTTGAAAGAAAGCTAGGGCCAAGAAGATTTGGCACTAGCAAAGTTTTGGGGAGCTGGCAAGCTCTGATTGGTGAATGATGGCCATAGGTAAAACCAATCTTGGAGGCATGGCACGTTGTTTAGCAGCTACTAGGTAAACTGGTACTGGGGCTATAGCAGACTGTTTCAGTAGTTAGGCTTGCAGATAATTCTTGGAACTGGTGCTATATTCCCTGAGTGATTTTTCCTCCTGGCCCTTAACTCTGATTTAGTTCGGTATGACAAGAATAACACAAGGTATATAATTAATTTTCACAAAAGAAAGGTCTAAAAATCAATAATCTACATTTCACCTAAAGAACAATAAAAAGGGGGAAAATTAAACTCGAAATAAGTAGTAGGAAGGAAATACTAAATATAAAATCAGAAATCAAATAGTTTATATCTCTAAATGCCTATTTTGGGGGTTCATTCTTAACGACCTAAAGAAATTTTTTACCCTTTGACTGAATGAAAAACCTTACCAAATTCATGTGATTTTAGCTACTGGAGACTACCAAGTTCATTACAGATGAAGCCTAAACTACCCATCATAAAAGCATGTAAATTACCTAGAATAGCCAAAGCAATTTTTAAAAAGAAGAATAAAGTTGGAGGACTTAAACTATCAGATTTTAAGACATGTTACAAATATAAAGCTCTAGTGTTAATATTAGATTTAGTATTAATATAAAGCTCTAATAATCAATAAAGTATGGTAGTGGTATAAGGGCATAGATAAAGAACAGACATACAAATTTGAAAAGAAGATTTCAGAATAAAATATACATATATAGTTGAAAATTAAGTATTTATACCATGGAACACTATACAGCCATAGAAAAGAATAAGATCATATCCTTTGCAGAGGCATGGATGGAGCTGGAGGCCATTATCCTTAGCAAACTAACACAGAAACAGAAAACCAAATACTGCTTGTTCTCATTTATAAGTGGGAGCTAAATGATGAGAACACATGGAAACCTGGAGGGGAACAACACACACTGGGGGCTTTTGGAGGGTAGAGGATGGGAGGAGGGAGAGAATCAGAAAAAATAACTAATGAGTACTAGGCTTAATACCTGGGTGACAAAATAATCTGTATAACAAACCCCCATGACGGAAGTTTGCCTATGTAACAAACATGCACTTGTACCCCTGAACTTAAAAGTTAAAAAATAAGTATTTACTAGTTATTAATTATCAATTTTCAACTATATATATTCTACTTTGGACTCTCTTCTTTCCCATTAACTTCTACATATTATATATATATATATGTACACATATATATAAAGTGTGTATATGTATACATATATACTTAATTTTCAACAAAGAATCCAGGACATGTGAATGTGAAAAGGAATGTCTTTTCAATAAATGCTGTTGGAACCACTGGATATTCATAAGAAAATAAATGAACCTAGACCCTTAATTGACACTATACACAAAAATTAACTCCAAATGAATCAGACTTATATATAAAAGTCAAAGCTATAAAACTTGTAGATTAAAACAAATCCAAAATCTTTGTGACCTTGAAGTAGCCAAAGTTTTCTGAAATAGGATACAAAAAGCATGAACCCTTTAAAAATGTTGACAAACTGGATTTATATAAAAATTTAAAATATCTGCTCTTTGGAGAACACGAGAAAATAAAATACAAGACACAGAATAGGGAAAAAACGTTTCCAATAAATGTGTCATACAGACAAGACATCAGGTTTAACAAATAAAAACAAAGAACATCCACACATCCAAGGGTACACGTGCAGGTTTGTTCCATTCACATTTTGGATACACAACAAATGATTTTTTGAGCCTAAGTTTGTCTCATGTAATATTAGGACCATAGATTTACTGACACATTATTCGTTGTTTATCTGAAAGTCAAAGGGAACTGGTTGTCCTGTACTTTATCTGGCAATCCTGCTTATAAACAATGTGTATTCAGAATATATAAAGAACTCTTGATATGATTAGAAGACAAGCAACCCAACAGAAACTGGGCAGGGGATATGAAGCCAATGATATGCTTAGATGTTATAGTGGTGGAGATGAAAAGTTCTAAAACCACTTTGGGAAATAATTTGCCAGTCTCTTATAAAGTTAAACTTATACTAGTCATACGACTTCATAATTTCACTCCTAAGAATTTACCCAAGAGAAATGAAAATATATGTATTCACAAAGACTAGTAGACCAATGTTTACAGCAACTTTATTCATAAATGTCAAAAACTAGAAACAACTTAAATGTCCATCAATGAGTAAGTGGATAAACAAATTGTGGTATATTGATACAACTGAATATCACAAAAAGAAACTACTACTCATGTACACAACAATGAGAATAAATCTCAAAAATATGCTGTGCCAAAAAGCCAAACACAAAAGAGTCACATTATATTAATTATATTGACCCCTCCTTCCCCACAAGGAAAACAACCTAACCTAAGGTGAGGCAAAGCAGAGTCATGGTTATCTGGGTTGGGTAGTGAGGGTGGGAATGAGAGGCAGAGGTGAGATCGAGGCACAAAGAGCACAAGGGAAGTCTTGGGAGTGATGGAATGGCTTCATATTGTGTGATAGTCACACAATTGCTCAAATCAGTCAAAACTCATCAAAATGTACAGCAAAATATGTGCCTGTTTTCCTATAAAAATTATATCTTAATGAAGATAATCAAGAAATAAAGATATATGTCATAAGTCATTGTAATAACCAGGAAAATAAATATCTTTCAAATCAGTAGAAGAAAATTTGATTTAGCCAAACAAATGGAGAAAGGTGAAAATACAGAAAATAAATTCGAGCACAGTGGTGCACACCTGTAATCCCAGCTTCTTTGGAGGCTGAGGTGGGAGGATCGCTTGAGTCCACGAGCTCGAGACCAGTCTGAGCAATATAGTGAGACCTCATCTCTAAAAAAGGTTTTTTTTTTTTTAATTTGCCAGGTGCAGGCTATTTCCACCTGCTGAGCTGAGGTGGGAGGATCACTTAAGCCCAGGAGTTCAAGGTTACAGTGAGCTGTGATCATGCCACTGTACTCCAGCCTGGGTGACAGAACAAAACTCTGTTCCTAAAAGAAAAATAAAAGAAAATACAGAAAAGAAAGTATGGTAAATAAAAACTGTGAAATGAAATTACAGAAATAAATTTCTACAGTGTGATAAGTGAGTTCATCAAAACTTACTTGGTTTATCAGGAAAATTTGATACAGTTGAACCAGTTCCTTCTAGGACCCTGCAATCTTCCAATTTTCCTTCTACTTCATTAACCTGTCCTTAATCACTCGTACAGATTTCACCTCATCTCCATGGTTTCTGAATATTCTAGTACTCCAGATCTCAAACCTTGAACCTTTCCTCTTCACTGCACTCAATTCATTTTGTGGTATCATTCTACCCCAAGGCTTTAAATACCATCTACAAGCTAACAACTCTTAAATGTACATCTTCAGCAATTTTCCATTGAGGCCTCAACTTGTGTGTCTAAACTGCCTGCTCATTAGTTTCTTCTGAATGTCTAATTAGAATCTCAAACTTAGCACATACTGAGCAAAACCAAAACCCGACCTCTATCCTCCTCTCAGACACACTCTTCTTGCTGTCTCTTGCTGATATTGGCAACTCTCTCCTGTTGCTTAGGAAAATTAAAATCCTTGAAGTCATCTTTGTCTCTGCTTCCTCTCACAACACAACCAATCCATCATCCAATCCAAGCTTTCCAGCTCTGCCTTCAAAATATATTCAGAATTTCATCACTTCTCAGCACCTTCACGTGAGCACACTGGTCCAAGCCATCACCTTTCCTCACCTGTATTATTATTTTATCAATCTTCCCTACTTCTACCCTCTAGAATTCATTCTCAACAAAAAAAAAATAGAAAGAATCTGTTAAAATGTAAATGGGATCACATCAATCCTCTGCTCTAAATCCTGCACTGGCTTCCAATCACAGTAAAGTCCTTACTTGGTTGTACAAGACCATACGCATTCTGGCCTCCCCTGCCTTCTCTGCATTCATCTCTTACCACTCACCATTCAGTTATTCAATTCCAGGCACACTGGCCGCTTCTTTGTTCCTCTAGTTCACATCTGGGTTTTGGCAATAGTTTTTTCCTCTCCCTAAAATTCTCTTTCTTCAACCGGACCCTGACTCACTTTATTACCTCTTTCAGGTCTTTGCTGAAATCCCACCTTATCAAAGAGGCCTTTTCTGATCAATGTCCTCCTCTCACTACTTTCACTTTCCTACTTTATTTTTCTTTATAACATTTATCATATTACTATATATTTTACTTAAACATTTTGGTGGGGCTGTGTGTCCCACCTAGCACACACATTCCACACAACAAGGATTCTTATCTGTGATCAATGTCTGACACACAGTAAGCATACATAAGTATTTACTGAATATATGCATGACTTGGCCTAAAAGCAGAGACATTCAAAATTGGAATTTAAAACATTCAGAGATATTTTCAACAAACACATACTAAAAACTAACTAATATAGAATACTTAAAGTAAAGGAATAAAAAAGATATACCATAAAAATATACACCAAAAGAAAACTTGGCTTCAACTTAAGATGGAAAACATTATAAAGCACTGAGATGGATACTCTTACAAGTAAAATAAGTAACTGATCAAAAAGTTTTAATTATCCTGAATAAATACGCATGGAACCATGTAACTTCAAAATATAAAAAGGAAAAACTGAAATAACTATGGAGAGATACAGGCAGAACAACAACGGAGTTACTAATATTAATGAATATTTATCTTGATTATTAAAGCAAATAAAAAATACATGAAAATGTAAATACGAGTACCATGATCACAAAGCTCATAGTAATAAAAAGATTTCCTGAAATATTTATAAAAATTTCATGCTCTGGGCCACAAATAATCCCAGGAATTCAAACTGAAAGAAACTAAATTCTCTAATCATAATACAATAAAAAATAAATAAAAACCATTAACAGTAAAAAAAAAAATCAGAAAAAATACACAAGAAAACAATGTACTTTATGAGTAAAGATTCAAGACAGGATGCAGAAACACACTGAGTTATAGAATGATGATTTACTACAGAAGTTAAACTTCATTGTAGGAGGAAGTGCGGAAGCAAATTTCCAAGAGGAAAGTTTGGAGACCAGAGGAGCCCCCAGTCAATCAATCTGAGAAGCCTAGCATATTTTGCCATCTAAATCAGACTGGAAGGGGAAGGTTCCTGAAAAGGTCTATGAGAAGCTGTCCTTTTATGTTGCTAACACCTCTATAGTTTTGCTCCTAAGAATCTGGTGATGGATCTGGGATTGCTATTAGTCAATAGGGTCAGGAGTTGGGAAGAGCTGGATGTGAAACAGACAATACTGAAGATAAGCTGGAACCCGATGCCACCTCTGTGTCTCTTTGTCACTGCAGCTAAGCACAATAACTGTCAGATCATAATGACCACTTCTCACTTTAGCTTTCCAAATCTCACACAAACTCCTCTCTTGACCAACTCTAGACAATATGCAAACATACAGGGAAAGGAATTCTGAGAAACATAGTTCCAATTTGACCAAGCTGACACAGTACAAAGTACTACAGACACCATTCATTATAGTAACAGAAACAAAGAAACAAATGGAATTCAGGAATGAATCTAAAAAGAATGCACAAGGAGACTTCATGGATAATTGTTAAAGTTTAATTTTAGAACATAAAAAAAAAATAAAATAAAATAAAATCTCAATAAATGAAGAAAAGATTACCATGTTCATGGATGGAGTGACTTAACCTAATAAAGATAATGATCTTGCTCCAAATTTATCTTCAAATTCTTTACACTCCCGTATTAGCCCATTCTTACATTGTTATAAATAACTAACTGAGACTGGATGATTTATGAAAAAAGAGGTTTAATTGACTAACACTTCCTCAGGCTGTACAGGCAGCATGGCTGGGAGGCCTCAGGAAACTTTCTGTCATGGCAGAAAGGCGAAGGGAAAGCAAGCATGTGTTCACATGTCAGAAAGGGGAAGAGAGCAAAGCGGAAAGTACTACACACTTTTAAACAACCAGATCTCATGAGAACTCACTCACTATCATGAGAACAGCAAGGGGGAAATGTGCCCCCATGATCCAATTACCTCACATCAGGTGTATCCTCCAACACTGAAGATCACAATTTAACATGAGATTTGGGTGGGGACACAGAACCAAACCCTATCAACTCCCAATCAAAATTCAAAATGAATATTTTAAAGACCCTGACATACGTATACCAACAACTGTGTAAATAACTATTCAACAAAAAGCTGAGTCAATTTTGATAAGGAAGAACAAATAGGAGGGACTCCAGCCTAGCCTATGAGATGTTAAGATGCACCACAAAGCCATAATAATAAAAACAGTATGATATCGATAGAGGAATTGACAAATAGATCAGTGAAACAGAATAGAATGCTTGCCAACAGGCCAACGTATTTATGGAGACGCTCTACATGCTAAATATTATACTATAAATCATTGAGAAAAATGGATTGCATAGTTGAGGGGTTGGGAAAATTGGGGCTTATTTTTTGGAAAAAAAGTGGATTTCAATCTTAAAACATATGGCAAATATGAATTTGAGATAAATATTTCAATGTAAAAGGTAAATCTATAAAGTTTAAAAAGAAGAATAATGCCTTTGAAATCTTTAGAACTTAAGATGCTAAAAACATGAGCTCTAACTTGAAAAAAGATGAATATTTATTAATTCACTGCAATTACATTTTTCAGTTCAACAAAATATACCACATACAAGGTTAATATGTGAATGACAGATTAGTAGACTATATTTGTAAATATCTAAAACTGATGAAGGATTAGTATCCGGAATATATAAGGAACTCCTGCAAATGAAAAATAAAAAGCAAGAAATGTAAAAGAAAACAAACAAATGATATAAATTGGCAGTAAAAACATTCAATATGTAGAGATATTAGCCTCACTCAATGTCAGATAAAAATAAAATAATAATGAGATACCACTTTATGCCAAGAGATTGTAAGATTTAGGAAGGTGGAAACAGAAATTTCATGCACCGCAGGTGGGAGCCTACCTACAGGGCAATTTCTGTCCATCTGATGACCCAGGATTTCCACTCAGGGGTATACACCTGAAAGAACTGAACAAGGATATGCATTATGGCACCAACTGGGGGCACCTTAAGTGTTCATAACCAGGAAATGTGGAAGGGTATTTGGTAGATGTATACCTTGTAGTGTTAGGTACCAATTAGAAATAAAACCAATAAATGTATACATAACATATGAATTGTTCTTAAAAAGCATTATGTTGACTATTCTGAAAAAAAGAATAAGCAAGTTTGGGTGTTTTTGTTTTTGTTTGAGATGGAGTCTCGCTCTGTCACCCAGACTGGAGTGCAGTGGTGCAATCTTGGCTCACTGCAACCTCTGCCTCCTGGGTTCAAGCGATTCTCCTGCCTCAGCCCCCTGAGTAGCTGGGATTACAGGCATCTGCCACCAGGCCTGGCTAATTTCTGTATTTTTAGTAGAGACGGAGTTTCACCATGTTGGCCAGACTGGTCTCAAATTCCTGACTTTGTGATCTGCCCACCTCAGCCTCTCAAAGTGCTGGGACTACAGGTGTGAGCCACCGCGCCCGGCCTTGTTTTTGTTTTTGAGAGAGAGTCTCGCTCTGTCATCCAGGCTGGAGTGCAGTGGTGTATCTCGGAGTCAACCTCTGCCTCCCAGGTTCAAGCAACTCTCTTGCCTCAGCCTCCCACGTAGCTGGGATTACAGGCTTGTGCCACCAGGCCTGGCTAATTTTTGTATTTTTAGTAGACGGGTATTTCACCATGTTGGCCAGGCTGGTCTCGAACTCCTGACCTCAGGTGATCCACCCACCTCAGCCTCCCACAGTGTTGGGATTACAGGCTTGAGTCATTGTGCCCGGCCCAAGAATAAGCAAGTTCTATAGCACAATGCTACTGTAAATATAAAACCCATATGTACCAAAGCAATATATATATTATGAGAATATACAAATCTAAAATGTGTACATCTATCATAACAGCATATTGCACCCCATAAATATATATGATTATCTGTTGATTAAAAATTAAATTAAATTATTTAAAATGTACATATATATCCAAAGATATAGATCATGCACTACATGCTGGTCTAAGGAAATATAAAATGAAACAACATAGAAACCCCTATGGACTGAGGATGAGAGTGTGCCATGAACTGAGAAAGATGGTTAATGCAATTATCTACTCTCTGAGAACCGAAAGAAAAAAATTAATGAAGTGTTCCCAATGAGTGTACTTTTTTTTTTCAGTTCTCCAAGGATACAAAGATGAATGGATGAGGGTGGCTCTGTTAAGTTGGAATACATTTAAGAAGATGAGGCATCTCCCTCATGGTAAAGGAATTCAAGGAATGTGTGAAATATTTCCTTCTTTTTAAGAATACACAGTTATTTGGGGCTGAGATATACCACGGAACTTGAGTAAGACCCATGTATTCGTACCAAATGTATGCCAAAGGATAAAAATACAGAATAAAGATGCGCAATCCATGTTCGTGGTAGTGTGGGTGATCACTTGTTTGCCCTGAGAGGCCCAGCAACTTGCTAAGGAGTTGGCTACATATCAAAGACTACTTGAGAACCACCCCAGGCTTCCCTTTTAGGTATAACTAAACAACCACTTACATAAATTTATATGTGAACGAGTTTTCTAAATGAATATGCTTTTGTAACCTGGAAATAAACAGATATTCAATTGTGAGTACAATTAGACATTTTTTTATATGTGTTACAGGTTAACCCTGAGTGAGCCTTGGCAGAAAATTTTTCAATATCTGATGAGGAAAGACTGAAAAGAAACTAGGCTCAAATTCAAGTAAACTAATCTTGGCTGAATGTTGATAAACAATTGTAGGGCTATTCAAGCCCAAATAAGCATGACTTTAGGGAATATACGATTGTGAAGCCATTATGTGACTATTCTGTCAGGTTCATAGGGCCATGCATGCTTCAAGAGTTAGAGCTGAACTTCCCCTCAAGGTAAAGAAAATTCTCATTGAGATCATCCTAAGAATAGGTCAATATAGAAGCATACAATCTTTGCCCAAGACATACACAAAAATGGAAAGACCTCACATATTAATGGATTGGACGAATTAATACTGTTAAAATGGCCATACTACCCAAAGGAATCTACGGATTTAATGTAATCCTTATCAAAATACCAATGTCATTCTTCACAGGAATAGAAAAAACAATCTTAGAAATCCATATGGAACCACAAAAGACCCTAAAGAGCTAAAGCAATTCTGAGCAAAAAGAACAAAACTAGCATCATCACACTACCTAACTTCAAAATATACTACAAAACAATAGTAACCCAAACAAAATGGTGCTGAGATAAAAACAGACACATAGACCAATGGAACACAATGGAGAACTCAGAAATAAATTCATGTATTTACAGTCAACTGATTTTTGACAGTGGCACCAAGAACATACATGGGAGAAAGGACCACCTCTTTAATACATTGTGCTGAGAAAACGGAATATTCATATGCAGAAGAATGAAACCGGACCCCTGTCTCTCACCATAAACAAAAACCAACTCAAAGTGGATTAAAGATTTAAAATGTAAGACCTGAAACTACAAAACTATTAGAAGAAAACATAGGGAAAATACTTTGGCAGTCATTGGACTCAATATCTTCCTATACTTAATATGTTATTTTTCCCTGGCTATTTCAGTTTTTTCTACTTTTATGTAGTGTTGAGCAGTGTAGGATGTGCCCAGGGATGATTTGCTTTTTACTCTGTGTGCATTGGGTTGAGCTTCTTAAATGTGTAAATTTGGGACGTTTTTCAGCTATTATATTTTTTTGCCCTCATTCTTTCTCTCTATGTCCTTCTGTAACTCCAATTACACATATTCTAGACCTTCAACATTGTTGCACAGGTTCCTGAGAAACTAGTCACTCAATGTTTTTCTCTCTGTTCTTCACATTTGGATAATTGTTATTGATCTATCTTAAAATGTACTGGATCTTTCCTCTATTGCGTTGAATCTGTTGTTAAGCTCAATTAGTAATTTTTTTCCTTCAGTTATTGTATCTTTAGCTCTACAATTTCCATGTGTTTCCTTAATAGTCTAATTACCCACTGAAAATTCTTATCTTTTCACTCATTGTGAACACACTTTTGTTTATGTCCTTGAGCATAGTTATAATAGCTACTTTAAAATCCTTGTTAGAGGGTGATGTCACCAAGATGACAGATGAGTAAACTTCAGTTCCCCACAGAGACACTGACATAACTATAACAATATGTGCACAAGAATACCTTTGTGAGAACTCTAGGGACCAGTTGAAAAGCTACAATACTCAAGCCAACATCAAATCAAGAAGCAATCCCAGTGAAAGAGGTAGGAAAATTCATTGCATTTTATGCACCCATATTTGACCCTCTCCTACCCAGCATAGAGGTGCCACAGGAAGAAATATTTCATACTAGGGCTCCTCCCTAAGGACAGAACAAAAGAATGGACTGTGCATCCAGTCTTCTTGCTTGTCTGGGAGCTGCAAAGGGACTGCCTGACTTGAAGTGCTGATGGGACTGGCAGCATAGTTTGGAAGCCACTGAAAACAGAGATGAGTGCTGCAGCATGTTACAGCTACAGTTTTATAGGCATATGCTGGGGAGCAAGAGATTACAGCCTTCTGAGAAGAAGCAGGGGCAAGCACTTTAGGGAATTTAAGACAGCAAAAAGCACATGCACAACTCAGAGAAGACACGTCTCTGGAAAATGTTTCAGAGGTCCTAGAACCTCTAGCAGGACTGAGAGATGAAGGTCTTCCCCTGCATAAAGCCATCCCATAATGACTGGGAGAGGTGGTTGTTTTTTCTAATGCCCCAATTTCAACAAAAGATTACAAAGCAGACAAAAACAGGTAAAGATAGCCTGATCAAAGGAACAAAGTAAAATTCAAAAAAAAACTACCCTAAAGAAATACAGATTTATAGTTGGCTGACAAAGAATTGAAAATAATTCTTTTAAAATCCTTGTCACCAAATTTCAAAACATGGTTGAATTAAGCCTCAGGGTTTATCTCCATTGATTGTCTTTTCTCTTGAGAATGGGTCACATTTTTCTGATTCCTTGTATGGTAAGTAATTTTGGATTTTGTCCTGGGTATGGATAATGTTATATTGCAAAGATTCAAGGTTATGTCAAAAATCCTCTAAAGAGGATTGTTTGTGTAACAGGTAATTAGCTTGGTTGAACCAAACCACAAATGACAGCTCAAAACCCTATTCAGTTATTTCATCCTTAGTCGAGCATCTTTGAGTCTGTCTCACACATACACAGTCCAAGAGTCAGTCAGAGATTTGGGAAGAATTTATGCACAGAATTAGATGTACTCTCTGGCTCTCTTCTTTCCAGGATTTTCTCCTCATTCTTTTATTTTCCAACACCTGTGGTTGCCCTAGACTTTGGCTTCTGATTCTTAAATCCAGAAATACTGTGGGTTTTCTATTGCAGTTTTAGCCACCCAGTACAGCACTATCCTTGGTCTGCCCTCAGGCTAAAGGCCACATAAAATGGGCAGCTCACCCATGTGGCTCCCGTCTTCCCAGTGCTGACTACTCTCCCACATGTCTGCTTTTGTTCACTCATCAGTGCCTTCAGGTTGTTGCTGTTATTGTTGTTAAATATGTATTTCTTTCAGAGTTTACAGTTACTATCTGTAAAAAGACATGGTCCAATAGGAGCTTACTCAACCATGCTAGAAGTGGAAATCTGAGATGATGTGCTATAAAGTACTAAAGAGAAGCACCATATTCCCCGCCACATGAGGCTTCGGTGTTGGTATCAGTATTGACCACCTGTACAGGACAGTTCCCTATAGTAAAGAAGAAATTTGCCAGGGGCTGATGGCACCACAGATGACAAGGAGGATGGACCTGAAGGGTCCATCCATGAGAAAAACTTGAAGGGTCTGGTCCTGAGAATTTGGGAGGCAGTGTCTCAATAAATTCCTAATATTAACTATAGAACACCTTAACAAGGACCCACTTCTGACAATAAGCCCAGATGTAACTTATTCTATTTTAGTTTAGGTCGTACAAGCAAAGGAAGGGAGCTGTATCCTTGCAGATGAGCTGAACTATTTTATTCACAAAACCAGAAATATTGAAGTAACCTCTACTTAAATTACATGACAATCAGATTAAACAGGAAACAAGCTAATGCCAATGTGGAGGACACCGCAAATTTAAATTAATATGCAATATGCAGTATTGGTCTTTCCAACACAGCTATAAAGTTTGAATCATTACAGACCTTTAGCAATTAACATTTACCTGGCCTATAAACTGAATTTGACATCCCTTTATGTCTGTCTGTTGGAAAGGTTTTATTATTAAAATATTAGAAGTCATATCACTATTAGACACATAGTCTCCAAATATTTACGTGTTCAATTAATGAGGGTGAATTTTGATGTGCCAGAACTAATTAAACATATAAAGATATCATAAAAAGTCTGCTTATCTTACATGTGAGGAAGTAAATGCCACTTTCAGATGTACAGATGTGGCATTCCTTGTCATTATGACCTCGTAAAAATGTAAAAGTATAAAATGTATAGTCTTATAGACATGTTTACCATAAAGTATAAACATTGAAGCAGAGTGGTTTGAGTATAAAGACCTTGGGTAAGTTTTCCTTGAACTTACTACCTTAGAAATCTAAACAGTTCTAGGACCCTTAGACAAGCTAAGGCAGCTTATTATTACATAGCAGCACAAAGATGTAATAGTGCAAGTAGCTAAAAGCTCTAAAACCTTACAAATTTGGGGAAAAGTAAAATATCTCAGCATTATGGCTTAGCAGTCAAATGGTATAGTAATATGTGTAATCTGTCACTTTTATAAAAATGATTGAAAAGAAGTGAAATTATTCCAGAAATAATGATGCATTGAAAAGGGAAGGCAGGTGAAATTATTCTGGAAATAATGTATGAGAAGCAGGAACCCCTACACCATTTTCTTTGCTTTAACAAATAAAGAAAGAATAAATATAATTGGAAGCAAAAACATGCTAGAGCTGTAGAGAAAGAGAAGGAATGTCAAAGAGGCTTAGGTATTCCATCATTATTTGAAAGTACTAAGAGATCTTGGAGATATAAGAAAGAGATATTAGAAAGGGGATATAAGAAAGAATTGCATAAGAAAACATTTGTGTGCTTGACAGCCATGGCCTTTCTAGACAGAACATTTTTTTAACCTTCCTAGAATGCATTGCAACTTATTGATTGAGTGAGTAAATTTATATTGAGCACCTACTGTATGATATGTTAGAGAACAATAGTCTACAAGAGGGCTCTGCCTTCTAGAAGTTTAGATTTCTGTGGTAGATACAGGCAAGCAAAAGCAAAATTTCAATACCATATGATGGGCAGGTAGAGGCGAACTGCCTTGCTCCATGGAAACACATAGGGAGAACACTTAACCAAAGCTGAGAAGGATATTGAAGGAACACTTCACCAAAATAGGCTTAATAGAATATGTTTTAGAAACACAGAGAATACAAAAGAACTGGAGCCTACAGAGTAGATATGAGGATAATGGGGCAAGAGCTGAGGCTGGAGAGAGTGCAAAGCTCAGTCAGTGAAGGGTCTTGTACACTCTGCTGTGGAGGCTGGTCTTTACCTTGAGAACAGTGGGGAGCAGAGGAAGCATGATCAGATTTGCACAGTAGGAAGATCACAGTATGAAGAATAGATAAGGGAGTGGGGCAAGGCTTGAGCCAAGGTGCTTAGAGAGCTCTTGCAATAAGCCATGGAGAGAGGCTGGTGGGTTTATCAAGGGTAAGAGCAGTGAGGATGCAGGAAAGTGGAAAGATTTGAGAGGTACCAAGGACACAGAACCACCAGAATCTGGTGATTAATGAAATGTTGGGAGTTCGGAAGAGGGAAATGTGAAGAATACTGCCGAAAATGCTGTTTTGGGTCATAAGATGAACAATGTACCAGTTATTAAATAAGGAAACCAAAAAAGAGGGTCAGGTTTAGAATAGACAACTAGAAATAATAACATCATTTTAAGGCATGCTCACTTGAGGCTTCTGTGGGACATGCAAGTGAAGATTGTGAAGACAGAATATAGAATGATGGCTGAAAGAGACAGAGAAAGAGAGACAGAGAGAGAGATGAAGCTATGGGATTAGAGGACATCTACCAGGGAAAATATATGGCATGAGAAAGAAAAGAGCCAGAAACAGATACTGGTATGAAACTACATTTCGGAGTTGGGAAGAAATCACATTTCAGAGATGGGAAGAGGGCAATGATCTGGCAAAGAAGACTGAGAAGAAACATCTAGAGAGAAAGAAAACCAGAAAAGGGTGGTATCATGGGAGCCAAGCAGAGTCTTGTGGGAACATGGACGTGTTCAAAAACACTGAGAGAGGACAAATAAAATGGAGACTATAAAATATCCATTAAATTTAGTGACATTTACACAAATAATAACTTCCCTGTGTTGCAGACCAGTGGATTCCTCCTTTATAGAGAGGAAGTAAGCTGTTTTTAATGACTCGCTGTGACCTGCCAGCTGTCTGGAATTGTTCAGTCTGCTCAGAAACTCCAGCTCTCAGTATGCTTGCCTCTCAGACATGTTAACAAACGCTAGTGTATGTGCACCCTCTCAGCATCCGGCATTTGCAATGATCCCACCAATAGCTACAAATAAGCAAATAAAGAAATCCCTCCTTTTGTCAACTGTTTTCTCTTCTTCTTTTCCTCTTCCTGTGATTCTCTTCCTTTTCAATGAGGATTCAGTACTAAGGAGTCTTAGATGTACAGGTTTGGGAAAGCAAAGCCTCAAAATCAGAATAATTCATCAGCATCTAGAAAAAAAGACCAGTGTTTTAACACTGCTCCTATTTTCTACTGCAACTCATCTTTTTTACTATTCTAAAAGTGTATGCTGTGGGCCTTGCTTTTATATTGCAAGAATTATCTCCCTAAGGCTTGCTACAATGAAAAAGACTTAACCATAGTTAGCAGCTCATCACTGAAAGAGATATCAGGAGGAGACCAATCCTCACCTCCTTATACATAGACACACACATACACACATACACACACACACACACACAAGCACACACACACAGTTTTCTTATATCCCATTGCCTACTGCCTAAATCCTCACCTCCTTATACACACACACACACACATACACACACACAAGTGCACACAGTTTTCTTACATCCCATAGCCTATTGCCTAATACGTCCTCTTTGGTGAATATTCTCTCTTATATCATAAGTGACTCTTTACTTGCTTGTTTCCCACTCTGTATTTAGGCTTCTTCAAAATAGGAACAGTTTCTTGTACTTGGATCCTACCAGCACCTAACATCATGCCTTGGACATGGTGACTACTTCACATATAGTTGTCAAATTTAAATTTATTTAATGAATTGATTAAAAAGCTTATCAGTGTTCTTTTGGTTCTCAGTTCTTTACAAAGATTAGAAAGTATTACAATTTTTTTCAATTTCTGAAATAAATTATCTCCATTAGAGGCCTTATATAAGGATTTAACTTACTTTGTGGCTTATATCATTAGGTTATATTCATTTTGTTATTTGACTCTTAGTGAAGTGACATGTAAATAATACACTTTAAATATAAAGCAAATGTTTCAAAAGTACAATAGTGAGCTCTTTGAACACTAGTGTCGGCAAATTCATTGAGCTTTGGGTGCATTTTCTTTCATGTAAATTATATCTTTCTAAAGTTTATTTTAAAAATTACTTTTGAATATACCAATAACTAATAATAAGATTGAATCAGCAGTCAAAAACCTTCCAACTAAAAAACAAAACAAAACAAAAACACAAGACCAGATGGCTTCACTGCAGAATTCTATCAAATACTTAAAGAAGAATTAACACCAACCTTCCAAAAAATTGAAGAGAGGGAATACTTCCAAATTTATTCTATGAGGCCAGAATTACCTCAGTACAAAAGCCAGTTGAGAAAAGAAAACTACAAGCCAATAACCCTGTTGAATAGATGCAAAAATCCTCAACAAAATATTAGAAACCAGAATTCAACAGCATATTAAAAAGATTATACTACATACCGTATTATACCACAACCAAGTGGGATTTATCCCTGGGATGTAAGGATGGTTCAATATACAAAAATCAATGAATGTAATGCACCACATTAACAAAATGAAGGACAAAAACTAAGTGATCATCTCATTTGATGCAAAAAAAAATTTCATAAGATTTAACACTTTTTCCTGATAAAAATGCCCAACAATTAGTAATAGAAGAAAACTACCTGAACATAATAAAGGCTGTATGTGAAGAGCCCACAGCTATCAGACTCAATGGTGGAAGACTGAGAACATTTCATTTTTATGATTAATGGCAAGACAAAGATGCCCCTCTCACCACTTTTATTCAATGTAGTATTGAAAGTCCTAGCCAGAGCAATTAGGCAAGAAAAAGAAATAAAAGGAACCAAATTAAAAAGAAAGAAGTAAAAATTATCTGTTTGCAAAATATGTGATCTTATATGTAGAAAACCCTAAAGATTCCATACACAAAAACCTGTTAGAACCAAGAAGTAAATTCAACAAAATTGCAAGATACAAAATCAATATGCAAAAAACACTTGTTTCTTTACACTAAGAATGAACAACTTGAAAAGGAAATTAACAAAATAATTCCATTTATAATAGCATCAAAAAGAATAAAATACTTGGGAATCAACTTAAGAAGGTGAAAAACTTGTTCACTGAAAACTACACAAGAAATGGAAAAAAAAAACACAAATAAATGGAAAGACATTCCATGTTCATTAATTGGAAGACTAAATATTGTTAAGATATCAATACTAACCAAAGCAGTCTACAGATTCAATGCAATTCCTATCAAAATCCCAATGGTACTTTTTGCAGAAATAGAAAAAAGGATTCTAAAATTCATATGGAATCTCAAAAGACCCCAGCTAGCCAAAACAATTTTGAAAAAGAAGAACAAAGTTAGAGGACTTATACTTCCTAATTTCAAAATGTATTACAGAGCTACAGGAATCAAAACAGTGTGGTACTGGCATAAAGACAGAATAGATCAATGTAATAGAATAGAGAGCCCAGAAATAAATGCTCTTCAGCAAAGATGCCAAGAGCACACAATGGGGAAAGGACAGTCCCAACAAACGGCTTTGGGAAAAGCAAATATCCACACGCAGAGAAAATGAAGTTGGACCTTCTCTTACACCTTATACAAAAGCTAATTCAAATGAATTAAAGACATAAACATAAGACCTAAAATTATAAAATTCCTAGATGAAAACGTAGGGGGAAAGCTTCACAACATTATATTCAGCAATAATTTATTGGCTATAACACAACACCAAAAGCACAGGCAACAAAAGCAAACATTGACAAATGAGACTACAACAAACAAAAAATTTTATGTGTCAATGAACACAATCAACAAAGTGAACAGTAACATACAAAATGGGAGAAAATACTTGCAAATCATGTATCTGATAAGGGGTTGATATCCAGAAGATATAAAGAACTCCTACAACTTAACAATAAAATAATAAATAACCCATTTAAAAATGGACAAAGGCAGCACTAGAAACAAATGAGCCATCAAGCCATGAAAATACTTGGAGGAAACATAAATGAATATTACCAAGCAAAAGAAGACAATCTAACAAAGGCTTCCATATGATTTGTACTGCATGACTTTCTGGAAAAGTCAAAACTATGGAGACAGTAAAAAAGATCAATGGTTGCCAAGGGCTGAGAGAAGAAAGGAATGAGTGAGCAGAGCATGGGGGATTTTCAGGGTAGTGATACTATAGAGGTGGATCACTTCTATTATAAATGTGTCTAAACCCATAGAATATACAACACCAATACTGGACCTTAATGTAAACTATGGACTCTGGATGATAACAATGTGTCAATGCAAGTTCATCAATTGTAACAAATGTACTGCTCTAGTAGGAGAGATTGATAATGGGGAAGTCAATACTTGTATGAGGTCAGGGAGTACCTGGACACCTCTGTACCTTCTTTTCAATTTTGCTGTGAATCAAAAATTGCTCTAAAAATAATCTTTTCTTTAATGGGCAAAGTGTTTGAATAGGGATTTCTCCAAATATAATATACAAATGGATCAACAAGCACGTGAAAAGATTCACTGCATCAATCATTAGAAAAATGCAAGTCAAAACCGCAATGAGATACCACCTTACATCCAGCCGGATGTCTATTATTGAAAGAAACAGAACATAACAAAATTTATTGGCGACAAAAAGTACTGGTGAAGGAAAAATTGGAACCCTTTCTGCACTGCTGGTGGGACTGTAAAATGGTGCAACTGCTGTGAAAAACAGTATGGTGATTCCTTCAAAAAATTAAAAATAGAACTACCATATGATCCAGCAATCACAATTCTGGTTATACACCTAAAAGAATTGAATGCAGGGTCTCAAAGAAATATTTGCACACCCATGTTCATTGCAGTACTAGCCATGATAGCCAAGAGCCAAAGGCAAACCTAAACACCCATCAATGAATGAGGGGTAAAGAAAATGTGTACAAACAGTGGAATATTATTCGGCCTTAAAAATGAAGGAAATCAATCACATGTTACAACATAGATGAACTTTGTGAGCATTATGCTAAATGAAGCAAGCCAATCACTAAACGAAAACTACTGCTAAATTCCTCTTATATGAGGTATCCTAGGTAGTCAAAATTCATAGAAACAGAAGTAGATGGTGGTTACCAGGATCTGGGATGAGAGAAAAGGGGAAGTTGGTGTTTAATGGGTATAGACTTTTAGTTTTGCAAGATGAAAAAGTTCTGCAGATCTAATGTACAACAAAGTGAATATACTTAATAGTCCTGAATTGTACACTTAAAATGGTTAAGGCGGTAAATTTTATCTATCTATCTATCTATCTATCTATCTATCTATCTATCTGTCTATATATTATTAAAATATATATAATATTATATGTATTTTAACCATAGTTGAAAAACAATTACTCCTGCCAGAAGGTAAGAACAGCAATATGCCTGCAAGATAACACAAATCTTGAAATAACAACACGCTTTTTAATGCAATTTGTCCTCCTTTGCTAAATCTTGCCTCAATTTGCACCGCAGAGAGAACTTCCGTAGCCACGCTCTCGAAAATATTCCCTTTTCAGTTACCATTCCCTTTTCTCTACTTTGTCTTCATAACACTTCAAGCACTACCTGACATTAAATTATGTGTTTCTTTGTTTAATTTTTATTGTCTGTCTTTCTATTGAAATGTAGATTCCATTAGGACAGGGACTTTATACTGTTTTGTGATATACACAACACCTTGAAGAATGCCCAACACATTGGCAGGCTTGCAACAATTACATAAATGAATAAATTGACATTATTGAGAGAAATAACTTCCACATAAGGAAGGGAAATTTATCATCTAATCCATCTATTTCAGTTGCTTTTTACATCACAAATGCTTATAGTATTTCTGACCTGTTTAAATTAATGAAATAAGTAGATTTCAGCATGGCAAATCAATTCATGTAGACAGTTACAGCTCATCACTTACACTGAATCAATAAGCATGATCTACAAAGACAGCTAAGGCAATGGAATCATCCATATGGCCAAATGTTATGAATAAATATGTAGTACTTTAATCAGAATATTTTTATTATTCAGATAACTAACCACCAAAGTTCTTATGTTTCAGGCTCTTTTGCAGCTTGGATACATCCTTTATATTAGGATATTAGTCATTGTCTTTGCTCACTCATTATTTATTAAACTAGTTAAACTGTATGCCACTTAATTGTTTTTCAATCTCCTCTAAAATTTTGGAGCTTCCAAGAAATACATATTAAACAGGAAATATCAGGTGTAGAAGATACACCATTGACTCCTCTGTGTACCTGTCTACTGTAGTTGTAGAAAATATAGTCCAGTAGATTATAGTTTGATGAATGTATTCTAATAGAGTCAGCAAGATCAACATTTGAATGGAACTCTGCCACTTACTAGCTAAGTAGACTTGGGTTACATTAGGTAAAGCTCACTGATTTTTTGATTCCTCAACTGTAAAATGTATCAATAATACCTATGCTACAGGTCTGTTTAGAGAACTAAATAAAATATGTGGCAGTTCCTGACTGCTCAGTGCTCAAGGAATGCTCTGTTTTCCTTAGTATTTTGACCCTACCCTTTTTTTCTTAATTTCAGTTACATTTTATTGAAAATTAGTGTTACTTTAAAAAAATTTAATGTTTATTTAAATAGTTTAGAAGAGATTTTGATATTTTAAGAAATTTTATGATGAATCATTTTACTACGAAAACAATTGCTTTATAAAGCAATTGTTCACATCTTTTTATATTTTGAAGTTTTCCTTAAATTGATGTATACTTATATTAAGTGCTTTTAGTTAGTGCTATGTTTCTTCACTTAACTTCCTAATTCAAAGAAATGTTTTCATAGTCTCTGCAAGTGAGTAGTAAAATGAATAACAATCTCTTTATAGCTATAATTTTTCTCTCTTGCTAATTATTAATTAAATTTTGTCAGTCCATATTAATTTTTGCTAGTCACATAGGCCTCAGAAGCTATGAAATAAAACTGAACATCTCTCCATATCTAGACAAATCTTTAATTCATAGAATCTTTGAATTATTTTGATTACACGGGGATTGTTTTCTTTATACAGTTAATTTAAACTATAATTTTTTTCTTTTACTTTTTTTGTTTGCTACTATTTTACTTCTGTCAAGTAATCAGAAAAATTAATCTTATCATGTTTACCTAACAGACTCTCTTAGGCATCCAGAGAATCTGGTAGATAACCATGCTAGGATGAACGGTACTTAATTAATAACTCCATGAATAATCTAAATGTATATTAATGTTTATTAGCCAAGATCTTTTTTACATTTTTTATTATTTTCTTAAATTCTAAGGATGTCAACAGTAATAAGAATAGAATTTCTTTTTGGTTAATAAATAGTACATATGTGATTTGCCATTTTTTATATTTCTGATTTTTCTAATTCTCATTTTCAAACAAGCCAGATAAAATGAACAAGTACATCAGTATTTTTTATTTTACATAATGTCTTCAGCTGTTTGTCAATTCCTGCTTTTCAGCTGCCTGAATTATTTTTCACCCACTTGAGAAGTGACTATAACTTTTTAAAATGTGTCACAAATATCACTAACTTGATTGAACTGAGATTTTTAGTGGATAGACTTCTCTGCAGCTACCTTTGTCCTCCTCATTTACCACCTCACTCTTCCCCTCTTCAAATCCTTTTTTATTGTCTTTCATGATCTTAGAATGAGAATGCATCTGCATCTGGCTGTCCTTATCTATCCTTGCACTATATCTCTACTCAGCCTCCTCCCCTTTTTCTCCTTTCCCAGGACACTTTCTTTTGATTCTGTTCTTTATAAAGACTTTAGATAATTATTAATGTTTGCATTCTTCCTTTCCAAGGGAATTGATATTCTTGTGCTTTACTGTAACTAAAATATTCTAGAATCTTTCTGATATTATAACCACATACTTCTGCCCAAATGTCCCTGAGAAGCTAAACTCTGCTTCATCCACATAAAACACTACTGCAAGTATTTCTACCTTGAATCGAAATGGCTTCACATGAAGATTTAGAATTATTCCATTTTTACTAAGTGAAATAAGCCAGACACAGAAAGACAAATATCGACTGCATAATCTCACTTATATATGGAATCTAAAAACTCATCATAGAAGCAGAGAGCAGAATGGTGACTACCAAGGGCTGTGGGAGAGATGGGAAATTGAGAGATGTTGGCCAAAGGGTACAAAGTTTCGGTAGGATGACTAAGTTCTAAATATTAATTTATTTATAATTAATAGATAATATTATAATAATTATTACTATTGTGACTACAGTTAGTAATAACAGATACTTGAAAATTGCTAACAGGGTAGATTTTACATGTTCTCACTACAAAAATAAAAAAGGCAAGCCCATGAGGTGATGGATATGTTAATTAGCTTGATTTAATCATTTAACAAGGTTACACACATCAAAACATCATGTGTACATATAAATACATATGATTTTTATTTGTAATTTTAAAAATTTGAATAATTATTCTATTTTAGTAATACTTTTCACCCACTTAAGAGTAAAAATAATTTATTTAGGTGACTATTTTTAAGGGAAAAATATTTTCTGCTTGTGAAAATATTATTCTGAAAATCCAGTTTTATCTTAAACATGTTTCACACCTAATCTGGCTTTGTCTCACGTTTTACCTGAGAATGCAGTTTCCATGAAAAAACTTCTATTCCCAGCACCTTTGGAAGACTCTTGGCTTATGATAACATCAGTAAATATTTGCCGAATGAATCAAAAGAACATGAAAACTAAAATGCAAGGCTACAAATTGATTTCTGAAATGAAGCGCAATTTGTATTTTGACTAACGCTCTGAATTTATTGTTATTTAGACCTGATTCAAAGCTCCTTCTACTTTTGAGGCAGGATAGAACAGCAGTTAAAAATGTATACCCTGGAACCAGAATGCCTGGGTTTAAAGTCTAGCTCCCCAATTTCTAGCTGTGTGATCTCAAAGCAATCATGCAACCTCTCTGTGCCTGAATTTCCCACTCTATAGAATAGACATAATAATTGTCACATCTACCTCATAGGTTAGTTGCAAGGATTAGATGGATTGATAGATGTGAAAATGCTTGGAACAGCTCCTGGCTCTAAATGAGAGGTACATAAGTTACTGATTGTAGCTACTATTATTATTGAAAATTGGTTGCTAAGTTTAACACCTCTAAACCTGCCCAACCTGAGAAATCGACCTTGGTAGTATACAGTGAATGAGGAACACATGACCAGCACTGCGTGTTGAGCACTTCCCTTGCTGTGGGAAACCAGCCGAGAAGAGGCCTCTCATTTCTATGCCTAATAAAGTGTTATCTTAATGTATACTTGAGCAAAAATCACTTTTATTAGACTATTTTGTTTAATTTGTCTGATTAAGAGTGTTAAGACTCAATCAGTAGGCATTAAAATGTTTAGATCTTAGGTGTTATATGTTATGAAATATCCAAATGATAAGTAAGAGAAGTAGGAAGAAGGGAAAGAAAGAAGTACAGTATCCCTGATGTTTTCCCATGAACATTTGCAGGAGTCTTTCATTCCACTTCATAAGTATGGTTAACTTATATGCTTGCTCTGTAAACAAAACAAAATATTGATTTTTGCCTTTTCTAAAGAACTTTTCTTCCCTGTGAAGACATCATTAGAAAAGCAGCTTAAGGGTATCTGTCAAGGTTTTAAGGATTTCAAAATCACCTTTTTAAAAGATATGATGTTTTGTGCTTTTAGGTTGGGGCTCTCCCAGCTCTCTCATGTGAAGGCCATTTTCCAGGTTCTTCCTGAAATCTTTCTGGATTGATGCTTTTGGAAGCAGGTGAGGATATGTGAGCATGAGCAGGTGAGAGGGTGGGGGTGTGCACTGACTCCACGTCTACTACATTAGTCTGTTCTCACACTGCTATAAAGATACTACCTGACACTGGGTAATTTATAAAGGAAAGAAATTTAATTGACTCACAGTTCCACATGACTAGGAAGGCCTCAGGAAACTTACGATCATGGCGGAAGGCAAAAGGGAAGAAAGGCACCTCTTACATTAGCGCAGGAGAGAGAGAGCGCACAGGGGAAACTGCCACTTTTAAACCATCAAATCTTGTGAAAACTCCCTTGATATCATGAGAGCAGCATGGGGGAAACCTCGCCCATGATCCAGTCATCTCCCACCAGGTCCCTTTCTCAACAAGTGGTGATTACAATTCGAGATAAGATTTGGGTGTGGACACAGAGCCAAGCCTATCATATACCAACAGCACACGGTGCTTTTCCTGTAAGATATGATCCCTGTGTCCAGCTCAGTCCAAAGTAGCAGAGCCTAATCAAGGATGCAATTACAATGAAAACAGCAATAATAACAAACTAACTGCTAGAGTACACCAAAAGTCAAAACTCAACATGAATTTTGTGCTATGATCATTAAGGAAAATGCCTTCCTTTCAGTTGCTTCTGCACACAAGGCAGGCTCCACGTATGGGCAGCAATCCACGCTGTCCAATTTAGTGGCCCAAGAAAGCCCCTGTCCCTAACATGCTTCTCCCTGAACTCTCCCTAATATCTGAAGCATAACATTTGCCAGTCACCCATTCCTCTGGATTAGCATCACCATCTTTGTCACTTTTTCCGTTACTTTCCTTTAGCATAAGAAGTTAAGGGTTTCTATAAAACTGAGGACCTAGAGGTGAGAAGAACACAGGTGAAGAAACATCTGTCTGAACTGGGTGTTGGAAGAACTAAACTCTATGTCATATGAATATTTGGACTGATTCTTGCCACCAAATTCTTGAGTAACTCCAAAAAAAATCTGTGACCAGTTCACAATGACACTGAGAGTCAGACGCAGCTGTTCACAATTTATACAAAATAAAACCACAGGAGAATTTTCTTGCATAATTTTCCAATCTATTTTTGAAAGTTTTTAAAATAAATTCTACCATTATTTCCCCAAACCAATGAATACAGGCAAAGCATGTAAGGGAATTTAATCACCTAGCGAAAGTCTTTTCTCATACACTTATTATTCAATAATTTGGACCAGAAAATGCAAAGAAATCACATCCTGCTCATTCCCAGGTCCTCTGAGGCTAAGAGGGGCTGAGGGTGACACTATAACCTGACAGGAGTCAATGACTTTGGGTGTAAAAAAAAAAAAGTGCTTCAGTGAAAAATTTCCATCCTTTTTATGAGAAAGGCCTAGGCTAGTGAGCTTTGGCTTTGGATATAGAGGTTGTCTGAGTGACAGTCATTTTTGGAGAACAGAATGAAAACCACACCCCAGCTGTGGTAGTGGCAGGAAAAAAGATATCTTCCCAAGAGAGTTCATTGCTTGTCCATTAGAAGGCTTCAGCCAGAAATCCCACAGTGGAGAAATCTAAACAAGTGTTATACAATAGCTAGGCTCCCCCTGCAGCAACTCCTAATGTGGGCAGAGACAGCCTAATTACCACCCAAGCTGTTCCTATGCTGACTACAAGGTGACACGGAGAGAGCAAAGGGAAGGGGAGGGAGAGACATGTAACACGATCTATTATTTTGCAATTAACAGGAGGCTCACTCCCGTCTGTCCACTGTCAACATCTACGCATGAGTGAACACACACACACACACACACACAGCCGAATCTCCAGAAACCCTAAGTCAGTTTCTCCCCTGCCTCTCACCCTCAGAGGGGCTAGGTCACCTTCTTCTCCTGCATCAAAACCTGGTTCCAAGACCCCAAGGACCAGGGCACCAGGCTCTTTTTTCACCCAAGAGAAATTCAGCTGAGATTTCATTTATGTCGATTTATTTTCCATCATTGCTTCATGATGCCTGTTACATGGTGTAGATTTCATTGTGCCTAATACAATGTAAACTCTATGTAAATAGTTGTTATGTTGTTAATTATCTAATTATATAATACTTTAATATTTTAATCATTTGCAAATGCTGACTTTTTCTCTCAGGTGAGAGAAGAACCTGGCCCGCTGGTCCTTGGGGTCTTGGAACCAGGTTTTGATGCAGAAGAAGAAGGTGACCTAGCTGTGCTGAGGGTGAGAGGCAGGGGAGAAACCTACTTAGGGTTTCTGGAGATTCAGCTGTGTGTGTGTGTGCGCACACACACACACATACACATGCGCACTTCTGTGCACATATTTTCAAATGCAAAGGATTAGAAAATTCAAGTATTATATAACTATATTCAGCTTTAATTACAACTACTAATTGGTCGAGCCTCCTAGAAAAACACTGCTTGGCACCAATTCTACTTCACCAGAAAGCAATGCTTATTATCTTATCCATACCAGCTAATTAAGTAAAAACACACTGCTAAAAATCTCAAACAGGCTGGGTGCGGTGGCTCACACCTGTAATGTCAGCACTTTGAGAGGCCAAGGCTGGCGGATCACGAGGTCAGGAGATTGAGACCATCCTGGCTAATACGGTGAAACCCCATCTCTACTGAAAATACAAAAAATTAGCCGGGCGTGGTGGCATGTTCCTGTAGTCCCAGCTACTCGGGAGGCTGAGGCAGGAGAATCGCTTGAACCCGGGAGGCGGAGCTTGCAGTGAGCCGACGTCGCGTCACTGCGCTCCAGCATGGGCACAGAGCGAGACTCTTGTCAAAAAAAAAAAAAAAAAAAAAAAAAAGACGTCAAACAGATTAGAATTGCTTAGATATTTGAAATTGTAACGAAAGTGTAAAAAATAAAGAGATTGACAAATATTGTAAAAGAAAATACAAAGTATCATTATTTGCACCTCTCTATCAAACCGCTCCCCCAAAAAAACTACTAGAACAAAGAAATTTCAGAAAGGTGGCTGATTGTGAGCTAAATATACCAAGAAAAAAACATTAGTGCTCTTGTATACCTATGGATGTAATTGAAATATATACACTTTCAGCCTTCTGCATCTGAGGGTTTAGCATCCATGGGTTCAACCAACTAGGGACACAAAATATTCCAAAAAAATCACATGCCCACACAAAAAATAATACAGCAATAAAAGATAATTACATAAATAAAAACATAACTATTTATATAGAGTTTATACTGTATTATGTATTATAAGTAATCTAGAGATGATTTAAAGTGTACAGGAGGATGTGCATTAAGTTATAAACAAATATAAAGAACTTCAGTATCCACAGATTTTGGTATCTGCAGGAGTTCTGGAACAAATCCCCCATGGATACTGACGGACAACTTTGTCCCTCAGTACGCACACACACACACATATATGTACATATATATGTTAGTAGAAGTATATACATGTATACACACACATACATACCCATATATGTACATATATGTTAGTAGAAGATTCCACTAGAAATAACAAAACATATATAAATTACTTGTATTAATTTTTTAATATGAAGGAACTATATTAAGAAAATGATATGTCAAAGAATTGAATAAATGAAACAATATCCTATGTTACTAATTATAAACATTATATTAAAGATATTTATTCTCCTGTAATTAATTTTTGAATTTAACTTAACCCCAGACCTCCAAATGCAGTGGTGCAGGGGTCCTTCAGGAGATGCCAGGTCTCATCTGATAGCTCTAAACACCCACCCGGCCCCAGAGTTGAAGAAGATGGAGGAGAACCTGGCAGGACCAACCAGGTGGAGTAGCAGGTGGTTGACAACATGCCTAAGCTGCAACAGCGCCTGCTGACCCTGAGCCAAACTTTTGAGCATACAGGCAAATATCCCTCCTTTACTTTCATCTTCCAAATCTCACACAAAATGTCTCTTCTGGCTCAGGCAAACTTGGAACTATGCAGGGGATGGAATTCTGTTAAATGTACTTGCAAGGAGCTAAGTTGACACAGTGAAAAATCACCACAATCATAAAGGTAAAAATTTTTCAAAAATATCAATGTATAGAGCTGGGAGTGTATAGAATAATTTTTCATATGTGGCACTAAAGGCAAAAGATAGAAAGGAAAGACTGACAGATTTGACTTCATAAAAGTTATTTTTTAAATCTGTTAACAAAAAAAGTAAGCAAACAAGAAAAACATTGAGGGTAATATTTTCAATACAGCGATAGGCAAGTAGTCTGTTTAATTTTTTTTTTTTTTTTTTTTTTTTTTTTTTTTGAGATGGAGTCTTGCTCTTTCCCCCAGGCTGGAGTGCAATGGCGTGATCTCAGCTCACTGCAAGCTCTGCCTCCTGGGTTCACGCCATTCTCCTGCTTCGGTCTCCAGAGTAGCTGGGACTACAGGCTCCTGCCACCATGCCCGGCTAATTTCTTTGTATTTTTTAGTAGAAACGGGGTTTCACTGTGTTAGCCAGGATGGTCTTAATCTCCTGAGCTCGTGATCTGCCCGCCTCAGCCTCACAAAGTAGTCTGTTTAATATTTTTAAAGTTTTCCAAATCAATAAGAGACAGATGAGCATCTGTTATTTTATTTTATTTATTTTTTAAGAGATGGGGCCTCACTTTGTTCCACAGGTTGCAGTGCAGTGGCATGATCATAGCTCACTATAGCCTCAAACTTCTGGCCTCAAGGGATCCTCTTGCTTCAGTTCCCCAGTAGCTAGGACTAAATTTAAAATAAATTTTTAAATTATTTTCAGAGACTGAGATCTTACCATCTAGCCCAGGCTAGTCTGCAACTCCCGGGCTCAAGCAATCCTCATTCTCCCAATGTGCTGGGATGACAGACCTGAGCCTCTGTGTCTGGCCTTATATTTTATATATATAAAGGGTAAGGACTGTTAATTCACAAAAGAAGAATAAAAAAGAAGTAAAATGGCCAAAACACACTTTTAAGTATAAAATCCCACTGGAAATCAAGTAAAAGCAAATGGTTTCCCCCAACACATTGGCAAAGGTGTGAAAATAAATATATATTCAATTTGAAGAGGACATTGGAAAAATCAATACTTCAATGTATTCATACATTTTGACCCAGATTTTTAAAATTCTATTAATTTATCCAGAGAAAAACAATAATGGAATGCCTATCACATATGCCTAAGAAAAAAAGGTGCCTAATAAATATTTTTGAATAGATGTATAAAAATACTTTTGCAATAAGAATGTTTATAATAGCAAAAACTGGAAAAAACTGAAATGTCCCAGGATAAGGCATTAAATAAACTGTTATCTCCATACAGTGAAATACTGGGTAGCCATTGGAAATTTTCGATTAAAGGTGTGGAACTACATAGTCTATATATAAATAAATAATAAACCATTTAAAAACAATTTATATGATTTCATTTTTTTCAAGTGTTATGTATCTACACATACATACTCACTCTCCTACAATAAATAAAAGTAATGGAAGGATTTTTGCCAAAGTATTCATAGAAGTACTGTCGTTTTTATTTTCATTAAATATGCATTACTAACCTAGTACAAAGAAGCAATAAATGTTATTTTTAAGTACTGGTAAAAGTGTTGAATATTTGATAAAACTTTCTTTCCTCCTCCTTCCTTCCCTGAAATGTCTGTACACTTAGTCAGTGTGTGAAGTGTGAAAATGTTGAAAAGAGAATGACGAATTTAGCTGGAATCGATGGAGGAACCCTTCCTGTAAGAGGAGTCATTTGAGGTAAGTCTTAAAGGATGAGTACATTTTGAATGCAAGGGTAGGGGAAGGCAGGAAACCCCAGAGTGTGTGGGAGAAGAAGAGATGAATTCAGTTTGAGAGGCAGGTATTGAATTGTGTGTTAGACATGAAGCTGAAAGGTAGCTGGGGTTGAAACCACAGGTAGGCTTCTCCATCCTAATGAGAAGGCTGAATTTCTCCATAGGATACTTCCTCGTTCCACATTGGTGACTCACCTGGAGCAGGGCTTGGGAATTCTGTCTCTGCCTGGAGCTTTTTTTTTTTTTTTTTTTTTTTTTTTTTTTGAGAGAGAGTCTCGCTTTGTCACCCGGGCTGGAGTGCAGTGGCGCGATCTCAGCTCACTGCAAGCTCCGCCCTTCTGGGTTCACGCCATTCTCCTGCCTCAGCCTCCCGAGTAGCTGGACTACAGGCGCCCACCACCACGCCCCGCTAATTTTTGTATTTTTAGCAGAGATGGGGCTTCACCGTGTTGGCCAGGATGGTGTCGATCTCGTGACCTCGTGACCCACCCGCCTCGGCCTCCCAAAGTGCTGGGATGACAGGCGTGAGCCACCGCGCCCAGCCTGCCTGGAGCTCTTTAAAGGGCTCTGAGCCTGGGATTCTTGGGAGAGTTCCATTGCATTGTATGGTCACGGAGATTGACACAGGTGATTTTTTTTTTTAATAGAAAAGTGTTATCACTAACCCTTCTCAATATATTTTCTGTCCCCTTATTTTTTTAAGATGGATATCTCTAATCTAGGTCAGAGGAGGAGTGTGGTATGCCAAATTCTTTTGCTCTGGCTAACATGATTGGTAAATAAGTGAGAATTGACACTTTTTTTGTTCTTCTTCATTCCACATATTATTCTTGTATGACACTTTTCTCTGTAATGTGAACATGTCACTCTTGAAAGTAAGCCCAAGCCCATACATAGGTACAGGACCTCATTGCAAAGAGACAGTGCAGCTCCAAATTCGTGGGAATCCATCTCCGCGGTAGATGCTCCCTTCAAAACCCACCCTCCCAATTCTGAGTCTTCATCTGAATATGCTCATAGTTTGCCTATATTGACTAAAATAAGTAGTTATTTCAGGTCAAAAACATTATTTGTGTTTGTTGTTGTTGTTTTGTTTTGTTTTTTTTGAGACGGAGTCTCACTCTGTCGTCGCCAGGCTGGAGTGCAGTGGCGCGATCTCAGCTCGCCGCAACCTCCGCCTCCCGGGTTCAAGCGATTCTCCTGCCTCAGCCTCCAGAGTAGCTTGGACTACAGGCGTGTGCCACCACTCCCGGGTAATTTCTGTATTTTTAGTAGAGACGGGGTGTCCCCATATTGGCCAGGATGATCTCGATCGTTTGACCTCGTGATTCACCCGCCTCCACCTCACAAAGTCCTGGGATTATAGGCGTGAGCCACCGCGCCCAGCCAATTGCTTTTGAAAAAAGAATGATACCTAGTGTCCGCCCAATTTTATAAAATCAACTGATTCAATCAATTGGGTCCAACTAATTTGTACCTATCTTGAGAAAGGATTCTTCATCATTCATCAAGGGAAACCTCTGTGTTGTCACCCCTTTACAGACCCCTCTGTGTGACAGGACAGGTACTGTGGCTTGTGATGACTACGTAGGACACCATTTAATGCTCCATGTGTACCCCCAGCTAACCGACACTCAGGAGTAGAGATGAATCCCCCCAAATAATTACTGTATTTCCACTGATAAAATGAAAAGCACCATTATCAATGATGCTTCACCTTTAACTTCTAGAAATAATTCCAGAAAATCATTTTTTATTATTTCTTTAGGTCATCCTCCATACTCTTGAAATAATGTTTCTTCTTCCAACATTCTCCAAATTTAACTGACTCACCTTTTGTGTCATTTTCTCTAGTGTTTTGATGCTTGGTCAGTGAATGTAAAACACTAGCTAAAGCTTATATAATAAACAAAGATAATTATTTGAAATAATCTCTTCTAAATTAAAAGTATCTCCTCCAAGTAGAATTTGCTGTTTAACCAAACCACACAAGCACTGAATAATGAGCGTTCTGGTCTGTGGACTAGTCTAAAGGTGATCACTTCTACTGGTTAGTCACTGCTTATACTGCCAACATATAGTCTCTGATTTCATTTCTTTGTATTGAGGCAAACTCTAGGATGAGAAAGAAAATAGGTTATGAATTCAACTGCTTGAAAATTTTGTATTATGAGCCGTGAATTGCAAATGCAAAAAGCCAGAAATACGATGAATAGTGTCTTTAACATTTAAGAAAGAATTGACTTTAAATCTCCTTGTCCAGATGCAGAGCTAATCATCAAAATTCCTACCAAAATTACTTACAACTGTAAAAAACACACACATACACATTTTAGACATGTAAATCTAAAAAGCTGTTAGAGGGAGTTATGAAAATTACATGCAATTATCTTGTAACTGGGATTACGAATCAATTTTCCCAGTGTTCTATTCTTTGCTTTCTTACTGCCTTCCAGAGTTTGATGTTTCTCATTTACAAAAAAAGGGATATATTTCATTTAGCAAAAAAAAAGTTGGATTTAACTCTATAATTTGTAAATATTTATGCATATTTCCAAAGAATCCATCAGCTTAACTAAATTCTTCCCTGATTACTTATAGGTCTAATACATCATGCTAGATTTCACATGTTGCACTTTCACAATAAAATGTTCAGATGAGAAGGCGATAACCAAAACAACCTGACAACCAATCAGTGAACACTCAGAAAAAATAAAACCCAAAGGTAGAGATTATCTATAAAATGGGTGTAGATTTAATTTGAAGTCTGTTTTCTACTTAAAATTTAAAAAGTTGTGTTTAAGGATAAAATTTTTGTTCAGATTTTGCAGAGAGTTAATAAAACAGCCTAAAAAAATGACCAACTGGTGTCAGTGACCCTACCCCATTTCTCTTCCACCTTCACGCACATGGCAAGTGGAACATGAACACTTTGTTCTGCATTGTATTCAAAGATGACACTACTGACAGTGATTGCTCCACTCTCTGTGTGTGACTGAGAAGCCCAATATGGTACCAGGAGTCCTTCCTGTAGTTTGCACATATGAAGCTTGTTGGGAGATTTGTGACTACAGCTGCTTTTAACAGAGCTTGTCATTGTTTATATCTCTGCCTCCAAAATACAAAATGGTCCGTTGCTAGGAATGAACCACTTCATTTCCTGACTGCTGCAAGCCAGACCGTTGTCTCTGTTGTTCTTTCCCAGATGTTCCCCAGCATGGCCATGTTGCTTGAAGCTGTGCTTTGCCTCTGTCTGAGATGGGTAAGATAAATTAACTTCAATTATCTGTTCCCCTCTTGTTGAAGATTGTAGGCACTGCAGAGATCTAACAGTAAAAACTGAGAACTAATCCTAAGTACCTACTATGTATTATATAGTGGTGATTAGTGGTAAGCAGAAGACAACGAAGGATGGGGTCTAGTTTCTGCCATCGAGGTACTTATAAGGTGGACACACTCCCCAAATAGTGAAGGTCAATGAGTGACAGGGCAAGCTGCTTGTCAAGAACTCCTATGGAAGTTACCTAGAGCAGTGGTCTCCAACCTTTTTGGCACCAGAGACCAGTTTCAATGGAAGACAATTTTCCCATGGACTGAGGAGGGGGATGATTTCAGGATGATTCAAGTGCATTACATTTATTGGGCACTTTATTTCTATTACTATTACATTGTAGTATATAATGAAATAATTATACAACTCACCATAACAGAAGCAGTGAGGTCCATGAGCTTGTTTTCCTGCAACTAGATGGTCCCATCTGGAGATGATGGGAGACAGTGACAGATCATCAGATATTAGATTCTCATAAGGAGCTTGCAACCTAGATCCCACGCATGCGCAGTTCACAATAAGGGTTTGTCCTCCTGTGGGAATCTAATGCTGCTGCTGATCTGACAGGAGGTGGAGCTCAGGCAGTAGTGCCAGCGATGGGGAGCGGCTGTAAATACAGATGAAGCTTCTCGGGGTTACCTGCCACTCACTTCCTGCTGTATCCCCTGGTTCCTAACAGGCCATGGACAGCCCCAGGATTGGGGACTCCTGCCCCAGAGGGAGAGATCATTTCAGGTTTGGGTGTAAAGAAATCCTTCATGGAAGAGAGTATATTTGAAAAAAGATGATCAAAGTGGATACTTTCAGCATAGAAACTGTGAAAAACAATACCAAGTAGTAGCAAATGGATATGTTTTGGGGATGGCGAGTATGCAGGTTTGACCTTAAAGAAAAACTACAGGATATAAGAAAACAAAGTGGATGAAGCCTGGATAGAAGGGTTTAAGCCATTATAGAGATTTTATAAAGGCTTTAAAACTAATTAAATAAAGGACCAATAAATCCATGTACCTAATCCTAATTCTGGCTACTGTGTTCAATATCAACAACTGTGATATTGAAGAAAGGATTTAACCTCTCAAGGACTCGACTTACATCTGTAGATTAAGAAGGCAAGAATAGAAAAGCAGTTCTAGACATCTGAGTATAGAAGTGTTTGGAAAATTATGAAGGAACAACTATGGCTCCCACAAAAATTTGAGACAGAAAAGTGATGCTGGCATCTGATGGACCTGGCCAGGGATGGTTGATGTCTTGTTATGTACAGAGCAGTCCCAACCTGAAATGTACACACAGCTTTCAAATGTTCCCCTCGTGCATGGGAAAAAAACTATTTATTATTATCTGAGCCTAGAAGCCAATTCTGCTTTGCATTAAAATATAAAGTATTTAATCAAATGTTAATACAAAACTTTTCCTAGAAATATGAAGCTTCTTCTTGTGTTTGAGTTGCTAATGAAATACACCCATATCTCTGCATTTTACATTATCATATTCATGGTGATATATAAGAATATAATTATTTAGACCATATTCCAAAATGCCAATATAGAAGAAGGTATTTACAGCATGAATTTGAATATTGTCTTCATTTAAATACAAACCTATGCACTGCAAGTAGGTGCAAGCCTCAGACTACTTCATAGTTTCTTCTAGTGTAGTTGCACCTATGTTGTCACATTTTGAAAAGCATGTTGCTGATCTATAACCAGAAATACCATTTGACTCAGCAATCTCATTACTGGGTATATACCCAAAGAAGTATAAATCATTCTACTATGAAGACACATGCACATGTATGTTTATTGCAGCACTATTTACGATAGCAAAGACTTGGAACCAACCCAAATGCCTATCAGTGATATACTGGATAAAGAAAATGTGGCACATATACATCATGGAATCCTATGAAGCCATAAAAAAGAATGAGTTCGTGCCCTTTGCAGGGACATGGATGAAGCTGGAAGCCATCATTCTCAGCAAACTAACACAGGAACAGAAAACATAATTCTCAGCAAACTGTGTTAGTTTGAACAGAACACAAAACAAAACAAAACACAAAACAAACTCATAAGTGGGAATTGAACAATGAGAACACATGGAAGGGAACATCACGCACCACAGCCTGTTGCGGGGGTGGGGGACAAGGGGAGGGAGAACATTAGGACAAATACCAAATGCATACGAGGCTTAAAACCTAGATGACGGGTTGATAGGTGCAGCAAACCACCATGGTGCATGTATACCTATGTAACAAACCTGCACGTTCTGCACGTGTATCCCAGAACTCAAAGTAAAATTTAAAAAAACAAGAATGTTGCTTTATTTTAAATTACTTTTCTTTTATTTCTTCTTATTATTATAGTTGGGAAATTTATTAAAGTTTTTTAAATGATCTGTGTACATGGAAAAACTATGAGTTTTATTTCAGATTTTAAAGAGGGCAGTACAAAATATATGTAATTAAAAGAGGCACGACGTTTGCTGTGATTGAGAATTAAAGGGTGAGTGATCTCTGTGGTCTTCTAGATCCTGTCCTGCTCATGTGAGAGAGTCCAGTGCACTGTCAGATGCTTTGTGTACTACATTTTTAAACAAATACAGCCATAGATTAGTAAATGATTCCTTGATGAACTGAAAGAGCAATGCCAAAAAAAGTCTATCTTTCACTAACAGAATTATATTTATCCTTAGGATATTTACCATTGGGATAAATGTAAACATGAAATCCTTGAGGATTTTTTAGTAAATTCCTCACCCAAAATAAAAGACTGTTTCCTTTACTTTTCCGAAGTATGCCTCTGGTACCCCGTGCCTCCTACACAGTCACTTACTCATCTGATCATTTTAAAATGATATTTGAAATGTCACAATACATATTTTCTTCCCTTCCCATTCCCACTCTGCTTCTTGCATGACAGCAGTCCTGGCAATGACATTTTTCACCAAGTCTTCAGTTCAACAAACATTGATTTAAGGCTTTACACTTTCAGCATGTCCTGGACTCTCCCCAACACCTGTGGGCAATACCCTGGCCTGCAGTGGGTACAGGCATAACGCAAAGCCTCAACTGTCACAAGACTTCTGTTTTTTGCTGGCTGTAGGATGTTTGCAGGGGCTCCCTGGAGATGTTCTGCTAATAATGAGTTACAGGCTGCCTCATCTATCCAGTGCTTTGACTATCTGCCCAATCTTTGTAAGTTTCTAACCTCATGCTTCCTTCTTCCTCCTACTCGATGTCCTTCTGGGAGACATTGGATATGGGGATGAAACATTCTAATCCTAGGGCCTGCGGTCTTGTCAATGTGTACAACCCAGGGGTCTGTTGCTTTGTTTACCTTTCCTGCTTGTCTAGTGGGAGGTTTGGCAAAATGGGGAGGCTCCAGATTGTGAGTCTTGGAAAAATATCTGAGTGGTCTTGTTGTTTTTAAAATTCCAGTCATTCATAGCAGACGGCTGAAACTCACTTGAAAATGAAATTGTGTGCTTTGAATATAGCAATCTTTTCACTCTGAAAGGTCTTTCACATTCTATTATATTCTTTTAAAACTGATTGTGCATCAGTTAGTGAGTTCTTGCAATTTGAGGATAGTAACCAAAAGTGTAAGATATCCTTATGTTAAAGAAGCAAAAATGTTATTTCCAAAGCAAAATCTTGTTGACCCTAGGTTAAGCCATGCTTTGTTTTCGACAGACTAAACAAATTGAAAGAAGAACTTGGGGATAGAAATTTTAGGAATTCTATTTTCTAATAATTAAAATTTCATTTCACCTGGGAATTTATGATTTATTAAAAAAAAAACCCTAACCAAGTCAGATGGTGTTTTAACATGGATGCAATATGAAGAAAACTGAAGCAAAGATGCTCCTCAATTAAGGATGAGTGTTGTGAAACCTGATTACTTGCCCTGCCTGGGTTAGAGAGGCTTGTAGATCCGGTTCCCAGGCAATAATAATGTGGATAATTAGAGTTAGATTGACTCCTGACCCTTGATGTGGCCACATCTCTCTCCTGAGCACAGAGGCCTTCAAAGGGGCCTGTTCATGGAGGAGGTTTTTGGTGAGGAAGGGGATGGGACATCAGTTGAATAATTTCAGTCTCAGTGGAGTTGTTCATCACAGCTAAGCTTTGTGAGTGTTGGAATGCTGTGTGTGTTATATGCAGGGAGGATCTGAGCTTCAAAAGCTGTAAAACACAGTATGTGTTATCTTACATCACTTCTCAAATCTGTGCAAATTCAGATTTCTCTCTGACAAGGCCTTCCCATTAGAATGGGAAGTTCAAAAGTCCAATGCGGTTTGGATTCACTATTCAATAATAAACATCCCTTGTGAATGAAAAAGTCAAAAGCAATTGATAAATATGCTAGTCCTAAGCATTAGATACAAACCTCTGTCACTTATGAGATATCATTTATCCATCAACTATAATGTACCTTCTTCCTTCTACTCATTTCTTCTTATTCTGTTTGATAGACAATTATCATTACATCTTTATTAGCTGGAACCCCAGAATCTGCAATAAAAGTCTTATGAACTGAAATAGCAACACAATTTGTTATGCACTAGAATTTTCCTCTTTCAGAGAGACTTTGAATTAACACATAACTGAGGTGCTCCTTTGTCTAAACTTTATCCATGGCCATAAAACAGGAAATGGAGAAAGGGCTAGAACCATGTTTTAGTTGAAAGCAAAAAAATGAAAAGTATTCTATAGTTCAAAAGACTTCTTGGGTAGATAGCCTATCACATCTATGCTGGGCTGCAGCTATGGTTAAATAACTAGTTCTCACTGCTAATCTGCAGGGTTGCTTATTAATCACAGAAAGTGTAATCAGTTAACCTAACCAGGAAGTTGATGTTGGGTATCATTCTTCTGCTGTATTGCAATCATTCAGTATTTTCAACAGCTCTACACACACTCAGTTCATGATAGGGTCCTTTCTCATAAGATAAGCATTCTTGAAAGAGTAGCTTGGGAGAAAATAAAAAGCATTTGGAAAAACATATCCACTGACATGACTTTCTATTATGTTAAAGAGTTCTTTATTAAAAAATTAAAAGCAAAGAAAAAGAACAGAAAAAGAAAGAAACAATAACAATGACAAAATCCTATCATGGTTGTGCTTCCAGCAGCAAAAGAAAACAAGTAAGCCATTGATTTGGAGATCTGGGTTGGAAGACTAGGCAGGACATTGAACCATTCCTTGGTGGAATGGGAGGAATAGAAAAGGGTCTAGGTTGTTAAGGCCATTTAAAACTAGAAAATTCTATGACTTAAACATTTCACATTGACTTGAGCCCCTTCATCTTGGGCCAAGTTACTGATGGTGCTTGGGGCTGAGCCTGGTTGAAGAAGGGCCATGTTTTCTGGAGAGCAGTTGTCTAGTGAGCGGAGCCAGGGCCAGGCACTGGATAGTCAAAACAGCTGGACTTGAGCCTCATCTTTAGAAATAACAAATATCATGAATCCTTGTGCTTTCTGTGTGTCCAATAACAAACCTTGATTCTGAGTTCTTTATTTTGTTGGTTTAACACCAAGTCTTACATTTTAATATAGAAGCAGTAAAAAGGACAGTAATACTGAGAAATCTTGGAGGTTTAAAATATGGATCTAGTGACAAGTTTGATGATTCCATTATTTTTGATATGCTACCACTCTGATCATTCTTACCTTTAAATAACTTATCAAAAAAACACACTTTAGAATTATCAACCAGAAAACAAAAGGTTCTTTAAACTTATGTGCATTTATTGACTCTTTAAGGGAAAAGTGGTGATTACTGTCCTGTCTCCTATCCTTAGTTCTTTCTGATGTTCTTACGCTACTAGGTCAACCCGGCACCCTTCTAGGCAAAGCTGGAAAAATCAAGCACTTTCATAATTAGTCCTATTGGAAAAATAAACTTATAAAAATTAGATTTTACTCCAAATTGATTGTAAAATGGCTAGATTTCAGTGGAGTATTATACATCATGACTCCCTTAATTGTACTAAGGAATATTACATTCTGTGGAGTAAGAAATACTTTGAAACCAGAATGCGAGAAAGAAAGAGGCAGAAGATGTTTCATTCCCCCACATCAGAAAGGAAATGTTGGAAAGGAAATGATGATGGAAAGGAAAAATAGTAGTTATAAGCAAGGATCTTCCTAGCTGTGAGAAATGATTCGCTTGCTTGGGATGGTATGGAAGCCACAAGAGACCTAACACTCAAATCTCGCAAAACCTTTGCCTCATAAGAAACTTAGGGTCAGGAAATTTTCTTTGACTTTGAGCTACATTCAAAGGGTGGGTTTTCAGGTTATTGGGATGAAATCTGAAGGAGCATAACAATTCTTTATGGCTTAGGAACACAAGTCTTCTCTCCCTTTGTTGTTTCTTTCTTCTTTTTTGTATTCCATCTGCATTACCTGAGCTTCCTTTCTCTCCAAAAATGCAGTACAGAGAGGGGAAAAGATAAAAAGCAAATTGACCAATTGCATATTTTTTAATGTTCAGAGGCTTTGAAACTACATTTTTTTCCCCAGAAATGTTTTCAAGGTCGGGGGCCAAAGGACCCTGAGTTAACTCAAAGATTTAGAGCATTCAACAAATTAAACTCCTTCCTTTGGCATGTATGTTAGAGTCTTTGAGTCCTTAATATAATTTAAAGCAATTGTCCCTGTAGGGAGGTCTAACATTTTGCACAGTTACGTTGTAATAGTTGACCTGCGTGAGGAAACTAGAAGAATTTCAAGGGTACATTTCAAGACTCTGTTTCTGTTTATAATTGTGTTCCAGAGTTTATATTTATTAATATTGCTTTATTTTGGGCAGACTCCCACAGGAAATCCTGAGGAGTGTACGTTTCTGGCATATTTTATCTCAGATAGTTCCATCCCTTTGGTCTCGCACCCTGACTGCTAGGCTGAAGTGTACCTTTGAAAGCCTCTGCTCTTTAATAGAGCTGAGGATGACAACAAGCAGGAACTTCAACACTCTAGGAAGACAATCTATCTACTTTCTCCAGTTATCATTAAAATGTCTTTTAGACGTAGGTCATAACTGGAAACCTATAAATGATGTCTGTGTAGTAAGCACTTCCCACAGAGCTGGAGTCCCAAGTGATTAAAATTTATCACATTGTTCTTATGGTTACAAATACTGCTGATATGTGTCATTACTTAGAAAGTACTATTCATAACATTTTGATTTCAGTCCAAATAGCTTTTTTTTCCGGAATTTCCCATAAAATGCTCTTGATCTTTTTCTAAAAAGGTCTAATCTCCTTCTCCTTTGAAACAACAAAGAAAAGGGGTTGATTGTTCTTTAGTTTAAATTTTGTTTGGTGTGATATATTTATTGCCTGGTGGAGTGCATCTAATTTTCCATTAGCTTTTCTGAGAAAGTAATTAGGACAGAAGTTAATCCTTTGCCACATGCAAGCTCTAAGCTCTTTCATGAATTAAAAATTATGGTGCATAGTGTGTAGCTCTATTAAAATGATATGCAACCACAAGACCTCATATTTGAGCAGTGCTTTTTTTTAGACCAAAAAAATGCACGCTTTGAATGTACAGATTTACTCTTCAATTAGACAACATAGGGTGCACTGAAATGCTCTAGAGTGGGCCCTACATATGATAAGAGTTTCCTAGAACATGGGATAAGAGGGCAGCCTCTATTTTAGTCTCCTGGAAAGGTGAAGATGTAAAGTTCTTTCAATATGATTGTCTAACCTTCATGCATTTTGCCATTCCCCTGGGAGTTTATATTATAAGGAACAAGGTTAGTGCAGCATGTCTCCAGATATTCAGCTCTTGCTAGGTATTTTACCTGAAAAGCAGTGAATTGAACTGGCTTGTATTTATTGAAAAAATAAGACTCAAGGCAACATGCTGTCTGCTTTTCTACCTAAACACTGAATCCCTGAATGACAATTTGAGATGACCCTACCAGGACAAGTCTTGTTTCAGGTTTTTGTAATTGATTTCTAAATTCTGGGACTAAACATACAGTGTAATAATATTAAGATATCGAGAAAGGAAAGAAAGATACTAATGAAATTTAATACCAAGAGTTTCAGCAAAGGAATATATCAAAACTCATATCATTATTTTGACTCCTAACTATAAAAAGTTCAGTACATGCATTGCATTCTAACCATTTAACCATCTAATTTAGCTAACTAGTACATACACTGTTGTACTATAATTGAACATTTTACAATACTTTACATGGGATGCTATTTAAAGATATCCCCAAAATTTTACCTTCATAGTTTTAGAAATAAATGACAAAGTAAAGGCAAACTTCTTCATGTGGAGTTCTGGAGTCGAGTGTTTTGGGGTTAAGTAGACAAATTTTCAGATCTAGGATTTTTTTATTTTCAAAACAAAATGTACTAGTTCTTTCCATTGCTGACATAGTTGGCTCCGTGTAACTTTTGGAACAAATTTCTTTTTGTAGAATTATCTGGCAGTTTAGAGTCATTTTGTGGTGGGAAAAAAAAAGCCAGCTGGTGACTAGCAAAAATGAAATAGAGGGGGTGTTGATAGGAAGAAAAAAAGAATCATAGCATTGATTGTATTAATCTTATTAAAACAAACTCCAAGGAACTGACTTTCTTATTTTCTCATATGGATATTTTATAGTACCAAATATTCCTCAAAACAAGTGAACAATTGGCTGGGGCTTGACAAGTATTTGTTATCTAGAGGTTTTTCATTGTATGTTAAAAGGCTGGAAAGAGGCAATAATACATAAGTGCAAGGAACACAAAATTCTGATTGCAATGAAATTTTACAGCTAATGTATTCTAAGAACTGCTTTCATCAGGGTTTTCTGTGTATTTTTTGCAACCCATTTTGCCTTTTTATATGGAGTGTTACATTGAAAAGGCCTGTATGTGGGCAAGGTGACCCAATAAGCACAAATCAAGCTACATCTCCCAGATACCTACCCAGCAAAATAGAAAATTCCAGTCAATCAACCAGCTGCTTTGTCTATGTAATAACAAAGGGTAGATTGGTGAGGGTGTTTTTTGTTTTCTAATGTCATGAAATTTCCTGAAATAATTGATTGGTCTAGAAGTTATGTACACCAAAATATATATATAACTATCCTAAACATCCTTAGAATCACAGAATAGCAGATTTGGAAGAGACCACAAAGTTCTAAATCTAGATGCAATGTGTAAATCACCTTTCTCCAGCCTCTCCAACAGGTGAGGAATGCTGATGTCCATATCCACAGAATGGCAGCCCATTCTATCTACAAAGGATTGATTGCAAGTAAGTCCATTCTTATACGGAAACTTCTATATATTGGTCCTTGCAGAAATTCAACATCAGAGACAATAAACCTTTTCCTCTTTAACAATGAAGCTCTTCTTTTCTCCAGGTAAAACATCTTCTATTCCTGTAGTTTTCCTTCTTTTTTTTGTTTTTGACATGGTTTTATATCTTCTCATCAAGTACATTTTTTTGTTTTTAAAAGTATGCTTTTAAGGTATAGTATCTAGATATAAAGTCAGTATTTTTTTAAAAAAAAGTTTTGCCCACTATGGAATGTAGATTTGGGGTTATAACTTTCTTAGTCTGGCAAGCTTGCTCTAAAATTGATTCTAAATCCTATTAGACTTATAGCAGCCCACCACTCTCTTGACTTATGTTGAACTCGCTATTATCTAAAAGCCGTAACCCATTGTTTTTCACTGTTTTTCAATGTGAACTATTTTTCCAGTTGCTTTTCTGAATCCAGGTAATGGGCTATGTGTTTATTGCTTATTCCTATTAAACTTTATCCTGTGAGATCCAGCCATTTGGGCACCGTGTCAAACTCATTTGGAGCCTAATATTACCATTATCAGATTCAATAAAACCCCAGCTCATTTGACAAGATGCCTGCCAAATCATTAAGAGAAGACAACCCATTCCAACATGTTACACTCTCCCTATCAAAGATTTGTTTTTCTAACCCCTAAATCGTTCTTGCTGAGGTTTAAATCCTTTCCCAGACAAAGCAAAATCTCAAATAAACCATGGTTTAAAATTTAACTTACTTGTTATGAACTCACATCCTTGATTACTAATAGCACTTCATTTTTAAGCAGAAATAACATGCCTACCAAAGTAAAAATAACTCAGGAAAACATAACAAATCAAAAGTCATTCATTATGACCAGCATCTACTTTGGTTATTAATCTGTCTTTATATGAAAGTGTTAATAATGAAATTCAGATTGTGTTTACCACAGTTAGATTTTTGTCTTTCCTTAACCTCAACTAAAGCAAAGAAAGGCTTAAGCAAAGGACAATGAAATACCCTAATAAATGAAAATGAAATGAAATGAAATGAATGAAACTTCTCCAAGTCAATTAGAATTTTTATATCTAACGGTTTTCAAAATATATATGTTATACTATGTTTGGTTCCCATGGGATTTATTACCATTGTTCATTAGATACAATGAAATAATAACAACAAAAGTAATGATTACCGTAACTTTCCTCAGAAGCAAACACACACTAAATATAAAGAGGTCTTTGCATTTAACTTTAAAATGTACAATCATCAAAACACTTGAATGGCCACATGCGTAGGAGTGATAGGTCTCGCACATATTTATGAGCTGCCCTAAATCCTTTCTGGAGTAAGGAGAAAAGTAAACAAAAGACGCAGTCACATATTTAATGAGGAGGGAGAGAAAAATCTAAATTGGTATGCAGTCACTGCTCTCACAAGCCATTTTATTTTCTAAACGTTATATCGAAATGTTTAGATGTCGCCTTTCAACCAATACCACAAATGTAGGAGACATGCTACATGAGCCAATGTTACAGATACCTGGGACATCATTAAGAAAAAACACAAAAATAAAATACCTTTTTAAACAATCTGTGACCCTCAAATTTTAAAAATTAAAAAAAATTAAATCTTTTTAGAGATGAAGTCTCATTTTGTTGCCCAGGCTGGTCTCAAACTCCAGACCTCAAGCTATCCTCCCATCTTGGCCTCCCAAAGTGCCGGATTACAGGTGTGAACCACCATGCCTGGCCAAATTTTTAAGTAAATGTAACAGTGCTACCTGCCATCCTCCAGGTGATTCCCAATTGTCCCCAGGCTGTGCCATCTTCTGTGACTCTGGGAAGAATTCCATGCTCCTGAGTCAGAGTAAAATATCTTTGCTTTAGTTTAGAAAGGATTTGCACAGGGATAATGCAATTTCATCTGTCTTTTTTGCTCCACTTAAAAATTAAACAGGAAACACATATATGCCATATAAATGTATCTGTTTTTTCTCTTGCTGGTTTTATTTAACTTTCTCCTCCCTCTAAAGCATTTCTTCCCTTTCTCATACATTTCTCTTATGGAGAAAAGAATAATCAGACATTAGGAATTAATTTGAAAGTTTGTTATAAGTAATTTTATTAAATGACTCCTTGAGCAAAAAAGTACTTTTCATTTGAGACAATGCTTTATTCAAACTGTGTTTTTAACTGATAAGTGGCATATATGACCTACTAAGCCATAGGATAGACAGACATCTATTGTGTACAGTAAAGCTATTTTTAATCCTATTTACCACGTATAGCAAAGACCAGTTTCTCCAAGTGTAAGCCTCAACCTGACTCTCTCAGCATCCCTCCTGGTGCCCCCAGCCTTACACGCTACACTCCAATGAAGCCCGAATGCCTAGCATGGCCAGATTTAACAAACTAAATCACAGAATGCTCAGTTAAATTTGAATTTCCAATAACCCACAAATAACGGGTTCGTACATGTTCCAGTTATTGCATAGGATATACTAAGCCATTATTTGTTGTTTAATGGGAAGTTCAACTTTAACTGTGTGTCCTGCACTTTATCTGACAATACTGCAATCATATCCTCCATGCCACTGTTTCAAGCCATTCTGGGCAGGCTTTTCCCTCCATCTCAGGTGACCTACTGTGCCTTCTCTACAAGGAAGACCCAGCTCAAATGGCTTTTTCTCCTCCTCCATAAAATCTTGGCTGACCTGCTCCACTCAGTCCAAGCAGAGCTGATCATTCCCCTCTTTGTGCCACAACAGTGCCTGGTACGTACTCCATTATGCCCCAAGTCACAAGCTGTATCTCACCCATTTGTGTGTGTCTGGATGTGAAGTCAGTGGGACACAGTGTGCTTCACTCAACCACATCCCCAATACCAGAAACTAGTAGATACCTCAGGAGAAATTTTGTATGGGAAAGGAGCAGAGGGTCAGAGCCAGACAAAGCTGGATTTGAACCCAGGATACTGTGCCAATACATTTACACTCTCAAGGCTTAAAGTTCCTTTTCTACACTTTGAAAAAAATAAATAAATAAGACATCCCTGGTGAAGTAACTGTTGAAAATTAAATTAAGTTGTTCATATGTAAGAAACTTGTCACTAAACATAAAACCACCAAAATAGTTAGTTACTTTCGCATCCCATGCTCTTTCCTAAACTAAAAAGTCGTTTCCGGGGTTATAATGTCTTTCCACTTAAAAAAACCTGCAGAGAACTTCAATTTTAGTTTTTCAATTAAGCTTTAAATTTTGTCTGATTATGACCTAATATACTTAATAAGAAGGTAAGCTCAACTTTTAATAAGATATCTTATTTGTTCTTACTAATTTACCTGCCCAATTTTCTTCCTTTACAATTAAATGGTACTTCCAATTAGACCATATAAAAAGAGAAAAACTCTGCTCCCAAAAGCTTGCAAGAGAAGAGAGTTTCTAAAAATTACTCTTGTCTCATCTGTCTGACTCACATTTATCTAAAAATAAAAGAAAAGCTAGGAGAAAAAATAAACGAACAGAGGATAACATGCAGCCTCATGTCTCTGAGTCAGATAACAAGATAATTTTTCTGCATGGTCTATATTTCACTTTTCTTTTCAAAATGACCTTTCTACCCCCTAACCCTATCACTAGAATATAAATCCATTAATGAGGAATCTTTTCTTCCCCTGTCCTTTTTCATATCAATTGCAGCAGGACATTAGACTGTTCTTTGAGTTCATTCACTTTATAGCTATTAGAAAGAAAATATAGCCTGGAGACAGCCTGTCTCCAATTGGTTAAGCACAAGTTGAAAAAATAAATTCCTGAGTTTCTTTCATCTGCCACTGATTTTCCATGTGAAACCTAGAGAAGTGTCCAAACTTCATTTTTTAAATCTGTGAAATGGGTGAATCATTAAAAAAAAAAACAAAAAACACCTCTTTTAATGTCCATTTTTGGCAGAAAATAAAAAGGTCTTAAAATATTACTGTTTTATACTTAATGATTTTAAAATATGCTTGCTTCACTTTCACTCCCATAGAATTAAATGACATTGCTCATTAGGTGTTATGAAATAATAAAAATAATCATATTAATAAAATGTAGTTGTTAGTGTAACTTTCTCCAGAAGTACTCACATTCTAATCTAACTTCCGAAACCAAAAGAATCACTGAGAAAACTATGTAGGAAACTTTAGAATAAATTGACAGGTATCTTAAAAGGTATATGTAGAGTGGTGCCAATCCATTCAACCATTTACTTATTCATTCATCAAGTGTTTAGCTCTGTGACAGACTTCTCCTGAGTTCCATTTCCTCAGTTTCCTGACAATCAGATTGGACTAGCAAATGTATAAACTATGTAACTCAGGGGTTTATAGCTTAATGTTCCTAAATTAATCCTCTGATAATTTTATTAATACTAGTATTCACCGAGCTTTGCTGCCTTTCAAATAACATTTGCACTTTTATTGCAGCATGGCCTTCTCCTGAAGACACAAGTACCTTACACTGGACATGTGCATGCCCGGTTGATGGTTAATGTATGTCAGGGATAGATCTTGAGTCCTCCAACAAGAGTAACAACAAAAGCATGACAACTGAGTTTTGAAGAAGACTTTTTTGCTTGAGTTAGAACCCCAAGAAGTCTTTCACAGGCCCCGGAAACTATGTCATGTCCCTCAGCTATCCTTGCTCAAAGCCTTCCTTTTAAAACAGGTCTCTCTTCCCCTATTAAACCGTCAGAGCTATGAGTGCAGGGATCAAGTCTGTCTTGTTCATCCCATATATTTATGCTTAGCACGGCACCTGGTCTATAAGAAGTGTGCAAAAATGGTGAATGAACTTTGACAAAGCTTTCTCAACACATTATCCCATTTGATCCACTCCTCCTACACCCTCTTCACAAGATCATTTTCAATGTCAAGACCCATAACTGCAGTATACCACATACTCAGCAATCAATGAACAGTCATTTCTCATCGTCTCCTTGCTGTGGGAGGGTGGGGAATGTGACATCACAGTCAATCAGATGTTACAGTGGGGCAAGAAAAAAAGATGAGCAGAAAGAAGGCAAAGTTTATATGGAAAATATTCAAATCGAAAAGTCAAGTTAGGAGAAAATTTTCCTAAGGGAGCAGCACTGGAGAATAAGCCAGCCCAAAACATTTCCAGAGTACCAGTCATAGTGCCTTCTCTGCAAAGTAAACTACCAGGGGTTACCAAAAGCTTAAATAACCTCCTGATCTTTAAATTTTCTGATACTAAAGAAGTCTGTAAAGGAGGAGGCTAACCAAGTCACCCAGTTTCTAAAGAGCTCAAGTGCTGGCCTGGCTCTGAGGTCCAGCAACAATATCTATTGTCTGCCTACTATGTGCAGTGATGTAGTACATTTCTCCCTCTTCCAGATGGATATCACATTCATAAACCTACAGCAATGAAAAACTCAAAAGCTTCCCCAGAATGTCTACTCAAGGACACTTAGTAAGACATAATCCATACTAAGAAAAGCTGAATAATACTTTCAGATCCAAAGTGTAAGGATCCCATGGGTATCTTGTGTAATTACAATTAATAATTGTATGCAGGTGCACACAACTCTTAGTGCTTTCCTAACTTTTCCAAAACGGCTTAAGAATTTGATCAGGGGAACCACATCCACTCATATACCCTGGAATGTCAACTTGTACTTTCCCTGTGAAGATCTTACCAGTACACAGACTCAGGGGACACACATGGAGTGGAGGGAGAGAAAGAACAAGAACAGCCAGTTCAACCCAGAGTATCAACAGTTGTCATAGCTGCATGTTCTTACATTTAGGTAATTTTTTTCCAATGTAGGAAGAGAGATCTTGAGATAGCAAAACCTTGCCATCAAAATCTAAGCAGAACACTTGGAAGATCCAGCTCAGGCCAGCCTGTGGCATGAGGGAGCCTCTGAAGCCAACCTGGGCCACCCTGTCAGAAGTGCTGTCACTTTACATTGTTTGCAGGAACCACAAAAATGAGACCTCATCTTAACCCTAAAAGGGCGATCCTGATGAAATTCCAGAAGGCAATCTAGAAGAGATTAAATATACTATGACTACACTGCTTGGATTGTTCTGTAATAAGCATGCATCATTTTTACAAAAACAGTAAAAACAATTCTAAAGATAAAAAAGAAAGGAAGGAAGGGAGAAAGAAAGACAGGGAGAGAGGGAAGGAGGGAGGGAGAGAGGGAGAGAGGGAGGGGGAAGGGAAGAAGGAAGAGCACATGCTTTGCTCTTTTATCCTTGGTATTCACAGAAGGCTGGGGATTGCATAATTAGAAGACTTACTGGCCCTTTAACCACATGCTTCACTAAAGCACATCATCATTTCTGAACCCAGATGCTTGATTTCTGAATACTGTGGCTATGGAGGTTAGTGCAGAATCTTGGATCAGCTCTCATCCTCCCTTAGTTCCTCAAAAATTCACTTTGGGTCCGGCAACATAAAGCACTGGTAAAAGGAAACAGAACTTCCTACAACTTCAGAGAAAAAGATGAGAGGGCTCTCAAAGTCTTCTGTGCTAATGGGAAATATTCATTCTTGACCTCTTTTCCTCTCCCTCCCGAGGCTCATGGCTCTTTATAGACACAACTAGGGAGTTTGAACAGTTTCTCTCATATTTCTAGGTCAAGAGAGCAAAGCTAGAGTTGTTCAGATATTTACTGAATGCCTAATAAGCACAAAACCTAGTACTTAGCACTATAGGGATCCAAAGAAATAAAAGACATAGTTCCCACTGGAGCAAGAAGAATTATATAAGCAAAAGTTAAATGATAGATTAGCAGCAAAACATGAGATTTAACAAAGTTGTTGCCAAAGGCAAATGTGCAAACCGTGAGAGCTCTTCTGACCAAGGTAACGTATTTAATATACACTGCTTTCTTTAATAATTAATCATGGAATACGAGTATGCACTTTGGTAAAAATAAATCAAAATAAATAAGGGTTGAAAAACTACCTATCAGGTACTATGTTGACGACTTGGGCAATGGAAAAATGAGAAGCCCAAGCTTCAACATCACACATATTGTGATTTATTACCCATGTAATAAACCTACACATGCATCCCCTAAATCTAAAATATGAAAATGAAAAATAAAGTTAAATTAATAAATAATTGATTTATCAACATCTGTTACATGAATATACACACATGCACACATGCAATCACCAGTCTGTTAAGATAAAGTTGAAAAAAATCATAACTATCTATGAATTTTAAATATGTAGAAAGCAGAGATTAAGCAAAGATGGCATTTATTGAGCATTTTTACTGTGCTCCAGGTACTGTCCTAAATGCTCTGAATGCATTTTTCTCAATTAATTCTTGTAGCATATTAATGGGATAGAAATTATTACCTTTTATATCTAACTTAGGTTTATTAGAAAGGTTTAAGTAATTTACCTAAGATGTCACAACTAACCCCATATTTTTGAAACATTGTACGTTATATTACAGAATTGGAGTGGTCAGCGTTGTACAGAAACAACGTTTGTCTGTCCTTAGGAAACTTAGCATTTCATAACAAACTCAGGAGTGTCACAGGGTTGGCTTAACTATTCCCATAAAAGGACAATTATTATAAGAAAGACTCAAATATGTATTGGTAAATTGGCTAAGGAATAGACTTAACTAAAACAACTTTTTGGAGGGAGGTGGACATTTAAACCAATTTGTAAAGAAAGTCTATGAGTAATTCATTCATAGCTTCTCATTAAACTCTTCTTGGACACCTAGTATGTGTAAGTCCAACCCCTTATGATGACAGAAACAGGAATAAAACAGATAGAATCCCTGCCTTCAAGGAGCTGATAATAATCCGGTGTGAGGTGATGGGATGGTGGGAAGGTGAGGAGGAAGAAGACAGACAATACAATGGGTAGTAAGTCCTGTGATTGAGATATGGACAAAGGGATGTAGAAGAATAGGGATGGAGCCACAAAATTCTCCCTGTGGGAGCTGGGAATGGCTTCACTGAAGAGGTCATAGCTGATCTGGGTCTAAGTAGATTGGCAAAACTTTGCCTGAAAAATAAGTGGTAGAAAACATTTGTAACAGAGAAGAAAGTAGGTACAAATGCATGAACATTATGAAGCAAGGTTTTCCAAATGAGAAAAGTTAAACACCTCTAAAATGGGACAAAGCCAGGAGCTATTTCAGGTAAGCTTGGCACTAATGGGAAATATTCATTCTTGACCTCTTTCTCTCTCCCTCCAGAGGCTCATGGCTCTTTGTAAACATAACTAAAGAGATTGAACAGTCTCTCCCATATTTCCAGGTCAAGAGAGCAACCCTAGAGTTGTTCAGGTATTTACTGAATGCCTAAACAACCTTAGAGAAAACAGGGAAATGAGGGAAAGGCAAGACCAGTGAGTGTAAGAAGAGGGAAAAAGGGAAGAATTGTTAAGAAAGTATGGCTGATCACAGGAAACTAGGAAAAACCAATGCTTTTCCTTTTCCACCTAGGGGAAAAAAGTCATAATTTATCCAGTTATTCAACCAGAAACAGAGGTATCATGCATGCCTCCTTCCACTCTCTCATTCCCTAAATCTTATCAATCACTGAGCGTTATCAATTCCACCTCCTAAACCTGTCTCTTGTCTACTGGCTTCACTGCAGGCTCAATGCTACCAAACTAGAACGGGCCTCTTGGCTGGGCTAATGCAGCAGCTTCCTAACTGTGCCTCACCAGTCCATTCTCCTTCCTTTAGCCAGCGTGATCTTTTTAGACACACAAATCCCATCACATTACTCTTCCAGGCACTTCCCAAAACCCTCAAGGTGAAGTTCAATCTGAGCCACGTGGTTCACAAAGCCCAGTGAAGCCATTACTTATTCTGTTCCCCACCCCACCTCCTAGTCCCACCCTCGCCTACTAAACAAACACACACATGTCATGATCTACTAATGTGGAATTCCTTTCCTTTCCTCAGATATGCCATGCCCTCTCTTCTTCAGACTTCTACTTACCCCGAAGCACTTTCTTCTGCATCTGAAGCACTCTTTTCTCCAAGTGTCACTTGGCTAACTCCAACTCATCCTGTGGACCTCAATTTACATGCCATCTTTTCCAGGAAGCCTTCCCTGATGTTCAGGGCAGGATTATGCATCCTCCCTTGGTGACTACATAACACAGTGTTCTTTCTCTTTCCCAGCACTTAGAGATGTGTAATTGCCTGCTTAGTGATCTGTATTCCCAAATAGACCTTAAGTTCCCAAAAGCAGGGCCACATCCATCTCATTCATTATATCTCCCTTAGCAGCTGGTGCATATTAAACCAGGAAGTACATGACTGAATGAATCCTACTCTGGGCCAATACTGAAGGAGGATGAAAGCTTGGTAAACAACAGTGACTGAATCAAATGAGGTTCAGTTACCAACTCTGTGACCAAACCACGCAATTCAGGTTTAATCAGCATTGACTAAGCAGGTTCCAAGCAAAATGAGACCAAATTGTTTTGCCGACCTGGATCTGACTGTGCAGTTTAGTGAAAGCCAAAAAACTGAGTGTCTATTCAGGGCTGAAGATGGTTCTCTTCCCACCTTGGGTCCAGAAGGTAAGAGTTATACAAATAAAAAAGCTGGAACATGAGGCTTGAGTCAAGGTGGGGGTAAGAAAATGATCCCAGCACTTTGGAAGGCCGAGGTGGGCGGATCACGAGGTCAGGAGATCGAGACCATCCTGGCTAACATGGTGAGACCCTGTCTCCACTAAAAATACAAAAAATTAGCCGGGCGTGGTGGCGGGCGCCTGTAGTCCCAGATACTCGGGAGGCTGAGGCAGGAGAATGGAGTGAACCCAGGAGGCGGAGCTTGCAGTAAGCCGAGATTGCGCCACTGCACTCTAGCCTAGGCGACAGAGCAAGACTCTGTCTCAAAAAAAAAAAAAAGAAAAAAAGAAAATGATCTTATTTGGCAGATTGGAGAAATACCAGGCATTGATTTTTAGTTCCCTACCATAAGAAAATACCTAAAAGCAGTACAATAAGTTGTTATCTATTGTACTGTTTATAACAAGATGTCCCATATTTAAATTACAATTACTTATTAAATTACAATTTATTCCATAAAATAATATGTATTACATACTTCAAAAAATGCAAGAACTTACTTTTATCATCTCCTAAATGTAAATAGGCTCTTTTCCCCTTCCCTCTACTTTGCACCTAAACCTTATTTCATTCTTTCACTGTGATAATCTTTCGTGATGTTTTTCAGAATCCTTGTACTGGTTTGAATAAAGTGGCAGGCAAGGCCAAATGAACTATAGCTACCTACCCTCCATATATAAAATATAAGGCTGTGCATGTGGCATAATAAAAATTCCAATAAATACTTGGGTATTTGGAAAGGCCAGAGGAGTGGGCAGGAAATGACATGAGATAGAGGAATGCAGAGGTACCTGGCGAAGGCATCAGGAAGGTCTATTGCACTTCTGTGCTTCAGATCTGTATCTCTGCTGAGCAGTTGTTGATTGGTCTCTTTGTAGCAGCATCTGTCTAGAGGTAAGAAAAGCTGGTCATTATCTGGCTTCCAATTGTGTACAAAGTCTGATAACACTTTCTGTTTTTCAAGAATAATTAAAGCTTTTCTGAACTTTTTTGGGTAAAAGCACACTTAATCATCACGCAGCAAAGCTGGCAGCTGGCCAAAAGCAGGACAATCAAAGGGCTTGCTCTCAGAAAGCCCCAAGCGGATCCCTCAGCTTCGGATAAGTACTAGTGGGAGAAACGCAAGGACCCTGGTTCTGGAAGTCTTCAAAACCCTTCTGAGTAAAAGCAGATCCTTCTACACTTCTGAGTAAAACTTAAGACTAGAGCATGAAAAGGAGTGAAGAGTCCATGAATAATAATTTTTATTTAATAAATAGAGAATATAGAACAGTTTACAGTTGTGAGCCATAAAGATAATTCTTAAGCAAGAATTTCTTTTTTAATTGACTTGTCTGAATATCCGCCCTCCCTTCCCCCCTAAAATAAACCAAAGTATTACTAGCTCTGGCAGTTTTATACTAAAATGCAAGGTTATATTTAATCTGGGAAAACCTAAGATAAGCACATCCTTCCTAATTGCCTCTTTCTAAGTTATGTTTCTTGTAACTCCTCAAGTTAGAGGCTCAAACCATATTTTCAAGGTATTTATCACATTTTATGCCTCTAACTCTGCAGTGTTCATCCTCATGGGGCCCATCCCAGGGAAGGCGACAGAAAGACAACCTAAGTGAATCCCCCCTTCCTTAACAAACCACAGAAGCTGCCAATGCACTGATGTCATCAACCAGATTGCTTTGTTCCTCCATTGATAATAAAGCAGTCATTTTAGTTTATAATAACTGTGAAAATAAAAAGAAATCAAAGACTTAGAAATGTGTTGGGTGATGGTCACTGGCTCTGATCTTACTGTATGTATGACCCTTAATTAATCCCACTTACCTTCTTGCCTCACTTTGTTCACTTTACAACTAGGTGTTTAGGCTTCTAGAACATTATCAAAACCCCCCACTAAAATTCCAGGAGTTCTTGGTCTATTTTAGAGGTACCTTATTAAAAAATACATAAAATTTGTCCTCCATGGCAAATATCACCTGTTGCCTTCAAGTTTCATGTTTATTTTGCATTTCTTTTTTAAAAATACTCACTTGCATTTTAATACTTTCATATTTTAATTTTTTAAATGTTGGTCCACCTAAACTTTTTAACATTATAATTTAATGCAAGGCAAAAATTATATAGATCTCAAATATTAGTTAAGTAAACATTAATACATATTTTAAAAACATAAAAGCCTTAAAGAGCTTTGAAATTACTTCTAAGTTTTTAACTTCTAGAAATTTAGCTGAACTGTGAAATATTCATAATGTAGTAAGATTGACTGAAGAGGCAAACACCAAAATCATATGATTTTTTTAGCACACTGGGAAATGATGTCAACTTAGAAAATATAAATTGTTGGGTGACCTATTGTATTCATTTTACCTACTTTTCATTTGGTACATTATTATCTCTGAGATTTATCGATTTAGCACAATCCACAAATATTATATGAGGAGAGGAACCCTTTCCTAATCTTTATGTCCATGTATTCCTATGAATATCGACATCAAAATGTTACTGTCTTGAGTTCAATCAAGTATTACATTTCCTTTTTGAAAAAAACATTTTCTCCATTTTCTCTCCTTTGACTCTACTCCAATTTTCTATCCCATGTTACAATAACCCCCACTATTTTGAGAATTTCTGTTACAGATTTTTACCTCTTTGTAGCTCCTGCTTTAATGGAATAGACTTTCATTCGTCTTCCTTCAATAAATATTTATTGAATGCTTACTATTGCTAGCCAGTGAATTAGGTGCTGAGGGGGCATAGAGCTAAACAGACACAATCCTTGCCCTCAGTAAATGGACATTCTCAAGAAGCTATCCCTCCTCTCTAAAGCCCAGTTTCTTCATCTATAAAATAGGGTAAAAATAATTACTGCATGAGCTGTTATGAAAATTAAATGAAATTACAACTTTTAAGCACTTGGCAAAATACCTAACTCTCAGTAAATATTGTGTATTCCATTTTCTTTCTTAGGTGCTATAATAGAAGAAACTCAACCACAGACATAATATTTGAGCCATGTCTTGAAAAGGGTTGGTTTTCAAAGGAAGAAAGAACAAGGAAGGAAAACATTCCAGATACTGAGTGTATCCAGTCTGTACATGAAAGAGCATATTACATGCTGTTTTAAAGAAGTAGAAAGCTGCCCCATAAAGCTAGGAAGAACAAGCAGGACATGAAACTGGAAAGCTGAGCTGGTTTAATGAATTTAATCCTGCAGAAAACAAAGAACCACAAGGGACTTTGATGAAAAGAAAATAACATGATTCCAGTTGTGTAACGGAAAGATCACTATGGAGAATGGGTTTGTAGGGCAACAGCCCAAAGGGAGTGAAATCAAGTAAGAGATTCCCAAGATCAGATTAGAGAAGATGATGTCTGAACTAAGACAATGACAGTTACTGAATAATAGAGATTGAGTTGAGAAATAATTTAGAGGCAGCATCTACCATATGTGGTCACTGACTACACCTTGGGATAAGAGTTGACCCTGAGGTTTTCAGTTTGGTGGTAAACCAGATGAATACACCATTAACTAAAAGAAGAACTACAGAAAAAGAATAAATATATTGGGGAAGCAGAGGATGAGGATTTGGAGAAAGTTGGAGATTGTGGACATGATTCTAGACAGAGAAAACACCAAGAGAATACCAATCCTGAGAGGGCAGGGCAAAGGGAAGGAACCAATACAGAAAGTCTATGAAGAAAGGTTATAACCATAGAGAATAACATATTGGGAGTCAAGAGAGCAGAGAGTTTTCAGAAGGAGGAATTAAAGATTTGTGCCAATATCACAGAGTGGTCAAGTAAGAAAGCTAGGAGAAAGCTGGTTTAATCTTCTAACCCCAGGACTTGGGGAGAGGCAGAATGGACAGCATTCCCTCCAGCTGGGTTTGAGGAAGGGAGTGCCATCAGAGCAAATTCATGTTTTGGGTAAGCTGAGAAGGCAAAAGGAGCACTCTATAGAAAGTTTAACGATCTGGGGGAAAATTAAAGATCCAGTATTGCAATGGACATGTTTGAGAGGAGAGCCAGTGGGTGGAGGAGAGAGAGGTCACTAGACCACCAAGAAAGGACAAGACCATCCTGGATAAAGACAGAGCATGAGAGGATTAATAATGAGGGAATTCTGATTCTTTTTATCTTTGTCTTAAGTGAAATAATTCTTAGCACTTTGATTACCTATCTGATATTACATTAACTTAATAATTTAATACTTTGGCTGTTCTTCAATTCTTTCCTTGTATGTGAAGCTGCTATGCCAATCTAGGCAACAGGGATGCCAACCTCCATAATGAGAAAGCACTGTCAAGTGGGTCCAAGATTCCAAATGCTTTTCCCATTCAAGTTGAAAGCCACTAGTTCCCCTGTGAGCTTCTCAGGTGTCACCTCTGGATGTAATGACAGTTTTGATATGCTACATGGATGCCTGTTTACAGTAGACTCCAGTCATTTTCCCAACAAGGAAAACCTACATCTGCATTCTTTTGATTTAGCTGTTCATCTTTGTAAAACACATACAGAACTGTTACTTACTAGCCAAGCCAAGACATTATCCTGCAGGAGCTGCCTGAAACCCCACCATAACTGTATTTAAAAAAAAAAAAGAAAGAAAGAAAAGAAAAAAACTGGCAGAGTCTAGGTGTGCCCCTTGCAGTTATTTAATAAGCTAAGAGAGAAGATTGGGTAAACTAGATGTCTAAATTGAAAGATAAAGTTCTGAAAATTGTTTTTGTCACTAGATATGCCTTGTTGAGGGCCCTGTTTTCTTTTGCCAACATGCTGAGTCTAATATTTTACAGCCAGCTTTTTCAGCAGTCCTGTGGTTAAAGAAAAAAGATGGACTGCTAGAGATACCACATTTGGACCAGCTGCAGGAATAACTTAATCAACATGGCCTGAAGGATGTTGTTCAAGTGAGTAGTTTGCTCTACTCTCAAATTAGTGAACAAACAGATTATCAAGGCCATTTGTTGATATGCTTACCCTAGTGTGGTAATGTAACGTATGGGTCAAAAATTTCTTGACACTCATATCAAAAGGTGGGATCTATGTCCTATCCCCTTGAACCCAGAAAAACTTATGATTGCTTTAGCCAATAGAGTATAGCGTAAGTGATGGGGTTTCCAACGCTAAGTCAGAAACAGTCATACAGCTTCAGTCTGGTCCTCTTGGAACACTCTCTAGAAGAAGCCAAGCACCATGAAATAAGTCCAACTATCCTGCAACCACCAGGCTGGAAAGGCCATGTGTAGGCATTCAGTAAAAGTGCAGGTGAGCTCCTATTGAAGAGCCAACATCAATTCCCAGTAATATGAGGGAGGCATCTTGTACATCAAGCCTAACTGAGCTACTGTATCCCCAACTGAACTACTGCATCCCCAAACTACTGTATCTCCAGCTGATATCTGCCTGCAACTGCAGAAGAGATTTCAAGCAAGAATCGCCCCTCCAAGCTCTTTCCAAATTCCTAGCCCATAAAATTATGAGCAAACCAAAGATTAAGTTGCTAAGTTTCAGAGTAATTTGTTACACAGCAATAGTAATCAAAACAGAATTAGTTACCTAGAAGTGGGTTACTGTTGAAAACAAAAATAACAACAATAAAACCCAAAAAATGTGCACTGACTTTGAGACTGAGTGCTGAACATTCAGCTTGGGTGCTCAGAAAAAGCTGGAAGGATTAAGGAGACTACTGTCAGAAGTCTAATGGCCCTCGAAAATACTCCGTGAGAGCTTAAAGGTAATTGAGAAAAATGTTACTAGAAGCTGGAGGAAAGGGGATTCTTGTTCTGTAGTGGGAAAATTTAGATAAACTGTTGCCTGCAGTAACAGAAAATAGAAAATGTGCCTCAGGAACTGATGGATTTGGCTAAGGAGACTGCTAGACAGAATGAAAAAGTCAATTGGTTTCTTTTAGCCATATATTCATAAGGCATAGATAGAGCAAGATGAGCCAAAGAAGAAAACGTTCAGTTTCCAAGATTATGTGGAGAAAATAGAAAGCAGCCAAGGCTTAATGGACTTGAATACAGCACTGTTTCCAATCTCTCCCAGAAAAAGATTCTAAACATAAGAAAAGGTCTTAGGATAAATATTGAATCTGGAAAAATGTGGTCTCATGGTCAATACGAAGACTATGTTGTGACAGCAATTTTTAAAATTTTGGAATCATTTTAGATGGTGCCTCTGAGACATTTTCAAACAAAAAAGCCTTATAAGTATCTTAAGGATTGCCTGGTGAGCCTTTCTGTTAAATAAGGCTTCTAAGACTACTAAGAGTGTGGTCTCATAACCACCTTATAGGGAGCCCGGGGTACAGAAGGACTTGCCTGGGAGAGATCTGCGCATGTGGATTTTATCTAATGGAGTGGATTTTAAATTGGTACACAAGAAGCTTACAGAGTTTCTAAAGGAATTGTATAAGCTTGAACTGAAATGAACATAGACAGTACAAAATGGAGGGATGCCCTTGAACAGGAAGCAGACTAAAAAAATGACTCAGCTGCAACACCAGCCATTTCCTGTGGAAAGGAAAGATGAATCAGAGAGATAGAAGCAAGATTCTGAGGGCAAACCAAAATCTACAGACAATTAGTCCCAGACAACAGTGCTGATCCCTCATTTAAAACTGGCAATTTGTGCTCAGCTTATTCCAGACACACTATAAATCAGTGGCGATTATCATTTCCATTCCCCCCTTTTTAAATGAGAGTATCTCTAAGTTGTCTAATTTCTATTCCACCAATTTCTACTGGGAGTGTGGGAGTAGATAATGTGTTCCTTACGTCACAGATCTTCAGATCAGGAAGAATGGTACTCACAGAGCTGAACCCAGGGAACAATATCTGAAGAGACTCCATCCTAGAATTGGTTTAGTTAAGAAGATTCTGAATCTCCAAGCCTGATGCTGAAATGGGATGATAGGTGGTTGGGGGGATAAAGAGGAGAAGGGGAATCTTGAGAGGGGATGACTGTATTTTGCATGTAGGAGAAATAAAAATAATTTGTGACCAGAGCATAGACATTGATTGTTTAAAATGGATCCAAAACTTTGACATTCCTTCTATCCAGAGGTAGGATCTATGTGGGTGTATTTATGACTATTTCAACCAATAGAGTATGAAAGAAGTGATGCCATGTAACTTCTGAGTCTAGGTAAGAAAATATCATGCAACTTCTGCCTGATATTCTTGGACTTCTCACCCTAGGGGAAGCCAACCACCATGAAAGATGTCCAATTATGCTGAGCCTGTCATGCTGGAGAACTCACCCATAGGTACTCCAGTCAACATCACCAATAGCAAACGCCAGTCATGAGAGTAAGTTATCTTGAACATTGAGCCAAGTCAAGCCTTTAGATATTGGCAGCCTCAGCCAATATCTGATTGCAACCTCATGAGTAACTCCTAAATTGTCACCCTCAAAATATGGAGCAAAATAAAATGAATATTTTAAGCCACTGAGTTTGGGGGGTAATTTGTTATTCAGCAGTTCTAAGTGAAATACCTATAAATATTTTTCAATGATAAATGTGTCTTTTTAGGATGAAAAGTCTTTCTTCGGGTTAGGTCAGAAAGAAAGATCAAATATGTAACATAAATCATAAGACCAAGAGGCCAAACGGAAGTCAGAAATAAAAGCTGGACAAAGTGAAGGTTTAATTAATGAGAGGATGCATAAATAATGGTATGTTTACCATATAGAATATTTTGAAACTATTGTTGAAAATTTGGGGCCATATTATTAGATTTGGAAGAATTTTTATGAGGTAATGTTAAATGGGAAAAATAAGACAAAAAAGGATGTTAAATATCTCCCCTCATATATGTGTGTACGTATACATTTGAGTGTGTATTTCTGTGTGTGGTGTGTGTGTACATAGAGATTATTTTCTGTGTTCTGTATGTACAAGTGTATATTCTAGATGTATGTGTGCATATGATTTTTAAGCACAGTTAAAAATATGGTAGTATATGAACTAGATTGCCAATATGGCTACCCCACAGTTGGGAGGCAAAAGGTTTGGTAGTCAGAAAGGGAAGAGGGGAAAGGGAGCCAAATAAAAAGAAAAAGAAAAGAATGATTGTATTATGAATTTGTGGTCAAATATTTATGAATTTATACACTATATATATATATGTTTACATAAGTTAAATAATTCAGATATGTGTATGTGTGTGCCTATGGGGACACAGAGCATAGATTATAGATGAAAGTATTATTACTGGCTGTCAGCAAGAATAAAGACAGAAATAGAGGACCAAGATAGTCATAGCAAAACAAAGCACAGAGGCACAGTGTGAAACTAGCTCAATCCAAGCAATAAACACTAATGTAATGGTGTCTAATTGAGGAACACATAGATACAGGTCAAAGCAAATATTAAAAGTAATTGGAGTCAAAAGAAAAGAGATACTGAAGAACAAGATAAGAGTATTGGGCAAAAGTAGGAGAGCCAGGAATAAGAAAATCTGAAACAATAGAAAAAGTAGGGCTAAGTACTGAGGCAGAGACAAGATTCACAGAGCAAGCAAGAAGTCGGAGAAGAAAATGCTAGGGACCACCAGCCACAAAAGACCTTAATAACTGATAGCATGTCTTATCTTGGCCAAGGAAGTTACAGATAATGTTATTTGTGGATTACTTGGGGACAGGCAGTGTTACATAGGAAAAATGTGTCTAATTAGTGACAGCTAGAAACTCAAAATCTACTAGAGTGAAGCAGCTTACTATGGAAATAAGCAGCATTTTCTGAGGTGTGGAACCCCTTCAGAAGAGCTCTGAAATGTGTTTTCCAGAGGCAAGTGCTAGGTTCTGCCTATCTACCCATAAATTTGACAGCAAGAAGAGTCATTACTACTTTCCCTTGAAATTTCATACTGACTTTTGTCCAACAATTAGTTCAATTAAGTCATATTCACTCATTTCTAGGAAGCTCAAATTTCTTTCTCTAGAGATAAATAACACTGTACATTTACACTTACCATTTGATCCATTTTGGAATCACAAACATGCCAATAAAAACTTTTTGGTCCATATGTCAATTTACTAAGTTCTTCAGGTGGAAATTGTAAGTATAGTAAAGCTTGCATCAGTAAAAAGAAAACTCTCTTTCCAAATGTGTCTATGATATACATCATCCAAAAAAATTATTTCAGAACTGCCTCTCTATGCTAGAGAAAACTGCAAAACTTAGTGGAATAAAGTGGAAGGCAAAACTGTTTAGGGAAACTGTCTCCAAATCATTTTAACAAATTTCATACAAACAGAAATACAACTAGGCCAGTCAGAAAAGAACTAGTTATTCTGACATGAGAAACGAGTTATTCTCATTTCTCCTAGTCCATGAGAGAAAGATCATATTTTCACATCTTTTTATATTTTGTGTTATTGGATTCAAAAACCATGAGACACATGCCAAAATGTTAACAAAGCCTCCCCTAGAAAACAGGAAGAGAGGTAACAGAATTGGAATTCTTATTATTTCATTCTGAATTTTTTAATTTTTAATGAAGAGCCTCTGTTATTGATGTATTAAAAAAATTTTAAATAATTTTAAAAATAAAAACAATCTTATAAGAAATAACATTGTCAATAGTGTAACTACAATACCCTGCTTTCTCTTAAACAATATATTTTTTAAATTGTTTCCAGCAAATTGTATTATGCGTTATAGTACTAATAGCCTTTATAATTTAGGCAATATTCAATGATGCATCCATTGCCACTACTTGATTTTTGACTTTGCAACAAGAGGTCTTGCCATTAAGGTATATCATTCATCAAAATGACAATTCTTCATATACACTTTAAACGTACATTGAAATCACATGTCATGTCTTTTTTTCTTACCCTAACATTGATAGGGTAATGTTTTCTTTCCTCTCAAACTCTCTTACAATGCATTTTATTATTATTTTTTTTAGACAGTCTCACTCTGTCACCCAGGCTGGAGTACAGTGGCCCGATCTCGGCTCACTGCCACCTCCACCTCCCGGATTCAAGCAATTCTCCTACCTCGGCCTCCTAAGTAGCTGGGATTACAGGCACCCACCACCATGCCCAGCTAAATTTTGTATTTTTAGTAGAGAGGAGGTTTCGCCATGTTAGCCAGGCTGGTCTCGAACTCCGGGCCTCAAGTGATCAGCCCTTCTCAACCTCTCAAAGTGCTGGGATTACAGGTATGAGCCATCTCACCCAGCCAGGATGCATTTTTTTATAATGGAAAATTTAAGTCATTTTTTCTATTGGAAATTTGTTGACATTTGGTATAGGTTTAAATTTTTTTTTAGTGAAGAACATATTCAGAAGTTCATGTCAAAATTAGGGAATCCAAATCCAAAATTCAAATTTCAAAAAAAGTCACAGCTCAAACTTGAAATTCCAGATGCTTAAAAAATTATTGAAGGTGGAAAATATTTTTTGTCTCTGAAGGGTTTATTTTTAAGCCTATTTTTCAACTTCACTGAGTTTGGTTTCAAGCCAGTTTGGACTAAACCAAAGTCTGAAAAAGAGTGGGAAAAAATCAGTAATTCAAAGTCATTTCAAACTTGGACATGTGACCTAGCATGACTCATATGGGGAGAGAAAACTGTCCAAATGTCCAGGGCCTTACACAACTCTACATTTTCGATCTTGGCAAATCCTAATGATTCACACTTGGCTTAAAAATATAAGCACATAGAAGATTTCTAAGCCCATACTCAATATAAAACTACACTTTTTATCTATTAAACTGGTTTATATACAAGTTACATTTTTACTCTTTTAAACTAAAACAGATTTATATATTTGACCCAGAGGTTCTTCAGAATTCATCTTCCACCAATACAGAGTGAAATGAAGCCAGATAAAGAACATTATTCAAGTGCATGAAAACAATATCTATATTAGAACTGACATATTTGCGGTAGTATCAACCACATATTTATACAGTTAAGTGTTCCAACAATACCACTTAAACTGAGCAATAAAAAACATCATTTGGATTTTTGACATTGCTTTCCTAATTCCAATGCAGGGCTATAGTAAAACATAACTATAATCTTTAATTTTTGTGTACTTTTTACCTGCAGTATATATGTTCTATAAATGATGTGTGTGTGTGTGTCTGTGTATAGTGTCTTAAAGCCTGAGTTCAAAATAATAAAAGACTTTGTCAGAGATAAAAATACAAGTTAAAATCCTAGAAGAAAAAGAAAGTTAAGTAATGCCGGGTAGAAACATTTATAAATATACATACATTATTTTATGAAACAAGAAACAGATTTGAGGCCAATATGTTTTATTATTAAAGAAATTAAATAGAATTTGTCTCTGGTTGCTGAATGTCAGAATTTACAATGTATCGACATTACTATGTGTACTATGAAAAATGATAAGACACAAAAGATAAGAATTTATTTCAAAAATTCTACATCTGTTTGACAAAGTGGCACATAGATTCATGATAAATTGAATTACTTAGTTTAATCTGCTTATACTAATCTTGCTCACAAAGGATCTAAGATTTAGAAAAATTTAGCTATTAATAAATATAAAGTGTTTATATTCCATATTCTCCAAAGGATTTGAGAGAGGGAAAGTTAATAATAGAGCCATGTTTATAATACAGGTAAGAAATTATACAAGGTAAAATGCTATAAGTTCCAAATGAAAAGAATAGACAATAGCAAAATGGGAAGAGAAACAACAGCAAGACTGACACAGTACGATTAACTTATTGATCCAAGTAACACCTCATAATAACAATTAGCACTTTACAGCCATCATTTCATTAATCGTCTCATCAACAACCACCTTGGGAGAGCTTATAATTATCTGTGTTCTGGCACAGCCAGAAACTCAGTGCAGATTGTCTTCTAGGTCAAAAGTCTGAGCTCCATGCATTAATTAAGCTATTACACAACCGTATCTATTTTATGTCCATCTCTGGTTTGCAAGGCCTCTAAAACATTTAGAATCTCATCAGTACTTTTCCTCTGGTGGCAGTGGTACCACAAGAAAGTAATTATCCAAATGAACTCAATTTTTTTTTCCAATGATCACTGAATGAACAGTGCCAAGCCACTCTAGAAATCAGAGTCAGATGGGCATTTTGTGTTTCTTAGGAAAAGTAAAGCCAGTTTTAATGTTGACCGCTTGTCAAATTGCATCACATCAGGAATATACTTTTCAATGATAGGCAATACTACACATGAGAGCTGCTGTCTCTCTTCCAAAGACAATGGTGTTGTCACTGTTTCTTCAAGATACCATCCTGGTGGAAATGTTTCTCACTCTGATCCAGGCCATGAGGAAATCTTCCAGGCATTGAATATAAGCAAGGTTGTCCATGACTGTGGGAAAGGTTGTCAGTTCTGGGGAAATTAATTCTTATGAGAGAACTGATGTATACACATTATTTCAAAGCAAGTTAAAGAGTCCTTTTAAGGATTCTGGATTCATTCCTTTCAACCATGAGAATGTGAACTCATTTCTGGTATTTAAAAGAAGTGAAACTTTCCACATGAAACTACATATTTTCTTGTCTGGTTTGTCTTTCTTTTACAATGACTGAATACCATGCTAAGTAAGTCAGTGCTTCTATGAGATGACTGAAAATTATAGATAATCACAATAAAACACTTTTTAAATTAGCAGTGATGCCTAAATTTAGACTAATTCTTGAAATTAGAATAAAGTAGTTCACCAAGAATGTGGGCTTATTTCAAAATTTAGGCTTCATTTAATTTTTTATCTTAAAAAATAACATGTAAGAGTTGGAAGGTATTTATTGGTACTGTTACATTTACTGCAGGAATGTTTTATGTGTATACTTTTGGAATATTATATGCATAACATAAGTCTATATCAGAAGAAAGGAAGGGAAAGAAAAATGAAGGGAGAGAGTGAAGGAGAAGTTGAGGGGGATGAAGAAAGAAAAGAAGAAAGAAGAAAGAAGAAAGCAGTGAGGGAAAGGAAGAGGGAAGAAGAAAGGGAAGTGGGTAGGGGTAAAAGACAAAGAGAAAGAATGTTGAAGAATTTTAGACAAAATTACAGTCTACTTTGACCACACTTGGAATCCTGCCTCCCAGTCTCCCCTGACGGAAAGTATCCCCTTTCATGAGTCTGATGTGTATCATTCTAGTCCACTCTGAAGTTTTATATTTGAGATTTAGTCCATCATACTAATCACATAGGCAATATCATTTGATGAGTCACTTTGTCATTCTGCATCATGATTTGAGTATATTTTTGTAGGTTGTATGTGTCTAGGAATTTATTTCTTCTAGGTTATCCAATTTGCAGATGTATAATTGTTCATAATAGCCTCTTATGATCCTTTATATTTCTGTGGTATCGGTTGTAATGTCTCCCTTTACATTTCTGATTTTATTTATTTGCATTTTCTTTTTTTCTTAATATGGCTAAAGGTTTGTCAATTTTATATTTTCAAAAACAACTCAGTTTCATTGATCTTTTCTATTGTTTTTCTAGTCTCTGTTTCACTTATTTCTGCTCTACTATTGTTTCCTTCCTTGTACTGACTTTGGGGTTAATTTGCACTTCCTTTTCTTCTTCCTTGAGATACTACTTTAAGTTGTTAGAGATCTTTCTTCTTTTTTGGTATAGGTGTTTATTGCTAAAAACTTCCCTCTTAGAACTGCTTTTCTGCATCCCATAAGTTTTGGCATGTTGTGTTTTCATTTTCATTTGTCTCAAGATATTTTTTAATTTTCCTTTTTTTTTTTTTTTTTTTTTTTTGAGACAGAGTTTCGCTCTTGTTGTCCAGGCTGGAGTCAACTCACTGCAACCTCTGCCTCCCAGGTTCAAGCGAGTCTCCTGCCTCAGCCTCCCAAGTAGCTGGGATTACAGGCATGCACTATCACACCCGACTAATTTTGTATTTTTAGTACAGACAGGGTTTCACCATGTTGGCCAGTCTGGTCTCGAACTCCTGACCTCAGGTGATCCACCTGCCTCAGGCTCCCAAAGTTCGGGGATTACAGGCATGAGCCACCGCACCCAGCCTAATTTTCTTTTGAATTTCTTCTTTCCCATTGGTTGTTCAGGAACATGCTGTTTAATTTCCACCTACAGAAGTGCCTCAGTATCTATCGGGGATTGGTTGCAAGACCCCAATGGAAACTGAAATTTACAGAAGCTCAAGACCCTGATACAAAATGGCATGGTAGTTGCATATAACCTCTGCACATCCTCTCAGATACTTTAAATCATCTATAGATTACTTACAATACCTAATTCGATGTAAACACGATGTAAACCTTTGTTATGCTGCATTTTTTATTTGTATTACCTTTAAATATTTTTCTCTGTATATTTTTGATCCACAGTTGGTTGAATCCATGTGGAACCCACAGATAGGAAAGGCCTGCTGAATTTGTGAATTTTTCAAAATTCCACCTGTTACTGATTTCTAGCTTCATTCCATTCTGGCCAGACAATGTACGTGATATGATTTCAATCTTCTTAAAATTGTTAGGACTTATTCTGTGGCCTAACATCTGATCTATCCTGTAGAATGCTCCATGTGCACTTGAGAAGAATGTATATTCTGCTGCTGTTGGATGGAATGTTCTGTATCTGTCTGTTAGGTCCATTTTGGTTACTTAATATTATAGTTAGCAGCTTTACATCTACATTCTTAAATATTGATTGCTGTAATTTTCCTTTTCTGCACTATTCTGATCCAGTTTTAAATTCAGTTTTTACTAACCACATTTCAAAAGCCAAACAGCTATTTTTCTATTTTCTGTAACAAGTCAAGGAATTTGGTAAACCTCATCTAGAAACTTTCTGGGTCTGAGGCTTATAATTGGGAGTGGGATATTTTTCTTCTACTTTGATTTTTTTAATGGTTATTAATGTACTCAAGGTTTTTTTATTTCTTCTAGTGTCAATTTTGGCAATTTATATTTCTGTAATTTTTCAAATTTGTTCACATTTCTTTATAAATACTTTTACTATATTTCCACGTTTCATTTGTAGTTATTTATTCTATATGTAATAACATATCCTCTCTCTCTTTCTCATTCCCTTTCTCTCTCTCTCCCAAATCACTCTGATCAATGCTTTGCATATCTTAGTAATGTATTGGTTATAGTACTCCATTTTTTTTAATTTTTTATTTTATTTATTTATTTATTTATTTATTTATTTATTTATTTATTTGAGACAGAGTCTCATTCTGTCACCCAGGCTGGAGTGCAGTGGCGCGATCTCAGCTCACTGCAAGCTCCGCCTCCTGGGTTCACGCCATTCTCCTGCCTTAGCCTCCAGAGTAGCTGGGACTACAGGCGTCCGCTACCACGCCTGGCTAATTTTTTTTTTTTTTTTTATTTTTAGTACAGACGGGGTTTCACCATGTTAGCCAGGATGGTCTCGATCTCCTGACCTCGTGATCCACCCGCCTCAGCCTCCTAATGTGCTGGGATTACAGGCGTGAGCCACCGCGCCCGGCCAGTACTCTATTGTTTACTTATAGTTGTGTTCTCTATATCCCTGATATTTACATGTATCTTTTCTATATTTTTCTGTCTTGTTTACTTTTTTAAGTAAAACATAAAGAATGGTCACATGAGCACACTTACATCACTGCCTAGCTTAGGAAAGTAAACCTTACTAATAGAATTCAAACCCGTTTGCTCTTCCTCAAAGAAATTTTCTATGCACCCACACCAGAGCGAGGTACTATTCTGAATTTTGTGTGCATCATTCCTTTGCATTGCTTTATACTACCACTACGTACATAGATTTTCCTGAGCAATGTATAGTGCTGTTTTGCCTATTTGTAAAGTTTGTCTTATTGAACCTGTATCTGTGAGATTCATCCATGTTTCTTGAATCATCTCCCAAATACTGGAGGCACTGGCTTCTCTGCCTTAGTGTCTCCTATTAGGGGAAACCAAACTAGGATGCTTTCCACTACCAGTGCATTTAGAGATCTTTTACATTGTTTATCATAAGGAAGTGTTTAATATTTTAATATTTTTGCATCTTGTGAGACGATCCTTCATCTCTTATTTGAAGAATTAAACTAATTCCTCTTTTATTCTTTTGATAATTTTATTTTCAATAATCCTCTTATTCCTGGGAAAACCCAGTTTAAACTTGATCTAATTTTTTATTTTTTTGATAATATTTTATTTAGCATTTGACATCTATGATCATAAGTGAGATTAGCCCGTAATTTTCATTTCTAATATTTTCCTTATCCAATTTAGGTAGCAAGGTTATACTAGTTTCACATAAAACCATTAGAAGATGTCTGACTTTTTGATTCTCCAGGAAAAATTAGGGTAAAAATGAAATCATGTTTTTTGACTCTTTGATTTAAATTACCTCTGAAATCATGTGGAACTGGCTTTTGTGTGAGTACATTTCCAATCTTAATTAAACTTATATAATGAGAAGAAGACTCATGCATTTTATTTTGTCTTGAATTCCCTCTTAAGCTGTAGCTTTTCTAAGAAATTCTCACTTTATCCAAGTTTTTGTGTTTGTCAAAAGTTAATTTCATAGTTTTATCTTTTTAGTCAATAGTATCTATAGCTGTCTTCTTTTTCATTGCTAATATTGTTTATTTGTGTTGTTTCATATTTTCTGAGCCCAAAAATGTCTATTTTATTAGTTTTTTCAAAAAATGAACTTTTGCCTTAGTTGATTCTCTCTACTGTATATTTGTTTTTCATTTAATTAATTTCCCCTTATCTTTATAGTTTCCTTCCTTCTGCTTTCTCTGTGTTTATTTTGTTGTTCTTCTAACTTCTTAAGTTGCTTAGCTCATTTATTTTCAGCTTTCTCCTTTTCTAGTATAAGCATTTAGAGCTGTAAATTCACCAGAAAGCATGCTTCAATTGTATCTTGCAATTTGGGCATGTATTTGTTATTATTCACCTTTGGCTATGAGTTATTTAGAAATGCTTTCTAAAATTAATTTTCAAAGATATAAATTTTTCCTATACAACTACTTATTATTGATTTCTAACATGGAAAAATGGTCTAGATGATAAAAATTCTACAAAATTGTAGATACGGTTGATTTTGACAACTCTTCCTTGTATAATTGAGAATATGGTTTATTGGGTAAGGTTGATTTTGAAAACTGCTCCTTGTATAATTGAGAATACGGTTTATTCTTTCATTGGGGGTCATTTTTCTTTCATCTCAAGCTTGCTAATGATGTTATCTAAACTTTTAATACACTCATAAAAAATGTTTTGCTGCTTGATTCATCAGTTACTCAGAGAAGTTTGTAAATTCTTACACTGTTATTGTAGATTTGTCCATTATGGCCTTATACATTTTGAGGCTATGCTAAAAAGTTTACAGGTTGCAATTAAATGTTTATCATCATATAGCAATACTCTTTATGCTTAGTGACGTTTTGCCTTGAAGACTATTTTGACTGGCCTATCTCTCCACCATGATGTTAGTGAATTGGGGTGTAGTATATCTTTTCCCCTTTACTTTTGACCTTTCTGTGTACTCATAATTTAGATGTTTCTTTCATTCTCCTTGACAATCTATAACTTTTAACTGTCAAGTCTATTAAATTTATAGTAATTACTATTACTAATAGATCTAAATTTATTTCTACAATTTTGTTTTGTGCTACATCTCCTGATTTTGCAATAGTTTTCTTTGTTCTTTCTTTTGGTCTAATTAAGTTTTGTTGTTTTACTCCAATGCTCCAACACAGTGTATCTAGGTGATGATTTTTTTTTTAATGTATCCTATCGGAGATTTCCAAATGAGCCACATTTTTCATTGGTTCAGAAAGTTCTGCTTGGACATCACCTTTCCATCATTCTCTATTACTGGATGTCCTGAAATGTGGAAGGACAAGCCTACCATCCCCAACTTTCATGAGTGAAGGCTTTCAGGCCTGATTACTCATGTCCTAGTTCAGTTGTGGCACTGTAATGAGAAAAGTCATAAAACAGAAGAAAAGATCAATTGAGATATGCATTTAAGGTTTGTTAGGCATTTTGAGGAACTATAGTGTCTCCTACAGCTTTTCTGTGTTAAAAACAAAAAGATCCCTACCCTCACACTGACCCATTTGCCACAGCCACCATTAATTATACTGTGACAGATACAAGTGATTCTATGAAGGAAACAAGGAAGCTTCATGTTCAATATTAAGTGTTAGGGACATGTGATGACATCTGTGGTCTCTCACAGACTGGGAATTAAGAGATGTGGTTTTTTAGGGCACACTTCTGTCATATGCTACAACTTTGCCTTGGCCCATAATATACCTTCTCGGCGCCTGTGAAACATGTCATCACTGTATTTGGAAGATTAATAGATTTGCAGATTCACAACCAAGAGGTGGGATGGAAAAATCTCTACAGAGCACTTATAATATGAAAAGCATATTCATTATTATAATAGGATTTGGTGATTTCATATTGCTTTCATAATATGAACTAGAGAGGGTGGATTTGCCAAATTCCTCTTGCGTGGTGAAGACAGTTGGCAGTCAGACTTTTAGTTAAAACTCTAAACCTGGCAAATAGTCAGGATTATTTGAGAAGGTTCTTACAAATACTCTGAGGTGACTCTCACCGTAGGCTTTAAATATCATCCATCCTCTACTCCAGGCTAAACCTTTCCCAGTTACCTTTGGTGTATTTTCTTCATCGCTCTTTCCACAATATGTGGTTAGATTTTTGTTTGTTTGTTCATTTCTTTTAGGACAGTCTTCCTCAGTGGACTGTGTGGTCCACAAAGACAGAGATGTTGACTGTTATTGTCTTCATTCTGTACATAAAGCTTACCCTAGGGCCTAGAACCTGGTAAATGCCCAATATATATGTGAAGGGATGAAGGAATAATTTCTTCCAACATTCCTGTTGGATTTCTGTAATCCAACAGAAATCTCTTTAGTGTGACCCAGGAATTTATGTGTAAAGTTCTGGAGATGATTTTGATAGCCAACACATTGAAGAACACACTAGTTTCTGACAAAGTGACTTTGTCATAACTAAGGAGAATATATCAGAATTTTTGATGGCATGGGAGCAGGGCCAGTTTAATGAGGGTTTGATTAGGAGTTCTCAGAAGGGCTCCTTTCCCTCCCCGTCCTGCACTTGAGGCTCAGTACTCTGCAGTCTTGGTGTTCTTATTTTTACCTTTGAATTTGTGTTTTGTAAGTGAAGTCTGATGGGATGATAGAGTATGAGCAGGGGTTTGGAGCCTCTGCTCAGAATCACCTGCTTCTCACCATTTCACTACCTTCCCGGTAGGGGCTGCAGCTGCCTGCACAGCCCCTGCCCAGTGACGCTGTTACCCTTTCCCCAGGTGGGGTCAGAGCACAGGTCTAGGAAGCAATAGAGTCCAGCCCACACACAAAGTCATGGTATGTGACCCTTGGATGCCAGCAAGGGTACAGAAGTTTGATGTTAAATAACAAAGAATGCCATAATGGGTCAATAGAGACAACAGAAAAAAGGAAAATGCTTTTTTCCTGCATTTTGAATAAGGAGCCTAGCATTTTTCTTTTATAGTCAACAATTTACATAGCCAGCTGTGGGGACAGGAGATATTACTTTGACAAAAAGGGTCATGTATGTATATCTCCAGTTGAGAAACACCATTCCCAGGTTTACTTTCTCAATTAAGACATATTACCACCCAGTGGATGGTGGTGCCTACGTGTCTTTTGCTCCAATTAGACTTTTTCAAAACTGACACAGAGAGTTACTTCTTTTCAACTAAATTAAGCTTTCTTGATACAAATGTGATTTTACTAAAATGTTAAGAATAGATATTAACTATTTTATTGCAAAATGCATTTTATATCACAATTTGAAGAATTGCATATAAGCAACTTATTCCCTAACTCTTATAATTATAAATTTTTATTCTTCAGTCTTTCCATTTCAAACTTATGTTCTTCCCCTCCTCTCACTACCTACAATACCTAAAGACTTCTAGCTCGCTTTAGAGGAAGTTCCAGTAGTTTCTAGTTGACGCTCTCGGCCTGTGTGTTGTTCAAACTCTTAAGTCTATGTCCAAGAGTTTTTCTTTCTCTAGGGTGCTCTGATCTTCCCTCATGTAAATTTGCAGAAGTCTCTCAAGTGTTGAGGTGTCAGTGGAAAACCTCAAGTCCCCAAGAAGTGGCCCACTTAACATCAAATGCTGAGATGGCCAAGAAGCTGCCTGGGAAATGCTGAGCCACTTGGTTAAACAATGAACTCTGATACTGAAGCAGGCCATGCTGAGACAGCTTGACCACCAACAAGAAATACCAACTATTGTTCTTGATCATGTCTCAGCCCTGCCTCACTGCTCGTGTGGTTTCACCAATATTTGACCATGGTTTCATGTTTTAGGAACTTATTTCCTGTCTATCTGCCATGCCATTTATCTCTAAGTTTCTCCAGAGGGGCCTGTTTATCCAGCAAAGGAACAATTTTATTCCCATTATTGGTTATTCATGAACAATGACCTCCCTCTTTCCACCACTCCTAGCCAATTAGGGATTTCTTGATCTTGCCCTTAATTCTACTCACCAAGCTTAGCCTGGAGTGCCTAATCCAGCCTCCTGTCATCTGTAAAATATACCTGTGTACCCTTCACCAGCAGCACCCAAGAGCCAGTTACTTGATCTTGCGCCAAAATCTATTCACCAAACCCCAATCTGCAGCACCTAATTCAACTACAGGCACCTTGCATAACACTAGCATTGTGCAAGTTGGAGCAGTTCGTGGCTACACTCTGGGCCCCAGAACAGGGGTATGACTTCTCCCCATCGAAATGAATCACAGCTCCAAAGCACAGCTTTTCAATTCTGATTTATTTCAAAACTTATGATCTTTCTAACAGGTTGCATTACTAGAGCTCTTCTTGATGGATAAAACCATAGAAAAGTGTTCAAAATCCTTATGAGGAAATTGTGCAAGTTGCCTCATGCTTAGAGGATGCTATCTCATTGGGACAAAGCCTACCTCGCAGAGCAGCCCAGGACAGCCTTTGTGAACCCAGGTGGGTAGGGTCATGTCCTTGCTGATCCACCACTGCCTTTGGATCTAACACCCAATTTCCTATAGGTGCAGATGGGAACGGCTGACAGAGAAGAGAGAGAACAATGATGAAGGCAAATTACCATTTATTTATATTTTGGATGTGAACATTACACCAGGGCCTTCTCTAATAAGCACTGGTCTTTTAAAAGAAAAGAAATTTTCAATACTACTGTATGGAAAACGCATGTTCCTGCCCAATACCCATGTTTCTGTCCAGGGTCAGCTCATTTCTTTCCTTAACTATAAACATCCAGGAGCTCCATCTTCCAGGCTGCCTCTAGCATTAAATCAAGAGCTTCTGAAGATCCTTAAAGTCCTTGGAATTGTATGTCAAATAATGTGTCCATATTTCCTTGAGTATTTTTTAAAAGAAGAAGTGCAGTAGATTTCATTAGATTTTAAAGGGTGTCTATATTTGTTCGTTCTCATGTTGCTATAAGGGCATACTGCAGACTGGGTAATTTATAAAGGAAAGAGATTTAATTGACTCACAGTTCTGCAGGGCTGAGAGGGCCTCAGGAAACTTATAATCATGGCAGAAGGGGAAGCACACACATCTTTCTTCACAACATGGGAGGAGAGAGAAGAATGAGAGCCAAGCCAAGGGGGAAGCCCATTAAAAAACCATCAGATCTCATGAGAACTTACTCACTACCATGAGAATAGCATGGGGGAAACCACCCCCATGATTCAATTACCTCCTGCTGGGTCCCTCCCACCACACATGGGGATTATGGGAACTACAATTCAAGGTGAGATTTGGTACAGTCAAACCATATCATTCCAGCCCTAGCCCCTCTCAACTCTTGTGTCCACACATTTCAAAACACAGTCATGCCTTTCCAACATCCCTCAAAGTCTTAGTTCATTCCAGCATTAACCCAAAAGTCCAAGTCCAAAGTTTCATCTGACACAAGGCAAGTTCCTTCAGCCTATGAAACTGTAAAATCAAAAACAAGTTAGTTACTTCCTAGACATAATGGAGGTACGGCATTAGGTAAATACTCCCAGTCCAAATAGGGGAAATTGGCCAAAACAAAGGGGCTAAAGGCCCCATGCAAGCCCAAAATCCAAAAAGGCATTTATTAAATCTTAAAGCTCCAAAATAATCTCCTTTGACTCCATGTCTCACATCCAGGTCACGCTGATGCAAGAGGTGGGCTCCCATGGCCTTTGGCAGCTCCAACCCTGTGGTTTTCCAGGGTACAGCCCCCCTTCAGGCTGTTTCACAGGCTGCTGTTGGGTTCCTGCAGCTTTTCCAGGCACACGGGTATAAGCTGTAGGTGGATCTACCATTCTGGGGTCCAGAGGATGGTGCCCCTCTTCTCACAGCTCCACTAAAGACAGTGCCCCAGTGGGGACTCTGTGTGGGGGCTTCAATCCCACATTTGCCATCTGTACTGCCCTAACAGAAGTTTTCCATGAGAGCTCCACTCCTGCAGCAAACTTCTTCCTGGACATCCAGGCACTTCCATACATCCCCTGAAATCTGCGTGGAGGTTCCCAAACCTCAATTCCTGACTTCTGTGCACCCACAGGCTCAATGCCATGTGGAAGCTGCCAAGGCTTAGGGCTTGCACCCTCTGAAGCTATGGCCTGAGCTGTACCTTGGCCCCTTTTAGCCACATCTGGAGTGGCTGGCATACAGGACACCAAGTCTCTAGACTGCACACAGCAAGGGGGGCCCTGGGCCCTGGCCCATGAAACAATGTTTTCCTCCTAGGCTTCTGGGTCTGTGATGAGAGGGGCTGCTGCAAAGGTCTCTGACATGCCCTGGAGACATTTTCCCCCTTGTCTTGGTAATTAACATTCAACTCCTGGTTACTCATGCAAATTTCTGCAGAGGGCTTGAATTTCTCCCCAGAAAATGGGTTTTGCTTTTCTATTGCATCATCAGGCTACATATTTTTCAAACTTTTATGCTCTGTTTCCTCTTGAACACTTTGCCACTTAGAAATTTCTTCCTCCAGATATTCTAAATTATCTCTCTCAAGTTCAAAGTTTCAAACTTTCCCACATTTTCCTGTCTTCTTCTGAGTCCTCCAAACCATTCCAACCTCTGCCTGTTACCCAGTTCCAAAGTAGCTTTCACATTTTCGGGTATCCTTATAGCAGCACCCCACTCTCTGTGGTACCAATTTACTGTTTCAGTCTGTTCTCAAACTGCTATAAGGATGTGTATGAGACTGGGTATTTTTTAAAGGAAAGAGGTTTGATTGACTAGTAGTTCCACAGGGCTGGGGAAGTCCACAGGGCTGGGGAGATAGAAGAGGAAGAACACATGTCCTTCTTCACAAGGTATGAGGAGAAAGAATAATGAGAGCCGAGCCAAGGGGGAAGCCCCTTATAAAACCATCACATCTCATGAGAAATTACTATCACAAGAATAGCATGGGGGAACCACCCCCATGATTCAATTACCTCCCACTGGGTCCCTCCTATCACACATGGGGATTACGGGAATTACAATTCAAGATGAGATTTGGGTGGAGACACAGCCAAACCATATCAGTGTCCGTGATGCAAAAATGTTTTAAATCTCAGTTGAATTGTGAACAAGTGGTTTTATCCACCAAGATGTGAGATATTAAGACATTTTAGACCAGTGCCATTCTCGTAGTCTTAGAAGACCCTGGCCAATGGGTGCCAATTGAACTTGAATCTTATAATTCATGAGCCCCCAAACTATGAACTATAGTCAAAAACCATGTCAGGACAATCATCTGGGACAGTGGTTTTCTGAATGTGTCAATAGTGGTTAGGATTCCATGGATGCCTCGGGATTTTCTGTATGGGTGAAAAACATAAAAACATTAGGACCAAGATGGGGGGGATCTACTTCCAGCTGCAAGCACATTAATTCTTTTGTTATATGGTTTATAGACTGCGGTTACAATTCAATGCCAGTTTTTCAAAATTCTATTAGCGAAAGAAGGTATTGAACTTTGCTTTAAGGTTTGAAAGTTACAGCTGTAAGATGTCACAGCTCCTTTGCTCACTGATGGTGACTACATAACTTCACCAGTAACCATTACTGAATTTATTAATAAATACGACTATCAGCATATACACTACCTATGCTCACATTGGCAAATGGAACTCTTCTCATGTTGATTGTAGCCAATTGGTGGAGGACACCTAGAAGACATTCCTTAGAAAGATTCTGAGCCAGGCTGGCTCAGCAGAAAACAGGGCCAGTAATAATGTCTACCATGATCTCAGGAGGGTATTATGTATTTCAGACTCCTATTCTGGGTCATTTGTGGAGAATAGCTGGCCTGAGCCTGTGCCGCACAAAATATGAATTCCAACATGGTTATTTTGTCTCTATGAAAACCACAACTTAATCTCATAATGATTTTTTATTGATTCCGTAAACTAAGCTCCAGAGCCTCCACCCTTCCCAGCCTCACTTCTGCTGCTTTGCCAGACTTGACCTTGGGCACACAGTTATCATTTATATTGGTAAATGTTAAGAAACAATTGAAGAGAGAAACACCCTGACTGTGTTCTGCACAGAAAGGAGTATTAACTTGTAAATGGGGAGTGATGTGGCTCAGATTGCCAAAGCAGTTATTAACTCTTAGTCAACCTTCCAATCTGAACTCTAGGGAAGTCACTCCTGACTCCAGGCTGATGAGTGATTTCCTTTACTCCTCTGAGTTGAAAGTTATATATGTGTGTATGTGTGTGTGTGTGTGTGTGTGTGTGTGTGCATGGATGTGATCAAATATGTCTGTCCTACTAAGCTGTAAGCCCCAGGAAAGTCTATTTTTTTATATTTTTAAAATTGATATGTCATAATTATACATATTTTGAAGGTACATGTCATATTTTGATACATTGTCCAATTATTACATCAGGGTAATTGAGATATCCATCTCCTCAAACATTTATCTTTTCTTTATTTAGGAAACATAATCCTTTTCTTCTAGTGAATTTGAAATAATATAATAAATTATTGTTAACTGTAATTTCCCTACCATGTTATCGAATGCTAGAACGTATTCCTTCTATCTAACTGTACTTTTGTACCCATTAACTAACTTCTCTTTATTCCACCTTACTTTCCTTCCTAGCCTCTGGTAGTCACCATTCTACTCTCAAGGTCCATGAGATCTACATTTTTAGCTCCTACATATGAGTGACAACATGTGATGTTTGTCTTCCTGTGTCTGGCTTATTTCACTTAGCATAATCATCTCCACTTCCATCCTTGTTACTGCAAATGACAAGATTTTAATCTTTTTTGTGGCTGAATAATATTCCATTATTTGTTGGTCCATTGATAAACATTTCATATTTTGAATAGTGCTGCAGTAAACAGGTAGCCCTTTGATGTACCTATTTCCTTTCTTATAGATACATATCCAGCAGTGGAATTCCAGGATCATACGTTAGTTCTATGTTTAGTTTTATGAGGAAACTCCATATCGTTTTTCATTTTGGCTGCACTATTTTACATTTCTTCCAACAATGTGCAAGTATTCCAAGTATTCCCTTTTCTCCATATCCCCACCAGCATTTGTTAATTTTTGTCTTTTTGATAATAATCATTCTAACTGGGGTGAGATATCTTATTGTGGCACTGATTTTCATTTCCCTGGTGATTAGTGATGTTGAACATTTTTTCATATACCTGTTGGCATTTGTATCTCTACTTTGAGAAATGTCTATTCAGGTCTTTTGCCTATTTTTTATTTTTATTATTTATTTATTTGCTTATTTTAAACTTATTTTAGGTTCAGGGTACATGTGCAGGTTTGTTATATAGGTAAAACCATGTCATGGGGATTTGTTGTACAGATTATTACATCACCCACATATTAAGCCTACTACTCAATAGTTATTTTTTCTGATGCTCTTCATCCTCCTACCCTCCACCCTCAAGTTGGTCCCAGTGTCTGTTGTTCCCCTCTTTGTGTTTGTGTGTTCTCATCATTTAGCACCCACCTATAAGCGAGAACATGTGGTATTTGGTTTTCTGTTCCAGCATTAGTTTGCTAAGGATTATGGCCTCTAGCACCATCTATGTTCCTGCAAAGACACGATCTTATTCTTTTTTATGGCTGCATAGTATTCCATGGTGTATAAGAAGCACACGTTCTTTATTCAGTCTGTCATTGATGGCCATTTAGGCTGATTCCATGTCTTTGCTATTGTAAATAGTGCTGCAGCGAACATACGTGCATGTGTCTTTTTGGTAGAACAATTTATATTCATTTGGGTATATACCATAATGGGATTGCTGGGCCAAATGGTAGCTCTGTTTTTAGCTATTTGAGGAATTGCCACAGTGCTTTCCACAATGGTTGAGCTAATTTACACTCCCAACAGTGTATAAGGGTTCCCTTTTCATCACAACCTTGCCAGTAACCTTTTAATAATAGCCATTCTGACTGGTGTGAGATGGTATCTCATTGTGGTTTTGATTTGCATAACTTCAATGATCAGTGATATTGAGCTTTTCTTCATATGCTTGTTGGCAACATGTATGTCTTTTTTTTTTTCTTTTTTCTTTTTTTAGACGGAGTCTCGCTCTGTTGCCCAGGCTGGAGTGCAGTGGCACCATCTCAGCTCACCCCAACCTCCTCCTCCCAGGTTCAAGCGATTCTCCTGCATCAGCCTCCTGAGTAGCTGGGACTACAGGCACACGCCACCACACCCAGCTAATTTTTGTAGTTTTAGTAGAGACAGAGTTTCACAATGTTGGCCAAGCTGGTCTCAAACTCCTGACCTCGTGATCAGCCCACCTTGGCCTTCCAAAGTGCTGGGATTACAGGTGTGAGCCCCCGCACCTGGCTGGCAACATGTATGTCTTCCTTTGAGAAGTGTCTGTTTGTGTTCTTTGCCCACGTTTTAATGGGGTTGTCTGTTTTTTACTTGCAATTCAAGTTCCTTAAAGATGCTAGATTTTAGGCCTTTTGTCAGATGCATAGTTTACAAATATTTTTCTGCCCTTTATGTCAGTTGTCTGTTTACTTTATTAATAGTTTATTTTGCTGTGCAGAAGCTCTTTAGTTTATTTGTCAATTTTTGCTTTTGTTGGAATTGCTTTTGGCATCTTCGTCATGAAATCTTTGCCAGTTCCTATATTTAGAATCTTTAGTTTATTTGTCAATTTTTGCTTTTGTTGGAATTGCTTTTGGCATCTTCGTCATGAAATCTTTGCCAGTTCCTATATTTAGAATGGTATTGCCTAGATTGTCTTTTAGGGTTGGTATAGTTTGAGGTTTTACATTTAAGTCTTTTGTCCACCCTGAGTTGATTTTTGTGTATGGTATAAGGAAGGAGTCTAATTTCAATCTTCTGCATATGGCTAGCCCATTATCCCAACACCATTAATTGAATAGGGAGTCCTTTCTCTCTTGCTTGTTATTGTCAGCTTTATCAAAGTGGTTGTAGGTGTGTGGCCTTATTTCTGGGCTCTCTATTCTGTTCCATTGGTCTATGTGTCTGTTTTTGTACCAGTACCATGCTGTTTCTGTTACTGTAGCCCTATACTATAGTTTGAATCAGGTAAGGTAACATAATGCCTCCAGCTTTGTTATTTTTGCTTAGAATTGCCTTGGCTATTTGGGCTCTTTTTTGGTTCCATATGAATTTTAAAATAGTATTTTCTGGTTCTATGAAGAATGTCATTGGTAGCTTGATAGGAATAGCATTTAATCTGTATATTGCCTTGGGCAGTATGGCCATTTTAAAGAATTTGATTCTTGCCTATTCATGAGCATGGAATGTTTTTTCATATGTTTGTATAATCTCTGATTTCTTTGAGCAGTGTTTTATAATTCTCATTGTAGAGATATTTCATCTCCCTAGTTAGCTGTATTCTTAGCTGTATTTTATTCTTTTGGGGGCAGTTGTGAATAGGAGTGTGTTCTTGACACTTGACTTGGCTGTTGTTGGTGTATAGGAATGCTAGTAATTTTTGTATGTCAATTGTGTATCCTGAAACTTTGCTGAAGTTGTTGACCAGCTGAGGGAGCTTTTGGGCTGAGACTACAGGGTTTTCTAGATATAGAATCATGCCATCTGCAAGCAGGAATAGTTTGACTCCCTCTCTCCCTACTTGGATGCCCTTTATTTCCTTCCCTTGCCTAATTGCTTTGGCCAGGATTTCCAACACTATGTTGAATAGGAGTAGTGAGAGAGGGCATTTTTGTTTTGTTCTGGTTTTCAAAAGGAATGCTTCCAACTTTTGCCCATTCAATATGATGTTGACTGTGGGTTTGTCATAGATTGCTCTTATTATTTTGAGGTATGTTCCTTTAATACCTACTTTATTGAGAGTTTTTAACATGAAGCTATGTTGAATTTTATCAAAAGCCTTTTCTGCAGCTACTGAGATGATCACGTGGTTTTTGTCTTTAGTTCTGTTTATGTGATGAAATCACATTCATTGATTTGTGTATTTTGAACCAACCTTGCCTCCCAGGGATAACCTACTTCATAAGGGTGGATTAGTCTTTTTGATTTGCTGCTGAACTTGGTTTGCTAGTATTTTGTTGAAGATTTTTCCATCAATGTTCATCAAGGATACTGGCCTAAAGTTTTGTTTGTTGTGTCTCTGCCAGGTTTTGGTATCAGGATGATGCTGGCCTCATAGAATGAGTTGGGGAGGAGTCCCTTCTCCTCAATTTTTTGAAACAGTTTCACTAGAAATGATGCCAGCTCTTCTTTGTACATGTGGTAGAATTTGGCTGTAAATCCATCTGGTCCTGGGCTTTTTTTTAGTTGGAAGGCTATTACTGATTCAATTTCAAAACTCCATTATTGGTCTATTCAGGGAATCAATTTCTTCCTAGCTCAGTCTTGGGACAGTGTATATGTCTAGGAACTTATCCATCTTTTCAAGGTTTTCTAGTTTTTTTTGCACAGAGGTGTTCATAGTAGTCTCTAGTGGTTGTTTGTATTTCTGTGGGGTCAATGGTAACATCCCCTTTGTTATTTATAATTGTGTTTATTTGGATCTTCTCTCTAGTCTTCTTTATTTAGCTAACAGCATATCTTCTTTTTTTTTTTTTTTTTTTTTTTTTTTCAAAAAACCAACTCCTGGATTCATTGATCTTTGTGATGGTTTCTTGTGTCTTTACCTGCTTCATTCAGTTCAGCTCTGATTTTGGTTATTTCTTGTCTTTTGCTAGCTTTGGGGTTGATTTGCTCTTGCTTCTCTAGTTCTTTAGTTCTGATTTTAGCTTGTTAATTTGAGGTCTTTCTAACTTTTTGACGTTGGCATTTAGTGCTGTAAAGTTCTCTCTTAACACTACCTTAGGTGTGTCCTAGAAATTCTGGCATGCTGTATCTTTATTCTTATTAGTTTCAGAGAACTTCTTGATTTTTGCCTTAATATCATTATTTATCCAAAAGTCATTCAGAAGCAGGGTAATTCTCATGTAATTGTATGGTTTTGAGCAATTTTCTTAGTCTTGATTTCTATTTTTATTACACTGTGGCTCAGAAGAGTGTTTGGTGTGATTTCAACTCTTTTGCATTTGCTGAGGATTGTCTTATGTCGGATTGTGTGGTCAATTTTAGAGTATGTGCTACATGGCAGTGAGAAGAATGTCTATTCCGTTGTTTTAGGGGTGGAGAGTTCTGCAGAGGTTTATCACATCCATATGATCCAATGTTGAGTTCAGGTCCTGAATTTTTGCTAATTTTCTGCCTTGAAGATCTGTCTAATACTGACAGTGAAATGTTGAAGTCTCCCACTATTATTGTGTGGGAGTCTAACTCTCGTTGTAGGTCTCTAAGAACTTGCCTTATGAATCTGGGTGCTCTTGTGTTGGGTGCATATATATTTAGTATAGTTAGGTCTTCTTGTTGATTTGAACCCTTTACCATTATGTAATGCCCTTCTTTGTCTTTTTAAATCTTTGTTGGTTTAAAGTCTGTTTTGACTGAAACTAGGATTGCAACCCCTGTTATTTTATGATTTCCATTTGCTTGGTAGATTTTCCTCCATCCCTTTATATTTATTTTTATTTTTTTGAGACAGAGTCTCACTCTGTCATCTGGGCTGGAGTGCAGTGGCACAATCTCAGCTCACTGCAACCTCTGCCTCCCAGGTTCTAACGATTCTCCTGCCTCAGCCTCCTGAGTAGCTGGGAATACAGGTGAACGCCACCACACCCAGCTAATTTTTGTATTTTTAGTAGAGACGAGGTTTCACCATGTTGGTCAGGCTGGTCTCAAACTCCTGACCTTGTGTTCTGCCCACTTCCGCCTCCCAAAGTGCTTGGATTACAGACATGAGCCACCACACCTGGCCAATCCCTTTATTTTGAGCCTATGGATGTCATTGCATGTGAGATGGGTCTCTTGAACACAGCATACCATTGAGTCTTGCTTTTTTGTCCAGCTTGTCACTCTGTGCCTTTTAAATGAGGTATTTAGCCTGTTTACATTCAATATTAGTATTAATATGTGTGGATTTGAACCTGTCATTGTCTTTTTAGCTGGCTATTATGCCGACTTGTTTGTGTGGTTGCTTTACACAGTCACTAGTCTATGTACTTAAGTGTGTTTTTGTATTGCCTGGTAACAAACTTTCCTTTCCATATTTAGTGTTCCTTTCAAGACATCTTGTAAGGCTGATCTAGTGGCAACAAACTCCGTCAGATTTTGCTTACCTGAAAAGTGTCTTATTTCTCCCTCACTGAGGAAGCTTAGTTTGGATGGATATGAAATTCTTGGTTGAAGATTTTTTTTTAAGAATGTTAAATATAGGTCCCAAATTTCTTCTGGCTTGTAGGGTTTCAGCCAAAAGGTCCACTGTTAGCCTGATGGGGTTCCATTTGTAGGTGACCTGCTTTTTCTTTCTAGCTGCCTTTAACATTCTTTCTTTCATTTCAACCTTGGAAAATCTGATGATTATATGTCTTGAGGATGATCTTCTTATGTAGAATCTTGCAGGGGTTCTCTATATTTCCTGAATTTGACTGTTGGCCTCTCTAGTGAGGTTGGGGATATTTCCATGGATGTTATCATGAAACATATTTTCCAAGTTGTTTACTTTTTTCCCATTCCTTTCAGGGATGCCAACAGTTCCTAAATTTGGCCTCTTTACATACTCCCATATTTTTTGGAGGTTTTGTCCATTCCTTTTCATTCTTTTTTCTTTATTTTTATCTGTCTAACTTCAGAGAGCCAGTGTTCAAGTTCCAAAATTATTTCCTTAGCTTATTCTGCTGTTAATACTTGTGATTGCATCATGAAATTCTTGCAGTGTGTTTTTCAGCTCTATCAGATCAGTTAGGTTCTTTTTTATACTGGCTATTTCATCTGTCAGTTTCTGTATTGTTTTATTGTGATTCTTACTTTTCTTAGATTGGGTTCTGCCATTCTCCTGAATCTCGATGATCTTTGTTTCTATCCATATTCTGAATTCTATTTCTGTAATTTCAGCCCACTCAGCCTGGTTAAGAACACTTGTTGGAGAACTAGTGCAGTTGTTTGGAGGACATAAGACATTTTTGGAGAACTAGTGCAATTGTTTGGAGGACATAAGACATTCTGTTCATTTGAGTTGCTGGAGTTCTTGTGTTGGTTCTTTTTTATCTCTGCATGTGGGTGTTCTTTAACTGCTGGGCTGCCTCTGATTGAAGTGGTCAGGTGGGGTCAGGATGGTTGTGCTGGAGTCCCAGGTGAGATGGCCCTACCCAGTGAGGAAAAGTGAGGACCAGAACCTGCATGGAGAACTGTCAGCCTCTTTTCCATGAAGTGAATGCTCTCTGCTGGGGGTCCAGACCAGCTCCTGGTCCCTGTGGACTCTCCAGAGCCTGGCAACAACAAGGGCAAGGGTTGTGAAAAAAGCAAAGATGGCAACCCACCCCTCCCACTGGGAATTGCAGAGCTGCTACTGTCTCGACGGCCCCAGCAGAGTGTGCCTGGAGACCCAGGACCCTCCTAGTGAGGAGATACAAGATCTGGGGCCCATGTAACAAAAAATCTGCATGCTGGGGGTCCACTCCAGTCCCTAGTCACCTTAGATTTTCCAGCACTTAAAGGTATTAACAGTGAAGGCTGCAAAACAGCAAATATGACAGCCTTCCCCTTTCTCTGGGAGCTCTGTCTCAGGAAGGTACAGACCTGTTGCCAACCTAAACACACCAGTAGGGGTGGTTGTAGTCCTCAGTCAGGAGATTCCACTCAGTGAAGAGAAACTAGGACCCCCATGAAAAAGCAGTGTGGCGACTCCTCTGTAGAGCTGTTGCACTGTGCTGGGGGACCACTCCAGACCCTAGTTACCTCAGACTCCCTAGAGCTTGAAGGCAACAATGGATTAGGTTGTGAAACAGCAAAGATGGCAGCCCATTCTTCTCCCTGGGAGCTCCATCCCAGGGAGGCTCAGAAGCACTGCCAGCTGGAAAACACTGGTGGGGGTGGCTGGTGACCCCAGTTGGAAGGTCCTACCCAGTGAGGGGAAGCAAGTTCAGGGATCCATGTAAGAAAAGCAATCTGGCTGCTTTTCCTACAGCAGCTTCACTGAAGGCAACAGGGGCTAAGGCTGAGAAACAGCAAATATGGTGGCCTGCCTCTCCCTCTGGGAGCTCCATCTCAGGAAGGTGTAACACTGCTACTGGTGGCTGGCTGTAGTTCCAAACCAGTGGGTCTTATCCTGCAAAGTACCATGGAAGTGGGTGGGGCCTGAAGATCATTGCTGCTCAGCCCTCTGGATTCAGCCCCTTTCCTAGGAGTTTTTAAAGGGGTCTATCCTCCTGCTTTGCCACAGTTGCAGCCACTTTTGCTAGGAAGCTCAGATATCTAAAGCTCCCAGGGCTCCAAGTGTGCCTAAGCAGCTGCTCTGCTAAGACCCCACATAGCTCTTCGTGTCAGACAGCAGGCCCTGGTGGAATGCCTTCACAAGGGGATCTCCTGACCCCAGGGTTACAAAAATTTGTGGGAGAAGCATGGATCCCAGAGTCACTCACTGCTTCCCTGGGTAGGGGAGGCTCCCCTGGCTCCATGTTGCTCCTGGGTAAGCAGCCATCCTGCCTTGCTTTTCTCCATTTTCTATGGGTTGAGTTGTTTTCTTGATGAATCCCAATGTGTGTACCTAGATGTTTCAGTTCAAAATCCTGTATTTACTCATGCCTTCTATTTCTCTCCATGAGAGCAGCACACATTAGCTGCTTCTAGTTGACCATCTTGGCCAGGCTCTTATTTATTTATTTAAAAATGAGGTCTCCCTCTGTCACCTAGGCTGGAGTGTAATGGCATGATCATAGTTGATTGCAGCCCTTGAACTCTGGGCTCAAGTGATCTTCCTGCCTCAACCTCCCTGAGTAGCTGAGACTACAGGTACAGGCCACCACACCCAGCTAATTTTTTTTTATTTTTTAGACACAGGGTCTCACTATGTTGCCCAGGCTGGTCTCAAACTCCTGCCTTCAAGTGATCCTTCCACCTCAGCCTCCTGAGTAGTTGGGATTACAGGTGCAAGCCACCATGCCCTACTCTTTTACCAATTTTAAAATCAGATTATTTGTTTTCTTGCTATTGAGTTGTCTGAGTTCCTTATATATTCTGGTTATTAATCTCTTGTCAGATTAACAGTTTGAAAATATTTTCTCGCATTCTGTGGATTGTCTCTTCACTTTGTTGATTGTTTCCTTTGCTCTGCCAAAGCTTTTAGCTTGATATAATCCCAATTGTCTATTTTTGCTTTTGTTGCCTGTGCTTTTGAAGTCTTAAACAAAATATCTTTGCCCAGACCAATGTCCTGAAGCATTTCTCCAATGTTTCCTTACAGTAGTTTCACAGTTGCAGGTCTTACATTTAAGTCTTTAATCCATTTTCAGACAATTTTTGTATATGGTGAAAGACAGGGATCTAGTTTCATTCTTCTGCATATGGGTATCCAATTTTTCCAGCATCACTTATTGAAGAGACTGTCCTTTATCCAGCATATGTTCTTGGTACCTTTGTTGAAAATGAGTTGGCTGTTAAGTGTGTGTATTTATTTCTTGGTTCTCTATTTTGTTCCATTGGTCTATATATGTGTTTTGATGCCATTATCATGCTGTTTTGGTTACCACAGCTTTGTAGTATAATTTGAAATCAGGTAGTGTGATGCCTCCAGCTTTATTCTTTTTGCTCAGGATTGCTTTAGGTATTTGGAGTCTTTTGTAGTTCCATACAAATTTTAAGGTTGTTTTTTCCACTTCTGTGAAGAATGTCATTGGTATTTTGATTGCATTGAGTCTGTACATAGCTTTGGGTAGTAGAAACATTTTAACAATATTAATTATTCCAATCCATGAGCATGGGATACCTTTCCATGTCTTGTGTCCTCTTCAATTTCTTTCATCAATATTTTATAGTTTTCCTTATAGAGATCTTTCACTTCTTTATTTTTATTGAGGTAACATATACATATATAATTTACATCTTTAACATTTTTAGTTTATGGTTCAGTGGTAATAAATAAATTTATATTGTCTTAATTTCCCTCCTCTCCCTTTTTCCAGGCCTCTGATAACCACCAATCTAGTCTTGTCTTCATGAGATCCACTTTTTTTAGCTTCCACGTATGAGTGAGAACATGCAATATTTGTCTTTCTGTGCTTGGCTTATTTTACTTAATATAATCACTCTAGTTATAACCATATTACTGCGAAGAGTAGGATTTTATTCCTTTTTATGACTGAATAATATTTCATTGTGTATATATACTGCATTATCCATTTCATCCATTGATGGGCACTTAGGTTGATTTCATATTTTGACTATTATGAATGGTGCTACAATAAACATAGGAGTGAAGGTATCTCTTTTATATACTGATTTCTTTTCTTTTGAATATATAACTAGTAATAGGATTACTAGATCACATTGTAGTTCTATTTTTAGTTTTCTGAGAAACTTCCATACTGTTCTTCATGGTGGCTGTACTACCTTACATTTTTATCAACTGTGTATGAGGGTTCTTTTTTCTCCACTTTCTCACCAGCATCTGTTATTGCCTCTCTTTTTGGCACAAACCATTTTAGCTGGGGCAAGATGATATCACATCGTGGTTTTGATTTGCATTTCTCTGATGATTAGTGATGTTGAGCATTTTGTCAAATACCTATTGGCCATTTGTATGTCTTCTTTGGAGAAATGTCTGTTCAGATCTTTTGCCCTTTTTTACATTTGATTATTATTATTATTATTATTATTTTTTGCTATTGAGTTGAGTTGCGTATATATTCTGGTTATTAATCCCTGGTCAGATGAATAGTTTGCAAAACCCCCGTTCTGTGGGCTGTCTCTTTGTTGATTGTTTCCTTTGCTTTGCAAAAGCTTTTTAGCTTGCTATAATCTCAGTTGTCTATTTTTGCTTTTGTTGCTTATGTTTTTGAGGTCTTAAACAAATAATCTTTGCCCAAATCAATGCTTTACAGTGTTTCCCCAATGTTTTCTCTTCAATTAGTTTCATAGTTTTAGGTCGTAGATTCAACTCTTTAATCCACTTTTATTTGATTTTTGTGTGTAATGAGAGGTAGGGGTCTAGTTTCATTCTTCTAAATATAGTTACCCAATTCTTTGGTTAAATTTATTCCTAAGCATTTTATTTTTTGTAGCTATTATAAATGAGGTTGCTTTCTTAATTTCTTTTTCAGATTTATTGCTGTTAGTGTATAGAAATGCTGCTGATTTTTGTATGTTGATTTTGTATCCTACAACTTTACTAAATTTGTGTATCAGTTCTATGAGTTTTTTAATGGAGGCTGGTTTTTCTAAATATAAAAGTATGTCATCTGCAAACAATAATAATTTGACTTTTTTTCAAATTTGAATGCCTTTTTATTTCTTTTTCTTGCCTAATTTCTCTGATTAGGACTTCTAATACTATGTTGAGTAAAAGTGGTGAAACCAGTGCAGTATGATATTAACTGTGTGATTGTTATATATAGCCTTTATCATCTTAAGGTATATTGTTAACAGAATCGAAAACAAAAACCATATAATTTTTTCAATAGATGCTGAAAAAGCATTCAATAAAACTCAGAAAAGTCTATTTTGCTCACCATTTTACCTTCAGATTCTTGCATAAAACATCTCATCATACTTATTCCATCCTCTGAAGAGTTACTTCTACTAACTTGTTAAAATTAAACCTTATGAAGTGCAAGGGCAGACAACAGAAGGAGAGAAGATGACAACAGAAAGAGTCATGACAAAAGAGGTGGAAAATAAAAGTAAAAGCTTTACATGAGAACCTCATCTACCCACCAGAGCTTGTTATCTTTAAGATCAAGAAAGATTGCTCCAGAGTATGACTGGGAAAGCCTGAGCCACTCCATTTTAAAACCACCACTAATGTTCAGTTTTGTTGTTTCTCTAGAAGAACTCCCAAGGGCAACTCTGACCTTAGGTTGGCTCCAGACTAGCTGTCTAGACCTTGAAATTTTCTGATAGCCCCTCTTATTTTCCCTGAGCAGCCTAAATATTTCCCAATTTTTCCAGCCTAGCAGCTCCCTATTCCTTGGCCCCACACCATTCTGTTGGAGTTATGCAACAGGAAGTCTGAAGTCAGGTTGGGAAAGAGATAAGCAATACCAAGAAAGCGGTGTCCCAGATGCCAAGAAATAGAGGTGTTTTAAGGAGAGAGTAATGTAAATATAACAATGAATAGAAATTTTATTAAAAGAGATAAAAAATAAACCGCCAAAATTGAATAAATAATTAGAGTCAAATGATGATAAGGGATATGAAGAAAATGAAACAGGGATGGGGAGAGAAAATGGCAAAAAAGGAGGACAGCAATGTGTTTAATCATGCAATTAGGGAAGGCCTCTTTGAAAAGGTGACGCCTGAGCAGAGATCTGAATTATATCAAGAAGTGGGAGAAGAGCATCAGCATTAAGCGAAGAGGTGTGGAAAGGCTCTAAGGCAGGAAGGAGCACAGATGGTTTGAAGAATGTCGAAAAGGTAAGCATAGCACAAGCAGAGGGAGTCAAGGAGAAAGTAACAGGAGAGTTTGACCACACTAGATAATGCAGAATAACGGGCTTTATTCCAAATGCAATGGGAACCAATGAGAAGCTGATCACAGAAATGGCACAGAGGAAGCATGAAGCCCAGTGAAGAGGCTATGGTGGGAGGCCAGGCCTAGCTTGACGGTCAACTGTTCCAGAATGGGTGGGAGCAGTGACAACAGTGAGAGGTGATCAGGTTCAGGATGTATTAGGAAAGCAGATCCAACAGCGCTGGTTAATGGATTGGGTATGGAGGGTAAAGAAAAGAGAGAAATCCACTATGCTTCCTAGTTTGAGGACCTGAACAAATATAATGCTACTTATTCAGTTGGAGAAGCTTAGAGTAGCATATGTTTTGGGTAATAATATAAAGAATTATGTTTTGGACATGTTAACATTTGAGATCCCAATTAGACATTCAAGCAGAAACTGAAAATAACTAGTTACACCCACAAATCTGAATTTCAGGAGGGAAGTCGTGACTGAAGAATATAAACTTGAGCATACTGAAGGTGTTTAGAACTATTACACAGGGCTGGGCACAGTGGCTCATGCCTGTAATCCCAGCACTTTGGGAGGCCAAGGCAGGTGGATCACTTGAGGTCAGGAGTTTGAGATCAGCCTGGCCAACATGGTGAAACATCATCACTACTAAAAATACAAAAATTAGCCAGGCGTGGTGGCGGACGCCTGTAATCCCAGCTACTCAGGAGGCTGAGGCAGAAGAATCACTTGAACCTGGGAGGCAGCTGTTGCAGTGAGCTGAGAGCTGAGATCGCGCCACTGCATTCCAGCCTGGGTGACAGAGCGAGACTCCATCTCCAAAAAAAAAAAAAAAACTACTACACAGAATAAGGTCAGCTAGGAAAAGTGTGCAAATGGAAGAAAAAGGAGAGCTGAGGCCTGAAACCTGAGGTGTGCCAACATTGAAAGGTCAAATTTGGGAAATAAGCTAGTCAGGGGAAGGAGCAATCAGTGAAGTAACAAATCCCAAGAGAGTGGTGTCATCTCAGATGCTCAAAGAAGGAAGTGTTCAAAAAGGCGAGAGTGGTTTACAGTGCCAAATGTTACACGGGGCACAAGCCAGGAGGTGACAGAGAACTGACCTTTGTCTTGTCAAACTGAGAGGTGAGTGGTTTTATAAACAAGAGCAGTTTCTGTGAAATACTGAGGGTGAAAAGCTGATTAGAGTAGGTTCAATATATTAAGAATATATTGAGTATACCCAGTCACGGTAGGAATTTTACTAAAGAAGAGCAAAGAAATGGGCTAGACATGGGTATGTGGTCAACAGAGGGTTTTTATTTCAGACAAATGGCCTTATACTTGAAGCCTCATGGGAATAATTTAGTTAGAGAGATAAAATAATGATGCAAGAGAGAGATGATAGTTGTGGAAGAATGGATGGGACCAGTGACCTTAGAGGAGCACAGAACTCCTCATTTTAACAAGAGAAAAGTTGATATACAAGCACATGTAAAGGTTGGTCAATTTGGTGATGCAAAGATGAGGTCATATTCTTCTGAATGCTTCTGTTTTCTCAGTGGAATAACAAATGAGGTCACCAGCTGATAGTGAAGAATGGGAAAGTGAAGTTGAAAGTTTGATGACAGAGGAAATGATATCAATTTGCCTTCTCAGAGATGAGGAAAGCAAGTACACCAGGCAAATGGAGTAAGGCACACAGACATCACTTTCCCTGATTCCTTTCACGGCTCATGGTCAATCCTGAACAGACTGCCCACTTCCACAAACACATGATTGTTTTAGAAATTCTATAGAATCATCCTTCAGAATTGAGATGGGTTTTGAGTAACCATTAGCCTCAATTTACTCATTGCCAAGTGCATAGGAAACTTGCTTCTTCCTAGCTTATGAAAAGGCACACTGATCATATGAATAATGAGTAGGAAATCCCTTGAGAGGAGAATCATCTTCTGTATGTCCAAGACAGAGGTGGGATCAGCCAAATATCTTTTCAGCAGGAGGAGTATCCTTCTCTTCCTGAGTGAAACTGACTAGAGATGTGAAGTGAACAAAAAAAAAGTAACCTTTATATTAACACTAGTGTATCAAATTTTTATTTTTCATATTTTTCATTTGACTAATGAGGCATGTCATGATTCAATTTCCAGCTGTTGACATTAAGGTTAAAATGAAAATGCATTTGAAACAAGTTAGGGAACTCCATAAAAAGCAGATTAAACCCCAGTACTATGTTTTGTCAGCTTTTGGGGGCCCCCAAATAATTGAAATGCAGCAGTTACTGTATTAAATTTAGTTAGAATCAAAATAAATTTTTACACATAGAGCCATCCAGCCAAATAAGTCTAAAAGATAGGGAATAATATGATTAATGCCTTGTACATTTTTTACTTGTGGTTATATTTGGAAGATTTGAAATAAACCAGTGTCCATTATTTCTATGGAAATATGTGAGAATGTAGTTTTTAGAGGAAATCTGCCTGATTTAAATAATGAACAGACATGATATCTTTCTGTTGGGAAATGAAGAATAACTTGAGGTAAGAAGCAAACACAAAGAGGGTGTGTAAAGCCAAAGACCCATAAATGTCCTCTGAGTTGTTTATAAATATTTTGTTTACTTGTCTGATTTCTCTGTAACTTAGCAGTGTTATGAGGGAAATGGCCAAAATTCCTAGAAACTACATTATACATACACACACATTCAAGTTAGCAAATCTTACAATCCCCTTGGCAAACCCTTTATGTTTTCCATTTGGAAATATGATAAACTTGTTTATTCTATTTGTCAGTTTTCCGTTTCTGAGTTTCTTCATTGAATTTGTTATCTTCTTTATGTAACCAAGCTGTCCCAAGCATTCTATGGCCACAATTGCAAAGAGAAATTAAGCATATGCATAATAATAGGGAATAATAGTTTGCATAGCACAAGGTTTTGTTAATTGTAAACAAGATGAAGCAGTTATTTTAGCTTTAAATCATACTACATATTACTTAAAATATGTCTTCTGAATTGCCTTTAGGAAGTACATTTTCTCCATCTCTGTGTAACAAGATGGAGTTTTTCCTGAACTGCACTGAATGTCACATTCTGATGCTGGGATGTGAAGGTTTGGGAGAAGGCTGGCACAGTATGTCACTGATATGGTTAGGCTTTGTGCCCCCACCCAAATCTCATCTTGAATTCTAATCCCTATAATCCCACATGTCTAGGGAGAAACCTGGTGGAGTTAATTGAATCATAGGGGCAGTTTCCCCGATGCTGTTCTCATGATAGTGAGTGAGTTCTCATGAGATCTGATGATTTTATAAGGGGCTCTTTCCTCCTTGCTCTTCATTCTCTCTTGCCTGCTGCCACATGAGAAGTGTCTCTTCCACTTCCACCATCGTTGTAAGTTGCCTGAGGCCTCCCCAGCCCTGCTGAACTGTGACTCAATTAAACCTCTTTTCTTTATAAATTACCCAGTCTTGAGTACGTCTTTAAAGCAGTATGAAAATGGACTAATACAGTCACCTAGGCTGGAAACCCTGCAGACTCAACTCTCTTGGCCCTCAGGTCTGCCAGGGAGAAAATGGTATGAGCATGCAACTAAGGCAGGTGAAAGTAGCACAGGGAAACCAGACTGGAGAAACCATAAGTCAGCTAGCCATGGTAGTGGTGACCCTGTCATTGAAGGACTTTTTTATTTTAGTAGACAAAAATGAAGATACCACTAGAAAGACCAGAACATCTGTGTTTCAGTGACAGTCACAGGGAGACTACTAAGCTCTCCTGTTTTCTCACTGGGACAACAGGAAGTAGGACAGACTCACTGGACTATATAAAAATTTCAGGGAGGATCTGGAAGTTATTGTTGGAAGAAGATCTCTGGGAAAGAGGTAAGACATTCTCTTATTGGTAGACCACATGCTCAGTCATTTAATCTAAATGCTATATATCCCAAGGTGAAAAAAGAGATATCATTTATATCTGCTATCTTAGAAACACAGGGAAAATAAATTCCTTTATTATAGTAATTCAGTAAGGGTCTAATAAATAGATTCTATCTAGATTTTGTAATACATCAAAAAAGAGGATTAAAGAAGTAGCACCAACCTTCTGAATCATGGTATTAATTAGATTTGCCTCTTTCCTTTTAAGGAAAAACAATTCTTTGCACATCATGACCACTCAACATTTTTTAACTGAAGTATTCTGAGATTTTAAAGAATTGTTGAAACATGTTGCATTATTCCTAACTAACCATCTCATCAGCTATAAAAAAATCAATCATCAAGTTTAATAAGGATATTGTTGAATAAGTCTTATAGTTCCTTGAGAAACATTTTTTTTGCATCAAAATGAATCTTTACACTTAGATCTGCATATAATTTTGAGTTCAAAATACTTAATAGACTAATTAAATGTATACATTTTCTTGAGTACACAAATTAGAAAATCTTTGGATTAAGTCAATAAATTATTTCCAAAAGATAATTGTTAATGTGTGCTCAGTATTTTAGGAAGTGCTTTCACATACATGATCTCATTTGTTATTCATGACAACCTCATGAGTTGGGAATTTCCGTATTTCACAAATAAGTTAACAAAGGCTCCAAGAAGATAATTCACTAAGACATTAGTAAGAGGCTAAATGTGGTTTCTTTGTATCCAGATGCCATGTCTTTCTTATGTTAATGCATAGTCTGACATAAAATAATGCTATAAATGTGTGGCAAAATTAAAAGGAGAACATAAGCATCCTTCTTGTAATCCCAGGATTTACCCAGTCATCTAGCCTACCTTGCTTTTAAGCTACCCATGAGTCCTTTTGCTACATGACATTTCATGGATGATCATCCCTTGCAGTGGGTCTGGATCTCTATAGTCAACATCTAATAGGACAGCTTCCCTGTCATATTTCTCTGGCTCCCTGCCACATGTTTACACCTGATAGCCCTATTCCACTGGTCCTAGCTTATTGACCCAGAGGTAAATACCTTCTTCACGTTGAGCTCATCAAATTCCTTCTAACTGAAATTTGGAATTGGGACCATAAAAGAAATAATCAGTGTCTCCTTTACTCGACCTAAATCATATATATCCTGAACCATGGAGTGACCAAGTTCCTCTTTCTGGACTACAGGAAGAAAGAAGCACATATATGAATTCCATGAACTTATCCTCCTAATAAATCCCACTTTTTTTCTCAAACCAGAGCTGCCGAGATTTTATTATTTGTAACTAAAATCCCAAATAATGTATCTGATAATCCCCTAAACTCATCTACTCATCTTCATCACTTCATCCTCAACCCTTGAGCAGAACTTCCAAAATTCATTTAGGTAGATGACTATGAGCAGACAATAAAAATTCACTTACTATAAACTGTGAGAATTTTTAAATTGAAAATACTACAGATGAATTTGTGGTAAAGAATTTAGCCTTGCCCAAAGAGAGGTCTGGCCTTGTCCATGGCTACTTGGAAGGAATCTCTGAGCTCCTGGAATGTCATGCTCAATAGGAGTGTCTTTGTTTGCCTGGCAGACTTGAATCACATTGGATAGCCTGACAATTTGATTTAGAGTGGGGGCTGGAAACACCAGGTAGCCTTATTAGGCTACTGATTGAGTTAATAATAACAATGTCATTAGGGTGGGGACTTTGGGTCATATGGTATCGATTGACCTCTGGAGAGACAGGAGACTAAGATCAGCTATATGAGCAATCAGTCATGCCTATAGGATGAAGCCCCAATAAAAACTCTGGACATCAGGTAAACCTCCCTGACTGGCAGTATTCCATGCATAGTCACTCATTGACACTAGTGAAATAATGCTGTCCTGAGTCAACCACAGGGGACAACTGGAAGCTCCCTCTTTGATGTACTCCTATACATTCCCTATGTGTCTCTTCCTTTGGCTGATTTTAATCTGTTTCTTTTCCCTTCCAAAAACTATAACTGTGAGCATAACAGCTTTTAGTGAGTTCTGTGAGCCCTTTTCACAAGTTATCAAACCTGAAGTGGTTTTGGGAATCCCCTGAATTTGCAACTGGTATCAGAAATAAGGCTGGCCTTGTGTGCACTGATCCCTCTAACTTCACAGTTAACTTACACAATGGATGACCCTACTTTACTAGACAAAGCAAGCTGTTTTCTATCACTTCTTTTAAAGACTAAGAATAGTCCTCAAGTCTATTGGCAGTCTAGAGATCCAGAAGACTGCATTTTACGCATGCTTCTACAATTGACTTGATAACTGTGTTCACCGAATGTGTTACATTTCTCTCTGACCTTCTTGACTATAATGTTCTTGAAGACAGAAACTATGTCTTCGTACTCATTTCAGCTCTAGTTCCTAGCATAATACAGATACGTAGGTGGCATTTAAAAATGCCAAATGGCCTGTGGATGGATGACTAGAAGGAAGAAAGAATGGATAAGTGGATATATAGATGAGTGGTTGGTTTCATATCAAAATCTTCTAGAGTTACAGTTAGATGTACAATGACCCAGTGAAATTCCTGTGAGGATCAGAATAAGAGCTCTCCTCTTTTACTTTGATAGCCAGGTTTATAGAGGAGCTTACCAGGGAGTATTAGGGAAAGCCTGCCCTATAGTTCTGTGTTTTCCCAGGTTCAGAACCAACCTGAATAGTGTGAGAAAAGTGAGAATTGAAACCAAAATCACTTCATGGACACCATCCCCAGGCATACCCGTAAAGAGATAATTCAGTCCTGGACTTTCAGGAAAATGCCTAAGTCAGCATTGAAAAACATTTGCGTTGATTTTTTTAAAGCCCTGATATGTAACTATTTTCATTATTACTTCCACTAGCTCCCATTAATTTGCTGAATATGTCATACATTCTTATTTACTTCTCATGACAACCCAATGGCTTCAATATTATTAGTCCTGCCCTTAAGGAGCGTATACCCCAACATGGGAGGAGAAGAGGGTGCACAGAGGATGGTTCAATGCAAGCTGTGGAAAAGGCTGAGCAGCAGGAGAAAGCATCACAGGGCTCCTTAAAGGTCCCTGGTTAATGTGGTCAGGGAAGAGTTTCTAAAGGGAATGGTATAGAAACTCATGCTTGAAGACAGGGCAAGGGGTGGCCAGGTGCAGTGGCTCATGCCTGTAATCCCAGCACTTTAGGAGGCTGAAGTGGGCGGATCACCCAAGGTCAAGAGTTTGAGACCAGCTTGGCCATGATGGCGAAACCCCATCTCTACTAAAAAGTACAAAAATTAGCTGGGTGTGGTGGTGTATGCCTGTAATCCCAGCTACTCAGGAGGCTGAAGCAGGAGAATCACTTGCACCCAGGAGACGGAGGTTGCAGTGAGCTGAGATTGCGCCATTGCACTCCAGCCTGGGCGACAAGAGCAAAACAGAAAGGAAGGAAGGAAGGAAGGAGAGAAGGGGAGGAAAGGGGAGGGAAGGGGAGGGAAGAGGAGGGAAGGGGAGGGAAGGGGAGGGAAGAGGAGGGAAGGGGAGGGAAGGGGAGGGAAGAGGAGGGAAGGGGAGGGAAGGGGAGGGAAGGGGAGGGAAGGGGAGGGAAGGGGAGGGAAGGGGAGGGAGGGAGGGAGGAAAAAATAAAAGAAAAGAAAGAAATTAGGGGTATTTGGGCAATGTACTCCTTTTTTCCTATAAAGGAATGCCTGAGACTGAGTAATTTCTAGGGAAAAGAGGTTTCTTTGGCTCACGGTTCTGAAGGCTGTACAAGCATGGCACCCACAACTACTCAGCTTCTAGTGAGACCTCAGGAAGCTTTTACTCATGGCAGAAAATGAAGAAGGAACAGGCGTGTCACATGGCAAAATAGGGAGCAAGAGAGAGAGAGAGGAGGAGGTGCCAGGCTCCTTTAACAACCAGATCTCATGTGAACTAATAAAGCAAGAACTCACTCATTACCAAAAGGGTGGCAGGGATCTGTCCCCACGACCCAAACACCTCCCACTAGGCCACCTCCAACATTGAAGATCACATTTTAACATGAGATTTGGAGGGGACAAATATCCAAACCATATCAGGCAGAATAAGCAGAATGAAGAGAATCAATATAAAACAGAGCATATTAGCCCAGTTTGGATGAAGTATACAAGTGAACATTTTGAGCCAGCTCTCTTTCTCTCAGTAGCTATGTAATTCTCGCTTTCCTGAGCCAAACTTTTCTCCAAATATCTATATTTATAAAAATAACACCTAGCTCAGGCAGTTGTTATGTGGATTAAATAAGGAAATAACAGAGTGGTGCAGACTCAATAAATACATGTTGTCTTTTGTTAATGGTGTAGTCATAGGAGTTCTCAACCAGGGACAGTCTTCTTCCCTTCTCCAAAATTTGTGGACATGTTTATTATTTTATAATGCCCAGAGAGTTCTCCTGGCACTTAGTGGATGGGCTCAGCGTGGCTAAATGCTCTATAATTCCTGGGACATTATGGTTCAACCAATAATATTCCCTCCCAAAGGCCAATATTGTTTGCATTAAGAAACATGGGTAAGAATAATAGAAGAAAAAGCTGGAGACATAAAATGAGACTAGGTTACAGTAAACTTTGAATACAAGGCTACAGAGTTCACTTTGATAGATAAGGAGAAGCCACTGAACTTAAGCAGGAAGTAATAACACCAATGCTTTCAGAAGGCTAATATAACAGGGGCTGGCAGCATAGACTGAAAGTGAGGGAGGCTGGTGGGAATGTTATAAGTTAGCAGGTGCTCACCATTGCCCCTGCATGAAGCACTAGAGGATTGCAGTGAACCGAGATCATGCCACTGCACACCAGTTTGGGAAACAGAGCAAGACTCTGTCTCAAAAAATATACATATAAAATGAAAATTTAAAATAAAAAGTCTGTGAGGACAGAGAATATATTCATCTCCTGCACTTTATCTTCATCACCTTCTATGGTATCTGGCACCTAACTAGTATGCAACATTTGCCAAATAAAGATATAGCTGAAGCTATAATTGTGAAAAAAGTTATCTCGAAAATAACTATTTAAAAAAAGATGTGAAAGAAAAGTATATTTCAACAATAAAAAATTATTACTTATTATTATTATTGCTGTTGCTACCATTTGCAGAGTACCTGTTACCTAATCTTCACAACCACACTGCAAGGTTGTAGATCTTATTAACCATAGTTTAAATAGGAGAGAAATTGTACCTCTAAACTTTACACTACTAAAAAAATTCAGGACTAGCATTTAGCCCCCAACCTTTTGACTCCCTATTCCAAAATCTTTCTAGAACATTAAATTCTCTTCAGTGAGGGAGGGATGAGGAACCCTGACTATTGTGTTGCAACCTAGAAAGAGAGAGAACACATCAAACAGTTACAGAGATAAGTCAGGTGGCTTGGCAGGTTTAGCTTTCTAGGGTTACTTTGGCAAATGAGCAGATCTGCCTGAGAATCTAAACCACCCCATATACAGCCTGCATTGAATGTCAACTTAGTTGCTTCATTCAAGGAGCCTTCCCAAGAGAGATCCCAGCTGTTGCTGCTCGCCTTAGCTTGGCCACTATCTTGCCTTAACTTTGGCTGTTCTGTTTCTGATTGAAACTTCTGGCATACAATGGCCTATTACCTGTCTACCTTCTTCAGCAGCTGCCTCTGCTGATGTCACATAAATGCCATGTACCTTTCAACAAAGAAGAAGATGAGTGCCTCATCAACTTAGGCTTTTGCCCATACTTCTAAGGTTCACTATGTGAGACCTCTAGAAAGTTTCCTATTGATTTTAGCTTCTAAAAATCTCTTGAACCTCTGTACTTATCACTTACTCTCCACTGCTACTATTGACAACTCTCCCCTGCACCATTTTAATAGCCCCTAATATGGTTTGGCTATGCCCCACCCAAATCTCATCTTGAATTATAATCCCCATAATCCCTAGGTGTCATAGGAGGGACCCAGTGGGAGGTAACTGAATCATGGGGGCGGCTTCCCCCATTGTGTAATTGTGATAGTGAGTGAGTCATTACAAGATCTGATGGTTTCATAAGCATCTGGCATTTCCTCTGCTTGCTGGCATTCATTCTCTCTCCTGCCATCCTCTGAAGAGGTGCCTTCCACCATGATTGTAAGTTTCCTGAGCTCTCCCCAGCCATGTGGAATTGTGAGTCTTTATACTGTGAGTTATAAAGAAAAACCTCTTTTCTTTATACATTACCAAGTCTCAAGTATTTCATCATAACAGCATGAGAATGGACTAATACAACTCCTCATCTGGCTTTCTCTCATCCACACCTATCTCCCTCTCTAATTTATCCTCCACAATATAGCCAGAGTAATTCTTTTTAAATGCTCATATGGTCTTTCTCCCTTTTTTCTTAAAATACCTTAAAAACTTACTTTGGGCTTAACATAAAATCAAAATGTTCAGCACGGTTTCAGATCCAACAAGATCCAGACCTGGCTGAACTCAGGGGACACAGACTCCCTCACCTTCTGTGCCCTGGGCACATTAGTCTTCCTTCAGGTCCTCACAGATGCTGTGCTCCTCATGCCAGGACCATGGTACACGTTGTCCTGGCTCACTGTGTGCCTGGTTGACTCCTACTCATCCTTTGCATCACAGCTCAAGGGTTACTTCTTCACAAGGTTCTTCCCAATTCTTCAGCCTCAGTCAGGTCTCTCAAGACTCCCAACTTATTTCCCTCATCATACAGATCCCAATCTGTGATTACATAGTTTTGTGTGATTATTTCTAATTAATGTCTAATTCCTCCACTATTATATTATCAGTACCAGTACAGTGCCAGCTGACACTCAATGAGTATTTGTTGAATGAGTAAATGAATGAGTTTACAATTTCAGAAAATAGAATGTGTTACCTTAGAAGAAAATCCACACTATGTGGAATGCTTCGAAAAGGACATGCAGTTTTGAATGATTTCATAATATTACTTTGTTTTCTACTCCATGAGTAATTTCATGTTAAGTAAAAATATTCTGTGGTTGAAAACTCAATAAATTAGTATGATTTACAATAGGAACAACAAAAATTTAACTTTCTAGTATTGATGAGGTTCTTTTCTGAGTATATAACTTTAAGCTGATTTCTATTTATTAGTAAAAAGATGATATTTTAATGTGCTTTTCTGCTTATCTAGATTTACAATATTTAAAAATCTTTGCTCTTCAAGTTTCATTTTTTCCTTTAAGGATTTTCAATCAAAAAGTTTAGTAATGAAGCATATATACAGTTCATGAACATGAACATATTTTAAGACTTTTGGGAAACACTCAAAACAAAAGCTATTTTGAGAATTAGGAAATAGCTTGTCTGAATATTGCCAAGTGCATTTGGAATAACCTTTTTGTGGGATGCAATAAAAAAGAAAGACGAAAACTTCAACATTCTCAGTTCAAGGTTACAAGGGAATGTGAACAAAAAGTGTTTCTCATTCTGTTAACACTTGGACACACAGAACATAAAAACAGTGTCTTCTTTCATTTAAAAAAATTTGAAACACACACAGGGAAACTTTGACCTTCTTGCCTTTTAGCTTCTCTGAGAGAGTTCTGCATAAATTTTGACCCCTTTTTCTCCTGTCCAACTTTTTACTGTGTATTTAATGAGCTTTGGATACCTATGCATCCCAATATATCCATAATGAGTTGGCAGTGGGAGAGGAAGAACAGGCCTGCAGATGCTGCTTCTATAATGGACAATGCTGTTGTAATGTCAGGACTTCCCTCTCAGCTGCAAACTGAAGGAGAAGGAAAATGTTTCATTCATGACACATTAAACACAAATACCATTTTTATTTGTTTGTTTGATTGTTTTTATTTTTGTAGAGACAGGGTTTCACTATGTTGCCCAAGCTAATCTTGAACTTCCGTTCTAAAGCGATCTTCCAGCCTCAGTTTCCTAAAGTGCTGGGATCACAACTGTAAGCCACCATGCCTGGCCAAAATACCCTTTTTAAAAATAGAAGGGTGCTGGCAGAGTCAGACCAAACAATTTGTCAGGGCAACAGCAAATTTTTAGGCAAAGATGACTCCAGCTCTTAAGAATTAGGAACCTGGCCAGGCGCGGTGGCTCACGCCTGTAATCCCAGCACTTTGGGAGGCCGAGGCTGGCGGATCATGAGGTCAGGAGATTGAGACCATCCTGGCTAACACGGTGAAACCCCGTCTCTACTAAAAAAGTACAAAAAATTAGCCCGGTGTGGTGGCGGATGCCTACAGTGCCAGCTACTCGGGGGAGGCTGAGGCAGGAGAATGGCGTGAACCCAGGAAGCGGAGCTTGCAGTGAGCCAAGATCGCGCCACTGCACTCCAGCACGGGCAACAGTGCAAGACTCCGTCTCAAAAAAAGAAAAAGAAAAAGAAAAAGAATTAGGAACCTTATTCTGAACATCTGTATCTTAATCAAATGTTTTGCTCCATAATTAAAAACTCAGAGCCTCAGGTACTATTTTGTTCCTATGCAATCTGCCAGCTAATGTAATAGTGTTATAAGAATTTTAAATAAGTAGATAAAATAAATTAAGGATTTAAAATAAAATAAAAATGTGTTTCAGGAGTGATTGCAGAGAGAAAGAACGTTACACAGTCTGGACCCCAGACCCAAAGGGAATTTAGAGTTTAAACCAAACATAGTGTGGCTGGCGCCCCTACTGGACAAGTGAGGCACTGCACATGCAGCGGGTTGGGCCTGGGTAATACCTACCTACCTGGAGAAGTAAAAATTCTCGCATGCCAGTGGCGTGCGTCTGAAGTCCCAGCTACTCCAGAGGCTGAGACGGAAGGACAGCTTGAGTCTGGGAGATGGAGGCTGAAGTGAGCCGAGAGTCCCCCACTGTGCTCCAGCCTGGGCGACAGAGTGAGACACTGTCTCAAAAAAAAAAAAAAATGCCAGGACCTGGGCCCTAGAGTCAGGGTATTTCCTAGAACCACAGTGCCAGTATGGTGCAGTAGAACAGAACAGTTGCAGAGGGGAGAACTGAGAGTGAAGAAGAAATCCAAAAATTGTTACTATGTACTGGATTAAAAGGAATTATCCTGTGAAAGCAAAGACTCCCAGCTTGTGTCTGTCTTGGAGCCGACTGGACAGTCTGCCTCTTCTTTGCCTAATGCTTCCCCTTTATAGCATTTGGGCAAACTTTCTCCTGTAAAAATACATCTCAGTTTTTAGAAAAGAACTTTACAGCAAATAATCCAGCTCATTCATTATGACCTAAACCCAGACATGAGGAAAATACATTTATTCAATATGGTACCAAATATTATTAAATGTATTTGTATTAGTCCATTTTCACACTGCTATAAAGAAATTCCCTGACGCTGAGTAATTTTTAAAGGAAAGAGGTTTCATTGACTCACAGTTCTACATGGCTAGGGAGACCTCAGGAAACTTACAATCATGGCAGAAGGGGCAGCCAGCACCTTCTTCGCAAGGTGGCAGGAGAGAGAGAGAAAAGCCCAGGGGAAAGTGCTGTTTATAAAACCACCAGATCTCGTGAGAACTCACTCACTGTCATGAGGACAGCATGTGGGAAACCGCTCCCATGATCTAATCACCTCCTACCACGTGGGGATTATGAGGATTACAATTCGAGATGAGATTTGGGTGGGGGCACGGCCTAAACCACATCAGTATTAAATATGCTACTGAATAGAAATAAATAGACTTATTTAGTATACTATTAAATGTGTAAGTCAATACACTTATTCCATGCACTATTAATTTTATAAATTAAAAAATATACTACAGCAAGAGGCTGAAAGAAAGCTAAGTAATTTTTTTAGAAAATCTGAAGACATTTTACTTATAATTCACAAAGCACAAACATTGTGTATAGCAACAGAAGCAAGCTGTGATAGGACAGAGCTAATGAAAAACCAACGATAATCTCAGATTGCCCAAGAAACTATAGCAACTCATCAAAAATAGAGTATCTTCCCTAATTTTAGCCTTTTTGGAAGTAGCAGTAGGCTAACCTCCTTCAACTGATGAGAAAACCATAGCCCAGCCTCCTGGGATCACAGCTACTTGAGCAGCAAAACAAGGAATAGAACTCCCGTCATTTTAAGGCACCAAAAATCAAGATCTTTACTCAAGATACAGTCTCCATCCTATGAGTTTGCTCCCAGAAATCTCATTTTTCTAAAATCTTTCCCATCTTTGAAAGTGGTCATTAAATCAGCTACTTTTTCAGACTTTTGTAGTACATAGTATATATCTGTTTCTACTTTAATTATGTATTAGTATTTTAATGATTGAATAATTAATTTTCATATGAAATAAATAAGTTAAAATCTGTACTGGTTAAAATAAACTTATGTAATCAATAGACCTGGACATTTTAGTCAGTTAAAAGCAATAGCAATTTATTTCTCACATATGTAGCAGCAGAGGGCTCGTATTCATACTAATGGGCCTCTCTCCTCAACCTGCTGTGTGGCTGTCCTATCTTCTAGTGATGCATTATCATCTGTATCCAGTGGGCAGAAACTGGAGAAGAGCATGGAAAACCCCACAGGTGCACTTATAAAAAGCCTCAGCCAGCCCAGATGTGACACAAGTCACTTTCACTCAAAAGCCAAGGAAGAATGGGAACTGAAGTCTTAGCATTTGCCTGGCAGTATTCCCTTCACTAAAGCAGAGGAGAGACTGGACTCAGGTAGATAGCTGACAACCACAGCCATTCTCTCAAATCCAGTACTTAAGGCTTATGTCTTAGTCAATAAGGTAAAAAGAAAATCAATAAGGTAAAAAGTCAAATCTCAGAAAAATGCTGAGGTTTTTTCCTTGTACTTACTTAATCCACCCATTATTTATTAAAGGCTTGTGCTGAATGCCATAATAATAAATCCTGGACTTCACACAACTTATATAAATTAGCAAAGAATATAAGACTGTGCAATTAAAGTTACACAAATAAGATTTTTTTAAATCAAAAGCATACTCAGATTGAAATGAACTTTCAGTATCACCCAAAGCACAAAATTACTACTTAAAAGAAAGTAATCAGTCAATAATACACATTCCCTGAACATATGGTTTGCACAAGACACTGTTCTGCAATGCTCTGAGTACACACAAGTATAGTATTTGCATCCTATTAGTTCCTCTCTAATTGTGGAACTAATCATTGAAGGCAGTCTATGATTTCTTTTTCAATTTTAAAATCAGCAATGCTGCTGCCACACCTCTGAGGTAAGGTCATTTCCTTGTTACATGTAACCTTGCTCTCTTTTCAGTTTTTAATTCTATTTTGATTATTTTTATTTATAGAGTTCACCTGTCCTGAACACACTACTTCTTCATCGAATATATCAGGTATATATAATCCAGTCTTTGTCTCTTCTATCACCATGTCTTGTAGACAAAGCAAGGAATGCCACAGTCTTGGTCTAATTACAGCTTAGCCTAATGAGTACACGCTGAGCGGTATAAGCCCAAATCAACAGGCCACCCACCAAGAGAGTAAAAAGAAGACCCTGAGTCCTCCCACAGAGACCTGGAAGAGCTTCTGATGGAAACAGGAGATAATTGTGTTTTGCCATTGGCAAATGCATATAGCACCTAGCACAGCAATACATATGATTTAGTGTTTAATATATATTACTGAAAGTGTGATAACGAAAAGAAAAATAGTGATTTGACAGACATACAGCCCAGTGTCTTCCTCCATACTTTCTCCCCATATTTCTAAAGGAGGAATTCTAGGAAGAAACTAGTGGAGAAAAAATATATAGTCACTTACATTAGGCCACTTATATTTGACTGGGGCTTTTCAAACTAAGATTCAAGACACATTTAAATTAAAAGGTTGTGAGCCTCTAAGTGGATTTCAAAATATTTAAAAATGTATACCTTTTTTCTACTACCTTGTAATGATCTAGGCAGTTTTTCACTTCACAGAATTCCTGGTTTGTTTTTAATGTTAAATTTTGCCAATTGGAAGCAAGTAAACACTTGCGGATGTGCTACAGATAAGTGAGTCTCGAATGGGAGCTGATAGAAGAATATCAGAATCTCTGCAGAGATAATGGAGCTAGGAATGTGTAGTTTGGAAAAACTCCCCAAAATGATTCTACAACTCCCCCACCCTCACCCTCATTTAGAACTACTGTTTGAGCTGTTACTTCATAATGAGATCAAACTGCTGTCATAGATGTGGAACACCAAGACAAGTGGCTAGAAACCTTGTACATGAAAACAGCGGCCCACCCAAAGTTTGTCTTTTCCTAGGAAGTTATAGAGAAATGAGGAGGTAACAGAAGAGCAGTCAATAAAAGAAAAATTTCTTTAAAAGACATATGGGTGGGATGAGAACGAATGATTCTTACTTTATCTGTAGAAATTGAATTTTGCTGCAACTAAGAGAGACCTCGAAAATAGTGATTTACACAAATAAAATTTTGTTCCATCAAGAAAACTGATATTCAGCAGTCCAGGCTGATGCAGTGGCTTCAAGAGCTCTTCAGCAACCCAGGCACCTTCCAGGTCTTCTTTCCCAATTCTAGTGCTAGTAACTCCTTCATCTCATCACCCAACATGGCTACCAGAGCTCCAGACATCACGTGTACATCTGAGTTCCAGGAAACCAGACAGAGGGAGAAAAGAAGGGCATGCACGCTCACTTTAAAGAAGACTTCTAAGAAGAACCACCTAAAATTCCCCAACCTAGTCCCAAAGCTCACTTGGCTGCTTTCAAGCCTGGAAAATGCAGTCTTTAAGCTGAAAAATGCTATGACAAAATCAGGTATTTATATTAAAGAAAGGAGAAGGATAATTGGGAGATAACAGTTTCTGCCTTAGAGACCTTTAACAACCTCAGAATCAGTCATAAAATTAAATTTATATGACATACATGTAAATTAGAAATATATATGAATTCACATTCATTGGAAATCATTTGGAAAAAAGCTAATCCAAAATTTGGGGTTGTATGAGATTTATATCAATCAAATGTCAATGTAAAAGACTGACATAAAGTCGGTCAGGTTAGGATCAATAACCGTATTTTCTCCTTAGCAGTAAGTCTCATTCTTAGTCTCAGACTTTAAATTATTTGTAATTATTTTTTCATATAAATTCAATGATTTACCTTCAACTTTTTCTAAGCATCCAAAACTGACCTGAAGCCCTGATGCTTCAAAGTTAACTTATAGTTCTGTGATTTGTCAAGTATAAAACAGGACTTTCTCCATTGTTTCAGATAAACAATACATTCACGTTTTTTGATAATTAGGTATCTCCTATCTGATTTTCACAACCTAATAATTAGTGACTGCCCAACACTAAACAATATCTTAAGAATATAAATAGTTCAATAGATGATGGTGAGAAGAGTGATATTAAAGATAATAATTTATAAAGGTAGCATGAAGCCAAATATTAAACAAATAAATAACAAATTTTTAACTGTCTAATATATTTAGGGACTTTAATGAGTGATTAGGTCATCTTTGATATGAACACATCTTAATTATTGAAATAATACTCAACAAACTCCTTCCTTACTCAATTTGGCTTTGTAAATTTTCATTAGATTTGAAATCCATATGGATGGAACTCGCAAGAAATATGAGTTTAATTGAGGAGTTTCAGTGAAAGAAAATTCTTAAGAAAAAAGAAATGAATTAAATAGAGCAACTTCAGTGTAAAAAACTTCCAGGATCTTGTCCTACACCCTACTCACTTCCATTGACATACCCTAGCCTTTGCCATTACCAATTGCAGCCTTTCTAGAATCTCAATTTTAAGCAGCCCATTCTCTGACCAACAGCTTCTGTTTTTGCAATGTATTCCTTCTACTTCTCCAACTTCACCAATCCATTCACAGTACCGCCTTCTCACTGTCTCTCAGTGCCCCCAGTTCCTCACATCTCTCCTTACCCACCTAAAATTCCATGGTTGTTCACTGTAATTTCTCCCCTGAATACACACCCAAACACTTCATCCTCCTTTGCCTTGTCGAATTTGCTAGGAAAACCTCCAACCATGGTTATATGCATCTTTCCATCACTCCACACTTACATTACATCCAACTGAACATAGATGGAGAAAAACACACAACTATGCCAAATCTCTAGCAGCTCTTTCCCCATCCTCACTCTCAGTGGATGACCTGGCTTCCATTTTTAATGAAAATAACAGAAGCAATCAGAAGTTCTACAAGCTCTCACCCCACACCCATCTATATCCTCATACTTTCCTTCCCGTCCTCTTCCTGTAAACGGACTGTATGTGGTCCTTCATCTCCATTTGTGTACCATATCCCATCTCTTCTGGCCTATTAAATGACATGTCTCCAGCAATTCTCCCTCCCTCTTCTGCCTCATCAACTGTTTTTCCTCTCTTGGATCACTTCATTAGCAAATCAGTAGGTTTTCACTTTACCCATCTTACCAAAAAAAAAGCAAAACACAAACACCTTTTTGCCCCATTTCCTTCCTCAGTATATTAGTCCATTTTCATGCTGTTGATAAAGACTTACCAGAGACTAGGAAGAAAAAGAGATTTTAAGGGACTTATATATATATTTCCACATGGCTAGGGAGGCCTCACAATCATGTCAGAAGGCAAAGAGGCACAAGTCACGTCTTACATGGATGGCGGCAGGCAAAGAGAGAGCTTGTGCAAAGAAACTCCCATTTTTAAAACCATCAGATCTCATGAGACCCATTCACTATCACAAGAACAGCATGGGAAAGACCTGTCCCCATGAGTCAATCATCTTCCACCAGGTCTCTCCCACTGGCTGCCTCCCACAATACATGGGAATTATGGGAGCTACAAGATGAGATTTGGGTGGGGACACAGAGCCAAACCATATCACCCAGCTATCACTCTCTGCTCCATATTACAGGAAAACTCCTTGAAAGCGTTATCTATATTTGCTGTCTCACTCTTCTCCTGCCATTCCGTCCTGAACCCATTTCATTCAGGCTTTCCTACAGACCACTTTGTCTAAGCTGCTCCTGTCAAGGTCATTGGTGACCTCCACATTGCTGCATCACAAAGTCAATTCTCAGTCTTGACCTCACTTGATGTATCAGTACCATATGACAAGCTTATCATTCTTGAGATACTTTGTTCACTTAGCTTCCAGGATAATATGCTCTCCTAGTCTTCCTCCTCTTTTACTGCTGCTCCTTCTCAGTCTCATTTGTTCATTGTTGGAATACTCCCAACCTCAGTTCCTGGGCTTCTTATACATCTATACACTCCCTTGGTAATTTTGTTCAATCTCAGGCTGAAGACTCTCAAATGTAGATCCTTATCCACGACCTCTCCCTTGAACTCCAGCTCTTTATAGACAACCAGCTACTTGACAGTTCCACTTGGATGTCTAATAAGGCATCTCAAATCTCACTTACCTAAACTGAAACTCCTGGTCTCTCCATACACATCCAACACCTGCTCTTCTAGCAGACATCTCCATCTCAGTTAATGCCAACCCTATCTGTATTGGTCAGGCTCAGCTGGGTTCTGCTGAAGCAATAAACGAACTTAACACTGTACCAGCTTCCAAAAGCAAAGGTTTATTTCTTGCTGCCTATCTTCTGCCTGTCTCCTATAGTTGCCATCCACATCAGCTTTACTCCAGGAGCCAGAATTACAGAATAACCTTTATCTGGAAAATTACTGGATTTGTGGCAAAAGGAAAAATGACACACGAACCAAGTGCTGGCTCTTAAAGCTTCTGACCACTTCTATTGGTCAAGCAAGTCACATGGCTTCCCATTTTCCACAGGGCAGAGGTGTATTGTCCCCTCACGGGAAAGGAGCCTACATCTAGTGAAACTAAAATATTTGGTAAACAGTAAAACAGTCTACCACACTGGTCCCCCAGTTGCTCTGGCTAAAACTCTTGGCTCCTCTCCTGTTTTCAAATCAAATCCATCAATAGATCTACCACTTCTAGGTTTGAGCATCCTGGTCCATATGCCATGTACAGGTTTCTATCTGGTCTTCCTGTTTCTACCCTTTCCCCACTAGCCTATTCTCCAGATAGTGGACAAAAGTGAACATTTTATATATTTATTTATTTTAGTTATTAAAATGTGAGTTTAATTATCTTCTTTTGGAATTCTACAACATTATTTGATAATTTTTTTCAACTTTTATTTTAGAATCAGGGATATATGTGCAGGTCTAATCATACCTTTGTAACAAAGGTATGATCTGAGGTTTGGAGTACAAATGAATCCGTCATCCATGTACTGAGCATAGTAGACAATAAGTGGTTTTTCAGTTCTTGCCCCTCTTCTTCCCTCCTCCCACTTGTATTCCCCAGTATCTATTGTTCCCATCTTTAAGTCCATGAGTACCCAATATTTAGTTCCTACTTATAAGTGAGAACATGCAGTATTTAGTTTTCTGTTTCTGTGTTAGTTTGCTTAGGATAATGGTTTCCAGCTGCATCTGTGTTGCCACAAAGGATATGATTTAATTCTTTATGGCTGCATAGTATTCCATGGTGTATATGTACCACATTTTCTTTATTCAGTCCGCCATTGATGGCCACCTGGGTTGATTCCATGTCTTTTCTATTGTGAATACTGCTGCAATGAACATATGGGTGCACGTTTCGGTAGAACCTGTGGGTATATGTACTGTAATCAAATTGCTGGGCCCAATGGTAGTTCAACTCTTAGTTCTTTGAGAAATCTCCAAACTTCTCTCCACAGTGTCTCAACTAATTTACATTCCCACCACAGTGTATAAGTAAGTGTCAACGTGATCATTTTAAAACACAAGTCAGATTCTGTTGTGCTTCTTCTCAAAAGTGTCAAATGGCTCCCCCTCTCACTCAGGGTAAAAGCCAACATCTCTCCAACAACCTTGTAAATTCTGACATGATCCTTTCATCCATCACCTCCCTGACTCCATTGCTTCTTCTTCATCTCCAGTTCACTCTCTTCCAGCTATGCGGACTGCTCTGCTGTCCTCAAACAGACCAAGTACATTCCAGCCTCAGGACATTTGCACTTGTAATTTCCCCTTCCTGGAACGTACTTCTCCCAGATTTCCATATGGCACACCTCCAATCCTCTTCAGGTATTTGCTCAGATGCCACTTTTTCAGTTTGTCTGTATTTGTCAATCAATTTAAGATTTTACCCCCATCCCTCACCCTGAAACTCCCCCTTCTCTTTCTGTCTTAATTGTTTCCATAGCACTCATCCCTGTGCAATTTTCTGGTGTATTTTTTTTATTGTCTCTCTATTCCACTAGAATATAAACTCCTTGACTGTATGGACTTTTGTCCATTTTATTCATTATTGTAGCCCTAACATACTTTATCTGGATCAATTGACAATAAACATTTATTTAATGAATAAATTAGTGAATGATTCAAACTATAGAAAGCTTTGAAAAACTCAAACATAGAAAGATGTAACTTAAAGAAACAGAAGAAAATATAGTAAATATTAATAAATATTGTGCATTCACACAAACCCAAGAAGCTTGCTGGGTTATCTGTCCCAAACTAGAGAAAATGAAAAGAATCCGAGTGGGGAAATAACACTAAGGAAAAGCACTAAAAGTGTTACTTCTAAAACTATAATATTAATGACCAAGGCAAAACTCTAAAGTTCCCTGTTTCATTTATTACAAAATGCTTAATTTAAATTCCAATTTGAAAGTATATATATTTTAACTATTTATCTCTGCCAAAGCAAAAATGTAGTAGACTATCTCATAAATAGCTGTGCCACTCTAAGTGGTCAATCAAAATTTACTTCACTTCTGATTCCAGACTAAAAAGAAAGCCTTTTGGCTAGATTAATTATCTGCATCCTAGGCTGGTATTGTCTGAGAGCAGGGTTTCTCAACCTCAGCACTATTCACATTTGTGGGCTAAGTAATCCTTGTAGGAGGATACTCTTTGCATTATAGAATGTTGAACAGCATACCTGGCCTCTACCCACTAGATGCCAGTAGCACTTCCCCAGTTGTGACAACAAAAAATGTTTACAGACATTACCAAATATCTTCGGGGTGGAGGAGGGAAAGGGACATAATCATCTTTTCAGAACCACTGCCCTAGAGTATTACAATGCCCATCAAGGCAGCATTCCTGTATGGTTTCAGGTTGTGACCCATAAAATGCTCTGTGGGATTATTAGGAATTATTGCACCAAACTAGGCAAGCAGATTCTAAAAGTATGATTTGGGGAAATAATGAAAAGGTTCCCCTTGAAATAAAGCACTCCTGATTTTTTTTTCCTTAAAATTACTTTCTCTTGGAAGTGTAGAAAGATGTTGCCTGGAAGGCGTAACTTATTATTAAGGCATATTGGCCATTAATGCTTTAATGATGGCCTAGGAACAGAGCTCAAAACCAAGAGGAAAGACAAAAGAAGTTTTAACAGAGAGAATGAAAGAAAATTCTAGAACATGAGATGGAGGCTCTACAGTGGGTAATCTTATTTCACGAAATACATGAGGTTTCTGGACTCATGGTAAGAAGGAGAAGATTACTCTCTGAGGGAAAATTCTGCATGTCAACAATGTATTTAGAAATGGCTCTGCTAGTAACCTCAACTGAGGAAAAAATAAAACTGAAGTGATCAATTAAAACTAATATGATAGTTTTTAATCAATATAAATAACTAATTTTATTATTTTTATAGTCTGTACTAACATTCAAGTTTAAACGAATTGAAAATGAAATTATTCAAAACTAATAGGAACTCTGACATAAGTACATTAGTCAAATCTGAAATACTTTTGAAAACTTTTAAATGAACTCATCAAGTATCAAAACTTTTTTAAAATATCTTCTTAAGCCTTTTATATCTAAAAAAAACTTTTGTTTCCCTTTTCTGGCAACTGGTAAATTCTCAAACTTAATGTTAAAAAAAGAAATGAGTAAAATAACTGATTATGCCAGAGAGGAGCCCTTCCTCTGAGCAGAACAACCAGCAATGCTGGCTCAATTCTTCTTCTGGAAACCACAAATAAGAGTTACTAGACAGATATTTAAAGCATTTGAAGATTTTCAATAAATCAACTTTTAGCTCTTTATAAAGAAAGTATATTATCAACATCAGAGAAATGCAAATTAAAACCACAATGAGATACCATCTCACACCAGCAAGAATGATGATTATTAAGAAGACAAAAAATAACAGATGTTGGTGAGGATGCAGAGAAAAAGGAACTCTCATACACTGTTGGTGGGAATGTAAATTAATACAACCTCTGTGGAAAACAGTATGGAGGTTTCTCAAAGAACTCAAATAGAACTACGATTCAATCCAGCAATCCCACTACTGGGTATCTATCCAAAGGGAAATAAATCAATATATCAAAAAGATACCTGCACTCATATGTCTATTGCAGCACCATTCACAATGACAAAGATAGAGAATCAATCTAAGTGTCCATCAATGGATGAACAGATAAAGGAAATGTGGAATATATACACAATGGAATACTATTCAGCCATTTAAAAAAAGAATGAAATCATGTCCTCTGCAGCAACGTGGATGGAACTGGAGGTCATTACCTTAAGCTAAACACTCCAGGAGCAGAAACACAAATATCTCATGTTCTCACTCATAAGTGAGCGCTAAAAACAAAAAAAAAAATGTGTTAACATGGACATAGAGAGTAGAATGATAGATAATAGACACTTGGAAGGGTGAGGGGGTGTGAGGGAGGATGATTTGAAATTAGTTAATAGGCACAATGTACGTTATTTGGGTGATGAATACCCTAAAAGCCTGGACTTGACGGCTACACAATCTACGCATGTAACAAAATTGCATGTGTAGCCCATACATTTGTACAAATTACAAGAAAAAAAATATTATTAAATTAGTGATTCTGTATTTCTTTCTCTCCAATGAAGACATTCTAGCATTGAAATACGTATGGTTCCTATAATTTAAATCCATTTTTCAATTCTACATTGTAACTGGAAGAACTGGTGTAAATAAATCTAAATGCACACATCATTAGAAACTTTATTCCAGTTTCCAGAGTAATTTAAATCTTCTCAACTCCACCTGACTTTGTACTAGAGCTATATTCAGGGAGTAGAATTGATTTGTTTCATTTTTCTATCCTCATACTGAAAAAATACACAAATTAATTACAAGACCAAAAGTAAAAAGTTAACGACATTTTTTAAAACTTCATGTTATCTCTTGAGTCCACAAATTGGATAACTGTTCTCTAAAATTAAATACTAGTCACAATTATATGTACCTTAAAGTACTCTTAGACTAACATCTAAATAGAAATGTATAAGCCAAAAGAATATTTGCCTTCATCTGTTTTAAAAACTCTTAAAATATGCTTTTGTTTAATATATGCCACTTTGATATGTTTACTTTTTTTTTTCTTTGAAATGGAGTCTCGCTTTGTTACCCAGGCTGGAGTGCAGTGGTGCGATCTCACCTCACTGCAACCTCCACCTCCCAGGTTCAAGCAATTCAAGCGCCTCAGCCTCCCAAGTAGCTGGGTTTACAGGTGCATGCCACAATGCCCAGCTAATTTTTTGGTATTTTTGGTAGAGATGGGGCTTCACATGTTGGCCAGGCTGGTCTTAAACTCCTGGCCTCAAGCGATCTGCCAACCTTCGCCTCCCAAAGTGCTGGGATTACAGGCGTGAGCCACCGCACCCCAGCCTATGTTTACATTTTATACTATAGTTACAAATTAGTTTTAAAGGGAGAAAAAATATAGCTCATCCATCAGTAGAGTGAATTAAGGCTTTCAGTTTAAGAAGAAAACTATGAACACAGCCCAAGCTCTCAAGTATCCATTTACAGAGGATCTTCCATTTTTCTGCCAAAGCTGATTTTTTTTTTTTTTTTTTTGAGACGGAATCTTGCCCTGTCACCCAGGCTGGAGTACAGTGGAGCCATCTCGGCTCACTACAAGCTCTGCTTCCTGGGTTCACGCCATTCTCCTGCCTCAGCCTCCCGAGTAGCTGGGACTACAGGCACCCGCCACCACGCCCGGCTAACTTTTTATATTTTTAGTAGAGTTGGGGTTTCACTGTGTTAGCCAGGATGGTCTCGAACTCCTGACCTAATGATCTGCCTGCCTCGGCCTCCCAAAGTGCTGGGATTACAGGCGTGAGCCACTGTGCCCGGTCTCAAAGCTGATTTTTCTAGAAACTGTGTTAAGAAACAGAGCAAAAACAAACATGCAGCAGTTTCCTACCAAATGGCTTACAATGTGCATATTCTTGAGTGATTTTAAAAGTCTCAGCTTTTATTTAGTTGTATTTCCAACTGTTTAGTTAATCTTTATTGACTTGTGCATAACTCTCAGGAATAGGAATGTATCTGGGAATGGAGAGAAGTTTCCTGGTGCACTCAAATGAACTGTTTACTTCTTTTGCTAACTCTCACATCTGGTTAGGGATCTAGAAGTTTCTAAGGACCAAAAGAGTCACCTGGAATAGTGTGCCCAGGGGAATGGGTTACGTTGTTTGGGTATGTGTCGTATTTGAATCATAGAAAGAGCTTTCTTTGTTTTATTTTAGTTGATACTAGCCAGTTCTATTGCTTGTCGCTAGCATTAAAAACTAAGAGCCCTGAAAAAGGTACACAACATTCCGTAAGGGAGGAAGAATGAACCAGACCAGCCATGAGATGCGTGGCACAGTGCAAATACAAGTTAAGAGGATGCTGTGACTAGCTGAATACCAGAACCAGTAAGGCAAAGGTAGTTTGGTTGCATGGTGACAACATATTTAAACTCAAAACTCTTTAATCTGAATTAGCAATACTCACATCCTTGCCAAGCAAAAGCAAAGCATAAAACAAAAATAAACTTGTGCTGTGTTTCCTATCTCAGATAATATTACAAACTCAAGCCACTTTATCTCCAATTTCTAGCTCCCTAGACCTTCACGGCCATTAGTCAGCATGTGTTGTCTATCATACCTCAAAATGTTTATCAAGTAAATACTTTCCTCTCCATTTTCATTGTCACTGCCTTGTTTTCAGCTTTATCCTTTTTCCAGTCACATATCACGACAGTCTCCACCAAGCAACCTATACTCCTGCTTCAATAGACTATTTGCATGTACCAGAAGCACCAAGTATTCTCTGGCTGCTCTTTGAGATGACGCTGTGTTACCTCTATTCATCCTTCAAGATCACCCACACCCCTTAATTCTAGAAGAATTAGCCCTTGTCTTTTTAGCATCCTCCTAGTCCTATATTGTCATAGCATTACCACGTGCATTACAATTAAAAGACGATAATTTGTATCTCTCCTAATACAAAATGACTTCTATTGAGGGCAGGACTTGTCTTATGCAACTTTCTATATTTAGCCCCTTTAACAAAGCTCAGCACCTGATTTTAAAAAATCAATAATTCGTTTAGTTTAAATAATCAACTGACCACAGAACAATTGATTAACCAATAAAGCACTTAAAATTAGCAATTTGAGGTAAATCTATTCATTGATAACTTACATAAGATTTAGTTTGGTTTCAATGTTTTTCACAATCTTTATCCATGCTTTATGATGCCCTCATAAGTATCAATTCATGTTAGAAGAAATCAAGGAAGAAATTACAGTAAAATCTTCATTCTTATCATGTGTGCTTGATAAACCACCACGTTCCTCATCTTAAACAGCAGGTAGTTCCTGGGGTCATGGACCTTACACCATCTCAGCATTCAAATGAGTGTTATTCAAAAAAAAAAAAAAACACAACTTCACACAACATTTGGACAATGTCAGAAAGAAAAATTGATACTAAGAAAACAATAAATTCACTTCCTAAATGTTGAACCTGCTCTTAATTTTATATTAACTTTTATTTCACCAAATAGAAGAGTTTTTCATATGCCATATACATTTATATTTTCATCAAGAATAAGAAGCATCATTTGGCTAGAACTGTAATTACATTTTCTTTTCCTCAACATGATAAAAGTGTTGAAGTAGTTTTCCTAAGTGCTGTATAAAACCAGTTAAGAAACCAGTTTCCCACCCGCTTTAGACTTTAAATGATGAGCAGCCAATATGAAGTTCCAAATACATACAAAAATTATTTAAGAATTTACAGAGTAAACAGACAACCTACAGAATGGGAGAAAATTTTTGCAAACTATGCATCTGATATCCATCATCTATAAGGAACTTAAAGGTCTAATATCCAGCATCTATAAGGAACTTAAACAAATTTACAAGAGGTAATAAATAAACAACCTCATTAAAAAGTGGGCAAAGGACATGAACAGATGCTTCTCAAAAAAAGACACATGTGGCCAACAATCATATGAAAAAAAAGCTCAGCATCACTGATTATTAGAGAAATGCAAATCAAAACCACAATGAGATACCATCTAACACCAGTCAAAATGGCTATTATCAAAATGTCAAAAAATAACAGATGCTGGCAAGGTGGTAGAGAAAAAGGAATGCTTAGACACTTTTAGTGGGAGTGTAAATTAGTTCAATCATTGTGGAAGATGGCGTGGTGATTTCTCAAAGACCTAAAGGACAGAAAGATCATCCAACCCAGCAATCCCCTTACTGGATATATACACAAAGGAATATAAATCATTCTATTATAAAGACACGTGGACGCCTATGTTCATTGCAGCACTAGTCACAGTAGCAGAGACATGGAATCAACCTAAATGCCCATCAGTGATAGACTGGATAAGGAAAATGTGGTACTTATATACCATGGAATACTATGCAGCCATAAAAAAATGAGATCATGTCCTTTGAAGGAACATGGATGGAGCTGGAGGCCACTATCCTTAACAAACTATCACAGGAACAGAAAACCAAATACCGTATGTTCTCGCTTTTAAGTGGAAGCTAAATGATGAGAACACATGGACACGTAGAGGGGAACAACACACACTGGAGCCTATTGATGGTGGAGGGTGGAAGGAGGGAGAGGATCAGGAAAAATAACTAATGGGTACTAGGCTTAATACCCGGGTGATGAAATAACCTGTACAACAAACCCCCATGACACATGTTTACCTATGTAACCAACCTGCACATGTACCCCTGAACTTAAAAAAAAATTATAATGTCTGTAAATAATAGTAATATTTAACATTTAATACTATTTTATTATGAATGTCCTTTAGTTAATTATTTTTGGCCTCATTTTACAAATGAGGAAAAATAAGGAAAATAAAAGCTAAATAATGCGGGCACTGTTACACAACTAGAAGGTGGCAGAGCCTGGATTGAAATGCAGCTATGAATTCCAGAGTCCATGCATCTAATTGCAAAGTTTTGTAAGGTAAGTGTGGGAAAAGGGTAAGAAAGAGGAGGGAAGAGATGCTACCAAGCAGCTTAACCAAATAGTATTATTTAGTAACAACATGTGTTCTCTTTCAGTGTTTTTGTTCTTTCTATATTTAAACACTCCAGTGTAGTATACGTATATGGGTGTGTATATATACATATATATATAGATATATATATACATATATATATACATATATATAGATATATATATAGATATATATATACATATATATATAGATATATATATAGATATATATACATATATATATAGATATATATATAGATATATATATACATATATATATAGATATATATATAGATATGCACACATTTATTTTACTCTGAACTATCTAGGATGTTTTTTCTAGAAAGGAGAAATATACAAATATACAAAATGTACAAATACATTTTGAAGAGGAAAACAGTTTTAAAAGACTTTTAAGTATTCTAGAAATCTTAGAAATGACAAGTTTAGATATCATGAGATTAAAGAGAAATAACCGTGATTTTTTAAAAATGATCCTGGGAATGAAAGAGGTGGGTCTTCAATACACTAACATTTAAATTCTCAGCTTCAGGAGAAATTGAGTTTTCATTCATGCTCTGAACCCTCTTCCCTTGGCAATGAAGCCTCAGCATCCCTTTGCTTCTCCTGTGCCCTCAAGTGAGAACTGAGTTATGGCTGGCTGTCTCAGGAAGAAAATAACTATTACAAGACATAAGATGGGCTGGGGTGGGGGAGGGCTAAGGAAAGGCCTGCCATTTAGCTTGTAAAGTGCAGCAGCTGTGGCCTGTTTTCACTAATATCTGACATGTTTCTTTGGCCACTCGCCAAATTGAGCTGTACCCAACACTTCTCCCATCCTTCCTGTGCCTCCAGGATCCTTTGTAAATGCTACTTGAGACTCCAGTCTACTCCAAATCAATCCCCTTGGTTCCTTCCTCCCCTTAATGCACAGGCATCCCACCCTAATTAATTAACCCAACACCAGCTTCATCCAGGACCTTCCCACACTTTGCCCCTTCACGCAGCCCAGAAACATCAGCACATTCCTGACTTCATCACTTGTCAACTCCCTTTCTGTTAAAGACCAGTGTCCCCTTTCGCTGACCTGGCCTCTGATTTGATCTCACTTTAAAGTATCCCACTTTAAGAGACAGTAACAAATGCTGCCTTTTTCCTGTTTGGTTTGTTTATTCATGTTCACTCAGTCTATTATAATTAAAGACCAAGGGAATTCTAAGAAGAGCCCAGGAAGATGGTTTATGCATTTGATATGTGGATAAATCCAATACTGGATTTGTAACAAAGTTCACTTCACCTATTGCTAACTGTGTGAACTTGGGTGAGTTTCCTAAGCTCTTGTCATTCATTCAAATACTTATTGAGTGCCTGTTACTATGCCACGTTCTATTGTAAATGCTGATGCTGCAATTTAAACAGGGAAGCAAAAATACCTGCCCTCTGTGATGTTTATATCTTAAAGAGGAAAAGTAACTGTTAATAAATAGGTGGATTTAAAAATATAGACATTTAAGAAAAAATATAAGGAATGAGAGAAGAAGAATAGGGAGTGTCAAGATTAGGAGTAGAAAGGAAGGTAGCAACTTGGAATAGACCAGTCCCTAACTTCCTGATGCGATGTTTCACCAGGCCTGAGGTCATGCAGATAGCTGAGAAAAAAAAGCATTCCCAAAAGAGGAAACAGCAAGTGCAAAAGCCCTGAGACAGAAGAGTGTTGCCTGGCTTGTTGGGCAAAGAGACAGCTATGGCTGGCAGAGAACAAGAAAGCAGCAGCAGTTGATGTCAGAGTAACAGGGAGCTAGAACTCAGAGGGCCTTGTACATGATAATAAAGAGTGTGGATTTTACTTTGATAGAAATGGGAACTCACTAAAGGATACTGAATAAGAGTAACATGATTGGATTTACCTCTAAAGAATCTCAACTAACTCCTCTGTAAGAGTGTAGAATGTATAATAACAAGAGTGGCGAAGACTAGCCTGCCTGCTCAAATCCCAGTGCCACCACTTACTACCAGTGTGACTTTAAGCTAATTGTTTAACCTTCCTAAGCTTTGATTTTCTCATTTTTTCCTTTTTTTTTTCTTTTTTACAGAGGTAATCAAAAGTGTTCTCATTTTTAAGGTGGAATTGATAGTAGTTCCTCTTTTGTAAGGTTAAGAAAAAATAAATCAAATAGTGCATACTGAGGTGTTTAGCGCAGTGGATACCACCTAGAAAGCCTGACACACGCTGATATTATCAGGCTGGTGAGAATCAAGTTCTATAATGTATGTGCGGTATTTGCTTGTGTTGTCCAGCATAGTGGCATAGTGAGCACTTACATGTCATCTACTATCAGTTACTAGCATTACCAACTACTAACCCACTGGCTGTTTTAAAGTAATTTTGTACCTTTAAAAATTTTATAATATACCACCTTAAAAGAATCAGAATAGCAAAAGTTCACAGATAATTTTCAGATGTCTCTGAACCTTCTTATTCAAAGTACTCTGCAAAGCACTAGAAAGGCATATGTACTTGGGTAAAAGAGTAAACACACACTGTCTCTCTCTTTCTGTTTTATCATATATATAAAATAAAACAGAGATATACATAATTATCTATATATTAAACATATATATCTTTATGTATATATCTTCCCCTTTAAAAATTACTGATATATATAGAGAGAGAATTTTATAGATAATTTTTAAAGAAGGGGAAATTATCTATATATAGATAATATTTTAAAGAAGAGGAAAGAGTTAGTTAAGACAAGTTTCTGTGTGTTGCTGACCCCTGTTGGGTGGAAAAATTAAAATTGGTCTTCTGAAAGAAAGAAAAGTGAATTCTCAACTCCCTGTACATGATCCTGACCGGGAACCTACTCTCATCCATTTCACTGATTCCACGTGTATGGCCATGGATGGGGACATTGGAGGCCTACTGGTTCTTCGAAGCCCTACTGGTTCTTCGAAGACCTGCTTCATTACCCAAATGTTATGCAGCTCATACCTCATTTCTTTCCTGAGACCTAGACTACCTTAAACTGAGAGGGAGGATCTCATCTTTCTTTCCCTTGCCCACCATACTCACACACACAGACATACTGACATACTCCCAAAACAAACACATGTCCCCCAAGCTTAAGTCTCTTAGGAAACAACCACATATCCTAATCTGGTCTTGATAGTCAGCTCACGAGAACAAAGGAGAGGAAGATTAATGTAGAAACCTGCACTAAAGGCTGAGTACAGTGGCTCAGGCCTGTAATCCCAACACTTTAGGAGGCCAAGGCAGGTGGGTCACCTGAGGTCAGGAGTTCTAGACCAGCCTGGCTAACATGGCGAAACCCATCTCTACTAAAAATACAAAAGTTAGGTGGGTGTGGTGGCGGATGCCTGTAATCCCAGCCACTCGGGAGGCTGAGACAGGAGAATCGCTTGAACCCGGGAGGTGGAGGTTGCAGTGGGACGAGATTGCACCACTGTACTCCAGCCTGGGCGACAGAGCAAGACTCCGTCAAAAAAAAAAAAAAAAGAAAGAAAAAAACCTGCACTAGAATAAGTCCTAGTTCTTTCTTTTCTTTAAAGACAGACAAAATGCGATGTTTTAATTCTCATTTTACCTAATAATAAAGAAAAGATGTACCATTAAAATCAAGTAGGAAATTATCCTTGTCTTATTGTCACTTTTTTAAAAATTGTGCTATTCTGCACAGACCAGTTTCTCTAGAATGTTCCCTTGCTGACTTTTCCTCTAGTAGTATCAGTTATACCGAAAATCAGTCGTACTCTTACTTTATTTTACTGGGCACTATCAAACTTAACAGAAGAGGTATATAAAGGCAGGGAGAACTACCATTGATATAAGGCCTCTTCCGGACCGAAACGCGCAGCCGCACCTCTCTGTTCCGTCAGGTGGAATAGGCCCCCGACCCGGGATCTCTACCCAAAAGGAGGCGGTTAGAACACAGGTGTCCTATTCCCTTTAGTCCTCCATCCTTTACTAGACAAAGCTGCGCAATTAGAATAATAAAATGCAGCCGGGAGAAATTGTTAACGCTTGTAATCCCAGCATTTTGAGAGGCTGAGGCTGAAGGATCGCTTGAGTCCAGGAGTTCAAGCCTGCAGTGAGCTATGATCGGACCATTGTACTTCAGCATGGGCGACAGAATGAGACCCTGTCTTTAATAATAATAATAATAATAATAATAATAATAATAATAAATCCAAAACATCAAGAAATTGGTTGTGCCCTTTTAAAATACACTTAGAAGGGGAACGGTTAGAAATCTTAATTTCAGGGATATTTTACTCCTAAACCTATTCTTTTTGTTTTTGCAGAGATTGATCATGCCTACAATGACAACTGGAAAACAGAAATGAAACCATATAAGCCAAGCACTCACGCAATCTTTGTCCTCCCAGTTGACTTAAGAACACTTGTGAAGAAAATGTGGCGTCTTTAGATCTCAGGTAAGGGATCCGGAGCACTGTTTTTCCTGATACACCTCCATCCTGCAGGGTAGTTGGGAGTGAGGTGTGCTGAGAAGGAACAAGTTGTCCGCTTTAACTTGACAAGGCACGGCTTCCCCCGCCTCCTACTTGAAGTATTCTAGTTGCTGAAATAAATGTTCAGGTGTTTTGGGTTTTGTCTCTTCCAGCTCCGCCCGTCTGCGCCTCTCCAGCAGAGGGCGCCTTTTCCACTGGGTCTCACTGTGGGCTGCTGGGAGTTTTATTCGGTTTGGGCCGGGAAGGAGCTGTGCTGGATCCGCGCCCCCTGCCTTGGCGCCGCCTCTGGCCCCCTGAGCCGTGGCCCATCCCATGCAGAATCAATCGGGGCTCCTCACTCCCGCGCCTGCTCCCCGGGGGCTGAATCCGCCCGCCCGGGGGCCAGGTGCCGTTGAGATCCCAGGCGCTCCACCTGGAGGCCCTATCTGGATCGAAACTCGCACTCGCCCCGCCCTCTTGTTACCAGTTCTCTCCGGGCTTGTGGAAAGAGTTCCCCAACCCGGGATATATACCCGAGAGGAGGTTAGGACACAGGTGTCCTATTCCCTTGCATCCTCCATCTTCTCCTACTCTGTTACTCTCCTCTTTTGTTAGTTTGATGGTGCCCAGTGAAATAAAGCAAAAGAATACAACTGATTTTCAGTGTAACTGATACTACCAGAGGAAAAGTCAGCAAGGGAACATTCTAGAGAAACTGGTCCTGTGCAGAATAGCAAAATTTTTAAAAAATGACAATAAGACAAGGATAAATTCCTACTTGATTTTAACGGTACATCCTTTATTATTAGGTAAAATGAGAATTAAAACATTTCATCTTGTCCGTCTTTAAAGAAAAAAAGAACTAGCACTTATTCTAGTGCAGGTTTTGTTTTGTTTTGTTTTGAGACAGGATTTCGCTCTTGTTGCCCAGGCTGAAGTTCAGTGGCGCGATATCGGCTCACTGCATCCTCCGCCTTCTGGGTTCAAGCTATTCTCCTGCCTCAGCCTCCCTAGTAGCTTGAATTACAGGCATGCGCCACCATGCCCGCCTAATTTTTGTATTTTTAGTATGGACGGGGTTTCACCAGGTTGGTCAGGCTGGTCTCGAACTCCTGACCTCAGGTGATCCACCTGCCTCAACCTCCCAAAGTGCTGGGATTACAGGCGTAAGCCACCGCGTCCGACCTTTTTGTTTTGTTTTTGCTTTTGTTTTTGTTTTTGTTTTTCAGACGGAGTCTCGCTCTGTCGCCCAGGCTGGAGTGCAGTGGCGCCATCTTGGCTCACTGCAACCTCCGATTCCCGGGTTCAAGCGATTCTCCTGCATCAGCCTCCAGAGTAGCTGGGATTACAGGCACCCACCACCACGCCCACCAACCTTGCCCTTCTTGCTGCAATCTCACCAAGACCGCTCTTGTCTCCTAAGTAGCTTTGGTCTGCCCCTTTCTTGGATTGTTTAAGATCGGCAAGGAACGGGGAGAGAAAGCGTAGCTAGCCAATAAGGAAACACGAACTGAAAAGTATTTCCGAAGCATCACTCCTGTCAGCGTTATTAGAGTACTGATGGCCCATATTACGATGTCGCTGGTTGTATGTCTTCCCCCGCACAGTGTCCAGAGCACCGTGAGGACAGGGCTGCTTTTACTCTACGTTTGCATCCTCAAAAGGTACAGCACCCAGCCCAGTGCTTGGCACAGAGTCTATTGATGATTGATAAATAATAATGTACGTCGAAATTTGGATGAGGGTTCTCATTTTTGTGTTCTTACTTTTATTTGAATTTGACCTTATAATTAGAAGTGCAGGGGACAAATATTTGCTACCATGTTGAAAATGTTAATACTATAACCCTGCTCATTGATACAAATATTAGTAAGACTATGCTAGCTAAAGCATCTGACTACATGTTGATTGTTATCAGGATAGTGATGGAGTATTTTTGCTTTTTAAAAAATTTAAAGCTTTCCAGAGAAATCTGTCAAAATAATTATCATTGCATCCTAACACCTTTTATTTTTTGGGGGGGGCGGGGGTGGTGCCTAAAACATCAGAAATTTATTGGCTTACCGTTACAGAGACCAGAAGTCTGAAATCAAGGTATCAGAGGGACGTGCTCTCTTAAAGGCCCTAGGGAAGGATCCTTCCTTCCTTCTTCAAGCTACTGGTGTTTGCTGTCAGTCCTTGCCATTCCTTGACCATAACTTCAATCTACGCCTCCTTCTTTACATAGCCTTCTTCCTTCTACTTCTGTGTCCAGATCTCTAGGTGTGTAAGGACACCAACCATTGAATTATGGCCCACCCTAATCCAGCTCCACTTCACCTTAACCTGATTATACCTGCAAAGATTTTATTTTTAAATAAGGTTACATGCACAAGTCTGGGTAGACATAGATTTTGGAGGAACACCACTCAACCGAGTACAACAATTAAATTTGGAGATTTTAACACTCCAGTTTCAGTAATTGACAAAAGAGACAAAAATCAGTAAAGATATATCAACCAACTTGATCTAATTGACGTATGCAGAACACTATAACCAACAGTGGCAGAATAGTCTTTCTAAGTGCATCTAAAACATTCAACTAAATGGGCTATATAAAAACCAAATTACAATCAGTTCCACAGGATTGAAATCATGCACAGTATGTTTTCTGACAATAGCAGAAAGAAAACAGAAAACACAAACAAAAAGAAATATATAAAAACCCAAAATACTTGAAAATTATAAAAAAAATCTAATAAGACATTTCTAGGAACTTTGGAATTCTGCAACAAACTTCTCAATTTCTCCTGTGTCCAAAGAAGACATCAAAAATAAAATTAGAAACATGTTGATCTGAATGTGACTAAAGACAATGAATGTAATATCTGTTTTTATAAGCATACCTGGAAAACTGGCATGTCATGAACATTAGAAGTCAAAAACTGTTGAAGGGATGAGGGTATGATGGTGTCATACAGCTGCAGTTATATAACCTACCTTTAGGTCAGTTGCTTGTTTTAGACACGCTCTTATTTTATTAATATATTGATTCCTAAAACTCAGTACCTCTACCTGCCTTCTACAGAAGTAAAGAATCCTTAGATAGAAGCAACCAAGATTTTCGAGCTTTCAACTACTTGAGGAGATTTTAAAGGAAGTTTTTAAAAAATTAAATACATGTATATCCTATAGCATATACAGTGCATACATACAAATCTATGAACATATATCTATATTAGTTTGTCACAGGGCTTTCTAACCTGTGACCTATAAACTTAGAGACATGATGAGAGCTTTTCTGAATATTCAGATTTTTCCATTGTGTGTGCATTTTTCTGGAGAAGGCTATACAGCTTTCATTAGATTCTCAGAGAAACCCATGAACCCAAAACTTTAAAAACTGGTCTTAAAGACGAAAGTGTATTTCAATACTATTCTTTACTCTTGATAATAGCTCTCTAATAGGGACCCTTTAGGGTCTTGGTTTGTTATTGAGATTTTGGATGCCCAAGTAGTGAACATTGCAAAACATTAGGAATAATCCTAATGCCAAGAATGACCAGATGTGATAACATAACACATACTAACTGTATGAGATCCTTGATGTGTTTAAAATTTAAGTAGCATTATATCTCTTTACAGAACTAGCTTAAAATTAAAATGGAAACAGCTTTTATGCTGGCTCTGAGGCCAAAAATATAAATTCAACTCTGCACATTTTTTATTTGAAGGCATTCACAAATGACATGCAAGGAATAAACGCTGGCCAAAAGCCATAGCTAAGCATTGTGTTAAAAAAAAAAAAAAAAAAACCGTGTGTGATTTTAAGCCAAAAACTATTTAGGAGTCGGTTTCTCATGTCCTAATTATTAAATTAGGAATAAAACCAGGAAGAAGATGTTAAAAGTGGTATGCTTTAAGTATTAAGTATTCTCTTTAGGTTTAATAACAACTTTTAAAAATCAAACAAAATTGATCAACAGCCTACGTAAACAGTCATGCAAGACTGAAGAAGACTTCTCTATTTAGATTAACAAGAAAATGGTGCTAGAGGCAGCTTGGTGAGACACTGAGAACTAAAGTTAACAAAACAAATGTGTACTGGGAGAAATGATTTACACACATGTTCTGAATGCTTCTGCTTAGATTAATATTTTCCTTCAAATAAAACTGGTCAAGCTCAATAATGCAACTATAAAGATGAATGTACAGTAAGCAAGGCATTTGGTCATTCAGAGCCAAGATATGAGAGTTATTCTAGAAAAGTATCAAATAACCAAAAGTACTTTGGAATCTCTAACTACAGCATGTATAAAATTTTTTGCATGTATGACAATGTATAATGGAACCTCCAAACAAATCCAAACTTACGATGTCTTCAAGATGTAAGTGTCAGCATTATAAAGCATGGGAAAAGTAAGTACTTTATTTGGCATCCCATTTAAACCATATATGGCTTTTCTTTGCCTCTTGAGTAAAATGTCCTGCCATTTACCCTTAATTGTCATGCTAACATCCATCTCAGAATCCGCTTCCATTTTGGAAAGGGGTTAGTAAGATGAATAGGTATTTCTAACAAATCTTGATAATTTGCTTTCAGAGGGGATAGTCTAGAAATAACATCACAGCTAAGACATCCTCTTGACTTTGAACTCAAGTCAAGACTTATCAATGCATTTTTCACATTATGGATTAAACATGTGCTTTCCTTCGGGGTGCTGTGAGAGTTAAAAATCAAGTATCAATAACTATATAAATGAACATAAGTGGAAGGTTTATGAGTCAAGGGAAAAAGACACTTAAAAGGCAGTGTTACCTCCTGCTGTCTCAGATTGGTCTCAGGAAAGCCCAGTGGACCAGAGCCATCTCCTCTGCTGCTTTCTCTTTTCTGACTATCCATGTATCATAGGATTGACAAATCCACATTCTTAAGCTGTGTTTCCTAACTTAGTCTGACACTAAGTGCTCCAAGCTATTGTTTAGGAATTACCCTCTCACTATAATAAGAACTTCATTATTACTGAATAATAACTCAGTAATGAGTTTTTTTATTCTTCAGTAATGATTCCCAAATGACATAGAAGTATAGGAAGAAAAGAAGCATTCTGAGAATAAGACATTCTGAGAAATGGTGATCCTAATTACTATCAATGAAGAATCACGCTCCCACTGTTTCATTGTTTGGGGCCAGTATACATAAGTTGCTAATTCCAAGGCCTACGGGGCCAGGTGGTTCTTGTGAGGTCAATGGAGAACAAAAGTTTGTGCCCCTCATAAAATGGGCAATCTGTGTCCCATTCCACCTGTTACCTTAGGAAAAGAACATGAAGTATGGCTTTTCAAGATTTTTCTCAAGATAACTTAGACATCTGGATTTTTATGTGAATACTCCTGATTGTTAAATGCAGACACGAATCCCAAATTCTTAAATATTCATAGGCCTGCAGACCTGACGTAGCAGCAAATGTTTCACAAATCTGTGACCTCTAAGAAAAGAACTTCTTAAAACCAGGTTTAGCCATGTAGCCATGTGAACCTGGACTCATGACCTCATAGCTAGGGCTTCAGTGACCTCATCCATAGGATGGAGGAGAAGACTTCCCTAGCAGCAGCTCCAGAGTTCTTTATAAGATGAGCACTCAACAATTCTTGAGTTATGATCATCCTCCCCACACCCAGTTTCAACTCTCAGATGAGGATGTGGCTTCTGACTTAACTGCTGACAAAGTATAAAGTGTACCTCAATCTATCAAGATCCAGTGTGGCTAGCTTTCTATACTCAATTCCACAACATGAATTATTTTTAAAATTTATTGTACTTATAAAATCAATTAAGATTCACTGTAGAAAAATTACTGAATACAGATATACAAGGGAAATCTCCTTAAAAACCACCAAGTACCTTGATGTAGATCCTTTTAAATCTTTTCCTACGTGTATATTGTTTTTAGAAAAATGACATCATATCTAATGCATTTTTTGTAGCCTGCCTTTTTTACTGAATGTATTTACTCAATAAACACTGATTCTTTAGAGAAGTAGAAATATAATTCTTATAAGATTAATTTCAATTCGGGCTGGGCACAGTGGCTTACGCCTATAATCTCAACACTTTGGGAGGCTGAGGCACATGGATCACCTTGAGGTCAGGAGTTCAAGACCAGCCTGGCCAACATGGTGAAACCCTATCTCTACTAAAAATACAAAAAATTAGCCGGGCATGGTGGTGCACACCTATAATCCCAGTTACTTCTGCCTCAGCAGACTGAGGCAGAAGAATCACTTGAACCAGGGAGGCAAAGGTTGCAGTGAGCCAAGATTGTGCCACTGCATTCCAGCCTGGGTGACAGAGCAAGATTGTCTAAAAAAGAAAAAAAAAAAGAAAAAGATTAATCTCAATTCAGTTTTTTCAACATAAGCACAAATATGTCCAATTTGTCATGAGTATAGGGTTTAGGACTAAAAACACAGAACTAAACACCAAATGCAAAGCAATTCTTCCCAAAAAAATAGCTTTCCCCAAATCACTCAGTAATTTCACGATAGAATTCCCAAAATATTAAGAAATCTAGGACTATTACCCTGTAATAATAAAGCCCTCAAAATCTAAAGAAAGAAATAGATCAAAATACATTTATTATTGAGATGTAAGGACAAAGTATTGGAGACTATAAGTTAATAGTCTGAATAATGAATCTAGAGAAAATAGGAGGAAAACGATGGGGGTCACTGCAACCAATTCTGAAAATTCTAGAATGCGTATGTGATCGAACAGAGAAAAAATAAGTGCAATTCATCTATATTTATATATTTAGATAATATATAATATACATTAAATAGATTTAGATAATGTATTAATATTAAATATATTTGTTTATTAAATATATTTATATTAGTATTAATATATACTAAAGTATATATTAATAATATAAGTAACATGCAAAGTATATTGAACCCTCTACTAAATCTCTTAATTAAAACCTAACTGTTTTATTACTTTAGGATTCAACAGCTGTACAAATTTAAGTTCACATTTTCCTGGAGGACTTAATTAGTGAAATAAATGACTAGCAGACTAATTCATAGTAGAGAAATAAGAACTCGGCATTTTGGAATGTGGTATATTTGTTGAATCTCCCTCTGTTCCTTGGCCTTCTCTTGCAAAGTCTGACAATGTTACAAAAGTACATAGCCAAGAGTGAGTGAGGCACAGAGCAAATGTGAAAAACTCTCTTCTATTATACAACAAGACAGTGAAATGTTTTTCTTAGAAAAAAATTCTCTCCCTATCAATAGTCCCAAATACTAATGCAGACTTTATTTCCAAATAAGTTTCTTATGTCAATCTGTTTTAAATAAATTCTGATCACTTTAAAAGCAAAACTTGGGAGAAAATTACATGTTAGTAGGTTTGATCTGTTCAATAGTCTCACAGTGTACTCTCAAACTTGGGTGAACCAGGATTAAGTTCCAGTAGTCTTACAAAAAAAAAGACACACAAAAATCTACTAAAGATGCCATATCACTAGTCTTATACTCATAATGAGAAATTATTAGGCCCATCCAAAGATGATAGAACTTTCCATATTTTTAGTCGCTTCATGTTTACAAGTCACAGATAAACTTCCCTGCAAGGCATCCTGTTCTCCATTCCTGAGATTAAATAAATCAATAATAGAAATCATCTTGCAATACAGATGCTTCCTTCCCCAACCGAAATATTCTTATAAAAATTTAACAAGAAAATTTTCAAACATCTCATAATGTTGTTTTTACAAAGCAACTGTTAGTTATAAACAAGTCTTTTAGGTCTCAAGGAGATTTAAGATACTTCAAAGGCTTGATCTAAACCCTCTAAATCCAGGTTGCTTTCACATATTTTCTAAAACATAGTATGTTAAATTTAATGTTTGAAAAAATGTTTTAAGTGTTTTGTTATGCACTGGAAAAATTTAAACAGATCTTATTCTAAGAAATTAGCATTTTCTGGAACTTCCATTTTTACTAATTCCTTTCTTTACAAAAAATAAAGAAGCAAGTACTGTTTTTCTGTAAATGTTTGCAAACTTATTAAAGAAATAACACATCTCATCTACCCAAGGCAGTGTACATTAACATATTTTTATGTACATTTAAAAAAGAAATTCCTCACAACCTAGTTGTTGCAGATGTTCCTCTTGGTGACTCTTCTTATCAGGAGAGAGACTGATCTGTCTTCTTTTAGTATATCCTATAGGTCAGTGGCAAGAAAAAACAAATAAAGGCCATTTTAATAATTATTAGAAGCTTGTACAAATATTAACTACAAAAACCTGCTATTCTGAATTGTTCAGTTAATATTGAATGATACATAATTTTTTAATTCTGACTGAATAATTTATAAAAACATACATAGTGGTATTTTTTTAAACTAAAAGTTATAGTATACATTTTTTTCCTGTCAGCTTTAAGTGATGGTGTAGATTGGGTTCACCCTGACAGGTTTGGGTTATCTGAAATAAAAGTCACAGTTTCTTAGGGCGGCATTTTTTATTTCATAAGAGTGATTCAATTGAACTGAATAATTTCTCAGCTTTCCACTGTTCTTTCCTAGGAAAAAAGAACTGTATACAACAATAATTTATTATTTCTTGTTTTAGTACATATTTTGAAAGTTTTACAACCCAAAGGAACACAGATAACTCTTTAAAGTTCCATTTCCTCTGAAATAAAACAATGTGTAGCTCTTACCACCAGCTGGACATATTTCCCTCAATTTCAAAATAAAAGAAGAAATGTTGGTCTATTTGTTATACTTGTTATTATTTCTGTTTATCCATGCAAAGTAGCAGAAGTTTAAGAGGCATTCATTTATACCAATTTTGCACAATGAGATCCTGTAATCTTTCCGTTGTATGTGTAATGTATAGAAGGTGTTCATTACTTAGCATATTGAAGAGGCAACCATTGAAAAAAGAAAGATAGTCATATTATGACATTTAATCAGAATTGAGTCATGGTTATAATTATCTGTTACTTTATGCTTCCTGAATTTCCAAATTGTTCCAAAATAGATTAAATATGCATATTTTTAAAAGAAGGAAATTAGAATAATAGTTTTTAATGTTCCAAGGACTTGTCCATTGATGTCCTAGCCCATCTTTTAAATATACAAAGACAATAAAAACACAGGAGTAATAGAAACCAAAGATATGAGCTCTTTCCTTGAAGGAAAAATTATGTAATTGATTTTCAGTTGATATTTTGTAAGGATTGCTGCTAAAAGAATACTGTACTATAGTGAAAACTGAGTTTATTCTGTCTCCTATTACAAAATTAACAATTTAATAATTTTCTTTCTGTTTATTCTTCTAACAATCCTAAATATGAAATTTTATTTTGAGCACTATGTACCTAATTTTGTTAGTTACTACAGAGTGGCAAGTTCAAGTTCTTTTATATCTCCTTTTTTCACACACATGTGCACACACAAAAGCACAGAGTTGTATATCTGAACGCATAGTAATTATTCAAGCAATCATTGGACATTTACTGGGCACTCATGCTTTTAGACAATAATAGAGCTCAGGTTCCTAAAGTGAGAAGATCAGTGTTTATGACAGTTGCTTTGTCCTCTGTATTTTCATCAAGATCCAGCCCCCACCCATTAACACAGAATCTACAAAAGAATTAAACTAAAACATTTTAAATTCCCAATGAGATACGTGCTCATCTTCCAAGTATTCATTCCCTCTTCCCTAGAACATGAGCCTTAATGCCTGTATAGTAAAAGAGCCCAAACTGTTTAACTGTCCAGGTAGTAATAATAGTAACTTGTATTCTTATAGTGCAAGGAAACAAGAGAGAAGATGATAAAATGCAAATTTCCTAATTAGATTCAAAAGTCCATGATAAATTTTTTCTTCCCTCCTGCAAAGACAACAGACATCTGGATTTTATAGTATATTTATTCCATCATTCATTCTCTTATTTATTCACTTATCTTTGTGTCTTTTAACTGGAAACCATTAGACAGTCTATACAATGGTTTTAGAAAGTGATTTGCATACTACTAATGTCAAAATACCTATAGTTTAAAAAGACACATGCACATGTATGTTCATCACAGCATTATTCATAATAGCAAAGACATGGAATCAATCTAGATGCCCATCAATGGTGGACTAGCTAAAGAAAAAGTGGCACATATATACCATGGAATACTACGCAGCCATAACAAAGAATTAAATGACCTTTGCAGCAACATAGACACAGCTGGAGGCCATTATCCTAAGTGAACTAATGATGCAGGAACAAATAACCAAATACCACATGTTCTCACTTATAAATGGGGGGTAAACATTGAGTGCAAAGAGGGAAACAACAAACATTGGGGCCTACTTGAAGGTGGAGTGGGGGAGGAGGGAGAAGTTCAAAAAACTACCTTTTGGGTACTGTGCTCACTATCTCGGTGACAAAATCATTTATACAACAAATCCTAGCAACATGAAATTTGCCCATGTAATAAACCTGCACATGTATCCCCTGAACCTAAAATAAAAGTTGAAAAAGAAAAAAAAAGGAAACATAACCCAATTAATTTGGCTTAAAAGAGTTACAATACCAAAGTAACTTTGACCTCCCTAGAAAATTCAGATGGAATAGTTTCTATCATATTAAATATCCACCAACTAATTTATAGTGTTTGTAAGATGCTATGCATTTATAAAAATCACAGAAACCTCTTTTGAACACTGACTGTTCATTTATAACTTTTCATCATTTTTTTCAAAAGTCATTATTAAAGAAGTGTTTGTTTTCACACACACACACACACACACACACAAAGATTAATTACTGTATTCTATTAGTTACTGTATTCTATTCTGAGGACAGTTTGTCAAGATGCTACTTGTCCTGTGATGTGTAAATAACATATTTATGTTATAAATTGCTACTTGTCCTGGGATATGTAAATAACATATTTATGTTATAAATTTGTGTCATTAAGAAGATAAATATGCACAGCTATAAGAAATATTAAGTTTATTTATATCCATGAAAGAAAGTCAGGTCTCTTTTCTTGCAAAGAAAATTGCTAGAGAATAATTGTGCAATGAAGAATCCTATGTCTGGTGTGCCCAAGTACATTGTCAAATAGTTCCGACATTCTTCATTGCACCAAAGAACCTTCCTACAGTATTCAACACCCAAATATCCTTGGTTCCATGTAGAAGCACACTTGGAACCAAGCTTTCCAACACTTAAGGGAATGTTTGCTGTGTAGAGTATCTTTTGAAGTGCTAGTCAGGACAAAACAGTAAAAAGCTTTAGCCATTAAGATGTCAACTGAGTGAAGTATCCTCACCTGAACTCCATACTGCAAGAACCATGCTGCCATGTTTAAAATTCTGACTCAGACAACTAACTGTACCCAATTCCAAAACACACTTCTTGCCTATACAAGTTTTTAAAAAGAGACTTCAAGGTAAGGGATAAAGCTTGCATCAAGGCTTAGAACATAGATGCATTTAATCAAGATCACACATGAGAGAAAGGGAATTGGAAAGCTCTAAAATCCTGTTGAATCTTATTGCATTAACTGTACAGCTTACACAGTTCAGGAAAGCCCATGTTCTCTTTCAAACAAAATATAAATACTGGATCTGGATTGCTGAGATTATAAAAGAGTCAATGACATCTTTTTCAGGGGTTATTATTTTAACCCTGACGCCATAGCTGCCTGAATAACTAGAATCTGTCTAAGATTCTTTCTTGCTAATTGAAAGAGATCTACTTTATTTTATTTGAAACATTATATATGTTGAGATTTTTGGCCAAGCGCAGTGGCTCACGTCTGTAATCCCAGCACTTTGGGAGGCCGAGGCAGGCGGATCACCTGAGGTCAGGAGTTCAAGACCAGCCTGGCCAACATGGCGAAACCCCATCTCTACAAAAAATACAAAAATTAGTTGGGTGTGGTGGCATGTGCCTGTAGTCCCAGCTCCCTGAAAGCTGAGGCAGGAGAATCGCTTGAACCGGGGAGGCAGAGGTTGCAGTGAGCTGAGATTACGCCACTGCACTCCAGCCTGGGCGACAGAGTGAGACTCATCTCAAAAAAAATACAAAAAACAAACAAACAAAACAAATGATATATGTTGAGATTTTTGCAAAAGTGTTGCTGATCCTACCAAAGTAAGTTTTCTGAATTATCTGCAATTATTAATGTGTATTAACTATGTAGTAATAACCACTAGCTCTATAATTAACTCTGCGCAATGTAAACCTTAATTCAGTTGGAATTACATTCGTTATTTCAAAGATAGTGAACTGCTGTGTGCTACAGATCATGTTCCATGTAATTTTTGAGTTCCAAAAGGTCTCAGATAGTCTAAGAGGTGCTAGGTGAATCTGTGTAATAAATAACACTTTTATAATATCCTAAAGCAGAGATTTTAATAGCTATAGTTGGAAATCAATAAATATCTGTTGGATGAATGTATAACCCCTTTTTACAGAGAACATGTATAAGTGTTAACAGCCATTCATACAATCCAATATCATACCATGTTATGTCCCTGGAGTTCTACTTTGGAAACATTAATTGTTTTAAAATACATGGTGAGCCAGATTCGTCACCATTGCAAGACAGAATACCAGAAGTATTCTGCTAAACCTCCTAAAAACACACACACACAAACAAAAACAAATAAGCCTGCTGCCATAGAAATTAGATATTCCTTGATAGGATCAAACCAAAAAAAAGGTTAAAGAAGCTATGCTTACCAAATGGAATAGAACACTACCTAAAGTGTAAGATGCATATTCTATGGGAATACAGATGCTCCTTGACTTAAGATGGGAGTTACCTTCCGATGAACCCATTGTAAGCTGAAACTATCATAAGTTGAAAATGCACTTAATACACCTAATATGCCAAATAGCATAATTTAGCCTAGTCTACCTTAAGTGTGCTCAGAACCCTGACATTAGCCTACAGTTGGGCAAAATTATCTAATGCAAAGCGGATTTTATAATAGAGTGTTAAATATCTCATGTAATTTATTGACTACAGTGCACTGTGTAGTATCTGTTGTTTACTGTTGTGATCGTGGCTGCCTGGGAGCTGCAGTTTGCTGCCACTGCCCAGTGTCAGAAGAGGGTATCCTACTGTGCATTGCTAGGCCAGGAAAAGATCAAAACTCGAAATTCAAAGTGTGGTTTCTACTGAATGTATATTGCTTTCACACCATTGTAAAATTGAAAAATTGTTCAGTTAAACCATTGTAAATCGGGAGCCTTCTGCATAGGAATTACAATAGCAAGCATCCAAGAGTTAGGGATTAGCAGAATCAAAAAATAATCATCCAAATTGTACCAGATGGAAAGTCCATAAGCAAACATAGTTAGTTCCTAACACTTGAAAGTAACTTAATTTGGTTAATTATATTAATTTGCCTATCTGCAAACAAAACAAATATTTTTCTGTTTTCTAGATCCCTTGTTTCCAACTGGTTCAAATAAATAGACAACTCTTCATTCCGATGGTACTTCTTAGAGATAAACCACATGCATGTATCAGAGAAAACAACTCTCAGCCTGGTAAATGAACAGGAAAAACTTGGGTTAGAATTCTATTTCTTTCAAGGTAGAGAGCAAATTTTCATAATCTCACATGGACATACAGACCAAGCCATGCATGGCACTATCTACATAATCAAGGCGGAGAACACAAAAACTTGGATATGAATGTTCACAGCAGCATTATTCATAATAGTCAAAAAATGGAAACAACCGAAATGCCCACCAACTGATGCATGAATAAACAAAATGCAGTGCATCCATTCAATGGAATATTATTCAGCCATTAAAAAGGATAAATTACTGATACATGCTACAACATGTATGAACTTCAAAAACATATGCTAAGTGAAAGAAGCCAGCCATCAAGGACCACAAATTGTATTATTCAATTTATATGAAATTCTAAAGTAGGCAAATCTGCAAAGACAAAATAGTTTAGTGGTTGTATAGGGCTGGGGTCAGGAGAGGAGAATAGGAGTGACTGCCAGTGAGCAAGAGGTTTCTGGTGAAAACATGGAGAGGAGGCTTGAATAATTATCTGAGGTTAGATTTGTTATCTGGAGGCACCATTACCTACTTAATTTCCTACACAACTCAAATTCACTAGAAAACTACTGTTGGCTGTACTTTTTTGATAATGTAATTCCTGTATTTCAAAACTGTTTTTAAGGGTTTTCTTAATCTCTCCCTTAAAAAACAAATACTGAGACAGTTACAAAGTAAAATACACTTTTTAAAATTTTACTTTCAAAAGAAGATAATCAAAAGTGATACAATCATCACAATTGGCATTAAATTATTGTTTTGATCTTAATATTTTATTCCCCATTCATTTGCTGTTCCTTTTTGTCTGTTCTAATGCTATAATAACTTACCTCAGCTTTAACAAAATGAAACTTTGTTTTCATGCTTTATTAACCTGAAGCTAATAATTTTACCTTAGGTGTTATCAAAAAGTGACTTATTTTTAGGATGTTAATATCTCAAACAACAGTGTTATGCTCTGCCACCTACCAAACTCTGGAGTGAGAAAATCCAATCAGTTTAACCGACCTTGCACAATTAAACCATCAAATACATTCCATATGCGGGCTTGTTGGCTCGTGCCTGTAATCCCAGCACTTTGGGAGGTCGAGGCAGGTGGATCGCTTGAGCCCAGGACTTCAAGACCAGCCTAGGCAACATGGTGAAACCCTGTCTTTTCTAAAAATACAAAAATTAGCCAACCGTGATAGTGTGCTCCTGGGAAGGCTAAGGTGGGAGAATCCTTGAGGCCAGGAGGTTGAGGCTGCAGTGAGCTGTGATTGCACCACTGCACTTTAGTCTGGGTGACAGAGCAAGACCCTGTCTCAAACAAACAAAAAATCTATAATGGAAAACTTAGAAATCTAATTGGATAATCCTAAGAAACTCCCTCCTGCTCCTAGTTCCTCCCTCAAGTTCTCTAAAAGGTTCAGGAAACAATTATAACACTGACATCTAAATGTAATTTGTAAAGTATTTCTTATGTTCTCCCTGGTATTCTCCTTAAAATCATCCTAGCTTTCCCAGAACCTAGACAATATTGTCTTCTAGTTAAAATTTTCATATGCTGATGTTTTCTGCCATTTCTGTTTGGCAGAAAAGCAAACTGGAAAACTTGATAAACAAGAAAGACCTCAAGTAACAAAAATTATATGTCATTCTTGGCTCAACTAACAGCTCCAAACCTCTGAAATGTGGTAGATCTTTTTCCAAAGGAAGATCTTACTAACTCTCAGTGTAAATCTGTACCTTAACTTTATCACTGTTTAAAACCCATCTCTAAATAACATAGGCCAAGATCTCCAAAATCGATAATGGGGAAACTGCTCAACAGCATTCCAGAAGTTCTTAACCATAAGAGTGATGCTATAGTAGAAAGTAAACCGTGAGGCATCATGCATCTTGACTGAAAATTCCACCCCACACCCACTGAGCTAATCTGGAGCCGCCATAGAAGACAGGGAAGTTGGAAGTAGAGACCTTTGCGTAGGCCATCACCCCTCGCCATCAATCAAAAGGAATTCTGTGAGCTTCTACTGAGAGCCTAGAGCTCTGGTCAGCAGCACAAAGACAGAGCCAGGCAGAAACAACTCCAGAGCCACACCTCCTCTGAAAGACAATTGTCAGGTGAGATTTTCAAATAAAACCACTGGGGATTATCCACTATCTCCCCAAGAAATTCAAATGTTTAGAAATATAAACACAACACATACTTTTTTTCAGTATTTTATAAAGTTCAACAGTTTTGATGATAATCACATGTATGCCAAATGATTTGTAAAGTGTAAAATTTGAAAAAGATCAGATATTAAATAACAAATTGAATGAGAAAATACGACAACAATAAAAAAAAGTTTTATGAATGGACTACCAGTTTTTGCTTTTTTGAAAAGAAATATTACAATAAGGTTATTTGCTCAAATAAAACCTACCTGACACTCTTGCAAATGTTTAGGGAGGGAAAGTGTGTCTCCCTTTATATTTACTGTTTCTCTCTGAAGCCAATTTCATTTTTTTCAACATCCTGGCCATCTGCATTCATATAAAGTGGTTATTTTCATGGATAATTCACCTTATATATGAAATATAAAAGGTATCTGGAATAAATTCATTGCAAAATTGATGTTACCTGTTAAATCTTCCTAGTAGTTTGTTTTCACCAAAATAAAATGAGTGAGATTTACTGCTTTCCTCTGATTTTTTTTCTACTTCAGTAACAGTTTTAGAAGCAAGTGAATAATTATCTTTTACTTTAGATATCTTGAAATTTGCTTGAAGTCATTCTGGACCCCTTTACAAAAGCTACCTGCGGACCAATCCTGGGGCTCATATTAATTTTACAGACGTCGGGCACCCAGGGTTGCCCCGAGTAGGGGAGGGTGGAGTGCGCGATGCCACGTGTAAGTTAGCAATCATCGGCTCTATTAAAACGGTTCCATATCTTCCAGCCCCGCACTCATGATTCACAGTAATGCCTAGTGTTAGCACTCACTAATCGACAATTTGATGGGGAAGGTGAGGAGGAAAACGACCCTGGAAGCAGAGTGCTGGTTTCACACCCGCTGGGTATCTGTTACATGTGAATTTCCTCTGGCGCCAGCAGGTATTTTGAGCAGGCATCTAGAGGGATCCCAGAGGGGAAAGATGGGAGTGCGTAAGATGGAGCTGTAAGCCTGCGGATCAAAGCTTTAAATATCCCAGAGGAAATCGGTAACATCCGGATTGATTGGCCGAAGGGGTTTAAGTGGAATGGGGAAGATAATTCGAATTTCTGAGGTTTAGAGGAGCAGGGGAAGAGGGTGGAAAGGTAGGGAGTAAACAAGATCTCAGAGGAGAGCCCACATTAGACAGGCGCACATTGAAGATGGGAGGCTTTACCCTCGCTTTTAGCCCTGGGAACCCCAGAGGGCAACTCCAGTCAGCAGATAGTGCCAGCGTGCAGGGGATGGGCTGCGACCGCTCCCAGTGACCCCACGAAACCCAGAGGGGAGGCTGAGGCTCTGAGGCCAGCCAGGGGAGCTGACGATCTCGCAGAAGCCGCGGCGAGTCTCCCCCGGAGGTCTAGGAGGCAGAGCCATTAAAGCCAGGCTGCCCGCTGAAACGCACAGTAAAAGTGACTGCGATTTATTTGGATTAGTCAGTATAAAGGTCTGGGGAGACAGCTATTTATTCGATACGGGACCTTGACAAATTGGGCAGTGCAAGAAAGGACAGTCCCTCTGACCTCAGGCGGTGCTGGGGCGGAAGGTAGGAACCTCCCACCTGCTCCTGGCCCCAGGGGGCGCGCATGCCCAGCGGGAGCGCATCTTCACCTGCGGACGTGAGGCTGCAGCGCTGCCGGCCCCAGCCAGCCAGGGTGCCCTCTCCCGGCTTGAGGGGTTCGTATTGCTGCCTCCAGGCCTCCAAGGGAGATTTCCGCTCACTCTCTGGCGGCACCTTCTCCCCAGCTTCTGGGACGGTCACCAAATCTGAGATCCTGCCCGGTTACCCTGCAGGTGACCCAGTACCCCCGAAGGGTCCACCTGGATAAAAGTCGTTTGGTCTGGCAGCATCCGGGTCATATATCTGAGAGGTCGTTTAGAAGTCTTTTTTTTTTAAGCGCTGACAAGTGATTTGAACGTGAAATTTAATTCCACTTAATATGAAATGTAACTAAAATATACTGGTTCTTAACAGCAGACAACCCTTGGTGTCTCAGCGACTCTGCAGTAGATCCGCTCCAAAACCCTGCAAGCCTTGCTCCTACAGCTCTAACGTGAAAAGAACAAACCACTGCCACATTCATTCGTTCTGTATTTCCGAACTTTATTTATTTCTGTTGTTAGTGTATTAGGTGCTACATTAAAATCCTTTAAAAACAGAGACATTTGTATTAAATATCTACGCACAAACATAAATAGGTAAATTTCTAACTGCTATGCAATCAAAAGGAATTATTTTTCCAGAAGTCTATTACTTTTAATGTAATTTATTGCTGCCTCAGCTTTAAGGCCAATGCTGTCTTATCAGAATATGCAGGCTTAGATACCTAAAATACGTAGTTCTGAACAAGAACTCCCCGTTGATAACAAGTAAACCTAATCACTTTGCTTTCAGGATCTGAAACAGTACTTTTTGGACAATATCTAAAAAGCCGTGCATGAAGCAGTGAGGTTAATTTGTTTAATTGTTTGCTTTTATTTTGGTTAAAGACCTAAGACTGGGAGAATAAATTGAATAAAATTCTTTCTTATTCAGTAAAAGGAATCAGATCCCTTGAGTTAGAAAGATGAAAGTTCAATGTGGCCAGAAGATGAGGGTTTTAGCCCTTTTGATGGAGACTATTTGAACCTGAAAATTTTGCGTGGCTATCTATCTTGCTAAAAGTCAGGGTGAGATAAAGTGTAATCTGGCTCTGATTTCTGCTGGAAAGAAAACATTGAAATGACTGCTCATTTATCACTGTGCCCACCCTCCCCCTCCTCCACCTTGGTTTAATTGACAATGTAACACCGAGCTGTTTGTGTCTTCCCTTGACTGTTGGAAATGAAACCAATCCGGTTGAAAGGAGAGTTCTAAATTATCGGGTTTATTATGTAAAGAAATTATAAGAAAAAAAGTAGAGGAAGTAATTGTAAAAACTCTACTGTCTGCGTGAACACTGGAGAACCATCTAAATTTTGTGTTAATTCATCAGGCTTTCCTTCTTGTATGGCTGCTTGGTGAATCTGCATATATAGGTTCCCTGACAAAAGCAGCTATTTAAGAGTTTAGTCAAGATACTATTTGTGGCTCTGTTGTTAAACTGATTGCAAGACTACCTACTTAATGATTATGGAAAGCAAAATGATCAGGCCAGATAGTTATTTTAGCCAAGTAGGCACAGTATTAATTTCTTCTAAATAGATGTCTAAATTCTCAAAAGAAAAAATAACCAATATGCATATATATTAAAATTCAATCTCCATTGTAATCATTTATGTAATATTATAATAATAATAGGATTGTCTTTCAAGTGGTCTAATTGGTCAAAATTTCCTAATATATAACACCCAATATTGACAAGAATTCAACGAAACAGCCACTCCCAGATACTGTTTGAGAATATGTAAATTAGAACAACCTAGGAATGTCCAAAAGTATTAGTAAAAGAGTTTAAAATGCATATACCCTTTAACTTTAGCAATTCTATTTCAGGGAATTTATTTGATAAAAAATAAGGATATACACAAAGATTTTACTTACAGAATATTCACAGTAATAAAAAACTAGGAATAAATATATACAACATAAAAAATTGTTTTGTCATCAATTATGTCATAGAAGAAAATTTTATGACATCCAAAGATATTTATGACGTTAGATGACAAAATGGATTATCATAAAATATAATTCATCTTTTGTGAAAAAATAAAGTCATAAAAAAGATCTGAGAAGATATATAGAGAGGCGGTTTATCACAGGATAATGATGTTCTACTTTTTTGTTCAAAAGTTTTACATGTATATAATTTTAAAATACAAAATGATTATACGATAGAAGTATTTTTCCTTTATCCATGTTGCAATTTAGGTTGTTGGCTTTTTTCTTATTGGTTTGAAAATTTCTTGATAGATTAAGGAAATGAGCTGTCTTTCTATCATATATTTCCAAATGTTTTTCTACTTGAAATGTGTCTTTCTATTTTGTTTATTTTTACATGTATATGTAAAGACATTTATCAATCTATTCTTTCATGGTTTTTAGGTTTTACATTTGCTAAGAAAGCTCCCTCCTCTGCATACACACACACATGATAAAATTACACTTTATAAAACTTTTCTCACTTCTCTTCTAGTACTTTTATAGTCTTAATTTTTTACTTTTAAATCTTCAGTCCATTTAGAAATTATTTGGGTTCAAGCAGTGAAGTAAGGATACAGTTTATTTGTCCTAACACAATTTATGGAATATATTTTTCCATTGATCTAAAATATCAGCTATCCCATAAATTAAATTTTTATTTATATTTGAGTTTCTAGGCTCTTCACATTGGTTGAATAATGTGTCTGTTTACTCAGGTGTCAACACATAATTATTTAAATTAGTATATATATGTTAATTTATGACATCATTCCTCCCTCATTACTTTATTACTTATTCTTTTCTTTAATGTTTCTGGCAATATAAGAACAAGTGTACCTAGCTTTAAAAAATGTACATATATTATGTTTGGGATTGCATTGGATTTATTAATTAGGGAGAATTGGTGTCTTCAAAATATTGAATCTTCTGACCCAAGAGCAACTATGGTTTTATGGCAGAAGTTTTTTTCCCCAAGTTATAAAAATGTTCATCAGTGAGATTTAGATTGTCCAGGAAGAAGTATATTATACTGATTAAGAGCATAGACTCATGTTTATGAGACCTTGAGTAAGCTGCATAAACACTTAGTACCTCCATTTTCTCACAGACAAAATAGAAATAACGATAGCACCTGCCTCAGGGAGTGGTAATAAGAATTAAATGAATTGGCCGGGCGCGGTGGCTCACGCCTGTAATCCCAGCACTTTGGGAGGCCGAGGCGGGTGGATCATGAGGTCAGGAGATCGAGACCATCCTGGCTAACAAGGTGAAACCCCGTCTCTACTAAAAATACAAAAAATTAGCCGGGCGCGGTGGCGGGCGCCTGTAGTCCCAGCTACTCGGGAGGCTGAGGCAGGAGAATGGCGTGAACCCGGGAAGCGGAGCTTGCAGTGAGCCGAGATTGCGCCACTGCAGTCCGCAGTCCGGCCTGGGCGACAGAGCGAGACTCCGTCTCAAAAAAAAAAAAAAAAAAAAAAAAAAGAATTAAATGAATTAAAATAATGTAAAGTTCCATTCAAAGCACTTAAACAATGTTTGGCACTAGCAAATGCTCCAAAAAAAATTCTTCTTTTTATTAGGTCCTGAGCATTGCTTTTTGAGTTTTTTTCTAAATATTGTTTCCTTTGTTTTATTGTTTTATTATTCTTATCCTTTCCATAGCTTTTAATTGATTCTCTTCAGTTATCCAGGTATACAGGTTTATGATCTGAAAACAATAATAAATTGTCCTACGCAGTTTACTAATTCAATTTCTTCCTCTTGTTTACTTGCCTTGGCTAAGACTTCCAGAACCATAATAAATAATAGTAGAGATAATATATCTTTTGTCTTTGACTTCAGTGAGACTGTGTCTAGTGCTTCATCATATGTTTTTGTGATATTATTAACATTTCTATTTAGTTATAAGATTTTATTTTATTTTTATTTACTTTTTTAATTTTTATTTTAGGTTTTGGGGTACATGTAAAGGTTTGTTACATAGATAAACACGTGTCACATGGGTTTCTTGTACATATTATTACATTACCCAGGTATTAAGCTCAGTACCCAGTAGTTATCTTTTCTGTTCCTCTCCCTCCTCCTACCCTCTACCCCCAAGTAGACCCCCATGTCTGTTGTTTCCCTCTTTGCGTTCATAATTTCTTATCATTTAGCTCACACCTATAAGTGAGAATATGTGGTATTTGGTTTTCTGTTCCTGTGTTAGTTTTCTAAGAATGATGACCTCCAGCTCCAGCCATGTTCCTGCAAAAGACATGATCTTGTTATTTTTTATGCCTGTATAATATTCCATGATGCATATGTACCACATTTTCTTTATTCAGTCTGTCATTGATGGGCATTTAGATTAAGTCCATGTCTTTGCTACTGTGAACAGTGCTGCAGTGAACATTCACGTGCATGTGTCTTTATGGTAGAATGCTCTATATTCCTCTGGGTATGTACCCAGTAATGGGATTGCTGGGTTAAATGGTAGTTCTGCTTTTAGCTCTTTGAAGAATCGCCATACTGCTTTCCACAATGGTTGAACTAATTTACACTCCCACCAACAGTGTGTAAGGGTTCCCTTTTTTTTGCAACCTTGCCAGTATCTGTTTCTTTTTTTTTTTAACTTTTTAATAATAGCCATTCTGACTGTTGTGAGATGTTATCTCATTGTGGTTTTGATTTGCATTACTTCAATGATCAATGATATTGAGCTTTTTTAAATATGCTTGTTGGTCAGATGCATGTCTTCTTTCTTTTCTTTTCTTTCTTTCTTTCCTTTTTTTTTTTTTTTTTTTTTTTTTTTTTTTTTTTTTTGAGACAGAGTCTCGCTCTGTTACCAGGCTGGAGTGCAGTGGCACGATCTCGGCTCACTGCAACCTCCACCTCCTGGGTTCAAGTGATTCTCCTGCCTAAGCCTCCCAAGTAGTTGGGACTACAGGCACACGCCACTACACCTGGCTAATTTTTTTATTTGTAGTACAGATGGGGTTTAACTATGTTGACCAGGATGGTCTGGATCTCCTAACCTTGTGATCTGCCCGCCTCGGCCTCCCAAAGTGCTGGGATTACAGTCATGAGCCACCGTGCCCGGCCCATATGTCATCTTTTGAGAAGTGTCTGTTCATGTCTTTTGCCCACTTTTTAATGGGGCTGTTTGTTTTTCTTTTGCAAATTTGTTTAAGTTCCTTATAGATGCTAGATATTAGATATTTGTCAGATGCATAGTTTGCAAATATTTTCTCCCATTCTTTAGGCTACCTGTTTATTCTGTTGATAGTTTCTTTTGCTGTGCAGAAGCTTTTAAGTTTAATTAGATCCCATTTGTCAATTTTTGCTTTTGTTGCAGTTGCTTTTGGTGTCTTTGTCATAAAATCCTTGCCCATTCCTACGTCCAGAATGATACTGCCTAGTTTGTCTTCCAGAGTTGTTATAGTTTTGGGTTTTACATTTAAGTCTTTAATCCATTTGGAGTTAATTTTTGTATATGGTATAAGGATGGGGTCCAGCTTCAATCTTCTGCATATGGATAGCCAGTTATCCGAGCACCATTTATTGAATAGGAACTCTTTTCCTCATTGCTTGTTTTTGTGAGCTTTCTCAAAGATCAGATGGTTATAGATGTGTGGCTTTATTTCTGGCTCTATATTCTATTCCATTGGTCTATGTGCCTGTTTTTGTGCCAGTACGGTGATGTTTTGGTCACTGTAGCCTTGTAGTATAGTTTAAAGTTGGATAACGCGATTCCTCCAGCTCTGTTCTTTTTGCTTAGAATTGCCTTGGCTATTTGGGCTCTTTTTGGTTTCATATAAATTTTAAAATAATTGTTTCTAGTTCTGTGAAGATTGTCATTGGTAGTTTAATAGGAATAGCATTAAATCTGTAATTTGCTTTAGGCAGTACAGCCATTTTAATGATATTGATTATTCTATCCATGAGCATGAGATATTTTTCCATTTGTTTGTATCTTCTCTGATTACTTTGAGCAGTGTTTTGTAATTCTCATTGTAGAGATCTTTCACCTCCCCAGAGAGTTGTATTCCTAGCTATTTGTGTGTGTGTGTGGCAATTACGAATGGGAATGCCTTTCTGATTTGGCTCTCAGTTTGGTTGTGGTTGGTGTATAGGAATGCTAGTGATTTTTGTACATTGACTTTGTATCCTGAAACTTTACTGAAGTTGTTTATTAGCTGAAGGAGCTTTTGGATCGAGACTATGGGGTTTTCTAGATTCAGAATCATGTCGTCTGTAAACAGACAGAGTTTGACTTCCTCTCTTCCTATTTGGATGCCCTTTCTTTCCTTCTCTTGCCTGATTGCTCTGGCTAGGACTTCCAATACTATCTTGAATAGAAGTGATGAGAGAAGGGATCTTTGTCTTGTGCTCGTTTTTAATGGGAATGCTTCCAACTTTTGCCCATTCAGCATAATGTTGGCTGTGAGTTTGTCATAGATGGCTCTTATTATTTTGAGATATGTTCCTTCAATATCTAGTTTATTGAGAGTTTTTAACATGAAGAGATGTTCAATTTTATCAAAAGCCTTTTCTGCATCTATTGAGATAATCATGTGGTTTTTGCCTTTAGTTCTGCTTATGTGATGAATTAGATTTATTGATTTTTATATGTTGAGCCAACCTTGCATCATGAGATGAAGCCTACTTGATTACGGTGGATTAGCTTCTTGATGTGTAGCTGGATTTGGTTTGCAAGTATTTTGTTGAGGATTTTTGCATCAATGTTCATCAAGGATATTTGCCCAAAGTTTTCTTTTTTTGTCATGTCTCTAGTCGGTTTTGGTATCAAGATGATGCTGGCCTCATAGAATGAGTTGGGGAGAAGTCCCTTCTCCTCAGTTTTTTGGAATAGTTTATATAGGAATGGTACCAGTGCTTCATTTTACATCTGGTAGAATTCAGCTGTGAATCCATTAGATCCTGAGCTTTTTTCAGTTGGTAGGCTATTTATTACTCATTCAATTTCGGAGCTCATTATTGGTCTGTTCAGGGAATCAATTTCTTCCTGGCTCAGTCTTAGGAGGGTGTATGTGTCCAGGAAGTTATCCATCTCTTCTAGGTTTTCTTGCTGGTGTGGTTAGAGGTGTTCTTAGTAGTTTCTGATGGTTGTTTTTATTTCTGTGGGGTCAGTAGTAACATTCCCTTCATCATTTCTAATTGTATTTATTTAGATCTTCTCTCTGTTCTCCTTTTTTAGCCTAACTAGTGGCCTACTTATTTTATTATTTTTTTCAAAAACCCAACTCCTGTATTCATTTATCTTTTGAACAGTTTTTCCTGTCTCAATTTCCTTCAGTTCAGCTCTAATTGTTGTTGTTTCTCATCCTCTGCTAGCTTTGGGGTTGATTTTTTCTTGCTTCTCTAATTCTTTCAGTTGTGAAGTTAGGTTATTAATTTGAGATCTTTCTAACTCATTTAGTGCTATGAATTTGCCTCTTAACACTGCCTTAACTGTGTCCCAGAGATCCTGGTATGTTGTATCTTTGTTCTCATTATCTTCAAAGAACTTCTTGATTTCTGCCTTTATTTTATTATTTACCCAAAAGTCATTCAGGAGCATGTTGTTAAGTTTTCATGTAATGTTATGGTATTGAGCAATATTCATTGTGTTGACTTCTATTTTCATTACACTGTGGTACAAGAGTGTGTCTGGTATAATTTCACCTCTTTTACATTTGTTGAAGACTTTTTAATGTCCAATTATGTGGTCAATTTCAGAGTATGTGCCATATGGTGATGAAAAAAATGTATATTCTGTTGTTTTGGGGTGGAGACTTCTGTAAATGTCTATCACATCCATTTGGTTCAACCCTAATGTTAGGTCCTGAACATCTTTGTTAATTTTCTGCCTTATCTGTCTAATACTGTCAGTGGAGTGTGGAAGTCTCCCACGATTACTGTGTGGTAGTCTATGTTGCTTAGAACTTGCTTTATAAGTCTGGGTACTCAATTCATCAAGAAGAACTCATTATCCTGTGTTGGGTGCATATATATTTAGGATAGTTAGGTCTTCTTGATAAATTGAACCCTTTGCCATATGTAATACCCTTCCTTGTCCTTTTTTATCTTTGTTGATTTGAAATCTGTTTTCTCTGAAATTAGAATTGAAGCCCCTGCATTTTCCATTTGCTTAGTAGATTTTTCTCTACCCCTTCATAGAATGTCATTCCCTCAATAGGGTTACTATCCCTTCATTGAGTGTCATTATGTGTGAGATGTGTCTCTTGAAGACAGCATACCATTGGGTCTTGCTTTTTTATCCAGTTTGCCATTCTGTGCCTTTTAAGTGGCTCATTATGCCTGTTTACATTCAAGGTTAGTATTGGTATGTGTGGATTTGATCCTGTCATTGTGCTGTTAGCTGGCTATTATGTTGGCTTGTTTGTATGGTTGCTTTACAGTGACACTGGTCTGTGTGTCTAAGCGTGTTTTTGTATTAGCTGGTAGCAGTCTTTCCTTTTTATATTTAGTGCCTCTTTCAGGCTCTCTTCTAAGGAAGGTCTGGTAGTAATGAAGTCCTTCAACATTTGCTTATCTCAAAAGGATCTTATTTCTCCTTCACTTAGGCAGCTTAGTTTGGCTGGATATTAAATTCTTGGTTGAAGATTTTTTCTTTAAGAATGTTGAATATAGGCTCCTAATTTCTTCTGGCTTGTAGGGTTTCAGCTGAGAGGTCTACTATTAGCCTTATGGGGATCCGTTTGTAGGTGACATGCCCTGTCTCTCTAGCTGCATTTAACATTCTTTCTTTCATTTCAACCTCAGAAAATCTAATGATTATGTGTCTTGGGGATGATCTTCTTGTGTAGAATATTGAAGGAGTTCTCTGTATTTCCTGAATTTGACTGTTGGCCTCTCTAACAAGGTTGGGGAAGTTTTCATGGATTATATCCTGTAATGTATTTTCCAAGTTGTTTGCTTTCTCCCTCTCCCTTTCAGGAATGCCAGTGATTCATAGATTTGCCCTCTTTACCTAATCCCATACTTCTCAGAAGTTTTGTTCATTCTTTTTTATTCTTTTTTCTTTATTTTTGTCTGTCTTATTTCAGAGAACCAGTTTTCAAGTTCTGAGATTCTTTCCTCAAATTGGTTTATTCTGCTGTTAATACTTGTAATTACATTGTGAAATTCTTATATTGTGTTATTCAGTTCTGTCAGAACCATTGGTTTCTTTTTTATACTGGCTATATTGTCCTTCAGCTCCTATATTACTTTATCATGATTCTTGTTTTCCTCAGATTGGGTTTTGCTATCCTCCTGAATCTTGATGATCTTTGTTCCTATCCATATTCTAAATTCTATTTCTGTCATTCCAGCCAGTTCAGCCTGGTTAATAACTCTTTTTGGAGAACTGGTGTAGTTGTTTGGAGGACATATGACACTCTGACCATTTGAGTTACTGGAGTTCTTGCATTGGTTCTTTGTCATCTCTGTGTGTGGGTGTTCCTTTAACTCCAGTGTAGATTAAGTATGGTCAATAGACCTCTTTTTTGGACGTTTTCACTGGACCAAGGCTTTGTGTAGGGTCTCTATTTGAAGCTGACTTCTTGCCTGTAGCTTCAGAGGTATGTTAGTGAGATATTTTTGGTGTTGAAGCCTTGGGGTGTGATCCAGTGGGTGACACTGAGGCATATTGTTCAGTTAGTAGACTCTTGCTCAGTTATGTGGCTCCCCTATGTTTCCTCACAGCTGCAGCCATGCTCTCTCTCAGTTCTCTGAAAGTGTGGACTCCTCTCCCCCTTGAGTGCTGCCTGTAGCTCACAACTTGGCACTCCTGGGCTGCCCACTGTAGCTCTGGGACAATCTCAGTGTTTATGTTCCTTCCCCAGCTTAGAGGCAGCAGAGGAAGAGATCTTAGTAGTGGCTGTGGCCATGGGCCATTTGGTTGTCTCCTGGGGGCTCCACCCCAGAGAGATGCAGGTCAGCAATCACTCAGTGTAGTCAGCAAGATGGAGGGTTTGTGCTGTGAGCCCAAGCCAGGGGTTCCTTGTCTAGTGATGAGCTATGGCGAATGTGTGGGACTTATGGGAAATGGACTGGCCTCCTCTCCTTGGGTTGACTACAGCTTGTTGGAGGTATGGATAAGGCACTTAGGGTCTTTGCTACTTCATTAGTCTGAGGTGGCAAGGGAAGTTCCACTGCAGGGGGAGTGGCCAAGAGGCTTTCAATTTCCCCTGGAGGCTCTGTCCAGATAGTTGCTGAGTTGGTGTTGGCTCAATAGCTCTGGAAGGAGGTGGCTGGAGGCCCAGGACTAAAGGCCCTGTCTGGTAAAGAGTTATGGGAATAGCCACTCATGTAACAGTCTGGCCACTTTTCTGTAGGGCTGCTGTGGTATGCTTGGGGCTCCCTCCAGTCTTTAGCCACCTTGGATTTTCCAGAACCTAGAGGTGTCACCAGTGAAGCCTGCAAAAATGTAAAGATGGCAGCCTGCCCCTCCCTCTGGAAGCTTTGTCCCAGGGAGGTATAGACCTATTGCTGGTCCAAAGACACCTGTAGGAAGTGGCTGGAGACCCTGGATGGGAGGTCCCGCCCAGTGAGGGGGAATGGGATCGGGACCTACTTTAAAAAGTAGTCTGGCCATGTTTTGCTAGAGCATCTATGCTATGCTGGGGGTCCACTTCAGCTCCTGGTCACCTCAGACACTCTGCCTAAACAGCAAAGATGGTGGCCTACCCCTCCCTCTGGATGCACTGCCCCAGGGGAATTCAGGTCTGTGTTGGCTGGAGAGCCTGGGCAGGGGCGGCTGGAGGTCCTGGTTGGGAGGACCAGTCCAGTGAGGAGGAATGGGATTGGGCACCCACTTAAAGCAGCAGTCTGGGCATGTTTTGGTAGAGCGGCTGTGCTGTGCTGGGGGGATCCCTTCTGCCCTGAGTTGGCTCAGACTCTCCAAAGCCTGAAGGCTGGAAGAGCGAAGGCATCAGGGCCAGATACCCTAAACCATCTCTCTGAAGTTCAAAGTTCCACAGATGTCTAGGGCAGGGGTAAAATGTTGCCAGTCTCTTGGCTAAAGTATAATAAGAGTCAGCTTTGCTCCCATTCCCAACAAGTTCCTCATCTCCGTCTGAGGCCAACACAGCCTAGACTTCATTGTCCAGATCACTTTCAGCATTTTGGTCAAAGCCATTCAACAAGTCTCTAGGAAGTTCCAAATTTTCCCACATATTCCTGTCTACTTCTGGGTTCTCTAAACTGTTCCAACCTCTGCCTGTTACCCAGTTCCAAGGTCACTTCTACATTTCCAGGTATCCTTATAGCAGCACTCCACTCTACCACAACCAGTTTTCTATATTAGTCCATTCTCACGCTGCTATGAAGAAATACCTGAGACTGGGTAATTTATAAAGGAAAGAGGTTTAATTGACTCACAGTTCCGTAGGGCTGAGGAGGCCTCAGAAAACTTATAATCATGGCAGAAGAGAAAGCAAATACATCCTTCTTTACATGGTGTCTGGAAGGAGAAGAATGAAAGAAGTGCACAGCAAAGGGGGAGAGCCCTCACAAAACCATCAGATCTTGTGAGAGCTCACTCACTATCATGACAACAGCATGAGGGAACTGCTCCCATGATTCAGTCACCTCCCTTGAGGTCCCTCTCCCCACACATGGGGATTACAATTTGGATTACAATTCAAGATGAGATTTGGGTGGGGACACGGAGCCAGACTGTGATGGTTAATACTGAGTGTCAACTTGATTGGATTGAAGGATACAAAGTATTGATCCTGGGTGTGTCTGTGAGGGTATTGCCAAAGGAGATTAACATTTGAATCAGTGGGCTGGGAAAGGCAGACCCACTGTTAATCAGGGTGGGCCCAATCTAATCAGATGCCAGCATGGCTAGAATATAAACAGGTAGAAAACTGTGAAAAGAGAGACTGGCCTAGCCTCCCAGCCTACATCTTTCTCCCATGCTGGGTGCTTCTTGCCCTTGAACATCGGACTCCAAGTTCTTCAGTTTCGGAACCCAGACTGTCTCTCCTTGCTCCTCAGCCTGCAGACAACCTATTGTGGGACCTTGTGATCCTGTGAGTTAATACTTAATAAACTCATATATATATATATATATATATACACACACACACACACACATATATATACATATATACATATATTTATATTCCATCAGTTCTGTCCCTCTAGAGAACCCTGACTAATACACAGACCATAGCAATGACTATGTGATTTTCCTGACATATGAATATAATGAATATGTTAATAGATAATAGAGTCCCTGATACTAAAACATCATTGTTTTCATACATATAAAAATGTATAAATGTACTTATATATATCATATTAGTCTGTTCATATGCTGCTTCATTCTTTTTATAAATATTTTGGTTAGGATTTTTGCAAAGATTTAGATGAAAATGGACCACAGTTCTTGGATATGGTGGATGGTTGGGTATACGTATGCATAGGTTCAAGTGTGCTAGCATTCTTAACATTTGGTATCAAAAGCATGTCAGACTAATATCCACTGTAACAATTTGGTAGTAAATTTTTGGGGTATTAGATATAAATATCTAAGTATGAATAATTTTAATAAACTAGTAGTAATCTACGTGCCATTTTTAAAAATTTTAATTATACTTCAGTTAAAACAATTTATATTTCAAAATTATGTATCCAACTCTTGAAATTGTTCACTATTGCCACAAGTGGATATATATTAAACTAATAATACCACAGTGGACACTATATCTCATACCCTAAACCATAATGATATATATCTAATCAATAACCCATGTTATTTCTTTAAATAAATAAAAATTTCTGGCAAACAACTCTGTATCAGCCCACTCTCTGTCTCTTTGTTTTTGTCTTTACAACTCCTCTTGCAACTGCTGCTAATCAAAGTGTAGATTCCAGGCAACTTGAGTCTTTGCTCCCAGGTTATAATCCTTAAACTTGACGCAAATAAACTGTCTACTTATAAAAAAAAAATTGTTATCGATGTTATACTCACTTCATGAAAATAATTTGGAAACTTTCTTTTCCCTCTATCCTCTGAAACTGTATAAGTAATAATGGAGTTATCAGCTCCTTAGAAATAGAATCCCATGAAAAAAACATCTAGGCTTGTTGCTTTTTTGATGAGGGGACAGTAGAAAGTCTTGACAGCTTTTCAATTTTTCTAAGGACTGTTAGGGGATTTTTTTTGTCTCTTCTAGTTTAAGTTTTGCTATATCATATTTTTCTCCAAAATGATCTGTGTTTACTCTTTAAGGAGAAATTTCTTCACAGTAATTTAGTAATTAAAGTAATCTCTTTAAATTTTTCTGATTCCCTAATTACCTGTGATAATTCTCCCTTTCTACTTTCTAACTTGTATCATATTTTAACATTTAAGAACAGTAATCGTGCTCAGTTTTCATTTATTGTTCTAAGTAATAGCAGTTTGGTAAAATATTTCATGTAGGTCTTCTTTACAAGATTTTGCCTAACTACTAAAGAACCTAATGAAAACAGCTCTAAGTTACTGAATACCTTTTGTGTGCCAAGCTCTCCAAAGCAGATTTTATATGTATTTTCCCTTTTAATCCTCACAATAGGAACTGTTGGTGTCCCTACTTTCCAGATGGAGAAGTTGAAGCCCGGAGAACTCAAGTAAGTTTTCCAGTGAGGAAGTAGCAAAACAAATAGGTTTCAAACATTGGCAGTCTGACTCCAGGAAAGTCTATACTCTTTATACTGTACTTCCTATCTATCATGTTGGTCTTATAAGTGAATTTTAGTACTAATATTATCGCTCAGAAAATTATCTACAAAAACAAGTTTCATCTTCATAGCAGGTAATAGTAACTTTTCATAATATTAAACCATGAGAAAATGCATTGAAGTCACTACTCATTTCTACATATTTAAAACACTAAATAAATAAGTATATGTGCCACACTCAGTCTATCTCTCACCAAAAACCATTGCTATAGTTTTTGCTATAGTTTTAACGTTTGTGTCTCCCCAAAATTCTTAGTTGAAACCTAATCTCCAATGCAGTAGTATTAAGAGGGGGCTTTTAGGAGGTGGTTAGGTTATGAGGGCTCTGCCTTAATGGATGGGATTTGTGCCTTAATAAAAGTAGCCTGAGGGAGCCTCCTTGCCCCTTCTGCCTCATGAGGACACAGAAGGTGCCATCTATGAGGAAAAGACACCAAATCTGCTGATGCTTTGATCTGGGACTTTCCAACCTCCAGAACTGTCAGCGATAAATTTCTATTGGTTCTAAATTACTCAGGCTAGGGCATTTTGTTATAGTAGCCTGGATGGACTAAGACAGTTTTCAACTTAAATGCAATGGAAAGGAAAGAGTTTAAAACAGAAGACTGGCCTAATTAGAATTGTGTTTCCAAAGATTATTTTGGCTGCATCACAGAGAATAAATAGAGGTGAGCAAGAAAGGATATGGAGAGACTTCTTTGTACTAATTCAGTTGCAGTTATCAGGGTGAAGGATAATGGTAGCTTCAACATTAGTGCTAGCTAGAAAGATGAAAGAAATGGATGTATTCCAATGATTTTTCAAAGGTAGAGTTAAGAGAAATTGGTGATGGATTATCTAATATGGAAAATGAGACAGGAAGAAGTATCAAGAATCCATCCTGGGTTTCTGTCTCCTATAGTCTGTGTTGCTTGAGAAGAATGAAGCTTGCTTGCTCTATGTCCATGGCCTGTACCCCTGGGAACAGGAGTATCTCAATTTTTAAATTCAAGAAAATAGAGACATAATTAATAAGTTAATATACATATTTACGCAATTAGTAGATATCTACACATATTACAAAGATACTAAACCAAGTCCCTAAAATAGTTTGAGCATCCCAGCACTTTGGGATGCTGAGGCAGGAGGGTCACTTGAGGACTGAAATTCAAGACCAACCTGCACAGCACAGCAAGACACCGTCTCTACAAAAAATTTAAAAACATCTGATAAAGGGCTAATATCCAGAATCTACAATGAACTCAAACAAATTTACAAGAAAAAAACAAACAACCCCATCAAAAAGTGGGCGAAGGACATGAACAGACACTTCTCAAAAGAAGACATTTATGCAGCCAAAAAACACATGAAAAAATGCTCATCATCACTGGCCATCAAAGAAATGCAAATCAAAACCACAGTGATATATCATCTCACACCAGTTAGAATGGCAGTCATTAAAAAGTCAGGAAACAACAGGTGCTGAAGAGGATGTAGAGAAATAGGAACACTTTTACACTGTTGGTGGGACTATAAACTAGTTCAACCATTGTGGAAGTCAGTGTGGCGATTCCTCAGGGATCTAGAACTAGAAACACCATTTGACCCAGCCATCCCATTACTGGGTATATACCCAAAGGACTATAAATCATGCTGCTATAAAGACACATGCACACGTATGTTTATTGTGGCACTATTCACAATAGGAAAGACTTGGAACCAGCCCAAATGTCCAACAATGATAGACTGGATTAAGGAAACGTGGCACATATACACCATGGAATACTATGCAGCCATAAAAAATGATGAGTTCATGTCCTTTGTAGGGACATGGATGAAATTGGAAATCATCATTCTCAGTAAACTATCGCAAGAACAAAAAACCAAACACTGCATATTCTCACTCATATGTGGGAATTGAACAATGAGAACATATGGACACAAGAAGGGGAACATCACACTCTGGGGACTGTTGTGGGGTCGGGGGAGGGGGGAGGGATAGCATTGGGAGATATACCTAATGCTAGATGACGAGTTAGTGGGTGCAGTGCACCAGCATGGCACATGTATACATATGTAACTAACCTGCACATTGTGCACATGTACCCTAAAACTTAAAGTATAATAATAAAAAAAATAAAAATAAAAATTAGCTAGATGTGGTAGCATGTGCCTATAGTACTAGCTACTCACGAGGCTGAAGCTGGAGAACCACTTTAGCCCAGGAGTTTAAGGCTGCGGTATGCACTCCAGCCTAGGTGAGAGAGTGAAACCCTGCCTCTAAAATATAAATAAATATTTAAATTTTTGTTGATAAATAAGTAAAATAAAATAAAAATGAATTAGTTTGAACAATTCTACAAAGATCCAAGAATCCATCTCTGAGAGAACACCAGTCCATCTAACAAATAAAGGCATTTGGAAGTTTCTCTACTAAGAAATATTTCTACCACAAGCAGATAATTAGGAAGTGGTGTGAGGCAATGGAGAAATATCACTCAGAAAGACTTGGATTTCATCAGCTTCTCCCTGCTTTGAAAGACTGAACTTGAGTAAATAATCATTCTAAGTTCTGGTTTTATGTGTGTAAAGGGAGATATTTTCTACCTAGAAACATTATTATGAGATTGAATATGATGATGCATGTAAAGCCCTCAACCCATCTGGCACACAGTAGATCTTTTCCTTCAAATTAGAGGGTTTTTTGAATTGCTAAATTTGCTTTTAATAAGCAAGTAATTAGTGAATGTAAAACAGCTAGTCCTGCGCACCTTGGCACAAATTATTTTACCGTCTTTTAAATGAAAATAGTACTTTTGGAGTCTAATATTGATTAAATGAACTTGTACTCTTGTAAATACTTAACACTCGATGCAGAAAGAATTGTTACAAAGGATCATATAAAATTTATATTTGTATGAAATTACCAAATGTGTTGAAGAAATGTAAAATATAATCTTATTGCAGTGAAATATGGCCATTAAAGAGGCATGGGATCCAGATTTTTCAAATATATTTCTTTGCTTTGAACTTCTTTAAATGTCATATGGTAGAATGGTGTTTTTATATCTGTCCACATGTATAACACAGCTCAGTAGTTTTATCAAAATTATGACAACAATATGGATCTAATTCTTTTACAGCAAAAATTCAAGTATTTTAAAATCTCAAATATTTTGATTGCCTTGAAATTCACATTTTAGACATTGTTTATTAAAATACATCAATTCTATGGGTTTTATAATCATTTTGTTATACAGAGATTTCCATGGTAACTTTGTTTGCTCAAGCACATAGAATTGGGATTGATAGCTGACAATCCATTAAAAGTTCACATTATACAGCGAATGATGATTTTTCTAGAAAGTTTAGATTAAGGTATACATCTAAATACGTGAAATAATATATTTTACTTTAAAAATGGCAGAAAAAGACCTCTAACCTGGAACATACAGGAAACACAAAATAGAGCATGTAATAATGAGTTAACACTTATCGAGTACTTAAGATGTGCTAATTTGTGTGTGTGTGTGTGTATTTGTACAATCTCACATCATCCTCAAAACAAGCGTATGAAGCTACATAGGTTAATTATGCCCAAGTTCATGCAGCCAGAAAGGAGCAGAATGATCCGTTCATCTGGCACCAAACCTAGCTGTACTATTCTGCCTCTCATAGATACTCATTTCTCTGCAGCAGCTAGTTTACTGAAAGAAGAGGAAAGTCACTATAAACTAGGGATCCCTTTTCGCTTCAGACCTGGCTATTTTGCAGCCAAAAAACTCAATTGTTTTATTTAAGGCACAAATCTAAATTGATAAAACAGACTAAGACAGGAAAATGTGACAGTTCAAAGCATGTGTTAAATGAAAGGAGAAAATAAATGCCCATTCAACATTTCATCTGTTGATTTGCAGCTTGAAAGTACAACCTGCTGGCCTAAACAAGATGCTGTGCCTTGTATTTCAACCCAAAGAATAAGATGGAGATGGAGACGAATGAGAGGCATGCAAATCATAAAAGTCCACAGAATCTTGTACATTACTTGATACATGGAATGTACTAATAAATATTTGCTAAATGAAAAAGGAGCTTGAGGGGCAGGGAAGAGGCATGAGTTGTTATAGGTATTGATAGCATTATTTTATATATTTAAGGAGAGTTCTGCTTGGACAGGAATAACTCCTATTGTTTGTACTTTTTATATTGATCAACTTATTGATATTATGGTTTTATTAACGCAAACCCTACTTATACAACCAATAAATCAAAACATATAATTTAACAAAAAATTCCCTAACATTCAGTAATAATTTCAAATTAATTCAATCAAAATTCTCTCAAATATTTCATTGAAATCCCAATTATTTCTTCTTATCAAATAGCCAAGGCTTCCTTCTCATCAATGATCAATGTTGACATGGAGGAGTTAGTTTGAAAGAGAAAGTAAAGAGCTTAGCTTGGGGCATGCTGCCTGTGAGACAAATGCATAAGGAAATGACCAGAAGGCATTTGAAGATTCATTTCTGAACTGCAGGATTTAAATCCAGAGGAAAAACCTAATCGGACACCATACATGTACAACTACTAATTAAAGACTTGGAAATGACCATGACCATTTAATGTAAAGAAAGAAAATGAAGAAAAAAAAAAACAGCAAGAGAAACTGAGAACACATTTAGGTAGTTTGTGTAAGAGGACCCAGTGAAAATAAAACAAGTGATCAAAGATAATGTGAAAACAATATAAGGTGTGTAGCGTCACAGGATCCAAGCAAAAGGAGTATTTTAAAAAAAATAGAGAAAGTGATATAGCATTATTTGAAATAACGTTTTAAAAGTTAACCTAAATGCCTATCAATCAGGAAATGATTAAATTATGATGTAATACCACAGTATATTACACAACCATTGGGAAAGGTAGATCTATGCTTGCTACGATGGAAAGATTCCCAAGCCCTATTATTAAATCACAGAATAATATATACGTGGTTAAGTTTCCAAATATGTAAGAAGAAAATTTAAAACATTATAAAATATATGTAAAATATATACTCACACACGTCTATATCTCTATATTGATAGATGATAGATATTCACAGACCAAAAGTATTTGGTGGACTTTAAGGTTGACCACCACATGGAGAAAAGAGGAGGCGTAGAACAGCAGTGTGAAGTGGAACTTTCTCATTTTGATTCTGCTTTATTTGAAGCTTTACCATAAAAAATATACTTACGCACTCTTTGTGTAAACTGGTGGTAAACACTATAAAATGTTTATAATAAATCAATAATAAGTCAGCTACCAATGCTGTACAAAAAAACCAAAGAGGATGAAAACCAAGAAAAAGGCCATTGGTATTTTTCATTAGAAATGTGACAGTGGCCTTACAAGAGCAAGTTCAGAATACTGGAAAGGAAAGAGTTCTGATCACAAGAGTGAGTATAGGTGAAAGTGGGGGTCAAAGATATGACATACTCAAAATATTCATCTGTGCCTGGGGGAAAGACTATAGAGAACAAGTAACCCACAGATTTGTTCAGGTTTAAGTCTGTGCTGTCCAGTGGGCCTTTCACACCTGCAAACCTTTTGCTGGAGCTGCAAGAGAAGAGCATTCCCTCTTCTTCCCACCAAGGCTATGCCTGGGAAGAGGTCTGGACCATCAGGCAATGACTCTAATGCCATTTGGAGCCTGACACAGAAGTCAACCAGCAGAAGGCAGAGAAGGCCAGGCACAGTGGGTCACGCCTGTAATTCCAGCACTTTGGGAGGCCAAGGCTGGCAGATCGCTTGAACCCAGGAGTTTGAGACCAGTCTGGCTGATATGGCGAAACCCCATCTCTACAAAAAATATAAAAATTAGCCAGGCATAGTGGCATGCACCTGTAGTCCCCTCTACTTGGGAGGCTGAGGTGGGAGGATCGCTTAAGTGTAGGAGGTTGAGGCTACAGTGAGCCGATATTGCACCACTGCTCTTCAGCCTGTGCAACTGCAGTGAGCTGTGATGGTGCCACTGCACTCCAGCCTGGGCAACCAGTGAGAGTCTCTCTCAAAAAATAAAAATAAAATAAAAATAAAAAAGAAGGCAGAGAGAAATGTGGACTGATTTCTCTTTTTTTTTTTTTTTTTTTTTTTTTTTTTTTTTTTTTTTTTTGAGACGGAGTCTTGCTCTGTCTCCCAGGCTGGAGGGCAGTGGCGCAATCTCGGCTCACTGCAAGCTCCGCCTACCGGGTTCACGCCATTCTCCTGCCTCAGCCTCCCTAGCAGCTGGGACTACAGGCGCCCGCCACCACGCCCGGCTAAATGTGGACTGATTTCTAATAATTTAAGCTCTATAGTTGGCAACTATATCCTCGGACCTTTGACATATACGGGCCAATAAATTCCCCACTTCTTTCTTAAATCAAAATGGGTTTTCTGTCACTTGATGCAGAACCCATCCAAAAGGCCTATTTTTATTTGTAACTCTAAGAACACCTTTCAATAGATAGTGAGTTTCACAGATAATCCAAAATATTTGGTATGGCTATTAATTTCAGTGTCTGTCCCATAACTCTCACCAGTACAGCTTGCTAACCAACACTGAAATAACATTGAGCGTTTTGAATTTCACCTCCTCTCCTTCCCTTTCCCTCCTCTCTAATGGAGGTGCTTTACGAGTAGTGAAAAATCCCAGAAGGTGAATGGGAAAAATAACTTAACGTCAGTCCCAAAGGCTAAAGTGGTAAACCCCAAATATATTCAGTCAAGTTGGTAAAAAAAATTGTTTGGTCTCACTGAAGTTATCACTTTCAACAGGTTACTATTTCTGGCATATGCCTGGAGAGTGGATTGTAGATTTTCTTTTGAATATTAACAATGGAAATATTCAGTACTATGAAAGAATGACTATCATCACCATAAATATAAATAGGTTTTCTACATTATTCCAGAAGGTATAAATTAATGACTTTATAAAACTTATGAGGTTATATTGAGTTTCATGGTTTTATATCATACAAGTACGTAATTACATAATATTTGATCCACACAAACACCTTAGCCACCATTCATTTAAAACACCCAGAACCACCATTCAACACAAAAACTACATTGCCAACACCTATAAATCTATTGTTGTGCTCCTCCAATCACATACCCCTAAAATCCCTAGATAAAATCACATTCTGAATTTTGTTTTCAACAATCCCTTATGTTTCTAGATAGTTTTATCACATACAATATATAATATACAATCATATTGTGTGTAGTCTGTGGCTTGATTTTTCATTCAATATTCCTATGATTAAGCACGTTTCTATGATTCATCCATGATGTTGAATATAGCTGTAGTTTGTCTCAATATCCCTGGTGCATAATATTAAGCTTTTGCTTTCTATCTTGTATTGTTGTTCAATTTTTTTCCTCCTTCTTCATACCTAATGTAATCCGAGAATAGAAGCAGAAATAATATATCCAAGCCAGTGTCTGCATGAAAAGATCATGGTAGTAACTTAGTTTCTGTCTGAGGAATTACTGATAGAAAGAAAAATTTGGTCTATCTATTACAACCTTCCCACAACAAATTACAGTGTTGTAGAAACTGGAAGAACTAGTCATCACACTCCACTATGGTTTTCAGAAGTGAAAAGGACAGTACTTATTTTGTTTCTCTTTAAAACACTTAATATATAGTTCTTAATACTAAAGTCAAAAACGCTGTCCTTTAGATGGGTCTGTGTTTCCATAATATGCCAAATATCTGGTTAAAAATTGAAATGCAAGAATACCAAGCAACAATTAAAAGGAACAAAATACAAATATATACCATCGTATAGATGAACCCCAAAAACATGTTAAGTGAAAGAAGGAAGATACAAAGGATTACATATTCTGATTCATGTATTTTATAATTTCTATAGTATGTCTAGAAAAGGCAAATGTTTAGACACAGAAAACAGATCAATGATTGCCTAGGGCTAGGTAAGTGAGGATTAACTGCAAATGGGCAGGAGAGAACTTTTGGATTAATGGAAATGGTCTAAAATTGGATTGTAGTGATGGTTTCACAACTCTATAAACTTACGAAGATCACTGAATTGTAAGAGGTAATTTTATGGTATGTAAGTTATACTTCCATAAAGCTGCTAAAAAGTGAAATTCTGTCATAATATCTCTAAAATACTTTATTTTATCTTTTCAGTCAATTAATGCTATCTATACGTTGTTTGCCATTTTGAAGAAAGAGCTCCAGTGTGCTAAATTTTAATATTTACATACTCTGTTTATGTGCCATATTGAAGTGAAACTAGAATTTAAAAAACACAGCAATTTGAGAAGACCTGCTGATGAAGATGGTATCTGAGTAAGAATGAATTGAACCACTTGCTAAGGGGCCTAGAATATGGCATTGGAAAGATAACCACTATTCCACATAGGAGCGGAGAAATCCTACAACGGCAGCAGATTTCCCAAGGGATCTTATGTCACGATGAGGAAGGATTACAGGAAACTTCTACTAACACTTTATTTTCCTTCCTGGAGCTTACGGAGAGGTTTCAGTAACTTGGTAGACAGGTCAATAGCTACTTACACTATAGAGTTACCCACAGCGCTCATGATAACTTATGCCTTGTCTACCTTTTTAAAAATCCTTTTCCCTTTTGTCAGAGGCATTTAAGTTTTTTGTTTCCACAAGTTTACGTTCTCAGTCGAGTTGTGGAGTGGTAGCTGTTAACTGAAGTTAACATTGTGCATGTCATCAAAGGAAATCAACTATAGAAACTAGAAATAAAAAGATAATTTGGACAAAGTGATCCCACTCTTTTGGATGTAATTGTAAATGAAACAGAGCATGTTTACCTCGATCCGGCCCAGACCAAAAACTAAAATATGAGAAAAGAAAACTAAAATATTTTAGAATATTTAAGAACTTACAATTATTGTGAAGCAGAGGAAGGAAGGCAATTATTTACATAATTTAAGCTCTTTCCCAAAATTCCACTTTGTTATCTTTATATTTTTGAAGAAAAAAAATGGGCATGGATTATCCTAATGATGAAAATTCCTCTGATGGTTTTGCATATTTAGAAACAATGTAAGTGAAGCATGTTAATGTAGTTTATTTAACATTTCAGAAACAAGCAGTCAAAAAAGACATCATCCCTCTCAACATTCTCCCTGTCAAAATATTTGTGGGATGATAAAGTATGCTGCCATCTTACAAATAGCCATCAGCCTAGAGTATACTACATTTTTCTTTCATGTCACAAAAACAATATTTTTTGAAAAATAGATATCAGTCACTTGATATAAAAATTCATGAGTACTCTAGGATGTGATAAAGAATGTTTTATTCCTATTTGTCATTTTGTATAGGTGAAGGACAAAAAAATAGCTGCAGACGCTTTGAGATAAAATTACTCTTTAACTCGTTTCACATGGTATGTGTCAGTAACACTTTCAGTGTGAAAGATGGAAGCCCCTTACAACCTGAGTTGTTTTTATATGTCAATGTTTAATTTTTGTAAAAAAAAAAAAAAAAAAAAAAGAACACGTCTTACCAAGCATATTATATTCATGTTGTCTTTTAAGGATTTTTTAAAAATATATAACACAAATTGGAAGAGCCCAAGGGAAAAAGAAAAGACATCTGTCTGATCAAGAGTCTTTTCCACAGTGAGAAAAGTTATTAAAAAATAAGGTGGAAAAATGGAAATGCTGCCTAACGTATATGGTTTATGTAAAGTTTCTAAGGCTAATTCTTTATTGCTTGGGAAGTCCATGAAGCTTTTGATCTAATGGATAAAAGTCCACAAGGCATGAGAAGATAAACTACAGTTATTCTAAGATTATTCATCATTAAGATACTGACTGAACACCTTGTAAAAGATAATTAAAGGGAGAGAAAAGGATGCAAAATAATTGGAATCAAGTGGAGTCACTTGGTAGAAATAGAAAAATTGAAGGTGAAACATTTAAGCCTTTCAATGCTTTTCTTGACATAACAATAGACTATAATTTTTAAAATTTCTTCTTAAAGACAAAACGATAAATAATACTTGCAATAACTGGTTCAGTTCTCAGATGATTTTTTAATACTAGAAATATATATGAATATGAATGCATATATGAAAATTAAAATAAAATGCATATGTTTAAGTGACTGAAACGGAGTCTTCATGATTCTATTACCTGCCCCCATTTAATGGGAAATCATATGTAAATATTATTATTAGAGAGGCATGACTATTTATTCCTTTTTTCTAAAAGTTTAAAGTTTTTATTCAATAGCATCATTTTTCTTTTTTCGAGACAGTCTTTTGCTCTGCCACCCCGACTGGGGTGCAGTGGTGTAATCAGAGCTCACTCCAGCCTCAAACTCTTGGGCTCAGGTGATCCTCCTTCCTCACCCTCCTGAGTACCTGAGATTACAAGTGCACACCATCACGCCCAGATAATTTTTTTATTTTTCATGCAGACAGGATCTCACTTTGTTGCCCAGACTGGTCTCAAACTTCTGGCCTCAAGTGACCCACCCACCTCAGCCTCCCAAAGTATCAACAGCATCATTTTAAACAGCATTTTTGTTTATTTGGTTGGTTTGTTGATTGAGGGCTTCCCTCATCAGCAATAGAAAATTTGGCTCCATTTTCCATAAAAGATCCAATGCAAGTCTATGTTTTTTCATGATGCAAACATATGACTATCATCTTTTACTCATTTTCAGTTATTATTATTATTATTTTGTTATTGCTGAAAGTCTTATTTTCTATAAAATCTTACCCCTAGCCAAAAATGGAAATGGAAAAAAAAATGGAATGTTACTATTAAAAAGGGCCTAAGAGACGGCAACAACTACCGTTACAGCAACCACCAGTATTTGTAAATGTTTACTACATGTTAAGCACTAAACAAAATCCCTTTATATGCATCATCTCAATTAGCCCTATGGAAACCATCCCTGCTGTCAGCACATTAAAGAGGACACTGAGACCCAATGAAGTTAAAGGGCTTGTCCAAGTTCATACAACTAGTTAGATGTATAAGCAGAACTTGGACCTGGTCCTTTGGTTCACAGTCCAGGAGTATTTTCCTACCACAATAATTTAAGAGAAAAATACAAAATGAACAGAAAATCATAATTCTATTAAGGACTTTCATGTTTTAAAATTTGATAGGATGTAAGCTTTATACTTTCCATCCAACATTTAGTTTACTCTTCCACTCAAATTCATTTGAGAAGTGTGACTCCTATCCTTCCTGGGCAAGTTATTTCACTGTAGATGGCTTTGCAATTAGATTGAGAGGAAAAAGAATTTACTTACTCATGTGAGAGCAAGAAGTGTAGTATCTGCTTAACATTCTAGCTTAAAATAATGCTGACTTTATCTAAAATATGTCACAGTGACCAGTTGAAAAGACCCCAGTACAGTCAATCAACTAACTGTTTGTTTTGTCTATGGAGTAACCCACCAAAATCATTTGGCAAATGTTATTACTAAATTGATCTAACCCATGTCTATTGCTGTGTGGGAGTGATGTGGTGTACTCAAATGCACTAGATAAAGAATTCCTAAATTCTTCTACTAATGGTTCTTTAAAATTGATTTACAGCTTCTAACTAAAGAATAGTCCTCCTCTCTCTTTGCAAATTTTAGGAATGAGAATCAGATGACCTCCCTGCCCCCATCATAGGTCATGAATCTAGATGTACAATTCATCCTAATGATTCCTCAAAAAGGAAAATCAAGACAGCTAATGCTTTAGGTTTATCGTTGTTACCATTATTGCCAATGGTATAAAATCTACAGTAAATCTTCAAATGAGAGAAGAGTCCTAGGCATATCTTCTCTTAATCTTGAATAGGTAGAAAACTGGGAATAATAATAAAGAAAAGACATTTTTTGGTTATAATTTCTAATAGTGAATTTTATGGGCTGAATTGTGTATCCCCAAAATTGATGTCGAAGTCCCATCTCCCAGTGTAACTGTATTTGGAGATAGGACTTTCAGGAGATAATTACACTTAAATGAGGTCTTAAAGGGGGTTCCTAATTCAATAGGGCCAGTGGTGTTATAAGAGGAAGAGATTTCTCTCTTTCTCTCTCTCTCTGTCTTTCTCTGCCTGTCTCTCTGTATGCACTCAGAGGAAAGGCCATGAAGGACACAGTGAGAAGGAGGCTGCTAAATGAAGTTAAAGTTAAAGCGAGGAAGAGAGCCCTCACCAGAACCTAATCATGCTGGCACCCTGATCTTGGGCTTTCAGCATCCAGAACTGTGAGAAAATAAATTTCTGTTGTTTAAGCCACACGGTATTTTGTTATGGCAGGCTAAGCTGACTAAAAGAGCACACTACTATCAAACCTTGAAAATATGTCAGGCTGGGTGTGGTGGCTCATGCCTGTAATCCCAGCACTTTGGAAGGTCAAGGCAGGAGGATTGCTTGAGTCCAGGAGTTTGAGCCCAGCCTGGGAAATATAGTGAGACCTCATCTCTACAAGAAATTTAAAAGTTAGCCAAGCATAGCGGCACACACCTGTAGTCCCAGCTACTTGGGAAGAGGAGGTGTGAGGATTGCTTGAGCCCAGGAGGCTGAGGTTGTAATGAGCCAAGATTGTGCCACTGCACTCCAGCCTGAGTGACAGAGCAATTTATTTTGAAGAGCTGCTCTCAACTCTTATAAAACAACTTGGAGGGCTTTAGTGAGTGCCAATGATTGTTAGTAAATATAGCCTATATATTTTTACTGGTCTAGCCTCAAAAACAGTAATTTTATAAAGCTGTTGTTTTGAAGGTAAGTTAATGACAACATTAGTTGGAATGCCTCACACTGGTGTGTGACCTCAAACACATAGCTAGAGGTGAGTTGTTAAATGTTTTTCAACTGATTCTGAGCTCCAAATAAGACCTGAAGCCCACTAGCACTAGATTTTGACTAATTATAAATTTCACAGAGAACTGTCATCTGCATAAAAACAATGAAGCTAACTTATACAGAAAGTAAACTTTATATCAGGGTCAAACAAAAGACTCAGGTCTTTACATTATAGTTAACTCTATCATTTATGCTATAAATACACTGGCAGATTCTGTGAACTGGCTCCTCTTCTTTTTTCTAATAGATTCCCCCTAACCCTAAGTTTTAGCATGGCATATTTAGAAACCATACTTCCAAATTCCCCTGTATCTAAAGAGGCCAATGGATGGAGATGGAACTTATATATATAATTTTCAGATCCCATTATTACAAGGAATCTGCTTGCCTTCCATCCTCTTTTTCGCACTTCCTCGGGGCTGGTGAAGGTAAGCTGGCTTCACTCATGTATGTCACCCCCCAAAGGATGAGAGAGTAACAAGGTAGAAAAAAACGAGGATCCCTGGGTGTCCTTATGGAGCAGAGTCATCCACTTGCCTAGGTCTGCATTGATATGAAAGACAAAAGTAAATCTGTGGCTTGTCTGAGCCACTCTGTTTTGAAGATTTATTAGTACTCTAAATAATTATTATACTTTACAGTTTACTGTGTACCTTCCAAATGTTAAAATCTAAAATATCTGACATTGGGGGCTGAGTAATTTTTTTAAAAAGATAAAAGATAAAATATCCATCCATTCATTCATTCATTCTTTCATTAATTCAACAACTATTAAGTACATATTATATATTAGCCCTGCTTTAGGTTCTGAGTACACAACTGAGCAAGACACATCAAGTCCCTGTACTCGCGAAGCTTTCATCATAGTTAGAGAGGGGTTGGCAGAGAGATAATAACAAAGTAAACAAAATTTTAAAAAATAATAATTTCAGAACATGGTAGTTTAAAGTGAAGGCTCAAGAGTCAGATTGTCTGTGTGTTAGTCCAGACTCTGGCATTTATGCACTGTGGTAACCAACTTCCAAGGATGGCCCCCACTCAACCCCCCACCGCCCCCACTGAACCATACCTCCTGGTATTCATGCTCTCATACAAGCCCTGCTCTTCAATCTGGGATGGCCCCAGAACTCACTTTTGACCAGCAGAATGAAGCAGAAGTGATGTTGTGTAACTTCCAGGGCTAGGTCATAAGAAGACTTCTGTCTTGCCTCTGGGTCTTATGGAATGCTCACTCTGAAGGAAGCTGGCTACTGTGTTAGAACTTCAGCCACCTAAGATTGTCAGGTTGAGGAAGCCACATGGAGACGCCGTCTGGAGAGAGATGCTGGCCCAGAACTAGCTGCTCCTGCCATCCCAGCTGAGGCCTGGATGTGTGAATGAAGAAGTCCCCTTTGATTTCAGCTTGGTCCAGCCTTTACATGACTCTAGCCAGGTAAGATGCCTTCTGGCTGCAACACCATGACAGTCCCCACATGGGAACCACCCAGCTGCTCAGTCAACCCATAGAACCAAGAGAAATAATAATAACTTAAGTCACTAATTTGGGTATTACACAGCAATAGACGACTAGAACACTAATTTTATGAACTAAAGAAGTTTGTTAATTTATCTGTGTTTCAGTTTTCTCATCTATAAGGTTCCTACCTTATAAAGTTTTTATGAGGGCTAAATTTGTTAAACTGGAAAGGGCTTTAGAACAGTGCCTGGTATGTGATAAACAGTAAATGTTAGCTACTGCTTTTTATTATTAATAAATAAAATAGAATCATGGAACAAAACTATTCTTCATTGGATGCTCAGAAAAGTTCTCACATGAAAATGACAGTTGAGCTCAGACCTGAAATCTAAGGGCTCAGCCATGCAGAGAGCCGGACAAAAACATCCAAACTGGAAAACCAGCAAGGCAAGGGTCCTGAGGGAGGAATGGGTGTTGTGTCTTGGAGGAGCACAGACATGGCCGGCGTGGTTAAAGGGTAGCAAGCAAACCAGTCATACAAGCCACAATAGGAAGTGTGGATTTTATATTAAACACAATGAGAAGCTTTAAGAGATTTTAAGCAGGGGAATGACTTGAACCACTGTATTGGCAATAGATTTTAAGAGGACAAGAATGGAAACAAAAAGACCATTTAAGAGACTGTTATCATCTGAGTGACTTTAGTGACTCGATCCGGTGTTTAGCAGAGGAAATGGTGAGAAGAGGGCAGATTTGGGGATATGTTAGTTGAATGAGTGGCCCTCGGATGGCCCATCAGGTTTCTACGGTAGAGATGAGATTTTTATTTTAACAAAGTCCTTCTGGCGATTACGTTACTTAAACCATCTTAGACAGGGTTCTAAGCATTATATCCCAGGACAGCTCAAGTCTATCTCATTTTGTATAATTTCGGGATCAATGGTTACATATTCTAAATAGGGAATAACAGAATAGAAGCTTTCTCACATTTACTATGATTATTCAAACAGCAAAAACCATTCATGGCAATGTGACTCAGTGGAAGGAATAATACGAGGCAAATCAGGACACAGGGTCAGGTGGGCAGTACTGTCCCTGATACCTCACTGGAACAGAGTTTGTGATTATTTATGGCCTCCTTGGTCCCCAGCCCCATCCAATTCTGACAAACTATTACTTTGTGTCTCTATTTTAAACTGCTTCATCACCTGGAAATATTTCATCTTCCTAAAGTCAGGATTCACACTCAGTACTTTCCTGCTGGTCCTAAGATCTAAACCCTGCAACTCTTGTCTCCTCAAAGCTGAAAGCACCTGCCACCAGGAAATAATCCCAAAGAGGTAATCACCCGAAGGAGCCTTTGATTCCAGTGCCCATACTCTCCCAAGCTGACAGGAAGGAGGCTGACAGCAAGTTGGCCTGTATTGTTTTATGCCCATCAATAAACTATATTTAACATATAAGTGCATTACAGAGGTCTCCCATACAACCTAGAAGATTTATTCTTTTTGTGAAAGCTTGGGAGGTTTTGCTTTCAAGCTTTATTTTAAGATACAGAATAGTCATCACTCAAGCCAGTTTTTCTAAAACTTTATTACAGGGGAAAGCCTCTGGCATACATTTCTAATACACTGTTCATTTCATGTGGCAGCTCTTTCTTTAGTAGTGCCAACAGAAAGGAGAGAAAATACATGAAATGAGAGAATGGAGGCAAAAGTCCCTGCATGGTACCTGACTCAGGAGTCGCTCAGTCCTTTTCTCTCTCTTTCCTAACACTGACAGGGTCTAATAAAATTATTCTAGTATTAGAAAACTTAGGAGGACATTAAACTGGCTTTGCAAAATTTTTAACTCTCTTTGTCTGCCCGAGTTTTCTCTGGCCCACTTACACCTTAGGGTAAATTCTGACTTTCAAGTGCATAGGCTTGGCTGCTTTCAAAGCTGTATTGTGGAACATGTGAAATGCAAGATTAACTCCTGGATTCAAAGAACCATGCAGAATCTTTCCCTAGACTTTATTGTTGTTATTTGCCACCTTTAAATCTTAGCAATGTGGCATCTTATCTACAATTCACTGAATTAAATGTGAAAAGAGGGGGTTAAGGTATAGTGAACACGCAGAAGACTTCTAATTACTGAATGGATTTATACCATCCAGGATTTATACCATCTCCCAGCTGGTGCCAGGTAAAGGTAGCAGCAATACCCAGCATCACTGTTATTGACCTTCTTAGCTAGCCACCAAGCTCACTAGTGCCATATTCACTTTGGCTGCCAAAATATAACAGGACAGCACCACTATAATTTAGAATGAGCAAAGAGAGGTAATGCTCACTTTATTAAATAAAGTTAAAATTTAATGAAACAAAGTCAGAGTTTGATAGGCATATAAGCGGGAGATAGACAACAGTCAATCAGCAGCAAACAAAGTATATGGAGATAATTATGTAAAATCAAAAAAGAGGCACCTGGCTGGGCACGGTGGCTCATGCCTGTAATCCCAGCACTTTGGGAGTCTGAAGTGGGTAGATCAGGAGTTTGAAACCAGCCTGGCCAAAATGGTGAAACCCCACCTCTACTAAAAATACAAAAATTAGATAGGCATGGTGGCAGGCACCTGTAATTCTAGCTACTCGGGAGGCTGAGGCATGAGAATCTCTTGAACCTGGGAGGCGGAGGTTGCAGTTAGCCTAGATCGTGCTGATGCACTCCAGCTTGGGTGACAGAGCAAGACTCCATCAAAAAAAGAAAAAAAAAAGGCGTCAACTTTTTTTTGCATAGAAAGTTGGCAAATATTTGAAGTGGTGGTAGTTACCATCAAATAAAATGAATAAAACATCTGGAGGTGCTAATTAGAAATGAAGAAAAAAGAGAATGGGCAGTTTTGCCAATTTGCCAGCCTGTGTCTCCTGACCAAATGATGAGGAGTAAGAGAAAAGGATTAACATTTAAATTTAAAGGCATATTTTTCCCCTGAGAAAGATTATGTAATGGCATATGAAGTCAGTTCAAAGGAAGCCTATGATGTTTTCCTTCTCATAAAAAAGGAAGCAAATTATTCCATCCAAGTGCAACTGAATCAAATTTGAACTTCCTGTAAATGTATCAGCTGATAAACCAGGATTTAAGTTCAAGGGTACATTCCATGCCTAATCTTCATTTTACAGCTTTCAGAGATAAAATTTCCTTAGCACTAAAATCTTTCAAAGATAGTCTCTCTTGCAAAACAAATTGTTAGAAGTGAGCAGCAAATTGGCCAGATGCCTCTGGGGCATAAATGTTTCTTAAAAGTCAGGTAAGAACTTTTAGAAATGATCTCATACTTTCAAATCACGAGTTTTCTATTTCGTGCTTTGGAACAGAAATGGTCAACTTACCAAAAGGGTTAATACAGCTTCTCAAAAGTGCTTGTCTTCTCACAGAATATAGTTTATATTTTGGGAGAATTTGGCACAGCTTAAGTTACAGCTTAAATGACTTGCTCAGTAGAATCCAACAAGAAGTCATTTCTCCCACCCATTTGTCCCTAAGTGTTTATTAGCAGGGATAGACACAAAATTTTAAAAGAAAAAAAGTATTTTTCATATGAATATTCTCTCTCCAAGACTTCATATCAAGATACATAAGCAACAGTATTCTTCGACTCTTACTCCCAAACTGGAAGCCATCTTTTACAGAATTTTAGAAACACTCCAAAATTTATTATCAGCCCACTAGCCTTTCTCAGCCCAAATGTCTTACTGCAAGATAAATGGACATGGGACTTAATTATTTCTTATATGGCTATGAAGAAAAATAATTGCTAAGCATAAAAACCAGCCTATGACATGAGGCTAGTTTTACATGCTTCCAGAAATTGGTACTTTTAAGTTTCCAACATTGAAAAATATACAGACAACAGAAATCTTTTCAGTGGTACATATTACTATGATTTTTACTATCTCCCCAGACAGCCTGAGCAGTCCATTAACTAAGGTGTAACAGAGACCCAGAGCCAAAAAGAAAAAAAAATGGCTCCAACAAGAAAAATCACAGCTTAATGTATGCAGTAAGGCCATAGTTTGGATTTATAATAATTATCACATTCCAGAGCCCAAATTAATTATTTGTAGTTATTTTGCAGATATCTTAGTAGCTACACACACACACACACACACACACACACATTTCACAAAGTATTGGCCAATGCCCATTTTCACATAGCTCTTTAGTCTAAAAATAACTTTAACTTTCATGTTTTACCAAGACTGAGAAAAGGGAGAGCAAATCAAAGGAAACTAGTTGAGGAATTAGTGAAGAAATTTTTAACAGGCCTGCTGGGTGTTCTCTCACTGCTGTCTTGAACCTCAGATTAAATTATTATACTTTCTGTGTTGTAGTACTGGGTCATTCGTATGTGAAGACAAAGGCAACTTCAACTTGATATTTCTGTCATCCCTGCTGTGGGAAGAGTCCTTTTCCTGGTTTATAACATCAATCATTCTCACAATAAATCTTAGGGTGGATGTGGTCATTTAAATCTCCACCTGCACAAACAACAGAAAATAAGAGAGCTCATAAATCTCTACACTGGTGATTAACAAATTTTGGATCCTCAGCGAAGATATTATGGAAGAGGGGTCGCTAATTCATTAATAAAGACTGATTTGCTGACAACCTGTTTAGTTTACAGCATAGGGGGAAAGCAAACAAGACCCTGCTAGCAAAACAAAACGTTAGAGGTTAGTGAATTCCCAGCTGAGCCTAGGATTAGAGATATGATATCTTAATGTAGGAGAAGCCTTCAGACCCTAAGCCAACCACTCAGAAACCACTCTTACATTTTGCTCCAGCCCCTCAACTTCAATGCCTACCTGCAAGGGAAGAAAACCTGGCAAAGAAATTGTAAGAGAGATTTATGCCTTCAGTCTCCCTGGTTTCATTGCACCAATTTCATCCAATCCCTAGGTTCTGTTTCCCTGTGCTTTTTCTACCTACTTCCCAGGAGACTTTCTTATTCTCTAGGAAAGGTGGTTCGAGCTGGGGTTAAAGATGGAAAAGAACCTTTCTCAAAAGGATAGTCTTGCTTTGTGTTGTGTAATGTCAGCTTCATGTGAGGAACACTGGCACCTAACAGGCTGGAAGAAGACAAAGACAGCAGCATTGAAAGGGACGGTGCATCACAAAAAGTGCCAGGCAAGGTGATGTCTGAGAGCAACAAAGACTCTCAAGGCAATATTAAATGCATTTCTAGAAAAGAAAAAAAAACCGAGGGGAAAGTTTCCATTTATTAGGAAAAGATGATCAACTAACATAATGTTTTCCACACACTCATACTGCCCTCTCATTCCCTACCCACTCCCACTAAGCTGTGTGTGGTTGGGTTTGAGTGTGCAAATCAAGTATGTTTGTGTACACGTAGGCAGTCCTTTGATGTCTTGAAAATGACCAGGTGTAGGTGAAATGTTTTATACTTACTTTTCCATCACCATAAAGATTCTAGGAAGCACTTGTCTTCATTTATCCCGGGGAAGGTGGAAGATCTCGGTAAAGCCTTGGAGTCTTATGAGGTGTTGGCAGGATGCGGTTGATACTCCCTGTATTTTAATTCGTGTTTTCTTGGGAGGAGAGAGGGCATGGAGTGTAGGTGGAAGGCCCAGAAAGAGCCAAACGATCTAGTCGTTTTTCTAAAGTTCTCAGTAACAACCAGTTGTGACGTCTTAAGAGAGAAAGAAGGCCTTTTACAGATGGACAGAACATGCTGCTTCTCGGCCCCGGCCACAGTTGGGAGAAGGTGGCTGGTAAGTACATGATGCAGTTGAGTTGATTTACATTACAAGTTGCAAATCAGGGTCTGTGCATTGAGTTTCCCTCCGGTTGTGAAAGGGGTCTAAGCGCTTTGCTGGGGCCTGGCAGGCCCCTCCCTGGGCTGCAAGGATCCGCCCCTCTATTCCCCAGATAAATTCCTAGTGTCCACCAAATTCCTCAGCGCTCGCTCACCCTCCTCTACGGCCACGACTCTGGGAGTGGGGAAACAGAGAGCCGGTTCCTCTGCTGCAGAAGTCCTCGGGGTTCCTTCTCACAACTCTGCGAAGGGGAAAGGGTTGTGAGACCCAACCAGACCCCAACTCCAGCTCCCAGCAGGAGGTGGCTGCGCCACACTCGGGAGGCCTCTTGGTTTCAGGGTCTCTCTGTCTCTCTCTCACCCTCTTCCTCGCTTTCTCTGTCTCTCTGTCTCTCTCTCTCTCTCTCCCTCGTCCACTCCCCCAAACATGTCCACCGGCTCCCTCAGCGATGTGGAGGACCTTCAAGAGGTGGAGATGTTGGAATGTGACGGGTTGAAAATGGATTCGAACAAGGAATTTGTGACTTCCAACGAGAGCACCGAGGAGAGCTCCAACTGCGAGAATGGGTCTCCCCAGAAGGGCCGCGGCGGCCTGGGCAAGAGGAGGAAGGCGCCCACCAAGAAGAGCCCCCTGAGCGGGGTCAGCCAGGAGGGGAAGCAGGTCCAGCGCAACGCCGCCAACGCGCGAGAGCGGGCCCGCATGCGAGTGCTGAGCAAGGCCTTCTCCAGACTCAAGACCACCCTGCCCTGGGTGCCCCCCGACACCAAGCTCTCCAAGCTGGACACGCTCAGGCTGGCGTCCAGCTACATCGCCCACTTGAGGCAGATCCTGGCTAACGACAAATACGAGAACGGGTACATTCACCCGGTCAACCTGGTGAGTGCTCCCGGGGCTGCAGCTGCAGTCCAGGCGCGCCCGCACTCCCGCCTGCGGTGGGCGCGAGTGCGCGCGGGGCTGGGAGTGGGGGTGTGGGCGCGGCGGTGACTTACACATCTCGACCACCGCGGGCCTAGAGCCTCCAGGGACCGGAGGCGGGCGGTCTAGACACGGCCCTCGCTCTCTGCCCTACCAGCCCCCGGAGCGGGAGTGATTTATGCGAGGGTTTGACGTGGCAGCCCAATTAAAAGTTTGCAAGTGTGTTGAGCTGGCACAGAGGAGGGATCCCCCGCTCCCGCTCCATCGCCATCCTCCCTGGGGTGCAGTGGCTGCTGCGGAACTGAGAACACTGACAAGACGCTGCGAGCGGACAGGCATTTTGTTAATCCTTTTTTCTTCTTTTAGCAGAGAGTGGAACTTGATTTTCCTTTCCTTGTAAATAAAAACACCCAACTCCGTTTCTTTCACAAGCATATTTAGGACCATTGGATAAGGACACATCTATGCCCCCCAAATTGTCCACGTAAGCCCTTAACCGCTTAAATATTCTGTGCTTCTCCTATAAGTGGATTAATATTTTTAAATCCCAGAAGTTCTAGTAATGATCAGCAAAATCAGTAAATCCTCACTAGTATGAGTGTAATAAATACTAAAATAGGTCACTCTCACCCAAGATTTAAGAAATGTTACCTTTTATCTTAAAAAGTAATGCCCATTGAGCCTAATTTTTTAACACAAAAAACTGATAATCATTGAGTCTACTTTTTTCTCAAATGTATTTTACTGTTTAAGAAATATATCTTAATTTTTTTCATTTGATTTTATTTTAAAACTTCTAAGATCTAAAGAAAAACAATAACAACAACTTACTAGGATCTCTGTTTGTATATGATAAGAATGAGAGATTTTTCCTTTTAAAAGGCAAGTCTTATCAGCTAGCACTAGAGCAGTAGTGAGAGGGGTCTGAATTGTCTTCTCACCGAATTGGTTTCTGGAATTGCTGGAGAAGAAGATGCAAACCCACATTTTACCATGAAAAATGTTTTCTCTCCAATTGAAAGTTTGGGGTTTTTCCCCCCCAATGAGTAAATAGCTTTTTAAAATCTCCACCTAAAATGAAAGTGTTGCCTCGAATATTTACAACTGCTACTCTCTTCATCTTTGAATAAGAAACTTAAATGAGCTTTATTATAAAACAGCCCGGAGAAAGGAAGAGAAAGCATACTTTCTCAGTCCAGCATGAAGACGATCTTAAATTAAAAGTCAATGTAGTATAGCATTTTTTTTTCCTTAAGAGGTGGTGATTAATCTAGAAGCTGTAGTCAAAGCCGGTGTTTGCGATGGAAGAAACGAAAGTCGGACTAGGGAAATAGATGGTGATGAAAGGCGATGAAAGCGACAGGGCCCTGAAACCCGACCACCGCCTCAGAAGGAGGCCAGGAGGGCGCTTCGCCCCGAACTCGGTGCCCAGTAGGCACAAGGTCGTTCTGGGCTTCCCGGCTCAGACTGCCAAAGCGTCTGCCTCCAGGCAGTGCCACAGCACCACCCACTCTCCCACTCTCGGCTTGCCCGGGGCTTCCTGCATTGAGTCTCACAAGGAACCCAGTATAAGCCCTTTTGGCTCTCATTCTAAAAGACCACCACCAGCACCACCACCACCTCGAGCTGTGACTTGGCGCCAAAGCAGCTATTTGCTTTATGCAGCCGCAGGGTGCGCTAGGACCGGGAGTAAATTGCAGAGATAACCGGTCTCTCCAGAGCACCGCCTGCCCCCACCGCCCCCCTTCCTTTCATCTCAGGCCCCGAGTCCACCCCACCCCCTCCGCCACGGCCACTTACCTCCTCCACCCTCTTCTTTCCCGCAGACGTGGCCCTTTATGGTGGCCGGGAAACCCGAGAGTGACCTGAAAGAAGTGGTGACCGCGAGCCGCTTATGTGGAACCACCGCGTCCTGACCTTGGAGGTGCGAGTCTGGGAAAGGCGCGCTCCCGGGGGGAGCGGGCCCCGGGAAGGCGACCCCTGCCCTCAGTGCTCTCTGTCTCTGCTTCCCCCTCGCAATGCTCCTCTCTCTGTCCCACCCCGCGAGAACACTTTACAACGACGAGGAGATTCGTTTCCAAACCAGAGGAGATCAATTGTACTTACAAAGATTCCCATCTATTTAACTTTATTAACTTCTACCGTGAATGACTCTGCAAGCCTTGCTGGTCCAAGTGCAATATGTAATTATAAATATATAAATAGATAAGAGCCTATCAATGTATCTTTTGTACAATATGTTGTAAAATGTAGATCATAGGATAGCTGACTTTGACAGTCACATTTATAAAGTAATTCACTTAAAGATATATATTTTTTTCAAACAAGTTTTGCTACTTTTGAAAATAAATCTTTCTTTATATTGCTAAAAGCTCTGATATTTGGAGTGATTTTTAAAAATATTTGGAATAAGAAAGTGGGAAACTATGGGGAAGCTTGATAATGAAAATGGTTCTTTTAAACCTCAATCTAAACTTCTAGAGATAGAAGAAAATTGCATATGAGTTTCATAATGAAGATGCAGATTATGTTTTATACTGAAACCTTAAAAAAGAAATATATCGGTTACTTTTAAGGCTAATAGAAATTATATAACTGAAAACAAAGAATGGGCAGTATTAAAGTTATCCACAGTTATACAGTTCAAGAGTAAAACGCACCAGAAAAAGGAAATCCAATTTTCATGGATTCCACCGTATGACTGCTGACACGGGCGAGAAAGTAAACTCCACCTTTTGTCACCTTCCAGGTGTGAGCATAGCTGCAAACTAGTGAAGAAATAATAGAAGCTATGAAAGATGTAAATTCCATAACCCTTAGGGTGTGTTTCAGGATTTTCAAAGCTCTGCAGCATACATTATCTACATTTCTTATTAATAGTCCATTAATTAATTCTAACAATAAACCCGCATGCCTGCCTTTTGGTTGCTGTTAGCGGGTGCGTTTAGCTCCCGCCACGACTTCCGGCGGACTGGGTTTAATTTAAACATTTTCCAGGCTACGGAACAGCTCCTAAGGGAAGATTAAGTTGAGATAAACAGAGAAGCAAGGCCGAGGAGCCTGCGACCCGGCTCCCTCACTGCCCCAGCGCAGCCCGCGGCGGCCGATGCGCCAGATGCCACCGGGGCTGTTTAATGTTCGGGGTTATGACCGCAGTGTTTACAAGACGTCTTCGGTTATTTATACTGTTATTCCTCGCAGAGAGCCTTGAAACTTCCGCTTCATTTGCTCTTTCTTTTCGATTTTTTACCCTTTTTTCTCGGCTTAGTTTGGTACCTGGAGCGAGAGCTTCTCCGCCCTTCCACCAACCCCACAGGCCGCTTCGCGGGTGGAGCCCTCTGCCTGGCCATGGAGGAAGGATCCCGCTAGGCTGGTCCCGACTGGAGAAGCTGCTCTGCCAGGTGTGCTCTCTGTCAGCAATAGTGACCTCATTACCAAGGGGTGGCGACCACATTACCAAGCGCAATTCCCCATTCTCCAAGGGCTGAGAACTTCGGTGACTTCATCCACCTGTCTATTTGCACATGGAGGACTTTTCAAGATGTCAGGATACCCTTCCATCACCCCACCACCGCCACCCCAACTTGACTTTCAAGAACACATTTCAAGCTCTGGCCAGAGTCCCGTTCCTCAAATTCATGTGTTCTCTCCTTTCTACCAGAGGGATAGAGCCCATGCCTCAACCTATCCAGAGTTCAAATCAAAGAGTCCCCAGTGTGATTCAATTGATTGCCTTTCACGTTTCGCAAATTTTCCAATCTCCCACTCACGTTTTTACAAAACGAATGCTCTAAATTCTGAGGATTCCAGGCAGGCCATCCATAGAGAAATAACTTTTTCTTGCTCATTCCCTTACAACCCCAATCTATACATGGATTTTTAGAAAGTCTTCATGGCTATCTATAGTTCCCTACCAATAATTTGAAGCCTTTGCTTTAGGCAGGAGGCATGTGGCTATGAATAGGGAACACGTAGATTTGACCCTGGTTCTGCATCCAACTAGCTGTTTCTTGAAAGAGCCTGGATCCTCAGTTTTCCCATCTCTGCAAGCAGGGATAACGGTAATGAGAATGATAATAATCATTATATGCAGACCTTCCTCTTTCATCTTACAGAGGCTTAGTGAGGCTCAGATGAGATTATATCTGTAAAATCCCTTGGTAAAGGAAAAGCTCCGTGAAAATGTCAGTTACTTTTACTAAGTGGCGGGTAGTGAATTATCTGTGCCTAGACCCAAACTGAAAGTGTCTCAGGCAGGAAGTTCCAAGGGATGTATGTTTATAGCATCCAGGCAATGATCTTTTTTTTTCCACGAACTAAAATACCTCTTTTTGGTATCTATTGACTCTTTCTCTCTCTCTTTCTGTCTCTCTTTCACCTTGCACCTCTCCCTAATGCTCTCTAAATTTGTCCAGAGCTTTCTTTTTCCTAGAAATCCAGAGAGCAAAGTCAGAGCCTGGCACCTGCAGATAGGATAACACTGGTGTCTGATGGTGAGGCTGCCCAGTCCCATCAGGAGCCTCAGCCAAGGAGGGGCCTGGGCACACTCAGGTCCCCATGGTTGTCCATTGAATGGAGTGAGGATCAAGGTGGGAATGACTGGGTGGTGGCTGCCACTAGCCCAGGAACATGACAACGTGACCACACCACACATGCCTCCAACACACACCCACAGTCTAAACATCTCTCCTTCTCAGTGAGCCCTTCTCCCATTCCAGATCATCAGCACACCCACACCCACCATAGGTCTCTCTCCTCCGGTCTTCCCAGAAGGGTAAAACTCCCAGCCTACCCTGCTCCAGCTTCAGCCCAGGTAGTTGGTGTGTCTCAATATGAATAGGGGGTGAGTAGCTTCATAGAAAGAATGGGGAACTCCCTTGGCCTCAAGCCAGTATAGTTTGGAAGTTGGGGGTCGGGGATGTTAAGGGTGGGGAGTATCCTGCCTGTGACCTCTAGGTTATGAAAACTATCTTAGAAGGTGCTTTTAGAAAGAACCAGGAGAACAACCAAAGCAGCTTACAGACGCCTGAACGGAGAATGAAGTGTTTCAAGTAAGCGAGTCTGCAAGTTCTCAGAAGCAGACAGATATCCAATCTGGACTGCAGCCAGGGAAGTCCTCTCTCTCGCTCTCTCTCTCTCTCTCTCTCTCTCTCATTGCTTGTATGACTTCACAAGCAACTCAGGATCATTCTAGCAGGCTTTCCCACTGTCAAACAGAGACTTCATTCTAAAAAGAGAAGTGATAAACAGAGCTCCAGCTCTGCTAGCTCTATATATTTACTGATTAGTGGAAAGCACTGACCAAGGAGACTTTTAAGCCAGTGGTTCTTCAGAATCACCTAGATGCCTCCACCCTCCAGAGATCCTGAGTCCAGGAGTCTGAAGTGGGGCCCCAGGTGATGTCATTGCTGCTGGTCCCAGGACCACATTTTAACAATCAATGTTTTCAGGTGTCTCATGAGGAACACTACTTAATGCAGTGGGAAAGAAAATATTTCAGAGGAGAATTTTTTCTTAAAGAAGCTGCATATTCTGGACTCTAATTTAGTTTAATTCACTCCAGGATGGCACGCAGGATTCCTAATTCTTAAATGCCATTCAGTCTGGACTTCAAATCACTTGTCTTCAGAAAATAAAAGATTTGTTCCACCCGGGTGTGTGGACATGGATGCGCTCATCCTGTGTTCTCAGACAGATTTCAGTCATTAGATGATGTTTTTAAGTCCTGAGTGGATTAAAGCCAGACTTCTGTTGGCTCCGTTGCGACCTCTAAGGGAGAGAGAAATCTGGGCTCCCTGGAATCACGTCCCCTGCAAGAGAGTCCCTTGGTCCATTCTCGGGCCAGAAAAAAATCTCCCCATCACTCCAGTGCGAGTGGTTGGCCTTGCTCTGGTCCGGCACTGTGTGCGTCGGGAAGTCGGCCTGGAGTTGGGGTTGCAGGGACGCCACGGCTGGTGGCGAGCGCAGCAGGAGTGCCTGGAGAGCTCGCGGCCAGCGGGGAGCTGAGCGCAAAGGCGGAGGAGGGAAGCAGCCTCTGAGGCTTCCCCGCCTGGGAGAAGAGTTTTTGGAAGTAGGCGAGACGGGGAAGGAGTTCTGAGCCTCAGTCCGCACAGCCTCCTTTCCGTCCCTTTCCGGGTGCAATCTCCGGGCCAGCGGGTGCGTGTCCCGCTGCAGATCCGCTGGCTCAGGGATGAGGCGCAGGGCAGGTTCTGGGTTACGTCCCCACACCGCGGGGAACCCAGGTGCGAGCGGGGCGCAGCTGGCCTGCCAACATCCTTTCTTAGCTTTGCATCCTTCGCTCCAAATGCTGGCTCTGCCCTTGGAAACTCGCTGGTTGCCAGCAGCATTCTTCAGAGTCCGCCGGGCTTCCTTCAGGCGTTTGGAGGAACACGCCTTTGATCTTTGGGTCTGGGCAGGCTGCGCGGGCCCACCCTCCTTCCAGTTCACCGAAAGATTAACCACCTCCAAGGACTATTTAAGAGCCCCTCTCAGGGCCGAACGGGGAGAAAGGGTGGGAAAAGGAGGAGAGAGCATCCCTTTAGAATGCCCCAGAGTGACGAGAACAGACTTCTCAAAAACAGTGTCAGGCGGTCTTTTGTACCCAGCACTCAGTGTAGTGCCTGACACCTCAATAAATGTTGAATCATGAATGAATCATTAACTCTTTGAGGCTATAAGATAGATAAGATAGAGAGTAATGGGGCAAAGTGACAATGGGCTGTTGTGGTTAAATTGAACTTGAACTTGAACCTCTTACCTTGAAGTCTGGGCGCACATTTGAGAAAAGAATAAAGCAAGTAGGTATGATGGGACTGGGTGAAATCAGGTGGTGGTGGATTGTTTGCAGCACTCACGAAATATGCTCTCTCCTTTTCCAGTAAAATATATTACTAGATGTTAATTTACATGGCCCGTAGACTAGAATCATTAGTTTAAAATGTGCTTTGATAATGAAAATGATTTGAGACACTAAGCAGATTACATGACCTTATTTTAAAATTAATCCAGTTGGTGATGAGGAAGTAATGTATTGCTTTTCACAGATGTAGGTGAGACACTGGTATAGTGGAAAGAGCTTTTGACTGAGTTCTTGGACAAGATACTAGACCTTTCAGGACCTTGGTTCTTCCATCTCTTTAAAATGAGTATAATAATGACTACTTTTGTGAGATAATGTGTAATTGGACAATGCCTGGAACATAATAGACACTAGTTAATATTGGGTTCAAGCGATTCTTCTGCCTCAGTCTCCCAAGTAGCTGGGATTATAGGCATCCACTACCATGCCCAGCTCATTTTTGTATTTTTAGTAGAAACGCGGTTTCACCATGTTGGCCAGGCTGGTCTCGAACTCCTGACCTCAGGTGATCCACCCGCTCGGCCTCCCAAAGTGCTGGGATTACAGGTTTGAGCCACTGCACCTAGTCTTTTTTTTTTTTCTTAACAATCATACTTTTCCTCCCTAAAAGAAAAACTCTCCCTTTCTGTACAGTCACAACACTTCTGACACCAAATGTGTGGAGTTTTCCCACATACAAATGGATTCTCCAATTCTCTATGGACACCAACTGGGTGTCCTACAATTCAATTCTGATGCTAACTCCTTGCTAATTTGCTATAACAGCTCACAAACACTTATTTACAGTTACTAGTTTATTATAAAGGATATCACAAAGGACACAGATGAACTAGTTTATTATTTACAGTTACTAGTTTATTACAAAGAATAGCTTATTATAAAGGATATTGCAACAGATACAGATGAATAGCCAGATGAAGAAGTATATAGAGCAAGGTTTTAAAGGGTCCTGAGCATGAGATCTTCTGTTCCCATGGAGGCAGAGTGTCCCACCCTCCCAGTAAGCGGATGTGTTCACCAACCCAAAAGCACTCTGAGCCTTGTTGTTTAGGGGTTTTGTGGAGATCCCATTACATAGTCATGATTGATTAAACAATTGGCCATAAGGGATTGAACTCAAATTTCCAGCCCCTTTTCCCTCCCTGGAGGTGAAGTGGGGCTGAAAATGCTGACCCTCTAATCACAAGGCTGGTTCCTCAGGCAACCAGTTGCTATACCTTAGCTGTCTATGGACCATGCAGTGATTCCAGCCACCAGCCATCTCATTAGCATGCAAAAAAAAAAAAAAAAAATTCTTATCACTCAGGAGATTCCAAGAGTCTTAGAAGCTCTTGTGCCAAGAACCGGGACAGAGACCAAATCTATATTTTATATTATATCACCAAATAATATTCCCCTTGAATGAAAGCAATCTAAGACATCTCTAAACCCAGGAGAATTTTTTAAAACTAACTGGGTCATATAGTTACAAGTAATAAAAATCCATACAAACTAGCTCCAATAAAAAGGGGAATTAGGTATTGTAAAGATAGTCCAGAGAATCTGGCTGACATCTCCTGGCAGAAAATAAATTGTAACAAGGAATTAGGGAATATCCCCTGGGAAACTGAAAAGTTAGGAGTGAAACTCTCTCCTCTCTGGAGCTGGAGCTCTCTGGGCCCTTGTCTCTGTTTTCTCTGCCAGTCTTCTGCATTTTGTCCTCTGCAACCTAATTTTCTGTGCTGGCTCACTTTCAACTGCTTCTGAACTATCGATTTCACATAGGTTTGGTTTATTAAGTTGCTGACTATGGCCCCAATTCTGCAAGAACTGAATTCAGTTGCAAACTCCACTATCCAAAGCTTACATCTCCATATCTTTTGAATTTGAATTTTCAAGATAGAGACCACTACTGACTTCATCTAGAGGCTGTGGTTAGATTCTCCAGGCAGTTGTATGCCTCTTATCCCATCAGCTGTAGTTGGCTGGAGATGGGTTGGCTGTTGGCTGGGGCAGCTTTTTGCAATGGAGGCTTTGAATGCAACAAGAATCCCAAATCGGTTTGCTACAAACATAATACAATGCCATAAGGCCTGGGGTGTCTACATATGGACCACCTGGGTTTATTCTGCTACTCCAATGGGGAGCAACATGTTTTTGGAAAAAGGTCATGTTCTCAGGTCTTATTGTGTCTATGATGTGGGGAAGGAGCAGAGATAACAACAAAACAAATTCATATAACCTAAATGATCTACTTTATGGACTAGAACAATCTTATTGAGGAAATCACTAGCACTTTTTAGCCAGTAAAATGTTATTGTAAGGCACATTTAAGAAATAACAGCACAGACTAAGATTTCTTAATTTTTTTCATCCATTTGCATTCATGAAGCACATTTATAGAGGCTATCATATTTCATCTTCAAAACAACCCTGACCCAGAGGTATTATTATCCTCACTTTTTTTTATAGGGCAACTGAAACTCAGAGATGGAAAATAAATTGCCAAGAGCTATATAGTGAAAAAGTGGCAGAAAGCTGAGTATAGAATTCTTTTATTTTGTTGAAACTACCTTGAATGTAGGAGGGTCCCAGAATAAAAGAAATTTTAAAAACTGTAGCCATACAAAGGAAAGAAATACTTCCAATAAAAGCATGACATTAAGCCTTTTTAAAATTAGAATTTGTATTTTATACTTACTTAAGGATCTCTTTTAGACTTATTTATAACTTTATTTTAATCCTATATTGCCATTAAGGATACATAAAAGGAAATTATAAGCAAAATAAACTAGTTAAAATATTCCAAAAATTATTTTATATTCAGAGCCTAATTCATTCTGAATCATTTAGTCAATCCCAGTCATGAAAGTCTTGTGACTTTTTATTATGTAACAGTTTTTGTCATAAAAGAAACCATCCTGAAACCCAGTGGCTTAAAAGCAATAAGCTTTAGTTGTTACTCAGGAATCTGAGTTAGTTAAGAGGCTCTGCTGATCTGAGCTGAGCTCTACTGTTCTTGCTGGGGCTTGCCCATACATTTTTGGCTGGCTGTCTATTTGGCTAGGAGCTAGCTGGTCAAGAACAGCCTCACTCACATGCCTGGTGGCTGGCCAGTTATTGGCTAGGGTATGAGGAAAACCAAACCATGCATTTTTTTTTTTTTTTTTTTTAGACAGGGTCTGCCTCTGTCACCCAGGCTGGAGTGTAGTGACACAATCTTGGCCCACTGCAACCTCCACCTCCTGTGCTCAAGCAATCCTCCCACCTCAGCCTCCCAAGTAGCTGGGACTACAGGTGCATACCACCACACCCAGCTTTTTTTCTTTTTTAGTAGAGACAGGGTTTCACCATGTTGCCCAGGCTGGTCTCGAACTCCCGACCTCAAGCAACTCACCTAGCTTGGCCTCCCAAAGTGCTGGGATTACAGGTGTGAGCCACTGGGTCCAGCTAAACCATGCATCTCTAATCATCCCATAGGCTAGTTTGTTCTTGTAGCAACTAGGGAGGGAACAGAAAGTCATAAGGCCTGTTGGACCTAGGTTTACAACAGGTATAGTGCCACTTCTGCTGTGTTCTATTGGCTAAAGCCAGTCACAAGGGCATCCCAGATTCAAGAGATAGGGAAATAAATTTTACCTCTCAATGGGAGAAACTACAAATGCACTTTGCTTAGAACATGTAGACTGTGTACGTGTGGAAATTTAGAACTATTTTTATAATTAATCTACCACACAAAAGTTTTTTTAAAAAAATTCTTTGGCCCTTCTGAATAATTTTCCACTTTGAAAGGTCAATATCTAGTGATTTACCACCCAATTTTATCTTCTGGTTTATTAAGAACATTTCTTAGAAGAGTTCTCTGTTATCTCTGTAATTTTCTTCCAAGCAACTGATACCCATTCTATAGTTTTAATATTGACTCTTTCTTGATATTTTTGGCAGGGAGCATAATGAAAATAGCAACATAAATTAGTCACACCAAGCTTTCTTTTACTTATTCTTACAAATTTGGAGGTTTCCCTAACCCTAGTTGCATTGTTTGGCCTGTGTAGTGGGCTAAATGGTGGCCTCAAAGAAATCAGATTCTAATTCCTGGAAACCGTAAATATTACCTTAATTGGAAGAAGGGTCTTTGCAGATATGATTAACGATTTTGAGATGGAGAGATTATCCTTGGTTGTTTGGGTAGGCCCTAAATGCCATCACAAGTGTCCTTATAAGAGAAAGGGAGAGGGGGATTTGATGCACAGAAGAGAAAATGGTGATGTGAAGACAGAAGTAGAGATTTAAATGATGCAGCCACAAACAAAGGAAGAGTAGCAGCCACCAGAAACCAGAAGAGGCAAGGAAGAGATTGTCCCCTAAAGCCTCCAAGGGAACATGGCTCCGCCTACACCTTGATTTCAACCCAACAAAACTGTCATTGAACTTCCAGCCTCCAGAACTAAGAGAAGAGTAAATTATTGTCAGCTGAAGGCACCAAGTTTGTGGAAATTTATTAAGGCAGCCACAGGAAACTAATACAGCCTGTGTTAGGCAATCCTTTGCATGTATCTCAGTAACCAAATATCACAGGATCATCTACTTATTGTTTACTTTTTTTCTTATGCCCCAAAAAGCACTTTGATGTTAATTTGTAAGAAAATATGGAATTATGGATATTCTTCCAATGGCAAATGCCTTTGTTACTACACATTGATTCTCTATTTCCATTACTTTCTATGCATAAAATAACATTTTTTCAATATGGAATCAGAGCATAATCTTTGTAAAGACATTCTTCAACTGCAGTTGAATCCATTATAGCTCCGACAATACAAATTGTTGAAACAAAGAGACCAATGTTAAGATGCATCCTGATTTTAGAAATGTGAAAATGGGCCAGGCGTGGTAATTCACATCTATAATCTCTGTACTCTGGGAGGCCAAGGCGGGTGGATCACTTGAAGTCAGGAGTTCGAGTCCAGCCTGCCCAACATGATAAAACCCCATCTCTACTAAAAATACAAAAATTAGCCAGGTGTGGTGGTGTGTGACTGTAATCCCAGCTACTCCAGAGGCTGAGGCAGCAGAATCACTTGAACTCAGGAGGCAGAGGCTGCAGTGGGCTGAGATTGTGCCACTGCATTCCAGCCTAGGTGGCAGAGAGAGACTCCATCTCAAAAAAAAAAAAAAAAAAAAAAGTGAAAATTTGGGGAGAAAATGCATCTTAGAATGATGATATATAGTAACTCATTTCACTCTGAGCTGGACTCTACTGTTCTTGCTGGGGCTTGCTCTTATATCTGTGGCTGCCTGGCTATATGCATCATCATTGAGTGTCCACCGTATGCATGACCCTGTGCTACACATTGGAAATAGCTGAATTAGAGGACACGTTCCTGACTTCCAGCTTGAGTATTCCTCAGAAGACCCAATCACTTTTCTGCAAGGACCTGGCAGGGGAGGGCAATCTTGTGTTCTGAAAACTGCCAGCTGTGCCAGTTTCCACAAGGGTCAGCTACCAGGACATGCTGGCTGCCCCTGCCGTACTCTACCACTAGGCTACTGACACCTCAGCCTGCCATTCATGTAGCTAGCCCAAAATGGAGCACTCCCACCTGCCTCTATCCCAGACTAACCAATTAACCAATGGTGGGCAAGTATCTGAAGAAGTGATTCCAAAAGATCCCTCCCTGTATCTAAGGTAGTTGTCCTGGAGGTTTTTATTTTCCCAAGGCTGAAATTGGACTCTGGCCATTTGGAGATGAGCTATATACGGTGGGCCATCATTCTGCTACATGGATATGGGCAGCCATCTTGTAAATATGTACTTTTGGTCCTAAGTGAAAAAATTTTTAAATATGATAGATGTGTTCACAGAAACTTACCTCCACTACTGGAAAATCAACTCAAAAACTATGAATGATAGACCATCAGAGTGATAGCTGAGCTAATTTTTCATTCCCCACCTCCCAAGGCCCTCTGCATCATCTTAGGGACCATCCCCTCAAACAGTTCATCAATTTTCCAAACCTTTTTGTCTCTAGAACCTGTCTTTTGCTTTTTCTTCTCTTTTGAATCTTATACATTAACTCATAAATTATATGATACTGAATTCCACTATCCTTCTCAATATTTCATATCAGGTACATTCAAATGTATTAGAATAAGTTTTTTAAAAAGTAATATTTCCTTTTTTGGGGGGGGGGGACGGGGTCTCACTTTGTCACCCAGGCTGGAGTGCAGTGGCGCGATCTTGGCTCCCTACAGCCTCTATGTCCTGGGCTCAAGCGATCCTCACACCTCAGCCACCCAAGTGGCTAGGACTACTGTGTGCTACCTTGCCTGGCTAATTTTTTAATATTATTTATAGAGACAGCGTTTCTCCATGTTACCCAGGCTGTTCTCAAACTCCTGAGCTCAAGCGATCAGCCCACCTTGGCCTCCCAAAGTGCTAGAATTACTGGCGTGACCCATAACACCAACCAAAAAGTGGTATTTTCAAAAGCTCATAGATAGACTTGAGCTTGGATGCTCTGCCATCTAGCTGCTCTGACCCCAAGCAAATCCTTTAATGGAAGCTGATCATAATCCCAAAAGACACAATCCCAAATGCTATAAACCTGAATGTTGGAATCCCAAAAGATCAGAATCTCAAAAATATAATTCTGAAAAAAAAATTTAATTTTTTAAAAGATTTTTATTTATACTTTAAAAAGGGGATTTACTTGAGAAGCATAAAAATGCAACAGAAGGCTTCATAGGCCACTTTACATAATAAAATAAGCCATAATAATGTATATATTTTTGCAAACATAGGCACTCAGGCATACTAGTGACAGTCACATGGACAAAACAGTTATGAGCAGACAAATTGTATTCACAAGGAAGTAGGTCAGAAAAGGAAATGGATCAATGCATATCACTATGGTTGGTAGTTGAGTGTACCCAACTTTATAACTCTGGCCATCTGAAATACCATGATGAACAACCATAACCTTCTGATAAGATCAATTGAAAACCTCAATGGGTCACCACCACATATACAGTTACCCTAAGAGCTGAGATCTTGAGAAATCTTACCTTTCACAAATGCAGATGTACAAAAGAACATCTATTCATTTATTGAAGAAGTTTTAACATTTTTATGTACATGCACAATGCTTACACACAAAGGCAACATTCTGATAATGCATCTTCATGGAGTCAAATTTGCAAAACATGCATAAAACAAATTAGAATGCTCTAAAAGTCTCTATACGATTTATACCTCCAATATTGGAAATGATGTGAAGATTAAATACATAGCGTGTAGAATTATAAGAAATAATGCTGACAATTTAAAATAGTGAAAATTTTTAAAAAAAGGAAAAGCAAATTTAAAAACTAAAAAGAAAATTCAGCATATAAACAAGTATAATATAGGGATAGATTTGGGCAATTTGCATGGAGATGGTTCATAAGAGCTTGTCAAATATAATCCAACTATCCTGTGATGGTGATGTTTGAGATTTTGGGATTTGGGGATTTTAGGATTTTTAGAGTTTGAGGATTTTGCTCTTTCAGGATTTCAACATTAACAATTATGGTGTTTAAAAATGTGTCTTTTGGTATTATAATCCAAACTGTCACTTAATCTCTCTGTGCCTTGGTTTCTTCACCAGTAAGATTTCTAAAGTTCCTTCTAACATTAAAAACAATTTTTTAAAAGTTACAACTCTAGAGAAGAATCCCAAGGTTTTTGAACCAGACTGTTATTTGGTCTGATAAATACCCCACCCGGTCTCAACTGTATGCTATAGGAAGTCTTAAAAACTAGTTAGGACCAATACCAAAAAGAGCATGAAATTGCTTCTAAGACTGTCTCTCTCTCATTAGAATGAGTTCCTTCTCCACATTCCATAATATTTAAAAAAAAATCCTGAAACGAATTATACATTCACATCTGTTTAGTTACTGTTATGACCCTAGGTCTGGGACCCATCTCAACTTTGCTTATGGCTGCATAAGCAAAATGGGGCTGAGAAGAGAAGGATGATGTCCCTCTGTGAGAAGAGAGCATGGTACTCCGAGAACTTGCTAAACCTTCAAAACATTTAATATTTTATCATATGTTATTTGTTCCATCTACAGTTTAGCTAACCATTCCATGATTTCCAGGTATTTAGGTTGTGTCTGATTTTGCAGTTTTGCTTGGAGCTGGGATGCCCATCTTAGATCCTTGTCTCCATCTTCCAGAAGTAGACTTCTGGGCCAAAGATCATGACCAGTTTTAGGATGTTGATACACATTTCTAAATTGCTTCTTATTTTATACCCCACCAGAAATCACTTAGTTCACTACTAGGACTCAATTTTTAATTTAACTTTTTTTTCCTCTTGCCATAGAGGGAAGTCTAACCATTCTGCAGGTTAAGAGAATGATTGACTGAGATGAATGAGTTTATTTCCTCTCCACTAATTCATACCATGACCACTTTTGGATCAATTTTCAACTTTTTAAAAAACGTTCTTGGGCAAAGACTGAAGGAGAACATGAAACAATGAGAACAATTAAAACTACATCTGTGGGGGAGTGAATAAACTGGCTTCCAACTTTTTGTTTTTCCAGTCCATCTCTAAGAACCTTTAAAGACACAGTACACCATGAGAGGCTTCTACCCCCGAAACCAGAAACCCCCGAAACCAGAAACCCCCAAAACAGATCGTTGCCAAATTAAAACAGATTCTGTTAACTAATTTGGTTTTCTAACCATAAAAATCATTATGATTATTTTAAAGCATTTGGGAAGAAAGGGTTTACTTCCAGAGACATAGAGGATAAACATAACAAAATTAGGTTAATATTGTATATGCAGTTTATATTCTACTTTTGTCACTTAATATTACAGAATAAGCCTGTTGCCACTTCATACAATTGTTTTGGAAAACATTATATTAAATATTTTTAAATATCACATTTAATGTATAAATAATAATTTATTTTTGGACATTTAAGTTGTTTCCAATCTTTTCTATGATAAGTAATTCTGCATTGGATATCTTCATACATCCTTAATCTTTGATTACCTCTCAAATTCTTTTTCTTTTTCTTTTAATTTTTTTGTTTGTTTTTTAAATTATGTTTTTTATAATGGAATCTTAGTAGTAATTCTTTAAGAATACATATTGCAAAATTGCTTTACAAAAGGGTTGTACCCATTCAAACTCTCACCAGCAGTATACAAGAATGCCCATTAAAATAAACCCTTATAAACACTGAATATTATTCTTTTAAATCTTTGTCCAAGATATTTCATTGACTTCATTGTTATTTTTCCAGATTGTTTTCAAATCAGGTTTTGGGAACTTTACTTATAGATCTTGTACTGAGAAAGACAGACAGAATGGGAGAAAGAAAAAGAAAGAAGGTTTCCACTCCCAGAATTGTCCCAGGATTGCTCTGAAAGGCAAGTTACTTCCCTTTGTGGCATTTGAGTTGAGTAATTGCTGATATGTGGTCAGCGGGAGTTAGACACCACCACCCCACCATGTGGTCTGGTCATGTTTGCCTCTTGATGAACTTTACCATTCTGAAATGTTGAGAGACATGTAGAGCAAAGGCTCAGTCATGCTCCTTGATTTGCATGGACTCAGAAGTCCTGTGAGAAATAACTTGAGCTCTGTTTACAACTAGAGGTAAGAGATGTGCAGACCTGAGAACCTGTGTATCCCCAAAGGAAACTGGAGTGGAAGGGGGACAGGGACGGCCTCAAGAAAAACACTACCATGAGTGCAAAGGAGTGGAGTAGAGTGGGCCAAGCTGCTCCACAGGGTCTGGATATTGAAGAGGGCATTGGTTCCAGAGAGAATGAGCAACTGAGTCAATCATCCCCTAAACCCTAAACTAGCCACTGAGACCTGAAAGAACAGTGTCCCAGGAGAGCAAACTGCTGTGCTGTAAGAACTTTCTTTTAAAGAGAAGTCACCGAAAGCGGAGATTTCCTATAGCTAATCGGAAAAGAACACCAGGAAGTTGTTCCCAGAAGATCAGCAGAGATAGGGGCAGGAATCCACAGGATAGGAGGGAGCTAGCTGTCCCAAAGAAGCTGATGTTGTTTCCAGTAGAAGAATGAAAGCTTTCAACAAAGCAGGAAGGTAAGAGGAGCCAAAACTCACCCAATGGAGTCAGAGCCACCACTTTGATTACTTTAAGGGAGTAGCTCCAAACTTCAACCCAGCCCTTGCCCCTTATTCCTCAGGGATTTTTACATTTAAAATGACCCTAGACAGGGTCATTCTCTTAGGAATTCATTAATCAAAAGGCCACAGCTTGGCAGTCAAACCAGTGGGTGCTCAGAGCATTGAGATGTGTGGGGTGCAAAGGTGAAAGATTATTCTCATCAATCAATAAAGCCTTTTTCATCTTTATGAAATTTATGGGCATGCTCTTATCTGTCTGGAACTGTACATCCCATTGTTTATATAGGAAACATTTTTGTTTCTCAAATGTAAAACATGTTGGTTATTATAAATTCCAACTTTATAGATACAATTTTGTGACGATTGTTAATAATGGAGTGTGGATCCTTCTAAATAGTTTGCTTCCCTTAGAGAAAATGTAAACATATAGACTAACAAGAATATACAAACAGGTATATACAAACATACATACAGTACATACATGTGAATATCACATGTTGATTAACAGCTTCAACTTCATATGAATAATTCATAAACCAGTTTCATTTTTCTATAATCCATGCTATGTCAAATCTCCTTTCCTTAGTGGGGAACAGATCCCTAATAATATCTTGGGCTGATGCTACAGCATTTCCAACACCTTATTATTAAGAGACAAATTCAATAATTTCCAGTTGACCACTCAGATCTCATATCTGATGTAGATTTCATCTCCTCCACTTGCTGTGGGCCGTCCCTCCAGGGACCTGCAGTGGGTTTGCTCTTCAGCTTCTCCACCAAATCATTCACTTCAGTTGAAGAGGAGGACAAAGGAGTCTGGAGTCTAGCTTTTTTTTTTTTTTTTTTTTTTTTGATGGTCTGAATCTTTTGCCCAGGCTGGAGTGCAGTGGTGCTATCTCAGCTCACTGCAACCTCCACCTTCCGGGTTCAAGCAATTCCGAGTAGCTGGGACTGCAGGCGCCCGCCATCGCACCCAGCTAATTTTTGTATTTTCAGTAGAGACAGGTTTTGCCATGTTGCCCAGGCTGGTCTGAAACTCCAGACCTCAAGTGATCCTCCTGCCTCAGCCTCCCAAAGTGCTGGGATTACAGGGATGAGCCACTGCGCCTGGCCAGGAGTCGGACTTATCTTTTCCTTTACCTTATTCAAGGTCTTATGTGTCTGGTGTTGGGGGTTGAAGGGTGTATGAGAGAGGATTTGTCTTTATTAACTGCCCACGGGCCTGGTTCTCTGTTGGTTGTTGCTGCTTCTCTCTTGCTCTGGCTAACTTTTAGATAGCGAGAGTCTGAAAATTTTCTCTCCTGTGGGCTCAACAATAAGTTCTGCAGGCTCTTTTCCAGAGGGGAATGCATTGGGAATGGAGAGGATGCCTTGGAGCAACCCTTCTGCACAGCTCTCTGGAGTGGAGTTTGTCTCTGTATCTTTGTGTCTAGCTTTCACAACCCCGTCAGCCTCTGTGCTCTTGCCATCGGGGTCTCCTCATGTCCTGGTCAACTCTCATCTGTCTGCCGTTTGTCTCCAGTTCTGTCTTCACCTGTTCATGCAGATGCATAGTTGATGAAGCAACTACTTAGGCTAAAATCCAAAAAATTCCTTTGGGGAACAAGATGCCAGTTTCAGATTTTTTTTTCAGGTACCTTCAATGTCTTAAGCAATTATCATGCCCCTCTTTTCCTTACTTGATTTGTGTACAGGGAGAAGCATCCCCTTACCTTTTTCCGTGGGAAGTCAGTGGAGAATTAACAGGGTTTTCATGTATACCAAGAACATCTGACTCCACAGATTTTTTTTCCCTACCTTACCACTATCCAAGATCTCCTATTTATAGGGCTATTGGGGAGCCCTGAGGCAATGGTTGAGACTGGAGGAAGGAGGATGCCCAGGGATAATGAGTGGAGGTAGTAGTGAGAATTTGCCTAGTTGCTTATAAGCTCTAATAGTGTTGTCAGCCCACAAATGTTTGAGCTTTCTTAAAATAGGACACTTGATGCCTCTCTGTCCACAGTTTATAGCCTTAGGTATCAATTTTAAGAAACCTGCAAAGCCCCACTCAACAATTTTCATTTTTAAAAAAATGGGAAGGGCCAGCGTAGTGGTTCACACCTGTAACCCCAGCACTTTGGGAGGCTGAGGCGGGTAGATCACTTGAGCCCAGGAATTCAAGACCAGCCTGGGCAATATGGCAAAAGCCTATCTCTACAAAAAATACAAAAATTAGCTGGGCGTGGTAATGCATGCCTGTAGTCCCAGCTACTAGGGAGGCTGAGGTGGGAAGATCACTTGAGCCTAGGAGGTGGAGGTTGCAGTGAGCAGGGATCAGGCCACTGCACTTCAGCCAGGGTGACAGCGACTGTCTCAAAAAAAAAAAAAAGGAATGTGCTACATATCCTATTTCGTTGCTTGTTTTTTTTTTTAAAATAAGACTGGCCACCTGTAATTTCATTGTGTGGATAGCATAATTAATGTATATTATATATATTTAAACATTTCTCTATTTAGAGAATATATACACATATATTATTTATATCCATTATTTATAGCTAAATTGCTTATTATTTTCCCTGTTACAAACAACACTAAAGTAAACATTTTTATTCTTAAATCACTGATGTTAGTATTTGTATACAGTAGATCCTTACAAGTAGGATTCCTGATCTTTTTGAATTTTGGGCGTTGCTCTCCTCCGAATTTGAAAAAGTTCATACTCCCAGTATTGAGATTTCATCACACTCTTGACAATATTAAGTGTTACCAAATTTTTAAAATTTTCACTGAGGACATCTGCTTCCAGGAAACTGAAGTAGATGTATTTTTCTCTATTCTGACTGCTAAGTACCACTAAAAACCCTGGACATAATATATATTAAACAAACATAAGACTCTGAAACCAGCCAGGGACTTTGGAATCTGAGGAACACATGGAATGATTCCATTTCAGTGTCAGTGAAGACCAAGTGAGGAAACTGAACTCCCATCCAGCAGTAATAAGGTGGCCCTTCCTCTCCCGGCTAGGGTGGTATTAAATGAGGTCTGAGGGAGAGTCAAGACCATCACCTAGCAGTAACAAGGCCCCCTTCACTGCACTGTCAGTGGAGACGATACAGAAAACAGAATTCCTACCCTTGTCTACCCCACCCTCAGGTGTCACTGGAGGACAAGCAGGGCACCTGGACTTTTACCTCGGCCTGGAAGTAATAAGGTGGCTACCACTGGACCCTGCCAGAGGAGTGTTTGAGAAAGCTAGCTAAAACAGAAGTTTTAAATAGAACACACCATATCATGATACAAAAATGTTCAGGTTAAAATTAAAAATTATACCAAGAAACAAGAAGATCTCAAAGTGAATGAAAAAAGACAATCAATAGATGCCAACACTCACATGACAGAGCTGCTCTAATTGTCTAACAAATATTTGAAAGCAGCCGTGATGAAAATGCTTCACTGAGGAGCTACAAATATGATTGAAACAAATGAAAAACTGTGAAGCCTCAAAAAAGAAATGGAAAGTCTCAGCCAAGAAGAATGGAGAAGGAGGAATAAAAGGAGGGGAAGGAGAGAGGAGGAAGAAGATATAAAGAAGAACTAAATGGTAATTTTATTATTTTATTTTATTCTATTTTATTTTTGAGATGGAATCTTGCTCTGTCACCCAGACTGGCATGCAGTGGCATGATCTTGGCTCACTGCAACCTCTGCCTCCTGGGTTCAAGTGATTCTCCTGCCTCAGCCTGCCATGTAGCTGAGATTACAGGTGCCTGCCACCACACCTGGCTATTTTTTGTATTTTTAGTAGAGACAGGGTTTCACCATGTTGGCCAGGCTGGTCTCGAACTTCTGACCTTCAGTGATCCACCCATCTCAGCCTCCCAAAGTGCTGGGATTACAGGCATGAGCCATCACACTTGGCCCTAAATAGTAATTTTAGAACTGAAACATATAATAACCAAAATATTAAGCTCAGTCGATGGGCTCAGTGGCAGAATGGAAGGGACAGAGAAAAGAATCTGTGAAGTAAAAGATAGGACAATATAAATTACCTATTCTAAAAAACAGAGAGAAAGTACACTGAAAAAAAAAATTAGAGCCTCAGAAATCTGTGGAATTATAACAAAAGACCTGTGGTTTGTGTCATCAGAGTCCCATAAAGAGAGAAAAAGAGGGCAGGAATACAAAAGTACTCAAAGATATAATGGCTGAAAACTTCCTAAATTTTCCAAGAAACATAAAACTACAGACTCAAGAATGTGAGTGAACCCAAAACAGAATAAACTCAAAGAAATACAAGCTGAGATATATTATTATTAAAATTCTGAAAACGAAAGACAATAAAAAATCTTTTTTTAACTATGCTTTTCCTTATGTGGGTAAACAACTTGAATAACAATGTATTTCTCATCAGAAACAATGGAAACCAGAAAGAAGTCACATGATAATTTCTAGATGCTGCAAGAAAGAATTGTCAAGGCAGCATACTACACCCATAAAACATTTCTTTCAGGAAAGAAAGGAAAAATAAAGACAATCCCAGATGAAGGAAAACTAGGAGAATTAAGTTTTAATTAGTAGTTTCCAGCAGACATACCCTTAAAAAATGGCGAAAGGACTGGTCACGGTAGCTCATGCCTGTGATCCCAGCACTTTGGGAGGCTGAGGCAGGCGGATTGCCTGAGGTCAGGAGTTCGAGACTAGTCTGGCCAACATGGTGAAACCCCATCTCTACTAAAAATACAAAAAAAATTAGCTGGACATGGTGCCATGCACCTGTATTCCCAGCTACTCAGGATGAGGCAGGGGAATTGCTTGAACCAGGGAGGTGGAGGTTGTAGTGAGCCGAGATTGCACCACTGCACTCCAGCCTGGGTGACAGAGCGAGACTCCATCTCAAAAAAAAAAAAAAAAAAAAAAGGCCTAAAGTAAGCTTTTTTTAAGTAGAAAGAAAAATGACAAAAGAAGAAACTTTGGAACCTCGGGGAGAAAGAAAGAACAAGATAAGGAAAAATATAGATGAATACAATAGACTTTTATTCTCCTCTTGAGTTTTCTAAGTTATGTTTGAGTGTTGAATCAAAAATTTCTAAAACACTGTCAGATGTAATTCTAAATATATGTAGAGGAAATATTTAAGACTGACAATCATATTGCAGATGAAAAAGGGGAAATGCACATAAAGAGCAGTGAGATTTTTATACTTCACTTGAACTGGTGAAATAATACCAGTAGACAGTAACATGTAAGGTAATGCCTAGAGAAACCACCAATAAAATGATACAAAGAGATGCACCAAAAAGCACTATAGATAATAAAATAGAATTCTAAAAATATTCAAGTAAGCTACAGGAAGGCAGGGAAAAAAAACAAAAACAAAAAACTAGAATAAACAAAAAAGTAAAATGACAAGTTGGGCATGGTGGCGTATGCCTCTAGTCCCAGCTATAATACTTGGGAGGCTGAGGCCGAATGATTGCTTGAGCCCAGGAGTTGGAGGTTTCAGTGAGACATGTTCATACAACTGCACTCCAGCCTGGGCAATAGAGTGAGACCCCATCTCTAAGAAATATTAAAAATTGAAAAACAAAATGGCAGACTTAAGTTTGTTACATGCCAGTAATTACATTAATGTAAATAGTCTAAATATGTCAATTAAAAGACAGAGACTGCCACAGTGGATTTGAAAACATGATCCAACTACATGCTGTCTACATGAAAATTTAAATAAAACAATACAGATAGGCTAAAAGTAAAAGGATGAAAAAAGACATAACTTGCGAATATTAATCAAAAAAGCAGAAGTGACTATAATTAATATATTAAAAATAGATTTGAGAGCAAAGAAATTCACCAGAGACAGAGAACGATATTATATAATGATAAAATGGCAATCCATCCAGAAAACATAGCTTAATCTTAAATGTATATAAACCAAAAAACAGGTCTAGAAAATATGTGAAGCAAAAACTGATAGAGCTGAAAGGATAAATAGGCAATCTTTAATTACAGTTAAAGAATTCAACACTCCTCACTCAATAATTGACAGAAAAACTAGACAGAAAATAAGCAACGATATAGAAGAACCTCAATAATAGGATGTATTCCACATTTATAAAATGCTCCACTCAACAACAGCAGAATACATGTGCTTTACAAGTGCGTATAAACATATACCAAGAAAGACCATATCCTGGATCTTATGACAAGTCTCTCAACATATTTAAAAGAGTTAAAATTATGTAGGTTATGTTCTTTGACCGCAACAGAATAAATAGAAATTAATAAATGAAAGATAACAGGAAAGTCATCAAACACTTGGAAATAAAATGAATGACTCTCTTCCAAATAACCTATAAGTCAAAGAGGAAGGAAAATAAAAAATACATTAAACTGAATAAAAATAAGAATACAACATATGAATATTTGTGAAACACAGCTAAAACAGTGAGAAGAATATTTGTGCACTAAATTCATATTTTAGAAAATAGGAATGGTCTGAAATCAATAACCTAAGCTCCTCCTCAAGAACCTAGGAAAAGAAGAACAAAATAAACTGACTGCAAGCAGAAAGAAGACAGTAATAAAGATAAAAGCAGAACTCCATAAAATTTAAATCAGAAAAATAAGCAAAAATCAATGAAACAAGGAGTTGATTCTTTGAAACAATACAATGAACAAACTTCTAGCAAGACTGACAAAGTAAAAAAGAGAGAAGACACATTAAATAGAGAATACACCTATACCTGCAGAGCTCAAGGGGATAAAAAGGGATTACTGGACACAACTCTACAGACACATACATTTGACAACTTAGATGAAATGGTGAAAGACTGAATGATTTCCCTCCTATTATCAAAAACAAGGCAAGGATGTTAGTCATCACCACTTTCGTTCAATATTGGGCTAAAAGTTCTAGGCAGTGCAATAAGGCAAGAAAAAGAAATAAAAGTCATGCAGATTGGAAAAAAGTAAAACTGTCCCTTTTTACATATGACATGATTGTCTATGTAGAAAATCCCAATCTATAAACAAACAAAATCTCATAGAACAGAACTCATAAGAGAGTTCAGCAAGGTCACAGGATACAAAATAAACACACAAAAGCCAATTATATTTCCATTTACTAGCAATAAACATGTAGACACTAAAATCAAAAATACAATATTTACAATTACTTATAAAAAATTAAGTGTAACTAACAGAACATGCACAGGACTTGTATGCCAAAAATTACAAAAAGTTGATAAAAGAAATCAAAGATCTAAATAAATACAGAGACATACCACGTTCATGGATTGGAAGATTCAATATCATATAGTAAAGATGTCAATTCTCTTCCAATTAATATATAGGCTTAAAACAAGTACTCTCAAAATACCAGCAAGATTTTGATAGATGTAGGCAAGATAATTTTAAAATTTACATGGAAAGGTACAGGATTAGAATAGCTAAAATCATTTTGAAATACATGAACAAAATGAGTGGAAGCAGTCTACCTGATTTTACAACCTACTTTACAGCTATGGCAATCAAGGCAGCATGGTACTAGCAGAGGGACAGACACATAAATCAATGGAGCTGGAATAGAGAATCCCAAAATATACTAACACAAACATGTTCAACTGTTTTTTGACAATGGAGGAAAGATAGTCTTTTCAATGAAGGATGCTGGAGAAAATGGATGTTCACAGGCAGAAAGAAAAAAAAAGAACCTAGACTGAAGTTTTCTACTTTATACAAATTTAACTTAAAATGGATCATGTACTTAAATGTAAAATATAAGACCATAACACTTTTTGAAAAAATAAAATAGGAGAAAAACTTTGTGATCTAAAGCCAGACAAAGAATTCTTAGACTTACATCTACTATAGACTGAATGTTTATGTCTTCTTAACATTTTTGTCTTGAAACCTAATCATCAGTGTTAAGAGGTGAGGCCTTTGGAAGGTGATTATGTCATAAGGGCAGAGCCCTTGTGAATAGAATTAGTGCATTTATAAAAGAAACCTCAGAGAGCATCCTCTTCCTTTCCAATATGTGAAAGCTCAGGGAAAAGACAACATCTACAAACCAGGAAGTGAGCCCTCACCAGACACCAGATCTGCCAGTGACATGAAATTGGACTCCCCAGCTTCAAGAACTGCGAGAAATAAGTTTCTGTTAAGCCACCCAGTCTATGGTATTTTTGTTATAGCAACCTGAACAAAGATAACACCAAAAGCATGAGCCATAAAAGGAAAAAATAATAAATTGGGCTTTATCAAAATTAAAACTTTTACCTTTTGAATGACGCTGTGAAAAGGAAGAAAAGACATGCTATTGAGTGGAAGAGAATAAAGTTGATCCTTGAATAACAGGTTTGAACTACATGAGTCCACTCATACACATTTTTTTTTCAGTAAATACCACCAGCCCTCCATATCCACAACTAAACACAGTTAAAAAACACAATATTTGCAGGATGCCAAATCCTCAGATATGGAGGGTTGATTTTTCATATCCAAGAGGTAGGTTCTGCAGGGCTACTGGGGGATTTGAGTATGCATGGACTTTTGGTATTGGGGATGGTCCTGGAACCAATCCCCACTAATACTGATGGACAAATGTACTTTCAGACCATATATCCAACAAAAGACTAGTATCTAGGATTTATAAAGAACTCTCAAATCTAAATAGTAAACAAACAATTCAATTCAAACACAGACATGAAGAGACATTTAACCAAAGAAGATATACAGATGGTAAATACGCACAAGAAGAGATATTCAACATTATTAGTCATTTGGGAAATGCAAATTAAAACCACAATAAGGTGTCACTGCCTACCTCTCAGAATAGCTAAAGCATTATTTAAAAAAAAAAAAGTAACATCAAATGCTGGTGAATATGCAGAGAAATGGATCACTCACACATTGTTTTGGGGAATGTAAAATGGCACAGCCATTCTGGAAAAGTTTGGTAGCTTCCTCTAAAACTAAATATGCAATTACCACGCACTGCCAGTCATTTATCTCAGAAGACAAAGACTTGTGTTCACACGAAAACCTGTACATGAATGCTTATGGAAGTTTTACTAATAATAGCTCCAAAAATGAAAATGCTACAACTATCTCAAAATTTAAAGTTTGTTTTTTAAAAGAGCGAAAAGGAGGTTCAGAAGTATTAAATAATTCATCTGAGGCTGCCCCACTAACAGGATTAGAATTCAAACCTCATGGCTAAACAAACTGGCACATCTATTACTCCGCAGTAAAAAGGAATGAGCTATTAGTTCGCATAACGATCTGGATGAATCTATAGAGAATTATCTAAGTGAAAAAGCCAATCCCAAAAGTTTACATAATGTATGATTCCATTACATAACATTCACAGACAAAGAAAGGGATGCTGTATTGGCTGAAGTAATTTGTCCTGATTATCAAGGGGAAATTGGGTTGCTACTATGCATAAAAGTAAAGAAGAATGTACAAGAGATACCCTAGTGCCATCTCTTAGTACAGCCAATTCTTGTTATTTGTGGTAGTTATGTTCCAAAACGCAGCTGCAAACACTGAATTAGCAAATACTGAACCATTGCTCCTAGGATGTGTGCTCATTCATATATGTTTCATATTTAAGCAAGCATATCTCACATAGATTATAATCTTAACTCCTCAAAACAGTTGATCCTTGTAGATTCTATTTTCTTTATTTTACAAAGGTGAAAATGCTATTCAAAATTAAAATTTTGTTTTTTAAAAGAGTGAAAAAAAGGTTCAGAAGTGTAAAATAACTTGCATGAGGCTGCCCCACTATCAAGGTCGGACTTCAAACCTCATCTGACTGACCCTAAAGCTGGAGCTTCTTGCACTACACTGCACTGCCCCCTACTGGCTGCATCCTCCGGTCATCGCTGTTTGAAAGCTGAGACAGGAAAGCAGAGCATTGTCTTGTTAATAACCTCAGCGGGAGACGTGCTCTGAATGTAGTTGACTCAATTTTTTCTCTGCTCTGTGTATGTCCCTTGAATGACCAAGAAACCCTGCATTTCAGACTTGCCTAGCCAGCACCCACAATCACATAAGCCGATTCCTCGCAGTAAATTTCTTAAAATATGTATTTCTCCTACTGGTTCTGCTTCTCTGGTTGAAACGTGACTGATATACAATGGAAAAGGGAAGTAAAGCTCCAGATGGAACTTACTAATTAGCTGTAGCTGACTTGAAGACAGTGCAATTGTCATTGATTGTCCAGGTGGGCCCAATTCAATCACAAGGGTCTTTCACTGTGGAAGAGGCAGGCAGAAGAGTCTTTAAAGATAGAAAGAGACCCCAGGCCAAAATGCTGGTAGCCTGTAGTATGTGGAAAAGACAAGGAAATAGATTCTTTGTTAGAGCTGTCAGGAAGAATGCAATCCTGCTGTATCTTGATTTTAGCCCAAGGAAACCAATTTAAAACTTCTGACCTCCAAAACTGTAAAATAATAAATTTGTGTTCTTTTAAGCTACTTAATTTGTGGGAATTGGTTAGAGCAGCAATGGAACTAATAAACCAAAGCTATGAAAGCTGTCTTAAAATTTTCTTAGAATAAAAGAGTGAAAAAAACCCATAAATCTAATGTATTAATATATATAAATGATTTATGTGTTTACATGAATATATGTTTCATTTACAAAAACATGTAAACATATAAATTTTGACACAAAAATTATAACTAGTTTATGTTTTATAAAAGAAATTCAGAAAAAAATTACCATTGGGATTAGGCTTTATGTAAGAGAATGTTCACACTGAAGTTTTTGTTGTGATAGTACACTATAACAGATGTAAGATTCAAGACAGAACCCCTTATGAATAATTTGTAAAGAAACTGGTCCAAAAATGGCTTCATGACCCTTGAACTCCTCAACCAAATCAAGAATAAAAAGGGAGAGGTAAGTGTGGGGAGAAAGAAGATTTTTGTGAGAAGAATATCTTTGAAAGAAGATATTGTATGTGGTATGGCGCTGAGCTGCGAGCCCCATTTCACTCCTATCTCAAGGGGGAAGGAGAGACCTGCCATTTCCTGGGGTGGGAGAGATTTCCCAGGGATGATTCCTGCCTGAGGCCACAGAGGCTCAATTCCTTTGTAGCAGAGCCAGGAGAGGAAAACTGTGCTGGGATCTATGGTCATGTGCCAAATAGCGACGTTTCAGTCAATGATACACCACATATATAACAGTGATCCCTCAAGATTATAATACCATATATTTATGGTAACTTTTCTATGTTTACATACACAAATATATAAAATATATAAATCATGTTACATTTACATCATGTTACAATTGCCTACAGAATTCAGTACAGTAACATGCCATACAGGTTTGTGGCCTAGGAGCAATATATACCATATAGCCTAGGTGTGTAGTAGGCTATACCATCTAGGTTTGTGTAAGTACACCCTATGATGTTAACACAATGGCAAAATCACCTAACAACACATTTCTCAGAAGCTGTCATCCACAAGAGAGCAAGCTGGCACCAGGTCGGCTTGGCCCCAGTCCAAGCAGAACACTTGGGGAGGCAGAAGAACCCAAGCAGAAAGTTAAAGCCCACAGACAGAGTCTCAGGGGGCCACATGAAGTGGAGATGCATCTGTCTGGGGCAAGGGACAGTTCCCATAAGGAAAAGGTTGGCTCTAAACATCTGCAGATCCAGAATACATGGAGCCAAATAATAATGATACCCTGTTCTAGTAAGATACTTCCTTTCCCCTTACGAGTCTCCAAACTCACCCCTTCCTGTTTCAACTTTTGGTGGTCAGAAACTGGCAAGATTAGTGGTAGAGGAAGAGAAAAAAAAGGAGAGAGACTAAGATGAAGCCAGCTAATGCCCTTTTCCCACTTCCAGCCTCAGGCAAATCTGTGCTGGCAAGCTGAGGTTTAACACAAATAGTTCAGAGTTTCTATTAATATCTTGAATTGGACTTCATAATTACTGAATTGAAACTCTATGACACTTAGAATTGTCTACTAAGAATTAGCACAAAAAGTATGGGACCTGCCAAATTTTCATTCAGGGGAATAATAATAACTTCCCCCACTGAACCCTTTTTAAAGAGGCAATAGGAGAATAGATAAATAAATAGGACTGGGCATGATGGTCCATGCCAGTAATCCAAGCATTGTGAGAGGCTGAGATGGGAGGATTGCTTGAGCCCGGGAGTTCAAGACCAGCCTGGGCAACATAGTGAGACCTCCACCCCCGTCTCTACCAAAAAACAAAATTAGCTAGGTGTGTTTCTAAATAAATAGATAAATAAAGTTTTGGGATTACATCATCCTAGCAGTTATATTTATTACAGGGACTTTCCATTCCTCACAGCACATTTCTGTCAGATTGGAAAATCAGCACTAACATGTTTTCCCTATGATCCCTGTTTCTGTTGCCACAAACTGGATACCACTTCAGTTATCAAAGTCTCCTCTCTTACATCCACCCATTCAGGATCTCACGTATTTTTCCTTTGCATTGTTTTGTACAACTATTCCTTCCTTTCCATTTCCTATCCTCGTGGCTCTATAGGTCCAAATTGCCTCATATCTTGGCTACTATAATAATTTTCTCATTCGTGAATTTGGTTAGGTCTCAGAATCATGCCCCAATCCAATCTATTCTACACTGAAGCCAAATCTTCATGAAAACATGATACTCCTCGATATTTCTTTGCCTGGCATTCGAGGCCTTCCATGCTCTGACTTTACCTTCATCTCAATGTTATTCCTACTTTTTCCCCATCAAATATGTTCGTTGGATAAATGCTTAAACCTCTGCATCTTTTCCTTCTGCCTGGAATATACCCATGATTGTGGCTATATTTCAGTTTTGTAAAATTCCATCCTTCCTTCAAGGTCCAACTCAAATGCCATCTCCTCCATGAAGGCTCTCCCAATCACCTTACCAAGAAGGTGTAAGCTGCCGTGTGAGTGAGATGGATTCTAGGATGGTACAGAATCAGTTCATTAAACCAACTCATAACTGGAAGAGGCATAACATTTGCAGGCTCCTATCAATATTGATTTGACCATTCACTGAAATTTATACATCTGAGCCAAGGATAGATTAATAAAAGGGACGTGACTCACACAAAGAACCAAAATCTCCATTATGTATTCAAAATTTCCCAGAAAGATATGAGGGACAAAGGAAATTTGGTCACAAGAAAGCAGAATAGAGTTCTACCCTATTAATGGTAGACTAGAGTTCATTGGGTTTTTACAGAGGTTGGATGAATGACCCACCTTTGCAGTCAGTGTCCTATCAGAGGGCAGAAACCAGAACGTAATTTGAATAAATTAAATTTTAAGAAGTTGACTACTGGCCGGGTGTGGTGGCTCATGCCTGTAATCCCAACACTTTGGGAGGCCGGAGCGGGTGGATCACTTGATGTCAGGAGTTCGAGACCAGCCTGGCCAACATGATGAAACCCTCTCTCTACTAAAAATATAAAAAAATTAGCCGGGCATAGTGGTGTGCACCTGTAATCCCAGCTACTTGGGGGGCTGAGACAGGAGAATCGCTTGAACCCAGGAGGCGGAGGTTGCAGTGAGCCGAGATGGCGCCACTGCACTACAGCATGGGTGAAAGAGCAAGACTTCATCTCAGAAAAAAAGAAAAAAAAAAAAAGTTGACTGCAGCAGAGGATTAACTATAAAGGGAGAACCCTAGGGATGAGTGAATATACCCAGCGAGGGAACAAAGTTGGAAAAGAGGGCCCCTTCCCAAAGGTAGGATTCAGACCTCACTGGAGAAGTTCACCGGAGAGAGGAGAGGTTCCTGAGTTGATTGAGGCCATAACTGTCCCACAGCTGGTCTGAGCAAAGGCTGGCAAACTAGAATTTCAGCTAGAGCTCGCAAGCAGGAAACTGCCTATTGGGGTGCAGGCTGGCAGAGGCTGGCAAGCTGGGAACCATGGCTGGGAATTACTGGGAAACTGCCCTCTAGGGTTTAAGGGGAAAGCCACCCACAAAAGGTGCCACACCTAGGAAGTCGCTGTAAAGCCACCTGAGGAGACGATGGATGGAGATCTCCACAAGGGAGTGGCTGTGTTCTGGCCACCAGATGCTGCTGGAGGCCACACCTGCTGCAGGAGCATGGTCTGCAGGAGCCTGCTAGGAGGAGCACAGTGGGTGAGGCGGTGGCTCATGCCTGTAATCCCAGCACTCTGGGAGGTCGAGGCAGGCGGATCACTTGTGGTCAGGAGTTCGAGACCAGCCTGGCCAACATGGTGAAATGCTGTCTGTATTAAAAATACAAAAATTACCCGGGCATGGTGGCAGGCATCTGTAGTCCCAGCTACTCGGGAGGCAGAGGCACTAGAATCACTTGAACCCGGGAGGTGGAGGTTGCGGGGGGCCGGGATTGCACCACTGTTCTCCAGCCCTGGGGACAGAGCCAGACTCTGTCTCGAAAATATAAAATAAAATAAAATATAAAATAAAATAAAATAATAGAAAAGTAAAATCCTGCTAGGAGGGGCACAGTGGATGAATTCGAAAGAGGAAACACTTCTCCTTACAGTGTCCCTCCAGCGCCCTCTACTGATAAAGTTTAGCATCGTGCCAGCTGCAAAGGAGAGATGCTGGTAGAGACTGGCTCCAGAACAGTGGGTTTCCAGCTGAACAGGCAACCAGGAGTGGATTTGGAGCTGAGAGACAACAAATTGATAACTGGAACACTGCCAAATCATTTCCTCCTATATTCTTCTTTTTCCATTCATAAGTCAAAATGGATTTGTTAGTCCATTCCCAAATTCCTAAATCCCAGGGTTTCTCTAGACACCACCATCAAAGAATTCCAAGGTAATAAAATAAACTTATTGAGGCTTGCTCTAGGATAGGTGTTTACATACATTATCTCCCTGCTGCAGTGGTAACATAGTGAGTGCTATACTTTTGGTAAGCTGTCTATAAGTACTTGCTACTACTCTTATTATTTATTTATTTTTAAGGAGTCTCACTCTGTCACCCAGGCTGGAGTGCAGCGGCGCAATCTCGGCTCACTGCAACCTCCGCCTCCCGGGTTCAAGCGATTCTTCTGCCTCAGCCTCACTAGTAGCTGGGATTACAGGCGTCCACTATCACTCCCGGCTAAGTTTTGTATTTTTAGTAGAGACGGAGTTTCACCATATTGGCCAGGCTAGTCTTGAACTCCTGACCTCGTGATTCGGCTGCCTCAGCCTCCTAAAATGCTGGGATTACAGGCATGAGCCACCGCGCCCGGCCGTTATTCTTACTTTACAATATGAGAAAACTGAAGTTCAAGAACTCACAACTAGTAAGTGATGAATCTAAAACTCTGAATGTAAGATCATTTGACTAGAATATTGGTGCTCTAGTCACTAACTCAGGACGAACTTTTCACAAAGGGACTAATTTTTTGATGTGATGTGCTAAGAAATTCCAAGTTCTAAGCTGAAAATGTGGTGCCTCAACTAAGGTCCTGCCTTTGAGAAATCCTGCAGGCATTCAACTATTGCTTTTTGGATGACACATATTTTTTGTAAATGTCTAAAAAATGCAATAGAAGTTAAGCTTTTCTCTTTAACTTTCATTGTGAGTGTGCTCAGAATCTAGCTGTATTCACATCTCTAGTTCTGGGTGATTCTATTAGCCTAGCATTTATGGAGTGCTGAGTAAATGCTAGACACTGTGCTAAGTGCTCTGCATGGCTTTACCTCTATAATCCTTGCCACAACCCAGAGGACAGGCTATTTTCCAGATGAGGAAACTGAAGACGGGAGGGGTTCAATAACTTCACCAAAGTCATCATCTAAGCGGTGACACTGGTATTTTAGTCCAAATAAGTCTTACTCCAGGACTCAACTTTTTTTTTCTTTTTTTAGACAGGGTCTCACTCTGACACCCAGGCTGGAGTACACGATCTCGGCTCACTGCAACCTCCACCCTCCTGGGTTCAAGTGATTCTCCTGCCTCAGACTCCCAAGTAGCTGGGATGATAGGCATATGCCATCACACCTGGGTAATTTTTGTAACTTTAGTAGAGACAGGGTTTCACCATGTTGGCCAGGCTGGTCTGGAACCCCTGACCCCAATTGATCCACCCTCCTTGGCCTCCCAAAGTGCTGGGATTACAGGCATGAGCCACCGCGCCTGGCCGGCTCAACATCTTGACCATGCCATGAGGCCAGGGCCCAATCTAGTCACCTTTTGCTTCCCCTCTGATGTACAGTTTTCTTTGTTTCCAATACTTTAGATATTTAAGCTTTAAAAATATAAAATGAGGCTAATATATTTTTCAGCTGCTTTCAATTAATAAAGGAAATTGCTCCTTTGAGATTATTAGGCTGTTTTAAGAATGTCAGGCAATTTTATAGGGAGCAGCCTATTTCTAATTCTTTTAGATTAGCAGAGGAAGAGCCGCTGATATGTTGCCCCCTGCCCGTTCTCACTGATTCTGGGTGAAGTAGTGCAGATATGTGGGTACATGCCATGAGCAATTTGTGATTGTCTAGGACAAGGATAGCAGCTGCTACAGTATTTTTGGTGGATTGATCTTTCATTGCCTTGCTTCTTACCCTGGGTCAGCTTGCTGGGAGCATCACATCTACAGAGTGGCTTTTATGAAACTCGAGCAGTGAGTTCACTTGTGCTTCCCTCTTATGTTTAACAAAAATATATCTCATGCCCATTTCTGTGACACTCAAACTAGAATACAACTTATGTAACTACTGAAAGCAAAACCTATTTAAATATTGACTTCTTAAATACTTGCTTCACTTAGCATTTTTTAAATTCGATTTAATTAAATAATCTCATGTATAGAATATGACTATCATGCCAAAGCTATCTGATGGTAAAAAAGATGGGAACACAAAAAAAAGAAGGTTAATAGTGTAATATCCCATAATATTGGTTTACTTAATTTGATTTTATAAAATAAAATTAAACATATGTAGGTCTACTTTTAGATAAAAAATATTCCTAAGGGCCTTCTATAGACCTCTCAATCCATGGACATCTGTCAATTATAAAATCTTCCTAAGTTTTAAGGCAGCTGCATGGCTAGGTCTAATGGCTGTCCAGGAGTTCCTGATGTACCATAAGGAGGATTTCAGAAACTTGTAGATCTCACCGAGTCATGACAGCAATTATAAACGGTTGACAATTACTGTTCTAATGAATGGACATTCACCTTTCATAAGCTTCCCAATTCTTATGCTTCTCTGTATAAACCCCTCCTTCCTGTTCACCTGTTACACCACATGGTGGCAGCCTTGTCTCTCATTTCCTTTTCTGTATGTTCACAATAGGGATCTTGACTGCTGCTGTAGGTATCCAGTTAGGGAAAAAAGGAAAGGAGAATCCTCAGAAACCAAATAGGCAGAACCATGCCCTGGAGGAAACTAGTAGAAAAAGTGGTATTTTCCTTATTTGTAAAACTGAATTAGGTGATTTGTAAAGTTCCGTCTAGCTTTAATTCATGATTCAAAGCTGAATTGATAGCAAAGTTGAACCTGCTAAGATTGGGCTTACACGTGAGAAGAGGCTGGTGGGCCAAAAACTTCATGGGCAAGCTCAGCAGGCACATTCCAGAGAGTGGTGAAATAGTAAGAGAAAGTGCAGGCTGAGGACGCTTCCAGCATTTTCCAAATGAAAGGTATGAAAATAACGACCTCATCAAAACTCTTTGAAAGTATGAAGGTCTCCAGGACAAAAAAAAATTAAGAAAGATTATGATGGAATTTATGAATGAGCTAGAAAACACTGGTTCTGTGTTTAATTTCCATACCCTAGAAAATGTGCTAAAACCAACTCTTACGCATAAAACTGCCATCTCAGAAGAAAATTAGCATCAACTTCTAGTGTAAGCAACTCTGCTTAGAGGAGAAATATACTACCACCCCCATCCAACTAAGGCATAGTTTCAGGGGGAAAAAATTACTGATCAACAATATTGTAACTCCTCTGGAGAAAAAAATAAGTTAAAAGAAAGGTAGCCATCTGCATAATGTCTAAAAAAAGGGGGAGATGGAGAAGAATTTTGTCTTCTGCAATATTGTTCAGGAGAGAAAGTCATGTTCACTTTGCCTACAGATTTTGTCCATTTGAGATCTGTGTACTTTTAAATAAGATACTATCCTTGTTTGATAATGCTTGCCACTGAAAATATTCAAGTATTTTTCCACGGATGAATTTCCTGATCACTGATGATTTTTGTGATGGAGAAAATATCTTAGCTTCAGTATTTATTTGGAGACGATGTAATCAAGTGTTTCAGAGCAGAAGTTTTAGAATCAGACAAAGCAAGTTCAAATTGTTGTCCTGACACTTGCCCAAGTTACTCAACCTAAAACTTTTCCTCATCTTTGTGGAGATACAAATGTAACACATAGGGTTGCTTCTGAGACAATGAATATAAAGTGCTGAGCCCAGTTGCTGGCACGTGGTAGATATATGACAAATGGCAGATAGTGATACTAATGACCAATTATTTCATTGAAGTTTTATTAGTTTTGATGGATATTTTTAATTGATTTCATTGTGTTTTTCAGACAATACCATCATGTACTAATAAAAATCACTTAACTCTGCTTTTATTAGTTACTAATCTATCAGTTTTTTTTCTTATCTTACTGTATTGGCTAGAACTTCTAGAACAAACAAGGAGAAATAATGGTGATCAGAGAAATCTTTGTCTTAGCTTTACTTTAACGAATGTGCTGCATTGACAAATAATACAACAGGAAAGACATCACAAATGACCCAAAGTCTCACTTTTCACCTATCCCATCCCCCTGCATCACATCAAAAGAAAACACTATCCTGAATTGGGTGTTTATATCTTACTTTCTGAAAATTTATTTTTCTGAGGGTTTTTTTGCATTGCTTCAAAAGAGCTTTTGCATATATGTTCAGTTTTGCTTGTCTTTGAGCTAGTATCATACTCTATGTAGTTTTTCCCAGTTACTCATCACTCTCAATATTAAATTGCTAATATTAATCCATGTAATTGCTTCCAGCATTCATTTATTAATTTTTACTGCTATATTACATTCCTTTGTATAAACACACCACAATTTATGCATTCTACTTTCAAGAGACTTTTGGGTTGCTTATACTTTTTGCTGTTAACAACGTGGCTGTGAACATTTTTGTATATTGTCTCCTGGTGAATGGGTTATTCTGATTATTTCTAATAACATGAAATTGAGCATGTTTCCTTACTTTTTCTTTACATGTTTATCATATTATTGTGTTTCTCCTATATAATGCCTCTTAATGTCTTTTGCCCATTTTTCTACTGGGTCTTCTGTCTTTTTCTTATTCATTTATGGTAGTTTTTCATAGAAACTGGACACTACACCAACACTTTGGCATTTATGTAAGTTAGAAATACATTCTTCCAGTTTGTGGCTTGTCTTTTCACTTTATCTAAGGCGGGTTATTTTTTTTTCATGGATTAAGGATACTAATGTTGTATAATATAACTGTTTGATGATTGATACTTTTTGTATCTTATATAAGAAATACGTCCCAATCCTGAGATCATATTCTTTCATATTTTCTCTAAAAAGTTTTAAATTTTTTCCTTCTTACTTGTCTTTAATTCACCTGAAATTAATTTTTCTATCTGATGTAAAGTAAGTGTCCTATTTTACTTTCTATATAGATAACCAATTTTCCTAGCACTGTTTGTGGAATAATCTACCCATTCCCCACTGGAATCACCGTATAACCTCTGACATACACCAAGTTTCTATATGTAAGTGAGTCTGATTTTTGGCTTTCGATTCTGTTTTACTAGTCAATGTATTTATTTAATCCTACACCAGTGGCTCATCCTGCAGTCATATAGCTTTTAATGAATTCCGCTCATCGAAAGAGCAAGTCTTTCTTCCCAACCTTTCTTCCCAACCTTGATCTTCTTCAGGAGTGTTTGTCAAGTTCCTCTAAAAATCTTGTTGGGATCTAGACTGGAATTTGTACTGAATGTATAGATCAATTTGAGAAGAAATTACTTTTCTTTAAATATTGAGTTTTCCTATCTATTGAAATAGTATATCTCTGAATTTATCTAAATCTCCTTTAATGTAACATAATTATCTTATTACATGTATTCCTAAGTACTTTGTTTGTTTTGTGGATTCTGTCAATATCATCCATTTTTGTAGTATATTCTCTCAACTATTTGTTGCTAGTTGAAGTAGACATAGTGAATTGACCCTCAGTTTTATTACCAGCCTTTTCCAGAGTCACCACCTGATTGCCATTGTCATTCCCAGAAGAGGATGGACAGCTAAAATCTACATCTTGCAGATTCTCAAGTTAGTTTTATCTTTATGAATAGCTTCCACCAATTATATACATTTATGGGAGATTCGGAAGGCAAAAGTAAGACAGAAATCGGCTGGGCACAATGGCTCACGCTTGTAATCCCAGCACTTTGGGAGGCAGAGGTGGGCGGATCACTGGAGGCCAGGAGTTCTAGACCAGCCTGGCCAACATAGTGAAACCTGTCTCTACTAAAAATAGAAAAAAATTAGCTAGGCATGGTGGTGCACACCTGTAACCCCAGCTACTCAGGAGACTGAGGCATGAGAATCGCTTGAACCCAGGAAGCGGGGGTTGCAGTGAGCCGAGGTTGCAGTGAGCCACAATTGCCACTGCACTCCAGCCTAGACAACAGAGTGAGACTCTGTTTAAAAAAAAAAAAAAGTAAGGCAGAAATCACCTTTCTGTTGCTTCGGTGGTTTTCGGCAAATAGGCAAGGTCACTGAGGTATGAAATTTGTCTGCAGCTCTGTTCTAGGATCCAGTCATATTTCACAGGTGCTGAGTTTGAAAGGCAACTGAAGAAGTGGTTTTCTGATTTCAGAGTCCTGAACTGCAGCTTTAGAGATTGCTAGGGTCTGAACGTTTGTGTCCTCCCTACATTAGTAAGTTGAAACCTAATCGGCAATGCGGTGGTATTAGGAGATGCGGTCTTTGGGAGATGATTAGTTCATGAGGGTGGAGCCCTCATGAGTTGGATTAATGTCATTATAAAAGGGCTACCAGAGAGCTTCCCTGCCTTTTCCACCACATGAGGATGCAGGGCCCTCACCAGGCACTGGATCTGCTGGAGCCTTGATCTTGGACTTCCCAGCCTGTGAGACAGACATTTCTGTTGTTTATAAGCAGTTTGTAGTATTTTGTTATGGCAGCCTGAGCAGACTAAGACAGTGCTATATTCCTAAATGACAGTGGCAGTCTTCTGATTCTCTAAGTTACTTACTGTTGTCTTCTTTGAAGGGTAATTTCTGTTTTTCTGAGATTCACGCTGAAAAGCCCAGATCTTCTAATGATTTCATAAGCATCTAATCTCCTCTATTAAATCTGTTTCTATTTAAATAACTTAGAGTGGTTTCTATTTCCTGGTTGTTAACTAATATATAGGAATACAACTGATTTTTATATTTACATATTCATTTTTTAAAATGTAACAACCTTGCTGGACTCCTTTTTTTTTTAAGTGCTAGAATTACAGGCATGAGTTACCACAACCAGCCCTCTTTTTAAAAATTTTAATTGTTTACCTATAATTCTTTTGAATTTTCTATGTACATGACCACAGCATCTGCTAGCATTGACTATTTTTTAAAATTTTTGTGTCTTTAATCTATTTTTCTTGCCATACTGAACTGGCTAGTACTCCAGCAGAGAGCTGGTTGAAATAAAATAGAAGTTTATTTGCAAATGTCTATTTTAATCTCATTCTTAAAAGGAAAGTTTTTGGCATTTCACCATTAGGTGTGATATTTGCAGTAAAGTTGTTATTATTATTTGAGAATAATCTTTATCAGTTTATGAAAGTTTGGTTTTATTTCTGATTTTGTAAGAGTTATGTTTTAAATTATAGATGCATATTAAAATTCATTAAATGCTTTCTGTGTATCCATTGAAATATTCATCTAATTTTCTTCTTTAATCTATTCATTTAGTAGATTACAATTATTTATTTCTCATATGAAAGCAACCTTACATTCCTGGGATAAACTCACTCGATCATGGTGTATTCACTTGTTTATATATTGGCTAATATGTTAGGAGCTTTTCTGAGGTATAATTAGCATAATAAACTGCACATTTATTATTTAAATGTGCAATTTGATAAATTTTGATGTGTGCATACACTCATGAAACCATCATCACAAGCAAGATAATGGACATATTCATCACTCCAAAAAGTTTCCTTATGCCCCTTTATAATCTCTTTCTCCCACCCTTCTTTTTTATCCCTAAGGATACACTGATTTGCTTTCTGTCACTATATATGGGTTTGAATTTCCTGGAATTTCACATAAATGAAATGATACAATATGTGCTCAGTTTTGCGTGACTTCTTTCCCTCAGCATAATTATAATTATTTACAGATTCGTCTATGTTTTATTGCCTGTATCAATAGTACATTCCTTCTTATTTTTGAATAGTATTCCGTTTCATGGTGATACCACCATTTGTTTAACCATTCACCTGTTGATGGATATTTGGATTGTTTCTTCATTTTGGCTGTTACAAATAAAGCTTCTTGAATATTTGTGTACAGTCTTTGAATAAACATGTTTTCTTGTGTTTTCTTTTTTATGGGATATCCAGATAAACATATGTATTCATTTCTAGAAGTAGAATGACTGAATCATATGGTTGGTATACATTTCACTATTTAACATACTGCCACACAGATTTCTTTTTATTTTATTTTATTTTATTTATTTATTTTTTGAGACAGAGTTTCAGTCTTGTTGCCCAGGCTGGAGTGCAATGGCCCGATATTGGCTCACGGCAACCTCTGCCTCCCGGGTTCAAGTGATTCTCCTGCTTCAACCTCCCGAGTAGCTGGGATTACAGGCGTGAGCCATCACGCCCGGCTAATTTTGTATTTTTAGTAGAGACGGGGTTTCTCCATGTTGGTCAGGCTGGTCTCGAACTCCTGACCTCAGGTGATCCGCCCACCTCGGCCTCCCAAAGTGCTGGGATTACAGGCGTGAGCCACCTCACCTGGCCTGCCAAACAGATTTCTAAACTAATTTTCCTATTACGTATTCCCAAAATCATTGTATAAAAGATCCAGTTCTTTCTCATCTTTGTTAACACTTGATATGATCAGTTTTTTAAAAACTTTATCTATTTGAATAGCTATGTAGCAATATCTCTTTGTTGTATTTGCATTTCTCTAATGACTAATGACAGTTATCTTTTCATGTGCTTATTTGCTTTCTGTATATCTTCTTTGGCAAAATGTCTATTAAAATCTTTTGCTCCTTATATTATTTAATTTTTCTTTATATTTGAGTTTTTAGAATCCTTTATAAGACATATGATTTGCAAATATTTTCTCCCAGTCTGTGACTTATCTTTTCATTCTCTTCACAATGTCTTCTGAAGAATAGAACATTTTAATTTTGAATAAGCTCAGTGTATTAGTCTATTCTTTAATGGACAGACTTTTGACGTCATATATAAGAAATAGTTGTCTAACCAGAGGCCATAAAGGTTTTTCCCTATCCTTCCTTCTAGAAATTTCATAGTTTTAGGTGTAGGATCCGTTTTGAATTAATTTTACATATGATACAAGGTACGGATTGGATTGAAGTTTTGTTTGTGTTTTTGCATGTGGCTACCAAATGATTCCGGTGCTATTGTTGAGAAGATTATCATTGTTCCACTGTTTTATTCAAGAATTTTGCATTATGATTAAAACTGGCTGGTGGCCGGGCTCGGTGGCTCATGCTTGTAATCCCTGCACTCTGGCCCAGATACTACGCTTTTCCCATGGTCTTCACAACCTACAGACCAGGAGATTCCCTCCAGGCCTACCCCACCAGGGCCCTGGGTTTCAAGCACAAAACTTGGCAGCCATTTGGGCAGACACCAAGCTAGCTGCAGGAGTTTTTTTCCATACCCCAGTGGCGCCTAGAATGCCAGTGAGACAGAACCGTTCACTCCCCTGGAAAGGGGGCTGAAGCCAGGGAGCCAAGTGGTCTAGCTCAGCAGAACCCACCTCCACGGAGCCCAGCAAGCTAAGATCCACTGGCTTGAAATTCTTGCTGCCAGCACAGCAGTCTGAATTCGACCTGGGATGCTAGAGCTTGATGTGGGGAGGGGTGTCTGCCATTACTGAGGCTGCAAGAGGCGGTTTTCCCCTCACAGTGTAAACAAAACTGCTGGGAAGTTCAAACTGGGCAGAGCCCATCACAGCTCAGCAAAGCCGCTGTAACCAGACTGCCTCTCTAGATTCCTCCTCTCTGGGCAGGGCATCTCTGAAGGAAAGGCAGCAGCCCCAGTCAGGGGCTTATAGATCAACCTCCCATCTCCCTGAGACAGAGCACCTGGGGGAAGGGATGACTGTGGGCACAGCTTCGGCAGACTTAAACATTCCTGCCTGCCAGCTCTAAGGAGAGCAGCGGGTCTCCCAACACAGCACTCAAGAACTCTGCTAAGGGACAGACTGCCTCCTCAAGTGGGTCCCTGACCCCCGTGCCTCCTGACTGGAAGACACTTCCCAGCAGGGGTCGACAGACACCTCACATAGGAGAGCTCCGGCTGGCATCTGGCTGGTGCCCCTCTGGGACGAAGTTTCCAGAGGAAGGAACAGGCAGCAATCTTTGCTGTTCTGCAGCCTCAGCTGGTGAAAGAGGCAAACAGAGTCTGGAGTGGACCTCCAGCAAACTCCAGCAGACCTGCAGCAGAGGGGCCTGACTGTTAGAAGGAAAACTAACAAACAGAAAGGAATAGCATCAACATCAGCCAAAAGGACGTCCACACAGAAACTCCATCTGAAACTCACCATCATCAAAGACCAAAGGTAGATAAATCCATGAAGATGAGGAGAAACCAGTGCAAAAAGGCTGAAAATTCCAAAAACCAGAAAGCCTCTTCTCCTCCAAAGGAACACAACTCCTGGAGAGCAAGGGAACAAAACTGGACAGAGAATGAGTTTGACAAATTGACGGAAGTAGGCTTCAGAAGGTGGGTAATAACAAACTCCTCTGAGCTAAAGGAGCATATTCTAACCCAATGCAAGGAAGCTAAGAACCTTGAAAAAACATTAGAGGAATTGCTAACTAGAATAACCAGTTTAGAGAAGAACATAAATGACCTGATGAAGCTGAAAAACACAGCATGAGAACTTCACAAAGCATACACAAGTATCAATCAATAGCCAAATCAATCAAGTGGCAGAAAGGATGTCAGAGATTGAAGATCAACTTAATGAAATAAAACAAGAAGAAAAGATTAGAGAAAAAAGATGAAAACGAACAAACAAAGCCTCCAAGAAATACAGGATTACGTAAAAAACCAAACCTATGTTTGATTGGTGTACCTGAAAGTGATGAGGAGCATGGAACCAAGTTGGAAAACACACTTCAGGCTATTATCCAAGAGAACTTCCCCAACCTAGCAGGACAGACCAACATTCAAATTCAGGAAATACAGAGAACACCACAAAGATACTCCTTGAGAAGAGCAATCCCAAGACACATAATCATCAGATTCACCAAAGTTGAAATGAAGGAAAAAATGTTAAGGGCAGCCAGAGAGAAAGGTAGGGTTACCCACAAAGGGAAGCCCATCAGACTAACAGCTGATCTCGCTGGAGAAGCTCTACAAGCCAGAAGAGAGTGGGAGCCAAAATTCAACATTCTTAAAGAAAATAATTTTCAATCCAGAATTTCATATCCAGGCAAACTAAGCTTCATAAGTGAAGGAGAAATAAAATCCTTCACAGACAAGCAAATGCTGAGAGACTTTGTCACCACCAGGCCTGCCTTACAAGAGCTCCTGAAGGAAGCACTAAACATGGAAAGGAACAACCGGTACCAGCCACTGCAAAAACTTACCAAATTGTAAAGACCGTCGACACTGTGAACAAACTGCATCAACTAACAGGCAAAATAACCAGCTAGCATCATAATGACAGGATCAAATTCACAGATAACAATATTAACCTTAAATGTAAATGGGCTAAACGCCCCTAATTAAAAGACACAGACAGGCAAATTGGATAAAGATTCAAGAGCCATCGCTGTGCTGTATTCAGGAGATCCATCTCATCAGCAAAGACACACATAGGCTCAAAATAAGCAGAGGGAGGAATATTTACCAAGCAAATGGAAAGCAAGAAAAAGCAGGGTTTGCAATCCTAGTCTCTGATAAAACAGACTTTAAACCAACAACGATCAAAAAAGACAAGGAAGGGCATTACATAATGGTAAAGGGATCAATGCAACAAGAAGAGCTAACTATCCTAAATATATATTCACCCAATATAGGAGCACCCAGATTCATAAAGCAAGTTCTTAGAGACCTACAAAGAGACTTAGACCCCCAAACAATAATAGTAGGAAACTTTAATACCCCACTGTCAATATTAGATCCACAAGAAAAAAAATTAACAAGGATATTCAGGACTTGATCTCAGCTCTGGACCTAGCAGACCTAATAGAAATCTACAGAACTCTCCACCCCAAATAAACAGAATATACATTCTTCTCAGCACAACATGACACTTATTCTAAACTTGACCACATAATTAGAAGTAAAACACTCCTCAGCAAATGCAAAAGAACGGAAATCATAACAGTTTCTCAGTCCACAGTGCAATCAAATTAGAACTCAGGATTAAGAAACTCACTCAAAACTGCACAACTACGTGGAAACTGAACAACCTGCTCCTGAATGACTACTGGGTAAATAATGAAATTAAGGCAGAAACAAATAAGTTCTTTGAAACCAATGAGAACAAAGACATAATGTACGAGAATCTCTGGGACACAGCCAAAGCAGTGTTTAGAGGGAAATTTATAGCACTAAATCCCCACAGGAGAAAGCAGTAAAGATCTAAAATCAACACCCTAACATCACAATTATAAGAACTAGAGAAAAAAGAGCAAACAAATTCAAAAGCTAGCAGAAGACAAGAAATAACTAAGGTAAGAGCAGAAGTGAAGGAGATAGAGACCTGAAAGACCCTTTAAAAAATCAATGAATCCAGGAGCTGGTTTTTTGAAAAGATCAACAAAATAGACTACTAGGCAGACTAATAAAGAAGAAAAGAGAGAGGAATCAAATAGACACAGTAAAAAATGGTAAAGGGGATATCACCACTGATCCCACAGATATACAAAGTACCATCTGAGAATACTATAAACACCTCTATGCAAATAAACTAGAAAATCTAGAAGAAATGGGTAAATCCCTGGACACATATATCCTCCCAAGACTAAATCAGGAAGAAGCTGAATCCCTGAATAGACCAATAACAAGTTCTGAAATTGAGGCAGTAATTAATAGCCTACCAACCAAAAAAAGCCCAAGTCCAGACAGAGTCACAGCTGAATTCTACCAGAGGTACAAGGAGGTGCTGGTACCATTCCGTCTGAAACTATACCAAACAATAGAAAAAGAGGAACTCCTCCCTAACTCATTTTATGAGGCCGGCATCATCCTGATACCAAAACCTGGCAGAAACACAACAAGAAAAGAAAATTTCAGGCCAATATTCCTGATGAACATCGATGTGAAAATCTTCAATAAAATACTGGAAAACCGAATCCAGCAGCACATCAAAAAGCTTATCAACCACGATCAAGTCAGCTTCATCCCTCGGATGCAAGGCTGGTTCAACATATGCAAATCAATAAATGTAATTCACATAAACAGAACCAATGACAAAAACCACATGATTATCTCAATAGATGCAGAAAAGGCCTTCAATAAAATTCAACACCCCTTCATGATAAAAACTCTCAATAAACTAGGTACTGATGGAACATATCTCAAAATAATAAGAGCTATTTATGACAAACTGGCGGCCAATATCATACTAAATGGGCAAAACCTGGAAGCATTCCCTTTGAAAACCAGCACAAGACAAGGATGCCATCTCTCACCACTCCTATTCAAAATAATATTGGAAGTTCTGGCCAGGGCAATCAGGAAAGAAAAAGAAATAAAGGGTATTCAAATAGGAGGAGAGGAAGTCAAATTGTCTCTGTTTGCAGAGGACATGATTGTCTATTTAGAAATCCCCATCATCTCAACCCCAAATCTCCTTAACCTGATAAGCAACTTCAGCAAAGTCTCAGGATACAAAAATCAATGCACACAAATCACAAGCGTTCCTATACACCAATAATAGACAAACAGAAAGCCAAATCATGAGTGAACTCCCATTCACAATTGCTACAAAGAGAATAAAATACCTAGGAATACAACTTACAAGGAATGTGAAGGACCTCTTCAAGGAGAACTACAAACCACTGCTCAAGGAAATAAGAGAGGACACAAATGAATGGATAAACATGCCATCCTCATGGATAGGAAGAATGAATATCATGAAAATGGCCATACTGCCCAAAGTAATTTATAGATTCAATGTTATCCCCACCAAGCTACCATTGACTTTCTTCATAGAATTAGAAAAAACTACTTTAAATTTCATATGGAACCAAAAAAGAGCCCATATAGCCAAGACAATCCTAAGCAAAAAGAACAAAGCTGGAGGCATCACACTACCTGACTTCAAACTATACTACAAGGCTACAGTAACCAAAACAGCATGGTACTGGTACCAAAACAGATATATAGACCAATGAAACAGAACAGAGGCCTCAGAAATAACACCACACATCTACAACCATCTGATCTTTGACAAACCTGACAAAAACAAGCAATGGGGAAAGGATTCCCTATTTAATAAATGGTGTTGGGAAGACTGGCAAGCCATATGCAGAAAACTGAAAGTGGACCCCTTCCTTACACCTTATACAAAAATTAACTCAAGATGGATTAAAGACTTAAACGTAAAACTTAAGCCATAAAAACCCTAGAAGAAAACTTAAGCAATACCATTCAGGATGTAGGCATGAGCAAAGACTTCATGACTAAAATGCCAAAAGCAATGGCAACAAAAGCCAGAATTGACCTAATTGAACTAAATGGACCTAAAATGGAACTAAAATGGGACCTAATTGAACTAAACAGCCTCTGCACAGCAAAAGAAACCACCATCTGCATGAACAGGCAACCTACAGAATGGGAGAAAATCTATCCATCTGACAAGTGGCTAATATCAAGAATCTGCAAAGAACTTAAACAAATCTACAAGAAAAAAACAACCCCATCAAAAAGTGGGCAAAGGATATGAACAGACATGTCTCAAAAGAAGACATTTATGTGGCTAACACACACATGAAAAAAAACTCATCATCACTGGTCATTAGAGAAATGCAAATCAAAACCACAATGAGATACCATCTCATGCCAGTTAGAATGGCCGTCATTAAAAAGTCAGGAAACAACAGATGTTGGAGAGGATGTAGAGAAATAGGAACGCTTTTGCACTGTTGGTGAGAGTGTAAATTAGTTCAACCATTGTAGAAGACAGTGTGGCAACTCCTTAATGATCTAGAACCAGAAATACCATTTGACCCAGCAATCCCATTACTGGGTATATACCCAAAGGGTTATAAATCATTCTGCTATAAAGACACGTGCACACGTATGTTTATTGCAGCACTGTTCACAATAGCAAAGACTTGGAACCCATCCAAATGCCCATCAATGTTAGACTGGATAAAGAAAATGTGGCACATATACACCATGGAATACTATGCAGCCACAAAAAAGGATGAGTTCACGTCCTTTGCACAGACATGGATGAAGCTGGAAACCATCATTCTCAGCAAACTAACACAGGAATAGAAAACCAAGCACTGCATGTTCTCACTCATAAGTGGGAGCTGAACAATGAGAACACATGGACACAGGGAGGGGATCATCACACACTGGGGCCTGTCAGGGAGTGTGGGGCTAGGGGAAGGATAGCATTAGGAGAAATACCTAATGTAGATGATGGGTTGATGGGTGCAGCAAACCACCATGGCACGTGTATACCTACGTAATAAACCTGCATGCTCTGCACATGTATCTCAGAACTAAAAGTATAATAATAATTTTTTTTTAAAAAAGGAAACAAAGGGCTTTAGTACTTTCCCCACCTGTGAAGTCTACAAGCCGAATTCTTGCTCTCTCTGAGTTCTGGCCAGGAGGCTTCTCACCTAGTTCAAATTGTTACAAAGTTCAGCTAGAGAATTCCTTTTCCCCCTGGAGTTTTACCCCCTGCTCCTCTGGCCACCCTCCTGATGGATCCCTGTGGTGCCAGGCAGGAATGGGCTGCTTGGGGACCCAGATTGCTCCCAGGGCCTTTCTGCTGCTACCTCTACCCCTGTATTTCACTCCACTCAGCTCTGTAACTTGCATCAGCTCCAGGTAAAGTTGGAAACTTCTCCCGCAAACAGACTGTCAGCTTCTCCAGTAGGGGTGTGTGTTTAGGAGAGGAGGGTCTCCCTTTCCCACTTCTGCAGTTGGGGCACTCACAGTATTTGGGGTATCTCCTGGGTCCTGCAGGAGCAGTCTGCTTCTTTCAGATGGTCTGTGGGTCCTCTCAGGATTGCTGGTTTGTTCTTGCAGTCAGTCTGGAGCTAAAATTCATAATGCAAGCCTCCGCATGCTGCCCTGACCAGAGCTGCAATCTAGTCCTGCCTTGTGTCCACCATGATCCCAAAATGCCCTAGATGGGTCTCTCTTGTAAGCTGCATATAGTTAGATTTTGTTTTTGTTTTGTTTTGTTTTTCTTTTTCTTTTTTTGAAATGGAATCTCACTCTGTCACCCAAGCTGGAGTGCTGTGGCTCCACTGCAACCTGGGTTCACTGCAACGTCCACCTCCCAGGTTCAAGTGATTCTGCTGCCTCAGCCTCCCAGGTAGCTGGGATTACAGATATGCGCCATCAAGCTCTGCTAATTTTTGTATTTCTAGTACAGATGTGGTTTCACCATGTTGGCCAAGCTGGTCTTGAACTCCTGACCTCAAGTGATCCACCCACCTCAGCCTCCCAAAGTGCTAGGATTACAGGCCTGAGCCACTGTGCCTGTCCTGTTTTGTTTTTCTTAATCAGTCAAGCTTGATAAGCTTGACTTTTAACTGGAGTATTTAGTTCATATACATTTAATGTAATTGTCTACATATTTGGGTTTTAATTTACCATCTTATGGTGTGCTATTTGTTCTACCTATTCAGTATATACTTTTCTCTTTTTTCTTGCTTCTTTCAACAAATTGTTTCTTATCATCCAATTTTTTCCCTTTACTGCTGGGAGATTGTGTAATTTGTTTCTATTCTTTTAGTAATTATCCTAGAATTACAACATGCATACTTAACCTTTACCCTTCATACAAGCTGCTTAGGATATTTGATTCCATTTGACCCTCTTCAACATATGTGATACTTGTAATTGCATTTTTTTCTATTTTTTAGATGCTATATTGTTGTTCTTTTACTCTTTCAGTGTATATTAACTTATTTATTCACCACTTTCTTTGTTCTTTATACCTTTTTATAGCTTACATTTTTTTTATCTGCCTAACGCACTTTTTTTATAACTTTCTTTAGTATGATTCTGCTTAGGAAAAACTACTAGTCTTCATTAGCCTGAAAATGTCTTTATTTCAGCCTCACTATTAAAATATTTTTCACTAGACATTAAGACTAGATAGTAATTTTCTCTCAGTAAGTGGAAGATCCCCCTCCATTGTCTTCTGATGTCTCTTGCTGCTGCTGAGCAGTCATGTCAGTTTCATATTTACTCCTTTGAAAGCAATTCATCACTTTTCTCTGATTGTTTTCACTATTTTCTTTTCTTTTTCTATTTTTTTTAGCTTTGCTCTTCAGCTGTTTCATTATGACAATTTTAGATATAGGTTTCTTCTTGTTTATTTTGCTTGAGACTCACTGGGTTGTCTTAACCTGTACATTAGTGTCTTTCATGTACATTAGTGTCTTTCATCACTTCCGTAAAATTCTCAGCCATTATCTCTTCAGATATTACCTTTGCCCCATTTCTCTCTCCTCTCCTTCCTAGATTCTGATGAGATGTATATTAATCTATTCTCCTCTGTTGTTTATTTCTTTTAATTCTTATTCTGTGTTTTCTTTTTGTCTCTCTGTTTCACTTTTAAATTATTGTTTTTCTGACCTAGCTCCTAGTTCACCAATTCTCTTTTCAACTGTATTTAGTCTGCCGTTAAAGTCATCAACTGGCTTTCAAGGTGGCCTAAAATGCATATTTACCTCCTTGCCCTTTCAAAATGCAATTAAATTGAAGAAATGTAAAAATAAAAATTATGTAAAAACATAAACATAAAAATTAATTCAGGCCAGGCATGGTGGCTTACACCTAGAGTCCCAGCACTTTGGGGGGCTGAGGTGGGTGGATCACCTGAGGTCAGGAGTTTGAGACCAGCCTAGCCAACATGGTGAAACCTCATCTCTACTAAAAATACAAAAAAAAAAAAAAAAATTAGCCAGGTGTGGTTGCGCATGCCTGTAATCCCAGTTACTTGGGAGACTGAGGCAGGAGAATCGCTTGAACCCAGGAGGTGGAGGTTGCAGTGAGCCAAGATTGTGCTATTGCACTCCAGCCTGGTGACAGAGTGAGACTCCGTCTCAAAGAAAAAAAAATTAATTCGTAGCAGCACTAAAAACCAGTATGGAGTGCCACCAGAAGACTAAAACAGTGGAGAATTTCTGAACCATATAAATTTATTTTATTCTTTGGTCCTTTTTTAAATATCTGCAACGTAATTTTTCCCGAAGATATTTCAAATTTATCTTTTATTTCATTAAATAATAACTATAGTTTTATTACCTGTTTTATAACCTGCTAAATCCAAATATTAAGTATTTGTGGTTCTATGGCCTTTGTTATTTCTGTTTGTTCTTGCTTATGTTGTCTTCTTTCCTCATGTGTCTGTTTAAACTTGACTACACATGTTCTGGTAATAGTACTTTAAAATGTATTTGTGGGAACTATCCTAGCCTAACAGGAATCCACCTTCCTATAGAGAGATATCTTTGTTTCTGCTAGGCACCTAAGGACACCATCAGTCTGAGACTACCTTAATCTAAGTTCAAAGCTTGAAATTCCCGGGACCGTCACCATGATGGAAACAACCAAAAGAGGATTTGTTTATTTCAGGTATATTCTTGCCCTAAGGACACAGCCCTTTCATTTCCTACCTCACTGTCAGGAGGATCTCCTTCCTGTTCAGCTTCCTGCTTTGTGCAATCCCTGGGCAATTGCCATACCTTTCACTCAGTGGGGACATCAAAACGAAAGTTCAAGTTGTCATTACCCCTACAAAGCATAAACACCTTCTACTGCTTATTTATCTCTCTTGGTTCTTTTTCGTTCCTAATTTTGGTCTTACAGTATCTTATTCTCTGTTCAGTATTTGCTTTTAAAAAGGATTTTAGATTTTTTCCCCAGCATTTTTAATAGTTTTCTTCAGAATGTTTGGTCAATTACCAAAATCCAGAGGTTCATTTCTTTCTTCCTGTGTTATATTTGCTATACGTTTTTTTTTATTTTTAAGAAGTTATCCATTTCTTCAAAATGTTCAATTTATTGGTACAAAGTTGTTTATGGTGTTCTCCCTTTTATTGTTTTAGGCTTCATTATATCTGAAGTTAGGACTCCCTTTTTCATTCTTAGTTGTTTTTATTTGGGCTTTATCTCATTCTTCTTGGCCAGACTCACCCAATGGTTATTTTACGTTTTTTTTTTTTAATCAATAGAATCATCTCTGTTTTCTGTTTTTCTATTTCATGAGTTTCTGTCTTTATCTTCGTCGTTAATTTTTTCTTTCTTGCAGTTTCTTCTGCCTTTCTTTCTACACTCTCAAGTGGATAACTTTCAGGCTTTCTTCCTTAAAGCAAATAACAAGCTTATATCTCTACTTTTATCTGCCTTATTCAGAAAGGCTTATTATTGGCATATTCATTGCAATATAAATTTGTCAATTTCTCATTGTGAAATCAACCCAATACTCACATAGATAGATTTTTTGTTTTTGTGTTTATATAAACATAGAAATTAATCCTCCTGATCTTCTTAAAGCTTGAAACTTAAATTTGTTTTATCTGAGTTCCTTCCTCTAGAAAGGACCCTCAGGCCTCTCAAAAAGTATCAAAGAACTGAAACTCAGCAATTGTTTGCATCCAGACAATGACACAACAGGCCCCTCAATCATCATGTTTGATTCCTTAGGCTTCCTAAGTTCCTGTTTTTCTATGCATTGTTACATTTCTTCCCTGCTATATTAATCCCTAATTTTAGTCTGTCAGGGAGATGGATTTGAGATGGAGCTCCCATCTTCTTGGCTGCACCACCCAATTAAAGCCTTCTTCCTTGGCAATACTTGCCCTCTCAGTGATTGGCTTTCCATGCAGTAAGCAGCAGGACCTAGATGAACCCCTTGGCATTTTGGTAACAATTGTGTATCTATTAATTTTTGCTTATCTCCTGGGTAGATGTGATTTTTGTGTAAGCAAAATATCAGCAAAACATTTGTCTGATATTAACATGGCTACTAGATTTTCTGGTTAGTATTTTTCTGAAATTCTTTTTAGTTTCTAGCTTTCCATTCTTTAAATATAAAGAATCTTGTGGAGACAATAGAGGGGTTTTTTTGTTTACTTTTTTAGTCCACCAGAACAATCTCTGTTTTTATTTTAGCTCAATATATTTGTACAAAAAAATTCTTGAATTATTTTCATCCATTACTATGTTGTTCCATTGTTATTATATTTCTGTATTTTTAAGGGTAAATTTAATCTATTTACACATATTATGGTTACTACATTTAGAACTTGCTTGCTTCTACTCTGTTTCTTTGTGCTTTCTATTTGTTCTACTTTTTCTGTTTCTTTTTTCTCCTCTCTTGATTTTCTTTATACAGTATTTGTTTAATCACCTGTTTTCTTATTTCATTTTTGCCTTTTATTAGATGAAAACTTACATACTCTAGTTTTATGCTCTAGTTTGATTCTCTTGTGATAGTAATAGTCTTAGTACTCTACTTAACACCAAGATCTGAAATTTAATCATATCTTAACTCCTCTTTCAAACAATACAAGTTTTAAGGACATTCCTCTTGCATTGACCTCCACTTTCTTCCCCCAACTTAATAGAGTTAAGTATGCATGATAAAGTTTCTAGAGTGGAAATAAAGTGGGTAACTTTCTCACCACTACATAGTGGAATGCATTTTATTTTGTTTTATTTTATTTTTTGAGACAGGGTCTCACTCTGTCCCCCAGGTTGGGCAGTGCAGTGGCACAATCGCAGCTCACTGCAGCCTGAACCTCCTGGGTGCTCAAGTGATTCTCCCACCTCACCCTCCTGGGTAGATGTGATTTACAGGCAAGTGCCACCACACCCAGCTAATATTTTTTTGTAATTTTTTTGTAGAGATGGGGTTTCACTATGTTGCTTAGGCTGGTCTCGAACTTCTGGGCTTAAGCTATCTTCCCACCTCAGTCTGCCAAAGTGCTGTGGTTACAGGTATGAGCCACTGGACCCAGCTGAAATGCACTTCCTTTTCTTTCCCTTTCTTTTTTTTTTTTTTTGAGATGGAGTTTCGCCTTTGTTGCCCAGGCTGGAGTGCAGTGGCACAATCTCAGCTCACTGCAACCTCCGCCTCCAGGGTTCAAGTGATTCTCCTGCCTCAGCCTCCGGAATAGCTAGGATTACAGGCATATGCCACCACACCTGTCTAACTTTTTGTATTTTTAGTAGAGATAGGGTTTTGCCATGTTGTCCAGGCTGGTCTCGAACTCCTGACCTCAGGTGATCCACCCACCTCAGCCTCCTAAAGTCCTGGGATTACAGGCGTGAGCCACTGCGCCTGGCCTGAAATGCATTTTCAAAATAACTTTTGATTTTATATACTTCAAAATAGTGTTAATATTTATTAGTTTTATATTAGTTGCAAAATGAATTAGTTTTGAAATAACCAACTGAACTTTTGTTTCAAGAAGGTTACTTAAATGATAAATGATGATAGATTTGCTAAGTGCCCTGATTTAATTACTATACAATGTAATTTGATACATACAATGTATCAAAACATGACTATGTACTCCATATGTACAATTATTGTCAATTTAAAAAGTACATATTTATCTCCATACTTTCAAAACTCCATATTTTACTTTCAAAACTAGAAATACATATTTATCTCCATACTCTTTCAAAATTTAATTAAATTAACAAGAAATAGAAACATAAAAATTAATTCATAGCAGCACTAAAAACCAGAAGACTGGCACAATGGATAATTTCTGGATTATTTAAAGTAGATATCATATCAAGTGTTAATTTTGAGGAGGAAAGTAGAATGGCAGGAGTAAGAAGACTAAAGGAATCTGTGTGTGTGTGTGTGTGTGTGTGTGTGTGTACTGAATTTCTACAAAGAAAATGTATTTATGTATAATCATTTATAAATAAACTGTAAGGATACTGGATCCGGATTTGACAATAAAACCTAACAGAGCTGAGGATTTTTAAAACCTATACATTTGGCACATCTCATTAAAAACACCTCCAAAAGTGGCCTAAGATCAGAGATAGTGGGAACCCATGTGGAATTTATTTTTGTTATGAAATAAAGATCTTATCATATATATTTTTTAAAATAACCAATTGACATAATAACATTTATTAGTAGTTTATCCTTTTCCAACAGAGTTGAAATGCCACCTTTATTATTTACTAGATTCCTTAAATACATGGATCTGTTTTTTCTATTATTTTCCACTCATATTTTTGTCCATCCCTGTCCCAATACTACACTATATTAATTATTATTGCTTTTCAGTGTGTTTTTGTATCTAGAGGGCCTTTTTTTTTTTTTTAAGACAGGGTCTCATGCAGGCTGGAGTGCAGTGGCACCATCACAGCTCACTGCAGCCGCAACCTCTTGGGTTCAATCGATCTTCCCACCTCAGCCTCCCCAGTAGCTAGGATTACAGGTGCATACCACCATGCCTGGCTAATTTTTGTATTTTTTGTAGAGACGAGGTTTTGCCATGTTTCCTAGGCTTGTCTCAAACTTCTAGGTTCAAGTGATCCACCCACCTCGGCCTCCTAAAGTGCTACGATTACAGGTATGAGCCACCACATCTGGCTGGCAGGTTTAAAAAAAAAAAAATTTTTTTTTCTTTTCTTTTTTTTTTTTTTTTTTTGCGACAAGGTCTTACTCTGTCACCCAGGCTGCAGTGCAGTGGCATGAACAGAGTTCACTGCAGCCTTGAATTCCTGGGGTCAAGGAATCTTCCTGCCTCAGTCTCCAAGTAGCTAGGACTACTAATATTTTATAGAGGCGAGGTCTTGCTATGTTGCCCAGGCTGATCTCAAACTTCTGGCCTCAAGTGATTCTACCATCTTGACCTCCCAAAGTGCTGGGATTACAGGCATGAGCCACTGTGCCTGGTCCCTGGCAGTCTTAATGTATTTTTTTTTCCCAAAATTTTCTGTTGTGCTCTTGCATTTTCTTTTCCAGATGAAATTTAGAATCCGATTAATTTTATAAAAATTATCATTGGCTGTGGACTGGGATAACATTAAATTTGTAGCACATTTGAGGAGAATTGATATCTTCATACTACTGAGCTTTTCATTAAGTCAGGAGGTGTCCAATCTTTTGGCTTTCCTGGGCCACATTGGAAGAATTGTTTTGGGCCACATGTGAAATATACTACCACTAATGATAGCTAATGAGCAAAAAAAAAAAAAAAAAATTCACAAAAAACTCTCATAGTGTTTTAAGAAAGTTTACAAATTATTGTTGGGCCACATTCAAAGCTGTCCTGGGCCACATGTGAACTGCAGGCCTCAAGTTGGACAAGCTTGGTGAAGTAGTATTACACTTGCTTTCCTTTTCTCTCCACCTTTTGTCTCTGCTGCTCTCTGCATGTCAGCTTTGTTATCTGCTAGTGCATATCATCTTCCTATTCACAGAAGATATGTCAGCCTATTGCTTTCAGTTCACATCCTCCCAGTTTTACTACCAGAAAAGGAAATTGCTCTTTTTCCTAGCTGCACTTCAGTTAATCCTGGGTAGGATACTCTTTGGTCTGGATTGGTCATATACCTTCTTCCCACCAATCACAGTGGTGAGGAAGGTGGGGTAATGAGTCCAGTCAGGGGAGATAAACCATACAGTAATTTGAATAGAGACAATAATATAAAGAATTTTAAACTATAGCAGGGGATTGGAGTATTGAGCAAATATCTAGGAAGAAGGCAAGAAAACTCTAAATACATAAATAGTATGTATAAGGTGCAGGTACTACTCCTAGGGCTGAGATGGGGCACCCAAAGAGCTTCCCTTCATGTCCTCCTAGCCCCTCAACCTCCCCCCAACCCCCGCTCCCCCTCATCATGGCTGAGCTCCAGCCCTTATTGGAGAGGGCATGGCCAGGGCTCACTGAATGCCTTGGAAACTATGATGCTTCACAGACTGGAAATCCACCCTCTAGGTGCTGGGGAAGCAGTTCACTGGAGGCACCCGACAGGGCAGAGGTGGGGGTGTTGTTGCAGGAACTGGGCACTGGAGGAGCTGCATGTGTTGCAAGAATCAGATGCCAGAGAAGCTGCTCACATTGCAGCAGCCACATGCACTTCAGAAACCCGCCTGACTACTCAGCTTCCATATGCACCTTTCTGCAACAAACAATGCTATCTTTCTATGTAATAAGATACAGCTATCTTCTTACCAGTGAAGTTTATGCTTTCCCCAAAATGAGGAAAGGCAGTCCTGGGAGTAATTGTATCCATCACTGGCTATATTATTAATCCTCATAATCAATTCCACCAAATATGGTTACCTAAAGACAAATTGTGAAGTTAACTTCTGTGGAAAGTTGCATTGTGGCCTCAAAAAGATCTAAGTCCTAAACCCCAATACCTGGGACTGGAACTTTATTTGGAAACAGTCTTGGAAGATGTTATTAAATCTTGAGATTAGCCAGGCACAGTGGCTCATGTCTGTAATCCCAGAACTTTGGAAGGCTGAGGCAATGCGTGGCTCACTTGAGCTCACTAGTTCGAGACCAGCCTGGGCAATATAGTGAGACTCCCATCTCTTCAAAAAATACAAAAATTAGCCAGGCATGGTGGTGTGCACCTGTGGTCTCAGCTACTCTGGAGGCTGAGATGGGAAGATAGCTTGAGCTCTGGAGGCAGATGTTGCCGTGAGCCAAGATCGTGCCACTGCACTCCAGCCTGGGCAATAGAGCCAGACTTTGTCTTAAAAAAAAAAAAACATCTTGAGATTATCCTGGATTTAGGGTGGGTTGTGAATTCAAATATTGGTATCCTTATTAAAGAAAGAAGAGAGGAATATGAGACACAGAGACACTCAGAGGAGAAAACAATGTGAAAATAAGGCAGAGATGAGAGTGATGCATGAAAATCCCAAGGATGCCAAAGATTGCCAGGCAGCCACCAGGAACTAGGAAAAAGGCCTGGAACGTATTCTCCCTCGGAGCTTCTGAAAGAAACCAACCCTGCTAACACCTTGATTTCAGATGTCTAGCCTCTAGAACTGTAAGAAAATAGATTTATGTTTTAAGCTACCGAGTTTTTGGTAACTCTATTGTAGCAGCCCTAGGAAAATAACACAAGTGCCAAGAGTTTGAATAAAAAATTAAAATGGGGAAGGAGTGAAAAGAAAATGGTTAGTAAATACAAATCAACACATATATATATAATAAGCCAACAGAAAATATGTAAAGTTACTGCATTTCTATAATTCCTCGTTTCTATAATTGTTCACAAGACTATAAGTCCTCATTTCTATAATTGTTCACAAGGCTATAATTGATATCTACAGCTTTCCCCCCACCTCTACCCATTCTGTATTTCCTCTGCCCTCAGCCAGAAACTCAGCTGGTCAGGATTCTTGATGGAGTAATCTAAACCTTCATTTCCAAAAGTTCTAAGTCCTCAAACACCCTACCTTTTATTTTCAGTTGCTGTGTTTTTTATTTATCTTAATATTGGACACGGAAGTACTGAGAGGATCCCTAGAGGATCCCCTGGGTTCTAGACTGTACTCCTTGCTCCCATTGTCTAGAAGCTAGCCAATTTCCTCTTAGTTATCAGGATCCATCGCTCCAGCCAGTGGACTACCTCCTGTTTTTGCCTTTTGCTTCAGTGGTGTAAGGAAATGGCCAAGTGGTAGTCTCATAGTCTATTACGGCAAAACCATTGTTGCATCTCCTGATGGAAGCACTCTTCCCTTGGAGGCTGAGGTCTCTAACCCAGCAGAAGACAGAGTTTCCAGGTAAGGAAGAAAAAATTCTGAGAGTAGGTGATACTATAAGAAGAGCTACTCTTACTGCCATAACTAGATTCAAATGTATCTTGGCTATGAGAAAGACAGCAACATATAATGGTCTCTGACTCAAAACATATCATTTAAGACAGAAACTCATTTTCCAGGGTATTGTCTTCCAGCTAAGATCATAATTGAGTCTTCAGTAAGCCATTTCACCATTCAGTTATGCCAGCTGCTTCCAAATGATGGTATATATGGTAAGCCTCGTTAATTCTATTGGCATGATCCATTGCTGCACTTCCTTTGCTGTAAAATGAGTTCCCTAATCAAATGCAATGTTGAGTAGAAAGCACTGATGGTAGATAGGGCATTTTGTGAGTTCATAGATAGTAGTGCTGGCAGAAGCATTATAAGCAGTAAAGGCAAATCCATTTCCAAAATATGTGATTATTCCAATTAAGATGAATCTTTGCTCCCTCTATGATGGAAGAAGTCCAATGTAATCAACCTGCCACCAGATGGCTGGTTCATTACCCCTGGGAATGGTGCCATATCAGGTACTGAATGTTGTTCTCTGCTCTTGAAAGATTAACCAGTTGGCAGTAGTGCTGGCAAGGTAAACTTTGGAAAGGGGAATTCCATGTTGTTGAGCACATGCATAGTCTCCATCCCTACCACTGTGGCCACTTTGTTCATAAGCCCACTGAGCAAGCACTGGTTGGTTGGGCAAAGATGCTGACTGATATCCACAGAGTGTCCACCTGATTATTAGGAGTCTCCTCAGCAATGGATACATTTAATGTAGCAGATATACTTCATAGTTTTTAAACATTCAGGTAAGTCCTTCCAGATATCTCTTTCCCACACTTCCTTGTTGCCTATTTTTCAATGTCATTCTTTCCAAGTCACAGACTATCTATACAAATCATTAGCCACTGCCCATTCTGGTCATCTCTCGCTCCAGACATGCTGGGTAAACAAATGTACTGTTTGAATTATGCCCACCTGGAGGAGCTGCCTTCACCACTGCCCTTCCGGCGCCTGACTAGGGCTGGGATAGCCACCTGTGCTGCAGAAGATGGATTCTAGAGAGGCCTTCCATGCTGCAGGAGCCTGTCAGGGAAGCACACTGGAACCAGAAAGTAAACCCTTTCCTATTTCAATGCGTCTCTAGCATTCTCTATGGACAGAACTTACCATTGTGGTAGGTAGACCTACCTACCACATAGAGAATGCTGAGAGAAGTAGTAGAAGCCTATTTTAAGGGGTCAGATCCATCTATATAGAACAAGCATGAAAAGTGAATTTGGAACTGAGAGGCAACAAATAAATTACAGCACAGGTACTATAGAGCTGGCTAGCTTAGGTAGAAAAACTACCTCTCTGTCAATCACCGTGGCTATTGCAGCTCCCATTTGGTCTATCATTAGACTGGGGATAGGCAGAGAAGAAAAGTAGTTCTCCCAAAATAAGAGGGTGAAGCACTTTTCCCAAAAGAAGAGAGGAGTTCTGGGCTAACAAAACAAAAATGTTCCCTACACTTCACCCTTTGACTGCTCAGTGCATGCATGAACACACACACACACACACACACACACACCCTGGTTTCTCCATACCCAGTCCCTCCCTAGTGAGAGGAGAAAACTCAGTCACATCCCGATATTGAATCCAGCCTCAAATTCAGGATCTTTGAGTACTGTCAATCTTGATGAGGTCCAGATGTAGCTAAATAATGAATAATGAATGTATCCCTAGAGTACAAATGTATGTTAAAGGTGTAGGGGGTGGGGGGCACTAGATAACAAAAACTAATGAGAAAACAGAAAAAGGAAAAGCAACATACAATGGTTGTGAGCATATACCATATCCTGCTGGACAAGAGTAAGAAGAGTAAGACAGACTTCGCTTCTACGGCAAAGAATCAAGATCTCTGTCAGCCAAGCAACGTGTCAAGATTTTCCTTCTCAAAGATCCTGCCTCAGAGATGTAGTGAAAGGAATCCTGGCAGCCATTAGGTAGCCATCTTTCTATCAGGAATGGAGACTGGGACGTTGCCTTTAAGACAGCACAACAGTAGGTACCTTTTGCCAGGCTGAGGAGGAATTTCTAGCGATACCTTAAAACTTGACTTGGCTGCCAGTCAGTGTCATTTGGCGAAATCCATTAGCTTGTTATCAGAAATCTCACTAAGACTTCAGGTTCAAATATGGACACTACCCTTCCTGTTTTGATCTCTTGAAAACTAGCCTGGCAGCTCCATGAAATCTCCCTGGATATCTTAGTTCAATGGCTTTTGTCATAGGCTCTCCAAGGGTGAGGAAGAGAACAGGCTGGGATTATGAAGCTAGGTTATCGTATTGGATGCCAGCCCTTAAGTTGTATACCACTCAACTGGTATAATGGGAGGACTTACCTTTTTCCATTGATAAGGAAGCATAGCAGAAGATATTTGGGAAGAGTTCTGAGGAATGAAGCATCCATGACTCCATTGCTAATTCCTACTTAGTGTATTAACTTATAGACGGCAGAAATTTTCGTTATTTCACTTGGCAGAGTAGATATTATCTGATCCTTAGGAATACAGGATAACTAAACCACTAGAAAAAGAGCTCCTCAACAATGCTTTGTAATTTACATCTCACTATTGCTGGTTTCTTTCAGAAAGGCCATGCTGAGCTAGTTTGTCTCTCTCATGGCACTGAAGCAAGAAGTAGCCAACATATTCCAATAGCCCGTTTGTTTGTTTGTTTTGTTTTGTTTTTGCCAATTTCCCTAAAGTTAGAGCCTTACTGGACATAACAAATAATCTACCAGTGTTTTTCAAAGTCTCTAGGGTGAAGAATCAATTTTTGGATTATTTTTAATTACCAGCCCATTGCAGACAAATATTTTCATAAATACAAAACTGCATGCTTAGATAGCCCTGTGATGTCAAATTATTAAACGTTTCCAAATCCTCCTCTCACTTTCCATATCTCTTTCATTGTTGACTAGTAGAGCTTGCAGACTGGCTTTGGTCTGTACATCACATTTTTAGTAGCACTGATAAAACCAATAAAACTTGCTACTTTCCAAGCCTGGGATGGATGACTCCTCACTGTCCCCACTTCCTTTACTAGGCCAGTTCTACATTTTAGGGTTGTGATGGTTAATACTGAGTGTCAACTTGATTGGATTGAAGGATGCAAAGTATTGATTCCGGATGTGTCTGTGAGGGTGTTGCCAAAGGAGATTAACATTTGAATCAGTGGGATGGGAAAGGTAGACCCACCTTTAATTTGAGTGGGCACCATCTAATCAGCTGCCAGTATGGCCAGGATATAAAAAGCAGGCAGAAAAACCTGAAAAGGCTAGACTGTCTTACAGTCTACATCTCCCAGCCTACATCTTTCTCCCATGCTGGATGCTTCCTTGAACATCGAACTCCAAGTTCTTCAGCTTTGGGTCTCAGACTGGCTTCCTTGCTCCTCAGCTTGCAGACAGCCTATTGTGGGACCTTGTGATCATGTGAGTTAACTACTACTTAATAAACTCCCATATATATATTTTATTAAGTAGTAGTTATATACATACATAACAGGATATATATGTCTATCCTAATAGGATAGACATATATATCCTATTAGTTCTGTCCTTCTAGAAAACCCTAATACAAGGGTCAGCAATCACAATTCCTATTTCTAGGTTATCAATTTCTGTACTGATCAATAGTCTTGGATGAGAACATATACTGCATATTCTAACTTTACAATGCATTGTCTCCTAGCTGGCACCTGAATAATGGGTCACATTATAAGAGCAGTGAAGCCCATGGCCTTTGGTTAGAGGAATGGTGTATGGGATAATGTGATAGGTCTATTATTATTATTATTATTTTGTATAAATTTGGAAGTACAAGTACAGTTTTGATGCATTGATATGTTGCATAGTGGTTGAAATCTGGGCTTTTAGTGTTAACCATCACCGGAATAGTATAATAGGTCTATAATTAATAGGGAATAGTGCTTGCAGCAAAACCAAATCCCATTCCAGAATGTGGAACTAATGTAGGGAAGCAAACTATTGGCTGATCCATGACAAAAGGGAGTCTAAAGTAATTGACATTCCTGCTTCTAGGTATTTGGCTGGTCCCCTTGAAGGAGAATGCCTCGTAAGGACCTTAGAACTTGTCGCCATTGCTGTAACGTTGACTTTTCAGGAGTGGCAGTAGCCACTGGAATAGAGAGTCTCCCCTGCCGTTTCCTTGGCAAATCATGTTATTTTCCAGGCTAAAACTCCACTTTCCCTAGCACTTGGAAGAAAGTCCAAACTCCTTCTATGGTCTACAAGGCACTGAAAGTTCAAGACCTTAATTTCCCTCCAATTTCAATGACTGTCATTCTTCCTTTGCACTGTTTCCTGATGCCCTAGCCACACTAATACCCCAGCACAGCAAGTACTCAGCATATCTTGTTCCCTCTGACTGGAACACTCTACATACATTCTTCCCACTCCCATCCCTTTTAGAAATTGGCTGAGATGTTACCTCCTAAAAGTCCTCTCCCCACCACCACACAGACATTACTTTCTAACCCAGCTTCTTGTTCACTTTCTTTATTAAACCTGACCCAACTATAATCACTATCCCTTGAAAAATAAATTAGTACAGAAATGAAAACAAACTCCATCATTCTACGGAGCTTTCAAATGCTCGAATATGTTTCTGAACACTCAGAGGGGAAAGCAAAAAATCAAGAGGCATCCTTGGAGATCTCGTAAATAATAAAATACCTAAATGGTTGCCTACTGTCAAAACCCCAAGAATTCAGCCCACGTCTTCTCTTTTAAAAAGGCAGTGGCATTTTCATTTTTTTCATCTGATTCCCACCAATCAGAGGCCAGGTACCCATGAACCCGGCTCGGCGTGGTCTTTTAATAATTAAATCAGGGCTGCCATTGACCTCAACTAACGCCAGGGGCTTCTGACTGCAGCCGAGCTCTGGTGGAAAGGCCGATGCCGGCCTGAGAGTGGGAAACGTGGGGCCGGGAGCCGGGGGCTTCCGCGCGGCGTGGCGTGGCGTGGCGTGGCGTGGCGCCCTCAGGGCCGTTACGCGATTTTCGCTCCCGCGGGCAGCGCCTCTCAGGCCACTCCCGAGGGACCCCGAGGACGCACTCGGGCCCCAGGGCGACGGTTCAAACGGGCCATTGTGCGCCCCCGGGGTCCCCCGGCCCCTGCAGGGCTACTTGGGCGCAGAGCCGCGGAGGGTCTCCGTTCCTAGAGGTCCTCCTATCCCGGGCTGCCTGAGTCCTCGCCAGCATCCGCCCTCTCCCACTCCCATCCTTCCTGGATCCGCCTCTCGGTTCCCGAGGGACAGTCCCGACCGCAAACCCACGTAGAGTAAGGAATGTGGGACAGGCGACAGAAGTGGCATACGGTCCTGCGTTATCCCTCCGTCTCGCCACACCTTGTGTCTCCATCTCTCCCCACTTCCTTCCCTCCGTCTGTCATCTGTCATCCCCGGTCGCTCTAAGACCAGGATTCCAATTCGCCTAGTGAGGAATCTCACTAGGGGAATTTATCGCGACATCATAAATTAACGGGTTCATTTTGACTGAAAAAGCGAAGGACTTTTTTCAGGCAGAAAACAAGTCTCGTCTGGACGGTAAGGACTAGCTTTAGCAATTATATAATGGGGGGTGGGGAGGACCTTTTGTATAAATTTAATGAGCTGATGAGAAAGTTCTACGGTTTTGACAAAAAAGTCCACCTAAATATTCGACTGTATGCCAGAAATTACTACACGTTTAGATATCAACTAAAAATATACAAAGGATACACGGTGTTTTCAGAACCCTTTCAAGCGGTTCTTAAACAAAAAAGTCTAGTCCGATGCCCATTAGCGCCGCCCCCATCCCACCTCTTACCTCCCACCGAGCCCAGCGGGTGGGCAGGAGGGGCCTGATTTGGGGACCAGGAAGGAGGAAGGAAGGGTGGGGGCGGGGGACGGGGAAAGTGACGGGAGCAGTGAGAGCCGGAAATGAGTGGCTAGCGAGGCACCCAGGAGCGCCCTGTCCGGCGGCGCTCTAGCCCTCGCGCACTGTCTCTATGCTCCCCAGCGTCTAGTCTATTTATTGTCGCGGGGAAGCTGCGGCCGCCTCGCACCCGGAACAACAAAGCAAGGAAGACGGAGTCCGAGCCTCGGGGGCTCCTAGCAACGGGCCGGGGCGGGAGTTCCATGGAGACTGGGGAGCGCGCCCGTCTCATCCTCATCCTTGTCCTCCAGCTTCTCCTTCGCATCCGACGCAACCGGCAGCAGCGCTGCCGCCGCGTCCTCAGCCACCGCTCCCTCTTCCCACGGTAACCCCCTAGGCGACCCTGGGCACAGGGAGCGCGGGCGGCTGAGCGGCCTGAGCACCGGGTGCGGGGCGTCTGGGCGCGGGGTGGGCATGTGCGGAGCCCGGGCCAGACTTGGGGTGGGATGTGTGGGGGCGGGCGACTGGAGGGCAGCCGCTGAGGTGGGGGAAACCGGTCCGGTGGCCGAGGGAGGGCTCAGTTCTGAAGAGGACCGGGCGATATTTGGGGATCTCTTTAGGGATAACGGGTTGGGGGTGGGGCGTCCGTACCTGGGAGCGTTACCGAGCCTGGTGTAGGATAAGAAAAGAAGGGTTATCTTTCGTTTAAGCCACCACTGGGAAAGACGGGGAAAAGAGATTCCTCATCTGTCTCGGAGCCATCACCCAGGGGAAGAGGGACCGTGCAAAGATGCTAGGGGTCCGTTGCTTCTCAGAAAACTTACAGCGGCTTCTCTAATAGCTCCCAAAAAGCGGCTTCGTCGGTTTCTGATTCTGGCAATGCCGGCAGCCTCGCTTTATTTTATTATTATTTTTGACCAAAATTAGGATTGATGGAGAAGGATCTAGAACTGAAGAAGAGAAAATGAATTGTGGGTAGGGCTAAGCAGGGATGAGAGTCGGGATAAGTGATAAAAATAGCCAATAAAAGCCCTAAAAGTAAATCTAATAGGGCATGAGGGCTTAAAAAGAAAATCTCTCCTGCCGAGATGTGCATCTGCAGGCTCTGTCAATGTGCTCATTGCAATAAGACTCAAACTGCAGTCAATCCACATCTGTGAGCTCTCTGACTGCATCTGTCACCTGCAGTTCCAAAGCGACACTGGCAGTAAGTGCATGAGCTTCTGTATTTAGGGTTTAGAACAGTGCCTTAAAACTGTGACTTAAGAAAAGGGAGCAGGTTTGCGTGTGTGTGTGTAAGCAATGTGGATTCTCTGGGAAAATATAAAAAGAGACATAAGAAGGTTCAGCCATCCTGGCATAATTTCGCAGTCTCTTTGAGAAAATGGCAGTTCCTTCCTATTGAGAAGTGACTGTTAGCACTATCTGGTTGAAAGGATTATTCACAGTTTGGTATGCCCAGTGAAATATCAGTTTATGTTACCTCTTTAGTCTTACATCACAAGCTGCTTAATGGTTTTATACTTTACAAAATCATTTTGGGTGAGTAAATGAGGTTTTCCTGTAGCACAATGAAAAGGCCACATATACATACAAAGTTCTTTATGTAAAGTTGAAGATTAAAGATGAAAATAAAATTGATAAATCATAGGAGCAATTAGGTCAACCACAGCTTCTGTTTGTTCCCCACCCCTTTTGTTAAACCTGACTTCTCCTAAGCAAAAAGGTGTCATCCTTTCCCCAGCCTCCTCTTTACGTACCCTCTGCCCTCAAAATCAGTATCAGAAACTCTAGTGACCTATTACTATGTGCCCTTGATTGGGCTGGCTTGTTCCTGAATGAGGGCTAGCCAGAATATAGCTTCAACTCAGGCGTTTTCATCTTAAGCTTTTAATATGGAATTGAGGTCCAGTGTCTGTTAAAGGAATTTCATTCATGTGTAAAGAAGTGGACAGGATGCAAAGTGTGAACATTGGGAAACTTAAGTTGCATTTTAAGACATTAAGAAGAAAAAGATAGATTAATGAATCAAAGACTGTTGCTTAATCTTTGTAGCAGTTCTGTGAAGGATATACTGGGATAGCCATACTTGAGGCTGTGGATGTTGAGTCCTGGGGTTATCTTTGTGCATATGAGACTTGACGAAGTGTCCCTCAACCTCAGGGCTGCCATCAGACTCACTTGACCCAGATCTAGTTTGCCGTTGTCTGTCTCTTCATTGTTTGAGTGAGGGTCAAGCCCTAGCTTCCACCTTTATTAACAATGCAGTGTCTGCTTTCCCTGCTCTCCTCCGCCCCAATACTCCCAACTTTGGTGGTAGTTTAGTTACTGTCTTTTCTTAATCATGTCCCAATCAAAAATGATTTTTTATGCTGTATCATTTCCGTTTCTTACAGCATTTTCAACATGTGTCCTTCGCCTGCATGTGCATTTCATTAATGTGATTTTATCTGTTGCATTTTCCTTCTGTACCCTCCTCTTTATTTGGAAAATTGGAGTGGTCATGTTAGATGTTCTGTATTCATTCTGAGTAACTGTTGGTTGTGAATACAACAGGTTAAGAGCCTCTGCTGAAACTCAAGAGCTTCTATTAAAATAAGGTATATTAAAATTTTTGAACTTAGCAGAATGAAAGACGTTAGAAGTCCAAATGGTAATACTGTAATTGTAGACGGTCACTTTTTAAAAAAGTATTGTAGAGCCTGTTCTGTGTTTTAAATTGAACCTTAGATTTTCATGATTCTTATTCTAAAAAAATTATTCTTAAAATCAATCTTGACTGAAATTATATTCTGCCAAATTTGAGGGAACTACTTATAGTAATTTCCCCAAGTTATTCTTAACATAGAAAATTGTCACATCAGCATTTGTGTGGATGAACACATATAAAATGCAGAATTTGCTATGAAGTAGAACAAATATTTATGAAACATATAGCTGAATGTTTTTGGAGAGAGTTATTTCTTCTCATGGACATGGCACATTATTTAAAAAAATCAGAAAATACTGTATAATCTAGTTGAGTGAACATGAGGACTGTTTTTAGATGAAGGATACCAGTAATAACCTAGGTGATTGATTTCCTTCTGTTTCATCATAGACCATGTGATGAAATTATTGCTATAAAATATGAACGTTGCAGTTGATTTTTAGAAGAATTTATAGTAGAATGTTTCCACATTGTCTCTGAGTTAAAATCTCTGGTGTTTTCAAATTTTAGCTGTATTGTGACATTCGAACTAATAAAGATTCCCTGAAACTTAAATCCATTTTGTTGTGCCTTCTGTATGTCTGGTGCCGTGTCAGGTGTGCAAAGCTGGATGAGAGAGGTATTTCCCTTCAGGTGCTTTTTGTGCACTTGTAGGTAGCAGAGAAATGACATGTGTGTAATAAAACATGACAGACACAAATATGAATTTTAAATTCTTTATTACATACTGCCTGGTACTGTCACTATTGGTGAATGGACTTCATCATGCCTGCTAAACTAGAAGTTTCTTGAGGATCAGGAGTATGAGTAGCCATCATCATATTGTATGTCCCTGCCCTGTGTGTGTATTTTGAAGATTACGTTGTTAATAGAAGGAGATACATGTTTGTTTATTTCACTTCAAGAGCTTAGCTAGTGGATGAAGGAAACCTTTTTGAAATCTGATTCTTGATGCCTAAAATTTCAACTTTGTATTCTGGCTGTGGGCATGCAAATTACAAGCAGTGACACTTTCTCAAGCATGATTACAGCTTCTAACCAATTCAAACAATAAAGATAATGGTGGACTGCCTTCACTTGAGTAGACACGATATTTGCTCTTGTCACATGACTACCACTTTGGGAAATTTCAAAAGGATGAGAGACTGTATACGTATCTGAGGTTTTTCCAGGCTACATAGACAAATTTGATTTTTGTATTATTAACCAGTCAATCTTTTCTTTAGAAGACAGATGGAGTTTGTGTATTTGTGTAGTTGTGAAAAAGCAAGATTCTGGAAGTATGTCTTTAGTGGAAAGGAATCAGGTCACATCAGAAATTCTACTTGTCTGTGACTAAAGGGTGATAAAATAGAGAATTTGGTTTAAATGGCTGGTTTTGTGGGTTGAAGCATGCTATGGATCCCATTAAATGTTTTTAAAAAAAAACTCAATAGGGTGATTTCTGGGGTAGTGGAGATGTGCCTTTGTGTGGGAGTCAATAATGAAAATGTTTAAAATTTCACCAAAAAGTACAGCACAGAAGTTTGGCTGTTGGTTACTTTCACCATCCATTAATAAAAAATACTGAAAACCAGACGGTGTGTTAAGGACAGAGTTTTCTTAGGACATATGTGGATGATTTCAGCATTGAATTGTGCTTAGCACAAGATAGACATCTGTGTGTAGACATTGGCCCATGGTATGTTTTTGTTTTTTAACTCACTAGGTGAGAACTTAAGTCTTACTTAAAAGCAGTAAAAAAATTTGTTTCCATTAATAAAATGGTTCCAAAGAATCAGGTGTTAACGTTCCCGCTCCTGATAAATTACAAGTATTTTCACTGTGAGACAGAAGAGTTTTGATCAGAATCAGTTACGTTTTCTTGAGATTGGGATTGGTACAACACTTAAAGAGTACGGACTCTGGATGCAGGCAGCCTGTGTTCAGCATCATGGCTGTGCTTTTAATTAATGGCATGGCCTTAAATATTAAATAGCTTTCTCACTGCCCTGAGCCCCAGTTTCCTCATCTGTACTAGGGAGTTAATACTACTACTACGTTACAGGGTTGCTGTGAGAATTAGCATAAAGCACTTAGAACTTTAGTTAAAAGCTTTAAAAAGTATTAGCAGGTGCTAGTAGCAGTGGCACTGGATATTATTTTAAAGGTGAACTGTTGGACCACTTGGATGCTTTGTTTCTTTGGTTGGGAGGCTTTCTACTAGAGCATTGAAATTCTTTCTTTCTTTCTGTTCACTGACTATTGGACTCATCTCTGCTGTTAGGCTTTAGGAGGGGGAAGTACTTTTTTTAAGTTTTGAATTGTCACACAGGCATCTGGTTATCACTGATGGCAGATGGACTAAGTAAAGAGAGACATCTCTGTTTCTTGGAAAAGGAAGGCCGACAAAGCCTGGGCTGGCACCATGTTGCAGCTATTGAAATACTATTTCCCTGTGGACTTGACTTGTTTAGCTGTATGATACTTCTGAATAAAAGGAATAAACCCCAATGGTTTCATTTAACAGAATTAGGCTTTCGTTAGAAGGCACTATTTTTTACTTGTATAACCTTAGTTGATGGTAAACTTGAAGCTTGTTAGTATCAGTGTAAAGCCATGTGTTGTGAGCTTTCTGTGCCACTATGAATGTTCTAATAGTAGCTTTTTTTTGTAATTTTAGAAGTAGCTAAAATTGCTGCTCTGCCCCAGTAATTCAGGTGGCTCAAGAATGACTTCGTAGGATAGCAAAATTATTTGTTTATGGTAAAGCTAAAAACAAATACTGAAGCTACCTAATCAGGAAAATAATTTGATAATTATAGTTTTGTTTAGGCTGCTGCTGAAATAATAGCTAACTTTAAAAAGTTAAGTCCAAATGTTTTAGTTTAGTTGTGTGGACATTGGAAACTGCTGACTAAAAATAAATGTTTCTGCCTAAACAAAGTGAATTGCAGACTGTTCTTTCCTATTCTGGCTAATAACCAGGTCTTAGTTTTTAGTTGAAATCCATTTTTATAAAATATATACTATAGAGGTTTATATAAAATATATTATTAAAAGCATATTTTGCTTTAAATGTGCAGGGTAAAGTGTTATAATTCCTTCTTCCATGTTGTGCTGGTTTTGTTTATTTGTTTCAGCTGGTTTTTATAAGCTTCCACACACTAAGGAGGTTGGCAAATATGCTTGTATTTAGAGGTGTGACTTTTGTTTTCCTGTTTAAGAGAGGAAATGATCATGACTGTTGCACCAAATAGATAGAGATATATATTTCCTTTAGTTTTAGATACCCTGAGGACTGTGCTGGGAAATTTTTTTTTTGTTTGAGACAGAGTCTCACTCTGTCACCCAGACTGGAGTGCGGTGGTGGCATCTCAGCTCATTGCAACTTCGGCTTCCCAGGTTCAAGTGATTCTTGTGCCTCAGACACCCAAGTAGTTGGGATTACAGGCATGCGCCACCACGCCTAGCTAATTTTTATATTTTTAGTAGATGCAGGGTTTCCCCATGTTGGCCAGGCTAGCCTCGAACTTCTGACCTCAAGTGATCTGCCTGTCTCAGCCTCCCGGAGTGCTGGGATTATGGGCAATGGGCACGAGCCACCATGCCTGGCCTGTGTTAGGAAATTTTTAGGAAAACAGGTTGCCATGGTATCAGTACTATAGTCCACAATAAAACTTGCCTGTTTTGAGACAAAGTTCTGTCTAACACATTGTTAATTTTTCTCTAGTGTTCTTTCTTTCTTTCTTTCTTTTTGTTTTGTTTTGGAGATGGAGTCTCACTCTGTCGCCCAGGCTGGAGTGCAGTGGCGCGATCTCGGCTCACTGCAACCTCCATCTTCTGGGTTCAAGCAATTCTCCTGCCTCAGCCTCCCGAGTAACTGGGATTACAGGCACCCACCACCACACCTGGCCATTTTTTTGTATTTTTAGTAGAGATGGGGTTTTACCACATTGACCAGGCTGGTCTTGAACTTCTGACCTCAGGTGGTCCCTCTGCCTCAGCCTCCCAAAGTGTTGGAATTACAGGCGTGAGCCATTGCACCTGGCCACCTAGTGTTCTTTCTATCACACTCTTTTTCAGGGACAGATGTTGCTGTCTTTCAGATATGAACATAATAAAGTCAATGTGTAACCCAAAAGTGCAAATATGAAGATGGAGATTTGATTTATGACTGTGGACAACATTTATAGGGCCTGTTACTGTTTGAAACTCAGTTAATGAACTTGAAGCTTTTGTGGAACAAGAACCACCCCATCCTTTTTAATTTGTCAGATGCTTCTGGTGAGCCGCAAGCGTTTTTCCTCTCACCTACTTATGGCTGCAGTGTGTTCCTTGGGCATTTCCAGTGACTTGTGTACATGTACAACCTAGGAAAGTTGTAATGAGCATACCTTAATTGCTTGTGGGTTGACCTCCTTCCAGGATCTTTGCTCGTTACAGATTAGGGTGGTTGCAGGGATCACAGACAACCATATTGAAGGCACAATGACTAATTCATTAGACCTTCCTCAACAGAAATTAGTGTGCTAATCTTAAAGGTACTCTGTTCTTTACTCTTCTTTTGTACTGAGGGGGGAGGCCCTCAGTAAGGGATGCTGAGTGGCTCAACAGATTAAAAAGCTATATTGCTAATGGAAATCTGTAGGTCTCAGTATAGCAGAGAAAGCCTTTGGCTGACCAGCCTTTTTTTTTTTTTTTTTTAATTTTAAGAAATTCAACACTACTCCTTGGCTGTGGCCAGTAATCTTGAAACTTCCACTTCAGTGCGCAGTACAAAACAACTTGGATAATTATTTAATTTGTCTGTACATTTAGAATGCATGCCTCTTGATTTACTCTTTCTAGGCTTTTGGTTTTGGCCTATTAAAATTAGAAGAGTTTCAAATGCCTGAAACAATATTCTGAATTTGTTTGTCTTGGTTATATATTTTTGCTGTCTCTTTGGGTATAGAGGAAAAATGGCTTCATCATCACACCCTGTTTAACTTTAACTGAATGGTTGATATCTTGGAAGTGACTGACAGGGTGGCCATTCTCTGATGACCGGCTATAGTGGAATTAGCTGTAGGCTATAGAACATGGGTGAGTTAGAACCCTTGGGGATGAAGAAAAGGAGACAGTAACTTTCAGAGGATGAGAAAAGGGAATATAAAAAATGCTGAAGGTCAGTAGGTGTGTTTTAATTAAAATAATTCTTTTCTTACATCAGAAATATATTTTTGTATTTGTAAAAGCTCCTGGAACACAGTTGCTCTTCAGGATTTGGGGGTCTGACCTAAAACCATTAGTAACTTGTTAGGTGTAGGAGCACTAAGTAGTATAATATACCAGAAAGTGAAGTAAGGGAAGAGTTGGATACTGTTGGAGAACTTGAGTCAGTTGAGGCTACTCAGATTCTTATTGCTATCGTGAAAGATATCTACTGTTTACACTTACCTGCCCCCAACCCCACAAACCATTTTCTCAGTTGTTCTTAAGGTATTCATTTAATTCATCAACTTTTTATTGAGTTTAGGACCAAATGCCAGCAATTCAGCCAAGTTCTAAAGACACACATTTAAATTAAACAGTTATCTTCAAGGAGCTTGGTGTCTGCAGTTCAGTAGACACTTATAACACCAACAGTACCATTCATTTGCTGTGCCCTCTGCCGGGTTGCTCTTCTCCCAGTGTTTCATATGGCTGGCTACTTCTTATCCTTTAAGATCTCTTTTTAAGATTCTTTCTTTCTTTTTTTTTTTTTTTTTTTTTGAGACGGAGTCGTGCTCTGTCACCCATGCTAGAGTGCAGTGGTGCAATCTCGGCTCATTGCAACCTCCGCCTCCCGAGTTCAAGCATTCTTCTGCCTCAGCCTCCTGGGTAGCTGGGATTACAGGTGCACATCACCATGCCCGACTAGTTTTTGTATTTAGTAGAGATGGGGTTTCACCATGTTAATCGGGCTGGTCTTGAATCCCTGACCTCGTGATCCATGCGCCTTGGCCTCCCAAAGTGCTGGGATTACAGGTGTGACCCACCGCACTTGGCCAAGAATTATTTCTTACCTCTTAAGAAAGTTGAAAGACCTTCCCTGGATCATTGCTCCTGAAGTTTCTCTTTCATTATCTCGTTTCCTTTATAACATAGATCACATTCTCTTGATTATTTTGTCAGCCTATTTGTTGTCTTTTTCTTCCACTGAAATACAACTGCCATGAGAGTTGCTTGCCTGACCATTTTGTTCTGAGCTGTATTCCCAGTGTCTACCCGCAGAGCTTGGTTCACATGAGTTGCATACTAAATATGCAATTATGCGTAAAAGTTTCCTAGTTGAAGGAGTGGGGAAAGGACGATTTAGGCAGCTATAAAACCGCGAAACAGTCTGTTATTGGAAGAGGAATGGTGTAAAGCTGAGAATGTTAAGGTGTGTTGGAAGTGGAAGATTAGGTTATATAAGGAAGATCGGGGGTGGGAAGTCCACTGCATTCCAAGGCAAGCAGATGAGATTCTGTTTTTCATTCTAAGAGAGCCAAGAGATGCTTCTTCAGATAGGGAGACAATTAGGAAGATAATCCTGGTAGCTATTTGGTAGATGGATTAGAGCATGGAGAATGCAAGCAGAGAGTTCTATTAGAAGCCTGTAGCCATAATGACATGTGAGCTGGCCTAAAATAAAACGTTGCTTTGGATGCAGAAAAGAAGCTAGATTAAAAGTTAACTGAGCAGAGGAGAAGAATGAGAGATGAAGGATGATTCTGAAATTTCTGGTTGAAGTGAGCGAGTGTTAATTGTGACTCACTCCATTCACAGAATTACAAGGAGATAGAGCAAGATTTCTTGAGGTGCTTAATGAGTTTTGTTTGTATGTGTCGATTTTAATAGATATGCCTAATAGATGATTGGGAATATGGATTCAGATATCTGATAGGTCAGGATAGATGTAGGAGCCAGCCATAAGCTCATAGATAGCAACTGAGGCCTGAAAAGTTTAAAGAGGAAAAGGATTTCAGGCAGTGGTTTATAACCTTTAGGGATCTTAAACCTATTGGTAATATGAAAAAAACAATGGCCTTCTCAGGTACAGATTAGTGTGTATACAATTTCAGGGGGTTCCTAACCTGTGGAACCTATTGTTGAGCTTTTCAGGGTCTGGCATGGATTTCAGTTAAGAACTTCTGATTTAAGGAACAGACAGAGAAGTATATGAGATGGGGAGAGAATTCAAGAAAGCTTCTTCAGAATCCAGGGATAGGACATGGCAAGGGAGCAGTTGGAGAATCAGAAGTTCCCAGTGCTTTATGCTCTAGAGTAGGAGGGAGTTTAAAGTGTGCCATTGAATTCAGCAATGAGCCATTCATTTGTAACATTTTGTACTGTGTAGAGGCAGAAGACAGATTATGCTGGTTTAAAAGCATGAAGTGGAGTTTGGGAAACAAGGGATGGTAAACAGAATGTAGAAGTCTTGATGTTCTCTGAAAAACAGTACTGATAGAAGAATAGAGCCCTTTTTAAGGATTTATGGAGAGGGAAATTCCATTATTTTAATTACCCTATGATGGTGTTTCAACCCAGTCGTTCTCAACTGACTACCCATTAGAAACATCTTGGAAATATTTTCAAAATTAGGGCCCTATCAAGGTCAATTAAATCTGTATTTGTGGGATTTGAGCATCTTCATAGTTATTATCTTGTTTCTGTTGTTTTGTCTTTTGGTCTTTTTATTTGTTTAAGACATAGTCTCACTCTATAGCCCAGACTGGAGTGCAGTGGTGTGATCATAACTCACTGCAGCCTTGACCTCCCAGGCTCAATCCTCTTGCCTCAGCCTCCTGAGTAGCTGGGCCTATAGGCACACACCACCACATCTGGCTAATTTTTGTATTTTTTTGTCGAGACAGAGTCTCACCATGTTGCTCAGTCTGGTCTGTAACTCCTGGCTCAAGCAACCTGCCCACCTTGGCCTCCCAAAGTGCTGGGATTACAGGCATGAGTCCACCAGGCCTGTCCTTGTCTTTTTCTTGATCGTTAAGAACCGGCCTGGCGCGGTGGCTCACGCCTGTAATCCCAGCACTTTGGGAGGCTGAGGCGGGCGGATCACAAGGTCAGGAGATCGAGACCATCCTGGCTAACGTGGTGAAACGCCGTCTCTACTAAAAATACAAAAAAAAAAAAAAAAATTAGCCAGGCGTGGTGGCGGGCGCCTGTAGTCGCAGCTACTCGGGAGGCTGAGGCGGGAGAATGGTGGGAACCTGGGAGGCGGAGGTTGCAATGAGCCGAGATCGTGACACTGCACTCCAGCCTGGGCGACAGAGCAAGACTGCGTCTCAAAAAAAAGAACCAATGTTCCAATCAGAAAACTTCCTTATCACTCTTGTGTGTTCTGTGTAAGAACCCATTCTTTTACTTGTATATTATCATTAAATTACTCACCCTACTGTTGTGGTAGTGTTCTTGACTTTCTCACAGACCATAATTTCAGGTTTTAAAAATGTATGGCTTTCTTCTGATCTCTAGCCAAGTTCTCTGTGTTTATCCTTTTTGAGTGACGCACCCTTCAACCAGTTACTCAGATCTGACAAGCTCTGAGTAAAATAAGAAATTCCTAATGGTGCTTACATGTGGAAAGAGTGTTCATTATGTAATCATGTTTGTTTTAAGTATATTTTGTACTGTTTTTTAAACCAGAAATGTTTGAACTGTTTGTTTTTTTTGTTTTGTTTTGTTTTTTTGGGTTTTTTGGGTTTTTTTTTTTTTGAGATGGAGTCTCACTCTGTCTCCCAGGCTGGAGTGCAGTGGCACCATCTTGGCTCACTGCAAGCTCCGTCTCCCGGGTTCACGCCATTCTCCTGCCTCAGCCTCCGAGTAGCTGGGACTACAGGTGCCTGCCACCACTCCAGGCTAATTTTTGTATTTTTAGTAGAGATGGGGTTTTACCGTGTTAGCCAGGATGGTCTCGATCTCCTGACCTCGTGATCCACCCGCCTCAGCTTCCCAAAGTGCTGGGATTACAGGTGTGAGCCACCATGCCCGGCCGAACTCTGTTTTATTTTCCCAAGTAACTAATTTCATAATCTGACCTTCCTTTTCTTAAAATGGCATTTGTGCATGACATAGACCTTAAACAGGTTGTCTATGCTAGAGCATTTTATATGAGGGGTAACTCTATAAAAACAGTCGAAACTATGAAAATAGGAAGTTTCACCCGTTGTATTTTCCCCATGCAGTACTTTCTCTTGATTAAATTCTTGATGAGTTATCAGTGCTTCAAGTTTGAGCCCTGCATTCACACCCTTGAAATAAATCAGAATATAGAGAGGCTTGATCTTGATGCATGCCAATTCTGACACCAACTTATGAGAAGATTTATTCAGTCTTTTAGCTACCCTAGTGAATTAACATTTACACTTGTAAATGAAACTAATAATCTTTTAAAAATTATGCTGTTTTGTTAGCATTAATTTAATGGCTAAATTAGTCTTACAAATTATAGTCACTTACAGTAGCTTAGGACAAATATCAAACTTCTCAGTAAAGAGATGAAACTTTTTAGCTTTTAAAATTATAGTCCGTAATATGGGAAGTAGGGGCACATATAAGACCTGCTCAAGAAAACAAATACCTTACAATTTAAATGAAATGAACATCATAAACTTGTATCACAATTTAATATCCAAACCCATTATGCTTCTAATTTTCCTGCTTTTTTGCAGGTACCTAATGAAGTAAAATCTAGCATAATACCTATTTCGTAACATGTAGTAGATTTGGTCAGTCTTTTCCTGTTTCATTTGCCACCTTCCCTGTCCCCACTCCCCTCAGCACCACCAAAAAAGAACCCCATGATCAACAACTATTTGCTTTGATTTGATGGTTTTGTTATTGTTGGAGTTTTGTGGGTTTTTTTTTTTAATTCACTGTTAAATTTAGTGCTTTTTTCAGTACTCATTTCACTTAACAGATACATCAAAGTTGTATTCTTTATTTTTACCACTTACTTTTAAACTTGAAGGAATATGATTTGCTTTTGTGTTCCAAAGCTTGAGGACTACAGTGAGTAACTAGAAATCCTTTCCATTTTTGAACATTTCTCCATCCATATGAAGAAAGGAGATATAATAATAGTAACAATAAGAACAGCTACATTTGAATGCTTGTCATGTGCAAGTACTGTGCCAAGCGCTTTATATGAAATTTAATTTTCACAACACTATGATGGGTTCTGTTTATCTGCCTTATTTTACAGAGGAGGATATTGAGGCACAAAGGTGTTAACTTACCCACAGTCATATGGCTAATAAGTGGTAGAGTCTAGATTTAACCCAAGCATTCTGCTGAGCTCTTCAACTTCAGAGACAGAGAGAGACAGAAAGAAACAGAGAGAGAGTGTGTGTGCATGTGTGTGTGTGTCGTGTGGGTGTGTAAGTAAACATTGCTTTTTAATAACCTCAAGCTTACAGTTAAACTCTGCAGACATTTTATTGAATGTGTATGGCGCATTGGGAACTACGCCAAGGCTGGGGTACAGAAATAAAGAAGATTTGATCATGCTTCTGAGGAGCTTATTGTCTACCAAGGAGACTATAAATAGGAAACATTTTACCATAGTTTGTAGTGTGGAAAACTGTGATATAAGTATGTATAGTAACATTACCATTGACCAAATGGGACTCAGAATAGGGACACTCTGGCTTAATATTGAGGATCAGATTTCTGAGTTCCTTTGATTTTTAAATTTCACCCATGATGGTTTTAATTACCTTCTGTACTAGGATTTCCAAATTTTCATTTCCAGTCTTAACCTAGACCTGTCCTGAGCAATGGACTTTTAGCTGATTAACTGCTCCGTATCTCCTCTTGGATGTCTCACAAGTTCCTTCAGTTCAAAATGTCCAAAACCGAATTGTTAACCCCTCCTACCTTTCTCATCTGCCCTGCAAACCTGCCCTTTCTCCAGTGTTTCCTATCTTAGTAAATAGTATCTTAGGCCACAAACCTGCAGTCATTCTCCATCTCCCTTTTTTCCATCCCCATATCAATCAGAAAATTCTGTTCACTCTATCTCTTAAAACTGCCTGTCTTGTGTCTACTACTTTGCATTTTCAAACCACAGTACTACCACTGTGGTCCGTCCTGTCATCTTGCCTGGACTGCTGTGCTACCCATTCTTCTCTTTCAGTCCATCCTCCCATTGCAGAGTGGTGGTGATACATTTTTATAATGCAAATACGTGATGTCAGTTCTTGCTTCTTTTTTAGCTAACCACTACTTTTGAGATAAACATGAAAATTCTGAACGTGGCATAGAAGGCATGATTTGACCCCTCCCTGCATTTCTAGCCTAGTCTTATGCCACTTTCCTTTTCACTTTTCTCACCGTAGCCATGCTGATTCTTCCTTCAGGCCTGAGCAGTTCCTACTCTTAGCTGAGAACATCTGCTGTTTCCTGAACCGAGTCTGTTCACTACCAGGTCCCTATCCCCTAGTATGGGTCTTAATGCTTAGATTTCCAGTTCATTGTTATAGAATTGATTGAATGAAGGTGATGCTCAGCTGTAGAACAAGTGGGAGTGGATCACATGTAGAAGTGGGCATAAATCATTTTCAGCAGAATGAATTAGATTAAGCGGGCAAAAGGTTAATATTCTTTATATATTAGAGCTTCCATAAATCAATAAGAAATCTTAGAAGGAAAATGAACAGAAGATAGGAGGCAGCTAACTTTAAAGAAATACAAATGGTTAGTAATATAGTCATGCATCGCTTAATGACAAGGATGTGTCCTGAGAAGTGAGTTTGTCATCACGTGAACATCATAGAGTATAATTATATAAACCCAGACGGTAGAATCTACTACACACCTGGGCTATGTAGTATAGCCTATTGCTTGTAGGCAGTGAACCTATACAGCATGTTTCTTTACTGAGTACTGTAGGCAGTTGTAACATAATCATAAGTATTTGGGTATCTAAACATAGGAAAGGTGTAGTAGAACTACGGTATTATAATATTATGGACCCCTGGACCAAAACATTGTTAGGCAGCACATGACTGTGTTTGAAAAGTTCACCCTCATTAGTATTCAAGGAAAATCAATTAATTCAGTATTGCTGCTTTTCATATCTCAGGTTGTCCAAGATTTTTATAAAATCCTTTGCTGACTAGGTAAGACAGCATGTGCGATCCCAATCTTGTTTCATGTGCACAGACAAATATATGGATTTAGAGCCTAGGACCATGTGCTTATATGAGCACAGGAAAAAAGCAGTTATCACTGTTAGGATTATGGGTGACTATTTTCTTTTTTTTTTTTTTTTGAGACAGAGTCTTGCTTTGTCACCAGGCTGGAATGTGGTGATGCAGTCTCGGCTCACTGCAGCCTGCATCTGCCTCAGCCTCCCCCAAGTAGCTGGGACTACAGGCGCGTGCCACCACGCCCAGCTAATTTTTGTATTTTTAGTAGGGACGGGGTTTCACCATGTTAGCCAGGATGATCTCGATCTCTTGACCTCGTGATCCACCTGGCCAGGTGACTATTTGAGTATTTCTTATATAATCAGAAAATGACATGCTATCTTCCTTAAATCTTGTATACTTAGACAGTTTATCTGAAATATTAAGAAATCTATCCAAAATAAAACTTGCTTTTATATAGTAAGGAATCATATGCCAAATTTCTCATCTTTGCGTTTGAATTTCCAAATGTAAGGTTGTAGTCAGTAAAATACACTTTTTTCCTTTATCCACAATAGTATATTAGTTAATATTATTGTTAGCATTCACTAATACATTGCTTTAATAGAGCATATCAAAATTTGTGAGTTTTTTTATTCTTCAAAACAATCATGAGAGGTAAATGGTATTGTGTTTTACAAATGAGAACAGGAGCAGTTCAGAACTAGTCCACTGTCGTGTAGCTTCCATTACAATTGATGTCTACTGTCTTAGCATCCAAGTTTTTTGTTTTGTTTTGTTTCTTTTGAGATGGAGTCCGCTCTCGCCCACGCTGGAGTGCAGTGGCACAATCTCTGCTCACTGCAGCCTCTGCCCTTGGGTTCAAGCAGTTCTCTTGCCTCAGCCTCCGCAGTAGCTGGGACTACAGGCGCCCACTGCCATGCCTGGCTAATTTTTGTATTTTTGGTAGGAGCGAGGTTTCACCAGGCTGGTCTCCAACTCCTGACCTCAAATGATCCACCCATCTTGGCCTCCCAGAGTGCTGAGATTACAGGCGTGAGGCACCACTCCTGGTCAGTATCCAAGTTTTCTTACTTTATAGATATATTTTAGTATTCGTCGAAACAGTGAGAATCTTAACTAGGTTACTGTTTAAACATTATTAAGATGAGACAGGTTTTCAATTATATCTTCTTATATTGCAAAATATTTCATTTTTTCAACCAGAATTTTTGCATGAGAATGTAAACCATTGAACTTATCTTTTCTTAAGCAGTCATTCAGAAAATCAGTATCATTTAAATCTTTCCCCATCACCTTTTAGACACCATTACAAATAATGTCATTGACTGAACCATAAAATACACTTTTTTTTTTTTTTTTTTTTTTTAGTAAATAGATGCTGGCAACCTCAGAGTTGTTGACTAATTTCCATTAAAAAATAGTACCTTGTAGCTTTCTTAATATAGATTTTTTTAACCATAATTCACTTTGATACAAAATTATTCACATGAATGCTACCTGCTTAACAGTCTTCAGACTGAATATCTAGATTGAGTCTCATAGATAGTAGGTAGTCATATGTAATGAAGATAGTTTAACTTTCTGTTTAACTGAATGTAATGATGCTTTTTGTACATCAAATACTTTTGCTTTCACTTAAGCATTTGTTAAATGTTTTACGGGTGGTAAAATATACAGTCTTTTTCTTTGGAAGATTCAAGGTTTTTTATGGCCAGGCAAACTTGGTAAAATTTTCTTCATGTGGCTAGACTATAAAAATGCCAACCCTGTGGACTGACTCCTAAAATGTCCTCATGATAGAATGTCACCCTGCCAAACAAGTTCAAGGTTTTCAACTGTTAGACCTTAGTGCATCTAACTCTCTCCCATTACTGCCCCTTTGAACACAAATGCATGCTGAAGGGGAAGTGGTGAGTTCAGAATTGATGATAATTTATCTAAACTAACAGAATAATTCTAGAATTAAAATGGAAATTTACTGTATAATTCCTACATTTGTCTAGAATGTATCTTCATCTAATATGTTAGGCTCCTGGGATTTTAGAATTAGATGGGAATCTTAAAAACCATCAGTCTAGTCTCATCTTTCACCTAATAGAAGACTTGTTTTGTGCCACTCCTAACTGTTGGTTAATTATCTAGCTCTGCCTTCCCTTTTTGGACACGAATCTTCTGGGGAGCCCACCACTTTGCAGTGTTAAGTATCTGGTTTTTTGTGTGGCTTCATGAGATCTTTCATGTGACCTCAATTGACTCTGTCAATTTTCTTTTTTATTCAGTTGAGAACAACTACTCTTTTTCCATTCTTATGCTAAATGTCCTAAGATTTTCTTCACACAGCTCACTGTTTTTATATCTCACACCATCGTACTTTGCTTTGGATATTTGGAAATAATATCTTTAGTATCTTTAAATAATAATTTGATAAATTCTGGATACTGTAGATATTTCAATAGCAAAGGCTATTACTCTCTTTGGTCTGGACATTCTTATCTAACCTAAGTTTATGTGTATATGTGTTTGTTTAAGTAATACAGTACATTTTGAACCCCATGTTGTCTTAATATAACCTATTATTAAATAAAGTCCTAATCTTAAACAGCTGTTAGAAATTATTATGGAAACTTTTAGGCAGAAATGTGGAGAGAGTAGCATAATGAACACTCATATATCTGTCACCAAGGTTTGTTTTTGTTTTGTTTTTGCTTTTTTTTTTTTGAGACAGGGTCTCACTCTGTCACCCAGGCTGGAATGCCGTGGTGCCATGATAGCTCATTGCAGCCTCAACCTCCCAGGTTCAGTGCACCTCAGCCTCCCAAGTAGCTGGAACCACAGGCATGCACCACCATACCTGGCTAATTTTAAAATTTGTTGTAGAAATTGAGTCTATCTGTGTTGCCCAGGCTGGTTTTTTATTTTTTAATTGACACATGATTGTACATATTATACATATTTATGAGGTACAGATTTGTTGTATAGTGATCAAATCAGGGTAGGGCATCTGTCACCTCATGAATTTATCATTTCTTTGTGGTAAGAACAGTCAAAAGCCTCTCTTCTAGCTATTTTATGATATACTTTACTGTTCACCATGGTCACCCTACTGTGCAACAGAACACCATAACTTATTCCTCCAATCCAATTGTAATTTTAAATCAATTGACCAACCTCCGTTCATTCTCATCCTCTTCTCCTCAGTCTCTGTTAATCGCTCTTCTTTCTGCTTCGATGATAACACTTTTTTTTTTTTTTAAGATTCCACATACAAGTGAGATCATGAGGAATTTGTCTTTCTGTGTCTGGCTTGGTTTATTTAACATGATGTCCTCCAGGTTCACTAACGTCACAAATGACAAGATTTCTTACAGCTGAATAATATTCACATTTTCTTTATCCATTCTTCCACTGTTGGACACTTAGATTGATTCCATATCTTGGCTATTATAAATAGTGCTGCAGTAAATAGCGAAGTATAGAAATCTCTTCAACATCCTGATTTCATTTTCTTTGGATATGTATTCAGCAGTGGGATTGCTGGATCATGTGGTAGTTCTATTTTTAATTTTTTGAGGAACTTCTATACTGTTTTCTATAATGGCTATGTGAGTTTACTATCCTACCAACAGTGTGTAAAGTATTCCCTTTCCTTCACATCCTCACCAATACATAGGTGTTGTTGTTGTTGTTGTTGTTGTTTGTTTTTTTATAATAGCCATTCTACCTGGAGTGAGGTGGTATCTCATTGTGGTTTTGATTTGCATTTTCCTTATGATACGTGATGTTGAACATTTTTTCATATACCTGTTGGCCATTGGTATGTCTTCTTTTGAGAAGTGTCTGTTAAGGTGTTTTGCTTATTTTTTAATCAGATTATTTCTTTTGCTGAGTTGGTTGAATTTCATATATATATTCTGGATATTAATCTCTTATCAGATATATAATTTGCACATATTTTCTCCTGTTCTGTGGGTTGGCTTTTCACCCTGTTAATAGTTTCCTGGGCTGTGCAAAAGCTTTTTAGTTGGATGTAATCTCTGTCATCTTGATCTAATAATCGTTAAAAGGTAAAGCAGTAATACAGCATTTTTTGGTGCTAAAATACTGTGATAACTACTATACAAGTCTGTGCTTTATCTTAGAATAGATTATCCAAATTTGTTTGGTGGCAAGATTCCAGACATCAAGAGTCATCTGAAATTGTATCTCAATGTATTTGTTACTGAGTTCAAACAGTGAAAGATTTTAAAGTTAAATTGCAGACAAGACATTCCCCCAAGTATTTGAGTCTACATCTCTAAAAAAAGTCTGTCTACATAACCACTCTATTTTCTCTTCTAACAAAATTAACAGTAATTTCATAATTTCATGTCACTCAGATCTATTCAGATCCACTCAAATCACTCAAATTTCTCTCAAATATCTTTTATACTGATTTGTTAAAACCGGGATCTAATCAAGGACCATGTTATACAGACATTTTGTCATTTTAATTAAAAATAAGGGCCTTACATTTATCAGTGATAAATTTTATTTTGTTGGTAGTGCCTCTTTGGGCTTGTCCAGTAATCAGCAAACTTTTTCTTAAAGGGCCAGAGAGTAAATATTTTAGGCTTGTGGTTCATTTGGTTCTTGTCACAACTACTCAGTTGTGCTGCGTAGTCATTATGGAAACACACGGGCATGGCTGTGTTCCAATAAAACTTTTGCAAAACAGGCACTGGCCCATTGGCTGTAGTGTGCTGACCCTTGCCTAACCTATTATGATCTTGGTGTTTGTTTGTTTGTTTGTTTGTTTGTTTTTTTCCCCTCATCTGTAACTGTTCTCAAGTTTTGCATCAATTCATTAAATAATACAATTAATATTCAACTATTGGTGAATCCATCTGTCAGTAATAGCCACCATTTAATGAACACATACTGTATGCTATATACTTGGCATGGATAATAATATTTAATCCTTAAAAGCACCCTGTGAGGTACAGGTGGTATTATCACCAATTTATAGATGAGAAAATGAGGATTTAGAGAGCGGTTAGGTAAGTGGCCCAGTGTCACATAGCTAAATGGGAACACTAGGTCAGAGCCCCCTTTTATAAGGCTTATTTTATACTATCAAACAGATACGAAAGAACATCGTTCTAAAAGGCAAATGTTAGCTTTTCTTCATCCTGATTCTAGGCATGTGTTGAGAGACTGTCAAGTAATGTGTTGGGATTGGGACACAAAATGTCTATTTCCTAATCTACTATTTGGGGAGCTTTATAAAGGATGTGAGGTTACTTTGAATGGCCTGTCTTTCTTTTAGAAAAGAGCTATCTCTAGGAGACCATGTGGGTTCCTATTGTGTTTGCAAATCGGTCTATTATCAGTCCTCCCCTGCTTCTGCCATTTCTTAGATCATAGATGGTAATTTTGTGGTTAGAACCTTAGGGCCCATTCCCCTGTATCCTCAGCTTCAACTTGAGTATACTTTAAGTAGCTAGATTCTTCTTTTCTGTATTCTCAGGTTTATTTATTCTCTTGGCTTTCAATTAGATTTTAGATTTATTTTTGCTTCGTTTTTATGACAGGGTTTATTGTGGCCTTTCAGTTTAAATATCTTTCCTGGTGTGGAAAATTTTAAATGCAGTAGTCTTTGATGCAATTTGTCGTAAAAGCCAGAAGGTGGCGATGTTTTCCATTTAAGGTTTCAATTCATTGTAGTTGCTGGAGTAATGTTTTTGAATACCACTAGAAAGAGGACCAAAAATACAGATGATGTGTTCTTGTACACAAAATCTTTGAGTGAGGAAGAATGTGCTTTAACTTCTATGATGTATTTTAATAGAAAGCTAGAAATATGCCACTTCCTGAAGGGCTACAGTTTTGAAGTTTGCTTTTTTTATGAGAAGATATTTGACAAATCACACTAAGCCATTTCCTTGAGAAACAGGACAAAACACCTGATCAAGCTATGTCTTAATATTAGGCCTTGGGCAGTGGGCAAATAATTGGTATTTGTATTTAAATCAGAATGGGAACAACTATTTTTCTTATATTAAACCTAACATATATATATATATTTGTTTTTTTATTTTAAAGCATCCAGACTTTACCAAAAAAAAAAAAAAAAGTCACCCTGCTGTGCCAATTCTCTGAATAGAACAGTTGTTAACATTTTGGCAGATATAACTATGTAAGTGCATATGTAGATACATAAGCCAAAATGAACTCATAATTAGACATATAATTTTTTCTACTCTGGCAAACATTATGGACCTCTGTCTACATCTCTACATCTGTCTAGCTTTATAATTTATAAACTCCATTTAGTAGTCTATTATATAAGACTGTACTGTATTTAACTAGTTCCTTTTCATTGGATGTGCAGGTTGTTTCTGTTATAAATAAAATTGCCATATATCATCTTATTATACTTTGGTCAGTTCAGTTATTTCTTTTTTGAGATGGAGTCTTGCTCTGTCACCCAGGTTGGAGTGCAGTGGCGCGATCTCAGCTCACTGCAACCTCCGCCTCCTGGGTTCAAGCAATTCTCCTTCCTCAGCCTCCTGAGTAGCTGGGATTACAGGCGTGCACCACCACGCCCGGCTGATTTTTGTATTTTTAGACGGGGTTTCACCGTGTTGGTCAGGCTGGTCTCAAACTCCTGACCTCGTGATCCACTCACCTTGCCCTCCCAAAGTGCTGGGATTATAGGCGTAAGCCACCGTGCCCAGACGAGTTCAGTTATTTCTTATTGTTACTGGTTGACTATAGTTCCACATATATTTACATTTTAAATTATCTGAATACACACAGCCAGAGTATCTCCTATAGAAAGTTTTTGTACCAGACTGTAAGAGAACACAGATTTACTCACACTTTCAACATCGTTTGATATTTGCCAATATAAGTAAGTGTCATCTTATTCTTTTAAGTTAGCATTTCCTCAATTACTAGTAAATGCAAAGAACTGCTAAATAAATGATTAGTCTAAGAAAAAATGAATTTTAATATCATTAGAATTAAGGGATAATGAAAACACATATCCAACTTCAGTCACACCTAAGACACTGGGTTATAATTGTCTTAAATGTTTATACAAGAAAAGACAGTTAAAAACTAAAGTATTAAGTATTCAACTTAAATACTTTCATTTAAGAAATTAGAAAAAGAATATATTAAATCTGTGGAAGGAAGGAAACAATGGACATGGGCAAAAAATTCACTAGAGAGGATCAGCTACTGATAGTTTGTTCTGAGAAGAAACCAAAGTGGAAAAAAAGCAAGATTGACGAGAGCAATAAAAAGCAGGAATAAATGATACTACAGTGAAAAAAGGGTAAGTAGGCTACAACAGAGACTTTAAAAGATTATTAAGACAACCATGAAGAATTGTATGCCCAGTAAATTTTAAAATTTAGAAGAAATGGAAAATTTAATTAAGCAAAATAGACTTGAAGAAAACAGAGACATGAATTATTTTAAAACTCTTAAAGAAATTGAATTTAAAAGTTTAAATTCAATCTAATTTAAAAATTAGAAATTGTCTTAAAAATTTATCAAACAAGAAACAGTTCCAGATAATCTTCAGGTAACGTCTTCTAACCTGTCTTCCTGAGAATTAAAAAAGAAAAAAGAAATAAGCCACCTTAAATTGTCTAATGAGTCTAGTATAATCTTGATGCTCAAACCAGATAAGGACAATACAAGAAAGGAAGAGTATAGGCTAATTCTACCCAATAACTAAATGAAGTATTAGCAAACCAGATTCATCAATAATCTTTTAAAAATCAAGAATTAATTGGATTTAGGAATATAACACTGTGTATAACAAGTTTAAGAGAAATATATGAGAATGATAAGACTGCAATTGAAAGTAGAGGCTTTCTCTGGAGGGAAAGGTGAGGAGGATGTGATTTGGAAGAACAGCATGGGGAGGCATCAGTTGTATTGTAATGTTTATTTTTTAAGCTGAATGATAGGTACGTAGATGTTCATTGTGTTCTTTTTGCCTTTTTGTATATCTTAAATATATGGTAGTGCCATGATTAGCAGGCTTAATAGCCTTGTGAGTTTAAATGTCACTTTCAAATGCTGTATTTTTGGTGGAGTTGCTTAAACACATTCCCCTTGGAATCTATACAACCAGTTAAAAAAATCATGTATAAACCACCATGAAATATAATGAAATGTACTGTATATGCATTTTCATGAATGTTGTGTCAAAGGGCTTGTAGGAAAAAAAGATCGTTAACTCTTTTGCATTCAGTGAAAATAGGTGGCTTTGGAAATAGTTTCAGCCTTGCTAACAGTTTTTTTTTCATGCTTAGAATTAAACGAAATAATTTGGAATTCTAGGTAGATGAGAAATTTAATATAGTTAAGAGTTTGAAATGTTCGATTTCATAGCGTTCATACACCAAATAATTGAACATTTACAATGTTTCAGATACGATGTTGAGTCATGGGAATATATAGACCTATAAAAGAGTCTTTCACCTCAAGAAGCTTAGAATTTAGTAGGGGAAATAGGTGATTCTGGTGTTTAACTGTAGGTACCATCATAGTCATAAACAACTTGGAATATTTGTTCCCTTCTGGGAATTAGTTTCCATCTTTCCTTTAGCTGTTTTATTGTTTTTCTTGTTTTAATTTAAACAAAGTGGTGAGTCTGTGTTTTCAAGAATAACCTAAGCCTTTGAACTACTAATATTTAGTTAGACCTGTTTAACCCATCGATAAATTATGTCACTACACTTAAAAATACAAGGGACATGTTAGGCAATCAGATGCTTTGTAGAAACTGAGCTATTTGTCGGCCTGGCGCGGTGGCCCACACCTGTAATCCCAGCACTTTGGGAGGCCGAGGCAGTGGCTCACGAAGTCAAGAGTTCAAGAGCAACCTGGCCAAGATGGTGAAACCCTGTCTCTACTAAAAATACAAAAATTAGCTGAGCATGGTGGTGGGTGCCTGAGGCTGAAGCAGAGAATTGCTTGAATCCAGGAGGCGGAGGTTGCCGTGAGCCAAGATCGCGTCACAGCCCTCCAGCCTGGGCAACAAAGCGAGACTTGGTCTCAAAAAAAAAAAAAAAGAAAAAAAAGAAATTGAGATTTGTCTGTTTCGTTGGACTGTCATTCTAATTATCCTATTGAAAAGGGATATAATATGTTTAGCTTTAGAAAGTAAATCTTTGTTAATATCCAGTTCTGTGCTCTCGTTCTACAAGACAGATGAACTGATTGCAAGTGGACCTTTTTTCATGCTTCGAAAAATGTGATCTTTTATGTAGGTTGCCTCTTTTAAAAAAGTACTGACTTTTTATATTGCATCTTTAATTGAAAACTTCTTATTAAAGCAATCTTTTCTGAGCCTGCTTTTCAGGTTACTCATATTATAAAAATATGAATACTTAGTAACTTATGAACTATTCCCATGACCTTATTTTTAAAATTTAAGTTGCTGAAATGATGAAAAATCACCAATTTTGAATTTCAAGGCTTCTTTTTTGCATTCACACAGATTTTCTTTACCCCTTTTTTTCTTGACTTAGTTTTACTTATATTGTCCTTAGTGTTGTCCCCTCAGGCAGAACTCAAAGTAGTAAATTCAGAGTAGAGTAGAACTCAAAGTAGTAAATCTGAGTCAATTTGTTTTCTCCTGTTTGATATAAAAACAAGTAAAATAGTAAATTTGATAGTTGATTCGCATGAAGTTTCTTCTTCAGTAGTTGCCTTGTGGTAGCTTATCCTCAAGGGATGTGCAACAGTTAGGATTAGGTTTGGCTGTATATCACAGAAATCCAACATGAGGGAAACTGATTTTTCTCTCATACTCATGAGGTCTAGAATTAAGAAGAACAGGGATAATAAGGAGATTCACAGCGTCAGGGGCCAGGCTGCTTCTATCTTGTTGTTCTACCATCCTCATCCTCATTGTCTCGTGGTGCAAAATTGGCTACTTGAGCTCTAGCTCTCATATCCAACCTCTAGACAGCAAGAATGAAAAAGGGCAGAAAGGCAAAGGAGCCCTTGCTGGCTTAGTTGGTTGCTCTAAGTAGACTTCCCAGAGGATACATAACCATTTTATTTTATGTCTCATTGACCAGAACATATTCAGGTGGCCAGTTGGCTATACCAGTTGTTGCCAGGGAGGCTGACATCTATAGTATTTTATTTCTGCCACATTGTACCCAGCTAAACATCTGAGCTCTGATCATTATGAAGGCAAGGTGGAATGGATGTTGGGGTAAGCAGCCAGGAGCCTAGCAGAAAACCTGCTGCTGTCCAGATGGCTCAGTAACTGGGCTCTAATGTAATCATGGGAAGTAGTGCTAAGAAATCCTCTGCCTGTTGATTTGAACTTATTTCATCAATAATTACTGTCATTTACTGTTACAATATCCTAGATATATATGCTAAGTACTTTTCATACATTATATAATTTTCACAACACTGCTGTGTGGTAGGCATGGTCTATTCCATGTTACAATATGAGAACACTGAGACACAGGTTACATAACTTGCCCAAGTTCTGATAGCTATTAAGTGGTGAGTCAGACATTGCACGTGCTTAAGACCAATGGTAATAAACTGGCCCTGTGCCTCTGCTTTTTAATCTGTCTGCTTATATATCTATCCATCAGTTCCTATTGTCACCCCTGCCTCACTCCTCATACGTAAAAATTATTTGAGGTAGCTCAAACATGCACAAATAACAGAAAAACAAAAAGATACACAGATTGAGGGGAATATGGGAATACAAGAGTGAAAAAATATAATGAAGTTGAGGTACAATTGATACACAGAATTGAATGCCATATGGTCTTATAGAGGTGTCAGAAGTCTTGGTCTGGTTTGCCACTGTGTTCTATCAGAAACTTAAAGGCAGAGAAACAAGACCTTCTTTATTTAGACTCTTGGCCCCTTCACTGTTTTAGTTATATAATAATTTGAATCCTTATTATAAAGAATACTAGTTTTTTACATTGTGGCTGCAAGGAATTTTAAAAACAACTATAGTATGTTTTTATCATTTTCTGATCTTTTTGTGAGTTAAGTCAAATTGCCATTGTTTATTTTTTGAAGTGTGAAAATGCAAAGAGAGAATTTTTTAGCTGGGTCATGAGTCACGTACTTAGTAAAAACTGGGGCTTGTTTGTTTGTATAAATCATAGGAGTCTCGGCAAATACATGTTGGAAGATTCTGATCTTGATAAAAATGGTATTATGCAAATTACTTGGTAGAGCTCCTCCTGTACACCCAAGTTTGCAAACTCCTTGAGGACAAAAGACTTTGCCTTAATCATTTTTTTCCCTCCATTATCTTCAGTGTATAGGTGTTCAGAAAGAAAATAATGAATGAATGGTTAGTAATGAGAAAAGTCTGTTAGTAAATGTTATTCATATTTTTGCTGCTTTAAACTTAAGTCAGTTACTCTGCTTGAAATAGAAGTATGTCATATTTTTTATAGTACCAGCAAGTTGCATGAGAAGGGTTATATGCCACTAATGGTTAGACATTGGAACCAGAGTCCAACCCTTGAACGTGGTGCATTTGGGGATTTGTCATTACTGTGGTACACCTGGAACGTAGTGTTTGTAGAGGTGAATAGCAGGAGATAAGTCTGGCAAGCTCCTGTCAAGTAAAAGTTACTTTTTAGTTTAAGGAATGAAAGTTAGGCCTAGATTTTGAAATATATTAGATGTCATGTTAGCTTTTTTAAAAATGACATTTTTAGTGGGGAAAAGAAAGGACATGATTTGGTTTGTTTGTTTTGACAGAGTCTCACTCTGTCTCACAGGCTGGAATGCAGTGGTACGATCTCGGCTCACTGCAACCTCCGCCTCCCAGGTTCAAGTGATTCTCCCACCTCAGCCTCCCTAGTAGCTGGGATTACAGACATGCACCATCATGCCCGGCTAATTTTTGTATTTTTAGTAGAGACCAGGTTTCACTATGTTGGCCAGTCTGGTTTTGAACTCCTGACCTCAGATGATCCAACCACCTTGGCCTCCCAAAGTGCTGGGATTACAGACATGAGCCACTGTGCCCGGCCAGGGACATGATTTGATTCTAGTAACATTTGAAAAATAAATAATATAGATTCATTTTTTACATTTCAATTTCAAAATTGTGAAAAGTGAATTAACAACATTTAAGTTTAATGACTTTATTTTGTTTTATTTCTCAGGATGTGATCTTCGTGGTGGAAAGCTAAATTTTAAAACCACCCCAATGGATGCAGACAGTGATGTTGCATTGGACATTCTAATTACAAATGTAGTCTGTGTTTTTAGAACAAGATGTCATTTAAACTTAAGGAAGATTGCTTTGGAAGGAGCAAATGTAATTTATAAACGTGATGTTGGAGTAAGTATCTGAGTTTTCGTATTTGTACTACATAGCCTAATTTTATAGTTCTATGACTAATACTAAAATGTATTCATTCTACAGATAGTTTATGAGCACCTTACCATGTGCTGGTTGTCCTGGATACAGAAGTGAGCCCTGTAAAAGCAATCCCTCCTCTCATGGAGGTGCAAGCTTTTGTACATAGAGTGCTGGTACCTGAATCAGCAAAGAACTCATTGGTTACAGAGACATTTTATTGCTCTCTCAATTTATTTTAACTGAAGAAAGGGACCTTTATATTCGCACATGTACCTATTCAAATATGATTATATTTGAATTATATTTGAATGATGCCTTAATATATATTATAATTTTTATAATATTTTAATTGTCATATTCTTTAACAAAGGTAGATGGTTTTCTTTCATAACAAACTGCTGAAAATAATATGATTTATATCTTAACCTGGACATCTTAAATTTTAGTTTTTGTTAAACCTGTAATATTTTAAAGCCTGAATATTAATAAGTAATAATAAAACCTTAGTGTTTTGAGATTAACATTATAAAAGACATTGGATGTCATTATAAACCAAAGATTGACGAGAGGAATATGTATTTTACACATTTGTTATGAAAATTAAGAATGTATCTCAAGGCTCTATTTAGCTTTAAAAATTAGATGCCAGGATACCTATGTAAATTGCCATTAATTAATTAATTTTTTTTTTTTTTTTTTTTTTTTGAGACGGAGTCTCACTCTTCCGCCAGGCTGGAGTGCAATGCAGTGGCATGATCACAGCTCACTGCAACCTCTGCCTCCCAGGTTCAAGCAATTCTCCTGTCTCAGCCTCCCAAGTAGCTAGGATTACAGGTGCACACCACCACGCTCAGCTAATTTTTGTATTTTTAGTAGAGACGGGGTTTCACCGTGTTGGCCAGGATGGTCTCAATCTCTTGACCTTGTGATCCACCCACCTCAGCCTTCCAAAGTACTGGGATTATAGGCGTGAGCCACCGTGCCTGGCCGTCATTAATTCTTAGTACTAGAAACTAAGTAAAGATGAATTAAATTCAATTAAAAATTTCAGTGACTCACAAAGATTTTCAAGTTTGTCAGCAATCCCATCCTTCCTTTAGAAAAGTAATAAATATGTCTGCTCAAAAGTTTAGAGAGGAATATGCCTAACACTGCTTTGGTACTTCAGCATGACATATGGAAAGGAAGTAGTTTTTTTAAGGCAGGTTAATTGAAAATTCTGAGTTGATAGACAAGCTGGTGATGGTGAGAGACAATTAAATGTAGGATAAACTCAGTCAAGTGTTTCTCAGTCACTTGTATATGAAATTTTATAATGTATTTTAGTTCAAATTTTATCTTGATCTTTGGTGAATTTTGAGTCTGCCCAGATTTAATAGCTTTCTAGTTTGATAATATGGCATATGACAGAGAATGAAGAACACAAAATGTAACAAAAATTTTAAGCAGAAACATCTGATTCATTTATGTTAGTCAGTGAGCATTTATGTCTTTCTTACATAGAATGAGCATCTAACAAATATTTCCATTAATGAAAAGTTGGAATGAAAATTTAAATTTGCATATTTTCTTGGAGCTTAGTCCTTGACCTATTTATACACACTCTGTAGTTATTTCATTGTAACCCATAGCTTTAAATGAATTTCCAATTACATCTCCAGCTCCAACATTTCTCCTTTATTCAAGATGCCGATGTTGAACTTGAGTATGTAATAAGCATCTCAACTCTAGGATGCAATATAAAGTAGTGATGGGTACCATGAAGCAGCAGAAAGCAGAATTAGGAATTAGAAAGCAATGAAGGGATGGGTGTTTCAGGGAAATGATTAGGGAGGGCCTCTCTTCAGGAGGTGACATCTGGTAAGAGACCTGAATGAAGTGAGAATATTGAGGGGATAATATTCCAAATGAAAGCAACAGCTACTGCAAAGCTTCTGAAGCATGAACAGATTTGGTGTGTGTGAAGAACCATGCAAGTTCCAGTTATATGACTGGGGTGGAATGAGAGTTGAATTGTTTATATACTTGGAGTACATTGATTTCAAGTATATAGAGTGAGAGATTTCTATACACCTTGTATTTTTAATTAATCAAATGTCTTTTTGGATTAATATGTTCTTTGTGTTTGGTATTGTACTTGATTTCAGAATGGTAGATTTGGAGAGCAGTTATTGCAGTCTTGGATAAGCTTGGAGAGTAGTATTTGGACATTAATATGACTATATAGAACAGAACCTTATGTGAAAAATAATGCTTATGAGGTAATCAGATTTTTTTTCCCCCCAGAAAGTATTAATGAAGCTTAGAAAACCTAGAATTACAGCTACAATTTGGTCCTCAGGAAAAATTATTTGCACTGGAGCAACAAGGTAAATGCTACTTGGGTTTTTTGTTTTTATTTTTTACTTTTTCCCTCATGGAAAGGACATTTTCCTAGACTTAACAGCAAAATCATATGTAAAGTTTGTTATGTTCCTCAGTATAACATTTATTTCCTGTGTAACTGATAATCTTTTTCTTTCCTTAAAACCGTAGTGAAGAAGAAGCTAAATTTGGTGCCAGACGCTTAGCCCGTAGTCTGCAGAAACTAGGTTTTCAGGTAACGTTTTCAAATAGTATCTAAACTACAAATATTCAAGGACTTATTTTTATAGAATTAAAAATTGTAATAGACTCAAGAAATCACTATGCGTACTATTCTTATGATTAAACTTTTTCTAGGTTTTTTAATACTGCCCTTCAGTGTGAAAATTAGTAGCAAAATTTGGCTATGTGGGTATTTGTAAAGGATCCTAGCTTTTTCCCTAATTCCTTTCCCATAAAGAGACTTGTTTCCTCACAAGTTAATTTCCTTTTCAACTCTTTTTTAAGTGTTTTCACCTCTGACGTACACAAACAAAATGGTTTTTGGTCATCTCAAGAATGCCAGGTCAGAATGGTGAATAGAGAATGGCAGAGGCCGTTGACATGGACACACCAGCTGGCAGGCTCTCACACTTGTAACGTGACTGTCACTGGCATGTCAGCCTCATCACTATAACTTGATAGAGGTATACCTTTGAATAAAACGATTACATATTATGGACTTGCTAGGTCACTTGCAAATGATGAATAAATGAAAGATAAAGATGAGAATGGTCCCTGAAGATGAGGGCAAGGCTGTTTGGGATTGAGACAAGTTTGTAGAAGTGGGGATAGGAAGTTACCTTTCCCTCTGATGACTCAGTCTCTCTGAAGTAGAGGGTGATAGGAAGAGACTGAACGGCTGGTGGGGAGTGGGGGTTGGTGCTTGAGAAGGGTGGCAGTAGAGAGAGGCTTGAGTTGTACTGTGATTTGAGAGTGCTGCCACTTTGCGGTTTCCTGGCTTTGCGCAACTGCTGTGTGCAAGGCTGAGTTGAAGGATAGTTCGCTCACCCAAAATTGTGGTTTTAGGAGGAATGTTTGAAAAGATAATGAGATGAAACGAAGATGTTGGTTGGAGTGGCCAAAGTTATTAATGTTAACAGCATTATTTTCAGCCTTGGAACTTCTTTTCTTAGTGTAACATTAGAAGTGTTGAGAGAAATCCCAATTAGTTAGAAACAAATTTATCACTCTATCCCCAGAAAGAAAATAAACATCTAGCTAATCTCACAGAAATGTCATTTTGCCTTATTGCATATGAGAAAAACATCTGACTTTTGGAGCCCAGTGTACACTCTGTATTTACTGACTTTAAAGTGACATCTTTTCCATTTTTACTCTAGCAGGATGACCTGGACTTAAATTTTTTTTCCCTCACTATTCTCTCTCCTTTCTCAGTAGTTTTAAATATTTCACTTAAAGTATTAAAAAATTAAACATATGATTAGAAAGACCCATACTGTTTTGATCATGCAAATACCTCAGTTTTTAATTTTTTTAATGGAGTTTTTGAGCTTTTTAAAAAACTGAATTAAAGCTTTCCATGCTACACAACTTACAGTACTAAACATACACTTAAAATGTTTTTGTTTTATCTTGTTTGCTCTTGTTTTTAAGGATTGCCATTATGAGCAGATTTTTTGTTTGTTTGTTTCAAAATAAATTTATTGAATTTTACTTCTCTCCTAAAGGTAATATTTACAGATTTTAAGGTTGTTAACGTTCTGGCAGTGTGTAACATGCCATTTGAAATCCGTTTGCCAGAATTCACAAAGAACAATAGACCTCATGCCAGGTAAGTCTTTGAAGCAATTTATCTTGAGAAATTACCAAATTTGAAATTACTAGTCAGGGTATAAATATTTATATTAATTGTGGCTTATTTTGTGTAGTTACGAACCTGAACTTCATCCTGCTGTGTGCTATCGGATAAAATCTCTAAGAGCTACATTACAGATTTTTTCAACAGGAAGTATCACAGTAACAGGTATTCTATGATATTGAAACCACACTTATCAATTATGGATTGAATGATACAAGATGCTCATACCAAGATAGAAATAATGTGTGATTTGTTCCTTTCAGTCACTTCTGCCCTTTAGAGGAACCAGTCTCCTGACTTTTAACACTAGATGCATTTTGCCTACTTTTGTACTATTTATAAATGTTACACTTACTATTTTGTGTCTTTTTTCACTCAGCATTATCTTAGTGAGTTTCATCTATATTATATTCTATGTAGCTGTATGTAGATCATTCGTTCTTATTGGGCATTTGAGTAGTTTCCAGTTGGAGCTTTAAAAATATTCTGGTAGGCCAGGTGCATTGGTTCATGCCTGTAAGCCCAGCACTTGGAAGGCTGAGGCGGGCTTATCACAAGGTCAAGAGATCAAGACCATCCTGGCCAACATGGTGAAACCCCGTCTCTACTAAAAATACAAAATATTAGCTGGGCGTGGTGGTGAACGCCTGTAGTCCCAGCTATTCGGGAGGCTAAGGCAAGAGAATCATTTGAACCCAGGAGGCGGAGGTTGCAGCGAGCTGAGATCGCACCACTGCACTCCAGACTGGCAACAGAGTGAGACTCTGTCTAAAAAAAAAAAAAAAAAAAAAATATATATATATATATATATATATATATATATATATATATACACACATATATTTTCTGGTATATGTATCCATAGTATGATTTTTTTTTTGTAAATTCATGATATCTTACATTTAAAATTCTCATGAGAAACTCATAAATTTCACAGAGGTTTTACATAAGCAAAATATTAAATATAATTGGTACCTGTTTGTTATGTTTGTCTTGCTATATCTTTTAATCTTTATTTGGAGAAAGGGTGGTTTCAGAAAACTAGGCATTCATGTCAGAGAGTAGCATTAGCATGCTGTGTGACATTTTAATGGTACTATGATTATAAATTGTACAGAGGCATTGCTTGGGAGTCAGGCCCAACCTTAGGCAAAAAAGAATTAAAGAAAATGTCTTTAATGTCCTTGAGCTTTGTTTTTTCTTTCTTCAATCCACAGAGGAAAATAATTTAGTCTCTCAACAAATAAACTTTAGTTTTGACTCATCCCATGGGTTTTTCCATCTTCCTTGGGGACTTTCAAAACGTATTCCCAAGATCCCACCTGCATCTTAAATATGGGATGATAGGAGACGAGTCTGTTTGTTCCCTTCTTTCAGCTCTCTGTTTCTACACTTTGGAGCATGGATGTCTGAGAAGCCACAAAGCCTATTGAACAATCTCTACTAAGTATATAATAAAACAATGCATATGTAAAACTCTGTATTTACTGAGTTACTAGATATTAAACAAAACAATAACAAACTGAAGACAATTCACCTGGTTAAGCAGTATGCATTATTTACTTAGATCAGGAATAGCCTATGAAATGTTACTGAATTGGTTCCCATGAACAAAGCATAGCAAGGTGGGGGTAAAGTGAGTCAGGAAGGACCTGACCAAGATAGGATGTGTGGTTAGGACTTTCAGAGAGTTTACAGTGGGTGGATTTGTTAGTTTCCTGGGTCTTTCAAAAGAGGTTAAGTGTGTATTGGTGAAGCCATTTTTATTCAAAATTTTATGAGAATAGTTTTCATTGTCCTTTTTTATGTTTCTTTTTAGCGATTTAAATGAAAGATTACATTTTTATAAAGTTGTTCAAGAATTAGCATAATGCATGGTCACCTCGTAGCCTTGTGCTTTTTTTGTTTTCTATTGACTTGTATACGCTCTGAGGGTGAAATGACCAGATTGGTAATAAATATGTGGATACCCAGTGGTGGTAAATCTGTGGGGATTTTTAAACCAGCATTCTGGTTTCCCAACATTTTGGTAGCAGCTTTGTTTCACTCTGCTGTGTTCCTCCATATCCCTGAGCCTCTGTTGTAGCCTAACCAGAAGCCAGATGATAGTGACTTAAAGGATAGCTGTTATTTAGTCCCATTTGTTACTCCTTCCTTTCATGTACATATTATATTACAGTGCTTTTTATATTAGTCCATGATAGTTTGTATGCCCTAAAACAAAGTGAATAACCTCATTTTGTGTTTCATATGTCCTTTAATTGCCCAGAACAAAATCTGTATTACTTTTACTTATTATGGCTATGTGTATAATTATATGTCTAGTTTTCTTTTTTTTAACAGTTAACTTGATATTCTATACCACTTGAATATTTTTAATTCTGGAAAATCAGTTTTTCCTAGTGCTCCCTTTTCCAACTCTTCTCACTCCTTCCTCCATTGTGTTTATTACAGGGCCCAATGTAAAGGCTGTTGCTACTGCTGTGGAACAGATTTACCCATTTGTGTTTGAAAGCAGGAAAGAAATTTTATAATTCACCACTTAATTGGTTAGAATCTCTAACTGAGCACCTTTTAAACCTGCTGCACATTGGACTCAAAAGGAAAACTGGACCAACAATAATTGAGGAAATAGACTCTTTTATTCATTCACGGCTACAGTGTAAGCTCCAGTCCCTTTGGATTTTATTCCAAACCTTGCTGTAATATAAAAGGAAGTTTACAAGACATGATATTGCTGCTTTTACAAAAGGACATTCTATTTATTTTCGCAGTAATTCTCATGTCCCCATAAGCAGAGCTGTCACAGTGTGCACTACCTTAGATTGTTTTATTGTCGTCATTGTTATTTTTTTCCATTTTGAGCTAATGTGTTTTATTTGTGAATAGTCTTTTACATTTTTGTATGCTGAATATGGGCACCAAAGAACCTGTAAAAGTTATCTTTTTCAATTGAATGTGCACAAATAAAAGTTTGGAAAAGATCTCTCTTCATTCTATAACTTTTATTCCCCATTTTCTATTTTAACAAAAATTGTATTCATACTTCTTTTTTTTAAAATCTATGCAAGCTTAAGACTTTGGCTAAAGTGTGTTGGCTTCTTTTTGAAGTGTATTTTGTGTGTGTGTGTGTGTGTGTGTGTATATATATATATATATATGCACCACATGTGTATAGTATCTTTTAATGCTCTGTTACCAAATAACAAATAGGAATTTTTTTTCTTGCAGATTAGAAATAAAAACGTGTATATAAACTCTAGGGAACCAGACTAGAAGTTTATAGATAAAGGATAATGTTTTATGTTGCTAATTTAATATGATAGAAAATGTTAAATAACTTGTAAAGGTTAAGAAATTGTAGTTTTAAGAAGAGAAACCTCTTACCCACTAGATGGAAATGAGAAAGAAGCTGTGATGAATGGTGCCTCATTTGGACCTTTGTTTTTCTGGAAAGACTCAACACCTGTAGTTGTAGAGAAGTGATTGAGGTTCTTGACTTTAATCTTGGGTTGATGCCCAAGCCTATACTAAGAGTCTTGTCAGAAGTTGGTAACATGGAGATGTTTTAACAAGAAGTGCCCATAAGCTGCCTCTGTGCCACAGTGTAATTATCAAATAGCCCCACTTGAATTTGAAAGCCATTTTGTGTGATACTGTCCTTCCCCTTGCTGTATCTTATTTAATGGAGTTAAAGAGTGACTATTCAGTATATGAGATTGCTACTCTTAAAGTTATAATAAATATGCATTTATGAAACAGTGTCTCTGGCTCACCCAGGAGCCCTGATGTGGTAATACAGGATCAAGCTGTAGTTGTGCCCTGTCATTTAGGTTTAGGAGTTTAGTGTAACCAACAGTGATTATACCTAGAAATAAAGCTGAGTGGAGAGTCCAATTAGCTTCTCAGGAGAAACTTAATGGGGACAATATTCCAACACAATGTTCCACAAAAACTTGTATTTCCAAAATGTTTTTAAACCTTTGTGGAAAAATTGCAACATCCTAATCTCCATATATAGTACATTTTCCTTACTGTATTATAAAATCTTGAAAACCTAGCTTAGGCACTGCACTGAACAACACATATTATTTTTATCTTTTTTCTTCTCAATGCCTTCCCTAACCTCCTGCTTATTCCAAAGTGGAAAGCAAAGGCTAACTTACATTTTTCCTTCTTGTGAAATATTTCATTGAGATTTTTAGACTTGTATTTTTCCTTTTTTTTAAAAAAAAAGTGTTTATTTCCTTTATTTTAAGATTCAGTAGGATAGCCAAATTCATAGAGAATAAAATTACATGAAAGAGTTACAAGCTCACTGTTTTAAAGACTTGACATTTTTCATTTAGTTTTAATTAACAGTAATAAGTCACCTCCTGTTTTTCAATGTTCACCAAAAAAAGAAACATAGAATAGGGGGAAAACATGCTTATATAGCCAAGGTACAGATCCAGATGATGTAACCTTTTTAGTATTCGCATGACTTGAAAACTGGGCAGATCAATAGATAATCGAAGTGCTTTATCTGAAGGGAGAGGGTAAAGACAGTGTGACCAGGTTTGTTTTCAGGGCTGCCGAATGAGCCTCACCTAACAGTGTCCATGGGTAATTCGCTAACCTTAACAAAGATGGGAAGAAGTGAGTGCTCTGATGTCTTCTGCTGGCTCTCCATAAGTACTGTAAATTTTTTTTATAAATAAAAACTGTGAATATATATGTACAAGTTGTAAGTATTTCCCCCTTTTTATTTTTGAAAATCAAGAAGCTTGATTTGGTGTGGTGCAATGGATATTGGATAAAAATTTGAAGACAAAATTGTTTAGTTACAGACTCAGGATAATAAAAGAAAAATATAAAAGAATGCTCAAGATACTGAAGTCAAGGTCACTAGTAATAAACTGGCTAGGTTGATAAACAATTTCCTGCCCATTTATAATGAAGGGCTAAACAAAAAATACCTGAAGTATATATAGAGTTTGAACTATAAACACGGAAGGAAACATGGGGCAGAACACACTTCCCTTCTCTTTCCAAAAACAAAAAACAATGCATGCTCTGATTTGCGTATGAAATACACCATGATAGAATTGAGATCTCCAATCTCCTTTCCTTTTAGCTTCCCCCTGCCAATTTTTATACAGATAATACACTGCAGATCCAGGCCTTTTAGTCAGTCTCCTGAGTCTCTGATATAGTTTTACTACTTACATAGGTTTATAGTCTCTCCACATTGTTATAAAGGAATGTAATAGATCATGTTTCCTTATATGACATTGGGACAGTTTGTTAGGAACCAATAGGAAAATTCCAAGCTAAATAAAAAGGAGCTTTGGCTCTTAGGATTCTCTTTTCTTCAGGTTAATCATATTTTAAAATTCTTTTTCAAGTTAGGTTGTTCGTGCTTTTAAGTTTTTTGTGTGTCTTCCATCACTTAAATATTAGTAATTTAATATGTTATTTGGTTCAAGATTTGATTGTGGATTTTCTATCATACCCAAATTTTATTAGTAAGACCTCTTAACAAGTCTTTAAAATCAACTGGAGAAGTAAGAGAACAGTTCATCGTTGTGTGGGTGAAACCCACGTTGCTGGTACAGGTGGCCATCATAGAAAAGAACATGAGGGAATTGTCCTGATGTCTGAATGTCATTTATTGTGTCTTCAGTTATCTGAACATCATCATCAATTATAGCCTGTGTACCGTAACCTGAGGTAGTGATATTCCTGAGGAGTGTGAAGAATTGGACACTGTGGATTACTATACATTGTCATGAAAGCCTTACAAGGAGGCAGCTTTTCTAGGCTTGACTTAATAACTTCAACCTAATTGCTTAGAGATTTGGATAAATAACCTAATGGCCTGACTCCTTTTCTAATGTTTTACTAACAGCTACTTCTAAATAAATATGGTCCCAGGATTTTAAAATTGTCTTTTCTATGCATTTTTTAAAAATGGAAAAAAATGCTCATTTTTCTCAACTATTGTGGAATTATTTTAATATTTCACAATATTAACATGAAATTCATAAAAGGATATTTTGCATTAAATTATAGTTTATAGTTCATAAAATAAGCTCTATAATCTTTATACTTGTTGAATGTAACTAGGAATTACCACTAAAATCCTAGCCAGGACCCTCTCCTAATCTAGATAGAATATATGGGCAGTTGTCCACACTGTGTGTTCTGGTTCTTTTTTGCGTAAGATCCAGTGCAAGTAGTGTCTTGGTAGGCAGAAACTGTACCCTCATGTCCAGACCACTTGTGTGTCTGCATAATAAAGCTGCGACTGGCCTCCATACATACATAGCTTAAGGCGGAGGTTGATGTCTTCACTAGGACATAGTCTATTCAAAGGCTGCTCTGTGAAGAAGGTAGAAAGTATTAAACCAGCCAGTAACTTTTTTTTTTTAACCTGATATCCTGCTCAGAAAAAGAGATCACTTAGGACCTTGTACCTCATCTACCTTTTGAGGTTCCTTCTGGGGAGGAGGGGGATTAAAGGCTGTCTTTATCATTTCAGAGTGTCTCTTCAAAACCAGTTCCATGACACTGAAAAGAGAGCACAGGAGTCGCAACTATGCATTGGTCCAAAGACACCCTCCTAAGTGTTCTGGCACTATCCACGTTCAGAAGGTGTTGAGGCCATTAGGTCTCTGGAGAAAGCTGCCTGGATTGGCCCCTACCACACAGCTTGTTACACTCCAAGAGCTGCTCCTGGGGTTTTCTTTTTTGAGGCTGTTTTGGCACTAATTCTTCTTGGTGATGACTCATAAAACAAATGTTGTTTTTCACATAGTTCCTGAAAGAGAAAGAGGCACTAATGAAAATGTCATTCTTAGTTTACATGAAAAAAATGTGTAGGCTATTATTTTTTAAACCACCCTGGGGCTTTAATGTTTTAGCTATGCAAAAATAAATACACATTTTTATTAGGAATCCTGCTGCATCATGAAATTCAGTATGCCACAGACTTTGGTCAATCTCATGCAAGGGGTAACGGTGTCTTCTCAGAATACAATCCCAGCAGTCAGCTCTGTGGGGAAGGATTCCAAGGATAGTATTACATACAGAGAACCAGTGGAGGTTTCATCCCAGACCTTATTTTTTTCCATTTCTCAAACTCCAGCAATGTGCCTATATTTATATCTCTTCTATCTTCTACGTTATCCCTTACTCCTGCATTAACAAATTTTTCTACAGGATTCTTCCCATCAGCATAAAAAGATGCTATTGTATTTTACCTTTACTAAAAATGAAGAGCTGCCTTTGAACCTCCCTTTTCAAATACCTTTTTCTGTAATTTAACCAATGATTTGAGTGGCCACAATATGTAGGTAGTATGGGTTGAGTAGATAAAGACTTCTGTTTTCAAGGAGCTTACTTAGATTTTAGAGGGGAGACGAGCTTATAACTTGAAGTAGTAAAAGTGCAAATGAGAAATAAACGGGGAAGGAGAAAAAAGGGTTTAGTTGGGTGGGAGAGGACAGACTGTATTATACAGGTGGCATCTCTCTAAAGCAGTGACAATGATCAGAAAATGGAATGAAGTTAGGGAGGGAACTCCTGCAGAGAATCCCAGAGACCTGAGAAGTTGGGGCAGGGAAACGGTTGGTATCTGGAGGGAAATCTGAGGAAGGTATTTTTTCAGGATGGGAAATACTGCAGCTTTGTGCGTGTGTGCGTGATGATAATCCCATAGGAGGGGGAAATTGATGCAGTCAGTGTACAAATGGAAGCATTGGCCTTTGCAACAAGGCAGTGTGTGTGGGCATAGATGTAGGTAGGTTAGAAGATCTTGTGGCAGGAGGACAAGGTGGTCTCAATTTATTTTCTCAGTGAACTAAAAAGCAAAATAATTAGAGTGAAGAAGTGGGAGGGGGTCCTGGAGGCTTGGGAAAAGTATTGGTGTGAAGTAATCATCTTCGAAAGTAGGAACGTCAACTCACCAGGGAAATGTGGTATATTGCAGGGTATTCCTCAAGATCTACTTGAGATGTATGTTCATAAGGTGAAAACAAGGCTTATCAGCATAGTTGTGTGTTTGATTCAGCCAGGTTTAGCTCCTTGAATGCAGGGTTAAAATAAACTAAGAGTTGACTTGGTCAGAGTTAAGGTTTGCCTGAGTGATGGAGGGAGAGAGAAGAGAGTAAAGGGAGAAGGGGAAATGCGAAGAAGTGGCCTTGGTGGGCCATGGAAAGTAGGAAGCAGGGTAAGGAAGGAAGGGAGAGCATGGGCCTCCAGGTCGTCGTGGGGCTGAAGACTTGTTGAAGTGCCAGTACTTGAGGAAGTGGGCTGGAGAGATGAGTGGTTAGAGGGTGAGTGGAATGCTTGTGAATGAAGCAGTGATTGGAAATGAGTCTAGGGCATGACCATCCTGCTTTTCTGTTCCCCTTCACAGCAAAATTGATGTAAGGAGTGGACTGTTGCTTCTTCACTTCACTTCCATTTTGTCCTCCAACCACATCAGTCAGCTTCTGTCCTCTCATTCCGCTGAGCCTGTGCTTACATCTGTCTTTGTGCTTGGCCTCTCCAGTCCCACCTTCCTACAACACTTCTGGCTTTCCTCCAGCCTCACTGTTGGCTTCTTTTCAGTCCCTTTTAACACTCTCTTCTTTGCTCGGTCTCTAAGTTTGGCACAAAACTGGGCCTAGTCCCTTCTCTCTCTGTTCTCTGACCAGATAAGCTTATCTGGCTTCAGGACTTAAATACCACTTATAAGCTGATGGCCACCCACATTTGACTCTAACCCCTAGAGTCTCCAAATTTCAGACTTACGTATCCAACTGCCTACTACTAATGTGTCTATTTGATGTCTAATGGACATCTCACAATATCTCCAAATCCGAGCTCTATTCTGTCCTGAGCCCTGAAACCTAGTCCTCTCTCAGGCTTCTGCATCTCACCATCTGTCCAGTTTCTCAGCTAAAACTTGCAGTGTCATCCTGACTACTTCATTACCTTATTCTTGTATCCATTTCATTCATGTTTTTTCATCTATTCAATGCCGAGCTTCGATTATATGCCAAGGAATTGTTCCAAGTGTTGGGAAACAACAGTGAACAAAATTCCCTGGCTTCATGGAATTTAAATATAGCAGGAAGAGATAGACAGTAGACCAAGTAAAATGTAGTGTTTCTGCTTTGGTTAAAACTGAAGGATTGGAAAGTGGGTGCAGAGTTGGCTACACAATTGGGATTTGAAATAGAGGGACAGGAAAAGTCTGTTGGAGGTGAAGCAGCAAGACAGGTGGATATCTAGGATAAGAGAATTCGAGGCAGAGAAAACAAGTGCCACGATCTGGAGCCTTGAGCATGCTTGATGTGTCTGGGATGCAGCCTCTGGCCTGTGTGGCTGTGAGAGAAGAAGGGGAGATTAGCAGGCTGTGCAGGGCTGGAAGGGCATTGGAAGGCTTCTGCTCTTGCTGGAGAGCCACTGGAGGATTGGAGCAAAAGAATACCTTGATTGCATTTTAAGGGGTCATTCTGGCCACTGTGTAGAGAACTGATGGGAGGGGACAAAGGCAGAAATGGGGACCAGTAAGTGGGTATTGCAGTAATTCAGGATGGAGATCATGGTGACTCAGACCAGGGCAGCCGTGAAGGTGTTCAGGCTCTGGATATATTTTGAAGTAAGAGCCAACACAACTTCCTGATAGACTGAATGTGGAGTATGTGAGAAAGAGGAAAGACTCCAAAGTTTGTGGCCAAAGTAGTCGGATAACATTGACATCAACTGAGGTGGGTAAGGCAGTGAGTAGAATAGGTTTGAGAACATCACAGGTTCAATTTAGGGCATGTGAGGTATTAGGTATCTGTTAGACATTTGGAAAGACATGTAGAGTAAGCAGTTGAATAAACAAGCCTTGAATTCTAGAGAGATAGCTAGAGACATAAATTTCAGACCCTGGCATATCAATGAGATAAAAACTGTAAAACTGGCTGGACGCGGTGGCTCACGCCTGTAATCCCAGCACTTTAGGAGGCCGAGGTGGGTGGATCACGAGGTCAGGAGATCGAGACCATCCTGGCTAACATGGTGAAACCCCGTCTCTACTAAAAATACAAAAAAATTAGCCAGGCGTGGTGGCGGGCACCTGTAGTCCCAGCTACTCGGGAGGCTGAGGCAGGAGAATGGCGTGAACCTGGGAGGCAGAGCTTGCATTGAGCCGAGATGGCACTCCAACCTGGGCGACAGAGCGAGACTCCATCTCAAACAAACAAACAAAAAAGAAACTAACATTGACTGAGATCAACTGGCTGGTGAGGGTGATAGAGAAGTGGTCAGGGGACTAAGCCCCAGGGCACACCAACTTTAAGAGAGGAAGCAGAGGAATAGAGACCATAGGTAAGAGATAACCAGGGGACGGGTCGCAGAAGGATGTGAGGCAAGCATTTCAGGAAGGACTATCCCCAGCCAAGAGCACTATCTCCAGTCAAATGCTGGGGATAATCTAAGATGAGGAGTGAGAATTGACCACAGAGTTAACCAACATGGAGGTAATTGGGATGTTAAAAAGTAATTTCAGGAGCGGAGTGGCCATAACAGTCTCACTGGAGCAGCTTCGTGAGAATGGGAAGAGCAGAAGCACAAGTGATGACAGCGAATATAGACAACGCTTTAGAAAAACTTGGCTATACATAGTACCCAAGAAATAGGGCAAAAGCTGGAGAGAAAAGTGGCACAAAAAGACCTTTTGTTTTGTTTTGTTTTTAAAAAGATGGAGAAAGAATCATAGCAGGTTTCTGTGCTGATGAGGAGTAGGTAAAGATGCAGATGATGCAGCAGTGAGCTGGGAGAATTGCTGGAGAATGTGCCGGAGAAGGGAGAGAGGAGAGAGGGGGTGAAGGGGGCTCTCATAGGAAGGACTGCATTCCTACATAGGCCCTGGAGGAATGGTTGTGTATGTGGAAGGGGTGGAAGTTTCCCCCTGATTATGTCCATTTTCTCAGTGAAGTCAGAAGCAAGGCCATCAGTGAGGAATGAGGAAATGAGGAGGTTTCCAGAGAGAAAGTGATCTGGAACATGTGTCTAGGAGAGAAGCAAAGTTAATTGACTAGGGATATGTGTGATTGCCACATGTGATTGAAGGCCACTTAAGGTCCGTGGTCATGATGGAAAAAGAGACCCAGCACTAGAATCGCATGCTTTCCCAGCCTCCTTCAGCTGGATGGCTGCAGACACTTACTATGGCACACTTTAAAGTGTAAATCAGATCATGTCACTGCCCTGCTTAAAATCCTTCAGTAGCTTCCACTGCAATTAGAATGAAACCAAACTCTTCACTCAGCCTGCAAAGCCCTGCACACTAGTCTCTACCTACTTCCTAACTCATTGTCAAAGATTACAGCCTTCTTTCCATTTCTGGAACAAGTCAAGTGTGTTTCTGACTTAGCCTTTGCACTACCTGTTTTTTCTGTCTGGATTTACTCCCCTATCTTCCAAGGTTGGCTCTTTATTACCCAGGTTTTATCTTAAATGTTACCTCTCAGAATAGCCTTCTCAGATCCGCCCAGTTGAAAGTAGTCCTTTAGTCACTTACTATCTAATCAGTATACTGGAAATCTCATGGTGATTGTACTCGCTGATAATGTTATTGTAGAACCTAGATCAGTGCCTGGCACATAGTAGATGCTCGATAAATATTTGTTGAATAAATGAATTGGATGGATGGATGAATGAAGAAATGACCACATCAAATTAACTGCTAAAAGTGAAAAGTAAGTTTGCCTCAGAACTGAAATATTTACAAAACATTAACTTGTTTGCTTTCTCCATTTGTGCCCACTTAAGCTGGGGGGAAAAGTAAATCACAGCTGAAACAGCAAATATGGCAAACATCACATCCCATTTTGAGTTTGTAGCTTGCAAGGCAGAAGTTCAAAATAAAATCTTTTCAAATTACATTATTGCAGAAATCTTTTCTGACCTCTCAGCTGAGTCACTGTTTATTTTATAAGAAACTTAACATCCTTGGAAGAATATTCGTTTTTTCAGCTTTTTAGAAATAGGGGTAGAACCCAGCTCCAAATGTAGAGGAAAATGCTAAGCAATGTGTAGTATCATGTTTGAAGTTAACTTGATACTGTAGTTTCCTTTCTTAGAAATAGACATTGGGATTTCTACATCAGGACGGTTACCTTGGTGACAAAAGTTGATTCATTGTTTTATTAACTTGTAAATTCATGAAGGCTCTCTTAACTCAGCAGTGTCCTTCCTCATTCTTCAAGTTCACCTCAGCTTCTGTGCACAAGCAGGTTCCATGGGCTTTCTACCACCTCGCATTTCCTTAACTAATTTGATAACTTACTGTATTTTTTTGTCTCTGACATTTCTCTGTTGGAAACCTTGTTTAACGTATACCCTTTAGATACTTTGGTCAATTTACATAAGCCAGGCTGCTCACATTGTCATTTTAAAAGCTTTTGCCAACCTGTTGGTTCAGCTCAGAAAAGCCTCTGGCTCACTAGTATTGCATGAATAGAAGTTAACCAGGAGGCAAAGGCGGGCAGATCACGAGGTCAGGAGATCGAGACAATCCTGGCTAACACGGTGAAACCCCGTCTCTACTAAAAATACAAAAAAAAAAAAAAAAAAAAAAAAAGCCGGGCGTGGCAGCAGGCGCCTGTAGTCCCAGCTACTTGGGAGGCTGAGGCAGGAGAATGGTGTTAACCTGGGAGGCGGAGCTTACAGTGAGCTGAGCTCATGTCACTGCACTCCAGCCTAGGGGCAACAGAGCGAGACTCCATCTCAAAAAAAAGTTAACCTACCATGTGACGCAGCAATCTTATTACTGAGTATATACCCAAAGGAAAATGAATCATTTTACCAAAAGGACACATGAACCCATACGTTCATTGCATCACTATTCATAATAGCAAACATGTGGAATCAACCCAGGTGTCCATGAGCAGTGGATTGGATAAAGAAAATGTGGTATATATACACCATGGAATACTACACAGCCGTCAAAAAGAACGAAATCATTTGTAGCAATACGGATGGAGCTGGAGGCCATTTTCTTAAGTGAACTAATGTAGAAACAGAAAAGCAAGTACTGTTTGTTCTCACTTATAAGTGGGAGCTAAACATTGGGTACTCATGGACATAAAGAGGCAAAAATAGACACTGAGACGACTGGAGAGGAGAGAGATGGAGGTGGGCAAGGGCTAGAAAACTACCTATTGGGTACTATGTTCACTACCTGGGTGACAGAGTCATTCATACTCCAAACCTCAGCATCATGCAGTAAACCTTTGTAACAAACCTGCACATGTAGCCTCTGATTCTAAAATAAATGTTGAAAAAAAAATTCTGAAAGCACCTTTTCCTTTTTGTCCTCAGTATTGGGCTTCCTCATGGTTTATAGCTAGTAGGGATTACTACTGCTGTAATGACTTTAAAATGTAAAATTGTTTTGCCATCTCATCTTTCATAATTGCCTTTATTTTTGTTCTTCATTACAAACCTTGCAGTTCTCCTATAGTCTGTTTAGAGGTCAACAGTACCTTTGGCTTTTGGTCCTCTCCTAATTTGCAATTTATAACTTTCTTGGAGAGGGTCTGGATTTAAGTTTGAGTAACTGCATGACTCAAAAGTAACAGAAATGTGATTCTTTCAAAAACATTTCCTAAGTCAGAATTTTAATAATTTAGACAGATTCTTTCCCCACCCCAAATTCTGAATTAATAAGTTCTGTTGGGTTTTAGATACCCACATCATATGTTCTTAAGGAATATCTTATTCTGGAAGCCTACTAGAAAGAAAGATTAGATTTTCTTAAGTTCTGTCATTGAATTTTCGTTTGGTTTGCAATTTGATACAATCTGGCAACCCTATATGAAAAAAAGGATTTGAAAGTTCTTAATCTTATACAGAACATTCTGCTTTCAAGTTTGACTTTTTTAAGAGAGTACAATGGGTTGTGATAGTAAGGGAGGCCTATATAGTTTCATTCAATTAATTAATTGCTACTTTCTCCCTGCCTCAATTTTTCAGTTATTTTTGTTCACAATAATTCACAAAATTTTACTTTTTGTGTGTGTGTGCTTTTGAGACAGGGTCTCACTCTGTCACCCAGGCTGAATGCAGTGGTGCAATCACAGCTCACTGCAGCCTCGACTTCCCAGGCTCAGATGATCCTCCTACCTCAGCTTCCTGAGTGGCTGGGACTACAGGCGCAAGCCACCATGCCCAGCTAATATTTTGTGTTTTTGGTAGAGATGGGGTTTCGCCATGTTTTCAGGCTGGTCTCAAACTCCTGGGTTCAAGCGTTCTGCCTGCCCTGTCCTCCCAGAGTGCTGGGATTACAGAGGTGAGCCACTACACCCAGCCACAAAATGTTTAAAGGAATTTTGCTCCCTGAGTTAGTAGATGAGTAGTTCAAAGGTGCATATACACAAAGTGGATTTACCATGAAGCCAACAAAACAAGTTATAAAATTGAACAGTGGATACTTTTTAATCATCTACCAGAAATCAATATTAAGCTAGGTAGGCATTGTAGGAGTTACATAAGAAAGATAATGGACAGAGCATTCCTGGAAACTAAAACTTTATTAATTAACAAGATGAAACCACAAGAGTTCTAGCCAATGCAGTATAGAAGTAAAGAGGGCTAGAAGATATTGAAAATCTAGGACAAAGGATTACTCTCCAGGGCTAGAGCTACTCAGGGCTTCGAGGATGAGTACTTGAGTTGGGTCTGAAAGCATAAGGATGTAGAGCTGAATCTTCAAAGTTAGCTAAAATGTAGGAACAGAAGGAGAAATCAGGAGATTAGAGCCGTGAGCTAGGAGGCCCTCCAGGAAAGAAGATTGTTTCACATGAGCTAAAAGAACTTCAAGAAAGAATAGGTTTGATAGATTAAATGTGGTCAGAAATTCTTTGCCCTTCATCTCATCAAGAGGTTAGGTCTCTTTCTTCACCTGTTGTATCTAGGCTGGCCTCAGGACTTGTGCTGACAATAGAAAGTGGTCAAAGTGATGTGTGTCTTCCTGATGTAAACCTCAGAGAGACTTGCAGCTTCTTTCTGCCTTCACTACCTTGGAAAGTTGCCCTGAGTTTGACATGTGAGGAAGCCACTTTGCCTCCTCAAGGATGAGAAGCCACTGGGGAGGACTGAAGCTCCCCATTGACAGCCAGCACCTACTGCCACCTATGTGATCAAGTCCCATGTGATTGTGGGCCCTCCTGCCCAGGGAGACATGTGAGTGAGCCCAGGCAAAGCAAGCAGAGGCACCACCCAGCCAAACCAAAGAATCATGGGAAATAGTTGTTTTCAGCTGCAACATTTGGGATGCCTTGTTATGCAGCAATGGATAATTGATGTGAAACAGGCATAAGGAAGGATGAGAAATGGAGGAATACCAATAGATTTGGAAGTCATCGGTGTCCTGGCATCTCAGTTATGGAAAAACCTGAATCCATGAGGAATGTTGCCAGTTTACAGGTGGATACATTGGCTTATCAAAGTCTGAGGCCATTGATTATTTAAATCGTGTTTGTAATTGATAGCCTTATTCAGAGTCTAATGCTCACCAAGAAATCCAATCATTTTAACCTCCACTTGGATAGAGCCAGGCAATGCGTTAGTTAGTCCAAGGATATAGCCAGCCTTCCTCACAATTTTATTTCCCATTGTAAATGAATCATTTTCATTTTATTTTTTTGAAAACAGGGCCTCATCTGTATCAAAAAAAATTAGCCTTATAATTTGATATTTACCTTAAGCTTAAACTGGGAGAATTTTTTTCTGCTTTTTCTAAAGTAAAATATTTTAAAATTTAGACCATCTAAAAGTGTATAAAGCACAAAGTGAAAATTTTCCACAATCCTACTTACTATACCCCCAATAAGCCAGGATTAATGGTTAGTTCAATATAAATACACATGCACACATATACCTACTAACAATTCACCTATCAGGTTTATTCTTCCTTCAAGTAAAAGCTGAAGAATCGCTATGCCCACAATATCTGTAATCATACATTTTTCTCTACTGTTTTCAAAGTATTTTTAAAAGAAAATCACAAATTGTGAAAATGTAGTTTCCTCCCATTATATTAAAACCCAACAATAAGTATCCCTGCATTTCTAAATGGAACGACGTAATCCTAGGAAGAGTAACAAGTTCTGCTTCATTCTTAGCCCCTATGTCTCACCTCTTCCCCCAGGACATGGTTTTGGCAATTAGAGCTACTAAAAAAGGAAAGGGAATTTTCTGCCACTCACTTCTAAATTAAATGTTTCACTTCTAAGTTAAATTGTTTAAACAATCTCTCCTTGTGAAATTTTTTAAACCAGTTTTCTAAAAGCCTATTCATATAAGAAACTTATCTTTCTTAAAATTACCTTAAATGTGCAATATTTAGAACAACGGTAGATGGTTAAGCCTGAGAGTTTTTCTGCTAATCTTAGCCTTAGCAAGTGTTTAGGGCACAGAGAAGGAGCTCTAAGTCTGATAGAGATGGAAAGGCTGAGACCCAAGTTCCTAGCCCAGTGTGAACATGGTATATCTACACTTCCGGGACCCACCCCAAACCCCAAACAAAGAAAACCTGTTGGGGGGAGCTAGAGAGGCGGAAGAAGTTCTGAGATGGTGATTGAGTAGAGCTTTAAAATGTTCACCCGTTGGTTGGGGACTGGGTGGGGGAAGCATTGGGGGGTGGTGGGGGATAAAAGACTACAAATTGAGTTCAATGTATACTGCTCCGGTGATGGGTGCACCAAAATCTCACGATCGCCACTAAAGAACTTACTCTGTAACCAAATATCACCTGTTCCCCAAAAACCTATGGAAATAAACTGTTTTTTAAATGAGATAGTTTTAATCAGTAGCACAGAAGATTCACATCCTCTGTACAACAAAATTAGTTTCAGGAAAAAATCAGGTAAAACAACAATAGTAACAGTTTCTTTTTCCGAAAAGAAATGCAGACAGTGAAAATATTAAACTTTGTTCTAGTAAAAATTATTACATTACAAAAAAGGAAAATATGGTTTAATGCTTTTTAATTACAATGATGTATTTTTGTTTTTGTTTCGTATAAAAGGAAAAAACTTGTAACCTTGTACGTACATATTGGTTGGTCATAGTAATGAATAATAGCATTACAGTTTGATGATAATTATAAAAGGCTAACGTTAAAAAACATTCCAATTGTAAAGATTTTATTCAAATTCAGTACAATATTTCATTGATAAGTGAAAATTTGCACTTGCCAATCAAATACATTCACTTTGTAGTTTGAAAAAAAAAAAAAAAGCTTCATTCATTGGGAAGAAATGGTTATTCTTCCTTAGCTGAATCACCCAAATTAAAGACAAAGCAGGGAAATTGGAATTATGCACTGAGACATAGTCTTACGCTAAAGGGAATGTCCTAATCTAATAATATCTAATAATTTCAGATATTATTCCTTTGCTGTATATAAAAGCTGCACTTTTGACCAAAGAGTATTGTTCAGAAACCAATGCATGTAATACTTACACTTTTGCTAGCTCCATTGATATTTGTTCCAAAGAGCATCCCTTTGTCTCAGGTATAAACATAACAACAAAAAGCAGGGATGCTAGACTCATGATTGTATATATAAAGCACACCCATGGCAGGCCAATAAGATCTATAAAGGACAAAAGAAATTGATTAGAAATGTGTTTTGTGTAGCTTTGATCCCATTTGTGAACAGCCACTTAGGGCATACATAGCACCATATGTATTTTCAAACATGCCAGCAGTATCCAGGAAAATAGAAATCACAAATTTAAAATGTAGCCAGCTCTGAAGGTGTTACTTTTACAGACTACCTTAGTTTTCTCTGTTGAAGAAAATAGCAGTCTTGTAACTATCACAATTTACACCCAATGTCATCTTCTTGGTGGGCATGTCTTTCTGTTTCAAAATGGCAATGTGTCTTTATTAATATAAAAAAGCACATGCAAAAAAGGAACCTCAAATAACATGGAAACATATGATGTAGAAGGTAAAATCTCTCTTCTCCCTCTCCACAGTTCCCCTCTTGGGAATCGCCATGGTAGCAGTTTAGTTTCTGTTCGGTGGACAATTTTTTCCCCCTCTTGCTATCATTCCCAATGGTGGACATTTTTAATGACATTTGTACAGATGGATTTTTCTTGGAATGAGCTCACCCTTCTTTGCTCTGATGTGAATAAATCATTTCATGCTGGCAATATTTCATCATTTTTAATAGCTTGCAGTGTATTTGTAATGTTTCTTCCTGGGTTCAGAGAAAAAAGTGATCATGGATCCAGTAAAAGCCATCAACTTGCCAAGATGCATCACAAGAAGCAGGATCCTCAAGATTCTGATGACTCTCATCTGCAAACCTAGTTTTTCCTCTGACCGCTTCCAGCCAAAGATACAGTCCCTTTGTAGTCATGGACCAAGTCAAGGCACATTCAGTGGTCAGCAGTGGCCCCCACAGTGCACTTGAGGCTGCCATTTGCATTGTGGCGGCCCCTGACTCAGCAGCAGAATGTCTAGTGTGGCAAGGAGTAGTCAACTACGAACAACAAGATTTTACAAATAGCCTTTAACAGCTGCAGCCACAAACCACAGTTGGTCAGGCAGGAAAACTGACTGAGCACTTGTGTACTGAGGCAGTGTTTGTAAATGCAGCATGAAAGAATCGAAGCATAGTAACTACTTGTCGGTGAGTTGTGCTGAGGTTGGGAGAAGCAGGAAGGAGGAACCGCACTGCAGTTCTTTTGGCAATTTTAATTAAACTCCTGTCTCTCTCTGCTTTTCTAGCTGGCACAGGGTATGGCCCAACTGATTGCTTAATAAAGTCCTTGTAGAATTGGGTGTCCTTCCTTCTCTGGAGCTTAAAACCAGAATATAGAAATTGTCAAAACCCTAAAGGCTGTCTCATCAAATTGTCCCCAGTTTTGTTTGAGCACTTTGAGTAACAGGGAGCTCACCATTTCACGAAGCCTCTTACTGCCCTGTGAAATAGTTGCGTCTGCTAAAAAGTTATTCCTTGCTTAGATCCTAAATCTGCCTTTCAGAGGCTGTGCTTTGTCCTGTGGAAGGACACACAGTGAATCAGCTCTCCCCACCCCTTCTCCGTGACAGCCATTCAAATATTTGAATGCACCTCAGCCCTCCTCTGAGAATCCCCTTGTCCAAGTCAAACATCCTGAGCTCTTCAACCATTCTTCCCACAGCATAGGTTACTGCCCTCGCCATTCAGGTTGCCCTCCTTCAGCGAACACACTGCAATTTTTAAATGGCCCTCTCGAGATGTTTTACTCAGAGCTGAATGCAATGCTACAATTGTGTCATGATCACTGCAGAGTACATTTGTCTATCTGGAACAGTCTGCTTTTATTGATACAGCTGAAATTGCATAAAAAATGTTGGTGTTTAAGGGCTTACTGCCAAGTAGAACCTCACGTCTTTTAGATCCCTGTGTCCTACACTTGGAAAATTTATTTTTGAAAATAAGTAGGAAATGTCAAGCATTCCAATTAAATGTCATCTAAAGGTTTTAGAGCATTCTAGGCTTTTTGTTTTTAAGTGGATCTGTTTTCCTACATTTGTTCTAAAAGCCCATACGGAACTTCTAAAGCTTCACTAGCTCCTCCAGTGTATTAGCTATAGCCCTCCCAGAGATGTGTGTCATCTTTTCCATCCCTCATCAATTCCATTTTTTCTTTTATATTTCTCTTTCTCCACATCAAATAGCAGATGGAGGGTGTGTGTGTGTTGAGTACGTGTGTGCACATGTGAAGGTTGAGGGCATGTGTTTATGTGTGTGATCTGAGTAGGACCAGTTTCTTTGTTTCCTTTAATCTTGAGCTACTTCTCAAAAGGTAGGATAGGAACATTTGAAAATTTTATATAAAAACCCAAACCACGCTTAAATAGTAACCCCAAAGGTTAATTTCCAAAAGTGGATATACTAAATATATATGTATGTATGTGTGTGTATATGTGTATATATGTGTTTATATATATGCATGCTTTTCAGCAAACATCCATTTTTGAAAATTGTATCTATAAAGACAATATATATGAAATGAAGAAATTAGGTTATTTGTTTCATAGAACTTCCCACAGTCTGGATTTTCTTGATTGTAGTCATGCTGCATGTTCCTCATCTATATATGAAATAAAGAGAAACCGACTCATTGGTCAGTTTTCGTGGATACTGGGGAACTGCCACATTATTTTGAAAACTAGAAAATAAAGAGAAAGTTTCAAGCACGTATTTTACCTTTCTTATATGATCCACACTTCAGGATAGCCAAATAGCTAATGAGAAGAAATTTCTCTTTAGAGAGGTATTTCAGATAAAAATGGAGAAGGAATGACATAATGAGTAGGTCTGGGAAATGATCATCAAAGGAGGCCAACAATGACAAACAGCGAGACAACCAGACCTCATGTGCCTCCTGTTGGCAGTTCACACGGCAGCAGCTGCCACAGAGTTCACCAAAAAATGACATGTAAATCTCCTCAAGCCTCTATCGTTTTTAAAAAAATAAATTTAGGCTTTATTTATTTATTTTAGCTCTATCATTCTTTGTAATCCCCAAAGGGTTTCCCTTCTTACTTTCTTCATGTTTACAAGTTGGAGCTAGGAAAACAAGGCGAATGCTTCTGTTTCTGATTTGATCCCTAATATTGGGTTATTTTATTATAATATATAAATCTAATTTGTGGTTCCTTTAGATAGGGCTGCTGAATGGAACACACAAACAGCCATTTTTTGTTTTGCTTGTAACATTTTTTTATGCCTTGCCTTATTTCCGACATAGGGATCCTCAAATTTTCTATACAATGCAGTTGAATTTCAGGCTTCAGTGGAAAGTAACAATGAGCCTGACCTTATTACAGAATCTCCCTGCCAGGCACAGTGGCTTACGCCTGTAATCCCAGCACTTCGGGAGGCTGAGGCAGGTGGATCACGAGGTCAGGAGTTCGAGACCAGCCTGAGTCAACAAAGTGAAACCCCATCTCTACTAAAAATACAAAAAAATTAGCCAGGCTTGGTGGTGCGCACCTGTAGTCCCAGCTACTTGGGAGGCTGAGGCAAGAGAATCACTTGAACCTGGGAGATGGAGGTTGTGGTGAGCCGAGATCACACCACTGCACTCCAGCCTGGGCAAGAGAGTGAGACTCTGTCTTAAAAAAAAAAAAAAAAAAAAAAAAAAAAAAAAAAGAATCTCCCTTCTGCTGCTCTCTATCCTTAAATTTGATGAGATCCCTTTTGAAAATAAAAGTTTGTTATTATTACAAGCAATTCTGCCTGACACCTAAACATGACTTTTGTTATTGTGGATTGGTTTCTCTTTCTCCTCAAGCCTCTATCTAAATCTAATAGCAATTTACAAGAAACATAAAAGACAGAGAGGAGGGCTAGGCGTGGTGGCTCGTGCCTGTAATCCCAGCACTTTGGGAAGCTGAGGTGGGTGGATCACTTGCGGTCAGGAGTTTAAGACCAGTCTGGCCAACATGGTGAAATCCCTGTCTCTACTAAAAATACAAAAATTAGCTGGGTGTGATGCTGTGTGCCTGTAATCCCAGCTGCTCCAGAGGCTGAGGCAAGAGAATCATTTCAACCCAGGGGCCGGAGGTTACAGTGAGCCGAGATCATGCCTCATGCCACTGCACTCCAGCCTGGGCAACAGAGAGAGACTATCGGAAAAAAAAAAAAAAAACAAAAAAAAAAACAGAGAAACAGAGAGGGGCACGTGACATGACTATAATCAACAAAATTCAGACTGGAAAATTCTATGAAATAAATCATTTGTTTTTTAATAGATTTTTAATTTCTTTAAAAATATAAGGTATAGTGGGGGTGAGGAGATGGAGGAGATGGAGACAAAACCTACAAATTATGACATATTTCAGTGACTTGTAAGTTATGTATTTGGGTCATGATTCAAATCATGTATAAAAAGCAATTATAAGACAATTAAAACATGAACACAGACTAGGTGTTTGATACTATGGGATGATTATATTTTTAAGTGTGATAATGACATTGTAGTTATATGTTTTTGAATGTCAAAGGTCTATGCTGAAATTTTTCAGAAAAAACAACATTGCATATGGGATGTGACTCAAAATAATTGGGTAGGGGAAGAGCAGGTGGGGTTATAAATAGATTTACATTCAAAACTGTAAATTGGGTCATGGGTACTTCAGGGTCATGGCCGTTCTCCTTCTAAGTGTGTTTGAAAATTTCCACGAAAAAATGGTCTTTAGGTGGGTGTGATTCCCTAACATTTGTCCTACGAGGACCAAAGACATTAGAGGAAAACAAAGACTTCTTACCAGTTACAGTCAAAAATGTCAGCGAGATGAGGAGATTGATGCCCCAGTTCATGCTAGAAGTTAAAGCCATGGCTCGTCCTCTGATCCCACCAGGAAAGATCTCGCTGAGCACCAGCCAGGGCACTAGAAGAAAGGCAAGAGTGGGTGGCGGACAGCACATTTAGCAAAAACCCATTGAATCTGAGTGCCAGCACCCTGATCTCTCCCTGCCCTCATCCTGCCGGGATTTGTGGTTGGGAAGCACCATTTCCTACCTCAGCAGAACAGGACAGTAAAGGGACGTGCTGCCTCCTCACCTCCAGCCAAGGAAGAAAGGATTCACAGAAACATTAGGAGAGCTGGGCCATGGTCCCCATGCATAGGGTGAGGGGCATGAGGTGCTGGTATCTGTCACAGGCCCAAGAAATGCAAACCGCAGGGGCAGAGGTGGGGCCACCTGCCTGGCAGCAACAAGAGAGCCAGCTCTGGACATCTGCCAAGCACAGAAGCCTCAGTGCCAGAGCCCAGGTGTACCTGCTGTAGGACTGGGCTGTTTCCTCAGCTCTCTCCCCCTGACCTTGGAGGAGTCAGAAATCACAGCTAATGAGTGGGTAGGAAATGGAGCCAGGTGGGCATGAGGAAGCCGGCTACTCTCCCTTCTCTGACTTGGGCGTCCTGGCCTGAAGCAAGCTGGATGGAGAGAAGTTCTAAATTAAATAGAGCTCCAAGATTTGATTATTGTACCAGACTAAACATTTGAATTTCTAGAAGGAGAGTCTTATTGGCACCAAAACTCATCAGAGGACTTTTTATTATCTGAGAGTGACAGGGAACATTATGGGGCTTGCCTGATGGGATCAGATGGGGCAATAAAGGAGCAAATTAACTTGTCTTCTGCTCACAGCCTATCAAGCCCAGTTTGCCTAATAAAAAACAGCCAGAAGTTCTTACTGTGGGCTTTTACAAACATTTTTACAACCTCATCTCATTTGATCCTCACAAACCCCTACAAGGTGGGAACTATTACGAAACCTCTTTTATCAAAGAGGAAACTGAGGCTTAGAAGAGTTACTTGCCAAGGTCACAGAGCACTTAAGTGACAAACGTGGCATTATCCCTAGTAGTCTCTGGAATTCATGCTTTTTTGTCATTGTGCTTTATTGATAGTGACTCAATAAATATTTATTAATTAATAAATACATGTCAAGTGTAAGCATCTTTGATTCAGTGGAAAGAAGGCCTTTGGCCCTGCCCCAGCTCAGGCTCACTGTTGGCTGATTCACTGTGTTTCAGAAGACCAGCTCTGATTTATCAACCAATTACATAATTTTATCCCAGAAGAGGGGATGGGAAGAAGAAACTAGAAGCCAGGGAGAGGCCGCTCTGGCCAGCAACCACCTGGGCTGCCTATGCCAGAATCCAGCAGTCAGCCATGCCTCTAACTTAAAATTTGCCTCTCCTGACAAGATTATGCCCTGTAGAAAAAACATCTGCTGGCTGTAAATTTGCTGCTTTAAAAGAAGAAAAAACTAAATTGGATTGCAGAAGACTGGAAAAAATCTATTTTTTTCTTACATTCTCCAAGTGAATCTATACAGGGTTACCTTTCATGCATGGAAGATAATTATAATAAAAAGTAGCGTAATTATTATTGTTGTTCTTATTAATGGGGAATTCAAAACTAGGAAACCGCATGTCTGCCACACTCTCACCTCACCTGTCTTCCCCTGCCCCTCTCCATGCTAAAAGACCTTCACTAGATTCTTGCAGATTATATCGTTGGTGGAATCGCTTTACTTTTAATGAGACCAGTTTAGTGCTCAGGTAACCCTGTCTTGAGCTTTGCAAGACTGAAGATCCAGCTCTGAGTAGACTGATATCTGCATAATTCTGGTGAAGCCTTTGTAATGAAGACCTGTCCTCGGACAAATGCAAGATAAAATTATATAAATCCGATTTTGAAGCTAAATAATATATGCCACGGACCAACCTCCCTATACCCTTTCCTGGCATGGGTATTCGATGCTGGCCAGGTGAAGCTGAGGGTCCCTACAACCATTTGCTTTAACAGCCATGAGGAGGAGGTGGGGTAAAGGGCACTCTCATTTTCTTTTAGTAGAGGAGATAGCTCAGGGTTTCTTCTTCCAGCTTCCATCTTCACCTCGTCACCTTTCAAACCTCCTTCTTCCCCTCCTCATCTTTCATCATGGTGGCCTTGATTATTTAGTGAGATTTGGGGAGAATCATTGCTGGGCTCATCAGAACCACCTTGGCCTCAAATGAAAATGAGTTGATCCTGCTGTGATAGAAAGTGGACCTCGCCAACAAGAAGATGGGACAGTTGCACAAAACACCAGTTTTATGTGCTCAGTCTGAACTGCCAGGGGCTTGTCTAGAAAAACTCGAGATCCACATTGCAAGCCTGTCCTAGATATTCATTCAATATAGCAGCTAAGCCAAGTCCTCCAGTAGTTTCACCAGTCAGTGAGCAGTGAGTTGAATATTGAAAAAGAGGCTTCCCTCAGTCTCTGTTCGAAAGGAAACTTGTCAAGCAAGCCCTACACCTGATGCTTCCAAAAATAACTGTATTGTTGCTGAAAGAGTCTACTTCTTTTTTGATTGAATGAAGGAATTAAAGAATTGATGGCTTGGTTTATCTAATATTGACAAACTGGATGTCACAAAAATTGACAAATGTTTTGACAATTTGACAAGGATGGCTCAACCTCCCAATGTGGAGCCTGTCAAGTTAAAAATAAGAATATTGAGCCTGTAATCCCAGCACTTTGGGAGGCTGAGGTGAGAGGATTGCTTGAGCTCAGTAGTTACAGACCAGCCTGCACAACATAGCGAAATCTTGTCTCTACTTAAAATAATAAATAAAATAAAATAAAATAAAATAAAATAAGCCAGGTGTGGTGGCACATGCCCGTAGTCCCAACTACTTGGGAGGCTGAGGCAGGAGGATCACATGAGCCCAGGAGATCAAGGCTGCCCTAAGCTATGATCATACCACTGCACTCTAGCCTGAGCAACAGAGTGAGACCTTGTCCCTCACCCCAATAAAGAGAGAATATTATTTAAACAATGATTCCAGATTGTAAAATCACAGGTTTTCAGCTCCAGAGAAAGGGAAATACAAATCTGAAAGTATCATGTGCAGCAAGATAGACTCACTGAAAGGGTCAGAGTCTTTCCATGGCTGACCTAGAAGCAAGACAGTGCCAGAATCTCACCAATCTTGATGTTCTCTGGAAAGATGCTTTCAATACCTAAAGCAGAAGCAGTGGAGAAACTCAGTTTCAGTTCATAAGTAAGGACTGAAACTCTTATTCATTCATAGGAGGTATGAATCATTACATGGGGATTTGATGTGTTTATGTTTATAATAACAGGTGGGAGTTTTCTTAAAATCACTAATTCCTTTTCCCAATGAGATGGCCCAATTTCTCCCCAAGGAAAATTAAATTATTGCCACAGGGGAGGGCTCCCTTTCACTACCACAGCAAAAAAGTAGTGGCTCTCTCTGGGAATCTTCTTTATTCCCTACCCCGATGACAGGCCAAAAGGGGATGCACATTGTCCTATTTGTGCATCAGGAATCCACAGAGCACTTGTAACAGAGACACAGTGAACTCTTCTACAGTGAGCGCAGCCACTGGAGTTCAGCAGGCACGAAAATTATTCTCCTTGACTCCTATTACTCCACTTTCAATCCCATCGTTTGAGGACCGCCTCAGCAATTCGTACTCTTACAAATGTCAGGGTCTGCATGAATCTTGAAGGTCTTGTCTATGTTGCAATAATGGAGGAAGTTTTGGACTTGTGGGGGGGCGGAGGTGTGGTGATTGTTTACAGAGATGAAACTCATATTTCACATGGTATTAAATCATCAAGGCTGCCTATCAGAACTTGCCTGATCCAGATGAAATCCACAGACAGCGTGCTTATGGCTACACAGAGTGTCATAAAAAGATCATGAAGGGCAAGTTCGTTGAAGTCTCTCTGTCTCCGGTTGAGGACATGGACTTGGATTCATAGGGGTATTCAATGGAAATGGCAGCCCTGACACTTGTGTGTTTCCCCCTCCTACCTATTTCAGGTTCCTGCCCCAGTTTTTCCCACAGAAACTGTCATTTAACCTTCTATGCCTTCAGATTTAAATTCTACAGCTCTCCAGGCACACTTTCTGTTTGGCTTGAGTCCTTCCTAAACCACCTGGCATGCTAGCCCAGGGTTTGAAAGGCTCACAGAGGTCTTGAAAATCTTGCCAGAGAACTCCTAACAATTTGGAGGAAGCTCTACACTCAGACTGCAGAGTTTTCAACAACTTGATTTGCAAAGGAGCCATGCCCTATACTTTGTAGGAGTGAAAAATCCTTGGTTTTTATTGCCTTTGTAAGCGGCACACCTACCTCTCTGACTGCAAAGGAGTAATTCAAATGTGAATTTGAGAGGGACTGTGCCCATCCCTTCCAAGCAGATGTTTAAATTCTGGCCTCATAAGTTGCCCAAGTGGAAAAATTGGGTTCTTTAAAAATAAGTATACGACCAGGTGTGATGGTTCACTCCTGTAATCCTAGCACTTTGGGAGGTCGAGGCAGGTGGATCGCTTGAGCCCAGGAGTTTGAGACCAGCCTGGGCAATGTAGTGAAACCCCGTCTCTATAAAAAAATACAAAAATTAGCCAGGTGTGGTGATGTGTGCCTGTAGTCTCAGCTACCCAGGAGGCTGAGGCAGGAAGATTGAGCCTGCAGTGAGTGATCTTTGAATTTTAAAATCAAATTAAAAATATGATCTTAAATTGAAATTTCTTTTTATTTACTCTAAGAGCTTCCAAGAGTTTTTCTGAATTAAGTTATTAACAGGAGATCGAGGCTGCAGTGAGCCATGATCACGCCACTGCACTACAGCCCAAGTGTCAGAGTGAGACCCTGTCTCAAAAAAATAAATAAATAAAACAAAAATAGGCCAGGGGCAGTGGCTCATTCCTGTAATTCCAGCACTTTGGGAGCCCGAGGTGGGCAGATCACCTAAGCTCAGGAGTTTGAGACCAGCCTGGCCAGCATTGTGAAACCTCATCTCTACTAAAAATACAAAAAATTAGACAAGCGTGGTAGACAAGCCTGTAGCCCCAGCTACTTGGGAAGCTAAGGCAGGAGAATCGCTTGAGCCCAGGAGGTGGAAGTTGCAGTGAGCCGAGATCACACCACGGCACTCCAACCTGGGAGACAGAGCTAGGCTGCCTCCCCCAAAATAAATAAATAATAAATAAATAAACCCCACTATAGGATAGCATCCCCAACATTGGCAGTGATGTGGTTGCTTTAATTTCTTGTTCTTTTTTGTATTCTCAGTCTCCCTGAGTCATATCCACTCATGGCCTTTTGTAAAAGAAATACTTTTTCAAGAATATTATCTTGGATTACTTAAATTACAAACTAAAAAAGGCAATTAAATAAAGGCTCAATGTTCTCTAATCTTTCTGTCCTAAAGATTTCTAGTCAAAACCAACTGAAATGATTTTTCAAAAAAATATACTAAGGGAAATTGGACTAAATGGAATAAGCCTCAATAATGAATGCTGGAGTTAAAAATGGAACTCTTTTGTGAGCAGGCACCAATTGGGGATAAGAGAGAACTATGGCAGTGGTCTTCAAACTCTCTTGCTTGTGTGGCCTGGAATTTTAATAACTATTTTCTTTAATTTATAAGCCAACAGCTAACATTTTTTCACCATAAATTTAAATAATAGCAAAGGATGCAATTTATATTGTATTTAAATTCTAACATTTAAAGTAGAATAGTTATATTACTCTTTTAAATGTTTCCTGTGGAACTCAAATACCATACCTATTTGATAGCCATTGTCATCCATTTAAAAAATTTAGGAACAGGCCAGCGCAGTGGCCCACTCCTACAATTCCATTGCTTTGGGAGGCTGAGGAAGGAGGATCCCTTGAGGCCAGAAGTTTGGGAAAAGCCTGGGCAACATAACTAGGCTCTGTCTCTACAAAAAATTTTTAAAAATATAGCCAGGAATGGTGGTGCATGCCTGTAGTCCTAGCTACTCAGGAGGCATAGGCAGGACGATGGCTTGAACCCAGAAGTTTGAGGATGCAGTGAGCTATGATCAATCACACCATTACACTCCAGCCTAGGCAACAGAGCAAGACCCTGTCTCTTAGAAAGTAAATAAATAAATAGTATAAGAACAAGGTATTTAATAGAAAGTTTACATTGTTTCTTTTTCACTTGAACTTAGTATTTTACTCTACTGTACTGCATTTTTAAGCTGGAAAGTCTTTTATTGATCATCCCATCATACATCTCTCAAAAAAACTATGACCTTAGGCCGGGCATGGTGGCTCATGCCTGTAATCCTAGCTACTTGGGAGACTGAGGCACAAGAATTGCTTGAACCCTGGAGGTGGAGGTGGAGGTGGAGGTTGCATCATTGCACTCCAGCCTGGGTGACAAGAGTGAAATTCTGTCTCAAACAATAATATTAATAATAATAATAATGTTTTAAAATATGACTTTAAATTGAAATTTTTTTATTTACTCTAAGAGCTTCTAAGAATCTGTGTGAATTAAGCTATTAGCATAATAATTACTATAAATGGATCAAAATTATAGAAATATCTTACATATTTTAGAAATGATTGTTAAACAGGAAAAATGAAAATATATTGGAAATACCTCTCAATGAGATGGATGGGGAGTTTTTTTCTTTATTTTGTATCTGTGGTTGAATGTCACTTATTTCTAGAATAACATGATACATTTCTACTTTTTAAATGGATGAAAATGATTGTTCTCAAGATTAATTAAAATATGGGGAGTTGAAAAAATTTTGTTAATAGCAATGTCACTTAATTCTTTAAGTAAAACAGAAGTTATTTGTAATAATATAGTGCTGATAACTTGATTAGATTATCCTTTATTTTTTGTTGAAAGCAAATTATTGGAAATAGCTTGACTTATAAAATGATGATTATCTAGGCTTTAGACTCATTTTTGAACAGCTACACCAATATTTCCAGTTGTGTTTTTAACTAGCATTCTTAGGTTTTTACAATTTTGAACATGTATCAAAATAATATTTCTGGTAGTAACAAGTGTGCTTTCTTTTAAGTGGGAGAACAGCTATAACTGGGGAGATGGGGAAGGAGAAATATCAAGAAACAGATTTTTTTGAACCTGAATCTCTGGAAATTGATTTGCTTTGAATTATCATGGAAGGAGTGCGCTTCAGAAAGTAAACTCCCTAGAGCAGTGGTCCCCAACCTTTTTGGCACCAGGGACTGGTTTTGTGGAAGACAATTTTTCCACAGACGGGGGCAGGAGGTATGGTTTCGGGATGATTCAAGTACGTGACGTTTATCATTAGATTCTCATAAGGAGCATGCAACCTACATCCCTCGCATGGGCAGACACTAGGGTTTGCCCACCTATGAGACCTTAATGCTGCAGCTGATTAGACAGGAGGTAGAGCTCAGCTTCACTTGCTCACCCATAGCTCACCTCCTGCTGTGCAGCCGGGTTCCTAACAGGCCACAGACCTGTACTGGTCCAGTCCATGGTCCAGGAGTTGGGAACCCCTACCCCGGAGCATGCATACCCCAATATGCAGACCACTGAACTAAAAGTTCAAAATACCAAGCCAAAAAGGAAGGAGCTGCAAGAAATTAGTCTTTTCTAGTTTGTACTACAACTTGAATGTCATGGCTTCGGAGATCATATTTGATGTTGTACATTTTTCATTATTGATACTTTAATTAGAAATGTATTATAGTTTTAAATGTTGCAAATTATCCTTGAAAAATCCTTAACACTGAGTCATGGAAAACAGTAAAGTAACACGTGAATACTTGTGTTTATTAAGATAGTATTAAAGCCTTAGCCTGACACTTTAACATCTTTTACAGTCCAATATTTATCATTTTCAAGGTCATAGAACTGTAATTGGAGTATAGACTGAGAGATAAGTTAAACACTGACGTATTATGTGAGCAGTTGCCCATGGTGACAGGACTGATGGTGTCATTTTGCTGTACTTCTTGCTGTGGTTATGCTACAAAAATGTAGTTTTAAACTCTAGTTCTATTAGATACTGCTGCTGCATCATCTAACTCCGAGGGGAAAACAGGATTTAATTAGCTAAGTGCATCTAGTTCTTTAAGTTTTTCCTGGTTGTTTGGATGCAAAGTTAATACAGAACCACATGAATGCTGTTTTCCATATAATAATTCACCATTCCCATCACCCTAAATGACCTTTGACTTAATTAGTTGAGAAAAAGGAACAGTGTTTGTGTAAATATTGGTGATAACTGAAATTTAAGATTTAAAGGGAAAAACAAGATTTGAAAGATCTTAAAGGTAGATGCACAACATAAACTCACATGACTATTATTGTATAATGGCTACATTTAATAACAAAACTCTCCTGTTAACACTTTTACACTGTTGGAAGCATGTGGGGGATGGGGACCAACACACACACTGGGGCCTATCGAAGGAGTGTGTGGGGGGAAGGAGAGCATCAGGAAGAATAGCAAATGGATGCTGGGCTTAATACCTAGGTGGTGGGTTGATCTGTGCAGCAAACGACCATGGCACACGTTTACCTATGTAACAAACCTCCACATCCTGCACATGTACCCCTGAACTTAAAAGTTGGAAATAAATATATATTTAAAAAATAAATAACCCTCTCCTGTTCAAAAAATAACAATGTCTGAAATTGCCTTTTCTCTGAAGATATGTAATTATCCCATAAGAATGGTGGAAGAGGAAGATGAGCAGAGAAAAAGCCTTTGACTGTGGTGGTTCTGCGTGTTAGGGACCTGGAGCCTTGGAGGAAATCTGAAGAATACCAGAATCTTTTTTGAAACACCTGTGCTTCTGCAATGTCAGCCTCTTTGCCTTAAACCCAGTAGGTCTTGAAATGAAGCCACTAGGTAAACTTCCAAATTAGAACCTGCTGCTCCACATCCTTGGAGCTGTCATAATCTTTAGCTGTGCAAATATCCAATGAACAAAATTTTTAAGAGCCAGAGTTATTTGTTTAAATCTAAGTTTAAATTTTACGGCAGATGACTCATGCTTCCAACATTGATACCCACCCTCCAATAGGCTGGTTCAGCTCCATAAAACCAAACAGAGCAAAAAGCTAGGCTCTATGGTCTTTGAGTTTTTCAAAATTCTAGTTTGTTGTTTCGAATAGAAAGAAAGACATTTGAGTTTTAGGATATTTGGGTTGGGAGCCAGTTCTCCGTAGGTCTCTCACATTTCTTCATGTCTTATGGGAAAAGGCACTGACTGTCTTTGCTCTAGGCTGTCTTTCCAAGGCTGTTTGTATAATAGCCTTGTTGTAGGCTGCATAATAAATAGTCTTGGAGATAGAGATAGTGTCACCCTCTGGAGCAGAGGGCAAGTTTGTTGACTGTCCGATAAAGATAACATCTCCTAGAAAAAATAACAAAAGAAAAAATAAATAAATAAATAAATAAATAAGATAATGTCTCCATCCAGGGAAGACATCCGGGTAGCTTACTCTCTATTATGAAAAATGTGGGTTTGCTAGGCTGGGGTGTTCCCTCAAAAAAAAAAATTATGTGCAGGTGTCATCTGGCCCCCTTCATGTTGACCTGTACTGGGGCTAGGAGAACCTGGGCAAGTGTTGATATTCTGGCTATTGCTTTGCTATAGATAATAAACTGCCCTTTGTCTCTGACCAAGGAATCTTGTGTTTTTTGTCAACATCATTAAACTGTGACAGGTTAACTTGTTGATATTCTAGCTATTGCTTTGCTATGGATAATAAACTGCCCTTTGTCTCTGACCAAGGAGTCTTGTGTTTTTTGTCAACATCATTAAACTGTGACAGGCTAACTTGTTAGCTTGCAAATGGGGTAAAATCTCAGCCCCTTATGGTTATCAACAGTTTGATTACTTGTGGCTATGGTATGATTTTTCTACAAAGATCTTTTAGTACTATTATCAACTTTAGATTGCCCATTCACATCTGAGAGATTTAATGTGATTCTTAAGGCTGAGATAATCTATTGAAATATTTCTATAACCTCTAATGTTTAATTAGGTAAGCAAAAACACTTCCCTCCCAAATTCCAGGTTTAGATTGTCACATATTTCTCTTAGGAAAACCATGAAGGAATTTCCTCCAATCTTTTTGGTAAAAAGTTTAAATACATTCAATTACATGAAACCAAGGTAGGAATAATTATCCTACCTTGGATGGGCTATTCTCAATCTTTTTCTCAGAGGAAGCTGGGTCTCATATTTGGAGAAAAACATGGAAAAACTTAAAATAAATTTTGTCTAACACTGTACATTTTTTTAAATGGCCTTCATTTTAGTGAATCTAAAACATGAAACTTTTTCAGTCACCAAATATTGCAGATGGCCTTGCATACTCAATTTAGTAGCTTTACTCAGAAATAATTTTTGGCCAAATGTGTGTGAGGTTCCACACAAGCCACATTCACCTCTCATTCCCTGGATATTGGGTCAGAGTCATACCAGAGGACATCAAGATATCCAGTCCCAGACTAGGGAGCTCCCCCTTAATTATGGAAGCTGAAAGAGTTCTAGAAAGAATTTTTTGATTCATCCAACAAATATTTATTGAGCCCCAGTTGTAGGCCAGGTGCCATGTTAGGCCTGGAGAAGCCAATGTGAACAGGGCAGAGTTGATGTTTGCACAGGATATATAGTCTAAATTCGTTGCACCAACTTAGAAGAGTGGACATTTAGGCCGGGCACGGTGACTCACGCCTGTAATCCCAGCACTTTGGGAGGCCGAGGAGGGCGGATCACAAGGTCAGGAGATCGAGACCACCTTGGCGAACACGATGAAACCCTGTCTCTACTAAAAATACAAAAAAAATTAGCCAGGCGTGGTGGCGGGCGCCTGTAGTCCCAGCTACTCGGGACGCTGAGGCAGGAGAATGGCGTGAACCCGGAAGGCGGAGCTTGCAGTGAGCCGAGATCGCGCCACTGCACTCCATCCAGCCTGGGCGACAGAGCGAGACTCTGTCTCAAAAGAAAAAAAAAAAAAAGAAGAGTGGACATTTGTATGTTTCTCAGCCTATATCTCACCTTTCATCTTTCACCAAAGCTTCATGATTCTCTGTAAAACCTGTCTGGTTTCCTAGGAAGCCCTCTGGACTGCAGGTGACCTAGGATTGAACTATGTTTCTCAAAGCCACAATCCGGTCTCTGTGGTCCTGACTCAGCTGGATTTATGTGTAGAGGGAGGGAAAGAAGACCACAGCATCGTAAATCAATAAAGGGCTTTAAGCACATCCTATGTGTCCCAGAGTGACTTAAGCAAAATGCCTGTTGAAGTCAGTGCTGGCATTATCAGAACTGTTCACCTCATGTCTAGACCACAGCCAGACATTTAATAACACTAATGACTAAGTGTACTAAGTCCATGCCACAAACCATGCACTGAACTAGGGGCACTTTATACAGATTCCTTCATTTAACTCGACAGGCCATCAAGTGGATACAATTGCCCTGTTTTCTAGATAAAACTGAAAGCTAGAGAGATCAATGGACTTGCCCTAAGTCCTGCATGGTGGTGCTGGATTCAAGGCCAGGCAGTCCAATACCAAAGCCTGGTCCACATTCAAACACAATGGCTTTCTTGCAGCTCTCCTCACCCTTCAAGCTCATGTCCTCAAAGCCATCTGACCTGCCATTAGCCCTGCTTCAAGACCCCCTCCTCCAAGATTGTCACACTGCCTTCTTCATACAAACGTTGGCCCAAATGTTACCACCTCAGAAATGTCTTCTGTCACTATCATATCGGAAATAACCCTCCTCCAAGCATGCCCTTTCACTTACCCTCTTTTATTTTTCTTTATCACTCTTACCTCCACCTAAATTTTAACACTTCTGTCTCCTGAAACTGTATCATAGGTGTGTTCATTTTTTTTTTCTTTTCGTCTGTCCCTATCACTGGTTCGTGAAAATAAGATGTGGATCTCCAGCACCTGGTACTGTGCCTGCCATGTTGTGGGTGAGCAAGACACATGTGCTGGATGTGTGAGTGAATCAATGAATCCCTACCACTTCTCTATCTTCTCCTCTTCCTCACTCCAAGATGTTTTCTGGCTGGAATTTCTGCCCATTTGAGTCCTCAGAGTTGGTAGAAGAGATCAGGGGAGGTTATTTGGTGTCATCTGTCACTTGAATATGTGAATACAAAGGTAGCTGAAGGATGACAGTCGCAGCTTTATCACCTAACTTCGTATGTGACCTTGGGAAACATGCCTTCCATCTGCTCAAAGTGAAAACTTATTCATCATGAGATGAAAGAAGAGGTTAATTAATTAATTTATGGGCATATTAATTTTTGGATAAAAAGCCCTAATAATTATTATAAAAAAAACAGTCACATATATTTTCCGGAGTTTCAGTGGCTATTTTAAGGAGGGCTGGGTTTCTACACAAGTGTCACCTCAGATGAACTCATGAAATAATAACATTATGCCTTGGGTTTTGGCTCATCTTGACTTTACTTGTGAAGCATGAATATAAAAATCTTCACGTTGTTCTGTGTCTTCACAATGTCAAGAATCTGTGATTCTACGTTGTGAAAGCTTGAACCATGTTAGAAAAATTCTGTTATTAAAGGGAGCTGAAGTGATGATCAAGAGCACCCCAGAAACAGTGGGGAGTCGAGGTAAGATTTTGAACATATTTGAAGTGAAAGATAAGTTATGGACAACAGAGTGTTTAATAAGTATATATCCTGATTTTGTTTGACATACGGGTTTTAATATTAGCTACAGAAAAATGGAAGGGAGGGGCTCTTAGCCTCTCTGGGGCCATGAACCTCTTCGGTAGGCTGGTGAAGCCTATGGACCCCTTCTTAGAATAATATTTTAAATGCATTCTAGAAGTACATAAGATGTTGGGCGCAATGGCTCATGCCTATAATTCCAGCACTTTGGGAGGCCAAGGCAGGTGGATCACTTGAGGTCAGGTGTTCAAGACCAGCCTGGCCAATATGGTAAAACCCCGTCTCTACTAAAACTACAAAAATTAACCAGGCCTGGTGGTAGTGCACAACTGTAATCCCAGCTACTCAGGAGGCTGAGGCAGGAGAATCGCTTGGACTCAGGAGGCGGAGATTGCAGTGAGCCGAGATCGAGCCACTGCACTCCAGCCTGGGCAACAGAGTGAGATTCCATCTCAAAAAAAAAAAAAAAAAAGTATGTAAGATTACATGAGTACCCCTCCTGGATTCTAAATTCTGGGGCAACCCAATTATTTTACAGTTAGGGGAACAGGGGACCAGAAAGTAAAATGACGTGGGGCATCCACTTTAACCTAAGAATAGAAACACTTTCCTGGCAGAAGAAAATCATGCTGTGATCTAACACAATTAAGGAATGTTGTTCTAAGCCAATCCATATTTAAGAAGGTCTAATAAGGATGGTTTAATCTTGCTTTCAATGTTACTTTAGAACAGCAAGTACTTTTCCTTCATACCTCTATTTACACAAAGGATTTATTTGTATTACAAGCAATAAACTCTCTAAATACCTGAGCACTAATCACATCAGCTTAATAAGTTTGGTAATGCATTCAAGATCTGGTATGAAAAGCTTGTTCCTAATAAAAATCTTCTTTAAACTCCAACTAGTTTATATAGTTTATACCAATGCTCTAGAATACAATTGGGGATTGAAATGAAATTACTACAGGATATTTTCTTTAGAAAAGAAAAAGAAACTAAAATGTGAATATGGATGTAAAGGATTGACTCTTAGCAAGAAAAAAAATGGAGAATTATTTGGGTCTCTTTTAAAAACACGAGGAGAATCCATAGCCTCAAGATAAGAATGTGAAATGACTGTTCTCTTTAGATGTGATTTGGATTCCTGCCTCTGACAGCATGACTCCAAGCCTCACGTGTGATTACCCAGGCCAGTCCTTGCACCTGCAGTTGTAAATTGGACAGTCCATGAGATGTAAGAAGTATTTCCTTTTCCTAGATCCAAACTTCCTTCAACCCTGAGATTCTCCAACTCGTTGGCATTGCTTCTGGTCTAAGCAGTTCTCCGAAGCCCCTCTTCTCCATGTTGTAGCAAAAAGCAGAGGATCCAAAAAGCATCCAGAACAACTTTTAGATATTGTGTCCAAAATTCTCGAATAACTATGTATGCCTTAACAAAGAAATGCCTAAATATCTCCCGCTAATTGTTTCTTAACACTACTAAATCTCCTGCATCTTTTCTTACAGCCAAAATCAGAAAGATATTTTTTAAAAATCATGCCCAAGTGATGGATTGTTCTGCAAAAAGCCTCGTGATGGTGTCTGGCAGGAACAGGAGTTTTTTTGGCAGCCTAGTATTTCTAGCTTACTTAGTTCCTAGCCTGCCCACTAGCCAGATCTTTACACAAGTAAAGAAGCCCAATTTGACATTTTTCCTATGTCTGCATCGTATTTTTAAGTCCTTTTCCTTCTTCCTGCTTAAAAACACAAAGGTAAATAAACCAGCATGATTTTTAAACAGACTCATGCTGTGCTCACTTACAGGGACAGAAAGAAAAAATATGAGATGTTTCTTCCTTCAAAATGCTTACAGTCTATAACTACATTCTGGTTAATAAACCAAAATAAACATACAGAAGTAATACCCTATTGCTAAGGACTAAGATGTGTTCTCACATTGTAACTTACATTATATCATACTCTCATACTTTACAGCATCTAAAGCACTCTCATATACATTAGATCATCTGATGTGCACCTGTACTCTAGGAGATAGGACAGATATTACTATGCCCATTACATAGATTAGAAATAGCTCAGAGAAGAAAAATCACGTAAAGGTCACACCACCAGTAAGTAGAAGAGCTGGGATTAGAACAGAGGTTTTCTGATTTTAAATTTATACGTTTGGTAGCCCAGAACTGAATTACTCTAGAAACACACTAGTAGTTCATACAAATAAAGACCTCTAAAAAATGGAGTGGATTCAAAGAGGAGATAAAGCTTTCATTTAACTTCAAAAAGAGGAAGGATCTGGATAGAGCAGAGGCGGAAGGAAGGGGCCACAACAAGTGCTTTGTGTGTATTGACTTGGGTGTGGAGCAGTGGGGAATAAACCCACACTGATAAAGTATTGCCTCATTGCACAACCCCAGGGAGCATCATTCACTTTGTCCGTTATGTGGAGTCTATGGTGGCCCTGGAGCACAAGACTTAAGACTACAAGTAAATCGTGGCCCTATGGTCCTGCAGACACCCTGATAGAGCTGGGTGAGATAATGGAGGGTCTTGAAAAACCAGAGGTTTTGCCTCAAACATAGGTGATATAGAAGCAGAAAGAACATGGATTAGCTTTCAGGTACCTAGGGTTCTATTCCCAAATCTGTGTGCCCTCAATCTCCCAGAATTTCTTTTACTTGTTTTCTATTGAATGGCTCATGCCTGTAATCCCAGCACTTTGGGAGGCTGAGGTGGGTAGATCACTTGAGGTCAGGAGTTCAAGACCAGCCTGGCCAACATGGCGAAACCCCGTCTCTACTAAAAATACAAAAATTAGCTGGGCATGGTGGCAGGTGCCTATAATCCCAGCTACTTGGGAGGCTGAGGCAGGAGAATCTCTTGAACCCGGGAGGCAGAGGTTGCAGTGAGCCGAGATCACACCGTTGCACTCCAGCCTAGGTGACAAGAGTGAAACTCCATCTCAAAAAAGAAAAGAAAAGAAAAGAAAAGAAAAGAAAAGAAAAGAAAAGAAAAGAAAAGAAAAGAAAAATGTTGCCCCAGATCATTTCTAATCTCCTTTTCATCTGGAAAGCCATTTGACCTGTATGTCGTGGAAGAAAAGAGGAAAGCTTTGAAGATTTGTAAACATTGATGACATGAGGAAAATGGTATTTAAGGAATACTGGTGTGAAAGTTGCCAATACCAAAATGGAGTCACTTATGTCAAAACACAAACAAAATGGAGTCAGGAGGGCAAGAAAGAAGGAGCTCTTATCACAAGAGATTTCTGCACGTACTACATGATTTTCCTGTAACAGGACTTATTGCAAGGAAATCCCTCAAGACGGCAGTATTCCAAATAATCTGTTTACACAAGGACACTTGCCTAGTTAGTCTGTCTCAACCAACCAATAAGCTAATGCCAACTCCTGTAACAAACTCATGTTACCTTTGGTCTTTGTAACCTTTGGTTACAGTCTATGTGGAATTCTTTTTGTCTTTCAAAGCTCCCCCTTTGCCCCAACCCCCAGATATGTCTATGAACCATCACAGCATGCATATCACAGGTTTGCAACACCCCCGCTATTCCGTATTAAACTCTTTGCTTCGGAGAGTTGGTCACTCATTTTAGGTTGACAGTGGTCTGGAGGATGGATGGGTGTGAGAAGGGCCTGGAATAGACAATGACTTCTGGAAGGGTATCCCAGTAATCTGACAACGAGATGATAAGAGGTAGCATAGGATGGCAGATATAGGAAGGAAACCATAAAAGCAACAGCCGTTGTGATGATTGACTGAACTGAGAAAAAGCCCCAGAGCATCGCTCCGAGTGGCAGGAAGAGTGACTGCCCTCTAGAAAGGGAATGGAAGTGGTAAAGAACCCTGGTACAAGAGGAAAAGGAATTCAGCTTTGGGGTTGTTGTGTTTGGCTGACAGTGAAGCATGGAGGGGGAAAGGTTTAGTACTCATTGGGAAAAAAGGAGCTAGAAATCATGTGAGACGATGGAACTGGAAATAAGCGAGAGTCATCAGCTCAAGGGAGATAATTAACGTTCCTGAGAAAACAAGCATGAAAGCCTTTATAATGCATTAGCAAATGTGTTTTTCAGTTTTATAGCTAAAGAAACAGAAGGCGAGGAGACCTTAATGAAATGACCTCACCTCTTATTTTAGATGGAATGGAAGCTAGTCATATATTTGAATAATTAACATTTTGATTTTTAAAGTTTATCACAGCAATGGACTGAATTTAGGGCCCTTGACCTTTTGAAATTTTTTCCCCCACAGTCACGTGTATTCTCTCTTAGGCCAGAGTCTGTTACTGTGATGATTTTGTGCTGTGTTACTTAGCTAAGCTAGAAGGACATTTCCCAGAATTCCCTTCCCCTGGGTAGCTCTGGATTAGGGTTGGAAAGAAGAGAAATTTGCATGATTTGGAAGGCCAAAGTGACCCTACAGTGCTGTGCTTGAGGCATTGGTGCCGGGCCCTAGCCACCACCGCAGCTCGTGCACCCTGCTGCCGATCACTGGTTCCCCTTGTTGGAGTGAGGGCCCAGCGAGTTTGGCCAGATCTCCTCCTACAACTTCTCCAAGCACTAGACTGGGCTCTGGGAGAAGGCAGCAGTTTTTCTGCAGGTCGCCTGCCTCACTGGAGTGATGTGGCGAAAGACATGAGTGCTGCAGTTTCCTCCCATGGATTCCAGTTTGTCTACCGGATTCAGTGAGTCGTCTCTGCTTCCCTCTGCTTTGAGTCCAGCTTTTCCTCCGGCCTGCCCTGCTGCCAAGCAGAAGCTTCAGAAGGCCACCACCAGATGCCAAGACCGCAGTCTTCCACATACTTCTTCACCAGCTTCCCTCTGTGCCTTGATTAATAAATTTTTCCTTTTTCCCCAATTGTCCCCTTCTAGACCTTTGTGTTCTCAGCTTCTCCTACAATTGTGCGATACCAAATCCCTATAGGAAATGATTTGCCGTATCATTCACAGCAGTCCTAATTCCCTGCTGCAATTGCTCAGGCTGTCTACAGATTACCCAGGCCCTACTATACCCAATCTCCCTTTAGTTGACTGCACTCGTGCATTTTTACTTATTTCCAAGGGACCATTAGCTCTTAGTAAATGATGATGAGATTTTTAAATGCATCTTAATATGCGTGAGATTTTTAAATGTATCTTATATAAATGGTCATCATGATAGACTAGAAACCAGAATTGAATAATGTATAGAAAAACTATAGACTTCAGGTGTCTGACCCTGGGCACCTCCACAACACCCAGAACTACCCAACTCCAGCTATTAAGTAAGAGAGAAAGAAACTTCTAATTTGTTTAAGCCATTGTTATTTTGGGCCTTGTTACATCTGCTGAGCTTGAATTCTACATTCAGCATTTTCTCAATACGTTCAGTTATGAAAGTAAATGCACAGCAAAAACTCTCTTCTTGTTATTACCCTTCTTCTCTTTCATCCTATATCTCAGCCTTATAAAAAGTACATGTTCACTTACTTAGCAGAGCTTCAGAAAAGCAGAGACTATTTCTCTATTTTGCAAAATGCACAATGGTCCATTAGTATCCTGATGGATGGACAATGGTACACTATTTTTATTCATTCTTCCTCCTAGTGGACTTTCAAGGAGAAGAATGAACTAAAAATAATTAACATTTACCCTTAAGATCAACACAGGACTGCCTATTCCTGTCTTAGACTTGAGATTAATGTTGAATTTCAGAAGATAAAACATGTTTTCATTTATTTCAGCAAGTCACTTAATTTCTCTGAGACTCAGTATCTTCATTTGTAAAATGCAGTGAATATCCTTTCTTATCAGGCTTGTTTTGAAGGTAAAATGAAGTACTGCAAAGTACGTAAAAGCTGCCTAGCACAGTATTTGACATACTAGGTGTCAATAAATATTAGTGGAATCTAAAGCTTAAACCATATTTTAAAAAAATTAGCATAGAATGTTATTGAAAGACAACCAGCCGACAGAATGTTTTCTCTTTTGTTGTTTTGTTTTCTTTTTTTGGAGACAGGGTCTCACTCTGTTGCCTAGGCTGGAGTGCAATGCTCACTGCAACCTCTGCCTCCCAGGTTCAAGAGATTCTCCTGCCTCAGCCTCCTGGGTAGCTGGGATTACAACTGTGTGCCACAATGCCTAGCTGTTTTTTGTATTTTTAGTAGAGACGGGGTTTTCACCATGTTGGCCAGGCTGGTCTTGAACTCCTAACTTCAAGTACTCCACCAGCCTCGGCCTCCCAAAGTGTTGGGATTACAGGCATGAGCCACCACTCCCAGCCTCCAGTAATTTTTTCTAAAATCAAATTTGGTTTTCTGAAAAGGAGAACTCTTGCTCTAATACAATAAGGTATCAAATGATGTGTTAGAGACTGGAAGATTTGCTGCATTTTTCAAAATTACCCCAAAACTAAAGAGAGATGGGTGGCATGAAATTGAAAGGACTCTAACCATGAGTAGGTTGGTTCAGGAGGCCTAAGATCAATGTCTCTCATATTGATCTCATATCATAATATGTGCCATGACATATACCCTTTTAACCTGAGAGGTTTTCTGAATTAGAAAGAAGAGGGTATCCCTTCCTTTTTTTGTGGCTTTTTCTTAGACTCTTAGCTAATCTTGACATTTCAAAAAATTGGACCAAGAAAATTGATGTACAAAGGAAATACTTTTAGTTTTATGTTGAATATACAAGAAGGACAAGAGATGCTAGCAGAAGAAACCAATGGAACAGTAACTACCACCTGAAGTTTATCAAATGAGCAAAGCTTATTGTACTTGTTAACATAGAGAAGTTTCACACCCAAATCTAAGGTGTTCCTTGGTACAAGACTGCACCTATATCTCGTCCTTCTGCTTTGAAGAGTTTCTTGAAATAAAAATGTAATAAAAATAAAATAAAGAAAATAATAAAAATGAAAATAAGAGGTTAGCTCAAATTTCATTAGCTTAAAGTGTCATAGTAGCCATATGAGTATCTCATAGGTATACACTCAAGATAATTGAACCCCAAAGTAATGGTAGAAATCTGTTTCCGGGAAACTGTTCATTAATGGTAATTATCATTGTTAAGTCTTAAAAAGCAGGTTTAAGGTTCAGGAGCAGGTCTGAGTCATCAGAGGCTGGTGGTATTGTAATGTTTACTCTATCTGCCCAAGCAGTCTTATAGCGGGAAATATGTCTACTCACAGTGCAGAGGAAGGGCCATGTCTTGGTCTTCCATGTCTTGGACCATGACCCAATCTTGCCACAGCTGTTTAGGCCTGAACTTCCATCTCTGACTTGGCACAGCAAAGAGCAGCGTCAATCAGATTTCACCTAACCCTTCTCTCTCTCTCTTTGGAATTTGAACAAATCAATATCTAGAAACTGAGTGCCCTTAGAAGTGGAATTAGAAGCTGAAAAATGAGGAGGTGGAGTTAGAGCAGGAGAGGACATATCAGCCATGTGCAAGTCTAGTTATTAATTGAGATTAAGCAGGCCAAACCTGCTGGTTGCTGACCAGAAGGAGGCAGATACAGAGAGTATAGCTCAGTCCATTCACCTACAATCTCCCTGAAGATAGGGACAGTGTCTGTCTTGGTCATTATCCTTTCCCCAATATTTGGCATAGTTCCTGGTTATGAAAAAAATTCATCACTCAATACATATTGCTTGAATTAATAGTTAATGAGTTAGCAGTGGATGACTAAAGCAAGCCCCTACATGGCCTTCTTTCCAGAAACCCTGTCCAGTACCTAGAACCAGAGCCCTACATCTCCCCATGAAATTCCTTCTTCAGCATAGCCTATACCTTCTTATTGGCCTGAACCTCCAATGTTTCCCATTATTTGAGCCAATTTGTTTGCCTCCTTGATCCTTTTCAACAAGTTTCAAAACCAACTTTGTGATAGAGAGGGAGAGACTTAGAAAGAAAGAGAAAGGAAGGAGAGGAATAAAAGAGAAAGAGAGAGAGAGGAATGGGGTAGGAGGTGGGGGTAATAGAGGCTACCTTTAAGCTTTTAAGTCCTCCTTTTTTTTCTAGTGAGGCGTACAAAAGACCCTTCACAGCCTCCCTACAGAGACATTCAGGCTTTAGATGTGAGGCTAATAGACAAGAGAACTACAACAAACAGCCTATTCTAGTAAATCCATCTCTAAAAGAGTTTGCCCAAGAGAGGTGTTTATACTTTGTCATTAGAGCAGACTAGTTATATAAAATAAAACCTCATAGCTATGTCCTTGTAAATTGTATTATGTTGAATGATAGCAACTAGACTTTCATGCTTCTGTTTAATGGACAAGAGTAAAGTGCCATGGGAGGCTACTCTAGTGAATAAGATGTACTCAAAATAGTAATAATAATACATCCTCCTTCTCAGCTCATAATGTCTTCCTTCTTTACTATCACTGGAATGCATCCACTATTGTGTCTTTAAGAAAATCTAAACCCTTGATTTTTTTCCTTCTACATAGGAAGAAACTCAGAGATGATATAGAGGAAAATGTTACCCATTTTATGAAAGCAAATTTTGCTTTCATAAAGCAATGTAATTCCCTTGGGCAATAAATATCTTTCCAGGTCTGGTTCATCCTCAATTAATGGGAATTAAAGTATCCTCATGTGACAGATAATGGGAAACTTATCTTTCAGTTGAATACTAGCCCTGTACTTTTCAGAAGCAGATATAAGCCAAGCATACTTTCTGCATTAGAAGGAACATCAGATGACCAATGTTATCCTTGTCTTCCTTCTAGCACTTATGTTCATGAGGTACTATAGCAGTAGGATGCTCTGACTGGTCAAAAGCAATACATTAAAGAATAAAGTACTTACTTGGTCCTAGACCAATTGAAAAAGCAGCAACATAAACAAGCAAGCTGGCTAAGGACAGCCATTTCAAAAAAGCTGGGACGTCCCCAGGGTCTGTGACTATCTGGTATTCAGTGTGGCTTAATCCAGCATTTAGCAAGGATGCTGAGGTCGTCTCCCCTCTCTTATCCACATCATTTCTCAGGGGCATGAGTGAGCTTCTGCTATGGGAAGAAATCCCTTTGAAGTGGTCTCTGAGAGTATTGTTGTTGGTTGACAGGTTTCCTGGTCCATAAATCACAGACTCATCCAAGGACTGGTTGATAGAATTGTGGCTTCTGCAGATATGGGTGAAGTTCATGTGGATGTTGAGATTTACGATGCCCATGGTCACCAACGAAGCTGCCATCACAGAGGAGCCAATGCAGAGGAATGTTTTGCTGCCGACATGGTCTACAAGAAGAGTGGCAGGGATGGTGCTAATGACCTTGACGACTCCAACCCCAGTGGAGGCGAGGCTAGCTGCCTCATTGCTTTGAAATCCAACTGACTTCAAAACAGTTGATGCATAGAACAATATGTTTGGTTGGCCAGTGATTTGTACAAAAAATACTAGTGTTAGTCCTATCATTATTCGGGTCCGCATGTTGTCTTTTGAACGAAACAGATCCCAAAAACTGTACTGATATTCATCTTTCAGGGAGGATTTGATCACAGTGAGTTCCTCAGTTGTATCTGAGAGTGCTCTTAACCTTCCAAGAACCTTGCTAGCAGCTCCCTCTTGTCCTTTCATCACCAGAAACCGAGGGCTTGGAGGAAGAAAATACATTGCAATTGCTTGCAAAACTCCCAAGGGAATCACAAGACCAAACATGTACTTCCAGCCATGGAAAACATTGGCAAATGCGTAATTTGAAATATAGGCAGAAAGAATGCCGATGACAATCATCAGCTCATTCAGTGACACAAGAAGGCCTCTTCTGTGTTGAGGAGCAATCTCTGCGATGTAAACACAAGTGGCAATGGAAGAGAGGGAGATGGAGACCCCTATGGCAATGCGTCCCACTATAAGAACCGTGTAGGATAAACTGAGGATCAAGACTAAGCTTCCGAGTCCAAGCAGGCAGGATGACAAGATGATTGCTGTCCTTCTTCCATATCTGTCTATCAGGACCCCTCCGGTGAGTGAGGCAAGGAGGGCTCCAATGACGAGGGAGCTCACAACCATTTCCTGCTCATGGCAGCTCAGGGCTAATAAGGTTTTGATCTGAAGAAGAGCCCCAGAGATGATCCCAAGTTCATAACCCACCAGGAGGCCACTGACAGCAGCAGTGACAGATGACAGGAAGGTAAACATGCCGCAGCCTGCAAGCAGAGAGAAGAGACAGGGAGGTCAGTTCTCAGTTGAGATTTTAAACATTTTGTATTTGAGCGGAGATTTAACCTTGTAGAAGTCTTTCATAGCACTGGGTTTAAACGAACACACAATTATGATAAAATAATACACTAACCAAAAAATGATTTGATATAGAAGGAGAAATCATTTTTCTTTCTTTTTTGGGAGGATAGGCATGGAGACATGTAGGAAGTCCAGTTTCCTTCTATTTATGATGTTGATGTTTTTGGTTTAGATCAGACAGTGATGTTGAGATAAGCAGATGACACATGATGAAGACTGAACAAACAAGAACATCATTTGGTTCATGACTTGGCAGTGGATCAGAAATTCAAAGAGCCTGACTCTTTGGTCCCATTCCAGTTCTCTAAAGGCAAATCTTTGAGGGCAGGAGAGAGAGGATAGGAGCCTCTAGAAGTGCTACAGCCTCCTTGCTGGATAGCCTGGGTCAAAATGAAACACAGCCTCCAGGAAACTTGCCCTCTTATCTCCTGGGCCACAGTCGTGCTGCAAATGGCCTCTGCTGAACACATGAGGGTGTTGGGGCAGAGGGTGGAGGTGGGAGTGGGCAGTGTGTGAATGCCTTAACAAAGTCAAGGTTTTGCTAAACAGAAGGAAGGAAGAAATGTATGTAGTGTAAGGAACCAGCAATATCCCTTACTCATTCTGAGTAAGGAGAAAGGGGGATGGAACACAGGCAGAACAAGGAGAATTTACCTTTATATTGTTCTTTCGTTAATGTTCAAATCCAAGGAAAAATGTCAAAAAGTTAGTAACTATTAATTTTTGGTGGTAGGAACACAGATGTTTGTTATATGTTTGCAACTTGTCAAAATAGAAATAAAACAAAACAAAAAAGCAACAGAGGGAAGAGTATTTCAGGCCCAGGAGAAAGTAATTTCCAAGGCCTTAGGACAGGAAAGTTCTCATTATGTTTTAGGAACTGTCAGATGGCCAACATATAACATGTGGGGCACATTGTGAGCCTGGAGCGGTAGGACGGAAAGGGCTTAAAATGAATTTGGATAAGTACAGAGGGGGCACTTCAAGTAGGGCCTTGTCGGTCACAGTGATGACTTTTCATTGTGTTCCAAGTATAATGGAGCCAACACCCACTGAGAGGTGTAGAGGGCATTGACGCTATAGGTTTCTTATTTATAAAGTCCACCTTCACTGCTATGTAGAGATTAGTTCTTCAAAATGCAAGACTGGCAAGACTGGTAGCAGGGAGGAGTTTGTTGCCTTGGTTTGGACAAGAGATAATGGTAGCTTAGACTTGGGTGTTAAGAGTGGAACTGGAGATAAGTAGGCAGATTCAAGACTTATTTTGGAGCTAAAAACCACTACACTTGTTCAGGGCTGGATGTGGTGGCTCACGCCTGTAATCCCAGCACTTTGGGAGGCTGAGGTGGGTGGATCTCCTGAGGTCAGGTGTTCAAGACCAGCCTGGCCAACATGGCAAAACCCCATCACTATTAAAAGTACAAAAATAGCTGGGCATGATGGTTCATGCCTTGTAGTCCCAGCTACTCAGGAGGCTGAGGCAGGAGAATCACTTGAACCCAGGAGGCAGAGGTTGCAGTGAGCTGAGATCATGCCACTGCACTCCACCCCGGGCAACAGAGCAAGACTCCATCTCACAAAAAAACAAAAAACAAAAAACAAACAACAAACAAAAAAAACATTACACTTGTTCAAGAATTGGAGATGGGGGATAAAAAATGGGTCAGAACCCAGGATGGCTCTGTGGCTTGAGCAGGTGGGTGGGTGATTTTACAATATTTGATATACTCAATACAGTACTATATGGGGCCAACACCCATTGAGAGATGTAGAGGGCATTGTACTATATACTGTGTAGCGCAACATACCAACATAGGGAAGATTAGGAATAGAACTGGTTGTGAGTGGTGATAAGAGGAGGGGCAAAAATCAAAAGTTTCATTTTGGACTTAGTAAAATGGTTTATTTATTTTATCTGTAAGACATTCAGGTAAAAATGTTAAGTAGGGGATTGGGTATACAGATTTGGAGCTTAAAGATAGGTCAAGCCTGGACATATGTATTTGGAAGCCAGCAGCACACATTTGGTATTTAAAGCCACAGGAATGGGTGAGATCACTTAGGAAGATAAAATAGGGGAAAAGGAAAAGCATGATCAAGACTGGGACCTAGGCAATGCCAATATTTAGAAGACTAGTGCCAGCAAAGGAGATGGAGAAGAATCAGAACTGAGGTGTAAGTCAAATGTTAGAAATGTGATTACACACACGGTTTTCATAGGCTGAGCTAAGGCTGCCTTTTCGGGGTTGGGGGAGGGTATAGTTAAAAATGCTATTCAGCTCTAGTGAAATAAGCAGGTCAAATAAAGGTGATCTAAAGCTCTACCACAAATACTCAAGGTATTTTCCATCTCCAGGATCCTAGTAGGCTATGGGAATTGGCAGCCCCAAAAATAAGGGGAAAAAAGCACTGAATATTTAGATGGAGGAGCAAATAAAGGTGCAATAATCCACAAGAAATAAAGCAAATTTATGAGCATTTTGAACAAAACCCAGTAAACTGAAATTAAATCAGCAATTTATCTAGCTAATCAGAAAACAAAATATTTGGCACTGTTACATGGCAGGCATTTACCTGGGTACAGGGAGAAATATATATATATATATATATTTATATATATATATATATATATAAATATATATATATATATTTTTATATATATATATATATATTTGTTCTGTTTCACTGCTATATATATATAGCATATATACCAACATGGAGTTATATGCTACAGAATTTAGCTGTGGTCTCAGTTGCCTGAATTTTAATATCTTCCCTATTATATGCTTTAAGGGACACTGCCCCAAACTAGCTTTCCCACTTCCTTTACTACTGATACTTAGGACTACTGTTTGATCCTCAGCCTGTCCATTCGGGGTTTTGAATTCTAATTCACTGTATAAGGCTAGTCCTTAATGCTTCTGAGATTGTGGCTCTGATACCACATTTGTTCTGTTTCACTGCTATATATATATATTATATATATATAATTTATATCTATATATATAAATTATATATTATTTATATATAAATATATATTTATATAATATATTACATATATTATATATATAAATAACTTAATTTTTGGTGGTAGGAACACAGATGTTTGTTATATGTTTGCAACTTGTCAAAATAGAAACAAAACAAAACAAAAAAGCAACAGAGGGAAGAGTATTTCAGGCCCAGGAGAAAGTAATTTCCAAGGCCTTAGGACAGGAAAGTTCTCATTATGTTTTAGGAACTGTCAGATGGCCAGCATATAACATGTGGGGCACATTGTGAGCCTGGAGAGGTAGGACGGAAAGGGCTTAAAGTGAATTTGGGTAAGTACAGAGGGGGCACTTCAAGTAGGGCCTTGTCGGTCACAGTGATGACTTTTCATTGTGTTCCAAGTATAATGGGGCCAAAAAACTTAACATTCTGATGATATCTTTATTACCTATTATTTATTAATTTTGTGTGCTGTTTGACTTTTTTGGCATGCAAAATGACTTTAAAGTACTCTCTTATAGGTTCATTCATGTCCACGGTTTCCATATTCCTTTTCCTATGTGATCTTAAAATCCTCAACAATGAATTCCTCTACCACAAGGAGAATTAGGTCAAATCTTCACATTTGGATAAGAATATTGTATTATTCTTATCTCTGCTTGTCATTGTTCATTTTTTCTATGTTTGCTGTGTTGATTAGTGTATGTGTTTTGGCAATTGAGGACTGGTCTCTGATATTCTGATTGGAGAAATAAGTGAATTTGGAGAATGGACCACCTGGGAGGCCAGACTGAGTGAAGGACCTGGGAAGGGCATGTGGTGTGACAGAGGGCACCTGGGGCTGCGGAGTTAAGGATGCAGGGGAATCAATGCCATAACTGCTTTAATAGCAGAAGAAGATTGTCCTTGCCACCCTGTGCTTCTCCTCTTCCTTTCTTGTTTTCCTCTTTCATGAGATGGAAAATACTGTGTCCCTACAATGAGAAAGATGCCTTGAGATGCAGGAGTCCCTTCCTTCTGTGCTCCATTATCTTACCTTAGAGAGCCTGAAGTGGTTTGCTAAGTGCTAGCTTCTCTGTCTGGAGGAAAGAGCTCCTGACAGAAGAGGGACCCAACCTCTTCTGCTGCTTTCTGGACTTAGATCATTTGCCTGGTTTCTCGGGCCGGGACTCATAGCACACTGACAAATGGGAATATGTGCAAAGGGTCTGGAAGCCATCCCAGTTTGTCAACGTTCCCCTTGAAACCCATGGAGTATAATTCTTCAGAGACATTAAGGAATTATTTTTATATGAATCATAAAAACCTTTTACAATTTTCTATATGATAACATATATCTCTTTCTTGCTATCCATCTTTCTATCTTCCTGTCTCTGGGCAATTTGCCTTTAAGAGGTTAAAACCTTGTACAAGATCATTCTAGAACCCTAGTCCCACATGGACGGCTTACCAACATGGAGTTATATGTTACAGAATTTAGCTGTGGTCTCAGTTGTCTGAATTTTAATATCTTCCCTATTATATGCTTTAAGGGATACTGCCCCAAACTAGCTTTTCCCCTTCCCTTACTACTCATATTTAGGACTGCTGTTTGATCCTCAGCCTTTCCATTTGGGGTTTTGAATTCTAATTCACTGTATAAGGCTAGTCCTTAGCGCTTCTGAGATTGTGACTCTGATACTTCAAGACTTCCATCACAGGAAGTTTTCCTGGTGCTACTTTACAAAGAGAGGCATAAGGAGTGGGTTTTTCTTGTGTGTTGGTTAGCCATGACAAGAGCAAGATGCTATCCTATGGATGCTGGAAAGTAGAGATACCTTTTTCTAAGAAATCTGGCAGTGAACAGGAAGCAAGAGATCAGAATGTGGGTTAAAGCACTGGCAGGAAGGTGGGGTTTGTGTTTGTCTACACACAGAGGTGAGAGTTTGGGCAGCCACGTGGACTGAGGAGAAGTTGTCAGTGGTGAAGGACAGAGTAAGATGAGGATTCACAATTAGCACTTTTCCAAAAAATACCCAGCTTTCAAGTCAGTCTGCCTTTAATAATGATGAAGTAGAGCATTCCCAGTCATTTTGCTCATGGCTTTGCTTCACAGGGGCCCTTCCTTTACACCCCAGTTCTCCCAAAAAGTGCCATGGGGAATTCTTGGCTTTTTGTGGACATTACAGAAGTGGAAACTACCTGGAGGCTTGTAAGTGGTACCCCATAGGCAGTTTTGTTATGCCTATCCTGTCTTCTTCCTGCTGTTGGGGCTCGGAATAAGATACCCCAAAGTACGGCACATTGGTGTGCTGAGTACTTTGAACTAGACATGGGAACATAGGAAAGGCCGCTGGCTGCCTGACAAAAAAAAAAAAAAAAAAAAAAACTGTGTGTGCATGCTTTTCAGCTGGCTGTAGGATATCAGCCAGAAACAAGGTCTTTCTGACCCTCTCGCATTTTCCCCTGAAGCAAGTCATGGAAAACAGAATTCCTTTCCCCAAGGTGGGTCTCAGAAACCAGAACCACTCCGCCCCAAAGCAAATCATAAAACCTAAAAAGGTCACTCTCTCCCTTTTCCCTTGAAAACCTTATTTCATGGGAGTCCTGCCCTCTGCCCAGGAGGAAGAAATGCCACACAGTGAGGCCCAAAAAATCTGGACAGGCCTTGCTGGGTTTCTGTTTCAGTTTATTACTATTGACTCATACCCTTTTGTTCAATCACATTTCTACACGCCCATCCTTTCTTCATCAAACCTAAGCATAAAATCAGACATTTTTCCCTGAGTCTTTAGATCTTCATTTTGAAAGCCTCCCATGTCACATCAAACTTTGATTAACTAAATTTGTTATGCTTTTCTCTTGTCACTCTGTCTCCTGTGATAGGAGTGTTAGCTGTGACCCTGATGAGTGAGGAAAGGCATCACACCTTTCTGTCTCCACACTGCGTTGCTAGAAGTTCAGCAGCAGCAGTAGGAGGAAGATCTCCAGTTTGCCTTTTGATGCAATGACAATTCTTTATTAAGGTGATAAAGTAAAACTGTTCCTATCAAAGCTGTGATTCAATCAAGCAGCTTTATGCAAACAGGTGCTGAGACCTGCAGCACAAGAGCACCAAGGGTGCCACGAGACTGTAGCACCAGCCACCACCACAATAGCTGCATTGTCTGCTGGTCAGTGAGTCAGATGAAACCACAACTGTAGCTGGCACTCAACACGAAACAATCCATTTTTCACAATATTTGAGTTTCTGCCTGCTTTCTTCTTCTCTTTCTTCCCCATATGCCTTTTATTGCATATGGACATAATGGGCACGCAATAAACACTTGCCAGCTGACTAAATCCTACAGCCAGCTGAAAAGCATGCACACACAGGTGGTTTCTTTTTTTCTTTTTTTGGCAGGCAGCCAGGTAATTATATAGCTTGACCAACTGTGAATACTTTACAAATTTAAAAGACACCCCCACCCCCACTTCATATTTTGTTCAAGAAAAACTTGCAGTTGTCCAAAAATGGCCTTGCAGCTATGGCCTGCCCTTCCTGTGCTCTTTCTCCCTGAACGCCTTTGTTCCCAACTCATCTTTCAATAGTCATCTCTACTACCACCTCATTTCTGAAGTCCACTTCTCAGTCCTCAGCATTATCTTGCCCCCGGCTCGTGTGTGCCCACTATGCACAGAATGTGTGTTCAGAGTCCATCTCATTTTAAGGCACTCTTTGATTGACCTGTGTGTCTTCACTATTAGACTGGAAGTTCCTTGAAGGCAAGAACCCTGCCTTTCTGAGACCTGTCCTTTCACCGCTAGCCTTCTGGCACAAAGTAAATACTCAATGTTTGTCGAGTGAATGAATGAATGAATGAAAACAACACTCCAGAATACTGATCCTTACACCTCTACTCCCCACAATTGTATCAACAGACTATGGTTAATCTGTAGTGTTATATAATGGTTAGCATCTAGAACTTTATCTTCATATAAATATTTAGCAACTGAATAGCAATCCATTAGCATTTCTATGAAGGTTTTAGCGCTATGTTTAGCTAGCTGATATAGCACCATTTCAGGGACCATAAAGTGTTTTATTGTCACAACTATATTTATATTTTATTAAACTTCAGCCCTATGCATGGAATTGTTCTCTAGTTGTTCAGACAGAGTATTTAGCAGCCCTGTTTCAGTGGACCAGGTCTTCAGGTTCCATAACATTCTCCAGGCACCAACTCTCCAGCCCATCTACACCACTAGCTGTTTCCAGAATCTTCTGTGTTCTTTCCCAGGTCTGTGCTGAGACTCAGGCTATTCCCTTCACCACAGGGTCGTTTGCCTTCCTTCACAGCCCAGGGAAACTCGATTCAATTTTTTTTTTTTTTTTTTTTTTTTTTTTGAGAAGAAGTGTCACTCTGTCGCCCAGGCTGGAGTGCAGTGGCGCGATTTCGGCTCACTGCAACCTCTGCCTCCCAGGTTCAAGTGATGCTCCTTCCTTGGCCTCCTCCTATTCATTTTTAAAGGGCCAGCTCCAATATCCCCTCCTCCATAGGCTTACCCTCTTGGGTTAGCATTTTTTTTGGCTTTTGTTTTTGTTTTTTTTTTCAGACGGAGTCTGGCTCTGTCGCCAGGCTGGAGTGCAGTGGCATGATCTCGGCTCACTCTCCACCTCCCAGGTTCAAGCGATTCTCCTGCCTCAGCGTCCGGAGTAGCTGGGACTATAGGCGTGCACCACCATACCTGGGTAATTTTTGTATTTTTAGTAGAGACGGGATTTCACCATGTTGGCCTGGATGGTCTCGATCTCGTGACCCCGTGATCTGCCTGTCTCGGCATCCCAAAGTGGGATTACAGGCATGAGCCACTACACCCGGCCAGGTTAGCTTTACTCTCCCTTCTCTCTCTTGCCTTTACATCCAAGGTTTTACAGCACCCTGGATTATATTTCACTAGGTTTGTATCCTGCCTTAGACTGGGAGCATGTTGGGAGCAGGAGTGTCTGTATCATGGGTGCCAGTGCTCAGTAGAGGTTACAGGATGCCCCAGGAAGGAGATGCAGGAACTTAGCAGAAGGCTCACCTCCTATAACCTCCCAGAGGGCATGTCCCAGGGAGAGTTCTGGTGTGGTGTTTCCAGCCCACCAAATGTCCAACATGCTGCTCCTTGGCATTGGACCCTGCATGGCCATGCCTGTATTGACAAATACTGGGTACAAGGCTTATCTAGCCACTATCTCCCACCCCTCCCCTGCACCCTGATCCTCTCCTCAGCACACAGTGAAACTCAGACAAAAAGGAACTTTGGCCTCTCTCAACACCTATTATTATTTGAATTTTCTACGGAAAAAATATAGAAATGTTGCGATCTTTCTTTGTTAGTTTTCCAACCCCGGGTTTGATTTAGTAGCAATTTCACAGACATCCTTTCCTGAAACTAATATTCTTCCACTCCTATTGGCTGAGGAGTTAATAAGAGGAGACACTGTTTAAATTTGCATGTTAGTACTCCCCTGTGCTTTGATTTGTGGTTCACTTTTTCTGCCTGATTATGTGTATTACTTTCATTCTTTTTCTTTCTGCCTTTTTTTTTTTTTTTTTTTTTTTTTTGAGATGGAGTCTCTCTCTGGTGCCCAGGCTGGAGTGTAGTGGTGCGATCTCGGCTCACTGCAACCTCTGCCTCCCAGGTTCAAGTGATTCTACTTTCTCAGCCATCCGAATAGCTGGGATTACAGGTGTGGGCCACCACACCCCCTATTTTTGTATTTTTAGTAGAGACAGGGCTTCACCATGTTGGCAAGGCTGATCTTGCACACCTGGCCTCAAGTGATCCACCTGCTTCTGGCCTCCCAAAGTGCTGGGATTATAGACGTGAGCCACCGCACCTGGCTTCTTTCTGCTCTTCCTTTTATCCTTTCTTCCTTTCTTTCCTTTTTTTTTTTTTTTTTTTTTTTTTTACAAATTCTCGCTCTTTCGCCCAGGCTGGAGTGCAGTGGCACAATCTCAGCTCACTGCAACCTCTGTCCCTGGGTTCAAGCAATTCTCCTGCCTCAGCCTTCTGAGTAGCTGGGATTACAGGTGCCTATCACCACGCCTGGCTAATTTTTATACTTTTAGTAGAGACAGGGTTTCACCATGTTGGCCAGGCTGGTCTTGGACTCCTGACCTCTGGTGATCCACCCACCTCGGCCTCCCAAAGTGCTGGGATTACAGGCGTGAGCTATCGCACCCAGCCTCCTTTCTTCCTTTCTTCAATTCAAAACTTTCATCAGGATAAGTCTGGTGCATTTTCTTCTAAATTTTTCTGCTACTTGTTGAGTTCTTTTTCCATTCAGGAAAGATTTCCTCTAATATTTTTGTCTATTTGTTTAGACACAGTTATTTATATGTTAGTTTAATATATTCATTTCCTCTTTCATCTCTAGCTTCTCATCCTTTTCATCTGCATCCTAGAAGAACTTCTCATATTCATCCTCCACATCACAGATTTCAGATGATGATTCTGCTGTTGCAGTTTCATTCCCTTCCACTCTACACGTCATTGATCTATTTGCATCTCAGTTCTCAGCAAGCTCTATCTTCACCTCAGTTTATTCTTATCATCAGATGTGGTTTACATCTTTTGCCACAGAGTCTATCTTAAAAAACTATATTGAGAACAGAAATCAGATGCTTTCCATAATTTATTTATGTTTCCTATAAATAGAAATCTTAGAATGCATCCTTTTCCTCTGTATTTGAAACATACTTGCCAATAACCAGATTTGCAGCATTGCAAATAACCTAGCCCCTAAATTTGCAGCATAACCTAGCCCCTAAATCAGTTATGATATTTTTGACTGTGATACAGTTTTTTTTTAATCACAATTGATGTCCCATTCCAAGACTGTGATATTGTTTTAATGTATATTCCCACCAACTCTCATATTGAATTCTAATCCCGAATGTTGGAGGTGGGGCCTGGTGGGAAGTGTTTGGGTCATGGGGGCCCTTATGAATGGCTTGGGCCATCTGCTTGGTGATAAGTGAGTTCTGACTCTGAATTCAGATAAGATCTGGTGGTTTAAAAGTGTGTGGCCCCTCTCCCTCCACCCCACTCTCTCTCTCTCACTCCAGTTTTCACAATGTGATGTACCTGCTCCCCCTTTGACTTCTGCCATGATTGGAGGCTTCTCGAGGCCTCCCCAGAAGCAGATGTCACTATGCTTCCTGAATAACCTGCAGAATGGTAAGCCAGTAAAGCCTCTTTTTTAAAAATAAATTATCCAATCTCAGGTTGTTGTTTTTTGTTTTTTTTTTTTTGTTTTTTGTTTTTTGTTTTTTTTGAGACAGGGTCTCACTCTGTCACCCAGGCTGGAGTGCAGTGGTGCGATCTCAGCTCACTGCAACCTCCACACCTCCCAGGCTCAAGTGATCCTCCCACCTCAGCCTTCCGAGTAGCTGGGACTACAGGTGCATGCCACCACACCTGGCCAATTTTTGTATTTTTGATAGAGATGGGGTTTCATCATGTTGCTCAGGCTGGTCTCGAACTTCGGAGCTCAAGTGATCCTCCCACCTCAGCCTCCCAAAGTGCTGGGATTACAGGTGTGAGCCACCACGCCAGGTCTCAGGTATTTCTTTATAGCAATGCAAGAACAGCCTAACACAGACTGCAAGAACCCCAAGCCCTGATAAACAGAAGCTTACATCATAGTGGCATTTATTGCTTAATTAACTAAAAGACCAAGTTGGGTTTGGTGTCTCCAAAGACTCACACTGTACCCATCCTCCTGTTCCCGTTTCCTCAAAGGATTGTCTGTTGTCCCCTGGCTTGTCACCATATGTGCAAGGTGGCTGCCGCAGCTCCAGGAATTACGTTCCCTCACAACCACATCCATAGGCAGGAGACAATAGAAGGAGGCTTGGGACAAGGATTTATCCTCCTGTGGCTCTCTCCTTTTATCAGGAGGAAAACTTTCAAGAAGCAACCTGGAAGACTTACTTAATATCTCATTGACCAGAGCCAGTGGGTGACTGGTCAAACTTGGCTGTGAGAGAGATTGACAAGTGCATGTCTGAATCTTTTAGTTACCCATGTAGGAAAAGTAGAAAATCAGAGGGGAGTTGGAATGGCTGTGGTATATTCAGTGTCTGACACACCTTATTCTAGCCACCTGGTTGCAGTTAGAAACTCCTCTCAGGTCTTTTGCACTGGAGGTGCAATTGATGTGCACAGCTGCTGGCCAACTTTCTGATGTCTGTATGTTATTTTTCTGGTGTGGTTCCATTGAACCAAGAAAGGAACTTTTTAATTTTTTTTTCTTCCACTTTTTGGTCCCCTGATTACAAATGAGGGAGATCATTCCTGGATTATTTAAAGCAGTCTGTATTTCTTTACTTGTCAAAAACAGTGGGTGCAAAACAAACTTCTAGAGTGCATTGCTCCAGTGGCTCTGAAAGGCTTTGTCTCTTCTTAACACTAGTTTCATATTTCAAAATGCAGTGAGTCACTGTCTTGCCTATCCAGCCCAGAGTTGTTGAAATCATGGAAATTGGAGTCCCTGAAGAGATACAGAAAGAGAAATGACAAGGCACAGTGGCTCACACCTGTAATCCCAGTGCTTTGGGAGGCAAGGCAGGAGGATTGCTTGTGGCCAGAAGTTCAAGGCTGCAGTAAGCTATGATTTTACCTCTGCCCTTCAGCCAGGGCAACAAAGAAAGTTGTGTCAAACAAAAAAAAAGAGAGAGAGAGAGAAAGAAAGGGAAGTGATAATGACAGGATGGGGGATGGGATTGGAAGAATCAGGTGTTAGGGCAAGAAATTCTGACCCTCAGAGAAAGCAGCTCTGAGGGTCTGAGGAGCTCTTTCCCTTCCTTGCTTGGTGAAGGTTCCATCTCTGTCAAATGAGGATGCACAGCGGCAGTCTACGGGAATCCAACATTTTACGGCCCAATCTTATACATTAGGCTCCCCATTTTATTTACTGTTAAATCCTAACTCATTGACAAATATTCGGGCTTTCAATGCTGTGGTGATTTTGCACTTCTGTCTGCATTTTTGTGGAGACTTTCGATGATAGATGGTAAAGAGGGAGGGAACCTGGAGAATAAACCCGCAGCTGTCTTTCCTAGAGTCCCCTGGCGTCTCCAGGAAGGGGATGCTCAATGTGTGTGAGCCTTGGTGAGCCATGGACATTTGAAAACCGACATCTCCGAAAGGATCCCCAGTCCACTGAAGATTATTTAATGTTGAAAAAATAGTAAAAGATGTATCTGTACTTCTCAATTTCAAATGTATATAAATGGGATGGAAAGTTGTTTTTTAAAAAATTCAGTGTGCTAGTGAGTACATAGCAACTTTCTCTCACTCTATATTTTCTAATCAATAAATATAAAACTGCGAAGACAATTTTGTGAGGATTTGAAGTTGTTTTTATATTTTAAAAGGAGTTGCTGCACTCAATAATGGTTGAGAATCACCAGTAGTGCTTTTTAAATTATTTAATTAGGGAAATGAAATGGGAAGAACATAAACTATATTGTGAAGGCTGTGGATGAAGGTCCTTTTAGGAAGAGCAATTTACTAAAATTAATACCTGAATGGCCACCTGAACACTAAGGGTTAAGCTCACCGTTATCATGTTGATAATGGACAGGTGGCCTATGGGAGAGAGCGAGAGGGAGAGAGAAAAGGCTAAAGTGCTCTATCGAATACAAAGGAGGGATTTTGATGAGAAAGAGAGTGAGACAGAGAAAGAGAAAGAGAGAATGAAAGGCTAAGAGAGCCCAGAAATAGAAAAAAAAAAAAAGTAGAAGAAAAGGTCAGGACAAGTTGTCGAGTTGTGGGGAATGGGGAAAGGGAGAGACACCAAGAGCTCAGTATGACAAGAAGCCTGAGGATTTTTTAAAAGTTGATTTATAAGAAACTCCTGGCTGGGTTAGGTGGCTCACACCTGTAATCCCAGCACTTTGGGAGGCAGAAGTGGGAGGACTGCTTGAGCCCAGGAGTCTGAGACCAGCCTGAGCAACATAGTAAGACTCTGTCTCTATTAAAAATACAAAAAAATTAGCTGAGTGTGGTGGCGTGCACCTGTAATCCCAGCTACTTGGGTGGCTGAGGCAGGAGAATTGCTTGAACCTAAAACATCAAGCCTGCAGTGAGCTGTGATTCTGCCACTGCACCCCAGCCTGGGCGACAGAGTAACACTCTGTCTCAAAACAAAACAAAACAAAACAAAACAAAACAAAAACCAAACACACACACACACCCCAAAAAAGAAACTCCTTATGGTGGATTTGACAAGAGAATTTTCAGGATGGGCCTACCTAATATTCAATTGCACTACAGCACTCTTCAAATTCTTAGTAAAAATCTACAAAGAGCTTATATGAATGGGATTCAAGAATATGAAGGAAAGGGGGCTGCTGTCATCTAAGAATGGATTGGAGCAGGGATAAGAGAAAAGACCAGTTGCTGGAAGTGGAGGGCAAGGACCCAGAAAAAGCAGGAAGTTGGTGCAGGAGGGTGATCAGAACCACGAAACTCCTGAAGTGTACTGTGTGTGTTTGGATGGGAGGCTGGTGGGGAGGAAGGAGGCATGTGGATTTAACCATAAGGGGCCTGCAACTATTTTTATTTTAAAATTAAAAGAATGGTGACACCATAAAGCTGTAGAATTTGGAGACATGTAAATGAGGATTTCTAAAACTCCCACTTCTGTCACCACTACCGTCACTTTTAGAAATTTTCTTGATTTCTCAGGCCAGGTGCAGTGGCTCACACGTGCAATCCCAGCACTTTGGGAGGCCGAGATGGGCGGATCACCAGGGCAAGAGATCAAGACCATCTGGCTAACATGGTAAAACCCCGTCTCTAGTAAAAATACAAAAATTAGCAAGGTGTGGTGGCATGTGCCTGTAGTCCCAGCTGCTTGGGAGGCTGAGGCAGAAGAATCGCTTGAACCCGGGAGGCAGAGGTTGCAGTGAGCCGAGATCACACCACTGCACCCTAGCCTGGCGACAGAGCGAGACTCTGTCCCAAAAAAAAAAAAAAAAAAGAAAAGAAATTTTCTTGATGTCTCTAAATTAATATGGTCTCCTTCCCAAGAATTCCTGTTTTCATGGTACTTAGTTCACAAAAGTTTTGTGACATCTTTTGTAAGCTAAGGAAGCTGTGCCTGCTGCCAGCTTCAGATTCCTTTGTCATCCTCTTTCCCTGCTTTGAACTCTGTGCTCCCAGAATTCCGAAGTATTGGAAGCTCCCTGAACGTGCCATTCTCTCTTCTCCAAACATGTTCAAGCTATTTTCCCTCCTTAGAATGCTCCGTAAAACTACTGGCCTCAGTTACACGTGCTCGGCTCAACTTAGCCATCCTGTCTTCCAGGAGTCTCCAGGGACTGGCTGAACTTCCCCCTTTGCTATCATAGATATTACACATAATACATGTATAATATCAAGCCATCTCCTCCATCAAAGGATTCCTGATCCCTCATCGCTCTCCACTAATTGGCAGTAAGCACCTGCACTGTGAGGATGCCTTTCGTTTCTCACCAGACTCCAGGGTCTGGCATCATATCTGATTCCTACTATCCACTCAGTATTTGCTGAATGGTTATCTTGCAGTTAGTTCGATTTTTATTTTTTTGATAAGTTGGTAAAACCTACAGACAAGAATAAAGGCCTGGGCACAGTGGCTTCACGCCTGTAATCCCAACACTTTGGGAGGCCGAGGTGGGTGGATCACTTGAGGTCAGGAGTTTGAGACCAGCCTGGCCAACATGATGAAACCCCATCTCTACTAAAAATACAAAAATTAGCAGGATGTGGTGGCAGGCATCTGTAATCCCAGCTACTTGGGAGGCTGAGGCAGGAGAATCGCTTGAACCCAGGAGGTGAAGGTTGCAGTGAGCCGAGATAGCGCCACTACACTCCAGCCTGGACAACAAGAGTGAAACTCCGTCTAAAAAAAAAAAAAAAAAAAAAGAATAATGTCTTAGATACATTTTTTTTTAACCCTGAAGCATCCAGCACTGTGCCTCTCATGTAGTAGGTGCCCAATATGTATTTGCAGAAGTAAAATGCTCTTTAGTTCAGCAATCGCTTCTTTACTCATTGACTCCTTCAACAATTAAGCATGAACTATGTGCCAGCACTGTCTGGCAGGCAAGTTTCATTGACGGCTATTGCAATCAGCCTTCATGGTTGCTGGCAGCATCGTGTTGAGATGTTTCCTAGGTTACATCTGGATTTAATGGCACTAGAAGGTGGTACTTGTGCCACATGGATGTGATCCCTCATGTGTAGGCTGGAAATACAGAGAAAAAGGCATGATTCCTACCTATTATGAATTGCACAGAACTTTCCAAGCACTGTCAGTCAGCTCAGAGCTCTGATAGGTGCATGAAATATATATTTTATCGAGAAACTTATAATCTTATAGAAAAATACAAGTTACATAAAAAGTTAGGGAATTAACTAAAACAGAATGCAAACAAGTCCTGAAATGAGTGTAACTGGAATCCAAATTCACAGATTGGAAAGTAGAAGCATTATTGCTGGCTGGTAATATGGGTCAAGAGAGCAAACCTGGACTGGATTTAGGAAAGTAAGGTTCAGATCACTGTGCTGTCCTCTAATATCTGTGCTACCCAAGACAAGTCCCTTTGCTTCTTTCCAGGAGGAACCTGGGCTTGAAGGTGAAGAACAGTGTGGAATCAGAGTCCTAATTAGTTACCGGCTAGACTTTGATAAGTCCCTTAAGGTTTGTTTCTCTCTGTGTCCTCATTCACAAGATAAAGATAATAATATTACCTCCTTCATAGAGTTGTAAGAATGAATGAGACAGAAGAGACCCTGGTACCTGGTAGTAAATGATTGGTAAATGTTAGCTGTTGTTCTTAGCCTCAGTTTCCTTATCTGTGAACTGGGGTGCCTCATGGGGTTGCTGTAAAGATCTGAAGGGATTACAGTAGTAGAACCACTTGGCCCACAAGAATCATTTAACAAAAGCTCCTTTAATCTGAATCTAGAAGGTAAAATCTTCATAATACGGAGGTAAAGCTTTGAAACAGTCTTTTACTGATAGCAACAGAAATAAAATAATACCTTATTTCCAGCATAACAATTGTGTCTTTCATAAATTCTTGAATTCCTTTGCTTTCAAAATTGGCAGTACCTACATAATTGGGCTTGCAGCATGAAAAATTCCTCCTGTGATTTTGTCTGAAGGTTTCTGCAGCTTAGTTTCCCAATATAAATAAAACATTTCATTAGTGTGAGGATGCTCTCTCACCACACAAATTGACCCTAATTACAACTTCCATTTCCCCTGTTCTTGAAAAACTTTGCACATCTGAAGCTGAGCTGTCATGGTTTTTTAATTAGTATTACTCATAACTCCCAACTCTAACTTCCATAAAGTGTGGAAATGTGTGTGGGAGCAAGACATTTTGTATAAAATAATAATGGGCACTGCTAACAGCTCCAGAGCCCAGTGATGCCAGGCAGACCTGAGTCATGAGTTGTCTGAGAAGCAGCTACTTCCAAGGCAATCACAATTTAACAGTTTAAAATTAAATTACACTTGCTTTACTTAAAAAATATATTCCTAAAAGTCAAACAAGAATTGCATTTTTCTCCGTGGAATTTTGGCAAAACAGTATAAAATAAATCATTGTTCAAAAATAATGAAATCTCCTAAAACTAGAATGATGTAATAAATTATTTTAGTCTTACTATTATTTCTACTAAGTTGTTTAGAATAATTAGGTGGGCAGCGGTGCCTCACGCCTATAATCCCAGCACTTTGGGAGGCTGAGGCGGGTGAATTGCTTGAGGCCAGGAGTTCGAGACCAGCCTGGGCAACATGGTGAAACCGTCTCTACTAAAAAAAAATATATATATACAAAAATTAGCCGGGTGTGGTGGTGAGTGCCTGTAATCCCAGCTTCTTGGGTGGCTGAGGCACGAAAACTGCTTGAACCCAGGAGGTGGAGGTTGCGGTGAGCTGAGGCTATACTCCAGCCTGGATGACAGAGCAAAACTCTGTCTTACATTTTTAAAAAGAATGATTAGTATTACTGGGGCATAGTCATTTAGCAAATGCATAAAATAAGTGTGCTACAACATGGGAAGAAAAATGATACCAGTGTGCAAAGGCAAAACAAAATAATACAGAAAAAAAATTTGAATTTATGATTTACTCTAAAGGTAATATATTTGACTCAGTTTCAGCTGGGAAGTATTTTGGGGGATGTCACGTTCAGTGACATTAACTGATATTGAGTACTTTTGAAGGGAAGAAGGGATGAAAAATCATCCGCATTTGATATTTGGTCAAATAGCCTCTTGGGAAGGAGCCAATTCCAACTTTTCCTTTCTCATCACCATAACTTGGTATCTTTTAAGTGGCTTCCATTGCATTAATTTTTTCAATAACTCATCCTTCTGGGGGAGACTGTTCATGAGAAAAAATACTGAATGAAGGAGCTCTGACTCTATTCAATTTTAAAATCTTATATAACCCGTTCTTGCTCATACACTGAGTAAATAGCTGTTTCAACTGTTGCATAGTAATGGAGGGCCCTTTAGAGCTCTCAGAACTTTTTTAACCCAAAGGCTAGATAGTACCGAGAAAATGCTCCCTATGAAACCGTGATTCTAAAATGAACTATTCTTGAATGAATAATAAAATCCTACATACCTACAGCAATTAAAAATTGCAATTTCAAGTTGGTGGATTCATCTTTTATCTACACATGCAAATCTCAGCTTCCTTCGGCTGCTCCAAGGTAGATTCAGTGTATTTTGAGTTCTGTCTCTACCAACTAGTGTAAGCTCTAGACCACTAAAGACCACCCTCTTGAGAATTCACAGGAAAGATACCCTGTGGGCTCATATTCAGGTCCTATCAGCTACCACCAGGCCTATTCCTGGGCTCTCAGCTGCTTCAGCAACTGTTGGTAATCTGACAGAGAGAACGGTGATGTTGAGAATATTTAACAACTAGGACAGAGGCACCGACCTATCAGAATGGCTGTAAAAACTGGTTCAGGCATGCTGGTGTGCACCAGCTAATCTCAGCCTGCTCAGATGGGCCCAACCTCTTGGCCGGCTGCTCTCAGGCTGGCTTGGTCTGGCTCTGCCAGGCCCTGGCAGGGCAGGCTTCCTGCAGCGTGTGTCTGCTGCTGCTTCAGAGCCTGGGAGGGGGTCTGTGGCAACCTCTCTGCTCTCTCTGGGTGACACATCCTTAGAGAGGAGCAAGACCACTGCCGCGTACGATGCATAGCACCCAGAGTTTGCAGAGAAACATCTCCCACCATGTTCGCAGCCTTTTCCCTTCCCAAGAGATCCCAGAGGAGCCATTTGCCCAGTGCTCACAGTGGTGAAAAGCCTCAAATCTAGACTTTTGATGTGATTTCCAAGTGAGGTTAAATGTACAGTCACAGAGATACGCTGACTGGACTGAAAGGGGAGATATTTATGTTTAAATCTGGTCTCATGACCACACAGAAGAGCAAGTGGTCCTCCATAAATGAACACGTCTAAAAATCCTGTCATTTCCAGCCAGGCACTGTGGATCACACCCGTAATCCCAGCAGTTTGGGAGGCCAAGGTAGGCGGATCACCTGAGGTTAGGAGTTGGAGACCAGCCTGGCCAGCATGGTAAAACCCCATCTCTACTAAAAATACAAAAATTAGCCAGCTGCTCAGGATGCTGAGGCACAAAAATCACTTGAAACTGGGAGGCAGAGGTTGCAGTGAGCCAAGATCGCGCCATCTTACTCCAGCCTAGGTGACAGAGCGAGACTTCATCTCAGAAAAAACAAAACAACAACAACAAAAAAACCTGTTATTTCCTTGGAAATACGTATCACAGTAGACACAATCATTGTTATCAGATGTTGACTTGTTAAATACATATGTTTTTAAAGCACTATAATTTTTGTCACGGGTTTTGATGCTTAATTGTTTTTAATATATAGAAAGTGTGGAAAAATGGGAATGGCCCAGCATCAAAAACTCTGAGATGCCTGGGTCTGCCCAAGGTAACTGGCCTCTTACTAGAATCTGTCTTCTCACAACCAAAGCTCTGACATCTGCCCAAGCTGGTTGGCCTGACTCCCTCTTCCCTAAGGATGAGTTTGTTTCCAAGTCTCCGTCTCTTTTACAAGTTGACTTCCCCTAGAGCTGACTGACGAAGCCTGAGAAAGCCAGGCCTGACGAAATTCCAGGGGGCCCATTTTAAGCTAAACCCGGGAGAACAGCACTCAGTAGGAACTTAGTTACAGTTACATCTTACATACTCACCACCTGCCCAGCTTCCATTTAGGAAAAAGGAGTTCACAGCTTTAAAAGCGTTTTGAGAACAACTGCCTTAGAATGTTCATCTGCTGAGCAGAAGCGTGTATTTCTTAAATTCCAGACTGTGGCATCTTCAGAGGGGATAAAGGACAGTCCTTTCAGCTGAGTTCGTGAGTCCCGTTCTTCATGTTCTGGGTCCCAGTGCCAGAGAGTTCTGCAGTGCTGACAACCTGCACTCATACAGTAAATATTGTTCTTGTTTTCTGAACCTTTGGACAGTTGGGGGTGAAGGGAAACTTAAGAGGACTCTGTCCCCAGCCAATTGTTTGGATCATGAAATAAAGGAAGCCTGGGAGCTGAAGTAGAAGTCAGTATTGAATCTCCTGGGCCAGAGGCCACCAGGGTCAGTTCTGCACCATCCTCTGTGTGACCGTGGGCCGATCACACATCTTTTGACCTCAGATTTCCCTTGTGTGAGTTGCTCCATCCGTCTAATATCTCACTTCATTTATATCTGTTGTCAACTCTAGGCACCAGAATTTCAAACTGAGCTTAATCCTGTCCTATATTAAGATGGATTGGAACATGTCCATGAAAGCTGAAAAAATTTACTAAAAATGTAACCACTTTGAGTCATAGCTTATTGAAAATGAATTAAGTTCATTAGCTTCTAGTCATTGGAACAAAGCATTCTTTTCAGTTAAAGAGGGTTAGTCAAGAAAGACCTACCAAAATTTTTCACTGTGCACAATAGCATCAAGGGAGTTCAACTGCAGACCTTAGGGGGTTGGTTTTGTTTTGTTTTTCAGTATCTCACATGATTTAATTACCTTGTCCTGAGTTATATAACTCATTCCTCTTTGTGCTTTGATTTTTCCATCTAGGAATGTAGAAAAGCTTGCTACCTTCAAATGCAGACATATTGTGATAATTGTTGAGCATAATTTAAATACTCTGAATGTCTTAAATGAAAACTATGGAAGTTGAAAATATGAAGAAGCCAAAAGGAGTATTTGACAAATATTACCTCATTAAATCTCAACACCTTCATAAAATAGATGAAGATACAATCCCAATATTAATGAATGGAGACTTTAAGTAACTTAAGAAAACCATACAGCAAGTCTGCACTATGCATTCATTTATACATATGTATGTATAATTGCTTTTGGGTGCCAAAAGATGTTTAAGATAAGTTAAGAAAATTTACAAAAGTAGAAAATAAAAGGTTTGCATTCATCTAAATGCAGATTATGTATAGCACAAATCAAAGTTGTATTCATCTGACATTTTAAGGAAACATTCAGGCTTTCTCTTCTACAAAATGAAAGTTAATTTAAAATTAAATTTGAAAGATAATTTATGGTACTTATTCATTTATTATTTCTTTACAACATAAACAGTTGCACTTTAAGTTGAATTTTGTGCATGTAACCAACTATTGCAAATGTAAATACACATTATCTTTCTTCTGGATAATTGTGAATTTGTACAATATAAGCTATTAAGAGCACATTGTACCTTCAAAGCCATATCAAAATAAACAGTCCATTTTTAATGGTTACTACAAAGGCTCTTCCTAGGCAGTTTCTTTTCATCTTCTTTGTGACATTATCACTGACTGTATTTAGTGAGCCCTTTTGTTAACATCACCACCTCAGCTTGCTCTGCAGTCTAGACTGCAGCTCATGTTCCCAGGAATTTGGAGAAAAGAACTTTGCAACTCTTTCCCTTTATCTCCAAATATAAGTTTCCCTTGCCTGCTCTTAGGGAACTTGTGGGCCAATGAGTAGCAAGCGCTTAGGGAAAAGGGTACTTCTGCATAGGAGAGGACAGGCCATATTGAAAGATGACCCCAGATATTCTTTTATTATTATTATTATTATTATGTTAGACAGAGTTTCACTCTGTCACCCAGGCTGGAGTGCAGTGTCATGATCTCAGCTCACTGTAACCTCCAAGTGATTCTTGTACCTCAGCCTCCTGAGTAGCTGAGATTACAGGCATGTGCCACTATGCTCAGCTAATTTTTTTATTTTTCTGTATTTTTAGTAGAGATAGGGTTTCCGCTCTGTTGGCCAGGCTTGTCTTGAACTCCTGGCCTCAAGTGATCTGCCCACCTTGGCCTCCCAAAGTGCTGAGATTACAGGCATGAGCCACCACGCCCGGCCTCATTCTTGACGAGAAGTGTGAAAGCAAGAGAAGAGATCAGGACATGGAAGATGGAGGGCTTCTCCACTCCTGAAGAGGGCCGCTTCATGCCTCGATGTTAGGGGTCACAGGTTCGATTCCCCAAGATCAGACAAACCCACAAGGCAAACGTCAGTATTAGGACCATTCCCAAGAGAAAGGCAGATGTCTTTTGTATCATTTAGTGTATTGGATTTTGCATGAAATTTCTATATGCTGCTTGGGAATGTAATATCTGATTAAGAATACACAGCTGAGGAAAGTAGTAGGAAAGAGAAGATTTTTTGTGTTTGTTGTCATTTCATATTACAATTACTTTCTATTCCTTGCAGCACAAACTAAATGAGCAGGAAGAGGCAGCAAAAAGCGTACAATGTATTTGTGGGAATTGTAAATGTGGAAGTGAAGACCAGCCTCTGATTTATCAAAGATCATTAAATGAATTAAAACTTTTCCAAATTTCACCTTCAGAAGGTCATCATAGCAAACAAACCTCAGTTTGCAAGGCCAGTTTTAAAGAAGGCAGAACCCAGCAAAGCAAGCGTTTCAGGCTCTGAATAACGCTCAAATTCATCACAAACGTGCTGGGAATTTAAAAAGGAAGTTTGTGTTCTCATTGATTACATAACTAATAATTTTATGAAGCCTGTTTAAAATACTGATTTTTAAAACAGTGGTTATAATGTCAACTGGTTACACAGTGTCCATTTGTGACAATAAATGAAAAAGTGTAAGCAAGCGTGTGCTTGTGTGTGTTTACAAATGAGACTATCTTTGCCAGTGGACCGTTCCAATATGAAAAACATCCATACATTGTATTATGTAAACACAATCAAGGGGACCCATCATACCAGTGGTGGATGTGTAACCTGTATTTTCTTGGCACATAAGGTTCCACCAAGACTTCGATCTTCACAACATTACAGCTCCGAGCTGTCCCACGTCCCACCAGACCCTGTCCCCTTCTCTCCACTCATCCAGCGCGCCCACATGCGCGCGCGCGCATACACACACACACACACACACACACACACACACACACACACACACACGGGACTCAAGAGACAGTACACTCGGGAGATGAGTACAGCTTGCTTCTCTGCGGTCACCCGAGCACTGCAGGCTCACTTTACCTCTCGCCCAGGGAGGATGCCGGCTGCCGCTGCCCTCCGTCTCCACGGCTGTCCCCTTCTGGTTCAGCAGACTGGGGCCCTCGGTGTTTTCAACAGGTACCATGGTCACGTAGAAGTTACAGCCGCTTCCCCGCCACCAAACCGCCCCGACCACCCCCGCTCCCAGGAGTGGTCACTTTCCCCATAATAGCATGCTAAAGAAGAGTGTGGGGAAAAACTTCGGGCAAAGCTAATGTGATTTGTGACCAACTTTGTTTCTATTTCCGAAGGCTTTGCCCTTTTCGGTGACACAGGCTGTTGCTATTCCAAGCAGCCTATCACAGGCAGGGGGAGGGCCGTGAGTCAGAGGATTGTTTTTGCCTTTAGATGCAGAGTTGGAAGCAAGGGGTTAAAAGAAAGGGAACTCAGACGGAGTGTTTGGCCATTAGCTAAGGGTAGCTCTTGTATTCTAGCACCTTTGAAAAGAGGCAGAGAAAGGAAACATGCAGATTTAAATGCAAGCTGAGAGTGGGGATAGAATACTCACAGATGGTATCAGTTAATCTTGCAGAAAGAGGAACAATTTATGCAAAGACATACCAGAAGGAAAAGTGTGTCAATTTTTCAGCAAGACTGTTATTCCAAAAGTCATGGTATTTACCAGCTTACACAAAGCATAAAATACCTTTATTGTTTCAACCTGATTTTGGTCTAGGTAAAGGCCTATATCTTTCTCTCCAAGGCCTTTCAGATAAATCACAGCCTGAGACCAAAAATACACAAACTCAGAATGCACAGATTCTTTAGACTTTTTATATGCTGAGGTTATAGCAAAGTAATCCATTTCTTAATGCAGAATTGTCTTTAAGAGACAAATTAACACTGAATCCTCTGTTAGGTTTCATGTTTGCGTAGGTAGGAGGAGGATACTCCTCACTCAGAGAGGCCAGACTAAGTGGCCCATTGTGTGCGTGTGGTGGACATGTAATCTCAAACAAAATCAGGTCATGAGAGAGGATCTTTTTCTGATTTGTGAACATATTTATAAAAAAGTCTTACAGGGTTATGACATTTTACCTTCAGTTATTCATTCAACAAATCATGTTTATTAAAAAAAAAAGCCTTATAGAGGAAATTGAGATCATCTTAAAAATCATTTGGAATAAAAACTAACATGTGTGGAGCACTTATGTGCCAGAAATTGTGCTAAGCGCAATAACGCAGATGATGACTTTGAGGCAGGTACCAACATTATAGAAGAGGAAATGGAGGTTGGGTAACTTGGCTACAGTCTCACAGCTAATCAGTGGTAGAGCTGAGATTATGAATCCAGGAGGTCTAAAGCTGTAACTCTCCTATATTCTAACTTCCCAGCCTTGTCCTTCTCTAATTTTCTTGGCTTCCTATGGTTTCAGACCTACTCGACTTTAAGAAGATGCCGTGAAATATGGCTTTTAGTCATAGGCATTTCTCTGGACAGAAAAACAAATTTGTGCTTGTATAAGCAGAAGCTAAATTTTTGTTACTTCTTTTCAACATTTTAACTGAATCACTTCAAAGTTCTAAATTCACTTATTTGTACATTTCCTTTGCTTGTCATTAAATAATTCTATATTTTTCTTATCTTTCAGGGAAACAGGTAGCAAATGGAAACAAACCTATAATAATTCAACTAGTCTTTATTATGTACCCGTTGTATGTCTGCTGATAGTGCTAGAAAATGGAAGTCCTCCAGGCATAATCCAGGCCCCTTATGATTAAGAGGGTGAGAAGTTCAGAATCCCACACATCAGTGTCCCCACTAAAGAATGTGTAACGCAACCATGGTTTGAAACAACTCATTTTATTTGTTCCCAGGGTGCATTATAATTATATAGGAGTCCCAGTTTCTATCTGTGAGACACATATGTTTCCCATAAGTTCTCTATATTCTCTTGGCTTCTAACTTCTTTCTGCTCAGAACCAATGACCTCATTAGGGGGAAAATGTTCTTGCAATGGGTTAGTTGTATCATTGCTTTGTTTCGTGATCCCACAACCTGTGTTTCTAGCAGCTTCTTGGCCCCATGGGAGTGTTAGAGTGTTTGCTATAGTGCTTGACTAGACAGAAGACAAAACTAATTCCAGAATACTTTACTATGGTTAAAAGCAGTTCAACAGTTCTCACTCTGTTTTGTGTAGCCAAACCATACAGGAGATCCACAGGCATAGTAAGCCAACCAGGAGTCAAAAAGAATGCTCAGCAATGCAACTGACAACATCACCTCCTGGTGCTCCTAATTCTGTTCTTTATTCTGCTGGTGACCTGACCGGGGCCACTGGCTATCTCAAGCTCTGTTTGTACTTACCTCAATCTCTTAACTCAGAGAAAAGTTTAGGGGAGAAAATTTTTTTCACCCAGACTAGAGGGGGGAAACTCTGCCTCAATTCTGTTACGAACCCTGTACTTCTCCTTCCCAGCCTTTTGCACACCATAATGTATTTAATACAGTTAAATGCGGTGATTCAATTAAATCTGCCTTTTCTGCTAGATTGCAAACTCTATGAGAGTATGGACTATGTTTGTTTAGTTTATTATAGTATTCTGCGTGTCTGGCACTCAGCAAATACTCAGTAAGTATTTGCTGGCTGACAGACTGATCCCTGTAAATCCAATAAACTTTAGCAACACTAGAATGTATGCTCCAAGAGGGCAGGCACCTATTTCTATCTTGCACATTCGTCCAGCTCCTAACACAATGCCAGGCATGCAGTAGACACTTAATAAATATTTGTTAGATAAATGAGTGCTCACAAATAGAGCTTTTAGTGACTAAATAACTATTTAGTTTTTAAATATTAAAATCCATATGATGATTGCCTATGACATTTTGTCCTTCCTCTCTGTTTCTGCCAATTCCTTTAGACCAAGTATAACCACAGGCTATCCATCTTCCCTGGAGTTTGAGCCACTTCCATTATTAAAATCTGTTCCTCCACTCAAGGAATTCATAATCAGCAGACAGCAGACAGTTCATTCTTCATAACCCCAATAATTTTGCTACATACCACTTTGGACCACTGCTCATAGGCAATGCTACCAAATCCAAAAACACCTATCCTGACTTATAAACTGGCACAGCGGGGAAGAGGGGATGAAAGACAAGCAGCTTCACAGGGCTCGTAAACATCTACCATAGAGCATGCCTATTTTCATGGCAATTTTTTAAAAGCTTCACAAAAACCTTGTGAAGTAAATACCGTTACTTCCATTTTGCAGAAACTGAAACCGAGAAGTTTATGAAACATTTCTAAGATCAAAACATTTTCCAATGTTGAATTATAAAAATTTGAATCCCACAGGAAAACCTACACTCGACATTTTACCATGCTTGCTCATTCACATCTATATATAACAATTCTTCCATCCATCAGTCGATCCGTATTAGTTTTTATACATATCAAAGTAAGTTGAAATACTTCAGAATGCATATTATTAAATAGAGTTCAATACTAGGTTCTTTTTTTCAAGACAAAAAAGCTCCAGAAGCAACCAATTTTCTGATATTTTTCCACATAGATTACCTTTGCTTGTTCTAAACCTTAATTCATATAATGGAACCACAGAGAATGCAGCCTTGTGTAAGGAGTCTTTCACTGAGCATAGTTTTGATATCCATCCATGTTTTTATGTATATTAGTAGTTCATTTTGTTTATTGCTGAATAGTGTTATATGGGTGAATACACCACAGTTTATCCATTTTCCTATTGATGGACATCTGGGCTGTTTCCAATTCTTTGCTATTACACATAAAACTGTTATGAGCACTCTTGCACAAGTCTTTTTATGCAGAACATAACATTTCAGAGCACAGCAGTTCAAGTCCATTTGATTCCAAAACCCAAATGCTTTTCACTACACCGTATTGTTTCCCTGCAGTGCACCCTGCAGTGCACATTGATGTGGAATGCACCTTCTACAATGGTTCATTACAGTGTAAACACAAATGGGAAAATATGGTCTTTATGCAAACAAAAAAATTCCAAATACAAATTCACTTCTTGTTTAGCCTAATTGCAATAAAATATTCATCTTGGTATGATTGTTTGGAAGGATGTTTATTATTTCACTGTTTATACTATCTAAATAACTTCTCTATCTGAAAGTTTTCATTATGACTTCTTTCCTTAGGTGTAGAATATTATCACTCATAACATGTTGATTAAAGTTCCTCAAATTACAAAGTAAGTGTGGTTAAATTTATTATGGTATGTTCACTTGCTATAACATGTGATAAATCATTAAAAGAAAGACAATGTAGCAATGCAAGAAAATGTTTTTCCAATTATTTTAAGTGGGAGAATCAAAGTGGCATACAGAAAGTTGCATACTCATTACTATTACAATACTTTCTTAAAATATATGCGCCTATTGGTAGAGACTGGAAGGAAACTTGGAACAACTGAAAATAACTAATAGGTTGAGGTGGTAAATCATGTGTAAAAAGTACTGTCTTAAAAGTTGTTTGCTTAATGCTTCTATCAGATTGTATATATAATAAATATAAATTTGAAGAAAACTTCTTCATACTTAGGGCTGCCATATACCATTGTGCAATTTGGACACAGTACAACTCTAAGTGGGTCATTCTCATTTGCAGACAGCAGAAGTTTGCTTATTTATAAAGCAAATCTTCCAGAATATGACAATACTAACCTGAAGAAAGGGCAGCTTTTTCTAATTTGCTCAAAGGTACATTTGGGCAACTGATGGGGCTGTTCAAATTATCATCTCCCTTTAAATCACACCAATGTCATATCTATTAGTTTGGCCCATGTCTGTCTTTGTACTGCCCAGCTACGTGGAATGAGCACTGTTCTTCCTTTGATTAGCTATTTTTCCAAATAAAGTATTTTTAACTTAAAAATCTCTCTCAGTCCGATTGCCATGACCCTTGGATGGAGGGCATTAACAAAAAGCTGTTCAATGATTAAACCTTTCCTTGAGATTAACCTGCCTTTGATACCATGAAGTCAGAAAAAGTTGCTTGATCATACATGACAACAAGCAGTAGTTATTGGGTTGGGAACTCTGGTCTGCTTTCATTACATGTCCCTTGTTTGCCAGACAATAAGGAGGGCACTGCACAGAAAATGACTACTTTCCAAGTTTAAATAATCTGAATAACTCAGGGAAAATCTGGAGCAGAAAGCTTACTGAAATGCGAAACCTTGTGCTCAGCTTCTGAAGATGAACTCATTATATTTCAGCTCAGGTGGACATGTTAGAGCTTGTCACGGGCTTTTATTTTCTTCTAGGCTGCCCAGGATCAGAAGATCCTTCCTGTGTTGGGAATCCCCCTCTGCAAGGAAGAACCTGTCTCCTAAACAGAAGCTGGAAAGGCCTGATACTCCCTTTTCTCTTAGGACCAGGCTCTGCCAAGCAGTTCATGCACCCTGGATTTTGCATCAGAAGCTGTAGCACAAAGTAGCAGGATCTACAGGCCCCACCTTCCAGTGAGGATGGTGGCAGTGGCTCTGGCCAAAATATTTAATGTCAGAGTTGCTAGATATACACTGTTAGGTATGTGCTCAGGGGTGGCTAGATTAGCTCAAAGCAGGATTTGGGGAGTTATTCTTGACTACAGTTTCCAAGTTGGAGTTGGTTTCTGTTGCTTTAAACCAAGAACTAGGAATGACACCAGACTCAACTAGATAAGTCCTTTTTCATGTGTGCAGAAGCAGATTAATCAGGAAGCTAATGAAGTTTAAGCTGCAGGGCCCCTCACCCACACCAGCCCTTCCAAGACCCTGGGAGGCACCCAGCAATGCATTTATATAATGATATGTTTTGTAAAATTTGCTAAAATGAAATAACTGCAATCAGTTAAGACCACTAATGCTTTGCACCTGGCCAGCAACATCTTGTTTCCTTTGTGTCATGTGACATAAGGGTGGCCATGGAATATTTGGGATCTGACTTAAGATCAGTGAAGTTAGAAAAAAAATTTTTTTTTGTATTTTTTTTTTTAGACAGAGTCTCACTCTGTCACTCAGGCTGGAGTGCAGTGGCACAATCTTGGCTCACTGCAACCTCTGCCTCCCGGGTTCAAGTGGTTCTCCTCCCTCAGCCTCCTGAGTAGCTGAGATTACAGGTGCACACCACCATGCCCAGCTAATTTTTTTTTTTTTTTGTATTTTTAGTAGAGATGAGGTTTCACCATGTTGGCCAGGCCATTCTCAAACTCCTGACCTCAAGTGATCCACCTGCCTCGGCCTCCCAAAGTGCTGGAATTACAAGCGTGAGCCACTGTACTGGGCCTGGTTTTGGTTTCTCATGGATAGTTCACAAGCACTTAACTAATATAGAGTTAAGCCCTCACTAGCTCTCTTGGAATAGAAAAGACTTCCAGGAATTCTCTTGCTCCTCACTATGCCATCTCATGCCGTGCATATCCCACATTATCACTCACGTGGCACAAAGATGGAAAAGCACAGGGCTAGAGGCTATCTCTCAGTGTGAACTTGTCCTACAGCTCCCAGGGCCATGGCAGAGGGCCATGCTAGAGGACAGACTGGGTTCTTTTATTTTCTTTATATAGAAAGTAATGTCACAAAAAAATTGTGTTACAAAAAAAAGATCAAAATGTGTGCAATCAAAAAATGAAGGGAAAAAAGTATTATGGAAGTGTATCAGGTAATTCCTGGATTATGCAATTTTTGTAATGCTTGGCAGCTTTTTATCATTTGTAATTTACTGCCAGGCATGATAGCTCATGCCTGTAATCCCAGCACTTTGGGAGACCAAGACGGACAGATCGTTTGAGCCCAGGAGTTTGAAACCAGCCTGGACAATATGGTGAAACTCTTTCTCTACAAAAAATACAAAAATTAGCTAGGCATGGTGGCACATGTCTGTAGTCCCAGCTGCTTGGGAGGCTGAGGTAGGATTGCCTGAGCCTGGGAGGCAGAGTTTTCAGTGAGCTGAGCTCATGCCACTGAGCTGAGATCACACCACTGTACCTCAGCCTGGGTGGCAGAGCTAGATAGACCCTGTCTAAATTTTTTAAAAATTGTAATTTATCAAAATAAATATTCACCTTTTTTTTTTTTTTTTTTTGAGACAGAGTCTCACTCTGTCGCCCAGGCTGGAGTGCAGTGGTGTAATCTTGGCTTACTGCCAGCTCCCAGGTTCACGCCATTTTCCTGCCTCAGCCTCCCAAGTAGCTGGGACTGCAGTCACCCGCCACCATGCCCGGCCAAATTTTTGTATTTTTAGTAGAGACAGGGTTTCACCATGTTAGCCAGGATGGTCTCGATCTCCTGACCTCGTGATCCGCCCGCCTCGGCCTCCCAAAAAGCTGGGATTACAGGTGTGAGCCACTGCACCTGGCCTGTATTCTTATTTTTTAAAACAGAGCCCCCAAATTTTATAAACATCAGGCCCCACAAAACTTGGTTCTGCCCCTATGAATATGTTGGAGAAGTATAGTTCTTTCCAGATGACCATGTTTACTAAAAACCTTGTACCTCCATTCAGTCCTCCTCATCCCCATTACCACCCTCTAAATCCGGGCCACCTTATAATCTCCCACGGGAAGAGCTGCAATAGCCTCTAACAGGTCTTCCTGTGGGCATTCTTGCTTTCCTAAGCCCATTCTCCACAGTGGTGCCAAGATTTTTTCTAAAATCTAAATACTTAAATGGCTTTCAGTTGTTTTAAACTTTTCTCCAACTTCTAGTTGTTCTTAGGGTTGATCTAAATTTCTTCATGAGGCTTAAAATGCCCCACAGGGTCTTGCATGGGCTGATCCCTCCAGGTCCATCTCTTGCCACTTCCTGACTCGACCTCTGCAATCTGGTCCCATCATGAACTATATGGTGGAGATGCCAATCATCGCCTCCTTGACCTGATATTCTTTTAGACAGTCTTGTCTCACACTTTATTGTGGTTCCCATCTCCCCACCCGCTCCTGTCCCCCACCAGCCTCCAGCAAAATTAAATTAACCAGGAGTAGATGTCTCATGCTCAGGGAGCCGATAGGACAGGCTAGGGTCCTCTCTTTCAGATCCTTTTTCTCTCTGATTAGGTTAGGGGTTGTTATATCAATTGTAGTTCAGTGCAGGAACTTCAAGTAGGAAGAAATTTAGCACAGAGAATTGGGTGCTTATATTTTCACTGGAAAGCCTGAAAGATTCCAAGCATTCAGGAATGACTCCCAGAATAATACAGAGCTGACTCATCAGCTGGGCTCCTACATCTGAGCTGCCCAATGGAGCCATGAGTTCAGGAATGCATTGTTTAAACCCAGAGAGCAGACCATTTCTGCTCCCATACCTGCATTCTCTAGGAAGCTATAGATACTGGAATGTCACCTCAGGAAAATCTCGTATCTGCCTGATTCCCTAGGATAGCAGAAACTCCCCAAAGAGGAAAACAAAAAGAAAACAAACACACTCCCTTCATATTCATCTTCGTGCAGGTGCATCTAACTGATATCTACACCCCTACTGCAAGGAAACCTGGGAAATGTAGCTTTCTAATCAATCTCTCCAGTGGGAGGGAAGGCAGGATGGAAGTTGAGAGGGCCACGCTGCTGTATCCGGCATCATAGTGAATGTTTGTGTCAATAGATCATATGAGCTGGGGCTTCAGGTCTGGGCCCTAGCAGGCCAAAGCTGAAGTTGTAATAGCAGGAGCAAAAGGGACATGCATAATAAAAGAAGCGTGAGTGCTGGACAATGGAAACTCACAGAATGAAGCAGAAGCAGGACTCTATGGCCCCACGACAAGGGTCTTGGCTTTGGGTTTTCTGTGAGGCCTAGCTGTGGTGTTTTTTGTTTGTTTGTTTTTTGACGAAGTTTCACTCTTGTTGCCCAGGCTGGAGTGCAATGGCGGAATCTCAGCTCACTGCAACCCCTGCGTCTGGGATTCAAGCAATTCTTCTGCCTCAGCCTCCCAAGTAGCTGGGATTACAGGTGCCCACCACCGCATCCACACCTGGCTAATTTTTTGTATTTTTAATAGAGACGGGGTTTCACCATGTTGGCCAGGCTGGTCTCGAACTCCTGACCTCAGGTGATTCACCCATCTCGGCCTCCCAGAATGCTAAGACTACAGGCATAAGCCACCACATCCGGCCCTGGCTGTGTTTTACACTTGCCCTTCTATGCTGAGGGACTGACTGATATCCTCTTTTCTATCCCCGCTCACTCCCTATCCATCCCCATTTGCAAGGCACTTCTGTCTTCTCTGACCTTCCCTCCCCCGGGGCTGGGCCAAGTGCTCTCCTCTCTGCTCCCAGGGCACATATTGCTCTCACAGACGGAGCATTAAACAGAGAGTGCTGTGATAATTCACTAATCTGTTTTCCCTATTAGTGTGTCAACACCATGAGCACAAGGTCGTGATCACCTTGTTCATACTCCTTCAGAGTTTGGCATGGTGTCTGAAACCTTGAGTTGCTCACTAAATATGTATTTAAAGAAATCCAGGAGAAAAGGAGGAAGAAGAAAAGGGTATACACAATCAAACTTCTGATCAACCTTATGTTGTTTCATTGCAGCATCCTTTTGAAAGTAGGTTCTAGGCCTAGTCTTGGTTCTAATTCTGGCTGTACCACTTACAAGCTCTAGAACCTCTTTAATGCCTCAGTTTCCTTTTTTCTAATAGATAAGGACAACAATAGCAGCCATCTCATAAGCTTCTTGTGATGATTAAATGAATTAATATATAGAAAGTAATTAGAACAGTATCTGACCATAGTCATCTGCAATAAATGATAGCTGTTGCTGCATCCAAGGGACTCCATAGAAGTATATAGTAATAATAGAAAAAATGCTGGGACAGGGCACAGTGGCTCACACCTGTAATCCCAGCATTTTAGGAGGTTGAGGTAAGTGGATCACTTGAGCCCAGGAGTTCAAGATCAGCCTGGACAACATAGTGAAACCCCATCTCTACAAAAAATACAAAAATTAGCCAGTTGTGGTGGTGCATGCCTGTATTTCCAGCTACTCAGGAGGCTGAGGTGGGAGGATCACTTGAGCCTGGGAGACAGAGGTTGCAGTGAGCCGAGATTGCACCACTGCACTCCAGCCTGGGCAACAGAGTGAGACCCTGTGTCAAAAAAAAAAAAAAAAAAAAGAGAAAGAGAAAAAATATTGGTTCAGGAGTAAGAGAATATAAATTCTAATGTTGGAACTTTATTATCCATGACTTTGGGCAAGTCTTATAATCCCTTTAGGTCCAGTTTCATCATCTCTAACACAGGGAGACATATACTTGCCTCATACAAAGCTGTCAACTGCTTGCCCAGAAGCAAAGCTTTCTCCTCTTGGCAATATTCCTGTAATTTTTTTATCAGGGTCAGGGCAGGGGGGATTGCATATTGCATGCGGATTTGATGTACTTGTCAATTAATGTTTACCACTCTCTACCTGCAATGACAATTAGATACTCTATCCCTAAAATGTTAGTCTTGAGAGGTAGCATTAGACTACACCCGAATAGAACAGCCATTCCCAATGGCAGAACTCAAAAAAGACCATCTATTTATCAGTTTCTATGTCATGTTTCTCCTGAGCTATTCTGTTTTTTCCCCGAGACAGTTCTTCTTATTTCAGTTCTATGAACCAAAGGCCAAGCAACAAATTCATTTTTAGCTAGTGTTACCCAGAGTGCAAAGATTCCCTAACATAAACTCTCTCAAAGGATTTTAGTTAAGAGAAAATCAGTTGAAGTATTTGAAAACATCTTAAAAACTATTAAGGTGCTATATAAATATGAACCGTTCACCAAGGCAACAGCAACAGCAACTGTAGAAGAGAATCAAGTTAATGCTTAGTCCATTTGTTTATCCATTCAAACCATGCTCTCCCTTTCTAAATAAGGATAGAAGCAGCATATGACAGGAGACTGGCAACTGAAACAGTGGTGAAAAACCAGAAAGGTCCAGGCATCTCTAGTTACAATAGCATGGCCTGACTCAGCATTTCATAGAGGCCCATACACAACTGGAGCCCCCTGGTGAGATCTTTTAACTCCCAGGTGAAAATCTGGGGGCTGCCCTTACCTCCCAGGAGTGGTGAGATAGCTGCCAGGAGAAGAAAGTGCAAGTGTAAAGGATTGAGGTATATTTCCATTCTTCAAGCTCCATCTTCAGAGAGGCTACTCCATGAAATGGCATTTGTCAAAGTTGCGATCCTTCTCTCCCTGTTGGGAAAGAGAGCCGATACTGGAAAGCTGAGAGAATCAGCTTCAGCATGAAAATAGGACGGGACTTGCTAGGACAGAGCTTCCAAACTCATCTTCTGCAGAGCTTGTATGACCACTGAGATGTTAATAGATATTCTGTGGAATTAAAAAATGAGGAGGCTGTTTCATCATTCAAAAAGTTTTGAGAAATTCTTCACATTATATGCTGTTCTCAGGACATAAAAAAAGTTTCATGTCTAAGAAATTTTGCTGTATACATGTGTAAACAGTTTTAGCGTAGATTTCCTCGCACTTTTAAATTTTGGATTCTTAATTTCCCTGTCCCCCCTGCCCCCCCCCCAAAAAAAACCTGCTAACGTTTAAACGAACACAGTTTGGGAAATCTGCGTTAAGTCCTTCGTGGGAGTGGGGTTGCTCAGCTCACAGTAGGCCACGAACCTGAATTTTCTCTTGTCTGCTGCCCCCTTTTGATAGATGGAGGGAAGAGCAGGCTTCCAGTGCAATGGACAGAAGAGGGAGCCTGCAAGTTGGTAACAGAGTCTATTAGGGAAAGAGAGAGTCACTTGAATCCTCAGAGCTGCTCCTGTCAACTGCTTTGTGCAGTTTTTGTGACTTATTAGCTGCTTGTTTGCACTCTATCTACGCCTGCCCAGGTGTGTTTGGGCCCTAGAGCGAAGGGAGCACAGGCGTTCATTTAGAAACTTATCCCTCCGTCCAAATATTGGATGCTTACCATGTGCCTGGTGCAATGCAGGGTGATACAAAGAGGAAGATAAGTGAGGCATTCTTATCGAAGGACCAGACACTCTTCCAGCCTGACTATATTCATTACACTCGTGCCTGACCTTTCTTTGACTCTAAGATTCTTCCTTTCTAAATGTGAATCTTAAAGACTGAAGTCTTTGATCTAAGACTGCTTTCTTATCACATCACATCCAACAACCAACTTTTCACAGCTTCCCAGATCCCAAATTCTGTTTAGCAAGGACACTTGGATTTTTTTGTTTTTTGTTATAAATGACCTCTTCAGGTTCATATTTTCACTATGTCCAGAATTCTTATTTTATTCTGTTTTGTGCTGACATTGGAGGCAGAGTCTGTGTCACAGAATACACCACTAGGGGTTACCCTGGACATGGAAGGGTATTCACTCGGGGAAGAAATTTTAATGGAATTTTTAATATCTAGAGCTGTCATTATCCTGTGATGGTTCACAAGAAATGGAACACTTAAAAATTTCTACAGAAAAAAAGGAAAATGTCATGAGGCAGTTTTTAGTACTTCCATCCCTTTCCTGGCTGCTCTAACTTTACAGGTACTTGTAAGTGGCAATTAAGCACTTTTTCCTAATTCCAGAGTCTTGCCCCACTTCAGAGCAACATAGAGTGGCCTAGACAGGCTGAGGTACTTTGCCGCTTCAGTCATCATTAATCTATGGTATTTACTGATGAGAAGTAAAGTGGTAGAAGAAAAAAAAATTTTCTGTTATCCTGGGCACTTGGAAATGAATGTATTCTCACAATCTGTTCTCAAAACAACTTACTGATTCTGGGGTTCTGGAAGCTCTGATGTGCAGGTGAGCCTTTTAAATTCCTCACTGTTGGAGCTCCTATCTAGGACTCACTGGCTGGATGAAAACGGTTCTTTTTATTGCTTTCTGAATGTCTGCTAGACAGGCGTAAGCAACACCTTATATCTGCCTTCTGAAAAAGGTAAAAGAACTGGGACCCATCCACCATGCTGGACAGCTCGGCAGTGGCAGTGGCCTCCCCCAGACCCTGTTCCGAGTGCTCCACCAACAAACTCACCAGCAGTCAGAGTCTAGCCTCTCCCCAAACTTCACCTTCATCACAATTCATTTTAAGCCCTTCCACAACCCAATCAACTCTAGATCTACTTAATGGATAATAATTTGATCTCATGCAAACTGCACTTTCCTCTTCTCAGAATGATCCTTCTACCCCTTAATTAAACATTTGAGAGTGAAAGAAGAGAAAATTCGGGTTCAAAGATTGGTAAGTCTAAGAAACCTAAGGAAAAGGAGTTAGTAAACATGTTAATCAAAGAGTGAGCACTTTTCGGAAGCGCAACATTCAGATACCTTTCTTGATTGGATTCCAGAAGACTATTTCTGGGAAGAGGAGATTTGCATTTTTCTAAAGTCTTCTACCCACAGCCTAACCACCCTAGGGCTTTGAAATATTTTTTTTCTGATGTGCAGTCATAATTGAATAAATAAAATGATTCCTGATCATTTCTTCTCTTCAGCTTTATAATGACATCACTAGGAATCACAACATGTAAGGATTGAAAGTGACCTCAGAGACTCTAGTTCAGCGCCCCCTTTTGACAGGTAGAGAAATTGAGCCCCCTCCATGGTTAAGTGGTTGGCCACATGGTGACTTACTCAGTGGCTTTAGTTTACAAAGCAAACCGCTAATTATTAGGTAGTAGAATTACTACTTTCATGTTATCTTTAATTTTTAAAATTATCAAAAAACATTAGTTAAGTCTGTATCACTGGTGCTGCAGAACCTGAACAGGTGCTGCTGTGGCCTGGGCCCTACAGATGCAATTCTCACATTGCCCCACCCTGAGAAAGGACCGACAAGGGAATCTGCTTGTCCAAGTTCGAGGGGTTGGTGAAGAATAGGACAAAGGCCGGGCACGGTGGCTCACGCCTGTAATCCCAGCACTTTCAAAAGCCTAAGTGGGCGGATCACCTGAGGTCAGGAGTTCAATACCAGCCTGGCCAACATGGTGAAACTCTGTCTCTACTAAAAATACAAAATTAACCAGGAGTGGTGACACACACCTGTAGATCCACCTACTCGGAGGGCTGAGACAGAAGAATCGCTTGTACCCGGGAGGCGGAGGCTGAAGTGAGCCGAGATCATGCCACTGCACTCCAGACTGGGTGAGACAGAGCGAGACTCCATCTCAAAAAAAAAAAAAAAATAGGACAAAGATGAGTATCAAACACCACTAAATATAAAATATAATCTTATCATTCCTTATCCTCAATGATACTTTCCATTTTTTTCTGTACATGGCAAAACATTTATACACCATAGTAGGCAGTTAAAAATGTATAGTATATTCACATTTGCCACCATCAGGGAACTAGATAATGAGTTAATTTTTTGATGACCACTCTGAAATTTTATTTTAACTATTCTAATTAATATGCCTTAGTTAACATATGGTAGGAACCAGAATGAATATCTTCTGGATTACTCTGAGTAGTGAGTATATTGTGTTGTCATACAATGATGTCCTGAAGAGTAACTGATGTGTCAAATACAGTCACCTTTGCTCCTTCTCTCAGTTGCTTCTGGCTGATGGTCCTTGTGATGGTTAATATTGCATGTCAACTTGATTGGATTGAAGGATACAAAGTATTGATCCTGGGTGTGTCTGTGAGGGTGTCGCCAAAGGAGAGAAACATTTGAGTCAGTGGGCTGGGAAAGGCAGACCCACCCTTAATCTGGGTGAGCACAATCCAATCAGCTGCCAATGCAGCAAGAATATAAGCAAGCAGAAAAATGTGAAAAGAGAGACTGGCCTAGCCTCCCAGCCTACATCTTTCTCCCATGCTGGATGCTTCCTGCCCTCAAACGTTGGACTCCAGTCTTTAGTTTTGGAACTTGGATTGGCTCTCCTTGCTCCTCAGCCTGCAGGCAGCCTATTGTGGGACCTTGTGATCATGTGAGTTAATACTTAATAAACTCCCCTTTATATATATCTATTCCATTAGTTCTGTCCCTCTAAAGAACACTGACTAATACAGTCCTCAACATTGTGCTCATTTACACCATGAAAGAACTTGAAAAACTCTCTTTTTTCTCTCTTTTTTTTTCTTTTAGAGATGGAGTCTCACTCTGTTGCCCAGGCTGGAGAACAGTGGTGTAGTCTTGGCTCACAGCAACCTCCGCCTCCTTGGTTCAAGCAATTCTCCTACCTCAGCCTCCTGAGTAGCTGGGATTACAGGCACACACCACCACCCCCGGCTAATTTTTGTATTTTTAGTAGACACAGGGTTTCACAATGTTGGCCAGGCTGGTCTCAAACTCCTGGCCTCAAGTGATCCACCCACCTCGGCCTCCCAAAATGCTGAGATTACAAGCGTGAGCCACCACACCTGGCCAAAAAACTCTTTTTTTTTTTTTGAGACGGAGTCTTGCTCTGTCGCCCAGGCTGGAGTGCAGTGGCGCGATCTCGGCTCACTGCAAGCTCCGCCTCCTGGGTTCACGCCATTCTCCTGCCTCAACCTCCCGAGTAGCTGGGACTACAGGCGCCCAACACCATGCCCGGCTAATTTTTTTGTATTTTTAGTAGAGATGGGGTTTCACCGTGTTAGCCAGGATGGTCTTGATCTCCTGACCTCATGATCCGCCCCACTCAGCCTCCCAAAGTGTTGGTATTACAGGCATGAGCCACCGCGCCCGGCCCCAAAAAACTCTTTAAAAACTCCACACCTCTTCACACATTTTAAAGATGGCATCTAAATATTTTACCATAAGTTAAAATAGTTGCAGAGTCTATATTTTCCAAGGTACTGTATAATGCATATTCCTTTATTATATGCGTCAAAGCAAGGAACTACAGATCCAATCTGTAGATAACATCTGCTACATATGCTAATCGGCCTCAGTGTCAAACCAAATGTCAAATAATACTTATTTTCCACCAGCAAATTTTTAAGTTCAGATAAAAACATACATGTGCATCTTCTGTGACAGTATTCTCATTTTTGAATTCTTACTCTAAAATAAATAGATTATAGCTGGAAGGAAGGAAGGAAGGGATGGAGGGAGGGAGGGAGGGAGACTCTCTATGAATTAGAATTTGAGATCTGAAGTTTGCAGGAGGAGCAAACAGGCCCAATCCCCAACTTATACTGAAAAATGGTGAAAAAGCAACTAGATCTATCAATCTATGAAAAACATGGAGGGACCCTACGTGCATATTGCTAAGTGAAAGAAGCAAATCCGGAAAGGCTACATACTGTATGGTTCCAAAGATGACATTCTGGATCAAGTAAAACTATGGAGAGGTTAAAAGGATGAGTGGTTGCTGGGACAAGGGAGGAGGGTGGGATGGAAAGGCAGATCACAGGGGATTTTTAGGGCAGTGAAACTACTCTGGATGATACTATAATGGTGGATACATGTGTTTAAACATTTGTCAAAATCCACAAAATATACAACACCAAGGGTGAACCCTAATGTGAGCTCTGGACTCTGGATGATAATGATGCATCAATGTGGGCTCACTAATGTTAACAAATGGACGACTGGGAGTGGTGGCTCACGCCTATAATCCCAGCACTTTGGGAGGCTGAGGCGGGCAGATCACCTGAGGTCGGGAGTTCGAGACCAGCCTGACCAACATGGAGAAACCCCATTTCTACCAAAAAATACAAAATTAGCCGGGCATGGTGGCGCATGCCTGTAATCCCAGCTACCGGGGAGGCTGAGGCAGGAGAATCGCTTGAACCCGGGAGGCGGAGTTTGCGGTAAGCCGAGATTGCACTATTGCACTCAAGCCTGGGCGACAAGAGCGAAACTCCATCTCGAAAAAAAAAGGACTTCTCCGGTGGGGGAGATTAATAAAAGAGATTGTGCATGTGTAGTTGGGGTGGGTGGTATATGGAAAATCTTTGTACTTTTAGCTAGATTTTGTTGTGAACCTAAAACTACTCCAAAAAAATAAAGTGTATTTAAAAAAACAAAAAAACTGGACTAGATTTGACCAGGCTCAATCTGAACTAGTCCATCGATGTCTTGCAGGTGGTGTGATACCAGACTAAATCACTCTGGCCTGGGGAACTACAATAATGTACTATAGTGCCAGTAAGACAATGGTGTCTATCACAGGAGACTACTCAGTATACTCTGTCTACTCTGCTGCACATAGTAGACACCGTCGTCTTGCTGGCACCAAATAAGAAGGCCATCCCCTCTGGACTGGGGATGCAGCTCCATGCAGCAAGTGGCAATTGCCATGATCTTCCTGAGAAGGGGCAGATCTGAAAAGCACAAATGAAAATTTCAAGGTTGGGGGAAGAAACTGGGTGGGAAGGGAGAGAAATGTTTCATTCTTTGGGACTTTAGAGAAGAAGGGTTCAAGAATCAGGGTCAAGGTTTCGCCCAGGGAACCGCTGCTGGGAGCCCAGCGGTGAGAGGAGCTGGCTCCTGGACGTGGAGGCAGGCTAGTGGCTGCAGGGAAGGTAACATGAGGCCAGCCCTGGGTCTCTGAACTGAGAGCTGCTGTAAGTTGTTCTCTGTGTCTACATTGGATGTAGATTTGCCAAAGCAAATGGAGGTAAGGCAAGGATCGGTGCAGGTCCTCAGGACAAAAGCTCAGAGAGTTGAGCAGCTGCCCTGCCTTGAAGGACCTCCGGGCAGGCCCTCTCTCCCCCTCTGTAAGTCATTCCTGCTGGTCAGCCCGCTGACTCACAGAAGGGCCCCACAGACTGCAGCTTTTCACCCCTCTTTTTCCTGCACTCCATGTTGTCTACTCCCCAGTCCCCACTTGAAACCTAGGTAGGAACATAAGGCCTTTAAAGAAAGACAGATAAATCAAAATCACCTGTATAATTAGGTAGGCTCTGTGCCTGAGGAAGGGGTGTCAGCCCTTCCCCTGGTGAGTAAAACACACAGACCCATACTTGCACTTTTCAGTAGCCAAAGCAATATTTTTTGCTTAATTTCTGATTTCAGGTCTTTCATGAGTGGGTGACAGCACCAGACATATGTGGTTCAAATATATCTGGAGATTGAAACATTTGAATATAAAGACTCATCGAAGAACATTTTTCCCTCATCAACTTCATGAATATCGTATAAATTCCACATGGATAGTTTATGTAGACATTGAGTGTGCTGCCCTCCCGGGCTCACGGGGAAACCAGGGCTTAGTGTGCCCTGCCTCGGGGCATTGAGCAGCAGATGGGAAGCAGCAGTGACCTGGTGCTGAGAAAACACATCTCCTCCTGGCTTTTGTTTTGCCAAAGTCCAGACTGATGGAGTGGGATTGCTCTGGATTGTCCGACTGACGGGGGGAAGAGAGGCCAGTGCTTGGGTTTGTGTTAGTTTCCAAGGGCTGCATAACAACGCACCACACTCTGGGTGTCTTAAAACAACTGCAATGTATTCTGTCATGATTCCGGAGGCTGGAAGTATAGATTAAAGATGTCAGAAGGTCCCTGCTCTCTCTGAAAATCCCAGGGAAGACCCCTTCCTTGCCTTTTCCGCTTCTGGTGTTTGCTGGCTGTCCTTGGCATTTCCTGGCTTGTAGACACATCCCTTCAATTGCTACCTTCGTTGTCACTTGGCTTTCTCTCCTTATGTCTGTTTCTCCTCCTCTTCTCATAAGGATGCCAGTCACACTGGAGTAGAGCCCACCTGCCTGCTGTATGACATTTTACCTAATTACATCTGCAAAGACTCAATTTATAAATATGGTTTTATTCTGAAGTTTTAGGGAATACATGAATTCTGAGGGACATGATTGATATGGTTTGGCTGTGTCCCTACCCAAATCTCATCTTGAATTGTAGCTCCCATAATCCTCGCATGCCATGGGAGGGACCCAGTGAGAGGTAATTGAATCATGACGGTGGGTTTTTCCCATGCTGTTCTTGTGAGAGTGAGTGAGTTCTCACGAGATCTGATGGTTTTATAAGAGGCTTTTCCCCCTTTTGCTCAGCACTTCTCCTTGCTGCTGCCATGTGAAGAAGAACATGTTTGCTTCCCCTTCCATCATGTTCGTAAGTTTCCTGAGGCCACCCCAGCCATGCTGAACTGTGAGTCAATTAAAACTTTTTCCTTTATAAATTACACAGTCTTGGGTATGTCTTTATTAGCAGCATGAGAACAGACTAATACAACGATTCAATCCAGTGTTAGAGCTAAAGAGTCAGAAGCAACCCCTTGACAAACGGGGCTTTGAGGATTTAGGTAGAAGACTAAGGGTTTTGTGGTACCACAATCTCCAAGGACTCCAACCGTGTTCCCCATGGGGCCCTGGAGGTGCCAGGGCCTGGGTTACCATGGCTATCTGATGCACTAGAGGGGCTTGGACACAAAGCACATGACTACCACCTCAGCAAAAATCCCCGGGCCCAAGTATGGCACCAAAGAAACAAAACCACCCCATAAAGGGACCATGAAATATGTAATGTAGACAGCTCCACCGTGACCACTGTAGATCCATGACCAGAGGCTGCTTCTCAACATTGTGAACCATGTGAAACCTCCACATCATTCCGCAAACCTGGAAGAAATAGAGCCCCAGATGGCTGAGATTGAATTTGCTGTCAACCAGAGTTTATGTGGTTGATTTATAGGAATTCAAGAAATGTGACATTTCTTATACCACATGATGTGGAACAAAATTCATAACAACTACACAAGAGGAATAGTTCCAGGATTTATGTGTATTCTTGGGCAATTCGTGGCTGGTCAAAATCCATAAAATTGTATGCCATAGATTGTTTTGACAAGGCCTTAACTCTTTTGGAGAATTGATTGACAGGGCTGAGTTAGGATTTTCTTAAGTGTTGAGTTGGGACAAACCAGTGGATTTTGAAACAACACTTTTTAAAAACCTGTAAAATGCTTTAGGACTCCTGGGCAAGCACTGAGTGAGATATTAACAAACATGTCAGAAAACCCAAAGACAACTTTACTTGAGTTTATTGGAGTGATGTTGCTATTTATCCCAGGAGAGCATCGTGAAAAGGAAATGACACAGGGGCGACCTTTAAGGCCACTATCTCAGATTCTGAATGTCTCTTAAAAAATGAACTCTTCTCCAGGAATGCAAGGGTAGCCCCAGTGTCTTTCAACGTGGGCACGCTGTTGAAGTTGCAGGCCAAGCAGCAGGAATTGGTGGTCAGGGAAGCCCAAGGTGGAAATCAATCAGAAAATAAGCCACTGCAGGTTCCAGGCTGGGGGAAGTGTGAATATTAAGTAGATGGTACCACAGTGACAGATAATTAGGTCCAGAAATGATGCCAACTGATGAAATATCTCAGATAGATTAGTTTCCTTAGGACTGTTGTAACAAAGCACTACAAACTGAGCAGCTTATAAAATAGACATTTATTGTCTCACAGTTCTAGGGCTACAATTCCAAGATCCAGGTGTCAGCAGAGCCACACTCCCTTGGAGGGTGCTAAGGAAGGCTTCCAGATCTCTCCTGTCTTCAGGTAGTTCCTTGGCTTGTGGCAGCATAATTCCAACCTTCCCATGGTGTTCTCCCTGCATGTATCTATCTCCAAATTTCTACTTAAGAACGTCCGTCATATTGGATGAGAGACCCACCCTAACCCAGTGATTCCCTCTTCTTAACTAATTGTGTCTATATAGATTCTATGTCCAATAAGGTCACATTCTGAGGTACTGGGCATCAGACTTCAATGTATGGATTCTGCAGAGACACAGTTTGAGTGTCTTTGCTTAGGACGATCTTTCTCAGACACTGCACCTGACTCTCTGAGAACTTTAGAAATAGAAGAGGATTTAGGGTCCACTGAAAACCAGAAGACACTTAAGGTCACCTCCCTAAGCATCTACCTAAAAGGTTTTCAGAAAGGATGGGGTCTGTATTTACACTCGGATTCAAGTCTTTGGTACTGAAGGAACTGGCCTGGGAGCTGTAGACCAGGCTTGTGTAAAGCAGGCATGGGCTCATCAACACTGAGTGTCTCGCTCTACTGCACACTCACCCTCCCTCAACTCTATATATTCCCTCTCCACCCCCATGGCTCTCCTTTCCAACAAAGCAGGTGAAGGAGAGTGGGAAGAGCAGGGCAAGGAAGCTATTACTCACTTCCATGAATACAGGAGCTAGACATGGATGGGTTAACTTCAGTAGTCCATGTCTTGCTTGCTGTGATAGATGGGAATTTACCACAGCAACAAAAAGCCCTGACTGCCCTTGTGCAGGCCTTGGGGAGCTTGATGTGGACATCCTTCCATAGGCCTGGAAGCTGAGCATTTAAGGCTGGGTACCCTCTGGTCTGGCCCAGATGTGAATCCCACTTGGTCCTTGAAAAAGTGGCCTGGAATCCAAGTGAAGCAACTGCACCGTGGAGGAGGCCTCCAGTGGTTCCAATGGAGACCAGGAGCCCAGTTTAGTAGGAAGATTCAGAGCAAGCCACTGAAGGTTTACAGAAGCACAATGGCCTTGTTTTTGCTCTTCTGATGGTAGACTGCATCCACTGATGAACCGGCAGCTAGACTGGGGAGATGAGGTGTGTTTATGGTGATCCTGGAAAATCAGGGAGGGGCAGGGAGTGGAAACACTCCAAATAACACTCCAAATGAGGCTTTGCTGGCTCCTTTAGTTTTCCCTTTTACTCCAAACTACAGAAGTCCTAAAATGGGAAGGAGAATGGTGAGAAGGAAGAGGGTACTGGCCTAGTTAGAGGACCAGATTTATTTTGGTCAAAAATTGACGTTTTTCCTCTCCTGATGCCTTTAAACCAAACACTGCTCCCCAAAAGCTGGGGCTTTTTAGGCACTTGACCAGACTAGGAAGATTCCAAGACTGAGATGCACAGTGAGCTTAGGGGTTGCCTCCCCAATCTGGGACTCGGCTCACTTATTGCAGACCCTGTCTCCCATGCCTGGTCCTGAGGACATCTGGAGAAGATCCCTCACCAACCAACAGGTGGCTTCAGGTGGTGGGGGTGAGCATCCTGGGAAACCGGGGCCTGGCCCTCTTGGAGGGACATCAGGGTGGGGAATACATTTTCTTTTCAGAGACTCAAAGATCCTTTGGGAGGTGGGAGGGAAAGATGCGAGATCTCTGTTTGAAAATATCAGTTTGCGTTTAGGTCTTGCTGCTACAGTACGTTTTCCTCTCCTCCCTCCCAGAAGATAGCCTGGCCTTTGTGTTCCCAGCCAGCATGAGGGACGCTTTGTGTGGCTCTGCAGGAAGTATCCGTTGCCAGGCACCCAGAAGACACCCCTCCTCCTGGCTTTTGTTTTGCCTAGGCCTGGGCTGTTGGAGGGGAATTGTGCTGCCTGAGAGGGACAGAGAATGAGTGAGTGCTCAGGGTTGAAAAGACCCACGCAGCTGTAGGGGAGGGAGGTTTTCAAGAGCTCTCCTCTGGAACTAAGAAGGGAATGGGGCTTCTGTGATTTCCACACCTAGAGAAGCAACGCTTTCCCCAACATATCTTGAGTGTTTGGGGGTGGAAGATGGCAGAATCACGGAAGATTGCATTCCGGGTTCATGCAGAATGGCTGCCCCTCCACTCCTCACCCAGTCCTAGTAGAAATTAGAAAAGGAAGCCTTAAGCTGGCCCCCTCACACACAGGGGTGGGTGAGCGGACTGAAGCCTAGATTTCTGTTCCCACTGAATCCTTCACTTACACAAACCTCATCAGCCCACTTCTCTCCACCTAACTCATTGGAGTTATTTTTTATTCTTCTGTGGGATTTTTCAACATGCCTCCAGTTCTCACTATACCACCTCCTGACTTCTATAACTAAATTTATTTTTATATTCTCAATGTTTATAGCCTTTATGGGTTTAGTCTCTCTAGCTCTAATTAATTTATTCATGTCATGTATATATATTTATTTTTAAAACCAGGATTCACCATGCAGCATTTACAATAGTATGATTATAAATCTAGGATTCACTGCAGAACTAAAGTAACGCTGTTGGATAAATAAGGAAATGTACTCACTTGTGACTAAAAGCTGTGACACTAGAAGAAAAAATATGTCCAAATTTTAAAGTCAACAATATATTTTCTTATACTATATCAATTGCACAAAATTATGCCACATTTTATAATAGATTGCTTTATATTTGAACCCTGACTTTCTTTTAGATAAGTTTGTTTTTCTTATAGTTTCTAATTGCCTTTGTTTTTTCCTAGGAGAAGCATAGGGCTTTACCTTTTCACTAATGTCATTTAGCTTCTTAGTGATATTTGTCAAGGTGAATCCACTGATCTTTGACTTCTTGTTTAATTTGAGCAGGTTGCTTTTTAGATTTGCTGCATAATCTTCATGGGTTTGTCTCCCCTTTCTTGTTCTTATACCTTCTTCTTTGGATTCATTTTAAGTTTTGATGAAGTAGATGCTCAATACTTTTTTAGAAGAGTGATTGGTAGAAGACCTTCTGAGCTATGCATGTCTGAGAATACCTTTATATTGTCTTCATGTTTGAGTAATGATGTGGGTTGGCATATAACTCTAAGTTGAAAATAACTTTTCCTCAGAACTTTGAAACCAAGCATCTAGCCATAAGGACAGGAAATTGGATGCCCACCTGATTTTCATTCCTTTTAGAAAAATGATATACCTTCCCTGCTCTGACTCTCAAAATCTCTTAAGCCATTTTATTTATCTATGGTATTCTGAAATTTCATATCTTGATATTAATCTTTCCCCATCTACTAATCTTTCTCAATACGTTTCAATATGAGTTGTTAGATTTTTCTTTACACTTTAGAAATGTTATTGTATAATTTAATTTACTATTTTATCTCCTTTATTTTCTTATTTTCTATTTCTGGAACTCCCCTTGAACAGATTTTGGGTTGATCCTCCATATGTTAGTTATCTATTGCTGCATAACGAATTATGACAAACTTAGCAGCTTAAAAACATGTGCGCGCGCACACACACACACACACACACACTTATTGTCTCATGGTTTCTGTTAGCTGGGTCCTCTGCTGAGGGTCCCAAAAGGCTGCAATGAAGATATAACCTGGGCTGCAGTTTCATATAAAGGCCTAACTGGGGAAGAATCTGCTTCCAAGCTTGGCAGAATTTATTTCCCTACAGCTACAATGGCCCTAGTTCATTGGAGATTATTGACTAGCAGCTGCCCTCAGCTCCTGGAGGCCACCCCCAGATGGGCCTATCAACATGGCTGTCCACTTCTTCAAAGCCAGCTCAGGAAAGGGAATCCTTAGTTCTTGTCTTCTAGTGAGAAAGGGTCTTGTATAATGTAATATAATCACAAAAGTGACATTCTATCATCTTTGTCACAATCCATTAAATAGAAGAAAGTCATGTTCAAGAGAGCTCTCATACAACACAGTGGCTATAGTTAATACCAATGTATTGTACTCCTAAAAATTACTGAGAGTGGGCCGGGCATGATGGCTCATGCCTGTAACCCCAGCACTTTGGGAGGATGAGGCAGGTGGATCACCTGCGGTCAGGAGTTCGAGACAAGACTGGCCAACATGGTGAAACCCTGTCTCTACTAAAAATACAAAAATTAGCCTGGCGTGATGGCAGGCACTTTTAATCCCAGCCACTCAGGAGGCTGAGGCAGGAGAATCGCTTGAACCCGGGAGGTGGAGGTTGCAGTGAGTCAAGATCGTGCCTCTATACTCCAGCCTGGGCAATAAGAGCAAAACTCAATCTCAAAAAAAAAAAAAAAAAAAAAAGACTGAGAGTACATTTTAAATGTCAACAGAAAAACTTAAGTATGTGAGGTAGTACATAGGTTGACTTGGACATTCCACAGTGTTTAAATATTTCAGAACATCATGTTGTACATGATAAATATATACAATTTTATTTGTCAATTATAAATAAGTACATCAAAGAAGAAGTCACAGGTTCTGCCCACACTCAAGAAGAAGGGATTATACAGGGGTATGAACACCAGGAGGTAGGAATCATGGAAGGGCCACCATAGAGTGTATATACTGTACCCCATGTCTCCCAGTCGCCTCCCTCATCCCTAACCTATGCACCTAGTTTTCATTTTTAAACTTTTCTACCCTTTAATCCATGCCCCATAAGATTTCCTCTTTTTTTGAAGTAAGGAGAAAATGACAATACAGTAGTGTGATATCCTGGAAGTCTAGTAATGGACATATTTCAAGGGAGAGGAAGTGGTAAGCAATGTTAAAACTATAGTTTGCTGATGAGTCATGAAAGATAAGGACTGATCATTCACCACTGAATTTAGTGACATGGAATAATTATGACTTTGGCAAGAACAGTTTCAGTGGAATGCTAGCAGTAGAAGCCTGTTTAGAGTGGGTTCCATAGAGAATGAGAGGAGAGCAACTAGAGTCAGAAGCTATGGACAACTCTCTGGAGGAGTTTTTCTACTACGAGAAACACAGACCATGGGGCAGTGTTGGTCAAGGGTGCAGGATCAAAAGAGAGATTCTTTAAGACGGGAGAAGTCATTGCACATTTGTGTGCAGGCATTAATAATCCAGGAGAGAAGGAGCAAAAAATAATGTGATACAGGAGAGAAAGGGGACAATAGCTGGAGCAATGACCTTTAATAAATAAGAAGAAACAGGATCTGGCATCCAAGGGAAAAGGTTGACCATAGATAGCAGCATAGATAGGTTATCCATGATAAGATGAAGAAGGATAACCAAGAAGGGAAAGGTTAACAGCAGGAATGAGGCCTATCTCCCCTGGGGGGACATTGGCCAGGGGCATGATTGACCTTGACTAGACCTCCTTCTAAATATGTTAATGATATTTACTGTCATCAGTTAAGACAACCTAGAGTTATATAACAACCCACACCATTACTCCAGCATGAAGGCAAAATAAAGGCATTTTCAGGCATGCATTGCTGAATGGGAAATCTGTTTTTCCTCTACTACTCTACTACTACTCTTTCTTCACTCCTGACATCAGATGTGTGGGTTTTTTTCCCCACATCAAGCAATTCTCTAATATTTTAGAGACACTAATTGGGTGTCCTACAATTCAGTTCTGACCCTATCTTCCTGGAATTGGTGCAGACTTCATAGGTTAAGAGTCCAGTCCCACAACACCGCCCCCACTTCCTGCCTGTCTCAAGTCCAGGTCCATAAATTGGAGGTTCCCACAACCCCCCTCCTCAGGTTCAATTATTTGCTAGAATGGCTCACAGAACTCAGGAAAGCAATTTACTTATTAGATTACTGGTTTATTAAAAAGATACAACTCAGGAAGAGTATAGGACAGAGGAAAGAGAAGTATAGGACAAGCAAGTTATGTGGAAAGTGGCACACAGCTTTCACGCCTCTCCAGACATGCCATTCTCCCAGCACCTCCATGTATTCCACAACCTGGGAACATTCCAGACCCCATCCTTCTGGGTTTTTATGGAGGCTTCTTTACATAGGCAGCACTGGCTAAACCCTTGGCCATTGGTGATTCAGTCACTCTCCAGTCCCTCGCCTCCCTAAAGGTCAGGGAGTGGGGCTGCAAGTTTCAACCCTCTAATCACATGGTTGGTTCCCTTGACAAACCAAGCCCCACCCTCAGAAGCTTTCCAAAACTTACCCCATTAACATAAACTCAGATGTAATTGAAAGGGGCTTGTGATAAATAACAAAAGATTCTCCTTCATCAGCCCTATCACTTAGGAAATTACAAAGATTTTAGAAGCTCTATGCCAGGACCCAAAGACAATGAACAAAATATAAATTCTTATTATATCACAATATCACATTAGCTCAGAGGTTTTCTGTCATTCATCCTTCTGAAAATAAAATATTGAGGCTATTCCTCAGCAGAATCTAAAATAAATATAAGGGGCTGGGTGTGGTGGCTCACGTCTATAATCCCACCAAGGTGGGTGGAACACTTGAGGTCAGGAGTTCCAGATCAGTCTGGCCAACATGGTGAAACCTCATCTCTACTACAAAATTAGCCAGTCATGGTGGCACATGTCTGCAGTCCCACCTACTCAGAAGGCTGAGGCAGGAGACTCACTTGAACCTGGAAGGCAGAGGTTGCAGTGAGCCAAGATTGCACCATTAAACTCCAGCCTAGGCAACAGAGTGAGACTCTGCCAAAAAAAAAAAAAAAAAAAAAAGAATATAAGTGATATAGGAGTTAAAAAAAATTATTTAGGCAGATAGTGAGGGTAAGGAAGTCCTCAGTAAGGTTTTCTTTTTAATGAAAAACAGGCTCCAAATCATTTTCTTTTCTAACAAAGAACAGCCTGTAAAATCGAGCTGCAGACATAGACAAGCAAAGTGGAAGCTTGCACAGGTGAATGCTGGCAGCTGTACAAGTAGGAAAAGGCTACCTGGGACTAGGCATGTTCAAACTGGCGGCTCCATCTTTCTTTCTCTTTGCCAGCCACGTGTACAGTAAGGAGAAGACAACTTGGCCCCAGCCAAGTGGAAAGCCCATTTGCATAATAAGATTAAGGTGGGATGGCCAGCCTTCCCCCTGTGCTATATAAACGTTACACCTGGTCCAACCATTCTGTGGGCCCTATGTAAATCAGACACCACCTCCTCAAGCCTGTCTGTAAAATCCGGTGCACTCCCATTCCAGGCTCGAATTCTCATTCGGGAGACCCTCTCTCTTGCAAGAGAGAGAGCTGTTCTCCTTTCTCTTTCTTTTTCCTATTAAATCTCCACTCCTAAAATCACTCCTTGTTTGTGTCTGTGTCCTTAATCTTCTTGATGTGAGATGACAAACCCTGTGCATTTACACGAGACAATAGTGCCGTTTCATAAGGAAGAAGAAGAATCAAGTCAAGATTGCTTATTGTAAGTTAGCCTAGAATTTATGGAGTTATGTAACATGACTGGTTGGTGAATGGATGGCACACAACTAAATATCTTCCTTTGAGAAATAAAAATAAAACTCTAAGTCCCCCAGCTAACTGAACAGACACCTTCTTGGCCAAGGGGACCCCAGAAAAACCTTAAAAACCAAGTCCTCGGTCGTGACAGAATGTGATGCTGGACACGCCTCATTAGAGCTCCTCCTCCACTGACTACTGCTAGGCTTTCTTCCCTAAGGGGTAAACAGAAACCAGTCCTTTTGAAACCAACCACCTGATGCTGCCCCTCCCTGTTGTGGTTTTGACAGAACAACTGATCAACATTCCTTCCTGATAAGAGACCACTGGCCATGGAGTGGATAGCAGAGGCTGCACACAGAGGGCCTTCCTGTCCTCTGCTTCACCTTTTGATGGATAGGGTCTAATTGTAATATATTTAAATGTTAAGTGTCCACCCCAAAGTGAACATGGGATGCATGCTGCATGCGTGTCAGCCTTCCCACTACACACACCTGTGCCTTCTCTTCTTGAATATCCATAGCTCCTCCTTTAACCTGTTGAATATGTATACTTAGCCAACTGACTCGGCATAAATTCCTGTTCCCTTCACCCCTCTCTTGAAGTGTGTTTCCTTCCCAGCCTGTCAGAATGGCCACCTGCAGGCTGCAACCCTTTATGAGAAATATGGCTTTTCTTTCCAAATTTATGAACCTCCCTCATGATTCTTCAACTGACACTTTGAAAACAATTATTTCACATACAATTGTTCAGAAGACAATTGTTAATCTGAAAACAAAATGTATACTCATAAGGGAGACAGAGATATTGTTTTTTAAACTGGAGTCTGACAGATTCCTGCTCCTCTCAAAAGAAATGCCACATCTGTCCATGGTCTGGTTCTTGCCTGTAGTCTTTGAATTATTAGTGAAGTTTGGTGCTGGGTAAGATCTACCATTCAAGTGTGGCTGCTTTGACAATTCTGCCCTTCTACTTTTTTTTTTTTTTTTTTTTAGATGGAGTCTCACTCTGTCACCCAGGCTGGAGCACAGTGGCATGATCTCGGCTCACTGCCACCTCCGCCTCTCGGGTTCAAGCGATTCTTCTGCCTCAGCCTCCCAAGTAGCTGGGACTACAGGCATGCACTACCATACCTGGCTAATTTTGCATTTTTAGTAGAGACAGAGTTTCACCGTGTTGATCAGGCTGGTCTTGAATTCCTAACCTCAGGTGATCCACCCTCCTCGGCCTCCCAAAGTGCTGGGATTACAGGCATGAGCCACCGCGCCTGGCCTGCCCTTCTACTCTTAAGGCAGGTAGGTGGGCAGATGTCATTGTGGGAGTGTGGTATACACAATGTCTTCTCTAGACTTAAAAAAAATTCTCTTTGGCTCCCTGGATAAACTTTGATTTCTCTAGATTTAGTCATTCTGTTTATTCCTATTGGTCCTTCTCTTTCAATCACTAATTTTGGGAAATTGCTCTTGGTTACCTGGCAACAAGCTTGTTGAGACTGATGGCTCATGTTTCCCAGAGAAAGAGCCTGAGTTTTCCCATGTGCTCAAGTGCTGCCCTGCATCCACTGGGATGGCTTCTACCAGAATTCAGCTTCTCACAGTAGTAGGCACTGTCCAATTCTCCAGATGCTGAAAGCTGGTATTTTCCAGGGGTGATTGGTGCCTAAGCTCAGACTTCTTAGTACTTGAGGTCAAAATGTTTATTTCTCACATTCAAGGCCATTGTTGGGCTCACTTTACACACAGGGAGTGCAACAGGAATTCAGGGTCTCCAGCAGGAGACCCTTGTGTTCAGCAGCTCCCCGAATCAAGCATGCCTCTCTCTACAGGATGTGGGTGGCATGAGTCCCAAGTACTTTTTGCTCCCAACCTCCACCATTTGTAGCCTCTGGTGTTTACCCTGACCCCTTTGGCAATGGTCTGCTGATCCTTGATGGTCTCTTATATCTACATGAAGGGCTAGACTGACTGATGCATGTGGTTGTTATGCTTCCCAAAGCAACTGCATAGGTCTGTTCTCCCAACACAGCTTTTCCTGAAACAGGCAAGTTGTCATGGGGGTGGGGTGTGTGTGTGTGTGTGTGTGTGTGTGTGTGTGTGTGTGTGTGTGTGCTTATGCATGCATGCACATGCACTGAATCACAGGGTCTATCTACTTTGGGGTGGAAGCCCTGTAGGGAACATGTAGACCAATTTTGTTGTCAAAAAGGCTAGAGCTTTACTCTGGTGTGCCAACATCCACTCCTGCGGCCCTAAGCCCCAGAGTCATAGGTCATTGACTTTCTTTAGAAACCACACCTCTGTGGGGTTTTTCCCTGATGTTCCTAAAAGGGCCATATATGCAAAGCGGTCCCCAGATGCCAAAGGAGTCAATACATCAAAGAACAAAACTAGACAAATTCAGTTTGTCGGTAAAGGGTGGTTTATTGCAGAAACTTATAGATATAAGCGTGATCTTGGGTGGTCACAAGACACATAGATTTCCACACAGTTACCTCCCAGACCCAAAGCTCATATACAATAGGGAAAGAGTGGACATGTTGCAGCAAGATAATTAAAGACAACCCTCCAGAACAGGCAGGAATGCCATGTGCGTCATAGCCCATAACTTGTGTGACAGCATCATTTTTGACCTCTTCTTACACTAAGGGCAGTAAATAAAGTAGGAAGCAGGAGGCATTCATGGGACTAGGGCTTGTCAGAAGTCAACATGGTGGATTAGCACCCAAAATGGAGTCATTTTTGTCCCCACACCGGGGACTAAGCACGGTAGAACTGGTTCCTTGATAAATGTAGGGTTAGAAAAGATAGATGTCAAGGTAGCCACTAGCATTTAATGCCTTAAATGCCTGCTGCCTACTCTTGCTTTTGTTTTGGCCAATCCTGAGCTTAGGGGTCCCTGGAGCTTGCACAGGAGAACAGCTGCCACCTCCACTGTAGCCTTCTTTTGAAGGCACTCAGGTTGCTTGTCTTCTTATTCAATACTACACGATCTTCTTTCCGTATTCTAGAAACCAGTCAAAATCTCCAGTCCATTCATTGCCTGCTGTGGTTGTTTTCACCCTATATTTCTTTATTTGTAACATATACTCATTCAGCATTTTGCACTAAAACCTAACCACTATATTTTTAAAAGAGTCTGGGTTCGAAACAATAGGCTACTATGAACCCTGCCTTTTGTGTTTGCATAGGATATTAATATAGGACACCTTTGCTCTTGATATTGACTGCTGTCTCCAAAGGTTGAGTCAAAAATCATAGATGGTAAATGTTCCCATATTCCCAAGTGAAGTGCTTAGCCTCCTATACGGAGCTAGCAAAGAAGGTGATCAAAAACCTCTGCCATCCTAACATCCACCAAAGGGTTAAGAGGTTGAGATTGAGTAAGAATGCATGTTGAAAAAATTATTGGCAAGCTGATGTCTTTTTCTCCCCCTAACCCCAGACATTGCGGAGGGGAGAGACTCGGGGACCTTTACCCCAAGTGTAGTGAGAAGGGCTTCGGAGACACACTTGGAAAGGTTGATGAGTGTGGCTTAGAGTTGGTAATGTGTTTGGCTCTTACGCATGGAGCCAAAGCTAAAAGGCTAAGCTGATGCCATGTATGAGGGCAGAAAAGCTTGAGATTGCCATGAACCACATGGGCAATGAGGATTGTAACTGGATCCATCTGGAAGGAATCCTACATAGGAGAGCAGCTGAGTGAGGGGATCCCATCAGTATCAGGGCAAGGGAACAAGGGTCAGGTGCTGAAGGTGAGGGTTGTTACAACAGTTCAGCTAGAGAATGAGTCCCTCATGAGAAAACTGGGCAATGTGAAGTCTCACAGAGACCTCTGAAGAACCCACAAGTGCACTCAAAGGAAAAAAGTCAGCTTGGAGCCTCCATACCCCATCCTCAATTAGGGCCTCAGCTCAGCTGGGAAAGAGGAGAAAATCAAGGAAATCGAAAGGAAACTACCACATTCCTCTTTCCCACTGCAAGTTTCCAGCCCAGAGGAGGCCTGAACTGGGTAAGGAAGAAGTCTTAACTTAAGTTTGGATTTATTGCTCTACATGGAACTAGATATATCGATTATTGAAATAAAGCTGATATGACTAGAAGGAACTGAAGGTCTTTTTTATCTTCTGAGAGTTATTATAAGATTCTTGAGGCCTGTTTTGGATTTTATCCAACAAGCAGAGAAAAAAATACCTTTATAGAACAGGTTTGAAAGGGCAATGAAGAGAAATAATAAAGTTGTTTTCTGCTTGCCCTCCATGGAAGTCACATTTCTATTCTGCTCACTCATCCAATTTCAAAATGCCTTTTGAGAAAAGATGAAATGGGAATTAGAGGTAGCAATTTAGATGAATAGGGACAACAAATATGTTGCCAAATGTGATAAACCTTCATTCATTATTAACAAAAATAAATTGATCACCTATTGTGTGTCACGGCCTGTGCTAGGGAGGGGAGATTCAAATGTGAACAAGAGTGAGTCTATGCTACAGAATTATTAATCCGGTGTGAGAGTCAGACATGTAAACAAAGTATAGCCCAATGTGACATCATAATTCAGATGTATATGCAGAATTATATTGAAGCCTTCTCATATCTCATTTTGCTCACTTGTATTTCTTATCTGCATATTCTTAAAATTAATTTTTTTTAAGAGAGCTATCTACCGAAATTTGAAATTTTCTAGTAGGGAAATCAGAAGACCACAGTGGAATAGTGGGTGGAGTGAGGCCTGGGCATTAAGAAGTGTGAATTGGAGGCCGGACGCAGTGGCTCACGCCTGTAATCCCAGCACATTGGGAGGCCAAAGCGGGCAGATCACTTGAGGTCAGGAATTTGAGACAATCATGGCCAACATGGTGAAACCCTGTCTCTACTAAAAAATACAAAAATTAGCCAGGTGTAGTGGCAGGTGCCTGTAATCCCAGCTATTTAGGAGGCTGAGGCAGGAGAATCGCTTGAACCTGGGAGGCTGAGGTTGCAGTGAGCTGAGATTGCACCATTGCACTCCAGCTTGTGCAGCAAGAGCAAAACTCTGTTCCCCACCCCCCAAAAAAAGAAGTTTGAATTAGGTGGACCAAAAGAGAATTTACCCACTTCATGACTTTGCTGAGAGCCAGAGCTACTTGCCAAGGAACAAGTTTTGCAATAGCTATTATGTAAATTAAATCCAACTTTCTGTGATTAGAGCATGGTAGAAATTTGGCATGGTAACATGTCTTTTTCTTACACGTATTTTAAAAATCTTAACTAAACTAAAGCTATTTCTTGCATTTCACATTTGGATTTGGCAAACATGGTAAATAAGAAGAAAATGGATAATTTTTAAATGCTTCTGGTACATGGCTTTAGTCACAGACAAAAATTAAAAATGAGCTAGGCGTGGTGGCTCACACCTGTAATCTCAGCACCTGGGGAGGCAGAGGCAGGAGAATTACTTGAGGCCATGTGATGGTTAATATTAAGTGTCAACTTGATTGGATTGAATGATGCAAAGTATTGTTACTGGGTGTGTCTGTGAGGGTGTTGCCAAAGGAGATTAACATTTGAGTCAGTGGACTGGGAGAGGCAGACCCACCCTCAATCTGGGTGGGCACAATGCAATCAGCTGCCAGCACAGCTAGAATAAAAGCAGGCAGAAGAACATGGAAAGACTAGACTGGCTAAATCTTCTGGCCTCCATTTTTCTCCAGTGCTGGATGCTTCATACCCTCGATCACTGGACTCCAGGTTCTTCAGCTTTTGGACTCTTGGACCTACACCAGTGGTTTGCCAGGGGCTCTCGGGCCTTTGCCACAGACTGAAGGCTGCACTGTTAGCTTCCCTGCTTTTGAGATTTGGGGACTCGGACTGGCTTCTCTGCTCCTCAGCTTGCAGACGGCCTATTGTGGAACTTCACCTCGTGACTGTGTGAGTTGATACTCCTTAATAAACTCTCTTTCGTATATACATCTATCCTATCAGTCCTGTCCCTCTAGAGAACCCTGACTAATACAGGCTAGGAGTTCAAGACCAGTCTGGCCAACACAATGAGACCCCATCTCTACAAAAAATTAAAAAAATTAGGAGGGCATGGTGGTGCATGCCTGTAGTCCCAGCTACTCTGGAGGCTGAGGTGGGAGGATCACTTGAGCCCAGAAGTTCAAGGTTTACAGTGAACTCTGATTGTCCCACTGCACTCCAGCCTGGGCAACAGAGCAAGACCCTGTTTCTAAAAAAAAGGAATATAAATGAGAATAATAATAATCTTTATTAGTTTGTGGTTCAAAATCTTTTTCCTTTAGAGTTTTCGAAATAAGCAAGGTATGGGGACTGCAATAGATCATTTAAAGATCTTGAAGGAGATTATGGGGTTTTTGTTATTCTGTCAGATTAATATTCCTGATATGGTTTAGCTGTGTCCCTGCCCAAATCTCATCTTGAATTGTAGCTCCCATAATTCCCAAATGTTGTGGAAGGGATGCGGTAGGGGGTAATTGTATCATGGGAGCAGGTATTTCCCATACTTTTCTCATGATAGTGAATAAGTCTCATGAGAACTGATGGTTTTATAAAAGGGAGGTCCCTGGCACATGTCCTCTTGCCTGCCACCATTAAGACATGACTTTGCTCCTCATTCGCCTTCTGCCATGATTGTGAGGCTTCCCCAGCCACGTGGAACTGTGAGTCCATTAAACCTCTTTCCTTTATAAATTACCCAGTCTTGGGTATGTCTTTATTAGCAGTGTGAGAACACACTAATACACAGCCTTCTTAGAAATATGGTATTTTGGCCATCCAGTTATTTAAAGACTACTTTAAATCTGACAAGTGTTGAATCAACATATATGAATTTATTTTTCTGTTCAATAACTTTAAAAATTTTTGTATGAAGAGAAAAGAGTGATGTATCTTAGCCTTTTTTGTTTTTAACATTTTACTTTTCTCATTTTGAACCCAGTTTACTTGAGGTTAGAATTTTTTTCTCCATGTGATAGAATAGATGTGGGTGAAAAGATTATCAATTTTTACGTTGTTCGTATAACCGCTATATAGTTCAAGGAAAGGTCCTATCTTTTCCCTTCCTATCCTGCCCTCTAGCTCCCTCAATGAACAGCTACCCTTTCTAAGTAAATTTAAATTATTAGTAGTGGTTATGAATTTGATCTACAGTACTTATATGTGCAAACGATTGTATTATTTATTCTAAATTACATACATCAGTCATGTTTTGGGAGTGTCATTAGGGATCTGAGGACTTACATGATGCCCCCCAAACACATAAAAGGCATCTTGTCTTCACTATATCATTGCTGGGGTTGAGACACCCATCTGGCATATTTCCACTGCTGAGAACTATGCCTAGCACATCTCGGGCAGTCAATTCATATTTGTTGAATAAATAAATGAATGCTTGAATGGTTTATTCAAAGTGGGCAGGAAGAATTGTTACCTCAGTGTCCAAGGCCATGATCCTTAGTTGTTGGTGTCTGAAGGGGTCAATACATGGCACTTCCTTTTCTCTGCTACTTGAGTTAAGGACCCATTGAGAGACAGGTGCGGGAACAGTGCAGGTAGAGATCAAAATATCACTTTAGATACTGAGAAAACTAGGCTGGGGAGGATGACTGAATGGTTTGCTAATACCAAACCCCAGAGATAGACTGGTTCACCTGCCCAGCCAAGGCTGCAACTGCAGTCCTTGTTCCTTAGGGCAGAGCCTGGAGAATTGATAGCAGAAGAGATCAAGGAAGAATGGAATAGACCTGGGATGTGCAGACCTGGTTCCTTCCGCCAACCTATTCATCAGAGCAGTGGCTTCTCCTTGCCTGGGAGGACCAACAGTTATGGGTGGAGAGAGATTAGGTGTTTGACTCATGGAGTTCCCTCCATGTGGGAGGAAACATCAGGAAACACTCCCCTTGACATAAGTACACTCCCCTTGACATTAGTATTAATACTCATTATTAGTATTCAGTTCCTTTATCAGTTACGAGCCACCTCATAAGGAAGGTCTTAGGTCCTCTTGGGGCACAAGGACCCACTCAGCATGAACCCCCTAAATGCCAGTTTCTCCTCAGGTTCTGGAACCAATACTCCTGCATCCTTGTCTGGTCAGTTCTGGCTCCTCCACCCACAGTACAGGCCTCCCTTGATGGTCCTCTATTCCTGGAACAAAAGCCAAGCTGGAGGATTGGTGAGGCAGGGAAGGGCTTACTCTGAGCATGTTCCACCTTCTGTTTTTAGTTCAACAATAAAAATATCCTGACGTCAGGGAGCACAGAGTCAGAATCTAATTTCTTAGGGTGTGAAAGGAGGAAAAAACAATCCCATTCTTCAGGTTCCCTACAAAATTTTTTTAAAATGCGAATAAATATTCCAATAATTTATTCTGCTCCCCAGGATAAAATAGCATTTGTAATTTAAATAATAGGCATTTTGGTGGTTTGGTTTAAAATTCAGCATTGATAATGGAGAGGAAATACAGCATACAGTTTAACTCGTCCTTCCCCTCATGCTTCATTGAAGACTTAGCGCAGGAACTCAATAATTATATGTTGACAGAAAGAAGTCTTGGAAGGATGGGACTCTGGCCAATTACAAAACAGTCAATTCTTAATGTTCCCCCTGCAAGTGGGACTTCTGGTGGTACAGGCAGCTGCCTGCTGAAAGATCTGTTTGGCTCACTATGGCTTTCAAAACAGTTCTGCTACCAGAAAGGCCAGCATCAAAATATAACGATAAATATAACCATGGACAGGCTTTCTCTCTGGATGTGGTTGAGGAAACATCCCTCAGATACTGTTTGCCACAATCTTATGAGCATGAGGGAGAGCCAGATTTATGTGATTAGAACAATGAGAGGAGGCAGATATGCTGGGTCTTTAATAACATCTTTAAAAACTTACAAATCAAACCAATCCTATCTGACCTCTGAAATTTTGAGTGACATGAGCTTACAAAATATCTTTATTATTTGAGCTTAAAAGTCAACAGATAGAAACACTTAGAAAGGAACAGTAACATCTTGAGCTATTTTTCACCATAAATTTGGCTTTTTAAATTAATTCTTGTCACTAGGCAGGCTTTCAAGAAGTAGAGCACAAGGAAAATACATTTTGATAAGAGGGGTGAGGGAAAAAGACAAAAAGGAAGAAGAAGAGAAAGATAAAGAAAAACAGAAAGTAATTTTTAAAGCCAGCCTCTGGATTCAAATTTTTACCAGATTAAAAGAGACTGAGAAAAAGAAAAGCTATCCAGAGAATTTTTTATAATGGTAAATCATTCAATGTAAAGGACTTCCTTTTATTTTGAGATTAGGTTCTTCCAACTATTTTTTGATATTAAAATATGAATCCTTTTTTAAAAACATGAATTTGGGCCAGGCACAGTGGCTCATGTCTGTAATCCCAGGACTTTGGGAGGCCTAGACAGGCTGATCACTTGAGGTCAGGAGTTCAAGACCAGCTTGACCAATATGGTGAAACCCCATCTCTACTAAAAATACAAATAATAGATGGGCATGGTGGCAGTCGCCTGTAGTCCCAGCTACTCGGGAGGCTGAGACATGAGAATCGCTTGAACCCAGGAGTTGGAGGTTGCAGTGAGCTGAGATTGCGCCATTGCACTCCAGCCTGGGCGACAGAGTGAGACTCTGTCTCAAAACAAAACAAAAACAAAGAAGCAAACAAACAAACAAACAGAAAACATGAAAGTGGTGATAGAGAGTAGTTGCTTAGTTTTTTGTTTTTTGTAATTTCTCTATTTGAAATTTTTTAAAAGAAACTAGACAACTTTTTATGGTCCACTCTATTAAAAAAAAAAAAAAGATGTATAATCCATAAGGTCCAAGATTTAAGAACCACTTCACAGTAGAATGAGTCAAGGCCCTAGAATGCATAGGACCAGAAGGACCCATGTTGAGACTAAGGGTTGGGAAGCTCCAGCAGAAAGGGGAAGGCATGAAAACAGAGAAAAGCTAAGACAGAAAGATGGAGAGTATGTTAGTCCATTTTCATGGTGCTGATAAAGACATACCTGAGACTGGGCAACTTACAAAAGAAAGAGGTTTATTGGACTTACAGTTCCATATGGCTGGGGAGGCCTCACAATTATGATGGAAGGTGAAAGTCATGTCTCTCACGGTGGCAGACAAGAGAAAAGGCTTGTGCAGGGAAACTCCCCTTTTTCAAACCATCAGATCTCGTGAGACTTACTCAATATCACGGGAACAGCACAGGAAAGACCCACCCCCATGACTGAATCACCTCCCACTGGGTTCCTCCCACAACATGTGGGAATTTAAGATGAGATTTGGGTGGGGACACAGCCAAACCATATCAGAGAGGCAGATGGAAAGAGCAGAAGAGAGCTGGTGAAAGGGAGAATTAAAGAGTTCTTCAATCCTCTTCCTTTGTATGACCTCTGACTACTTAAATGAATTTTATATACGTGTGTGTGTGTGTGTGTGTCACAATGCTTAGTGCAATGAGCATTATATGTGTTTTCTGTGATAAGACTAATATACCGCACTCATAATTATATAATGGAAGAAAATGAAAAGAAGAACACTAATATTTGATGTCTGGCATCCATTATCTCATTGGCTTCTAACAAACTACCTTTTCACCCTCACTTTAAAGGACAGAAACATGAGTATGTAAAGAGCTATTTAAGGCCACAGGGTCTGTGAAGGAGGAAAGCCTACTGAAACCAAAGACATAGTCTTTCAGCTGCACCACACTACTTCAGTGCTGAGGCTATCCAAAACATAGCAAGTACAAAATTGCTGATGTGTAGGTTTAGGCTATTAATAGCGTATGATTTTTAAAATTTCGTACAGAATATTAACTATCCCAATTGTATTTGACTCAGGCCAATGGCAAAACGAATGTGCATCCTGGTCCCAGAATCAGAATTGACCATGTGTCAATTACTGATAAGAAGCTTTAGCTGGGTGTGGTGGTGGGTGCCTGTAGTCTCAGCTACTTGGGAGGCTGAGGTGGGAGGACTGCTGGAGCCTGTGAGGTGGAGGTTGCAGTGAGCCATGATTGTGCCACTTCACTCCAGCCTTGCAGAGTGAGACCCCATCTCAAAAAAAAAAAAAAAAAAAAAAGAAGAAGTTAAAAGTTTGCCCAGAAGAGAAGGAGGTGCCTAAAGTTAAGACTTGTAGAACCTTATTTTGTTTTTTGGAATTTAAACTCATTAAGCACAGAAGTATTTTAATACATATTAGAGGATTAAGAAGCAGTTTGGTTTCTCTAAGCCCTTTTACAGAACTTCTTTAGAGGCCTGGGGAAGAGGGAGTGGAGGAGGGTTGGGATTAAACAGATAGACAAGCCATCATTTTACATTTTACTAAAGTGGTGCCAGGTTCTTAGCAGTAATGTGAAAGGACTACAACATAAGTGAAGAGGCCTGGGAACTGAATTTTAAAGCTTAGTAAAGTCCACACTAGTTACATACTTTAAGAGGATATGAGATATACATCTACAAAGCAATAAAATTTACTCTAGAAACAATAAGTTTCCTTTAATCCTAAACATTGCGATTGTTCATAATATGTTCCATGTTTTTAAATCTCTTGATCAAACTAGATGACTTTTTCAGAAATATTTCTATCCAATCTATAGCAGAAATGTGATAAGGCAGCTGATTCAGCACCTAGTAATAAAATAGAATTCATTCCCCAAACCCTGATTTAGAATAGATTTATATGTCCTTTGGCCATTGATAAATCTGGAGCTTTGCACAGCTTTGATTTAAAAGTTTCTCAGCAATGACCAAACTCAGAATCTATCCCTTCCCCCTTGCTGAAACACAAGAAAGAAACAGTCCTCGCTGTCACTGTAATTCAGAACTTCTTTAATGAAACCAGCTTTCCGCAGCTCCATATATCCATCTAAGCACAGCTAAGGGCAGCTCCCTGCCCTTGACTCTCCATGGAAAGGAATCGGGCTTTCTCTCTCTGTGAAACATAGGGATTGACCACCTCATATATTTTGAAAGTACATTTTCTAGTTTATCTTTCTATTGGTGATTCTGAAACCAGGGTAAGGTTGGTATTTGTTTTGGAGAAACGAAAAAGAACTTCACACTGCTCAAAGGAGAGTTATATTTTATTTTTATTTTTTTCAATTACTGAGATAACAGGAAACAAAAAAGAGAGTTCTAAAAGGGTGAAATTTGGAGTCTTAAAGAGTTCAAATACAGAAATAGAGACTATGTTCTCTGGAAAGCCTCCTAATCAGCAAAATTTCAGCCTAGAAACCATATATTCATGTCCTGTGATTTGGACTTCATCTGCCCTGGATCAAAATAGGTGACTGAGAATGTAAAAAGCAACCCTGAGAGCAGGAAGCTGGCCCTGTCCCATCAATTAGGTCTTGGCTTTGCGAGTACTCACGGATGGTACTCATGGCTAAGTTTTGTCCTCTTCTGTTGAACAAAAACAATTTCACAGAACATTGACACTAGACATAGACATCATTCTGTGACCAAGACGGATCAGGACAATAACAAGGCCACTCTACTGTAATCATGCCTGAACACCGACAAAACCAGAAACGTTCTCCAAACCACAAAAATGACCAAATCTCTCCCTAACCTGAAAGTGAAAGAATATCTCCCTAAGCTAAGTGACAACTTCTTTACCAATTACAGCTTTGACATCATTCTATTCTCTCTTTCTTGATAAGGTCACTAGGATACCTGTTATACACTGAATTCTGTCCCTTCCCCTCATCCTCAAGTTTATATATTGAAGTCCTAACCCTCAGGACTGCAGAATGTGACCTTGTTTCAAAATAGAGTCATTGCACCAGAAATAGTTAAGTTGAGATGGGTTCGTCTATAGGATGGGTCCCTAAATCGGTATGGCTGGTGTCCATAATTATAGGGAGGGTAAATTTGGACACAGACATATACGCACAGAAAGAACACCATGTGAAGGCTGGAGTTATGCTACACAAACCAAGGAACTACCAGAAGCCGGGAGAGAGGCTTAGGATGGATATTCTCCTACCACTTTCAGAGGCATGGCCCTGCCCACACCTTGATCTCGGGCTTCCAGCCTCCAGAACTCTAAGAGAATAAATCTCTGTTGTTGAAGCCACTCAGTTTGTAGTACTTTGTTACAGCAGCCCTGAGAAACTAATACATACCCAATCATGAGACCAACCTTGGGGAAAAATCTTACTTGTTTGAACTCTCCCCAGAATCACCTAACACAAGCCAAAATCATGTAAGTCCTCTCACACCCTCTACTGACATGCCCCACAGTTCCCCATACACAGCATGGTATGGTATTTCACTTCTCCTTTGTTATGAAAAGTCAATAAAACCACCCTTGTTTAGTTACCAGTGTGCTCCCGGTAGCCTTTGGCTAGAGGGCATTGACACAACTCAGATAACTTTTTTCCTCAATAATGTGTATAGTTTTTGCTGTTTCAACTGCTTGAGTTTTTCTTGGGGAACTCTTAACTTCATATCACAGATGTCTATTCTCTAATATCTTCTCTTCATTATGAAAAGGCTTTTATACATCATAACTGATTTTTATCCAATTTCAAGTCTGCTCTTTATTGCTTCAAATGTGGATTTTTAATTTGATTTCTGCATTTTGAAATTCATTTAAAATATTTCATAATCTTTCTACTTTCATTGTCTTAGTGCACTTTTGAAATCTGTTCAGTCTTTTGTCTTATAACTTGCTGGTCTTATTTTACATAGGAATATCATTTTGAATCCTCTCGAAAATTTCAAAGCATTTTTTTAACCTCTCAATTTTTCTTCTGGATTCTATAATCATTTTTATATATTTTTTTAGAGGGTTTTGTTTGTTTGCTTGCTTTTGGTGGGGGCGGGGGGGTTCCAATATCTGGAATCTCTTCTTTGGTTCGGTAATACATTTTCAAAATCTCCCATGCTTTTTGTTTATGTGTAGTATCACAGATTACTGTTAGAAAGTATTCACCTCTATGGAGAAATATACTCAACTAAGCCAGCCTAGATCAACCAATCCCTACCTGACTCAAACATTTATAAGAATAAATATTTATTGTTGTATGTCCCTAAGATCATGAGATAGGCCTTGGGGAAAAACCTATGCCTTGCTATGCATCGTCTGCTAATGGATACACTATGTTTTCTTATTTCTTTGCCTATTCATAGTCCCATGAGGGGTTACCTAACAGACCTGGAATTTGCCAGAGCGTGGATGATGTTTTTGGTTTTACTGTCTGACAATTGGATGCGGGTTAAATGTTCTCTTTAGGTCTATAACTGTTTAATAGGTTAGTATACTCAGCTCCTAGCCCAAATTCTAGCAGCTAACCAATTGCTTACATCTAGCTTTGTTCTGTGGAACCAATGGGATTGTATTTTACCTCTTCTACTATTTCTCTGACACTGAACACAAAGAGAATATGAAAAGTGATTCCTTACAGAGCTGGCACTTTCTGCTTAGAGTACTTTACTTAGGAGATTACATAGCCCAAGATTCAATGCATTCTCTACTAGTTCAATTGTCTTCTGGGAGTTGCAGTCACAGCAGGGAGGAAGAGATGCCTGAGTTTTTTTGTTTTCATTTTTCCTTCCAGTCCAGTCCTTGCATTTCTGGAGCAGGGGTAGACGGTTTGGGAGGTATTAAGGCTGTTCAGTTTCCTGTGTCACAGCACAGGCTGGGCATTTCAACCCAGGCCATTCCTGAGAGTTAAGAAACATTTCTCTTAGGGTCTAGAATATTACCAGTCTTGATTTTCAGTGCTGCAAGTTTTTATATATTTCTCTTTTCCTCAGAATTTTATTTTTTATTTATTTATTTTTTTTCAATAGGAGGTCTCAGATTGAAACCCTGAGTCCATGCACCATTGCTCCCATGCCTGCCACTTGTCAACCCTCCTGTGTAACTGGCTCTGTTGGATACTCTTTTCCCAAGAATTTTAATAAGAAGTAGGAAGAGGATGGGTCAGAGACTCCTCACGGGTTGCCATCTTAAATAATGGAATAAAAATGAATACAGCTATGTAACTAGAATATATGTGGCTTATAGGAAGGGAATAATTTTCCATTTCTTACCTAATTTATAGCAGAGTACTAGACACATAGTAATTGTTCAGTAAATCTTTTTGATGGATCAAATCAGTTTCATCTAAACCATAGACAATCCCTTATTATCCAAATGGCATTTTTTGGCAACCAAAAAATAAATTTTACACCCATTTCCAAGGTAAAACTATCATGCTATAAGATATCAAGTTACTTGATATTTATTCATTTGATGTAAATTAGAACCAAACTCATATGCTTTTTTTTCTTTTTTTTTTTTTTTTTTGTTTTGAGATGGAGTCTCGCTCTATCTCCCAGGCTGGAGTGCAGTGGTACAATCTCAGCTCACTGCAACCTCTGCCTCCTGGGTTCAAGCAATTCTCCTGTCTCAGCCTCCTGAGTAGCTGGGACTACAGGCACATGCCACCATGCCCGGGTAATTTTTGTATTTTTTAGTAGAGACAGGGTTTTGCCATGTTGCGCAGGCTGGTCTCTAACTCCTGGCCTCAGGTGATCTGCTGGCCTCGGCCTCCCAAAGTGCTGGGATTACAGGCGTGAGCCACCACACCCAGCCCCAAACTCATGCATTTATTATGAAGATTAAATAAGAGTATTGCTTACAGTAGTCAGTATAATGTCACTATAACAGTAAGTATGTCTTACAGTTAATAAACATGAGCTTTTATTATAAGCCTCTTAGAATGTAAGTTCCTTCAAGGCAGGACTTTGACAGTTTTCATCAACCCTATAGCCCTAATATCTTAGTGCTTGGTATGCGTTTATTGAAAAAAATAAATTAGGAATGAATGAGTAAATGAACAAATTAAGTCACACAGAGCCAAACTTTCTGCCATCCACTTTGGAAAATTGTCTACTGGTTCTTATTATTTGTGTTTGGAACTAATAAGTCTCAGTACAAGTTTACCATTTTGCGGCACCAATACAAGTAATGAAAACCTCAGAATGATTAATCTCAAAATGAGTATAATCAGTTTATAAGAGATTAGTAAGTTGAAGGAGATATTCTCTGTCTAAACTTGTTCATGATTTTAAAACTCGTGACAGGCACTAACAGCAGGTAATTCCATATAAATTAGTACTTGAGCCCCAACAAAGTTGCTTAGAGAAGTTTCTTTTAATTTTAATATAAGGACTCCCTGAAATATTCAGCATTTATGGCATTGCTGACATTAGTTCATTACAAAAGTGATTTTAGCTACTACTATGGAAAACATAGAGTGAGCGAGAAAATCAAATACCTTGGGAAAATCAGGCAAGTAAATATTTACAAACGACATTTACATTACATAAGACAAATGATTTAAGGGATTTTTTTTCTATTAAATGATCTTATTTATCTTATTTTATGGTGTTTATACGACTTCAGTGAAACTGCAATATAATTAATGAGCTTAAAATTATAATTACCTTTTAGCTTTTAAATCTTATGATCTTATAGTACTTCAGTCCTGGGGAAAACATGTTTTGCATCTCTTTTTAAGTAACTACAATTTAAAATGTTGTCTTCATTTTTGAAAAACAAGTAAGAGGGCAGGTGCGGTGGCTCACACCGGTAATCCCAGCACTTTGGGAGGCCGAGGCGGGCGGATCATTTGAGGTCAGGAGTTCGAGACCAGCCTGGCCAACATGGCAAAACCCTGTCTCTACCAAAAATATAAAAAATTAGCTGGGTGTGGTGGTGCACACCTGTAATCCCAGCTACTCAAGAGGTTGAGGCAGGAGAATTGCTTGAACCCAGGAGGCGGAGGTTGCAGTAAGCCCAGATCGCACCACTGCACTCCACCCGGGTGGCGGGGCAGCGGGGATCAGAGCGAGATTCTGTCTCAAAAAAGAAAGAAAAAAAAAAAAAAGGCAAGTAAGCATACTTAATGTCTGTTGTCATGCAGACATTTTTTGTCTCTGATAAAATGAGTCCAATCAAAGTGTTGTTTCAGAAATCTTGTGATTTTAAGGTTTCTAGAATTTTCCTTCGCTACAAGTCTAACGCTAATGCTTGAAGGTTAGAGAGAAGTCATAAAATAATAAAGCAACAGTATCATTATATAAACAAAAACAAAAATCTTCTTTCAAAAAGCCTTAAGCAGCTCCTTTTTTCTCCAGTGCCAGAAAATTCTGGCCCTTGAATCATTTGCAGTGGGCTCACCAGACTTTTCCAAGCCAACATTGCCATCTGCTGGTGAAGTTGCTATAATAGCTTATAAAATGAAGTGATGGATGGAGAGCGGAGGCTTTGTTTTAGCTTTTGTTTTAGTTTGACTACCTTGCATAAAAAGTTCATTGAATGTAACAATATTTTAGTAGCAGAATTTAACTAACCTAGTGAGATTTTAACTAAAGCAAAAGAGAAACTAAAATTCTTTAAGAACTAAAATTCTTATGAATTTTATTCAAATTGGCTTCCTGAAAGAATTTCACAATTTGCTGCAGAGACTAAGAGCACGGATATGCATGGCTGTGCTGTTTCCTACCTGTGTGACCTTCATAAGCTCTCTGTACCTTTGCTTTCTCATCCATAAAATAGACATACTCAGGACAGTGCTTGGCACACAATATGTGCTCAGTGAATATTAGTTGTTATTATTATTAATATTTCTTCCTAAGGTAGACATGAAAGAAAGCTTCTTGGTTATTTTGGAACACTTCTGATTTCTAAGATATTAATCTGTTTGTTTTCATAATCTTACAATAGCAAAACATAATGGAAAGTCTGAAATTTTACTAAAGTTTTAATTTTTACTTCTTGAAATTATTTAAGATCTTAAAATATGTTTAATTGAGGGTCATTTCAAGTTATAACCCTTTTTAAAGCAGTATTTCTATCTTGAATGTTCACATGTTTCTACAAATCCAATTTATTATGGTGCCAAGATTTGAAACATATGTCTATAAGCAAATAAAAAATGGATAATGCTTTTAAAAATGCAGCATTTAATTACTAAAAACAGCTTCTAGAATGTGAATATTATTATAGAAGACAAATGGCCGAGCCATTCCCGGATCACATAGTCCCTGAGCCGGAATTCACTGTGACGTTCCCACACTGTTTCTTGTCTCCCGTCAGCCTCTTGTTCCCCTTTCTTCACTTTACAATTTTTTTCTGTAGGATCATGCCCTTTCCGGTGTAAATTTGCCTATCTTTTCTCAGCTGCTGCCAAATCTTCTCTTTATCAATTACCCTAATCAATACCAAAAAGGCCCAAGAGTAAAGCAGGCCCCTTGAAGTCCTCAGAAGGTCATGAGGAGGAGGAAATTCTTCCATATTAATATCTGTGTCTCAGTCACATACATATGCTACAAATCACAATGAACACACAGTGCAATTCAATTAATAACCCCTATTCCCCAGTGCCAGAGATGTGAGGAAACTGTTACCAGATGTTTCTGTCTTAACTCTATTAGAATCCAATTTTCTAGTCATTGTCTCCTTTTCTGAATCCCAATCTTGTTAAATCTGAATGGTCACTTTTCTTACATGAGGGCTTTTAGACTAATTACAGAGAACTGCTGCAACACATCTAACACTAGTGTTTAACGATCACACGCCTTCAAGTCCTCCCAGCCTGCTCCTTGGTGCTCTCATCCCACTAAGGATGATCCTTAGCAAACCACATGGCCTTTCATCGCATTACTCAGGTTGAAGCCATCTTTAGCTTCTCTTTTTGTCTCACGTCTCAAAGTCAGTCCATAGACAACTCAACAGCTCTGCATTCAAAATACAGCCCTCGTCTGACCTTTTTCATCTCCACCATCGCTAATACCCTAGGCAAGCTGCCATCTTCTTTCCCAGGACTACTGAAATGTCTTCTAATTCACTTTTTATAAGTGTCAACCAGATCATGAGCCTTCTCTCTTCTAACTCCTCAATGTCTCCATCTCATATTTCAGATTCCATCCAAAGTCCTTAGAATGGCCTCCAGGCTGCACAGAAACCGGGCAGGAATGACCTTATTTCCTTGGACCTTCTTCTTCCACACTGTGCCCAGTCTCACAAGACTTCTAACTCTGCCTGAACATTCCCACTTTAGAGTATTCGCACTTGCTGTTTTACCCACCTGGAGCGCTCTTCCCAGATGTTGCAATGACTTGCTTCCTCATATCACTCAGAACCTCTGCTTAAATGTGACTTCTACATCCAGGGCTCCCCGAAACATGCTAACAAAGGCAGCCATCCCCTTCCTCACTCCATCCCATTACACTCCATCCCTGAACCAGCTGAGCCCTATGTTAATTTGGAGCACCAGTCACTCCATGATATTATGGATTTATTTGTTGGTGGTATGCCTCTGCCCTAAGATGTCTACTTCATCAAGGTGGGGTCTTTGCCAGTTCTTCACAACTATACTCCCAGTGCCTACCAGATAGGAGGAATTTTCTAAAATTTATTGAGTTTGTGTGAGAATTATTGAAAAAAATGAAACTTTAGGGGCTCTATTGACTTTTTCTCAGATTTTACATTTAATTATCTAAAGTAATAATTATCACTTATAGAATACGTGCTAAGTGATAAATACTAAGCATTTAACACACATTATCTGACTTAATCCTCATAGTAATGCCAAAAGAATTACTGAATTGAATGTGTTTTCTTCGATTGCCTGGTGACCCTGGTTATCCATTCATTTTCAAAAGTTAAGAAAATTCTTATTATAAACTACTGAGAAAGGAAAGGAAAAAGAAAGTGCTTCATCAATACAAATAAGTAGCATAGATTTTCTCAGACACTGTGTAGATACATTTCCAAAACAAGCCTTTTCCCTGGATTTAAACTGGCTTAAGCTAGTCCAACCATTAGAAACAGATCATTGCTGGGACACGTCAGTAGTCTCCAGTGACTAAAGGTAGTAGAGAGTGAGAGGTGTTCCCACACAACCTTACTATCAGGTATATGTTATGATGAAAGCAAGTTTCAGGTTGAATTATGGCTCAAACAAATAGCTTTTAGCAAGCTGGCCCAATAACAGCTATATAATCTGTTTTTACAAGCTCTGTGACTACCTTGCATAAAAACTTCATTGAATGTAACAATATTTTAGTAGGAAGATTTAACTAACCTAGTGTGATTTTAAAGTAGCATGATCAGGTTTTCTTTGGAGCCCTAGAACAAGAAATTTGAAAGGTATGGGAAGCTGCACTCATTGGATTCTGATATCCCAGCTCATGCAAGGGCAACCATTCTTGCATAATATTTTTTAGCAAATCACATAACTTGAACACCATTCATTTCAACAATTAAAAAATGAATTCTAACAGCTCTTATGCTGGTAAACAATCCTTATAGTGCAGATGGAAATCACCGAAGCCTGTAGGAGTAGCCTCTGCAGGGAGGCTGCCTGATTAGAGTGTTTCAAATGCTAACCACTTCTGGAGCATGTATTCTTGATTAGGGAAAACATGCTTCAGATGTCAAATAACCTATCCTAGGGCCTTCACACTTCATATATATATCACACTGTCCAAGTTTAAGTAAGAAAATATTTGCAAACTATTCATCTGACAAGAAATTAATAACTGGGCCGGGCAGGGTGGCTCACGCCTGTAATCCCAGCACTTTGGGAGGCCGAGGCAGGCGGATCACGAGGTCAGGAGATCGAGACCATCCTGGCTAACATGGTGAAACCCCGTCTCTACTAAAAATACAAAAAAATTAGCTGGGCGTGGTGGCGGGTGCCTGTAGTCCCAGCTACTCAGGAGGCTGAGGCGAGAGAATGGCGTGAACCCGGGAGGTGGAGCTTGCAGTAAGCGGAGATCGCACCACTGCACTCCAGCCTGGGCAACAAAGCAAGACTCCGTCAAAAAAAAAAAAAAAGAAATTAATAACTGGAATATATAAGGAATTCCAACAACTCAACAACTCAATAGCAAAATAATAATAATAATAATCTTATTAAAATGGGCAAAATACATGAATAGACATTTCTCAAAAGAAGTCATAGAAATGTCCAAGTATATAAAAAATGCTCAGTGTCACTAATCATCAGGAAAACTCAAATCAAAAGCACAGTGAGATATCATCTCATTCTAGTTAGAATGGCTATTATCAAAAAGACAAAAAATGACAAATGCTGGTGAGAATGTGGAGACAGGCGAACACTTGTACACTGTTGGTGGGGTTGTAAAGTAGTGCAGCTATTATGGGAAACAGTATGGAGGTTCCTCAAAGAACTAAAACTATACCTACCATATGATCCATCAATCCCACTGCTGAATATATATCCAAAAGAAAGGAAATCAGTATATCAAAGAGATATCTCACCGCACAGCCAGGTAGCCGCAGACACACATCTCCATGAACCGCTTGAAAGTTGTGGCCTCCATCTTGCCCCCCCATGATTATCACCATCTCATCCATCAGCTTGATGTCGGGTTCCTAGCCGAGATTGCTGCCCGGCGAGCTTCTCAGACCCGTGGACACTTGCATGTTTATTGCAGCCCTACTCACAATAGCCAAGATATGGAATCAACCCAAGTGTCCATCAACAGATGAATGGATAAAGACAGTGGAATATTATTCAGCCACGAAAAAGAACAAAATCCTGTCATTTGCAACAACATGAATAGAACTGGAGGTCATTATGTTAAGTGAAATAAGCCAGGCACAGAAAGACAAATATCGCATATCCTCATTAACATGTGGGAGCTAAATTCTGGATCTCATGGAGGTAGAGAGTAAAATGGTGGTTACCAGAAGCTGGGAAGGAAAGAGGGAGGGAGGGGGATAAAGAGAAGTTGATTAAGGGGTACCAAAATATATTTAGATAGAAGGAATAAGTCTGGTAATTGATAGTACAGTAGGGAAATTATAGTTAACAGTAATTTATTGTATATTTCGAAATAGCTAAAAATAAGAATTGTTATGTCCCCAACACAAAGAAAATACAAATAATTGAAGTGATAGCTATCCTGATTACCCTGATTTGATCATTACACATTGTATACATGTATCAAAACATCACATGTGCCCCCAAAATCTGTACAGCTATTATATACCAATAAATTTTTTAATGTAAATTATAAATCATAGAACAGAACAGTCTCAGTGAGAAGCCAGCTCCAGAGCTGTGTGAGAGGAGAAGCTGGGCAGACAGTCAGACAGACCCTATGATGCCTTTATGGGTAGTGAGCAGGCCATAACAAATCCTCACTGTTGCCAAGGAAAGACTTTCCTGAAGTGGAGGCCTTTGCTGCATTTCATTTTCAGGAGAAGCAAACTTGACTTTTATTCCCACCGGGCCCTGTGGTCAAGTTGGAAGTTACCTTGGGCTTTCATCTGCATCTGTTGGCCTCCATGTGGGAGCTCTCTAGAGCAGAAACCCACTTATCTTTGAGATCTGTTTTGGGGTTGTGGAACTATGTTTTAATTTTTATTTATTTTTGTTTTATTTTGTTTTTTATTTTTTTGAGACAGGTTTTCGCTCTGTTACCCAGGCTGAAATGCAGTGGCGGGATTATGGCTCACTGCAGGCTCAAACTCCCAGGCTCGAACAATTCTTCTGCCTCAGCCTCCCAAGCAGCTGGGAGCACAGGTGCATGCCACCACACCCAGCTAATTTTTTGTTTGTTTGTTTTGTAGAGGTGGAGTACCCCTACATTGCCCAGGCTGGTCTTGAACTCCAGGACTCAAGGGATCCTCCCCCTTTGGCCTCCCAAAGTGTTGGGATTACAGGTGTGAGCCACTGCACCCAGCCTGGGTTGTGGAAATAAACAAAGACCAACTAAATGAGAAAAGCAGAAGCTATTTATCCAGAGCTTGCTGTAGCAAGGAAGTCAGCCACCATCACCTATGTTTGGCAGAGACTACAAGGCAGGCAGAGGAGCAGAAAAGCTTCATAGTGAGGGGAAACACAAGGCTTCAGGTGTGCCCTGACTGCAGGCTGTTGGCAGGGGGAAGCTGAAAGTGTCTATTGAGAAGTGGGGCATCCCGTGTGATTGGCTGGGGGCATATAATTGGCTTTCTCAGGTTGGTCCTAAGTTGGAAGTGAGAACAAAAATTAGGGAGGCTGCCAGTTACTAACCAAGTCCTGGACATTTTGTGCCAGTTGTGGCAGAAGTTCTTGTTTAGCTTCCTGGACGGTTACCAGAGGTAGCAAACTGGCTTCCTGGGCTGTTTATTGTAGATAAGGGGGCTGGTTTCCTGGGCACATTGCTGCAGGTTGTGGGTCTGAATTATATTGTTAAATACAGTCTGGCAATTGTACATTAGTAAATTTAGTCTTTCAGGGTAGTGGGAGCGTGAGTTGGGGTAACCACCGAGTGCTGGGTTCTTTCATGACCTTGTGGCTACACCTAAAGCTGTCCACAGAGGCTGGGAACTGCGGGTATCCCTGGCGCACCATTAGGAAAAAAGCTCCAGTCTGTGTACATGTCCCTCTCTCAGCTATTTTGGTTTGTGGCTTCTCTTCACAGAACACTTCATCAATATATGCCCATATGATGTCTATTTCCCAGGAATTCTTTGAAATTTCTGTTTCATTGATGGCACCCTTCTCCAGTTACCATATTCCTATCTCTGGCTGTTATTTTTGTCAGGAGAGGTGCTAAATATTTTTGTTACTGGATAATCTGTAGTGCTTGTTATGTTAGACTAGAAGGAAGGAAAGCAACTTTTCCACCCCTACTGATATTTGTTAGAAAAAAGTAAGGCTCTCAGGAGGCTGAAGTAGGGGAATCACTTGAACCCGAGAGGTGGAGGTTGCAGTGAGCCGAGATCGCGCCACTCCACTCCAGCCTGGTGACAGAGTGAGACTCTGTCTAAAAAAATAATAATAATAAATAAGGCTTAGATTTCTGGGAGATATGTTTTTCTGCACTGTCCTCTAGCTCTAAATAAGCACAAAACTACTCTTAAACTTCTTCGTTTTCTAGGAATTTTGCTGAAGAAAGCTTCACCATTTTGTTTGGAAGATTAGGCACATCAAGGAATTAAGCTGTAGCTGCCATGGATATGGGCATGCGCTTGGAGGAAGGGATGATAATAGTTACAGAAATATGGTGTCATCTTGTATATTTTATGCAAACCAAGTCAACTGACATAAAAGTCTACATTTTAATTGGAGTAATGGGGCACCCAAAGTCATTGGACTATAACAATTTCTTATAAAATTATTATATATATTTCTTTTATAGGAAGGAAATTCATTTTGATAGTTTCAGTTTACTTGCTCCAATAACTTTTTCCTTCAAAAATGGTTACTGGATTGGGCATTCTTGTGACACTATAGACATTATGTCACTTTTGATAAGTTTTAATTTTGAGAAGCCACATTCTCCACTGGTGACCAATTTTGGCTAAGTTACATCTATTCTGTAAAATTAAAAGAAAGTTTTAAAAAATCCATCTAGGAAATTGTCCCTCAAAATTATGCTGCACTCCAATGAGATTTATCATAGGTTTTAGGAAAAGCTTCTGTGTTGGTGCCCATCAATATGGAATTCCTTACTATGGTCAACAGTCAATTTAAATTGTAAATGTGTCATTTGAGTTACATAGTTATAGTAGTTCTGCAGATAACACTGGTCATCTTGCATTGAAGAGACCAGGATGTTCTTTTGATATAGTAACATTTTCTTTTCTTTTTTTTTTTTGAAATGAAGTCTTGCTCTGTTGCCCAGGCTGGAGTGCAATGGCACAATCTTGGCTCACTGCAACCTCCACCTCCCAGGTTCAAGCAATTCTCCTGCCTCAGCCTCCCAAGTAGCTGGGATTACAGGTGCACACCACCCTGCCCAGCTAAGTTTTGTACTTTTAGTAGAGGCAGGGTTTCACCATGTTGGCCAGGCTGGTCTGGAACTCCTGACGTTGTGATCCACCGGCCTCGGCCTCCCAAAGTGCTGGGATTATAGGCGTGAGCCACCACGTCCAGCCACGTTTTCTTTTAAAAATAGTGCTGTTATATCTAACGTAAACAAAGAATTGATATTGACTTTTAGCTTTGGCTCATAGGTGGAACAGACTTTGTGTTGAGAAAAATCATAATAGTTCTAGTATTTTCTATGTAGACAAGTTGGCATTAATATCAATAGACTGCCATTTGGTGTCAATTAGATATCATAAACACAATTTGTTTTTCCTCAAAGACTTTCTTCTTGCCTTTGATGATTTCAAAGGCATTATGTACACTGAATTCTTTTGTTTATAACATTAATTTCACTTAAAATATCATGTCCCATTAATACTGACAAAATGAATTTGGTGACTTTTTTTTCAGAAGTATAATTTTTGCTTGTATTCTAGTGCCTATTAATACATTAATATTTTCTAAAAGCAATTGCATACTTCTACTTGAGATTTTGTATTAACTTTCCAATTGTGTTTTAAAGTTTTTAAATGTATCCCTGTTAAATGTTTTTACATATATTCCATCATTTCATTGTAGACTAAAATTAATACTTTTTAAAGATCTCCTACTGAAAACTGTTGTTTTTCTATTTGCATTTCTGGCATTGTTTTCAATGTATATATACACATAGTTGTCCCTCATTCTCCATGGGGGATTGGTTTCAGGACCTCCTGTGGATACCAAAATCCACCGAGCTCAAGTCCCTGATATAAATTTACATATAACCTGTGCATATCCTCCTGTGTGTTTTAAATCATCTCTTGATTACTTATAATACCTAATACAATGTAATACTACGTAAGCAGTTGTTTTTATACTGAATTGTTAGGAAATAACGACAAGAAGTCTGTACATATTCAGTACAGATGCAACTAAAAAAAAATTCTGATCCTAAGTTGACTGAATCCATGGATGTGGAACCCACAGATTCAGAGGGCTATTGACAGAGGGAGGGACAGAGAGAGAGAGAGATCACAGATCTGGTTGCTTACTCTTTGCATGCCTTCAAGGGAGTCTGGAACCAAGATTGGCCTTTGGCCAACCCCTGGGAATGTGGCCCTTAGAATGTTCTTTATGTTAGTGATTGATGATTTTGTTGTTTACACCTAGAGCAGTGGACCATGCTATACCAGCTTGTCAGGTTGCTTTGCACAAACATCAAGATAGATAAGGTGCCCCCATTCTCATTGCCAAGGTTCTGAGTCTCAGTTACAATGGCTGGTTTGATTGCAGGATATGCCTGTAGGGTCAGCACCCCATAAAAGCTTCCAACCCTGAGATCTGAATGGCTTTCCGGGGCATATATACTCCACACATGTCAATGAAGCTCATTAAGAGTGAAAAAGCACATTCTCTGTAGCTTCATATGAGAAAGGACTCAGAAGCCCTTTCTAGCCTATCTGTATTTCACCAGGACATATATTTTTCCTGCTGTTTTGCTCTGTATTCATTGCTGTGAGATATCTTCTCCATGAATATAACCTGCTATTGAGCCTGTAAGTCCTTCTAGTGAATCACCAAACTTGAAGCAATTATGAGAGTATCAAAGCATCATATTAGCAGCCCTATAATCTACTGGACAAAATTCCCCCAAATGTTCAAGTCTAGAAATGTTTGCATTTTGGGAATCTACAAATCCAGACATAATTATCTGAATTATATGGCTTACTTACATCAGGAGTTTTATCTAAAATGACTAAGTAATTAGCATTTCCTAACTCTCCAAAATTATTTTATTTATCCCATCTTCTATAACTTGAATCACTTGGTTTTGTATTTCATTAACATTCAGTTTCTGTATAAATGTTCATATAAAATTATGCTACGGTTTCTGCTAAGGGAGTAAAATTTCCCATATCACACTCAAAACATTTTTGGATGATCTTTTTGTGCTAGATGTTGTTTTGCTAAAATCTGAGTCATGTGTATACACACTGAGTTACAGCCAATATTTTTCCTTATATAGTCTCTGCAGCATTCATGTTTTTTTCAAATCAGATTTTAATTTCAAAGACACACGACTATTATTGAAGTCTTATGAAAACTAATTGCTCAATTAACTTTCTATTGCTGCATGACAAATTACCACAAGTTTAGTGACTTAAAACAATACCCACTTACCAGTTCACCGTTCTGTGTAGGTCAAAAGTCCAGGCACTTTGCAGCTGGGTTGTCTGCTCAGGTTCTCACAAGACTGAAATCAAGGATGGACCAGCTTCATCCTTACCTGGAGTTCAGGGTCCTCTTTCATCTCACTCAGGATATGGGCAGAACTCACTTCCTTGTAGTTTTAGGACTGTGGTCCCTGTTCTTTTGCTGGTTGTCAGCCAGGGCGATACTTAGCTCTGAGGGGCCATTCTGAGTCCCTTGTCATGTAGTACCCTTTGTCTTTAAAGGCAGCAATAGAGAATCTTCCTTGTGCTAGAGGCTTCTTACATTTAAAATCTCTGTCTCCAGGAAGAGCTCAGTCCCTTTTCAAGGGCACATCTGATTAGGTCAGGCCAACTGAATATAACCTCCCTTTCTTAAAGTCAACTACAGTAATCTAGCCATAGGAGTGACTATTCTATTATATTTACAGTTCAGTCTCATACTCAAAAGGAGGGAATTACACAGGTTGTGTACGTCAAGGGGCAGCAACCTTGGGGACCAGCTTAGCATTCTACCTTCTGAGGCAGGAGAAAAGGGTCTGGAGGCAGGGAACGTAAGGCTGATTTGCGCCGACTTCCTAGAGCTAAATCAAAAGGAAAACTCCAACTTTCCATGCCCAAGTAACAAAAGAGCCAAAGGCTACTCCCTTTGCAACCCCCATCTTTTCTGTGTGGCAGATAAAAAACTGAAAATACCTCTGACTGGTCCCCTCCTACAACCAATCAGCCTGGTCGCCGGGCCAGGTCTTCATTTGCATAGGAGTATAACTTTGTAACTTCACTTCAGTCTCTGATTGATTGGTCACTGTCCACAACCAAACAGACTGATCACAGGGCACTACTTCATTTACATAGGGTGTACACAAAGTAACCAATGGGAAACCTCTAAAGGGTATTTGAACCCCAGAAAATTCTATACCCACTAAATAACAAATTCCCATTTTCTCCTCCCAATATTTTTTCAATTTTAAATCAATTTAACTTGTTAATTTTTATAATTATAAAATTTCTTCCAGCACTTTGGGAGGCCAAGGCAGGAGGATCGCTTGAACCCAGGAGCTCAAGACCAGCCTGAGCAACATGGGGAAACCCTGTCTCTACCAAAAAAAAAAAAAAAAATTGGTGGGTGCAGTGGTGCATGCCTGCGGTCCCCAGCTATTCAGAAGGCTAAGGCAGGAGAATCACCTGAGCCCAGAGCAAGACCCTATCTTAAACAAAAACAAAAACAAAAACAAACAAACAAAAAACCAATAGCAAGAAAAACAATGGCTATAATGCAATTAGCCTATCATTATATTAAAATATTTAGTTTATGTCTATAATTCTCATTTTGTTGATTATTGTATTAGTCCATTTTCACACTGCTAATAAAGACACACCCGAGACTGGGTAATTTATACAGGAAAAGGGTTTAATGGACTCACAGTTCCACGTGGCCAGGGAGGCCTCACAATCCTGGGGGAAGGTGAAAGGCACATCTCACATGGTGGCAGACAAGAGAAGGGAGCTTGTGTAGGGAAACTCCCCTTTATAAAACTATCAGATCTCATGAGCCTTATTTGCTGTCATGAGAACAGCATGGGAAAGACCTGCCCTCATGATTCAATCACTTTCTCTTGGGTCCCTCCCACAACACATGGGAATTCAAGATGAGATTTGGGTAGGGACACAGACAAACCATATCAATTATCAAGAGTTATTATATCATAATTCACATCACTGATAATAGAAATACCTGTAGATTTAAATTGAGAACTCAGCAATAAAATTCTGGAATAGTAAACAAACAGCAGATTCTATGAATTGCATTATGAAATGTCAAATTTAACATATGCATTAATACTGATAAAATATTTTTTTACAACAGAGATGCATCAGCTTATCAATTGGAAAGGCAGCTCCTTATTTAGATGCACAGGTTATTTTAGTATTGTTTGGTCAACAAGGTCATTAGATGATCAAACTTGCTTCTCTGAAATCAGCACTGAAGTTCTGTTACTTATATAATACATGTGCATTCTCAAGTACACCTATCTTCTCCTTAGGCCCTTATTATCTCACTTTATTCTACTGCATTAGTCTCCTATGTGACTTCTCTCTGAGACTTCTTTGGGCTTCAGTCCACTCTTGATATCGTTGCCAAATTAATTTTCCTAACACCAAATTCTGATCTTGTCAACCACAACTGAAAAATACTGAATGAATTTTCATGGCTTAGAATAATGGTTCTCAAATGTTGCTAAAAGTTAGCATCAGCTGGAGAGCTTTCAAAATTCTGATGCACAAGCCACACTCCAGTCTAATTAAATGAGAACCTTGGGATGGAGTGAAGTGGGGGGCGGGAATGAGACCTAGGCATCAGTAGGTTTGTTTTTTTTTTTTTGAGACGGAGTCTCTCTTTGTGGCCCAGGCTGGAGTGCAGTGGCGTGATCTCGGCTCACTGCAACCTCCACCTCCCTGGTACCAGTTCAAGCAATTATCCCTACCTCAGCCTCTTGAGTAGCTGGGATTACAGGCATGCGCCACCAAGGCATCAGTAGTTTTTAATACAGTCATGCATTGCTTAACGACAGGAAGCGTTAAGAGAAATGTGTCATTAGGCGATTTCATCATTGTGCAAACATCATAGAATGTACTTAAACAATCCTAGATGGTCTACTAGATGTGTGTGGTAGTCTATTGCTCCACAGCTACAATTTGTACAGCATGTTACTGTAATGAATACTGCAGGCAATTGTAACATAAAGGTAAGTATTTGTGCATCTACACATATCTAAACATAGAAAAGACACAATAAAAATATGGTATAAAAGATTTTTTTTTTTTTTTTTTTTTGGAGACAGAGTCTCGCTCTGTCACCCAGGCTGGGGTGCAGTGGTGTGATCTCAGGTCACTGCAACCTCTGCCTTCTGAGCTAAAGAGATTCTCCTGCCTCAGTCTCCCAAGTAGTTGGGACTGCAGGTGCATGCCACTGTGCCCGCCACCACGTGCAGCTAATTTTTGTATTTTTAGTAGCACTTTGGGAGGCCAAGGTGGGCCAGTCACCTGAGGTCAGGAGTTTGAGACAAGTGTGGCCAACATGGCAAAACCCTGTCTCTACTAAAAATACAAAATTAGCTGGACATGGTGGTGAGTGTCTATAATCCCAGCTACTTGGAAGAATCCCTTGAACCTGGGAGGCAGAGGTTGCAGTGAGCCGAGATCGTGCCACTGCACTCCAGCCTGGGCTACAGAGTGAGACTCCCTCTCAAAAAAAAAAAAAAAAAAACCACAGAAAATTTTGCTGCTTCTTACTGAGAACCACTAGGCTAGACTAGTTAGAGATAACCTAATCAGATCAAAAACTTTAAAAATGTTTATTGATTATAATAATAATAAGGTGTGAACCAGGAATGAAAACTCCTTACTTCATCCTACATTGAGAAATGACAAACATTACATTGATGCCTTTACTTTTAGAAACTGCAACAAATTCAAATCTGATTCAGGCTTTCTAGCCTATTACAATTCCCTTGGCCCATGATCTATATGGAGTTGGAAGGGCTCATGTAGCACATGACCTATTATACAGCTTACTGGGGAAACAGGGTCCTATTTCTCAAGCTTCACCAGAGCAGAAACTTCATCTATCTTATTTAAAGATGTATTCTCAGAACCTTGAACAATGTTTCATATTGGATATTTAAAATTTACTTGATAACGAGGCCAGGCGCAATGGCTCATGCCCGTAATCCCAGCACTTTGGGAGGCTGAGGCAGGTGGATTACTTGAGGTCAGCAGTTCAAGACCAGCCTGGCCAATGTGGTGAAACCCCGTCTCTACTAAAAATACAAAAATTAGCCAGGTGTGGTGGCGCACACCTGTAATCCCAGATACTCAGGACGCTGAGGCAGGAGGATCACTTGAACCCTGGAGGTGGAAGTTGCAGTGAGCAGAGATCGTGCCATTGCACTCCAGCCTGGGAAACAGAGCAAGACTTTTCCTCAAAAAAAATTATTTGATAAAGATATGCAATTCTCCAATTAATGATTTGAGATCCATACAATCCTATATAATCACCTCCCCTCCTTTCCTCCTAAATTATAAAAGTCATCCATCTTTCAAACACTAGGTGGCGCTGGTCAGCCCACAGGCACTAAAGGCTCTTTTAAAACTGCCACATGGTGTCCCTGTTGAGCACCAATCCTGCATTCATTCATTCATTCAAGACAGTCTTGCTCTGTCACCCAGGCTGAAGTGCAGTGGAGTGAACATAGCTCACTGACTGCAGACTCAAACTCCTGGGCTTAAGTGATTCTCTCACTTCAGCCTCCTGAGTAGCTGGGACTATAGTTGCACACCACCATGCCTCGCTAATTCTTTTTTGTAGAGACGGGGGTCTCACTATGTTGTCCAGGCTTGTCTTGAACTCCTGGCCTCAAAAGATCCTCCTGCCTTGGCCTCAGCTTCCCAGAGTGCTAAGATTACAAGTGTGAGCCACTATGCCCAGCCTATCTTGCATTTAATCACAGGACTTTTATCTCCCAATGCAATGATGCCTAGTGATGGCTAAAGCTCAGTCTCTCGCAGGTCACAGTCACATACCAACTCTAGACTCTGTATTAGTTTTTCGGGGCTGCCATAACAAATTACCACAAACTGCATGGCTTAGAACAACAGAAATTTATTGTCTCATCGTTTTGGAGGTCAGGAGTCAGAAATCAAGGTGTTAGCAGGGCCTGCATGCTCTAGGGAAGGATCTGTTACAGGCCTGGTAGCTCCCTGGCTTATGACTGCATAATTACAGTATTCACATGGCAGTCTTCCTGTGTGCATATCTCATTCCGCATTTCTCTTTTTATAAGAATACCAGTCAGATTGGGTTAGAGGTCCCCGCTACTCCAGTATGACTTCAACTAATGACATCTGCAACTGCTCTATTCTAAATAAGGTCACATTCTGTGGTACTGCGGTTAGGATTTAAACATGTGAATTCTGGGGAAGGGTGCTATGGTTTAAATATGTGCCCCAAAGTTTATGTGTTGGTAGCTTAATTTTCATTATGACAGTATTAAGACATGGGACCTTTAAGAAGTGATTAGGTTATGAGGGCCCTGTTCTCATGATATGGTGAGGCTTCGTGTCACCACCCAAATCTCATCTTGAATTATAATCCCCATAATCCCCACATGTCAAGGGAGAGACCAGGTAGAGGTAATTGAATCATAGGGGTGGTTTCCCCCATGCTGTTCTCGTGATAGTGAGTTCGTTCTCCCCAGATCTGATGGTTTTATCAGGGGCTCTTCCCCACTCACTCAGCACTTCTCCTTCCTGCCACCTCATGAAAAGGTGCCTTACTTCCCCTTCACTTCCTGCCATGACTGTAAGTTTCCTGAGGCCTCCCCAAACCATGCTGAACTGTAAGTCAATTAACCCTCTTTCCTTTATAAATTACCCAGTCTGGGGCAGTTCCTTATAGCAGCGTGAGAACGGACTAATATACCTCATGATGCAGTAATGCTGCTATCACAGGAGTGAGTTAGTTAATTGCTGCAGTTAGATGTTTGGGCTGTTTTGATGGGCAGGAGGGAGCTCCTGATAAAATGATTTCTGCTCAGTTTCCCCTCTGTCTCTCCTGTGCTCGCTTCTGCCTTCCACCCCTCCACCATGGGGTGACCCTTGCCAAATGCCAGTGCCATGCTGTGGACTTCCCAGCTTCCAGGACTGTGAGCTGAATAAACTTTCTTTACAATTTGCTCAGTCTGTGGTATTCTGTTCCAGCAGCAGAAAACAGACTAAGACAAAGGGACACAATTCAACCCATTACAGGCTCCAACATAAAACCCCCAGCTCAGCCACTGTCCCTCAACGTATCCTGAAGTCCAGAGGGGCTGCCAATGCTTAACCACAAATCTCCAGGTCCTACATGTGAGCCAGGTCATAATTTCCCCTCAAGATTTCTTCCCATGTGGGGGCCATGTGTACAAAGGCCTTGTGTCCACCCTGAGAGATAACTTAAAGTCTCAAATAGAAAAAGCTGCAGAATTTTTCCCCTCTTTTCAGAAAGCCCCTGGTTTTCTTTGGCACATTTCTCCCCTTTAAAACATGCTCCAAAACAAGAAGAGAGGCATAGAGAAGTGCCAGAATCCACCTATCAAAACAGCCCAAACATCTAACTGCAGCAATTTGCTCACTGTTAGGCAAGTGATTCAGACCAATCAAAACCAGACTTTTGTTTCAATTTTGGAGAAGAGAAGTTATCTCCTTTCTCTGGACCTACAGCCAAGAACATCTGAGCCTGAATCTCATCACACATGGAGATACTTTGCTTAAGAGTGAAGCCCAAGCTGGGCACAGTGGCTCACGCCTGTAATCCCAGCACTTTGGGAGGCCGAGGCAGGTGGATCACCTGAGGTCAGGAGTTCGAGACCAGCCTGGCCAAAATGTTGAAACCCCGTCTCTACTAAAAATACAAAAATTAGCCTGGCGTGGTGGTGTACGCCTGTAATCCCAGCTATTCGGGAGGCTGAGGCACGAGAATTGCTTGAACCTGGGAGGAGGAGGCTTCAGTGAACCAAGATTGCACCACTGCACTGCACTGCACTCCAGCCGGAGTGACAGAGCAAGACTCTGTCTCAAAAAAAAAAAAAAAAAAAAAAAAAAAAAAAAAGAATGAAGCCCACACTGCCAGAAGCAGAGCTGAGTGTTAGAGAGAGACTGACTTTAGAACATTCTTTAAGCCTCTGATGCAAAGCCATCTGATGGCTTATTACATGAGCAAAAATTCTCTTTTTATTTTCTTTTTTGTCCCATTCAGGCCAGTTTGAATTAGATTTCTTTTTCTTTCTTTTTTTTTTTTTAGAACAGGATTTTCTTTTTTAACTTAAGTAACTGCAAGTAGGAAGCTAGAGGCAGAGCCCCAAGCTGAGACAAATAATAACTACCCATTCCCCAACCAAACAGGGGGAGAAGGTGGCCCCTCCACCCTTTAGGGTCAATTTGAGTGCCCCTCCTCACTCTGCTGCAGCATCCTAGAGACAGGGCCCTATCTTCCCTGGGACTGGGATAGTCAGTAACCCAGCCAGCCTGCCAAGCTGCAGACCCCCTGTCTCATGGAGGCTATCTTGAGGGAGGGGAATGTGTGCAGAGCAGGAGGCAGAGGGTGAACATTTGGTGCTGGGAGCAGCAGCAATGATAGATGTTGAAGAATGGAACATTGTACAAGAGACAACACAACTGTCCAGTGATAGTTTGTGAACAGAGGAAATGATGGAACCAGAACCCTGTGGGGTAGGGAAGAGCGGGAGGGTTGGGAGCCTGCAGGGCAAGCTCCTTGTTATTAGTGTCCTGTCTGAGGAGGGGGAAATAGACCGAGTGGTGGGAACAGGTAGGGTTGGGTGAGCAACCCCAGGCGGCCTCAGGTGGCTGCCCAGGGAACCTGGGCCTCACCTGAACAACCCGTGACTCTACATCTCCATCACTGCAATGTGTACTCAGAGCCCAGGCTGAGGGCAAGGGAGCTGGGGCCCCTGTGAAAATGGGGTAGGGGTCTCAAACCCTGCCTGCCTTCCTGTACTACAAAGGGAGCTGTCCAACCTGGTGCAGGAACTAGGAAAGGTGGGGGAAGATGAAAGATGGATGTGTGAGCCCCACGTGGTGACAAAGACACAGGTTGGCTGGGGGCATTCTGGGAGCACCCCCCTCCAATGGCCACAGGTGCTGCCTCCAGGACAATAGAGTGGGACATGCCAGAATGAGATGGGGCTTGGGCCTCTTTTATGGCCGGGGAGCCCTCTGGGAAGTCAGAGGAAACAGTGGAGGAGCCGAGAAGGAGCCCCCAAAGCAGAAACCCAGAAAGCAAAGTCCCCACCAACAAGGGAGTGGGGCCGCAGCAGGTGCAGCAGCGTGAAGTGGGCTGTTACCCTCGTCCAGGAGGGCAAGTGTGTGCGTGGCTGGGAACTGAAGCCAGAGGAACACTGCTGTCACTGGGCCAACAGGGGCCCTGCCGCGGTGGTGAGGACGCAGGTGGGCGGTGCAGGTGACGGTGGCCTGGGGGAAGGACAGGGGCAATGGGGGTGAGCAAAACTGTCCGGTCCCAGAAGGAAGTGGCTCCTCCCGGGAGGACTCCCGAGAGATGCTCCCTCTTCCTCCTTCCCAGTGTTTTGGGCCGGCCCTTTGCTTTCCCTCCTGGAGCTGTGGTGGTTTTCCGGGTCGTGGCAGCATCCTGGGGTTTGCTTCCTTTCGGTTGCCCAGGGTCTTAGGTGTTAGCACGTGCTGGGCTCCTTCGGACGTGGAGCTGCCCCCACCTCGCTTCTCAGCGCCGTCCTTTTCCTTCTTGGAGGCCAAGGGCTGGCTGGACCTCCAGCTCGACTGGCTCTTCTTCCCTTCTGCACGGAGCAGGTGGGAGAGAAGAGCGGTGGCTGCGCTGCGCGCTGTGGGATGCCGAGGGCGACGGTGCCGGCGCTAAGGACCCGCCTGGCCGCGCCGCGCAGCAAATGCAGTCGCCTGCGAGGAGCCCCAAAGAGAGGAGCGCCTGAGTCCGATTTCTAGAGATTCAGAAGAATGACCACGGATACCTGTAACCGGGAGCGCGCCTCTCACCTTAAACCTTCGCTATTTTGACTCCTATGTTAGCATCTCCCCAAGGGGTGATAAAATTCAGTGTTGGGATGACCTTTCTGTGGTCACACAAAAAACCGGCTTTGTGCCTCCGAGCCAGGCCTGGCCGTGTAGCCATCACAGCTGCAATGAAGAGGACTTGGACAATATCCAGCAGTTGAGACTCTGTGGCCCTGTGGACAGTAGAGTACTAGGAAAGGCGCAAGCGCCTTCAGATCTGGAAATGCTTATGGGCATGCCACCAGCGGAATTTAAGCAGAATTTTCCCTGGAAGTATTCACCAAGCTGTCCCTATAGGGTAAAGAGGAAATAAGCTAAAGGTTGTGGTACAGGAGGAGATAAAATAGATAATTAATTTATATTTTTGCACTAAAATTGTAATTGAGAAATAAAAGTGAAATGCCAAAATCACATAGATTAACTATCACAGTATTAAACTGAGACAAGATCTCAGGTTATTTTGCTGTTGTTGTTATTTATATGCTATGTTGTCCAGGCTGGTCTCAAACTTGAGGCCTCAAGTGATCCTCCGGCCCCAGCCTCTCAAAGTACTGAGATTACAGGCATGAGCCACATGTGCCCGACCTCAGAAACTTTTTGTATAGAATTACAGCACTGCATATATTCTGACATCATAATACAAAACAAAACAAAACACAGATCTCAGGAGACATGAGAGAAAAATAAAGATAAATAAAAGAGACTGGAAGCCGGGCACAGCGGATCGGATCATACTTGTAATCCCAGCACTTTGGGGGGCTGAGGCAGGCGGATCACCTGAGGTCAGGAGTTCGAGACCAGCCTGACCAGCATGGAGAAACCCTGTCTCTACTAAAAATACAAAAAATTAGCCGGGCATGGCAGCCCATGCCTGTAATCCCAGCTACTTGGGAGGCTGAGACAGGAGAATCGCTTGAACCCAGAAGGCAGAGGTTGCGGTGAGCCTAGATTGCACCACTGCCCTTCAGCCTGGGCAACAAGAAGGAAATTCCATCTCAAAAAATAAAATAAAATAAAATAAAAAATAAAACAAAAACAGAAACAAAAACAAAAAAGAGACTGGGGTATAAAACCTGAAAGTTACCATGATAAAAAAGGAAATGTCATGAGCTGTGGAATCAGAATTGAGTTGAAATCCTAACTCTATAATCTTAAGTTATTTAATTTTTGTAAGACTCACTTTCTTCATCTGCAATATGAGGTTAATGATACCTACCTTCTACTTAGGTTGTGAAAATTAAATGAGAGATGAATATAAATAAAATGTTTAGTATAGTAGAAGATCAATTATAATTAGATTTTTTTATAAAGAAACGATGGTCATATTCAAAGATGATACACTGATCATTTTAGGTGCACGTTGAGAGTATGAAATTGCTAAGACCTAAAAATATGAAAGGCTTACAAGTTTAAAATAAATGAGATAAAGTAATATAACTACAGTCTTAAAGGAAAATGAATTAATGTAACATGAAATAGTACTGCTTAGAGTTCCATTGTACAAGACCACCCTTAAAGCAAATAGCTGAAGATTTTTAACACATAAGTAACCCTTTTTTTTTGTATGACTGACATACCAGGAGTCAGCTATCTATTATCTAGCCAATAATCTCCAAAAGTACTTGGTACCAGAGCTCTAGCCAAGGAGTATTCTGTAATAGATGGCGACATAACCCACCAGAGCCCTTCCTTTGAGGCGCCTGAATGAGAGACATTTAGAAATGTCACAGTGACACAGAAGTTAAGCACACAAAGAATTGCTGTAAGCAGAGACCAAGAGGCACAGAATCTGTGAATAAACAAGACTCACGGGTAGTGGAGGAGGCAGAGGCGGTCACTAACCACAGGAGCAGTGGAAGTGGCTGAGGAGTGAGGGCTGAAGCAAAACGCTGGGGAAGGAAGCAGCTGACACTGGCTGCCACAGGGACGTCTCCTGGGGTTGCATCTGGCTCCAGAGAGGCTGGCAGACCTCTAGAGCTCTGTTGTGTGCTCCATGATGACTTCTTTCTCTGGGAAACCTGGCTGTGCAGCTGCTCATAGGCCTCCCATCTCCCTCGCTTCTCAATGCATCCTTACAGCAGACTCTGTGAACTGAGCCTGAATATGCCTCTGCCTCTGGCAAATTGGAAGTGTATAATTAACGCACTATCCTAAGAGCACCACTGGCTTGAATAATGCAGAGAAGCTCCCTCCTATCACCCTACAAACAGGCTGAACTGCCTCACCTAAACAGCAACTCAAGAAAACCATACCTACCCTCACATTTTCTCTACTGCCCTTACCAGCATCTCTTTATTTGTATAACACTTTATGGTTTCAAACACTTTCATGCTATTGTTATCTCATTTGATTCCCATGATGATTTTTTTTTTTGAGGCAGCTGAGTAAGGAACAGATTCCTCTTCTATGGTTGACATAGATTTGATGATGTATACAAAGTCAAGGGGCCAGTTTGAGATTTCTAAGCTCAGGAAGTTGTGTATTACAGCAAATCCTCAAAGCCAGAGGAAAGCAGTTAGAAGAACAGTGGGCCAAATTGAACGGAAGGAGAAACCAAACCAATGGAGGATGTGATGCCCATATGGCACTTTATAGTGGATGTAATCAGAGGAGCCCCAAGGGAATCCTATCATGCCCACTGATCTGAGGACTCTTGCAGTTCATCCATTTGTCCCACCTCCTTTCACTCTCAAAATTGTCCCAATTTGAACAATAGGTGTGTTAGGATTCTCCAAGAGGGACAGAACCAATAGGATGTAAATATATAGTTATAGACGTAGACTGATGATATAGATAGATGTATGGCCAGATACAGTGGCTCACACCTGTAGTCCCAGCACGTTGGGAGGCCCAGACGGGTGGATCACTTCAGGTCAGGAGTTTGAGACCAGCCTGGCCAACATGGTGAACCCCTTATCTACTAAAAATACAAAAATTAGCCAGGCGGGGTGGTGCACACCTGTAATCCCAGTTTCTTGGGAGGCTGAGACAGGAGAATCGCTCCAACCCAGGAGGCAGAAGTTGCAGTGAGCCAAGATGGTGCCACTGCCCTCCAGCCTGGGCTACAAAGTGAGACCCTATCTCAAAAATAAAAATAAAATAAAAATAAAAATATAGATCTATCACAGGGGATTTATTGGGGAGATTGGTGCATGCAATTATGGAGTGTAAGTCCAACTGCAGGCCATCTGCAATCTGGAGACTCTGGGATGCTCAGAGTCTCCAGACTCTGATAATATGGCTCAGTCCAAGTTCAAAGGCCTCAAAAATAAGAAGCTGATAGTGTAACTTTCTGTCCAAGGCCAAAGGCCTGAGAACCTGAGGGTTGTGGGGGTCACTGGTATAAGTCCTGAAATCCAAAGGCCAGAGAACCTGGAGCTGTTATCCAAGGACAGGAGAAAAGAAGAGTGTATCCCAACTCCAGCAGCAGATGGAATGGATGGACATACTCACCTTTCCCTGTTTTGTTCTTTCTGGGCCCCCAGCAGATTGGATGGTGCCGGCCCGCATGGAAGGTGGGTCTTCCCCACCTAGTGCACTCAGACTCACTTGCTAATCTACTCTGGAAACTCCCTCACAGACACACCCATAAATAATACTTTAGCAAGTTTCTAGGCATTCCTTAATCCAGTCAAGTTAACACCTAAAATTAACCATCACAATAGGTTATATGGTCAACTCTATTATAACCTGAGGTATTGCTAGTTAACAAATTGAGGGAAGAGAAAAGTATACTTTTCTTTATAACAAGGACATAAAACTATATTTAGGAAAAGTATCTTTTGGAAAATTATTAATGATATAAGTTTAAAAAGTGAAAGGTTTGGCTCACATTTAAGCAGACTGTTGAACCAATTAGAACAACTACATTCCTTGAGCATTTCAGTTCATGTTTCTGCAGACTGAGTAAATGAGTCCATTGCATTTGTGGCATGGGTGTTGTCTTAGCCACTCAAGCTACTATAACAAAATGCCATCAGCTGAATGACTTATAAACAACAGATGTTTCTTTCTCAGTTCTGGTGACTGGAAGTTCAAGATCAGAGTGCCAGCAGATGCAGGTTCTAGTGAGGATCTTCTTCCTGGTTGCAGACACTGACTTCCTGTATCATCAAATTATGGAAAGAAAAAAGGTAGGTCATTGGCCTTTCCTTATAAGGTCACTAATCCCCTTCATGAGGGCTCCACCCTTGTGACCTAATTACCTCCCAAAGTCCCACCTCCAAGTACCATCACACTGGAGATTAGATTTCAACATGTGAATTTTGAGGGGAAAAAATATTCAATCTATAACAGGGATCAAAATTCTGTTCTGAACCTCTCTTCCATGTGAGATTGGAACTAGATACAAGTGCTTGTTATTTGTCAAATATTTGTGATATCTTCAACTCATTTCATATTTAGAAGGACAATTTTTCAACAGGTGGAAATGAAATATTTAAAAGTGTGATTTCATAACATCCTAAGTTAAACACAAAGAAATGACTGAGATTGCCAGAGAGCAGGAGCAAATGTTGGTTGTGGGCACACATACTCATTTGTCCATTTTACAGAAACATGTATTGTTATCTTCGTGTGGATGTCACAAAGTAGAAGTCTGATAGAATATCTTTTGCCAAGTTGACTTTTGATCCTGACTACTTTGGAGTCAGTTATGTCCAGGTCCTTATCATCACAGCTGTTCATAATTACAGCATCCCAATTAGTCTCTCTTCTCCAGTCTATCCCCAAACTAATCCATCCTATAGATTGCCAGAAGGCTAATTGTCCTAGAACAGCGTCATGTGCCATATTGCATTGTTTTGGTCAATGACGGACCTCATATGCAACAGTGGTTCCCTAAGATTATAATGGAGCTGAACAATTCCTATTACCTAGTGACATTGTAGCACAACACATTACTCACATGTTTGTGGTTATGCTGGTATAAACACGCCTACTGAGGCCCGGCGCGGTGGCTCACGCCTGTAATCCCAGCACTTTGGGAGGCCAAGGCGGGCAGATCGAGACCATCCTGGCTAACACAGTGAAACCCCGTCTCCACTAAAAATACAAAAAATTAGCCAGGCGTGGTGGCAGGCGCCTGTGGTCCCAGCTACCCGGGAGGCTGAGGCAGGAGAATGGCTTGAACCCGGGAGGCGGAGCTGGCAGTGGGTGGAGATCGTGCCACTGCACTCCAGCCCGGGCGGCAGAGTGAGACTCCATCTCAAAAAAACAAACAAACAAACAAACAAAAAAACCACACCTACTGAGCTGTCAGTCATATAGAATATAGTACCAACAATTATGTACATTCAGTACATAATGATTGATAAGGATAACAAATGACTATGTTACTGGTTTATGTATTCATTATACTATACTTTTTATTGTTATTTTAGAATGTACTCTTACTTTAAAAAAAGTTAACTATAAAACAGCTTCAGGCAAGTCCTTTAGGAGGTATTATAGAAGAAGGCACTGGTATAAGAAATGGCAGCTCCAGGCCAGGCGCAGTGGCTCACGCCTGTAATCCCAGCAGTTTGGGAGGCCGAGGTGGGTGGATCACCTGAGGTCAGGAGTTTGAGACCAGCCTGGCCAACATGGTGAAACCCTGCCTCTATTAAAAATATAAAAATTTAGCTGGGTGTGATGACACACGCCTGTAATCCCAGCTACTTGGGAGGCTGAGGCAGGAGAATTGCTTGAACCCGGGAGGTGGAGGTTGCAGTGAGCCAAGATCATGCCATTGTAGTCCGGCCTGGGCAGCAGAGCAAGACTCTGTCTCAAAAAAAAAAAAAAGAAAAGAAAAGGTAGCTCCATGCATGTTATTGCTCCTGAAGACCTTCCAGTGGGACAAGATGTGGAGATGAAAGACAGTGACATCAATGATCCTGACCCTGTCTAGGCCTAGGCTATTGTGTGTGTTCATGTCTTAATGCTTAATAAAATGTTTAAAGAGTAAAAAATAAAAATAAAACAATTTCAAAATAGAAAAAGCTTATAGAATAAAAATACAAAGAAAGAAACTATTTTTATACTACTATACAATGCGTTTGTGTTTTATGCTGCGTTACCTACAAAAAAGTCTAAAACTTTTATGAAATAAAAATGAGTAAGCTAATGTTAACTTATTACTGAAGAAATAATAATAATAATAAATAATTGAAGAAAGAAAAATATATTCTGGCCAGGTGCAGTGGCTCATATCTGTAATCCCAGCACTTTGGGAGGCCAAGGCAGGCGGATCACCTCAGGTCAGGAGTTTGAGACCAGCCTGGCCAACACAGTGAAACCCCATTTCTACTAAAAATACAGAAATTGGCCAGGTGCGGTGACTCACGCCTGTAATCCCAGCACTTTGGGAGGCCAAGGTGGGTGGCTCACAAGGTCAGGAGTTCGAGACTAGCCTGGCCAACATAGTGAAACCCCATCTCTACCAAAAATACAAAAACATTAGCTGGGCTTGGTGGCGAGCGCCTGTAATCCCAGCTACTCGGGAGGCTGAGGCAGGAGAATTGCTTGAACCTGGGAGGCGGAGGTTGCAGTGAGCTGAGATTGTGCCATTGTACTCCAGCCCGGATGACAGTGCAAGACTCCATCTCAAAATAAATAAATAAATAAATAAATAAATAATAAGAATACAAAAATTAGCCGGGTGTGGTGGTGCACCTCTGTAATCCCAGCTACTCGGGAGCCTGAGGCACAAGAATCGCTTGAACCCAGGAGGTGGAGTTTGCAGTAAGCTGATATAGGGCCACTGCACTCCAGCCTGGTGGGCAACAGAACAAGACTGTGTCTCAAAAAAAAAAAAAAAAAAAAAAAGAAGAAAAATATATTTTTATAAATGTAGTATAGCCTAAGTGTACAGTGTTTATAATGTCTACATTAGTGCATGGTAATGTCATTCCTAGGCTTTCACCTTCACTCACCACTCACTCACTGATTCACCCAGAGCAACTTCCAGTCCTGCCAGCTCCATTCGTGTAAGGGCCCTATATAGTGTACCATCATTTTTATCTTTTCTTCTGTATTTTTGCTGTACTTTTTCTATGTTTAGATATGTGTAGACACACAGATACTTACCATTGTGTTACAATTGCCTACAGTATTCAGTATAGTAACATGCTGTACAGGTTTGTAGCCTAGGAGGAATAGGCTATACCATATAATCCAGGTGTGTAACAGGCCATACCATCAGTCTGTATAAGTGCACTCTATAATGTTCAAACAACTATGAAATCACCTAATGACACATTTCTCAAAACATGTTCCTTTGGTTAAGCGAGACATGACTGTACTAGTTCTATCATCAGTTCCCTGCTCAAAAACATTCAGAGCTCCCCCTGGTCATTAAAAGAAATTCTGGAATCACACCTTTGAATGACTTTCCAGGTGTTACCTTAGTTGCTATATCCTGTCTCTCCCTAAACTCTTATGGCTCTACTATTGATAGTTTTTATTTTAACATTTGGTCATATACCAGCTTTGTATTGCTACTTAATTTATTCTTGGTTGTAGATCTAATTTTTTTTATGATGGAGTTTCACTCTTGTTGTCCAGGCTGGAGTGCAGTGGCATGATCTCAGATTACTGCAACCTCCACTTTCCAGTTTCAAGTGATTCTCCTGCCTCAGCCTCCCGAGCAGCTGGGATTACAGGAGCCTGCCACCATGCCTGGCTAATATTTGTATTTTTAGTAGAAATGGGGTTTCACCATGTTGGCCAGGCTGGTCTCGAACTCCTGACCTCGTGATCCACCCACCTTAGCCTCCCAAAGTGCTGGGATTACAGGTGTTAGCCACTGTACCCAGCCGACAGATCTAATTTTTTTAACAGAATTGAAAGATCCATGGTGATAATGTCCACTTTTTTTCTTCTTAAGCACAGGTGGCTTATACCTGAGCTGAAAGACTAAATTCCTTGAGCATGGGAATTAATCACTTTGTCCACAGAATCTAGGAAAGCATTTGATACCAAATTCCTGCTCAATAAAGTATTGAATTGAATGAATTAGGACAGGTGCTTGGTACGTGAGTTGAATAATTCACCTTTCTTCCAGCAGATGTCGCTAACTTTCAGGCTTAAATTTAAGGCTTTAATAAATAAGGCATTACATTTAAAACTTAGCTTAACTATTAAACTGATATTTATATTTTCAAACTGTAAATTTCTTCCTTGTGTTATTGTAAACTTCTGGAATTCCTTTTGCTATGCTTTTAGGAGTACTTCTTTGGCCAGTCTCCAATGGGTTCATTTCCTTCTGATTTTTTTTCCAAGCAGTGTTTTGCTTGCTGTACTCACAGATGATGAAGGTGGTTGTAATAGCAATGGCTGACAACGTGCTGGATGCAGGGCTAAGCGCTTCATGTGCATTATCTCACTTGAGATTCCTATAGCACCCCTGTGAGGTAGGAACTGTTATCACCCCTATTTTACTGTTGAGCAAACCGGGGAACATGAAGTAACTTAGTCAAAAGTCTCACAGCTTCAAGGTGACAGAATCAGAATTCAAACTTCAGAATTTTAACAATTTCAGCATGTTGTCATTAAGCTTTTTTCTGTTTCATTACACAGTTTTTGTAAACATCATTTTGCTAAACTTTTAACCTGGGTGCCAACGTTTGCTTATCACTAATAATATGTTTTGCAAATTAATAATAAAGTGAATTTTTTTAACATGTTCACTTTCTTCAGTGAAAATCTCAAAGAGTGGGCTTGTGCCCTTCACGTTTTCTGATTAGCATCTCTCATGCGTATTAGATTGGTACATTCTTTTTAACTAGAAAAATGGATGTTTGAACTTAAAAAATTTAAAACCCAAGCTTCTCTCTCACATCTAAACTGTATTCAAAATGCTTGATGAAGTTTTTTTCATCAAAGGCATATCTTTAAAAAGAACTCCTGCAAAACAGCGAGCACAACCCAGCACAGAGAAGTGCTCTGTAAGTGCTACCTATTAAAATTATTACTATCTTCATCTATATGGAAGCAAACAAAAAGATCAGAAAGAAAGCTATCAAGAAGATAAAAGAGATTGTTTAGGGCTATGGTGAACATTTATTATTTTTATCTGACCGACTTTTTTTTTTTTCTTGTACAGATGGGGTCTTGGTATGTTTGCCAAGGCTGGTCTTGAACTCCTGGCCTCAACTGAGCCTCCTGTCTTGGCCTCCTAAAGTTCTGAGATTACAGGCATGTTCCATTGTGCCCAGCCCCACTCAGTGTTTTTTCCTATCTGACTTTGGGAACAGTATTGTTCCTTATTTTGAGGACTTCTCCCATACACTGATTCTATGAGCTTTGGGGCAGCTGCCAATCATGGAATTGTGCTGTCCTGGCCACCCAGGTGGACATGTGATCCAGCCAGGCCAGGCTCAGCACTTCCTCAAGATTAATTGATCTGATATTCGGAGGAAAAAGTCCTTCCTCTCCTTTAAGGAAAATTAAGCAAAAGGAAACTAAATAAATTTTCTAAAAGCAGATATTTGCCAATCCGTGTTGAAAAAAATAGATCTATATTTCACAGCATTTACAAAAATTCCAAACGAATCAAAAGACTTAACAAACCTATTAAAAGAAAACAAAAAGGAGAATATACTTAAGAGTAGACCTTCTAAAACATTATAAAAATGCTAACGCCTTAAAAAATGGTGAATAAATGCCATTTTATCAAATTTCTGAACTTTTACATAACATCATTGCAAATAAGTTTAAAAGACAACTAGAAGACTGGGAGGAAATATTTGTAACATATATAACAATCAATGTTATTTATTTATTTATTTAGAGACAGGGTCTCCCTCTGTCACCCAGGCTGCAGTGCAGCGGTGCAATTATGATTTACTGCAGCCTTGAACTCCAAGGCTCAAGTGATCCTCCTAACCTCAGCCTCTGGAGTAGCTGGGACAACAGGTGTGTGCCACCATATCTGGCTAATTTTTGTAGACATAGGGTCTTGTTATGTTGCTTAGGCTTGTCTCGAACTCCTGGACTCCCACCTTGGCCTCCCAAAGTGCTGAGATTACAGGTGTGAACGACCATGCATGGCAATGGATTAATATCAAAATCAGCAAAGAACTCATAATCCATAAATAAGAGAAAAACGAGAATAAGAATAGACAATTCACAGAAGAGGTGGTATAAATGCTGAACAAACATATAAAAGATGCTCAACCTTGCCGCTTATCAGAGTGATACCAAACATAAATTTTTATGAAAAGTTCTATGAAATGAAATAAAATACCATGCCTGTGTCACCCATAATATTAAAAAAAATTCAAAATTTGATAATATTAATTGTTAGAAAGTATACTTGTAAAGGGACTTTCTCATACACTATTGGTGGTAGTAAAAATTTCATAACATTATAGAGTGCAATTTTAAAATGTAGTACTTGGCCTGGCACGGTGGCTCATGCCTGTAATTCCAGCACTTTGGAAGGCTAAGGTGATCCACCTGAGGTCAGGAGTTCGAGACCAGTCTGGCCAACATGGTGAAACCCTGCCTCTACTAAAAATACAAAATAAAAAAAAAAATCAGCTGGGCATGGTGGCAGGTGCCTGTAATATCAGCTACCAGGGAGACTGAGGCAGGAGAATTGCTTGAACCCGGGAGGAGCCGAGATCCTGCCACTGCACTCCAGCCTGGGTGACAGAGTGCAACTGTCTCAAAACAAAACAAACAAAAACTACATATACATATAACTATAGATAAACATAATATACTACAGATGATAGAAATATAAACATAAATGTGATGCACCCTAAATGATAAATGCCAAGCTAGTAGTAACCATCTCTGATGAGAGATTAGGATTAGGGATCATCATTAAGAATAATTTTAAATTCATCTGAACTGCTTGACTTTTTATAATGAAAATATATTCATTTAGTGCTTATATACTTAAAAATAAATAATTAAAAAGAAAGTACTGAATGTGGGTTTTCATTTAGTTTCTAAAGAGACTGACTGCATTCTTGAAACTAGATCGGGTCAAATGTGGGTACAGCACGGCTCCTCCATCTGTCTTCCCTTGCTTCCCCTCTACTCCCTCTGCGTTGCTAAGGATTCTCTTGTTGACATCTGCTTATCCCAGATTCTTCACTATGACTTTCTAAACTCTCCAATCTTCTAAACCTCATCAAAGTTTACCCATTCTTTGAGCCAGTTCTTCAGGTGATTACCTAATATGATAAATTAATTCCCTATAAATTATGATAATAGTGTTGCATATTATATCTCACAGATAAATTGTTTACTTTTACCAGGAATCTTTAATACATTATTTTTTTAATTTATGTATTTATTTTGTCGAGACAGGATCTCCCTGTGTTGCCCAGCCTAGTCTTGATTGAATTTCTGGCTTTAAGTAAAGTGATCTTCCTACCTCGGCCTCCTAAAATACTGGCATTATAGGTGTGAGCCACTGTGCCAGACCTTGGTACATTGTTTTAAAGAAAAGATGAATGGTGACCATTTTAGGAAAGTCAATGTGAAATATACGTAAGAGAAGAGAGATTTTTAGAACCTCTTCATCAAATTATAGAGGGTCTACCTTCCATATTTATAAATGACCTTCATCTTATTGACTGTCAAGGTTTTTAAAACTCATTTATATGTTGTCATAAAATTTGCTAAGATATTATTATATTATCTGTGATCACTATAAATGGAAGACAGTTATTTTGCAAATTCTACATATTTCCTTAGTTTTTCAGTCTTTAAGATAGGGGGAGTTTGAGTAAGCTGTAGAATGTATATTTATTATTTCAATGTGAATAAGAATCTTCTTGAGATTCCTTCAAGAGACTTAAAGCAGTACTACTTTACAATAAATATAATTGACAGCTTTTTTCAAATGCTTCGTATGAGCCTTCTTACATTCCAAAACATCTGCATGCCCCAGTAAAAGTGCATTGGAAAGGTTCGAAATAAGCTAATAGTTTAAAGTAATTGCTGGTGAGATCATTTAATACAATTAAAACTTTAAAATTAATTGATTATTCTTATTTTAATTTAAAGCAGACACATAAATCTATTAAAAATTCACAGCTGGCCAGGCGTGGTGGCTCATGCCTGTAATCCCAGCATTTTGGGAGGCCGAAGTGAGTGGATCACCTGAGGTCAGGAGTTCAAGACCAGCCTGACCAACATGGTGAAACCCCATCTCTACTAAAAATACAAAAATTAGCTGGGTGTGGTAGTGCAGGCCTGTAATCCCAGGTACTCGGGAGGCTGAGGCAGGAGAATCACTTGAACCCAGGAGATAGATGCTGAGATGAGCCAAGATCACACCACTGCACTCCAGCCTGGGCAACAGAGAACCTCGTCTCAAAAAAAAAAAAAAAAAAATGTGCTTTCATACCATATTCCACAATGGAATATTATTTTGCCATAAAGGAATGAAGTACTGATGTATTATACAACATGGATGAACCTTGAAAACATATTAAGTAAAAGAAGCCCACATATTGCATAATTTCATTTATTGGAGATGCCCAGAATAAGTAAATCCATGAAGACAAAAATTAGATTAGTGGTTGTCAGAGGCTGTGGGGGTGGGGATGAGGAGTGACTGCTCTCGAGTACAAGGTTCCTTTTTGCAGTGATAAACATTTTCTAAAATTAGATTATGGTGATACTGGCATCAATATATTCATGCCTCTGTGAATACATTGAAAACCTTTGAATTATACACTTTAAAACCATGAGTTTTATGGAGTTTTATGGTATGTGAGATATATCTTTATAAAGCTGTAAAAATGTCCACACATAACACAAAACAACCTAGATATTAAATTTCATTATGTAAATATTTTTGAAACTATGTATTTCAGATGATGGAATCTCCATATACATATGGGGACAGAAAATTAGGCTTCTGAACTCTGATATGAGAAATGGGCTCTATCTATCATTGCAAATAGTTTCCTCAGAGACCAATTCAAACATATTTTTTGTTTTTGCTTTTTTTAGCACCTTGGGCTTGAAGAATCAATGTAAAAATATATTACGATACAAAGGTAAATCCAATAAAACACAAAGCTAGATGCACTGAAGTAAAACTATTCCAAGTTTGTCAAAGAGAATGCTTGCTTATAAACCATGTTTACCAAAACCAAAAGGGAGATGGATCTTCAATGTCTTTTTTTTTTTTTTTTTTAAGACAGAGTCTCACTCTGCCACCCAGACTGGAGTGCAGTGGTGCCATCTCAGCTCACTGCAACCTCCGCCTCCCAGGTTCAAGCACTTCTCCTGCCTTGGCCTCTTGAGTAGCTGAGACTACAGGCGTGTGCCACCACACCCGACTAATTTCTGTATTTTTAGTAAAGACGGGGTTTTGCAATGTTGGCCAGGCTGGTCTCGAACTCCTGGCCTCAAGTGATCTGCCTGCGTCGGCCTCCCAAAGTGCTGGGATTACAGGCATGAGCCGCTGCACCTGACCTTATCTCTTACATTTTTATTTCTCTAAGTAGTATTTATATTTTAAAAGAGTTCTCTGGTTAACCTACAGGAACAAAGCAGGAAAGATTTAATTTTAGGCAGCTAGAGGAAAACTATTAGGGTAGAGATGGCTCATCTGCCAGCTCAAATTATGCAGAGGAGGTAACTTGTCTGTAAAATTGGTTCTTCCTACCATGCAGTGGTCTTGATGCTTCTTTTACTTGTTCTATGAGGACTCAAAATCCAACAGAAATGTCTAAGTGCTGTATTTTTAGGAGCAGATGAAAACTTACACATAAATTTTAGTTCAGTTTGTTACAAAGTTTAAAGTCAAAGTGACCTCAAAAAACAGTATCACTTTGTTGAGTGTTGAAAGTATAAGAAGCTAAACAAGGATTACTGTCACTACTAGTTATATTTGTCATTTGGAAATCACTCTCAATTTAAGAAATATTTGGTTGATTTACTTTTTGTCAAAGCAGTGTGTGTGTGTGTGTGTTTAAAGGAAATCACATATAATTATTTATTATTGTTTTTCATTTATAAGGTTGCTAGACTTTGGCTATTTGTCCCCTCTAAACCTCATTTTGAAATGTGATCCCCAGTGTTTGAAGTGGGTCCTAATGGGAGGCATTTGGGTCATGAGGGTGGCTCCTCCATTTTATTTTTATTTTATTTATTTATTTTTTTTGAGACAGAGTCTCACTCTGTCGCCCAGGCTGGAGTGCAGCGGTGCGATCTTGGCTTACTGCAAGCTCTGCCTCCCGGGTTCAAGTAATTCTCCTGCCTCAGCCTCCCGATCAGCTGGGACTACAGGCTCTCGCCACCACGCCCAGCTAATTTTTTGTATTTTTTAGTAGAGATGGGGTTTCACCGTGTTAGCCAGGATGGTCTCAATCTCCTGACCTCATGATCCACCCACCTCGGCCTCCCAAATTGCTGGGGGGTGGCTCCTTCATGAACAGATTAATGCTTCCTCTGTGGGAAGAGGTGAGTGAGTTCTTGCTCTATTAGTTCCCAAGAGGGTTGGGTGTTAAAAAGAGCCTGGCACCTCCTCCCTGTCTTGCTTCCTGTCTCCCCATGTGATCTCTGCACGTGCCAGCTCCCCTTCACCTTCCACCATGAGTGGAAGCAACTTGAGACCCACACCAGAGGCAGATGCTGGTGCCATGCTTCTTTGGGCCAATTAAACCTCTTTTCCTTATAAATTGTCCAGCCTCAGGTAATTATGGCAACACAAAATGGACAAAGGATCTGTGATATCTGGGTATATATCACAGATCCAGATACAAACACTTAAAAGATCTATGTTTTTGTTGGTGGTGGTCACTTAATGTTCTTTTCCACCTTGAATTCAAGTGGCAAATAATGAGAGACCAGTTCACAGAGCATAAGAGGACAGCCCTCATTTCTGCCTCTCAGACTAAAAGATATAGACTGTCCAAAATGAAACTGGATGGATGGAGAACTGGTCAAAGCTAGCCATGTAAAGCGGTGATCTCAAGCTGGAGGGAATTTTGTCTCCCAAGGAATATTTGGCAAGTTTGGAGACATTTCTGGTTGTCACAGTTGGAGAAGTTACTGGCGTCTAATGGATAGAGGCCAGAGATGCTGCCAAACATCCCAAAATGCACAAGATACCTCCTATAACAATCATCCAGCCCCAAATGTTCACAGTGCAGAGTTGGAGAAATCCTTATCTGAAGCAATACTATGTCATGAATGGCTAAATTAACCAAATTCCAACCAAAAAAACTAAAGGTTATCGATATGGTTTGGCTCTGTGTCCCCACCCAAATCTCACGTTGAATTGTAATTCCCCCTGCTGGGGGAGGGGTCTGGTGGGAAGTGATTGGATTGTGGAGATGGATTTCCTCCTTGCTGTTTTTGTGATAGTGAGTGAGTTCTCATGAGATCCGGTTGTTTCAAAGTGTGTGGCACTTCCCCCTTCGCTCTCTCTCTCCTGCCGCCATGTGAAGACATGCTTGCTTCCCCTTCACCCTTCTGTCATAATTGTAAGTTTCCTGAGGCCTCCCCAGCCATGCCTCCTGTACAGCCTGTGGAATTGTAACTCAATTAAACCTCTTTTCTTTATAAATTACCCAATTTCAGGTGGTTTTTTATAGCAGTGAGAGAATGGACTAATACAGTTATAGTTTCAAAAATAGAGAGATGCCAGTAGCTTGACAGAACATCAGTCTAATTAACCAAAAATGTTTCAACCTAAGGTAGTTACTTGAATTTGGAAAAGGAGCCCATGAGACTGAGAGCCTAGCTCTAAGCTCTGGTAACTCACCCATGGTCCCATCCTGAGACAGGGCCTGAGCCATCAGCCCCTGGCCTGAGACACCTCCATCCTCCGCAAGAGCAATCTGTACTCAGTTCACAGTGCAATTCTCATCACAAGGCACCCATCATGATCACATCAAAGGTCAGAACACATGTATCCTGTTTCTACAGGACTCCCTTTGTCAGAAGTTGTGTAGAATTCAAATAATATTTTAAACACTCTAAATTGAATAACATTTCTTTTGTAAATTTGCTTAAAACTATAATGACAATTATTGCTGATACAGTGAAAAAGAAGAATGAAGAAAGGAGGAGCTGTCTGACACAACAAATACTGATTTTCATTGACCAAGTTGGAAATCATGAGTGCCCTATGCAGAACAATACAAATAAGGACATTAGGTAGGAGGCGGCAAGTGTGTGGGGCAGATCCAGTCTAGGTGACCTAAACTCAGGCTCACAGAGAGTGGGAGGAACCCAGCGAGGCTTCAAAGGCACTGAAACATTACATATCTTGATTTTTGTTGTGGTTTTACACATTCATACATACATACATTCCTATCTATCTCTCTACCAATAGGTCCCTCTAGATCTAGATTGAGAGAAACATGTAAGTATGTATGTGTGTGTGTGTGTTTGTATGTGTGACTCGCGCAATTTACAGTAAGTTGAAAACAAAAATTTTTTTTTTTTTTTTTTTTTTTTTGAGACGGAGTCTCGCTCTGTCGCCCAGGCTGGAGTGCAGTGGCGGGATCTCGGCTCACTGCAAGCTCCGCCTCCCGGGTTCATGCCATTCTCCTGCCTCAGCCTCCCAAGTAGCTGGGACTACAGGCGCCCGCCACTACGCCCGGCTAATTTTTTGTATTTTTAGTAGAGACGGGGTTTCACCGTTTTAGCCGGGATGGTCTCGATCTCCTGACCTCGTGATCCGCCCGCCTCGGCCTCCCAAAGTGCTGGGATTACAGGCGTGAGCCACCGCGCCCGGCCGAAAACAAAAATTTTTTAAGAGACAGACTTGCCCAAGAGCAGTGGTGCAATTAGAGCTCACTGTAGCCTCAAACTCCTGGGTATAAGTGATCCTCCTACCTCAGCTTCCTGAGTAGCCAGGATTTCAGGCCTGAGCCACCACGCCTAGCAAAAAAAAAAAAAAAAAAAAAAAAAAATGCTGAGGACAATAGGAAATTTCCCACAACTTGCATCTGCTTTAAGGAGTCTGGCCTTAATAGGAAATTGTAATTGTCCATTTCACAGCAGGAGGCAAAGAATTCCTGGCTTGACTCACAGATACACACAAGACCTGGGAATTCTTCAAAAATGTTTGGAGAGGAGAACTCCAAGAAAAAGCTAGGGAGCTTGCAGTATGAAGATTTGCACTAAGTGATAATATAAAGTGATCTCATTTATAACAACTGGTCCAATGTAGAATCTCCCTGAGTCAGCTAAGAATTAGAACCATGTTTGACCATATCTAGTTCACCTGTAAAGCTAGCTCAGCACATTTCTGATTCTTTAAAAACATTACTAAGGTCATTCATCAGCCAACTGCTATCACAAGACTAAACAACTGCTTAAGGGAAATAGCTCGGTTGGTTTGTGTTTCTTAATTTACAGGTTTCTAAAAATTGCCTTTTTTATCGAATACCTCATCTCTTGCCTTCATTTTTCTCTTTTAGATATACTTCATGTTGTAGTGTCTGGCGATTTATTAAAGGAGATCAGATTTGATACCAATGAACTCAGTCAAAAAGGTATTAGAAAGACCTAGATGGCTAATCTTTTATATAATGCTTCTGCATAGCTTATATTCTGTCTTAGAGCTGCCAGAGATTTTTTTTTAATATGTAGAGCCTCAGAGAAACAGGTCTATCCCAAGTTGCTCAGTGTAACTGTCCAAATAATAATAATCACTTTAGCAACACATTCTATAATAGGAGTGTTATTTAAGGAGGAAAGAGGGGTTGCTTTGGAGTACTTTGTTTCTGCTTGGGAGGAGCACAATTTCTAAACCTAAATATTTCTGGGTTTCAATCCTGGATAAGTCATGTATTTATTAGTTTTGCGACCTTGGGCAAGTTACTTAACTTACCTTAGCCTACATTTTCTCATCTATAAAATAGAGGAAACAGCTGGGTGTGGTGGTGCAAGCCTGTAGTCCCAGATACTCAGGAGGCTGAGGTGGGAGGATCGCTTGAGACAAGGAGGTCTGGGCTGTAGTGCGCTATGCCAATCAGTGTCTGCACTAAGGTCAGCATCAATTTGGTGACCTCCTGGGAGCAAGGGACCACCAGCTTGCCTAAGGAGGGGTGAACCGGCCCAGGTCAGAAATGGAGCAGGTCAAAATTCCCGTGCTGATCAGTAGTGAGATTGGGCCTGTGAATAGCCACTGCACTCCAGCCTGGGCAACAAAGCAATCCCATCACTAAAAAAAATAAATAAATAAAAATAAATAGAAAGCATATCCTTCAAGGTTTTTGTGAGTTGAAATGTCTTAACACTATAACAATGCCTAGTATATAACAGGCAATAAACATTTGTTTTCTTCCCCTTGTCCCAGCTGGGATACTATGCCGACACCTTTTTGTAGAAAGGCAACATCCAACTCCTCCCCAGTCCAGGCATACTAATGCTGATTTTAGACTGTGGTAGACTCAGCTGAGCAACAAACATTTTGAGCTCTTGCACTGGGTCACTTCCTGCCAGCCAGTTGGTAGGATTAGACTCCTTGCAATCTGTGTGTGCAGCAGAGTGGATTAAATTTCTGAAATATTTTATCACATCTGACCTTATTATTTTATAAATTCATCAGAAAATGAAAATGTGTAAGTCAGGAGATCCATTTATAAACAAAAAAGGATAGGTCTTGTAAATAACACATTTGGAACAGAGAATTATTTTGGTCTTGCCAAAAACTGTTTACTTGAATCCTTAGTTTTGATGAGATATTCATTGACTTCATTAATCAATGAAAAGAACGTTAAAGAATATTTATGATATGCCAGAGCTACATCATTGTGTCTCAAGGCAAGATGCAAGGGTTCTATAAATGTTTAGGTTTTGACGAACAGCCTTGTACACATGAAATCAGGAGACTGGCTTTAATGATCTCCTTCACCACACCTGTATTTAATTGTGGATAAATTTGAAGAAAATTTATCAGCAAGTTCTCAATTTTACCTTTGGTCCAATTTAAAGACAGTATTCTTCAATAAATAAACTGAAAATCATTGCCGTGGACTTACTATGTACAAAATACCTAGCACTGTTTACAGAAGGAGGCAAATGCCATTTCAGGAGCCATCTTGGCAGACATTCCGACTTCAATCTCTTGCTGTTTATCTCCTGCACATAGAGGCTGCCTCCTGTCCTGGCTGGTAGTACAACAGCAATGGCCTAAAAGGGAAATCTAAGAGGATTTACACGAATTATGTGGTCTCATCAAAATGCAAGGAGTGAAATCCTCTTAGAACAGTTAAATAATCTCGTGGGAAATTAGCTGTCTACTTTGCTACTGCAGTAATACTAAAAACTTGTCAAAGGGATTGAAGAAAAGTCCTCAGAAGCTGCAAGTAGAGGGGGGATCATGAAAATGCACTGGCCTGTTACAGAAGGAAGCCATGGAAACAGTAAATAGTCTTTTAGGGTCTCCCAAGGGGAGCAGATACTCAGTGTTATAAATAAAGTTTCGGTGCCACAAACTAAATAGCGCTCAAATATAAAATTTTCATTTTAATTCTCAGCAAGGCAACGTACTTCTGTAGAAGGGTGCGCCTTTACAGATGGAGCAATAGTGAGCGCACACCTCGACAAGGGAGGGGAAGGGGTTCTTATCCCTGACGCAAGTGGTCCCTGCTGCTGTGTCGTTCCCCTATTGGCTAGGGTTAGACCGCACAGGCTAAACTAATTCCGATTGACTAATTTAAAGAGAGTGACAGGGTGAATGATTTGGTGGGAAAAATGGTTATGACAGAGCAGGTAATTGGAATGAGTCAGGGTGGAGTAGGTAATCAGAATGAGTCAGGGTGGGGCAGGTAATCGAAAAAGGTTGCTTTATGAGGAAGTTAAGTTTAAAAGTAGAAGGCAAAGAATTGAACATACTGACATATTGATTCTTTGAAGAAAAATTTAGAACTCATATCTCACATCAGGAAGCACTGGAAGAATTGAATTTAATGGAATTCCCTTTGAGGTGAAGAAGCCAATTTAAAAAGTAATCTTAGCTCAAAGACCCTGTGACTGTTCTCACTTGGTGGCACAAAATTACCCTCAACATCCCTGAGGGCCAGGCACTTTTCTCACCCCAGGGTGACATTTCCTTCATCCAGCCCTGACCTGATCAGTGCTCCCTTCTTCGCATTTCTCCTTCTTGCTCCCCAAAACATGGAAAGGGACACTCTTTGATATGGTTTGGCTGTGTCCCCACCCAAATCTCATCCTGAATTGTAGCTCCCATAATTCCCACATGTTGTGGAAGGAAGCCAGTGGGAGATAGCTGAACCATGGGGGCAGTTTCCCCCATCCTGTTCTCCTGGTAGTGAACAAGTCTCACGAAATCTGATGGTTTTATAAGGGGAGACCTCTTTCACTTGGTTCTCATTCTCTCTCTTGCCTGCTGCCAGTATAAGATGTGTCTTTCACTTTCTGCCATGATCGTGAGGCCTCCCCAGCCATGTGGAACCGTGAGTCCATTAAACCTTTTTTTTTTTTAATTTCAAATGTATTCTTGTTTAATCAACTCATTATGTGAAACAAAAATATACTTTTTATTATGATTTGTTTTTTGATTTAAATTTAATATTTTGGTCTTTATTCATGCGTGGTGAATTCCACTGTTAAAAACAATTTTTTAAAATATCCTGCCTAAGTTACACTTTTTTTGTTATTTGATGTGTATATTCTATATGCCAATGGCTGTAATTTGTTTTATATATATATAGTTTTTATTATACTTTAAGTTCTAGGGTACATGTGCACAACGTGCAGGTTTATTACATATCTATACATGTGCCATGTTGGTGTGCTGCACCCATTAACTCGTCATTTACATTAGGTATATCTCCTAATGCTATCCCTCCCCCCTCCCCCCACTCCACAGCAGGCCCCGGTGTGTGACATTTCCCTTCCTGTGTCCAAGTGTTCTCATTGTTCAATTCCCACCTATGAGTGAGAACATGCAGTGTTTGGTTTTTTTGTCCTTGAGATAGTTTGCTGAGAATGATGGTTTCCAGCTTCATCCATGTCCCTATAAAGGACATGAACTCATCATTTTTTATGGCTGCATAGTATTCCATGGTGTATATGTGCCACATTTTCTTAATTCAGTCTATCATTATTGGACATTTGGGTTGGTTCCAAGTCTTTGCTATTGTGAATAGTGCCGCAATAAACATACGTGTGCATGTGTCTTTATAGCAGCATGATTTATATTCCTTTGGGTATATACCCAGTAATGGGATGGCTGGGTCAAATGGTATTTCTAGTTCTAGATCCCTGAGGAATCGCCACACTGTCTTCCACAATGGTTGAACTAGTTTACAGTCCCACCAACAGTGTAAAACTGTTCCTATTTCTCCACATCCTCTCCAGCACCTGTTGTTTCCTAACTTTTTAATGATCGCCGTTCTAACTGCTATGAGATGATATCTTATTGTGGTTTTGATTTGCATTTCTCTGCTGGTCAATGATGATGAGCATTTTTTCATGTGTCTGTTGCATGGGCAAGGACTTCATGTCTAAAACACCAAAAGCAATAGCAACAAAAGCCAAAATCAACAAATGGGATCTAATTAATCTAAAGAGCTTCTGCACAGCAAAAGAAACTACTATCAGAGTGAACACGCAACCTACAGAATGGGAGAAAATTTTTGCAATCTGCCTATCTGACAAAGGGCTAATATCCAGAATCTACAAAGAACTCAAACAAATTTACAAGAAAAAAAATAAACAACCCCATCAAAAAGTGGACGAAGGATATGAATAGACACTTCTCAAAAGAAGACATTTATGCAAACCTCTTTTTTTTTAATACATGCCCAGTCTCGAGTATGTCTTTATCAGCAGCGTGAAAATGAACTAATACACTCTTTCTCATCCCTTCATAGAGTAATTGTTGATCAAAGTAAATGTTTCCAAAGTACATTCTCTGAAAGGTCTTCTCTTACCCAGTGCTTTGCAATTCTACTGAACAACACAGAGCACCCACATTTATCCTTGCCTAGAGCTATCTACTGGCCTTGTAGAGCAAATTCAGCAAACAGCTGCACGCCTTTGCTGTGCTCAGATGCCACACTTCCACAGCTTGTGTATGCTCCAGTTATTTTCATTGGAATCATTCTTCCTCTAAGCACTTCGCATTTGAAGAAAATTTATCAGCAAGTTCTTTGAAAATATACGGGATTCTGCCCCACTTAGTGTTTTCCAGCAGAAAGAAATATCTCCATAATGGAAGAAAAATGTTAATTCCAGCCAAGATAACCCCACTGCACTCCAGCTTGGGTGACAAAGTGAGATTCCGTCTCTCAAAAAAAAAAAAAGCCGGGCATGGTGGCTCACACCTGTAATCCCAGCACTTTGGGAGGCCAAGGCAGGCAGATCACTTGAGGCCAGGAGTTCAAGACTATCCTGGCCAACATGGTGAAACCTCATCTCTAGTAAAAATACAAAAATTAGCTGGTAATCATGGCAGACGCCTGTAATCCCAGCTACTCAGGAGGCTGAGGCAGAAGAATGGCTTGAACCCAGGAGGCAGAAGTTGCAGTGAGCCGAGATCATGCCACTGCACCTCAGCCTGGGCAATAGAGCAAGACTCAGTCTCAAAAAAAAAAAAAATCTAATTCCATTTTTGCATCTGCAACTGGCTATTAGACTTACAAACCTGAGAGATCACAGTGATGAGCAGCCCTGACTGAACTGATTGCCACATCCTCTCAAGCTGAACATTCAGTTACTGGTGACTTAGAGTAACAATTCCAATTTGTTTTCTCAGTTTTGGCATAGACTCAGTTCATATGATGCTCTTGATTGGAATTTTTGTTCTTTTTGGTTTTCTGGAAGGTTTTCTTTTTCTTTTCTTTTCCTTTTTTTTTTTTTTTTTTTTTTTTTTGCATTGAAAGATAACAAGGACATTATGCTGGGAATGGGGAACTGCCAGGCCACAGCTCTTCTCCGTGATGCAGGCAACACTCCAGAGAGACCAGATGTCTTTGTACCAGGGATCATGGGCATATATTTTTTGAGCTAATAAAACAGACTCTCTGTGAGGAGAAAAAAGGCAACCAGTATGTCATAGACTCTTTCTAGCTTATAAACTGTGAATTACTGACTTTCCCTAGTGAATCATGGAATTGAGTGACCTAAATTTCTCAGACACTCCATAAACCATTCCAACTGTACGTTCTGAGATTCATGGCTTCACAAGAGTATTTATGCAGTGGGACACAAAGGCAGAGTTCTGGAAAACAAGCTGGGGTGGCATGTATAAATACTTGGACCGGAATGAAGCCTGGAAATGCTGGGAACCAAGCAGGGTGAAAGGAGATTAAGTTACTGCCATGGGAAAACTAAAGTGTTTAGGATAAGACATTAGGAAGCAAGGTTCTGAAAACCCACAGTGATAAAAATAGACTGAATTCTGATTGTTTGGACTGCCTGGGACTGTTATTATTATTACTATTTTAAAAGATTGGGCTGGGCACATTGGCTCATGCCTGTAATCCCAAAACTTTGGGAGGCCAAGGCGGGCAGTGAGATCAGGAGTTCGAGACCAGCCTGGCCAACATGGCGAAACTCCATCTCTACTAAAAATACAAAAATTAACCAGGCATGGTGGCAGGCACCTGTAATCCCAGCTACTTGGGAGGCTGAGGCAGGAGAATCACTTGAACCTGGGAGGTGGAAGTTGCAGTGAGCTGAGATTGTGCCACTGTGCTCCAGCCTGGGCAAGAAGAGCGAAACTCCATCTCAAAAATAAAAAATATCCATGACTCCAAAAAATGTAAGAATTAATTTATGTAACCGAATTAATTCAAACTATCAGAGATCATTTGCTGCTGTGGCTAATTTAAATGCAGCTTTTTGGCTGGGTTCAGTGGCTCATGCCTGTAATGCCAACAGTTTGGGAGGCCGAGGCGGGTGGACGACCTGAGATCAGTAGTTCGAGACCAGCCTGGCCAACATGGTGAAACCCTGTCTCTACTAAGAATACAAAAATTAGCCTGGCGTGGTGGCACATGCCTGTAATCCCAGCTACATCAGGGTGTGGAGGTTGCAGTGAGCCAAGTTCATGCCATGACACTCCAGCCTGGGTGACAGAGCAAAGCTCTGTCTCAAAAAATAATCAATCAATCAATCAATAAATGCAGCTTTTTTCATATAACCAAAAAAAAAATTTAAAGAGAAAGAATAACCAAAAATCAAAATAGACAAACCAAGTTATTCTTAACATGACACACTCACCCTTCCTCTTCCTCCTTCTCTTCTCTGTTTGGTCAAATTGGTCCAATTATTTAGACCAATAATTTGGTCTAAAGCTATCAGGTGAGGTTAAAAAAGGCAGGTGTCTACACAGGTTGGGGGAGGGATGCACAGCAGGGTGTCAGAGCCTATGTGCCCAGGGTGTGACCATGTGTGCAGGGTGTCCCTATGAGCAAGTGGCCACTTGGTGTGTGTGTTAGGGCCTGTGTGAGATTAGAAGGTGTCCTGGGACGGGGACAGCAGGAGCAACAGGACCTAGGTTACATCCAGGGAGTTGGCAAATGAATAAATTTGGGAGCGATAAAAAGAGCAGGTTTCTCACTGCTGGAAAAGCAGTTATAATTATGGACTGGGAGAAAACAAGAATGAATTCAACTGGAATTAGAAATGTCGGTGTAAATTCATAATTTTCATGTAGATAGATAAATAAAATATAGAGGAGCCAGGCGCAGTGTCTCACGCATGTAATTCCAGCACTTTGGGAGGCCGAGGCAGGCAGATCACGAGGTCAGGAGTTAGAGACCAGTCTGACCAACATGGTGAAACCCCGTCTCTACTAAAAATACAAAAATTAGCCAGGCGTGGTGGCACATGCCTGTAATCCCAGCTACTCAAGAGGCTGAGGCAAGAGAATTGCTTGAACCTGGGAGGCAGAGGTAGCAATTAGCTGAGACCATGCACCACTGCACGCCAGCCTGGGCAACAGAGTGAGACTCCGTATCAGAATATATATATAGAGAGAGAGAGAGAGAAAGAGAGAGAGAGAAAGAGAGACAGTCATCCTGGGAGCACTGACATCCTAAGACCCAGCGAAGGAATGAGCACACCTAGCACTCAATCTTAGTGTCTAGATACCACTCTCCACTAAAAGGAACCAGCGCTCCTTGGAAAAATGGTGGCTTCCAGGTCTAGATCAACATATCTTTTTTTTTTTTTTTTTTTTTTTTTTTTTTTTTTTTTTTTTTTTGCCAGAAGGCAAAGCAAGCTCAGAGAATATGGAGACCTATCAAAAGTACCTAGAAATCAGATTGAAGGGACTCACACATATCAAATTTGGGACAACGTGATCATCAGAATAAATAATGATGGCCGGGCGTGATGGCTCAAGCCTGTAATCCCAGCACTTTGCGAGGCCAAGGCGGGTGGATCATTCGAGACCTGCCTGGGCAACATGGTGAAACCCCATCTCTATTAAAAATATAAAAAATTAGCCAGGCATGGTGGTGCATGCCTGTAGCCTCAGCTACTCAGGAGGCTGAGGCAGGAGAATCGCTGGAACCCGGGAGGTGGAGGTTGCAGTGAGCAGAGATCACGCCACTGCACTCCAGCCTAGGTGACAGAGCCAGACTCCCTCTCAAAAAAAAAAAAAAAAAAAAAAAAGAGGAATAAATAATGATAATGAAAGGCTACAACATACTAAATAAAATAAAACAATAATTACAAACTGAAATAAAGGAGTGAGGAAAGAATAAATTGAAAGTATGATGAGGAATGGGACGTTTACATAATCTGAAACTCTGTACCCCCAATACTTATCAATTATAGGGAATACAAAATAATAACTTTATAGTGGAGAACCCTAGCAGACCTACCTTAATAAGTGAGCAAAGATGACATTATTAGTAATGAAGCTATTTGAAATTGTGTGTCACCAAATAGAATATGATGAGATATAATATCATTTATATGATATTTCTGCCAAAGAGGTATAATCTGAATTTAATTAAGAAAAAGCATCAGACTTGGGCCGGGCCCAGTGGCTCACACCTGTAATCCCAGCACTTTGAGAAGTTGAGGCAGACGGATCACAAGGTCAGGAGTTTGAGACAAGCCTAACCAACATGGTGAAACCCCATCTCTACTAAAAATACAAAAATTAGCCTGGCATGGTGGCGCACAGCTACTCAGGAGGCTGAGGCAGGAGAATTGCTTGAACCCAGGAGGCGGAGGTTGCAGTGAGCTGAGATCGCGCCACTGCACTCCAGCCTGGGAGACAGAGTGAGACTCTGTCTCAAAAAAAAAAAAAAAGAGAAAAGAAAAAGCATCAAACTCACACATATTTACAAAACAACTGGCCTCTCACGCCACAGAAAAGGAAGCCAAAAAATAAAAAAATAATTTGGCCTGAAATCTTACACATCAAGATCATGAAAGGCAAGAAAAGTCTGAGGAATTGTTCCAGATTGAAGGATACTCAAGACACCAACAACTAAATGCAAGACATGATTCTGAACCAGATCCTTTTGCTGTAAAAGACGTTGGGACAGGGGCCAGGTGCGGTGGCTCACACCTGTAATCCCAGCACTTTGGGAGGCTGAGGTGGGTGGATCACAAGGTCAAGAGATCGAGAGACCATCCTAGCCAACATGGTGAAACCCAGTCTCTACTAAAAATACAAAAATTAGCTGGGCGTGGTGGTGCGTGCTTGTAGTCCCAGCTACTCAGGAGGCTGAAGCAGGAGAATCACTTGAACCCGGGAGGCAGAGGTTGCAGTGAGCCGAGATTGCGCCACTGCACTCAAGCCTGGTGACAGAGTGAGACACCGTCTCAAAAAAAAAAAAAAAGACATAGGGACAAATGGCAAAACTTGCTTGAGGTCTTAAGATTAGATGATAGTAATGTATTGGCATTAATTTTCTGATTTTGATGTTCTATCATGGTTATGAAGGAGAATTGGTTTGTTTGTAGGAAATGTACACTAAAGTATTTGGTGGAGATGGGCCAACATGCCAGTCACTCGCTCTCAAGTAATTCCGAAAAAAAATTTTTGGTACTGACTTGCAACTTTCCTTTAAGTTTGAGATTGTTTCAAAAATGTTAAATAAAATAAATCAGAATGGTGCACACAACAGCCATACAAAGAAGATTCTTCTCTCTTTCAGTTTTCCAAGGACTGCCCAGAGGATAAGCAGAAAAGCTTGATTAAAAATGGGTTTGAGCAGATATTATAGATTAAGTACCTGGTTTTAAAGACTGGGGATCAAGCTCTCTAGTGAGAAAAGACTTGCTCAGAGCCCAACTGGCCTTGGGTTCCCTTCTCTGAAAAGTTTTTGAAGTTTTCATATTTTTACCTCATTCTATTTCACATGGGTGACAATAGAACAATTTGTCTTCTTTTGCCAAGCTATATGAATTGTTCTGCTAAGGCCAGGCTATGATCAATCATTAGTATGAAAACAACTTTTCAAACTAAAAATTTTAAAAACGCACATACAATTTTGTAAGATTGATTAGCCCCCAAGTAAGTAGATTTCCCCTTGTAAGTAGCAAATATGAATCAGTTAGAAGAGAATGAGGACTATAGGCAGTAGTGTTGTGGATAAGAAAGAGCCGAGTCTTAGAATTGCTTGGGGCCTAAATACTGGCTCTGCCAGTTGCTAGTTATGTGACCCGGAGTGAGGTACTCACCCTCACTGTGTCTCAGTATTCTCATCTGTAAAATGGTCTAAGATAAAATACTCTCCTGATAGAGTTTGTGAATGTAAAGCACTTAGAATCACAAGTAGGTAGTATTTCCTCAGTAACTATTAACTACCATTATTATTACTATTAACATTTTGAATATTCATACCTTACGACTTAGCAGTTCCCTCTCTAACCTTCACCTCAGAGAAACAGAGGAACACCCGTGTACAACGATGTCCTTTGCAGCAATGTTTATAATAGAGAAAAATGTAACAGCTTAAATGTCTATAAATCAGTGTTTAGCTAAAACACAGTGACATATTTCTTACTGCTATGGTTTGAATGGGTCCCTATGGTTGAATGGGTCCCTCAAATTTCAAGTATTGAAAACTTGATTCCAATATTCATATGTTGGTTAGAGGTAGGGCCTTTAGGAGGTAATCAGGATTAGATTAGTTAAGGTCATCAGAGTGGGGGTCCCATGATGGGACTGATGGCTTTATGAAAAGAGGAAGAGGGGCCAGGCGTGGTGGCTCATGCCTATAATCCCAGCACTCTGGGAGGCTGAGGCTGGTGGATCACCTGAGGTCAGGAATTTGAGACCAGTCTGGCCAATGTGGCGAAACCCCGTCTCTACTAAAATACAAAAATTAGTCAGGTGTGGTGGCATGCACCCGTAATCCCAGCTACTTGGGAGACTGAGGCAGGAGAATCGCTTGACTGAGGCAGGAGAATCGGGAGGTGGAGGTTGCAGTGAGCTGAGATTGCACCATTGTACTCCAGCCTGGGCGACAGAGCGAGACTCCGTCTCAAAAAAAAAAAAAAAAAAAAAAAAGAAAAGAAGAAGAGGGAGCTGAGCTGACACACATGTTCTGTCTTACTGTGCAATGCCTCCCATCATGTTATAATATAACCAGAAAGCCGTTAGCATACTCTTGGACTTTCCAGCTGCTAGAACTATAAGATATATATCAATTTTCTTTGTAAATTACCCCGTCTGTGGTATTCTGTTATAGCAGTGCAAAACAAACTAAGACACCTATGTGATTGTCTATACTGAAATTGTAAAAAGTAAGCTTCATGTCACATTGTGAAGTAAAAAGCAAATTGGTATACATGCTATAATAATATTTATGTGGAAAATTTACATGAAATAATACTATGTATTTTTTGACTCTACATAAATAGATGCAGTGCTTAGAAAAATATCTGAAAGCATAAACAAAAAATTACACTTTTTTTGTTTTTGTTTTTCCTTTTTGTGGAGAATCAGGTCTCCTTATATTGTCCAGGCAGCTCTTAAACTCCTGGACTCAAGCAGTCCTCCTGCCTCTGCCTCCCTAAATGCTGGGATTACAAGCATGAGCCACTGCAACCAACATTAACAAAAAATTGATAACCATTTGTTACTTTGAGGGAAAAGAAACTAGATTAGAGATATGATCAAAGGGAATTTAGCTTTACTTGTGATCCTAATTTTCTATAAGAAAAATATGTTTGCATGTTATCTATATGATTAAAGACTGGTAGTGAAAAATCACATTAAAGTATTTTTATGCTATAGATATAAATTTTCTAGGCCGGGCATGGTGGCTCATGCTTGTAATCCCAGCACTTTGGGAGGCTGAGGCAGGAGGATTGTTTGAGGCCAGGAGTTCAAGACCAGCCTGGGCAACATGGTGCAACCCCACCTTTACCAAAAATAAGAAATAATAGCTGGGCATGGTGACACCTGTAGTACCACTACTTGGGAGGCTGAGAAGGAAGGATCACTTGAGCCTGGGAGTTCGAGGCTGCAGTGAGCTATGATTGTGCCGCTACATTCTAGCCTGGGTAACAGAGTGATACCCAGTCTCAATCAATCAATCTATCAATACATCTTTTAAGCACATAATTAATTTTTGATTTGTATCATAAAGGGGAAAGAACAAAGTACTTCAATCCAAAACACTGAGCTGGAGATGAATGTCAACATATTTTCCTCTGGGAGATAATAAATGTTATTTGCTTGTTTACTTTTTCTCCAGCCGATTACTAGCTCTGTGTTTCGTAGACAGTAAGAATGAAAGTTGTCTTTATTTCTTACCCATACACCAACAGCCGACGTCTAGCCCCGCTGGGAAGGGACCCTAGTCCAGGGGGTGGTAAGACATGCTGTAGATTATCCACAAGCTTTCCCTGAAAGGTGACAATTTCTTTCTTTGCTCTTTTTCGTTGCTGCCGGTGTCACAATCAGAGCCACTAGACCTAATAAATGTTTTGTCTTCAGGGCTGGTTGTGTTAAATGACTCTTGGAAGTGAATAGATTAGGCTTTCCCTCCCCTCTGCTTCTTGTCCCTGTGAGTACACATTTTATTTTATTTTTTTTTTATTAAGAAGCTAAAGGAATAGAGAATGGCTACTCCACAGGCAGAGCAGTGTGAGTATGCATTTTAGAATTAGAGCAAATCTGTAGTGATGAAGGATTAAAGCTCAGACCTTTTCTTGCTTAGAGGGCGTGCCCAGCAGCTGACATTCTGCAGGTTCTGCACCAATAGCAGGAGTTCATTTGTAGCCAGGAAAAGGGGAAGCATGCCCTTGTTGGTAATATAGAGCTGCTGAGAGCCACAGCAATGGCCTCATCTGGCTTGGAAGATGATTTGCTCTTTATCTCTAGGACATTTAATCTTCCCTTTTCCAAGCTGTAAAATAGGAACGATAATAGCACCAACAAATGTAAACTGATGCCATATTGACTCAGCATTCTTGGATTAAAAAAAAAAAAACAGTTTAGAAAATGCCTCTGCATTACTCACCGGAATAATGGACCAATAATACGCTTCTTTTGAAAAAGTTAAACTAATAACATTTTTACTGGTTACGTGACCTCAAAATTCGTGCCAAATGTAATGGAGATAACACAATTTTAGATGCTGCTTACATTTGTATTTCTAAGCCACAGAAAGTTCAAAATCAAACCTCTACCTATTTTTGGAAATGGAGGAAAGCAAAATAAAATAATAGTCCATATATCTATAAAAAAGTTAAAAGGTTTGACGTCAAAGAAAACACAAGACTTATATCCATTTAATTGAATGCCTTAAAATAAGACTGTTGCAAGTTAAAGAGTAGAATTACAGACAACTGAGGATGCCAGATTTCCTGAAGGGCCCCTGGGAGAAAAGAGAGTGGAAGAAGCCAAAATCCGGGGCCTTCAGTGTGAAGCAGACATAATCCATTCACAATAGGCCTCAGAAAAACTGAACTTGAGGGACAATGGCCAGTCGCTTCAGGGGGTCTGGAAACGATAATGCTGTGTCCAGGATCTGGTAGCCCTGCCCCTCCATGACCCTAAGAGATTATCCTAGATTCCTGGGAGTTCACTCCTAGAAAACTGGGATTTGGAAGATTTGGATTTGGAGAGTGGGCCCTATATTAGTCCATTCTCACGCTGCTATAAGGACATACCCAAGACTGGGTAATTTGTAAATTTGTAAAAGGAAGAGGTCTAATTGAATCACAGTTCTGCAGGGCTGGGGAGGCCCCAGGAAACCTACAATCATGGGGGAAGGGGAAGCAAACACGCTGTTCTTCACATACCCAAGGCTGGGTAATTTGTAAATTTGTAAAGGGAAGAGGTCTAATTGAATCACAGTTCTGCAGGGCTGGGGAGGCCCCAGGAAACCTACAATCATGGCGGAAGGGGAAGCAAACATGCTGTTCTTCACATGGCAGCAGGAAGAAGTGCGGAGTAAAAGCGGGGAAAAGTTCCTTATAAAACCTTCGGATCTTGGGAGAACCTTCTCACTATCAGGAGAACAGCTTGGAGGTAACCACCCCCATGATTCAGCTACCGCACACAAGGTCCCTCCCTCCTCAACGCATGGGGATTATGGGAACCACAATTCAAGATGAGATCTGGGCGGGGACACAGACAAACCACATCAGTTCCCATCAGCTAAGAGTTACCAGCCAATTCATTTTGTTTTTTCTAGCTAGAATTTGGTTGTACCTTAGCACATTTGGTCTGTAGTTTTAGGATTGTGCAAGGGCTGGCATGAACTGCTTCCAGAAAGACTGTGATGTACTTGCCATGTACTCACCTGCTATAAAATGCAGAGGGCTTGATCTCCACCTGAGTCTAGCAGCTGCCTCATGTCAGCATCAACGCTGCTTTGCGTCGGCAGTGATTTATTTGACCACAGCAGGGTGATCCTTGGTTTTGGTAACTTTTCCCTGAGCAACCCTGATATGGGTGTGAGTAGTAGGAGCGTCCTGGGTGCTAAGTGGTCCAGCCCTCCATGCCTGCCTTAAATCACCCCCGACAAATGAGAATCTATCCTATTTATTTTAATGATCCCGTCCAAGGAAGGAGTTTATCTTCATCCATCCCCCAGAACACATTCCAGAGTTTATTAACCCACAATTCACACTACTGGAAAGTTCTCCTGTATAATGAGACCCTCTACCCTCCCACTTGTGAATTTGGTGGGGTTGGAGGACTGGAGTAAGGAAGGCTGTGGGAATATCTATTTCCAGGATGTGTCCCAGGCTGGTCTGGCAGTTGTTGTCATTCTGGTTTAAAATGGATGTTATGAGGCTTTCCCCAAATAACTCAGTCCTAATTTTCCTGAGGATTCCGCTGTGAAACATCAGCTGCTGAAATGAACAGTACTCTTGTCAGATCTTCAACAGAGCAGGGTTTGGCCTCCTTGTCTCCCCTGGAAGTAGCCTCTCCAAGCAAGTGAACTACGAATGTGGCATCATTTACTGTGATTATTTAAAAACATCAATTGAAAAGTTTTTCCATTTTCTTATTATAATCCTACTTTAGATATCTTTCTTAGCTATTTCAAAGAACTAAAACTCATGTTTAAGTGATAAAGTATATGGAGTAACATTTTAATGGTAGATGAAAATAATAGGTTATGGCCGGGAGCAGTGGCTCACGCCTGTAATCCCAGGACTTTGAGAAGCCGAGGCAGGTGAATTGCTTGAGCTCAGGAGTTCAAGACCAGTTCAAGGCATGGCAAACCCCATCCCTACCAAAATAATACAAAAATTAGCCACACATGGTGGTGCACGCCTATAGTCCCAGCTACTCAGGAGGCTGAGGGAGGATCTCTTGAGCCCAGGAGGTGGCAGTTGCAGTGAGCCAAGATTATGATACTGCACTGCAGCTTGGAGGACAGAGCCAGACCCCATGTCAAAAAAAAAAAAAAAAGACAAAAGCAAAAGAAAAAAATAGTAGGTTATGCCTGTAAAGCACTTTTATATACTCCCAAATACACTTGCAAATTTTATTTTATTCCCCAGATCTCTGAGAGACCTTTGAAAGCATAAAATATTTAGAACTCAAAGAAAATGTAGGGATTACCTGCCCAGGCCCCTACCTGATACAGGAATTCCCAGTATAACCTGGCCCCAAGAGTCATTACAGAGCCATAACCTGCTCACTCCACCTGTCAAGAACTCACTCCTTTGTTTGACATTGGGAGTGCTACAGATTTCCTCCTCCAATTGCTTCAAGATCTGCATGGCTTTGATTTCGACCCAGCTGTAGTTTCATCCTGCCACATAACACAGCAGGATAAGGCAGATCCCTCTTTCACATGAAATATTTATGAACAGCTACCCCACGCTCTGTTTCTGTATACCCTCTTCATTCCTCTCTCAAGCTAAATTTCACCCCAAAAGTCCTCTTTCTCAGGCTAGACATCCATAGTTTTTGCTTATGGAAATTGATCAATACCTTTCTCATTCTACTCATGTTAACTGGAATGGCTTTCTTCAAAGATCCTGCCAGAAACTAAATCTTGTTCTCCTGGCATTGCTTCATCAATAAAGGATGGAGCTGTTTTTCTTCTGGACACAGTACTTCTACTAGTCAGCCTAAGAGCACATTTTTGGAAATGTGCTCTTAAATGTGATTTTTGGAAACATTTGCACTTGACTCACATTGAGTTTGCAATCAATTAAGTGGTATAATGTTTGCATGTGCTGTTAAGCTCAATCTTTGCAATTCTATAGTGGTGAAGTTGACTCTTTGGACTTTGATCTGAAACTTTATTGTCAGTTTTCATCTGGTTTCATTCTTTCAAAAATCTTTTTGAATTCTGACTCTGTTGTATACATGTTATAGCTCTTTTTAAATTTTATTTATTTATTTATTTATTTATTGAGACGAAGTCTCGCTCTGTCACCCAGGCTGCAATACAATGGTGCGATCTCAGCTCACTGCAACCTCCATCTCCCAGGTTCAAGCCATTCTCCTGCCTCAGTCTCCCAAATAGCTGGGACTACAGGCACCTGCCACCATGTCTCGCTAATTTTTATATTTTTAGTAGAGATGGGATTTCACCATGTTGGCCAGGCTGGTCTTGAACTCCTGACCTCAAGTGATCCGCTTGCCTGGGCCTCTCAAGGTGCTGGGATTACAGGTGTGAGCCACTGCACCTGGCCTGGTCTGAAGTTTTAATGTCAGGTTTAATGTCAGGTGATCAATGTTTTTTGTTTGTTTGCTTGTTTGTTTTGACTACCTGATCAGCTAACATGGATCCAGGTATTAGCATCTCTCCTTTCAAATGCAGAGATGATTTTTAAAATATCTGGAATTGGGCGGGTGCGGTGGCTCACACCTGTAATCCCAGCACTTTGGGAGGCTGACGTGGGTGGATCACTTGAGGTCAGGAGTTCAAGACCAGCCTGGCCAACATGGGGAAGCCTCGTCTCTACTTAAAATACAAAAATTAGCCAGGTGTGGTGGCTGGTGCCTGTAATCCCAGCTACTTGGGAGGCTGACACACAAGAATTGCTTGAATCCAGGAGGCAGAGGTTGCAGTGAGCTGAGATCCTGCCACCACACTCCAGCCTGGGTGACACAAGGAGACTCTGTCTCAAAAAAATAAATAAAATAAAATGTCTGGAATGTATTGTACAAGTGAATTAGTTATTTGTGCATTCAACAAACATGCATTGAGCACTTACTATATGCTAGGCATATAGGTGCTAGAGAGAGAACACATAAATAAGGACTCTGCCCACATGGAGCTGATATTCTAAGATGAGATAAATAATAAATAAGTGAATAATTGCAGAGTGTAGTGTGATAAAAGAAATAAACATGTTGGAAAGACAGAATGATTTATAAGGGAGCTACTTTAGGTAGGTGATATGGTTTGGCTGTGTCCCCATTCAAATCTCAACTTGAATTGAATCTCCCAGACTGCGCTGTGGGGTAGACCTAGGGGGAGGTAATTGAATCATGGGGGCTGGTCTTTCTTGTGCTGTTCTCGTGATAGTGAATAAGTTTCATAAGATCTGATGGGTTTAGCAGGGATTTCCGCTTTAGCTTCTTCCTCACTTTCTCTTGCTGCCACCATGTAAGAAGTGCCTTTCACCTCCTGCCATGATTCTGGGGCCTCCCCAGCCATGTAGAACTGTAAGTCCAATTAAACCTCTTTTTCTTCCCAGTCTCCTGTATGTCTTATCAGCAGTGTGAAAACAGACTAATACAGTAAATTGGTACCAGTAGAGTAGGACATTGCTGAAAAGATACCTGAAAATGTGGAAGTGACTTTGGAACTGGGTAACAGGCAGAGATTGGAACAGTTCAAAGGGCTCAGAAGAAGACAGGAAAATGTGGGAAAGTTTGGAACTTCCTAGAGACTTGTTGAATGACTTTGGCCAAAATGCTGACAGTGACATGGACAATAAAATCCAGGCTGACGTGGTCTCAGATGGAGATGAGGAACTTGTTGGGAACTGGAGTAAAGATGACTCTTGTTATGTTTTAGCAAAGAGACTGGCAGCATTTTGCCCCTGCCCTAGAGATTTGTGGAACTTTGAACTTGAGAGAGATAATTTAGGGTGTCTGGCGGAAGAAATTTCTAAGCAGTAAAGCATTCATGATGTGACTTGGTTGCTGTTAAAGGCATTCAGTTTATAAGGGAAGCAGAGCATAAAAGTTTGGAAAATTTGCAATCTGACTATGTGATAGAAAAAAAAAACGTATTTTCTGGGGAGAAATTCAAGCCGGCTGCAGAAATTTGCATAAGTAGCAAGGTGCCTAATGTTAATCCCCAGGACCGTGGGGAAAATGTCTCCAGGCCATGTCAGAAACCTTCACAGCAGCCCCTCCCATCACAGGCCTAGAGGCCCAGGAGGAAAACGTGGTTTTGTGGGCTGGGCCCAAGACCTCCGTGCTGTGTGCAGCCTAGGGACTTGGTGTCCTGTGTCTCAGCCACTCCAGCCATGGCTGAAAGGGGCCAATGTACAGATAGGGCTGTGGGTTTAGAGGGTGAAAGCCCCAAGCCTTGTCAGCTTCCACATGGTGGTAAGCCTGCTGATGCACAGAGGTCAAGAATTGAGGTTTGGGAACCTCCACCTAGGTTTCAGAACATGTATGGAAACACCTGGATGCCCAGGCAGAAGTTTGCTGCAGGGGCAGGGCCCTCATGGAGAACCTCTGCTAGGGCAGTGCAGAAAGAAAATGTGGAGTCAGAGCCCCCACACAGAGTCCCTACTGGGGCACTGCCTAGTGGATCTCTGAGAAGAGGGCCACCTCTTCTCCAGACCCCAGAATGGTAGATCCACCAACAGCTTGCACTGTGCACCTGGAAAAGCCACAAGCACTCAACGCCAGCCAGTGAAAGTTGCGGGGGGAAGCTGCACCCTGCAAAGCCACAGGGACAGAGCTGCCCAAGACCATGGGAACCCACCTCTTGCATCAGCATGACCTGGATATGAGACCTGGAGTCAAAGGAGATCATTTTGGAGCTTTAAAATTTGACTGCCCTGCTGAATGTTGGATTTGCATGGGCCCTGTAACACCTTTTTTTTTGGCGAATTTCTCTCATTTGAAATGGTTGTATTTGCCAAATACCTGTATTCCCATTGTATCTAGGAAGTAACTAGCTTGTTTCTTTTATTTTACAGGCTCATAAGTGGAAAGGACTTGCATTGTCTCAGATGAGACTTTGGACTGTGGACTTTTGGGTTAATGCTAAAATGAGTTAAGACTTTGGGGGACTGTTGGGAAGGCATGATTGATTTTGAAATGTGAGGACATGAGATTTGAAGGGCGCCAAGGGCAGAATGATATGGTTTGGCTGTGTCCCCATTCAAATCTCAACTCAAATTTTATCTCCCAGAATTCCCACGTGTTGTGGGAGAGACCTAGGGGGAGATAACTGAATTATGGGGGCTGGTCTTTCCTGTGCTATTCTCGTGATAGTGAATAAGTCTCACAATATCTGATGGGTTTATCAGGGGTTTCCACTTTTGCTTCTTCCTTATTTTCTCTTGCCACCACCATGTAAGAAATGCCTTTTGCCTCCCGCCATAATTCTGAGGCCTCCCCAGCTATGTGTAACTGTAAGTCCAATTAAACCTCTTTTTCTTCCCAGTCTTGGGTATGTCTTTATCAGCAGTGTGAAAAAAGACTAACACAATAGGGTGAAAGGGGGCACATCATCACCAAAAACATGAAGAGTAGGTGAGGCAGCCTCTCAGGAACAGAGAACAGCATGTGGAAAATCGCTGAGACAGGAAAGAGCTTAACAAATATGTTCAGGATCAAGGTTGTTTCTATCTATCTGGTTCTGACTCTGACCTTGGCCCCAGCACAGGACTTCTTGGGTTTGCTCCCGGCTTCACGTAGCACAGCACAGTAAGAAGTTTCTTCCAGAACACAGCCCTGATTGCAGAACCCTGGCCAATCAACCTGGCCCCCACCAGGCCTCACCTAGCAAATTCAGAGACTGGTGGTCTTTTATGGGCCATTTCACAGCATTTTCATTTGAAAGGGCACATAGACTCAGGAATTACAGGCTGAGCAGGCGCAGAATCGATGCAGGGCAGCTCCTTTTGACAAGTCCCAGTTGCTGTTAGAGCTCAGGATGTGCACGTGTGTGAATGCAAGTGCCATGCGCTATTCCTGCTTTACAGTGTGCCTGTGTTCTTGCAGCCGTGGTCCTTGCACTAACCTTATTACCTGCTTTCAATCTTCCACTGTCACACAGGAATGCCAGCTCAGCTGCAAAGTCATCTGGAAAATTAATCTCCAGGTTGAGTGACACCTCTTGCCCAGATTAGCTTTGCCTTCCAATGTTCATTCTTTCCAGATCATATTAAACAATGAGAATATCAGCCAAGAAGGAAATGCCCAGTGGGCCCTTCTCAGAAGTCTTTGATGCAGAGAGAAAAATGACTTGGTCACAATAAGCTTTAAAATAAAGAAATAGTAATAAAAGCTTAGTAAACATGTATTTCCCTCAAAGCAGACAGTATAAAATAATGTGCACTTAGTTTAACAGACCTGCTTTGGCCGGGCACAATGGCTCATGCCTGTAATCCCAGCACTTTGGGAGACCAAGGCGGGTGGGTCACTTGAGGTCAGGAGTTCGAGACCAGCTTGGCCAACATGGTGAAACCCTGTCTCTACTAAAAATACAAAAAATTAGCTGGGCGTGGTGGCGCGCACCTGTAATCCCACTTACTTGGAAGGCTGAGGCAGGAGAATTGCTGGAACCCGTGAGGCAGAGGTTGCAGTGAGCCAAGATCGCACCACTGCACCCCAGCCTGGGAGACAGAGTGAGACTCTGTCTCAAAAAAAAAAAAAAAAAAAAAATTAACAGGCTTGCTTTGATTCTAGTAATATCCTGAGAAGGATTTTAACCTTCCTAACTTCCTCGGTAAAAATAAAGAGATTGACATTAGCAGCCTTCAATTTTCTGATGCCAGATAAAGTTTATTACTCCCAGTTGACTGGATATTGTAAAGAATGACATATATTCAGGTCTGGGAAGAGCATGTTCCATTCCGTCAATCATTCTTCTGCCTGGGAAGTGATGGAAATATGAGGGCCTCCAGGGTCAGTAAGACCTGAATTGAATCCTGTCTGTGCCATTCACTAGCTCAATGGAAAAATTATTTGTCCTTGCTAGTCTCAGTGTCCCTTCTACAGCTCCTAGACAACAAAACTTATCTGATTAAATAATGTAATGTATCCACAGTGCCTAAACATAGGCAGGTTTCCACAAACACTAGCTGTTTATTCTTTTTTGTTTTTGAGACGGAGTCTCGCTCTGTCGCCCAGGCCGGACTGTGGACTGCAGTGGCGCAATCTCGGCTCACTGCAAGCTCCGCTTCCCGGGTTCACGCCATTCTCCTGCCTCAGCCTCCCGAGTAGCTGGGACTACAGGCGCCCGCCACCGCGCCCGGCTAATTTTTTGTATTTTTAGTAGAGACGGGGTTTCACCTTGTTAGCCAGGATGGTCTCGATCTCCTGACCTCATGATCCACCCGCCTGGGCCTCCCAAAGTGCTGGGATTACAGGCGTGAGCCACCGCACCCGGCCACTAGCTGTTTATTCTTTCCCTCCCTTCTGAGATATTTTGAGTTGTGGTTACAAATGTGTATGTGTTTAGTAGAACAGAAAACTGGCACACCATTTGATACATTCCCTCTGTATACATGTAATAGGGGAATTATCTGAAGGACTGCATGGCAAGACTTCCAAAAGTACTGATGAAACACTTCTGTTAATATCGCTTAGATAATCAGAAATACCCTTTCTTTTAGATGGTGTCTAACTAAAAAGACACAACTCAGAGGATTAAGAGTCATGGGTTTTAGCTCCATTTGTCCTGTTAACTAGTCATGAGACCTAAGATAGCCAATTAATCTTTACTTCTGGCCAGGCATGATGGCTCATGCCTGTAATCCCAGCTCTTTGGGGGCTGAGGCAGGTGGATCACTTGAGCCCAGGAGTTCAAGACCAGCCTGGGCAACATGGTGGAACCCAATTTCCAAAAGAAAATACAAAAATTTTCCAGGTGTGGTGGCATGCACCTGAAGTCGCAGTTTCTTGGTGGGCTGAGGCGGGGGGTTCACTTGAGTCTGGGAGGTCAAGGCTGCAGAGAGCCATGATTGTGCCACTGCACTCCAGCCTGGGTGACAGAGTGAGACCCTGCCAAAAAAAAAAAAAAAGCAAAAACAAAAAACACCCTTATTTAGCCAATTGGATTTATAACATCTGCCTTAGCCCAATGCTTTGGGCTATTAAATGAGAGTTTAGATAGTCACTGCTTGTCCTTGAAATGTGAATACCTTGTATTGGCCTCCAAACATAATAGTATTATGTGCTATGTTCTCAAAACTACTATTTATTTATTTATTTATTTTTTGGTCCACTTTTATGTGTTTTTCTCATGTTTTAAACTTTAAGTATCATTTCAGGGAGTCAGTGTAACTTGAGTAATATATTTAAAATCGTGGCCTTTGATCATTTAGGCAAACTATTTATTAATAACTTGTATATCACACATTTAAATAGTCAAGACTTTCCCTCTTTAAGTTAGATATAATTTCTATTTTACAGAAAATAAAAAACAGTCAGCCTAACAGCACACTTGATTTTTTGGAAACTACATTTACACTTGCATCTTCTACATTTGCACCTGATACAAATAATTGTATCAGGGAGATACAATCATTTGCTGAAGGTCATGAGAGCAGTAAGGGACTGTGGCATTCAAATCCTGTTGTTTCTGACTCTAAATTTCACTATTTCGTATGGTTATGCTGTAACATGGAAGAAGTCTCTCTTCTTCGTGTTTTCAGGTTTAAACAAAAGAGTTTCAGGCTAGCTGTGGTGGCTCACACCTGGAATCCTAGCATTTTGAGAAGCCAAGGTAGGAGGATCACTTGAGCTCAGGAGTTCAAGACCAGCCTGGGCAAAATAGTGAAATCTTGTCTCTACAAAAAAATTTTAAAAATTAGCCTGGTGTGGTGGCACGCACCTGTAGTCCCAGCTACTCAGGTGGCTGAGGTAGGAGGATCACTTGATTCCATAAGATGGAGGCTGCAGCGAGCTGTAACCATGCCACTGTACCCCAGTCTGGGTGAAAGAAGGAGACCCTGTCTCAAAGAGTAAACAAAATAAAAGAGCTTCAAAGTTTTACATTGTAAACCCACTGCCTCCAAATGTTCAGATATACATTAGGACAAACTCTAATCTTGTTGAGTAGCAAAAAAATAAAATATTCTCATTTTCTGAGCTAAGTGAGGCACCAACATTTGTATAGTCACCTAATTATTTTTTAATCTATCTGCCTGGTTTGCAAAACTCATGAAGACAAGGACCACATTCCTTTTTGTTCATCATTGTATCCCTAGCACTAAGCGTGGTGCCTAACATTGAGAAATACTCAATAGATTTTTATTGAAGCAATGATATGTATATGAATGAGTGAACTATAACAAGTTTCAGGTATAAGCTGAATTTTAAGTACAAGTTATGGGGAAATAAAGAAGGAAATAGCTCTCCAACAAAGTCCCTCACCTTTTTCTCCTGTGTTAACATCACTGCTGGTTTACAAAATAAGCACCAGGTTAAAATTCTGACAAGGACGTCTGTGTAGGATAGATCATTCCAGGTAAAATATGGGTTCTTGCTCTAAAATTTGGCCTTTTTTTGGTCATGACTTGTGAAAATAAAACTTATCAGCAAAACTTCATACAAAAAAGTTTTATAAATAAAAATAGTGAAAGAAATAGTATACTGAATGTGTGTACCAGACAGGTAAATAATACAGGTAATATTTATATCTGAAACCGAGAAAATGCAGTATCATGTATCATTGTGTCCACTGGGTGGCGCTGCAGACTGAGGTTGATATTCCACAAATTGCTACCCTGATGTCAGACAATAAAACAAGTTAGACAGTAATTCTTTATATGTAAAAGTTCCTATTTTTCATTTGATTCTCACAATAGCTCTGTGAGGAATGTACAGTATGTATTATTATCCCTTAAACACAGGACTTAGATACCATTAAATATATGCCGCTGCCTCTCAGATTTGTAATACATTTTAATCAAATATTCACTTTAAAACAGCCCATTCATATTTGAACTAAATGTTCCAAAGTTATTAACTGGTAACCTTTGGTTCTTTTCTACAGTTTCAAGATTTTGCCTCATAAAAAAGCAATCCCTTGCTGGGCGCAGTGGCTCAAGCCTGTAATCCCAGCACTTTGGGAGGCCGAGGCAGGCGGATCACAAGGTCAGGCGTTCGAGACCAGCCTGGCCAACATGGTGAAACCCCATCTCTACTAAAAATACAAAAATTAGCCGGGTGTGGTGGCGCTTGCCTGTAATCCCAGCTACTCAAGAGGCTGAGGCACAAGAATCGCTTGAACCTGGGAGGCGGAAGTTGCAGTGAGCCGAGATCGTGCCATTGCACTCCAGCCTGGGTGACAGAGTGAGACTCCATCTCAAAAAAAAAAAAAAAGTAATCCCAGTGGAAGGGAGACTAAAATAGCTGGCCTATATATTCCTGGCAGTGGCTCCTTTGCTCACGCTCAGTAAATATGCCATGATGTTCAAAGGAGGCCTGGGAAGAAGTGAAGGCTCTGGTGTCAGAAACAGTGGATTCCAACTCTGGCCCTTCCGCCCTCTCCATAGGTGTCGAGTCATTTGAACTTTTCAGAGCCTCGGTATTAACATATTGAATAGAAATATTTTACCCTCTTTGTCTTACTAGTCTGATAAGAAGATAAAATGAGTCAACATGAGAGAAGTGTTCTGTGAATGTAGGTTATTTATTTATTCACTTATTTATTTATTGAGATAGGGTCACTGCAGACTCAACACCCGAGGCTCAAGCGATCCTCTTACCTCAGCCTCCTGAGTAGCTGGGAACACAAGGGCATCGCCAGCCTGGCTAATTTTTGTATTTTTGGTAGAGATGGGATTTCACCATGTTGCCCAGGCTGGTCTCAAACTCCCAAGCTCAAGCTATCCTCCCACCTCGGCCTCCCAAAGTGCTGGGATTCCAGGCGGGAGCCACCGTGACCAGCCAATGTGAAACATTTTCAAAATCAATTTAAATAAACGGTTGCAGTCGTCCCTCTGTATCCACAGGGTCCACATCCATGGATTCAACCAACCATGAATTGAAAATATTTTTTGAGGCCAGACATGTTGGCTCACATCTCAAGGTGCTTGTAATCCCAGCACTTTGGGAGGCTGAGGGGGGTGGATCACCTGAGGTCAGGATTTTGAGACCTGCCTGGCACAAAAATCAAATGTGCTTTTAGGCTATTTTTTATTTTAGTAGAAACCCTGTCTCTACCAAAAATACAAAAATTAGCTGGGCATGGTGTCAGGTCCTGTAATCCCAGCAACTCGGGTGGCTGAAGCAGGAGAATTACTTGAACCTGGGAGGCAGAGTTTGCAGTGAGCCAAGATTACGCCATTGGACTCCAGCCTGGGCAACAGAGCAAGACTCCATCAAAAAGAAAGAGAGAGAGAGAGAGGGAGGGAGGAAGGAAGAAAGGAAGGAAGGAAGGAAGGAAGGAAGGAAGGAAGGAAGGAAGGAAGGAAGGAAGGAAGGAAGGAGGGAGGGAGGGAGGGAGGGAGGGAAGGAGGGAAGGAAGGAAGGAAGGAAAGAAAGAAAGAAAAATATTTATTGAAAACCCAAAGGCCAGGCACGGTGGCTCACGCCTGTAATCCCAGCACTTTGGGAGGCTGAGGTGAGTGGATCACGAGGTCAGGAGATCGAGGCCATCCTGGCTAACACGGTGAAACCTGGTCTCTACTAAAAATACAAAAAATTAGCCGGGCGTGGTGGCGGGCGCCTGTAGTCCCAGCTACTCGAGAGGCTGAGGCAGGAGAATGGCGTGAACCCAGGAGGCGGAGCTTGCAGTGAGCCAAGATCGTGCCACTGCACTCCAGCCTGGGTGACAGAGCAAGACTCCGTCTCAAAAAAAACAAAAAACAAACAAACAAACAAAAACCCAAAGGCAATAAAAAAAATACAACAGTAAAAAAAATACAAATTTTAAAATACAGTAGAACAACTATTTACATAGCATTTACATTGTATTATGTATTATAAATAATCTAGAGATGACTTAAAGTATACGAGAGGGTGTGCATAGGTTATACACAAATACTAAGCCTTTTTTTTTTTTTTTTTTGAGATAGGGTCTCCTTGTGTCACCCAGACTGGAGTGCGGTGGCTTGATCTCGGCTCACTGCAATCTCCGCTCCCCCAGGTTCAAGCGATTCTCCTGCCTCAGCCTCCCGAGTGGCTGGGATTATAGGCACGCACCACCACACCCGGCTAATTTTTGTATTTTTAGTAGAGACGGGGTTTCACCATGTTGGTCAGGCTGGTCTCAAACTCCTGACCTCGTGATCCACCCGCCTTGGCCTCCCAAAGTGCTGGGATTACAGGCGTGAGCCACCGCTCCTGGCCTACTAAGCCATTTTATTTAAGCGACTTGAGCATTCACAGGGTTTGGTATCTGCGGGGACCCCGGAACCAATCCTGCCCCCGGGTACCAAGGGACAGTTGAGCACCTTGAGATGTATATAAAAACTCATTTCTACCAAATAACAAAACTCTCAAAAGGATACTGTTAGAAAAAGTTTTAAAAGATTCCTGGCCGGGCACGGTGGCTCATCGCCTGTAATCCTGGCACTTTGGGAGGCCGAGGCGGGTGGATCACGAGGTCAGGAGATCGAGACCATCCTGGCTAACACGGTGAAACCCCGTCTCTACTAAAAATACAAAAAATTAGCCGGGCGTGGTGGCGGCCACCTGTAGTCCCAGCTACTCGGGAGGCTGAGGTAGGCGTGAACCCAGGTGTGAACTCCTGGTGTGAACCCATGTGAACTCCTGGCGTGAACCCAGGAGGCGGAGCTTGCAGTGAGCCAAGATCATGCCACTGCACTCCAGCCTGGGCAACAGAGCGAGACTCTGTCTCAAAAAAAAAAAAAAAAAAAAAAAAAAAAAGATTCCTGTGGGCTTCACGTCTTAAGCGCTGTAAAACCGGGACATGGGATTATTTACTTAAATATCTTAATCTTCTTGATCTGCCTGTGGAAGCTGGAAAAGTATGCATGTCCAGGGGTCTGAGGGTACATGGCTGTTCTCCGTGCTTTTAAAGATGCCCAACAGGAGAAATTCACAGGAAACAATATTTTAAGTCATGAAGCACAAAGAAGGTCCCAATAGTCCCAGACTCCAGCTCTGGGGTCAAGTGCTAAAAGCATTGTTACTTTCTTACTTACGAAGTTACAAAACATTGTTTCTGAGTCCCTGGCATGTAAGTTACCTCAGATCCTCAGCAGTACAAAACAAGCGCTTTTAGTCCCAATTTGGGAAAGAAGAGACTAAGAAGTGGAGCCAGTTTTCAAAAGTCAGAGGTTCTCCTTATTCACCATGCTGCCTCCCTCACCATACCTTTCCTTGGTGTCCTGTTCATTGTAACTCTGGATAATTAGCCAAGCTGATGCCTTGTCCTTTTACAGAATGACAGAAAATTCTTCAGATTATTATAAACAATGTGTGATCCATTTTCCCTTGTGAGTGAGTGAATGGTCTGTTTAAAAAGGGCCTATCAAATGCTCCTCGTTAATGACTAAGAGCCTGTCTGCTTTCTTTCCCAAAGTGGGAATGGGATTGTGATGGAAGTTGGGCCCACCAGGTGTGTGGATATGGTTAGAAGCTGCAGACAGTCTTTATTGACCACCATCTTGGAGGGATGGACTTTGCGACGTCCAATGCCAAATTACTGCCCAAAAGATAAGGAAAGAATGAGAATGCAAAACCTGGGGTGGTGGGGGAGGGGGGCTCACTGAATTTTACATAATTGCATATGAGATGAGACTAGAAATTTTGCAGATGTTTCTGGCTACAGACTCATTTTACTTGGCCAGACAGTGGTTTTGTTTTTGGGTTTCATTATTATTTTAATTTCAGGGCATTTAAGAGAAAATGCATTGCCCATGGCTCTGATTACCATATTCTAATGTGATTTATAGGACTGGCTCCTGAAGCCATTAAGTTTATGACCCCTGGACTTAGAGATCTTTCCTATTCTGGCGTTTTTATGACTCTATGGAATTGGAAGGACAGGATAGTTCATAGTGAGAGTGACTCACAGGAATGGCTGGAAGGGAAAGTACCCCCTAATCAGGAAGGTTTTGGGAAAACATTCAGGTATGCCCTAGGCATAGAAGAACTATTTAGTAACAGGAAACTCAAGATGGTTTCTACTCTGTTTTACAAAGATTGTAGCTAGGATGAAGTTGCATTTTGAAAGGTGAGATGTCAGATTCTAAAGACTGTGTGGGGTGAGGCAAAAATTGTACGTAGTTGCAAAGGGCAACCTTGAAAGTCAATGCTGTGTCTCAATGCATCTACCAATTTTATTTTGTGGTTGTTGTTTGCTTTGTTTTTGTTTGTTTGTTGTTGTTGTTATTGTTGTTTTCCTGTAGCAGGAAAGCAAATCCCTGGGTCTGCATTCAGCAGCAGATGAAAAACTCAGCGTGCATTGTAAGGGTAATGTTGCTCCAAAAATCTTTAAGCACTGGAATCACACAAGTGAGCTTCTGGACTTTTAAAAAATATGAACAATGGGGATAACTTTTTTTAAAAAATCAGCGAGACCCCTCCTCTTCTCCCTCCTTTAAAATTTTACCTTAATCTCAGCCAAAAGCCTGAGAAGTGATTCCCTTAAATTCTAATTTAGAAACATCTGTGTTACTGGAAGCCTTCATGCTTGTACTTGCATACCAAATTTCTGAAAGTTTATACCAGAAAAGCTTAATATTGGTTATCTCCAGCCAGAAGAAATTGAGCTGGGAATGGCTGAAAGGGGAGATTGTAAAATTATTACCCATTTTTTGACCTATTATATTTTGTTTTATTTATTTTAAACATGAGCATGTTATCCATACATAAATAAAAGGAAAATTTAAGGAAACATTATTTTATTCACATTCTTTATTTTTCCTTATTTCATTATTGTTTTATTTACCTTATTTTAAAATAACTGTCATATATGTTTGATTTGAAATATTGTATTTTCTCTAAATTTACCCCAAAGTGTTCATTGTTAGGTAGCATGTGATTTAATTCAAATATCAGATCATTTCTGTTTGTCTCTTTTTTTAATAATCTTTCAGAGGAAAATATAATCACAGTTTTCAGTTTGGACCCCAGATCATTTTGAGCCAAATTTTAATTGATTTAATTAAATAAACTTATCTAATGATTGCTGAAACAGACAGATATGTGCTGAGCTTTGCTGGCAAAACTGTAACACTCTTGGAATCAAATGGGTTCATTCGGGTTAGGGAGGACAATGAATTTGGCCTGTGGAATGCTACATTAAGAGTCTATGACTTTCAGGCCAGGCGCGGTGGCTCGTGTCTGTAATCCTACCACTTTGGGAGGCTGAGACGGGTTGATCACCTGAGGTCAGGAGTTGAAGACCAGCCTGGTCAACCTGGCCAAACCCCGTCTCTACTAAAAATACAAAAATTAGCCAGGTGTGGTGGCACAAACCTGTGATCTCAGCTACTCAGGAGGCTGAGGCAGGAGAATCGCTTGAACCTGGGGGGTGGAGGCTGCAGTGAGCAGAGATTGCGCTCAAGCCTGGGCAACAGAGCGAGACACCATCTAAAAAAAAAAAAAAAAAGAGTCTATCAAAAGTAGCAAGAAAAGAAGAGTGAGCAGAATGGTGTTGGAATCATCTAGGTGTCGTGAACAAATTGGCAGTCACTCATCTATTTTATGTATGTGTATGTCAAGTGACTTGCATCCTTATGCTGATGACCCTTGGTCTACTGCTCCCACGAAGTGCTTGTCTACTTGTATATTTCCTTGTGAACAGTCTGTACTTGGCATGTTGTCATTATAACACTGCCATCATGCCGCCTGTGATACACTACTAGGTGGAGCACAGGACAGAGGACCCAGAAAAGAAGAAACACAGAACCCTGCCCATCAGAGTCCATGGTTTCCAAGGCATCCAAATACACAAAGATATCTGTCTGAACACAGTGTTATAGGCACACACTGAGTAAACTTTAAGGAGTGGCCAGCTGAGGTGGCTCACGCCTGTAATCCCAGGACCTTGAGAGTCCAAGGTGGGTGGATTACTTGAGCCCAGGAGTTTGAGATTAGCCTGGGCAACATAGCAAGACCCCATCTCTACAAATAATAAAAAACAATTAGCGGGGCATGGTGATGGATGCCTGTAGTCCTAACTACTCCAGAGGCTGAGGTGGGAGGATTTTTTTAAGCCAGGGAGGCAGAGGATGCAGGGAGCTGTGATTGCATCACTGTACTCCAGCCTGGGTGACCCTGTCTCAAAACAAAAACAAACAAACAAAAACCTCTAATGATTGCTCATAATTTTGCTGATAAAGTCTTTCACAGAAAACATGTGGAAAGCAGAGAAAACATATGTAAACTATATGTAAACTAAATGTGTTCTCATGTACATTTGTTTGCAGTGGCCAAATTAGACTAGGAAAGGGCTGATTGCAGGCACACTGCCTATGAATTAACCCTGCTTCACAAGGAGCAGCAGTACCAAAATTATTAAAAATGTAAAGAAGAAAAAAAAGACTAGAAAAGATCACTTGCAAGCTACAGTGAAGTGTAAGCAATAAGCTAATTTTTGGTTTGAATAATTAACACTTTTCATGCAGTATGAGAAAAACATTTAAATACTTTCAAATTTGGCTTAATTTATTTGGATGATTGCATTTTTATTTTCTATTTTGTTTTTTGTAGTTTTTTTTTTTTTTCAATTTTTATTTTAGATTCAGGGAATATATGTGCAGGTTTGTTGTTTTTGTTAATAGAAGTATTGTTCTGATTAACACCAGGAAAAGTGTTAACATTGCTATACCCCTAGTACAAAGCTCGAGGAATGTTACATAGGATTTTAGAGGCTTTTTCTTTCTTTCTTTCTTTCTTTCTTTCTTTTTCTTTTTTTTTTTTTTTTTTTTTTTTTTGAGATGGAGTTTTGCTCTTGTTGCCCAGGCTGGATTTTAGGGGCTTTTTGAAGGATGAGGAGAGAAATTACTTAACAGGATAGGTTAGAGATTGACTACAGGGCATAACGTCTTGCCTTGCCAATTAAATTGATTGATTATTGACTGGCTGATTCGTTATATACTGGGGATGTTGAAGAAACTGGTGGGCGGCCTTTGTCCTAGAAACTATTATTGCAGCTGTGACAACTGCTTCAATAAGTTGTCAAGTACATTAAAGAAGTAAATTACATGAAATGTGCTTTGCTTTGCATTCATCCGTCTTCCACCATCGTAACTCACTAAGTCTCATTGACGTGGGAACGTGGAAACATCTCCTCTGTCCTTTACTCACCACCACCACTGGGATGACTGTCAGAAGTCTCCTAAGGGGCTTTTATATTAATTTCAAAGCTTTCTCGCTCTCACACCTCTTAGTGATAGCCAGTAAAACACTCTGAATCACTTCACTTTCCTCATGGAAAACCTTCAAATGCTTCCTTTGCTATCTGATGAAAGCTAAACGTCTCCCCCGTGGGATTATTAAGAACATGAAAGACATGGTCCATCTCCCTACTTAAAATTTTTTCAGCCGGGCACGGTAGTTCATGCCTGTAATCTCAGCACTTTGGGAGGCTGAGGCGGGTGGATCACCTGAGGTCAGGAGTTTGAGACCAGCCTGGCCAATATGGCGAAACCCTGCCTCTACTGAAAAATCCCGTCTCAAAGAAAAGAAAGAAAGCTGGTCAATAGAGCTGAGATTCTGCCCTAGGTCTGTCTGGTCCCTTTCTATTGCCACTGTCCCATTCATTATCCTTATGCAAGTCCGGCCCCCACTACAAGCCTGAATGTGGAATGGCCTTTCTGCCTCATTTTCAAGATCCAGTTCTCCAAGACAGCCTACCTGGATTCTCCAGATCTCCCTAAGCACCTTTTTCCTAAACTACCTAAAAATGTACTCCCATTTCCTGCCCCCCAAGTTGAGTAAGGTGTCACTCCTATGTACGCAAACACCTGTTTTCATCATACCACATATTTATAATGCACATTTTTGTTATATAACACATACAGAGAAAAATGCATGTATCATAAGTGTATAGCTTGATGAAATCAAGATCAAGCTCAAGATCAGATCAAGAAATTAACAGCACCTGGTAGGATGTCTTCCTTATGCACCCTCTCAACTATGAGCTCTGCCTTCCTCCCCAAAGGTGATCACATCTTAACTTCCAAATCAATTCATGCTGTTTGCCTGCTTTTACATTTTATATAAATCAAATCATACAGTCTGGGTTTTGTTTATGAGATCTATTCCTTGTTGTATATAGCAATTATTCACTCATTTTCATTGGGTAGTATTTCAGTATATGAAACCACACTAAATTCTTTATTCATTTTCCTATAGGTGGACATTTTGAATGGTTCCCATTTTGGGGCTGTCATAAATAGTATTACTGGGAACACTATTGCAAATTTTGTATTGCATATGTGTGCAGTCTTTGGGGTCTATACTGTGGAAGAGAACGATTGGGCCACAAGTTATAGATATCTTCATCTTTAGTAGATACTGCCAAGCAGTTTTCCAAAATGGTGCACCAAGTTATACTCCCACTGCAATGTATATTTTTGCAGCTGCTTCTTATCTTCATCAGTCACTGATAGTGTCTGTAATTACAAATTTTCCCTCTCTCTCCCTCTCCCTCTCCATCCCCCTCTTTTTGCCTAGCATGACATCTAGAAGGTATCTTTGTAAAAGTCTGGTGAATTAATAAATGGATGACTAACAAGTACACAGCTGTTTGCTTTTATACTCTTCTGTCACCTCTGAGGCCGGATAAAGTAATGGCTACAAGCATAGGCTTTTGGGCCAGATTGACATGATTTGACTTTCGATCTCACCACTTACTGACCAGCTAATGACCGTTCTGTACGAGTTTCTTCACTTTTGACATCACAGCATTGTTATGAAGAGTAAACAGCTTGACTACAGAATACTTAGAACAGCCAGGTATGGTGGCTCATGCCTGTAATCCTAGCACTTAGGGAGCTCAGGACCAGCCTGGGCATCATGGTGAAACCACGTCTCCGAAAAAGACTTATTAAGAAACAAAACGTTGTTTACTTGGTTGGCTGAGGTGGGAGGATCACCTGAGTCCAGGAGGTTGAGGCTGCAGTGAGCCATGATTGTACCACTTTTCTCCAGCCCAGACAATAGAGATCGTGTCTCAAAAACAAACAAACAAAAAAAACAAACTTAGAACATTGTCTGACACATAATAAGAGCTCAGTAGAATTAGCTATTACGATTATAATCCGGTCCTCAGGGCCTGTATCCTATTAGAGTTCCTAGAATTGGTTAGGAAGAATCTTAGAGCTTCCCGTCTATGAAGCCTGCTCTAGGCACCCGACCCCGCAGAGAGCCGCTGGACGTCTGAAGTTCCCTTTACCCCTTGTTCACTGCCTGTCACATGTTAAGGGTAGGTGCCTGTCTCCCCAGGTGGATGGCAAATTCTGTAAGGGCAGTGACTGACTTATTCTTTTTGGTAGCAGTGGTTTTAGACACATTTTAGCTTATGAGAATCTTAGCTGAATTGGTTCCCCCAAACCCATATTTGAGTAGACCTACAGCTGGAGAGCTATGGAGAAGACAATTATCCCTTTTCCAATCAATTGTCGTGCTCAAAGGCAGGCTGGCTGGGGCTCAGGGAATGTGCTGGCAGGGATATGCCCCACTCCCTTAGGTAAAAGATACCTCTGCACACACATTATTTGACAGTACAGTGCTTAGTAAATATTTGTCATTTGTTTATTGATCTCTTGTTCTTTCTTGACTTCCCTGTTCTTGCCTTGTTCTCTTCCCACCCACTTGTGCTTGATCTTATCTCCCATCTGGGTGACAATGTTTGGGTCTCCTCTGGCACCTTTCAATTCTGGAGAAACACAATTCAGATCTTCTATGTGAAGTGATGGACTATAATCCAGTAAACCAGAATTCTACCTTCAAAACATAAAAAAAAGCTTTGTAACTCGTGACTGGCCCATCTGAGTTATCTATAATTAGATTGCAGATTCCTAAGCCCACCTGAACTGTGTTCAGATGAAAATGAGATTTAAGCACTTTTTGTTCGAGGAGGAATTCATAACTGTTATTGAGAATGAGAATGAGGGGGAATATGCAATGAGTCTCTATGTTAGAGCCGGCATCAATCTTTAATAGGAAAATACATGCTTTTTTTTTGTTTTGTTTTTTGAGACAGAGTCTTGCTCTGTCGCCCAGGCTGGAGTGCAGTGGTGCGATCTCGGCTCACTGCAAGCTCCGCCTCCCTGGTTCACGCCATTCTCCTGCCTCAGCCTCCCGAGTAGCTGGGACTACAGGCGCCCACCACCACGCCCGGCTAATTTTTTTGTATTTTTAGTAGAGACGGGGTTTCACCATGTTAGCCAGGATGGTCTCGATCTCCTGACCTCGTGATCTGCCCGCCTCGGCCTCCCAAAGTGCTGGGATTACAAGCGTGAGCCACCGTGCCTGGCCTTGCTTTGGACTCTTTATTTGTCAACTGGGCCCGGTAGGGAATTGAACACGTAGCTAATGCCTGTAGAGCAGTAAGTCAACAGCAGAGCATGACCGGTGGCCCACCTTGAGCAAAAAGCTATCGACTCGTTTTCATCTTCTTCCTTCATTAGATCATGAGGGAGAAGAACTCGGTTATCTCTGAACACCTGTTTGGCCCTTGGAAACCTTGTGGGGTAGGAGAGGGGGACTGAGGCAAAGTGAGGTGAGACCCAAGAGCAAGGATAAGAGGAAAAAAGCTCACAGCTTTCCCTTGGGGAAATCCCTGTGCGAACTGGAAGGTCAGGGTAGCGGGGGTGCAGCAGGCCTACAGGGTGCTTTTGCAATTAAGGCAGCAGCAACATCAACTGTTTGGGGATTCCCTGATTATTTGTTAAGTATTTGTGTGGAAGACCTAGAAGAGTGAAAAAGTCCAAACCTTTGGACTCAAGATCTCCAAGGATGGTGCCACCTCGCTTTCTCCCACAGGTAATATCACAGTGGGGTGAGCTCTAGGAGTGGGCTCTGCCACACAGCCCCAGAGCCTGCTGGGCCCTTAGGGTGCTAGGTAGACACTGGCTCAAGAAGCTTCAGTCCAAGCTAGGGATGAGCTCCTTCAGGGTCCCTTTACTGAGCTCACTCTAGACCTGGGTCAACTCCAGGTACTCTCAGAAACCAGATGTCCCAGCCAGGTCAGCTTTTTGGGAACATATCCACTTATTTAAAACATTCTCCCCAGCACTTAGGGAAGCCGAGGCAGACAGATCACTTGAGGCCAGGGATTCGAGACCAGCCTGGCCCACATGGTGAAATCCCATCTCTACTAAAATACAAAAATTAGCCAGGCATGGTGGTGCATGCCTGTAGTCCCAGCTACTCAGGAGGCTGAGATGGGGGGATCACATGAACCCAGGAGGCGGAGGCTGCAGTGAACCAAGATCACACCACTGCACTCCAGCCTGGGCGACAGAGTAAGACCGTGTCTCAAAAAAAAAAAAAAAAAAAAAAAAAATTCTCACCCTCTTGTGTGGCATTCTCCTAAACTTCACAGACTATTTCTCAATTTCCATCTCAACTAACTGCTTTAGGTCGGCCTTCTTCATCAGGCTCTGGAAGGGCGAAGTTGTCTGCTTTGTCCACTACGATATCCTGAGCACTCGCAATAGAGCCCAGAGTAGGCTTTCAAATATTTCTGGAAAGAATTACCTGTAACTGAAGACAAGCCAAATGTCAGGACAAATAGTCCAACTTCACAGGACAGGCAATAAATACAGGAAGCATTACTTCATAGCAATCCTTGCAAGATGAGTAAATTGCAAAGGATTTCCTTGGATGGATTTATGAATGACAGACACCATAAAATGCTGCTAAAAAGGCCTGGAACGTAGGTTGGCTTTAAGACCATCCTATACTCCCCTGGAGTCAGAAACCACTGCTGTTGGGAGCAAACCACTAAGCAGGAAATTACAGCAGGATTTTCATGGTTTTCAATTTTAAACTAACCCATGATTACCCCCTTAACCAAAATATACAAAATAACACATGACACAATATATGTAAATATTTTTCAAGGTTTTATTGCAAACCAAAATCAGTTTATCACACACAAAAAAAGTTGTGTGATGGGATGAGGGAAGGATTGTACGTATTATAACCATGTTAATTACAGTACATTAAAATGGTGGTTTACATTACAAATAAGCCTGTAAGTTTAAATATACTAGTGTTATAACCCAATGTACAGACGTTCTTTATACAATACATACAATTATCAGGAATGCAAAAAAAAAAACATAAATAATGCCCATTTTACAGGTGACATTTTAAACAATGAAAAACACCAACGGCTCTGACTGACAACTGGGGCATTGGTCCATAAAAACCCTTTCTAAAAATAGAAATATTTGTAGCAGCAATGCTTTCTTTAAGCATCTGAATACGAGTCATTGCAAGACCATTTCAATAAATTTTAGTTATTAACCGTATCTTACAAAAAAGTCTACACATAAATTTATCTTCCAAATATGGAAGAAACAAACAATGTCCCACGTTGTAGTGTCCTGCAAGTGTCACATTGATGCTTATAACAAAATCCATCTGTGATCAGGCATACCACACTCACACGACGGTTCACACAGCATATCCACAAGGGAAAATAAAGAACTGAAACACTGCGATAGGAAAAGCTTTGGAGCTAACACAATCTCTTCAGAAAAGGCACATTTCATAATATTCGTCATCACAGCCCAGACAGATCTGCAGGAGACCTTTTTTAGAACAGCGTCCGCTTTCTAACGAAACTCCTGCCTCCGTCTAAGGCGGCACTCTAACGCTCGTTTCAGAGATAGCACCACGTTGGAAGGAAGAATAAAAATGAAAACCTCATGAGCTCACTGAGGAGAATGTGCTCTTCAAAAAGCTTCCAGCGAACAGTGTGCAATAAGATTGCTAAGCTTCCAGAGATGTGCAAATTCTCTTGTAAGATGTCCTGTCAGCTGGCGGCTCCACCAAAAGGCTAACTAAAACATTCGGAAACACACATAAAATCCTTTAAAACCAAGCCCTAACAGGGTTCAGAGGAAAGAGTCCGTGGGAGGCGCATAGGAAAAGCCTAGGAAAGCCTCGGCAGCTTCCTTGACGCTGGCTGTGACGAGGACGCTGTCAGGGGACTTGCCAATGGAGTTGGGGACAGGCTCTTCGGTAAACTCGGGGTCAAAGTGCCGTAGGTCGTTGGGCCCACTCTGTGACGGGAAGGGAAAAACACTCTTGTCAAGAACTCACACTAGACACAGGACAGGGAAATCTTGACCAGGCTTTAAATACCAAGTTTAAGTCTTATATCAACTTCCATAATCACCCACTTCAAGCACAAAATCTCAAAAGGCTACACACAGTTAAACATAAGAATAATGTTCACTTGTTGCCTTTTGGTGCTTCGAATTGATAAATGTGTCTAAAAATTATGGGAGCCTTGTTGGGACACAAAAATGTGCTTTTTATGTAGGTAAAATAACAGGTTTATGGAGAAAACATCTGCCAATGTATTCCTTCCAACCCTCCCCCAGACAATTCTGAATTAAAATAAATGCCCTTTGGGCTTCTCTATACTTAGAAGAGAGACAGATACTCACCACATTTGGGTTAAAAGGGGGAGTAATCTTCTTATTAATGAGATCATCCCAGTTAATTAAGGAGAAGAAGACATGACTCTTAATCTCCATCTGTTGATAAGAAACCCAAGATTAATTTAGACAGGTGCATTCAATAAGGGCAGGGAGGTCTAGTGCACGTCCCGGCCGGCCCAGGAGGACAGGAAAACATCACTCACGAAGTCATCCTTGGCCCCGAGCCGCTTTGTCCTGTCCTTCTGCAGGAGGCCCTCCAGGAGGTGTCTTGCGGAATTTGTAATATTTGGTTTCAGCTGGAGAGGCTTGTTCAGAATGTTGTCGTACATTTCAGCTGTGTTTCGGCTATAAAAAGGCGGCTGAAAGAAGGGGAAAATTACTTTAGACTTAATTGGAAGTTTCATATGGCACACATTACCAGTAGAGAAAAAGATATAAACGGCAATAAATATTAGGCTCGATTTGAGAAACTCTCCCCACCTCAATGCTTTCTTTTCCCTTGCTATTTAAGTGTCTACTTTGCAACCCGTGTGTGTGTTTGTGTGTGTGTGTGTGGAGGGTGAGGGGGTAGATGTTAATAAGTGGTAGTTTTTCACCACCACACAGGTTCAATGTGGTCCTATCTAGTAAAATGTGAAATGCACAAAAGAACCAGGTAAGTGATTATTCTTATGAACTATAAAATAACCAATATGCCTCTTAGCTGCTTTTGATAAGCGTACTGGTAAGGGCAAGACACCATGGCCAAGCATGGGCTGTGTGAAGGCAATATTGTAGGGAGCAGGCAGTGTTCCATGGTTCCCAATGTGCCACTCACCAGGCCATACAGCATCTCATACAAGACAGCTCCCAGGCACCACCAGTCCACAGTCCTGTCATAAGGCTGCTTATGAAGCACCTCAGGTGCGAGATACTGAAAAACAGACCAGGGAAACAGCGTTTAGAACCTGCGAAAGCAAGCAATCCCACGACCACACATTTAGTTTGAAAAAGCTGAGAGACCCAGAGCCAGCTTGGAAGATAGATATCTTTAGATTCCTTCCTGATAAAACTGCTGGACTTTTTGAGGGTGACTGGCTACCTATGTGTACTGACATTTAGGAAACTGCTGGGCACTTGATATCTCTTACTTAGGGATTTAGAAAGTTTTTATGATGCAGATCTTACTTACAAACAGCTACTTTTCAGTAAAGGAACAGAAGGACTTGGGATTTCTCATGCTACATCAAACAGCAAATGTATTTTATTTGCACTGAACTGTATTAAGAAGTCTCTGAGAGGAGTTTACTCTTTTTGGTAGTTAAGTGCATGATTGTACATCTCTCTCTTGGAAGGCGGGGGTAAACCAGGCACCAAACCAAGACAGCGCCTACCTCCGGCGTGCCACAGAAGGTGGATGTTGTGCTGTTGTGTTCAATGTTCTCCTTGCAGAGTCCGAAGTCAGTAAGGACAATGTGTCCCTGTGAATCTAGCAAAATATTCTCTGGTTTTAAGTCTCTGTAAAAAAGTGAATAGAAAAGTAGTTGCACAAGTTAATTTCACTTCATAAGATATCCTCTTAAAGATAATTGCTAAAGGTATTAGAGGCATTTTAGGTTCACTGTAGTTGTGTAGTGAAGAAAAAAGGGAGCCCTTGTTCTGCTCATCTATTCTGGATTAGGCACAATCCTACTTGGCTGGTTCCCCCTTGGCACTTAAGTCAAGCCAGCTCACGTGCTAGGGGATCTGGTTTTAGGCAACCAAGTTGCAAATAAACACAAATTATTTTAAGGCCCTATGAAACAGCCAGTGCTACGTCTCCTTTATACCAAAACTGGTAGCCTGAAGAGCTCTCAGGCTTACCTATAAACGATGTTCAGTGAATGCAGGTAGCCCAAGGCACTGGCTATTTCAGCAGCATAGAAACGAGCCCGTGGTTCCAGGAAGCAGCGTTCCCTCTGGAGATGGTAGAACAACTGCAGGAGACAGAACAAAGTCATTCTGGGTTGCAAATGAATTTAATTAGTTTTGACATACACAGCAAAAGAACAACTGCAGGAAGTGGCCCCAAGTAATCTATTAACTATAAACCTGACAGGTTGAAGGAAATGCTAATTCTGGTAACATTCTCCCCACCAAAAATCTTTGAAAACTTTTTTCTCAAACTAAAACAAAGCAGGCTGTGCAGAGACACTAAGAGTTGACTTCTATCCCCCCTGCTCACCTCTCCACCATTAATGTAGTCTAGGACAAAGTACAATTTGTCAGCAGTCTGGAAAGAGAAGTGAAGGCCCACCAGGAAAGGGTGCTTCACATTCTTCAACAGAACATTCCGCTCCGACATAATATGCTTCTCCTAGGAAAATGACGATTCAGATTTAGTGGCATGTTTCAACTTGGCACCAACATTCCAGAATCAAGATTATTCAAGGAGTGTCTACCGCCAATGCCAGCCCCATCAAGCACATCTCATACCTCTTTCTTTTTCAGGATTGCTTTCTTCTGTAAAACTTTGACTGCATAGAACACTTCTTCTGCCTTGTGTCTTGCTAGAAGAACCTGAAATTTCAATTTAAAAAAATCATTTTTCTATCCTCATCCAGGGAGAATACAAAAGAGGACATGAAGGAAGTGTACCAAAAGATCTTCAGATTTGAAATTACCTTTCCAAAACTGCCCTTTCCGATCACTTTCAAGAAGTGAAAGTCAGATGGTTTAGCATGAGGATTGGACGACGGGCCAAGGTTGATTTGCTGAGAAGGACTTGGCTAGAAAAAAAAAAAAAGAATTTCTTTTAATACCATTGCTTCAAAGGAAGACATCTATAACATAAACGATGTAGAAAATGTTACATCTACAAATGACTGATGCAAATGACCATACATCTATAAACATTCAAAACTACATTTCATCACATTTCAAATGAGTATGGAAACTGCACACAGTCATGTTGTTTCAGACAGATAAAACCTTTTTATGAAATATGCCTTTTAAAATAACCACTTTGGAGGTAAAATATGCCCAGGAAAAAAATAAAATAATACTCTGACTCAATACTTAAATATTTATATCACTTGTTATGCCATAATGAAGCATTCCTGCCTTGATACTAATTTCTAGAAATGCTATTTTAATCCATTAATGTAGGAATACTAACTGACTCCCTTACAGTTCTCCACAGATGCACGGCACATACAAAAACTTACTGGAGGAGAAGGGTTGGCATTCATAAGCTCAGGCTCCTGAGGTTGGGAGATCTTCAAGATGGACTGAACTTCAGGGCTGCAGGGAATAAAGGGCACGATTTAGAATCCAGCTCGCCACTAGGGGGCACACCAACATCAAAAGTGAGTTTCTGGCTCTACCGACTTCTACCCGGATAATTCACTGTTTAAACTGAAAATACCCCAATACATTAGTCAGTTAAAGAAAATAATAAACCCCATTAAATACAGAAATAAGGATTGTTGCTCATGGAGAAAGGCCGTGAATTCGGCCAACACGAACCATTTATCTTACATCTCCAGTTCAAGCCAAATCAGCAAATTAACTTTAATGTTTAAAATGTGTCAAATATATTAGAATTTAAGGAGAAATGAGATCCCCACCCCAGAAGAAGTCTTCGCCTTCCCGATAAACGCCGTGATGAGAATGTTTACCGCTGGCAAATTCAAACTATACTAGTTATTTCCTCAAATCCGGTCAAACTTACTGTTTGCATGCATAGGAGTTATTGGCAATCTTCTGAATAAAGTCGTTCAGACCCATCCTCCTCTGCTTCATGAAAGCTGTGGATGAAGGAGGAGAAATAAAGAAACGTTTAGACGGCTTCATAACGTCCGGCGCCACACACACTAATCTGATCCGGGACTTTCAAAAAATTTCCACTTTGCGTCTCCTGGAGCAGAAGTCCCGCAAGATTCCTGCACTCACCGATGAGAATTGCCACCATGCCCCTCATCCTGGAGTAAGTGAGGGTGCCCTTAGCAGCCTCAGTTTTCACCGTCATCACCACCGCGGGGAGACAGAAAGACGTTAGCGCTCAAAGACCGGCTCGGCGTATGCTGCGCCAGGCCGCGCGCTCGGCCTTATAAAAAAGGCACCGCCGCGGGGGCGGGGCCTGCGCGACAGTGAGAAGTGGCCCCGCCCTTCGCCTCGCCCCTCGCCCCGCCCCGGCCGCCTCGCGGTTTGCTGGCGGCTACGCTGCCTGCGGCGGGCGGTTCTGTCCCCATTGAGAGGGCGAGCCCCGGGCGGGGGCGCGAGGACCGCCCGGGGACGGCCTGGCGCAGGGCCGTTATCAGTCTCCATCGGCTCCTGGGGCAGGAGAGAGAGAACGCGCCGGCGGAGGGCGCGGGGAGGGCCGGAGAGCCCGGGGTAGTTTTCCACCTCTCTCATTTATTCCGCCGCCGGAGAAAGCCGGGTTCGCAGCGCCGAAGCGCTTCCCGGCGGGTGCGCGGCGGCCACGGTGGCTTCGCTCACTGTCCCTGCAGATACCCTCTCCCCGGCCAGGCGCCGTCCTGCGGCCGGACTCCCACCCTCCTCCCCAACCCGAGCCGGCGGTGCGCGCCACCCTCCGGGGTTTATCCCTGGGGCGCAGGCCTGCGCGCGCGACCTCGCCCGCCAGGTCCTCCCGTTCCCGCCGCCGGGACCCCGGCCCCGAGAACTCCGACGAAAGCCGGCCCCTGCCTCCAAGCCGCTCTGGGGAAGTGAGCCAAGCCCCCAGCGGGGCCGGCGGCGGCGCTTACCCAGTCCGCTCAGCAGGAAGGACTCGCTCCTTTTCTGCGCCTCGGCCCTCTTTTTGTGGCGGGGCCGCAGCAGGGACTCGAGCCGGGCTCTGGCCAGCGCGCCCTGCATCTCCCCCATGGGCAGCGGGCGGCGGGGCGCGCGGCAGACGAGAGCGACCGGCGAGCACTGACGTTTCCTTGAAGGAGCCGCCGTGACTCAGGCCGGGCAAGATTTCCTGCCCCGAGTCCCAAAACAAACAAATGGCCCTTGTGCACGGTCGGGTCGCTTCCGAAAACGCCTTTTTTGTGCTTTTGGCCAAAACCAAGCAAGGCTGAAAAATCCCAGAACTTGGAAGAGGAGGAAGGAAGGAAAGAAAGAGGGAAAAGGGGGAGGGAGAGGTCAGGAATGTGGAGGGGAGGGGGCGGAAATAAAAGTCGTCTCTGCACTAAAGGAAGAAGTACAATCTGCATTTCACTTTTTTTTTTCTGAAGTAATCTCTGAGAACATTTTGTCCGTTCCGCATGTAATTTTTTTCCTTGCATTTTTAATCTCTGCCATGCCAAGAACACGTGAGGAGGTAACAAGCGAAGGGAGGGGTAGCTTTGCCCGGGGGCAGACCTGGCGTGAACCGGGCATCCTCGATTCCTCTGTGGGGCCTGCTCCTCTCCCGCTGTCCCACCTGAAAACCCTGCAGGTCATGATACATGGTCTTAAAATCGTCCCTACCCTCCCTGGGTTTAACTCAAGGCTGCCCCAGGGCTTCTTAGTTTTGCCACCTCGCTCGCTCTTTATGTGAGTCCCACATAAACTGTGACTTTATCCTGAAAGATTAGCCGGGTGACTCCGCTGCAGAAGGCAGGGAAGAGAGGGAAGCTCGAGGCGGCGGCCCGGGCTCTGCAGAACAGCGATGCCGGTGCCTTCCAGTAACCCCGCGGCTGGGGGATGTCTGGGAGCCGCAGCCTGACCGCCGGCGCGGGGACGTGAGCCAGTGCTGGCCGGGAAGCCGCGAGCACGGCGACTGGGCCCGGAGCGGGCAGTTACAAGTTACCACTATTCGCAGGGCCAGGTACCTGGCGCTCGCTGTTGCTGTCTGCGGTGGCTGCCCTGCCATGACCTCTTGCTACCAAAGGCTCTGCCATTTTAAAGTTGCCTACTGGATCTGGCACAGTCCCGAAATACCAGCTGTCAAACCAGGAATAGCATGTGAAACGCCTTTTCCTTGGTCTTGGGCAGGGGTTTGTTTTGCAGGCAAAACCACCCCCACTTGCCCTAAAGTGAGCTCTAGTCTCAACTCCTTGGTTTGCTTTGTTGCAACAGCCCCAAACCGAGAGAAGGGAAACACATTCTCTCTCCTGGAGTCTGGCTGGGAAAGTTTGCTCAGTGCCCACACTTATAAAAAGCATTTACTGGGGCCGGGCGCAGTGGCTCACGCCTGTAATCCCAGCACTTTGGGAGGCCAAGGCGGGCGGATCACGAGGTCAAGAGATCGAGACCATCCTGGCTAACATGGTGAAACCCCGTCTCTACTGAAAATAGAAAAATTAGCCAGGCGTGGTGGCGTGCGCCTGTAGTCCCAGTTACTCGGGAGGCTGAGGCAGGAGAATCGCTTGAACCCGGGAGGCGGAGGTTGCAGTGAGCCGAGATCACGCCACTGCACTCCAGCCTGGCAACAGAGCGAGACTCCGTCTCAAAACAAACAAACAAACAAAAACAAAACAAAAACAAAAACAAAAAAAACACTAGTACCTGAAATTGACATGCCAACCTAAAGCAATGTTTAGGCAATTTCAAATCACAGTAACTGGCCCATGTCTGCTTCCTCTTGCAGGGAATCTTCATAGAATGTGACTTTGTTATTGCCAGTGCCACCCGTATGTCATGTCCCACCATTCAACTAGCCTAGCCCAGCCTAGCTCTGCTCCCACCTGGTTCCTTTCCCTCTTGAGAGAGCAAATTTTGCTCAGGCTGCCCAGAAACATCAACCTGCACACAGACTTTTGCATGTTTGTTTTCAAACATTAAATTAAGAAACCTACAACCAGAGACCCTCTCCTACACCCCACCTTATGTGCCTTCCCCATGCCAAGTAACCCCAAATCCTTTGAGGCATCTGCAAAATATAGTACGGTAAGTACGAACCTTTCAAAGGGGGTTTTATAGCTTCTTCTTTCATTCTTCGGGTTGCCCAAGGATATGCAGGTTGGGGATTACTTCTGGAGGCTGGAGGTAGAGCCCAGTTATGGCTGGAATAAGCCTCCCTGCTACATGCCTCTGATAAGCTGGAACTCTGAGATGACATGAGAGCACGAGCCAGAGACGGCTATCCCTGTTCTGTTATGAACCCCACTTTATATCAAGGCAATTTAAGTACAGGAAGGGAGCAAGCTGCAAAGTTCAACACTGGGCCATTTATTCTCCCCATTGCGACATCACTCAGAAAATTACAGTCATCAGTGTCCTAGCTTTATTACACCCCCAGCACGCACACAAGAAATGTAACTTAACTGATTATCCTCACAAATCAGTCCGGAAAAAATTCAAAACACATGCACAGGATTTATTTTCTCAGAGGCTCTGTGGCATGCATTCCGGGAGGAACGTGGCATTCAGGTCGGAGGGTTCTACGCGGAATAGAGAATAGATGCAACCGTATGATTTGTGGTTGGAAAAGAAAGGGAACGTCTGATGTGCTCCTTCCTCCCCTACCCTAATGTTCAGCACTTGGAGACGGATGGTCGGCTAAACTTATCATTTAACCGAGAGAATCAAGTTGTTGAGACTGGCTTTTCTTCCAACCGGATACGTGATGGGTGGAGCAGGCGCCCCCTGTTCTGTCCCAGCAACCTACTAAGACTTCCGAACAGGAAGGTGACACACGGCGGAGGGGTGCTTGAGGGGAGGGGGAGACGGGGGAGCTGTGTGTGACGCGCGCCTGTTAACACTGCACAGGCATTAGGTTGCCCTGTAGCTGCTATTCAAACTCTTGATCTGTTCTTCCTTCCTGTCGCCAGCCTCTTTCTTTGGTCCAGATAGTCCTCCTACTGGGAGGAATCCGGCCCCTTTCCTCATACTCCCTGGTGGCGAAGTGGTCCGAGTAGCCTCCCGAACTGTTTGTAAATGCAACCTAGAGGGCGATCGAGTTCTCTGGGAGAACTTGCTCCATATACGCGTATACGCGGCTTCCCCCACTTGTCTCCTGAGGTTCTATTGGTCCAGGGAATTTCTCTACAACACCTTGTGCAGTCATAGAAAATATAGACGGCTTGATAGGAGATAGGCTAATTACCTCCCCACTCCTCCAAGCGAATTGTCTCACATTTATGTCTCGGTGCTGGGAAAACTGCAGTCAAAACCCTCAAGTAGGAATGACTGACCAGGATGAAAAGTTTGCACTGAAACTAAACGTTTCCCAGTGCATGTGCATTTTAATGCTTCAGAAAAAATTTTTTCACTCTTCTATTTTATTTTTTTATTTCTTTATTTGTCACTCTATAGTCTGATGGACTATAAATGCTAAAACCTGAGAGCTTCACAAAGATATGACTTTTTCCATTTAATTTTAAAAGGCTTATAAATTATTGATATTTCTCAACATATTAGAGAAAATATTTTGAAAAATATTTTTTATAAGGACTTAACCATATTCACTCTTAAGACACTTCTTAAATGTATCAGCTGTAATTGTCATGATTCCCCGGGTATGTTATCTTCCATTGATAACAAGGCAATATAATTGTTTCATATTGTTCAAAGTACCATCAATTTTAGAACAATCCTATGAAGAGTTTAAGTTCCCATACTTTTTGATTCATTGTTTGATGCTCACAGAAACCTTTCCCTGGAACACCCTCAAAAAAGCTCATAGAAATACCAGAAAACATAATTATTATAATTATAGAAAACATAATTATTACTCTAGAGAGAAACTGAATGGATCAGTTTTTGTTGAAGGTTGTCAGCAAAGGCATGTCTTTTTTTTTTTTTTTTTTTACAGAAAATGATGATGACAAATGAGTTTATTCATTATAGCTATTATAGACAAGTCACTGGCAATGGTGGTTATTTAAATGTCTATTTATAGACACAGGTTGTATAGTAATTATTACCTTCCATATTCATAATTGTCAAATTTGACATGCAAAAAGATGTGATACAGTAGATAACTAAGAGAACACTATCTCTAATCATAGTGTTAAAAGTTATTAAAACCCACAAAACTAATTATTTCATTTATCGCAGGGTTTATATTTTTTCCAAGACAGAGGTGATAATATTCTACACCCATTCCTTCTAAAAAGTGAGCCCATAGGAAAATTGACGGGAGGGTAGGAACAAGATTTGGTAGTAAATTTTTTATGTCATTCAGGGGATAAATTAAAGAGAAGCCAGTGGGAATACTTGACATGGGAGGAATGAGAAGCTTTTTTTGTTTGTTTGTTTTTGTTTTTGACATAGAGTTTCACTCTGTTGTCCAGGCTAGAGTACAGTGGTACAGTCACAGCTCACTGCAGCCTCAACCTCCTGGGTTCAAGTAATCCTCCCACCTCGGACTCCTGAGTAGCTGGGACCACAGGCACATGCCACCATGCCTGGTTAATGTTTTTATCTTTTGTAGACACATGGTCTCACTGTGTTGCCCAGGCTGGTCTCAAACTCCTGGGCTCAAATGATCCTCCTGCCTCAGCTTCCCAAAGTGCTGGGATTATAAGTATAAGCCACTGCGCCTCACCTGAGGAATGAGAATCTACATAGCAAGAAACAAACAGATCTTTCTCAGGCTGAAAACTTACCCATCTCCATCTTGGCAATGTTGTCAATGTCTGATTTAGTATAATCCAATCAATGATTAAAAAAACAAAACATCAGCTAGAATGCAATATGATAGGTAAGGAATTGTATGTATGTGACAACTTTATTTTTGGTTCTCAGGATTGACCTGGAAAATGGTGTCCACAGAACTTTACATAAGATTATGAAAAATGATACATTGGTCTGGACAGAAGAGTAAATTGGAAAAATTTGTAAGTCAATATTTAATACTATTGGTAAACTCAAGAGGACTGTGGTGGCCAGGTGCAGGGGCTCACACCTCTAATCCCAGCACTTTGGGAGGTTGAAGCAGGAGGATCACTTGAGCTCAGGAGTTTGAGACCAGCCTGGGCAACATAGTGAGACCCTGTCTCTACAAAAAATACAAAAATTATCCATACATGGTGGCACGCCTGTAGTCCCAGCTACATGGGAGGCTAAGGTGGGAGAATCGCTTGAGCCCAGGGTGTTGGAGGTTTCAGTGAGCCAAGATCTTGCCACTGCACTCTCGCCGGGGCAACAAAGTGAGATCCTATCTCAAAAAAAAAAAAAAAAGGACTCTGGCCTTATATTTTTGGCATGCCTTTACTGTTAGGCATTTGCATTTTAAAAGGCCACTTGTCAACTCAAAAAATTTAATTTGCAATGATAAAATGTCAAGCATTCAAACAAGAAACAGGTCTGAGAGCTTTGGGGTGAGAGGCCTCCCGCAATATCTGGCCTGGTCGGCCTCCTCTCCATTCTCTCCAAGGTAAAACTACGTGGGCATCTACTTCCCCCACAAGTCCAGCAGCCAGAATCCTTCCTAAGACACACATATTAAAGGTGTAACTGACACGAAGGCAATATAAAGGGCTCTCTTTCACCCCCACTTTATTTACAAAGGGCCAATAGTAAATAAGGAGTCTGGATTTCTGGTGGACATCTTTTGTCAAACTAAAGTGAAACCTGAAAGCTTTGATTTGCTCAGTATAAATCTCTCTCCAAGTCTCTCCCGTTTGTTTTCTTTCTTTCTTTTTCTTTTTTTGAGACGGAGGAGTCTTACTCTGTCGCCCAGACTGGAGTGCAGTGGCGTGATCTCAGCTCACTGCACCCTCTGCTTCCCTGGTTCAAGCAATTCTCCCGCCTCAGCCTCCTGAGTAGCTGGGATTACAGGCACGTGCCACTACTCCCAGTTAATTTGAGTACTTTTAGTAGAGATGGGGATTCACCATGTTGATCAGACTGGTCTCGGATTCCTGACCTCAAGTGATCCACCTGCCTCAGCCTCCCAAAGTGCTGGGATTACAGGCATAAGCCACCATGCCCGGCCCAAGTCTCTCCCATTTCTGAGCCTATAATCAATCTAGAAGGAGGCAACAGAAGCTCGGGCCACCCCTAAGGACTTAAGGACTGTTTCCTGTAAACTCTGTGTGCCAGTTGTAACAACAAAAGATACATGTAATAGTAACCAGCAATGGAAAAACCAGTTATGGGGATGTCAGTCTAGTTGGCGACAACTGAGGCTTGCTACCTGTGAGTTTTTTTTGTTTTGTTTTGTTTTGATATGGAGTCTCACTTCATCACCCAGGCTGAAGTGCAGTGGCGCAATCTTGGCTTACTGCAACCTCCGCCTCCCAGGTTCAAGTGATTCTCATGCCTCAGACTCTCAAGTAGCTGGGATTACAGGCACCTGCCACCACGCCCGACTAATTTTTGTATTTTTAGTAGAGACAGGGTTTTACCATGTTGGTCAGGCTGATCTCAAACTCCTGAGCTCAAGTGATCTGTCCTCCTCAGCCTCCCAAAGTGCTGGGATTACAAGTGTGAGCCACTGTGCCTAGCCATACCTGTGAGATTTTAGACAAGGTATTCTCTAACCCTTAATCTTGTCAGCTGTATAGCGGGGAGAGTTATACCTGCCTCATATAAGTTGTGAAAAATAATGGAAATAGGCCAGGTGTGATGGTTTATGCCTGTAATCCTAGCACTTTGGGAGGCCAAGGTGGGTGGGTCACTTGAGGTCAGGAGTTCGAAACCAGCAGGCCAACATGGTGAAACCCCGTCTCTACTAAAAATACAAAAATTAGCCAGAAATCACTTGAACCTGGAAGGCAGAGGTTGCAGTGAGCTGGGATTATGCCACTGCACTCCAGCCCGGGCAACACAGCGAGACTCCGTCTAAAAAAAAAAAAAAGGAAATAAAGAATTTAGTAAGCGCCTCTCTCATGTTGGAGTTTTAAGTAGAAAATATGATCTGTGTATATTTGCCAGCCCCACCCTACGCACATCACAAGTACAAACAACACTGTCGCACAGTGCAAAGGGTTCCAACAAATCAAAACAATACATCAAGTAATTATGGGCTGTGAGTAAGGCACTTGCACAGCATGGGCCACTTAATCTGCTGGGCCAAGGCGAGGCCTATGTGACAGGAATTCCGTGAAAGGCCTGAATGATAATCCAACCTCCCCCTCCTCCATTCAGTCTCCCTCACAGACAGTGCTCCTGAATGTGCTGTATCAAGAAACGAAATGCCATGATTACTGAATAAAGACTTGTTTACCAAGTGTTTGCAGCAAAGACTGAAGTTTAGTGTGAAAAAAGTGGAGAGCAAACCAAAACTAACTCAAGAAAGTTTTTACTTGCTCGAGGAAACAACAGAAGGCAAATATAGACCTATTGAGAGGGTGGAGTCATTGAAAGAAGATCAGAGGCCAGTCATACTTATCGTGCTTTTTCTAGGTCAATAAGCTTATCCTGCAGGAATGAGAAGAGGAACAAGATCCAGCTGAACCTAGCCTCTGTTAGTTTTAATCATTCAGATCTCTGTGGTGCACCTCTTTCATTTACTGATTTATTGTATTGATATAAGTTGATGAACATATTTTGGGGTAACATGGTATTTTGAAACATGTATACAATGTGTAATGATGAAATTAGGATAATTGGGATATCCGTCATCTCAAACATTTATTTTTTCTTTGTGTTGAGAACATGCTAATTCTTCCCTTTTAACTGTTTGGCAATATACAATAACTTATTGTTAACTCTGATTTCCCTACTGCCATATCGAATGCTAGAACTTATTCCATCTATCTAGCTGTACTTTGTACCCATTAATGTGAATGGGTTCTTGACAGGCACTGTCTTAAGCCCTGAATCTAACAAGGATGTCATGATGGGCAGCGTTGCTGTACTCAGGGAGGGTGTGGTCTATATTTTGTAAAATGGAACTGCACGTTCCCAAAAGCAAAGGTGAGCTTATAGACATTTCTGATTTTCCTCAGGCCCCGCTATGCCTTAATGTCATTAAAGTACAGCCTTGGGCACGTTTGATCATTTAGATTATCTAGTTTTTCAAGTGAGGAATGTGCTGGAAAGTCTTCTGCAGCTCTGATTTTGTACAGTTCTATGATGTCTGGGAAAAAAAATAAACCCAGAAGGAACTTCTGGAGGCCCAGAACTACTCTCCTGGCATGGTTTCCTATAATAATGTCCCACACCCAGCTGATCCTTTAGAAGAACCTGTCCCCACCCCACCCCCACCCCCCACCCCCGGCATTGGATCCTTCGGTCAGGAATTTGTGTGCTTAGTTATTTAAATCTCAGGTGTTTCTCTGGACCTTGAGTTCCCTGAAGGCCAGGCAGCACAATTTGTGTCTCTCACCTGCCTAACATTCTCTAATCAGGTCGCTGCCTGCCCCTCTGACCTCTCCTCCTACCTTCTCCCTCCCTCCAGGTTTGTACCACTGTGGTGCTCTCTGTTCCCTTTGCAGGCCAAGCTAGTGTCTGCCCGAGGGACTTTGTCTTTGCTGTGCCCTTCACCTGGAATGCTTTCCTCCTCAGGCTCACATGGCTGGCTCCTTCTTGTCATTCGGATCTCCCAGTAAATATCACTTACAGGCCGGGAGCAGTAGCTCACGCCTGTAATATCAGAACTTTGGGAGGCTGAGGCGGGCAGATCACGAGGTCAGGAGATCAAGACCATTCTGGCCAACATGGTGAAACCCCGTCCCTACTTAAAAAAAATATATACAAAAATTAGCTGGGCGTGGTGGTGCGCGCCTGTAGTCCCAGCTACTTGGGAGGCTGAGGCAGGAGAGTTGCTTGAACGCAGGAGGCAGAGGCCGCAGTGAGCCGAGATCACATCACTGCACTCCAGCCTGGGTGACAGAGTGAGACTCCATCTCAAAAAAAAAAAAAAAAAAAAAAAAATCACAGTGACGCAGTGGACCAAAAGTAGCCAGCAGCTGACCTTTCTTTGTCATTCACTCTATTTCAATTATCTGCATATTAGTTTTATTATGTGACTTTTTCTGGGTTTATTGTTGATTTACCCAACTAGAAAGTAGTCTCTATGAGATAGGGATATCATGTTTGTTTGTTTAAGACAGGGTCTTGTTCTGTCCCGCAGTCTGGAGTGCAGGGCTGTAATCACGGCTCACCACAACCTCTGCCTCCCGGGCTCAAGCAATCTTCCCACCTCAGCCTCTCTAGTAGTTGGGACCACAGGTGTGTGCCACCATGCCTGGCTTATATTTTATATTATTTGTAGAGATGAGGTCTTGCGGTGTTAGCCAGGCTGGTCTCGAACTCCTGGGCTCCAGTGATCCGCACACCTAAGCCTCCCAAAGTGCTGGGATTATAGGCATAAGCCACCGACCCTGGCCGGAATAATTATCTATATTATTTGCCACATCATCCCTGGTGCCCAGGAGAGGGCCTAGCCCACAGGAAGTGCTTGAGAAATAAAATGCTTTCATAATGGTTTGCATTAAACCCCCTCTATGGACGATATCATATGAATTTGGCTTATAGAAAAGTATGCCATTGTAACCTGTTTTACTCTTGTCATCCAACCAACTTTCCTCAAGAACTTTAGAACTTTTCTTCCTGCCAGGGGATGACACAGTCACCTCATAGACTGTTTTCTTTCTGTCTTGCAGCCATGAAGTTCTCCATAATTTTTGTATTGCCAGAAAGCCTGAATGAACATTTAGCACAACCCCCTTCTACTTTATATCCCTTTATATCCTCCCAAAATAGCCTTCTCTACACAATGATAAGGACTTGATAAAAGGGCCCCTATTGTGCAGTCCCAGCCTGGACAAAGTAGTTTTAAAGCCATAGCAGAATGGCCATCAGGTTGTCAGAAATGACAAAAGCCACAGCACATATGCAAGTGGTACAAATGCTTAGTGCCAAGTTAAGATATGAAACTACACTTTCATATCTCTATGAGTGTGTGTGTGTGTGTGTGTGTGTGTGTGTGTGTATTAGTTTTCTGGAGAGACAAAACCAATAGGATATATCTAGAGGGAGACAGAGAAAGAGATGGAGAAAGAGAAAGAGAAGAGAGGAGATTTATTAGGGGAATTGGCTCATACAATTATGAAAGCTGAGAAATCCCATGGCAGGCTGTCTGCAAGCTGGAGACCCTGGGATGCCACTAGCATGGCTCAGTCCAAATCTGAAGAACTGAGAATCCGGGGGCTGCTGGTGTAAGTCCTAGCGTCCAAAGGCCAAAGGCTGGAGAACCTGATGTCCGAAGGCCGGAGAAGAAGCATGTATCCCAGTTCCAGGAGAGTGAGTGACCTACCCACGGTTCTATCTAGGCTCCCAAGCGATTGGACACTACCCCCCACACCCCCCTGTCCCCGCATTAGTGGGGGCGGGTCTTTTCTACTTAGTCCACCCAGACTCACACATCAGTCTCCTTTGGAGGCACCCTTAAGGCCACACCCCAAAATAATGCTTTGCCAGTTCTCTACGTATTCCTTAATCCAGTCAAGTTGACACTTAAAATTAACCATCACACGTTCTCACCTTTCAACTTGGCAGCCATTACACATCTCTTTGTATCACACTTAATCTCCAAATAAAGACAATAGCAAAGTGATAATTCTACCTAATATAATGCACCTGTTCTGTGTACAACAGAAAACATACCAGTCCCTTCCCCAGAAGAGAAGGTAAAGTCCTTGGGTGATGTTTACTCTTCTGCTGATATCCCATAACTTAAATACTATGATATAAAATTAACAATACTTAAATACTGACATAAAGTCAATAAATCTTGTAAATACTGATATAAAGTCAATAAATGTGTTACATGATAAAGACATAAGAGAAGAATGAAAACAAAGATATTAATATATGTACATAGACGCACAACATATTCTTAACAAAACAGGGAGGAAATACTCATCACAGTTGCAGTGCTTGGTTCTGTAACTGGTCACGTGATCATAGCTGGTATTTATAACTACCTTCCTTTACCACCCATTCTATATTTCCTTTACCTTCAACAAGAACCTCAGTTGATTGTGGTTCTTTATGTGGCAGGTGACCCAAACCTACATTTCTGAAGAGTCTGGGCCATTCACAGACTTACTCAGATTGAGTTGTTGTAATTTCTCATTGACCTTAATCACAGGACATGGTAATACTAAGAGACATCCTAAGGGATCTCCTGTATTTCAGACATACACTTCTGGGTTTTTTTTTTGGTTTTTTTTTTGAGACGCAGTCTCACTGTGTCGCCCAGGCTGGAGTGCATGGGTGTGATCTCGGCTTGCTGCAACCTCTGCCTCCTGGGTTCAAGCAATTCTCCTGCCTCAGCCTCCCGAGTAGCTGGGATTACAGGCACCCACCACTATGCCCGGCTAATTTTTGTATTTTAGTACAGACGGGGTTTCAGTATGTAGGTCAAGCTGGTCTCGAACTCCTAACCTCAAATGATCTGCTCGCCTCGGCCTCCCAAAGTTCTGGGATTTCAGGTGTGAGCCACCGTTCCTGGCAGACATACACTTCTTTATCTCCATTGTGGAATAGTAGTCCAATTTCTCCCTAGTATTTTGAATCAGTTACTCCAGCCAACATCATAACTCCCTTCTTAGCTTTTTGATTCAGAGGCATGAGGATCCCAAAGTGGCTGGGTGGTAGTCTTAACTTCCAGTTCAATGGAATCATTGTTGTGTCTCCGGAAGCACTCCTCCCTCTGGAACTAAGACCTCCAGGCCTGCAGATCATAAAGTCGTGGGAACAGAAAGCAAAAATGTTTCCAATGGGTCACTAGGGGGAATAGTGAGTGGTGCCACTCCCATTTCCACCCCTTCCACCCCTTCCATTTCTGGACCTGTGGATCCTGGCTATGGGAGAAGCAGCACCATATACTGGATGTTGATTCAGAGCATATACAACTTTCTGGAGAACCTTGCACCAGCCATGCAAAAAAATCATCACCGTAACTTCAAAAGGCCATTACACCATTCATTCTATTAACCCAGCTGCTCCAGGATGATGGGAAACATGGTTAAGACCAGTGAATTCCAGGAGCATGGGCCCATTGCTGCCTCTCTTTGGCTATAAAATGTATTCCTTGATCAGAAGCAGTGCTGTGTCTGTGTGGAATACCATGACAGGGGATAGGGCATTCTGGGAGTCCATGGATGGTAGTTGTGGCAGAAGCATTGTGTTCAAGGAAGGCAAATCCATATTCAGAATAAGTGTCTACTGCAGTAAGGACAAAACACTGCTTCTTCCATGATGGAAGCTGTCCAATATAATCAGCCTGCGACCAGGTGGCTGGCAGATCACCCCGAGGAAAGGTGCCATATCAGAGGCTCAGTGTTCATTTCTGTTGCTGGCAGATTGGGCACTCAGCAGTGGCTGTAGCCAGGTTGGCCTTAGTGAGTGGACGTCCATGTTGCTGAGTCCATGCATAACCTCCATCCTTGCCACCATGGCTACTTTGTTTATGAGCTCACTGGATGCAAGAGTAGTTGGGGAAAGGGGCTGTTTGGTATCCACAGAATGGGTCATCTTATCCACTTGATTGTTAAAATACCCCTCTACTGAGGTCACCCTTTGCTGAGAATTCATGTGGACACAAATATCTTTACCTTTTTTTTTTTGCTCATTCAGAGAGGTCTATTCACAGATCACTTCCCCAAATTTCTTTGTCACCAATTTTCCAATCATGTTCCTTCCAAGTCTCTGACCATCCAGCCAAACTATTGGCCACAGCCCATAAATTGGTATATAATCGCATATCTGGCCATTTCTCCTTACAAGCAAAATGAACAACCAGGTGCTCGAGGTTCTGCTCACTGTGCGGGTATCTTTTCAGCACTGTCCTTCAGGGACCTGCCAGAAAGAGACCACAGTGCTGCAGCTGTCCACTTGTGTGATTTTGTGATTTTATATATAGAGATATATACATGTATGATAGCATCAGTAATTCAGCGGTGTTACCCATAGCATGAGGGTATGACACACAGGCTTCACCTCACACAGAGACATGAAAACAATAATCCACCAACTTCATACTAAGCAATAAACACTAAGATTTTTATTTCCTGAGGATTCCACACCTTCATTTTCTTAGCACACAGTAGATTTCAGAGCCACCACGCCTGGCCAACTTTTTTTTTTGAGTCAGGGTCTTGCTTTGTCACCCAGGCTGGAGTGCAGTGGTGTGATCATGGCTCACTGCAGCCTCAACCTCCCGGGCTCAAGTCATCCTCCCACTTCAGCCTCCTGAGTATCTGGGGCTACAGGCACATGCCACCATGCCTAGCTATTTCTTTTTCTTTTTTTTTTTTTTTTTTTTTGAGACAGGGATCTCCTATGTTGCCCAGGCTGGTCTCAAGCTCCTGGGCTCAAGTGATCCTCCCACCTTGGTCTCCCAAAATGCTGGGATACAGGTGTGAGCCACTCACGCAACCCAGACAATTTTTTTTTACAGACACTTTTTATAAAACTATTTGTTTCTCAGTTGTGATTATAGAATCCCTTTAACAAATAAGATTAGTTATCCCCAGAGGATTGTTTGATGGTTTGGGGCCAAGCATTTCAGATACTGCATATTAACTACCTCTTTTATACAGGTGTGTGTGTGTGTGTGTGTGTGCGTGTGCGTGTGCATGTGTGTATATATAAATATACACATATATTTTTGTGTGTCTGATAACACCAACTTTGTTCCCTAATCATCATTTCACAGAAGATACAAATGGAATCTAAAAGAATGAAAATAAGCTTTTGTATAAGACCACAAGAAAATTACAGAGAATAAATGAAACAGATGTGAGCAAAAGATGGGGATCATACATAATGTCTGACCTTATAAACTACATAAACATGGTTACTTCAAGAAGCTACTACTATAATATTACTTATTATTTGTTTATACAATTTTGCTTAAAATTACATCGTACTCTCTACTTATTTAGAGCAAATGATTGTGCCAAATAGATAAGACTATTTCCATCAATTAGTATCTACAATTATTCTATTTCACAACTCATAAAGTGTTGCTTAAAAATCTAATTCCTTAGAGCACAAGCACAGATCATCACAATAGACCTAGTTAAAGTTCATTCTTCAAATCGTGTTGTTTATATACCTTATTATATACTGACATAAATCCAGTTTAGCAAGGTATTTAATAAGCCCTGACTTTCCTTTTTAAAAGCAGAAGTATTCCCTTTTCTCTCTTTACCACATTGTAAGTACTGTTTTTTTTGGTTGTTTTTTGTTTGTTTGTTTTGAGACGGAGTCTCACTCTGTCACCCAGGCTGGAGTGCAATGGCACCATCTCAGCTCACTGCAACCTCCGCCTTCCGGATTCAAGTGATTCTCTTGCCTCAGCCTCCTGAGTAGCTGGGATTACAAGCACGCGCCACCATGCCCGGCTAATTTTTGTATTTTTAGTAGAGACATGGTTTCACCATGTTGGCCAGGCTGGTCTTAAACTCCTGACCTCAAGTGATCGGCCCGCCTTGGCCTCCCAAAGTGCTGGAATTACAGGCGTGAGCCACTGCACCTGGCCCTAAGTACTGTTTTTATATCTACAATCTGCTCCTATATTCATAACTGATGGCCCTTTGACTTTTCCTTCTATAGTGGGAAAACAACAATCAAAGAGCAGAAATGGGGCCCTGTCATACATAGTTCCTTCCTTCCTTCCTTTTTTTTTTTTTTTTGAGATAGAGTCTGGCTGTATCACCCAGGCTAGAGTTCAGTGGCATGATCTCGGCTCACTGCAAACTCCGCCTCCTGGGTTCAAGTGATTCTCCTGCCTCAGCCTCCCAAGTAGCTGGGATTACAGGTGCACACCACCAGGCATGGCTAATTTTTGTATTTTTAGTAGAGACAGGGTTTCGCCATATTGGCTACACTGGTCTTGAACTCCTGGCCTCAAGTAATCCACCCACCTCAGCCTCCCAAAGTACTGGGATTATAGGCATGAGCCACCACGCCAAGCTTCCTGGCATACACAGTTTTTAACACCCCTTGTCACTGTTCTCTTCCCACCTCCCATTATCTTTTCTTAGGGCTTTGATTTTCTTGAGGATTATAGGTTTTTAAAAGGTTGAAAGGGACCTTGCAAAATCCCTCAGGACTGCTATTCCTTTTCTATCTCTTCTTAAAAATAATGTTAAAGAATTAATATTACATACATTACAAATATTAGAAAGTACATTTACATAAGATGTGAAAGAGGCATACGATGGTAACAGACACACTAGACTTAGCTGGATTACTTCTAGGAATAATAGTAAGTGTCTAAAACAGGTTGCCTTGTTAGAACATGATACTACTGAATCTGAGTGCTTATCTTCCTCATATGTGCCAATTATGTTTTTGTCGAAGAGCAATCCTTTCTGATTTTCGCAGACTGCTTTCTGATTATTTGTCTCACAAAGAGACTGGGTAAAAGCATGTGGCTTTATTTTTGCCATTTCTAAAAATAACCCAACAGCTATGCTGTGCACTGCTCACCTTAGCACTATTGTATTCATGTGTTTATGTGTATAAAGGACAGTTCATAGTCAGCATATTCAATGCTTTTCTCCCTCTTTGTTTTAAAGTTCAAAGTTACTGTCTACACGAAAGTTGGGGTATTTCACCACTAGCCTCATTTTATGCTATTCATAAAATCATGAGCAGACTTTTTACCAAGGGCAAAAAAATCTTAAGAAACAGGAACATCCCCCTTCCCCCATACAATATTCCTGACAACCATTTATTAAGGTCTTTCTCTAATCTTTCGCTGGAATCACCTCTACTTCCCAAACCATCTCTACCACTGTCAACTAGCATCAATCGTTAAAGTTCTTCGTTAGGCTGTGATCAAATATCCTCATGAAGGTTTTTTAAGGAGTAGCTCTTCTACACATTCTCAAGGCGGGTACTACAGTGGTGCTAAGGACATACCTATCAGCGAAATGAACATGTTCTCTTTAAGTTCCACAGTTAAGTCCACCTATTATAATAGCTGACATTTCTTGAACGATTATACTAAGTGGCAGACACTATGCATAGTGTTTGGTGTTTTGTTTTTTTGTTTTTGTTTTTTTTTTTTTGAGACGAAGTCTCACTCTGTCGCCCAGGCTGGAGTGCAGTGGCGTGATCTCGGCTCACTGCAACCTCTGCCTCCTGGGTTCAATGGATTCTCCTGCCTCAGCCTCCTGAGTAGCTGGGACTACAGGCATGCGCCACCACGCCCGGCTGATTTTTTTTTTTTTTTTTTGAGACAGAGTCTCGCTCTGTCACCAGGCTGCAGTGCAGTGGTGTGACCTCGGCTCACTGAAACCTCCACCTCCGGGTTTCAAGGGATGCTCCTGCCTCAGCCTCCCAAGTAGCTGGGACGGGGCCCGCCACCATGCCCAGCTAATTTTTGTATTTTTAGTAGAGACGGGGTTTCACCATGTTGGCCAGAATGGTCTCAATCTCCTGACCTCGTGATCCGCCCGCCTTGGCGTCCTAAAGTGCTGGGATTACAGGCGTGAGCCACCGCGCCCGGCCCTGATTTTTGTATTTTTATAGAGATGGGGTTTTGCCATGTTGGCCGGGCTGGTCTCCAACTCCTGACCTCAAGTGATCCACCCGCCTCAGCCTCCCAAAGTGCTGGGATTACAGGCGTGGGTCACCATGCCCGGCCTAAGAGCCAAAATTTTAATCAGTGGGAAATGCTGACTGCCACGCTCATTTAAGAGGAAAGGTCAGGATTTCGTGAGCTGCATTGTTCACTGACATCTACTTTAACGACTCCAGCCCAGCCTGAGCTAATCTTTTCCTAAATCCTTTGCATTTTCTTTCTACTGTCAATTTACACCTTAACAAAATAAAGGAGTTTTAGAGTAAGATAGAATCAACTTCAATCAACTCTCTTGAATTCGCTGGGGACCCTCTGCTCTAAAATATAGTACTATTCTTGCCTCTGGCATCCCTGGTTTTACCTTCGTCTTCCTACCTCCCTCCCACCTCCATCCATCCCCCCTCCCCCCATTCTTTTGAGTGCAGTGGCACGATCTTGGCTCACTGCAAACTCTGCCTCCCGGGTTCAAGCGATTCCCCCACCTCAGCCTCCCGAGTAGCTGGGATTACAGGCATGCACCACCATGCCTGGCTAATTTTTGTACTGTTGTATTTTCACCATGTTGGCCAGGCTGGTCTGAAACTCGACCTCAAATGACCCGCCTGCCTTGGCCTCCCAAAGTGCTGGGATTACAGGCGGGAGCCACTGCGCCCTCCTGGTCCACCCACTATTAACCCCTTATTTCCTACCCTTCACCTGCACCTCTTTGAGGGCCATTTCATTCCTGGAATAGCCTGTTTTCATTATTAGTTATGGGCCTATTTTCCTTACTATGTACAATTTTAAAGTCATAAAATAATTTTTCTTCAGATGTTAAAAATTGTGTTTACATTTAACCAGATAAAACACTTGTTATTAAGGGCATATGTTCAAAAATCTTCTTTTCCATTTATTTTCTCTAAGTCAGGCATATAAGCTGATATCATGTCTTACATATTTTAAACTAAATTTGACCTGAAGTCACCTCTGTTCCTTGAATCTCTACCTGATTGCAGCTCAGCTTAGTATGTTCACAAACTGAAAACCTAATTTAGGAGTACGTTATAAGTCCTCACTAAAAATGGTAGCTAGGTTCTTAGATATTGTAACTTTAAGTGAAATAAAGTATAAGGAAACCAATTTCACCATAAGCTAATTGATATAATGAGGAATTAACTTCCTATTGCATACTTATGGACATAAAAACATCACATAACTTCTAAATAAAGACCAAAACACTTCAAATACTGAACATTGAAATAAATTCCCGGTCTTGCCCAGGTGATCTCATCTCAGCCTCCCAAGTAGCTGGGACTACAGGGATCTTCTCCCTTTGTTTTTTTTCTAGCCCCACTTCCAGTTTGTTTCCACAGTACTTAGAGTGAGTTGCTGTTGTTTTTCTTCTTTGTTCTGTTCTCTCTTTATTTTCTTATGTTCCTTCCTGCACACTGAAGTTGCTGTTGTTTTAGATTTTCTTTTTTTGAGTGAGATCTTCTCACTCAGTCACCTGGCTGGAGCGATTAATAGCTGACTCTGGGTACAGTGCCTAAGCTAGCCTTGCTCTGCAAGGAACAGTTAAAAAAGAAAAGAAAGGAGAGGAGAGGGGAGGGGAGAAGGGAGGAGAGGGGAGGGGAGAAGGGAGGAGAGGGGAGGGAAGGGGAGGGGAGGGGAGGGGAAAAATTAATAAAAACTAAGATAACTATTTACCCAATGATTCCACTTGAGGTGGTAGACAACCCAAGCTTATCCTGGCAGCTCAGGGAACAAGGTGACACCAACCTTGGACAGGAGTCCGTCCCATCCTCAAGGCACACTCACACTCACACCCACACTCATGCTCACTCAGACTGGGACAACGTGAACACGCCAATGAACCTCAACATGCATATCTTTGGGATGTGGGAGGAAAGTGGAGTTACATGGAGAAAACCTACAAAGACATGAAGAGAAAGTGTGAACTTTACACAGACTGTGGCCCCAGCTGGAAATCTTTTTTTTTTTTTCTCATCAATGTTATAACGACATGCTATATATATTTTTGTTACAACTAGCTGAGTCTCAGCCAATCACAGCAACCAAACTTCAGCTAATCACAGCAACTGAGCTTCAGCCAATCACAGGATGCCAACTGATCAGACGATGCCCAAATAAGGCAAATTTGGAGCTTTAACCAGTCAAGCTGTTTGTGTACCTCACTTCCAGTTCTGTCTATAAATGCTCCCTGTCCACCTATTTGCCCAGTGGAACTCTCTGAGCCTCCTTTGGTTCTGAGGGCTGCTTGATTGGAGAATCATTCTTTGCTCAAATAAGCTGTTAAATTCAATTTGTCAAAAGTTTTTCTTTTTTTTTTTTTTTTGAGACGGAGTCTCGCTCCGTTACCCAGGCTGGAGTGCAGTGGCACGATCTCGGCTCGCTGCAACCTCCGCCGCCTCCCGGGTTCAAGTGATTCTCCTGCCTCAGTCTCCTGAGTAGCTGGGATTACAGGCGCACACCACCATACCTGGCTAATTTTTATACTTTTTGGTAGAGACGAGGTTTCACCATGTCGGCCAGGCTGGTCTTGAAGTCCTTACCTCAAGTGATGCGCCCGCCTCGGCCTCCCAAAGTGCTGGGATTACAGGCGTGAACCACTGCACCCGGCCTACAAGTTTTTCTTTCCACAGTATTATGTATCCTGTATTATGAGATAAACTTCTTGGGCAAAAAGCAAGCCATTAAAGGCTGAATATTTCAGCATGCCTAACTTAATAAAATTTAGGACATTTTAACTTTTGCTACAGTTAAAATCCACTAGACTTTTTGATCTGCTGCCATATTAGTTTGATTCAAAATAATGAGAGCAGATTTATTAAAATATGAAGTTGCATTTCATATTTTCCTTGTATTTTTTAAGTGAGAAAATTTCCTGGTATCATTTTAGCTATCATAAAATGCCTTTTAGGACTATGGAAATGAAAGATCTTGGACATAAATGATTTGGATAAAATAAGCACATGAAAATACTGCCTGAAAATAGTTTTAAAAGAATCCTGAGGAATTAGAAAAACGAGCTATTGTGAAACACTGTTAGTTTAGCCTTTAGTAAAACAGCAGAAATAACAAGCAATTTTGGTCAGAACAAAGAGAAAGAGAAAATTGTAAGTTCCACAAACGCAGAAACAGATTTTGCTCCAATTGGAAAGCTTCAGAAAGCTAAACCCTTCATTTACACAATCCAAGGCAGAGTGAGGGGCCTCTCTGTGTTGAGCTAAACTGAGCCTATAGTCACACATTCACACATTTGGCACTAGGACAGTTGTGAGGATAGGATCTGACAAACTTTTCACTGCCAAACATAACTCAGATGCTAGATGAGCATGACTCTAAGTATCTTTACACAGAGAGTTTAGAAATAACATTTCCCTACTCACTGGAATAAATAACCCATCCTTGAACTTGGAACCATCTAAACCATTGTAGATGGTTTAAGTCATGCAAAACAAAGTGCTTTTTGCTTTCTAGATCTTAGCTTAAGAATGCAATATTTTATCTAAATGACTAGGCAACTAAGGTTCGCTCCAATTTGAGGATTTTAAGTCTAGCCATATGTCTATTTCCAGGAAGCTTATCAGTTTTGTGTCTGGGGCTCCAGATAATGGAATACAGCAAATTATAAGCTTCATGGTTCAGCAGAAAAAACAAGTTTGGGGTCCAGTAATGTATAAAATAGTAACAGTAATGATAAAACAAAATGCATTCTTCTTTCAAACCATAGTTAGTAAATCCCATGAAAGTGTAATCCTAGATAAATGTAATCCCATGTAAATGACATAATTCTTTCTCCAGGTAAAAAGAGCTAACATAAATTGACCACTAATTATATGTTAACACAGTTATAAATACCTTTACTGCATTATCTTTTTTAATCCCCACAAAATTCTATAATCTATTATTACTATTTCATTTTTGCATGTATAAGAAATGAAAGGACAGAGGGTTAAATAATTTGCCCAGCCAGGCACGTGACTGTAATCCCAGCTACTCTGGAGGGTGAGGCGGGAGGATCACTTATTTTTTTTAAATTTAAAAAGAGATGGGGTCTCACTATGTTATCCAGGCTGGTCTTGAACTCCTGAGCTCAAGTGAGCTACCTGCCTTGGCCTCCCAAAGTGCTGGGATTACAGGTATGAGCCACCGTGCCTGGCCAAGAGGATCACTTGAGCCCAGGAGTTCAAGTCCAGCCTGGGCAACAGAGTGAGACTCTGTCTCAAACAAAGAAAACAAAGAAAAAATAATAATTTACCCTAAAAAAAATTAAAATAATAATAATAAAATAATAATAATTTGCCCAAAGTCACACAGGTAGTAAGCATTGAAATCTGTGGCAAACTCAGAAGGCCTGACTCAAGAATTCACGACACAACCACAACAGATTGTACACTACCGGGCAGTTTCCTGCTGCTCTGTGCATGGCCTGCTGGCCAACTCTGATGTGAGGTCAGTTGACTAAAAGAGATGTGGTTCAGGAAGCTGAGAATGATTGTGGTTACCTGTTCTAAGATAGAGAAATTGATTTTTAAAACTTCGAGTTGAAGTACGGGATGCCAAAAACCACGTATGAGTGACAGAGTGAGTGGGTCTCTTTCTGATGGATTAAGTCTTCAAAAAGACTTTCAGAATGAATCTCTATCTACCTTAATTTTGGGCAGTGTTAATTGTATTCATTTTTTCAACACATTTGATTGTGCATATACCATGGACAAGAAAGTTTGTTAAAAACTGAATGTATAAGGCTGGGTGCAGTGACTCACGCCTATAATCCCAGCACTTCAGGAGGCTGAGGCGGACAGATCACTTGAGCTTAGGAGTTTGGGACCAGCCTGGACAACATGGTGAAACCCCATCTCTACAAAAAACAAAAAAATTAGCTGGGCGTGGTAGCTTATGCCTGTAGTCCCAGCTACTTGGGGGGCTGAGATAAGAGGATCGCTTGAACCTGGGAGGTCAAGGCCACAGTAAGCCGTGATCGCACTACCGCACTCCAGCCTGGGTGACAAAATAAGACCCTGTCTCAAACAACCAACAACAGCAACAGCAACAAAAACCCTAATGTACAGGAAATTATTTTGGGGAGTAGTGGAAGATAGCTGGCAAGTTGGAGACTCTAACTTGAGATGTGGTACTACTTGTCTGTACATTTTTTTTCTCATTTCTGTCTACCCAAAGGTGTTATGTTTTTATTGTCTTAAGGGGGCCCTTCATTTGATGGCATAAAAAGTTATGACCAGCCATCTGTAGTTCAGTTAATAGGTCAAGAATATCAGCAGCTATTGTTATGTTGAGGTCATTATTTATCAAGCTTCAACACATAAAAAGCAAAAGTAGGCCGGGCGTGGTGGTTCACACCTGTAATCCCAGCACTTTGGGAGGCTGAAGCCAGTGGATCACTTGAGGTCAGGAGTTTGAGACCAGCCTGGCCAACATGGTGAAACTTAATCTCTACTAAAAATACAAAAATTAGCCAGGCATGGTGGCGGATGCCCGTAATATCAGCTACTTGGGAGGCAGAGGCAGGAGAATCACTTGAACCCGGGAGGTGGAGGTTGCAGTGAACTGAGATCGCGCCACTGAGAGCACTGCCTGGGCGACAAAGCAAGACTCCATCTCAAAGAATAAAATAAAATAAAATAAAATAAAATTAAATTAAAATAAAATAAAATATAAAATAAAATAAAATAAAATATAAAATAAAATAAAATAAAATAAAATAGCAAAAATAGTCCAAATGTCAGTTAACAGGGGGACCAAATTTATGGGTGAACATCCACAAGAAACATAAGTGGCCTCTAGGGAAGCCAATCTTTGCACAGAATTTTTGTTTAATGAGGTGGAGGGTATACAAGATATAGGCCAAAGGATAATTTAGGTTCTTATGACTGTGTCCTTGTTCTTTTCAAATCCTAGCTTCATCTCTGCTCCCACTGATGACACTATGAGACTTTGGAATTCTTCACTGTGTGTAAGACGATTTTATTACTGAGATAGCTACCGCTTTGTAGTTATGACCTGAGTAAACAAGGTTAGTCAACCCACAGGATTTTCATGTGTCCACAGATTTTTACTAGATAATTTATCTGTAATATCAGGAGGCAAAGTCTACCATGAATATACTGGCCAACATGTATCAGATGGAAAATTCTTGTGTAAGCAGATGATGTTTAACTTTTATCACATTTTTCTCTTTTGTTAGATAATGCCATACTTCGGCAGACAAGCAATTGTTTTCTAGCTATAAATATGAGTATTTTGCTTTTCAAGAGAAAAAATCTAGAAATTGTTTTCTTTACTTTAAAAAATTCATGTACTGAAGTCCTTCCTCTGCTTGTATTAATCCAATGATATCATTTTATATATTCTCTGAAATACTAAAATATTTCTGTAGTCCATATGTTTTCAAATTATGAATCATTTTATTTCTACATTTGGTACATAAACTATTACTGCTCCTGAGTAAATATGGATATACCACTTTATAGTGATTTTTTTTCTTCTTTTTCTCTTTTTCTATTTTTTTTTTTTTTTTTTTTGAAAACAGGGTCTTACTCCTGGCCTCAAGTGATCCTCCTGCCTCAGCCTCCTGAGTAGCTGGAATTATAGGCATGAGCTACCAGTAGTGATTCCTAAGTCCCCAGAAATTTGAGCTAATTTTTATTTATTTATTTATTCTTGTATTTACTTATTTTGAAGACAAGGTGTCGCTCCGTCACCCAGGCTGGAGTGCAATGGCATGATCATGGCTCACCGCAGCCTCCAACTCTTGGGCTCAAGCCATCCTTCTGCCTCATCTTCCTTAGTAGCTGGGACCATACGTGCAAGCCACCACACCCAGCTTGAGCTGATTTTTTTAATGTGATGAACTATGAGAAAACATATAGGAGCTAAATGATGAGAACTTAGAAACACAAAGACGGAAACAACAGACACTATGGTTTACTTGATGATAGAGGATGGGAGGGTGAAGAGGAGCAGAAAAGATAACTATTGGATAATGGACTTAATACCTGGGTGATGAAACAGTCTGCACAACAAACCCCTGTGACAAGAGCTTACCTATGCTGGCCCGGCATGGTGGCTCACGCCTGTAATCTCAGCACTTTGGGAGGCCAAGGCAGGCAGATCACTTGAGCTCAGGAGTTCTAGGCCAGTCTGGCCAACATGGTGAAACCGGATCTCTACTAAAAATACAAAAATTAGCCAGGCGTGGTGGCGGGTGCCTGTAATCCCAGCTACTCAGGAGGCTGAGACAGAAGAATGGCTTGAACCTGAAAGGCGGAGGTTGCAGTGAGCTGAGATTGCGTCACTGCACTCCAGACTGGGCGACAGGGCAAGACTCTCTCTCAAAAAAAAAAAAAAAAAAAGAAAGAGAGTTTACTTATGTACAAACCTTCAAATGTACCACCAAACCTAAAACAAAAGTTAAAAAAAGAAAGAAAAATAAATGTAGAAAAAAATATATATATATATGAACAACGCATAATCCTGGAAATATAAGGAAAAATTAAATTTTCTCCTCTGGGAAAAATTTATACAGTAATGATTCTTGCTCTTTAATTTTTGTTTGAAAGAAATCTAGACATTTAAAAAACCCCAGTGGTAGAATTGTCTTGTTAAAAAGGGACATCAAGTAAAAGGCCAGGGGAACATCAAAGAATTATGTTTCTTACCTGGCAAAACCAGTGTCTAGCTAAAATAATGGCTTGCAAATCAATCTTGTTGTTTAACCACTTCATTATCTGGTTTTCTCTAAGCAAAGAACATTATCTGTGTTGCCAATAATAGTACTGGGGAAAAACACACATTTTGAAAGTATGAAGAAACTCATTCTACCTTGAAATTCTCATTCAAGAGGAAATTATAGGCCACTGCAGGACCAGCGATTGAAAAACAAAGGTGTACAAAAACAAACAACTCAGGTTTCAAAGGCTAAAAACAAAGATAACAGGAAAGAACCTAAACTTGTGCAGCCTGTTTGCTTACTGTCTGAACAAATGCTGGGAATGCATGAGAAATTCTAAGCCCTGTGAACAAAAGTGTGAGCAGTAAGATGACGGGTGATCAATTTTCTTCCTTTCTCTATTTTTCATTTTTTCCCTATGATGAGCATATGCCACTTTTATGTTATAATGATAAAAAAGAAAGACTTAAAAAATGACTTTTGTTTTTCCAACTGTATACCAGTATCTATCTACACATAGCAACTGAGCACGCTAGTCCTGTCGTCTGGCACTCACACAAAAAGAGTGAATGTCAAAATCTAGGCAATTCTACCAGATTTCACGTAATGAAACTACCTTGAATAATTCCTTAATTCTTCACAAAATCATGTTTTTATTTAACTTCTATTTCTATCAAGCAATGTGGACTAACTACCCCTAATATTTAACTCTATTTAAACTGTGTATCAGGCCAGATGCTGGCTCACACCTGTAATCCAAGCACTTTGGGAGGCCAAGGCAGGTGGATCACTTGGGCTCAGGAGTTCAAGACCAGCCTGGGCAACATGGAGAAACCCCGTCTCTACAAGAATACAAGAAATTAGCTGGGTGTGGTGGCATGTGCTTATAGTCCCAGCTTCTTGTGGGGCTGAGGCAGGAGGATCGCTTGAGCCCAGTAGGCTGAGGCTACAGTGAGCTGAGATCATGCCACTGCACTCCAGCCTGGGTGACAGAGTGAGACCTTGTCTCAAAAACAAAACAAAAAACAGATTACACACTACATTAAATAAATAAAATACTCTCTGATGATGACTGATTTTGAATGAAAATACTCCATTCACTGGAATATATTTTCCATAAAAAATGACAAAAACATTGTCATTTTTTGTATTATTTCTTTTTCTTTTCTTCTTTTTTTTTTTTTGAGATGGAGTCTCACTCTGTCCCCCAGGCTGGAGTGCAGTGGCGCGATCTCAGCTCACTGCAACCTCTGCCTCCTGGGTTCACGCCATTCTCCTGCCTCAGCCTCCTGCATAACTGGGACTACAGGTGCCCGTCACCATGCCCAGCTAATTTTTTGTATTTTTAGTAGAGACAGGGTTTCACCGTGTTAGCCAGGATGGTCTCCATCTCCTGACCTCATGATCCGCCCGTCTCGGCCTCCCAAGGTGCTGGGATTACAGGCGTGAGCCACCACACCCAGCCTTATTTCTTTTTCTTTTTTGGAGATAGAGTCTCGCTCTGTTGCCCAGGCTGGAGTACAGTGGCCCAATCTCGGCTCATTGCAACCTCTGCCTCCTGGGTTCAAGCAATTCTTCTGCCTCAGCCTCCTGAGTAGCTGGGATTACAGGCAGACACCACCAGGCCTAGCTAATTTTTGTATTTTTAGTAGAGACGGGGTTTCACCATGTTGGCCAGGCTGGTCTTGAACTCCTGATCTCAGGTGATCCACCTGCCTCAGCCTCCCAAAGTGCTGGGATTACAGGTGTGAGCCACCACACCCGACCTATTATTTCTTGTATTATTAAAATCATTTCAGGAATTTGTAAAAGTTACAGTAATAAAACTCGTACTGCAACCATGACTAGAACATGGCCTTTGTAAAGAATCCATTTACAGGCTCATAAGATTTGGTGTTGTGGATGGATGGCTATGGAGCTGCTCAAGCTTGTGTTTGCACTTATCAGAATTCAAGGCAGTTAGAAAGAGTTTCCAAGTGCTGATGTGCTGGAGAAGAAAGGGCATGCTGCAGTGTAGAAACCACGGGAGAAACAATTGCGTCACCTAGTTTCAAACTGTGAGAAAACTACTAGCGAACTAGAAGAATATTTAACTTCCTAAACCTGAGAGATCTACATCTTAAAGAATATAGATTCTACTCTAGGCACATCATAGTCAAACTGATAAAAAATAAAAATAAAAATAAAAATAAAATTACAGCAGCCAGTAAAAGACTACACGTTACATTCAGCATAGCAATAATGTAAACATTGTTGACTTCTCATCAGAAACTCTACAGGCCAGAAGACAAGAACCAATATCTTTAAAGTTATGAAAGAAAGAAAAACAAAGTAGCCACGCAGAATTCCATATCTAGCAAAAATATCCTTCAAGAATGAAATAAAGGTATTTCCATTTATAAAGACATATCATGTAGATAAAAGAAAACTAAGATATTTCACTGCCAGAAGACTTATAAGAAATCCTGGCCAGGCGCGGTGGCTCACTCCTGTAATCCCAGCACTTTGGGAGGCTGAGGTGAGTGGATCACTTGAGGTCAGGAGTTCAAGACCAGCCTGGCCAACATGGTGAAACCCTGTCTCTATTAAAAATACAATTAGCCAGGCATGGTGGCATGCACCTGTAATCCCAGCTACTTGGGAGGCTGAGACAGGAGACAGGAGAATTGCTTATACCCGGGAGGTGGAAGTTGCAGTGAGCTGAGGTCTCGCCACTGCACTGCAGCCTGGGTGGCAGAGCAAGATTCTATCTCAAAAAAATAATAAAAACATGAAAAAAAAGAAATCCTAAAGGAAAATTTCCAGGCTAAAGGGAAATGATACCAGAGAGAAACAGATTTTCAGGAAGAAATGAAGAACATCAGAAATGGCAAATATCTGGATAAAAACAAAAGATAATTTTCCCCTTATTTTTTAAAAAATGCACTGTACTGTAGGGTTTAGTACATATATAGATAATACATATGACAGCTATAATATAAAAGATGAGGGTAGAGTGGGGTAGATGCACCTACATTGTTTGCAAATTTTGACGATGGTCTATGAAAATTTAAAGTCATTTATTCTCAGCTGGGTACAGTGGCTCATGCCTGTAATGCCAGCTCTTTGGGAGGCCGAGGTGGGCAGATCACTTGAGGTCAAGAGATCGAGGCCAGCCTGGCCAACATACTGAAACCCCGTCTCTACTAAAAATACAAAAATTAGCCAGGCGTGGTGGCACGTGCCTGTAATCCCACTACCTGGGAGGCTGAGACAGGAGAATTACTTGAACCCAGAAGGTGGAGGTCACAGAGAGCCAAGATTGTGCCACTGCACCCCAGCCTGGGCAACAGAGTGAGACTCTGTCTCAAAAAAATAAAAATAAAAATAAAGTCATTTATTGTAATCTTCAGAGCACCACTGAAAATGTGATGCAAAGAGGATAACTAGAAAGTCAACAGGTAAATTAATATTAAATTCTAAAACCTATTCAAATAATCCTAGAGAAGTCAGGAAAGGAAGAATAAGCAAACAAAGAAGAGAAGGGACATATAGAAAACAAATAGCAAAACAGTAAAGTTAAATCTAACTGTGTCATTACATTAAGTATAAAGGGGCTAAACATCACAAGTAAAAAAAACAGAGATCATTAGATAGGATTTTAAGAGGAAAATCTAACCACATGATGTCTATAAGATAAGCACCTTAACTATAAGACACAGGTTGAAAGAAAATGGAAAGAAAAATATGCCATGTGAAAAGTAGGCTTTAGAAGATTGGACTGGCTGTATCTATCAGAAGAAATAGACTTAAAACAAAGACTTTTACCAGAGATAAAGAAGGAAATTTCCTAATGATAAAATGATCAGTTCATTAGGAAATAATAATAATCATAAAGATGTGTGTGTGGTTGGGCACGGTGGCTCATGCCTGTAATCCCAGCACTTTGGGAGGCTGAGGTGGGTGGATCACCTGAGGTCAGGAGTTAGAGACCAGCCTGAACAACGTGGCAAAACCCCGTCTCTACTAAAAATACAAGAATTAGCTGGGAGTGATGGCATGTGCCTGTAATCCCAGTTACTCAGGAGGCTGAGGCAGGAGAATTGCTTGAACCCAGGAGGCAGAGGTTGCAGTGAGCCGAGCCGAGATCATGCCATTGCACTCCAGCCTGGGCAACAAGAGCAAAACTCCACCTCAGAAAAAAAAAAAAAAGTATATGTGCCTAATAACAGAGGTTCAAAATACATAAAGCAAAAATTGACTGAATTAAAAGAACCAAAAGACAATTCTACCACTAGAGGTGGAGATTTTAAAACACTCTTAGTAATGGACTGACCAACTAGGCAAAAAATAAATAAATAAATAAATAAATAAATAAATAAATAAATAAATAATTACTCTAGACATAGATCCTACTTTATGAGTTGGTTAAGTTGGTGACTGGGAAGGATCTTCATGAGATGAGCTCTTGTAGGAGGGACACTCCATTCTTTGTAACACTACTGATGAAGGAAAAGTAATAAAAACGTTTTAAAAATGAGTATGTCTATTGCACCACTGCACTCCAGCCTGGGCGACAGAGCAAGACTCCATCTCAGGAAAAAAAAAAAAAAAAAAGAGTAAGTCTGAAATATTTCTATTCCTATTTCTCTATGTGTTCTGCATTAGTTTTTCTTGTAACTTTTTTTTTTTTTTTTGAGATGGAATTTCACTCTTTTTGCCCAGGCTGGAATGCAATGGCACAATCTTGGCTTACTGCAACCTCTGCTTCCTGGGTTCAAGTGATTCTCCCGCCTCAGTCTCCCAAGTAGCTGGGATTACAGGCACGTGCCACACCTCCCGGCTAATTTGTGTATTTTTAGTAGAGAAGGGGTTTCACCATGTTGGCCAGGCTGGTCTCTAACTCCTGACCTCAGGTGATCCACCCACCTTGGCCCCCCAAAGTGCTGGGATTGCAGGCATGAGCCACCACACCCAGCCCGTAACATAATTTATTTAGGCTTCAAAAATTGTCCAAGCAACATTTTCTTTTTCTTTCTTTCTTTTCTTTCTTCCTTCCTTCCTTCCCTCCCTCCCTCCTTTTCTTTCTTTCTTTCTTTTTCTTTCTTTCTTTCTTTCTCTGTTTCTCTCTTTCTCTCTTTCAGTGAAAGCAAGTTTATTAAGAAAGTAAAGGAATAAAGAATAGCTGCTTCACAGATAGAGCAGTCCTGAGGGCTGCTGGTCAAGCACCATTTTCTAGACCTGTCCTGTACAGATTTCCCTCCCTTTCCATTTTCTTTACATAACATCAAGAATCATTTATGTTCCTTTGGTAATGTTTCATTCTACATTGCTTCTTCATAACACATGTGCTGTAGATCTTACTAGCAGTATTAGCCAGCAGATGGCTTGTTTATTGTGGTGGTATACTGCTGATGGACTGAAATGATGGCATAAATAGGCTAATTCACTTTTATGTTTTTTCTTCTTTCTTCAAAAGATATAATAAAACAAGACAGAAAACAATTTTTTGACAGATGAAATTGATAATGTTTAGACCGTAAGTCTGGTCTTTGAAAAAAAAAAAAGCCATCAGAAAGTTTCTCACTTTCCTTCTCAAGTCCTCCTGTTTCTGCTAATAGGCACAGCCTCTGACTCCCTTTTATGAAGAACAGATTATAGCACAGATTTAGCCCAAGCTGTTTCTGCTAGGAGAGCTGCTTCTTCCTAAGAAGCGTGCTATAGAACTGGGCAGTCCACTCTCCATTCTCCTAGCCTTGGTATTTTCTGGCTGCGAGCTTTGGATATGTCAGCTAACCTATTCAGCTTATTATTTCATTTCTAATAGAGGCATAACAAGGAAAGGGCTGTCTCTCCTATTTCAAGGGATTGCGGCAAACACTACATTAGATTTCTGTGAATACTCCTTGTAAAAGCGTGAGGCATAATACAAATATCAGATATCAGCGTGAGTTTTCTATTTCATTAGACCTATTTCATTAGAAAAGGTGAAAGCTCTATTATCACTCTCTTAATTGTTTTAGCTCCTTTTTGCTTCACCTTCCCTTTTATTTCTAGTGTCTACTTTGTGCAATTAGGCCTCACGGCTCATGTGTGTTTGTGAAAAAGAATTTTTAAATGTCTTCTATTTGCTATGAGAACATACCCTACTCTTTGTCTAAGCGTAATTTCTAATCATATAACCTGAAGCATATTCTCCGATCTCATAAAGTGGCATTCTTCTGATTCTGATTAGATGTACAGCCCTAATATCATAGTGCAAGTATACATGCCCTCCCATAAGTATTCTGAAGTATGATTCACCCTAGGTTTTCAAATCTCTTCCTTGCCCTAGAAAACAAACTTGGACTCATGTGTTTGCCCACTTTATTCAACTCCTCTGTCTTCTACTCCAGCAAATAGACTCATTCCTCATTCCTCCCAACACTTAAATATGCTTCACAATCCACAAAGCTGTACCTGATGATATATATATATATATATATATATATATATATATATATATATATATTTTTTTTTTTTTTTTTTTTTTTTAAATGACAGGCAGGTAATGTGCAGACATCATAACAAGGCTTGAAGGAGGCATATCTCACACAGGAACATGAAAACCCAATCATCACACTTATAAACGACAAAGGGATCTAGTATATACGTTTTAGATACTGAAAAGAAGACATAACAAAAGGACTTTTAGGGTAAAATTGATTGCAAGGCTAGGTATGGTGGCTCACACCTGTAATCCTAGCACTTTGGGAAGCCGAGCTCAGCAGATTGCCTGAGGTCAGGAGTTCGAGACCAGCCTGGCTAACATGGTGAAACCCTGTCTCCATTAAAAATACAAAAATTATCCAGGCATGGTGGCTCATGCCTGTAGTCCCAGCTACTTGGGGGGCTGAAGCAGGAGAATCGCTTGAACCCTGGAGGTGGAGGTTGCAGTGAGCCGAGATCGTACCACCGCACTCCAGCCTGGGCGACAGAGCAAGACTCCGTCTCCAGAAAAAAAAAAAAAACAAAAAAAAAATTAATTGCAGTGTATTCGAGTGTTGGGTTAGGTAAGAATAAATAAACAAGGCCGGGCGCGGTGGCTCACGCCTGTAATCCCAGCACTTTGGGAGGCCGAGGCGGGCGAATCACAAGGTCAGGAGATCGAGACCATCCTGGCTGACACGGTGAAACACCATCTCTACTAAAAATACAAAAAAATTAGCTGGGCATGGTGGCGGGCGCCTACAGTCCCAGCTACTCGGGAGGCTGAGGCAGGAGAATGGCGTGAACCTGGGAGGCGGAGCTTGCAGTGAGCTGAGATTGCGCCACTGCCCTCCAACCTGGGCAACAGAGCAAGACTCTGTCTCAAGAAAAACAAAAAACAAAAAACAAACAAACAAAAAAATATTTCCCCCCAAACCTTGCCTTTGTGTAGAGCTTTACTACAGAATGTATCCTGTACATAACAGGAAACAGGTTGTATTTTTCCAATAATACCTGGATCATCATTAGTCCAGAAGGTTCTTGGATCGGGCTTGGTCAGGATGTTGGCATGATTACATGGCTCTCTCACCTTTAAAACATAAAGAGAAAAGAAGTGATATAAAAATGGCTTCATCATTTCAGCTATTTTAGGCTTATAGTTCTAGAGAAAGGATTCCAAGGCTGAAACTAGTACATATGGCATGTCTGTGCTCTAATTAGGGTGGTTTTCTCAGGACCGTGCTGGGTATAGCACTGAAAGTCCCATATCCTGGGAAGCCTTTTAGTCCTGGGCAAACCGGGACAGTTGGTCCCCTTACACATGAAGCAGTTTCACTGGGCTGATGGCTGGGTTAGCACATGGGCGCTGGAGCTCACCCAGTGCTATGTGCAGTGCACAAACTGCACAGCCGTATGAAGAGGCCCTGGATTATTAGCAAATTTATCAGTGTAGACACTCAATACATAAAAAGTGTTTGAATCTCCACATAACAGAAATGATACTTTTAGTACATATTGCTTGGGAAAATACATATTAATTAAAAGCTACTTTTAATTCAGTAGCACTTTAAATGCTTTTTTTGTTTGTTTGAGACAGTCTTATTCTGTTGCTCAGGTTGGAGTGCAGTGGTGCAATCTCAGCTCACTGCAACTTCTGCCTCCTGGGTTCAAGCGATTCTCCTGCCTCAGCCTCCTGAGTAGCTGGGATTATAGGCGTGTGCCACCACGCCTGGCTAATTTTTGCATTTTTAGCAGAGACGGGGTTTCACCATGTTGCCCAGGCTGGTCTCGAACTCCTGACCTCAAATGATCCGCCCACCTCGGCCTCTCAAAGTGCTGGGATTATAAGCGTGAACCACCGCACCTGGCCTGCATTCTTATTTTATAATCATAACAGGATCTTTATATTCTCAAATAGCAGCACATGTACATATGCAATATGTATTATTTAGTCCACTTAGAGGCTCTTCTTAGTGCAGATACATGTTTTTAATGATAAATAATATTTATTGAGCATTTTCTGTCAGGTATTTTTTCATTTTTAAAAAAATTTCAATAGATTTTTGGGGAACAGATGGTGTATGGTTACATGGATAAGTTCTTTAGTGGTAATCTCCGAGATTTTGGTGCACCCAACACCCAAGCAGTGTACACTGTACCCAGTGTGTAGTCTTTTATCTCTTGCCCCACTGTCACCCTTCCCCTTGAGTCCCCAGAGTCCATTGTATCCTCTTTATGCCTTTGCGTCCTCATGGCTTAGCTCCCACTTATGAGTGAGAACATATGATATTTGGTTTTCCATTCCTGAGTTACTTCACTTAGAATAATGGTCTCCAATTCCATCCAGGTTGCTGCAAATGCTATTATTTTGTTCTTTTTTGGCTGGGTAGTATTCCATGTATGCGTATATATATATATACACATATATATGTGTATATATAGATATACACACACACATACATATACACACATACACGCATGTATATATATGTATGTGTGTATGCATACGCATACATGTATGTGTATATATGCATATACATACATGTATGTGTGTGTATATATATATACACACACACGTGTTTTTTTCGTATATGATTTCTTTTCCTCTCGATAGATACACAGTAGTGGAATTGCTGGGTCAAATGGTAAATCTACTTTTAGTTCTTTAAGGAATCTGCATACTGTTTTCCATAGTGGTTGTACTCAGATACAATTAATAGATTTCATATAACAAGTTCCACAGAGCAGCAGTGATCCATGTTTTTGACAGCTTTATACTACTGTGATATTAGCTTTCAAATATATTCTCAGGCCAGGCGTGGTGGCTCACCCCTGTAATCCCAGCACTTTGGGAGGCCGAGGCGGGCGGATCAGCTGAGGTCAGGAGTTCGAGACCAACCTGGCCAACATGCTGAAATCCCGTCTCTACTAAAAATACAAAAATTAGTCAGGCATGGCAGCGCATGCCTGTAATCCCAGCTACTCAGGAACCTGAGGCAGGAGAATCGCTTGAACCCGGGAGGCAGAGGCCGCAGTGAGCTGAGATCGTGCCACTGCACTCTAGCCTGGACGACAAAGCGAGCCTCTGTCTCAAAAAAACAAACAAACAAACAATCAAATATATTCTCATGAAGTTAAATATAGATCTTAGTGTTAAAACTGCTTTTCCATTTATATATATTTTGTAATGTGATCATTTGATTACTGCAAATATTCTATAGTTTCATCAACTACTTAGTGGATAAATTCCTTCCATTGCAACAATAATCAAAATACTCAAGAATGACACTAAGGTCATTGTTTAGTTTCACCGACATTTTCTCTTTATAACAAGGCTTTTGTTTTTCTTTGTTGAGATGGAGTCTCGCTTTGTTGCCCAGGCTAGAGTGCAATGGTGTCATCTCGGCTCACTGCAACCTCTGCCTCCTGGGTTCAAGTGATTCTCCTGCTTCAGCCTCAATAGTAGCTGGGATTACAGACGTGCTCCACCACGCCTGGCTAATTTTTGTATTTTTAGTAGAGATGGGGTTTTGCCATGTTGGTCAGACTGGTCTTGAACTTCTGACCTCAGGTAATCCGCCCACATTGGCCTCCCAAAGTGCTGGGATTACAGGCATGAGCCACCGTGCCAGGCCTGTGAAGCTCTATTGACGAAGGAAGCAGTGCATGAATTTACCATCTGGTACAAGCTCCTTCTCTTGTGGACCAGTATCAAAGAATATGTGGAAATCAGAGAAATTGGGATCTCAAAGAGGTATTTTCACTTCCATGTTCATTACAACTTTATTCACAACAGCCAAGATGAGGAAGCAACCTAAATGTCTACTGACGGATAAATTGATAAAGAAATGTGGTAAATACATACAATGGAATATTATTTGGCCTCAGAAAGAAATCATACCATATGTGACAACGTGGATGAAACTGGAAGATGTTATGCTAAGTGAAATTAGCCAGTCACAGAAGAACAAATATTGCACGATTCCGCTTACATAAGGTATGTAAAATAGCTAAACACATAGAAGCAGAGAATAGAATGGTGGTTTCCAGGGGCTGCAGGGAGGGGCAAATGGGAAAATGCTTGAGTTGCTATTCAATGGGTATAAAATTTAATTTAGGCAAGACGACTAATTTCTAGAGATCTGCTGTACAACATGGTGCCTAGAGAACATTACTATATTGTGCACTTGAAAAATTGTTAAGGCCAGGTGCAGTGGCTCACACCTGTAATCCCAGCACTTTGGGAGGCCGAGGCGGGTGGATCACGAGGTCAGGAGTTCGAGACCAGCCTGGCAAACATGGTGAAACCCCATCTCTATTAAAAATACAAAAATTAGCCGGGCATGGTGGCGGGCACCTATAATCCCAGCTACTCGGGAGGCTGAGGCAAAATCTGGGAGGTAGAAGTTGAGGTGAGCCGAGATTGTGTCACGGCACTCCTGCCTGGGCGACAGAGCAAGACTCCGTCTCAAAAAAAAAAAAAAAAAAAAAAATTTTAAAAGGGCCAGGCATGGTGGCTCACGCCTGTAATCCCACACTTTGGGAGACTGAGGCGGGTGGGTCGCCTGAGGTCAGGAGTTTGAGACCAGCCTGGCCAACATGGTGAAACCCCGTCTCTACTAAGAATACAAAAATTAGCCAGGTGTGGGGGCACACGCCTGTAATCCCAGCTACTCAGGAGCCTGAGGCAGGAGAATCGCTTGAACCTGGGAGGCAGAGGTTGCAGTGAGCCAAGATTGTGCCACTGCACTCCAGCCTGGGCGACAGGGAGACTCTGTCTCAAAAAAAAAAAAAAATTGTTAAAAGGATAGATCTCATGTTATGTGTTCTTTCCACAATAACACAAAATCTAGAATAGATTGCCATCCTATTTTGTCAGTATATCAGAAAGGAACAGAAGACATTTGATACATAAATATGTAAGTGGTCTATATTTTATAAGTGGAATTTTTTTTTGTAATTGTAATACATTTTTCATTTATAGGAAACATGATTGTAGATGTAAGACTGAAGGAAAAAATGCCATTAAAATTTAAATCTCAAGAAAAAAGGACAGGCCTCTTGCCTCTTTGCCTCATTGAAATCCTGAAAGCAAGATGCATCAATAGCAGCTCTACAAGAGCCATTAGTGAAAATTTGGCCAGGGTTCTCGCTCTTGTTGCTTCTGCTCCAACCAGCATGGTTTGACCCAGATTATGTGCAGCCAATTTTTCCATCAGTATGCAAAGTAAGAGGTAGACTTCATTACGTTGGGCTAAGTGATCTTCCTTGAATAGATTACCAAAATCATCCACCCAGTGAAAGAAACCATGCTAGCTCTTTGCACGTAAAATAAATTAAAAAGAAAATAAAAGAAAGAAGAAGAACAAGAAAAAGAATGTGTGGAGCAGTAACATTTCCTGGACTACATTTTGAGCAGCACTGTAAAATATCCCTCCTACTGAATCACTTGAACCCGGGAGACTGAGGTTGCAGTGAGCCGAGATGGCTCCACTGCACTCCAGCCTGGCGAGAGAGCGAGATTCCGTCTACAAGGAAAAAAAAAAAAAAAAAAAAAAATCCCTCCTACCTGACTAAGCAGCCTCAGTATGAATCCCTTCTCAGGATTTATCTACTCCACTGAAGTACTACTTCAATTGTTAGAAAGCTCTTCACAGGTTGAATTGAAATCTGGGTCCTTGAAACTTTGGTTCCTGTTTTTTTGTTTTTTGTTTTTTGTTTTTTTTGGGGGGGACGGAGTCTCTCTCTGTCGCCCAGGCTGGAGTGCAGTGGTGCGATCTCGGCTCACTGCGAGCTCCGCCTCCCGGGTTCACGCCATTCTCCTGCCTCAGCCTCCCGAGTAGCTGGGACTACAGGCGCCTGCCACCACGCCCGGCTAATTTTTTGTATTTTTAATAGAGACGGGGTTTCATCATGTTAGCCAGGCTGGTCTTGATCTCCTGACCTCGTGATCCACCCGCTTCAGCCTCCCAAAGTGCTGCGATTACAGGCGTGAGCCACCGCGCCCGGTGATTCCTGTTTTTAACTCACTCTTAAATTACAAAGAACAGGTCTACTCTCTCTTTTATGAAATAATATCTCAAATATTTGAAAGTAGCTATTATGTCTCACCTTAGCTTTCCATTTCCAAGTTAACCAGCCCTCTTCCCTTTCACTGCTCTCGAGGAGCTTATTTTAAGTCTTTTTACTGAGGTCACTCTGCCCCAGAAGACATCCTTTCCAGTAAGTGAACTAGTCCTCAGGGAGCTCCCAGGCCAGGGTTAGATAATAGTCACAAAACTAAGGAGTTGGTTTTGAGGGACAGCTTTCAGGAAGGACAGCCAGCATTATTTCCACATACAAGTAATTAAAATGTTCCCAAGCACCTATAAATCTAACATACCATGGGAGTAAAGAATGCTTTATGACTTAGCCACTTTTAATATTTTTTAATGCCAAAAAGTTTTAATTGATTTTCTACAGTAACTATATACCTATTTGGGAAAATTGCCATATGCGAGCTTTCTTTCTGCATTAAGCTCCAGTTACCTTGTTTCCTTGAGGCTTTCGTATGAAGCAAATGCCATTCTTACAGATCTCATTTACTTGTGAATGATTATCACTATTTGTTCAATAAAATCTTCCCCACGTTGAAGCTGCTCCTGATGAAGTCAGGGTCTTCAAGAATTCTTGTTCTCTGTGTCATTATCATACAAGTATCACACCATTCTTTATGGTTCTCAAGAACCAAAGCATCCGCGGCAAATTACCCGGAGAGCTCATATAGTAAATTTTAAGCACAAGTTTATAGAAATCCTTGAACTATATATACTGCAACTGTTTACAGGCAATGCTCTATAACTCCTATAGCTTTAGGTACTTTGCAGAAGCGAGAAAATTTATTATCAGATAAAGTCTTGGCCGGGTATGGGGGGTCACGCCTATAATCCCAGCACTTTGGGAGGTTGAGGCAGGCAGATCTCCTGAGGTCAGGAGTTTGAGACCAGCCTGGCCAACATGGTGAAACCCTGTCTCTCCTAAAAATACAAAATTAGCCGGGTGTGGTGGCGCACACCTGTAATCCTAGCTACTCTGAAGGCTGAGGCAGAAGAATCACTTGAACCTGGGAGACGGAGGTTGCAATGAGCTGAGATCATGCCATTGCATTCCAGCCTGGGTGACAAGAGCAAAACTCTGTCTCAAAATAAATAAATAAATAAATAAATAAAATGTCCTCATGAAACACCTGTGGCTTAGCATTCCAGCCTGGGTGACAAGAGCAAAACTCTGTCTCAAAATAAATAAATAAATAAATAAATAAATAATAAATAAATAAAATGTCCTCATGAAACACCTGTGGCTTAGCAGGAAGTTGGAAGCTAAAGAAGTGACCAGCGCCTGGAGTTTGGCTCCTGGCTGAATCCACATGGGCTCTTTGGTTCTTTCTTTCTTTCCCTGGAATAAGGATTCAAGGAGAATTTCTCCAATAGGATATATGCCATGGGAGTATGATTGAGGAGGGGCAAAAACGTGATATAATAAGAACAGCAAAATAACAGTATGCAATTTTAAAATATTTTATTATAGAAAGCTTAAAGCATACACAACAGTAAACTGTATAATAAACCTCTATGTACCTATCAACCAACTTTAACAATTATCAATATTTTGCTAATCTTATTTTTACCTATCTTGCCTTACTTTTTGGCTGGAATATTTTAAATCAAGTCTCAGACATCATAACAATTATCTGTAAGTTATTAAAAAAAATTTTTTTTTTTGTAGAGACGGGGTCTCACTTGTTTTCCCAGGCTGGTTTCAAACTCCCAGCTTCAAGCAATCCTCCCACCTCGGCCTCCTAAAGTGCTAAGATTAGGTGTTAGCCACCACTCAAGGTTTATAATTTCTTCAGAATGTGTTTCTGACAACTTTTTTTTGCCTAACCACCATGCCATTATCACAACTAACAATTTCAACAATAATTATGTTTATTAAAATTAAGGCTCACGCCTGTAATCTCAGCAATTTGGGAGGCCGAGGCAGGCGGATCAACTGAGGTCAGGCGTTCGAGACCAGCCTAGCCAGCATGGTGAAACCCCGTCTCTACTAAATATACAAAAATTAGCTGGGTGTGGTGGCGCATGCCTATAATCCCAGCTACTCAGGAGGCTGAGGCAGGAGAATCCCTTGAACCTGGGAGGCGGATGTTGCAGTGAGTCACCGTACTCTAGCCTGGGTGACAGAGGGATACGCTGTCTCAAAAAAAAAAAAAATTAATGAAAGTAATTAAAGTTTAGTTATTTAATAAATGACAGCATGTACATTCTGAAAAACAGAATATGTGCAGTATTCTGCAGACAGAATAATTTGAATAAAATTTGAATTTAAAAGATACCATTTCAAACTGTAAGCCCCCTAAAAATCAGTGGACCTTGGCTTCACTTGTTTAAATCCTCATGGCTTCTAGAAGTTTTGGGTGGGGGGACATCTTTAAAAATTATTTTTCTAACAGAAGTCTTACTATTTTTCAACTTATTTTCTATGAGTCCTAGGAGGTAGAAAGAGATTTTTCTTGTCTGATAGACTTGAAAGTATTGGGTTAGGTAAGTGGAAGAAAGATCATATTTAGAAGGTAACCGTTGAATGTTTAATCACTATTGTTTTGACATCTAGAAGTATTGTCATAGGTTACAATTTAAACATCAGAAGATGGGGGTGTATGAGAATATCACATTTAGGGAGATGTCAGTTGTCCAGAAGTTTTGCAGAGAATCTGGAAAATAAACATGAGAGTAAGTTTTCTTTCTTTCTTTCTTTTTTTTTTTTTGAGAGAGCTTTGTTGCCCAGGCTGGAGTACAGTGGCTGGCTGACTACAACCTCCGCCTCCTGGGTTCAAGCAATTCTCGTGCCTCAGCCTCCTGAGTAGCTGGGATTATAGGCGCCTGCCACCATGCCTGGCTAATTTTTGTATGTTTAGTAGAGACAGGGTTTCACCATGTTGGCCAGGCTGGTCTCGAACACCTGACCTCAAGAGATCTGCTCACCTCAGCCTCCTAAAGTGCTGGGATTACAGGCATGAGCCACGGCGCCTGGCCGAGAGTAAGTTATTAATAGTTCTACTGATGTCAGAAATAAGATGTAGTCTGAATTCCATGAATTGTTTCCAGTTAATGGAAAGTTGAATTGTGGTGGAATTGGTAGGGAAAAAAAGCAGTTATGGTCCTCTGTCTCCATTCTAGTTCATCCTTATTTAAAGAATATTACTCCAGGCAGTGAGCACATGCGCGCGGTGGCTCATGCCTGTAATCCCAGCACTGTGGGAGGCCGAGGTGGGCGGATCACCTGAGGTCAGGAGTTCCAGACCAGCCTGGCCAAAATGGCAAAACCCCGTCTCTACTAAAAATATAAAAATTAGGCCAGGCGTGGTGGCTCACGCCTGTAATCCCAGCACTTTGGGAGGCTGAGGCAGGTGGATCACCTGAGGCTGGGAGTTCGAGACCAGCCTGACCAACATGGAGAAACTACGTCTCTACTAAAAATACAAAATTAGCCAGGCGTGGTGGTGCATGTCTGTAATCCCAGCTACTTGGGAGGATGAGGCAGGAGAATCGCTTGAACCCAGGAGGCGGAGGTTGCAGTGAGTTGAGATCGCGCCACTGCACTCTAGCCTGGGTGACAGAGCAAGACTCCATCTCTAAAAACAAAAAAAGAACATTTCTTCAACAAAATAAATATATTCACGTATGCATAAATTTTTTAAAACTTTTTTTCTTTTTATAAAAAAATCAGTTTTCTCAGGTTGAAATGTTAAAATCACCTCTGATGAAGATAGAGAACTAAAATATAAAATATGGGTTTGTCTCTGATTCCTTTTTGGTTTATAATAATTTGCATATGGCTTTCCATGGATCACTTTAGCAGTTTGTGCTAAAGTCATTAGTTCTTCCTAAGATACAAAAGAAATTCTCAAAATGCTTGTTTCCTATTAGGCAGGGAAGTTGTTTTTCTCATCTCTCAAGTTGCATGACCAAAAGTAGCAAAAATACTTTATCTCTAGGGAAGTGAAAGCTTGCTTCTCAAATTGCTTTAGTGAGGCTTTAGGAAATGGCCCCTGGCTGGTATCATAGGATATAATACCGTCTTGCAAATAGTAATTTTGAATTCAGTTCTTTGTATCTATGAGATAAAAGAGTCTTCTTCCATTGACTGTCTTAGATGGGCTTATCACATTCAACAGTATTTACTGAGCATTTGTTTTAAGAAACTACTACCCTAGTTGCTAACTCATTGCTCCCTAGACATTGTATTTGGATTGAGGAGCAGAACATAGACATCAACAAAACAGATCTGGAACCCGATATCATGTACCTCTAAATGTGAAGTATGCGGTAGAGCTAATGTTTTGTCAGAGTTTAAAGAAGGAAGCAATAATATGGGCAAAGTTGTTGAGCAAGGCTTCAGGGAGGAAGTAGAACCTGAACAGGCTTTTAAAAACACTGGCACCATTTGGATTGGTGAGGAGGCGGTAGAAGGGTGTCCTCTCTGGGTGGGACAGCACAAACAAAGGTGTGGGAACAAAACTCAACAAGGCACATTTGGGCAACACTTGGTTGAGCAATTCCATGGGAGTGCAAGACTCATGGGCGAAATCATTGGAAGCCACATGGTGGAAGGCTTTAAATGTCAATGTGTTCTTCATGCCATGGAAATTCAGAAGGCTTGGCAGTTTGCAGGAAAGACCAGAATTGAAGAATACAGGAGCTGAGGGGATCAGGGGACTGCTATAACAACAGGGAGTTGACAGAGCACGAACTCACATGGGAGCTCTGAAAGTGAAAAGGCAGGGATGGGTGTGGAGGGCAGCTAGAAGAATGCTTTGCAAGACTTGAAGAATGACTGAAAACTAGGGAAGATGGGGGAATCCAAAACATTTCATGGCTTTGGAATTTGGTGACCAGGCAGATGGTCATAGAGGGTCAAAGCTGTCCACGAGCTCCAGCAACAGGAGGAAGCACAGCATTCTGTGCTCAGACTAGTGTGGCAGGCCTGCAGAATGCGTGTGGGCCCTTGTTCCTGTGCTTGGCTGAGGGCTTCCTGAGAGCAGTTGCTCCATCTCTGACCCACCGGACCACTACTGCCTTTGGATCCTGGGTGGTGGGCTTCACTCACACAGTCGAATGGGTTTCTCATGCCTTTGTCCCTGGGCTACAGTCCTCCACTTCACACCACACCGGTCAAGATGGAATGTGGCCACATTATCTCACTACAGCAAACATGCCCATAGTTTGCAAATTTGGTACATCAACCGCCACGCTCATAAAGATGATGGTTTGGACCAGGATAGCAGGAGTCTGGTCAAGAGATTAATGCAGGGTCAGAGATCAGGAGTCTTATCATCTTGATCTCTGCAAGCTAATGATTTATCCTTCTTCAATTGCTTAACATTAATCACATTTATATAACATGAGGCCTAGGAACAATACTTGACCCCACAAGAGATTGTGATTCCAAACAACTAGTCAGATGTTCCTCCTTTTGTGGTTTTATTTCATTTGCATTCTTTTTTATTTTGATATTTTTCAGTTTGGCCTTTGTAATTGCAAACAGCTTAAGGCAATTCACCACCCAACCCACTTCACTTATTTATGTTTCCTGCCTGGCTCAGCAAGCACTTGAATTTAAACTCTGGTCTACACAAGGTCAAGATATTCAGGTCAAATGTCTATTAAATCAAATGTTTTCTATATTCTACACAACTAGTAGAGTTCAGAGGATCAGAGATTTGGGGACCTGAAGGGGGTCTTTTATTAATTCCCCCCTTGCATTATGGTTGAGACAATCGAGGTCCAGAGGGTAACGTAACTTGTGTTAGGGACCAATTAAGGGCTGGAGTCCATGTCTTGAGTTACATTTTAAGATGTCAATTGAGAACGGATACGGGTTTCTTAAAACTCAAATTTATCCTCAATCTTGAAATTTATTCAGTTATTCATTTAATAAATATTTGTGGATAACTTATTATACAATAGGCACAGTGCTAGGAGCCATGGGCATAGGTGTGAACAGACAGACAGATCTTGCCCTCATGGAACTTGTTTTCTTTTCTTTCTTTTTTTCTTTTTTTTTTTTTTTTGAGAGAGTCTGGCTCTGTTGCCCAGGCTGGAGTGCAGTGGTGATCTTGGCTCACTGCAACCTCCACCTCCCCGGTTCAAGTGATTCTCCTGCCTCAGCCTCCCAAGGAACTGGGATTACAGGCACCCACCACCACGCCTGGCTAATTTTTGTATTTTTAGTAGAGACAGGGTTTCACCATATTGGCCAGGCTGGTCTCAAACTTCCAACCTGAAATGATCCACCCACCTTGGCCTCCCAAAGTGTGAGCCACTCTTACAGGTGTGAGCCACTGCACCCGGTCAGAACTTGTTTTCTGATGCTGGTAGTTGAGGTGGGTGCTATGGAGGCAATAAGTACGGACACATGAGTAAGGAGTGAGGCGATAAGTGGTCATTTTAGATTCTTTAAGGGAGTCCATCTTACCTAATTTTTTCAATAATATCACCAGAATCAATGATGGCACATCTGCATTTTTCAGTTAAAACACATAACACATTTAGGTTACAATGGAACACAGCTTTTCAATGTACTAAAATGGCTGTTTTTTTGTTTTTGTTTTTGTTTTTGTGACAGAGTCTTGCTCTGTCGCCCAGGCTGGAGTGCAGTGGCATGGTCTCAGCTCACTGCAGCCTCGGTCTCCCAGGTTCAAGCAATTCTTGTGCCTTAGCCTCCTGAGTAGCTGAGATTACAGGTGCGTGCCACCATGCCCAGCTAATTTTCTTTTCTGTTCTGGTTTTTTATTTTGTTTTGCATTTTTAGTAGAGATGGGGTTTCATCATGTTGGCCAGGCTGGTCTTGAACACCTGACTTCAAGTGATCCACCCGCCTTGGCCTCCCAAAGTGCTGAGATTACAGGCATGAGCCACCGTGCCTGGCCCTAAAATGGCTGTTTTGAGTTGACACAGAGCCATGTCCAAACACCCGTTTCCACTTCGCCTATTTAAATTTCCCTCCTGGCTCTGCAGGCATTGGAGTTTCGACCTGAGATTCTATGCCAGGCCAAGATATCTAGATTGTTTGCATTCTATATCAAAACATATAATTGGCCAGCCGCGGTATCTCACGCCTGTAATCCCAGAACTTTGGGAGGCTGAGGCGAGCAGATCACCTGAGGTTGGGAGTTCGAGACCAGCCTGACCAACATGGAGAAATCCTGTCTCTACTAAAAATATAAAAATAGCCGGGCGTAGTGGCGCATGCCTGTAATCCCAGCTACTAGGGAGGCAGAGGCAGGAGAATCGCTTGAATGAGGGAGGCAGAGGTTGCGGTGAGCTGAAATTGCGTCATTGCACTCCAGCCTGGGCAACAAGATCGAAACTCTGTCTCAAAAAAAAAAAAAAAGAGGCCGGGCGCGGTGGCTCACGCCTGTAGTCCCAGCACTTTGGGAGGCCGAGGCGGGCGGATCACGAGGTCAGGAGATCGAGACCATCCCGGCTAAAACGGTGAAACCCCGTCTCTACTAAAAATACAAAAAATTAGCCGGGCGTAGGGGCGGGCGCCTGTAGTCCCAGCTACTTGGGAGGCTGAGGCAGGAGAATGGCGTTAACCCGGGAGGCGGAGCTTGCAGTGAGCCGAGATCCCGCCACTGCAGTCCAGCCTGGGCGACAGAGCGAGACTCCGTCTCAAAAAAAAAAAAAAAAAAAAAAAAAAAAAGAAAAGAAAAGAAAAGAAAAACACATATAATTAAATTATTAAGTAAAAATTATTTGTGGCATGGTGTTTTGTAGATTTTGCCTGATCCAGAGAAAAGGTAATCAATGCATGTTTATTGACCACATCATTGATTTGTAGGAGTCAAATTATGTTAAAGTAGCCAAAGTTAATCTATCACAGAATCATAGTATTTTGTGGCTAGAAGATATTTAACAGATGACTTAGTTCAGCTCCCTTATTTAATAGATGGGAAAACAGACTCTGAGGGAGGCCAAGTGGCTTACAGAAGGCTACACAGATAGAAGTTATATATGTTATTTACAGTACATCTACTGTGGTTAAGAGAGGCCTCCTTGCATTTATTTTAGAGCGGAGTTGGTAGAAATAGTTAGATATAGCAGTTTAGAGCATGAGCTCTGGTGTCAGACAGACCTAGAGAAAATTTAAGTAAAACTTAAAATTTACTTGACTATGTATGTGCCCCTGGGATATTAGTTAATATCTTTTAGCTGTAGTCTCCTTATTGGAAAAATTGGCAAAGTTAGAGTTCAGTTTAGGGTTAGGGTTAGGGCCTCTAAGTTTTAATAATTGGTAAAGGTTATTATTATCCATTTTGTACCATCAACATGTCAACAGGAGTATAATGACTTAGATGGAGTCATATACTCCTCTCGGGAGAGATATAATTTTTTGATAGAAGCCTGGCCAACATGGCAAAACGCCATCTCTACTAAAAATACAAAAATTAGTCAGGCATGGTGGCCCACGCCTGTAGTTTCGGCTACTCTGGAGGCTGAGGCAGGAGAATCACTTGAACCCGGGAGGCAGAGGTTGCAGTGAGCCAAGATCATGCCACAGCACTCCAGCCTGATCAACAGAGTGAGACTCCGGCTCAAAAAAAAAAAAAAAAATTTTATTAAAAAAAGTTTGCTCAGGCCAGGCGCAGTGGCTCATGCCTGTAATCCCAGCACTTTGGGAGGCCGAGGCAGGCAGATCATCTGAGGTCAAGAGTTCGAAACCAGCCTGGCCAACATGGTGAAACCCTGTCTTTACTAAAAACACAAATATTAGCTGGGCGTGGTAGTGGGCTCCTGTAATCCCAGCTACTTGGGAGGCTGAGATGGGAGAACTGCTTGAACCTGGGAGGTGGAGGTTGCAGTGAGCCAAGACTGTGCCACTGATCTCCAGCCTGGGTGTCCGAGTGAGACTCCGCCTCAAAAAATGAAAAAGAAAAAGTTTGCTTTATCAATTGAATAATCTATATGCAAATAATTATGGCAAAAGTAAAAAGACTTCTTTCCTGGGGTTGTACTCACTGAGCCCTCACCCTGGAATGTTCTTTGCCTAGCCTTCCACACAGTTCTCATCTCCTTCAGGTATCTGCTCAGCTGGCACCTTCTCAGTGAAGGCTTGCTTGTCATTTTGTTTAAATGGAAACTTTGTTCCCATTTCCTGCTTTATTTTTCTCCATGACACTTACCTCCTAATAAGTAATTTTCTAATTTGCTTTGTTTATGATCTCTTGTAAATTTCATGAGTCCTAAACGGGTGCTTGGCACATATAATTTTTTTTTTTTTTTCTTGAGAGGGAGTCTCAGTCTCTCGCCTAGGCTGGAGTGCAGAGGCACAGTCTGTGCTCACTGCAGCCTCTGACTGTTGGGTTCAAGCAATTCTCGTACCTCAGCCTCCTGAGTAGCTGGGATTACAGGTGTGGGCCACCACACCTGGCTAATTTTTGTGTTTTTTGTAGAGACAGGGTTTCACCATGTCGGCCAGGTTGGTCTCAATCTCCTGGCCTCAAGTGATCCACCCAGCTTGGCCTCCCAAAGTGCTAGGATTACAGGTGTGAGCTACCACGCCCGGCTGGCATTCAATAAATCTTCGTTACTTATCCCTAAATAATAAAAAATGTGAATCATAAATCCCACTGTACTTGAGCTACTAGAATTAAAGGAGATAATTATTCTGCCAAAATGTTGTGTTTTAACACATGTATCTTCATTTCTTCTAGTGCTTTAATCCTCCTGAATTCCTGGTGTTGGGGCAATAACATGCCATGGTGGGGTTACCTCAGAGTAGGGGGTGCCTCTTTAAATGCCTGGAGGTGAATGAAAGAAGCTATTCCCAACCTAGCAGCCAGGCTGTGACTTCTGACATTGCATTTCAATGCCGTTTTTTTCTTTGCATAAAGATGTAGAAACCTGTTTAGGCTGTGGTCTACTACCAAATGTACTCATTAGAAAAAATTGCTTTTTTTTTTTTTTTGAGACGGAGTTTCACTCTTGTTGCCCAGGCTGGAGTGCAATGGCGCAATCTCAGCTCACTGGAACCTCTGCCTCCCAGGTTCAAGCAATTCTCCTGCCTCAGCCTCCCAAGTAGCTGGGATTACAGGCGCCCACCACCACGCCTGGCTAATTTTTGTATTTTTAGTAGAGATGGGGTTTCCTCATGTTGGCCAGGTTAGTCTCAAACTCCTGACCTCAGGTGATCCACCCACCTCATCCTCGCAAAGTGCTGGGATTACAGGCGTGAGCCACCACACCTGGCTTTAGAAAAAATTTCTAATGACTGGCTGTTTTCATCTTTCAGATTATTGTCTATGACTATAACATAGTATGGGGCTGGGAAAAAATAATCTTCAAAACTCTTTTCAAATATTTAACTTCTATTCAATACAATATTTGGATTTGTTCAAAAACTATGACCAGGTTTTCTTGCACTCATCAAAAGCATATTTCTTTCCAGTAGTTTCAATCATAGCTACCCATTATAATTAGGAACTTAAAAAATGAAATAACAGTGCTAAGTTCCTATCCAAAGGGAGTAGGGAGACTGGGTTATCAATGTATTTTCAAGCTCCCCAGGAATCTCTAATTTGCTTAAACCAACTTCTGCCAAATGAAAGTAATACAAATTGAGCAGTGTTTATCCACTGGGTACAGGCAAGAACCCAAATATAGCTATTTTAGGGTCATTGTGCTGTATAAGGATGATATAAGAGCCGGGCGCAGTGGCTCACGCCTGTAATCCCAGCACTTTGGGAGGCTGAGGTGGGCGGATCACCTGAGGTTGGGAGTTCGAGACCAGCCTGACTAACATGGAGAAACCTCATCTCTACTGAAAATACAAAATTAGCCGGGCGTGGTGGTGCGTGCCTGTAATCCCAGCTTCTCGGGGGGCTGAGGAAGGAGAATCGCTTGAACCCGGGAGGTGGAGGTTGCGGTGAGCCGAGATCGTGCCATTGCACTCAAGCCTGGGCAACAAGAGCAAAACTCCGTCTCAAAAAAAAAAAAGGGATAATATAAGAAATGATTCTTAGGCCTAGGTTAAACAATGAACAAACATCCACTCCTAGGCTGTATGGGGAAAAGAGAAATGTTGTAAATATCTCTCATTGCAAATGACACTATATTCCTTAGTGTTTTTCTCCTTGGACTTACCTCCAAAAAGGTACCTGACATGAGAGGAAAAAATAGAAATCGGGATTTGGATTTTATGCGAGGTTCTGGGAAAAATGTTCCTACTCTTTCCTATACAGGAACTAAGTCAAATTCAAGGCCAATGGGATTATAATTTGCTTTATGCTATAATTTGTAATGTTTAACTTTGTTTTAGCAAAAAAGTCTGATATTCAATCTTCCATTAACACTTTAGCCATAGAATCTAGACTGCTACGTGTAATTGTTAACAAACGCATGGTTTCTTTTCTTTGTTATGAATGGAACTAGACATCTCCATTAACACATTTGCTGTTTTTCTCATGCAGTAGGCTAACTGTACAGTATTTAATGGTCTACAGGTTTAAATATTTCTTATATGCCTTGGCTTGCACAGAAAGTGCTTCTGCTAAACCAGTTAATAATCTGGCCATCCCAAGAGTCCAGAATGTTGAGTTAATTTTTTACGGAGGTTCCCAGATGTATTGGAAGACTCACTCTTGGCAGACCTTGCCAATATTTTTTTTAAGATTACATTTGGCTTTTCTTGTATTTGATATGAAACACATGTTAAAAACAATACCTGACAAATATGAAATGCATTTTTCTGCATAAGCAAAAACACCATGAATACAGCTTTTACAAAGTTTTGGATGGCAGAGATACAGGGTTTTCACTGCAAAACTGGGTTAGCATTTAGGCAAGTTAATCATACATCTCGACAATGATTCTTTATCCAACATCTCTTTGGTATTCAGTGGGCAGGTCATTAGGACTATGAAGAAATAAGTGGGAGAATGTCCAGGGAATGAAAAACATCTATATAACATGTGGAGAAGTGGATAGATTTAGTGAGTATTCAACTTTAAGAGGTGCAGGTTCTGATCCCAGCCAGATCACTTGAGTTCTTAACTTCTGGGAAGTTAAGAATAATAATGTGAGTCTTTGAGTGTTTCAAGAAGATCCTGTATTAGTTGCTTCCCTTTGCAGGTATTTTCCACAGCATTTCCATGTGTTTTCTCTAGGTGCTCTGGCAGGGCATCATATGCAGCTTTATTTTTGCCTTTTCTTTCAGTCTATATTTTCTATTCTATTTATTTTTACAGGGCAATGGGAAATACTGCAATATACTGCAAGTGTCCTTTCTCTTTACGTGAATTGAATTTGTATTTTATTGTTTCTTTTTCCAGGTCTAGCCTTAGAAATTTTATAATATGGCCAGGCGCAGTGTCTCACGCCTGTAATCCCAGCACTTTGGCAGGTCGAGGCAGGTGGATCACCAGGTCAGGAGATCGAGACTATCCTGGCTAACATGGTGAAACCCCATCTCTATAAAAACACAAAAAATTAGCCAGGCGTGGTAGCACATGCCTGTAATCGCAGCCACTTGGGGACTGAGGCAGGAGAATCGCTTGAACCTGGGAGGTGGAGGTTGCAGTGAGCTGAGATGGTGACACTGCATTCCAGCCTGGAGACTCCATCTCAAAAAAAAAAAAAAAGAAAAAAGAAAGAAATCTTATAATATTTACAAAATGTAATTGTAGGCCGATGCGGTGGCTCATGGCTGATAATCCCAGCACTTTGGGAGGCCGAGGCAGGTGGATCACTTGAGGTCAGGAGTGTGAGACCAGCCTGGCCAACATGGTGAAACGCTGTCTCTACTAAAGATACAGAAAATGAGCCTGGTGTGGTGGTGCATGCCTGTGATCCCAGCTACTCAGGAGGCTGAGGCAGGAGAATCACTGGAACCAGGGAGGCAAAGGCTGCAGTGAGCTGAGATCGGACCACTGCACTCCAGCCTGGGTGACAGAGCGAGACTCCATCTCGGAAAAAAAAAAAAAAAAGAAAAGAAATATAATTGTGGATCCAGACTCTGGCCAAGGATCAAACAGACATTTAAGATATTTGAGGGCAGGAGGGTACCACTGAGGAAGAATGATGCTACCATTAACTGTCTCTAAAAAGAGGAAGTAAATGCCACTGCAATCTGCTATTGAGGTTTCCCTAGATCTGGAATATCAAGCATTTCAATTCACACTAAAGTTCAGAATAATAATTACTAATAATATTTTTAATGGAGTATTTACAATGGGCCAGGCAGATTTATTGTGTCATTATCTCAGCTGATCCTCAGAAGGACTGAGTGCTCTCAGTAGTCCCATTTCTGTGGGGAAGGGGAGTCATGGACAAGTTAGCCTTTAAAATCTTATCCAGTCTTTTATTCCTGCTTTCCAGGAGTAAAAGAAAAAAATAAATAAGTAAAAAGAAAGTGGGCCAGGCATGGTGACCTGTAATCCCAGTACTTTGGGAGGCTGAGGTGGGAGGATGGCTTGAGCCCAGGAGTTTGAGACCAGGCTGGGCAACATGGCAAAACTCCATCTCTACCAAAAAAACAAAAACAAAAAAAACAAAAAAAAACAAAAAAACACCCAAATTAGCTGTGCACAGTGGCACATGCCTGTAGTCCCAATTACTCGGGAGGCTGAAGTGGGAGGATCAATCACCTAAGCCCGGGGAGGCTGAGGCTGCAGTGAGCCAAAATCCTGCCACTTGCCACTGCACTCTAGCCTGGGTGACAGAGCGAGACCCTGTCTCAAAAAGAAAGAAAGGAAAGAAGGAAGGAAGGAAGAAGAAAAAAGAGAACAATCTTATCAAGGAAGGTGATATCAACAAAATGGTGCAATAGGAAGCTCCAAACTCCTATACCCCAACCAAAACATCAGAAAGTAAGCATAAACTGTTAAACCAAATCTGTTAAAATCTGGAAAACAGTCAAAAGTTTATAGCAACCAAGCAAATGCTGAATCCTGCCCCCCCTCATCCAAAAAGGTGTTTTTTTTTCTTTTACTTTTAAAGATTTTTATTTTGTTTTTGTTTTTTTAAATAGAGACGGGGCCGAGTGCAGTGGCGCATGCTATAATCCTAACACTTTGGGAGGCCAAGGCTGTGGATTGCCTGGAGTTTGAGACCAGTCTGGGCAACATGGTGAAACCTTGTCTCTACAAAAAAAGTACAAATAGTTAGCTAGGTGTGGTGGTACGCACCTGTAGTCCCAGCTACCTGGGAAGCTGAGGTGGGAGGATCGCCTAAGCCTCGGAAGTTGAGGCTGCAGTGAGCCATGATTGTGCCACTGCACTCAAGCCTGGGTGACAGAGTGAGACCCTGTCTCAAAAAAAAAAATAAAAATAAAAATAAATAAATAAAAAATAAGAGATGAGGTCTTGTTATGTTGTCCAGCCTAGACTCCAGCTCCTGGGCTCAAGTGATCCTCCCACTTCAGCCTCCTGAGTAGCTGGGACTGCAGGCTCATGCCACCATGCTTGGCTAATTTGTTTTTATTTTTTGTAGAGATGGGGTCTTGCTATTTTGCCCAGGCTGGCCTTGAACTCCTGGCCTCAAGCCATCCTCACACTTTGGCCTCCCAGAATGCTGGGATTACAGGTGGGAGCCACCTCACTCAGCCCCTAAGAAGACATTTTAAAATAAGTAGGAAAGCGTTGTGGTGTTTTCACTTGCTCTTTCCCCACCTCCTGCCCAGCTTAGTGGTAGTCTTAGGAGTTAGCCTCCATGGCTGGTCCCTGGTCCCTGGCTCTGGCATGTATGTCTTTATTTATTTATTTTTTTGAGATGGAGTCTCACTCACTCTGTCACCCAGGCTGGAGTACAGTGGCACAATCTCAACTCACTGCAACCTCCGCCTCCCAGATTCAAGTGATTCTCCTGCCTCAGCCTCCTGAGTAGCTGGGATTACAGGCGTCCACTACCATGCCTGGCTAATTTTTGTATTTTTAGTAGAGATAGGGTTTCACCATCTTGGCCAGGCTAGTCTTGAACTCCTGACCTCAGGTGATCCACCCGCTTGGCCTCCCAAAGTGCTGGGATTACAGGCGTGGGCCACCGTGCCTGGCTGTGGCATGTATGTCTTTTCTAAACTATCTGGAGCTATCTGAAGGACTAATGCAAGGTGCCTGACACTCACTCAGGACAGAAAAGTGGAGGGCATTGCTGGAAAAGCTTTTAAGGCAGATATACAAACTGAAGCTGGCTGAGACAAAAGATTACACCTAAAGCCAAGAAGGAAAAGCATGTTGTCCTAAAGTGCTTTACATTTACTTGCTCACTTTATGCTCACAACATCCCTATGAGGAAGGTATAATTGTCACCATCCCCATTTTACAGTTGAGGAAACTGAAATAACTGGGAAAAGTAAATGCAGTTAGCTTTTAATCACTTCATCACATTGACTCCAAATACGCACGTACTAAAAGCAAAATGAACCAGGTAACAACTAAAACACATATAGTAAATGAGTAATAAATCTTATTTGAAAATTATACTTTAAATATATTTCTTTTAACTCTAGTATTTATTACTGCCTTAGTAACCTCTTTGAAATAGAAGACTGAATGGAATTCATTCTTTTTTTTTTTTTTTTTTTTTTTTTTGGAGACGGAGAGTCTTGGTCTGTCACCCAGGCTAGAATGCAGTGGCACGATCTCAGCTCACTGCAACCTCCACCTCCCGGGCTCAAGCAATTCTCCCTGCCTCAGCCTCCCGAGTAGCTGGGATTACAGGTGCCTGCCAGCATGCCCAGCTAATTTTTGTATTTTTGTAGAGATGGGTTTTCACCATGTTGGCCAGGCTGGTCTCGAACTCCTGACCTCAGGTGATCCACCCGCCTCGGCCTCCCAAAGTGCTGGGATTACTGGCATAAGCCACTGCACCTGACCGGAATTCATTCTTGATAGCATCAGTATTTGCTTTCTTCCCAGATAGTACATAGTACTGTTTTTATTATGAATTTTTTTGTGGGAAAATAGAGATGATAAAATAGGAAACCTTTCCACAAAGCTATGGTTAATATTAGTTAGAAGTAAATTTTCATTTCTAGAACATAACATTGAAAAAAGGTAAGAGGGGCATAGAGAAGGCAAAAGAATATACTTCTTGAATAAACAAGTATTTCTAATGCTTATTATTTATAACTTAGATATCCCCAGACTGTAAACTGTAGAAGAAGGGACTGTGTCCTGAGTTATTCAGAAGCCAATTTTTTGTGCCTTAGCATAACAGTATAGGAATATTGGCCATAGTAGTCGATCAGTGGAGACTTGTTGAGTGAATGAATGATAGACATGCTTTTTACTTGTATATCAAGTTATTACTGGGCTCTGCGCAAAGGCAGAAGTGGATCCTATGTAAACAGATACGGGTGTTTGCTTATGATACCTTATTTTTAATGTACCCCAAGATCCCCCATGGAGAATTTCAAATGCTGTTTATAAAAGGAAAGAAAATTCAGGTCTTGTAGTTGTTCTTTTTTTTTTTTTTTTTTTTGAGACGGAGTCTCGCTCTTTCACCCAGGTGGGACTGCAGTGGCGCGATCTCCGTTCACTGCAAGCTCCGCCTTCCGGGTTCACGCCATTCTCCTGCCTCAGCCTCCTGAGTAGCTGGGACTACTGGCGCCCGCCACTGCGCCCAGCTAATGTTTTGTATTTTTAGTAGAGACGGGGTTTCACCGTGGTCTCGATCTCCTGACCTCGTGATCCGCCCGCCTTGGCCTCCCAAAGTGCTGGGATTACAGGCGTGAGCCACCGCGCCCAGCGCGGGTCTTGTAGTTGTTCTTGCTACAAATTACTGGGCCTGCAGAAGAGAGATACTAGGGAGGAGATTTACAGCAAGGCTTTGTCGCACATATATTGTTCTTGTTCGTCATCTTGACTTGGTCTGTAAACGTCCCTTTCCCTTCCCGTTAAACTTAACAAGAATAAGCCTGTATCCTGGATTAGGTGGCAAAGGTATTTGAAATAAAAATAAAGAATTTTAAGAAATTAAAAAAGAATAAGCCTGTAGCACCCAGATGCATAAAGGAAAATGGATCTAAACAGTTTATTACTTAAACAGCTGCTAAAGTCATCTCATCCTTGTTCCATTTACTCCATAACCACACAAACGTGACAATTCCATTTAGATTGGTCACATGTGCTTAATGTCTTAAAGGAAATGAATGAATATATTTTCTGAACACTCATGGAAGTGATCCATTTTTATACAAAATCAATTTTTGAGGGGAAAGGTAATTCCTGATTATCAAAGAAGTGGCCAGGGAAGAAAAGATCTGCCCCCATGCTTCATTAACCACCACCAGCAGTTTCAGGTGGGTTCTTTCAGAAAATGCGCATGCATATACATGAATATATCTGCGGTGAGTTCCTCTTTGTTTGTGTGTGTGCCCAGGTGCTCACATGTACATCTCTGGTCTTTATTTTCTGTAGAGAATAGTCAGAATGAGGCCCCAGGGTCAGGAATGGAAAAATCAGGTAAAAAGAAAAGAAAACATCTTTTTTTTTCCTTAAAAAGAAAACATCTTGTTTAGAATTTTTGGAATTTCTTTCTAAGCTTAATCTTTCTTTTATTAACACTTTGTTCTCAACTTAAAGCCATTAAAAAGCCTATATGCAAAAAATAAAATAAATCAGCTCAAGGCATAAGAATTTGATATACAGCTGGGTGGTAATTAACAGGACTTGACCTTACAATAATTAGATGCTGAGAAAGACTGGAGCACAGCAGCTCAGAACACAGCAGTTTATGTAACTCTCCTGGAGAAGAGTTAGGCTTTACCCCTTGATGCTATGAAAAATCAGCCTCAAAGATTATTGAGGCAGATCAAAATTTAGAGCCGCACACGGCACCTCACACCTGTAATTCCAGCATTTTGGGAGGCTGAGGCAGTAGGATTACGTGAGCCCAAGAGTTTGAGACCAGTCTGGGCAACATAGTCAGACCCCATTGTGTTAGTCAGCTTTCATACTGCTATAAAGAACAGCCTGAGACTGGGTAATTTATAAAGGAAAGAGTTTTAATTGACTCACAGTTCATCATGGCTGGAGAGGCCTCAGGAAATTCACAATCATGTCAGGAGGCAAAGGGGAAGCAAGATGCCTTCCTCACAAGGCGGCCGGAAGAAGTGCCGAGAAAGGGGAAAGAGCCTCTTACATAACCATCAGCTGTGGTGAGAATTCACTCACTATCATCAAAAGAGCAGAGGGAAAACCGCCCCCCCATGATTCAGTTACCTCCACCTGGTCTCTCCTTGCCATGTGGGGATTATGGGGATTACAATTCAGGAGGAGATTAGGCTTTCTGTTCAGGTGGGAACAAAAAGCCTAATCGTATCATCCATCTCTACAAATAAAATAAATTAGGCTGAGAGCAGTGGCTCATGCCTGTAATCCCAGCACTTTCGGAGGCCGAGGCAGGCAAATCACTTGAAGTCAGGAGTTCCAGACCAGCCTGGCCAACATGGTGAAACCCTGTCTCTACTAAAAATACAAAAATCAGCTGGGCGTGGTGGCACGTGCCTGTAATTCCAGCTACTCGGGAGGCTAAGGCAGGAGAATCACTTGAACCTGGGAGGCAGAGGCTGTAGTGAGCCAAGATCACACCACTGCACTCCAGCCTGGGGAACAGAGAAAGACGCTGACTCAAAAAAATGAAATGAAATGAAATAAATTAGCCAGGAGTAGTGGTACACGCCTGTGGTCCCAGCTACTCAAGAGGTTAAGGTGGAAGGATTGCTTGAGCTGGGGAGGTTAAGGCTGCAGTAAACTGTGATTGCATTACTGCATGCCAGTCTCCGTGACAGAGTGAGAATCTGTATTAAAAAAAATAAACCAAAATCCCAAAAGATAACTTGGGACTGTGTAGTGGCTTATTACTACATTCCTCAATGATCCAAGCTACTCATTGAAAACCTAAAGTGGAAAATGCTTTGTCCACATATATTAAATAATACATATATTTCTTTCTCCACCCTGTAAAAAGAGAGTTAGCAATAATGCTATTTGGTTAGAATATGCAGTGTGAAAATAAAATGATATTCATAATAATTACACAGAACTAATTTTTTAAATGGCAATATTCAATGCTGGCAAGGGTTCGGTAATGCTGGTATTCTCATAGGTTGCTCACTGTATTTTCATTTTTAAAACATTTTCTGAAAGCTATCACAAAATATTTTAGGAGCTTTAAATGCTCAATATTTTTATCCCAGTTGTCTCACTTTAGGTAATTTATCTCAAATAAATAATTCATAAATCTATATGCACAAAGCCATCTTGACACTATTTATAATTGCAAAACACTGGTACTTAATGCAGAAATGGTTGAGTAAAGTATGGCATATCCACTATTTACATGGTATCTATAAAGTGTTTTTAATAGTATGGAAGGCCAGGTGTGGTGGCTCACACCTGTAATCCCAGCACTTTGGGAGGCCAAGGCAGGTAGATCACCTGAGGTCAGGAGTTGAAGACCAGCCTGGCCAACATGGTGAAACCCTGTCTCTACTAAAAATACAAAAATTAGCCAGGCGTGGTGGCAGAAGCCTGTAATCCAGCTACCCAGGAGGTTGAGGCAGGAGAATTGCTTGAACCTGGGAGGTGGAGGTTGCAGTAAGCCAAGATTTTGCCACTGCACTCCAGCCTGGGTGACAGAGTGAGACTTCATCTCAAAAAAAAAAAAAAAATACTATGGAGAAACATTACCTATATTAAGTTAAATAAAAGAAATCACGATAGAGCTGGGCACGGTGGCTCACGCCTATAATCCCAACACTTTGGGAGGCTGAGGCAGGTGGAGCACGAGGTCGAGAGTTCGGACCAGCCTGGCCAAGATGGTGAAACCCCATCTCTAGTAAATTACAAAAATTAGCCAGGCATGGTGGCAAGTGCCTGTAATCCCAGCTATTCGGGAGGTTGAGGCAGGAGAATCACTTGAACCTGGGAGGCAGAGGTTGCAGTGAGCCAGGATCTCACCACTGTACTCTAGCCTGGGCGATAGAGCAAGACTCTGTCTCAAAAAAAGAAAGAAGAAAAAGAAAGAAAGAGAAAGAAAGAAAGAAAGAAAGAAAGAAAGAAAGAAAGAAAGAAAGAAAGAAAGAAAGAAAGAAAGAAAGAGAAAGAAAAAGAAAAGAAAGAAGAGGGAGGGAGGGAGGGAAGGAAGGAAAGAAGTAAATAAATCACAATAAAAATTATATTTCAGGCTGGGTGCGGTGGCTGACACCTGTAATCCCAGCACTTTGGGAGGCCGAGGTGGGCAGATCAATTGAGTCCAGGAGTTCGAGACCAGCCTGGCCAACATGGCGAAAACTCGTCTCTGCTAAAAATACAAAAATTAGCTGGGTGTGGTTGTGGGGGCCGGTAATCCCAGCTACCTGGGAGAATGAGGCAGGGAAAATTACTTGAACCCGGGAGGCAGAGGTTGCAGTGAGCCGAGATGGCACCACTGCACTCCAGCCTGGGCGACAGAGTGAGACTCCACCTCAAAAAAAAAAAAAAATGTATTTCAGCTGTGTATAGAACAGATAAGTCAATGTAGGAAACAATGTTTATTGTGTTCATGTAGTGGGAGTACGGATGCTCTTGTTTTCTATTTCTTCAATTTTTAATAATATTTTAATATTATATTCATAATTTAAAATTTATCTAGCATCTATATCTCTAAGTTTATCTATCTACATACTTTATGTTTTCATTTTTTAACCCTCTATCTCTATACTTTAGTATAAAAAGAATAGCTTTGTGAAAGTTTAGGAAATGGAGTAGAGAGATGAGTTTCATGATTACAAAACGTTGTATTATTATTAAAAAAGAAAGATGTGCATTTGAGCCCGCTTTCTCATACTTCTTTCAGTGTAAAACTATTGATGAACTTGAATGCATTTGTATCCCACTTATAGTCTTCAATTCTAATTTGGTGTTCTGGTAGAGTTTCTCTGGACTTTTGCAAAAATAAAGCTCTCTCATACTAGTTCAAGAGATGGTTCATGTTGCGTCACTGGGTAAAGAGGAACAGGTAGTGTCAAAGTTCCCTTCTGAGGATTCTCCTTTAGGTCCCATGAGCATCAATCATTATTTCTATTGACTAGTTTCCCCAATAACTTTCTCCCAAAGTAAATGAAAATCCACATGCCAGGGCAGCACTATGTTGAACTTGTCAAAGACCAATACTGAATATGCCAGACACGGTTATCTTCAGCTACCATTTTGAAGGCCTGAACCCTCATAGAGGTATTAACGAACTCGAAATTGCATACTTGCATATGTTGTAATCATTTTCACCCTGCTTTCCAAAAAGAAAAAGAAGAAAAAAGCAATAAATATGGGATTTAAATATAATTCATGCAGAAATAGGCCAAAACATTCCTAAAGACTCTAAATTTATTCCTAATCACACTGATGCCAAACTAAATTGGCATGGTTATTCTACTAGATTCTGATTCTTTTTTTTTTTGGCCAGAAATTTGCTGGAAAAACACAGAACTGGAAAATCCATCCAAGATTAAACAGAGGAAAAATATTAGAAAAAAATATTAAATAGAGGAACAAAAACCTATTTTAGTTGTAGTTATAAATTTCTAGAAATTCATCTTTGAATTTAGAGAAATACATCAGTGTCATAGTAAAATAACCTTTATTCTTTATAGACACCCTTTTCTGAAACCAAGCAGTTGTATTCAAAACAAGTCCAAATTTAAGCAAGAAAAAATTGTTTTAATAATAGAACATTTTAAAAAACCAATGTATTTCTGGCCAAGAGTGGTGGCTCACGCCTGTGATTCCATCACTCTAGGAGGCCGAGGCAGGCAGATCACCTGAGTGATCAGAAGTTCAAGATTAGCCTGGCCAACATGGTGAAACCCCATCTCTACTAAAAATACAAAAAATTAGCCTGGTGTGGTGGCATGTGCCTGTAATCCCAACTACTCAGGAGGCTGAGGCAGGAGAATCGCTTGAACCCCAGAGACAGAGGCTGCAGTGAGCCAAGATCGTGCCACTGCACTCCAGCCTGGGCAAGAGAGCAAGGCTCTATTTCAAAAAAGAGAAAATAAAATACAAATAAAAAACCAATACATTTCTAGCTTGTAACTAGAAGGAGAGACAAAAAGACCAACTTAAAAATAGTAAGTGTAATGAGAGTATGATGTGAAGGAGCTGTTAAGTGATCTCAAATTAATGGTGCTCAGAAATGTGAACTTCTGGAATTCACGTTTAAAGACTAATTGGAGGGCCGGGTGTGGTGGCTCATGCCTGTAATCCCAGTATTTGGGAGGCCGGGGCGGGTGGATCACCTGAGGTCAAGAGTTTGAGACCAGTCTGGCCAACATGGTGAAACCCCATCTCCACTAAAAATACAAAATTAGCCAGGTGTGGTGATGCATGCCTGTAATCCCAGCTACTCAGGAGGCTGAGGCAGGAGAATGGCTTGAACCTGGGAGGTGGAGGTTGCAGTGAGTTGAGATTGCGCCATTGCACTCCATTCTGGGCAACAAGAGTGAAACTCCATCTTATAAATAGATAAATAAATAAGACTAATTGGAAAACTTGGAAATTATTTAGAAGACAGCTCCAAGGATGGCAAAATGAGTCAAGTATTGGAAAAAAAGACCAATGAGGAGAGGCAAACAAGACATAATTAATTTTCTTGAAGAGAAGACCAAATGACAATTGAAGAAGACAGTCTATGAATTTATAGAGAGCTTTATATACAGACAGGGTTGGTTATCATCGCTGAGTATAAAACAAGGGAAACAGGCTTGGTGTGTAGCATAATGGCTTTGTTCGACACAGTAAAGCTAACTAAATGTCAAAATAAGATGCAGGTGGAGGTTGAGCAGTCTTTTCTAAAGCCATGAATAATAAGATAGCAGCTTCTTTGTATGGCTCTGACTGAAGGTGAGAGATGTGCTATGTAAGCTTTCACATCGCTTCCAGGGCTAAGATTCAGGTCCTTGGGGAATATCTTCCTGAATTCAGGGAGTTAATGCCAACTCTGAAATCAAATTACTGGAACATAGTAAAGAAAGCGGGGGGAGGAAGCAACTAGAATCAAGATGAAAATGTAACTTCAAACCCTGTTTAGAAAAAAATAATGAGATTACTTTAAAATAATAAAATTTATTATTAAAAATTTAGAGAAGTTTTGACAAGGAGGAAGTGGAAAAAATAGATATTTTTATTTATTTATTTATTTATTTATTTATTTATTTATTTATTTATTTTTGAGACAGTTTCCCTCCTGTTGCCCAGGCTGCAGGGCAATGGCACGAGCTCGGCTCACTGCAACCTCCACCTCCAGGGTTCAAGTGATTCTCCTGCCTCAGCCTCTCGAGTAGCTGGGACTACAGGCATGCACCACCATGCCTGGCTAATTTTTTTTGTATTTTTGGTAGAGAAGGGGTTTCACCATTTTGGCCAGGCTGGTCTCAAACTCCTGACCTCAGGTGATCCTCTCTCCTCGGTCTCCCAAAGTGCTGGGATTATAGGTGTGAGCCGCCGCACCTGGCCATAGATATTTTAGATAAGGAACAAGATCAAGCATTAAACTGTGAACAAGGTATTTCTAATTAACTAATTTTTTTTTTCAAACACAGCCTTAGGAAACGTGACTCCAACCATGGAGAGTTTAGGTCAGCCCTGATTTTGAGGCCACATGCTCCATCCTCACAGGTGGGTGAGGTCCCTTAGTTGGTATTGTTTGATGATTCTATTAGTTCTTGACTTTTCTGTATATATTTTAATGTACAGTAAAGGGATTGTAGTATTGGCAGGTTTGTCCCAAAATAGACTGTGAGTCAGTTATGAAGGAGGGGGATTCCAGGAACTAGAATTTAAGAGTGAGGAAGTTAAACACAAATTTACATATGACTCAGTACTAACACATTTTACATAATATTGGGTACTTTCTCTTCCTGTAATTGCCTCTATGCTTCATTTGTTGTTTTCACCAATAGCCCTAAATAAGTGGTTTTAAAAAACATTAAGGGAGGCTGGTAGATCACGCCTGTAAGCACTTTTGGGAAGCTGAGGTGGGCGAATTGCTTGAGCCCAGGAGTTCAAGACCAGCCTGGGCAAGATGGCGAAACTCCGTCTCTACAAAAAATACAAAAATTAGCTGGGCATGGTGACACGTGCCTGTAGCCCCAGCTACTTGGGAGGCTGAGATGGGAGGATCACCTGAGTCTTTGAGGTTGAGGCTGCAAAGAACAACAATCTCCCCACTGCACTCCAGCCTGGATGACAGACCGAGACTCTATCTCAAAAATAAATAAGTAAATAATGAATTTTAAACACACACACACACAGACCCACACACAACCATTAAGGGATGACTAATTTGGGGTGTCTTGCCAGCAATTCAAATGTCTAAAATAGCCTTATTCTAGCATTGAATGTTAAAGCCTTTTTCTTTAGACAGACTAATTGCAGAATGAAATGGTTTGCTACCTGTTGAGCTCCAATTCTCCCCTTCTCAAAAAATCAAGAGGCTATGAACTCGCAAGTGTTAATGGGATTCAGATAGAAGCCATCACTGCTATTTTAAATTTTCCTGTGTCTCCCACTAACATTATATCCAAACATCAAAACATCCACAACAATCATCCCCAAGGTTGCTGCTGTATTATTTATAAATGAACACATTGTTGGGTGAATACATTCCACTTTTGAAATTAATTTTCTTTTTCTTTTTCTTTTTTTTTTTTTTGAGATGGGGTCTCACTCCGTCACCCAGTTTGGAATGCAGTGGCGCGATCTCAGCTCACTGCAACCTCTGCCTCTGGGGCTCAAGCGATCCTCCTACCTTAGCCTCCCAAACAGCTAGGACTGCTGGCACATGCCACCATGCCCGGCTAATTTTTTTGCATTTTTGGTAGAGACAGGATTTCACCATGTTGCCCAGGCTGGTCTCAAACTCCTGAGCCCAGGTGATCTACCCACTCTGGCCTCCCAACGTGCTAAGATTACAGTCATGAGCCACTGTGCCTGGCCTGAAATTAATTTTCACTGGTTTATTTTCATAAAATAACGCTGGACACAGTGGCTCATGCCTGTAATCCCAGCACTTTGGGAGGCCAAGGCAGGCAGATCACTTGAGGTCAGGAGTTTGAGACCAGCCTGGCCAACATGGTGAAACCCCATCTTTATGAAAAATACAAAAAATTAGCCAGGCGTGGTGGCATGCGCCTGTGATCCCAGCTACTCAGGAGGCAGAGGGAGGAGAATCGCTTGAACCCGGGAAGGCAGAGGTTGCAGTGAGCCAAGATCGTGCCACTGCACTCCAGCCTGAGTGACAGTGAGGCTCTGTCTGAAAAACTAATAAATAAATAATATTTTCATAAAATAAACTCAATTTCAGTTACATACAGTTTTTTAGGAAAGTGCTTTTCTTTTGTAGCTTTGTTTTTTCCGTCCTATTGCATAGTCTGGCTTCACTGAAATAGCTTTCCACCAAAATATTCTCTTCTCTCAAGCAATAGTATACTGAAGAGAACAAGTAAGTTATTTATTTGCAAGCCCATAGGATTTAAATTAGAATAAACTTGTCCTTGAGAATAATATACTCTAAATAATTCATATGAGTCACAAAATTTTATACCAGAAAAAGTGTGTAAAAAACATCTTATTCCCCAATATTATGATTCCCTCAGTTTGTATGACTTAATAATTCTTTTTTTAGAGTATAATTGTTCCAGAGTTCAGAAATTTTTAAAAGAGATTATCTGTATCTCTGGGAAAAGATTGACTTCCAGCTGGAAAGATAATCTTTTCTTCCATTTTCCCACCTTTTGCATCAGAAAAGTAAACAACCGATTTCCTGACTAAATACACCTGGATTATTTCTCAAGAGAGCAAGAAATGGGTTGATTTATGCATTAGAAAAGTGACCATAAGGTCGTGGAGAATCAATGACTTTAGATGTAGGAAGGATCTTGGAAATCTAGTTCAACTCCCTCATAAATGACAAGGATTAGATATAAAAAGTGCTTTTAAGAGGCCTATTAGCATCAGGAATGAGGTAAGTCCCTTTTCAGCATTAATTACAGTAACTGCTGTATAAAGAAAGGGGATTCTGGCAACTGCTCTCCACATGGCAGAAATTCAGGACAGACTTGAAATCAAAGAAGTAGGGGCTAAAGTCTAATGAACTGACATAAAACTTTTTTTAATTGGAACTAAAGAATATTAATTCTCTCACATGATTCCCAAAGTCAGTGTTTTTTTTTTTAATTCTCTCGAAACTTTCATGCATCAAAAGATGGTTCCAACATACAAGCATGGAAATAATTAGTGCTTTTAATTAGTACAACTGGGAAATAAGGCATACCAGCCTTAATAAGGGTCTCCAATGTGGAACACATTAAAGTAAAAACAATTTTTTCCTAATATCAAAGTGCATTCTACCGACTAACAGAAAATGAGTTACTCTGCAAAATGGAGAGTATAATCGGATTCAGAACAAGTTCAAAGTATTAAGAAAGGAGATGCCATGAACTGTGGGACTTGAGAATTAGATCGTCTCAGACGGCCACCAATCTATTTTTCAGAACACACTATCCATATCGTAGGGTTTAACTATTAAACTGTAAATATTCTAAAATACTTCATAATGCCTATTTTGTGAATCAGAATTGAAGATGAAAATGGTCAAATATATTAGAAGCATGCTAAACAGCATTTCAGAACAGTCTAACAGCTGAACGCATACTTGGCAAGAAGAGAGCTGCTGTCACATTACCTCAGACCAACAGTAGCAAGCACATCTGGAATCCTAATGATCCCAGGAGCTTTTGGGCATTTGAAGGACAGCCATCTGGTGCAAAGGAAGTCTGGACAAAGTGTCCCACCCAACAGAAAGAACCTCATTGTGCTGCTATGAAAAGCAGCTGGCCCCACTTCCCTCTGATAATACACCACCTTCTCAACTGGTGAGTGATCAAGAGAAATCCATTATGTGCACAAAGTGCTCACTAGCTGACCTGGATCTAAAACCATGACAACCTGGCAGATAAGACGCAGTCAGAGATATATTTGTGAAATAAATCCCTTTTTGAAAGGGCGTCAGCAAATTCTGCTACCTCTGTCTAACCTTTCAGCAACTGATGTAGATAGTATCAGCCTATGGGCTCTTCTAGGTCTCAATTCTTTATCTGTAAAATTAAGAGATTGGGCTACGCACATTTTACGGCCCTTTTTAGTTCTAACATCCCATCAGCTTGTGATTTTACAGAAAATACTGTAGCGCCAAAAGAATGGATGACCAAAGAACAAGGGATGACAGCAGACATTTGAAGGTGGCCCCTGCATGTTGCTTGATGGCATTGGATCATTGAGGGGACAAGGTTGCACTCAAAGATGACCTCTCATTTGTAAATGTGTCTTATCATCTTGCAAGCAAATTAAGCCAGTGTTATCTTTGCTCTAACCTATCTGCAAATTATGCACAGCATGTTGGGTCTGCCCCACATTAAACACACTGCAGGACTCTCAAGTAGATGAAGGCAGACATGCAGCTTCAGCAGACCATGATGGTGAGGCAGTGGATAAGAGAAATGATTGAAGGTCATGAGAGGGAGGAGAGCATGACAGGGATGGGAAGCGAGGACATCAGGGCACAGAAAGCCCTAGTCAGGAGGGAACTGCAGGCCAGGCGCAGTGGCTCACGCCTGTAATCCCAGCACGTTGGGGGGCCATGATGTGCGGATCACTTGAGGCCAGGAGTTCAAGACCAGCCTGGCCAACATGGTGAAACCCTGTCTTTACCAAAAATACCAAAATTAGACAGGGATGGTGACCGACGCCTATAGTCCCAGCTACTGGGGAGGCTGAGGCAGGAGAATCGCTTGAACCTGGGAGGCAGAGATTGCAGTGAGCTGAGATCACGCCACTGCACTCCAGCCTGGGCGACAGAGTGAGACTCCATCTCAAAAAAAAAAAAAAAAAAAAAAGAGGGAACTGGAGAGTTTAAACACCTACAGGAGGAGGAATTTAGGATAATTGTAAGATCCAATAAATAACCATGTCAGTAGATTTATGGAGGAATGGAGCTAGAGATGTATAGTGAAAGAGTCTAAAAATATAATGTAGGGAAAGGCATTTTGGCCAGTTAAATATTGTTCGGAATCCTGGCTCTGCCGCTGAATATCCTGTATATTCCTGGACTTGTTAAATAATGTATTTTCCTCATCAGCAAATTGGAAATAATGCTATCTCTTACATACAGTAGTTGTGGAAATTAAATGAGATAATGCATGTCAAGTGCTGAAGATACTTATTGGTGCACAGTAGACATTCAAAAATGATATATTAGTTGTCATTATTCCTAGTACTGTTATTCTTGTTAGCTGAATAATGAGAACAAATATTGAAATTCCCCAGAATGGTTGTTTGTGAACAAGTAGAGAGAAAAACGATTACATCAGGCACCAAGATTAAAGGAAGTGTCTTCGAGGTTAGTAGATGATGACAGTGAGGGCAGAGGAAGGGTGGGTGTGGTTGAGCAAAGTTGGCGAAGTTCTTGAAAGTCAAGTTAGTGCCCGCCGAACTCTTGGCTCTGAGCCAGACAAGACTGGAGAAGAAGCCCTTTCTGCTTGAGGGCATCAGAGAAAATGTTTCATCTTTAGTAGAAAATCAAATCTCAATTAAGGCAGCACTTTCCTGAAGATGTTTCTTTTCTTTTTTTCTTTTTTTTTTTTTTTTTTTGAGACAGGGTCCAGTTCTGTCACTCAGACTGGAGTGCAGTGGCATGATCTCGGCTCACTGCAGTCTCAGACTCCCTGGCTCAAGCAATTCGACCACCTAAGCCTCCTGAGTAGCTGGGACTACAGGCATCCACTACCACATCCGGCTATTTTTTATATTTTCTGTAGAGATAGGGTTTCACCATGTTGCCCAGGCTTCTCTTGAACTCCTGAGCTCAAGTGATCTGCTGCCTTGGCCTCCCAAAGTGCTGGGATTGCAGGTGTGGGTCAATGGACCCAGGCTCTGAAGATGTTTTTTTCTTTTTAGAGATGGAGTCTCGCTTTGTTTTCCAGGCTGGTCTCAAACTCTAGGCCTCAGGTGATCCTGCCACCTCGGCCTCCCAAAATGCTGGTGTGAACCACCCTGCCCAGCCCAAAGATGCTTTTGGTCTGATCTATCTGGGGAATGCTGAGCCTCTCCCTCCTCGGAATTTGTAAGAGTGCACACCCAAATGCAGGCTCTACGAAGTCTGTCTTCCTAGATTGAAATCACATGTAGCCAACAAACTTGTTTATTTATTTATTTATTTTTTGAGATGGAGTCTCGCTCTGTCACCCAGGCTGGAGTGCAGTGGGACAATCTCGGCTCGCTGCAAGCTCCGCCTCCCGGGTTCAGGCCATTCTCCTGCCTCAGCCTCCCGAGTAGCTGGGACTACAGGCGCCCGCCACCACACCCGGCTAATTTTTTGTATTTTTAGTAGAGACGGCGTTTCACCGCGTTAGCCAGGATGGTCTCGATCTCCTGACCTCGTGATCCGCCCACCTCGGCCTCCCAAAGTGCTGGGATTACAGGCATGAGCCACCGTGCCCAGCCTTGTTTTATTATATGAAGTTACAATCCTGTGTCACAAGATGGGAGGGCAGAGGGAGGATTTTGAGGAAAGCTTAATGACCGAATGGTGTTTACTGTCAGGAGTCCCAGAGGAAAGGGAGAGAAGGGATTAATGTGGCTAAGTGAGAAACAAGATAGGCCAGAGACAAGTGAGGTTAAAACTGCATGAAGGGATTGAGCAAGTGGAAGCAATGACCAACGTGCTGGTGCTCATGAACCGCAGAGGGAAGAAAGGGAGCAACTAGGAATTTTGAAATTAGGAATAAGGCTGGGCGCGGTGGCTCACGCCTGTAATCCCAGCACTTTGGGAGGCCAAGGTGGGCAGATCACCTGAGGTCAGGAGTTCGAGACCAGCCTGGCCAACGTGGCAAAACCCTGTCTCTACTAAAAAACAAAAAATTAGCCAAGTGTGGTGGCACGTGCCTGTAATCCCAGCTACTCGGGAGGTTCAGGAAGGAGAATCGCTTGAACCTGGGAGGCGGAGGTTGCAGCGAGCTGAGATCGCGCCATTGCACTCCAGCTTGGGCAACAGAGTGAGACTCCGTCTCAAAAAAAAAAAAGAATTAGGAATAAGAGTGAGGGAAATGGGCAACTTGGGCCAGTAGCAGAGCTGTTTTGAACATGGGAAATTTACCCACAGTTGCTTTATAGTCCTTCAGACATTTAGAATTTTAAATTTTTTTAATTTAAATTTAATTTTTTTTTTTTTTAGAAATGGGGTCTTGCTATGTTGCCCAGGCTGGTCTCGAACTCCTGGCCTCAAACAATCCTCCCTCCTTGGCTTCCCCAAGTGTTGGGATTACAGGCGTGAGCCACTGTGCCCATCCTAGAATTTTTTAAATTTTCAAAACAGTAATCTGTCCTTGAGTGTGAACTAGATTGTACTGACAATCTGAATAGATATTTCAACTAATGGTTAAAAAACAAACAAAACACCCAAAACACATCTTAGAATGATTCTCATGTCTTCCAAATAAAAATACTTTAAAATGTTGTCAATACTTTTACCTATTTAGCTTATGCCTTTGGTTATAGAAAATATAGAATCAATGATAATGAATTAATAAGAAAATAAAAATAGATATTTCAACTAATGGTTAAAAAACAAACAAAACACCCAAAACACATCTTAGAATGATTCTCATGTCTTCCAAATAAAAATACTTTAAAATTTTGTCAATACTTTTACCTATTTAGCTTATGCCTTTGGTTATAGAAAATATAGAATCAATGATAATGAATTAATAAGAAAATAAAAAATATATTCCATCTTTAATATACTGATGGTTCAGTTTTATTTCTAAATTGTCTGAGATGGAAGTATATTAAACATAAATGGTGAAAGTATAATGGGGACAATTCATTATGTCCTTTGGAAACATTTTCATTGTAAATTCCAGTTGTATTTATTTTTTATTTATTTATCTATTTATTTATTATTATTTGTTTTAGATGGAGTTTCCCTCTTGTTGCCCAGGCTGGAGTGCAATGGCACGATCTCGGTTCACTGCAACCTCCGCCTCCTGGGTTCAAGCGATTCCCCTGCCTCAGCCTCCTAAGTAGCTGGGATTACAGGCATGTGGCAACATGCTCGGCTAAGTTTGTATTTTCAGTAGAGACGGGGTTTCTCCATGTTGGTCAGGCTGGTCTCGAACTCCTGGCCTCAGGTGATCTGCTTGCCTTGGCCTCCGAAAGTGCTGGGATTACAGGCACGAGCCACCGCGCCCGGCCATAACGTGCAGTTTTAAAGTATTATCCTTGATGAAATTAAATTGTTACCAATTTTCCAACCTGCATGATTCATTAACTCTGCACTAATGAATTATACTGCCTGACTTATTCCCAGGAAGCTCTAGATGTTGCTCATCAATCTATGGATAATTGTTGTTTGTGGTTTTTAAGCTCCATTGCATTTTTATCTATATAGATGGAGAATTAAGTCTTGATGTGACAAAGTTGAAAAATAATAAAACCAAAGTTCAGAAAACTCTAAACAATAGTTTTATTTATTTATTTTAATAATATTCATTTATTTATTTTATTTATTTTTAAAATTATACTTCAAGTCCTGGGATACATGTGCAGAACATGCAGGTTTGTTACACAGGCATACACATGCCATGGTGATTTGCTGCACCCATCAACCCATCATCTACATTAGGTATTTCTCCTAATGCCATCCCTCCCACCCCACCCCCTGACAGGCCCTGGTGTGTGATGTTCCTCTCCCTGTACCCATATGTTCTCATTGTTCAACTACCATTTATGAGTGAGAACATGCAGTGTTTGGTTTTCTGTTCCTGTGTTAGTTTGCTGAGAATGATCATTTCTAGCTTCATCCATGTCCCTGCAAAGGATAAGAACTCCTTTTTTTATGGCTGCATAGTATTCCATGATGTATATGTGCCACATTTTCTTTATCCAGTCTAACATTGATGGGCATTTGGGTTGGTTCCAAGTCTTTGCTATTGTGAATAGTGCTGCAATAAACCTATGTGTGCACGTGTCTTTATAGTAGAATGATTTATAATCCTTTGGGTATAAAGGATTGGGAAAAGCATAGTATCTGGGCTGGATAGCACCGTCCCTCACGGCATAGTCCCTCATGGCTTCCCTTGGCTACGGGAGAGAGTTCCCCGACCCCCTTGCACTTCCCGGGTAAGGCAACGCCCCCCACCTGCTTCTGCTCGCCCTCCATGGGCTGCATCCACTGTCTAACCAGTACCAGTGAGATGAACCAGGTACCTCAGTTGGAAATGCAGAAATCACTCGCCTTCTGCATTGGTCTTGCTGGGAGCTGCAGACCAGAGCTGTTCCTATTCGGCCATCTTGCCCGGGAATCTTATTTATTTTTTGAGATGGAGTTTCACTCTTGTTGCCCAGGCTGGAGTGCAATGGCGCAATCTTGGCTCACTGCAACCTCTGCCTCCCAGGTTCAAGTGATTCTCCTGCCTCAGCCCCCTGAGTGGCTAGGATTACAGGCACCCACCACCATGCCCAGCTAATTTTTGTATTTTTAGTAGAGACGGGGTTTCGCCATGTTGGCCAGGCTGGTCTTGAACTCCTGACCTCAGGTGATCCACCCGCCTTGGCCTCCCAAAGTGCTGGGATTACAGGCGTGAGCCACCATGCCCTGCCTTAAACAATAGTTTTAAAAACCTCTAGGACCTGTAGTTTGTTTTTTGTTTAGAGATGAGGTCTTGCTATGTTGCCCATGCTGGTCTGGAACTCCTGTACTCAAGGGATCCTCTTGCCTCAGAATATCGTGGACTAAAGGTGTGAGGCACCATGCCAAGCCCTGTGGTTTATTTACACTGTAGGCTGTAATAGTTTAGCTTTCCAGGCAGTGACTATGTCTTAGAATTAAAGATAAAGACAGTTGCTTGAGATGCCTTAGAGAGGGCTGCAGTTCAATGGGAGAAAATGCCAGAATTATTTTTCTGTGAGAATATTTCAGGTTACAGTCTAGATTAGACAAATAGCATCTTTAAGGTTTTGTCAACAATAGATATTCAGGGGAAATAAAACCTTCAGAATCAGGGCTAAAAATCTAAAAATTCTGTCCTAGAGAAGGGCAAACTTGAAGATTTTTACTTCACTTTTCCTGCTAGTTTAGCTAAAGAAATATGAAAATGGGCTGGGCATGGTGGCTAATGCCTGTTATCCCAGTGCTTTGGGAGGCCAAAGTGGGTGGATTATTGAGCCCAGGATTTTGGGACCAGCCTGGGCAACATAGCGTAGACCTTGTCTCTACAAAAAATATTTAAAAATGGCCAGGACTAGTGGCTCATGCCTATAATCCCAGAACTTTGGGAGGTTGAGGCAAGTGGATAGCTTGAGCCCAGGAGTTCCAGACCAGCCCAGGCAACATAGTGAGACCTCATCTGTATCAAAAGAAGGTAAAAGAAATACAAAAACAAGTCTTAACAACTAAGCAAAGAAATAAGTACCTTGACTTGTTCTCACTTGTTCTATAAGAGTTACACTGGCACAAGCTCATCTAATGATGTAGTTGCTTTGAAATCTCTACTTCCTTTTTTACTTCTTTTTGCTGAACAAAAATATTTAATGAACAGGCTTGGATTAATAAGTTTGGTGATGGTGTCCAATGAACACAAATGACCACGTAAAGGGTAGTAGTAGATTGGACACCTTATACATAGTTCAGAATCATCATATGATCTTCATGGTTGAGGCTTGTTTCTTTTCTTTTTTTTCTTTTTTTTTTGAGATGGAGTTTCACTCTTGTTGCCCAGGCTGGAGTACAATAGCACTATCTCGGCTCACTGCAACCTCTGCCTCCCAGGTTCAAGTGATTCTCCTGCCGCAGCCTCCCAAGTAGCTGGGATTACAGGCATGTGCCACCCCGCCTGGCTAATTTTTGTATTTTTTTTTTTTTAGTAGAGAAGGGGTTTCACCATGTTGTTAGGGCTGGTCTCGAACTCCTGACCTCAGGTGATCTGCCCACCTCAACCTCCCAAAGTGCTGGGATTACAGGTGTGAACCACCACACCTGGCCCTTGTTTGATTCCTTTTAGGCTTGGGAAAAAAGGGTGAAGATGGGGGAGGACAGAAGCAGAGATAAACGAAGTAAATGTTCATACATTCTCTCACTTGAACCTCTCAGCAACCCTGTTAAGTTTGTATTTGTATTTGTATTTATTTATTTATTTGACACAGAGTCTTGCTCTATACCCCAGGCTGGAGTGCAGTGGTGTGATCTCGGCTCACTGCAAACTCCACCTACCGGGTTCAAGCAATTCTCCTGCCTCAGCCTCCTGAGTAGCTGGGATTACAGGTGCCTGCCACCACACCCAGCTAATTTTTGTATTTTTAGTAGAGACAGGGTTTCGCCATGTTGGCTAGGCTGGTCTCAAACTCCTGACCTCAGGTGACCCACTCGCCTCCAACTCCCTAAGTGCTGGGAGCCACTGTGCCTGGCCAAGTTCGTATTATGATTCATTTTATAAATGGGAAACTTAAAGACACAGCTGGCAAATGTCAAAGCTGGACTTTGAACTAAGATCTAACACCAAAACCATGCTTGATGCATAGTAGGGCCAGTGATTTATTTTTTTTTTTAATATTAGGTAATAGCAAGTAATATGCCCAGAGACATGATGGGCTGACAAAGTATTGACGGGTCTTGTTCTTACTGTCCCTTCTATGCCCCAGTGCTCAACTTCCCCTTAACCCATTCCTTATCCTTCCCCACCACCATTCCACCCCCAATAAAGTCACCCAAGACAGGAAAAATTGTTAACTATTTTCAGAATACTTTGGTAAAGTTGAGGAAGGGGAAGGAAACAAAGTCTTCCAGAGCAGAGGGGGAAAATCCCTCTTTTGATGAAACATCCTGTGTAGCAACTGTGAAGCCTGGATTTCCCCAGGATGAGGTTAGAGTAGCAGGCTGCTGCTTGTCACATGGCCTCAGTTCAAAGTCACACCTGTGGGGGCCTCCCGTAAAATTTACCTATATATGGCCCTCCACAAAGCCACAAACACAGAACTCAAAATGGCATTCACCACTTCTGAGATGCTGAACAGGAAGGAATAGCACTGTTTTTACAAATTAAGTGCACAGTATATGTCACAAGGAGGAAATAAACCCTATGAGTTTGAACTTGCACATCCTCTCAATACTGAAAGATTAATTTTGGTGGCTGAGGTTAATAATACGGTTATTCGTGTTTGGATATGAATGTAACTCGACCGATTGGGAAAGCAGGTGCTAGATTGATGTACCATGCCTGAGACCCATGAGTCATTGTCACTGATTTACAAGCTGGCCTTGCCATGAAAATGGAAGCCAGAGCCAACTCTATGTCATACAATTTATGCCATTCACTAAAATTATAGATAATTTCAGCCTGTGCATTTGCAAAACAGTCTATGCCATTTTTGCTTTAAACATCTTTTGTACTTGGTCTCTCTGACTTGTCTAAATAAGTATTATCATTCATAATAACCATTACCAATCCATTATGCAACATCATGAAAATATATACAGCTTTTAGATTTAATCCATGAAATAAAGCCTATGACTTCTGCTTGCATCTTTGATAAACGGCCAAGTTCTCACAGCTGTTATGATTTCAATTATGAAGAAAATTGGAACTTTTGCATTCTTCAGTGGCTAAAAATCACTCAGAAAAAAACACTTGTTCACATAAGCTATTTTTTTCCCTCGTGTGTATCATGAGCCTTGGGTCTGATTAGTGTAGTTGATTAAAGCAATGTGCCAAAAGGCAAAGGGCCCTTGTTAAAGCCCAAGGAAGGTCAGCTAGATTAACTTCCCAAGTTTACTGAAAATCTGTTCTATTAGTAGTCTTCAGCCAAATTAGGCAAGGGAGTACAAACAGATCAGTACAAATCCAGTCTTTAATGCTAGCAAAATGTAGCTCAAACCACAGTTAACATTGATACAAGGTCAATAATGTCATCTTCCCATACAGAGACAGATGACACACATGCAGAAGCATCTTAGAAACACCTGCTCTCCTCCGCCTTTTTTTTTTTTTTTTTTTTTTTTTAGATGGAGAGTCCCTCTGTCGCCCAGGCTGGAGTACAGTAGTGAAATCCCAGCTCACTGCAACCTGGGCCTCCTGGGTTCAAGTGGTTCTCCTGCCTCAGCCTCCCCAGTAGCTGGGATTACAGTCATGTGCCACGACGCCCAGATAGTTTTTATATTTTTAGTAGAGACAGGGTTTCACCATGTTGGCCAGGCTGGTCTCAAACTACCTGCCTCGGCCTTATTTACAGGTTTTGTCTCCTCATATACAACCAATCTCAACATAGAGAACTCCCTAACTCTGATCCAGGTAGGCTCTCCCTCATCAAGAGATTAAGAGTTCTGAAGTTAAATGAACTACAAAATGAACTACAGTTTATAATCCATTGCCTCACATCCAAAGTGCTTCCTCTCCCTTTCTTTTTATCCCCCTCTCCCTTCAACTACTATTCTCTGAAGCTTTTCAGTTCTCTCAAATCTTAATTTTATTTTTTTCCTCCACAAGAACAAACTTGGTAAATAACCAAGATTGTTCGTGGTTTCAGGCTCCTCTTTTTAATCATTTTTCTCATGTCAGTAATGAGAGCTCCTGAGTTAATATTATGCTTTCCCAAACCTGGAATCCTCGTCTTTTTTGCAGAAGAAGAATCAAGCGTATTGTACGAAATCTCAAGCATATTTATCCTTAACAAGGTCAAAGTCAGAAACCTTAATCCAAAACCATAAACCTCCTGCAGAAAAAATCTCTGGAATTCAACTCTCTCTCGTCTATTCTTTATTCCTACTGATACCACTTTTGTGATTGAAACATGAAACAGATCCTCATCTCCTGAAGATGATATATAGAAATTGTTTTAAATGCCTTGTGAAAACCCTTAATAACCCGAATTCTGTTCCCCAGTTGAGCTATATTTTCCTTGCTCCAAATTTACCATGTCATTCCAGGCCTCCAGGCCTTTGGTTATTTGTCCCATCTGTCTGGGCTTCTCTTCCCCGCCCTTCCTTACCTTACTAACTTACTCATCCTTCACTTCTTAGCTTAGATTTCTCTTCTGCTGAGAAGCCTTCACTGGCCCCTACATCGTCAGCTATGGGAACCCTCTTATGTGTAGTCTCTATCTCCCCCTCTTCTAGCACTTGTCACAGTGTGTTGTAACTGCGTGGTTGCTTGGATTTTCCCCCTGTCCTGGAAACACAGCCTAGGGTGCTTACTGCCAAGCTTATGATAGAAACTCTCAATAAACACCAGCTGAGAGAATAAACCAAGGCTTTGCTGTGTGCTGGGAGAGGATTCAGCATTCTGGTATCCGTAACCCTGTTACATAGGTGGTCACTACCTGAAAGGTCTGCTTTCATGCTGGTGTCAGATTTGCTTGTTTTAAAAATAACTCAGGGCTGCTGATACATGCAATTCTAAGCCAAGAAGAGAACCGTAATGGTCATCAATTTCTTTCTTTCTTTTTTGTTACCACCAAGTTAATGCATTTAACGTTTTCTAATCTACAAAGACCTATAACCTCTGCTCCCCACGTTACTTAACTAGAGAGCTACCTATCTGCTACTCATCAAACCCAGCCAGAGATGCCAAGTTCCTGAATTTTTTTTCTCACATAGAAATCTAGATGAATCCCCTGAAATGGTCATTTTAAAATCAAGTCAAAAGGAAAACAACAGGAAATACTCACTAGAGTAAAAGAGAAAAGTGAATCGAGGACAGACTTGTGTATTTACAACTCTCAAGGCCAATGAACATTGGAAAAGCAAACTAAAATGATAGATAGCAAGCTGTGGAATTTGGCTTGACCTTAAAGAGGATTTTAATATGCTCTTATATCACTGTCTGCTACTCAAGGTCGATAAGAAAAGCGTGGTTTTCTTACGGAACAGAGCTGAGTCACTTATATAATACCAGTGCATTTCAGTTGATTGTGATGATTTTTTCAAGAGATGATGTCACACAAATTGAGTTTTGCTTGAATCTTGCCTAAAAATAGTTTGATTTATTTACTAGGTCAAAAAGACAAGGGGATCTAACATCAATGACAAGTAAAAATAGAAAGATTTATTTATCCTGAACACTATGGACAAATGTGTGTCTCAGCACATTTAGGTGTTTATCCAAGGCTCTTTGTGTAAGTAGAATGAACCAGAAGCAATTTACTATATGTGAATAAGAAATATCAAGGTGATATTAATGGTTTGTATTTCCCTTTTCTGTAGAAGATTTGTAAGAAGAGTCTTTTCAGGTCCCCAAAGGTAAACTTTAGGATTAAATTATATGGTTTTAAGAAATTATCACTAAATCTTTCCCCCATTTTTTTTAACCCTTAAACATTTTTGTTTGAAACAGGGTCTCACTCTGTTGTTCAGGCTGCAGTGCAGTGGCAAGATCATGGCTCACTGCAGACTTGACCTCCTGGGCTCAAGCTGTCCTGCCTCAGCCTCTCAGGTAGCTGGGACTATAGGTGTGCACTACTATACACGGCTAATTTATTTCATCGTATTTTTTGTAGAGACAGGGTCTCACTATGTTGCCCAGGCTAGTTTTGGGTTCCTGGGCTCAAGCAATCATCCTGCCTTGGGCTCCCAAAGTTCTGGGATTACAGGTGTGAGCCATTGCACCCAGCCCTTAGAATCTTCATATTTTTGTTTAATTTGTTCTTTGTAGAGTAGTTTTCACTACAGGGATGTTACTTGGTAAATTAAATTCTATCATTTCAATTAACAACCCAAGAAAAATATATGTATAATGATAAACTTTGAGGAAAAAGAGAAATAACTGCAAAAAAAATGAATTGGCATGCAGTTAAACTTTGCTTATCCCTTAAATTTTGTTCCTGCTTATAGATTTTTAGTAGTTCATACAAAGTCTTCTTTTAAAATTTTAAAAGTCTCAAAACTACTAAAACAGGATATTATTTTAGTGGAAAATAGCCATATGGTTTCTGGGAAGGATTTTACTAAAGGAATAAATTTAATTAGAAGCAGGAAAGATTTGGTTACATACAACAAAAGCCAACAAAATATGCTCAACCCCAAGGGTAAGTGTAACTGCTGGCTAGAGATTTCCAGGAGAGGACAGGGAGTAGTTTTCCTAGAATATTTTATGTCCTAAATAGCCTGGATGAAGTCCCTTATTCCCTTCCAGACTCATCACTGGGAACGCGGCACACTGGTGGGCTATGATTCCCTGGAGAGCTTATGAAATAAAAATCAAGTGAGCTACGAGTGCAGCCAGAAACTTGCTTTACCCACAAGTCCTGACCCTGAAACTTAATTTTTGTGACTTGAATTGTGTCTCTCTGTTTAAAATTTATTTATTTAGAGATGAGGTTTTACTCTGTCACCCAGGCTGGAGTGCAGTGGTGCAATCATTGTTCACTGCATCCTCAATCTCCCAGGCTCAAGCAATCCTTCCATCTCAGCCTCCCGAGTAGCTGGGACTACAGGTGGGTGCCATCACGCCTGGCTAATTTTTAAAATTTTCTGTAGTGATGGGAGTCTTTCTACGTGACCCAGGCTGGTCTTGAACTTCTGGGCTCAAGCGATCCTCCCACCTCTGTCTCCCAAAGTGTTGCGATAACAGGCGTGAGCCACCATGCCCAGCTAAATTATGTTTCTAAATACAGCAGAACTATGTACTTCGTGATAGGTAAAGCTATTGTTTGGTTGATTCTTAGAGAAGAGAAAGGGAGTCCATGCTATCTCTTTCCACACTCTAAATCCTGAGATATAAATCTTTAGATTCTTGATCCTCACCCCTGGAAGAGAGGTCAGCAGTGACTCGAACAGGGGTGACCTCCTGGCTCTAGGAGCCCCAGGAAACAGGATTGGAAACATGGAAGTACTCCTGGAGGAGAAGGATTTAGCTTCCTGGTTATCAGGCTCTCTGGCTGCTCACACAATGTGCGCGTTGCACAGACAGTAAGCCAGTTATAATCGAACTCTTTCACATGAAATTCTTCTCTTGGGAACAAGGGCTTGATCAGGATCTTTTTGGGAGAGTGTGCTGATTTTAGCTTTCAGCTAACGTAGACATTCTCTCTCTGTTAGCACAAGAAACAAATCTGGTTCATTTTTGTAAATTTAACAACCGAGACTCAGATTTAAAAAAAAATTGATTGCGCCACTGCTCTCCAGCCTGGGCAACAGAGTGAGATTCCACCTCAAAAAAAAAAAAAAAAAAAAAAAAGCCGCAGACAGGATTGTAAGGTAATTTAAATCTACATAGAAATAATTCATCTAAGTTTATTTAGTCTGATCATTTGTTTTACGTGCTTTCTCAAGGATAACATGGTTGAAAATTTAGTGAAAAATAAGGACTATTGTGGGTGATAAGCTTAGGAATCACCAGACACCTCTCTCCAGAGACCATAATACATCATGCCAAGAGCAAAAAACTGGGAGAAATGAGCAATTTGAAGTACTGTTATTTTAATCCCCATAAGCCTATATAAAATTTTTTTTGATATAAATTAAAAGAAACCAGAAATCTATAAAGCCATCTGGCTGATTTAAGTATATTTTTTATAGCATCTTTTTAAGAAAGATCAGAAAAACTCAAGACAATATAAAAGTATGTCAGTATGGAAACTATTCCTAGCTGATCATTTTACTTCCAAGCCTTCTGGGCTTCAAAGGGACAGCTCAACAATTTTGAGAAGAAATATAAAAGTAACAACACACCTTCTTGAGCCTAACAGATGGAGTAAGACATTTGAAATGCTGAACAAGAGACATGGGTCAGAATCCATCCCAGAATTGTATGAAGCCAGCTTAATTAAAAGTGCTTTCTAGGCTGAAGCAGAGCATCACTTGAGCTCAGGAGTTCGTCTTTTGTTTTTCTTTTTTTTTTTTTCTTTTTGTGGAGAACGGGGTCTCGCTATATTGCCCAGGCAGGTCTCGAACTCCTGGGCTCAAGCTATCGTCTCGCCTCTTGCCTCCCTGAGAGCTGGGATTACAGACATGAGCCACCGCGCCCAGCTGAGCTCAGGAGTTCGAAACCAGACTGAGCAACAGCGAGACCTTGTCTCTACTAAAATTTAAAAAAGAAAAAAAACAATTAGCTGGGCATGGTGGTGAAAGCCTGTAGTCCCAGCTACTTGGAGGGCTGAGGATTGCTTGAGCCCAGGAAATCGAGGCTGCAGTGAGCCCTGATTGTGCCACTGCACTCCAGCCTGGGCAACAGAGTGAGACCTTGTCTCAAAAAAATAAAAAATTTTTTTCTACAGTGCCCCTCTATTATTGTCTTTGTAATTTATTGTCTTCCTCCTTTGTAAAGGAGGAAGAAGAGGCAGTAACCTTATATTTAATTATGTCAACAACTCAGTGTTAATTCTTCTGTTTGCAGCACCGTGGCTAATAACTTCAAATCGCATGGATCCTTCCAGAGGACTCTGGCTTCACTAGGCCTTTAAAACAGCACACAGTGCCTTGGCTTCAGCATTTGGTCGCTGACTAAGCACCTTTCAAGCTGCCTTCAATTGAAAGACGGACAGCGGACTCTGAGGAAATCCTTGCTCAGCCAAATGTATCCCATATGAGAGGGCAAACTTAATGAGAATCAGTCCCTGGCATGCAGCGCCTCTGGAATGTGCGTGATTTACAGCCAGCATGGGCTACAGAGTTTTCTGTCCTAGTCTCTCCTTTTCTGTCCTAGTCTCTCCTTTTTTTTTTTTTCAAAAAAAAAAAAATGCATCAACAAAGTATCAATTTTAGCTAATAAAGGCAAAAAGAAAAAAGAGCACACTAACTTTAGCACATGTATGCAAGGTCCCGGGAGGAGATAAGAAAATGAACACATTCGATTCACAACTGCAAGGAGCTTAGAGAATACATGGACACGCACACACATATCACACAGGGCAGAGCAAACTGATTGACAGGCAGAAGTACAAAGTGCTGTGGGAGCATAAATATTGTGTTTTCCATTTTCCTCCAAGTGCCTTTATTTGTAGCAATGGAATGGTCTCATGGTGCAAAATCATATTTGTGATGCTGCCTGGCTTCCTATCAATAGGGTGGAGTTGTACCTGTTCACTTTCTACGAGTGAGGCTCCTGGTGAGTATGGTGTTTTCCCCAAACGCACAAGTAATAGATTAATATGGGATTGAAACATTTAAACGATATAAAGAAAGCTAATGTCCTCCTTGACTCATCTCCTCCACCTAATCACTGGCCAGTTCTAATCCCTGGAAGGTGGTAATCACCATTGTCATTTGATATACATACTTCCACGTCTTTTAATTTACATTTACCCACACATATATACTCACACTCATAGATAAACACACATATATACAGACAAGAAGAAAGAAATACAAAGTTTAAAAAATGTGATAATGGTATATACATGTTCATCTTCAACTTGCTTTTCTAGCATAATATACCATGGGATATGTCAATATATACAAATCTCATTTTTTTTTTCTTTTTTGAGACAGAGTTTTGCTCTTGTTGCCCAGGTTAGAGTGCAGTGGCGCCATCTCGGCTCACTGCAACCTCCGCCTCCCGGGTTCAAGCAATTCTCCAGCCTCAACCTCCCGAGTAGCTGAGATTGCAGGCATGCGCCACCACGCCTGGCTAATTTTTTGTATTTTTAGTAGAGACAGGGTTTCACCATGTTGGCCAGGCTGGTCTCAAACTCTGACCTTAGGTGATCCACCTGCCTCGGCCTCCCAAAGTGCTGGGATTACAGGCGTGAGCCACCGTGCCCGGCTACAAATCTCTTTGTTTTTAATCACTGTATAGTGTTCTATGGTATGGATATGTCATAATTAATAATGCTCTACAAGTTTATAATTTTGTTATCTCCTGATGTTTCCATTTTTTCACCATTTCCAACATTGCAATGGATATTACTGTACCTATCTCAGTTATCACATAAGCAAGTAATTATCTGGGGTAGATGTGGAGACATGGATTTGCTAAATTAAAAGGTAAGAGATTCCCAGCTGGGCTCAGTGGTTCATGCCTATAATCCCAGCACTTTGGGAGGCTGAGGTGGGTGGATCACTTGAGGCCAGGAGTTCAAGTTGCAGTGAGCCAACATCACGTCACTGCACTCTAGCCTGGGTGACAGAGTGAGACTCTGTCTCAAAAACAAACAAAGGCAAGAGATTTTGATTTTTTTTTTTTTTTTTTTTTTTTGAGATGGAGCCTCGCTCTTGTCACCTAGGCTGGAGTACAATGGCATGATCCTGGGTCACTACAACCTCCACCACCTCCCAGGTTCAAGCGATTCTCCTGCCTCAGTCTTCCAAGTAGCTGGGATTACAGGCGCCCGCCACCACACCTGGCTAATTTTTGTATTTTTAGTAGAGACAGGGTTTCACCATGTTGACCGGGCTGGTCTTGAACTCCTGACCTCAGGTGATCTGCCCTCCTCGACCTCCAAAAGTGCTGGGATTACAGGCGTGAGCCACTGTGCCCTGCCTTCAGTCTTCTTGAGTTGGCTATTACTAGGAAGTATGAGAAAAATGTCCCTCTCTGACAGAATTTGCCCATTTTTCTTTCTATTTGTTAGTTATTTCTTTAAATATTTCCATGTTATGTTAAGTGCATGAAGATTTGTGAATGTTTTATCTTCTTGGTAGATATTTTTCTTCAACATGAAATATTCCTCTTTGGTCCTTTTTCCTTTTTTTTTTTTTGTATTTTGTCGATATTTATATTGCTAAAACTACTTTCCTTGTATTAGACTTTATCTGGAACATTATTATTTTCCAAATTGCCAGATCCTTTTACAAACATAGTTTACAATGTCCCCAGCTTTTGCTGTGATCATTTTGGACTATGGTTTCCACATCAAACTTATCATCCTACCTGCCTTCTCTTTTTCAGAGATACTTAATTATCCCTTATCTACACAATGGTATACTTTGTCTTCTAGCACAATTATAAGCTAAAGTGTGTGTGTGTCTGTGTGTGTGTGTGTATGTGTGTGTGTGTCATTTAAGGCAGAAAGTAGAGATGACATTACATGGTCAGGCTGCCATCTTGATACGATCCTATGTTTTCCTTAACACCAGATTTCCTTCTCCACCTCCACTTCAAAACTTTCCTTTCCTTCCAGCTTGGTTGATCTAGATACTAAAGGTGCCGTGGGAGATACAATACAGAGTAGAGTTTGTGAATACGTTTAGTCAGCATACACCTCTCGAAAAACTACTTTTGGTCTCCATCTCTTTGTGGCCTATAAGTTAGTTTCAGGCTGAATACTACAACATGTGTTCCAGTAGCATGCATTATTTAGTAACAGCTTACACAGCTCTAAGTTATCATCTTTCCCACCTCATTCCCAGGAAGATTTGTTTAATTTATAAGCAGTCCATTTCAGACAGCACTCCTCGGGATATCACAATATTGCTGTTCTTCTGGGTGATTCATTGGCATTATGAATACCCTTGTTTCTTCCATGGGTAAAACATGTTTCAAGGCCACTAACTGGGCTATTGGCAAGGCCTGGTACAAACTAAGTGCAATGTAACTCTTAGCAATTTGTGACCATTAAACATAGCATTTATAATGTGCTAGTTTTAAAGTTGAACAAAACAACAACAACAACAAAGCAACCCACAGCCCGTGTCTACGGCCATACCACCCTGAACACGCCTGATCTCAGAAGCTAAGCAGGATCGGACCTGGCTGGTACTTGGATGGGAGACTGTTTGGGAATACCAGGTGCTGTAGGCTTCGCTGGGCGTGGTGGCTCATGCCTGTAATCCCCGCACTTTGGGAGGCCGAGGCAGGCAGATCACCTGAGGTTGGGAGTTCAAGACCAGCCTGACCAACATGGAGAAACCCTGTCCAGGCATGGTGGCGCATGCCTGTAATGCCAGCTATTCGCAAGGCTGAGGCAGGAGAATCACTTGAACCCAGGAGGCAGGGGTTACTGTGAGCTGAGATCGTGCCATTGCACCCCAGCCTGGGCAACAACAGCTAAACTTCATCTCAAAAAAACCCAACAAACAAAACAAAACAAAAAACCCACAATTAGTTCATAAAAGACTTGCACTTAATTTGCCTTCTTATTTTATTTAAAACATTCTTACCTCGTTTTCTATATTTTATCTTTACATATAGAATACAGAGTTTAATTTTATTGTACTTTTCCTTTTACCTCCCTTTTTTTCTTGTTTATTTTCACTTATAGGTCATTAAATGCCAAGCATAGGATCTCAGACGAAAAAGGGATTCAGGGTTAACTAGCTGAGGCCTATCATATGATGTTTGAGAGGTTTTGTGGCTTGCCTGAATTCCTCCATTGACCTGTGGCAGAGCTGGCACAAGAATATGGGTCACCTGACTCCAGCACATGCACATCAATTTACGTTTACAAAAGAGTTTTTAAAATACAATCTCATCTACTAACTACTACAAAACTACTGGAAAGAAACCTGACGGTGAGTACATATTACCTCAATTTTTATAGGAGAGAACACTGAGCAGGACAAATGAATTAATGATTTGCCTAAAATAATCTGCATCGGGAGATGTCAGGAGAACAACCTGGGGTCTTTACTACCGGCTTCTGCATCTCACAGCCTCTCCACCTTCTCACCTTGCAACTTCACTTTCTAAAAGGACAGAGTTGCCTTTTCAATGATTTATTTCATCATTTCATAATTTCATCCCTATAAAAACACAAAATATAGATTTTTTTTTTTTTTGAGACAGGGTCTGGCTCTGTTACCCAGGCTGGAGTGCTGTGGTGCCATCTTGGTTCACTGCACCCTCCTCATTCCTGGGCTCAAGCAATGCTCCTACCTCAGCCTCCCAAGTGGCTAGGAACACAGGAATCCACCACCATGCTCAGCTAATTTTATTTTATTTATTTGTAGAGACGAGTTGGTCTCAAACTCCTGGGCTCAAGCCATCCACCCCCCTTGGCTTCCCTGGGGTTACAGGCATGAGCCACTGTGCCCTGCTGATGCATATTTTAACGATTAAAATAATAATAATAAAAAAAACCCACCTGGCATGGTGGCTCACACCTGTAATGCCAGCACTTTGGGAGGCCGAGGCAGGCGAATCACCTGAGGTCAGGAGTTTGAGAATAGCCTTGCCAACATGGTGAAACTCTGTCTCTACTAAAAACACAAAAATTCGCCAGGCGTGGTGGCGGGTGCCTGTAATCCCAGCTACTTAGGAGGCTGAGGCAGGAGAATCACTTGAACCTGGGAGGCAGAGATTCTAGTAAGCCGAGATCGCGCCACTGCGCTTTCCAGCCTGGGTGACAGGGCGAGACTCCATCTCAAAAATAAAATAAAATAAATAAAAAGGCTTAGGCCTGTAATCCGAACACCCAAGCGGGGGCAGATCTCTTGAACCCAGAAGTTTGATACCAACCTGTCTCCACAAAAAATAAAATAAAATAAAATAAAATTAGCTGGGCATAGTGGTGCATGGGGCGTGTAGTCCCAGCTACTTGGGAGGCTGAGGTGGGACCACTGCTTGAGCCCTGGAGGTCGAGGCTGCAGTGAGCCATGATTGCACCACTACACTCTAGCCTGGGCAGTAGAGCAAAACCTTGTCTCAAAAAAAAAGTAATAAAATAAAGTATGTGTCATTTTGATTTGTGATAACCTTAGGAAAAAGCCAGCAAAGTCTGGGAACCAGGTAATCGATTGCAAATTGGAGAATGATTTACCTGCTATCTAAGATAAAGGAAAAGGGTAAATCACAATGTTGCTTTAAATTCCTTTCAGCTTTGTTTATTGTTTCCTTTTGTGTGGAATTTCACTGTTGCATTGATTTAAACCCAGCTCCTATCAAATGGGACATAGAGTAGGCCCTCAAGTAAACATTTAGCACTAGGCATGTGTGCTCTGTATAGGATATGTAGAACCCTCTCTCTGCTTCTAAGTCATAAATAGTTCTTTAGAGTCTAAGAAATTGGCAAACTCAGGCTGGGCGCAGTGGCTCAGGCCTGTAATACCAGCATTTTGGGAGGCTGAGGCAGGCAGATCACTTGAGGTCCGGAGTTCAAGACCAGCCTGGCCAACATGGTGAAACCCCATCTCTACTAAAAAAAAAAAAAAAAATTACCCGGGTGTGGTGTCAGATGCCTGTAATCCCGGCTACTCAGGAGGCTGAGGCAGGAGAATTGCTTGAACCTGGGAGGTGGAGGTTGCAGTGAGCTGAGATCTCGTCACTGCACTCCAACCTGGGAGAGCTGTGTCCATTCATTTACATATTATCTATGGCTGCTTTCCCTAGAAGGGCAGAGCTAAATAGAAGTTAGAGACTGTATTTTAGGCAAAGGCTAAAATATTTACTATCTGGCCGTTTAGATAAAAAGTTGACTCTATCCCTTGCATCAGGAGCGATAAATAGATGCTCTTGCATTTAGCGTCTTTATTGTTTTTCATGACAAACCTAGAGTTGAACCAACATCTGGCTAAAAAGCAAATGCACCATGACAAATGTTCATGGATCAGCAAAGTGCTAACCCAGTTATGGAAGTCTAATATAGTGTTACAGAGTCACAGGCTTAGCTAATATGTAAATCAGCAAACATGAGCAATAATGATTTATATTTGCATGGCATTCTATAGATTATGAAACATTTCATATCAATCTCATTTGATTTTTCCAATAACCGTAGAAAGTAGACAAGTAGGCTGGGCATTGTGCCTCATACCTATAATCCCAGCATTTTGGGAGGATCACTTGAAGCCAGGAGTTCAAGACCAGCCTGGTCAGTATGACAACACCCTGTTTCTACAAAAAAAATTTTTTTTTTTTAATTAGCCAGGTTTGTTGGCGTATGCCTGTGGTCTTATTTACTTGGGAGGGTTGAGGTGGGAGGATCACTTGAACCTAGGAGTTTGAGGTAACAGTGAGTTATGATTGCACTACTGCACTCAAGTCAGGGTTACAGAGCAAGACTCTGTCCCCCTGTCTCCCTGTCCCCGACCCCCACCCCCCCCAAAAAAAGGGCCGGCGTAGTGGCTCATGCCTGTAATCCCAGCAATTTGGAAAGCCGACGCAGGTGGATTACCTGAGGTTGGGAGTTTGACACCAGCCTGACCAACATAGAGAAACCCTGTTTCTATTAAAAATACAAAAATTAGCCAGGCGTGGTGTTGGGTGCCTGTAATCCCAGCTACTCGGGAGACTGAGGCAGAAGAATTACTTGAACTCAGGAAGCGGAGGTTGCAGTGAGCCGAGATCGTGCCATTGCACTCCAGTCTGGGCAACAAGAGTGAAACTCAAAAAAAAAAAAAAAAGAAAGAAAGAAAGTAGACAAATTATGAAACAGATTCAGCGACATTGCGTGATAACTCAGAGTGAAAAGGAACTCAGATTTAATGTCTTCAGTCTTTTAGCAGCTAAATGATTATTTTATCTCTGGAAAATGGTTACCTTGCTAAAAATAAAAAAGGTGAGCGGTTATTAACGTTTATCATTCTATGATGCACTGACTTGGAAGATCACTTACAATTAACTGTACTTTGTAATAACATGTTCTGTCTTCTAAATATTGTATTTTTATGTCAGTATGATGGTAAAAATAATATAAGCATTTTATATAATGGTTTTAAAAATCAAAATAAATATGGGCCTAATTAAGTTATAAGTTAAAAATATAATCTTAAATTTTTGAAATCTTAGAAACTGCAAGATGAATCAGTTATCTGGTTTTCTTGGATTAACAAAATTTTTAAAAAACAACTCTTGGAGTAGCAGGGAAAATAAGTCTTAGTAAAAATGTGAGTATATATGAGCTTGAGAAAAATAATGAAAAGTATACATAGTGCTCTGTAAATGGATCAAATCGTGTTGAACTAAATATTTCAATGGAAGCTACGAACATGTAGATGACTATTACAATCGTTGTATCATCTAAGACTTGATCTCCTGTGTGATCAAACCACTTCTGAGGAATTGCCAGTTTACCAACACATTGCTGTATCAGTCTTGGACCCACGTAAAACATTAATACAACATACTGCATGATTCAGCTAGATGACATTCTGGAAAAGGCAAATCTATGGAGACAGTAAAAAGATCAGTGGTTGCTAGGGGTCAGGGTAAGGAGGGGATGAATAGTGGAGGGCAGAGGATTTTTAGGGCAGTGAAACTTAACTGTATGATACTGTAATGGTGGATGCATGTTATTATACATTAGTCCAAACCCATAGAATGTATAACACCAAGAGTGAACTCTAACATAAAACTCTGCTAGGGAATGTTGATGGCAAAGTAGGTTATACGTGCATGGGGACAAGCGTATATGGGTAATCTCTGTACCTTCTGCTCAATGTTGCTGTGAACTTAAAGCTGCTCTAAAATATAAAGCCTACTTTAAAAAAATAACATAATGAGCTAACAAAGACCACAATTCTAGGTCTTCCTCAGAAGCTTTATAAATATGCATTAAAAAATTATTTTTTGGGTATACTCTGGCAGAAATACAAGAAAAACAAAGGCCCAGAATTTTTCCAGGAGAATAGATCCAGAGCGAACATGAACTTACTTCACACCCAGATTGAGTTTCCCATGAACATGACTCGTTCTCCTGAGGGAGAACCCCTCTTTGGAAAGCATGTTCACCCAGGCATGTTTGACACAAGGAAGACTCGAAGTCTGGCTCCCCTGGAGGGATGTGCACCATGGAGGAGCCGGTGTACTTCAGGCTGGGACTCTGATGCTTGTCCACACTGACCATTGGGCTCTTGATCCACCTTCGTACCTGCAATGTGCAAAAGGAAAGAAAAAACAAATGTGTTTGACTCCCTTTGATGTTTATTGGGGATTTGGTGGGAAATCTGGTGGGATGGGAGCTCATGAAAGGAGAACTCGGTCTCACAACCTGTCTATCTTTCAAACTCAACACAATTCGAATTGGTCAATGCTGTTCAGTCTCTTTCCTAGAGTATGCATTACATGGCTGGTCATTTCATCTTGCTGAGTCTGTCTCCGCATTTTTTTTTCACATTATTTTTTTCTTTTCTTTTTCCTCCTGCTTCCAGTGGGGTTAGAATTTTTTTCTTTTTAGAGATAGGGGGGTTTCACTCTGTTGCCCAGGCTGGTCTTGGTGTTAAAAGATCCTCCTGGACCAGCCTGCCAACATGATGAAACCCCATCTCTACTAAAAATACCAAAATTAGCCAGGCCTGGTGGTACACGCCTATAATCTCAGCTGCTTGGGAGAATCGCTTGAACCTGGGAAGCGGAGGTTGCAGTGAGCTGAGATAGCCCCGCTGCACTCCAGCCTGGGTGACAGAGCAAGACTGTCTCCAACCACAACAACAACACAACAACAACAAACCCTCAAAACCCAAAAACAAACAAAAACAATTACCCTGGCCAGGCGAGATGGTTTATATCTAAATAGCACTTTGGGAGGCCAAGGCAGGAGGACTGCTTTAGCCCAGGAGTTTGAGACCAGCCTGGGCAAAATAGCGAAACTTTGTCTCTACGAAAAAAATAACTTTTTTTTTTTTTTAAAGAAAAAGATCCTTTTGCCTCTTAAAGTGTTGGGATCACAGGTATAAGTCACTGTGCCCAGCCTGTCTCCTCATTTGTAAGATTCAGGTAATAATATTTCCTCCCAAGCTGTGAAAATGCTACCATGTTTTACAATGTTCAAGTACTTTGCCTGGCACATGTTTGGTGCCCAATAGATAGTGACTATTTTACTTTGACCCTTATTATTATGATTATGATGACAGAAATTTAGTTCACACATTTCTAAGGTGAATTACTAGTTATTCTTACAAGGGAAAATACTAATCTCATAGTTTACAATCTAATCCATTGCTAAGCAAATACATATTCACTATTATTATTGTTATTGAGACAGGATCTTCCTCTGTCACCCAGGATGGAATGCAGTGGCCTAATCATGGCTCACTGCAGTCTTGAACTGCTGGGCTCAAGCAATCCTCTCACCTCAGCCTCTGGAGTAGCTGAGACCACAGGCTCGCACCATCACACTACTAATTTTTTTTTTTTTTTGTAGAGATGAGGTCTCACTAAGTTGCGCAGGCTGGTATCAAACTCCTGGGCTCAAGTGATCCTCCCGCCTCCCAAAGTGTTGGGATTACAGGCATGAGCCACTGAATCCGGCCCATATATACTACTGCACAACTTTGATTATAAAAGAAATTGCTTCTGGCTAAGAAATTAGCTCAAGTTTGTTTTTAAAGTTCTAAAACTCACCACTTGTCTTGCTTGCTTGTAAAATCCCTATAAGATACAGAAAGAAGTATAAAGCTATTCTAATATTAACAGGCATGGTATTTATACAGCATTTCAAAAATCAAGGCACTTTTTAAAGTGTTTGATGTGTATAGTTTTTAATCCTCAGAACAGGCAGGGTGAGGTGGCTCACACCTGTAATCCCAGCACTTTAAACTTTGGGAGGCTAAGGCAGGCAGGTCACTTGAGGCCAGGATTTTGGGACCAGCCTAGCCAACATAGCAAAACCCCATCTCTACAAAAGAAAATAAATAAGTAAATGAAGAATAAAAAATTAATTAATTAGTCCTCAGAAAAGTTTTATAAGAAAGGTACTATTTTCAATCCCATTATACAGATGGAAAAACAAACGCATAGAGATGTGAAGCAAATTTCCCCAGGGCACAGTGTTGTTATGGAGTAAAGGCGGGATCCAGGCACCTTGAATCCAGAGTTTATAAACATGCAATTTTCTTTTCTTTCTTTTTTTTTTTTTTTGAGACAGAGTCTCGCTCTGTTGCCCCTGGCTGGAGTACAGTGGCGCGATCTCAGCTCACTGCAAGCTCTGCCTCCTGGGTTCACGCCATTCTCCTGCCTCAGCCTCCCGAGTAGCTGGGACTACAGGCACCTGCCACCATGCCTGGCTAATTTTTTGTATTTTTAGTAGAGACCGGGTTTCATCGTGTTAGCCAGGATGGTCTCGATCTCCTGACCTCATGATCCGCCCACCTTGGCCTCCCATAGTGCTGGTATTACAGGCTTGAGCCACTGCGCCTGGCCATGAGCATGCAATTTTCTAAGAAGCACTGAAGTGTTGTTAAGACTTATGGTCACTGGTGCTTGAAATTTATTTTGATTTACTATTTCACTTTCATGCTCTTCAAAACTCCTGAGGATTCTTTTATATTCAACCAATTAGTGAAATTAGCCTATAGCAAAAGGACAAAGAAGTAAAATCACAGTACTGAATTTTAGTTAGTGATGCTACAATTATTATTATTATTATTTTTGTTGTTGTTGTTGTTAAAGGGTCTTGTTTTGTTCCCCAGATTGGAGTGCATTGGCACGATGACAGCTCACTGCAGCCTTAACCTCCTAGGCTCAAGCGATCCTCCCACCTCAGCCCTCCCAAGTAGCTGGGACTACAGGCGTGCACCACCATGACTGGCTAATTATTTTTAAATTGTTTTGTAGAGACAGGGTCTTGCTATATTGCCCAGACTGGTCTTAAACTCCTGGCCTTAGGCGATCCTCCCACTTTGGCTTCCCAAAGTGTTGGGATTACAAGTGTGAGCCACCATGCCCAGCCTGCAATTAACTTTTTAAAAAACACTGAGGATAAACTAAAATTGCAATAGCAATAATGTTTAAGCAATTTATTATATTACTTGATAGAATATTTTGCTATCACTAAAATTAAGTATTATGAAGACTGTGAAAATATGAAAAATATTTAGAACATAATTATATGAGAAAAGCCAAATACAAAACTGTTTAATTGCTATAATCACAAATGTAAAAACATATGTACTAACTATAGGCCGGGTGCAGTGGCTCACGCCTGTAATCCCAGCACTTTGGGAGGTCGAGGCAGGCAGATCACCTGAGCCCAGGAGTTCAAGACCAGCCTGGTCAACATGACAAAACCCCATCTCTACAAAAAACACAAAAATTAGCTGGGTGTAGTGTTGGGCACCTGTAATCCCAGCTACTCAGGAGGCTGAGGCAGGAGAATCGCTTGACCCCTGGAGGTGGAGGTTGTGGTGAACCAAGATCATGCCATTGCACTCCAGCCTGGGCAACAAGAGTGAAAACTCTGTCTCAAAAAACAAACAAACAAACAAACAAAAAAAATATATATATACACATATATATTTTATATATACATATATATTTTATATACACATATATATTTTATATATATACATATATATTTATACATATACATATATACATATACATATATATTTTATATATATACATATATATATATACATATATATATACACAGAAACACTATAGACATAAAGTAGGAGAGTTAAGAGGCAAAATAGAAACTGCTGTGTTTATTGTTAGTATCATGGGTGTTTTATCTGTTTTTACAACTCTTCGTACTTTAACTTTTAAAAGAATAATATTTTATCAGAATCATAAATGTATATATATATATACATTTCTTTAAAAAATAGAGTCTCACCATGTTGGTCAAGCCAAGCTGGTTAGAACTCCTGGGCTCAAGTGTTCCCCTCCCAGCTCAGCCTCCCAAAATGCTGGGATTACAGGCGTGAGCTACCACATCCAGCCACAAGTGTCTTTTAATTGCTTTATTTATTTATTTCTTTATTCATTTATTTATATTTATTAAGATGGAGTCTCTGATTGTCACCCAGGCTGGAGTGCAGTGGCGCGATCTCAGCTCACTGCAGCCTCCTCCTCCCTGGTTCAAGTGATTCTCCTCCCTCAGCCTCCTGAGTGGCTGGAATTACAGGCACCGTGCCCCCACGCCCAGCTAATTTTTGTATTTTTAGTAGAGACGGGGTTTTGCTATGTTGGCCAGGCCGGTCTTGAACTCCTGATCTCGGGTGATCCACCCACCTCAGCCTCCCAAAGGGCTGGTAATACAGGCGTGAGCAACTGCACCTGGCCTATATGTACTCTTTTCAATAGCCATTTAAAATATCTTTGTGAGGCCGGTTGTGGTGGCTCACACCTGTAATCCCAGCACTTTGGGTTTGGGAGGCTGAGGCGTGTGGATCACCTGATCTCAGGAGTTCAAGACCAGCCTGACCAACATGGTGAAACCCTGACTCTCCTAAAAATACAAAAATTAGCTGGGCGTGGTGGTGCACACCCGTAACCCCAGCTGCTCCAGAGGCTGAAGCAGAAGAACGGCTTGAACCTCGGAGGCAGAGGTTGCAGTGAGCCTGAGATCATGGCACTGCATTCCAGCCTGGGTGAAAGAAGGAGACTCTGTCTCAAAAAAAATAAAATATCTTTTTGAGTTTACTATCCTAAAGTTAAAATTTTGGGTTTCCTTAAATATTTCTGTCACTATAGGGCCCCTTAAGCATGTTAGTAGGTATATTAAGAATGTTTCGCTGATTCATTAATGGAAGTCTAAATGAAACTTTAAAAGTTTGAGACTCCAATAGAATGTATCTTCTTAATGTTAGTACTAAATGTGTTTTTGATCAGTCTAAAAAGTGTTCAATTTCATTAGAGATGGATAATGTTTTTTATTATTCTTATTCAGATAGTTTTGGGCTTGAAGTCTGGTAACTGTTCTTGCTTTGTCTCCAACGTTGTAGTTTAAAATCAATCTTTTTACTCTGGCTTACTTTCAATGTCTCTTTTGCCAAGTAGATTTAACTTTAGGGTTACTGTGAACAGGATTTAAACAGATGATAAATCTATTCAAATATATTTGTAAGTTGTATGCCTGGACTAAGAATCTTTGTATCTTGAAATGTATATCTCCCCTGACTCCCTGAACACCCGCACTCTAGAGCTTGAGTTATGGCCAACAAAATAAAATTTTTTTTAAATATTCTTTTTTCATGTTATTTTTATTTCTTTTTGTTTTTTATTTTTATATTTTCTTTTTCTTTTTTTTAATATGTTACAGTCTGAATATGTTCATAGTGACTTTTCTGTTTGTTTGGTTGGTTTTTTTTACAGAGATACAGTCTCACTCTATTCCCTTTGTTGGAGGGCTGTGGCACGATCATAGCTCACTTCAACCAAGAGCTCCTAGGCTCAAGCTATCCTCTCGCCTCAGCCTCCCAGTTACCTGGGACTACAGATGCGCGCCACCACGTTCGGCTATTTATTTTTTGGAGAGACGGTGTCTCATTATGTTGCCCAGGCTGGTCTTGAACTCCTGGTCTCAAGTGATCCTCCTGCCTTGGCATCCCAAAGCTCTGGGATTACAGACATGAGCCATTACACCTGGCCAGAATAAAATTATTAAAGGGACATACTATTTATTTAATAAAATAAGTAAACTATAAGTAAGAAGGAAAATAAAGCATATGAATGATCAGGATCATTGCGGGTGGAGGGCTCAATTTTAAACAGTATGAGCCAGGATACTATCGGATACTCCCTCTCTGTCCACACAGAATGTAGCAAGGGATATGGAGAAATACTCCCTTTCTCCAGAAGCATCAGAGAAAAAGTGTTACTTACAAAAATGAATCCAGCAACACATTTCTAACCGGACTGTTGCTGAATTTTACTGCATGCTTTGTCTTAAAAAGGTTTTGTCTCCATTGGCTTAGTCCTTATACTGGCTTCAACGTGTCCCTTCTTTATGACTCCTTGACACTTTTCACCAGCTTTGAAGCCTCACAAGTGATTTTTACAGGCCCAATTAAGGACAGAGTTTACGATGTTTGCTTGCTCTTGAGAGAGTGGCTGGACCGACCCAGTGAATGCACAGGAGTTAGGCAAGGTGCCCTTCAAAACTGCTGAGTAGAGAAATCCTCCCACGGCCCCTCGGGGAATTCAAGCTACAACTGGCCCATTGTGTTTCCTCAGGCTGCGGATTGCTTTACTGGAGGGAGTAGCTGACTGTGAGTGGCTTTGGGAGCCCTTCATAACAATGGCTGGAGGAGAGCTGCAGCAGCTGTGTGTGCGAGAAACACGAATGCCCGGATGCCAGCGGCAGCCTGGGCTCCTGGGCCTCCTGGGCCACCTGGGCCCTAGTTTTATTCAGAGCTACACAACTGTTTGTGAAGCGCATTGTAAACAAACATAGACGGGGTGAGACATCCTCTTTATCCTGAATAAATCAAGAATTCCCAGGCCGGGCGCTGTGGCTCATGCCTGTAATCCCAGTACTTTGGGAGGAGGCGGGCGGATCACGAGGTCAGTAGATCGAGACCATCCTGGCTAACACGGTGAAACCCCGTCTCTACTAAAAATACAAAAAAAATTGCCGGGCGTAGTGGAGGGTGCCTGTAGTCCCAGCTACTCGGGAGGCTGAGGCAGGAGAATGGCGTGAACCCGGGAGGCGGAGCTTGCAGTGAGCTGAGATCGCGCCACTGCACTCCAGCCTGGGCGACAGAGCGAGACTCTGTCTCAAAAAAAAAAAAAAAAAAAATTCCCTCACTTGGGGTTTATAGGAGACTGTTCTCCAAACCACACCAGACTTTTAGAAGCAACTACCTCTACAGATACCGGGGTGAACCAGTAAGGCCCTTCATTTAACTAGACAGAAACTGAGTGAACAGTGGGTAAACAAAATATTCAACCAAATTCTTTGCTAAATCCAGTCCACCTTGGTTTTATTAATGTCTTTACTTGGAAAAAAAAAAAAAAAAAGCCATCCAAAAGCAATCCCTCAGTCTAGAAAATTGCCAGATGTGATTAAAGAGATTGGCTGGCTTCTAGGGATTTTCCACTTGTGGTTTTTTCCTATTATCTAAGAGCAAACAGATATTACTATTAATTTAAAATAGTTTAGCTGATAATGATATCAACCGATACAGGAAAATTATAGAGAGTTTAGGTACTTAGGTGTGAACTCAGGTGGCAACACCTACTCTCATTGGCCCCCGTCCTTTTAGGGGGAAGAGCTGACTCTCTTAAAAAGCCAAGAGAGCTTGAAGTTGCCTTCTGTAATTTCCAAACAGGCATTTTTTTTTTTTAATTATAGAGAACTGACTTTGCTTACTTGACGCCTCAATAACTTTCAATTTCGAGAGAGTCAGCCCAGTTTTCTAGTGAAATTACTTGGATAGGTCAATAGATTATAAAAAGGGAGGCCAGGTGAGGTGGAGGCCGAGGCAGGTGGATCATTTGAGGCCAGGTGTTAAAGACCAGGCTGGCCAACATGGTGAAACCCCGTTTCTACTGAAAACACAAAAATTAGCCACCATGGTGGCGTCCACCTGTAATCCCAGCTACTAGGGAGGCTGAGGCAGGAGAATCCCTTGAACCCAGGAGCCGGAGGTGGCAGTGAGCCAAGATCGTGCCACTGCACTCCAGCCTGGATGAAAGAGTGAGACTCTGTCTCAAAAAAAAAAAAAAAGAGAGAGAGAAAGTAAGAGACCTGCATGCCTATGCCTCTCCCAGAGGGTGCATGCTAGCAGGTTAGTTACGGCATGAGTGTAATTTAGGAGAAGGCTCCTGGAAGCAAATTCATCTCACACTGATACTGGAGCCTGAAGCTGCTTCATAGCATGTCTCCTAAAATATAACAGTGCTGTAATATTCAGTAATATTAATCAGATATCTTCACCCCAGCTATATGTCATCATCATGTATCTGTCTTTTCTCTCTCTCTTTTTTTTTTTTGAGACGGAGTTGTACTTTTGTTGACCAGGCTGGAGCGCAATGGCGCGATCTCAGCTCACTGCAACCTCCGCCTCCCGGGTTCAAGCAATTCTCCTGCTTCAGCCTCCCGAGTAGCTGGGATTACAGACGTGTGTCACCACATCCAGCTAGTTTTGTATTTTTAGTAGAGACAGGGTTTCTCCATGTTCGTCAGGCTGATCTCGAACTCCTGACCTCAGGTGATCCATCCACCTTGGCCTCCCAATCCCAAGCCTGTTGGGATTACAGGCGTGAGCCACCGCACCAGGCCTATTACTGTCTTTTCTCTAGTGTTTGTAGTGTTTATTGCTTGTATAAAACAACAGGACTTTTATGCTAACTGGTCTTGATATTAAGCCTATGTCACCTTTCCAACTGGATCATAAGCATGAGAATAGCTTCTTAGGCCTTAGGAAAAAAAAAAATTCCAGAGGCTAGTGTATGGGCTTACAAACAAACTAGGTAATAAAAATAGGAATCTCTTGATTGCTTTTAATATTTACTTATAGATCTCAACAAGTTTTGCTAACATCCTCCATCAAGGTAATACAGATTTTCTATTTAAATATTTCTCTTTAACACGCAAGACCTATCCTGGAGCAGGCACCCTGAGAAGATGGAGTGACTTTTAGAATTCCCTGACCTTCTATGCTGTTGTCCTTGGGATCTCCCAGTCCTTTCCTCTCACCTTGACCTAGTTGCATCCTCTTCTAGATTCTCAGGGGCCAACCTGTGTCTCCAGGCCTAGTCCGGAGGATGGAGTGGTGGGGAGGACTCTGGGGAAGTGGGAAAACGGAGACGCAATGCGTCCATGTACCCTATTTAATGTTGCTGCTCACAGCAGGCAGCACCCCAGCTCCGTCTCTTCAGAGGACAGTGCTTGCCTGTTCTTCTAGCTCAGTAAGTATAAAGTCTCCCTCCTCATCCTCCCCATTGAGGAATCCACCCCACCCTGTCCCACCCCACCCCACCCTACACTGCCAAGTGTTAAATAGATAAAGTGCAGGAATTCATCAACGTACGTTTTTCTTTGGAAATACAGGTGAAGTTTTTCTCATTTCTTTAAATTGTGGGACTCTGCCAGGTGCGGTGGCTCATGCCTGTCGTCCCAGTGCTTTGGGAGGCCGAGGCAGGCAGATCACCTAAGGTCAGGAGTTTGAGACCAGTCTGGCCAACATATAGTGAAACTCCATCTCTACTAAAAATACAAAAATTAGTCGGGCGCGGGGGCACATGCCTGTAATTCCAGCTACTTGGGAGACTGAGGCAGGAGAATCACTTGAACCTAGGTGGCGGAGGTTGCAGTGAGCCGAGATTGCACCACTAGACTCCAGTCTGCAGAGTGAAACTGTCTCAAAAAAAAAAAAAAATTGTGGGACTCATTCTTTTCGTTTGAATTTGTCTTTCCTCGATATGTACTTTTTTTAGATATAAAAAATTGTTTTAAAAAGAGAAAGTAGGAAAATTATTTTAGGTACTATCTCTACGGGACAGTGTATGTTATTTGCTTTTGGAAATTAAGGCTCAGGGAAAATAGAAATGCTGGTGTAATCAGTGGAGAAGAACCTGGCTATCCTGTCCGTCAAAATCCACTGAGCTTTGGAAACAACTTCCTCCCCTCTTTCCTCCAAGAAATCCCCTTTTCCAGTGTTTTTTTTGTTTGTTTATTTTAGGTTCAAGGGTACATGTGAAGGTTTGTTACACAGGTAAGCTCATGACACCGGGATTTGTTGTACAGATTATTTCATCACCCAGGAATTAAGCCTAGTACCCAATAGTTATCTTTTGTGCTCTTCTCCCTCCTCCCACTCTTCACCCTCCAGTAGACCCCAGTATCTGTTGTTTCCTTCTTTGTATTCATGTAAGTTCTCATTCCAGTGTTTTTCTGTTTGTTTGTTTTTTTGAGATGGAGTCTTGCTCTGTTGCCTAGGCTGGAGTGCAGTGATGCGATCTTGGCTCACTGCAACCTCCACCTCCCAGGTTCAAGCAATTCTCCTGCCTCAGCCTCCCGAGTAACTAGGACTACAGGCACACACCACCACACCCAGCTGAGTTTTGTATTTTTAGTAGAGACAGGGTTTCACCATGTTGACCAGGCTGGTCTCGAACTCCTGACCTCAGGCAATCTGCCTGCCTCGACCTCCCAAAGTGCTGGGATTACAGGCATGAGCCACCGTGCCCAGCCTTTTTTTTTTTTTTCTTGAGACGGACTCTTGCTCTGTTGCCCAGGCTGGAGTGCAGTAGTATGATCTCAGCTCACCGCAACCTCCCGTTCCTGGGTTCAAGGAATTCTCCTGCCTCAGTCTCCTGAGTAACTGGGATCACAAGTGTGCACCACCATGACCAGCTAATTTTTTTTTTTTTTTTTTGTATTTTTAGTAGAGATGGGGTTTCACCATGTTGACCAGGCTGGTCTCAAACTTCTGACCTCAGGTTATCTGCCCACCTTGGCCTCCCAGAGTGCTGGGATTACAGGCGTGAGCCACTGCGCCTGGCCTCATTCCAGTGTTGTTGTTGTTTTTTTAACTGTCTCTCTCTCTCTAGGCTACTGTCTCTCAGCATATTAAACACCTTGTTCTTGCAATATCTCTAAAAGCTAGCGAACAGACTGCAAGCAAAACATCCTCTTTACACCCACAAACTCTTCCTTTTTCCCGCAGCCACCTTTCACCACCACCCAACTCTTCTCTCTTAGCCGAGCTTCATGAAAAAATAATCTCCATTTCCTCATCTCACATTTTCTCCTCAACCCATTTGCTCATTAAATGGCAATTTGTTCATTAAATGGTATTTATGGATTGCTTAATATTTGCAAGGACTAAAGCGAAGAACATAATAACAAAAGTCTCATTTCATAAAATGAAGCTTGCACAAAGATGCCAATAAACCTCATTGTCAAATCCAATAGACATTTCTCTGTGCTTACTTCATTTGCATATACTCTGCAGCATTTAAAAGCTTTCACAAAGGTTCAACAACTATTTGCCTGGCATTATGTGGTTGGGACAGAAAGAAATTTAATGTTGACCATCGAAAGAGGATGCTTGCATTTCAGAGGGGCTGATACATGAGACTGCGGTTTATCACAGCAGGTCTACCCTCCCCAGAGCTCAGTTTCTGCCCTTGTAAAATGGAGATAATAATTATGCCTACTTTACAAGGGTTTTGTGAGGACTAAATGAGATGATGCAGGTAAGCCCAGTGCTTGACACCAGGTGAATCCTTCACAAATATTTGCTATTGTGGTTATGGCTTCATTCCATGGAAAGAGTTTTATACAAAGGGCCATTGGAGAAAAGATGGAGGGTACTTGGTCCAGTCAGGAAAAATCAGGGAAGGCTTTCTGGTGGAAGTGATGGTTAAGTTGAATCTTAAAAGCTGAGTTACACTTTGGGAGGCCGAGGTGGGCGGATCACGAGGTCAGGAGATCGAAACCATCCCGGCTAAAACGGTGAAACCCCGTCTCTACTAAAAAAAATACAAAAAATTAGCCGGGCGTAGTGGTGGGCGCCTGTAGTCCCAGCTACTTGGGAGGCTGAGGCAGGAGAATGGCGTGAACCCGGGAGGCGGAGCTTGCAGTGAGCCGAGATCCCGCCACTGCACTCCAGCCTGGGCGACAGAGCGAGACTCCGTCTCAAAAAAAAAAAAAAAAAAAAAAAAAAAAAAGCTGAGTTAAAGGAAGCCAGGTGAAGAGAAATGGGAAAGATATTTCTAGTAGAGGGGATGGCAGAAGCCCAAATACAGAGGCAAGAATCTGCTGAGATGAATAGAAAACAAGCTCCAAAAAGGAGAGGCAAGAACTAAAGCTGGATAGAAAGTTTAGGTCATGGGGCAATGAGGGGACCCTGAAGTATTTATTTTTATTTATTTATTTACTTACTATTTAGGGATGGGGTCTCGCTGTGTTGCCCAGGCTGATCTTGACCTCCTGGGCTCCAGTGATTCTCCTGCCTTAGCCTTCCGAAGAGCTGGGGTTACAAGCATGAGCCGCTGCACCCAGCTCACTGAAGTATTTTAAGCAGGAGAGTAGGATGGTCAAATGTGTTTTTCTTTTTCTTTTTTTTTGAGACAGAGTCTCACTCTGTAACCCAGGCTGGAGTGCAGTGGTGCGATCTTGGCTCACTGCAACCTCCGCCTCCCAGGTTCAAGAGATTCTCCTGCCTCAGCCTCCCAAGTAGCTGGGATTACAGGTGCCTGCCACCACACCCGGCTAATTTTTTGTATTTTTAGTAGAGATGGGGTTTCACCATGTTATCCAGGCTGATCTTGAACTCCCAATCTCAGGTGATCCACCACCTCGGCCTCCCAAAGCCCTAGGATTATAGGCGTGAGCCACCGTGCCCAGCCTCAAATGTGTTTTTCAATACAGTATGAAGGACGGATTTAAGATGGTCAAGATCAAAGGAGCTAGATGAGAGTCAGGAATGGATTAGAAAAGAAAGGTAAGGGCCAAACAAGAATAGTAGCTTTGGGAATGGAAAGGAGGAAACAATAATCAAATCTACTTTTAGCTCTCAAGACTATATCCTCTTCTCCATCCAAGTACAGGTTGAGCATCTTAAATCTAAAAATCCAAAATCTGAAATGCTTCGACATCTGAAGCTCTTTGAGTGTGGACAAGATGTTCAAAGAAAATACTCATTGGAGCTTTTTGGATTTTCAGATTAAAGATGCTCAACCAGTAATTATAATGCAAGTATTCCAAAATCTGAAAAAAAAAAAAAAACCCAAATCTGAAATACTTCTGGTTCCAAGCATTTTGGATAAGAGAGACTCAGCTTGTATCTTCTCGATTCCTAAAGCCATTCCTTAAATGGTATTGCCCTTTTAGTCTTTTCTTTTCTTTTCTTTTCTTTTCTTTTCTTTTGAGATGGAGTCTCACTCTGTCACCCAGGCTGGAGTGCAGTGGCGCAATCTTGGCTCACTGCAGCCTCTGCCTTCCAGGTTCAAGTGAATCTTTCACCTCAGCCTCCAAGTAACTGGGATTACAGGCCTGCACCACCATGCCCTGCTAATTTTTGTATTTTAGTAGAGACGGGGTTTCACCGTGTTGACCAAGTTAGTCTTGAACTCAGGTTCAAGGTTCAAGGTATCCACCCACCTTGGCCTCCCAAAGTGCTGGTATTACAGGCGTGAGCCACAGCGCCTGGCCATCTTTTTTTAAAAAATAAAAATAATCTGTGGCTGGGTGCATTGGCTCACCTCATCTCTTAAAAAAATAAGTAAATAAAATAAAATAATTTGTTATTTAAATTGATTGATCAGTCGATTGTAGAGGTGGAGTGTCACTATGTTGCCCACACTGGTCTTAAACTCCTGGCCTCAAGTGATCTGCCCACCTTGGCCTCCCAAAGTGTTGGGATTACAGGTGTGACCCACTGTGTCCAGCCTCCCTTTTTAATCTTAACCTCACTGATACCACAGCTTCTTTCCAAATGCAAAAGCTGTCTTGTTGCTACCTAGCTTTAAACTCCTCAGTTTGGTTCCTCATCTCTAGCAGCAGTGGCTTTCAAACCTGTTTCATCAGGATTGATGTATTATAAGAAAGCCCATATGACTGAAACAATTGGTTCCCCACTAAAACCTATCCTTTTTACATGAAATGCACTGACATCTCCTATTCTATTCTTTCAAAATGCTGATTGCAATCTATTGAACTGATTTCATGAACCACTAATGGGTGCCACACAAATTGAAAAACGCTCATCTAAATGGTAAAATCTAAATATCTTGGCCTGGGAGACCAAGTCTCCTAGGGTCTGGACGCCTATCTTCTATTGTGCCCGGAATGCATCCAGACCTCCATTATATCATTTACTTTGCAGTTCTCTTAAAGATTGTTCTCCTGAATCTTTGATTCCCTTGACCAGCCTTGTCCACCTGGAAACTCCTGCTCTAAGTCACAAACTTGGGAAAGCCATTGTCTGGCTTCTTACCCATTCTTTCATCCATTTGGGTATTCATTTGTTTAAGTGGGAGCACACATTCATTGCTTTGCTTGTGTATTTCCCTTATTAGAATGTGAGTTTCATAAGGACTGAGATATTATTTTCTCTCATATATTCAGTAGTGGGACATTTATAATTTCTTCTGTGTGTTCCCTCTTCCTAGCTTATTCCTGCTCTATTTTCTGTCTGTGTTCACTTTGTGTTGAAGCTCACAAGGAAAGAGACTCACTATTACATCCCCAGAGCTTAGCACAACTCCCAACATACAGGCAATGCTGAAGAAATGGTTGCTGATTGGCTCCATGCTAGGTATTTTTCAAGGCACAGGGAATGACAAATAAGAGGCAATTCTGTCTTTAGGAACTCAGAGCCTTGCAGGAAAGCCCAACAAGGAAATCAACAATTGGAAGACAGTGTTAAAGCGAGCATGAGTTCATCTCTGGGGAGAAGTAGGACCGGGCTGTGATGGGGATAGGTGAAATGCAGCATTTTGGAGAGAGAGGAAAGCATGTTTCAAAGCATGCTCATAGAGAGGGCCAACCTTGGGGTGAGTATGTGTGGCAAGCCAGAAAGCCAAAAAGCTAAGTGGGTCAGACATCAAATGACTTGAATGTTTGGATACTGAAATGTCATCCTTAACTCACAGGGAGGGTACGCTGAAGGATTCTAAATGTTAGCATGATCTGATCAGATTTGCTATCTTCTAAATGAATTGGGCCCAGGGGAAAAGCATCCTAGGTTAGAGGAATAAGCACTGTCCACAGATTAGATGGACCCCACAGATTGAGGCCCCTTCTGGAGACAGTGCTTATTCCAGGGGTCTCCAAACCCGGGTAACACAGGACAGCTTTAAAAATGCAGGCTCAGCTGTGCATGGTGGCTCACACCTATAATCCCAGCACTTTGGAAGGCTGAGGTGGGTGGATAGTTTGAGCTCAGGTGTTCTAGACTAGCCTGGGCAACATGGTAAAACCCCAACACTACAAAAAATACAAATTAGCCAAGCATGGTGGTGTGTGCCTGTAATCCCAGCTACTCAGGATGCTGAGGTGGGAGGAGTGCTTGAGCCCAGGAGGTTGAGGCTGCAGTGAACTGTGATTGTGCCACTGCACTCCAGCCTGGCAAGAGACTCTTGTCTCAAAAAAAACCACAAAAACAAAAACAAAAACCAGAACCAAAAAACCCAGGGTGAGGTGCAGTGGCTCACGCCTGTAACCCCAGCACTTTGGGAGGAGGCCAAGGCAGGCATCTCTACTAAAACTACAAAAATTAGCTGGTGTGGTAGTGGGTGCCTTTAATCCCAGCTACTCGGGAGGCTGAGGCAGAAGAATTGCTTGAACCTGGGAGGTGGAAGTTGTGGTGAGCTGAGATCGTACCACTGCACTCCAGCCTGGGTGACACAGCAAGATTCTGTCTTGAAAAAACAAACCAACCAACAAACAAAAACCGAACCAACAAAAAAAGGAAATAAAAATTAAAATGTAGTCTTACCAGTGGCTTTTAACATTTTTAAATTTTATTTTCAAGCTCTATGTGACCTAGATGAAGGGCAGGGAAGGCTAAATGGAGCACGAAATGACCAGGGTCCTGGAGGTGTGAGAGGTGGGCAGACCCAGGCAGGTGTGAGAGGTGGGCAGACCTGGGTTTTTTGGGCAATGGGAGGAGGTATCACTATAAAATAAGACAGAGTGGAAATGCCATCCTACAGCCTCACTTGGAGCTCTCTACAGTATTGTTCCTCAAAGACATCTTCCTTTCTTCCTTTCTCCACTCCCCTAAGTCCCCCACATCTAAAATAACACCATATAGCTCTTAAACTCCGTAATAACCTAGGTATATTATGAATTAAATAGGTTTCTATGGGTAAGAATAAGGTTAAGTGTGGAGCAGAAAGGGTTACTAAACAGCAAGTATAATATTGTTTTTTCTATTATTCTGAGGTTAAGCAGTCAATTTACAAGTGATTTGGATTTCCTCACAATTTACTGAACAAAGAAGAAAATCTAAGATATAAAAAGGGTTTTCTACAGAAATGAATAATAAACTGAATTAAGAGAATTGGATTCCAGTTCTAGCTTCGTAACTACCTTGAGCAAGACACTGAATTCATGTGAACTTGAAGGCGCTTATCCGTAAAATGATGATCTTGGAGCATCCAAGAAGTCCTTTCCGACTGTGTCACAGATTCAAAGCTCTTCGTTCCCTGAAGTCCTGCTACTGTGACTTGGAACTCTCTGTTTCTATGGTGTGCAGCACTCAGCACAAGTTTGTTGAATGAACAAATGATCAAATGACATTTGCCCTTCCCTGCCTGACATTCCAGTCACATTCTTCCATAACTTTGCATTTCTTCCATTAGATAAATAAACAAACGCAAAAAATCCACAAGGCTTTTAAGATAATTTTATGCCCTTAAGGGCAGTTGTTTAAAAATCTATTTAAAACACAAAGATAAAGACTGAATGAAAGTCTCATTATTAGAGCGCTGTACATTGCTTAATTAAATTGAAAGTGGTAAATGAAAGGTAAGATGATTAACATCCAAACTGGGGTCTTATTACCACTCTCTGATGTTACTGCTTGTTCGTTGAGTCCTCTTATAAAAGAAATTGCACAGTACACTCAATTTCAGTTTTATACAAAAACAGCTTTCCTCCAAATTATGCTTGTGCTGTATTGGTAATGGTTTCTATTTCTGTATTCTATTTTTTTTTCTCACTTCATGTTTTATAAATGAAGAAAATGTTAAGGTTTAATTGTTCCCTGAAAACAGGAGGACAGTCAAAGCTAACAAAAAGATATCTATGAAGTACCTATTATGTCCAAGGATTGTGTGAGGTTCTGAAATTATGGAAGATAAAAGAATGTATTGAGAATAAATTGGAAATGTTCAAAGATCCTATGGAAATTGCTGGAATTAAAAAAGGCTCAGTTTTCAACCATAGAATCAGAAGCACAAGAAAAAAAAAACCAAAGAGGAAAAGAAAACTGGCTGTGACCTCCGTACAATTGAGACAGAGGAAAATGACTGTTAACATGAATCTGTGTAAATGGAGAAGGAAAAAGGATGCATTTCAGGACAGCTACATTTAAATAATCAAAATAATTTAAAAAGTGTAGGCAAGGTAGTGAGACTTCCTTTCTACAGAAAAAATTAACTGGATGTGGTGGCATGCACCTGGAGTCCTAGCTACTAAGGAGGTTGAAGCAGGAAGATCACTTAAACTCAGAAGTTCAAGGTTACTGGCTGGGAGCAGTGGCTCATGCATGTAGTCTCAGCACTTTGGGAAGCCTACATGGGTGGATCACTTGAGGTCAGGAGTTCAAGACTAGCCTGGCCAACATGGTGAAACCCCGTCTTTATTAAAAATACAAAAATTAGCTGGACGTGGTGGTGCGTGCCTGTAGTTCCAGCTACTCAGGAGGCTGAGGCAAAGAATCACTTGAACCCGGGAGGTAGAGATTGCAGTGAGCTGAGATGGTGCCACTGCACTCCAACGTGGGCAATAGAGTGAGATCCTGTCTCAAAATAAATAAATAAATAAATAAATAAATAAAATAAAGGCAAGAGTAAAAATCAAAGAAACATTCTTGCAACATTATCCTTGGTGATACCACACCCTACAGATATGCTGTATTCTTTTAATAGATATCAATGAACTGACTTGTTAAAGAAAGAAAGTGGAAATGTAGTATATAACCCAAAATGCATTACATTAATATGGCCCTCATTAATCCCCTCCCCCCCAAAAATAGCAAGTCATTCTGCTATATGGGAGAATTTCATACATGAAATTTTACAAGGATAGGTGATTTATAGGAACTTCTGATTATTATGCTTTTTGCCATTCTTTTATTATAAAACCAGCACTCAAAAAGAATCAGGTATTGGTTCTACATACGAATTTGAAATGAGCAGGTGTGCAGTAAGCACTATATTACAGTCTGGTTAAGTAAAATATAAACACTTAGCTTTGCTTAGAAAGCCTACTGTTGGGAAAAGCTGGGTGTGGTGGCTTATGCCTGCAATCTAATCCCAATACTTTGGGAGGTTGAGGTGGAGGGATTTCTTGAGGCCAAGAGGTCGAGACCAGCCGGGGCAACATAGTGAGATCTCATCTCTACAATAAGATAAAAAAATATAGCTGAGAATAGTGATGCACACCTGTAGTCCCAGACACTCAGAAGGCTGAGGTGGAAGGGTTGCTTGAGCCCAGGAGGTTGAGGCTGCAGTGAGCCACGATCATGCCATTGCACTCCAGCCTGGGCAACAGGCAGAATGAGACACTGTCTCAAAAAAAAAAAAAAAAAAAAAGTTGTTTCTTCCTGGCCCATTCCATCTTCAAAGTGCCTTTTCTCTGTATAAGGACATATCTTCCACATAGGGTATAGTTCCTAGTACCATTTGATTACCTATCTTACTCACGGCTGTCTTGAAGGCAAACAGAAATTCCTAAGTATTTGTTGAATAAATAGATGAGTAAAGGAGTGAATAGATGCTTTGTGGTGGTAATTTAGCTTATTTTTAAAATATATATATTTTTTAATTTTTTTGTAGAGACAAGGTCTCACTATATTGCCCAGGCTAGTCTCAAACTACCGGGCTCAAGCGATTCTCCCACCTTGGCTTCCCAATGTACTGAGATTACAGGCATGAGCCACCTCGCCTGGCCAATTTAGCTTCTTCATTTGTGTTCCTCCCTAGATTGTAAATTCTTTATGGATTCTTTATGGATAAATATTTCACTGGACATCTTTATGTTGCTTGTAATGCCAAGCACAGTATCTTGCATGCATGACACTGTTCAACACATATTTGTTGTATTAATTGAAAGTGTGTGCCTGTCACCCTGCGAGGTCTGAATGAAATAGCAGATCCAGGCCAGGTGCAGTGGCTCACACCTGTAATCCCAGCACTTTGGGAGGCCAAGGCAGGCGGATCACTTTAGGTCAGGAGTTCAAGGCCAGCCTGGCCAACATGGTGAAACCCCATCTCTACTAAAAATACAAAAAAATTAGCTGGGCGTGGTGGTGTGCACCAGTAACCCCAGCTACTTGAGGGCTGAGGCAGGAGAATCACTTAAACCCGAAAGGCAGAGGTTGCAGTGAGCCAAGATCGCACCATTGCACTCCAGCCTGGGTGACGAGCGAAACTCCATCTCCAAAAAAACCAGAAACAAAATACCAGATCCAATCTTTGGAAATTTCACACCCTCATCTGCTCAAGCTTCCTGGAATCTGGATTATAACCATGTTTTAAAGTCCCCATTCCAACTTTCTTATCCACCTACCCGTTCATAGCTTAGTTTTTGGTCATTTTAGTGTTTATCTTAGTATTTTAGTACTGTTAGAAGATCTGATTTCAAGTGTTGTTTCTACCACCTATTAGATGTGTGGTCTTGAGCAACTAATTTAATCTCTAAATCTATTTTCTCATCCATTAAGAGTACTGAGTATATCTATGTAACAAGTGGTAAGGATGAGTAGGTGGTAGTAAAAGAGAGGCATCTGAATCCTCTGCAAGCATTTAAAAGAAAAATACATATATGAGTTACTTAATGTTGTAATTATTCACAGTTAGCTTTCCAAAGATAAAACTGGCTACCAATTTGTTCTTTTTTTTTTTTTTTAGAGACAGATTCTCAGTCGGTCTCCCAGGCAGGAGTGCAGTGGCGTAATCACAGCTCACTGCAGCCTTGAATCCCATGGCTCAAATGACCCTCCCATCTTAGCCTATTGAGTAGCTGGGACTACAGGTGCACCACCACACCCAGCTAACTTTTAAATTTTTTGTAGAGATGGGGGTCTCACTATGTTGCCCAGGGTGGTTTCAAATTCGTGGTCTTAAATGATCCTCCCGTCTCGGCCTCCGGGATCAGGCACAAGCCACCAAGCCTGGTCCAATTCTGATATGCTATAACCAGAACTGGACTAGGAGAGTTGCTCACGTGCCTAATAAGGTTTAACTATATACTTATATACTTAACTATATACTTATGTTTGTTTGCATTTGAGCCATGATAGGCCCACTCAATTTTCTCCTTGTGGGATGAGAGAGACTGGTTTAAAAGCAGTTCAAGTGGAAAATTCCTGGAGTTTTAAATTCCCTCTAAGCCTTATAGGAAATGTATAATCCATTCTCTGGACTACTTGGGTAGGTTATATCAGTAGAAGCATTGAGGCCAGAAAAACAGAGGTGATACCCTGACCTCTGTCGTGTTGAGTCAGATCTGGAGTACTGGCTCTAGACTTGTTCTGATTTTATTTAATTTTATTTATTTATTTATTTTGAGACAGGGTCTCACTCTGTCACTCAAGCTGGAGTGCAGTGGCATGTGTTCTTCTGATTGTAATAGGGGTATTGACAAACTAGGAACGCTCTAAGAGCAGATAGAACAGTGAAGGAGATTGAAATGGTTAATTTGTGTGTCAGCTTTACAATCAGTTAACTTCTAAAAGAGTTTATCAGTGAGCATGCTGGCTCATGCCTGTAGTCCCAGCACTTGGGAGGCCAAGGAGGGCGGATCACTTGAGGTCAGGAGTTCGAGACCAGCCTGGCCAACATGGTGAAACCCCCTCTCTGCTAAAAATACAAAAAATTAGCTGGGCATGGTGGCGCACACCTGTAATTCCAGCTACTCGGGAGTCTGAGGCAGGAGAATCACTTGAACCTGGGAGGCGGAGGTTGCAGTGAGCTGAGATCACACCACCGCACTCCAGCCTGGGCAACAGAGTGAGACTCCATCTCAAAAAAAAAAATAAAATAAAAGAGTTTATCTTTGGTAATTTGGGTGGTCCTTATCTAATCAATTGAAAAGCATTAAGAGTAAAGCTGAGGTTTTCCTGAGGAATAATAAATTATGCCTCAAGACTGCAGCCTAAGACTTCTGGCCTGCCCCACAGATTTCAGACTTGCCATCTCCACAGCTGCATGAGCCAATTCATTGAAATAAATCTCTTCATATATATCATCTAATGATTCTATTTCTCTGGAGAACCCTAACTGATACAGAGATCACACTAGAAAGATAGAGATAAAAACTCAGAAAGGCCAGGACAACAGTTTTTGAATATTTGAATAGCTGCTATGTGAAAGATGAGCCAATGGATGGCGGTAATGGGAAGACATATTTGGGCTTCCCATGTACCAAAACTTAAATGTGTCTTTTGTTTAAAGAAGGCAGCTGAGCCGGTCCAAGTGCAATGGTGTTTACAACTGATTGATCACAACCAATTACAGATTTCTTTGTTCCTTCTCCACTCCCGCTGCTTCACCTAACTAGCCTTAAACATACATATATACAGGCTGGGTGCGGTGGCTCACACCTGTAATCCTAGCACTTTGGGAGGCTGAGGCGGGTAGATCACTTGAGGTCAGGAGTTCAAGATCAGCCTGGCCAACATGGTGAAACCCCGTCTCTACTAAAAATACAAAAATTAGCTGGGCGTGGTGGCACGTGCCTGTAATCCCAGTTACTCAGGAGGCTGAGGTGAGAGAATTGCTTGAACCCAGAGGGTGGAGGTTGCAGTGAGCGAAGATCACGCCACTGGACTGCAGCCTCAGTGGCAGAGTGAAACTCTGCCTTAAAAAAAAAACAAACATAAATACATATACATATGAAGAAGGCAGCTGCCCTACAGAGGACACATCAAAGAAGTCTGGCCGGGCACAGTGACTCACGCCTGTAATCCCAGCACATTGGGAGGCCAAGGTGGGAGGATCATTTGAGCCTGGGAGTTTGAGATCAGCTTGGGCAATACAGTGAGACCTTGTCTCTACAAAAAATAAAAATTAGCCAGGCATGGTGGCAAACACCTGCAGTCCCAGGTACTCAGGAGGCCGAGGTGGGAGGATCTCTTGAGCCCAGAAGGTCAAGGCTGCAGTGAAGTTGAGGCTGCAATGAGCCATGATCGCAGCACTGCACTCCAGCCTGGGCAACAGAACAAGACGCTGTCCCCTGCCACCACCAAAAAAAAAAAAAAAAAAAAAAAAAAAAAAAAAGCCTGACCAATCTTTCACTCTTTTAAGTGCCAAAATAATGCATTTTGGGTTTCAGGCATTAAATGAGTCCCTTCCTTATAGCTCTTTATCTCTTTACAATTTTATTTCCAGTTTGGTGTTCATCTGGGGTATTATGCTATTTTATCAGTGCCAATCCATTCCTTTATATGTTCAAATATTCTTTTTGTTTATTTGTTTGTTTTCGAGATGGAGTCTCACTCTGTCACCCAGGCTGCAGTGCAGTGGCTCAATCTCAGCTCACTGCAACCTCTGCCTCCCAGGTTCAAGCAATTCTCCTGTCTCAGCCTCCCAGGTAGCTGGGACTACAGGTGCACACCACCACGCCTGGCAATTTTTGTATTTTTAGTAGAGACAGGGTTTCACCATGTTGAACAGGGTGGTCTCGAACACCAGACCTCAAGCCATCTGCCCACCTCCTTGGCCTCTCAAAGTGCTGGGATTAAAGGCCTGAGCCACTGCAGCCGGCCCATCACATCAGTCTTATGCCTTTACATACTCAGAGCTTAGCTCACACTTAGAAGTGAGAACATATGATATTTGGCTTTTTCTTTCTTTCTTTCTTTCTTTTTTTTTTTTGAGATAGAGTCTCACTCTATCGCCCAGGCTGGAGTACAATGGAATGATCTCAGTTCACTGCCACCCCACCTCCTAGGTTCAAGCGATTCTCCTGCCTCAACCTCCTAAGTAGCTGGGACTACAGGTGCACACCACTACACCTAGTTAATTTTTGTATTTTTAGTTGAGACAGGGTTTCACCAACAGGCCAGTTTGGTCTCTAACTCCTGACCTCAGGTGATCTGCCTGCCTTGGCCTCCCAAAGTTCTGAGATTACAGGCATGAGCCACCACACCCAGCCAATATTTGGTTTTCCATTCCCGAGTTATTTCACTTAGAATAATGGCCTCCAGCTACACCCAAGTTGTGGCAAAAGACATTATTTTGTTCTTTGTTATGGCTGAGTAGTATTCCTTGGTGTGTATATATCACATTTTTTTTATCCACTCATTGGCTGATGGGCAGTTAGGATGGTTCTGTATCTTTACAATTGCGAATTGTGCTGCTATAAATATGCATGTTCATGTGTCTTTTTCGTGTAATGACTTCTTTTCTTTTGGGTAGAGACCCAGTAGTGGGATTGCTGAATCAAATGGTAGTTCTACTTATAGTTCTTTAAGGAATTTCTCTACTGTTTTCCATAGTGGTTGCACTAGTTTACATTCCCACCAGCAGTGTAAAAGTGCTCCCTTTTGGCTGGGCTCGGTGGCTCACGCCTGTAATCCCAGCACTTTGGGAGGCCGAGGTGGGCAGATTGCCTGAGGTCGGCAGATTGCCTGAGGTCAGGAGTTCGAGACCAGCCTGGCTAACATGTTGAAACCCCATCTTTACTAAAAATACAAAAAATTAGCCAAGCATGGTGGTGCATGCCTGTAGTCCCAGCTACTCAGGAGGCTGAGGAAGGAAAATCACTTGAACCAGGGAGGCAGAGGTTGCAGCGAGCTGAGATCCTGCCACTGCACTCCAGCCTGGGCGACAGAGTGAGACTCTGCCTCAAAAAAAAAAAAAAAAAAAGGTGGTCCCTTTTCACCACATCCGCACCAGCATCAATTTTTTTTTTTTTTTACTTTTTCATAATGGCCATTCTTGCAGGAGTAAAGTGGTATCTAATTGTGGTTTTAATTTGCATTTCCCTGATAATTAGTGATGCTGAGCATTTTTTTCATATGTTTGCTGGCTGTTTGTATATCTCCTTTTGAGAATTGTCTATTCATGTCCTTTGTTGACTTTTTGATGGGGTTTTTTTTTCTTTCAGTTTTCGTTTCCTTGTAACACATCTATTCTGTAAGGATAAAGATGTCTGTAAAATAAGAGACCATTAACTTGTGCTAAAGGTCAGTATTTTTTTTAAGGGATAAAAAGATAAAATTTGCTGGGAAACAAATGTTAGGAACAACTGACTGGTATTGGCTGAGAGGACGGAGTTGCTGAAGAGTTTGCCTTCCAAGGTGGACTGTCCCACTTCACCAGTAATTTTCTTGTGAAAAGTGTTGACTAAAACCAAACCAAACAAAAATAAGTTTTTAAAGAATTAAAGTGAGTTTTCTTTAGAAGTCTTATTGCAGGCTGTAGACTGATGACTACAGTCTGGAAGTAGTTTGTAGAGAGGTTTCGTTAGTAACCTGTTTTGGCTAATATTTTAATCTATTTATATACAGGTGGTGGAGGTTTAGTATGTATAAAATTGTATTAGATTTGTTTAGAAGTTATATTAAAGTAGAATTATATTAAGGTTTGAACGTAAGAGTATATTTGGGCTGCGCCTCGTGGCTCATGCCTGTAATCCCAACACTTTAGGAGGCCTGTCTCTACAAAAAATAAAATAATTAGCTGGGCATGGTGGTGCACACCTGTAGTCCCAACTGCTTGGGAGGCTGAGGTAGGAGGACCTCCTGAGCCTGGGAGATTAAGGCTGCAGTAAGCCGTGATTGCCACTGCACTCCAGCGTGGGTGACAGAGCACAGAGCAAGACCTTGTCTAAAAACAAAATACAATATTTTTTTTTTTTTTTTTTTTTGAGACGGAGTCTCGCTGAGTGCAGTGGCGCGATCTCGGCTCACTGCAAGCTCCGCCTCCCGGGTTCAAGCCATTCTCCTGCCTCAGCCTCCAGATTAGCTGGGACTACAGGCTGGGACACGATGCCCGGCTAATTTTTTTGTATTTTTTAGTAGAGACGGGGCTTCCCCGTGTTAGCCAGGATGGTCTCAATCTCCTGACCTTGTGATCCGCCCGCCTCAGCCTCCCAAAGTGCTGAGATTACAGGCGTGAGCCACTGTGCCTGGCCTAAAAACACAAATTTTTAAAAAAGAGTATATTTAGTTATCTGGTTATAGGTTATAGAAGTATAATTATTAATTTTGTTAGACATTATTTTGTGTGTAGAAAAAGACAAGGACTAGGGCTTTTTATTTTTTAAGGAATATAGTGATTTAGGTAAAGAGAGGTTGGGGGCATTTGGGAGTTGTATGTCTTATTTTGTTTTGTCTCTACAGTATTTTCTTGGAGAAGTCTTTTTTTGTTTTGTTTTTTGAGACGGAGTGTCACAGTGGTACCATCTTGGCTCACTGCTACCCCCACCTTCTGGGTTCAAGCAATTTTCTAGCCTCAGCCTCCCAAGTAGCTGGGACTTCAGGCACATGTCACCATGCCCAGCTAATTTTTGTGTTTTTGGTAGAGATGGGGTTTCACCATGTTGGCCAGACTGGTCTCAAATTTGTGACCTCAAATGATCCACCTGCCTCGGGCTCCCAGATAGCTGGGATTACAGGCATGAGCCACCACTCCCAGCCTTGGAGAATTATATGTTATAGAGTCAGGAGTTTTGTAAAATTATGTTGGCAAGTAGAAATGAATAAATATAATTTTTTTATGTTTGTTATTTTGTCCTATAAATTTTTTTGTTATAAATTAATTGTCTGGTTGTATTTATAAGATTAATGATTGTTTATATAGATAAGAAGGCTTTTTTTTTTTTTTTAAGGAAGATTGGTAATTTTGAGTTGTAGGAGTAAGGAATGAGTATTGGGCCTAGTGTGTATATTTGTCTATTTATTGGAAAATACGTTTTGGATTGTATTTATTTTTTATTTACTGTGATTTGGTTTTTTATATTTAATATAATATTTTAATAAGACTACTATAAGGATAGTATAGGTTGTGTATAATAGTATATATTTAATAGTATTAAAGTGAGTTGTAGATTGGAAAATGTGATAATGACTTAATAAAGTTAGAATATCAATTTGTACATTTTAAGATGAATTGTGTGTTTTTGTATTTACATGTATTAGAGTTTTTTTATGGAAAGTAATTTTGTACTATGCAAGAGACATAGGGGACCCTGTGCTCTATTTTGTTTTGTTGTTAAAGTATCTTTTGGAGAGCTGTATGTTGTCACAGAGTCAGGAGCTTTGTGAAGTTACTTTGTTGGCAAGCAGAAATGAGTAAACATAGCTTTTCATGTTTGTTATTTTGTCTTACACAAAGATGCCATCTCCTTACCTAACCTAAGATGTGACTCTAATAGATAAAATGATAAGGAACATAAACTAAGACAAGAGATCTCTTGGGATGTCTTCAGATCATGAGGGCTAAACATGACTCAGACCGGAAGGTTAGTGTTTACCAAGACCCTTCTTACAGCTGGGGAAAATGAAGGCAAATTAAGTTTAGCCTAAGCTAAAACAGGAGCAACTTGGTTATGGTAAAAAGAGATATTGCCCTATGGGAAGGGCTACTACAAGAATTCTTTCCATACTTAAACTTCAGTAGCAATCTGACAAGTTTTTAAGTGGAGTCTGAATGTAAAACATTCAGAGAGAACCCTTGGTCAGTAGCAGGATAGAGGTTGCAATAAACACAGAGAACTAGTGGCATTTCAAGGAACAGTGAGGAGACAGGTCTGGTTGAAGCAGAAGCTCTTTTGTGAGATCAGTAGAAAATACGCCTGGAGAAAAAGCCTGTTTAAAACTAAACATCTTTTCCAAGGGTAAAACATAAAATCCTTGAAATTAGGCTTTCTAATGGGCAAAGAGATGTCTTCAACCATTTTATGATGAGAAATACATTGGTTCATCCTCAGAGGTCTCTGAACAAAAAGGGGAACACATGTGAAGGTAGTCATGAGGGAGCCTCTGTGAATCATAAGGAGAACTGATTGCAAAACCAGAAGCCAGCAGAAACAAAACAATTCATAAAATTACAGAGGCGGTATTCGGAAGTTCTAAATACTTTTTTTTCCATCTCAGAAATGCTTGGTATCCTAATAATATTTTCTTTGTGATACGTTTTCTATACTCTTAGTAATTTTCCCTGGTCTTGATCTCATCATTAAAGAGGATGAAACCAACACCAGGAAATGTCCATAAGCAGGAAACCACATTTTTATTCCATCACTCATAAAGCATCATTCATAATAATCAGTGTCAGTTTAGCTATAGCAACAGATGCTAACATACACATAGTAAGAGCCTACAAAGGCTCTTTTAAATGTCAGTTTAATTTAAACCTTAACCTCAGATTTTTTCCACAGATACAGTGAGAAACCACAAAGATCCTCCTGTCCTAATGCTCCCTCCATACTCTGCAATAAAAGTTCTTGTTTTGGAAATAGAGAAACCTGTCTGAATCAGCAGTCTTGGCTTGCTGTGTCCTCCATGACCACACCACATGTTCCATACCTTTAGCCTTCATAGGGGCTGGAAAAAACTCTGTCTCCCTTGTCTACCCATTTTCACTGTGGAGTTCGGCTGCACATTTCAGGTGGAAAGGAGGTAGTGTACTAAAATTGCAAAGTATTTCTTTTAATTGGCAATGAATTTAAACAATATTCATTGATTCTTCCACTATGAACAAGCTAGTGTTCCCTGGGGGATAAACAGATGAATAATTGGATAAGCCTTTACTACTCAGGAAGTGTATAGTCTAGAGGAGTGCAGTCCAATAGGAATAGAATATAAACCACAGACACAATGTAAATGTTCTAATGGACACATTAAGTGAAGTAAAAAGAAACATGAAATTAATTTCAAACATATACTTTATTTAACTCAATGTACCCCCAACATTATCATTCTAAATTGTACTTAATATAAAATTATTAATGAAATATTTTATATTCTCTTTTTTTTTCCATACTGTGTTTAAAATCTGGTATGTATTTTACATCTAAAGTACATCTCGATTCAGACTAGCCACAATTCAGGTGCTCAATAGTCACATGTAGCTGGTGGCTACCACATCAGACCCTATAGGTCTCATATGTAGCAGAGAAAAAGACATACAGAGGCTGAGGCGAGCGGATCACTTGAGCACAGGAGTTCAAGACCAGCCTGGGCGACACAGTGAGACCTCTGTCTCTACAAAAAATAAAAAAGTAGCTATGTGGCCTGGTGCAGTGGTTCATGCTTGTAATCCCAGCACTTTGGGAGGCTGAGGCGGGTGGATCACATGAGATCAAGAGTTCAAGACCAGCCTTACCAACATGGTGAAACCCCATCTCTACTAAAAAAATACAAAAATTAGCTGGGCGTGGTGGCAGGCACTTGTAATCCCACTACTCAGGAGGCTGAGGCAGGAGGATTGTTTGAACCCGTGAGGGGGAGGTTACAGTGAGCCGAGACCACGCCATTGCACTCCAGCCTGGGCAACAAGAGCAAAGCTCCTTCTCAAAAAAAAAAAAAAAAAAAAAAAATTAGCTATGCATGTTGGCATACATCTGTAGTCCTAGCTACTCAGGAGGCTGAGGTGGGAGGATTGTTTGAGCGCAGGAGTTCGAGGCTGCACTGAGCTATGATCTTGCCACTACACTCCAGCCTGAGTGACACAGCAAGACCCTGCCTCTAAAAAAAAAAGAAAAGAAAAGAAAAGAAAAGAAAAAGACTTGTTGGAGCCTACTCCCACTCTGTGGAGTGTACTTTTGTTTCAATAAATCTGTGATTTTCTGTCAAAAAAAAAAAACAAAGACAAATGACAGCAATACAAGCTCCATTTGGTTTGGGATGAGGAGGACATTTTCCATGGAAGAGATGGCACTTGAAATTAATGTTCCAAATAATGGTTGTGAGTTGAGCAAGCAGAGACAGAAAAAATGAAGAGTGTAGTTCACAGTGAAGGACCCGTAGAAGCAATAACTTAGGGGAGGAAAATGGCAGGGCGCTGCAGCTCTGTTCAATACATGGAGCTTCTCATTGTGCCTCAGATAATGACAGAACTTCTTAAGGAGGCCTGCGAAGTCCTAGCTAGTTTATTTTCTACTTTGCTGTTCAAACATATTCCCTATTTTCAGGCTCTCTGCTTGAGCCACAGAAGTCTCTGGGCCACCTCCTATAAACTACTCATGTCTTCCCACCCAGGGCTTTACATGTGCAGGGCCCTGCCTGGAACTTATCTGGTTTGGCCCATCATTGTTTCTAGCACCTAGCAGAGGGCTCAGCACATATTCAGTCCTCAAAAAATATATTGAAGTGAATGGATGAGTGATTTGAGAGGCAGGTAGGGAAGAAGATGATGAGAAGGCAGGAAAGGTTGCTTGAGGGCTTGTTGCTGAGGGCCTTGGGTGCCACATTAAGGGTTTGCAATGAATTCAGTGAGCAAACCAGGTCCATGCCTCTAATCTACATCTTAATAGGACTTGCATATTAGATACTGAGCTGCAGCTCAGCCACGTGTGGGATGATTTGGAGTGAAAGGTAGGCAGTGAAGCGCCCTGTTAGGAGCCCTCTGAAGGAGTCCAGAGGAGAATCAATCAGGCCTCCTTACTGTAGCAGAGCGGTGGATGTAGGCATTAGTTACACACTTAAAATAAAAATTACAGGAGGCTGTTGAACTAAGCTCCTGCACTAGGCCCCAACAGACCGGACTAAAAATCAAAATGGAGTCACCTATGCTACAGTTCCACATCAGCAAACCCAAACTAAGTTGTTATCTGACCTTACGAGAAATCCAAAGAGAGATAACAGCCAATATCCCACACAGCCCAGTTTCAGTCTTCAGTTGGCATGATAATAAAGCCTTCTTTGCTTTGATCCTTATGCAAGAAAAGTGGCCTAAAGACACCTAATGTTAATCAGTTGTTTTTCTATTGTTCTGTCTCCCTGTTCTGCCTCACAAGGAAAGTAGCCTTAAAATGACGAATAACTCTTTGTTCTTTGTTTCTTTCTTCAGGCCTCCTCTGTCTATATAAAGCTAATCCCCTTTGCTTAGCTGATTGGAACACTTATTCTATTTTATGGGATGAACTGTTGCCTGATTCTAAAATTGCAATAAAGCCAACTGAAATCTTTAAACTACATTTGTGGCCAGGCACGATGGGTCACGCCTGTAATCCAACAACTTTGGGAGGCCAAGACAGGCAGATCACTTGAGGTCAGGAGTTCGAGACCAGCCTGACCAACATGGTGAAACTCCGTCTCTACTAAAAATACACATACAAAAAATAGCCAGGCATGGTGGCACGTGCTTTTAATCCCAGCTATTCAGGAGGCTGAGGGACAAGCCTTGAACCCAGGAGGCGGAGGTTACAGTGAACTGAGATCACACCGTTGCACTCCAACCTGGGTGACAGAGCAAGACTCTCTCTCAAAAAAAAAAAAAACACTAGATTTTTTGAAATTTTGTTTTTTGACACATATTATGGCAAGACAACAAATCATTTTGTAGAAATTGTACACTCTTAGAGGTGAAGCAAACTTTTGCCATTTTATAGACAAAGAAAGTGAGACTCGTTTTACAGATGAGGAAAGTGACACCCAGAGAAGTTCCTTTAGTGAAACCTCAAAGACTTCATTACTCTGCACAAATGGAATTTGTTTTGAAATGAAGCCCAGGGGGCCGGGCGCGGTGGCTCATGCCTGTAATCCCAAAACTCTGGGAGGCCGAGGCGGGTGGATCACCTGAAGTCAGGAGTTCAAGACCAGCCTGGCCAACATGGTGAAACCCCGTCTCTGCTAAAAATACAAAAACTAGCTGGGGGTGGTGGCTGGCGCCTGTAATCCCAGCTACTCGGGAGGCTGACGCAGGAGAATAGCTTGAACCCAGGAGGCAGAGGCTGCAGTGAGCCGAGATTGCGCCACTGCACTCCAGCCTGGGTGACAAAGTGAGACTGTCTCAAAAAAAAAGAAAATGAAGCCCAGGAATAGGTTATATGTTCTAGGAGAAGGAATTATTTTACAAACATTAGATTAAGTAGATACAGAAAAGTGAGAGAAAAAGATGAAAAGGATCCAAAATGCATTTGAATAGGAAAGAAATGGCTGTAAAAAGCTTTTGGCAGTAGACATGACTGACCTTAAAACACTTAAGCTAGTCACTTACTCTATCAAGAATTCTGACTTGAACAGTCACTTAAATATTTCCGTCTTTTAAAGAAGGTTGGAAGTACTACTGATACATCTTCCCAATGATCAAAATGTCAGAGTTCTCACTTGACAGAATAAAAAAAGACAAAAGAGGGAAATTAAATGACAGCACCATGGGCACGGAAGGTGATTCCCTAAATCGTATATCATCTTCATAATTGGATAACTCTCTTGTTTCCAGACTGTGCTTTCAGATAAACTCCCTGTTTTCATCTGTGTGCCATAAAAGACACGAAGAGGGAGAGAATATTTTTAAGTTCTGAAGAATTAAGCTCCTGCAATCTGTACTTTAGGATCTAGATAATGTAAAATGGCTCATAATTTGCCAGTTTCTAATAAGCTGTACAAATCTCACTATTACATTGAAAACAATTTGTATATTTCAAAAAATGTCTTAAATAGTTACAACTTACCAAGATAACATTGCAAAGGAGTATTAGCCTTAATATTTCAAGAGGCTTTGCTGGTCAATGTCCCCAAATGGTAAAAACTTAAGGTTAGAGGCAAATGAGAGAGTTAGATCAGTGTTTATTTATTTGCCAAACTACTATTAAAAAGAAAAACAAGCAAAAACACCTAGGCTGTATGATTGACATTCATACAGCCTTGATTAGATAGAAGTTTCACTTTACAAACAGGTTTTGACATTGTGTAGATAAAACTTTGATATCAAACCTTTAAACCTCAAGATTTGATAATATTTACTTTAATAAGAACTTCTATCTTCTACTTAAATGTCAAAAAGAACAGAAATCAGACCACTTACTAAAAGGAAGCAGACTTGGAATCCACATTGGTTATCTTTCGTGAGTTAGGAAAAAGTTAATAGTATAAGGCCAAACTCAAGGAAGCCTGAATATTAAGATGATTTATGGAGACACTGAAGACATAAATCAGATATAATTATCTGATTTACAAAAACTAGTCATTTCACCTCCTCAAATGGCCTCATAATTCCTTGATGACGCATGGCAGAAAAGTGCTCATGTCAAACTAAAATGCAGACAAATGGAAAGATAAATGGCCACATCCCAGTAACAATTTGACATCCCATTATTCCTCTTGAGGATTTCACCTGTGTACATCCAGAAGGTGCTAGGTGAATGAAAGGCATTCGGTTTTTAGGATTTTAGCAACACACATGAGAAAAGGTTCACTTTTGCGCCCACTGACAATCAGATGAAGATTCAGGTCATGTTGCAAGTTTTTCTGAACATGTGGCTGTGCAGATAGCTCAGGTCCTGAGCAAAAACAACAGCAAAGAACCCTTTGGCAGTGAAGCCTATCTTGGCCTCTGATCCCTTGGTCCTTCCTACTCACCTTCCTGTCTTTATTTTTCTTCAGCACGTTTCCCATCTAATATACTGTGCTGTATTTTTTTTCATTGTGATGAAATATACATCACATAAAATTTACCACTTTAGCCATTTTTAAGTGTGCAGTTTGGTCACATTAGTACAATGACGTTGTTGAGCAACCATCACCGCTATCCAGTCTCCAAAACTGTTTTCATCTTCCCAAACTGAAGCTCCATACCCATGAAATAGTAATTCCTCATCCCCCTTCTTCCCTAGTCCCTGGCAAGGACCATTCTACTTTCTGTCTATAAATGGGACTACTCTAAGTACCTCATGTAAATTGAATTATACAGCATTTGTCCTTTTGTGACCAAGTATTTTACTTATAAATTTGTGTTTATTTTATTTCATTTTTGAAATGGAGGCTCACTTTGTTACCCAGGCTGGAGTGCAATGGCATTATCTCGGCTCACTGCAACCCTCGCCTCCAGGGTTCAAGTGATTCTCCTGGCTCAGCCTCCTGAGTAGCTGGGATTACAGATGTGCACCACCCCCCCAACCAGCTAATTTTTGTATTTTTAGTAGAGACGGGGTTTCACCATGTTGACCAGGCTGGTCTCGAACTCCTGATCCTCCCCCCTTGGCCTCCCAAAGTGCTGGGAATACAGGCGTGAGCTACCACGCCCAGCCAGTGAATCTTTATTAATGTGTTAGATAACAAAGTCTAGAGGAAAGCTAATAATTACTGTAAATTTCTCAGTAATGATGAGCATAAACGATATGGTGCCTTGAACAACTGTCATATGACATGAAAATATCTATGATTTTTATTAGTGACAAAATTGCAGGTCCTGGTAAAACGATTGTGGTTTTTGGCTACATTTATAATTGGAGAGACTAGATTTCAGCTAGAGATGAGTGAAAATGAATATGTAATTTTTTTTTTCATCCAAGTTCTGAATTTCCTCCATTGACATTCTCCTGCCCCCCAAGGGATGTCTGGATGCTGGGTTAAGAGCCCTTGGCTGGGTAGCTGGATAGTGCAGTTGGGGAAGAGTAAGCTATTCTGCATGGTTGGAGAATGGAGTCCAATGGATGAGGAAGGAGAAGCAGGAGAAAGAAGAAGAGACGAGGGGGCAGAGAGCTGAGCCAGGGCCCCATCTCAGCTATATAAATATAAGGGTAAGGAATTAGGGCTCTGTTTTGAGAGTCACAATAAACCACTGACATATTTTAAGCACAGGGATATCAAGGTCCCACTTGTATTTTAGAAAGCCCTTCTAGGACCAGGTGTGGTGGCTCAAACCTGTAATCCCAGCACTTTGGGACGCCAAGGCAGGTGGATAACCTGAGGTCAGGAGTTCGAGACAAGCCTGGCCATCATGGCGAAACCTTGTCTCTACTAAAAATACAAAAATTAGCTGGGCATGGTGGTGCGTGCCTGTAATCCCAGCTACTGGGGGACTGAGGCAGGAGGATCGCTTGAACCTGGGACCCGGAGGTTGCAGTGAGCTGAGATCGTGCCACTGCACTCTAGCCTAGACAACAGAGTGAGACTCCATCTCAGAAAAAAAAAAAAAAAGCCCTATAGATGGCAACCTGGAGGATTCTATGGGGAATAGTTGCAGGAGGCCAGGAGCAGGACAGTAGCAAGAGGCCATTAAAAAGATGGTAGCAGTTCTCCAGGTAAGGTTCAAGGTGGCCTGAGCTTGGGAAATGGCAATGCAGACAGTCAGTAAGGACATGGGAGTGGGAACCCATGGCAATTTAGAAGGTAGAATTAAAAGTGGATTCTCTTTTACTCCTAGGATGAAGAATCTGAATGTAAGCATGAGAACAAAGAAGTTCACTTCAATTTTCTCAAGTTCCTGCTGTAACAGATGGTCAGCATAGAATGCTCAGCGAAAAACCACAGTAGTTGCCAGAGAAGTCATGTGATGTAATGGGAAGAGAATCTCAAATGTCATCAGTCGACGTGAGTCTTCTTATCTGTGTGACCATGGGGAAGTTACTTATGCTTCCTCATGACCAGTATCCTCACTGGCAAAGCAAGGCTAAGGACACCAGCATTCCTGAGTTGTGAGTCACAAGGGAGAGATGATCATTGGACATTTTGTAAATTTTTCATTTTGTTTATCATATTATTGTTTTTATAGGCGAGATATTGCTGTGTTGGCCGGGCTGGAGTGCAGTGGGGCAATTTTAGCTCACTGCAGCATCCAACTTCTGGTTCAAGCAATCCTCTCACTTCAGCCTTCCAAGTAGTTAGGACTACAGGCATATGCTGCTGTGCTCAGCTAACTTTTTCATTTTTTGTAGAGACAGGATCTCACTTTGGAAGGCAGCTATGCTCACCACTACACTGCCAACACCAGGATCTCACTTTGTTGCCCAAGCTGGTCTTGAACTCCCGGACTCAAGCAACCCTCTTGCCTCAGCCTCCTAAAGTGCTGAGATTACAGGCGTGAACCACACCATGCCTGGCCCATTTTGTCAATTAAGTGTTTTGGAAATGCTACTTGTTCATTATAATCAATCAGTAAAGGATAATTATTGTAGAAATTAGTATTTACTAAGAGTTGAAAAAGCATTCAGCTCTTTTTTTTTTGGCAGAGCTAGCTGAGGTTTTATTTTGGACCAAAAAAAAAAAAAAAAAAAAAACAGTTGAATTGTTTTGTAGCTGGAGGCATGGGCAAGGGGGGGTCCCCAAGCAGTAAACTTCCCCGCACGTGGGCTGAGGGCTAGGACTGAGCCTCAGGTGGGTCTCCTGTTCCCTGTCCTACCCTGCACAGGGGCCTCCCTCCTGGGCTCTGGGGCAGCCGCAAGAGGGGCAGGCTGGGAGGGGCTGCCATGGCTGTTCACTCGGGCAGGACATCAGAGGACTTGGACACCAGCTTCCCATTGCGGGTCTCGATCTTCTTCACAACCACAGCCCTGGTGGAGCTGATGTGGCTGAAGGAGCTAGAGTTCAGGCCGTAGCTGAGGCTGGGACTTGTGAGGCCCCCATAGGCTGAGCACAGACCACCTGCATAGCCGCTGGTGGTCTTCGTATGGATACTCACATTCTGTATCCCAGACTCCAGCCGGCATTTCTAGCCCTCCAGCAGCTTCCTGTAGGTTGCGATCTCAATGTCCAGGGCCAGCTTGACGTTCATCAGCTCCTGGTACACACGCAGCTATCGCGCCATGTCCTGCTAGGCCCGCTGCAGGGCGGCCTCCAGCTCAGACAGCTTGGCGTTGGCATCCTTAACAGCCAGCTCCCCATGCTGCTCGGCATCTGCGATGGCAGTCTCCAGGGAAGCCCTCTGGCCTTTGAGACCCTCAGTCTCAGCCTGGAGCCAGCTGATGTTCCGGTTCATCTTGGAGATCTCTGTCTTGTTTTTGAGACAGAGTCTCACTCTGTCGCCCAGGCTGGAGTGCAGTGGCACGATCTCGGCTCACTGCAAGCTCCGCCTCCCAGGTTCAAGGGATTCTCCTGCCTCAGTCTCCTGAGTAGCTGCAATTACAGGCGTGCACCACCACCCCAGGCTAATTTTTGTATTTTTAGTAGAGACAGGGTTTCACCCTGTTGGTCAGGCTGGTCTTGAACTTCTGACCTCGTGATCAGCCTGCCTCGGCCTCCCAAAGTGCTGGGATTACAGGCGTGAGCCACTGCGCCCGGCCTAGATCTCAGTCTTTGTATGCTGCAGGTCATCCCCGTGCTTCCCAGCCAGCATCTGCAGCTCCTCATATTTGATCTGGTACATGCTCTCAGCCTCACTCCGGCTGCGGTTGGTGATCTCCTCGTACTGCGCCTTGACCTCAGTGATGATGCCGTCCATGTCCGGGGAGCGGCTGTTGTCCATGGACAGCATCACAGACGTATCCGAGATCTGGGACTGCAGCTCCCGATCTCTTCATACAGCTGCCTCAGGAAGTTGATCTCGTCAGTCAGCCCTTCCAGGTGAGACTCCAGCTCTACCTTGTTCATGTAAGCTTCATCCACATCCTTCTTGATGAGGACAGATTCATTCTCCATCTCTGTAAGCTTATTGATCTCATCCTCACCAGCCCCTGCATGTTGCCAAGCTCTGCCTCCAGCTTCAGCTTCTCCTGGCCCCGAGTCTCCAGCTGCCGCCTAAGGTTGTTGAAGTAGCTCTCGAACATGTTGTCCATGTTGCTCCAAGCTGTCTTCTGCTGCTGCAGGAGGCTCCACTTGGTCTCTAGCATCTTGTTCTGCTGCTCCAGGAACCGTACCTTGCCTATGAAGGAGGCAAACTTGTTGCTGAGGGTCTTGATCTTCCCCTTCTTTTGGGTGCGCAGGCCTGGATGTTGGGATCCACCTCCAGATTAAGTGGGCTCAGCAGGCTCTGGTTGACTGTGACGGCAGTGATGCCTCCCATGCCGCTGGCCCCACCATAGCCTCCACCCAGGCTACCCTGGAAGCTGCTGCTGCCCACTCAGGAGGAGCTTGAGGAGCTGATGCAGGTACTGGGCCCACTCGTGTAGGAGCGGCTGCTGAAGGCCCGGGGGCCAGAGATGGACAACTTGTAGGACTTCTGGGTCACCCTGATGGACATGGTGGAGGCAGGAGTGGAGGCAGGCGGGCTGAACCAGGCAGAGATTCCAGAAGGAGTGAAGAAGCTGCTTCTTGATAGCATTCAGCTCTTATTTATTTATTTATTTATTTATTTATTTATTTGAGATGGAGTCTCTCTCCGTCGCCCAGGCTGGAGTGCAGTGGCTCAATCTCGGCTCACTGCAACCTCTACCTCCTTGGTTCATGTGATTCTCCTGCCTCAGCCTCCTGAGTAGCTGGGATTACAGGCATGCACTACCATGCCCAGCTAATTTTTGTATTTTTAGTAGAGCAGGGGTTTCACCATGCTGGCCAGAATGGTCTCAATCTCCTGACCTCGTGATCCACCTGCCTCGACCTGCCAAAGTGCTGGGATTACAGGTGTGAGCCACAGCACCCAGCTCTCAGCTCTTAATTTAATTGCATTTAAAGAAAGCAATCTGTGCAATTCACAGTAGCTGGCAGCCAGGATAACCCAGGGAAACCTCATCCTTACAAAAAAATTACAAAAAAAAAAAAAAAAGCCAGGCATGGCAGCTCATGCCTATAGTTCCAGCTACTCTGGAGGCTGAGGTGCAAGGATCGCTTGAGCCAGTGAGGTCGAGGATGCAGTGAGCTGTGATTGTGCCACTGCCTTCTAGTCTCGGCAGCAGAGCTAGACCTTATCTCAAACAAAACAAACAAAACAAAAAAAATAATAGCTGAGTAAGTGTCATAGATCACATGGAACAAAAGCTGGCTCTGGAAACATATGCAGAATTTAGCTAAGTGTGGAGTAAGGGTGAAATTGTGAGCAAAACAAGCTTCCTGAGAGATCAGAGGTGGGGAGTTATGCCAAGAAGTGAAGGGAGTGAGGTAAGGTATGCTGATGTGTGCAGAACAGGGAGGACTTTGAAAACTATGCAGAGTGGTTGGCTGACATACAGTAAAACTCATAACAAGTATGCTCATTAGCATAATTATTAAACTCTGGCTTAGTAAACCACTTAAAAAAAAAGATTTCCAATGTGGAAATACTCAATGTTTGGATATGCCTGTTCATTCTAGTTTAGGCATTTCCTTCTGACAGGTTTTTAGAGCCTCTGGTAGCTTTTCCAATCCCTGTGACTTTTTTTTTTTTTTTGCCCTGAGTTTGGAGGAGTCGGATAATGAAATTTAAACTAAAGCATGTTAGCATCACCTATACTCAAGAAGGTCCAAATACCTCAATTCTTCACAAAATAAAATGCTTTTTTAATTCAAAAAAAGAAAGTAAGTCAAAAAGAGAGAGAGAAAAAAAACACACAGCAGATAACTGAGAAAATAAGAGAGTTTATTGCCACTAAAAAAGGAACCTGGCTTCTAACATCATATTTGCCATTTCTCTATGTGACTCTAGGGAAGTACTTTTCTCTCTCAATGCCTTCTTCCCTCAGGAAAACCTTATTACTATGAGAAAGATGTTAATTTGTCTAAAGTGCTGTAATTTTTTCATGGGGATGTTAAGGAGGGAAAGGCAGGGAGAAAGAAGATGGGGAGAGATGAGTTAAGAGATGAGTTAAGGTGAAAGATGGTGGTGGCAGGCGGGGCGCAATGGCTCACGCCTGTAATCCCAGCACTTTGGGAGGCCGAGACGGGCAGATCACGAGGTCAGAAGATTAAGACCATCCTGGCTAACATGGTGAAACCCCAACTCTACTAAAAATTCAAAAAAATTAGCCAGGCGTGTGGCGGGCGCCTGTAGTCCTAGCTACTCGGGAGGCTGTGGCAGGAGAATGGCATGAACCCGGGAGGCGGAGGTTGCAGTGAGCCGAGATCGCGCCACTGCACTCCAGCCTGGGCAACAGCGCAAGACTCTGTCTCAAAAAAAAAAAAAAAAAGAAAGAAAGATGGTGGTGGCTTGCACCAAGGGATAGGCCCTGGAGATAAAGAGAAAGGAGTTAAAAATAAATGTTTGGTTTTTTTTTTTTTTTTTGGAGATGGAGTCTCGCTCTGTTGCCCAGGCTGGAGTGCAATGGCATGATCTCGGCTCACTACAACCTCCACCTCCTGGGTTCAAGCAATTCTCCTGCCTCAGCCTCCCGAGTAGCTGGGATTACAGGCATGCGCCACCACACCCGGCTAATTTTTGTATTTTTAGTAGAGAGGGGGGTTTCACCATCTTGGCTAGGCTGGTCTTGAACTCCTGACCTCGGGTGATCTACCCGCCTCGGCCTCCCAAAGTGGTAGGATTACAGGCGTGAGCCACCGCGCCTGGCCAAGAAATGTATTTTGGAAGTAAACACAGTAGAATATGCTGATGAATTGCACTGACGTTGGGAGAAAAGAAAGAGAAATAATTTCTAGATTTCTCACTCTCACAAATGAGTTATGTAGTAGTATCATTTACTGAAATAGAGAAAAATAGGAAGAAAAATCAAGAGTTGGGTTTTGAACAGGACTAGCTCAAGATGTGTGTGAGACATTTCAATGGGAATGTTTAGTAAACAATTGGGAACAGAGGTCTGGCATTCAGGCAACTAAGTTTCTGAATAACAGATTACATTTAAAGCACAGGAATGAATGAACCTGTGTGTGGAGGAGGAGGGAGAGTGGATGGGAAAGTGAGAAAGATGGAGAACTACAGTAAGAGGGAAAGGGCAAAAAGATGTTCAGAGGCTGGTGAGCCAAGGACTGAGTTTGAGCCATCCCCACATTATTGGTAAGACAGAGCAGGAAGGCCTGAAAGGAAACTAAGAAATCACCCACAAGTAGGAGGAGAGGCTGGAGTGCTGGGCCACAGAAGCCACAACTGAGTATTCCAAGGAGGAGCGGTCCACAGGAAGGACCACCTTTTCTTCTCTTCTCTTTTCTCTTTTCTTCTCTTCTCTTCTCTTCTCTTCTCTTCTCTTCTCTTCTCTTCTCTTCTCTTCCCTTCTCTTCTCTTTTCTTTTTGAGACAGGGTCTTACTCTGTTGTCCAGGCTGGAGTGTAGTGGTGTGATCATGGCTCACTGCAACCTCAACCTTCTGGGCTCAAGCGATCTTCCCACCTCAGCCTCCCGAGTAACTGGGAATACAGGCATGTGCCACCAGCCTGGCTATTTTTTTTATTATTATTTCCTGGAGACCTGAGGGTCTTGCTGTGTTGCCCAGGCTGGTCTTGAACTCCTGGGCTCAAGCAATCCTCCCATCTTTACCTCCCAAAGCACTGGGATTATTGGCATGAGCCACCACTGCTCTGGTAAACTGAAAGGGAAAGTTAAGATATGGATGGATAAGTGTCAAGAAGGCAAAAGAAATACGAAACAAAAGAGCTTGATAGTAAAGAAAACAGAAGGATGGAATGCCCTCCAAGTTTTTGAGGCCTTAATGAGAAATATTTTAGTGAATGGGGAATAATAAAGAGATTCTAAAGATCATTCAGAGTGTTGATGAGTTACATGGATTATGATTTTGAATTTCAAATGGACTTTAAGTCTTTATGTAAGACAGATTAGAAAACAAAATTTCACATTAAATTGATTAAATTAGGTCAAAACTCATCAATAACTAATTATACATTGGACATAAGTATTTCCATATCTTTTTGTCCCTCAGTGCCTTGTGCATATGTAACTAAAAAAGCAGAGTAATTTGGTGTCATTTGATTTAATGAGATCCTGCGCAAATGAAATACCTTTTTAACACTGAAGTTAGACCATTGCAGTGCTCCAGGGACAACTATCTATAGAAGATAAATTAATTATGTTCACTACTTCCTAAGCCTATAGAAACAACTAAATAACTAAATGAGAGAATCAACCTGTTGATGATGTGCAGGTCTTTTGAGAAATGACCTTTAATCAATAAAATCCCAGAGCACAGAGGTTTCATAGCAGCTTGTCTTCAGACCGACTCATCAGTAAAATCACAACTTACACCACAACAAAACGTTCAGAAAAGTAAGCTATAGAGGTAGGTCATAATTTTGAGGTCTGTCTTGATAATATCTAACATATTTTGAGTGCTTAGTGCGTACCAGGCATTGGGGCTAAATACTTTACATGCGTTAGGTCATTTAATCCTCATAACAGTTCTTTGAGGTATTATTGTTATTATTATTATTATTTTATTATTTTGAGACAGAGTCTCACTCTGTCGCCCAGGCTGGAGTGTAGTGGGGTGATCTTGGCTCACTGCAACCTCCACCTCCCGGGTTCAAGCAATTCTCCTGCCTCAGCCTCCCCACTAGCTGAGACTACAGGTGTGCGCTATCATGCCTGGCTAATTTTTATGTTTTTAGTCGAGAAAGGGTTTCACCATGTTGACCAGGCTGATCTCGAAATTCTAACCTCAAGTGATCCACCCACTTCAGCCTCCCAAAGTGTCAGGATTACAGGCATGAGCCACCGTGCCCAGCCTGAGGTATTATTATTAAATCCATTTTACAGATAAGCCTTAGAAAGTTAAGGCTTAGAGGCCAGGCACAGTGGCTCACGCCTATAATCCCAGCACTTTGGGAGGCTGAGGTGGGCGGATCACGAGGTCAGGAGATCGAGTCCATCCTGGCTAACACGGTGACACCCATCTCTACTAAAAATACCGAAAATTAGCGGGGCGTGGTGGCAGGCGCCTGTAATCCCAGCTACTCAGGAGGCTGAGGCAGGAGAATGGCGTGAACCTGGGAGGCGGAGCTTGCAGTGAGCCAAGATGGCGCCACTGCACTCCAGCCTGGGTGACAGAGCAAGACTCTGTCTCAAAAAGAAAAAAGAAAAAAAAAGATAGTTAAGGCTTAGAATATTAAATGCCTTGCCCGATGTTACCATGCTCGGAAACAATTTAGTTAAGAGGCCAACACTGTTTGTCTGATCTCGTATTAGGAGTCCTTAATGTTCTTCTCCTGTAAATGTTCAGATTTAAAAAAAAGATCATAGATAAATTCAGTACAGTTGGATACAGTTTGAAAAATTATTTTATATTTTAGTGAAATAGAAAGTTTTAGCCAGGTGTAGTAGTGCTGGGTGCCTGTTGTCCTAGCTACTCGAGAGGCTGAGGTGGGACCATGACTTGAGCCAAGGAGGTTGAGGCTGCAGTGAGCTATGATCCAGCCACTGGACTCCAGCCTGAGCGACACAGCACGATTCTGTCTCCAAGAAAAAAAAAAAGAAAAGAAAAGAAAAGAAAGAAACTTTGACACAGTTTCTCTTTGCCACTCTTCATATTGAGAGGTGAAGTTTATTTTCCTTCCCCTTGAATCTGGGCTGGCCCAATGACGTTTTGTTTTGTTTTGTTTTTGATTAATAAAATGCAGCAGAAGTCACACTATATGACACCCAGGACTCGGCCTTATGAGATCGTCAGCTTCCACAGGCTCTCTTGAAGCACTCCCTGTTAGAAGCCGGCAGCCATCTAAGTCTATCTTAAGAACATGTTACTGTGAGGATGCCCAAGCTATGTGGAGAGAGAAAGAGGCCAATAGAGATGCACTGACACCAAACAAGAAGCTTTCTCGGACTTTCTGGCTCAGCTCAACCACCAGCTGAATGCAGCCAAGGAAAGACTCAGCCAACGTCACAGGGAGCAGAACCCTCCAAATGAGTGACACTGAATTCCTAATCCACAGAATCATGAGTAAATAAATGACAGTAGCTTTTGCTCATCAAATTCTGGGTAGTTTGCTTTGCAATAATAGTAACATAAATTTAGTAGAGTTGGACACAATTTGAAAGAAATACAGGCTGGGTGCGGATGCTCACGCCTGCAATCCCAGCACTTTGGGAGGCTGAGGTGGGAGGATCACTCGAGGTCAGGAGTTTGAGACCAGCAAGGCCAACAAGGTGAAACCACGTCTCTACTAAAGATATAAAAGTTAGCCGGGTGTGGTGGCAGACTGAGGCAGGAGAATTGCTTGAATCTGGGAGGCGGAGGTTGCAGTGAGTGGAGATTGCACCACTGCATTCCAGCCTGGGCAATAGGGAGGATCACTTGAGTCTTGAAGTTCAAGGTTAAAGTGAGCAATCATCGCACCACTACTCTCCAGTCTGGGGGACAGAGCAAGATCCTGTCTCAGAGAGAGAGAGAGAGAAAGAGAAAGAAAAGGAAAGAACAAAGAGAAAAAAAAACAAGGCAGTTTACAATGAAAAACACATAAGAGGAGAGTGAAAATAAAAACACAAGATTAAAACCAAGTTCAGTGACTAAGAAGTTATTTCTAAAGATTTGTCCAATTTGTTCACTGAAATTTATATTTAAATTTACCTTTGAGTTTCCTGGCAACTGAGGCAAACCTAAGAGATTATATCATGCTAAATGTGATTTCCTTCAGAAAAGAAAAATCTTTAACCTACTACTAAATTATTAAGAGCACTTTACTACATGGATCCCTTTACAGGGAACAGTGAATGATAGAGAAGACAATGACTTCAGAAGAGATGATATTTAACCAGGCACGGTTGCTCACACCTGCAATCCCAAAACACTTTGGGAGGCCAAGACGGGTGGCTCACCTGAGGTCAGGAGTTTGAGACCAGCCTGGTCAACATGGTGAAACCCCCATCTCCACTAAAAATACAAAAATTAGCTGGGCATGGTGGCTGGTGCTTGTAGGCCCACCTACTCTGGAGGCTGAGGCACAAGAATCACTTGAACCCCAGAGGCGGAGGTTGCAGTGAACCAAAATCGCGCCCACTGCACTCCAGCCAGCCTGGGCAACAGAGTGATACTTCATCTCAAAAAAAAAAAAAAAAAAAAAAAGGGAAAGAAAACCCGGTTTCTACTAAAAATACAAAAATTAGCCCAGCGTGGTGGTGTGTGTTTATAGTCCCAGCTACTTGGGTGGCTGAGGCAAAAGAATCACTTGAACCCAGGAAGCAGAGATTGCAGTGAGCCATGATCGCACCACTGCACCCAAGTCTGGGTGACAGAGCGAGACCCTGTCTCAAAAAAAAAAAAAAAATGTTATTTACAATACAGATGTGTCTCAGATGATGGAATTTAAAAAAATTTATTCAATGTATTTTGCTGTTTTTTCAGAGATGGGGTTTTGTTCTGTTGCCCAGGCTAGAGTACAGTGGTGTGACTATGGCTCACTGCAGCCTCCACCTCCTGGACTCAAGTGATCCTCCCACCTCAGCCTCCCAAAGTGCTGGAATTACAGGGATGAGCCATCATGTCTAGCACATGATGGAACTTTAACATAAACCAAACAGAATAAAATGCAAAGAACTTTCAATTTCTATATGAGTTTTCAGATTAACTCCCCTCTTTCTCCTCCATAGACCTTAGGCATTTCACCATCTTTTGGCTTTCTGTTTCAACATATACTTATTGATAACCCCCCAGGGGCCAGGTCCTGAGGGTTTAATTGTATGTAAAAGAGAAGGAAGGTCCTTGTCCTCATAGAGCTCATAGTCCAGGAGGACATTAATTAATGCTGAAGGCATTCATTAAAAAGCTTTACCAATATGCAATTGCAAACTGACAGGTGCCATAAAAAATAGCACAAGGCCGGGCGCGGTGGCTCAAAGTGCCTGTAATCTCAGCACTTTGGGAGGCCGAGGTGGGTGGATCACCTGAGGTCAAGAGTTCGAGACCTGCCTGGCCAACATGGTGAAACCCCATCTCTACTAAAAATACAAAAATTAGCTGGGCATGATGGTGCATGCCTGTAATGCCAGCTACTCAGGAGGCTGAGGCAGAAGAATTGCTTGAACCCGGGAGGCGGAGGTTGCAGTGAGCCAAGATCGCAACACTGCACTCCAGCCTGAGCAACAGAGTGAGACTCCGTTTCAAAAAAAAAGAAAAAACACACAAGGAGCTATAATGAGCATGTTATGGAGGGACACAATCCAAGTTTCTGGGGAAGGGAGTTGGGGAGTGAAGGAAGCTTGTGATTTCTTTTTTCCTTTAGAGACAGGGTCTCACTCTATCTCCCAGGCTGGAGTACAGTGGTGGCATCATGGCTTACTGCAACCTCCACCTTCTGGGTTCAAGTGATCCTGGCACCTCAGCCTCCTGAGTAGCTGGGACTACAGGCACTCACCACCACACCTGGCTAATTTTTTAATTTTTTTGTAGAGATGGGGTTTTGCCATGTTCCCCAGCTGGTCTCGAATCCGCTCGCCTCAGCCTCCCAAAGTGCTGGGATTACAGATGTTAGCCACTGAGCTCGACCTGGAAGCTTATGATTTCTTATTTTCTCTTTCCCACCTTAAAACCTGACACATCAAAGTGCTCAATTCATGTTGGCTGTTGATGATGAGAATACAAAGAAATAAAAGGGGGGGGGGGCGGAATTTCAACACTAATTCTGAAATAAATTCTGAATCTGTTATTTCAAAGGATATTAACTTTAGAAATGAAGACACATTAGAAATTTGCATTGCTCTGAGTTTTGTAAAAGAATGAAATGTATAATGCAAGACATAACTGCCAAGGTACTAGATGAAAAAAAAATTATACATTCTGAAATTCCATCTGATAGAGATCAGTTCTGAAGGGTTAATCTCAATTGCCTGATTTAATGTGTTTGCTTTGCACCAGATGAATAATAATTAGCAATGGCTTCACCAACTTATTAGTGACAACGTAGAGAAGGTGTGGGCCCTTTTACGTAAAAGCTGACTAATAGACAAATAAATTAGATATGACTGTTTTGCCAAAGCTGATAACTAAGGCCCTGTATACAATGAGTGCCAAGTCCTGGTTGTTTCTACGTAACATTTAATCTTTGAAGGCAAGTGGTTGAAGGAGAAAGCAATTATATTGACGTTCGTTGTAGAAATTCATTTACAGATTGTTACTACAATTGTCCCTCAGTCTCTGCGGGGGATTGATTCCAGGACCCCTGCAGATCCTAAAATCCATAGATGCTCAACCCCCTGATATAAAATGGCATCGCATTTGCATATAGCCAATGCATACCCTCCCTAACATTTAAAATGATCTCTAGATTGCTTATAATAGCAAATACAACATAAATGCTATGTAAATAGTTGTTATACTGTATTGCTTAGGGAAGAATGACAAGAAGAAAGGTATGTACGTGTTCAGTACAGATGAAACCATCCTCTTTTTTTCCCAAATATTTGACCTGCAGTTGGTTGAATCCACAGATGTGGAACCCGTGAATACCTGGAAGCAGTTAAAATCACTCCAAGATTTTCTTTAAATTCTTCTCTTCATCAATACTCTCTCTATTCCACCAAGTAATGATATCATAATTACACATGGTAGCTCTTCCCCAAGACCCTTGATTAAATTGTTTTTATTGATTCATCAAGCATATATTATTGAGCGTCTACTACACACCAGGCACACAGACAGAACTGTGAACAAGGCAGACAAGGTCCTGCACCCAGCACGTGTATATTCTAGGTTTCAGAGAAGCTATGTGAGGCTGTGAAGAGGATTCTTTTTTAATGTCTTTATTTTTATACTACCCCTCCACAGCCTTACCCCAATCTTTTAAACCACACCGGAAGCTATGTACTCATCGTTTTTTTCCTGTAATTTTTTTTACAGTACAACCTAAATAAATACTGGCCCAGAAAGATTCAGAGTTCAAAGAAAATTCAGCTGCTTTCGGAAAGATCATTCTATGGGAAAGATCACATTTCTGAGTAATAAACATTATAAATACATATTCCGATTTATTTTTAATTCTCAAACTATTAACTTTCATTTTTCCCCTCTGGCATATTTTAATTTTTGTCCTACAGGGACTTGAGTCTAAATATGTTTTAACAATTTGGGGGACTTTTCTTTTTTCACCTTGCTATTTCTAGAGACTAAAATCTTTGAGCTACCAAGGTCTTTCAAACTGGCTGATGTCACTCTAACAAACTCAGAGATAGCAAGATGTTCCTTAAGCCACTGGGTTAGAACGAGAATCCTTTGTTTTCTATGGGCACAATCCTAGGAATGTTTCTTCTCTTTTTTTTGAGACAGAGTCTCTCTCTGTCACCCAGCCTGGCGTGAAGTGGTGCCCTCTCAGCTCACTGCAACCTCCACCCCCCGGGTTCAAGTGATCCTCCTGCCTCAGCCTCCTGAGTAGCTGGGATTACAGGTGCACGCCACCACACCCTGCTAATTTTTGTATTTTTAGTAGAGACAAGATTTCACCGTGTTGGCCAGGCTGGTCTCAAACTCCTGACCTCAGGTGATCCACCCGCCTCAGCCTTCCAAAGTGCTAGGATTACAGGCGTTTGCTACCGTGCCCGGCAAGCCTAGGAATATTTCACTTCATGCTTTTCTCTTTTGCCTTGCTGTGAGCTTATCCTCCAGAGACAACAGAGAGAGAGAAAGAGAGAGAGACAGGAGAGAGAAAGTGGAAGAACCACATGACCAGTCATTTCCCGAAGCAAATGGCGTTTTGGGTGAATGCCCTGACCTAGGAGGGAAAAAGAGGCCAAGGTTACCCTAATGTTACAGAAGTAGCTAAGTGAATTCTTCTCCGAAAAACGTCACAGCAGGCTCTAGAAAGCAATTAGAGTAATATTTTGGCACCTCGAACTACCAAATAGAAGATTCCTCTACTGCTCTAGTTACATCTTTGATTTTCATTTCCCTTTGTTGTAAATACTTACAATGTCATTTCAGAATGCTGCAGAGAAATAGATGTGAGAGTAAACAAACTATAATAATAATCCTTTCTCCACATGCCATGGCAGCTGCAGGAGGAGGCCAACGCAGCACCGAACTTGCCTTACTGTCTGCTTTTCCTGTCCTCCTCCTCCTGCACCTCCTTCACCTCCTCCACCTCCTTCTCCTCCACTTTCCCACATGGTCTTTTATAAATTTGCCAGCATCACTGTGCAGTTTGCCAGAGAAACCTGGCCACTTGCTGGGTAAGCCTGCTCTTAGACCAAGGACCAGGGTAGGTCACTGCTGCTGTCCTCATTTCTGGGCCAGAAGGATTCACTGAGAGTGAGGTCCAGAACCACCTGCTTTCCCATTACAGAGGATGTGGATCTCTATAGAGACACTGCGTATCCCTTCAGTTAAAGCTCTTCGAAGACTCTTTTTACCCTGCGAGCTGAACTTTCTTGAGCCCCATAGAATGGATAAAAATCTTCATCCCCAGGTTGGTGAGGAGCCAATGATTTCACGCTCAAACAAGCTGACAAGCTAGGAATCCTAGCTTTCCTTAGCAGGCAGGAAACAGCATCCCACTCATAAGTCAGGAGTCTTTTCTGCCAATGTTAGGAATGTTGATATTTACCTTTATTTTTGGACTTATTTCTAAAAAAAATTAACTAGTATGTAAAAAAAAATCACACTTTAAAAATATGCTTCTACAATATTTGCTCTAGCGAACTATCTTTAGCTTGACCTAAATTACTAATTAAACTTTTCTATTGATCCAATTCCCATTACTGTTCCTGCCTTTATGCTTTCATATTCGGAAATCTCCAACATGCATTTTGATGGCTCCACCCCCCACGTTCCTCACTCCTGCCCCCTCATTTTGGTTTTGCTTTACCTTGTTAAGCACTTACAGATCATAAAATATGGGTGAGCTCAGAATATCTCTTACTCCAGTGTTACATATGGCACCCGCATTTCAGCACCAGCCCTTTAAAAAATGGTGCAGAATTTCAAGGAACTCAGCTACACTTTCCATTCAAAATCCCTCCCAAGCACTGTAGCTAAGAGCCTATCTCAGGATTTTCTTGAGAGCTGCTGGGGAGGCAAAATATCTATCTAACGAAAATGGCTCATCATCCACATTCTGCAGTACTGAGACTAATTCCCCAGCACTGCCAAACCTAGACTGCTGAACTCCCTCATCCAAACTCTCTAAGACTTAGTGGTCAAAGTGCCAAAGGCATCCGTCTTACTCACACTCTGTGGCTCCTAAGACCATGCTGAAAAGTGAGGATAAGTAATAATTGAAAGACATTTTTAGGATTCTAGTTGGGAGGATACATAATGCAGATACTATATAGTTTTTGTTTGTTTGTTTGTTTTTTGAGATGCTGTCTCACTGTGTTATCCAGCCTGGAGTACAATGGCGTGATCTTGGCTCACTGCCACCTCCGCCTCCCAGGTTCAAGTGACTCTCCTGCCTAGGCCTCCTGAGAAGCTGGGATTACAGGTGCCCACCACCACTCCCAGCTAATTTTTGTATTTTTAGTAGAGACGGGATTTCACCATGTTGGCCAGGCTGGCCTCAAACTCCTGACCTCAGGTGATCTGCCTGCCTTGGCCTCCCAAAATGCTGGGATTAAAGGTGTGAGCCACTGTGCCCAGCCTACTATATATTACTGAAGTTAGTAATTCATATTAATGCAAAATAAAAGGAGATTAGTGAATCACTGCTACGTCTGTCTTGTTTGGCCTGACAAGAAAAGTATCATAGAAGAGAAGGTGTGTTATGGGCATTGGATCAGCAAATAAGCTGAGGTCAAGCTTCCCTAAGTACCCACCAGCTCTGAAGGGGAAGTGACAGCTTGTCTTTGAGCCAGATTTAGGTTACATTTCAGTCTTAATTTATATCTAATCCATATCTAAACATAGAGAGAAATAAAATGCATTAGATTTCTGAGCCACCAAAGCCTGTTTAAAGGAAGACGGAGGAGGAAGGAGAAGAGGGCAATGACTTAGGGGCAAGTAATAGAAGGATTTGTTCTTTTATTTTATGCATTCTTTTATTCAACAAATATGTTTTGACAAGTAGGGGATACAGTGAACAAGGTAACTGGTTTTCTGTCCTTAAAGACCTTCCAGCCAGTTGTGGTGGCTCATGCTTGTAATCCCAGCACTTTGGGAGGCCAAGGCTTGTGGATCACCTGAGGTCAGGAGTTGGAAACCAGCCTGGCCAACATGGTGAAACCCTGTCTCTACTAAAAAAAAAAATACAAAAAAATTAGCTGTGCATGGTGGTGCACACCTGTAATCCCTGCTACTCAGGAGGCTGAGGCAGGAGAATTGCTTGAACCTAGGAGCCAGAGGTTGCAGTGAGATGAGATGGTGCCACTGCACTCCAGCCTGGGTGACAGAGTGAGACTGTATGAAAAAACAACAAAACAAAAAACCTTCCTGCCCTGTGGGAGCTACAGAGGAATAAGCAGTACTAATGTAACAATGCAGTGTCACTGGGACCATGTGCTGTGTTGTGGGCGCAGGCTCAAGAGGAACTCAAACAGCTTAGATTTTAGCCATTCCGAAGAAAGCACAGTAGCAGCCACTGGAGTCTCCGCCGTGTTCCGGGAAGCATGATCAAACATATCTTGAAAAAATCTAAAGCAGACTTCAGATTTGTTAGAAAGCATTCCTACCGCTCTCAGTAGTGACTTGGAGAATCTACCTCTTCATAGCTAAGGCTATAACAACATCAACAACAACAACAACAAAACACCTCTTTGGGTTGTCTTCACAAGTAGTTTCCAATTCAGTAGAGCCAATCCTGCAACAGTATTGGCATCATCGCAGTGCACTCCAGTGACGCAAATGGAAAGACTGCTGCTGGTAAACGAACTACCTGAATTTGAATTCTGGCTATACCTCTTCCTAGGTCTACGATTTTTAACAAATCAGTTAACCTCTGACCCTCAGTTTCCTTGGCTATAAAATGGGCATAATGAAGGATTGTGAGAGTTACCTGAGTAAAGTGCTTTGAACGGTGCTGCTCAATAATGTTATCCCTCTGAGAAGACATCGAAAGTTTCCCATAAGAAAAGGGCCTTTGTTATTCCAATTTGGATACTTTAAGCAGGCAAAATAGAACAGTAAAAGGAAAACAAATGTAAAGGGATGCTGTTTATGAAATAGTTGTGAAGAATAAGCACTTCAGAGGAGCTTAATTTAACTTCTCAGCTCTGCTAGAGTAAACATTGTAACCAGACTAAAAACCTTTCCTTTGTTCCTGCAGTTATTAGAGAAAGGAGGAGGCCAGAGAAGTCATATCATTTCACTTCTCTGAACTTCACCCTGGATTATTTAATGTTGACAGGCATTCGGGATGTATAGAGATTAAGGACACAGACTCTGGAGCCTGGTGCTGGGATCCAAACCCTGATCCTGTCACTAACTAGCTATGTGACTTGGGGCAAGTTCTTCAACTTCTGTACACCTCAGTTTCTTCATCTATGAAATCACAATAATAAAAGTACCTATCTCAGGTATTTTTATATATGATAATTTTTTTTTTTCCTTGAGATGGAGTCTCACTCTGTCATCCCAGCTGGAGTGCAGTGGCGAGACCTCAGCTCACTACAACCTCCGCCTCCCTGGTTCAAGCGATTCTCCTGCTTCAGCCTCCTGAGTAGCTGGGATTATGGGCGCCTGCCATCACACCTGGTTCATTTTTGTATTTTTAGTAGAGACAGGGTTTCACCACGTTGGCCAGGTTGGTCTCGAACTCCTGACTTTAAGTGATCTGCCTGCCTAACCCTCCCAAAGTTCTGGCATTACAGGCGTGAGCCAACGCGCCCAGCCTGTGTATGATGATTTAAATGTGTAATGTACTTAAAGCTCTTAGAACCATGCCCAGCAATATTAATGCCATTTAAGTCATAGTTATTAGAAAAGCTACTGTTATTAAAGAATAATGCAAGGAATTGTTCAAATGCATATAATCATAAAATAGAGAGTCAAGGCTGGGCACAGTGGGTGGCTCACACCTGAAATGTCAACACTTTGGGACGCTCCCTTGAGCCCAGAAACTCGAGACCAGCCAGGGCAACATAGTGAGACCTTGTCTCTGCAAACAACCAACCAACCAAACAAACAAACAAAAATAACAACAACAAAAATACAGAGTCAAAATGGAACGGTCTTGTCAAAGTTGGTAGTCACTATGCCGTTAGTTTCATGAAGATAAAACATGGTTATTTTGTTCCTACTCTATTTGTTGAAAAATGAATGAATGAGGCATGAAAGACTTGACTAGTTTGATGTTGAGAACTTAGCAAAAAGGAAAGCACACGAGATCTGGAAGTGAAAACCCAAAACATGAGTCCTGGCTTAACCTCATTCTAATTTGACAGGTGATTTACCACAGGTACTCAGTTTCCTCATCTTTGAAAGAGGGAAGTCAGAGGGAGAATTTCTGAGGTTCATTCCACATCCAAAATTCTGCAGCGTTAGATAGCCTTTCGAATTTTACAAAAGGTAATGTAATCATGGCTATGGAAGTTTTTTTCACATACCTTGTGTATTTCCAAAAAGGATTATCGAGTTGGAGACAATGTCATTTGTTTGCGTTTTCTAAATCATTATGTAAGAATCTGAGCCACAAACAGAACAAATCTTTAAATCCATGAAAATGGATTACCTTTAGCTGGACTGACAACTTTTAAAACTCTTGGATTGGGAGAATAAAACTGATAAGGACATTTTTCCATTCATCTTAAATGAATTTTTGGAGACTCTTAAGAGTAAAATATAATCCATATACATCTAATGCTAATTTATCATGAACACTTAAAGAATGAAAGTAGAACTCTTATCCAGTTTAGTTCAGCAATTCTCTGCTAAATGAAATTAAGCTGCTTTAGTTGAGCTTTTAAAATATGAGGATGAGAAGCATAAATCCAAAGGATTTTGTAGAACTAGCATCCGGACTGTCTTTCTTCAGATTATGTTCCTAGAATCTGGGTTCCCCAGGGCAGCCTCTCATTACTGTCAGTATTAAGGACTAGAAAGGAGCTGGAAGAGGCTTGGCCGCTTTTATAGGTTTTTGGTAGTGGCATAAAGATTTCACTTGGTTGGGGGAGGGGGGTAGGGGGACAGAAGAGTCTGTTGTGGAAACTAAAAGAAAAGAAGGGGAGAGTGGTCTGAAATCAAAAAGTCTGGATTACGTATACAAGCTTTGAGTTGAACAAGGTTTAAATTTTAGCTCTGCTACTTTTTAGTTATGTGACCTTGGGCGAATGGTTTAATCTCTCTAAGTCACACTTTGCACATTTAATAATGTTTCTTACCTTATAGGGTTACTGTGAATATTAAATGAGCTAATACATGTAAAGCATTCCTACCCAGAACATAGTCAGCTCTAATAAATAGTGACTGACAGACAGCTACAAGGGCAGATAACCTATATTCTCCTTCAGTTTCTTATGCTCCCTCTGGAATGTCTCAGAAGCATAGGAAGCACTGTTTAAGCCTCCTGCAATCAAAAATCATTCTTTTTAATTAGCCCTAATAGACCCTATGGTTTTTTTTTTTTTTTTTCCAAAATCTATTCATAGTTTAATGTGGGCTATGGACAAAGGTTCACTTTGTAAGACTGTCTAGCTAGGTTAAAAATAAAATATGCAGAAATGTGTGGAACTTCAACAATAGAATATAAGAAAATGAATTATTCTGAACTGCAAACAAAGGCATTGTAGTATATGAATGTGTATGTGAAGTAAAAGTTTGGAAAGTATAAACATCAGTATGGTAACAGTTACTACATCTGGGAAAGGGAGAAAGATTGGAGAGGAGGTGGGATATACCTTATTATTGTTTTAATGTTTTATAGATGTATTTACATATTGTTTAACTAAAAACAAACAAACAAAAAAAGCAAAGTCATGTACAAGCAGAAATAAACATTTAGAATACAGAATTTGTGGAATAAACCAAAGTAGACAAAAATCAAAGAATTTATCCCTGGGGCATTCAATGACTTGATACAAGGTCACCTTCTACTTAGTTAACTGTCCTTGAGGAGTAAGGAGAGCGCAGGGGCAGGAGAGATGTCTGATCCTGTCTCCAGCAACTGATAGACCCAGGTTAGAAGTTAGATGAAGCTGCCTGCCAGTTATCTTGGTAGAAACTTCTTTCTGCATGTACTCAGATAAGACATCAGTACCCTGGGTGGTTCTCTGCAAAATTCAAGGTCTGCAGAGTCACCAACTGAAGTCTATTGGTAAACTTGCTTTTAAGCAAAACAAAACCAAATGGCAAATTAGTATTTCTATTAGTACATTTTGATAACAAAGAAAATAAAAGACAATTTAAAATTTATGTAACTTAAATCTACATTGCTTAAGAACATCTGACTGAGGAGTTTTAGAATATCCCCAATACCATGAAATAAATACAGTAATTAAAAGGCAATAGAGTTTAAATACTGGATAATGGGCTATGGCATTTTTAAAATTAGCAAAACATTTGTTTATTATTGAAAATTAGGGCTGGGCCTGGTGGTGGACATCTGTAATCCCAGCAATTTGGGAGGCTGAGGCAGGAGGACCACTTGAGCCCAAAAGGTCAAGACCACCCTGGGCAATATAGCAAGACCCCGTCTCTAAAAAAAAGAAAAAGAAAGAAAGAAAATTAATTTTCATAAAGGGCTCTTCCCTTGGAAAGAAATATTTTAGCTACAGAGAAAAACTAAGAAGCCTTGTGGAGCTCTGTGAAGTTGCACTGACTTGCTTTCACTTAGCTTGCAGCTCACTAGTGAGATTTCACATGGTACTCCCACTCCAAGAGCAGGGGCCAGGACAGGTTGGTTTCATTTTGGTTTGAATGCATATGCTTTGGCCCACAGACTTGGAGAAAGATTTTGCTTTACTGATGAGAACTCAGTCAAGGGTGCTTGGGAGCCTTCGCTGGCCCTCTAGCTGGGCCTGACATGTTGCCTGCATTTCTAGCCTTGCCTTCCCAGCTTGCCCATTTGGTGCAGGGAGATAGTCCAGCCCACCCTGAAATTCACTGTGTTCTGCGGATGAGTTAACTGAAGGGCTGTGTTTCAGGAGTGGCACAGAAAGGACCTGAATGAAAGGAAGGAGGAATGAATGGAGAGAACCATTTTGGTGGAATTGCCCTAGGGTATTAAATAGGATGGGGCAACTGGGGACTGGAGGATGTTCCTTCTCTTACGTTGCTTAGGAAACACTGTCCTTAAGAGTGTCAGTGTCATTCCTTTAACAATCATTCATTTCTTACCTCCCGCTTGTGTATAAATTTGCAGATTTACACAGACCACCAGTGTGGCCATCCCAGTGAACTGAGTTTATTGTGAAATATACATGCAAAAAAATCCTTTTTTCTCACCTACAACCAATGCAACATTATTCATACTTTGAGTTGAAGAATAAGGAGTTTAAGAAATAAATGCATACAGCAACATAACCCTGAATTATCACTCAAATACAGACCTCCCACTGCTCTCTCCCAAAAAAAAAAAAAAAAAAAAAAAAAAAAAGGCAGTTATTCTAAGCAAAAGCAAAAATTGAGGCAACTTAAAATAGACAATTTTAAATGCTGGATTCCATCATTTCTGTAAAAGGTCATTCTACTCCTTTGCTATTTATACCACAGATAGAGACACAGCAAATTATTGGCTGAATGGATTTGGGAAACCAGAAGCTGCTGCTTCTGACGAACGAAGATGATAATGCATCACTTGAGACTGAGTGGATGAAAGGTGTAGAAAAGTTGAACCCTTCAAAGATGAGAGGAAGCTGCTAAATTAGCCCCTGACTAAATTACTAGCCATAATTGTACTCAAGCCAGTTCTCTTTGCGACTGCCTTGTAATCTTTGTTGTGGCTTGAGAGAGAAAAATCCCCATTCCCAGCTCAAACCCGTTTAAGGCATCTCAGCCCAACCCCCTCCTCCCAATGCAACTCTTCATAGCCCCCTGCCCCTCCTCCAACAAATTCTAATCAAGTCAGGTATAGTTCTCAGCTTTACCACTGCCATCAGAAGCACGGCTTACATTAAGGGTTTAGCAACAAAACCTCAGGCTTACTTCAGGCAAACATTCAAAAGCATTTAAGAGAAGCACAGAAAACAAAAGAAATAAGCAAAACCTGTCCTTACCCGCTTCTTAAAAAATTGGAAGGCTGAGCATTTCTTGACTGGGAATCCATTCATGTCTTTGTTTACCATTTTCCACCGTGGGGAATTCACAGTTATAGATCCAGGTTGGCACCCGCCTGGTTAGTGCATATCTGTTTCCCCGGTTTACCTCCTGCAGACAGTTAATGAAGACTGAGCGGGATGGAGAATCTAGCGGGGCTCAGTTCTTCACTCGCGCATTCTGCAGCACCAGCTACTGCAGCAACCTCTCCCCACTTTCAGTTGCCACCGACAGCGGCTTTTCTCCTTCCATCATTGCTCCGAAACATATGCATCACCGCTGCAGGACCCTGGGGGCCGGACGGTGGGATACGGCCAATCTCCGGGGAGATGCTGTGGCTCTTACCGAGCGGGAGAAGGGTACGCCTCCCCGCCCCCAGCTACCTGGCTGCTCTTCCGCGGCCGGCGCGGGGAGCGAGTCGCTCTTCTCCAGGTGATGCGCTCCTGGAGGCGGCTTGAGAGAGGAGAGTTGTTTTTGATTGTGCAAGTTCCAGTGGGAGCTGTAGTTAAGCAGCTGAGAGAAGGAGTAAGAAAGAGCAGAAGCCAGAGGGAGGGAGGGAGAACAGCGCCAGAAAGGCAGAGGGAGCGAGAAGGCGAGGCTGGAAGAAGCAACGGTTCATGAATATCTGAGCAGCGGATGGAGAGAAGGCACAGCCGGCTCAGGGCACACTGAAGAGCAGTTGACTCCCCTTGGGAGGGTTACTTTAAATAGCTTCTTTTCTTTCTTTCTTTTTTTTTTTTTTTGGTTAGGACCATTTAAATCAGAGTTTCATATAAATTGCACACCGTTTTTATTTTATGCTCATTGACATTCTTTTGAATCCTGTTGCTGAATAAAAGCCTCTCAACGGAAATGTAATCACATTTAATCTCGACCTGTCCAAACGTGGAAGAAAATGAAATAAAGTGCAAGCGTAGGTATAACAATGGAAGATCTCTCACTATGTAGAAGCTCTTTTAGCCTCCCCTCCCCTACTTGTCATTATATAGTGGGCAATGGTGACGGTAATTGTGTCTTTTTCATTAAAACAGCTTATTAAAAAAAGAACACAATGAACATATACAAAGTACTTTATTACACACATACACACACACACGAGTTATTACCAAAAAGTACTACTGAATCCATTTAATGATGAGGAAGGTTTGATAAATAAAAGAGTAAAGCATTCTTCCTATTAGGTGAAAAATTTCCCAAAAAATCCTTACTCATGTTATCCTTTGCACACTGAGCTCCTTTTAAAAAAGCCATTTAATTGTATGTGGCTTATTTTTCCATTTTTATTCTTTAATGTTGATATTTTATGGGAATGATTTTAAAGATTAGTTGATAGTAAAGCAAGAAAGCAAAGAAAATAAACTTGGCATCTGACCTGGCAGAAAGCCACCAACATCGGTGTGTGGCTTTCTGCCATCACCTGACCTCACTGTGCCTTTCGGACACTGCCTCATCCATAAAATGGAGGCAGCCACTCATTCATTCATTCACTCATTCATTTATTTAGTCATTCATTATTTGCTATTTCATTCCATTAATAAATCTAACTCTGACAAGTGTCCTCAGGATGTGGAGCCTTTTCATAATCATCACAAGGGAATATAATTGATAAATAAGTGAAAGGCGCAATGCTAATTTGAAACTGATTATGACCTCATTATATATAACACACCTAACATTGTTAAAGTATTTACATGGAAGTCTCTGGTAAGAAGAGAAACATCAGGTTAAACTGGGAAAGAAATGCATGGGTTTCATTGAATTGGACTATAAATCTCTACAGTTGGGCCAGAGTTTTTGGGAATAAACATGAAATCCTGTTTGCTAAATGCCTTGAGGTTTCCAAAAAGAAAATGCAATACAACTAAATGATGGCATGATAACCAAGGGAAAACAACTATTCATTTTGGAGAGATATGTTAAGTTGTCCAAGATGCAAGTATATGTTATGTAATCTACAACATTGATAAGTTTTTGTGGTTCTTCTAAAGAGTTCATTTAAAATTATGGTAGTTCAAAGGGAATTATTTTGAGACGATGGAAGTGTTCTCTATCATGATGATGGTGGTGGTTACATAACTATGCATTTGTCAGAACTCATCAAATTTTATATAGGAAAAGGGAAACTTTTGCTGCATGTAAATTATACCTCAATGGACCTCATTTTAAAAAATGATGGTCATTCAAGTTCTTTCTTTTTCGTCCCATTGCCACTCCCCCAAAAGTGTTTTAACAGACATTTATTGAATTTGAGTAATATACAGGAGGGGACCTTTAAGCACTCTGCTAGGAAGGAGGTGCTGGGGCTTTGCTTAATCCCACATTGGCCTAGCATGCATACTGGTTGATATCATTTGGCTGTGTCCCCACCCAAATCTCGTCTTGAATTGTAGTTCCCACAGTGAGTGATTTCTCATGAGATCTGATGGTTTTATAAGGGGCTTTTCTCCCTTTTGCTCAGCACTTCCCCTTCCTGATGCCATGTGAAGAAGAATGTGTTTGCTTCCCCTTCTGCTCTGATTGTAAGTTTCCTGAGGCCTCCCCAGCCATGCTGAACTGTGAGTCAATTAAACCTCTTTCCTGTATAAATTACCCATCTCACTATGTCTTTATTAGCAGTGTGAGAACGGACTAATACCCTGGTTTCATGTAGGATGTATGTTCATTTGGGGTGCAGGCGGGTGGTTAATAGAGATTATGAGGGAGGAGAAGACAAGCTAAATGCTATCTTTTCCCTCACTCCATGCCACCTCTTGAAGATGCTGCCACTGTCACTTGGTCTATGCTAGATCCTATGGAAGGTCCAGTGCATGTAAGTGTCACTGGTTTTTGTCACCAAGGAACTCACAGCCTAGTAGAGAAATATACAGTGTGGTAAGAATACTATATACAGTAGTCCTCCCTTATCTGAGGTTTTACCTTCCACAGTTTCAGTTACCTAAGGTCAACAATGGTCTGAAAATCAGTGAGTACAATACGATACTTTTAGAGACACAGAGAGAGACCACAGTCACATCATTTTTATTATCGTACATTGTTAAAATTATTCTACTATTGTTGTTAATCTCTTACTGTGCTTGATTTATAAATTAAACTTTATTATAGGTATGTATGTACAGGAAAAAACATAATGTATATGGAGTTTGGTACTATCTGAAGTTTCACGCATCCATGGGGGGGGTCTTGGAATGTATCCCCCATGGATAAGAGTGTACTACTCTGTGTGTGTGTGTGTGTGTGTGTGTGTGTGTGTGTGTGTGGTGTGTATGCATCAACCCTGCCTTAATTTGGAGGGGGGAAGGGTGGGGCTGGATGGGTAAGAGAGGTCCAGGAAATTTACCTAAAGGGATGATGTTAGTGCATGGCCTTAAAGAATGAGTAGGTCAGTCAGATGAAGGAAGAGAAGTATAGGGCAGGGATTCTGACTATATCTGACAGCCAATTATTTTGGATTATCTTTTGATTGGTGCAATAATAGAGAAATGCATTAACTGCACTGTGTTGGTTATTCAGGAAAAGAAGGCATCTTTCATCTCACTCTGACCTCTATTTTCATAAGTAAAGCTGCCCTCAGGTAAGCCCAGAGTGACTACTGTTTACTAAATGTTTCCTTTGACAGGTCCACTGTTGATACCTATAAAGGAGCACAGGCTCCTGCTTATAATAATAAAAAAAAAAACTCTGGACTCATGCAACATCTTGTTTATAAATCAAACTTAATTTAATTAATTAACTCACTTCTTGTTCCCATAAAACACACTTATTTATTTTTGTAGCACCAGCACACAGCGGAGTGCCTGGGCCATGCTAGCACTCAACAAATGGTTTTCAAACGAATTAAATACAAAAGTAAGTATAGCTGACATCAGTGACCCTGGCACCAGACCATTTGCAGGAATCATTAAATACCTTTAAGATTCTTCAGTCATTAAGCTCTCTCCCATGATAGCCAATATGCTGAGCTCCAGTAAGAGCAAACGACCTCACTCCTCACCATTTCCTCTTTAAGCCTCAATGACACTGTAGCCCTGGGATGACACTTCTTTTTGATGGAAAATCCCAATGTTAAAAATAATCCCTTGGGCCAGGCACAGTGGCTCATGCCTATAATGCCAACAATTTGGGAGGCCGAGGTAGGAGGATAACTTGAGCCCAGGAGTTTGAGACCAGCCTGGCAACATAGCAAAGCCCCATTTCTACAAAAAGGAAAAAAAATAGGTGGTGTGGTGATGCATGCCTGTGGTCCAGCTGTTTAGGAGGCTTAGGTGGAAGGATTGCTTGACCCTGGGAAGTTGAGGCTGCAGTGAGACATGGTTGTTCCACTGCACTTTAGCCTGGGCAACAGAGCAAGACTCTCTCAAAATAAATAAATAAATAAACAAACAAACAAAAAGAATCCCTTGAACCTCTATTTGATTTTTTTGTGGTATACCTACTTTTCCTCCCAACAATATTGTTTAGGCTGTCACACAAAGAATAAAATAAAGTAGCTAGGTAGGACTAACTACCAATATGTACCTGCGGTGGAAAGACTGCTGTATTGATTTGGAACATCTTCTACCTCACTTCCATTCCCTAATTGTGCAACCTTCAACAAGTTCCCTCAACGCACTAAGCCTCAGTTTCTTCATCTGTAAAATAATAATAATAAAATGCTTCTTCACCTACCTCCTAAAGGAATTGTCAGTACCAAATTATATTTGAAAGGGTTTTGCAAAGTAATAAATAACTCTACATTTCTTTGTTTCACTAAAGCAAGAGGCATATGCCACTGTAATACTTTTTAGAAAGTCTATCTTCCCATAGATTAAAGTGTTTTTGTGTGATACATTTAGTTGTTGAATGGAATGTAATTTTTTTCGATAGCACCCCAGAATACACAAAAGATAACAAACAATAAAGTATCTGTTTAGTGACAAATGTCCCTAAGGAGAAAGGGATAAAAATACATCACCTCATGAGAAATGTTTTACATTCCTTTTTGGCCTGAGTGACTCGATCATATGCTTAAAACTCCAGCCACAGTGGTAGTGATGTATTTAATGAAGAATTAGGAAACCCTGCTGGGGATTATGGGTTTGTTTTTGTACATGCAAAAGACCCTTTTTAATTTTATTTTATTTGCTTTTTTGAGAAAGGGTCTCTCTCTGTCACCCAGGCTGGAATGCAGTGGTGTGATCATGACTCACTGCAGCCTCAACCTCCTGGGCTCAAGCGATCATTCCACCTCTGCCTCCCGAGTAGCTGAGATTACAGGTGCGTGTCACCATGCCCAGCTAACTTTTGTAGTTTTTGTAGAGATGGGGTTCCACCATGTTGCCCAGGCTGGTCTCAAACTCCTGAGCTCAAGCGATCTGCCCGCCTTGGCCTCCTAAAGTTCCGGGATTATAGGTGTGAGCCACCAAGCCTGGCCAAAAGTCCCTTTTTAAAAAAATTTGAAATTTTTTGGTTTTACCAAATTAGATCTTTTTTCACTTAATGGATGCATATATCAGAGGAAATGTTACATTATGAAAACCCTAAAACAGTTCATTATATAGTTTTCTTTGACAGAAATAATTACATAGAAACAAAAATAATCAAAAGGCCAGACATGGTGGCTCATGCCTATAATCCCAGCACTTTGGGAGGCTGAAGTGGGAAGATTGCTTGAGAACAGGAGTTTCAAGACCAGCCTGGGCAACATAGTGAGACTCTATCTCTACAAAATTTTTAAAAATTAGCAAGACATAATGATGCATACCTGCCTTCCCAGCTACTTAAGCAGCTGAAGCAGGAGGATCAATTGAGCCCCAGGAGTTCAAGGATGCAGTGAGCTATGATCGTGCCACTGAACTGAACTCCACCCTGGAGGCTCCATCTGTTAAAAAAAAAAAAAAAAAAAAAAATCAATACCAGAATTGATTCATGGAATTTTGCAAAAAGATGCAAGAAGCAAAGGATTATGCTCCTTTTTGTCTATAAGAGACTAAATAAGACTTAAAGTGTTCCATACTTGTGGTTTGTTTCCATTTTCACTATGTTAGCAAAAACAGGGCAATTTATAGATATACAGTTTTCTTACAGAGTCAGCATTTATCAACTATTTTATTATTTTTAATTGGCAAAAAGTCAAGCAATATTTCCAGCGTTAATTGATTTGACACCTTATTGAATATGAGGTATGTTCTGGTCATTACACTTACAAGAAAAAGAACAAACCAATGAAACAAACTGCATTTGTCCTGGCAAATTTCATCTAATGATACTACTTAATCCATATGTAAGGCATTCCATTTTTTTCCAGAAATATGGTTTTAGCCAGATCATCTAAAACTGGATTTTATTTATCTCTCTTACCTGAAACATTTTTGATGTAATTAGAAAATTTAGTTCCTCAGTTCAAGAGAAACAGTAGCAGCTGATTAAAAATGCATGCCACCTCCCTATGTCTCTGTTACTCGCTTTTCACCTGGGCCCCTTCACCCACGCAGGCACCCACACACACACTCTCTCTTTTTTCCCTCCTTGGCTCTATATGGTAAAATGGTGTCAAAGATGTTTATGACAACCTTTTCTGACACAAAGCTATAAAGAAATCCTCTCTTTCTTATGGCAATGTGACAACATGTAGCCCAAGGGGACAAATCAATTTGTTAGTAATTGCTCATTTGAATATTAGTGATAATTCATTCAACATCAACAATGAATTTTACAGCTTTCCCAGATTTCACATCTGCACAGTTATTTCTATTCCCTTGCTTAAATCATACAAAGGAATTAGAACCTGCAAAGATTGTTTATTTTAAAGAAAATCTATTCCTTTAAACTCCCTTTTGATCTGACCTTCCTTATTATAGTGATTTCTTGTCTCGTCAGTCAGGGAATTTTCAGTGTTGCAGCAAGACTGTCATTGTGTAAATCAGCAAGACTTTGTCATTGTGTAAATCTCACTGCTAGAGACCTAGAAAACATACGGACGTGCATTCTCGTGCAGAAACACACACATATAGGTACACATGCAGTTTGAATAGAGTAGGTCAGCAGAACATCCTGCTAAGGTCGTTATCATCTATGAATTGGACTGCCTTGAGAATGACCTTGAGAAATGAAGTAGAAACTACAGATAGAGTGAATTTTATAGCCTTTTTGTAAGATGCGTTTTTGGGGGTGTTATTAGTTACTCCTCTCTTTTTTCTTTCAACATTCAACCTTTGAGATTAGGTTCAAATGATCTCTTAACTGATAGGGCAGAAGGTTATATTTTTAACTTGACTTGTCCAAAAGGTGTTCGTCAATTACTTCTCTATGTACAGCACAAATGAAACATGACGTGGGCAGGTTGCTCCTGTCAACCGTCTCACCAGGCTATATGTACATGATGGAATAGGCTATTGTGATTGGTATTGATTGAAAGAAGCTAGGGAGAAATTAGTAGCTGGAGTCCTGTTTTCTCCACTCTGCAGGCATGATCTTTGGCTATCTCTCCATGTGCACCATGAAACAAAGAGCTGAGTCAATTTCTCTGATAATTCGAATCAGCTGAGGCTTGCAGAGAAGGGAGCGTGAGCTGGGCAGATACGTCTAGTAGCAGCAGCCACCCCAGCAAAGAGACAAAGAACCCACCCAGGAGCCTCACATGCTGCTATTCTAGAAAATTCTGCGCCTTCAGGTGAATTGGTTCCTGAACATGATTGTCCTCTATTTGAAACTCTCTCAAAGTCTACCTGAGGTTTATCTGTTTTGTAAAATAAGCTTATTTAAATTGAGCACAATTTCATCTCATCTGGCCCACTTTGTTTTCAAGGGAAATTAGATACCCTAAATATAGTATGAACTCAAAATTTATTAGAGTGGCAATAAAGAGCATTAGAACTAATGGGGTCTCTCTCCTCAAGTCAATATTGTTTAGTATAAATGGATTTGAAACCTACCTCTCCTGCTTACTAGCTATGTGATCCTGAGCAAGCTAAAATAAACAAAATCATAAAATACTTCTTAATAATTAGTTTGTTGTGAGAATTAAAGGGAATTTCAAAAGGATTTAATATACACACATATGTGAACGTATAACTATGTCTATTCACATATTTATATGTGACAGTTTTAAAACATGGCTGTAAATTCTTTAATTCTGCTCCCATTGACAGAAGTTTGTGTCTTCTCCCCTTGAATCTGTGTGGGCTTATCCACTTCAACTAATCCAGTACAGTGGAAGTGATGCTGTGTGACTTCTGAGGCTAGGTTACAAAATGCCATGTTGTTTGTGCCTTATTCACTAAAACATTCTCACTTAGAGTCCTGAGTTACTATGTAAGAAGTTTGGCTATCCAGAAACCACCATGATGTGAGGAAGCCCAAGTCACATGAAGAGGTCAGGAGTAGGCATTTGGTTGATGGGTTGGCAGTCTCTGCTGAATCCAACTTTTGAGTCATGCCAGCCCAGGCACCAGATACATGAGTAGAAAACCTTCCAATGATTCTAGCCTTGAAATATTTGAGTCATCCCAACTGTTTGAGATTTTTCACCTGGAGTTCCAGACTTTGTGAAGTAGAAATAGATTCTGTGAGCCTAATAACTTGGTGTTGTTTTAGGTTACCAAGTTTGAGGCTGGGCACGGCAGCTCACACCTGTAATCCCAGCACTTTGGGAGGCCGAGGCGTGTGGATCACCTGAGGTCAGGAGTTCAAGACCAGCCTGGACAACATGGTGAAACCCTATCTCTACTAAAAATACAAAAATTAGCAGGGGGTGGTGGCAGGCACCAGTAATCACAACTACTTGGGAGACTGAGGCAGGAGAATCACTTGAACCTGGGAGCCGGAGGTTGCAGTGAGCCAAGATTGGGCCACTGCACTCCAGCCTGGGTGACAGAGAGAGATTCTGTCTCAAAAAGAAAAAAAAAGTTTAAGGTAGTTAATTACGCAGATTATATCTATCCTATCCTATCTATCTGTCCATCTGTCTATCTATCTATCTATCTATCTATCTATCTATCTATCATCTATCTATCTGTCTACCTATCCACTCATCTATATCTCCCCCATACCCCATTCCTCATTCCTGGGAACACGGTTCATGCTCAACACATGAGAGTACGAGGATGCCAAAAGACATACTGGGTTAGTAAATGGCTAATAGTTTAGATTGAAAGCATTCAAATTGAAATAAATAATTGGTGAAGAAGCTGAGAGGTGCTGCTCTCTTGTAGGCAATATAATCACTGAGTTTTGAATCTTATTGTCTTAGTAAGCTTGTGCTACCATAACAAAATACTATAGCATGGATAGTTTAAAGAGCAGAAATTTATTTTCTTACAGTTTTTGGAGGCTGAAATCCAATTTCAAGGTGTCAGCATGGTTGGCTTCTGGTAAGGGCTTTCTTCCTGGCTTGTATTTGGCTGTCTTCTCACTGTGTCCTCACATGGCAGGGAGAGAGAGTGTGTGTTTCTTCTTATAAGGGCACTAATCCTAGTTTAAAGACCCCACCTTCAGGACCTCATCTAAGCCTAATTCTCAAAGTCCTCATTTCTAAGTACCACCACATTTCAGGGTTAGGGCTTTAACATATGAATTTTGGGGACATAATTCAGTCCATAGCAGTCATTTTATCATGTGGAACTATTTCTGGTACTAAGGCACTCTTAATCTCCACGTCAAAAGTGAATATTGTTATATTGCTTTTTCAGTAAGTAATAATTGGGAAAAGTTTTCAAAATCTCTGCCAACCCATGGGACAGAGGATCGATATAACTACCATACAAAAAAACTCCTATAAATGTATAAGAAAAAGACAGCTAGCTTAATAGAAAATATGCTTAAGATATAAAAAGCAAATCAGTAAAGGCATAATGCAGAATAACAAAAACGTACGCAAATAAATATATACAGAGATACTAAAATTTCTGGTGGTTAGTAAAATGCAATTTAAAATGGTGAGATACCATTTTTCACTTATTGGACTGGAAAATATTAAATAGTTATGCATTCAAAACATGCAAAACTCTGCAGTATTTCTGCATATAGTTGGAGGTAGTAGAAATATTTTTGAAAATAATCAAACAATATTATATAAAATTACAATGTGCCTATCCACTGACCTGGTAACTTTACTTTCAAGAATAAATTGAAAATATAAACACCAGTATGCATGACTCTATAGAAATACTAGGAATAATATAGTATAAGAATACTTACTATAGGATTGGTTGGAACAGCAAGAATTTGGGAAAATAAGGTCATGGTTTAACACATTGTATAACTATACTAAAGAATATCTTGCAGCTATCAAAAAGTATGAATTTAAACATTTTCATAATATGTTGTCAACTTAAAAACATATCCTAATGTTTTCTAAAGAAAAAACATTTTGTTGCCAGGCACAGTGGCTCATGCCTATAATCCTAGCACTTTGGGAGGCCGAGGTGGGTGGATCACTTGAGCCCAGGGGTTTCAGAGTAGCCTGGGCCACATTGGTGAAACCCCATCTTTACACCAAATGCAATAATTAGCTAGTCATGGTAGAGTGCGCTTGTGGTGCCAGCTACTCAGGAGGCTGAGATGGGAGGCTCACTTGAGCCTGGGAGACCAAGGTTGCAGTGAGCTGTAATTGCACCACTGCACTCCAGCCTTGGCAACACACACAGATCCTGTCTCAAAAAAACAAAACAAAAACCAAACTAAACCAAACAAACAAAAAACACCCCCCCCCCCAAAAAAAACACAACATTTTATTTTGTATGAGCATAGAGAAAGAAATGGAAGGTTATATATCACCAAATATAAAACTAGTTACTACAGGAGGAGGTAGATGGGGAAGTCTATTTCTTTTCTTCTTCCTTTCTTTTCTTTCTTTCTCTCTCTTTCTCTCTTTCTCTCTCTCTGTCTCTCTCTCTCTCTCTGTCTCTTTCTCTATCTCTATCTCTATCTCTATCTTTCTTTCTTCCTTTTTTTAGACAGCGCCTCCCTCTGTTTCCCAGGCTGGAGTGCAGTGGTGCAATTATGGCTCACTCCAGTCTCAACCTCCTGGGCTCAAAAGATCCTCCCACCTCAATCTCCTGAGTAGCTGGGACTACAGACACTATGTCGGGCTGATTAAAAAAACACAAATTTTTGTAGAGACAGAATCTCCCTATGTTGCCCAGGCTGGTCTCAAAGTCTTGGGTGCAAGTGATCTTCCCACCTCAGCCTCCCAAAGTACTGGGGTTACAGACGTGAGCCACCATGTCCAGCCTCATTCTTTTTCTAAGTTTCTATAATGCATTTACCACAACAAGCATGTCTTACAGTAAAGCTGAAAAACATTTAACATCCTATAGCTTAGCTAGGCACCTAAACCGTCTCATTTTCACCAGGTATTTTACTTCCTCCTTTGAAAGCTTCTATTCATTTATCCTTGATTGTGTATTTCATAAATTTTAGGCACCATGCCTTGTGCTAGGAAATTTACAAAGAGCAGTATTTGACCATAACCAGTATCTAGAATTGTAGAATGTAGCAGAGCTGGAAGGAACTTGAAGATATTCTCACCCAAATCCTTCATTCTATAGATGATGGAATTGAGGCCCACAGAGAGAGACCGACTTGCTCAAGGTTACATCATAGTGAATGATATTTCCATTCTAAATTTAGCCAATCACAGATATACATGAAATCTACACAGAATAAAATAGAAAATATGGTAAAACGTACTCATGAATCCATAGAACAACCAGTATTTGTTGGGAATTCAATTATTCCTTAGGCACTGAGTTCAGGACTAAGTGTCTATCACACTTCTTTAGGTTCTGACTAATTTTTCAGTGCTTATTTTTATAGTAGTCTAAACATACAAAATCTGCATAAGAGATTGTAGCTACTCTTTTTCGTGACTGTTCTTTTACTTTTTCTTTTCCATTACTGATTGCAATATCAGTCAAGTAGCCTCTCCCTATAAAGTAAACTTCTTAATCAAGAGATAAACTTATCTAAAAAGGATCTGCTAATGATTAGAAAAATTTGAAGTTGCATCATAAGATTTTCATGAAACTTTCCATCAGTTCCTAAAGTAAAGAGACCTACAAAAAATTGAATAAAAAATTTAAACTTTTCCATATGGAACCAGAAAAATAATTCCATATTCAGCATATTCTGGCTGGGTGCAGCGGCTCACGCCTGTAATCCCAGCACTTTGGGAGGCCGAGGCAGGTGGATCACGAGGTCAGGAGTTCAAGACCATCCTGGCCAACATGGTGAAACCCTGTCTCTACTAAAAATACAAAAATTAGCTGGGCGTGGTGGCACACACCTGTAATCCCAGCTACTCAGGAGGCTGAGGCAGGAGAATCACTTGAACCGGGGAGACAGAGGTTGCAGTGAGCCGAGATTGCACCACTGTACTCCAGCCTGGGAGACAAAGCAAGACTCTGTCTCAAAAAAAAAAAAAAAAAAAAAAAAAAAAATATATATATATATATATATATATATATATGTATATATGTATATAAAATAGCACATTCTGAATAGAAGCTGGTTACTTTGGAAAGTTGTAGGAAACCCAGAATTGTTTGAATTGTGAAAAGTCAGATATTGTAAATAGTTAAGCCCATTGAAGTGACTGTGTTTCCTATTTGATTTCGCTTTACTTTTCACACTCTCCTGTCACTGAGGTACAGACTTCACAATTGGACAGAAGCTATTGAATGGTGTGGGTGGAGATCAAATGTTCTTATAAAATTCTTTTATTTATTTATCTATATTTAAACATACTTATTGCTTATCTAGCCTATCACTTTATAATACTTTTTTAATATTTAGTATAGGGTTTTGCTAGAGAGTGCTGCTTAGTATTCCTTGTCAGCTTTAGTGGAACAGAGTGCCAATATTTCAGCCTTTCTGAAAGGGCTTAAAGTGTATTTATGCTGGAATACTCTTATTTTTACCCAGTGTGTACCATTTTTATAATGAAATGGACTATTGAAAGCCTTTTAAAATGTAATATAAATTTATGTTTTGGGCTAGGCGCGGTGACTCACGCCTGTAATCTCAGTATTTTGGGAGGCCAAGCCAGGTGGATTACAAGGTCAGAAGTTCGAGACCAGCATGGCCAACCTGGCGAAACCCTGTCTTTACTAAAAATACAAAAAATTATCCAGGCATGGTTGTGCATGCCTGTAGTCCCAGCTACTTGGGAGGCTGAAGCAGGAGAATCACTTGAACCCCAGAGGCAGAGGTTACAGTAAGCTGAGATGGTGCCACTGCATTTCAGCCTGGGCAACAGAGCAAGCCCCTGTCTCAAAAATAATAATAAATAAAATAATAAAATAATAAATATATTATTTTCATATAATAAAAATGATAATTTTTATTTTATATACAATTTTTATTTTATATAAAAATGATAATTTATATAATAAAAATAATAAATAAATTTATGTTTTCTTGCAAGGCATTCTAGATAGTGCACAAACATGAAGTCTTCAGGAAAAAGGAAGGATCTGAACTAAAACTTTCTTCTGTTTTTAATGGTATATATGCTAAGCCGTATTTACTTAGTCTACTAGATGTACATCATCAATGTGTGGGTGAGGAAGGAGAAATAGTCTAAATTAAGGACATGAGGGTTTCACCTCTTTATCTCAAGGATTCAACATGTATATTTAAATAAACAGGAGAATAATAGTGAAATATCCTTTCCTCATGGCAGAGACAAACTTCTTTTTAATAAAAAGAATAATAATGAAACAGTGGGTTATAGGACTGGAGGCAATGTGGCCTAATGGCAAAAAGATTCAGTCTGGGGTCTGAATCTCTCTTCACCAGAAGACAGCTATGCTATGTGAATTGGGATGTTATTTGAGCCTTCCAAGCCTGTTTTCCATCTATAAAGAGGAGATAATAGTTGTACCTATGTCTCTGAATTGTTAGAAAATTAAGACATAACATATATAAGTTGCCTAGCAGGGAGCGTGGTACACTGGAGAAGATCAGTAAGGGTTGGCTATTGCTATTATTATTGTTCTTATTCTTACTTGAAAACATGCATAGAGGAAGTTCTCATTGAAACCAGTGACACAGAGCTTGGCAGGCAGTAAGGGTTTTGAGCATCTGTTGGGTGCCAGACAGTACTTTCATAGGGCAGTTGACCTAGTTTCCAGAGAAGTCTGAGGGTATTAACCTGGAGTAGTCATCTGCAAGTAAGAATGCTTTAAGTCTTATGTTTTATCTTTTGAAAAATTATTGGAAATTTTGCAGTAGACTCCGTAATGTATGCTCATAAGCATTAACATAGAATAATGTTCCCCCTTCACAGTGCACCCCAAGTCCTTAAGTATAACTTCTCCTCCTGGGGAGCCAAAACCCACTTATTCTGTGGCTTTTGGCACTGTCTCATTTATGCCAGATGGAGGAACACAGGTTGAAGATGAGAAAGGAGTCACATGTACAGGGCTGCAGGCAGGAGTTTAAGTTGGGTCTGGGGGTGACTCCATAAAAAAGATATTGAATGAAATATTCCAGTATTACCTACAAGAGTAAGCACTGTATTGCTAATTACTTTTAAGTGCCAGGCACTCACCTGGGTTAGGCACTCTATAAGCATTTTTTCATTACATGTTTACATCTTTGAGAACAAGCTATTATTATCTGCATTTGCGGAGAATTTGCTTTGGAAAGATGAAAGTCCAGAGGCAATGAGACCATTCAATATCCTGTTAATTGGTCCAATTTTGACATGATGACCATTTGGTCCAAGAGGGTAGCAATACAAGAGTGAAAAAGCACACACTTTACTTTGTCATTCAATAAACACTGGATGTGTGCTACATACCACATGCTGGTGAATAAGACATTCTCCTTGCTTAAGAGTTAGACTGCAAGTCTGGCTGGCAATTTCAGGGTTATGTGATGAGTGTTGTGGTGGCAGTAAGCACAGAGTGTCTGGGAGCCCTGAGGAGGAGAAACCAGTTCAGCTTTGGGTATCCGGAGTACTTTTCATAGACATGGAGAGATATTTTAAATTAAATTAATTTTTTTTTTTTTTTTTTTTTTTGTAGAGCCAGAGTCTCACTATGTTGCCCAGACTGGTCTCAAACTCCAGGGTTCAAGCGATCCTCCCACCTCGGCCTCCGAAAGTACTGGAATTACAGGCATGGGTTAGCATGCCTGGCCAATAATTGAATTTTTAACCCTGAATGCATATGTAACATGGAAGCATACTGTTGTGGCTAAAAGCCAAGACTCTAGAGTCAGACTGTACAGAATCAATTCCCGGCCCTGCTACTTACTAGCAATGTGATCTTGGTCAAGTTACTTAACTTTTGCCCCTGAGTTTCCTCATCTGAAAATGGAGATTAAAAAAGTACCTACTTTATAGGGTTGTTCTGGAGACTGAAATGAGTTAATATATGAATTTTGAAACAATGCCAAACCCATAATAAATTATATGCAATTATTTGCTTCTTGCTATGGGAAATTGAAAGAGAGGGCAGTTGTGAGTGCAAATATACTAGACATTGTAGGAACTGATGCTACAATCACACTGATAAATTAATTGACACTTTTGAGGTTTTTCTCACTGTTATGGAACTCCCACTCTCACTGCCAATGTCTAGGCTTGGGTCAGCAATTTAAAACTTGTCCAGCCTGACCAACATGGTGAAACCCCATCTCTACTACAAATACAAAAATTAGCCGGGTGTGGTGTCAGGTGCCTGTAATCCCAGCTACTCAGGAGGCTGAGGCAGTGGAATCACTTGAACCTGGGAGGCGGAGGTTGCAGTGAGCCGAGATCGCGCAACTGGACTCCAGCCTGGGAGACAGAGTGAGACTCAGTTTCGAAAACAAAACAAAACAAAACAAAACAAAACAAAACACTTGTTAAAGGCCGATGAGTAAAGGAAATGAATGAGACAGTTAGGCACTGTAAGAAACCGAGGTAAATGGGGACCTTTGAAAAGGGTGGCTGCAAAACAGCTCCAAGTATTGCCTAATGGAATATTGGTCCAGGGATGCCAGATTCTCTGACATTTCAAGAGAAGTTGCAAAACCATATATTTGCGTAAAATGTCCCAATTTTTAAAACTTTAAACGCTATAAAAAAGCCATCTGTGGGCTGGATGGAGCCTTTTGAGTCCTCTTCTAGGCTCTCCATTGCCTCCAGGGATAACTAACAGCTTTTTCTTTTAAGTTCCCCACCAAAAAGACAGCAGAAACAAAGAAATTGTTAGGCTCTTGGGAGCCAATTTCAAACAGGCTGTGGTTTTCTCAAGTCTAGGTCCCAGGTGGTACAAAATGGGCAGCTCTGCTATGTAGTGAAGCCTGGATGTGGGTTCCCTCTAGGCCTGGAAGCCTGTGTGTGTGTGTGTGTGTGTGTGTGTGTGTGTGTGTGTCTGGTAATTGAACAGCATTTATCACACTTCAAGTGTCATGGAACCATTCAGATCAGTTACACATGTTAAATGACTATTTTTAGTTTCATTCAGATTCCTATTGTTTTATACTCAGATATATTCTATAACGTAAAAGAACCAAATTTAGCTAAAAAGCAATGACGGTTATCACTGACTACTGCCAAATGTAATGTTAATTTTTTTTTTTTTTTTTTTTTTTTTGAGACAGGGTCTTGCTTTGTTGCCCAGGCTGGAGCACAGTGGCATGATTTCAGCTCAATGCAACCTCCGCTTCCCGGGTTCAAGTGATTCTCCTGCCTCAGCCTCCTGAGAGGCTGGGACTAAGGGTGCGTGCCACCACACCCAGCTAAAAATGTGACATTTGAGATTGTAATTTTAACCAACATTCATGGACATGGTGGTTTACCCCTGTAATTCCAGCACTTTGGGAGGCCAAGGCAGGGCCATTACTTAAGGCCAGGAGTTGGAGACCAGCCTGAGCAACATGACAACATCCTGTCTCTACAAAACAAAGAAACAAAATTAGTCGGGTAGTGTGTGCCTATAGTCCTAGCTACTTGGAAGGCTGAGGAAGCAGGATTGCTTGAGCCCAGGAGATCAAGGCTGCAGTAAGCTATGATCACGCCACTGCATTCAGCCTGGGCGACAAAGTGAGAGCCTGTCTCAAAAAATAAAATGAACAAAATTCATTTAACAACTATTTTATGAGCATCAACCACATGCCACTCTGTTTATGCTCTTTTATCAGCCTACCTTGTGGTGATCAGTGTGAATATGTTGGGGTACATATTCAGTGAAGGCAAGGGGGTTCAGATGGGTTTTGGAGGTACACTCATCCTAATGAACTCCATGGCTTTATCAAATGATCTAATCACCAAAGCCTCACTTGGAAAATGAAACACCATAATTCACCATAATGCTATTACTATAAGACAGGGTAGGCCAGGCGTGGTGGCTCATGCCTGTAATCCCAGCACTTCGGGAGGCCGAGGCAGGTAGATCACCTGAGGTCAGGAGTTCGAGACCAGCCCGGACAATGTGGTGAAACCCCGTCTCTACTAAAAATACAAAAAATTAGCCGGGTGTGGTGGCGCAAGCCTGTAGCCCTAGTTACTCGGGAGGCTGAGGCATGAGAATCGCTTAAGCCCCAGAGGCAGAGGTTGCAGTGAGCCAAGATCACACCATTGCACTCCAGCCCAGGCTAAAAGAGCGAAACTCCATCTCAAAAAAAAAAAAAAAAAAAGACAGAGTCTCGTTCTGTTGCCCAGGCTGAAGGGCAGTGGCATGGTCCTAGCTCACTGCAGCCTCAGACTCCTGGGTTCCTGCTACCCTCTCTCCTCAGCCTCTGGAGTAGCTGGGACCATAAATGTGTGCCACCACACAAAGCTAATTTTTTTATTTGTTTCTTTTATTTTTAACTTTTTAAAAATGCTTGAATTGTTAGAGAATTTTGTTTTTTACTTTTTAATAGAGATGAGATCTTGCTATGTTGCCCAGGCTGGTCTTGAATTGCTGGCTTCAAGTGATCCTCCTGCTTCAGCCTCTCAAAGTGCTGGGATTATGGGCATAAGCTATCATGCAGGGCCTCTATTTTTCAAATATAGAATAAAATGAACCACCTAGAGGTTATTATATTTTCCCTGAGCTAAAAGGAAATTAACAACCAAAGTAGGCTGAGAATTTAGTACTACTTCCTTCAATTTCTTTTTATTCCATTGAGCCCTTAAACTGCATCAACTGAAATTTACTGAAAAAATCAGATTAAATAACAACATTTACTAATCAATACACTAGGCTTTATTCTACCCAAATTTACATCTTAATAACTGTTTTGAAGATACACCATGTTTCACTTTTTTCAACCGTAACAAATTTAGCCTGCTGTCTATACACTGGCTTGTGTACCAGCTCAGGAATTTAATTTATATTCTAAGTAAACAAAGTGTAACAGCAGATGTTAGACTGTGTGCTACTCATGGACCAAAACCCTCTACACCCAGTTAGCCACATCCAATTTGAAGATGCATGATTTATTTCTATTGAAAATAAGTTGTATCATTCAGGGCACACACACAAAGGAACAAAGGAACAAAGGAAAAGAAATAACCTGACTGCCACTGTATCAACGTATATCATAGCACAGGCCTTCTTCTTATTTTTCAGTTAGTTCCTACCTATATGCAGTCTCTTCAGACCTTTTACATCTTGAGACTCAAACTGCATAATCTTCTGCGTCATGATTTCATTGAGTGGAAATCCTTTTCTTCAGCAATGGAGAGCTTTAGAACACTACAACAAAATGCAAATGCCTTTAATATCATGCAATAGGCTCTTTCCCCCAGGTGAGTATTAAGGCCTTTAATAGGAAAATTACACTCGAAAAGTTTATCTTTCAATTTTTATTTTGCTCAACATTATTCATAGTAGGTACATTCAGTTATGCTACACATGAACGTTCTCAACATGAATGTAGATCATATAGACTATTTATCGTATGGATTAAATGAGCTCAAACGTGTAAAGGATTTAGAACAATATCTGGAACATAGCGAATTGTCAAATCTTTATTATCATCATCATCAGGCTCGACACGGTGGCTCACACCTCTAATCCCAGCACTTTGGGAGGCCAAGGTGGGAGGATCACTTGAGGCCAAGAGTTCGAGACCAGCCTGGCTACTATAGTGAAACCCCATTTCTATTAAAAATACAAAAATGAGTGTGGTGGTGCATGCCTGCAATCGCAGCTACTCAGGAGGCTGAGGCCAGAGAATCACTTGAACCCAGGAGGTGGAGGTTGCAGTGAGTCGAGATCCTACCACTGCACTTCAGCCTGGGTGACAGGAATGAAAACCCGTCTCAAAAAAACAAAATCATCATCAGTGTCAACTTTCTTCTCGAACTTTGCCTCTTTGTTTCTTTAGGTTGTGTAATTCCTACCTTACATTTTGTATCCGGACCTCCAAAGATAATACTCAGGCTTACTTCACATTGCATGCCTGTATCAAAACATCTAATGTACCCCATAAATATATACACCTGTTATGTACCCAGAAAAATTTTAAAAAACAATAAAAACATTACAAAATAAAACAAAATAATATCAGGGTGTGCTCGAAGGAAAAAAAAGAATAATATATAAATGTTTTTTAAAAAAAGCAACAAAGATAATACTCAGGATAGGAAAGTTCTTCTAAATATAAACTTTTGTGTAAGTTAGGGTTCTCCAGAGAAAGAGAACTAATAGGAGAAAAACGTAGATAAAGATATGGACATAGACATAGATATAGATTTATTATACGGAATTGGCTCACCCAATTATGGAGGCTTACAAGACTCTAGATCTACAGCTGGCAAACTGCAGACCTAGGAGAGCTGATGGTAGAGTTCCAGTCTGAATGCCGGCAGGCTCAAGACCCAGGAAAAGACTGTTCCAGTTCAGTTTTTTTTTTTTTAATTTCTTTTTATATAGACATAGGGTTTCACCCTGTTGGCCAGGCTGGTCTTGAACTCCTGGGCTCAAGTGATACGCCTGCCTAGGCCTCCCAAATTGCTGGGATTATGGGTGGGAGCCATTGCATTCGGCCCCAGTTCAGTTCTGAAAACAGGCAGGCAGGAGGAAATTCCCTCTTACTTGCAAGCGCTTCAGCCTTTTTTGTACTTTTCAGGCTTTCAGCTGATTGGATGAGGCCCGCCCACGCTGGAGAGGGTAATATACCTTATTCAATCAGAGACACCTTCATGTACACACTTAGAGTAATATTCGATCAAATATCTGGCACCCCGTGGCCCAGTCGCGTGACACATAAAATTAACCACCATGTAATCCATTTTGATTAGTTTTTCTCATCCCTTAGTCAGGTATACCTCACAGATTCTTCCAGAATGGGACTCAATCAATCAGCATATTTTTACTGTGTATAAGGCACAGTAGCTTCTAAAGTATTTTTAGAGATGTTCTTTGTTCTGAAGGAGCTGATAACATAGTTAGAAACACTAAACAAAACCTTAATTAAAAATATATTAAAAAGGAATAAACAAAAACTATAGCAAGGCCAGGGGTGATCAAGTACATGGAGACAAATGAATGTTGCAGACAAAGTGATTCTATGGAGTAAATGACCGGCATGTATTGGAGCAGAGTGAGCAGAACTCAAGGAAGAAATGGTTCTCAGAGTAAAGGATGTGGATGATTTTATTAAGCATGGGGAAGTACTATATTTTGAAATATTAATTTGTGCATTTTCTAGGTGTGCCATTTCCTCTTCCTGCAGCTACAGTGAAGCAGAAACAAAGGCTCATAGAAAACACTGTCCTATCAGCTAACTGGGTTGCTCCTTAATAAAATAATTTAAAAAAAGAAGAAGAAGAAAACACCATCCTAAGCGGGAACATTTAGGGTTCATGGAGCAGAATTTACCTCATAGTTTAAATAAAATTGGGCCTGGCCAGGCATGATGGCTCACGCTTATTATAATCCCAGCACTTCGGGAGACCAAGGCGGGCAGATCACCTGAGGTCAGGAGTTCAAGACCAGCCTGCCCAACACGGAGAAACCCCTCTCTAATAAAAATACAAAAAATTAGCCAGGCGTGGTGGCACATGCCTGTAATCCCAGCTACTTTGGGAGGCTGAGGCAGGAGAATCACTTGAACCCAGGAGGCGGAGGTTGCGGTGAGCCGAGATTGCGCCATTGCACTCTAGCTTGGGCAACAAGAGTGAAACTCCTTCTCAAAAGAGAAAAAACAAAAACAAAAACAAACAAACAAAAAAAACTGGGTCGGGAGAAGGGAGAGGAGAGGGCTGGTGGGTCACTGGGACTGCAGAGGACAGAGCTGGAGAAGGATGGGGAGCAAAAGAGGGATGCTCCAACTCCAGAACCAGGGAGCTGAGCAGAAGCAGATTTGACACAGGCTTTTGTCTAATAAGGGCCTACAGGAGCCACTCTCTGACAACCTTTGAATAATTGCTCATTCTTTCCCCACCTACTCATTGCCTGTGATTGCTTTCCATGTTTGGGTGCTAAACTCCTGCAAGTCCATAGTCTACCTCACTTCCAATAGAGTGAGGGGGTCATGAACATCTTATGAGGATGAGTGGTGTCCTGCAGGAACCTCTGTTCAAAGTAAGACCCAATACAACCAATTGGGAATTCCCCTGTGAGTGAGGACATTGGTGGCCACACTGTCCCTAGGTACGTACATACAGAAAGAACTAGTATCAAATATATTTAGAATGGGCCTTTTTTTTTTTTTGACAGAGTCTTGCTCTGTAGCCCAGGCTGGAGTGTGGTGGCGCAATTTTGGCTGACTGCAACCTCTTCCTCCCAGGTTCAAGTGATTCTCATGCCTCAGCCTCCTGAGTAGCTGGGACTATAGGCACGCACCACCACACCCAGCTAATTTTTGTATTTTTAGTAGAGATGGGGTTTTGCCATGTTAGCCAGGCTGGTCTCAAACTCCTGACCTCAAGTGATCCACCCACCTCAGCCTCCCAAAATGCTGGGATTACAGGCATGAGTCACCACACCTGGCCAGAATGGCCCAATTTGAATAGTTCTTAAGTACATAAAAAGTGCCACTGATAATTGAACTGTTAACCCACCTGCAGAGTTTGGCCCAGCAGGGCAGATACTATGTTCAACCACATGTAAAGGCTTAAGATTGCATGTAGACACATCTTTGGTAACCACTTTAATCTCTTTTACCAAATCAGATAATGCTATTCTTTAAGGATTTCCCCAAAGGATCATCACCATATGGCTGTCCTAGATAAGTGAAGAAATTACCATGTAGTGATATGACCAACACAGGGATTCAGGATTGAAATGGTAGGATTGGCTTGTGCAGAGGATGGTTTAATAGATGCCAGCAAGCAGAGAAAGAAGAATTGAGAAATATGCTTGTCCTTTATTTGCTGCTGGATCTGTAGTGTCAGATTCCAGCCAACTGAGAGTATTCCTGGCTTCAGTGATCATCCATCCATCCATCCATCCATCCATCCATCCATCCATCCATCCATCTGTCCAACACATATTTACTGAATGACTAACTATGTATTAGGAATTCATCTATGAGCAGAAATTTAGTAGTGGGGAACAAAGATAAAAATCCCTGCTCTCGTGGTGCTTATGGTTTAGTGAGGAGAGCAAGATAAGAAACAAAATAAGCAGAGTAGGTTATGGAGAAAAGAAAATGAGAAAGCAGCATGGGTAGTGCTACAGTTGGTGGAGAGAAGGCTCCTCTGGAAAGATGACTTTGAGTGAAGGCCTGAAGGACCATGGCATGAGCCATGTGGATAACTGGGGAAAAGCTCCCACAGGGTGATGGCAGGGACAAAGACCCTGAGCTACTTTATGGCACATAAAGGCTGATCGATTTGTAACAGCAAATGACACATGACGAGCCTTTGGTTAAGGTAAATATACATCCCCTCTATGTTTAAGATTATTTTCTGCCAGAAGATGCTGAAGCTAAATATTGACCTAATTTTTTTCTATGTATTATGTTCTTCTTTGAAAATAGAGTACTACGTCATTCCAGCCTGATTGGCAGTTTCTCTAATACTGAAAAGGGATGTGCCAACTGCCACCTAGGAAGTTGGTGGTGAAGCAGTCAGTGACTACAATTTGTGATTGCCTATTGACAAATTAAGACTGAAATTGTCATGACTTGACCTCCTGCTGATGTAAATCCTTAATTACCAAGAGTGTCAAGAAAACTCTTTTCAGTGTCCTGCGCCCTTTCTAATGCCCCTTATTAAATATACATAGCTTTGCATTCTTCCATGGGGTCAACACTCAGCATGCCTTGACTTTTAACTGGCACCATTAATCAACGTGATGTTAATCCAGGATGAACAGCTATCACATTAGGGCGAGTGATAAGAACCAACCATGTTGTTTCATGGATGAAGGTAACATTTTCTATGCAGGGTTTAGTCATTCCTTATGAACTTCACTTCCTGCAAAGGTCTCATGAGACCAGTAGCTCATTTCACAAGAGCTATCTTCAAACTCTTTCCTCAGCCTCACTCTTATTACTACAGTACAATAACGGTTGGGCCTTCAACTAAGTGGACATTTGAGATCTTCATATATCTAAGACATTATATCATACTTCACAGCAAGAGACAGTAAGTCTTCATTTAAGGCCAAATTTCTGGTGTTAGTGGAGAATTCAGTTTGAATGCTTTTATTCATGGAGCTAAAATTGCAAACATATTTTATTTTATTTATTAAGAGACAGGGTCTTGCTCTGTCACCCAGGCTGGAGTGCAGTGGCAGGATCATAGCTCACATAGCCTGGAACTCCTGGACCCCCACGTAGCTGGGATTACGGGTGCAAACCATTGTGCATGGCTTAAAATTGCAAACACATTTGTCTTATCATATTTGTAGTCTGTACTTCAGAGCAAACTAGGATAGAAACGAAGGGAAAACTCAGCCATCTTTACGGTGAGCCAACTTAGGGGCCTATCAGACTCTTCAGTTGGTAATGCAAATATCAGTGAGTGATTTTATAATTTCTTTATTTTCTTTTCTTTTTTGAGACAGAGTCGCACTCTGTCCCACAGGCTGGAGTGCAGTGGCACCATTTCAGCTCACTGCAACCTCTGCCACCCAGGTTCAAGTAATTCTCCTGCCTCAGCCTGCTGAGTAGCTGGGATTACAGGCATGAGCCACCAAGCCCGGCCTGATTTTTGTATTTTTAGCAGAGACAGGGTTTCACCATGTTGGCCAGGCTGGTCTCAAACTCCTGGCCTCAATTGATCTGCGCACCTTGACCTCTCAAAGTGCTGGGATTACAGGCATGAGCTGCTGCATCCGGCCTGATTTTATAATTTATTTCTTATGGTGCCTGGCATATTTATGAAAAACTTGTCTTATGTAAATCACACTTCTGGTTCTTCACAGATTCTCTTCCTACCTGTCCCTTCCCTTTTTCCCCAGGAGCGAAGCATTTCTATGTGTGTGTCTGCACGTGTGCGTGAGAGAGAGCGAGAGAGAGAGAGAGAGTGAGAGAGACAGAGAGAGAGAGAAGGGGTAGACAGAGTTCTGAATCAAGACAAGACATGGGTTTCTGTCCCCACCCCACTACATGGTTACTGGCCATGCCCCTCTCCAGCCTTCACTTTGTCTCTCTGTCTCAATTTGCTCATCAGTAAGAGGAGGACACCTTTTTCTTAATAGGGGTTTGGTGGGTATAAAACGAGGTGATATATGTGAAAAACTTAAAATCTATAATGATTAGCACAGCTTTAATACATCGCTCATCACCTGTGCAGGTCTGGAATCAGCTCCTCCGGGTGTTACCCCAGGATGGCTACGCACCATCTTTGGGAAAATCATTTCAAAAATTGTTTCAGTTACTCCACCTGTGCAAGGAGGGTAGGTATTATGCAAATGTGCAGCAACTGTCTGATCACAGCTCACTAAATAGTAGTATTACGGTTTACAGGGGATGTGGAGAGTGTGCCAGGTTTGAAAACGTCAGAGATCCAGAAACCCAACCTCAAGCTGTGCAGAGAGCCTGGGACTAGCCCAATGGTGTCGTAGCCTCCTGTCCCCAGGGGCTGCAGCTGAACCTTGAAGGGGACCCAACCCTTTCCTGGCCGGGGTGTGGACACATTGGCCTTGGGCAGGCGCTCTTAGGGCAGGCGCCAGGGTGGAGTTGGAGCAAGGCTTCTTGGAGAACCCCTCCCTTGGAAATGAATTCCAGTGCCTAACTGCAGATTTCATTCATTTTAACAAAGGACTACTCCTATTCAGTTTGATTAAAATAGAATACAGACTTCTTAGGAATTATCAACATACATACTTGCCACACATTCGCATACGTGAGAAAGAAGTTAGGATTTGTAGTGCAATGCCTGGAAAGCGTGCCCTTCGCCCAGGTATTCCATATCAGGCCTGCTGTCTGCGAAAACGGCATTCAAAATGAAAGACCAGTGCACATCATAGAGAAAATTTTTTAAGCCAAGACATTTCCTTTTTCCAATCTGTGCAAATTTATTGAACGCACTTAAAATAAAGAGCATTTGGCAAAAACTTTTTTATTATGATCTCTTAGTAAATTAATCATCAGTTACTTATTGAAAGTGTGTCTGCTGGTAGTCAAGCAGGGCTAGATAATACCAAAATAATATATTTGAGCAAGCATTTATTGAATAGTAACAGGCACTGTGCTTGGCATTAATGAGATGAAGACATGGATCCTGTCCTCTAAAAGCTTAGAGAGTGGTTCAGGATGGAGTAGGTGGGGCGTAGCAAATAAATGTTTTCAACACATGAATGTTGTGCTGATGAGAAAGCAGAGGCAGTGGGAACCAGAGAGGAGCTTCCAAATCTGGACGTTCAGAGAAGCCTGCCCTGGGGCTTGGGTTGAGTCTCAGAGGATGAATGGGAGTTGGCAAGCAAAATTGACGGAAGGGTGGGGAAGAGTTCTGTGGTTGGGTGAATAGGAAGGGCAACGTCACAGAGACGTGAAATGACATTATGCCTGCAAATAAATACACAAGGAAAGTCTGAGGCAGACTATGGAGGAAGACGAGCTGGGAGAGAAAGGTAGGCAAAATTAGGCCCCAGAAGGCATCTATGCCGTGCTAAGAAATGTGGACTTTGGGTCTATTGGTGGTCAGAAAAGGCTGAGAGAGTGACTTTGAACATAGCCTCATCCGTTGGCTGGGCATGGTGGCTCATGCCTGTAATCCCAGCACTTTGGGAGGCCAAAGAGGACAGATCACTTCAGGCCAGGAGTTCGAGACCAGCCTGGGCAACGTAGCAAGACTCCCATCTCAAAATTTAAAAAATTATAAAAATAAACATAAAAAAATTTAAAAATGAACATAGCCCTGTCCTCAGAGGATCTAGGGATTATTGAGATAAAGCCCATTACACCCTTAAGTGTAAAGGAGTGAATGTCAGAAAGGCCAACACCTAGGAAGGTTGCATTGACCTTAATAGCTGACAAATGGTAGCTTCTGCTTGCAAACATTGCTTACATACAATGTTTGCTAGTAACTGTTCATTAAAGAGTTTAAAAATATTTTTTTTCCCTTTTAAGAAAATGTATTTATTTATTTATTTATTTAGAGACAGGGTCTCACTCTGTTACCCAGGCTGGAGTGCAGCGGTGCGATCTCTGCTCACTGCAACCTCCACCTTCTGGGTTCAAACGATTCTCCTGCCTCAGCCTCCCAAGTAGCTGGGATTACAGGCACGTGCCACCGTGTCTGGCTCATTTTTTTGTATTTTTAGTAGAGACAGGGTTTCACCATGTTGGCCAGGCTGGTCTTGAACTCCTGACCTTAAATGATCCGCCCACCTCGGCCTCCCAAAGGGCTGGGATTATAGACGTGAGCCACAGCACCCAGCCTTTAAATTTAATTTTAATTTTTAATTTTTATTTCTTTTATGAGGGATGGGGTCTTGGGCACTGTCACTCAGGCTGGAGTGTAGTGGTGAAATTATGGCCCACTGCAGTCTTGACCTGCTGGGCTCCTGAGCAACTAGGACTACAGGTGCACACCAACACACCTGGCTAATTTTTCAAATTTTTTGTAGGGTCTCGCTGTGTTGCCCAGGCTTGTCTCAAACTCTTGGCCTCAGGTGATCCTCCTGCCTCAGCTTCCTAAAGTGCTGGGATTACAGGCATTAGCCACTGTGCTTGGCCAACTACTAACCTTTCTTCTCCAAATTCCAGCTCCACATTTCTTTTTTCAATTTTTGAGACAAGGTCTCATTCTGTCACCCAGGCTGGAGTGCAGTGGTGCAATCTGGCTCACTACAACCTCTGTCTCCAGTGCTCAAGTGATACTCCCACTTTGGCCTCCGGAGTAGTTAGGACCACAGGTGTGCATCACCACACCAGGCTAATTTTTGTATTTTTTTTTTTTTTTTTTTTGGTAGAGACAGGGTTTTGCCATGTTGCTCAGGCTGGTCTTGAACTGCCAGGCTCAAGCTATCTGCTCGCCTCAGCCTTCCAAAGTGCTGGGATTGCAGGCATAAGCCACTGTGCCCAGCCCAACTTCACATTTTTATGTTACTGGGTTAGATTACTTTAACGCAGTTAAATTTAAAGTTTAACTTTTAAATTTTCATGTTAGAAATGATAAGCCGGGTGTGGTGGCACATCCCTGTAGTCCCAGCTACTCAGGAGGCTGAGGCAGGAGGATTACTTGAGCCAGGGGTTCGAGGCCAACCTGGACAACATTAACGTAGTGAAACTCCATCTCTAATATAATAAAAATAAAAATAAAAATAAAAATGATAGCCCAGACTAGGATAAAAAGATAAAGCTGCTCTCAGCCACAGGGAAGCACATCTTTTACATACACTCTTTTCCCTGGGCTTCAAGCAGAAGAACTGATAGAAGACAACTCCGTATTTTGCCACAGGTACAAGCTACATAAGGCGGATCCTATGATGGGAAGCTTTGTTTTAATTTTTATTCCAAAATCCTTTTATTCTCCAACTCAAATTTTCAATAGGCTGGGCGAGGTGGCTCACGCCTGTAATCTCAGCACTTTGGGAGGCCGAGGCAGGAGGATCACCTGAGGTTGGGAGTTCAAGACCAGCCTGACCAACATGGTGAAATCCCGTCTCTACTAAAAATACAAAATTAGCTGGGTGTGGTGGCACATGCCTGTAATCCCAGCTACTCAGGGGGCTGAGGCAGGAGAATCCCTTGAACCTGGGAAGCGGAGGTTGTGGTGAGCCGAGATGGCACCATTGCACTCTGGCCTGGGCAACAAGAGTGAAACTCCATCTCAAAAAAAAATTTTTTTTTCAATAGATAAACATGCATTTTGTTTCAACAATTATGGCAAGGCATTGGGCTGGCTATCAGAGATGCAGCAGAGAGCAAGACAATAAATTGGGTTCATGCCTTCCAGGAGTATAAAGACCAGTGGTGACAATTCTTGGAGAATGAGATGGACTCAGGAAAGTAAACGAGAATTGCACTAGGCATACCAAGCACCATGAAGGGAGCACTATATTTGGGAGCATATAATGAGTGCAATCCTAGACTGGGTGACAGAAAAGGCTTCCCTACAGGAACTGATATTTAAGCTGAGAGCTGGAGGATATGTAAGACTGAGCCAAGCAAGCAGAAGGAGGAAGCGTGTTCCAGGCAGACGGACAGCGTGAGTGAGTCCCAAAGGCAAGTGGGAATGGGGCATGTTCCAAGAATTCAAAGGAACTCCTGTGGCTGGAGAGGAGTGTAGGGGAGAGGCACACTTGGAGGCGAGGCCAGGGAGAAAGGCGGGTCAGTGAGGGAGGTCATTGGCAGCCACGTGATGCAGCCCTTTGCGTGCTGTTATGAAGACGTGGGACTTCAAAATTCTTTCCTTATTTTATACTCTAGGACAGCCACTGTCAGAGAGATTAACTGGCTTTTCTAAAATCAACTATCAGGCTGGGCATTGTGGCTCATCCCTGTAATGTCTGTAATCCCAACACTTTGAGAGGCTGAGGCAGGAGGATGGCTTGAAGCCAGGAGTTTGAGAACAGCCCTTGCAACCTAGGGAGGTCCTGTGTCTACAAAAAATAAAAACATTAGCCAGGTGTAGTGGCACACAGGTGTAGTCCCAGCTGCTCAGGAGGCTGAGGTGGGAGGATCACTTGAGGCTGGGAGGTTAAGGCTGCAGTGAGCTGTAATTGCACCACTGCATTCCAGCTTGGGGCAATAGAGTGAGACTCTGTCTCAAAAATAAACAAAATATCAAAAATCAAATGTCTGTATATTGACGGACCACTGTGTCTTCCTTGGGTTTCCCCAGAGCAGATCATTACACAAGGATTCAATTATTTGGGGGATTAGCTTACGAAACACCAGCAAGGAAAGGGCACAGGAAACCCAGTTCCTGTTTAGTTCTGGTTTGAAGGCCACGGTAGGGGTGGGGTGGGGATATTCATTGTCTGGCACTTCCAGTCTGCTGCCTGGGTGGGGACACTGGGTCCAGAGGCAGCTCTCAGGTGAAGGAATGCAGATGTGGAGAGTTGGGCATTTGGAATGGTGGTCTGCATGCACTGAGTGGCCAGGGCGAGGGGACACGGGCCGGGCACTGAGTTATCTGCTGCAAACAGTTCTATGGCTCTGATTCTGAGCCCCTACACCACACTACATTGGCTGGATTTGACTTGAATTCCACCTGACTAGCAGGTGAAAGATGCTTACTTGATGGTGGATAGAACCAGAAAAGTCACATAACATTCTAGAACTCTGTGCCGAGGCCCCGGCAATACCTCAGGTTCTAGGCCTCTGTCTCCTTCGTCACAGCATGCACTTCCCATAATTCTTTCCTTCACTTCGGAGTCTTAATACCAAAGGAAGACACGCCATTTTGAGCAGCCTATTAATTTGAAAGTGTCAAGTGTAACTAGGGAATAAATGAGACTCCTCAAAATGAGAGCTTAGTGAGGCATGAGGTAGTGAGCAAGGTCAAGCGCTTAGCTTAAAACAGCTGGATTAATTAGGGTAAAGTCTTTGGGCTTGGGATTTGGGGGCCTTTCTGACTCATGCAATTTTTCCAGAAATGAATGGGTCATATGTTTTGGGAATCTGATATTTAATGACAAGTTTTGGGGTTAAAAAAGTTCACAGTAAGTTTATGTTAGCAATAATTGTCCTTGGGGAGATTTTGCGGAGCAAGGGAAAGAGAGATGTTGGTTCTCCTTTCCTTCCTAGCTTTTTGCCCTCATCAAACATTTATAGCTGGAGGCCCTGTGAATTTCAATATCAACATCATGGTTCAGGTGCTCAAGGATTTCATAGTCTGTGAGAAGACAGACACACAGATAAACGCACACTAGCTAACAAGCCATGGAGCCCTGGGGCAATTTGTCAGCCTCTCCGGGCTCTGTTTCATTTGGAAGGACCTTGATGGACAAGTTCAGTGCTTCTCAACCTTGGCTGTTCATTGAAAGTACTTAGGGAACTTAGAAAGAACACCAGTGCCCCAGCTGGCCTCATGGCTCTGGAGTAAGGCCCAGGCGTTGGTATTTTTTTTAAAGGTTTTGCTAACTCTAAAAGTCCTTCCCCCAGTCTCCCCCAACCCACCCAGAGAGCCTGTACTCTGTTTAACTCAACAGAAGACAGGAGGTGGGAGGTGAAAATCACATTCCCTCCTCTTGGTCTGGTGAACACGTAGTGTGAGCGCAGTGGAGCTCTGTGTTAGGTGACCATATGCCAGCCGCCTCTTGGACTCTGAGTGAATAGCTCACCTCAATAGAACGCATAGAACACTCATTCCAGAAATAACAGGTGCCCACATTTTTCTTCCTTGGGAGACACATTCATGGAGCCAACAACTAATTATCATACCAAGAAAACAAAAACCGTGAGGGAGAGCAGAGGCGGGCTGGCAGCACCCTTGAGTTGTACAAACCGTGACTCACTGGTGTTCAAGGCTGAAGCATCTCCGTAGCATCTCTCTGAGAAGTATCCTGTGGTTATTTTGCAAAAGAAAGAAGGCAACGTGCTTTGCCGTGAGCCTGAACGGAAGGAGAGCTCTTCTCCAATCTCCTGCGTCCTCTGGTTGGCTTCGGACCACACCTGCCATTGAACTTTCCATAGCTGGAATAGAGAACACTTGGCTTCCACACCCCTGTTCTGGCGTGTTCACTACACTAACAACCTCTTCTGTTACGTACAAGGTAATTAAAGGATGAGCTTAGAAGCTGGCACCTTTCCTTTAAAGTAAAAGGCAGCTTACGTTTTGCTAGTGACAGTCTCCTGTAAAAATAACTCTCTTATTAGCGATGACATAAGAGCCACTGAAACCATCTCCGCTCATGGTTAAGCTTGGAGCCTGCCCCATGCCCTTCTGAGGCCCTTTCTCCAATACATGCTGACAAAATCGGCTCCCTGTGCGCCAACATCAACATAATGACCTCACCGTGGATGAGTCTATGAGTCTCTGAAGGCTGAATGATTCTTCAGAACACGCTGAGGAGATGAGCTAGAGGCATGAATAAATTGCTTGTACTTTTCCTTGCTGGCTGTAAAGCCAGCATTGCTCTATCTAATGGAATGTCTACAAAAAGCCACAAGAACTCCATCGTTGTTGTTGTTGTTTTTCTTTTTAGGCTGATAGGTTTTCTTTTTCATCTCCTGCAGCAGGTCTTGTTTGAGAGAACTTTGGAATGTGTAGTGACCACTAAGAGCATGGAATTGAATTAGCTGATTGATTACAAAGAGAGAGCCTCAATTTAAAAGATAGAGGCCCAGACCGGGCAAAGTGGATCGTTCCTGTAATCCCAGCACTTTGGGAGGCCGAGGCAGGAGGATCACTCGGGCCCAGGAGTTTGAGACCAGCCTGGGCAACATAGTGAGACCTTATCTCTACTAAAGATAAAAAAGCTACCTGGGCATAGTGGCACATGCCTGTGGTCCTATCTACTTGGGAGGCTGAGGTGGGAGGATCACTCGAGTCCAGAAAGTTGAAGCTGCAGTGAGCTGTGATCATGCCCACTGCACTCTAGCCTAAGCGACAGTGAGACCCCATCAAAAAAGAAAAAAAAAAAAGTAAAAGACAGAGGCCTATATCTGCCCAGTGAAGATCTGGCGGAGTCAAAACTCAGAATGAGGCTGGGTGCAGTGGCTCATACCTGTAATCCCAGCACTTTGGGAGGCCGAGTGGATCACTTGAGGTCAGGAGTTCGAGACCAGCCTGGGCAACAAGATGAAACCCAGTCTCTATTAAAAATACAAAAATTAGCCAGGCCTGGTGGCAGTCACCTGTAATCCCAGCTACTTGGGAGGCTGAGGCAGGAGAATCTCTTGAACCCAGGAGACAGAGGTTGCAGTGTCTGAAATCAAGTCACTGCACTTCAGCCTGGGCAGCAGAATGAGACTCTATCTCAAAAAAAAAAAAAAAAAAAAAAAAAAAAAAAAAAAAGAAACAGCTTGGAATGACACAACCCCAGGAAACTATCTTCATAATGTGTGGTGTGGACAGGGACCAATGGCATTAAAATATGTGAAATGAGTTTTCCAATTAGACAATTTTTTCATTTAAATTGTATTATTGTTATATTTGAAAAGCAATGGATGCCTTATGGAAAATATAGAAAACATAAGAAGAAGATTTTGAAAATCATTATATGCCTATACAAAATAATAAGTGTTACAGCTTATATTTTCTTCTAGTCTTTTTTCTTTGTGTTGCTTTTTGGTAACATACTGTTTATATGTATAAATATATAATATTTAGCAGGCACAAAAATCTTCTTGGGGCTTTAAAATTTTCATCTTTATACTAGGAATAATAATAGTATTACTATATAGCATAATATAGTATATAATTATAATATAGTATATATAGTAGTAATAGTACTACATATATAGTCTATATACTATTATATACAATAATAGCACATATTATATATGTGCATTCTCCTCTGTTTACTTAATGTGCATTTTTCTATTTTAAGATACACTTACCACAAAACATCTTTTGCAATGGCCACCAAATATTCCACTGTCATTATTTTTAATAAAAAATTTCCATACTTTATTCTATAAAGCTGAGTAGAAATTTTTTTTTCCGGCCAGATACTCTAACCAAAATATTGTGAAATAAAACAAAGGTCCTTTTCCATCTTATACATAGAGTCATTGAGAATAAAAAATGAAAATAATAATAAAGCTAAGGTCCTTTTCAATAAGTTACAAAATAAAATATAGAATCTCCAGTTAAATTTGAATTTCAGGTAAATAACAAGAATTTTTAAAAATGTAAGTATGTCCTAAACATTGCATGGGATATATATTTTATACCAAAATATTATTTGTCATTTGTCTGAAATTAAAATTTAACTGGGCCTGTATTTTTATTTGCTAAATCTACAACCTTATGAGTGAAATGAGAAAAAGGGAGGGGACCTGTTTACTTTGCCTAATTGTTACTAATTTTTTCAAAAAAGAAAGTCATTTTAACTTTTTATTAATAATCTACCATATGGTAACAGCTAAGCAGAAAATAAAAGTGAAAAAATAAATAAGAAAGAAGAAAAGAAAAGGTAAACAGACATAAGGTATTTACAGTCTCAAAAAATAAATAGAAGTGATATTATAGCTAACCAAAATTATTTTAAAGGTATATAACAGGCTGGGCACGGTGGCTCATGCCTGTAATCCTCACACTTTGGGAGGCTGAGGCGGGTGGATCACTTGAGGTCAGGAGTTCGAGACCAGCCTGGCCAACATGGTAAAACCCCATCTCTACTAAAAATACAAAAATTAGCCAAGTGTGGAGGCTCACGTCTGTAATCCTAGCTACTTGGGAGGCTGAGGCACGAGAATCACTTGAACCCAGGGGGCAGTGGTTGCAGTAAGCAGAGACCTCGCCACCACACTCCAGCCTGGGTGACAGAGTAAGACTCTGTCTCAAAAATAAATAAACAAATAAAAGGTATATAACAAAGAAAGGCATTTATGAATAGCTATTAGTTTTATGTTTTGAAAGCACTACAGGAAATTCATTCTAGTTTTTCAGATAATCATCAACACTGTGTTTTATACTTTAGGCTTTTCAGATAGAATATGATTATGTGGCAGCTCATACCTGAAATGACTCTTGTGGAATTCAGCTGAGGATATAGCCAATGGCCAAACCATTTGTTGCCAATTTCAGGAGTAATGGTCCTAATTGTTGAAGAATGGAGACTTTCTTCATAGGTTCTACCTGCAGAGGCCTCTCCCAATCATTGTAGACTAGTGGGGTTCTGATGAGAAGTTTCCTTTAGGGCCTTACACAAGAACGTTATGAAACCTCTGCTTTCTTGAAGAACCTAACAATTATCTGTAAGTCTAAGAGTCGTTTGCTGATAGTCAGTGGATGCTCCCGGATTTGTATACTCTGCTGAAGGGACTTAGAGCTGCTCATGGCTGGAAAGGGGGCTCAGAACTTTGTCTTGAAGCTGCCCCTGAAGAGCAAGCACAATAGCTTTATTTAGAAGAAATGATTACTTGGGGTAGCTGAAGAAGCAAGTAAAAAGGGGTTGGAGCTGGTGGCAGCCTAAAACCTCCCCCTTCCACTCCATGTCAGTGCTGCTGATTGTGTTTGGGGGAATAAAAGACATCATATAGCAATTGGCATAGGTCACAAAGGATCAGAAGACAGGCTAATGCTCTTAAATATGACTTAGAGGACTAAAAAAATACTGGTGAGAGACATTTCTAACCAGACTATAAAAGCTACGCGCTATCAGCATAGTTTCTTTCGTTTTGTTTTTCACCCAGAGATATCCCTCCAAAACGCAAGTCTGATCATAGCTCTTCTGAAAGCCTCTTCCTGGCCTCCCACTGCCTGCTGAATCAAGGTTGAGCATGAGAGTTGGTGTGACACAGGGGGCCCTGGCCAGCTCCTAGCCCTCCAGCTGCACCTACTCCCATTATCCCAGGCATCTCTTTGCTGCCTGTTGTTGCTTTCCCATCCAACTCGTCAGTAACACTGACTGCAAGTTTATAGGACAAGATACTATTTCATGCCTCTTTTGCACCTGCTGTTTTCTTTGCTTCCAAGAAAGCCTTGTGGCTTCCCCTCCCTCCACTCTCCCTCCCCCAAAGGCTGCCTGGTGACTGCTATTTCTCCCTGAGAACCAGCTCAGATGTCAGTTTCTGCAGGGCCCTTTCTTAACCACTCCTGACACCCCCAGGGTTAAAAGCTCTCCCTTTAAGCTGCTCTGCGTCCTTCTCACATGTTGTGTTGTATCAGATCATTGGTTCATTTTATTTATGTGTCCTCTTCCAATTCATAAGCTTGTTGGAAACAAGGCTCACCTTTTGATTTGTCTCTCTTTCCCTAGCAACTAGACAGAGTCTGATACATTATAATCAGTCAATATTTTTGGGTGAATGAATCCTAGATTTTAAGTTTAGCAATTATTCTATACTCAATAAATTTCCATGTATTTCATTGAAATTAATTCATCAATACATTTCAAAAATCTGAACTCCCAGCTGTACTGTAGGGTAAACTTTGTAAGTAGTGATGCGCTCCCTAGGTCTGCAGCTTTGAGATCTAAAACAGGGCTGTGCACAATCACTTTAGCTCCTGGCTAAGTCTTTGACCCTGCAATTTAGATGTGATTATATCTTTTGAATTCCCATTATATTTCTGTTGTCAACCTCTCAGACAGCTTAACCACAGTCAGGCAAAGGGAAGAAACACATTGAAGTCTGATTTACAACCTTGTGGTCTTTTGGAGCTGTAAGTCAGATTGAGAAGTTACAGGACAGGGAGACTTTGTAAAGTAGGAACTTCTCACAGTGGTAAGTCAGAAATGAGAAAATCCTAGGTCAGAGAAATAATGGTTCTCCAGTTGCAGGGAGTAGCTGCCATCACACTCTCCATCAACATAGGTCTTTGGGTATCTGCCCATTCTCTAATTCGAGTCTCAGTTTGATGTGAAGTTATCTTCTCTTCTTGAACTCACACATAAATAAGTTCTTCTTTGGAACAGAGGAGTGGATTGCTTGTCAGCCCCTCAGAGACTCCGTGGAACCAGGAGTGAGTCACTCCATGTGGTATTGAGGCTCTTTGTTTGACTAATCTCTCATTTAAGATGTTCAAGTGGCTAATAGATGGGAAAGTTCCCTGGAGAAAGTAACTTGCTTGCTTGTGAGTTTCCGTGTGAGGAATCTCTGAGATCTGCTTCTGAATAGCTCTGCTTTTCATCTTGATCATTCATTAATTCAAAAATGGCTTAAATTGTGGCCTAAACATTGAGGTTTGCTCTTCTCCCACAAATTTTAAACAGGAGACCCTTCCTTTTTTGAGATCTGCTTCGAATAGCTGTGCTTTTCATCTTGATCATTCATTAATTCAAAAATGGCTTAAATGTGACCTAAACGTTGAGGTTTGCTCTTCTCCCACGAATTTTAAATAGGAGACCTTTTCTCTTTACACAAGTTTGACAGACCAAGAGTATGTCCTAAAATTAAGCTGTAGTCTCTAAACTTATGACAGTTTGTGAGAGTTGAAATGCAGTAAATGCAGCTTGCAGTGCCTAGATCGTGATTGCTGGATGAAGATATCTTGGGAACAGAGTCCTTCCTATCTGTGATTGGTATTTTCCAGCTTCCCTCTTCCTTTGTGCAGTTCTGTTCCAGTCCCTGTGCCTCGCCGGCCCCACCTGGAATAGCATTTCTCCGTGTGAGCCTGGTATCTACTTCCTTTAAAAACATTGACAAAATAGGTTTTTCTTCTCTGTCTGAGGAGTCTAGATGAGTCCTCCAAAAAAGATGTGGAGTAAGGGAGTTGGGCCATAGGTCATCACTGCTACAATAGTCCATCTGTGCATACTCACACACACTAAAATCCACCAGTTCATCCTGATCCTGATACCTGTTTCTGATCTACAGGGTTCATTCTAGCCTCCTCTCCTCTTTCCTAATTTGTAACTCCTTTGTGTCACAGTGAGAAACCTGGTCTTCTTTATCTACAATAGGTTTACTTTTGTTCAATCCTAGTATAGATATAAAATAGTTTCAGAACTGCTAACTCATACCCATGAAAGACACAAATTTACTAGAGTATAATATTTATTTATGTATTTAATTTTTGAGATGGAGTTTCACTCTTGTCATCCAGGCTGGAGTGCAATGCCTCGATCTCAGCTCACTGTAACCTCTGCCTCCCAGGTTCAAGTGATTCTCCTGCCTCAGCCTCCCAAGTAGCTGGGATTACAGGCGCCCACCACCACACCCAGCTAATTTTGTATTTTTTAGTAGAGATGGAGTTTCCTCATGTTGGTCAGGCTGGTCTCAAACTCCTGACCTCAAGTGATCTGCCCACCTCAGCCTCCCAAAGTGCTGGGATTACAGGCATGAGCCATCACGCCCAGCCAAGTATAATGTTTATGTACAGTTCTTTTGTCTTTAACCATTTAGTATATAGACAAAATTCTATTTCCTAATTCAGGTTAATTCTTTTCTTCCCCACCTCTTTGGTGTGGTTTTGTTATTCATTTGTAATAAAGTGAGTTCCATTTTCCTCCCATCATCCCCCAATCCCATCCCACCAACAGGTTTAGTAGGATTGAGATTATAACCAAGTTGAGCCTGACTGATGGATAAACTCTAGGTTTATTAAAGAAGGTAAATGAATTGTATATTCCTTACTTCTTCTATTTTCTTTTTCTTTCCTTTTTGAGACACGGTCTTGCTCTATCACCCAGGCAGGAGCACAGTGGTGCAATCATGGCTTGATGGAACCTCTGCCTCCTGGGCTCAAGCAATCATTCTACCTCAGCCTCCCAGAGTAGCTAGGACTACAGGTGCATGACACTACAGCTGGCTAATTTTTGTATTTTTTGCAGAGACGAGCTTTTGCCATGTTACCTAAGCTGGTCTTGAACTCCTGAGCTCAGGTATTCTTCTGCCTCCCAAGTTCCTGGGAGTTCAGGTGTGAGCCATCATACCTGGCCACTTCTTCTATTTTAAATTAACTTGGCATCTAGAGAGAAGTTGCCCTATGACAACCCGAAATTCACAGCTACATCAAAATTGCTTTACAACCTCTTTTCTTTACCACTGCCTTTCCCTACTGTTGCAGGAAGTCAGGGACCCCAAACGGAGGGACTGGCTAGAAGCCATGGCAGAAGAACGTGGATTGTGAAGATTTCATGGACATTTATTAGTTCCCCATATTAATACTTTTATAATTTCTTATGCCTGTCTTTACTGCAATCTCTAAACATAAATTGTGAAGATTTCATGGACACTTATCACTTCCCCAATCAACCCTTGTGATTTCCTATGCCTGTCTTTACTTTAATCTCTTAGTCCTGTCAGCTGAGGAGGATGTATGTTGCCTGAGGACCCCGTGACAGTTGCATTAACTGCACAAATTGTAGAGCATGTGTGTTTGAACAATATGAAATCTGGGCACCTTGAAAAAAGAACAGGATAACAGCAGTGTTCAGGGAATAAAAGAGATGACCTTAAACTCTGACCGCTGGTGAGCTGGGTGGGACAGAGCCATATTTCTCTTCTTTCAATAGCAAATGGGAGAAATATCACTGAATTCTTTTTCTCAGCAAGGAACATCCCTGAGAAAGAGAATGCATCCCTGAGGGTGGGCCTTTCAAATGGCCCCCTTGAGTGTGGCCGTCTTCTATGGTCGAGACTGTAGGGATGAAATAAGCCCCAGTCTCCCATAGCACTCCCAGGCTTATTAGGACAAGGAAATTCCCACCTAATAAATTTTGGTCAGACGGGTTGCTCTCAAACCCTGTCTCCTGATAAGATGTTATCAATGACAATGGTGCCCGAAACTTCATTAGCAATTTTAATTTCGCTCCAGTCCTGTGGTCCTGCGATCTCGCCCTGCCTCCATTTGCCTTGTGATATTCTATTACCTTGTAAAGCACGTGATCTCTGTGACCCACACCCTATTCGTACACTCCCTCCCCTTTTGAAAATCACTAATAAAAACTTGCTGGTTTTACGGCTCAGGGGGCATCATGGAACCTACTGACATGTGATGTCTCCCTCGGATGCCCAGCTTTAAAATTTCTCTCTTTTGTACTCTGTCCCTTTATTTCTCAAACCAGCCGATGCTTAGGGAAAATAGAAAAGAACCTACATGAAATATCGGGGGTGAATTTTGCCCGATATCTGGCTGAATTTCCCCTGATACCCTACCCCCTCCATTTCCTGGTCTCATTTTCATAAGAGTTTCTAATGAAGATAAAAACTGGTTTAAAAACCCCTCCCTAACCCTTTTAACTTGGGAGGAGATTGGAATGAATCGTCAAAAGGATGAAAGCTAGGTAGCGGGAAGGTGGAGGAACAGCAGCCAGGGGTCATAAATTATGAAATGAATCATATAATGTTCAGTAGAACTGATGGTCAATGATAGTTGTATTGATTTAACCATAATATAATCAAGAAGAGAAATGCCCTTCTTTGCTTCTGACCTGGCTTGTTTGTTGGGGCCTGATCACACACCAAGATGCCACTAGGATTAGCAGGCTCTTGTCTAAGTGAGCCTCTGGAATTGGCAGGGCCTCATTGCCCACAAAGTTTAACTCCTTATTCTATTTCTGCTCATTCTTTAGTGTGTTCCTTCATTTATTCAATCAATCATCTTTTCACAGACATGGAGCTGGGTTCTTACTCTGCACAAGGAACTTTGCAGAAGAGGGACAATATCTGGGTCACCTCTGGTCACCAGGCATCCCTCTGGCCAATCCCACTGTCTGCTCTGTGACCATCCCCAATGGTAGATACATCACCTCCAAAATATTTGGGAGTTAAGCAAGTAGAAGTCATGAAATTATACTCAGAACTAATCATACAAGGAGAAAAGGCACTGCCTTCCTGTGGAGGGAGTGGTTTTGAAAATCCTATACCATACTCCTTCCCCCAACTACCATTTAGACTTCTAGGAGGGAGTCTAAACTACCTACAAGTCTTGCCTTAGTGCTCTTCCCTGAAGCAGTTCCAACAGCCCAGCCCAGGCATGTACTTGAATTCGTGTAAACAGGGTTCCCCAATTAATGAGGGAAATAGCCATGTGTCAATGCTGGGAACCCAGCGTGATTCATTAGGCAGGTCACAATAAGGCCAATTCAAATTCTGAAATGTTTGTTTCACCAGAATGATATTTACTAGTACAGTAAACAGAACTACAAAACAACTATGTCAAATAGTGCAAACAACAATCAAGATTTCAAAATTGCCTAAGGTGGAAGTAAGAGGGAGCTTATTAAACACCTGCATCATTGGGTATTTAAGGTAATGTTGAAAAGCAGGATTAAGTTTCAGACTTTATAACACAGATACTGGGGACTTCAGTTTGTCATTAACATGGTTAACTGAAAGAAAGGTGCATAGCATTGTGGGATGTTGTATGTACTTTATGAATTGGCTCATGGTCTTTGAGTGGGGATCAGGTAGTTTGCATGGGTAATTTCTCTCTCTCTCTCTCCCCCTTTTTGATTTCTTCTTTATAATAATAACCAGAAAAAGGAACTCTATTTTGTCTTACTTGGGAGACAGGGACAGAAGTAAACATAATTATGTAAGGACTGGATAATAAATCTGATGCTTTTTCTTTTTTCTTTTTTTTTTTTTTTGAGACGGAGTCTCGCTCTTTTGCCCAGGCTGGAGTGCAGTGGCGCGATCTCGGCTCACTGCAAGCTCGTCCTCCCTGGTTCACGCCATTCTCCTGCCTCAGCCTCCCGAGTAGCTGGGACTACAGCCACCCGCCACCATGCCCGGCTAATTTTTTGTATTTTTAGTAGAGACGGGGTTTCACCGTGTTAGCCAGGATGGTCTCGATCTCCTGACCTCGTGATCCGCCTGCCTCGGCCTCCCAAAGTGCTGGGATTACAGGCATGATCCACTGCGCCCGGCCATAAATCTGATGCTTTTTCTTAAGTAAGGCGACCTGAATCTTTTCTGTTTTTGCTGAATACCTTAATTTTTTTCTGTATGTTTGACAAAGTCAGTATTTGGAACAATATTTCTAAGAGAATATTATTTGTTGTGTTGTTCTTCAGGGACTCACATTTAAAAAAATGTTACTACAGTCTCTTATTTCATAATTTCATCATGAGAATTCCTTATCTACCCAGTGACCTCAGACGCTTAGGAGGAAAAGTGTTTCCAAATGTCCAGCTCTTATCTGAGCATCGTCTGAATTATGCAAGGGCCCTAAGTGTATGCATTTAGGTTGGCTCTCCATTGGGGAAGAGCTCACATAAGGGTGTTGGTATTTCCTGCCCCTATTAGGCCAAAACTATTGTAATAACAGCGTTTCTGGCTGGACTCAGGTACCTTTGCTTCAAGTACAGGCCAGAATCAGGAAATGAAGAGGCGTTTGTGAAAGGGAAAACTACTGGGGTGGTGGTTTGTGGGTAGGGAAGGGAGAATTTCTCAATCTTTTTATGGCATCAAAATGTTCAACATGGATAAATCATTAAGAAAAAGAAAAGGCCTACTCTTAGTGGAAATTACCACTCAGATTCTTCATTGTAATTTCTGGTTCTAACATGATATAAATGGACTGGGTAGATCTGAAAGGCTGCAAGGTTTGTCCAAGTAGGAGGTAGAATACTTCGTTTCTTTGCAAGTATTGTGAGGGATTATACCACTTGGGGAAGGTCTTCTTTAAGAAAAAGAACATAAATTAGAAATAAAAATTAGATTTGAAATGGAATATCTATTTAAAATGAGAAAAGAAATACAATTTTTTTAAAGTTGGCAAACGGCATGTATATCACAAAATCCATAAAAACAACACAACACTTTTATTAGGCAACTGCCTGACATACTTCTTTTTTTATTTTTAATTGGTTTTTTATATTTATATTTATTATTATTATTTATTATTTATTTTTGTGACGGAGTTTCACTCTTGTCACCCAGGCTGGAGTGCAGTAGTGCTATCTCGGCTCACTGCAACCTCTGCCTCCCGGGTTCAAGCGATCCTACCGCCTCAGCCTCCCGAGTAGCTGGGATTACAGGTATGTGCCACCACACCCTGCTAGTTTTTGTATTTTTAGTAGAGACAGGGTTTCACCATGTTGGCCAGGCTGGTTTTGAACTCCTGACCTCAAGTGAGCCACCCACCTCAGCCTCCCAAAGTGCTGGAATTATAGGTATGAGCCACTGCGCCCAGTGACATACTTCTATAATACTCTTTCCCAACATTTTTGGCTGCATACTCCTTAATGCCTCTTCAAAAGATAACGATTTGGTAATTTTTTTTACAGGAAATGGCATGGAATGAGAAGTCAGTAAAACCTTGTTTCTTTGCCACTACCCATATCCTTACACTTCTGGTGCCAGATGCTATAGGACTACCTGTAGCCCTACAATCTTGTGTAGAAGCCAGAGGAGTTGGCACAGAAAGGGTCACAGTGGATAGAGTGTTGGGAAGTACATTCTTCAAAGCCAGCCCTATACAAGAAAGGCTTACAATTTTGTAACTATACATATACGTGACTTTGGGCCACTTAAATGGATCTTATAAAACTACCTTACCTTCAAATTAACACTTTATTGGCTGGCTCCTTAAAATGCTCAAGGCCATCAACATGAAGAGAAATCTGATGCGGGGGAAATCGGAGTGGAAAGAAAAGTAATATTTACCAATCGTGATTTAATCATAAATTGAGAATAGAATGTCTCACTCTTCCAGATTTTATGAAAACTTTATGATGATATGAACACATTGGTGGGCCTCTTCCCTTTCCAGGATCTTAGAAGAAGCCCATGCAAGAAGACAGCCCTGATGTTTGACTTTCATTAGCTCCACAGGATATCTATCTGTGGGTCTATGTGAATTTGAGAAGTGACTTAACTCCCTGGCCTCAGTTTCTCCATCTGTCTATTCACACTGGATTCTTGTGAAGATTAAATAAGATAAATGCATATGAGAGTCTGTAAAGAATAGACTCTACTGCTTTGTAGATTACTCAGTATAAGCCTGATGCTTAGGTAATGTAGTTTATGGTCCAATGGATGAGTAGTTTGAAGAGTTTGGTGTATGGAGTAGTAATTCTTATTCTTGGGATGCACTTTAACATTTGCAAATAATTACCCACTTTTAGCAATTTAGAAGCAGCAAAAAATAAAAAGCTTGGAGGAGCTAATGAGAAGACTTGAAAGTTTTGGGACGTGGCTCCAGTCTCTTGGGGTAGCCTGTCTGTTTGCTAGTGCTGGTCCTTTTAGATGCATCTTGGGTGGAGTTTTCCATGAATACAGGAAAGCTTCTAGAGCCTTTCTTTCCAAAATAAACCCTAATTCCATTTTCTTGGGTCTGCTTCTCCTTCAGGCCTTCCCATGTCAGTAAATGCCACCACTATTCACCTAGTTGCTCAACTGCAAACTTAGTTGTTATCCTTGACTCTTATCTTTTCCTCATCATTCTCCTCATCCAATTTATAAACAACTCCTGTTGGCTTTTTAAATTACCTTGACTTCAGTCAACCACCTACACTTCTACTACCCTAGTGCCAGAATCCATCATCTCTCACCTAGAATATTGAAAAAAACCTCTAAACTGATAACTTGTAACTTGAAATAAATTATTTGGATAAGCAGCTAGAGCAATCTTTTAAAATTGTAAAACAGGCCAGGCACGGTGGCTCACGCCTGTAATCCCAGCACTTTGGGAGGCTGAGGCGGGTGGATCACTTGAGGTCAGTAGTTCGAGACCAGCCTGATCAACATGGTGAAACCCCGTCTCTACTAAAAATACAAAAATTAGCCAGGCATGATGGCGGGTACTTGTAATCCCAGCTACTTGGTAGGCTGAGGTAGGAGAATCGCTTGAACCTGGGAGGCGGAGGTTGCAGTGAGCCGAGATTGCGCCATTGCACTCCAGTCTGGGCAAAAAGAGCGAAACTCTGTCTCAATAAAAATAAACTTGTAAAACAAATAAAGCCCTCTAATGGTTTCACATCATACTCAGAACAAATTCCAAACTCCTGCATGATCAGGCCCCTGTCAGTTTCTCTGAATTCATCTCTTACCTCCCCTGTCCAGCTCACTCAACTCTAGTCACACTGGACTTGCTGTTGTTCCCTAATCACAGAAGTTCTCTTCTATATTATGTTCTTTTTCTATATTATTTCCCCTGAGTAACATACTTTTCCTTTAGATTCTTGACCATCCTTGCTTCCTCATTTTCTTCTCACTGAACATCTCCTCTTTTGAGGGGCCATTTCTCACTATCCTGTTTATAAAAGAGCAGACCCTGTCTCCATCACCTTACCCTGATTAACTTCTTCATAGCATTTACCACTGTCTATCATTGTATATTTGTCATTGCTTGTCTACCTGGCCAGAACGTAGGCTGTAAGAGAGAGGATGTTGTCTCCTATCCCCAGCACCTAGAAAAGTGCCAGGCACTTAACAAGCCTTCAATCAATATTTGTTGAAGGAAACAAAGAACGTGAAGAATAAAAGAGACAAACATCTGTGAGACACCTGTTACCTCTTGCCTCCATCCAGATCTGGAGCCTTCTCAGATCTGATAGGTTAATCCTCCCAGCAGAGAAAACATTGCATATTCACCTGTTCAGCTAAAACAGAAATAAGCCACATTCAAATGCTAAAGAGGTAAAACAAACAAACAAACAAAAAAACGCACTTATTGCATATGGTCTCTAAAGCTCACTTTAAAATATATTTTTAACATTTTTCATTCTAAAGGCGATCTTCAGAATGCGGGTTCATCAGTTGGAAGGAAATTTGTACAATTAGATTTTCTCTAATTGATTATTTTCCTCACTGCTGCTTTTAGCCTCATATGTGATATCCTCAAAGGTGATTTTCTTCGAGCTCCTGCCAACATCCCCATATTTGTTTGCTAGGGCTACTGTAACAACAACAAAAAAGTATCACAGATTGGGTGGTTTAAACAAGAAAAATGTATTGATTCACACTTCTGGAGGCTAGGAATCTGAGATCAAGGTGTCAGCTGGGTTGGTTCCTTCGGAGGCTGTAAGGGAGAATCTGTTCCAAGCCGCTCCTAACTTCTGGTAGTTGCCGATGCATCCCCCGATCTCTGCCTTTACCTTCCCATGGCATTCTCCTTATCTGCTGGTCTGTGTTTGCATCCCAATTTCCCCTTTTTATAAGGATACCAGTCATATCGGATTAGAATCCACTCAATTGACCTCATCTTAACTTGTTTAAATCTACAAAGACTCTATTTCCAAATAAGGCCACATTCTAAGGAATGAGGGGTTAGGACTTCAACACATATTTTTGGTGAGGGGGGCACAATTCAGCTTATAACAATCTTTATCTATGCCTAGCCAATAATCACACTGAATGACAGGCAACGGCTCTCAGAACCATGGTCCACAGTATGTGTCATCCTGGCAATATATCTAGTAACCCAGTGAGGTCGATCATGTCAACCTCCAAAGAGAGGAGGCTGAGATGTCTATAAATATGGCCTCTATGTTCAAATGGCTGCTACAAGTGTGGAATGTTTGATATGGTTTGGGTCTGTGTCCCACCCAAATCTCATGTCAAATTGTAATCCCCAGTGTTGGAGGTGGGGCTTGGTGGGAGGTGATTGAATCATGGGAGCAGATTTCTCCTTTTGATGCTGTTCTTATGATAGAGTTCTCATGAGATCTGGTTGTTTAAGAGTGTGTGGCACCTCCCCCCTGCTCTCTCTTCCTTTTGCTCCAGCCATATGAAGTGCTGACTCCCCGTTTGCTTTCCACCATGATTGTAAGTTTCCTGAGGCCTCCCCAGAAGCCAACCAGATGCTGCCATGCTTCCTGTACAGCTTATGGAAACATGAGCCAATTAAACCTCTTTTCTTTATAAATTACCCAGTCTCAGGCATTTCTTTATAGCAAAGTCAGAATGGATTAATACAGTATTATTGAAATAAAAGTTCAAGTGCACTGGGATTATTTGGCCAATACATGTGTAAGCTATTGTCCCTTTATCCACCATGTGAGTTCCATTCCATTACCCAGTGTGACCTAAAAGCAAGAGCAAGAGTGAAAGTAAAGGAGAAAAAGAGTTCTAACAAATCTTAGCTTGATGTGCAAATGTTATAACCTTGATCTCTTTTCAAAACTTGTACCACCAGGTGACTGTTGATCATAAGTATGCATAGAGAGCTTACTAGTAATAACATGCACAGCATTCAAAGGATTCTTTGTATTGTTTCTTTGGATTCTATACTTGATCAGTTGCTCATCACTTATCTCTCTGCCTAAGGCATAGTAAATTGTCAGCGTCCATCCAAATGACTCAACTAATAACAAGCATCATGCTGGGCACAGTGAGATGACTCAGAGATGAAGCTGAGGATCAATCATGCTGTTCCCAAGGTCTGTGCTGGATAAATCAGCATTGGAAACCTAGATGCTGAGTATACCAGAGGTTTGATGAAAAATTATTTTAAACTTGCTGTATATTTGAAAATTTCTATAATAAAATGTTAAGAAAAAAAATCACATAAATCAGCTCCATGGGTTACTGATTTAGAATAAACAAACATGGTCTGTTAGTATTCATTCATCATAGAATATGATAAATGTTTAACTGTCCAGTTTTAACTGTCTTGATGATGTCTGGGTAAACAAAGCATCATCACTTCGTGGTTTGATATCTGTTACCTTATTTTTTTATTTTTTAAGACAAGGTCTCACTCTGTTGCCCAGGCTGGAGTGCAGTGGTGAGATCTTGGCTCACTGCAATCTCCACCTCCCAGGCTCAAGCAACCCTTGCAGGTATGGGCCACCATGCCCAGCTAATTTTTTTTTTTTTGCATTTTTTATAGAAACAAGGTTTCGCCATGTTGCCCAGGCTGGTCTCCAACTCCTGAACTCAAGCGATCCACCCTCCTCAGCCTCCCAAAGTGTTGGCACTACAGGCGTGAGCCACCACCTTGGCCTGTTCCCTTCTTTGAAATTATTGGGATGCAGGAAGAAGGCTTTTTGTTTTGTTTTATTTTGTTTGTTTAATTAATAGCTGCTAGATCCTACCAATCTATACATTTTTAAAAAACTAGCCTATCACTATTTTTAAATCCCCTCCTTTTATTTGTGCCCTGGTATGATGATAAGTTTGATAGCAAGGGTACCATAATATGGCACATAATAGTGCATTACTGCTCTGTGAGCTATCTTTTCCTCAGTCCTAAAGCAGAGTGGCTACGCAAGTAGTCTCTGGAGTCAGATTGCCTGGCTTATTAGAATTGCAGCTCAGTAGGACCTTGGGCAAATTGCTTAAGCTTTTCATGCCTTATTTCAAGTCCCTGCATCATATGACTGTTAGTGCCCAGAATAAAATGTAATCGGTTTAGCTGTCTCGCTCTAGAATCTTTATTTTATCAACCAACTGTCCTTCTCTCACTCTCCCTTTCTCTCACATCTCTATCTGTAGATCAACTCTTTCTTTATTTCTTGATCTTCCAAACCTCTTTCCCTCAGATCCACTTGTCAGGGACGTGCTGAGGGAAACAGGCTTCCTCCTGTCCTGCTAGTGACCCCTGAGTGGCTTTCATGGACCCCATTTTATTCCCTCTTCATTAGGAAAAAACAGCTTTTTTGGTTTCTGGAGCACCCTTAACATCCTGTTTAGGTCTCTCGACTTCACAAGTAACTTCTTTCTTTATCACCATGAGCTTTTCTTTACCTCCTGATCTTTTCTACAGTCAGGTCCCGGACTTCTGCAGTTCCTGGTCTATAGAGTCCCTTCAGATGTCAGATGAAACATTTAGTCAAATCTCTAACTTGACAAGCAATCAATGCACGAACATTTGTATTAGTGTCCATACGTTCAAGCCATCAGAAAGTGCACTCTACTTGGCTCCACAAAAGCAACACTTCAAGGCAACCATGATAATAATTAAAAAAAAAAACTTCATTAAACTACTGTATATGTAGACATGGGTTTTTAAATGCAAATTACAAAAAGTCTAACAATGTGTTTGTGACTCATATGTCAGTTAATGAAACAGTTAAAGGAAAACTCTAATGATACTGCATATTGTTATAATTTCTTATCTAATAGCCAAAGGAGGCAGACATGGAACACTTGACTGGGGGATTGATGGGGAGATGGACAACACAGAAAGGAACTTATAGTAATGAAGGAAGGGGCTTGTAGGCATTCCTCGGTTGAAGATAATGGTTTTCCTACTGTTTCCCTTAGAGACTTAAGCTGGGCTATGATGCCTCAGAAATGTATTATTATTATTGTTATTATTATTTTAGTAGAGATGGGGTTTCACCAAGTTGGTCAGGCTGGTCTCAAACTACTGACCTCAGGTGATCTATCCACCTTTGCCTCCCAAAGTGCTGGGATTATAGGCATGAGCCGCCGCACCTGGCCATATTATTAATATTAATAATAAAGTCCTGACAAAGAATTCTATTCATTTTTAGGAAATCATTTACAGAGGTAACTGATATTGTAGTCGTTGACCTTGTGCTCAAAATGCCCAATGTTCCTTTATGGATTTCTAAAACAGGAATCTGAGGACTGTCTACTCCATCAAGGATACCTGGGGTATACCTCTAAAACGCAGCTTCAAATTCAACAGGTGATTCTGATGCACCCTAGAGTTAGAGAGTCAATGCCTTTTGGATTTTGGGCCTGAATAGGGCCTATTGCCTATGTGAGAGTGCCATTCAGTAAAGTTGGAGTTGCTCAAGAAAATACAGTAGTCCCTTGGTATCAGTGAGGAAATTGGTTCTAGGGCCTCCTCCCAAACCAAAATCTGCAGATGCTCAAGTCCCTTATATAAAATGGCATAGTATTTGCATATAACATACACCATCCTCCAATACACTTTAAATAGTCTCTAGATTATACCTAATATAATGTAAATGCTATGTAAATAGTTTTCATATTTTTTATTTGTATTTTTTGTTGTATTGTTACTTTTTATTGTTGTTATTGTTTTTAAAATAGTTTTGATCTTTAGTTGGTTGAATCTTTGGATGCAAAACTTCTGGATACAGAGGGCTGACTATACTATTACAATGAGATGTTACACTTACATCAATAATGTTACTTAAACTTTTAGTTGTCTTATCATTTCTCAAAATCAACTTTTATAACTGTAGTGATTAATAAGATTAATTTTAAAAGGAGTTCTCTTAAAATATGAAATAACAGCAACTCATTAGCTAAATCCTGTGGATGCTATTCAACCCTTTCCTGGAAGCAGATGAAGCCCTCATTTGTAACTATGACCTTGCCCAAAATGGTGGAGCTTCTGCAAGTGGAGCCATCTCAAGTCAAGGGATGGTCTTAACCACCTCACCAGAGTCTCCTAATTCCCACTGATCTGTTGAGCTCTAACAAACATTAGAAGGAGAAAACTGAATAAGGGAATGCCTATTGTCTTCTTGGAATAGAAGGCCTCACTTAGCTCCATAAAGAGTTTACTCTGCCACCACATAGTCTGCACAAATAAAATGCTTTGGCTCTCTTTTTGTTCCCAAAAATATTGATTTGGGGACTTGGATATCTAGGAATTTATTTGAAGTACCTAAAATAGAGGTCAGTTCAGTTAATTATGCTTTTTTTCCTGTTTTTCACATATAACCCCTCTTAAATTTGCATTTCAGGCTACAGACTGGTAATTTTTTTTTTTTTTTTTTTGAGACGCAGTCTTGCTCTGTTACCCAGGCTGGAGTGCAGTGGCACCATCTTAGCTCACTGCAAGCTCCACCTCCTGGGTTCATGCCATTCTCCTGCCTCAGCCTCCTGAGTAGCTGGGACTACAGGCACCCGCCACCACGCCCGGCTAATTCTTTTGTATTTTTAGTAGAGATGGGGTTTCACTGTGTTAGCCAGGATGGTCTCGATCTCCTCACCTCATAATCTACCTGCCTTGGCCTCCCAAAGTGCTGGGATTACAGGCTTGAGCCACCAAACCCGGCCCAGACTGGTAGTTTTTAACCCAGGCTGAGTATTATAGTCATCTGGGGACCTTTGAGAAATTCCAACACCCAGACCCCACCACTAGAGAGAGTTCAAATTAATTGGTCTGGGGTGGGGCCAAGGCATCATATTTTTCCAATCTCCCAGTGATTCAAAGTGTAGCCAAAAGTGAGAACCATCACTTGCTTTATGATATAAGACTTATAAAAGTCAATTCTATGAAAACCATCCACCACCATCAACAAAGAAAACTATTTGATTTGACAGTATCCTAATAGTTGAAGAGCTCGTACAGGCATTATTCTTGTCTTGAGATTTTTGGGAGATTTGACTACATTCCACAACTTAGGTGACACAAGTAAAATTCCAGATTTTCCATCACACTGCGGTGACACAGTAATAACAATCCCCTCCACACACTTGTTTTTGTTTTTGTTTTTGTTTCTGTTTTTGTTTTTGCTTTTTTTGAGACAAAGTCTAGCTCTGTTGCCCAGACTGGAGTGCAGTGGTGTGATCTTGGCTCACTGTGATTTCCACCTCCCAGGTTCAAGCGATTCTCCTGCCTCGGCCTCCTGAGTAGCTGGGATTACAGGTGCCCATCATCACGCCTGGCTAATTTTTGTATTTTTAGTAGAGATGGGGTTTCTCCATGTTGCCCGGGGTGGTCTCGAACTCCTGACCACCTTGGCTTTCCAAAGTGCTGGGATTACAGGCATGAACCACTGCACCCAGCCCCCAAATTTATATATTCATATTTTTCACTAGCAGAATTCAACAGGAAATTCAGTCAGCAAAATTGCTTAGAGAAAGCAATTTGTTCGTAAAATTTCTAACCTCAAAGCTTTACAGGATTTGGCTTCTATGAAATCCAACAAGTGTAACAACATCAGCTGTGATATCTTTGTAGTTAGGTTACATTTAATTGATTTTGGGGACTTTAGTCTGCAGCAAATCTATGCCCACAGAACCAGTTGAAGCTGTGAAACCTCTGTCTTGCCACATATGTTTATATCCTTTAATAAAATAAAGCTAATAACTTGATAAAACTAATAACTTTCTTTCTTCTTTTTTTTTTTTTTTTTTGAGACAGAGTCTCACTCCATTGTCCAGGCTGGAGTGCAGTGGGGCAATCTCGGCTCACTGCAACCTCCGCCTCCTGGGTTCAAACAATTCTCCTACCTCAGCCTCCAGAGTAGCTGGAATTACAGGCACCTGCCACCACACCCGGCTAAGTTAATAACTTTCATGAGAGCGAGAGCAGGCAAGGATGAGACTGGTTTGGCTTTTGCGGACAGTGACTGCCTCGGATAATGATTCCACCAGGTTCCATTTGATGGAGGGCAGGTTCATTGAACACCTTCAGCTGCGAGGAGAGCTGTAGTGAGACCTTTGTGTCTAATGACTGCCGTCTCTCTTCAATTTCATGTAATGAGTGTGTGAGTTCGATTGCTAGATTCTGATGTTGGTGGAGGATAAATGTAAATAATTTATGAGAGAAAGTTGTGAACTTCTTGGAGAGCCCAAGGAATACAACTTTTCTGGAGGGTGAGGGACAAGGGAAATAAGAGTGCAAAAAGAACAAAGAAACTCTGTTCTAAAAGGCATTCATTTAGATGGTGTCCTTATTTATAGCCTGCCCCTGTACCTTGTCCTGTGGAACCGGGGCACTTGCATTTGGCAGCTGCAATCACTTAATAACTGCACCTTTGCCATAAAAGCTGTTGGAGGTTGGCAGAGAGCAGGCATCCAGTGTGATCATTGCTAACATCCATTTAAAGCCAAAGCCACAGGGGGAAGTAATTGGATTTAATGGATATAGAGTTTTAGGATGAAAGTGCGTGGGATTGGGTTTATTTAATTTAATTAGACTTATACTTTAGATTATCTCATTTAAATTATCTGTGTTCCCATGTATGCTTTGACTTTCTGGCCTTTAGACAATAGGCAAAATTTTCCTTGTACGAAGCAATGAAGATCTGTTCATTTCTCCTTCAGAGCCTTCTACATCAGCCAGGGTAAAAATGAGCTTCTGCATCAGCCAGGGTCAACTGACCCAGCTCCCTCTGAAGGCAATCTCTTTCATTGGTTGGTTGAGTCGTAGAACAGGAGGACCTGAGGGGGCTTTTAAAGCTCTCACGCTGCCCTGGTTCTCTCCCTAGCAGCAGGGTAGGCTCTGCTTTCTGAGTAGCTACAGGAGCCTTCATTACCTGTGCCATAGGCCATAGCTTCTCAAGGGCATCTGACACTCCCAAGGGCAAAAGCTGGTGGACTTTGACAACACATCCCGCAACAACTAAATTGTCATTTCCAGAATGAAAATCCATCTTGCACAATCATACAGGGAACTTTATCTGAATCACAGAAACCAGATAAATTGAGCCTACTAGTTAGACTTGATGATTAGCTAGGCTGATGATGTGGTGAGTTTCTCCTGACTTATATCTGAATGTCCCTTTGCCTAGACGTTTCTCTCCATTGAAAGTAGAAGTGTGGGCCCAGTGCCGTGGCTCATGCCTGTAATCCCAGCACTTTGGGAGGCCAAGGCAGGCAGATTGCCTGAGCTCAGGAGTTCGAGACCAGCCTGGGCAACATGGTGAAACCCTTTCTCTACTAAAATACAAAAAAAAACAATTAGCCAGGCGTGGTGGTGTGCACCTGTAGTCCCAGCTACTTGGGAGGCTGAGGCAGGAGAATTGCTTGAACCCAGGAGGCGGAGGTTGCAGTGAGCTGAGATCATGCCACTGCCCTCCAGCCTGGGCAACAGAACAAGACTCCATCTCAAAAAAAAAAAAAAAAAAAAAGAAGAAAGAAAAAAAAACAAAGAAAAAGTAGAGTGTGTCAGGCAAGGAAATGAGAGAGGGAGGCAGTCCCTGTGTGGCTCCCATGGAGGCCCCAGGACACGGGTGAAGTAGAGAGCGGGCTCCTCGTGATCTCTCACTCTGCTGCTCTCAGTAGGGCAGGAATGACTGGAGCCATGCAGCAGTGAATTTCATGATAGGGTGATATGGACATGTTTACACTGCAAGAGGGAATCAGGCTGCCTTGCCTCTCAGCACGCCCACTCCAGTGGGAGTCTGAAATTACTGTCTTCAAACCTTCTATTCACCTAATTCCTCTTAGTCCTTTGAGATTTTCAGGAAAGCAGTACTGTGGTTAATAAAAAATTGATGTATTGTTACCTTTTAGTAAGAACCATATTATTTAGGGATATATTTTATATCAATTTAAACACATGTACTGTGTATTTCGGGTGTGTGTGTGTGTGTTTGTGGTGTGTGTGTGTATTTCCATTTAGACTTTGTAGTATAAAGGTCTGCTTTCTCCACTTTTGCCATTGTTCCCTAATAAACTGTTGTGTGTGTGTGGATATATATATATATATATATATATAAACAATTAGATTATGGTTACTTATTCATTCTCAAGGAACAGGAAAGCCAGCAAAATAGACATTGATTGCCTCAATAGCATGTACTAGGTAACAACTTCATTTAAGGCACTGATCCCAGGTACTGTGGTCAATATAAAAATGTATAAGATCTGACCACTCTCCCAGATTAAGCTACAGATAAACATGACTAATTCGAAGTAGAAATGGGCAATGTGAAATACAAAGAAAGTGCTGCGAGATTTCTGAAGACAGTAAGATTATGTCTGATTTGGGGGATCAGGTAGTGTTCTGTGGGATGCCTTCTGCACCGGGCTCAGAAGGAGGGAGCTCTGGACATGTAGTGGTGGGTGGGTAGAGATGGGGCACTCCAGGTGGTGGGATAGTACCCCTGGGAAAGTGCTGAGCACTTTCTGGACCTTTTTTTAATTATTATTATTTTTTAACTGATTGACAAGATATGGAATCTGGATCGTTAAAAAGGCTATTTGGCTGTGATGTGGAGCTGTGAGAAGTAAGCTCTAGAGTGAGATCCTGAGAGTTCTTTAATTTCACCAGTTGTATTAGTTCCCTAGGGCTGTTTTAACAAAGTGGCTGAAAATAACAGAAACGTATTCTCTTATGGTGCTGGAAGGCTGAAAGCCTGGTATCAAGGCGTTGGGCAGGGCCATGCTTCCTCTGACGGCTCTAGAGAGGAATCCACCCTGGTCTCCTCCAACAGCTTCTGGTGGCTCCCGACAACCCTTGGCACTCCTTGGCTCATAGCTACATCACTTCAGTCTTCACCTTTGTCTTCACAGGGCCTTCCTCCCTGTACATCTGTGTACCTTGGTGTGTCCTTTCTTCTTTTTCTAAGGACGCCGGTGAAATCGGATGTAGGGCCCACCCTAATCCAAGATGACTTCATCTTAACTAATTACTTCTGCAAAAACCCGTTTTCCAAATAAGGTTACATTCTAAGGTTCCAGGTAGACATGATATTTGGGGGCACACTATTCAACTCACAACACCATTTTAGCAAGATCCCAAGAGTACCATAGTGTCAAGCACTAAGGAGTCTGAACTTTACCAGTTTAGATGCCTACGTTCAGAGAGACATTGAGCGAAGTCTTTTTAGGGCAGGGAATACCTTGACAGCCTTGGCCTTCCCTAGGTTGGACCTGCTGTGCCTGTGGTGAGCCTTTAACACCCGACTGCCATAAGCCACATTCTGAAAGGCCGTACACCCACATATACTGTCTGGGTGCCTGAAGCTCTGCCTTCCATCTCTGCCCACTGGGCTATGATTGTAGCATTCCATTTTGCTCTTACTGGGGGAAGTATTCTTGTCCCTCTCTCCTGCACCCAAATGCCCAGCTGCTGGCTGGGACTCATGAGTAGAAGGTCAGTGTAGGCTTCAAAGCTAGTATTTCCATTTTTCCCATTCTACTACATCTGCCTCCCATGGCTTACTTTTGTTTTGTTTTAGAGACAGGGTCTTGCTCTGTCACTCAGGCTGGAGTGCAGAGGCATGATCATGGCTCACTGCAGCCTCGAACTCCTGGGCTCAAGGGATCATCCCACTTCAGCCTCCTGAGTAGCTGGGACTACAGGTGTATGCCATGATGCCCAGCTCCCATGGCTTACTTTTGGAACAATGTGTTTGTCAAATTAAGTACACAGGCCTGCAAGAACTGGGAAGGAGAACTCTTATCTTACTTAGTACCTCTCGACATGTACTTTTTGCTTTAGAGACAACTAAGTAGCCATATCAGAACAAGTGTCAGTTGAAGGATACCTTTAAGATATTCATTTACAAATGCTTTTCTGAATGCTTTGTGTATGATAGTTCCGTATCTCATTATTAATTCTTTTAAGCTTTTAGTGCAGGCAAAACTAACATGTTTAACATCAGTCCTCTTATTTTTTACTATAAATAGTTGCAAGAATTAAATGAAATAATATATTTAGAAGTCTTAACACATTCCACACAGCAGTCACTAGCTATTATTACCCTTCTAACTGTACATGCTGGCAGTTATCTGGCTCAAGGAGTTTTTAGTGGGATATGATATATTTTGCCTCTCAATTTTGAGTTTTAATGCTTTTTACCATCAAAGGATTGACATATCTTCCTGGAAAAGATAAAAAAGATCTTTGAAGATTTGTTTTCTTCAAAGTTATGACAACCACAGCAACGTGCCTCAGTGTAGATACTCTGGTTGCTAAGGACCGCATAGATCAGGGTAAAAAGTGGGCTGATGGTACCTGTCATTTTCTTTTCTTTTCTTTTTGTCACTTGGAGGGAAGAAGCAGCTTGGTAGATGCTTGGGCTTGTGTCTGAGGCATCACAGCAGCATTGTGAAAAAGAATCAGTCAGCATGATGGTATCTATCTTTTTGGACTGACTTCTGGACGGATCTGCCATTCTACCGCTGTACTTTGCTCTTCAGGGAAACATGGAAGCACATTCCCATGCTAAAGAAACTTCTATGTGATCAGTTCACTATGCAGAGCACTGGGAGTTTCCCTCCTCAACAGAGATTGCAGCACACAGCCTCTGCCTTGCTCAACACCACAAGATTCTGTGTCAATAATCAAGGACAAAATAGCTCTAAAATTAAATCTTATTTCCAGCCTAGAGAATTTTTAATCTAGATTTACAGACATCATAAAAAGTAATGATTACTATGTCAAGAAAGGTAATTTTCATGAAGGAAATGACTTCTAATCCAAATGGTTTATTTGTAGGATTAATGTCATATGAACCTGTTTTATACAAAGTTGTAGGGAGACAAAAAAAAGGGAAGAAATTAATTTCGAGCCTAAATATACCAGTAAATAAATAAGTTGACAAAAATGAGCTAATTTTAACTTCAAATCACTCACCCAATTCGTCTTGTACAATAACCTCAGAAACACAAATACACCATGTCCGGCTGCATATGAAAGTGGCAAGAGCTTGTCATTTCCATTTTTAAAAGGAGAAGCAAATGTGTCTAGCTTACTCAATTTTTTCCTAACTTCAACTTTCATGTTTATATAACCATCAGGGAGACGTGCTGACTCACAGTCAGCCTCTGGGGCAGCACTTCCCTTTTCTTTAGTTCTTGAAGAAACAAGTATGGTGCTCCCAGGAGAGTGGACAAGCTAACCATGTGAGTTTTTTATACACACAAGTAATATAATCGTGTACATTTATGTTAATTGACAAAAGTCTGAACAAGATAATCCCTAAACAATAAGAATGATTTTATTTTATTTATTTAATTTTTTTGAGATGGAGTCTCACTCTGTTACCCAAGCTGGCTTGATCTTGACTCACTGCAACCTCCATCTCCCAGGTTCAAGTGATTCTCCTGCCTCTGCCTCCCGAGTAGCTGGGACTACAGGCTCACACGCCACCACACCCAGCTAATTAAGAATTATTTTAAGCAAGAATTGCTTTTTAAAATGCTAAACAAAATGATAAAGTCCACAAGTTTTTAGGTTTGTAGGTGAAGTCTTAGCTGACTTCCCACCTCCAGCAGGTTGGAAACTGTTCTTGATGCTCCCATAATACTTAGGATTTACACGATCATTGCGACACTACAGCACTTAATAGTAGCCAGGAGATAGAAGGTTCCGTGTATGGGGTACTGAGTTTGCACTGCACTTCTTCTCACTCCAGGCCACAGACCCCCGGACTCTACTTCCTTCCTTAGAGTCAGGAACTAAGAGGAAAATATTCAGCTTGGTTTTCTGGAGTGAGAAATACAGGGTTGAGACTACGTCAAGACAGTTATGTAAATAATGTAGGTGAAAAACTGAAGAAGAGATGAGGAGCCACCACAGCTTCCCAATCGATTTATTTGCTTCCAACTTTTCCAACATTGCTGCTCAGTGAGCTTTCAAAAATGCCAGTCCAATTAATTCACTTTTCTGCTTAAAACCCTTCAGTGCATCCGAGGGGACTTGAGATAAAGACCAAAGCCCTCACCTGCCCTGGAGGCCTTGAGTGACATGGTCCTCCCCTCACCTGCCTGGGGAAACCACTCTTGCTCCTGAGGGCTCCAGACTTCACCTGCAGTTGCTCTCTTAGTTCATCGAAACAGATGGGCTTCTTCCTGCCTCAGGGCCATTGCTCCTGCTGTCCTCCTGCCTGAATCATCGCAGCAGACTGCCAGCCCTTCTGCTGTCTTTGGCTGCACACTTCTTTTCTTTGGCCAGCCAAGAGATGACTGAAGTTTGAATTTGAATGCCTTAAGGCCAGTAGACTTCCTCCAGTGGGCCTTCAGTTCTAATATTTCTTGTTGTCTTACCCCTGCCAGATGCACACATTTGTGTTACCTGCCTGATCTCTTAAAGGAATTTGAGTTTGCAATCTCTGGACTAATTAATGTCTACTGATCAACCAATAAAGCACAAATGCCACCTCCTCACAAAAACTTTCACAGCCCCACAAAAAATCCTGTACTTTCCCTTCATAGCACTTGTCACAACAACAATTAAATAACTAATTGTGTTATTACATGTCTAAAGTCTATATTCCCGGCCAGCATGGACATTCCAAAAGGGCAGGGACTCTTGTCTTTTTCACCACTATGTTCTTAGTGTTTACATATAGAAGGCACTCAATGATTGAATGGATGAATGATAAAGCTAAAGTATTCCAAAGCTTAGTGACATAAATAATTCTCTAAAAGCTTTAAATGAGAATTATAGGCAAACATTTTTCTGAGATTATTTGAGCCTAGTCCTTCCAGGAGACACTGAGATCCCACAACCCTGAGGATGATATATCACGGGAAGCTCATGACAGTGATTTCGTACTACTGTGCTAGGTCTAAAGGGCAGAAGGAATGGGGAAGCCAAGAGGGCTCCAGGCTCCATGCAACTAATGAAACCATAGCAGCTCTACTTGCTAGACTTTTATCATTATTCACTTTCTTTCTTTCTTCCTTTTTTTTTTTTGAGACAGAGTTTCACTCTTGTTGCCCATGCTGGAGTGCAATGGTGCAATCTCGGCTCATCGCAAACTCTGTCTCCCGGGTTCAAGCGATTCTCCTGCCTCAGCCTCCTGAGTAGCTAGGATTACAGGCATGTGCCACCACGCCAAGCTAATTTTGTATTTTTAGTAGAGATGGGGTTTCTCCATGTTGGTCAGGCTGGTCTCAAACTCCTGACCTCAGGTGATCTGCCCACCTCAGCCTCCCAAAGTGCTGGAATTACAGGCATGAACCACCGCGCCCAGCCTGTCATTATTCACTTTCTATCTTTTATGTAAATATAGTGAATTTCTGCATAGGATTTGTCTGAACAAACCTTATACCAAGGCTTTGACAGTGTCTATCTTATTGGTTATGGTATCCATGGCTCCTAGGATGGTGCCTGGCACTGAGTGTTGGTGTCTATGAATGGTAACCTACTTGTGGTAAAGATATTTACAAAGCTAGGATCAGATTTCTGTTGTGTTTCAGGATCAGGAAGTAGTGAAGCTGTCCTATTGCAGGTAACATTGGTAGCATTACCTATCACATATGATGAGGGTTTCTTCCATCCATTCAGTCCAATTGCAAAACCAAATCAAACAACTTCTTTTCCTTCCCAAATGATATTTAATTCAAGTCCTTCAAATGCATTTCGAAAGCTTCTCTTGTCCATGCTCCTTCTCTATGCTATGTTGTCTTCTCTGCCTGTAGTCACATCCAAAAGGCAATGAATTAATTATCTTCATAAGTATTTTTCTTTATTTCCAAACGTGATCAGAATGTGCCCAAAGAATTCTTCATTGCAATGTTTTTGAGGAAGTTTGACTTATTATTATTATTATTAGGCTTCATTTTATCTGAAGCAAATTAAAGTGGACAATTTTCTATGATGATGGAAAGTCTCGCTATGTTGCCCAGGATGGTCTCAAACTCCTGGCTTCAAGCAGTCCTTCTCCCTTAGCCCTGCAAAATGCTGGTAATACAGGCATGAGCCACTATGCCAGGGCAAGGTTTTTTTTTAATGTGATAATTAGCAGTAAAAGTGGGATAAAAGACATTATATGGACCAGTACATGCCGTGTTCATGGTGCCAAATAGCTTCCATTTCCGCCCTTCCGCCCTTGCCTCTTTGCTGCCTTCTGGACCAAAGTTGTCTGTCTTGGAGGCAGACTTGTGTAATTACTTTAACAATCTCACTTGCCCTCTGGTTTCTGGTTGGCTTTGTCCAATGGAGAGCCCCTGCAGGAGGTCAGAAGGAAGATCACAGTGCGGTCTGGTCCCACATTCCCCTGCTTCCTGCCTACAGAGTTGGCTTGGGCTGGCTGCATGATTGCGAGCAAAGACCATAACTCCTCTCAAGGTGACCCTTTCCACACTCTCTCCTCTTGCTCCTTTACACCTCAGGGTTGTAACATCTGCTGTGACTAGCCCCAGCATGTCACTCTTCTTTGTGGTTTTCCCACATCTGCCTATACCCTATCAACAGTCCCTTTACTCAACCCTCCTGGAGTATGCCACTTGCTTCCTGTTGGGGCCCTGATTGATATACCTACTAGGGATTCCACTTATGATCACTCTCATTTTGCTCAGGAGTCGAAGTTATGGTGATAGACATTGTATCCACAGGTGTAACTACTTGAAAGAGAAGCAATTTTTGGAATCATACCCTACCATCTGCCTTTGTTTTATTAGATCTAAAAATCTAAATTAACCATATTTTCATTTTGTCCTAAAATGCCTTATTATTGTATTTTTCTCAACACTTCTATAATATGCCATGCATATTCTTATTTTTTGAAAATTATATAATTTGTTGGTAATTACTAATTTTATGTACCTACACTACTTACTCTGTTGCCAGGCTGGAGTGCAGTGGCGTAATCCTGGCTCACTGCAACCTCCCCTCCTGGGTTCAAGTGATTCTCCTGCCTCAGCCTCCTGAGTAGCTGAGATTACAGGCACGTGCTACCACACCCGGCTACTTTTTATATTTTTAGTAGAGAAGGGGTTTCACCATGTTGGCCAGGATGGTCTCGATCTCTTGACCTTGTGATCCACCCGCCTTGGCCTCCCAAAGTGCTGGGATTACAGGTGTGAGCCACCACACTCAGCCTGTGATATAATTTTCTAATATAAATGAGGGGGCTGGGCACAGTGGCTCACGCCTATAATCCCAAAATTTTGGGAGGCAGAGGCGGGTGGATGACCTGAGGTCAAGAGTTCGAGACCAGCTTGACCAACATGGGGAAACCCTGTCTCTACTAAAAAATACAAAAATTAGCCAGGCATGGTGGTGTACCCCTGTAATCCCAGCTACTTGGGAGGCTGAGGCAGGAGAATCACTTGAACCTGGGAGGCGGAGGTTGCAGTGAGCTGAGATTGCCCCACTGCACTCCAGCCTGGGCTACAGAGCGAGACTCTGTCTCAAAATCAATCAATCAATCAGAGAATTCACAAAAGGAACTAACTTACAGAACTTTATAGCTGGTTACTGGTATTGCTATCCAAATTTGCTGCTTTTCATGCAGGTGTCTTTGTCAAGGATGGGCTGTGACATAAAATGCAAACAACTGTTTTTAATGCTACATTTAGTATACATTTTAAGTTCTCATTTAGGGCAAATGTTCACTGCAAATTAAACTAGAATATACAAACATTTATAATGTAAAATATAACTTGTATTAGGGGTTCCTCACTTGAAGAAAACCCAAAATAAAACTCAACTTGATAAAAAATATTTGAATATATGGGATGATAATTCAAGGTTTTTCCATGAAATAGGAATGTCTCAAATGTCAAAAAGAAAATTGAATTTGAAAGTCCTTTTGAGCATACTGGTTGACTAAAGTGAAGGACACCTTTTTTATTTGTTTATTTATCAATTTACTTATTTATGAAATTTTAAAAATTAAGTAAATTTGCTTCCTCCTCATAGCCTCTTCTCTAAAGCTTATCTTAATCATGTCTTCTCCTTAACCATAAGCCTACATGCTCCTAATTTTATGACTTTGTGATCACTGCAGGTTTTTATACCGTTACTCTAAACAGAATTCCAGGCTTATCTTTGCCATACCAATATCTGATGAAAGTTGTCAGCTGTATACAAAAACAAAATGACCTTCTGCTCAAGTTCCCTACCCCCACCCTCCACCCCACAATGACTGTAAATATAAACACATTTTTAAAATTTCTTAAATATTTTCTTTATAGAAATCCAATTTAATCTCTATATCTGCCAGGATATTCTTTCAATTCATTTATCAGTACACCTTTTGAGGTTATAATAGTATGGAGAATTATAAGGAGAGTTCTAAACCAGGGATAACAAGTTAAGTAACAGGAAGATGCATAAGAAAATCTATTGTTACTGATGGAGGGTCTTGACTACAAGTCTTCCAGGCTCTTGACATTTTGAACAAATAATTGGACAAAACGCACAAAGAAATGAAAGAATGAAGCAGCGAAAGCACAGATTTATTGAAACAAAAGTACATTCCACAGAGAGGGAGCCACAGAAGCAAGCAGCTGATGAGCGCTTGTTACAGAATTTTCTGGGGTTTAAAAATACCCTCTAGAATTTCCCCATTGGTTACTTGGTCACACCCCATGTGAATGAAGGAATGGCCCACAACCAGTCTGATTGGTTGCAGAAGGCGACCAATCAGAGGCTGAAGTGAAGTAACAAAGTTACACTCTTAGGCAAATGAAGACTAGGCCCACAACCAGTCTGACTGGTTATGCGAGGGGGCCGATCAGAGGTACTTTCCATTTATCATCTGCCACACAGTGCAAAGGGAGTAGCCTCTGATCCTTTTGTTACTTCAGTGTGTAGAGGTGGGGTTTTCCTTTTGATTCAGTTATAGGAAGTCAGCACAAATCGGCCTTAGTTTCCCGGCCTCCACACCCTATTCTCCTGTCTCACTGTGGTTTCTTTGTTCACCTTTATCTGTTTAATAGCATGTATTCATGCTTCTCACTGCCACTAATATGTGTTTTGGATGATGCAGCAAGCTAAATACAATTGCTTACAGGTCAATTCATTGAAAATATTTTCACTTCAGCCCTCTTCAAATTAAATAAGTGAAATGAAAGAATAGATCAATTAATCATTTTAGTAGCTAGGCCCTGGGTTATTGAGGTCAGTGACCTTGGTGGGCTGATAAATGAATTTGATCCTGGGGAGGTTTCTGTTTCCCTTGTTTTAATCATTTATGTGTGCCCTATTATTCATAGAGAGAGGTACAGTGCTAGCACTCCAAATTCAAGTTCATTAATATTACACAACAGATGCAGGTGTTTCCAGGACGGCTAAGTCAGAATAGCCCTTTTCACTGGAAAGTGTGAAAGCCAAAGTAATTGTCTTCCAACTATGCAACAGGCACAGAAGTGCATATTAGGATTACTGAAGTTGAAATTTTTACCTGACTCTCATTTGCTTCTTTCCATGCTTTGAAATAACCTTTTCCTTCTTCCTTCTTCTCCTCCTCCTTCTCTTCTTCTTTTTTGTTTTTTTTTTTCTTCTTGTATTTCAAAAATCATAAGGCCAGTAATTTAAAAGCATGGGTAGTCTTTTTCTTTATGAAAGTTTAAGCTAAATACCTGTGCATCTTCATACACTCTTGCTTACTATTGACTGAACAAGTTTGGAATTGAGGAATGCTGATGTTCTAGTTATGCCCATTTTCTTCTACCAAACAAGGTATTAAGTTTTGTCTACATATACAAACTATTGTATAAACAGGAACAAAATGAATTCTGGCAAAAAAAAAAAAAAAAAAAAAACTGGTTATTTTTTAAATGTTTATTTGAATGGGTAAAATCAAATAAAATAGCCAATGGATTATTATTTATTTATTTATTTATTTGAGCCAGGCTCTCACTCTGACGCCTAGGCTGGAGTGCAGTGGCATGATCTCAGCTCACTGCAGCATCAACTTCCTGGGCTCAGATGATCCTCCCACCTCAGCGCCTCTGTAGCTGGGACTGTGGGCGTTCACCACAACACCAGGCTAATTTTTTTGTATTTTCTGTGGAGACGAGGTTTCGCAATGTTGCCAGGCTGGACTTGAACTCTTGGCCTCAAGCAATCTGCCCGCCTCAGCCTTCCAAAGTGCTAGGATTACAGGCGTGAGCCACTATGTCCAGCTGCCAATGAATTATTTACCTAAATTGAACAATTTTTTTCAAATGAGTCTAAAGATAGCCTAACACTCAATTTTCAATCCTCACTAAAGCAGGAATTCTCCAGCGCTCAGAGATAAACAAACAAACAAAAATCCAAGAAAAATATATGGAGCCTTCTTTTTATAATTTGAAATTCTGTAGGTAATTGCATCCCTTCTACCCAGATAAGCTTTCAGTTTCCAAGTTATTCTCATGCTGCCCTAACTCATTTTGAGGATGCAACATTTTAAAGATGAAAAATTTACTGCTTTAAAGAATAGGAAGAATAAACATCATCCATCTTCTAAGATGGACAGCCTTGTCATTACCTCACCTGCTCTTTCTGTATATGCACAGGACTAACATAAATAGTTACACTGAGCCTTAAAGAATTATGCTTTGAGAAGTGATTTAGAAAGAAATAGAGAAGATGAGGGGAGAGACTACAAAAAGGAAGATACCTTCAGCAGGGAGCTGTATGACATTACAACCGTAGCAAAAGCAGCTACTGTATTTAAACCTCCAAAAGAGTGCTGAGCCTGAAAACTTGAGATTTGAGGCACCACATGGATATGTAGCACCTTGGAATGATTTTTGTTCCTATTCTTCTTTTGACTGAGCTCAACTTTAATAGTAGTATTTCACTTTTATCTAGCATTTTATAGTTAACATAACACTTTCGTATAATGACTACAATTTATTTGGCATTAGATGTGTCATTATCTCATTTAATTTGCACAGCAATTGGATGACATGGATTCTACTATTATCCTAATTTTACAAGAAAGGCAGTGAAGCACAGAGAGATGAAGTAACCTGCTTTTTAGCTACGCTGCCATTCTGCACTCAAGCATCCTCTTAGTCTTCTTGACAAGCATATAAGGTAGATACCATCTACTGCTTGCTTAAGAGAAGAGCAATTGCTGATCAGGGAGATTGAGGAATGTACCCAAGGTCACTCAGCTAGTAGACAGTAAAACTGGGGCACAAAGCCCGGTTTAGATTTCTAAATTCTTCCAAGTTGCTTCTAGTGACACTTTTTTTTTTTTTTTTTTTTTTTTTTTTTGCAACTGGAAAATATGGGCTAGCTGGTGAAAGTTCAGGTGGCTGGCAATAATTTTGGTGTGACTCTGAAGTCTTTGAATCCTACTTCAAGACCTACGTACATGGATACAATAAGTATAATTTAATTTTATGTATGTATGATTATACTCTACAATATTTATACTGTTTATATTATGTATTTTATAAATTTTTATACTAAAATCCTAAATGCTAAAATACTAAAATCATGAAACAGTATTTTATACTATTTTATACTGTACTAACACCCTTAAGTTACTATGGTATGTGTGTACCTTAAGGGTGTCACTTATAACATTCTACTGTTTTTCACTGCTATTGTTCTCTCTGAAGGGTCTGGCACTGTGCCTGGTGCATAGCGCGTGCACAGTACATCATAAATGTTTCATGTATAAAAGAATGCACGTGCCTATTTAGGCACACACAGTACTTATATAGCTTATCTTTAAGATGCAGGAGTGGAGATTCAGACTGTCCTTGGATTAATGTAGAAAGTGAAGTGTATCAGAGACCATCTATGTGGTTCACCTGCCTCGCTGCATTCGGTTTTGCTTGTACAACAGAGCATGTGCTGCATGAAGCAGCAAGATGGCTGCTCAGTTCCGCAGGCTGGATACAGCAGGTCTGGTGGAAGGCAGTCCCAGCTGCTTAGATTTTGCCCATTCTCTCTCTCCAAAAAGTAGAATTGCAGACTCTATGGAACACAGGGGTTCAGGCTCACACAAACATGGGTGTTATTACAGAGCAACAGCAAATGCACTACTGATGGATGCAGCGGGTCACTTTACCACGTAATTTTTTTTTTTTTCTTTGAGACAGAGTCTTGCCCTGTGCCCCAGGCTGGAGTGCAGTGGTGCTGTTTCAGCTCACTGCAACCTCCGCCTCCCGGGTTCAAGTGATTCTCCTGCCTCAGCCTCCCAAGTAGCTGGGATTACAGGCGCCCACCATCACGCCTGGCTAAGTTTTTGTATCTTTAGTAGAGACGGGGCTTCACCATGTTGGATAGGCTGCCCTTGAACTCCCAACTTTGTGATCTGCCCACCTCAGCCTCCCAAAGTGCTGGGATTGCAGGTGTGAGCCACCGCACCCAGCCGACATTACCACATGTTTTTCTCATCAGAAAGATGAAGAGTTCAAGCTGTATGACCTGTGGGTCCCTTACAGCCCTAAGCTCTACACTGTATTGCCTGTGGGTATGCCACATTAGAAAAATAAATATCAGGCTCATCTCAGGTACGCCTTAGCAAACTGGACTCTTGAAACAGTACCATCACCATCTTCTTATTCTGTCGTGATGCAATAAACATGAAAAGCAGTGAGAAATGTCCTCTAATGGTAGCTTTGTTAATTAACTACATAGTATTCTAATTACCAAACAAACAGAATATTTGATAACTATTATGACCTTGGTGGGCTGATAAATAAATTGGATCCCAGAGAGGATTGGCTATATCAAGTTTCCCTTTGCTTTACCTAATCATTTATGTATACCTGTAGGCTCTGTGTGTGTGTATATATGTGTGTGTATGCGTATGTGTGTGTGTGTGTTTTAAAGAGTCATTTAGATAAGGAATGGTTGGGGTGGATGAACAAGATTATTAAACAGAATATGTATTTGGTTTGTTTTTTTCAAAATCAAATTGACTGTCATCAGGATATTATTTAGAAACCATTGCTCAGGTGGAGAAATGGCAGGTCAGGCCTTTGAATTTATGCCACTGGTCTGGGTTACTGACATAGAGAAAGTAAAATTTGATGATAGATTCTTTTAAGCCACTGGTTCATCTCCTTTGTTGGATTTATTCTTCCAGTTGATTTTATTTTGTTAGTTTATTTTTGATTTTGCTTTCTTTTTTTTTAATTTGGGAGTTGTCTTTCACTAAATACAGTTATTATGTACTAAATATATGTGTATTTTTCTGAGTGAATGTTGCCAAGTGTTCATCTTCAAAAATACAACACTGATCCTAACAAACATAAACATTGGGGTAGATCAAATTGAAAGAGTGCATAGATTAGCTCTTGATAAAAAACTACTGAAAACTCCCCTTTACAACTGGCTTTTAGTAGGAACAGGAATATCAATTTACCTTATGATCCAGGGTTTTTCAAATGTCTTTCGCCATGACCCACAGTAAGGAATATGTGTTTCTCATTGTGATCCAGAATATATGTGTGTGTATCTGAATAAAAGTTTCACTAAAAATATTTTTTCTTACTATGTGTGTGTAATGTGCTCTGATACTTAAAAAAAGAAACTCCTCTATGTTATTTTTTTAAGTGATGGCTGTAATTCACAAAATTGATTTATGACCCACTAATAGGTGGTGACCTGCAGTTTGAAAAATATGACTTAAAACCAGTAATGCAAACACACACAGAGAATTGTTTGGTCTTAGAGTAGATACCTATAAGTATCAATCAGCCATGTCATAATGGAACAGTTCTACTGTGAATGTTTACTTTTTAAAATCAGCAGTAGACCGTGTGCAGTGGCTCACACCTGTAAACCCAGCACTTTGGGAGGCCAAGGTGGGCGGATCATTTGAGCACAGGAGTTTGAGACCAGTCTAACCAACGTAGTGAAACCCCATCTCTATAAAAATGCAGAAAATTAGCTGGGCATGGTGGTGCACACCTGTAATCCCAGCTACTCAGGAGGCTGATGTGTGAGGATTGCTTGAACCCAGGAGGCAGATGTTACAGTGAGCCAAGTTAGTGTTGCTGAACTCCAGCCTAGGCAACAGAGCTAGACTCTGTCTCAAAAATAAAATAAAATAATAAAATATAATCAGCAGTAATATTGACGGTTTCCACAACAGCCAATGAAGGCTTAGGTCAGGAGTGTCATTATCCTTCCAAGGACCCTATTTACTCTCTGACATCAGTGCCTTTTTTGGGACCACAGTGTTTCTACTGAGAGTGGCTTTAACTAACCTGACTTGAGGAAAAAGATCTTCTTCCCATGATTGTGCCTCTGAATAGCCACTGCATCTAACCTGAGCAACACAGAAAGACCTGTCTCTAAAAAAGTAATATATTGCTGGTGTGCCCACTAATTTTCTCTTCCCATATACTATTCAACCCAGGCTAGTTTCATGTATTTCTTTTTGGCATTTCAAGCTTAAATATCTAGAGCCTTTTACATGCTCTGCCATACTTGAGAAATTGCTGCATTATCAGAATCAAAATCAGACACTGCACTGCCCAAAGAGACTTTGGTCAGAAGCAGATATATTCACTAGTCCTCTTGAATCTCTATGTTACATCGAAGCTATTTTCTGAAAAAAAGTCCAGGAAAAACAATACTCCAACAGGTGATGCAGACATAGGAACTGCGCTTTCCAGATGCTTCTGAGTGTTTTGGGCTATGCTTGTAAGTTTATGTGTATGAGGACTAAGAGTATCTAGAATAAGACTAGGCTGTTATTGCCCACATCTCATCTTCATCTTAAGGATGAAGCTGTTGCCAAGCACAGACTAGGTGAGGCACTGGTAAACATTATACTCAGTCAGTTCTGATTGATTTCAATAGGCTAGAAGTAAAAATTAATTCAAAAGTAGAGTCACTTTAACCAAATGCAAAATATCATGTGCCTGTCTCTGTCTTCCTCCAACCACCTACCTCTGGCCCATAGATTTGTTTGGGTTTGGCTCTCACAGGGTTTAAACAGCAACCAAAAATTGGATTTGTTGAAGTGAAAATTTGCATATAAAAATCTGATTTTTGGCACCTGGGAGATTTGGCAGCCCTGGGCAGCATTGCCCCGTGGGAGGGTGGCTGGATGCCACCCGTTTTAGATGGGTCATGGACTCAGACTCACCCGAACACTATTCAACTGACCACCTTCCCTCATGTTACTTTCCTGACCCATCTGTGCTTTTGAGTTTGCCCTTGCCAGATAGAAAGGAGGTTCAGTGGCACAGATTTTTTTTTTCTGTTTAACAGCTCTTATAAAGTTACTGTGCTATGTGGATGTTTGTGTAACACCTTGTATTTTATCAAGTATCTTTCCCTCAAGGCACTCAAAAAACTATGCAAACACAAAAGGGTTAATAACAACAACAACAACAAAACAACAGAAAGGCTGAGTAAGGTGGCTCAGGTCTGTAATCCCAGCACTTTGGGATGCTGAAGTGCCAGGATTGCTTGAGGCCAGGAGTTCAAGACCGGCCTAGGCAAAAAAAAAAAAAAAAAAGAGGAAAGAAAGAAAGAAAGAAAGAAAAAAGAAAGAAAGAAGGAAGGAAGGAAGGAAGGAAGGAAGGAAGGAAGGAAGGAAGGAAGGAAGGAAGGAAGAAAGGAAGGAAGGAAGGAAGGAAAAAAAAAAAAAAAAAAAAAGCAAAGAAAAAAGCCAGGCATGGTGGCATACACTTGTAGTCTTAGCTAATTGGAAGGCTGAGTGAAGAGAATCCCTTGAGCTCAGGAGTTTGTGGCTGCAGTGAGCTAGGATTGTGCCACTGCATTCCAGCCTGGGCAACAAACAAAGACCCTGTCTAATAAAGAAAAACAAAACAAAAAACTACCGATACCTCTTGGCTGGGCAGACTATAATATCCTAAAGAATTGCAGAGTCTGGGTAAATGCCTGATTTGGAGGAAAGTGCCCCAAAGGGCAGCCTGTCCAACCTAAGGGGGTCCTTGTGACCCTTTGATGGAAGCTGAGCAAGTGAGTCAAATGAAGATGGGAAGAAAGCCAGTGGGAGCAACAACTACCTCTTCAGCTTCCAGGGATTTGCTAGGGAGCTTGCTACAGCCATACATACGCCTGGTAGGTCTTGTCCCAGAGGACATACGTTTTGAGATGAACTCAAACACTTGGAACGAACTCAAATGTCCATCAATGATAGACTGGATTAAGAAAATGTGGCACATATACACCATGGAATACTATGCAGCCATAAAAAAGGATGAGTTCATGTCCTTTGCAGGGACATGGATGAAGGTAGAAACCATCATTCTGAGCAAACTAACACAGGAACAAAAAACCAAACACCGCATTTTCTCACTCATAGGTGGGAATTGAACAATGAGAACACTTGGACACAGGAAGGGGAACATCACACCCCAGGGCCTGTCACGGGGTGGAGGGCTGCGGGAGGGAGAGCATTAGGAGAAATACCCAATGTAAATGACGAGTTAATGGGTGCAGCACACCAACATGGCACATGTATACGTATGTAACAAACCTGCAAGGTGTGCACATGTACCCTAGAACTTAAAGTATAACAAAAAATAAAAATAAATAAATAAATAGAGACCAGCTAGAGATAGTTTCTTTAAAAAAATGGAGCCCATTCTTGAACTCTGGACTCAAATACTAATAAATGTAATAAAGATTGTTTATTTATTTATTACATTTATGACCTTACTTAATTTCCAGTTTATGGCAGGAAGCTATATATAATTTTCTTATATTTTTTATTTAGTGAGTAGTGAAGATACAAAATGGACTGTTATAAGATAGAGGTATTATTACTGAATGCTTTCTGTGTGCTTAACTCTTTATATACTTCATACATTGCCCATTCAATTCAGCCACCAACTAGCCTGAACTTAGAAATGAGGAGCTGACGGTCATGGATATTGATTTGCTTATGTAAGGTCACACATTTTTTGTTTTGCGGTTAAGATCATACACATTTTAATCTGAATCCCATATTGTTCTCTTTTCTCTTCAGATACCTTGGATTGAGCCTTAGAGTTTTTTTGCTCCTCTGCAATGAGACTGTTTTATCTTTGACCGTGATCCATCAAAATGGGACGGCCTTTTTCCACTTGATTTCAATTTTTTTTACTTAGAGAGAATCAATTTTTTAAATGCTTGTTATATGTATAGTTTTTTTCCTGGTTATAAAGTCAATTAGGTTCATTTGTTCAAATTTGGAAACTATGAAGGAGCACAATGAATAAAATAAATATCACTCATAATACTATCACTCAAGATAACCCTACCACTCAGAGATAACCACTGTTAATACTACATGGTTTAAACTTTTTTTAATGAATATATATAACAAATAAAATTAGATTCATGCTCTATATGCGATTTTATAATAAATCTTTCTACATGCCAGTAGATAACTGTTTCTATGACACAGTTTTCATGGTTCCACAATATCCTACCTACAGATACAATAATATAACATCCAGGTACCATTCCAAGTACCCTAGAAGTATTTTTTTTCTCTCTCTCTCTCACTGTCTCTCTCTCTCTCTCTCTCTCTCACACACACACACCCACACACACACACACACACACACACTCCTATGTAGTAGGTGGCTTTATTATCCCCATTTTACATATGAGAAAACTAAGGCCCACAGAGGTAACATGGTATAATTTGATTTTGTTCAATAGCTATTAAACAATAGAACTCAGATTCAAACCCCTGTAACCTAGATCTACAGCAATATTCTTAGCCCTTCAGTTTGTTAAGTCTAACTGAGCCTTCAGAGGCCCCTGTAAAACTAGCAACTGGATAATTAAATGCTTCAATACAGCACTACTTGAGTCTGCTTCATTGGAGCAATGCCATGGCTCTTTTTACCCCTTTGTCTCTTCATTTTCTTCATTTATTTCTAGCAGTAATTATCTTGTCCATCAATTAAGACTGTGTGTGTAGACATATACCCCACCCTGTGTCTTAACAGGTTCAATGGATGGTAGAGAAGAATAATTTTCAGATTATTTTTCCCCTTCCTTCTTTTCTTTCTTTTTTGCTAGAACTTAGTTGTTTGATTTTATTCACCAGGACCAAGTTGGACCAAAGCACAGACAATATTCTGAGAAAATAGGAAGCCTGATTTCATGGTTCTAAATGAAGTCTTCAGGCATTTCAAAATAATACACCTTACAGCTCCAAAGAACAAAGATATTGAATGGAGAGAATTTTCAAATATTATAGGGCTTTTCAGGTGGCTACTTTACAAATTGAAACATGTCTGTAGCTTAAAAAGCAAAAATTTTTTTTTGAGACGGAGCCTCACTCTGTTGCCAGGCTGGAGTAGTGCAGTGGCGCGATCTCAGCTCACTGTAACCTCCGTCTCCTGAGTTCAAGCGATTCTCCTGCCTCAGCCTCCCGAGTAGCTGGAACTACAGGCATGCATCACCACACCCAGCTAATTTTTGTATTTTTGGTAGAGACGGGATTTCACTGTATTGGCCAGGATGGTCTCGATCTCTTGACCTTGTGATCCACCCACTTCGTCCTCCCAAAGTGCTGGGATTACAGGTGTGAGCCACCGTGCCTGGCCGAAAGCAAAATTTTATAACCTAAGTTGTCTCTTCAGACATTCATAGAAACTATGGGAATTCCGTGCAAAAATAAGTCTTGTCTTCAAAAAGGAACTTGGAAATTTTAAAATATAAGGTGGTATTTTGTTTCCAAGGGCTAATATTGAAACAGTGAACCACTAAGGAAACTTCTGGATGATATTAATAGTAGCAATAATGTTAATTTTCTGGAGTCAGCCCACTAAAAATAGGAAGTACACACTTCCGCAATTGGGCTAAGAAATGAGACAGCTCATTGATCCCAGATTTGGTTGATTGCGCCAGTCTGGCTGCTAAACGGTTTCCCAAATGGGTTGTGGCATAATGGAGACCAGCAGAGAAGATGACAAAACCATCAGCAGGACCTGCCATTGAATTCCCCCAAGACCTTGCTGTGAGCACTGCTATCACTGAATTTGCATATAGCACTGCCAAGCTATATATAATAATTATTGTATATTTATCTCATTTTGCTCCATTAGGATTATTTTGCCTATGAATGATTTTAAAAATAAGAAAATTATTAAGAGAAAAGAATTTTGGAGTGATTTGAAGTTTTATTTTATTTTATTTTTTTAATAGAGACAGGGTTTCACCATGTTGCCCAAGCTGGTCTTGAACTCCTGGATTCAAGTGATCTACCTACCTTGGCCTCCCAAAGTGCTGGGATTACAGACATAAGCCACCACACCCAGCCAGTGGTTTGAGGTTTGAATCACAACTCTGTCACATATTGTAATGGACATCTGGTGTTTTTCCCAGTCCCAGCACCCACTCTTTTCTGGAAGCAGCACCTTTCTTTTTCCTTGGGGAATTACCCCTTTCCTAGTTTGTGCCAATAATCAAGATTCGTGTCCTCCCCTGAAAAACAGTGTCATGTGGCCCAAGTGAGGCCAATCAGATTCAACCTCACAAATTCCAGTTGCGAGCCAGGCGATCAGGAAGAGATTGGAGCTGATCATCCCTCTGGCATGTTCCTGAAGAAATGGGCCCACTCATGCCTGCCATCTGGATGCTGGAAATTACTCTATTTCTTATTCTTCCCATGATCCAGTTGTTCACCTTTGATTCTGTAAGCTACTCCCTTCCAATATGTTTCAGTTTACTTATGTTATCTCGAATCTGTTTCTCTTGTTTGTAATCAAAGAACTTTAATAGTCTAAACAAACTAAATAAATTATAACTGTAATCTCCATGGACTACAACAAATTTAAAATACCTGATTCAGTCTAACAGCTTTATAATGATGGCTTCAAAATATTTGACAATTAACAATACAGTATTTTTAAATTTATGATAAAAATGACCACAGAATATTTAAATAATCTTTCTAAAAAGTTAACCTCATACATAACAATGCTGAAAGTAATGCCTATTTCCCAGACTTGTAAGAATTAAATGAGCACATGTCTGGAAAATGCCTGGTACAATGCCTCCTCAAGTAAGTGATCTGTATCTATTGGCTGTTATCACTACACAATATCTGCCAGCATGAACATCTCAGTCCAAGGCAAGTTTAAACATTACATGAGTTATGCTAATAGTACTCCATAGAGTAACTTCTCTGAGTTCTTGGCAATGCAGCAATACCTGTTAGAAAGTTATATTTAGGTTAGAACATGTATCTAATAATTAAAACATTTTAGCAAAACACTGATCAAACTGGTATTCAGATATTTATTTATTTATTTTTATTCTGTAGAGTCAGGGACTTACTATGTGGCTCAGGTTCTCCTACCTCAAGCAATCCTCCTGCCTTGGCCTCCAAAAGTGTTGGGATTACAGGCATGAGCCACTGTTTGCAGCTGGTATTCAGTTTGAATAAAATAGCTTTGATCCATCAAAAGACAAAGAGCTAGTCTCGATAAAAGCATCTAAGCAAACTTTACACTATGCAAGTGAGCAGTTTTGAATTTATGGTATTTAATTCTGAATAAAGTAGTGATCTATTGGAAAGACACATTCAGATGAATGCCAACCAAGTAAGTAACTAATTTAGTCATTACTTCATATCTGTTTAAACAGAGATGCATACATGGTCACATAATAGGGCCATTTGGAATTGTTAAGATTTTGTGGCACATGCATGTGCAGGAAATTCAAGCAAAATCCGAAATGTCCTTAGCCATTTGTTCTAATTGACTCATAAACCTGAATGTTTAGAGGTTGGTACATCATTAGTCTCACTCTAGTAGGCATTTGGCATAAAAAGTCTTTAGTTAAAGCCTCTCCTGCTGAAGCAAAGGTTTAAAACTATCAAGTCACTTGTCCCTGCCACCTCAGTTTTTTCTCTTTATTTTTTCCTATTACCTAGTGCAGAGAAAGTGCACTGGTGACCTATTTTCCTGAGAGCCTTTCCAATGAGCTGACATTACAACACGACAAAAATCATTCTGCCTCCTCTGATGAGGCAGTCCAATTTTGCTAGCAGAATGAGAGGGGAAAGGTATTATGAAAGGCACTGTTGCTTGCTCATCCAATAACCACTTTCTCCTTGCAAACCACAGAATCCTGATTTTGTTAGGATCTCTAAAACTCAAGGCAGGTGGTGAACTCCAGGGAATGAATCTCATAGATCTTAGCCAGTCACGGTCATTCAGTTCCCCCTTGCTATTGTTTGTTCTAACATTTGGCAGGGGGGCCAATTTCTGGCTGAAAAGATGTAACGTAAAATGTGTTGGCAGGGGGTGGGAGGTATCTCGGAAATATTTTTTTTTTCCCTCCGCTAACCAAGAAGCAGCATTGACAGATTTTCTTCCTGGTTAGAAATATAGAGATTTATGAAAAGTCCTTTGCACCCCAAAGCTTTCTTCTTGTCTTAGAAGTAACTAAGTAAGGATAACTTGCTTGGAGCTGCATTGATCTTTCTGTAACCAAGAAGTGACAAGATGACTGGATAATAAGCCAATGTACTAAAGATGGCAGAGTAAAAATATAAAAAGAGCCTGAATCCTTGATGTCATTTTGAGCTCCTGTTCCCTAAATGGAACTGGAACAGCCCACCTCTGGACAGCTTGTTAGCTATTTAAATGTATTTGTTACCTTTCTGTTACTTGCATCTGAAAGCATTCCTAAGGGCATTAGCATTTATATACCATCCATACCCCCTTCAATTTGAAAGGTTTTATGTCACCAGGCAGTAGGATCATGATCTGACAATAAGATGAAGAGGAACTGGTAAGTTCCTGCAATATAATCTTTCAAAGGTGAGTGCAAAATTCTGTTCAGTGTTTACTAGTCGCTATTGGGGGTAGTTTGTATTTTTTAGAACTGTCAGATTAATTAACTCCTGGTCCCTAAGATAGCAAGCTTGGTTGACAGGAGGTTTTGTTTTTGTTTTGTTTTGTTTGAGAAGGAAGGTCTCACTCTGTCGCCCAGGCTGGAGTGCAGTAGCACAATCATAGCTCATTGCAGCCTCCACCTCCAGGCCCAAGTGACCCTCCCACCTCAGCCTCCCAAGTAGCTGGGACCACAGGTGCATGCCACTACACATGGCTAATTCTTTTCATTTTTGTAGAGATGGGATTTCCCTATGTTGCTCAGGCTAGTCTCAAACCCCCGGCCTCAAGCAATTCTCCCACCGTGGCCTCCGAAAGTGTTAGGAATACAGACAAGAGCCACCACGCTCAGCCAGGAAGAGTTTTACAATAAGGGCCAGTGAATGAGACCTGTAATGAAAACACTCAAGAGTCTCATTAGAGAAAACTTTAGAATCAGGATAAAAGAAATCAGTTACTATTAGCATAAGGCTTGGAACTCAAGTCATTCTTATTTTTGGAAGACGATCACTTTATTCTAAGTAACACACAAATAAAATAATAACAGCTAGTTTAACAGAATAAAATCATAACAGCTAGTTTAAGGAGGCCACACAAACATTGGCCCAGCCCTAAATTCCTCACCATCTTAATGAAATTCTACATAGTAAGAACAGCGTCTTCCATTTTAATTCTGAAGGAAGAAAGCTATGAATGACACCTGAGAGGTTTAACTGATGGTTACTCTTTATCTCTTCATTATTAATTATATTTTTATACTAAATTAACTTGGTTATGAGAGCTGATTTTCCATTTCTCCAATTTGAACTTCTCGATTGGGCCAATCCATTTGCAGGTCTGCACTGTTTCAGCACCTCACTGAAACCCTCACGGAGCTTTATGTCACCCGGTTCCGGGCACACTCCAAAAACGGTTTTATCTCATAGAAGCAAGGCTGCTGCCGCTGTGACATCTGGGTTCCCTGGGGCTCCTGGTAGGTGATGTCAGGACTTGCAGGCTCAGCATTACTTCCTTCATTGAAGCCCCCAGTGATGGTATGACCCACCGTGTACCCCACGCCAGCTCCAGTGGTTGCTATCCGGGCCATCAGACCTGGCTGCCTGGGCCCAGCAGCAGGAGGGCCAGCTGCAAAGGGGGATGCCGCTGCTGGCAGCTGAGCTGCTGGTGCTGGCCTGGCTGTAGTTCTTTAGTTCTTTTTTTTTTTTTTTTTGAGATCAAGTCTCACTCAGTCACCCAGGCTGAAGTGCAGTGGAGTGGTGAGATCTCGGCTCACTGCAACCTCTGCCTCCTGAATTCAAGTGATTCTCCTGCCTCAGCCTCCTGAGTAGCTGGGATTACAGGCGCGTGCCATCATGTCAGGCTAATTTTTGTATTTTTAGTAGAGACAGGATTTCCCCATGTTGGCCAGGCTGGTCTCAAACTCCTGACCTCAGGTGATCCACCCATCTTGGCCTCCCAAAGTGCTGGGATTACAGGCGTGAGCAACCACGCCCAGCCATGAGTGCGGTTCTCATGTGAGATACCCGGCTGGCCTGAATGGCCACGCGGGAGGTGCGGCTCTGGCTTCCACATGGCATCCTAGGTGCACTGCAGCTTGGCGTCTGGATGTGCAAAAATCTCTCAAGTCATTCTTACAGTATCTTCAGAAATTAGGAGTGGGGCATTTGTTTGCATAGGAAGTGGCACAACTTTGAATATACATGAAACATTAAAAAATAAAAATAAAAGAAAAATATTTTATTACTATAAAGAGAACTGTAGCTTCTTGTATATCCATGTACACATAACCAAAATTTTCAGGAAGAGATACTTATTCTTTTATTGTGTGATGTACTCTTATATGTTCTATTCTACTCTTTTTTTTCTTTCAATTTAAAAAAAGTGCTGGTTTTAACTTACTGGAATAATTTCACAACCCACTAATGAGTTACCACTTGCTGTTTGAAAAGCATTAAGATAATTGCCAATGTAGGTTAAAGATTTTCTGAGTTAAACTGACTTGAATAATAGACTTGAAAGACTTGTGTTACTTACGTAGCAGGAAGTCCAAGATAGGGCAGACTTTAGTGTTCCTTGTCTTCATGTACCCAGGTACTCTGCTCTGACTTCTACAGTGTCAGTTTCACACTCAGGTGACTCCTCCTGAAGTCATAAGAGGCTGGTGTCTTGAACACTCAGTTATTCCTTCAGGCTCCTCTCTGGACTTCTTTCTCTGCTCTGTGACTTGTATGGCTTACATGAATAAGATCCCTTACACCCTGGCTTCTGTTTGGATTCAGCTAATGGGGATTGCTTGCGGAACTTGAACAGAAATAAGAGAATAAATTTGGGGCACTTATTCATCTGGCTTCTTCCCTGCGCAGTCAGGCTGGATTGACCACTTTTCATAACCCAAGTTCACAGCTCCCCTCCAGTGGCCCTCTCTATGCGACTTTCTCTGGGGTTCTGGTAACCCTGCTCATTGTGGTTTTGGACACAGATGTGATGATGGTTCTCCTGCTCCGTGTCCTAGTGTGCTGCTTTGTCCTATGTGCTTTCACTGTACCCTGCTCATGCCCTTGAATGCCTTTTATTATTAAATCATTCTTGAATTATTCTAATTTGAGTATGGCAACTAAATTTTGATGGGGCTCTGACTTAATACCAGCTGCCAAAAGTAGTTGTGTTCACTATCACCAGGGGAGGGAGAGATTGGTTCTTTACCAGAAGCCCTGGGTAAGACTCCACATTTCCACCAGCTCAAACAGTCGAGACTTGCCCATTTTTGAATGAGTCAGTGGAGGGGAAAAGGAAATGCCATGATCATCTTACACTATGTACCTGAGGAGGGATAGATGCTAATCCTCTACAATGACCACCCAGTAGAGAAGCCACTCTCTGTGTTGCACCTAGAAGATTATGATATTACAACATGAGACTTAGCCCAGCATCATGGCAGCAGGTAAACAAAGGTAGCTTTTCAGTGGCAAATTAAATGAGTTAATTATACAAATATTAGCAATTGGATGACTAACCCAAACATCAGAATGATGTTTTTGCCTTGAAAAAACCTTTCTCACACAGTAAGTTTTCTTTTGCCAGAATGGAGTCAGGCTAAAATTTCCAAGGTCATAGAAGACTTTATGTGTACCATATTAAAAAAAACAAAACAAAACAAAACAAAAAAAACAACAACAGTTTAAAAGCTACTTCCTATACTCATTTATTTTATCCGTAAGTCAAATTTCCTACGATCATGCAACAAACTATTGGTTCCAGAAGTTGATCCGAAATTGGGAGAGGATTGGTTTAGTGACAGTTTCCTCTCTTTCTCTGTAGGTTACTCCAGGAGTGTTCCAGGGATCAAGGCAGGACCAGGACCAACCTGGGGAAGGCTAGGGCCTCATGTCTTTTCTTCTCCTGCTTCTCAACTCTAGGAGACCAGACATAAGATGTTAACATAGAATAATTGCACTAACACTGAATGGATTTATAAAAAATTAAAATGAAGTCAGAATTTTTCTCTCTAGTACTAATAAAGAGAACACATGGAAGGTTACAACATCAGCTTAATCCTAAGGCTGGCTTCAGTGGGGGCTATGAGAAGGCTGATGCATTGAATGCCTTCCATTTCTTTCTTTTTCTCACCTTCTCCAACCTCCTCTGTGCCCTGCTCAGACAAACAGCACCTCCTTCCCACTTCCCACCTCTCCTCTGCACTTGGTAGGGTCAGATTTATAAGCAGAAGCAGACCTTGTCACCTTTTCTTTTCTTTCTTTTTCTTTCCTTTCTTCCTTCCTCCCTCCCTCTCCCCCGCTTTCTTTCCTTCCTTCCTTCCCTCCTTCCTTTCTTTCTTTTATTTTCTTTCTTTCTTCTTTCTTTCTTTCTTTCTTTCCTTCTTTCTTTCTTTCTTTTTTTCTTTCTTTCTTTCTTTCCTTTCTTTCCTTTCTTTCTTTCTTTCTTTCTTTCTTTCTTTCTTTCCTTCTTTCTTTCTTTCTTTTTTTCTTTCTTTCTTTCTTTCCTTTCTTTCCTTTCTTTCTTTCTTTCTTTCTTTCTTTCTTTCTTTCTTTCTTTCTTTCTTTCTTTCTTTCTTTCTTTCTTTCTTTCTTTCTTTCTTTCTTTCTTTCTTTCTTTCTTTCTTTCCTTCTTTCCAGGGTCTCTCTGTGTTGCACAGGCCGCAGTGCAGTGGCGCAATCTCAGTTCATTGCAAGCTTCGCCTCACAGGTTCAAGTGATTCTCGTGCCTCAGTCTCCTGAGTAGCTGGGATTACAGGCATGCACCACCACTTCTGGCTCGTTTTTGTATTTTTAGTAGAGATGGGGTTTCAACATGTTGGCCAGACTGGTCTTGACTTTCTGGCCTCAAGTGACCCGCCCGCCTCAGACTCCCAAAGTGCTGGGATTACAGGCATGAGCTGCTGTGCCTGGCCTCTTGTCACCTTTTCTGATTTTTCCTTGGTGGCTCTCTAAGGAGAAGGCCCCAAATGGACTCAAGAGCAGAAAAGACAACCGATTCTAGGGCCACATAGAGACGCTTTAGACAATTAAAACTCCTGGATTGAAGAGTGTTGACACAGAGACACAGATTCCAGCTGCACTGCCCCGCCTCAGCCTTGGGAAATTCTCTGGATGATTATATAGGATTGAGCTGCTCCTTCTGGGGGATCACAGAAAATCCAGATGCAGGTGCATTCAGGCCCAAACTTGTGAGAGAGGCAAATGGTGGCCACCCTCCCCAGGCACTTTAGCCGCTTCTCACTGAGCTTGCCCCAACTTGGCCATGCCGCTGTCTCACGATCCCTCTCCACTCTGCCACTGTCATCCCCCTTGCCCCTCATTTTTCCACACCCATCCTCTCTCATGAAGCTTTTCACATTCTTCCTTCAAAAGCTATTGCTTGTTGTGTGATGTGAGTGAAAATAACTTCTACCACCACAACTCAGTCCTGCAGGCTTTTTGTCACTTACTGAAGCAATTAAAGGCTAATAGCACTTGTTTGTGTTTCCAGAGCAGAGCATAGAAGTGCATATCTGTAGTCCCTAAAGTCAGCTCATGCAGGACAGAGTATTCTGGACACACAGCACGAATCGGAAGAGCTGTGGAATCAGTTTGGGAAAATGTTGAATTGCATATAAGAGGAGGAGATTTAACATCTGCGCATGTTTTCTCTAGTACTATCTGTCTATCTGTCTATCTATCTATCTATCTATCTATCTATCTATCTATCTATCATCTATCTACCTACTTACTTATCTACCTACCTACCTACCTACCTACTTATCTACTTACCTATAAATGAATAATAGCTGCTGGTGGGTAACTGTGGCTCTTTGTTTTCATGTAAAGAGCATATTTCAGAGAAGTGGACTTGTTTCACTTTTTTTTTTTTTTTTTTTTTTTTTTTTTAGGTCCTAAATGTAGCTTCTAGGAGACTTAGTTTAGGGGAAGTAAAGAAAATGATGTTAACTGTGGATCACTGGGCCCTCAGGGCAGATGCCCACCCATCTGGATACCGGAGATAGCACCTGCTCCTAGTTTCATGGCCGATTTTGCCTGCGTCTGCTTCACTGGTTGTACCCATGGGTGGTGACTTCTTCAGAAAGTGATCTCATAACCTGTTTGCACATTGTTTTGGAAGTAAACGTTGCCAGAGATTAAAGTATTAAATGTAATCTTACTTACCCTTCTAGAGGACATTGCGGCAAAAATATTCTTCCAAAGGGATGCCTGATATTACAGATGGATCCAGGTTTTGTAGGGCCTATGTTTATGCAATTTTGTAGAACTTCTTTAATAAAAAGTATATAAAAAGTTGATTTCATAGAAGTAAAAAGTAGTATAGAAGATACCTGAGGCTGGGAAGGGTAAGAGGAAGGAGGATGATGAGAGATTTTTGAAAGGATACAAAGTTACAGCTAGATAGGAGAAACAAGTTCCAGTGTTTTATTTCACTGTAGGATGACTATAATTAGTAATAATATGTAGTGTCAAATGGCTAGGAGGATATCAAATGTTCTCAACACAAAAAATAATAAACGTTTGAGATCTGATCACTAAACATTACATGTACAGCACTATGTACCCCATAAATGTGTACAATCATTATACATCAATTAAGAAATAAAAGAAAAAAGAAAAAGTATTGATACGGTTTGATTCTGTGTCCCCATCTAAATTTCATCTTGAACTGTAGTCCCCTTGTGTCAGGGTAGGGACTTCCTGGGAGGTGACTGGATCATGGGGGCGGTTTCCCACACGCTGGTCTCATGATAGTGAGTGAGTTCTCATGAGATCTGGTGGTTTAAAAATGTTTGGCAGTTGTCGCTTTGCTCTTTTTCTCTCCTGCCACCATGTAAGACGGCCTCACTTCCCCTTTGCCTTTCACCATGACTGTAAATTTCCTGATGCCTCCCCAGCCACGTGGAACTGTGAGTCAATTAAACCACTTTCCTTTATAAATGACCCAGCCTCAGGCAGTTTTTTATTGCAGTGTGAAAATGGACTAAGATAAGTATATAAAAGTCGTTATAAAAGTAAACATTTATTTAGAGTTAGAAAAGAAATCTCAACATATTACAATTTAAAAATATGACAAATACTACAAACATCACAAAATCCAGAAAAACCGTAATATTTATTATTAACTAACGGCTTGATTCACCTCTACAATACTTTCTTACTTACATATTTTGGCAGCATACTTTGATTTTTCTGTTAACGTGTTGGCTTTAAAAAATCATTTTCCATGAAGAAAATAGAAATGTAATTCAATCTTATAGTACGCTTGACTTATATTTATTATTTATTGTTGATAATTGGAAAGAATAAAATATTCAACTCACAGAGATATATATTTTGTTTGTAGTATTGCTAAAGGTTTGTGCTCCACAAAAGAAGAAATTCTGATAACTTCTATTTTACGTGATAACCATTAAGCAAAGAAAAGCAAATGGCCAGGTACAGTGGCTCATACCTGTAATCCCAGTACTTTAGGAGGCGAAGGCAGGAGGATAGCTTGAGCCTAGGAGTATAGCTTGAGCCCAGGAGTTCGAGATCAATCTGGGCAACATAGTGAAACCTCATCTCTATTAAAAAAATACAAAACTTAGATGGGTTTGGTGGTATGTGCCTATGGTCCCAGCTACTCAGGAGGCTGAGGTGGGAGAATTGCCTGGGCCCAGGAAGTTGAGGGAGCAGTGAGCTGAGATCATGCCACTGCACTCCAGCCTAGGTAACAGAGTGAAACCCCATCTCAGAAATAAATAAATAAGAAAAGCAAAGAAATATGTTTCAGTTATTAAATATATGTCATTATCAAGTATGTTCCTAAGAAGAGAGAATTTCCAATTAGACTAGACATCATGAGAACGGGATCTTCCGCTTAATCTTTTTTTTTTTTTTTTTCTTTGAGCTAGGGTTTCTCTCTGTTGTCCAGGCTGGAGTGCAGTGGTGTGATAATAGCTCACTGCAGCCTCAACTTCCCAGGCTCAAGCAATCTTCTCACCTCAACCTCCTGAGTAGCAGGGCCTATAAGGCAGGCACCACTAGACCTGGCTAATTTTTGTATTTTTCTGTAGAGACAGGGCCTCACCTTGTTGCACCACCTGGTCTCAAACTCCTGGGCTCAAATGATCTGCCTGGCTCGGTCTCCCAAAGTGTTGGGATTACGAGCGTGATAGTCAGTAGTCCCTACAGTCAGCTCATGCAGGACACTGTGAGCCACTGTGCCCCGCCTAAAATTTTAAACATCTGATAATCGGGAGAAATTTTCCATGGACTAGCCCTGGCTCCATATGTCTCAAACCTTGTGTGTCCTCCGTGGTTGGTAACCTTGTGGTGCCAAGCACTACTAGGAACATTCGCAGTGAGGCAGCCTCTGGCCCAGCACTTTCATGTCTCAGTGCTGGCTGGGTGGGCCCAGTGGATAGTCAGAGCCTGCCTAGGAGCCACTCCTACACTAGGACAACTGGCATTAACCACGTGGAAGTGATCATGAACTATAGAAACATATACCAGTAAAACCAAATAAATGTGTCCTCAACTAAACTTCCCTTCAGCCGCATCTCAAAAACATATGTAGCTGCTCCAGCTTCACTGAACTACGGAACTCTGATATAGGAAATTTCTACCTGGATTAGATGTAAGAGTTTTAACAAACTATAGCAAAAGTATATTATTACTGCAACTTTTATAAAGCATATAACCATGTGAACACATTGCCAGGGTTTCTCCCAAAGTCTTGGAAGAGACCGATGAAAGTGATGGGCTAGGAAGATTAATCTCTCTCTTTCAAACTCTTTTTTTCTATCCCAGGGCTTCATAAGCCCATAAGGCATTTAAGCACCTGCTTTAGAGGAGGAAGCTGTGTTTTCTTTACTTTTAGAGGATGGGGTCACTAAGCCTAAATGCCACTGGTCCACTTGGGGGCAGTTATCCAATTCTGATCTGACCCCAATTATTGCTTTTTACTCTATCATGACTAACTAGGAAATTAGCCTAACAATTCTCATGAAAACGAGTGATTGTGCTTTTCCTGTCCTTTTAATACCCAACTTAGTTTTAAAAGAATATTTTGATGCTTAATTTAGAAAAAAATAACAGTAATATCAGAATATTCACCATGTAACAAGGGCTTATTGGATAAAACAGATTTTACATATTACTGTGTTTAATCCGCACTCTGCTGTCAAGGAGGCAGGTGGTCATATAGCTGTCTCACCAAATGCAGCAACTGGTTAAGAAAGGTTAAACATCTTGCCCAAGATCACAAACTTGTAAATGGGAGAACTGGTTTTGAAACCTGATCTGTTTGTCCCTAACATCCGTGTTCTTTTATTCTACTTGCTTGTCTTGCTGTGGCAAATCAGAAGAGGGTACACAGATATTCAAAGTGACACAGTGTTCTAGTGACAGTTTCTCTTTAAGGAATTGGAGATGACCCACAATCAGGGAGTGGAGGGATGAATAACCCTTACTCAGTTTGACTTTCTTTTGTTTCTGTCCTATATCATTCAGTTACAAAAAGAGTAAAAGGAAGCCTGGGCAGGTAAAAACAACACATCTCCTTTATAAGAAACAAGCAAACTAGTTGTATTTTAGAAAATACATTTTGATTTCTTTGCTAACGAGGCTGAGCATGCTTCATGTTTTTGTTGTCAAATTATATTAGCTTTTATATACATTGTCTTTTCACGATAAGTACTTTTTCTTCTTTTCTTTTCTTTTTTCTTTTTTTTTCTTTTTTTGAGATGGAGTCTCACTCTGTCACCCAGGCTTGAGTGCAGTGGCACAACCTCGGCTCACTTCTCCTGCCTCAGCCTCCGATGTAGCTGGGATTACAGGCATGCACCAGCACATCCGGCTAATTTTTTGTATTTTTAGTAGAGACAGTGTTTCACTGTGTTGGCGAGGCTGGTCTCGAACTCATGACCTCAGGTGATCTGCCCACCTCGGCCTCCCCAAGTGTTGGGATTACAGGCGTGAGCCACCATGTCCAGCCGATAAGTACATTTTTTAAAGGTTAGGCTGGGCACGGGGGCTCACGCCTGTAATCCCAACTCTTTGGGAGGCCTAGGTGGGTGGATCACCTGGGGTCAGGAGTTCAAGACCAGCTTGGCCAACATGGTGAAAACCCCCATCCCTACTAAAGTACAAAAATTAGCCAGGCATGGTGGTGGGCATCTGTAATCTCAGCTACTCAGGAGGCTGAGGCAGGAGAATCACTTGAACCCTGGAGGCGGAGGTTGCAGTGAGCTGAGATTGCGCCATTGCACTCCAGCCTGCACAATAAGAGTGAAACTCCATCACAAAAAATAGAAAATAAAAAAAAGTCATTAAAATTTACCTGAAATGAAGGAATATTTGTGATGGGTCTGGGCAGGGAATGGAGTAGTGAAAGAAGTGAGAATGGGAAAGAACACTTCCTATCATTCTTAGCCATGATGATAATCTTTTCTCTGTAAGTTCTCGTATACTTGAGAGAACTGAATTTATTTCTCTTGTAAAAACCTTCAAGCCCTTGCTCTCTCTCTTCCTGGCAAAATCTGACCCATGAGTGAGTCTCACTCCTGCTTTGCCACGACCTCACTGAGGGCAGGAACCTACTGAGCAAATTCCACAATGAGCTGAATTGGAATCACCACACATTCATGGTGATCACTCCCAATCATGCCCTCAGCACTGCCCTGCAAACTCGCTCAGCTTCTCTAGAAAACTTGTTCTCATTCTCTGCAGCTACCTGTCTTTTTCTCTTTCTTCTAAGGAACCACACACACTCCCACATACCCACCACCCACTCTCAGCAATGAATCATGTCTTATACTCCAGAGAGAAAGCAGTCTGAAAGGTGTTTCAACCATCAATCAAGAAACACTTTACCTCCAAATCCACCAATTGCCTGCATTTGTACCTATCTTCTCCTTCTTCCCCTGATAAAAATGAGGAACCAGCTGTTCCTTCTTTTGTCAAAGTTGATCTCAGGGACACTGAATGCCTACCATCCCTTCCTTCCTTCCTTCCTTTCTTCCTTCCTTCCTTCCTTCCTTCCTTCCTTCCCTCCCTCCCTCCCTCCCTCCTTTCCTCCTTCCTTCCCTCCTTCCTTCCTTTCTTCCTTCCTTCCCTCCCTCCCTCCCTCCCTCCTTCCTTCCTTCCTCCCTTCTTTCCCAGGACAATACTCCAGGGGTTGCTTCCTCTCTGCACGCACCTTTGCTCCAGCAAATAGACATATCGTATCACCCTCCAAACCCTCTTTTGACCCAGCCTGACTCCTGTGCACCCTGTCTTCCCATTTCCATCAGAGGAAGCATTTCAAAGGGGCCTTCTGTTTTCCACACCTCAGTCACCCTACTAGGAGTAGACAAAACTTCTCAGTGTGTTGAGAGGTCTGGAGAAATGGCCTTTAGGACTGACCGTACTGGAATCCTTGAGCAGATGCCTAAAAATCTCCATGTTTATCAGTTGTGTCAGTTCATTACTACTGTTCCTAGGGAAAAGACATAGGAGATTCTTCCTCTAGTTTGTTGTATTGTTTGTTTTGCTTTGTTTTTGAGGTGGAGTTTCGCTCTTGTTGCCCAGGCTGGAGTGCAATAGCGTGATCTTGGCTCACTGCAAAGTCTGCCTTCCAGGTTCAAGGGATTCTCCTGTCTCAGCCCCCTAAGTAGCTGGGATTACAGGCGCATGCCACCACGCCCAGCTAATTTTATATTTTTAGTAGAGATGGGGTTTCACCATGTTGGCCAGGGTGGTTTCGAACACAGGCGCATGCCACCACGCCCAGCTAATTTTATATTTTTAGTAGAGATGGGGTTTCACCATGTTGGCCAGGGTGGTTTCGAACTCCTGGCCTCAGGTGATCCACCTGCCTCGGCCCCCCAAACTGCTGAGATTACAGGTGTGAGCCACCATGCCCGACTGGAAATTCTTCCTCTAGTTTGTTGTAAATAGCTCTAAAACAATCAAACTTTGGTGATTACCAGGGACTGAAGATGAGGGTGCAGGGAATAAGGGGTGACTGCTTAATGTGTAAGAGGGTTTTCTTTGGGGTGATGAAAATATTTTGAAACCAGTTAGAAGGGTTGATTGCCTAACACTGTGGATATAGTGAATGCCACTGAATTTTATACTTTACAATAATTAATTTTATATTATGTGAATTTTATCTCAATAAAAAAGCTATTAAGGAAAAAAGCTTATCTAATGCTCTCAAGCAAAAAAAAAAAAAAAAAAAGCTCTACAATTAACAAAAAATAAGCCAGACCTGGTGGCATGTTCCCGTAGTCCTAGCTACTTGGGAGGCTGAGGGAGGATCCCTTGAGCCCAGAGGTTCTAGGCTGCAGTCAGCTATGATGGTGCCACTGCATTTCAGCCTGGGTGACAGAGCAAGACCCTGTCCCATGTCTCATATATATATATATGATTTGGAAAATTGTTGTTTGCACATGAGGCACTGAACATTGAAAACTCTCTCTCTCTCTGTATGTGTGTATATATATATATATATATATATATATATATATATATACTCTCTATGTATATATATAAACTCTATCTCTTTCTCTCTCTGTATATATATAGAGAGTATATATATAGAGAGAATATATATAGGTATATATATATTCTATATATACCTATATATATAGAATAGATATATATAGATATGTCTAGTCTATATATATCTATATATAGAATATATATATAGAATATATATATCTATATATAGATATATATATAGAATATATATATCTATATATAGAATATATATATAGAATATATATATTCTATATATCTAGTATATATAAATATATATTTATATAAATATATATCTAGTAAAAATATATAATATACATATATGCATATATATTTCTGATAGGCTACTCATTGGGGAATGAAACGAATAATTAATTAGATAGGCTGGTTCTTGTACAGATGAACAGTCTACTGCACATTTTGTTTTCTTGATAAATAGAATGTTGGGCCATGAAGATCCAGTAATACAAATTTTCTTAGTATATAACTTCGTCTAGTGTCTGTTATTCATTCACATTAGGCCCATAGGGAGGAAGATAAAACAATTTTTTAAGATATATGAAAAAGTACATTTCATTATATTCCTATTAATCAATTTGGATAATTGTTGTTTGCACATGAGACACTGAACATTGAAAACTCTATAAAAGTGAATTATATAAAATATGGAAAGAAGAGAAAGAAAAAAGCTATAATTATTTAGCAATTTCCAAAATATTTCAGCCTCAGTTTCAGGCCTCCTCCTTTTAAAGTGGAGAAGAGCTGCACACTGGGGACTAATTTGCATTGATAACATGCTGTGCCTTAATGGACCCTCTGCAAAAGCTGAGACTGTGAATGGGATCAATAGTGCAGATTCTTTACTAAGGCTTTTTAATGCATTTAACCACAACTGGGTATTAGTCTTAATAAGCTTTCCAAGCTTTGACTATTATTGTTCCTTAGAGTATTAATAAGAAATACAGAATTGCGCATTGTATTCCCATTAAATAAGCAAATTCATATTAGAAATTATTATGAAGCTAATTATTTAGGAAAAGAAAAGCCATGCTCCTGGTTGGGAAATCACGCCATTATACTGCCAGAAAATGAAAATACCCTTCATTCTTGGAACATCTTCTCTGAAGCAATGTCTGAGTATATTTCTCCAATCTAAATCAATTATTTTGCTTCTCGGCATGAGGGTGAGCAAAGTCACCTACCTGCATGAATTTGGCCTTTCTGGGTTGAGAGGCTTCCCCAAGGCCTGGAGGAGACCTGCAAGGCTGGCCAGTGGGTTGTTACGGAGTTGAACTCTTCCACTGGGGGTTCACTGTTGCAGCTGCCATTGACTGTCTACTGAGCACTGGGCATGTCTCATGTACTTATTCATCCCTCACAAACAAAAACCCTACTTTGCAAACATGAAAACAGTACACACATCTAGAAAGTGGGAGCTCAACTTCAAACCCAAGTCGATACAACTCTTAAATCCTTTATTCTTTCTAAGGCACGAACCTGTCTCTGCTGGGAATTAGCAAAAGGAAAAATTCCTTTCTGGCTTTAAATATGCAGGAATGAGAGTAGCGCAGAGGCTTCCTATTTTCTGAGAGGTTGGCTGGGTCTACACTCAGTTACCACAGAGGACCTGGGAGGTGAAAAGAGATTCTGTATTGGTCTCTTCCTTCATACATTAGTTGAACTTGAAAAGAGAAGTAGAGTCATTAAATTGGTTACCTGACACTTTCTGGGAAGAGGTAAATATTATCACAGTTTTTCATTTAGACAATGCCAGCCCAGAAATATTAAGAAGTATCTCTCATAGTCAAGGAAGTGGTAATACGGTGCAAGTAAGAAGCTGGGTTGAACTGACATTTTAGATTTCTTACTGGGCTTTAATTGCTACACCATATTTTTAAACATTAAAATGTCTCCGAAGTGTTCGGGCAAGAAATTTTTAAACATCAAAATGCAATTCTCTGCCTATTAACAGTCATTTAATTTGGAAGTATCTAATTGAGTTTTCAGATTTTAAAGAACTTACGGACTGGAAACTCATATGCCATATTTCAGCCCCAAGCTAAATTTTTATGGGCAAGTTATAACCTTTCTAATAGACCTTGAACCACTGTGACTTTTCCTTCAGGTATAACTACAATGATCCTTTGCTTGAGTTTGATCTCCACCTGGACTTGAATCTGTAATGAGTCATCAGCCAGAGTCTATGTTTCCATCTCAGGTAGACAGCTGGGTGAAAAGGTCAAAGAAAGCTGATCTTTTTTAAAATGGTCCCAGCAAAAATATCTCATTTAAACTCTTCTGGCCAGGTGCGGTGGCTAACGCCTGTAATCCCAGCACTTTCGGAGGCCGAGCTGGGTGGATCACGACGTCAGGAGTTCAAGACCAGCCTGGCCAAGATGGTGAAACCCCATCTCTACTGAAAATACAAAAATTAGCCAGGCGCACTGGCACACGCCTGTAATCCCAGCTACTCGGGAGGCTGAGGCAGGGAATTGCTTGAACCAGGGAGGTGGAGGTTACAGTGAGCCCAGATCATGCCACTGCACTCCAGCCTGGGCAACGGAGCGAGACTCTGTCTCACAAAAAATAAATAAATAAAAGAAAAGAAAAATAAATAAATAAAAAATAAAATCTGTAAGTTGGCATTTTCCTTTCTTCTTTGTATCAGTGCCTGTGCTTTGATGAACAGGAGAGAATAAACATTCGGTTTACATAAAATTTGTTAATGTATTTGGCATCAGGGCTTATGAAGCTTCAGAAAACAAAGAGGTAATAATATTATACTTAAAATGTTAGATTTTATGTCAGATACTGTGGGCATGTTTTTGAACGAGCGTGACTTGATACGTAGTCAAGGGACACTTTCATATAAAAGAGGATGGTAATAAGTCACAGGCAAATTAGTGGTGCACACAGATTTCTACGATTAAGCTTAATCCAAATGTTCCTACAAGAAATGAACTGCAAACAAGCAGGATTCAGGCTTCCAAAGATGTAACCATCCAAAATGCCTACTACAAAATAGTGTGTCTCAGTCTTCATAGTTTTATTGTAGTAATTTGAAGGATTAAATTACTACATTTAAGTGGAACTTCCAGAACAATATCTGACAAGTATTGGAGGCTGTATAAATATTTGTTGAGTAAATGCATGAATAGATGAATGAATAAGAAAGTGACAGCATCAAGCAAGTTCCTTTTGTGTTGCATTGACTTTAAAAAGAGTTTTTAAGTCTGAAAGTGCTCTCAAGGTGAATATGACTGCACTGCAGAAACAATTCTTGAGCAAAATAAGTTTTCTATGAAAGAATTCCTGCATGGAAAATTACTGTTGGTATCCTCAGAATTTGTTTGACAGAAACACCAAGGAATTTCAAGGGTAAAGACAACCTGGTTTTTAGCCTCAAGAAGGACAGGTATAGGTTTCCAGGTATGAGGTTATGAATGCGAAGGAGAAGCACCTGACATGAGGGATATCTTCACACTTGGATGCAGCCAAATGCCAGTAATATTTCTGAAAGCTTTTCCTGTGGACCGATGAAGGTGTAGAAGCTGTGGGTTCTACAGAGGACCCAGGACCTATGCCAGGACCTAGATGATGAAGCCACTATGAGGCAATTCATAGTTGCCTGGAAAGGCACTGAATCCCTAAAACTGAATATGTGGCGTGTAATAGGAACTGCATCATGGATTTTGAAATCAGACTTCTTGAATTTGAATAAAAACTCAACCAGTAGCTATGATTCTTACTTGACTTTGTTGAGACTCAGTCTCTTTGTGTGAAAAATGAAGGTAATAAAACCTACTCTATAAAGGAGTGAGTGACTATATGTAAAATGACTAGTCTCTTAGTGATTAGCTGGATAAATAGTAACAATTGACATTATTGAACAAACACACTTCTACTACTTTAGACAGTTACACATTGTTTATTGTGCATTTACTATAAGCCAGATGTATGCTAGGTATCATATTTAGTGTTGATTAAACAAATATGGCCTCCATTCTTACAGAGTTTACAGTCTAAGAGGGAAGATAGATATTAAACCAATAATCTTTAGGCAGAAAATTCAGAAGATATAAAATGGCCTTTGGCGATCCAACAATCCAAGCATTACCATTTCCAACTATTTGTGACTCTTTTCTTTCCCTGGTCTCCTTCTCTTCTCATGGACTGTAGGGAATTTCAGAAGAAATGTAGGACTATTCACTTCTCTAGTTGTAACAGGTTTCAAAGTTACAGGCTTCAAGAAAGCTTAATTTGGGTTATTCAATATCTTGATCAATATTTTTATTGCAGAGAATAGAATCTTCTCCAGCTAGCATAAGCAGAATGGTATGTCCTAGGAAGTATAAATAATTCCCAAACTATTGAGAGATCTGAGGAAATGGGTTCAGGCTGATTTGCCAGAAATGAGCCTCAAACCACACTGCAGAACCAGACCATTAAGGATGGTGCGTAGAGGTGACAGATATTGATCAGGAAGCTATGAAATAAAGAAATCGCCACCTTACCTTCCAGGTGCAAATCCACGCCTCTCTGCTACAGTCTACACCAGCAAAGTGAGTGCCTGTACCCTGCCTTTATCCCCATGTGACTCAGTTCTAGATCAAAGTTTTGTGTGCATGCATCTAACTGGAAGTGCCCAAAGCACATGGAGAGCTGCACTGCAGACGATTGGCAGATGTGGTATCAGCTTTCTGGCCTTGCAACTTTCACAGGGGCCTGGAGTGGGTAAAGAGCAAGGCAATGCATAGCATCTATCATAAAAGTAACTGGTAGGAACAGGCTAATTGATTGATCTAGGGCATCTCTTTATAAGAAGAGCAGATTCTCTTGCCTCTTCAACCATTTCATTGGCTTCATTGCAGAGGAGCTACCCTTTTTAGCTCTTTAGTACCCTGATTCAGTTCAACCTATAATAGATGTTGTCATTCTCTGGGTCTTGCAATCCTTTTGTAGTAAATGCCCGGCCTGAGAGAGGTGATTTATTAAGAGAATGCTATCAGCATCAGATGTCAGTTTTTTTATGTGCATGGAGTTTCATTACCAGTTTTGCCATTTGCTAGTTAATATGACTTGCAGGTGCAGCTGGTGAAATGGCTCTAGAAATGGAATGTAATTTCTGTGGCCGATCCAAATCTTTCAACCTCCTGATTTGTTTATCGGAAACCAAAACTGTTAAGAAGAAAGTTAAAAAGTAGGGAAAAAAATTTTAAAAAGCTATCATTTGTCATAAGTTCCAAAACAGAAGTCTGTGTGTGTGTGCATGTGTGTATGTTGACCAAATTTATTTACTTATTTATTTAATTTTTTTGAGATGGAGTCTTGGTGCAGTGGCGCGATCTCAGCTCGCCGCAACCTCCGCTTCCTGGGTTCAAGCGATTCTCCTGCCTCAGCCTCCCGAATAGCTGGGATTACAGGCGCATGCCAGTATGCCTGGCTAATTTTTGTATTTTCAGTAGAGATGAGGTTTTATCATGTTGGCCAGGCTGGTCTCGAACTCCTGACCTCAGTTAATCTGCCCACCTCGGCCTCCCAAAGTGCTGGGATGACAGGCATGAGCCACAGCACCCAGCCCCAAAGTTAAACATAACTAATTAGAATCAGGTGAATGTGGATTATGGGTGTTCATAGTTGGTAAAAATTAAGTTCATCAGTTTCACAGTCCATGCCAACCGTTCATCAAAGACAACATCTTCACAAATAATGTTACTCTCCCATCTGTCTTAGAAAGTTTTCCTCAGCCAGGCGCAATGGCTCATCCCTGTAATCCCAGCCTCCTGGGTGATTGTGACAACCTTTTAAATCTAGATAGAGGAAGCCATGTTCTCACAGCTCTTGCATTCTCCATGCCTGCAGACTTAACATCATGTGGATGCCACCAAAATTTGCTGTTTGCATCTTCTGAAGCTGTGGCCTGAGCCACACCTGGGCCTCCTCAAGCCATGGCTAGCACAGCCAAGGGGTGCCGTGCTGGGATGCAGAGAGCAGAGACCTGAGACAGCCCTGGGCAGTAATCCAATGAAGGGTGTCCTGGGTCTATCCCCTAAAACCATTTTGCCCTCCTAGAGCTCAGCCTGTGATAGGAGGGGCAGCCTTGGAGATCTCTGAAATGCCTCTGGGGTCTTTTTTCCCATTGTCTTGAGGAACAGCCCATGGTTTCCTTCTATCTGTACTAATCTCTTCAGTAAATGGTTGCCTGGCCACATCCTGGCATGCTTTATAGTTTTTTACATGGCCAGGCTGAGAATTTTCCAAGTTTTTCTGCTCTGCTTCCCTTTTAATTATAAATTCCATCCTTAAATAATTTGTTTTCTCTAGCATCTTACTATAAGCAGTTAAAAGTAGCTGTGCAGCAGCTTGAGTGCTTTGCTGCTTAGATATTTCTTCTGCCAGATAGCCTAGATTGTCACTCTTAAAATCTGCCTTCCGTAAAGCCCTCAGGCATGGACACAGTGCAGCCAAATTCTTTGCTATGTTTTAACAAAGATGACCTTTACTCCAATTTCTGATATGTTATTTCCCAGTGCCCTCTGAGACCTCATCAGGATTGCCTTTACTGTCCATTTTTCTACTGACAGTCCAATTGTGACCACTTAAGCAATCACTTAAGAGTTTCAGATTATCCCTAATCTTCTCTTCTCAGCTCTCACCAGAACTGTCCTTAATGCTGCATTCACAGAAATACAGGCTTTTTTTCTAGCCTATTTCTCCAAATTCTTTCAGTGTCTACCTATTACCCAGTTCCAAAGCTATTTCCACATTTTCTGACATTTATTCTAGCAACAATTTCACTTCTTGGTAGCAATTTTCTGTCTTTGTTTTCTGTTGCTATAACAGAATACTTGAGACTGAGTAATTTATAAAGAAAAGACGTTTATTTGGCTCATGGTTCTGGAGGCTGGGAAGCCCAAGAGCATGGTGGCAGCTTCTGGCAAGGGCTTTAGTACCACATCATAACATGCCACAGAAGCAAAAGGGCAAGTGAGCATGTGCAAAAGAGATCACAAGAGTGAGCCAAGCTTGCTTTTGTAACAATCTGGTCTCAGTAGAACTAACTAATTCTTTCATTAATGGCATTAATCCTTTCATAAGGGCTCTGCCCTCATGACCCAATCAACTCTTAAAGGCTCCACCTCTTAATATTGTTACATTGACAAGTTTCCAGCACATAAACTTTCGGGGGATACATTTAAATCATAACATTGCTATATACTGAAGACTGAAAACCAGAGGTCTACACACATCAGGTAATTTGAAAAATAATGAGCTGAATCAGGAAACCAGCTGGCCAGCAAGTATCCAGTGTGAAGAGGTGGTGGTCACGCCCTGCCTGAAAATCTAGAGGCTTTGTACCCACCACCTTCCCACAGCCAAAATGTGTGGTTGTCACCAAAAGAAACAGCTACATTGTGGCCCTTAGGACTAGTCCTAATTTGAGGCACCAGGGACTTTAAAAGCTGTGGTCAAACACTCACATCCCAAGCATTGAACTACTCAAAATGCTTCTTCAGCACTAATCCTGAGTTCTGATTCTGTTAACTGGGCTTGTAGCTATTCCAGACACCCAGACTGATGAGGGCCCCAGTCCCCATAAGGGTTCTTCATTTATTTCCAGTGCATAATGCCTTGCTTCCGAATCCACTTAGCCTTCAGTCCCTGTAATATTGGGGTGTTGCTTTGATTGTACCTGCTCTCCACTCACCCTGCAGGTACTAGAGTCCTTCTCTGAACCATACACAGAGGTCCTGTTCCTATTCCCTAATGACAGAGTTTCCCCAAAGCAAACAAAGTTCTTTGTTTACGAATTGACCAGCTCTTGAATTCTTTACTGCTTGTTAGGTCATCTGATGCCAAATGCTTACCTAGACTCCTGAAAGTTGGCTTTTGTCTACTTCCAGAAACCCCTCAGGTGAAGTAGTTCTGAAATTTTAGTGTGCATCAGAGTCCTCTGGAGGGTCTGTTAAAACACATATTACTGGGCTGCAACCCATGAGCTTCTGATTCTGCAGGCTTGGGGATGGGGCTAGAGAGTTTCCGTTTCTAATGTGTTCCCAGATGATGCTGGGACCTGCACTTTGAGAACCACTGCAGGCCTGCTAACAGATTGTTAGAATAAATGTTCTTTTTTCCAGGAGGTAAGCCTGTACCCATCCTCTAGGAAGCAAGACTGATTCATGGTCCCAAGGCCTCTGATTTTTCCAAATCTGATTTCAGTTTTTGAGGTCATATCTAGCCTGATGAAAGTTGGCTATATATGAACAATCTACCCTCTTCAGTATAGTGGCTATTTGACTGAATTCATTCATGAATTCCACTTTCAAACTACTTTGTAGATACAGATGCAGAACTATATTTTTTGCAGGATATTTCCTTTTGCAAAGAAGAAACAGGGCTGCTTAAAATACATTATGAAGCTAACCTAAATTACAGAGTCAGTAACATCATTGCCATTTCCTGAGCCTCTAGTATATAGCCAGCTGTTTCACATATGCATCATTCAAAGTCCTGGTAGAAAAGATATTCCATATTTCCTCTTGGTAATTTGATGAGAATTCAACAAAGAAACGGTTTACAAAGTGTGGGTAGGGTTTAAGGAAACCACAAAGGATGGCATAGCACCCCAGGGCGAGGAGGAGTGGGACCCTAGTGCTGACAGGAGTGAGGGTAGCTGTTTAGAAGAAGGCTGCCTGTGGGCTGGGCACAGTGGCTCACGTCTGTAATCCCAACACTTTGGGAGGCCAAGGCGGGTGGATCACCTGAGGTCAGGAGTTCAAGACAAGCCTGATCAATGTGGAGAAACCCAGTCTCTACTAAAAATACAAAATTAGCCAAGCATGGTGGCACATGCCTGTAATCCCAGCTACTTGGGAGGCTGAGGCAGGAGAATTGGTTGAACCCAGAAGGCAGAGGTTGTGGTAAGCCAAGATTGTGCCATTGCATCCAGCCTGGGCAACAAGAGCAAAACTCGGTCTCAAAAAAAAAAAAAAAAGAAGAAGAAGAAGGCTTCTTTTGTAGGCTTCTGTGCATGAAGCAGCTGACCCACTGCCTGTTTCTCCAGATTCTTTCAGCATCTACCCATTACCCAATCCCATAGCCACTTCCACATTTTCAGATATTTATTCTAGCAACAACTTCACTTCTTGGTACCTGTTTTCTGTCTTTGTTTTCTGTTGCTATAACAGAATACTTGAGACTGAGTAGTTCATAAAGAAAAGACATTTATTTGGCTCATGGTTCTGGAGGCTGGGAAATCCAAGGGCATGGCAGCAGCTTCTGGCAAGGGCTTTAGTACCACATTGTAACATGCCACAAAAGCAAAAGGGCAAGTGAGCATGTGCAAAAGAGATCACAAGACTGAGTCAAGCTTGTTTTTGTAATAATCTGGTCTCAGTAGAACTAGCTAATTCCTGCATTAACAGCATTAATCCATTCATAAGGGCTCTGCCCTCATGACCCAATCAACTATTAAAAGTTCCACCTTTTAATATTGTTACATTGATAATTAAATTTCCAACACATGAACTTTTGGGAGATACATTTAACCTGGCAAGGAAGGAGCTTGGAGAGTAAATTTCTGAATCTCCCTCTTCTCTCAACTCTGATCATCCTCTGGTGCCTCCATGGGCATATCCCATAGAAAGTCAGGTGGCAAGAGAACTTGTTGAAGCCATTCATATGGGTCAACCTCCCAAGACATAGCACTTATCAAAAAGGGTAAAACAACCAAGTGAGGTGGCTCACACCTGTAATCCCAGTACTTTGGGAAGCCAAAGTGGGAGGATCACTTGAAGCCAGGAGTGTGAGACCAGCCTAGGCAACACAGTGAGACTCCACCTCTCCAAAAAATAATTTGAAAATTAACTAGTGTGGTGGTACACATTTGTAGTCTCAGCTACTTGGAAGGCTGAGGCAGGATAATTGATTGAGCCCAGGAATTTGAGGCTCAGTGAGCTAGCATTGTGCCATTGTACTTGCTCTGAATGGGAGACAGAGTGAGACCTTGTTTCTAAAAAAAAAAGGGGGGGGTGGGGGGAGCAGACATGGTGGCTCACACCTGCAATCTCAGCACTTTGGGAGGTCAAGGTGGGAGGATCACTTGAGCTCAGGAGTGTGAGACCAGCCTGGGCAACATAGTGAAACCTTATCTCAATTAAAAAAGAAAGACTAAAAAGAAGTAAGGAAGGAAGGAAGGAAAGAAAGAAAGAAAGAGGAAGGGAAGGGAAGGGAAGGGAAGGGAATGGGGAAAGAAGGGTAAAGTGTGAATCTGGAGGGATCCACACAACTTGTTACTGTTATGCAGACCTTTATATCAGCCAAATCAGGAAAACACTATTCTCAGCTTACAAGCTCTGAGGGGCTAGGTAGCCTACTTTGTTAACATGGCAAATAGGCTGTAGAGCAATTCACCAGTCCCCTTCATTTATCCTAACCCCATTAGAAGAAGGGGACTGAAGAGAAGAGACACCTCCCCAGAGAACCAGGGACCCTCCCCAGGTTCTGTGTTTCTGTCATCCTGGGAATGTTCAGCAGCATAGAGAGCTTCATAGCATGTGCTTCTGAGAAGCTGGGACTAGGCGGTGTGTTGTTGGGGGTTCTGGGTTTGTTGGGAGAAAGCCTGGCTTCCGATGCTCAGCGTTTCCTCTAATTGTGCAGCATCACTGCACAGACCAGAGGAAGGACATATGTATTCCCTGGGGTCTACGAGAAATAGCAAAAAGGCCTGACGTAGATTAAGCCTTGCTTCCTTCTTCTGGTACATTGGTACATGTCACTCCCTTCTTTGCTAGTCAGTCACTGACTTTCTGTGAATATCATCAACAGTCAGTCGTTATTTACCAAATGCTATCGTGTACAGGGCTGGTATGCAGGTCTCACATTTTTCATTGTAAATAATAGTACTTGTGAAACCTTTGGTTCGAAGATTTCGATCTTTGTCATCAATTACATCTCAGAATAATTTACTTGATGCTTATTAATGATTTCAGCATTCTTGGGTGAAAGGCATTATACATCTTTTATTTTTCTCTACGGATGTAGAGTTGAAGGAGAAAGATTTTGCAAGTTGACATTTTTATTTTTTGCAACACTGAACGTTTCACTGCCAAACATGACATGAGTACCTTAAAAAAACCCAAAGTAACTGTTCTAGAAGTTCAAACACAAGTTATTCAGCAAAGTGCCTTCTGTCTGCCTGTGACCTTTGTGCCAAGGTTTAAATTCAGCAAGCAGAGAAAGGCTGAGAAAAATGATCTAAGGAAGCTCTCTTTATGGAAGGAAGGGGAGGGATTTAGAACAGGTTCAAATGTCTTCAGAAGCAGAGCAAAGAAAGAACTGTGTGTGAGGGGAGTGGGGAGGCTGGCGAGGAAGACTAAGGACCCAAGAATTGGAGGATCCCAGGGCACTGTGAAAACTCTCACCCATCTGTAGGGCAAATTCTCTTGACTGCAGTTAGTTCAAGGAGGGTGAAAATAAGATCGTGGCAACACATGATGCAACCTGTGTCTGCTTTTCCTAGTCAACAGTTACCTATCCAGGCAGTGAAAAGTGTGGCGCTAAAGCTTATCAGCATCACAGCAAATGCAAACCTTAGAGAGAAGGGAGCGAGCAGGTAACAGCAGGTGCAGGGAAATTTAAGACACTGCAGAGCCCACATTATGAACACATAATGATCATGTGGGTGTCTGCTTTATCTCTGCTGTGGAACATTGTGATAAATTATTAATAAAATGGTTTGTGTAAGCAGTGATGAAAAGGAGACCTATTTTTGCCCAACAAACTGAAGCAAATTGGAGGCAAGGGGTTTTTACTTTTCAGTCAGAATTTTGAAAATACATTAAAAACAAATATGTAAATGGTATCTGTGCTCTTCATAAATTCATAAATAAAAGGGAATAAAAGAACAAAGCTTGAATCAGAACAAATATCTCTAAGTAAAGTTAGCTAAGGAAGTGTGGTGTTTCTGATATTTAGCCATACACCCCATTGACTCCAATGCCGAAGATAACTGTTTTTTTACTCTTTTATTTTTTTTTTGGAAATGGGGGTCTCACTATGTTGCCCAGGCTGGCTTTGAACTCCTAGCCTCAATCAATCCTCCCACTTCAGCCTCTCAAGTAGTCAAACGTTAATTTGAAACTATCTTGAGAATGTGACACAAAGATGCTGAATTTCTTTAAAATGCATGTGACAATTGCTACGGAGCAAGACATCCGGGGAACTTCCTTTTTTGGAGTGGGGATGGGGGGGAACATCTGTGTACACATCTACACATCTGTGGTTCAATATAATTGGGTTGTTTCTTTTTGCCTTTTACTGACATACTGTTGTGAATGTTGTGATACAGCGGAAGCTGTCAAGATAAGACTCCTTCACCACCAGGGTTTCACACAGGCTTTACTAGAAAGGACTGCCTGTGGCCTGCGCCGCAGAGGAGGGACCCAGAAAAGTGCACATGTGCTCAGTCTATCCCCACCCATTCATTTTCTCTGCAGGGTCTGTATTGGACCTGATGTCACCACCGTGTTGTTCTGAGTCAGATTGGATGAAATTCCTTTACTGGGACTTCGCTGAGACTAATTGGATACAGTGTGTTGTTCTGACTTAGAAAACACATTGCTCGTAATTCTGATATTTATTACCAAAGGACTTCCAGGAAGAGTTTGTGAATCAGTTACTAGAACCTGAGGACTCATGCATATGACTATGTATGTATTTATGGTTCCGTGATATGGAGTTCAAAACCAAGCAAGCACTCTGAGGTCTCAACTTCCTGAGTCCTACACTGCATGTAGGACATTTCTTACTGTGGACTTATGAGTCCATAAACCTTTATTGGCTCCATTGCTGCTTTGCTGAGACACCTCCCACCGCTGTTACGTTCTAGAACTTGTCATTCATCTTATTTCTAGCTCAGTTTACTACTCCATAACTAATGGCTGCTAATATTTACTCACTCCTGAGTGGTATTAAGAGATTTCGAACATGTAAAATGATATATTTGAAAAGCATCCAGAAAATATTGTCATGTTTGAGAACTTGAACAAGATCAGTGTGGAAGAGATGGGAGCAGTTTGGACAAATAGCACCGATTCCATGCACCTATTACTTTAAGTCAGTTACTCAGCTTAAAGAGACTTGTTTTTAAAGGCTGGAGACCAAGAAAAAATTGTTTCAATGTTGATTGATCCATAGAAGCATACAGGGAAGTGGTTGAGTGCACTAACTTTGGACATGCACAGATCTGAGTTCCATCTCTGATTCTGCTGCTTGTCAACTGTGTGTCCCTGGTAAAATCGGATAACCTTCTGAGCTCCAATTTCCTTATTTGAAAATTAGAATACCAACTTTAGGCAAGGCGCCAGTAATCCCAGCATTTTGGGAGGGTGAGGTAGGTGGATCACTTGAAGTCAGGAGTTTGCGAACAGCCTAGACAACATAGCGAAACCCTGCGTCTACTAAAAATACAAAAATTAGCCAGGTGTGGTGGTGCATGCCTGTAATCCCAGCTACTCAGGAGGCTGAGGCAGGAGAGTCGCTTGACTTGGGAGGCGGAGGCTGCAGTGAACTGAGATTGCGCCACTACACTCCAGGTGGGGTGACAAAGTGAGACCCTGTATCAAAAAAAAAAAAAAAAAAGAATACCAACTTTAGAGGGTTGTAAAGACTAAATAATATGCATAAAGGGCTTAGCAGAATGCGTGGCACACAGGCTCAATCAATACATGTTCCGCGGACAGCTCTCAGAATGAATAACTGTATCATGCTAATTTCACAATTTGAGGATGAAAGATGGAAAGGAATCTAAAATAACACAGATTTTAGGACAAGGTTTCTGATTAACCTACTGATCACATCAGAATAAGACAATGTTGCTTTGATTTTTTCCCCTCAATCCTTCAGAGGTTATGGTTTTGGGGTTTTTTGTTTGTTTTTGGACACAAGGTCTCCCTCTGTCACCCAGGCTGGAGTGCAGTGGTATGATCACAGCCCACTGCAACCTCGACCTCCTAGACTCAAGCAATCCTGCAACCTCAGCCTCCTCAGTAGCTGGGACCACAGGCATGTGCCACCATACCTAGGTAATTGTAAAATTTTTTTTAGAGATGAGGTCGCACTATGTTGCCTAGGCTGGTCTCGAATTCCTGGGCTCAAATGATTCTCCCGCCTCGGCCTCCCAAAGTGCTGGGATTACAAGCATGAGCCACCGCATCTGGCCTGTTTTTTAACTAAAATCTAGAGGTTCATGACCACATTACACTGCTGGAGAACCTCATTTTAAGAACAAGCTGTTTTCCAAGAGTTTGGTTGCCGGTAGGCTGTTTGGAAATTAAAAAAATATATATTTCAAATAGAAACAATGTTAAAATTGGTGAGGACATCCTCAGGCAAGGCTAGGCCATAGCATTATATATACATATACATAGCATTATATATACACATAACACTAGGGATACAATGTAGCTGAATTGATGTAGCTGTAGTGAGTTGTTCCTCTCCCAGCCTCCTGTGGACAGAACTCAGAGGTACATTCTGTTTCTTTTCGTTTCTTTTATTTCCTTTTTTCCTCTCCTTTCCTTTTTTCCTTTCCTTTTCTTTTCTTTTCTTTTTTTTTTTTCTGAGACAGAGTCTTGCTCTGTTGCCCAGGCTGGGGTGCAGTGGTGCAGTCTCAGCTAACTGCAACCTCCACCTCCCAGATTCAAGCAATTCTCCTGTCTCAGCCTCCTGAGTAGCTGGGATCCCAGGTGTGCATCACCACACTCAGCTAATTTTTGTATTTTTAGTAGAGAGATGGGGGTTTCACCATGTTGGCCAGGCTGGTCTTGAACTCCTGACTTCAGGTGATCTGCCCATCTCAGCTTCCCAAAGTGCTTGGATTACAGGCGTAAGCCACCACGCCCCAGCCCTCATTCTGTTTCTAACCTGCTCAGACATTTATGTCTCTCCTTCACTTTTGGGACTCAGATTCCCTGGCATAGGAATCTGGACACCACCTTTTTTTTCTTCACCAAGCCCACATGGCTCCTTCAGTCACCCCACATCTTGTTTCTTCACATGCCTCAGCCTTTGCACAGTGCATTCTTGCTGCCTAGAAGGCCTTCTCTGCCTCCTGTTTTCCCTTTCCCCATACTTCACCTGGAAAAACTTCAACTCATCCTTTCAACACAAGAAACTGCCCCCTCTTCTGTGTTTCCATGACTTCGCACACCTTCACTATAGCATGGGTCACACTGATTAGGGATAACTGGGTTGAACCCCCACCCCTGCCCTGCCAGTCCGGGGACTTTAGCTAGAAACTGTTTGATTTGTCTTGATATAACCACTGCCTAGACTAGGTCACTGGCCATATAATAATAATAAGGAAAAAAGGGTAACAATAACAAACATTTTTAAGTTGCCAGGAACAGTTCTTTAAACGTCTTCTATAGATTTACACATCTGATTTCTTTGGAAAACCTAAAGAGTGGAAACTTGTTTTACAAATGATTAAGCTGAAGCATACAGCAATTAAGCAACTTGCCCGAGGTCGCAGAGCCAGTAAGTAGACTGAGCTGTAGAGGCAAATAGCTGACATATAAATCCAAGCATTTTGGTTCCAAGCTGAAATTCTTGTCTATGAATGACCGAATGCATACATGTTAGATGTTGGCTGAGCTCTTACAGAACAAAAGGAAAGGGGCCAGGCACAGTGACTAACTCCTGTATTCCCAGCACTTTGGGAGGCCAAGGCAGGCTGATCACTTTAGGTCAGGAGTTCGAGACCTCGGTCAACATGGCGAAACCCCATCTCTACTAAAAATACAAAAATTAGCCGGGTGTGGTGATGCGCACTTGTAATTCCAACTGCTTGGAAGGCTGAGGCATGAGAATTGCTTGAACCTGGGAGGCAGAGGTTGCAGTGAGCAGAGATCACGCCACCACACTCCAGCCTGGGTGATGGAGTGACAGACTGTCTCAAAAAAAAAAGAAAAAAAAAGAAAAAAGAAAGGTATTCTGTACCCTTTTTTTAATGGGGTGAAGAAAAAGGAAGAAGAAGAAGGTGATTTGGGAGAGACAATTACCTCCTGATAGAGGGACACAGCCCTGAGAAGTGGCCCCAGGACCTTTATCCCAGGGAGAGGGCAGTGGTGCCATGGGCCTCCACCCCAAGGCTACAATGGGGTCCTTAGAAGCTCCAAGGGTCTGTGCCAGGTCTCAGCTGAAGAAAGTAGGTGAGGCCCATCCCTTAGAGAAGGAGAAGGTCTAGGATGCCTGCTGAAGGCTTCTGAGCAGCTGGTGATGTCAAGAAAGCAGGGTTTCCTTTAACTCCACCTTGAGCACTTGACCATCAGGCCCTCTGATTAGTCACCTCCATCAGCTTGCTCTTCCCTCTGCTCTGCATACAATCTGCTCCTCTTCATCTTTCAGGCTCAGCTTATATGTCACTTCCTTAGAGAAAGCTGGAAAGTAAACAGCAACAGTGGTATTCAAAGCGGGCCACCACCACCTCCCATGATTCCCTATTTGGGTGCCCTGTTTGTTTCCTTATTTGACGTGCTTGTCTTCTTGGTCTGTCTTCTCCATGAGACTGTAGCTCCCTGAGTGGCATGATGCATCTCTATTTTACAGTCCAGTCTCCTGTATCCAGCACCTATTTGGCCTTCAATATAAACTTGTTTGATTAAATAAATGGATAAGTGATTCAGCCTTGGGATGTCATTCCTAATCCTCACTGACTTTTTCCACCTTATCCGTTCCTCCTCCACCCTCCTCTGTAGATAAGCATTGAAAGAATGTTGGTATTTCCTTCACAGAGGAATTACTCATCCTAGGGAAATGGAATAACCACTTCTCTTCTGAGGTAATGAAAAGAAACGGGTTTTTAGATGGATGGACCTGGGTGCAAATCCTGCCCAGCCATGGTTTATGCATAATACTTGGTCATTTTACTTAATCCTTCTGGTCTTTTACTCAAAGGGCATCATAGCACGTTTCTTCCAGGATTGTTATGATGTTTGAATGAGAAGATATATGTAAATATGCTTAACATGGAGCCTATTACAATAGGGGTTCAATACATTATAGCTGCTGTTATTAGTATGGATGTTATTTGTCTTGCAATGCAACCAAATTGGGCTTCAGGCCCCTTGTTTTGGCTGTTATATTTAGCAGGAAAAATTCACAGAAGTGTTAAGAGGGAAGAATAATTCAGTTCTCAAGAAGAGAAAGCTGTTTTTTTCCTTCTCCTTGAATCAGAAAATCTGTTCTTCATGGTGATAGTTGTGTGAATATCACAATAATATCTGAGTTTATCTTTCCTAGAGTTGGCAAATAAATTGGACCCGAGAATGATGTGTGGAATTCAGCCTTCACATTGTTTATGCTGTTTCTCATTTGAAAACAGATGTGTCATGGGGATTCATAGCATCTGCTCTTTCTTCTGTGTTTATTTTCTCATACATCTCTTCTGTCTCTGACACTAAAATGTAAAGTCCCAGAAGGCAAGGATCTTTGTATCTTCAGTATACCTAATATGACACTTGGCCAATGAGGGTAAGGGGAGGCATTCAGTAGATATATGTTTTTGATGACAGTACTTTACATGTTTTCAAGTTACCTTGTCCTAATTAAATAGAAGGGCCCAGGGGAAAAGAAGATAATAGTATAATGCATATATTTGTTCTATCTAATAACAGTTTAACAGAGATCCAATAACTCAATCTAGAAAAAATCAAAGCAGATTTGCCAGACTTATATGATAATGTGGTTTTGTTCTTTATTAAAAAATAAATTTTTATGATAATGTTTGTCCAATATCACAGTGATTTATTTTATTTATTTATTTATGTATTTATTTATTTATTTATTTATTTATTTTTGAGACAGAGTCTTGCTCAGTCCCCCAGGCTGGAGTACAGTGGTGCGATCTCGGCTCACTGCAAACTCCGCCTCCCAGGTTCAAGAGATTCTTCCGCCTCGGCCTCCCAACTAGCTGGGATTACAGGCACCTGCCACCATACTTGGCTAATTTTTGTATTTTTAGTAGAGATGGGGTTTCACCACGTTGGCCAGGCTGGTATCGAACTCCTGACCTCAGGTGATCCGCCTGCCTTGGCCTCCCAAAGTGCTGGGATTACAGGCATGAGCCACTGTGCTCAGCCTCAATATCATAGTAATTTAAAAAATTTAAGGCTACTTTTAACACAGAATAGCTAGTAATTTTTTTTTAACTTTAACAGAACCAGAAGGTTACTCTGCACCAGGGAAAATGCATTTCCTCTCTCTCTTTCTACCTGTACCTCCCACTTCTGCATTCCACTGCATTATTGGTCAAAGAAAAGCCAAATCTTTATATGGAATTTTTAACTCATTTCCCAGTTATGCTTAGAATTCAAGATAGATAAACCTAGAGGCAATACAATTCCCAAGTACGGTAAAAATAAAACAGAAGTACAGACAGCTATTAGTAAACACGTCTTCATCATGAGCTCAATTTCTTACCAAATGAAAATTTCCTCAATCACAGTGGTGAAAGTACTCAGCAATGGAGGCCTCACATTCCACACCAAAATGAAAGAGACGGAATGCTTGTTTTTGTGGCGAAAAAAATCCCAACACTATTAGTCACTTTTCTAACCAGATGGATAGAATGTTCCATGGTCTATAGATAATGATGACGACCATGAGTTGGTGAGTGACCTGTGAGATGAGTCAACTGGCGAAGCAGTTGTTTTGACTACACCAAACCTAGGGAACTCAGATGGAAGTGGGTTTGGTATTTTTCTGTCAGAGCTGCCACTTTTGGTGTTGGGAGGGTTCAGGAAGAGGAAACTGAGAATAAGTGATTAGATAGATTTGTGGCCATGTCTGGGGAAGACAGGGCAAGGCTGATGCTGTTGGGTGGGAGGTGAGGAAGGACTGGGGCTGGCTTGCACACTCTTGTGTCTGCGTTAACCGTTGCTCTTCTTTTCTGACTGTAAAACACAAGTGAAAGTGTAGGGAAAATGTGTAAGTAAAAGCTATGAAAGATGGCTACTTATGGTTTATGATCCCCAAAAGGAAAGGGAGAAGAGATACAGGAACTTTGCAGGAGAGAATATGACTGTTTTTATTAAACTGCAAAGGAGAATTTAGAAACAAGAAGAATTTGGCAATTGTCGTAGGTATCAGTTATTATTTGTTTAAAGAATTGCCAAAAGAATGTTTAGAAGACATAGTTTCATACAAGAAGGAATTCCTAAGAAGCAGACGTTTTAAATACTGATGAGTTTAAGAAAAGTTGGTCTGTGATGAAAGGCCTATAAGATATTGTTTACTACGTATAAATACTAGCCAGGAGCGGTGGCTCACGCCTGTAATCCCAGCACTTTGGGAGGCCGAGGCGGGTGGATCACTTGAGGTTAGGAGTTCAAGAACATTCTAGCCAACATGGTGAAATTCTGTCTCTACTAAAAATACAAAAATTAGCCAGGCGTGGTGGCACACACCTGTAACCCCAGCTACTTGGGAGGCTGAGGCAGAAGGATCACTTGAACCCAGGGGTTGGATGTTGCAGTGAGCCAAGATGACTCTATTGCACGCCGGCCTGGATGACAGAGCAAGACTCTGTCTCAAAAAAAATAAAATAAAATAAAATAAAATAAAATAAAATAAAATAAAAAATACAGACAGTTCCCAACTTACAAAATGGTGATGCTTTAAAACACTCTTTGTAAGTAGACTGTTTAAAACTTGGAGTCTACTTCTTTATTCATTCATGTTTATCTTTTTATTCAAAAAGGTTATTTATATAAGAAAGGCACAAGATCAGCTTTTCAGTTTCCAATGTATAAAAATAATTCTACTATTTGGTAAAAATGACATAAGTATTTAAAAAAACTACAGTAAGATAAAAGATGAGAATTTCAGAGAGTGAGTGCTCATTGTCCATTAAAAAAAAAATGGTCTTATTTCCAGTTTGACTTACTGGCTCCTAAATTTTGGGCCAAAGCACTATTCTTACACAACTTGAGAATTTGCTGAGTAATTTATTTAACACTGCCCTAACAGGAAAATACAGCGTGGCTTTTATAAGTTTCCTTTTTAGTGCCTTATAATGAAGTAATCTTTGTAACTTTTTTCCCCCTGAGATTACTTGCATATCTTTCAGGGATTTTTGAGACTTCCTTTTATATTTTTAGGAAATATCAGTTGTATCAGTTGTAGGAAAAGAAATTACCCTGTAAGTATTGGTTATATACAACCTTTCATAACCAATGTTGATAAGTAAAACAAGTTCAGCTAGTTTTTTTGTTTATACCATGTTGCTTAAAAGTCATTTTCCTCTGGCTGCTTTTTGATGACATTCATTCATTCAACAAATATTTATTGAGTAATTACTATGCACCAATGTTTTTCTAGGCTCTGGGGATGCAGCATTGAACAAAACACCATGATCCTTGCCCAAAGGAATTGAAAATTCGAATGCAGGAGCTAAATAATTATTAGTAAATATTAATAAACACAGGATAATTAGGATAATCTCAGAGGATGCTATAAAACAGTATAAATGCTATGAAGAAAAGAGAATGGGGGAGGTGATATGACAAGAGAGATCAAGCAGGTGCATTCACCTATAGTGTTGTGTAACTGTGATTCTCTATGACTTTTTCATGACCATGTTAATGTCATCACACTCGGGTTTTCCCTGCCTCTGTAGTCATTTAATGAATATTATAACTCTTCTACTCTTGTGATTCTCTCCCCTCTTACTCATATTATTTACAGTTTATATTCTTTTTCAGCCATCTCCACCATAAAAATGATGGGCAAAGGAAGAAAGCTTAGGAATATTGAGGTGAAGATCATCTGTATGTTCAATTTTTCTTTGGTTAGTCCCTTGAGGCAAGTGTTATTTGATAGAAAGAGTGTAGAACATGACAGCAGAAAAAAGGGCTTTGAATCTTTTCTTTTCTACTTATTATCTCTTTTTATTCTTTGTTTATTCTTTTTTTTAGAGCCAAGGCCTCACTCTATCACCTAGGCTGGAGTGCAGTGGAGTGAGCATAGCTCACTATAGGCTGAAATTCCTAAACTCAAGCGATCCTCTTGCCTCAGCCTCCCCAGTAGCTGGGTCTACAGGCATGTGACACCACACCTGGCTAATTTTAAAAAAATTTTTCTTATAGAGATGAGGATTTCACTATGTTGCCCAGGTTACTCTCAAACTCTAAGCTTCAGGCGATCCTCCTGCCTCGGTCTCCCAAAGTACTTGGATTACAGGCATGAGCCACCGCACTCTGCTATTAACTTTTACTTAACCTGAGTCATTGTTTTCTTGTCTCCAAATATGGAAAAAACAATCTCAGTGACAGGATGTTGTTGTGAGATGTTAACTGAGAAGCAGAGGGCACCCACTGGGCATTCACCCTACATCAAGAGGATGAGGGCTGCGATTGCCCTTCCAATAACTCTGCCAAAAAAGCAAGAACCAGCCTGTTTTCTAAAAGACCACGGCCACATTGCCATTAATAGAAACATTCAACTTCTAGAGACAACACAAAGACCACGTTTGGATGACATAATAGCTCAGAAATAAAAAGTAATCATGTAGATGTGTGGAGTTTGTTCACGCTTCATTGGTGAGAAAGCACACAAACAAAACAATCTATACATAGAGAAGAAACACAAAACATTGACTCACTGGAATCTGGGAGGCATCCTTGACCTGCCTTCCTACCTTAGCTCCCACATTCTATGGACTGTCAAATCCCATTGATTCTGCTTCTTTCAGGTCTCCTTTCCTTCCTTCCTTCCTTCCTTCCTTCCTTCCTTCCTTCCTTCCTTCCTCCCTCTCCCTCTTTCTTTCTTTCTTTCTTTCTCTCTTTCTTTCTTTCTCTCTCTCTTTCTTTCTTTCTTTCTTTCCTTCTTTCTTTCTTCTTTTTGAAGTTCTTACTCTGTTGCTCAAGCTCTAGAGTGCAGTGGTGCAATCAGAGCTCACTGCAGCCTCAACCTCCTGGGCTTAGCTGATCCTCCCACCTCAGTCTCCTGAGTAGATGGGATTACAGGTGTGTGCCACTGCACCCAGCCAGGCGTTTTATTTATTTATTTTTTTTTTTTGGTATATACATATATATATATTAGAGACAGGGTCTCACCATGTTACCCAAGCTGGTCTCAAACTCCTGAGTTCAAGCCATCCACCCAAAGTACTGAGATTACAGGCATGAGCCACCACACCCAGCCTAGGTCTCTCTTCTGTCCCACAACACATTCTCAGCTCATGCTGGCTTCACCTCATCTAGTCTACTCAGTAGCCTCTTCCCTGGTAATCCTGCTTCAGCTCTTTAATCTGTACACCTCTTTTCCCTTACCAACACCACCAAAATATTCTAACCCTCTCCCTAGAGTAAGTTTTCTAAAATGCAAATCTAAACATACGACTCTTCCACCTGAATCCACACAAAGCTTCTTCATGGTCTTCAGTGTAAAGTCCACTCTGGAGCAGCGCATTCACTCTACTGCTGCTCCTTCCGGTCTGCTGTCCTGCAGCCTGGGTGTGCTGCCAGCCATGTACTCTTGAACTTCTGAGCCTTTGTGCAGACAGTTCCTTTTGCTTTGATGGGTTTCCCCATCCCGTTTCCCAGCCCAGCTTCATTTAGTTCTTTCAGACACTCTTCCTCAACTTTCCAACCCCATCCTAGTCCCACATGGGTTAGTGCAGGATCAGCTACAGAATTTGAAAGGCCTGGAGCAAAATGAAAATGTGCAACTGCGTGTTGAAAAATTATTAAGAATATCAAGATAGTGACCACAGAGTATTAAACTAAGCACTAGGCTCTTGTAAGTGCAGGGTCTGTGCCACAGCATGGGTCGTATGCCCACAGAGCCAGCCCTGTTAGATTCTCTGCTCAGAGTTTTCATACAACTCAAAATAACACCATTTTTTAACACTATTTAAAGCAACACATTTTAACTATCTATTTACATATCTGCCTCCTCTTCTAGCTTTGCTCTTTTAAGGTGGGAACCGTGTCTACTTCATTCTTAAATCATTTACTAAATATGTATTGAGGGCCTAATACACCAGGCACTGTGATTAGTGCTAGAGATATAAAAATAAGTAAGAACTTGTGTGGGCAGTGGTTCACGCCCGTAATCCCTGCACTTTGGGAGGCCAAGGCAGGTGGATGACTTGAGGCCAGGAGTTCGAGACCAGCCTGGCCAACATGGTGAAACCCCATTTCTACTGAAAATACAAAAATTAGTTGGGCATGGTGGTGCACGCCTGTAATCCCAGCTACTTGGGAGGTTGAGGCCCAAGAATTACTTGAACCTGGGAAGTGGAGGTTGCAGTGAGCTGGAATCGCACCACTGCACTCCAGCCTGAGCGACAGAGCAAGACTCTGTTGAAGAAAAAAAAAGGTAAGACCTATCTCTGCCCTCAAGATGCTCACAATGTATTAGAAGAGAGATACATAAGCAGATGCTTATAAAACCATATAGTGAGTTTAGGATAGAGGTGTACACAGGAAATGATAGATGCATGGAGAAAGGCCACCTAATCAGGCCAGGGGATAGGTGTGCCTGGATTTCCAGATAGGCTTCCTGTGTGGGTGATTGTTGCTTAATACCTGAAGGCTGAATAAGTGTTGGCCAGATGTCATCCCATAAGTTGAAATGAGCAAGAGATAGAGATGTCAGGCTGTCTGCTGTGGTGGTTGTTGGCAGGGACAGGGAGGGGTTTCTTTAAGCGATCTGGAGAGATGGGAACCCAAAGCAAGACAGTATTTAGACAGAGAGCTGGAGAGATAGCCAGACTCTAAATCCTGAAGGTCTTACATACATGCTGTCCTCTAGCTCATTATCATCCTAGAAAAATAATGCAAACCACAGACAGAATTTTATATTATCTAGTAACCTCATTGCACAAGTAAAACAAAACAAGTAAAATTCATTTTAGCAATACAATTTATTTCACTCAATATATCAAAAATAACATCATTTCAACACGTATTCAATACAAAAATTATTATTGAGACAGCTTACATTCTTTTTTATTTTTGTACTGCCTTTGAAATACAGTGTGCTTTATTCTTAGAATGTGTCTTAATTCAGACTAGGCAAATTTCAGGTGCTCAATAGCCACCCAGGACTAGTGGCTACCATATTGAGTGGTTAGGTGAAATTTTTCAAGGATACCAATTCTAAGAACTGTTCAGTGAAAATGGCTGGGAGATCTGCCTATTATATAATCCTCCAGGAGATTCATATGAGGGATTCATATATTAAAGTCTTTGAAAAGTCTGCCAGAAATACAATGATTGTACCTTCTGCTTTTCAAACTTGTGTAGCCACAGGACCTTTTGTTCCTCCAGTGTAATCAATCCCACGCAGTCAGTGCTCCTTTGGACCTGCCTCGGGCATCGCTGCTTCTCTTGTCGGCAAGTTGCCGAAGGATCCTTCCCTAGGCGGAGATCAGTTAGACCACTTGCATCGCATAGGCCAGGTTGTGGAGAAGGAGACTGGAAACAGAGGTCTGGGAGGATCCAAGCATCAGGAAGAACCACAGAGGTTCTCATTGTTCCCACCGGTAATTAACTCTTCATTTATAAAAAATGTGAGCTTCCAGGGATTTCATCGGACCTCCTCCCAAGTTGTAGATTTGATGAGAATGAATTTCCCGTTCATTTTCGTTGCTTTGATCAATAATAAAAACCTCATGAAATAAAGCACTTGTAAAGTCTTATGCAAACATTTTATTGACATGCTCAATAAAAACCTGTTCACTTTTACTGTTTCCAGTTCTTGAAGATTTAAACAGATTGCCTCTTTGAAGATTTTCTATTTATTTTTTCCTTTTTTTTGTATTTTCTGCACTCCACTGTTACATTTTCTGTTTGTATCATAATGCCATTTTTTTTCTTTTTCTATAGGAATAAAACAGAAAGTGTAATTATAATCAATGTGTACAAAATGTAATGTATTTTTGTCAAAAAATACAAAATCGCAGTAAGGAAAATAAAATTATATGTGCTCCTAAAATATATTTTTCATCTGAAATATTTAAAATAATTAAAATTAAAAGTAAAATACAAATTATAATAAATATCTAATAAGAATTTAAATCAAAATTATTTCAACTAGCTAAAATTTTTGTTGAGTTTTTAAAAAGCCTTTATGATATTTACAAAACACAACTATTTGCAATTTTAATTTTAATATTCACCTATTGCTGATACTAAAATTGGTATCATACTTCACATATTATGTCTAGACCTATGTAGATACAAATATAAGAGTAATATGAATTGTTTAGTATTGCAAAATGTTCCCCATTCTCCATGAGCAACTATAGAAAATACTGCTCTAATTCAAGAGTTCCTCTAGAACCACCAAGCCTGCTCTTAATATTTGTGGGGCCTGAAGCAATATGTGAAGACCCACACAACATGTGTCTAAATATTTAGAAGGTGTAAATCATATTAACAAACAATAACATCAAACATTTTCTATTTCCTAATCTTGTGAATATACGTTGTTGATCTGGAAAGTCACGTTCAAATTTAGAACTCTTGGTCTTCTCAGAGAACCATGTCAGAAGGAATAAGTAAAAAAGTGTAAGTAAATCTGTCCTCCAGCCCCCAGCTCTCACTCCTACTTTTCACACCCCCTTCTCTTGCCACCTTCAGCTCCACCCCCATGTCTTGTGGGATCTTGCATACTTGCATATGGATATCCCAGTCTGCATGTTCAAGCTCTGACCATATCACACACAAACAGCTGCTCTGGGCCATCTCTCAGACTTAGTGGTGTGCAGAGTGGTGGCATAATCAATCGTTAGGAGAAAGGATTCAGGGACGAGGCCCGTACAGGTCCTGGCAATGGGCCCAGGACTACTTGTGCAGGGAAATCTAGAGTGGGAAGAGAGATGGGCTTCAGGTAGGCATACCTTGGCCCTCTGTACTACTAGGCCTGTGAGGAAAGGCACGGCCAGAGGAGGGCCAGGGTGGAGCTTTTTCAGGTACAGGACCAGGGCCAGAATGTGGAGGTGCTACTAGGAACCATAAATTAGAATACAAAGAGAAACAGGAAACTGGCACAATTGGGAACCAATATTTTGTTATGCTCTCTGAGAGGAAGAGTTTGGCAAGTGTATTAGTTTCCTAAGCCTGCCATAACAAAATGACTGGGTGGCAAGATCAAAGTGTTGTCAGAGTTGGTTTCTTCTGAAGCCTCTCTTTTTGGCTTGTAGGTGTCTGTCTTCTCCTTGTGTCTTCATATGGTCTTCCCTCTATGTGTGTCTGTGTCCGAACGTCTTATAAAAAATCAGTCTTATGAGACTAGGGCCAGCTTGAATGATCTCATTTTAACTTAATTACATCTTTAAAGACCCTTTCTTCAAATATGGTCACATGCTGAGGTACTGAGGGTTAGGGCTTCAACATAAACATTTGGGGAGAACACCATTTAATCTATAACAGCAAGTTCATTAATTTGTCTTTCCAGTTCCCGAAACACCTGCCTGCTGAAATTCCTCTGCAATGTGAAGGAAGCAGTGTTTTTCTCTTATGTAGGTAATGACCCAACCTACAATTTAATAGCTTTCAGATAGTTGCCTTTTGTTTGGAGAATGGTTTTCTTTTCTTTCCTTTTTTTTATTTTGAAACAGAGTCTCTCTCTGTCAAGAGGCTAAAGGCTGAAGTGCAGTGGCGCGATCTCGGCTCACTGCAACCTCCGCCTCCCCGGTTCAAGAGATTCTCCTGCCTCAGCCTCCTGAGTAGCTGGGACTACAAGCACGCGCCACTACGCCCAGCTAATTTTTGTATTTTTAGTAGAGACAGGGTTTCACCATGTTGGCCAGGATGGTCTCCATCTCTTGACCTCGTAATCCGCCTGCCTTGGCCTCCCAAAGTGCTGGGATTACAGGTGTGAGCCACCGTGCCCATCCTGTTTGGAGAATCGTTAAGGGAAGAGATGTGGAGAAGACAAATGGAGATGTGTTTCCCTGGGGTTTGAATACTGTTAGTCATGAGAGTGGATGTTTGGGATTGAGTTGACTCTTCTAATGCTAAGCATCAGGTCCTGAATGACAGAGGAACCATGTGTTCTTCAACCATTTGTGTGTGTGTGTGTGTGTGTGTGCAAGTATTTGTGAAATGCCATTCCCTCTATAGCCCCACACCCAGGGGCAGGTTCCTTCTTGTCTAAATCTACAGGAAATATTGAAAAGAAAGTTGAGGGATTCCATCACAGCTGTGGAAGCAGGAAAGGGAATGGGGGGTGGGTAATTTGAAAAATATTTACACAAGGCAAACTATGTGGGATTTATAATAGGGAGTAAGAAGGAGGACGGAGTCAAGAGTAATTCTCTGAGGTCTTTCTTGGATGATTAGGTAACGAGTAATATCTTCAACTAAGGGAGAGAATCTTGAGAAGCTAGGTTAAGGGAAAAGAGGAGCTTCATTTGGGGCAGGCAAATTCCCCAAGCAAATTCCAGCAATTGTGACTCCTCAAGCTCACGTTCCTATCATATATAGAGCCTGGTTAAATTGTGCCAGTAGCAGAACTTGATTTTTATAAACAATGACAGTAATTGGTATACTAGTTAATAGTCAACATAAATCACTTGAATGATCAGGGTTTATTAACAATAGTAGAGTCACTACAACAGGGATAAAGAAAAGGGAATATAAGGGCATAACATTTAGAAGTGTTGTGCAAAAACAAAAATAAGCATAAATGAACAAACAATAGAAGCAAGAGTCTGAAAGATTTGTTACCTGTTCAGCTATGACTTCGGTCTGAGGCCTCTAGAGCCACAAAATTCATGGATTCATTTCCAGCATGTTTACTTACCATTTGACATCAAATGGTAGGCACTGATGCTAACAACAATTAAGCCAAGTTTTGCATTCCAGGGAAGTTCAACATTTTCACTCTATTGCCCAGGCTGGAGTACAGTGGCGCAATTTTGGTTCACTGCAACCTCTGCCTCCTGGGCTCAAGTGATCTTCCCACTTCAGCTTCCTGAGTAGCTGGAACTATAGACATGCCATGCTTGGTTAATTAATTTTTTTTTTTTTTTTTTGTAGAGACAAGAGTCTCACTATATTGCCCAGGCTGGTCTGAAACTACTGGGCTCAAGTGATCGGCCTGCCTCAGCCTTCCAAAGTGCAGGGATCACAGGCATGAGGCACTGCTCTCAGCCTTTTTTTTTTTCTTCTTCTTTTTAAGAAAACACACGTAGAAAACCTATTGTGTAGGATATTCAAAAGGTGGAAACAGCTTCAGTGTCCACCACTGGCTATACAAAATGTGAATATCCTGGATAGAGTTTCTGTTCTGATAGAAAAGTTTTGAAAATAGTGATGATGGTTATACAACATTGTGAATGTACTTAATGCCACTGAATTGTGCACTTAAAAATGATTAAAATAGCAAATTTTATGTTATACATACTTTAGCACAATAAAAACAAAAACCCTTCTGTGTAGGTTTTGAGGACACAATCAGGTTGAGTAATCCAGTTTTTCTCTTCCAATAACATAGTCTGATACGTTTTAAAGGAATAATTCGAAAGAAAAATAGATATGAGCTTATATCCCAATTACTCAGTATGAGACCCAGACAGTATTTCAGAATATAGCAATTTTCAGTTAAATAGATGCTCGTTAACATTTAGAATAAGGTTTTGGGGTCATCAGCTCATTCTTGATGCAAGAAAAATCTAAATGCATCTTTAGAGATGAGCTCCTCTGGGTCATTTCTACTTGCTAGATTCATATGCAGTGCCCCAGTTTTAAATTAACAAAAAAAAATCAAAAACCCTAGAAGATTTCTTAGTAGGAAAAATATGTTTTATAACTCAAATGAAGCAAAATCCCTAAATCTCTTTTTTTCCCCAGATTTGCAAATGCCATTCTCCTTAAGGCATCAGCTCTAATTTTTTCTGCTTTATTTTTTAAAATAAACTTTTAACTTTATAATACTTTTAGGTTTACAGAAAAGTAAGATAACTATAATGCACCCCACGCCCAGTTTCTCCTATTGTTAACATGAGTGTGGTACATTTGTCAAAACCAATGAGCCAATATTAATACATTATTAACTAAAGTCCATACCGTATTCAGATACCCATAGTTTTTTGTTTTTGTTTTGTTTTGTTTTTGAGATGGAGTCTCACTCTGTCGCCCAGGCTGGAGTGCAATGGTGTGATCTCAGCTCATTGCAACCTCCACCTCCCGGGTTCAAGTGATTCTCCTGCCTCAGCCTCCCAAATAGCTGGGATTACAGGTGCCCATCACCATGCCACGCGAATTTTTGTATTTTTAGTAGAAATGGGGTTTCACCATGTTGGCTAGGCTGGTCTCAAACTCCTGACCTCAGTTGACCTGCCCATCTCAGCCTCCCAAAGTGCTGGGATTACAGGCGTGAGCCACCACGCCTGGCCAGATACCCGTAGTTTTTACCTCACGTCTCTTTTCTGTTCCAGGAGCCTATCCAGGATATCACATTAAACTGAGTTATCTGGCTGGGTGTGGCAGCTCATGCCTGTAATCCCAGCACTTTGGGAGGCTGAGGCAGGCAGATCACTTGACGTCAGGAGCTTGAGACCAGCCTGGTCAACATAGCGAAACCCCTTCTCTACTAAAAATACAAAAATTCGCGAGCATTGTGCTGCGCGCCTGTAATCCCAGCTACTCAGGAGGCTGAGGTGGGAGAATCGTTGGAACCTGGGAGGCAGAGGTTGCAGTGAGCCGAGATTGTGCCACCGCACTCCAGCCTGGGTGATAAATTGAGGCTCCAACTCAAAAGTAAATAAATAAATAAATAAATAAACAAACAAATTAAAAAATTGAGTTATCTTGTCTCCTTAAGCTCGTCTAGATTGTGACAATTTCTCAGACTTTCCTTATTTTTGATGATGGTGACAGTTTTGAGCAAGCTTGGTCATGTATTTTGTAAAATATCTCTCAGTTGGTGTTTCTAGAGTGTTTTCCTCATGATTAGACTGGGGTTATGGGTTTTGAGGAGATCACAGAGGTAAAGTGTCATCCTCACCACATCACATCAAGGGTACTTGCTATCAACACGACATCACTGGTGACGTTAACCTTGATCACCTGGCTGGGGTGATGTCTGTCAGCTTTCTCTGTTGTAAAGTTGCCCTCCGCCCCACCCTTTTCATACTGTATTTTTTGGAAAGGAAGTCACTATGTGGAGCCCATACTTAACAGGGTGGGGAGTTACACCAGAGTCCTTGAGTGGTGAGTAGAACGTTACAGCACAAAAAATTGCTTTTTGTGCACCCTAATGTATACAAATTTTTGAAAAATCACTTAGGATATTAGGGGATCCCAGAATGGAGTGCAGGCTATGACAAAACAATCTAAGTGTCTTACAGATGTATAAAATAATTTCCCTGAAGGAGGTGGGAGGAAAGTTGCTGACCTAAACAACTTTAGAAATGAATGGAGACTACAAGACCAAAGGCAAAATAAACTGTATGTAAGCACTGTATTCTCGTCAATAAAGTTGCATCTCAGGAGTATAGTTTGATTTTGAGGGCGTTATTCATGTGTACTGGTATTGAGCAAATAAATGAGTGGATGGTGGATGGTGGGAGCCAGGTTTCTCACTGTTGGAGTGGAAGGTGACATACAAAGACAGGAAAGAGGCTAGAATGATCCATGTGGTATAGGATTAGAGTTGAGACAACTGTATGCACTCACATTTAGCTTAATATAGATACGAATAATTACATATATAAATACTTATAGATATGTGTACATATAATTATTAGAACACACGTATATATTTCCCTGTTCTGTCAACATTCCAGTAGCAAGAAGATCTTGATTTCTTTTATTTATTTATTTTTTTGAGATGGAGTCTCGCTCTGTCCCCCAGGCTGGAGTGCAATGGTGTGATCTCGGCTCACTGCAACCTCCACCTCCCGGGTTGAAGTGATTCCCTGCCTCAGTCTCCCAAGTAGCTGGGATTCAAGGCGCCCACCACCAAGCCCGGCTAATTTTTTGTATTTCTAGTAGAGACAGGGTTTCACCATGTTGGCCAGGCTGGTCTCGAACTCCTGACCTCAGGTGATCTGCCTGCCTCAGCCTCCCAAAGTGTTGGGATTACAGGCGTGAGCCACTACACCCGGCCCCAATCTTGATTTCTAATACCATTCTCCAATGGTTACTTGGAGACATGGCTGATTTTAGGACGGGGAAGGGAATACCTAAGATAAGCCTGCAGCATCTTGTAGTTCCAGAAGGCAAGGAGGCACTCAAATGAGAGCAAAAAATAAAAAAATTAAAAAAAAATCCACAGTGATGGGAATATGTCAAAAAGACACACGGCTGAAAAAGTTCCCAATGGCCAAAACTGAAACAATTTAAGCAAATCAATCAATCGATCAACAGTGCGCTGTTGGACTATAACTCAAAGCTTAAGATAAATATCCACATGCCCATACTGATGAAAATAAGTGATTAAAGAACTGAACAAATAGGAGAGAGTAGACAAATCCTCAGTGCAGAAGAATTCCAAATGATTTTTGTAAACCTAATTTTTATACCTATAATTTTCATTTCAATGTCATAGAAAACTAAGTGAATTACTATGAATACTATATTTGTAGAGGAAAGACTAAGGGATGGTAAGGCTGCAGAGCATCCTGTAATTAAAATGAGAAAACCGAAAGTCAAACAAAGTCATCAGTGGGCAGATTTTTATATACTTCAGCCTTAGGTTTCCTTGGTAATAACCCTATCTGGCAACTACTACTTATTCCTACATAGATCTTAAGAACACAGCTCTCTGGAGTCTCCTCATACCTATTTGAATAACGAGGTGTATGTGTCCTCATACAAGAGCACATTCACTTCCACCTATGCACACCCTCGAGAAGAGAAAGGAATGGAATATTTTTGTTTTTATTTGTAGCTAAAACAAGATTTCACTGTTTACTAGTTTCTAAATACCAAAACAATGATGGGATTCTGTCATCTTCCTGGTCACTTACTGCTCATCGCTCACTGTGTGGGGAGTGCAATGAGTCAGTGGCAAATGCTCTGCAGACACGCCCCTTGTTCATCTGAAACGCACAAAGGAGGGGTGGGCTGTGTGACTAAGCCTGTGTGTGGATTCTTACAGTAAGTTATGTTTCTGAGAAACAGGCACTAACAATAGCTCATTTAAAAAACAAAACACAACGAAATAAGCACCATTACAATTGGTGAAAAACATGTTTAATCTTTTGCCTAAGAAAGTTTTGATAGCCCAACATAATTGAAATGGTGGCTATGCATCGTTCCACCCTAGTTACTCTTAACGGCATGTTTTGAGTCACCAAACGTGCGTCCTGCTCAGCCTTGCCCAGGCAACTGTGAACGACAGCCCTTTCCAGAGGACCTCAGAATGACAGGGGCATGTCACAGCACCTTCCTTTCTTCCAAGAAATGCCAGGTCACAGGGGGTGTTCACTTATTCTCAAGTGACATTCTTGTCCTTAAAATATTTTTTTCCTCCATTATGGTTGTGACAATTGTTAGCATAAATATTAGCCTGAAAGAAGGACAATTCTTATGAAGCCCAAATTGGGTTTAAGTTATAAGTAACAGTTGTGTTTTTAAAAAATAACTCATCCTCATCATACAACCAGATAAAGTAGAAATCAATTGTCATATAAGATATACAAAATTTGGGTATAAATAAAAAGATAACAACTGGATTAAAATGATCCTTTGCCATATTTTACTCTCTTGGAAGTGAACTCTGAGCATACATATAATGATATGCCTAAAAAGTGTCAATGACACAGCTATTTTCAATGAAATTAAGGAAATAAAAGACCCAAAATGCTCATACTTAAGATTTGTTAAACCTTATCCCTGGTCAACATTCTATGCAGATCTGAAACTGAAACTATTGCAAAATGATGCAAGACTGTAAGTACTCTCTGGAGTTTGGGTGCATTATTTTTGTAATTCCTTTTATGTAATGGAACTATTTCTTTTTCCAGGGCCATATAAACACCTGAAGAGAGGACGATGTCAGGTCGACAGATTGTGGAATTTAGATTCAGCACCTAAGCTATTTGAGGTTGACACTCACTGAAATCTTGAGTGTTTGCACCTGCTGTGGAATAAGTCATTGTCCTTGGACACCTTACAAGGTGGAGTTTGTGCACATTTGGGAAGAAGGAGGCGGCTGGCAGAGTGACTTCCTTATCGACCCACTCACCAGCATCTCCATCTCCCTCAGGGGGTGCTGTCCACCCACCGTGTTTTGTTTACATCAGTAGCAAAGACATATGAATCATCTTCCACTTTTTAGCTATGAATGAAGAAGTAACCTCTGACACCCACTAGTGCGACTGGCCCTTACATGCTGGTATATGTCAGACTCTTAGCATCACTCTCATTTCATACTGCTGTTGATGATGTGAATTTTGGAAATATTCTCCCCTATTGGGTCTTTCTCCATGACAGATGATGTCCTTTGGCTTCGGTTTTTTGCCTAAGAACTGTAAGTGGTGCTTGCTAGCCCTACTAAGAATCCTGCCATTGTTGCAAATTTCAGAAAAAAGGTAATGCATTTAAGGAACTTTTCCCTTTGTTACAATTATTTTCTTTCTATATTAAGTAGCTTATAATTAGGATAAAGAGATTACAGAAACAGGGATGGAGAAGGACGGGTTGAGGGGAGGAGAGAGAGTGCTGGAGAGACAATATCATCACTAGGAAAAGACATGAGTAAAAAAATAGCGCAAACAAGAATTATGCTCCTCAAAAAAGAGCTTTCTGGTCACCTTGCAAGGATTCTATAAAAGTTACAGGTTACAATCGAAATAAGTAAAATATTTAGTTAACAAGGAAATGTGCATCGTGCACATAATTACTGAAAGTTATTACCAGTCACTGTGGTAGGAACTGGGGATTAGAGAGAGAACGGATCTGTAGTTCTAGCCTCAAGGAGTTACTGTTTAGCATTAGAGGCAAAATGAAAAAGTACTCATTGTTTCTGCCCATGTTTGCAAAAAGGGGACAAGTTATTGGTCCCCAAAGTAAATGAGATAATGAGAAAAAACTTCAGGGAAAAAACTGAGAATACTATAGCTGATTAACTTACTGTTTAGTTCTCTTAAAAATATCTACCTTCTTATCATTATAATTCTGGAATGAAAATCAGGAGGACTGCCTAGTACTGCCAATTCTGACAGTGATCTGGTAAGACATTTTCAATTATTTCCTCTGTAAATGTTTTAATATCAGATTAGAAATGTGTTTCTACTTTCTAATTTGTAACGTAAGACTTCAAAATCTGTTTGAAAACTACTGTAGAAAGTCTGTGTTGAAGGATAAAATTCCCCGATATTTTAGAATGGACTCTTTGCATTCAATTAATTTATTAGTTAAAGACAGTGATTAATGCATCCTAAAATATTTAGGGATGTAGTCTTTTCTAATTATTTCACTATAGCATAGAAGAATTGCTATTAAGAGTTGGCCAACAGGCCAGGTGCAATGGCTCATGCCTGTAATCCCAGCACTTTGGGAGGCTGAGGCTGGATCACTTGAGCCCAGGAGTTTGAGACCAGCTTGGGCAAAATGGCAAAACTCTGTCTCTGCAAAAATACAAAAATCAGTCAGGCATGGTGGCTTGTGCTTGTAGTCTGAGCTACTCAGAGTTGGGGGCTGAGGTGGGATTCGCCCGGGAGAAACGAATAGAGAGGTCTGGGTATGCAGGGATATAGGGTCAGGTTACCAAGTTAGCTGAGCACATCGGGTCCCCTGTGGATATTGCCACTTCAAAGAGGCTCAAAAGCTCTGAAATTTTATGAAGAATTTTCTCAGGTTTGGCAGATACGAAACTGTTGAACACTGTTAGAGAAAAATGGGGAAAAGTAAACTAAGGCCTATCCAAATTATTATTTTGAATTGCGTAGCTCAAGATGATTTGACCATCACATTAAATTTGTCCAATTAATTTGTCACATTAAATTTGCCAAATTAAAAGTGTATCATGTAGTGACTGATAGTAAACTAAGTACATGAAATTATGGGCATTCAGAAGATTTTTAAAGAACTGATTGGTTTTACTTTGGAACAGTAACAATGCAGTGAGGCATCTTGGGACAAAGATTGGAAGAGGAAGAAAGCCAGAGAATTGAGCCTGACATTTGGGAGCCACTTTTCCCCTTGAACAACAATAATAATGGCCCTTAGGCTTTCTGCGGAAAGGAGGGTGTTTGTTTAAAAAACAAAAAGACAGAGACATATACAGAGACAGAGAAAAAGAAGAAAGGAAAAGCAAAAAGATTCCAGAAATAAAGGGGAAAATATAACCCTTACCATGGAGGAAAATTACAATTCACTTGGATTAACCATAAGAAGATTAAAAAGTCATATATTGACCAATTTTAATGTTTTCTGGAAGAAGAAACACACCTTTTCACACTGTGAGCTGTACAGAAGCCGACTCTGTGGTTTTTGGTGTGTAAAAACATATAGTAATAATAATTATACCACTTTACACCTTTATGGTGTTTTGGGTTTACAGATTCTCCATACAGTTAATCTATTTTGGGTTTACAGATTCTCCATACAGTTAATCTATTTTGATCTTCATACCAAACCTATTCTAAATTGGGGTTTAGAGGAGGTGTGAGGCTGACAAAAAGATGTTCTGCTTTTTGTTCAGGACCTGTGCTCAGGGCTGTGTTCTCATTTTGAGGTTGGATTTTGTACACTCACATTTTCATTTATCTCTCTAGTGCTCAAGATATTCACAAACTTTTTCACTGTCAGGGATGCATAAAAGAACAATACTTTATTAGAGCTATATTCTAAGCCAACTGGGTCGTCGTACCTTAGATTCAAAGTTAGATTATGGCTCAAAATGAATCCTTAGCGTATTTCTGGTGTTCAAAAAGAATAGGTTGAAGCCGAGACGGGTGGATCACTTGAGGCCAGGAGTTCGAGACCAACCTGGCCAACATGGCAAAACCCCGTCTCTACTAAAAACACAAAAAATTAGCCAGGCATGGTGGCGTGCGCCTGTAAATCCAGCTACCTGAGAGCCTGAGGCAGAAGAATCGCTTGAACCTGGGAGGTGGAGGCTGCAGTGAGCCGAGATCATGCCATTGCACTCTGACCTGGGTGACAGAGTTGGACTATGTCTCAAAAAAAAAAAAAAAAAAAAAAGAATAGGTTATTTTATATTTCCTGAATTACATGTAGTTGTAATGCCTTGCTCAGGATCTTGCCTATAGTGGCAAAGAAATATTGCTTAAAATCGACTCTTGAATTACACTAGCATTCTGTAGGCACCATATCAAACATCTAGGACAGGGGTCCTCAATCCCCAGGCCGCTGACCGGTACCAGTCTGTGGCCTGTTAGAAACCAAGCCACACAGCAGGAAGTGAGCAGGGGGCAAGCATTACAGCCTGAGCTCCGCCTCTTATCAGATCAGTGGTAGCATTAGCTTCTCAAAGGAGTGCAAACCCTACTGTGAACTGTGCAGGTGAAGGATCTAGCTTGCGCATTCCTCACAAGAATCAATGCCTCATGATCTGAGGTGGAACAGTTTCAACCTGAAATCATCCCCCACATCCCACCCCACCCCAGTCCCATCTGTGGAAAAATTGCCTTCCATGAAACTGGTCCGTGATGCCAAAAAGGTTGGGGACCACTGGTCTAGGACTTACCCGGTAAGTTAAAGACAAACCTTTAAGGAATTTTCAATTTAGTATCTTGATATCCCTATGTGAAGATATTGGAACTCATTCATATTTTTTGTTTATTTTGTTTTTGTTTTTTGTTTTGAGACCGAGTCTTGCTCTGTCGCCCAGACTGGAGTGCAGTGGCATGATTTTGGGTCACTGCAACCTCCGCCTCCCAGGTTTAAGTGATTCTCCTGCCTCAGCCTCCTGAGTAGCTGGGATTACAGGCGTGTGCCACCACATCCAGCTAACTTTTGTATTTTTAGTAGAGACAGGAATTCACCATGTTGGCCAGGCTAGTTTTGAACTCCTGTCCTCAAGTGACCCACCTGCCTCGGCCTCCCAAAGTGCGGGGATTATAGGCATGAGCGACCGCCTCGGCCCTCATATTTGGTTTTGCTTATATGTCTTATAAGATTATTTCATAATGGTTATCTGCTTCTAAATCTGTTAACTTAGTTTTGCTAAATGTAGTTCAAACAAAATTTATCTTTGGATTTTCATTACCTTTTTGGCTTGTCACAATGAACAACAGGGATTGATAACAAGAGAAAAACAATCCACCTTATTGCAGCAGCCTGGTTTCTGATCCTAGGCACCATTTACTAAATTAGATAATGGGAAAGAATTACTCTTCTCTTTCCCCAAGAGAGTTAGTGAGTGGTAAAAACATTTAGGTGGTGGGTGAGGAGAATGTTTCTTATTGGTAAAAGGAATTTTTAATAGGGAAAGAGACCAGGTGAGAATAGAAAACTAAGGGAAACACAAGGCCATTTTTTGTCTGTTTGTTTTTGAGACAGGATCTCAGTTTGTCACCCAGACTGGGGTGCAGTGGCTCAAATATGGCTCACTGCAGACTTGACCTCCTAGGCTCAAGTGATCCTCCCACTTCAGCCCCCCAAGTAGCTGGAACTACAGGTGTGTGCCACCACACTTGGCTAATTTTTGTATAACAAGGTCATTTTTGATAGAAATATTTATGATATCTGAATTTCCTCCATGTTGAAAATCCATATTTATTGTTCTTATTTTTCTTGTACTTCACTTTCATTGTTCATTAATTACATGGGAAAATAACACTTCTATGCAATGTATAACCATTTTTAACAAATAAGAGTAATAGTGCTGTTTGCACTACTTTGTGTGACATGTCTAAACAATGTAAACTTTTTGTTGTATAGACTTTAGTTATTGTTCAGTACAATGTCATCTGCTGTGCATGACTGTGTGTAGTCTCTCTCTAGAAGTGTATAATTTGCTGACTATAATGAATCTCTTTTGATAGCAAAACTTTTCTTTTAAAAATATTAATTATTAGGTTGGTATAAAAGTAACTGCAGTTTTCCCCATTAACCACAATTGCTTTGTACCAACCTAATACCTGGTGGACAGTGGCAAATGGAATGCAGTCACTTCTGCACTGGCATAGGAGACTGTTTGTCTTATCTTCCCCAGTGAATCTCCTGGCAGAAGTAGTTTCTACTAGGAGAAGAAAAAAAAAATTACAGTAAGACCCCATGGAATGAAAACCTGTGGCGCAAGAGCCTCACTAAATGTCCCAAACACAGGAAGCAACCAGCCAATACTGTTGACTTGAATTCCAAATTGATCCAGTGTTCTTTGATTGTATTTTGACTAAGTAAAGGCATCTCTCTATATACTTGTCCACTTCGGGATTTATCTGTTGATTTTTGTTTGCTTGTTTTTGGTCTCTAAAGGTTTCAGTTATTTTATGAGCAGATGCTTTTTCCATTATCTTTCCTCTCTTCTTTGCATTAGCATTCCTAAAACATACACAATCAGTATCTCTTACCAGTTACACTAGAGGTTGGCTTGCTTAAAAAGCAGTAGTGTTATTTCTTCTAGCCAAGTACCAACTCGTTGCAGTCAGGCTGGAACCCGGCTATTGTCCTGACCTGTGGCTTCAGCTCTGGGGCAGAGGATGCAATGTGTGCAATGCAATGCACACGTCGATGCAATGGTGTGCAGGAGCTGGCCTCCACTACTTCATGAGAGCTGTTTGTGTGTATCTCTTTCCAGCTTCACGTTAACCGTAGTGGGAGTATTTATACCATGGAGGTCAGCAAACATCACAGATCAGATCTTTTTTTTCTTTTTCCTCCAGAAAGTCAGTAGTTAAGCACTTACCAGCACACCACTGGTTAGATATGAGGTGGAGAGAGAAGTTGAAGAGGGGTGGAAAATGAGATCATGAGCTATTCAAAGGGCCCATAATAAAACAAAAGAGTGAACCAAAGCAGCTTCATGTTCGTCAGTCCTCATCAACACCAAGAGGTCTCACAGGCTGCTCTTTGCTGGAGTCAGTGTAAAATCGCAGAGGAGCCTGGACTGGGAATTAAAAGACCTGGTTTCTGATCCTCATGCTGCCACTGCATGCCTGTATGATCTGGACTACTCATTTAACTTCTCCCAGTCTCAGTTTTCTTCTCTGTAGCACAAAAGTATAGAGGTGGGGTGCAGCTTAGATCCTCGTTGTTTTAAGTGTGCTTCAGAAACTGTCAGAATGGGCATCACCTGGGAACTTGTTAGGCCAACCTGAGGTCTACTGAAACAGAATCTGCATTTTAACAAGATCCTTAGCTGTGCTGTGTGCACATTCGGGGAAGCACTAGAGTTGGTAAGTGGTCCTCAAACCTGGATGAGTATTTGTAAAGATTAAAAAATATGTATTTTGCTGGGCATGGTGGATCATGCCTATAACCTCAGAACTTTGGGAGGCTGAGGCAGGAGGATCACTTGAGCCTACTGCAACCTCCACCTCCCAGGTTCAAGCAGTTCTCCTGCCTCAGCCTTCTGAGTAGGAGTTCAAGACCAGGCTGTGCAATATAGTGAGATTCCAGCTCTATAAAAAGTAAAAAAGTTGCTGGGCATGGTAGTGTGTGATTGTGGTCCCAGATACTTGGGAGGCTCAGGTGGGAGGATCACCTGAGCCTGGGAAGTCGAGGCTTCAGTGAGCCATGATTGCACCACTGCTCTCCAGCCTGTGTGACAGAGCAAGATCCTGTCTTAAATAAAAGAATAAATAAAATAAAAATACATATTTCTGGCCTTTATTCCTGATATATTGGGTCAGAATATCTGGAGATGAATCTCAGACTTTTTATTTTTAAAAAGTGCCCCCAAAGCTTTTGAGAACCAACAAGTGATGGGATCCGTTAGCTCAAATGGTTCCCCATGGTTTTCTCTCTCTCTCTTTTTCTTTTCTTTTTTTTTTTTTTTTTAGATGGAGTCTCACTGTGCTGCCCAGGCTGGAGTGCAGTGGCTTGATCTCAGCTCACTGCAAACTCTGCCTCCTGGGTTCAAGCAATCCTTCCACCTCAGCCTCCCAAGTAGCTGGAATTACAGACACCTGCCACCTGCCACCATGCCTGGCTAATTTTTGTATTTTTAGTAGAGACTAAAAATACAGGGTTTCACCGTGTTGACCAGGCTGGTCTCAAACTCCTGACCTCAAGTGATCCGCCTGCCTTGGCCTCCCAAAGTGCTGGGATTACAGGCAGGAGCACCCAGCCTCCTTGTGGTTTTCATAGTCGATGTCTGCTCTGACAAAAGTTGCCAGCCTTCAAGATAATGCTTTCCTTCTCCCTGCCCAGTGTTGATAGTTACTAGAATTGGTGGAAAGCAATTCTTGAAGGGCTTAGGGAGTATGAATTTGTAAACCACTTTTATTTCATAAAATTTGAGAAGGCACCGTAAAAAGCTTAGATTTTGGAGTGGATAAAATAATCTTCTAAATATGAAAAAAAAAAAAAAAAGCCAGCAGAAATAGGTTACTTCATGGGGTTGGAAGAGAAACTAAAGGAAAATAAATGACACTGTAAATGTACCTGTCTTTTGAAATCCTAGCTGACATTAAATTCATAGCCATGCAGAGGGTTTTAGATGTGCTTGTCTGAGATAGTGAAGCTTAATGGACCAAATATGGCTGAAAGATCAGGAAATCTACTTTTAGCCACAAATTATGAAATGGAGATATATAATTATTTTATTGTGATTCTTCAAGCGAATACACTTGAAAGATATAAAGCATGGCTTTCTCATGAAGTAATTCTATGATCATGTGCACTTTTTATTTTAAAATTTGTTTTTACCAAATACAGCTATAATATAAGCAGCTTATTCCTGGCCAAAAACCCACCTAAGAATATCAATTAGGAATTTGGTTGGCTTCCAAAAATAAAAAAAAATTGACTTATAAGTAAGAAAGGTTCGTTTTCTCACATTCAGAAAGAGAACCCACATGTTGGGAGCAGCGTTGCAGGATTCTCTGGCCTTTCCCTCACATTGGGAGAGCCACCGCAGCTTCAGACCCCATTGCCATGCCCTTCCAGGCAGGAATGAGCCGAGGAAGGTCAGGGCCAGCCACACCTGCCTCTGCATGGGAATAGCAAAGTTGTCTCACTTTGACACCTAGCAGGATTCTGCTGACATTTTGGCCAGAATTAAGTCACATGAACTCCTTTAACTAGAGGAGACTTGTAGAATAGATGAGTTTTAAATTTCAAACTACATTGCCAGGGCCTTCTACTTTCCTTTTTTTTTTTTTTTTTTTCCTCTAAGTGACAGGATCTCAGCCAGGTGCAGTGGCTCACGCCTGTGATCGCAGCACTTTGGGAGGCAGATCACCTGAGGTCAGGAATTCAAGACCAGCCTGACCGACATGGTGAAACCCCGTCTCTACTAAAAATACAAAAACTAGCCGGGCATGGTGGTGTGCACCTGTAGTCCCAGCTACTCAGGAGGCTGACACACGAGAATCGCTTGAACCTGGGAGGCAGAGGTTGCAGTGAGCCGAGACCACACCACTGCACTTGACTGCACTGGAGACTCTGTCTCCAGGCTGGAGTGCATAGGTGCAATCATAACTCACTGCAGAATCAAACTCCTGGGCTCAAGCGATCCTCCCGCCTTAGTTCCCAAGTAGCTGGGACTACAGGTGCAAGCCACAATGCCTGGCTACTTTCTACCCTTCTGCTTTTACTCTTCATCCACAGTTCAAAAGACATTCTCTCTTTACTTCAACAAACAAAATCGTATAGTTCCTACAGTAGTCTGCTTAGCAATTAACCCTGTAATGAAATCCTCTGGGATTATTTCCACATAATAAATTCCTCATTTTCTAATAATGTATATGCACAGGTTATACCACCACAGCAGCTATTTATGTATCTACTGCTCTATTATAACAGACCTTTTTTTTTAGTTTATCTCCTGTGCTTCTCAGAAACAAGTTATTCTTATAATCCCTCCATGTCTTGAGCTCACTGTGCCTAGTAATGTCTGCTTAGCTGAACTGAGAAAAACACAGACTGTGTCATCCTATTCTTCTCTGCTACGCGGAGTGGCATGTGCAAAGCTCTGTATGCAGCCCAAGCCTACGTCTCATTGGTGCCTTTGTTTACACAGCAAACTGTTTCTGACATGTTGGATGCTTGATATTCACACAAATTACAAGGACCACAAATACAAATCATAATTGCAGATGTCATACATTTCAGTGATCTCTGTTGAAAGATTGAATTTGAGTGGTTTGCACAGCATCCAAGGAATTTTTCCGAGGAAACTTGTGATTAGAATGAGGCTACAATATTCCATCTCTTAGAAGGGTTGCCAGGAAATGAACATGCTGCATGCATGACAAGCATGAATACTGACAAGCATGAATCCTGAGAATCAGTGGCCTGGAACTCCGCTGGTGTAAGCGTGAAAGTGCAGGCACTAGACAAGCCCCATAGCAGGCAGTGACATGTGGGTTAGTTTATGAGGAAAAGAATCAACAAACTACTTATTATGTGTATTTTCTCTCCCTTTTGCTTCTCAGCCTTCTGTTTCAAGTTATTTTTATGCTCATCTCACACTCTCTGTATTTTTCAGACATGCATTAACAAATTAGAAAGATGACTTTGTACTGGCACTAGAATATTTCTCCTGATGGATGTATCCCCGAAACGCAAGTGTGAAATACATTAGTTTGAAAACAATCACAAGTGGTGAAATTGGTGATTCAGGACTTAGGAGGTCAAACATGAAAAAAACAAGGAAAAACCAGAAAGGATTAAAACATCTACAGGGAAAAAACCTATGATGACACACACGGAAAGTGAAAAATACCAGTTACAATAGTCAAATTCAAAAGTCAAAAATAGATTCTGCCTCTTTATGGCAGAATCTTATCAATGTAGCACATTTCTGAGGAAGCATTCTCTTCTTCAAACTGTAGCTATGTCTACAAACAAGTTTAAGGGGAGAAAAGTCTACCAAAAATAACATGAAATTATTATTTTTAAGTGACTTGATGCTAAGTGGCCCCTGTGACTTAATTTTTCATTTTCAACTAGTTGGTGTACAATCAAGTCAGCTGCTTACATGGACAAAAATGCAATGCACATCTTATTAACAAATATGTGATTTATGTATTCACTCCTTCTTGATGTGCATTCAGAAGGAATAAAGGATCTTCTTGGGAAAAAAGTGTTTACCACACCTGATAAGTTGCCATTGTTCACCTTCCAGGTAATTGTGTTATTTTGGTCTTCAAGGCCCTGTGGTACTTGGAAGCAATTCCTTAATAGTCAAACAAGGGCACATTGCCAGGTTTCCATTGTCAACGTTGCAGAACTTACTACTGTTTAATACTTTGTAGAAGGAGGAATATTTAAACACAAATCTTGTTTCAGGAAAGTGCTCCATAGAAAGTAAGTTGCGGAAAGTACCAGAGTCATTTCTATCAAAAGATATATTTCAGGATCCGGGATAATTTGCTAAAAATAAAAAATGAGAGAAAATTAAAAGAGAGAGAGAGAGAAAGATCTGTTCAGATTTGTTTCAACAACCAGTGGTTTCTACAGGATGTAGAACTTTTCATTAGCCAAGAGAAGGAGAGATCATACTCACACCATATGACTTCCTGGTGGAAGGTGGAAACCCAGCATTCAGATGATCATTTGAAACATCATCTTCCCCTTTTTGAGATTTTAAAAGATACAAAAAAAAAATACACTCATGACCCAGCTATTCCACTTTTTAATATATACCCAAGAAAATTAAAAACATATGTCCACACAAATACCCATATGAATATTAATAGCAGCATGATTCATAATAGCCAAAAAGTGGAAACAACCCACATGTGCGTCAGCTGATGAATGGATTAACAAACGTGATACACTCATACAATGGAATATTATGCAGCATAATAAGGAATGAAGAACTGATTCATGCTATAAACAATGAATGAACCCTGGAAACATTATTCTAAGTGAAACGTCAGACACAAAAGGCCACATATTGTATGATTCCATTTGTATGAGGTGTCCAGGTCAGGCAAATCCATAGAGATGGAAGGTAGATTACGGGTTCCCAGTGGCTGAGAGGAGAGGGAGAACGGCGAGTGAGGGCTAATGGATAATGGGACTTTTAGGGTGATGATAAACATTTTAAGAACTAGATGTGTGGAAAGTTGCATAACTTTGTGGCTATACTAAAAAAGACTAAATTTTACACTTTAAAGGGGTAAATGTTATGGTATATGAATTATATCTCAACAAAGAAATTATTCAAAAAATACTCCTGGTACCAAATGACTGTTAACATAAAAGTGACGTTATCACATAGATGACTCTGAGACATAGCTCCCAAACACCACATACGTTTTTAAAAGGAAAGAAACCAAAAACGAGCCTATTTCAATATGGTGAAAATTTTAATGAACTAAAAAATGTTTGTTTGTGGTTCCTTCCATATAGAGAGCCTCATTTCTCAGCCAATTAAAGCAACTGAACCTAAACTGAAATTACACAGATTCACAGGGTCTGCGGTGGGCAAGTCTATGGATGGGGCCTGGTTGTCTCTGCCCCTCCTGTCTCATTTCTGGGATTTTCCTGTCGTTTTGTTTGAGTGCCCTTCAGGTACTGAGTGCTTTCATGAAGTTGTGCACTCTTCTTTCTCCATGCCTATGTCTGCCTCCACACTGCCTTTGAGAAGAACATCTCTGCTCTCAGCTTAACCAAAGCTTGAAATTTGGGGTCCCATGTTTTAGCTGCTATCAGTTCAGCCCAAAGAATGACAGGTGAAACTTCAGGCAAGCAGAGAGATATCCTTGTGCTTAGCAAGAAAAGCAGCACTGAGGAGACAGCTGATAGTGGACTCACTCTTAGTCTTAGCGTGGCATCTGTCCTCTCTGGCAGCATTGGTTGGCCACATCATAGGTTTAAATGGCTGGATATTCAATATCTCACAGGGAGCAATCTCCAGAAGATTTAATTATATGTAAAAGGCCAGGGAACTTTGGCAGTATAGTGAACATTTTTTTCTTTCTTCTTTCTTTCTTTCTTTCTCTTTCTTTTTCTCTCTCTTTCTTTCTTTCCTTTTCTTTCTTTCTGATGGAGTCTCGCTCTGTTGCATAGGCTGGAGTGCAGCGGTGCGATCCCAGCTCACTATAACTTCGGCCTCCCAGGTTCAAGCAATTTTCCTGCCTCAGCCTCCTGAGTAGCTGGGATTACAGGCACCCGCCACCATACCCAGCTAATTTTTTTTTTATTTTTCAGTAGAGACAGGGTTTCACCATGTTGGCCAGGCTGGTCTCGAACTCCTGACCTCAAGCCATCTGCCCACCTCGGCCTCCCAAAGTTCTGGGATTATAGATGTGAGCCACTGAGCCCGGCCTAGTGAACATTTCTTATGTTAAACCAAATGCTATTCAATAAGTTTTAGCTTCAAGTGGGCTGAGTTTCACATCATTATGAATGAGAAATTTAAGGGGTAAACCCTATGCTGCCCTCACAATCATCCCTTCATTCCCTCTTCCTTTAAGATGTTTTCTGCCTAGGAGGTTACTCAGGCCCTTGCACATGTGGTCTCCTGGCAGCAGATCCATCTCTGACATTTGCAGCCGGTGCAAGAATACAGATGGAGGCCTCCACCCTTCCAACTCATAGTTTGCCCCTTTTATGTTCTTAGCTGCTGCTCAGTCCTGCAACTTGACCCCCATGCACACTCATGTGTATGTGAACATTGCAGCTGCAACCCGGGAGCCTGCAAAGAGTTGCCTTTTGGACTTTCTCAGGTTAGGAGTGCAGTTAACAGCTGTAATGCTGTGACTTGAAGAGTAGCCCACACAGGCTGTGGAAGGGCTAGGGTATTTGGGAGAGAAAGTTCAGAGTTCAAGGTACCCAAAGCAAGGACTAGAAGGGGGTGCCTTGGTTCCAGGTGGGCATGTCTCTTTGGCTTCATGGGTCTCTCTCCTCTTAAAACAAAAGCAGGCACCTCAGGCTAGGATACCATTTGCCTGGGTCCAAGGGAAGAACTGTCTGGAAATCTTATTCCACCAGTCTTTCAGCCAGATCCAGCCACGGAGCTGTGTCTTAACCCTGAGAGGAAGCAGAGCTATGCCTTAAGCCAGCTCCTTAATCTACACCATTTTCTTTGCAACTGGACACATTTTATTAATATCTGTATCTATACTAAATAGGAAAGAGGACCCTGGCTAATTCTCTTGTTAGAGTAAGACAAGAAGTCCATGAGATTTGGGGAAACCAGGCCAAGGTTTGGGTCCAAAAGAGGCCTCCTTCAAACACATACACACCCGTTTTTCCACATGTGAGTAATTACTAAACTCTCTTTGGCCCTCACCAAGACAACCAGCAGGACTCAGGAGTTTAATGAATTGTTCTCACTTCCACGGAGCAGTAAAATTGAGTTTTTATTTATTAGAAACTTAAAATGGTTTTTAACTCTGTGGGAGTAATTTAGAAATTGGTGTGAAGTGTAATTGATTTTTATAAACATGCATATTGTAGATTTTTCATTAATAAGCATTTGCATTGTAATTTGTTTGTGCATGAGTGCCCTGGACTTTCCAGATGCTAATGAACAAAGTGCTGGAGTGTGCTTTCTACAAAGCGAAATTCATTATTTTCATTTTTATTTTTAACTCTTTTCTCAAAGTGAGAACAAGAGAAAGCTATTGGAAAGATAATTTCTAGAAAGAAAGGTGAACTCAGCTCTTTTTGATAATTATGTTTTCCCCCTCAATCTTGTTTAACAAAAGCTGAAGAACTTGTCTGTCACACTCCTGATACTTTCTCTAATTAGTCCTGGCTTCATATATATGTGTATATACACACATATGAAATACTCTTTCATGTATATATGAAAAGACTATTTAGAATGATTATTTATACTGCATATAATTAAGTAGGGCTGTGTCCTGGTCTATAATCACTAGAGACACCCTTCTGAGAAAATACTCCTGACTTAACCACACAATTTATTCTACATTGTAGTGCCTTCAGGGATACACCCTTCTGGAGTACATTAGTTTTCTCAGACAGACCAGAAATGATTACCAAGGGAGGAACCTCTTCCAATAAGCCCTCTTTTCATTTCTTTGATATGTGTGCATCGATCCCTAAGTCCTCATCTGGACTGCTACCTTAATTTGCAGAGCCCAAGTGAAAACACACACACAAAAAACCCTCAAAGTCCCTTCAAAAAGCAGGGGTGGTGGTGGGGGGGAGGTGTGGAAGATTTCCTTTCTTTCTCTTTTGGCCTGTCATGGGGTCTCTTACTTGCTATTTAATTTCATGCTCTCTTTGATACAGGGGTATTCACAGGGTGAGTGCAGATGGTCTCAGGTAGCTCAGGCCTGCCCAGCCACTTGGTGCATGGGGTGTGTGCACCCAGCTTCCACGCCCCCTGCAGGCCCAGGCCCCTGCCTGCCCAAATGGCTGTAGTCACTGGAAGGGGGTTGGGGAGCAGAGAGTGGAGGGGTGGGAGATAATGAGAGTGGATGAGGAAGCTCCTCACCCCCTGTTCCATTGTCCTTCTGGACTTCACTTACAAAACACAAACTCCAAGATTAAATTGTTATGCATTTTAAGGGGATTCACCCATGAAAGATGGGCAACTCTCCTGTTATAAAAGAAGTCCACAGAAGGCTCCATAACTTCTGTGCCAGGTCAATAGTGCTCTGATTTCCTTTCTTTCTGCCCCCAGTGATTATCCAGGGACTACAGATGGGGTCAGCAGCATGCCCAGTCACCTGCATTGCCTAATGAATGGCTGACTGCCTCAGCATCCCCTGGGCAGAGGTGAGGAGGACTTGTTTACAGCCTGATATGGTTAGACTTTGTGTCCCCACCCAAATCTCATCTTGAATTGTAATCCCCACGTGTTGAGGGAAGGAAGTGATTGGATTATGGGGGTAGTATCCCCCATGCTGTTCTCATGATAGTGAGTGAATTCTCACGAGATCTGGTGGTTTTATAAATGATAGTTTTTCCTGCACTCTCACATGCTCTCTGTTGCCTACCACCATGTAAGACAGGCTTGTTTCCCCTTCTGCCATGATTGTCAGTTTCCTGAGGCCTTCCCAGCTACGCAGAATTGTGGGTCAATTAAACTTTTTTCCTTTATAAGTTACCCAGTCTCTGGCAGTTCTCTATAGCAGTGTGAAAACAGACTAATACACAGCTTAATTCTGGATTTATCTTAGCCTTCACTCCTCAAGCAGTCCAGGCATGGTGGCTCACGCCTGTAATCCCAGCACTTTGGGATTGATCCCTTGAGGCCAGGAGTTTGAGAACAACCTAGTGAGACTTCATCTCTACTGAAATCAAAAATTTAAAAAAATTAATAAAATGTGAAGCTCCCACTCCATAGTTTAATGACACATGCACTATTATGTGGTTTTACTTTTCTCATGGAAAAGCTATACATTACAGAAAATGCAAAACATCGAGAACAGAAGAAAACAAATCACCAGAATTGCCATCTTACTGTCCAGAAATAATTACTTAGCATTTTAGCATATGTAGTTTGGTCTTTTTACATATACGGCTATGGTGCATATGTTATTGAGATATTGTAAATATTGCTTTAAAACACACTTTCATTCACTCAATAATACACCATGAATATCTTCCATATATTATTATTAATCTAAAACATTATTTGAAAACTTTTGGGTGCATACCACTCACCTGGGAGCATGTGGGAAATAAAGATTCTGAAGTCTCTCACTCGCAGAGATCCTCATTCATAACCGCAGATGATGACTCATAAATCTGATATCTGCCTTTTGAAGAAGCACCCCAGAAGATTCTGATGGAGGTGATTCTCAGAGCTTGCTCTGACATACACTGATCTACAATATGCTTTTAAAATGCTGCACTGTGTTCCATCATATAGGTGTGCCATAATTTATTAAACCAGTTTCATATTGTTCATTTGACATTAGTTTCTAAATTTTCACGTGCATGATTAATTCTTCATATAAATCTTTCTGAACATCTCTAATTATTTCCTTAGGAAAATTCTGCAAAGTGGAATTACTGGGTCAAAGGGAATGTAAACCTGAGCAAAGTAGATGGTAGTGTGAATGAAAAAGCAAATCAGTAAGCTGTAAAACACTACACTAATATGATAGAACAGCTGCCATTTATTGAGGGACTTTTGTAAACCCGGCCAGGGGTTCTTAAATTTTCTTGTGAATCAGAATCACCTGGATGGCTTGTTAAAACCAGGTTGCTGCTACCTTCTCTCCATCCCAGTTTAATTCATTAGGTCTGTGATGGGACTGGGAATTTGCAATTCTAAGAAGTTTCCAGGTGATGCAGATACTGGTCCTAGGCCAGGCCACACTTTGGACACCACTAGACACTATTCTAGGTGTCTTATTAAACTTCACAGCAGTCTTTACAGTTGATGATTGAGATGCAGAGAGGGTCTAAGGTTATGAAGCTAATGCTGGCAGAGCTGGGATTTGATTCAAAATTTGATGATTCAAAAGCTGATGGTTTTCCCACCAGGCAACCTGGTTTCTTCATTTTACTGCCCTCAAATAAAATATTTTAGATGTGTTCCTAACAAGCACTGAAGGTTTCAGTGTCAGCGCCACCCCTCCCCCACTCCAATCTATTAGGGATACATAAGGGAGGAGAGAGGTTAGGAATTGTTTGGCTGAGAAATTCCTCAGGGGAAACTGGTTGGATGAGTTACACTCCACCATTCACATCAATATGAAGGGTTGCCTCCCTGTCCTGCTGTGGCCTCAATGACATGTGGACATCAAGAGAATAATTTCTCATCTCTTACTGCAACCACATAATAATCCTTCCTTGGAAGAGAGATCTGTCTTCTCTAAAAACCACCTCCAACCTTCTCCACACAATGGCTTAAATAACCTGTTTGTTCAGGCAGCTCAGAAAACAAATTTCATCAGTGCAGAAAACAAAGCACTCCTATCAAACTGGTTGGTTAATGATACCCAGCACAGCAAACACCCAGCGGATTGGCAGAACGTGAGCCAGGTTGGCTTCTAACAGACCCAGCTTAAGACGCCCAGAATCACCAAGTGAATCAGACACATTTCATAACTAAAGACACCTGAAGACCTAATTATGCAAATTTTACCTGTTTGTTAGCTTGGGATCTGGCCGTCCTGCAGTCTTTCCATGTGTTGATGGTTGTGTGTGAAGATTATTTGTGCATCATTTAGTCTGCATTTATTCATCTTGTGAGCTGAGGATTCTGCTAAGCACCCTACAAGGAGAAAAGGAATATTGTCTGTTTAAAACGTGTTTTGTGTGGCTTCTTGGATAGTGTCCCTGGATGTGGGTACCTGAGAACAATCCATCCTTACTGTTCCATTTCCTAATGGAAAATGCACTACTTCCATCCATGTGAAATATAAATTTAGTCTGGGATGCTTTATCATGTAAGACAAGGCAGGCTATGCATTCCAAGAGATATTTTGTCTAGAGATGATAAGGAGCATTGCACGGTCTTTGGCTTTATTATTTTCAACAACCCCCTAACTGGATAAGGCAAGGTTTTAGGTCAACAAGTCTTGGGAAGTCTGCAGAGGAACTAGCATTTATAATCTGAGTTGCTCCAGCTGCCAGAAGTAGTGTCAATAATTGACTGTTTCGTGGCTGAAGGACTATAGTAGTTATAATTGTCTGACATAAGAAATATTCAGTGACATAAGGCATTTTGTATAATGAAAAGAATTAACATTCCTACTGGATTGTTGTCTTTCAGGAATGCATTCAAGACATTTCTATATTAGGTAAGAAATTTGATTAAGAGCCTCTCTCTCTCATATGAATGGTCTTTTGTTTTTTGTTTTCTTTTTTTCTTCTTCTTCTTTTCTTTTTTGAGACATTGCTCTGTCACTTAGGCTGGAATGCAGTAGCGTGATCTCGGCTCACTGCAACCTCTGCCTCCCGGGTTCAAGTGATTCTTGTGCCTCAGCCTCCCGAGTAGCTGGGATTACAGGTGCACACCACGAAGTCCAGTTAGTTTTTGTATTTTTAGTAGATACTGGGTTTTGCCATGTTGGCCAGGCTGGTCTCAAACTCCTGACCCCAAGTGATCCACCCACCTTGGCCTCTCAAAGTGTTGGGATTACAGACATCAACCACCACACCTGGCCATGAATCATCTTAAAGGAGGAGTTAAAGGGGGTGCACGAGGAACAAGAATCACAACTCCAAGGGAGTTTCGGGGTAGGACATGGGAGAGAGGCTTCAGGTGTGTCAGGAATATATAATCTGTAAAACCACAGCATCTTCCTTCTTACAAACAATGCTTTCAGTTTTTGCACTGCATTTAGTGTCTTTCACTGCAGAACTTTTCCCCAAACCCAGCAATTTACAAATTACCCATTTGTGGAATTTGTTGAAATCTTAGTATGTAGTTGAACCTTAGCAAACTGGAATCCAATTAGCTAGAATCATTGTAAAAATTCTATTTTTTAAGAAAATATGAGAAAATTACCTAAAACAAACACATATTACTGACTTAGTATACAAAAAAGAACTTTTTTTTGAGGATATAGTGCACTTCTAATAGAAATTCAGCTTAATCTATTTTTAGATTATGGTCATTGATAGCTATAACGATTCCATAAGAAATTCTTTCATCAAAAGAAAATGTCTTTGCTATTCTACTAAGAAAATGAGTACTAATAGATTTCAGATATATTCTTAGTAATAAAGATGAAAACAAAAGAGCTTTCTATTTACCACTGATATAGCCACCAAGTATAATTAGCCAGTGTACTCTAGTTACCTATGGTATATGAAAAATTCAACCTATCGATCAGTAATCATACCATGAATACCAAGTACTGTTGGCAAAATTAATATTATATAGATCAGAAAATATAGCCCTAACATTCCCAGATACTAGTGTTAAGTAATCATTAGTGTTTTAAAGCTTTACATTGCACTACATATGTATAAGGAGGTGTGAGCCAAATGTCTCTGGGAATGTCACAATCATATTTCCAGAGTCAAACTTATTTGAATATGGAGGCAGTGAGGAGTCATGTGTAATACTTGGGCTCCTACATCTGGGTTCAGAGTCTCTGGGCTCCTCTGCTTTCATGGCTCCCCAGATACATGCCCTCGGGCAAATCATTTCCCTCTGTTCTCTGCAAAATGGGCAGGGCAAGCATCAAGGTTGCAGAGGTGTGAAGATTTAGGGAGATAACGTGAATGAGATGCTTTTCACAAAGCCTGGCACTGAGGAAGCACCAAATTAAGCCTTAGCTATGATTATTAAATTTCCATTTGATTATTCATGCTGTGAATGTATAGATCTGTGTATTTTTTAATTTAAAGGGAAACTGACCATTTGTAGTAAATGTCTGCAAAGTAACATGTAGTTTAGCAATAAATACTTAAGAATCAGACTAACAAAAAATATTTGGTATTAACACAAAGTTTTACATAGCTATTTATTTACTTATATATTTATGAGGCAGGATCTTGCTCTGTCACTCTGGCTGGAGTAGCAAGTGCCACTACATATGGCTAATTTTAAATTTTAAAATTAATTAAATTTAAAGCAAGTGCCACTACATGTGGCTAATTTTTCATCTTTTTTTTTTTTTTTTTTTTTTTTTTTTTTAGAGACAGGGTCTCACTATGTTGCCCAGGCTAGCCTTGAACTCATGGTCTCAAGTAATCCTTCTGTCTTGGGCTTCCAAAGTCCTGGGATTATAGACATGAGCTACCAAACCTGGCCAGCTTTATAATTTTTAAAATGAAGTATATAAAGACCTAAATGAATTTTTTCAAAAGGCTCAACAATCTTTCAAACATACAGAGTTGATTAAAAACACTCATTATAAATAAGAATAAAAAGTTACCTATCTATACGCAAGGTAGAAAACTGAAACCATACGAACAGATAGTAACTGAGCAGTAAAGGTCTTCCTTGACCTTTATAAAACTTCCCCTTTCTCCCACAAGTATTTGTATATCTTTCTAGAATTTTTTAATGTATCTACAAGCATAAAAATCTGTGTGTATTTATTCACAAATGGAATCACTATATCCACTATTTTTCATCTGGATATTTTTAACTTGAAAGTATATCTTAAAGATACTCCCATACCTTTAAAAGATGCATGGTATTCTATCATATAGATATTTCATAATTCATGAAACTTGATAAAAATTCCTAAATGATGATGTTAGAGTTCCAGGTTTTTTCTTCTCACAACGAAAACTGGAAAATGTAGCTTTGTACCTATATGTGTGTTTTTGTAGGTAAATAAGGATGAATTCCCAGCAGTGAAGATTTAGCAGAACACGTTAATGACACTTTAAAAACAAAGTTAAAATACACATTTAATGAGATTACTCAGGGCAGATTGTTAAGTTTGTGGATCACCCAGGTCCTCTCCTTTCCTCCTTACTAGACATTATATCTCGCTAGAGATTAACTTGGGGCATATAGTTTTGAAGCCAAGAGCTTAGGACATTGGACCCCCACCATTTACTAGCAAGACAAAGTAGTTACATTCTCTGAGCCTAGTCCTGCCTGTTGGGGTTATTGTGAGAATCAAATGAGATGTTGAAAATCAGCATTGAACACAGCATTATTTAGCACTGGTGTTTTAGTCCATTCTGCTATAACAAAAAACCCAAACTGGGCGGCTTGTAGACAATAGAGATTTATTTCTCACAGTTCTGGAGACTGAGAAGTCCAAGATCAAGGTGATGGCAGATTCAGTGTCTGATGAGGGCTCACTTCCTCACAGACAGCACTTTCTTACCGGCAGGAGGTGCCAGGGGTTTCTCTAGGCCTTTTTTGCAAGAGCACTAGTCCCATTCCTGTGGGCTCTGCCCTCACGTCCTAATCACCTCCCAAACGCCCTGTTGCCTAATCACCTTGGGGATTACGATTTCAATATATAAATTTTGGAGGGACAAAAACCTTCAGTTCATTGCAACTGCTAACCCCTCAATAAATGTAGCAACAAATAGTTAATAATTCCTTATTAATATTTTCTAATTAATCTAGTGATGATTATTCTTAAGGAACACTAGACCAGGATTTTCCAAATTTCCAATTTTTTTCATATCGACCTAAGCAGTGTTAGTTATCCATTTATCATTTACTTGCTGTATATTCCCTCCTATGCTTAAAGACTATCATTAATTTTTTTCTTGAATTTATCTACAGATTTCAAGTATCTTCACATTTTCTCCCAGAACTATTTCTCAAACAGGGAAGTCAGTTTTATTACCCTGCTTCAGGCCTTTACGCAGTCTGGCGAAAGACTGCGCACCTAGTCTACAAGAAACCTGGTCAGTCTAGAGATGGATATAGAGGGGAAAAAAATCAAATTCTTTTTTTAAAAAACATTGAATTGTTCACTGAGTAGTAACAGGCAAAAACCGTGATTGCAAGAATATCTGTGAAGGTTACCATGTTTGCAAAGCCATTTTGAATAACTGTTTGGGGCTCTGCTCTCAAACCCTGGCAGTGGAAAGCAGAGGCCTGGTGAGCCAGGCTCCTCTGCAGCCCCACACCAGGCTCTGCCCATCAGGTACTCCATATCAGAAGAGGGAACTGAAAAGTAGAAACCATACAGAGTCCTTTATTTATATTTTTTACTTGGGAGGTGACAGTGACAACTGGAGCTTCTGGCAGCAGGGGCGGTGGTTCTGGTGTTTGTTTTCCAGTGTCAGCCTAGACTTTGGCTGCCTCTGCCCAGTGGCCGTGCAGTGTCAGGGGAAGCGGCCATGGAGACTTCTGGGCTGTGCTCCTGGGTGCATGGCCTCCAAGGCTGGCTCTCTGGCTTTCTTGCAACAGTTCTGAATGCTGCTCCATTCCTTTGCTGCTTAAAAACGTTGAATGAGTTTGGCTCTTTATAACTGTGTGCCCCAAACCCCAATTTCCTCAACCCCCACACTCCTCCCATTTCCTCATTTCAGTGCATGGTAACTATGTCCTAAGCCAGTTGCTTGGATCCATCCGTGACTTCCCTCTTTCTCTCCATTTCTCTCAATAGCAGCATTAATTATTTTTAGAGACAGGGTCTTGCTCTGTTGCCCAGGCTGTAGTGCAATGCCGAGATCATGGCTCATTGCAGCCTTGACCTCCTGGGCTCAGGGATCCTTCCCATCTCAGCTTCCCAAGTAAATACAGGCACATGTCACCACACCCGGCTCATTTTTAAAACTTTTTAATAGAGATGGGGTCTCACTATGTTGCCCAGGCTAGTCTTGAACTCTTGGCCTCAATTAATTCTCCTGCCTCAGCCTCCCAATATGTTGGAATTACAGGTATAAGCCACTGTGCCCAGCCTTGTCTTTCTCCAGAGGCTGTCACCCCCATAGCCTATTGTTACCCAGGTACTAGAGTGATCTTTCAAAAAGTAAATCAGATTATGCTGCTCCTTTTCTTAGAACCCTCCTCACTCTGATTAAAGAATTCCACTGTGGCCTCCAAGACCCTAAAAGGGCTGCTCCCTTGTTATTTGTCTCTAATTTATCAAGCACCCGCTTCCTTCTGCACTCACTGCTCTCCACACACACTGGCCCCAGGTTTACAACCTTCTCCCAGGCAGCTCCCACACACTGCCCCTTTGCTAGTCTCAGAACACCCCCAGCATGCCACCATCTCAGGGCCTTCTTGTTGGATCTCCTGTGCCCGGAGCTTCCTCCCTCCAAGACACACACTCTCCACCATTTCTGCAGTACCTAACTGCCTTATTTCTTCAAATGCCTTTCCCTAAATCTCCCCAGGTCACCACACGCAGCTCTCTTACTCTGCTCTGTTTTTTTCCACGTCATTTCTTTTTTTAAATTTTCTTTTTTTTTTTCAATCTCCAATGTGACAGTATCCATAGCATTTCTTATCCTTCAAAATATATATCAATTTGCTTATTTCCCAATTGTCTGTCTCTCTCCCTGTTAGAATATAAGCTTCATGAAGGCAGGGACTATCTGATTCCTGCTATACCCTTAGGGTCTAGAATGTTGCCTAGTTCATAGTAACTACTCAAAAAATATTTGTTGCATAATTAAATGAATGAATAAATGAATATGGATGCATACAGCATTCTCTATTGTCTGAGAGTTTATAAGGAGGTCATTACCAGTCACTCAAAGAAATATTGTAGAGGCAGCAACCTTAATGGAAATCAGTCAGAAGCCTTGAAGGAAATGACTGATTTTATCAATGTTCTTCATTTTAATAAAAAAGAAAAGTTTAAGATTTACTAAGGTCTGACTGAAGGCTTTCTTAAGCTTAGTCAGAGATGTCCATGGTACAATTTAAGGGGCACATTATGGAATCACCTGCCCAAACCAACTATTTTCTGTGGTCCATCATAATGTCTAAACTTCTCAGTATTTATTATTTTATTTATTTTACAAATATGCCAGGCCCTATTCTAAGAAGTTGGGATATAGCAATCAACAAGTCAACATCCTGTCCTCATGGAACTTACGTTCTAGTTGGGAACAGACAATAAAGGAAGAAACACATGTATAGCAAGCACCAGGTGGTAAGAAAAGCCAGGAGAAAACTGACAACAGGCAAGGGAGAGGTGGAGGTAGAGATGGGTCTGTGTGGCTTTTAAGACCACAGCTAGGGAAGCCAGTGTTAAGGAGGTCCAGATGAGGCATGGGAGGAAGCTATGCAGACAGCGTTCAAGTTGCTTTGAAGTCATCTCCAGGTAGGGGAGTGATGGTGACCTCTGGCTGTCTAGGAGATGCAGCCTAGGCATCCGCCATACTCTTGGAGTTTGTGTGTTTTTGTTTGTTTTTGAGACAAGATCTCACTCTGTCACTCAGGCTGGAGTGCAATGGTGCAAACACGGCTTACTGCAGCCTCAACTTCCCAGGCTCAAGAGATCTTCCTACCTCAGCCCCCCAAGTAGCTGGGACTATAGGCCATCACCACCACGCCCAGCTAATTTTTGTATTTTTTGTAGAGATGGGGTTTTGCCACGTTGCCCAGGCTGGTCTCGAACTCCTGGGCTCAAGCGATCTGCCTGTCTCGGCCTCCCAAAGTGCTGGGATTACAGACGTGAGACACCACATCTGGCCCGAGTTTGTGTTTTTAGCCTAATTTCTGTGTACGATGTTTTATTCGATGTAAAAATGTAGCCTAAATTCTGTGTACAATGTTTATGATATTATAGTGCGCTTTTTAGGTTTAAAATAATGTGCTATAGCCATATATAGGCTATGCGAATTTGAGGTTGCTTCTACATGTATCTCAAAATCATGAGGTTGCTTGCTGCCATGCCATTCATTGGTCAGGTGCCAATCACTAATGGTAAGGAGCTGGGGATTGCACCACAGTCAATAGTCAGAGGCTACACAGCTTTTTGTTGTTGTTGTTGTTAAAATAAAAATGAAAACGAAAGACAAGGTGAGTGAGTATATAGCTAGAATTTTTATTTCTCTCTACCTCCAATTTGTCAAGACTTTGGGTTGTAGCATTCCAGTTTATTGGAAACAACCTTGGTTTCAATTATGTTTACCCAAAGCCAAATTCAAGTCAGTTTTCAGGATGTTTGATTTTTCTCCTGTTGATTGGGTTAATTTTATGTTTTCTGCATAGTTGTTTTGTGAAAAAAAAATTGTGTAGGAGCTATAACTATCATATAACTATCAAATGTCTTCGTTGTAATGTTTTTCATCCACTAACTGTGTGACTTGAAACAAGCCCTATGACCATTCTGTTTCACTTACACAACCTGTGAAATGAGGATAATATCTGACATGTATCCTCTTTCAGAAATTCTCTGAAAGCATACTTTATGCTGATAGAGGAAAAATGACACATTGCATTTAAAGCCTTATTAATCCTCTCATCTGAGGATAATTTTCATGTCTCTATATGCCTCAGTAGGTAGCCTAAGATTATGGGAAAAAAGGAAATGTTGAACTATTTTGTGTACAATTTCTAGGAAGGAAGTGCATTTTTTAAAAAATATTTATTCATTTATTTATTTATTTATTTATTTATTTATTTATTTTTAGACAGTTCTTACTCTGTCACCCAGCCTGGAGTCTAGTGGTGGGATCTCGGCTCACTGCAACCTCTGCCTCCCGGGTTCAAGCAGTTCTCCTGCCTCGGCCTCCCGAGTAGCTGGGAATACAGGCGGTGCGCCACTATGCCTGGCTAAGTTTTGTATTTTTAGCAGAGATGGGGTTTTGCCACATTGGCCAGGCTGGTCTCAAACTCCTCAACTCAAGTGATCCACCCGCTTCAGCCTAGGAAGTGCATTCTTCTCTTGACTTTTCTCTTTATGTGCTGAATACAGTAGACCATTTCACTGGGGCCACCTGGTACCACGAGGTGACCTATGGACAAAGACAGTGGCCTGACTGAAGGTTTCTCAGGACCAGATGGGTAGGAATCTGCCCACTTTCCCTGGACTGCTTTCTTCAGGTCATCTTTCATGTGAGAGAAAAGTAGATTTCTTTTTTTTTTTTTTTTTTTTTTTTTTGAGACAGAGTCTTGCTCTGTTGCCCAGGCTGGAGGGCAGTGGCATGATCTCAGCTCACTGCAACTCCCACCTCCCAGGGTTCAAATTACTCTCCTGCTTCAGCCTCCTGAGTAGCTGGGATTACAGGCGTGTCCCACCATGCCCAGCAACATTTTTGTGTTTTTAGAAGAGATGGGGTTTCACCATGTTGGCCGGGCTGGTCTCGAATTTCTGGCTTCAAGTGCCCACCTCAGCCTCTCAAAGTGCTGGGATTATAGGCGTGAGCCACTGTGCCCAGCTTGAGAGAGAAGTAGATTTCTTTTTTGTGTAAGCTGCAGTCATTTTGGATTTTCTACCATGGGCAGCCAAACCTAACCTTCACTAATGCACACCTGTGATTTGAAAGTGTTTGGGTGCTCTTAGAAGCCACCATTTATGTCTTCTCGTTTTACTTCTTCAATAATCCTATAAAGTGCAAGGAATAAGAATTGTCATTCCTGCCGGGCGCGGTGGCTCACGCCTGTAATCCCAGCACTTTGGGAGGCCGAGGCGGGCGGATCACGAGGTTAGGAGTTTGAGACCAGCCTGGCCAGCATGGTGAAACCCCATTTCTACTAAAAATACAAAAAATTAGCCGGGCATGGTGGCGCATGCCTGTAGTCCCAGCTACTCGGGAGGCTGAGGCAGGAGTATTGCTTGAACCCAGGAGGCAGAGGTTGCAGTGAGCCAAGATCGCGCCATTGTACTCCAGCCTGGGTGACAGAGAGAGATTCCGTCTGACAAAAAAAAAAAAAAAAAAAAAAAAAGAATTGTCATTCCCATTCTCCAGTCAAAGAAACTGACCTTGTAAGATGTCGAGTGACTTGCATGTGGTCAATTAGCAAGTAGAGAAGCTGGAACAAATAGAGGCGTATTATCTCTTTAAAACAAATCACACATATGCTTACACTCAAACATGGTGCACAGGCTTTGGAGTAAGATAGACCTGACTTCACATTTTTGTGTCTCATTCCTGTAGCTTTAAGCAAATTACCTACTTTTTCTGATCTTCATTTCCTTATCTGCAAGATGGTAAACAACATCTCTAGCGATTAAGAATTCCAAATGAGATAATGTTGGTGGTCCTGCTCCAGGGTGTGGTATATAGTAGATACTTAGTAAATAGAGCTCTATTGTCAGCAGAGGCTTATCCTTCTAAAGATTATTTATACTGTGACACAAAAAGGGTAAAAAAAAAAAAAAGGAAGAAAAAAAAAAACATTATTCAAATATGGAAGTAAAATGGAGTGTAAACGAGAGCCTAGAAAGGATGTTTCAGCTTGAAGTTCTGCGTCCATAAGGAATTTGAAATATTTTGATAACTTTCTGGTTTTAAAGACCAGATTAGGCTGGGCATGGTAGCTCACACCTTTAATCCCAGCACTGTATGAGGCTGAGCAAGGCAGGTTGATTGCTTGAGTCCAGGAGTTTGAGACCATGCTGGACAGCATGGCAAAACCCCATCTCTACCCAAAGACAAAATCAAAAATTAGCCAGGTGTGGGGACGTGTACCTGTAGTTGCAGCTACTTGGGAGGCTGTGGTGGGAGGATCCCTTGAACCCAGGAGGCCACGGCAGCAGTGAGCTGTGATGACTCCACTGCACTCCAGCCTGGGTGACAGAGTCATACCCCGTGTCCAAAACAAAAGAAGAGTGAGAATAAGAATAATAAGAAGAAAAAGACCAAATTAGTGGGCCTGGATGAACATGTTTTTCGAACCCCTGGAACATCCTAAACGTATTTCTTTCTATCTGTATTTGCCATTAAATGTCACAGAAAAATAATCTTTGCTTTTAAGCCCCTCATGAAGCTCAAGAAGACGAGAAAGTAGCCATTCCAAAGAAATTTTATTTCATTTATTTTATTCTATTTATTTATTTATTTTTCACATGGAGTCTCCCTCTGTTACCCAGGCTGGAGTGCAGTGGTGCACACGCCTCACACTGTGACACAGCGGGAGAGCCCAGAGCGACAGCTGTTGGAATGACTGCACTCTTCCTGCTCAAGTCTGACCTTTCCAAGGTAGGATTTGATTACAACTAGCAATATGGAATTACAAGCAGGGAGAGGTGCCGAGACCACAAGACATCAGGAGACTAAAATAGCAAGGTGGTGAGGCAATCTGCCTTTTATTCCCCTTTCAAGCTATGAGAAGTAGGCAAATGATGCGGCTGAACAATGCCTCCTTGACTTCAGGATATAAAAACTACTTTCATGAGCTTCAAGTCAGGGTAAGTGGGGAAAATGACAATAAAAGTAAATTTAAAAAACCACATTTAAACCCAGTCAACTTAGGATATTTTGTAGTACAAGCGCCAATCTATATGGTTCCTCTGAGATGCCCACATCGCAGGAAGCCTCAAATTTAACTACCAGAAATATTCTGAGAAAATAAAATAAGAAATTCTAAGCTTATAAACGCTTTTGTATGTGCTATTTTAGGTAGTTTTCAGTATGAGTCATTTATCTCCTCCCACAACCGAACTTCAATCATGTTTCAGCTTATTCTAATTAGTTTCTCATTATCTTTTAAATTATTATTTATTTCTGCATGTATTCCTTCCTCAATTTTTAAAAATGTATTATTAAATTTATTGTTGGTAACTCTTTTTCTCAGAAACTCTAAGTTTCAAGAATTTCTCTTATTGTTATTATTATGTTTTGAGACAGAGTCTTGCTCTGTCACCCATGCTGCAGTGCAGTGGTGCAATCTTGGCTCACTGCAACCTCCATGTCCCCAGTTCAAGCGATTCTCGTGCCTCAGCCTCCCGAATAGCTGAGATTACAGGCGTGTGCCAACACACCCAGCTAATTTTTCTATTTTTAGTAGAGACACGGTTTTGAACTCCCGGCCTCAAGTAATCCGCCCACCTTGGCCTCCCAAAGTGCTGGGATTACAGGCATGAGCCACTGTGCCTGGCCAAGAGTTTCCTATATGATGCAGTCATGCTCTGAAAAGGATAAGCAATAATCTAATATGCAATATACAATGCAATAATAATATATGCTTGTATATGTATAATATTTTATAACTACAAAGACTTTCACATATATTATCTCATTTAATCCTGAACACACAATAGCATCCAACCCTCCTCCTTTTCCTCCTGAGCACAGTGTTAAATGTTCCCTATGCAATGTCTCTAGAGATGAAAGAGTCAGGAGAGAAAGACATTAAGGAATATATTTGGATATATTAGGGGACCATGAAAGGTAGTTGAACCAACACTGCATAACCTAGGCATGAGCAGTCCCAGGAGGAGTGGCTTCTCTGCTGTTTATTTCTACTATCTGGTATTGGGCAAGTTAGAACCTCTTCAGACCTCTGTTTGCTCATAGGCAAAATTAACACATACCTGCCCTGACTCCCCGACAGAGCTACCATGAGAATCAAATTAGGTAACATGTGAGAAAATATTTTATAGTTTGCCAGATGCCAAATAAATATTTTTATGAACTTTCTTTCTGTACTTCACTCTTGTGGCATCAACATTTGTGGCATTAACCTAAACAGAAGCCTCAGTCAATTAAAGAATAGAAAAGATAAACATTTTTAGAACTGTAAAGCGTGTTCTAAGAGTTTCTTGGCCATTTGACTTTTCTTATAATCAAAACATAAAGCCATTCACCTGGCAGCTGGGTACCTGAATTATAATTTAGTAACAGTTGCGCTCAAGAGGAAACCAAGATCCTATAGGACCTTTCACAAATCAGGGTTCTTATTTTTTATTATTCTCAAAGTGAAGTCTGCAGACCACCTGCATCCAAATCCCATGGCATAATTATAAACATTTCTGATTGCTGCACCCTGCTTTTACCTACTGAATCAGAAGCTCCCAGAATATGGGCCCAGAAACAAACCTTTTTTTAGAAAACACACTAGCTGATACTTATGCTCACTAGTCCAAGAAACCCAGAACTTACTGGTTGAAATTTGCAAGTTGTAAGAGAACATTTGTTCTTCATTTCTTTCCAGCAGTAACAAGATTTCTCTATCAACATTCTATTAAAAACAGATATGAGCACGTATGTGAAATAAAAGCAGCACTCCACTTGTGTGCAAAATTTGACATCATTTTTTTGAAAGTGCCTTGAAGTAATGTTATCTCAGCTTTCTTTAATTGGATGGTGCATTTATAGGAGGAGTTTGGAAAACATATTCTCTTGCAGTGTTATTCCTGACCTCTACTCAAAAAACTAACAATCTCACAAGCAGTTAAATTGATAACCAACCAGTCATTCTCCAATTAGGAGCCTCAACTCACTTCAAGTAATAACATTAAAATTCTCCAAGTGTTAGCAGTCTGCACTGTACCTTGAAATAAAAAGATAGAGATTTTGCCTTTGGTGTTCAATAAATATAGAATAATATAATATAATTTCAGAAGCTATAAGCTTATTATCAATCAGCTTCATAGAAACACAGGACTAAAATGGATTACTCATTACTAAGTCAACAGACAACTATGTGCCTGGCACTGATCTAGGGTTAGGGCCAGAGGAGTAAATAAAGCAAACAAAGCTTCCCCGGCACTTACATTCTGGTTGGGGAGGAAGAGTGTGCAGGAAATAAAGAACAGGCTAACATTTAATATTTCTAACATATCAAATGGCATGTTAGAAGATGATAAGAATAATGGAAAACAGTTTACTGCAACAGAGTTTTCAGAAGGGATTAGATTGCAATTCTAAATATGAATAACACAGCAAAAAGCAAAAAAAAAAAAAAAAGGATTTTTTTTGGCTGGTACACATGGGTATTAGTTTGTACTCTTGAAAGCTAATGGAATATCCATAGACCCTACTATACTAAATTTTAAACTCTAGGCACTGCAAAACGAGAATACTATCCACTTCTTCACACACATTTGTAGCCACCTTTACATTAGAGGCACCATCTGTAGTTATGACTGGTCTCTTTTTTCCCTGAGGTATGATCCTGTCTTCTTATCATTCCTGATATCTTCTTTCACAATTGTGCCCTAGGTAATGGTGCTCAGAAAAAGAAGCCAATCAGGAGATCTGTTTTCTGTGCCCTTTTAACACTTCTAACTCAGGCACCCAAACCAGCCTGTAGCAGAAAGAGCATCAAAGCCATCCTCTGGACTCTACACAAGGTCTGTGGATATTCAGTTAGCTTGCAAGAGTGCAAACTAATACCCATGAGTACCAGCCAAAAAATACCCTTTTTTTTTCTTTTTGCTGTGTTATTCACATTTAGAATTGTAATATGACCCTGTCAGAAAACTCTGTTGCAGGAAATTTTTGGAAAAGAACATGTAGCTTATCTGTGTCTATGAAGTCCTTGTTATTGTGGGGAAAAGAAAAGAAAACAAAAACATCGACAGCTATATATTTTCTTTTTATTACTTACTATCATTCCAGACTAAAGTGGGGAGCCCCCTTTTTTTTTTCCAGAAACATAGCAGCAGCAGAGATGTCGCTATTGTGATCAGAATTACTTTGGTAGGTGTGTTTTGGGTTTGATTTACTTTTTCACATTTGTCTTTCTGTTTATATAAAATATTTTCCTAGGGAAAAATACATGCTAAAGTTAAACTTCACATGAGTTAACTACCTACAAATTACAGCTGTTAGCCATTTTTAATAAAACACTATCCACTGCACTATAAAAACGGACTTCATTTTCATATTGTTAATGTTATTCCACTGAACAGTGCGGTTAGAAATCCCAGAAGCAAATGCAGTACAAATTGTAGAGCAGCTGTGTAGAGGTGACTTCTAATCATAATTGAACACAAACGAGAACAAATAAATCAAGGACGAAACTTCTCAACTTCTGATGCCTGGCAATGTCAGTTTTAAAGCCAGATACATACCAAGTGCCTTGCAAAAAAAAAAAATTACACAGCAGCTAGAAGAGTGACAGCAGAACCCCCACTCTTTCTGGGAACACTCCCATATACCAGAAGCACAAGGACTTTAATTTGAAACCTGATTACATATTTGAAATTGCTGGTGTTCCTGACTTTAGCTTCTTGGCAGAAATGCCAGCTGAGTGTGCACATAGCACAGGTGGTCGATGGCAAACAAGACACCTCACAGCTGCAGGCAAGGAGCTGCTTCTAAGGGCATACAGTCTGGACAGTGCCAAGGCAGATAGGCATCATACAAAGAGAGAGGACAGGCTGCAATTTGGGGGTTTTGTCATTATTGTGTGTGTTTTAAAATATATCAGTGCATTTTTGAAAGTTGATTGGGGTCAGATTTTCAGCTGAGGCCTTATTCTTAGGAAATAGCATGATGGCAATAAATGTCAGCCTTAGCTAGCGACCCTTAAAAAGCTAAACTGGAATAAAAATAATAACTTGGCAAAGGTTCCCATATGCCGCACTCCTTCTTTTGTGCTCTTCCTTTGTCCCGAGCCTGCTTTGCCACACATGCCACCTTCAAGCACTGTTTTTAGGGAGAAGAGACCATTCTCCCAGAAAAGGGAACAGCTGAGAAAAGAACCAGCCCACAGAGGGAGCAGGGACACTCCTAACTGTTTTAAAGCCGTGCCGCAGGGTCTATGAGTTCGCAACAAGAAAACGTTTTCTTGTTTCTACCTTACCTAAGTCCAAAAAAAAAAAAATCACTGTTTTTTTATTAGCCGTTTAGTCCTAAAGAGTGCCCTTAGTGATAAGACAGTGCTTCTGGAAGTTCCACATAACTGCTTTTCTTTACCCACATGCAGAAGGCCCAAGAGTTGCAGAATCAGAACAGTTTGTGTGCTTTTCCATGTTCTAGCTTATGTATATGACAATACTAATCTTCCATTAAACAGGGTGTCTTACCCAGTCTGCAGTGCTAAGCATGTGTCGGACTGGAAGATATTGTTCATAATAATCTTTTTCTAAGTACCATTTAAAAGAAAATGACTTCCATTATTTAAAAAAAAAAAACCAACTAGGAAATATCGTATTTCTTCACAATGAACCATAGCCCTTTTTCAGATGTCCTTTGGCATCTCAGTTTTAGGAGTTATACAAGTCTCTAGCCTCACTGTTCATTGCCCTGACTTGTGCCTGAGATGTTTTTAGTCCTTCAGCCAGTTCAAATCAGGAATGAGATGCATTTGATCTGGACTTCTTCTACTCTGCCAAGCAGATAATCCCCTAACGACTGGTCAGCATTTTCATCCCAGAGAGTCAAAACTGACCTTTCAGTAGCAGAGGTTGCTTTAGGTTTGTGCAAAATAACGTTAAGGACAAATTCCCACTTTTGGGGCGCCACCGCCGTCCCTTTCATTGCCTGCAGTTTCTAGCATTTATTTTCCAATGTGGACACTGCAAAACTGTGATTCTTCAAAGTGGTTATTTAGTTCCTAAAACATTTAGAGTTGGGGCAAAATTTGCATAATTCTATTAAAAGGCTTACACCTCAGCTTTGAAAAATATTTGAGAAAATGTGATTTATGGGGGAAGGAAGTCTTATCTTTTGGCCCAGAAGGTGTTTCATGGAACTAAACCTGTTAATGTTAGGATTGCCTGTTAAGCACCAAAAAGTAAAAAAATGGAGGTTAGAAGCCTTTCTTTTATCTTCGCTTCAAGTCTGCAGTAGTTTGAAGCTTAAGATAGAGAAGGATTTTAGGGCGTTTTTTTTTTTCTCACTGCATTGCAAACTTGGAAACTGGAGTCCTGGTACAGTGATGGGAAACACAGGTGCATTTCTGTAGATTTTAAAATAGGATGTACTGGCTCTTTTCAATTGAGGACAGTTCATTTTGATGCCGTTACAGAACTTGAGACGATCTGCTTTAGATCAAATTTGAGATTCTGTCATCATGTCTATTTTTGTTGTATGATGCTGCCTGTCACTCATAGGTTGACAACAAGTCTGACATTTTCCTTCTTTCTTTCTTGCTTGCTTTCTTGCTTTCTTTCTCTCCTTCCTTCCTTCTTCTCTCTCTCTCTTCCTCCCTCTTTCTCTTCTCTTTCCCATTCTTTCTCTCTCCCTTTCTTTCTCCCTGTCTTTCTTTCTTTCTCTCTCTCTCTCTTCCCTCCCTTCCTTCCCTCCCTTCCCCTCCCCTCTCCTTCCTTCATTCCTTCCTTCCTTCTTTTTCTTTCTTTCTTTCACAGGGTCTCACTCTGTCACCCAGGTTGGAGTAAAGTGGTATGATCATGGCTCACTGCAGCCTCGAACTCCTGGGCTCAAGCAATCCTCCTGCCTCAGCCTCCTGAGTAGCTGGGACTACAGGTGCACGCCACCATGCACTGCTAATTTTAAAAATGTTTTAGAGACAGAGCCTCACTATGTTACCCAGGCTGGTCTCAAACTCCAGGCCTCAAGTAAGGCTCCCACCTTGGCCTCCCAAAGTGCTGGGATTACAAGCAAAAACCACTGAGACTGGCCTTGGCATACATTTTCTGTACTCTACTCAATACATTTTCTATACTCAATACATTTTCTATGCTCTACTCAATATATTTTCTATACTCAATATGTTTCTAGACTCTACTCAATACATTTTCTATACTCTACTCAATACATTTTCTGTACTCTACTCCATACATTTTCTATACTCTCAATACATTTTCTGTACTCAATACATTTTCTATACTCTACTCAATACATTTTCTATACTCTATACTCATTACATTTTCTATACTCTACTAAATACATTTTCTATACTCTAATTAATACATTTCTATACTCTCAATATATTTTCTATACTCAGTACATTTTCTATACTCTGAATACATTTTCTATACTCAATACATTTTCTATACTTAATACATTTACTATACTCTCCATACATTTTCTATACTCAGTACAGTTTCTAGACTACTCTTTTTCCATACTCATGTGTGAGGAATGAAACACCTTAAACAATGCACATGTTACAAAACTGATTGCCATTCAAATGCCTCCTGCAGGAAGCATAGGTCTCCCCTAAACCACCTGCTGCTCCAAGAGCTGAGGACTGCATATCCAGATGATGGCATGCTGTCAGGAAAGCGTATGAAGACCACTACTTCTACCCTGCTAGAGTGCACACAGCCACCATTCCAGAGCTGCCCAGAACCTTAAGCCCACCCACCTCTATTAGGACCTTTGTCTAGTCCAAAACTTTCTGAAATCTCATCCAGGACCTGCCCTGACATGGATCTTCATTTTCATTCCCTATTCACCTGAATTGTTGCCAGGACCAGAATAAGACTTTTAGAGTCCCTGAGCTCCTCCATACATAAATACAAATACCATTTTATTTTTTGAACTAACATAAAGTTCATAAGTATGCTGGTAGCAGAATGGCTTTTCTTTCTAGATGATTTATTGGTTATAAAAGTCTGGGTGAATTTATTGAAGTGAAAATTTTCTGATGTGTATTTATTTATTTATCTGTGCCTCCAGGATAATCCGGCAGTGACTGTAGATAGCGTCTAGTGGCCATTTCCCCCCAACAATCTTTCTGCCCCCTGGCATAGCAAGGTGACTCATACTAGCTCTTCAATATTGAAGACTTTACTGGGCCCTAGCTGTATTTCATATTTAATTTAAAGCCTTCTCCTGATGGTCTTGTAATTCTTCTTATCCAACTGGTCTTATATTGCAGTTTCTTTTTCTGACAAATAACCTTCCTTGCCATGTTTTTCACCCGTCTTGCCACCTGATTCAAATACATTAAGTCAACCTTTATTTAGAGAAATAAGATTTAGGAAAACTTTTCAAAAAGTTTTTTAAAACATTTTTAAAAAGTAAAATGTTCATCTGGGAATTGCTCTGGGAAAATATATATGCCTGGCTAGCCATACATAAATGTGTATCTAGTGCAGTGATACACATGTGTATTACAAGTAAAATCCATATGTTGAAGATTATTTGGACAGAAGTAGACTTGATTAACTAGAGTTGCCTTTTTAGGATTGATGCCCGAGAATTGTATTCTTATTATGTAATACATAGGCAAAGTTATGTTACTGTACCTAGATGCAGGGCAAAAATTTATGATGTTCTGCCAAAATTGCCACCTGAGGACACAGAGAACAAAGAAACAAAAAGTCCTAATCAGATTAGAGCTTAATGAACCAGTCTCAAGCCTGTTGGGAACTCACCAAATACCAAGTCATTCCAAAGAATAAACAGTGGAACAAAAACTTGGAGAACAAAAAGTTTTCTTAATTATTTGCATTCTTTTGGCAGCTGTAATTACAGGATGTTTTCCACTGTCTGTTACCACTTGCCCCTGTGCTGTTATGTTTTTAAGATGTGGTTTGTTCTCTTTTGCCATATAATTATGATGATCACTAAAATGAGCAAAATTTTCTTCTGAAATATATAAAGGGTAATAGATATATGTTTCAACTTAACTAGAACTTGTAGATGAGTGGCAGTTGGAGGTTAGTTTCTGTGTAATTTAGTACAACCATTGATTTAAAGCACACCAAACACACAAGATATCACAGTACACATTATATAGTTAGAATTTAAAAATCAGTAATTTTTGTAGTTAACATAGTGATATATTTGCCCTTTATTCCAAGATACGAATTTTTAAGATAACATTTCTTTCCTGATGACTACAAAACAATACATGTTTATTTTAGGAGAGTGGGAAAAGCCTGCAACCTACAGATATCAACCGTTAATTAGGTACATGAACCCTACTTCTAGTCTTTTTTCTACACATTTTATTTTAATAAATTAGATATTATAATTGTTTTTTAATTTTAAAAACACATAAATATATTGTATTTTTTTGCATTGTACTTACAAATACATACATTGTATTTATTTGTATTTATTTGTAAGTAATATTGTATTTACTTTACAATTTATGAGTAATTTACAAGTTAATTTACAAGTAAGTAACATTGTATTTATTTGTAAGTAATATATTGTACTTACAAATACAATATATTACTTACAAATATATTGTAAATAATTTTTCTTCCCAGTTACTATTCTTCTATGTCATATTTTTATTTATTACTTATTATTTATTTATTTTGGAGACAGGGTCACACTCTATTGCCTAGGCTGGAGTGAAATGTTGAGATCATGGCTTACTGCCCCCAACCTCCCAGGCTCAAAAGATCCTGCCACCTCAGCCACCTAAGTAGCTAAGACTAAAAGCGTGCATCACCATGCCCAGCTAACTTTTTAAATTTTTTATAGAGATGGAGTTTCACTATGTTGCCAGGGCCGTTCTTGAACTCTTGGGCTAAAGAAATACTCCCTACCAAACAGGCATTGTTGACTCCTCTGGAGAGTGCTCATTCTGTGGGTATTAAGCAGGAAGGCAGGCCGGACGTGGTGGCTCAAGCCTGTAATCCCAGCACTCTAGGAGGCCGAGGTGGGTGGATCACCTAAGGCAAGGAGTTCGAGACCAGCCTGGCCAACATGGTGACACCCCGTCTCTACTAAAAATACAAAAATTAACTGGGTGTGGTGGCACGCACCTATAATCCCAGCTACTTGGGAGCCTGAGGTAGGAGAATCGCTTGAACTGGGGAGGTGGAGGCTGCAGTGAGCTGAGATGGTGCCACTGCACTCCAGCCTAGGCAATGGAGTGAGACTCCATCTCAAAAAAAAAACAAAGAAAAGAAAAGAAATCCTCCTGCCTCAGCTTCTCCAAGTGTTGGGATTATAGGCATGAGCTACTGCATCCAGCATGCTTCATATTTTTGAATGGCTGCACAGTATTTTGACATGTATATACGAAAATTCAAAAATGATTTTTAGACCTGATGGAGTTCCAGTGGTATGTCTAGCTTCAGTTCATAGCTTCTGGTGGCAGGCTGATTGGGGCTGCAGTCTCTTAATTAGCCAGAGCTATTACTTTTACTGATTTGAATATCTTCAGATGGCCAAGCCCTTTTCTATTTGCTCTGTTCTTAAGTGCAAAGCCCCACATTACCCATTGTTTTAGAACTGCTTACTCCATGCATTTTACCCTCACATAAGAGTCTGCCACCTTTGGTATAGAATGAACAAGAGGCGGGAAATGTTAAAGGATTTAAATATGATTGAAAATGACTTTCCTGGAAGGTCAATCACAGTTTAAGTGGAGCTACTTTTTCTTTCACTAATGAGCTGTTTCATCCCTTGTAACTAGCATTATTTTGTCTTTGCGGTTTCCAATGGGTGTCCGCTATGTGCTATTTGGAAAGGAAAGAGAAGAAGAAATTAGGAAATTGGGTCGTGATGGGTCGGCTTCGTTATCTTGGCAGCATTTTACCAAGAAATCAGTTTTGTTTAGTCCTGGACAGGGTAGGCCATGCTGTGGTAACAAATCAACCCTGAAATTTCTGTAGCTCAGCAAGCAGTTTATTTATTGCTCACCCAGAGATGGATGGAGGCTGGCAGGGATTCGCCTTCATCCTGTGATTCAGCAATGCAGGCTCCTCCACCCGTGGTAGCGCCGTGTCAATACGTAGCTTCTCAGGTCACTGCTAGAGGGGAAGAGAAGAATGGAAAGTTGCACCAGCTCTTAACAGCCTCAACTCAGAGATGACACGTGTCTCTTCTGCTCCCAATCCCTCAGCCAGAATTAGTAATGTGGGCTGCTGAAAAATGTCAGGAGTGCATGGATATTTGGAGAGTGCTGTTTCTGCCACCTTATTTCATACCAAACCACAGAAACAAAATTGGTGACTCTTCTTAGTAAATTAGAACAGAGTATCAAAAGGATTATTAGGATCAGAGCATCTGGAATGACCAATGAGTCCATTAAGTCAGGAGAATTAGAACAGAACCATTATGAGGAATCATAATGGTCAGAATGGGAACAAACTGACCAAAGGGCTTACTGGATGAAGCTAACCAGATAGAGTGAGACCAGAGAGAAGAAGTGGCCCAGGAAGTCATAACCTCCTGTTCCTGACTTGGACTTTCTGTAAGTGTGATTCCCAACCTGGTTACTCATCAGAATCATACAAGGAACATTAGAAAAGGTAGGGTTTTAGCCTCATCTGAGGCCTATTGAATCAAAATCTCCTGAAGAATATAATATTCATATCATATATATACTATATGTATATATATATACTATATATATACTATATGTATATATATATACTATATATATACTATATGTATATATATATACTATATATATACTATATGTGTATATATATACTATATATATACTATATGTGTATATATATACTATATATATACTATATGTGTATATATATACTATATATACTATATGTATATATATACATATATATGTATAGATGTATATATACATATATATGTATATATATATGTGTATATATATATATATATACTTTAAGTCTTTAAGTTCTGGGGTACATGTGCAGAACGTGCAGGTTTGTTACATAGGTATGCACGTGCCATGGTGGTTTGCTGCAGCCATCAACCCTGTCATCTACATTAGTTATTTCTCCTAATGTCTTCCCTCCCCCAGCCCCCAACCCGCCGACAGGCTTCAGTGTGTGATGCCCCTACCCCGTGTCCATGTATTCTCATTGTTCAACTCCCACTTATGAGTGAGGACATGTGGTGTTTGGTTTTCTGTTCTTATGTTAGTTTGCTGAGAATGACGGTTTCCAGCTTCATCCATGTCCCTGCAGAGGGACATGGCTGCATAGTATTCCAAAAGCCCTTCCTCATTATTCTGATGCAGGCACTGGTCTGTAGGGTTTGAAAAGCATTGCTTAGAGGACAAGGAGGTAGAAGGTGTCCTTAGGATGAGATGCTAATGAGGGAGTGAACCTTAGAAAGGTGGAAAGACTCACACCAGTGGTCCCATGGTTGGGTGATGGTTAACATCACAAAGAGAAGTAAATTCCAGACCTGCATCATAGTACCCTGAGTAGAACTACCTCAACAATCTATCTGGTCAGATACTTAGTACCTAGATGTGGAGACCATATCTCACAGTTCTGTCAGGCAGGAGCAGTCCAAACACTTTGATTATCAGCTGTCTCTTGCTCGGGAAATTACTAGGTACCAACACTGTTATATATGCAGAGGTGTCTGAAAAATGAATGCAGATCAATTTCCAGTTCCACACAGAGCACATCTGTAAAATATGACCTTTGGATAATGGCTGGAGTGTTTACCTGCAGTATTCGTTTTTGCATGTGGCTTTCCCTAGATATGTCAGGATACAGCAGGACCAAAACCTAGGTAAGAACTAAAGTAGTAGGTAAATATTGGATCCTAAATTAAGAGTGGAGGGCAAAGCTTGGGGTGATGTCAAAGTCAATTAATGGATATTCAAATATAAAGTTACATAGCTGAGTAACAAACGCACTATATCAGAGTTGTGAAATGGAAATCAAAACCAAACTGAGCTGGACGTGGTGGCATGCACCTTGAGTCCCAGCTACTTAGGAGACTGAGGTGGGAGGACTGCTTGAGCCTAGGAGGTCGAGGCATCAGTGAGCTATGATCAAGCCACTGCACTAGGCTGGGAGCAGTGGCTCATGCCTGTAATCCCAGCACTTTAGGAGGCCGAGGCAGATGGATCACCTGAGGTCAGGAATTCGAGACCAGCCTGGCCAAAATGATTAAACTCCATCCCTACAAAAATAAGCTGTGTGTGCTTAATAAGCTGGTGGGCATCTGTAATCCCAGCTACTTGGGAGGCTGAGGCAGGAGAATTGTTTGAACCCGAGAGTCAGAGGTTGCAGTGAGCCAAGTTCGTGCCATTGCACTCCAGCCTGAGTGACAAGAGCGAAACTCCGTCTAAAAACAAAAAAAAAGCCACTGCACTCCAGCCTGGGTGACAAAGTGAGACCCTGTCTTTTTTTTGTTTTTTTGAGACGGAATCTCACTCTGTCACCCAGGCTGGAGTGCAGTGGTGCGATCTTGGCGCACTGCAACCTCCACCTCCTGGATTCAAGCGATTCTCCTGCCTCAGCCTCCTGAATAGCTGGGATTACAGGTGCTCACCACCACGCCCGGCTAATTTTTGTATTTTTAGTAGAAATGGGGTTTCACCATGTTGGCTGGGCTGGTCTGAAACTCCCTACCTCAAATGACCTGCCTGCCTCAGCCTCCCAAAGTGCTGGTATTACAGCCATGAGCCATCACGCCTGGCCTGAGACCCTGTCTTTTAAAACAAAAACAAAAACAAAAAACAAAAATTGAGCAAAGACAAATGAATTATCTGGAATAATGAACTCCAGGAGGAAACATGAACATCTGACTAAATTCTAGTTGAAGTCCTGCTGGTTTGCAGTTGCTTTGACATCACTAGCACATGCCTTCCTACTCCATAATTTTAAAGATACTGCTTGAAGCACAACTGACTGTAGAATGTGCTCTCTTTGTCTTACGGTTTTCTCTGAAAGACCTTGCTTTATACAACTGCTGTTTGTTGTAGCCACAGTCATGCTTCATTCAGACAACAGCAGTGGGTTTTCAAAGTGATTCATCTGTTTTCCTTGTACTTACCCTCTTATTTGCTTCAGGGTCCTGCATGTGGCTGGCTGGCCGAGCTTTAAGAGTAGGGTTTGGGTAATATCTGCTTCTGAGCCATGTTTCAGGACTGTGGATATTTTTAAGCTAAAGGGGAGAAGTCCAATGGAAGACATGCAGGGAGCTTTTCATCTACTTGAAGGAACAGACTTGCTCTGTATTGCTCCAAAGAGGCCAATATTTTGAAATTCCAATGAGGTAGGCTCAAAATGAAACATCCTGAACATCTGAGCTGTCCAACAATGATGCCGGCTTCTGGGGCATTACTCAGCTACTTGTGCTCCACCGAGTTCTTTTCTTTTTCTTTTTCTTTTCTTTTCTTTTTTTTTTTCTGACACGGAGTCTTGTTCTGTCGCCCAGGCTGGAGGGCAGTGGTGTGATCTCGGCTCACTGCAACCTCCGCCTTCCAGGTTCAAGAGATTCTTCTGCCTCAGCCTCCAGAGTAGGTGGGATTACAGGCGCTCGCCACCATGCCTGGCTAATTTTTATATTTTCAGTAGAGACAAGGTTTGGCCATGTTGGCCAGGCTGGTCTCAAACTTCTCACCTCAGGTGTTCTGCCTGCCTCGTCCTCCCAAAGTGCTGGGATTACAGGCTTGAGCCACAGCGCCCAGTTGAGTTCTGAATGTTGAGGCTCCTCAGATTTCAGTTTGGACCTCTCTTCTCTTTTACACACTTTTTCTTCAGCACCTCATCAAGCTCTGTTGCTTTAAATGCCATGTATATGTCATAATGAAACCATTGTTTTCTCCAGTCAAATCTCTCTTGCCTTATATATTCAACTACCTCCATGACCTTCCACTTGAATGTTTCATGAGCATCTTGAACTTAACACAGGAAAAATAGAACCCTTGATTTCTTCTTCATCCTCTTCTGCCCCAAAGTCTTATTTTCCTCCAACCTGCCCTAGATTAGTCAATGGCACCAACACCTACCTGTCACTTAGCCCCAAACTTCTGCTTCTCTCTGCCTGTCACACTCAAACCACCTCAAGCCAATCACCTCCAGACTTGAACAAGGAACACAAGTGTCTCACTCATTGAGTTCCCTCAAACCACTGGCACACAGTCAATTCCACCTAAATATTTGGTGAATGAATGAATGATGTAGAATGATCATCTGAAAGAAATAATAATGGCCCTTCTAACTTAATGAGTCTCTACCATGTGATAGGTGCTTTAAATATATAATTCTATCCCTAATGACAACACTTCAAAGTAGGTAGGCAAGTTAAAAAGCTCACAGAACAGAGAGTTTTGTATGGTTTTGCTTTTAAGTTTTATTAAGTGCTTTGTATGATTTGTTTTTTTTTTTTTTTTTTTGAGACAGGGTCTCACTTTGTCACCCAGGCTGGAGTGCAGTGGTGCAATCACAGCTCATTGCAGCCTCAACCTCCGAGCTCAAGCGATCCTCTTGCCACAGCCGCCTGAGCAGCTGACACCATAGGCAGGGGCCACCATGCCTGGCTAAATTTTAAATTTTTTGTAGAGACAGGGTCTTACCATATTGCCCAGGCTGGCCTTGAACTCCTGGCCTCAAGTGATCCTCCTGCCTCAGCCTCCCAAAGTAGTAGGTAGGATTACAGGCATGACCACTGTGCCCGGTGTGTATGACATTTTTTATAGTATACATAGGCATAGTGCTAAGTGCTTTATATATATATAAAATCTCATTTAATTTTTACCAGCCACATACAGGGTAGCTTTTATGCACCATTTCGTTGATAAGAAAACTGAGGCTAGTAGAAATTAAGCAATTTGACTTAGCTAAAATAGCCAGGAAGTGATGGGACTGATATTTAAACCCTGGTCTATTTGGTTCCTACAGCTGTATATTTCCCCGCTATATGATAAAGCAATCTCTAACAAGGATACTACTGAAGGGATGCCAACATTTTACAAATTGTTGTAGTAGATGATCTTTTGGTTTCTTCAAATTGGAATTTTTATAGTTATATTGTGCAAACGGTCCTTTTCTCTATTTCTTTAGATTCACTTCATTAGACATCTCTACCATTTTAAAGAAAGTAAAAATAACTTTCCAAATTTCATAGAAAATCTAGAAATGCTCTAAACCCACACAAAAATTGCAACCGATGTGACAGTAAAGAGCTCCTTCCAGCCGGGCATAGTGGCTCACGCCTGTAATCCCAGCAATTTGGGAGGCTGAGGCAGGCGGATCACTTGAGGCCAGGAGTTCGAGACCAGCCTGGCCAACATGGTGAAACCCTGTCTCTACTAAAAATACAAAAATTAGCCAGGTATGCTGATGCACGCTTATAATCTCAGCTACTCAGGAGGTTGATACAGGAGAATCGCTTGAACCCAGGAGCCGGAGGTTGCAGTGAGCAGAGATAGTGCCACTGTACTCCAGCAGCCTGGGTGACAAAGCAAGGCTCTGTAAAAAATAAAATAAAACAAAAATAAATTTAAAAAACACCTTCTTTTATTCTTTTCTGTATGCTTTGGCACAAGTCAAACTAGAATTCATATCTTCTTAATACCTAAACTAAGTTAACCAGCCTGGCAATGGTTCCCAAAGCCATGCCAGCAATTACACAGTGCAGGATGTCACCCCTGGGCTGACTCACCACACAGAAGACCTAGTAACTTGAGGAGTATTGTTCTCAAAGATCCAAATTTGCTGAAATCTATTCTAAGTACTCCTGAATTAAAAAAAGATCGTATTACAATTAGTGTACCTTTAAAAAAAGAAATTCCCTGTCTATCTGTATATAGCTCCTCTGATTCCTGAGTTCTACTCCTTATAGTTATACAATTATGTGGAAATTATTTCATGTTAACTTCTGTATTCCAACATCATTTTTAAGAAGGAGGTTAGTAAAGGTGCCCACTAGACAAACTTCTGCAATAGGAAAAGAGCACTGGGATAGACAAGTAAAACAACAGAATAGAAGCAACGGGAAACAATGTCCATAAGCAATTCAAGCTGGGAGTGATAAGCCTACCTGTGAAGTCAGGAGATGAAGTTTGAGGAAGAAGCAACAAGAAACATTGATTCCTCTCTACCTATTGCAAATGGTCTTGGGGCTCCTAAGCATAAATGTTACTTTTCCCTGCAGTGAGCCTGTATGAAGCTCTCAGATAATCACTTCAAATTGCTCTTTCAATTCACAAGCCTGCAGCATTCTGAAATATTTCCAGACATTATTTGCACCTATATAAGGATAGCAGATACTTATCCAGTGCCTACCTGGTGCTATTGTAGGTCGATTTGGGATTTGATTCAAGGATTCTGGCTCCATACTCTGCTCTATCCACTACACTGAACTGCCTCTCCATGAGAAACTATTTTAATAAGTCCCCCAGTTAGAAGAACTCATCCATCTGCAACTCACACTGGTGCGAAAGTTGAGCAGCAAATCAGATCAGGAAGTGCCATCTCCACCACCAACAAGGGGCCCTAGAGTCACCAGCACCAGTCCCTGCCTAACTGAAACCTAGAACTTGAGAAAGAAATTCACAGATATGGCTCATTGCAAGGGTGAAGGGAGGATGGTAGGAAGAGTGAGACGTCAGAGCTCTTTTTGAGTGGGGGGAGGAAGGCCGCCCCCATGCCTGGGAGGTGGATGGAACTGTAGAAGAGGAATCTTGAGATGGGTAGAGTTCAAATGGGTGAGAGCTTTAACTTACCCTCTCCTAGTTTAGGAAGTGCTCCTAAACGTGTCCCCAGTTTCCAAAATAGGGATAGTTGCTTTGAGCTGCTGACTGGTGGTTTTGCTTTGTGGACATGGAGAGGAGAGGATGGCCAGGAAAGGGAGATTCTTCCCACCCCTTTGCTTCCGTGGTTCCCATGCACCTATAGGGTGGACTAAGACTCCGTACCTGGAAGATGTTTCAATCGTGAGAGAAGGGCAGGTAAAAGGAAGAGCACAGACCAGAATGACGTAACATTCTGCCTGCACCCACAGGTCAGAGCAGCTTTCTGTGAACTTGAATGTGATTGTGAGTCACCTGGGGATCTTGTTAAAATGCAGATTCTGGTTCAGCATATCTGGGGTAGGGCCTGACACTCTGCATTTTTAACAAGCTCCCTGGTGCGGCTGATCCTAGGGTCTATGTATAGACCATGCTTTCAGTAGCAAGGAGTTAGAGGACACGCCAGCTGGAAGGCAGAGGGATCTTATACACCTGGGTTAGGCATATATTTTCATTACTGTTTGCTGCATATTCCTGAGAGGACAGAATGTGGGGTGACTGTCCTTCAGTCTTTGATCTCCCCGCTGCACAGTTTGAATTAAGGCAGATAGCACTTTCATCTGGCCCTAGGGGCATCTGTCGGGGCCCTGGGACAGTTACCTGTACTTTTTGTCAACATTAATGCTGTCCTCCATTTCTGTGAATTGTGGAGAATATGGTCTTTTAAAGGATGCTAGAGGCAAAGCTAAAAGGACAATGCTAGAACTAGTCATTTTTTTTTTTTTTTGTCTCATTGCCCCAGAAGGTCAGGAAACTTGAGCAACAGTGTGAACAAGTCCACAGCTCCAGTTTCCCCAGGGCTACCAGGGGAAACACTCGAGGCTGTTCACCCTTAGCTAGCTTAAGCTCTGGTGAGGGGAATCATGTATGAATTTCACCTCCTTAAAACATCAGTGAAGGCGGTCGTTATTTGGATCGTCCAAACTGTTTCCATGAGGAATGGAATGGAATCAGGAAACCTAAATTTAGATTAGGTGCAATGAAACTGTCTTCCTGAGACAGAAAAAGTAATTATAGAAAGGCATTTCAAAGAAAAGTCTTGCTAATGTTTCTCGGGACCTTCCTCAGGGACAGATTACGGGGAGTGGAACCTGCCTGGATAGCCCATTACTTTTTTTTCCCAAGGCAGCCCCATGACCTGCTAGCTACCACAGGGAGCCAAGACAATGAGTGGAATCAGGCCGTGCGTGGGGCCAAGATAAACTGTGCTAATGTCCTGACCGTTCTGGATGGCTTAAGGCCTGGCTGCCGCCTCTGTGAGCACTGACGCCCTATACTCTGCCCCGTCTTCCTGGCCAGATAAGTCTCTCCCACATGTGACCACCCCCAAGACCACAACTAGCAAGACAGAAGCCATGCGTTATTTTACTAAATAACAACATTCTTGGAAAATTTCCCATATCTTATTTTCCCTTCAAAAAAATTTTTTGAACATGGCTCAAAACTCAAAACTGGCCAGGTGCAGTGGCTCACGCCTGTAATCCCAACACTTTGGGAGGCCAAGGTGGACAGATCACCTGAGGTCAGGAGTTGGAGACCAGCCTGATTAACATGGGAAAACCCTGTCTCTGCTACTAAAAATACAAAAATTAGCTGGGCATGGTGGCATGGTGGCATGGTGGTGCACACCTGTAATCCCAGCTACACAGTAGGCTGAGGCAAGAGAATCACTTGAACCCAGGAAGTGGAGGTTGCAGTGGGCTGAGATTGCACCACTGTACTCCAACCTGGGTAACAGAGTAAGACTCTGTCTTAAAAAAAAAAAGAAAAAAAGAAAAATCAAAACTCTCTAAGGCCGGGCGTGGTGGCTCACGCCTGTAATCTCAGCACTTTGGGAGGCCGAGGCAGGAGGATCACTTAAGGTCATGAGTTCAAGACCAGCCTGGCCAACATAATGAAACCCCATCTCTACTAAAAATACAAAAATTAGCTGGCTGTGGTGGCATGCACCTATAGTCTAAGCTACTCGGGAGGCTGAGACAGGAGAGTCGTTTGAACCCTGGAGGTGGAGGTTGCAGTGAGCTGAAATCATGCCACTGCACTCTAGTCTGGGCAACAGAGCAAGACTCTAAAAAAAAATAATAAAAATAAAAATCTGTCTAAGAAGGTACACTGGGACATTTTGCCCTTCTCTGTTCTATCCACCAAATTCCTCCTTTGCCCACTCTACATTATTATTTGAGTTTCTGTTTATCTTTACACTATTTTGTTATACACATATGAATATTCTTCTATTTCTCTCTTATACAAAAGATATGGTTTTTCTGTTCCACACCTTGCCTTTCTTTTCACTTAATATATCATAGAGCTTTCTCCATGTCCATATGTGACATCCTTCTCACTCTTTTTGACAGCTGCAGATTATTCTAATACCTGAATGTATTAGATTTTATGCAACCAGTCTCCTAGTTGTTGGACTCTTGAGTAGTTTTCAGTCTCTTTTATTGCAAACAATGCTGCCAGAAGCATCCTTTTTCATGTGCTATTTTTTATGTGTACAGGTGTAACTAATGGCTAGATACTGAGACATGATGTTGGGGGATTAAAGGGTAAATGCATCTGTAATGTTGATAGCTATTGCCAGTCTCTCTTCCTGGAACGTTGTAGCATTTTATTCCCCCACCAATAAATGTTTGAGGGTACCTGTTCCTACACAGCCTTGCCCAAGGAAGTGTATCACACTTCTGGATTTTGCCAATCCAGCAGATGACAAGTGTTTTCTTAGTGTGGTTTTAATATTTGATTTCTTTTTTTTTCTTTTTTCTTTTTTCTTTTTTTCTTTTTTTTTTTTTTGAGACAGGGTCTCTCTCTGTTGCCCAGGCTGGAGTGCAGTGGCACTGTCTTGGCTCACTGCAAACTCAACCTCCCAGGTTCAAATGATTCTCATGCCTCAGCCTCCCCAGTAGCTGAGATTACAGGCCTTGTATGTGTGCCACCATGGCCAGCTAATTTTTGTATTTTTAGTAGAGATGGGGTTTCACCATGCTGGCCTGTCTGGTCTCGAACTCCCGGCCTCAAATGATCCGCCCACCTCAGCCTCCCAAAGTGCTGGGATTATAGGGGTGAGCCACCATGCCAGCCTGATTTCTTATCATGAGTAAAACAGAATATTGTCATACCTTTAAGGGCCATTTGTGAACTTTTGTGTCATGTCCTTTCCCCATTCCTATTACTGTAGGTTTTAAAAATCTTGATTTCTGGGAGCTATTAGGTACTTAGGAGATCAGCGTTTGTTTACAAATTGCAATGTTTTGACTAGTTTTTCTTTTGTCTTTGGATTTTGTCTGTGTTTGTGTTTTTGTTGTTGTTGTTTGCCATGTTTAAGGTTTTTCTTTTTATGCATTTGATTTAATCATTATTTTCTCTTTAGGTTTTGAAAGTGGAATGATAGGTAGATAGATCTTCCCAACTGTAGTTCTATAATAAAATGTATCTATATTTTCTTAAATATTTATTTGATTTTATTTTTTCCATTTAAATTTTTTATCCATTTGGTATTTATCGTGATGTATGTTATGAACTATGGATCCAGCATTGCCTTTTACTCAATTGTCTTCATGCAATTTATTAAAGATGATTTGAGATGCCATCTTTTCCAGTTCAATTTCCTACATGTGTTTGTCCCTGTTTTTGGAATTTCTACTCTGTCCACTGGTGTCTCCATTCATAGGTCAATATTAAAGTGTTTTAATCAATGAAGTCTTATATGCAATATCTGGAGATTTTCAAGGTTTGTTGGCTATTCTTGCTTGGATTTTGTTAGCTTCATTAAGTAGAATGAACATTGTAATGATGTTGAGTCTTTGCATTAAGAAACATGAGATACATTGTTTCATTTGTCTAAGTATACTTTTCTTCTCCTTCAACAGTATTTTAAAGTTTTTCTTAGGTACAGGTGTTGCCCATTTCATGTTAAGCTTACTTCTAGCTATTTTATCTTGCTTATTGCAATTATAAATAGCAAGATTATCTGTTTTTCTGTATATCGTTTGCAAATGTGAAGGCTACCTACTTTTTCATATTAATTTAAATCTTGCTACTTTACAAATATTGCAGTTTTATTCAATTCTCTTATGTGTTTTATAAGACAAATCAAATATTATACGATTTGCAAATAGTTTTATATCTATATTAATTTTTTTTCCTGCATTCATTTTTTATTTTGTTCTTTTCTTTAAAAAAAATTTTTATTCTGTGTGTGTGTGTGTGTGTGTGTGTTTTAAGTTCCAGGGTATATATGCAGGATGTGCAGGTTTGTTAAATAGGCTAAATGTGTGCCATGGTGGTTTGCTGCACTTATGAACCCATCACCCAGGTATTAAGCCCAGCATGCATTAGCTCTTTTCCCTAATGCTCTCCCCCAGCCCCACCCTGCCCCAACAGGCCCCAGTAAGTGTTGTTCCCCTCCCTGTGTCCATGTATTCTCATTGTTCAGCTCCTACTTATAAGTGAGAACATGTGGCATTTGGTTTTCTGTTTCTGTGTTAGTTTTCTGAGGATAATGGCTCCCAGCTTCATCCATGTCCCTGCAAAGGGCATGATCTCATTCCTTTTTATGGCTGCATAGTATTCCACGGTGCATATGTACCACATTTTTTTTAATCCAGTCTATCATTGATGGGGATTTGGGTTGATTCTATATCTTTGCTGTTGTGAATAGTGCTGCAGTGAACATACATGTGCATGTGTCTTTAGAACAGAATAATTTATATTCCTTTGGATACATACCCAGTAATGAGACTGCTGGGTCAAATGGCATTTCTGGTTCTAAATCTTTGAAGAATCACCACACTGCCTTCCACAATGGTTGAACTAATTTACATTCCCACCAACAGTGTAAAAGTGTTCCTATTTCTCTGGAACATCACCAGCATCTGTTGTTTCTTGACTTTTTAATAATCACCATTCTGACTGGCACAAGTTGGTATCTCATTGTGGTTTTGATTTGCATTTCTCTAATGATCAGTGACGTTGGGCTATTTTTCACAGATTTCTTGGCCACATGTATGTCTTTTTTTGAGAAGTGTCTGTTCATATCTTTCACGTATTTTTTAATGGGGTTGTTTGTTTTCTTCTAAGTTTGCTTAAGCTCCTTGTAGATTCTGGATATTAGGCCTTTGTCAGGTGGATTAAGAGTTAGTTTTCCTCTTCCTTTTCAGTTCTTACACTACCGATTTTCTTCTGTTATCTAATGGCGAGAGTTAACACCTCCAATGAAACATTAAATACCAGTGGTATAGTGGGCATCCTTGTGTTGTTCTGGGATTTCTATTTATATATCTTTTTCATGTTAGCAAAATACTTTTCAAGTTCTATTTTATTGAATTTTAAAAATCAAGAATGGGCATTCTGTTGTATCAAATATCTTTTTAGTATTTGCAGAGATGATTTGTGAATTTTCTCTTTAAATCTCCTTAAATTTGACAAATTGTATCAATTGACTTCATGATGCCAAGTATTCTTAGATTTACAGAGTAAACCCCACTTGATTATGGTATATTATTTTTATTATTATTATTATTTGAGACTGGGTCTTGCTCTCTGTTGCCCAGACTAGAGTGTAGTGGCATGATCATAGCTCACTGCAGCCTTTATCTCAAGCTAGCTTCCTGCCTCAGCCTCCCAAGTAGCTAGGACTACAGGTGCATGCAATCATGCCTGGCTAATTTTTTTTTTTTTTTTTTTTTTAGAGATGGAGTTTTGTTACATTGCCCAGGCTGATCTCAATCTCCTGGCCTCAAGCAATCCTCCTGCCTTGGCCTCCCAGTGTGCTGGGGTTACAGGCATGACCCATTGCACTTGGCCAGTGTATTATTTTTATAAATGTGTTATTTGATTCTGACTGTCATCATATTTGAGATTCTTCTGTAGTTTTCTTTTTTATGTAAATTTTAAATCATATTTTGTTATTAATATTATACTTGCTTCATACAAAGAATTTTGCTCTGGTCAATCTCAATAGCATTTAAATTGCATGCTCTTTAAAGATTTGATAAGATTCTCCTTGGAAACCTGACGTGGTTCTACACATTTTACGTTCTAGCCAGTAAAGGAATCAGTGAGGCTGTTATTTGACCTAAAATTTTGATTTTTGCCAAAGCCTATCTTGCAGAAACAGGTATCATCAGAGTCACATACTGAAAGCCAAAATTAAAGAACAAATCTAGAAAGTGGCAAGCAATAAAATGACACATATATATAAGAGAACAGTAATTCAGTTAATAGCTGATCTTATGAGAAACCACAGAGGCCAGCAGGGTAGAACAACATCTTCAAAGTGCTTCAAGAAAAAGAAAGCTGTCAACTGGGAATTCTATACCCTTCAGAAATGAAGGAGAAAGAAAAACATTCTCAGATGAAAGAAAACTAAGACGATTTGATGCAAGCAGGCCAACACTATGAGAAATGCTAAAGGTAGTTCTTGAGGTTGAAGAGAAATAAAAAGAGATGGAAACTCAGAACCATGAATAAGAGTGAAGAGCACTAGAACTAATAACCATCTGGGTGAACAGAAAATGCTTTTTTTTTTTCTCTTTTTTTTTTTTTTTTTGAAACGGAGTTTTGTTGCCCAGGCTGGAGTGCAATGGCACAATCTTGGCTCGCCACAACCTCTCTGCCTCCCAGGCTCAAGCAATTCTCCTGCCTCAGCCTCCTGAGTAACTGGGATTACAGACATGAGGCACCATGCCTGGCTAATTTTGTATTTTTAGTAGAGACAGGGTTTCTCCATGTTGGTCAGGCTGGTCTTGGACTCCCAACCTCAGGTGATCCTCCTGCCTTGGCGTCCCAAAGTGCTGGGATTACAGGCATGAGCCACCGTGTCTGGCTAGAAAATGCTTTTTTTTTTTTGCTTTTTTATCTTAATTTTGTATAGTCAATATAACTGTTTAAAGCAATCTATATCATTATCTTGTGGGGTTTCTAAGATATCCAGATGTGATACATGTAACAACTAAGGATAAAGGATTAGGGGGAAGTCAATATGGATCTTACGGAGTTGTAAGTCTTCTACATTTTGTATGAAACCATAATGCATAAATGTAAGTGGACTGTAAGAAGTCCAATTCCTAAAGCAATCACCTACATAAATAATGCCAAGAAGTATAGCTAAAAAGCTAATAGGAAGAATAAACTTTAATTCCAAGTATCTAAAAAAATAGGTAACAGGAACAAAGAAACACAATATAGAAGGAACAAATACAAAATAATAAAATCGTAGGCCCAATCATAAATATATCAATAAATACATGAATGCATTTAATCTAAACACTCCAATGTAATCTAAACACTCCATTTAGAATATAGCGATAGTATGGATAAAAAGCAAGACCAAAATATATGCCATTTATAAGAGTTGCACTTTAAATATATAGAGAAAAATAGATGGAAAGTATATGGGTGGAAAAAGACTTACCATGAAAACAGAAGGTGTAAGAAGACTGGTGTAGCTATATTAAAATAAGATATAAACAAAATTTTAAAGATAAAAGTATCACCAGAGATAAAGAGGGACATTCTATAATAATAAATTTGGCAATCCACTAGAAATACATAACAGTAATAAATGTTTATGTGCCTAATAACAGAACTTAAAAATACTGGAAACAAAAATTGCCATTTCTAAGTTATAATTAGAGATTTTAATGCCATTCTCCCAAAGATAAAAGAACAGCTAGACAAATTAAATCAGAAACACATAGCTCTTTACAAAATTATCAGCCATCTTGATCTACTCGATATTTATAGAATCCTACACCCAACATTTGAAAGAATACAAAAGATGCATTTTTTTCAAAAGCAATGTGGTATATTTGCCAAGATGGATAATATATTCAGCCATAAAACAAGTTTCAGTGAAGGATTCTAAAATAATGAAATCATACTTAGTATGCTCTTTGATCATGATGGGTTTAAATTTGAAACAAATAGAAACAAGATATCTAGGAAAACCCCAAACATTTGGAAATTAAACAACATCTCCTAAGTAACTAATGAGTTAAAGAAAAAAATTGCAAGAAGAAGTTAGGAAATATTTTGAACTGAGTGATAAAAATGCAACACACCAAAATTTGGGGGATGCAGCTAAAACAGTGATTGAGACAAATCTATAGGTAGATCTTTTTCTTTCTTCTTAGATCTTTTTCTTTTATGAAGAGGTATTAATTTATACATATGAGATGTATAAATTAAAGAAAAACAAAAATATCTAAAATCAATGATTGACATTTCAACCTTATGAAATTACAAAAAGAAGCACAAAAATTAAGCCCAAATAAGTAGAAGGGAGAAAATAATAAAGGTAGCAGAAATCAATGAAAGGAAAATTGGACAAGCAATAGAGACAGACAAAAACAAAAACTTGTTCTTTTAAAATGTTAATAAAATTCTTAAAACTCTAGCCAAAAGACACAAGTGCAAAATTACCAATATCAGAAAACGGGGCATCACTTCAGATTCTACAAACATTAAAAAGATCATAAGAGAATGCTACGTGTAGCTTTTGCCAACAAATTTGACAATTTAGATAAAATAGACAAATTTCTTAAGAAAAACAGATTACCAAATCAGAACCCCCCAAAATTAAGAACTTAAATATCCTTATATTAATTATAGAAACGCAGTTCATAATTAAGGAGCTTTGAACAGAGATAACTCCAGGCTCAGAGGTCTTCACCGGTGATTTTCATTAAATGTTTAAGAAATGAAATAGTTCAAAACAAACTCTTTCAGAAAACAAAGGAAGAGGGAATAATTAATTCGTTAAATGCAGCTAGCATTATCCTGATACTAAAACAAAAACATCACGAGAAATGACATTATGTTGATACACCAAATAAACATAAGTGGTAAATTCCCTATCAAAATTTTGGCAAATCAAATCCAGTAATACGTATAAAAAGGGCAACACATTAAACAAGTAGGGTTTAACAATGGAAAATAAATCAATGTATTTCACCACATTAACAGAGCAAAGACCAGAAAAATGATTATTTCAATTGACGTAGAAAAAAAAAGCATTTTATAAAAATTCAACACTCATTTATAATAGAAACTCTTAGCAAGGTAGCAAGGTAGGAATAAAAGGTGATTTTCTCCTAAATCTGATTTAAGAATACCTATGAATACTTAATGGATAACATTATGCTGAATATTGGAAGACAGAATACTTTCTCCTAAGATCAAAAATGAGGGAAAGATATCTACTTTTTACGGAGTTACTCAATATTTCACTGGAGTCTTCACCAATGTAATATACAAAAAAAGTAATAAAAAACATATAAACTGGAAAAGAAGTAAAATTCTATTTGTTTACATATAAAACGATTTTGTACATAGAAAATTTTAAAGAATCTACAAAAAGTTACTAGAACTAATAAGTGAATGCAAAATGGTAAGACACAAGGTCAATAAACAAAATTTATATTTCTGTAGACTAACAGTGAACAATTAGAAAACTTAAAAAAATTCCATTTATAATAGCATAAAAATACTTGGGGATTGTTACGGTCTGAATGTTTGTGTCCTCCTTCCCTGCCACAAATTTGTATGTTGAAACTTAATTTCCAATGCGACAGCGTTAAGAGGTGAGGCCTTGAGGAGGTGACTAGATCATGAGGGTGGAGCCCTTATGAATAGGACTAGTGTTCTTATAAAAGAGGCCCAAGAAAGCTTGTTTACCTCTTCCATTATGTAAGAATGCAGCAAGAAGTCACTGTCTACAAGGAACTAGACATTTCTGGCACCTTGATCTTGAACTTCCCAGCCTCCAGGAGTCTGAGAAATAAATTTCTGTGGTTTACAAGCTACTCAGTTTGTGGAATTTTGTGATAAGAGCCTAAATGGACTAAGACATGAATTTATCAAAAGATGGTAAGAACTTTACACTGAAAACCACAAAATCTTGCTGAGAAAAGCAAAAGCAGACATAAATATAGACATACATATTTGTGGATTAGAAGATTCAACATTGTTAAGACAGCAATTCTTCCTAAATTGATTTAAAGATTCAATGTTATACCAATAAAAATCCTAATAGGCTTGTTTGAAAAAATTAACAAGCTGCTTATGAAATTTACAAGGAGAACCAAAGGCAAAGAATAGCAATAATAATTTTTTAAATGAAGAACAAAGCTGGAGGACATAGCCGGGCATGGTGGCTTACGTCTGTAATCCCCACACTTTGAGAGGCCAAGGTAGGTGGATCATTTGAGGCCAGGAGTTTGAGACCAGCTTGGCCAACACGGTGAAACCCTGTCTCTATTAAAAATACAAAAATTAACCAAGTGTGGTGGCACACACCTGTAATCCCAGCTACTCAGGTGGCAGAGGCAGAAGAATTGCTTGAACCTGGAAGGCAGAGGCTGCAGTGAGCTGAGACTGTGCCACTGCACTCCAGTCTGGGGGACAGAGCGAGATTATCTCAAAAAAAAAAAAAAATCAAAATTAGAGGATATATATCTCCAAGTGGAAAAACATGAACTGTTTCTCCGCTGCTCACCCACCATAACAGTCAACACAGAAGACTTCTGTGGCCAAATATGTGATTTCTTCCCACCAACAAGCAAGCAATCAATTCTGCAGTGTACACCAGCTGGGTGTCCTCTAATTCAATTCAGTTCTAATACTACTTACCTGAAGGTAGCATCAGATCACACAGATTGAGAATTAGGTCCCTCAAGACTGAGTCCCATTTTCAATGCTAATCACACACCCCAGGTGTTTTACCTGTGCTTTTGACCCATCAAATAGAAATTGGAGTTCCCATCCTCCACCCCTTGGATTCAGTTAATTTTCTAGTGTGACTCAAAGAACTCAGGGAAATATTTGTTTATCAGTTTATTACAAAGGACATTACAAAGGATATAGATGAAGAGATGCATATGAAGTATGGAGGAGGGGGCATGGAGCTTCCATGCCCTCCCAGGAACCTCCACGTGTTCAGCTATCCAGAAGCTCTCTGAACACTGCCTTTTTGGGCTTTTACAGAGGTTTTATTACATAGGCATGATTGATTAAACTAAGCCATTGGTGATCAACTTAACTGTCAGCCCCTTTCTTTTCCCCAGAGGTTATGGGGTAGGCTGAAAGTCCCAATCCTATAATGATTTCTTGGTCTTTCTTGTAACCATCCCAATCCTATAATGATTTCTTGGTCTTGCCAGTGACCAGTCTCCATCTTGAAGCTACATAGGGGCTGTCAGTCATCAGTCAACTCATTAGTGTACAAAAGGACATCGCTTTGGAGATTCTAAAAATTTTAGGAGGAAATAGATCTGAAACCAAATAGATATTTCACATTATCACAATACGTAATTTCAGAAGTTATGATAAAACTACATTATTCAATACAGTGTGTTATTGGTATAAAGCTAGACAAATAGATGAATAGAACAGAATAGAAAATCTGGAAATAGACCCACACTTATATGATTGATTAGTTTGCAATAAAGGTGCCAAGTAATGCAGTGTGGGAGGGATAGTCTTTTACAAGTGCTGAAATAATTATACATCTCTATGGATTAATAAAAAATTAACCTTGACCCTTACCTCATACTGTAAGCAAAAAGTAACTCAAAATGAATCATAAACCTAAATAAAAAAAGCTAAGACAATAAAACTTATAGATAAAAACATAGGAGAAAGTCTTCGTGACATTCAGTTAATCAGAGTTTTCTTAAGGAGGACATGAAAAGCACTGATCGTAAGACAACATTGACAAAATGGACTTTTGCAAAATTAAAAGCCTATACTTTTAGAAAGATACAATGAAGAATGTAAAAAGGCAAGTTGTAGATGGAGAGAAAATATTTGCAAAGCATATGTCTGTCAAAGGGCTTGTGTCCAGGATCTATAAAAAAACTTACAATTCCATAGTAAGAAGGCAAGCACAATGAAAAATTTGGCAAAAAGATTTGAACAAACTCTTCACACAAGGAGACATACGGATGGCAAATAAGCATATGAAAACGTACTCAACATCTCTAGTCAACAGGGAAATGCAAATTAAAACCACAGCAAGATCCTACTACACACTCACTAGAATGACTAAGGTTAAAAAGACTGCTAGTATCAAGCGCTGGTGAGGAATGTGGAGTAACCCATACAGTTTAGTGGAAATGCAAAATGTTAACAGTCTTTTCTAGAAAGCTGACAACCCCAAATATTGGCAAACATTTAGGAGGGAACTACACCTCTCATTCATTGCTGGTGGAAGTATATAATGATACAGTCACTTTGGAGAACTGTTTGTTAGTTTTTAATAAAACTAAACATGTCAGGACTCAGCAATTCTACTCCTATGTATTTACCAAGAGAAACAAAAATATAGATCTACAAGAAGACTCGTACAAGAACATTTATAATCCTAAGCTGGGGAAAAAAGCCCAGATGTCCATTAACAGGAGAAGGGATAAACAGTGACATTCATACAAAAGAATATTGCGTGCCTGTATCAAAACATCTCATGTACCCCATAAATATATACATCTACTAGGTACCCCCAGAATTTTTTTAAATAAAAAAGGAAAAAAAAAAGAATACTACCCAGCCACAAAAAAATGAAGAACTACTCATACATACATATGGATGAATCTCACAGACTAATGCTGTATGAAGGTGAACACATGATTTCATTTACTGTATATGAAGTTTAAGAAAAGGCACCGTTAATATATTGTTATATAAATCAGAACAGTTGTTGTCTATGAAGGAACTCACCGGAAAAGGGTGCAAGGAAACTTTTTTGAAGCCATTGAACTATTCTGTCATGACAAGGCTGTTGGTTACATTGGTATATACATTTGTCAAAACTCATCAAACTGTACACTTAAGATATGTGTATAAATCTTTCTCTAGGAAATATTATAAAGTGAAGTATTACAGGAAGAAAAGAAGCAAAAAGACATAGGGAATGGTGGAGACATTATTACTATTGTGAATTTGATTTTCCCCACCAGTTTGGAGCTTTTTTTTCTTTTCTTTTCTTTTTTTTTTTTTCCAGAGACAAGGGTCTTGCCATGGTGCCCAGTCTAGTCTCGAACTCCCGGGCTCAAGTAATCTTCCTGCCTCAGCCTCCAATCCTCAGCCTGCTGGGATTACAGGCATGAGCCACCACGTCCAGCCCATTTTGGAGCTTAAATCTGCCTTTTTTTTTTTTTTTTTTTTTTTTTTGAGACAGGGTCTCACTCTGTCACCAAGGCAGGAATGCAATGACACAATCTTGGCTACTGCAACCTCCTCCTCCCGGGTTCAAGTGATTATCCTGCCTCAGCCTCCCAAGTGGGTGGGATTATAGGCATCCACCACCATGCCCAGCTAATTTTTATATTTTTAGTAGAGACAGGGTTTCACCATGTTGGCCAGGCTAGCCTAGGACTCCTGACCTCAAGTGATCTGCCTGCCTCAGCCTTCCAAAGGGCTGGGATTACAGGCATGAGCCACAGTGCCCAGCCTTCTTTTTTCTTACTCCTCATCTTCTGTGCCAGAAGGTTTTTGTTTTCTTAATCAGTAACTCTCTATTTGAAATTACTAGTCTAAAGCTCTTTGATTTTGTTGCTTTGAATTGGTTGATTTCATCAGGTTTAGATAATATTAAACTTTAAACTTTAAGGGGCTGAAGTTAATATTTATTAGACTCTTAATTATTAAACTCTTGTTATATTCTTAATATGTTCTAGAAAAATATTATAGACACTGTATATACAATATTTTATTTACCCTCACAGAAAACCTATGGAGTTCATGTTATTTATAGAAAAGTCAGCTCAGGTGGAGAGAAGTTACATAACTTGCACAGAGGCAGACAGTTAATTAGTGTTAAAGTTTGATTAGAACCCAGTTCTCCCGGATTTTTTTCATTTGACCCAATTCAGGTAAAACTACAGAGAAACAACTTTCTCACTGCCACTACTGCCCACTCCAAACTTCAGGTTCATGTTGCCCCTTCATTTCTTTCGGTTACCATGTTATTAGTTCGTTAATTCTTTAAATCATTTCGCAAGGATTTACTGTACTGAGCACCTCTTCTGTGCCAGGAATGTGTTAGGTGCCTGCCGGGAAGGATTTCAAAATTGAGGGTGGAGACAGGAAAATAGACAACATCTGGTTGGCAGCATGTTAAGAGGTCAGTGTAAGATGGGTGTAGCCTCCGAGAGATCCTTAAAACATACTGGGGGTACTAAAAACAGATACTTAAAACAGGCTGGGGCAGGCAAGACTTCCTGAAAGGGATGAGGCCTGCACCAAGCCAGCTAGGTGAATAGGTGAAACAGCAGTGGAGGGCCGGGCGCGGTGGCTCACGCCTGTAATCCCAGCACTTTGGGAGGCCGAGGCGGGCGGATCACGAGGTCAGGAGATCGAGGCCATCCCGGCTAAAACGGTGAAACCCCGTCTCTACTAAAAATACAAAAAATTAGCCGGGCGTAGTGGCGGGCGCCTGTAGTCCCAGCTACTTGGGAGGCTGAGGCAGGAGAATGGCGTGAACCCGGGAGGCGGAGCTTGCAGTGAGCCGAGATCCCGCCACTGCACTCCAGCCTGGGCGACAGAGCGAGACTCCGTCTCAAAAAAAAAAAAAAAAAAAAAGAAACAGCAGTGGAGGATGACCCAGCAAAGGGAGCTGCCGTGCATAGCCATGACATCACAAGACAATGTGCTCTTTTCTGGAACTGCACTTTTTTGTTTGTTTGTTTGTTTTTTGAGATGGAGTCTTGCTCTGTTGCCAGGCTGGAGTGCAGTGGCACGATCTCAGGTCACTGCAACCTTCTCCTTCCTGGTTCAAGCAATTCCCCTGCCTCAGCCTCCTGAGTAGCCGGAAATACAGGTGTGCACCACCATGCCCAGCTGTTTTTTTTTTATTTTATTAAAGACAGGGTTTCACCATATTGGCCAGGATGGTCTCAATCTCCTAACCTGGTGATCGGCTGGCCTCGGCCTCCCAAAGTGCTGGGATTACATGCGTGAGCTACTGCGCCCAGCCTGACGTGCCTATCATTTTATCCGAAAAGTGGATGGAGTTCCAGTGGCAAAGGAATGAACAGTGGAGACAAGAGAGTTAAATAGGGTTTGACTCATTAAAGTCTCCGTATGCTGGGTTTCAATTTTATTCTGAGGCAAGGGCAGGGCATCCGAGGAGTTTAAGCTCCTTAAACACAGGGAATTGAATGTGCTTGTGTTTTGGGAAGATCACCCTAGCAGGATTAGAAAGGAAGAATCAAGCCGCTGTCGCTATAATACTGTCAAAACCTAATGAGTGTCTAACATAAGACAGCCACCATGAAGAAGGGTGAACCTGCCTTCTAATTAGTCAGGAAGAGATTTCTTTCTCTTTCCTCTCTTTGTTGGTGTAAAGAGAAGAAAGGTGTAAAGTACAGATGGGTTTCAGGCTTGCACCTGAGAAGCTGGTGGTGATGCCTACTGAGACGAGAATGCTAGGGGATCAGGTCTACTTAATGTTCCTTCCTAATCACAGACAAAACCTAAAGTGTGTGGACCCCAACCACTCCTACAACCATATGCTGCAGCTATTCAAGGTGAGTTCTCAGGAGCAATTGTGTTGTTCTTCAACCTGAATATACTATATTTTTGTCTGATTGTTTGATCACATCATTATTCCCCTATTAATAACCTCTAATATGCATCTGCAGAAATGAGACCACTGGCTAGATGAAATTTATTGATTCTCTAAGAAAAATTATCTTCATTGGCCGGGCACGGTGGCTCATGCCTGTAATCCCAGCACTTTGGGAGGCCAAGGCAGATGGATCACGAGGTCAGCAGTTTGAGACCAGACTGACCAACTTGGTGAAACCCCGTCTCTACTAAAAATACAAAAAAAATTAGCTGGGCGTGGTGGCGGGCATCTGTAATCCCAGCAACTTGGGAGGCTGAGGCAGGAGAATCACTTGAAACTGGAAGGCGGAGGTTGCAGTGAGCTGAGATTGCGCCACTGCACTCTAGCCTGGGCAATAAGAGCAAAACTCCGTCTCAAAAAAAAAAAAAAAAAGAAAAGAAAAAGAAAAAAAGAAAAATGATCATCATTGGCTAAATGAAGTAACTTAGTTAAACTTTTTTTCTTCTAAGAGCAGGAACACATGCATATACAAAAATCCTTGCCCCTTTTTCTTTCCTTTATTTTTCTTCCCCCTTTCTTCTTTCCTTCCTTCCTTCCACCTTCCTTTCTTCCTTCCTCTTTCTTCTTCTCTCCTTCTTCCTTCTCTCTTGTTAATTTGGAAGAAAATTTTCTCCAAACTTGAACTGACTCCAATGACTGGCTCTAGCACAAATATCACGAACTCTGAAATCTGAAGTTAGATGAACATGTGATACTGAGGTTGACATTTCCGAGAGGTTTTCCATCAAATGTCCCTGACTTACCATCTCCTGCTCTTCACATGACACATGGTTTAACTTCTGCAGGACGGATTACATTCTATCCCCAGCTGGTATGCAGATATCATCTCATGGAAAGAAATTTAAAAATAATTGTAAACTCATTAGATGTGGCAGTATCTGGGTGAGGAGGAGGACACTGGAAGAGGGGAGAGTGGACATAGGAGAAGAGAGAGGGCACTTGTTCCCACTTCTAAGAGAGGGTACCGAGATGACACCACTGCACTCCAGATTGGGCGGCAGAGTGAGACCTTGTTTCGAAAAAATAAAGAAGAGGCTGGGCGCGGTGGCTTATGCCTGTAATCCCAGCACTTTGGGAGGCCGAGGGGGGCGGATTGCCTAAGCTCAGGAGTTTGCGATCAGCCTGGGCAACACAGTGAAACCCTGTCTCTACTAAAATACAAAAAATTAGCCGGGCGTAGCAACGCATGCCTGTAGTCCCAGCTACTCGGGAGGCTGAGGCAGGAGAATTGCTTGAACCGGGGAGGCGGAGGTTGCAGTGAGCCGAGATCGTGCCACTGCACTCCAGCCTGGGTGACAGAGTGAGACTCCATCTCAACAAAAAAAATTTAAAAAAAAAAAAAAAAAAAAAAATAAATAAATAAATATATATATATATATATATATGAAAAAAGAAAAATAGAAAGAGAGGGCTTTAGAACTGTGCTAAGCAAAGCTGCCGGTGTACCAATGCAGGGTAAGCACATTGAGCATACAGCTACACATTTGACTACGACACAGTACTTTGGCAGAAGCAATAAAACCATTTTTGAGGAACCTTGTTTGGGGACTTTCAATTGTTGTTTTATTACAATCAATACTTGTTCTACAAAGCTAATAAAAAGAACAATGTCCTGGGAAACTAAATCATGGGTTTTTTATTGACTTGGTATCAGAATCAAAAAGACTTTTAATTCATTCAGGCTTCAGTGTCCTGACCCATCAATGAATGACAGTAATGGCTGCCAAGCAAGATTTTATGAGAAAATACTGAGACAGCCTTTGTGAAAAGTTTCCCAATATAAATTTATTTTATTATTCCCATTAATTATTATTTTTTTAAGAAACATTTTTCAGAGTCAGAGGGTATTTAATTTTTTTAAAAAAGCAAGGCACAAGAAAAATTTATGGTGAAAAATGTTTTTATGTAAAATGTTGATCTCTCCATAAAACTTTGAAACAGTGAGTATTTTAATCCTTAGTGGAGACCATTAACTGTAACAACATCTTCCTGCACAGATAATTTTTGGTTTGGGTCTTGTGGAATAGATATCACATGGAACATCAGTTCATGGAATAAAAACCTGAACTATGAAAATATATTTTAGTTTTTAAAAAATATTACAAAATGTTATTTATTTATTTTTTGCAGTGGGATAAACTTCATGACAGATACGGTGGTATGAGACCCCTGCTGTGATGAAATATCAAACATTTTAACATTTTGGCTTTATTTGAATTTGGTTTTATTTTCATAGCATGTATTCAACTCCCAAAAGTAATATCACCTCATTTCATGTTTGCTTCTACAACTCACAAGCAAAGATTATCATGTACATGCAAATTTATATAAATCAAGGTCATTGGGAATCAAAACTTTTTCTACTTTTATCACTAGATTGGAGCTGTTGTAGCTATATTCTGGTAGTGGATTTGGATAATTTTCAAGTTTTAGGTTTTGCTAACAAGTGTTCTTAAAGCAAACAAACCAAAATCCTCTGAATAAATTCAGTGCCTCCCAGACCATTGCCTCTAGGCAGGCAAATCTGGTTCACTGGGGACAACTCATTAAGTGACAAGTGAATCTGGACGCACAATCTATATAACTAGACTGAATATAACAGTACTCAAATATTAATGGAGTAAATGTTAAAACATTCCTTTTCAACAAGAATGACTAAATCTCAGAAACATATTACAAATAAATAGCCAGGGCTTAATTTCTTTAAAATCCTTATGCAGATATTTTTCCAGAAGACATACAACCTGCTTAATGTTCAACTCACTAGAGAGATTAGTGTCTAACTTGTCAACAAAAACACAGACACACAAGCACACGCACAAAGAAAGTACTGCAGTTGTCACCCTTTGTTATTTACTCAGCCAGTTGAAGCAGAAGACAGTTAACTGCAGGGCACTTTGCTGGATTTAATCAAGCTTCCTCAAGAAGATGCCATAGTATGGTCCTTACTTTGAAGAGCCTGAAAGCAGTGAAAACTCTACTTCATACTGCCATCTGCCAAGGTGCAAATCTCATTTGAGAATAGTAGGGTTGGCCGGGGGGCAGTGGCTCACACCTGTAATCCCAGCACTTTGGGAGGTAGAGGATGGGGATTAATTGAGCCCAGGAGTTTGAGACCAGCTTGGGCAACATGGTGAGACCCCATCTGTACAAAAAATACAAAAATGAGCCAGGCGAGGGGGAATACACCTGTAAACCCAACTACTCAGGAGGCTGAGGCGGCAGGATCACTTGAGCCCGGCAGGCGGAGGATGCAGTGAGCCGAGATCGTGCCACTGCACTCCAGCCTGGGTGACAGCATGACACCCTGTCTCAGAAAAAAAAAAAGTAGGGTAACTATTCTTATGTTAGGGACAAAGATTGTCAATTTCACTATCTCTATTGTTATGAGTAAACACAGTTTCACCATCATAAAAAGTGACGCAGCAACATATGAACAAAACCTGGTAAAAAGAACATGGGAAGATGAAAAACAACAGTTGGTGTTTGAGTAATGGGATTGGGAGTGAATTTTGTTTTTTTAATTTTTTAATGATTTTTGATGTTATTTGTACCTTCAAACTTCTGGTTGATTAACACATGCTCATTCATGGATAATTTTTAGTTATGTGAGCATGAACTAGCTTTGTTTATTTTTGTACTAACTATGAAAGAGATGTTAATAGAAATTATAGATTTCAAAACCATTTTGTTGGGGAGGGGAGGTGGTTTGCTTAATCTGAGAACAAATTATTTTTAAGCATTACCTTCATCCATTTCCATGTAAGACTCATGGTAGGAATATACAATCTAAATTCTTTGCTATAGCACATTTATCAGGACCGAAGATGACAGTTGTGTTTTAATCATAAGATCACATTATTATAAGTACTTGAAAATGGCATATTTGATTTTCTTTAAGAATCTCCTTTAATTGAAGATTATTTTAATAGCCTGATATCAAATAACTTATTGTACCAATTCTAGGCATTCACCTTCTTCCTCCTTGCCCTCCACCCTTGCCCCAATCTAGCATTGCTGGAGCAGTCTTCCTAAAGCCTAGCTTCCTCATGGCACTCCCCTGCTAATACTTCAGTGGCCCTCCAGTGCCACGTGAACACTTTTGCTTTTTTTATTTTGTTTTGTTTTTAAGACGAGGTTTTGCTCTGTCACCCAGGCTGGAGTTCAGTGGCAGGATCTTGGCTCACTGCAACCTCTGCCTCCTAGGTTCAAGCAACTCTCCTGCCTCAGCCTCCTGAGTAGCTGGGATTACATGCATGTACCACCATGCCCGGATAATTTTGTATTTTTAGTAGAGACAGGGTTTCACCATGTTAGACAAGCTGGTCTCAAGCTCCCGACCTCAAGTGACCCGCCTGCCTGGGCCTCCCAAAGTACTGGGGTTACAGGTGTCAGCCACCACGCCCGAGCCCCCATGAACATTTTTGGTTGGCTTTTTCTCAAAGCTTTCTATAATTTGTTCCCACATTAACTACACAATCTTCTCTTTTAAATCCTCAACACAAAACTTCCATTTCTCCTCCTGAAAAACCTTCCCTCTCTTTTCAAAATCTAAATTTTATCTTGCCTTCCAGTTTGATTTCTGTACCATCCAACATAAGAAACCTTCCTGAGAATCACAGCACAATTTGGTAGCTCTTATTTATGAATTTCCATAAAAACTTATTACATATACTTCTAGCATCACACCAGCATAAATAACATTAATTTAAAATTCTAAAGATATTATTTTTTAACTAGATTAATGTCCCTTACAACGGCTACCTTTTATTATATTTACTTCGTATGTTTTCTAGCACCTATTTATTATACAGCCAAGAACTGTTAAATTGTGGTGGCATGGCCTGGAGTAGACACTCAATGAATACTTGTTGAATAAATAAGGGTAGATAGAACTGTACCCATCCAGCAAGCAAGACGCTGGTTCCAACATTGCTCTGTTTTAATCAGAGTGATAGTGGCCAAGGCAGTTAATATTTTTGGTCCCCCATTTTCTCATCTATGAAAGGAGCTAGTAAAAGAGTTGATGTTTTAATTTAGGCTTGTCCTCTATATCTCTATATCTAAATTAAATATCTGTCTCACTCCATCACCAAGCCTTCCCTTGAGAATCCTTGTCAGTGTTGATCTGAGAAGTTCCTTTCAGCAACCCCTCACCAGCATTCACAGGGGAACCTGCTAAGATAACTGACTTCCTGTTACTCTTTCATTTCAGCCTTTGTCCTATGTCTGGAGACTTCTTGGAAGCTGGAGCACACAAATAGCTACAGCAAACTTGAGGAATGGGCATGAATAGACTGGCTTCGGGGAACCTGCCAGCTTGGCCGTGTGGCCAAGGTAATAGGCAAGCCAAGGCAGAGCTAGAGCTCAGAGCTGGAGGGGAAATTAAAGCAGCAAATGTAGAAACATTAAGCCTGAAGAGGCGACGACGTTGAATTCTAAAATGCAGGCCAAAGCTCAGACTGCAAGCTGTCTGGCTGCTCCGGGTGTGCCCAGAAGTCAAAGTCCAGCAGGGGCAAAGGTGGAGGTGTGGTCCTGCACGTGGGGTGTTGGGGGGATGTGGAAGAGGAGGTGCTTTAAGATCCAGAGATTCCAGCTGCCCTGGTGCACCCTTGGAAGAATAAAAGGCTAGGAACTGGACAAGTCAGGCTCGAGTCCAAGCTGCCTGAGGAATCGGGGAAAGAATGGAGCTCAGAGTGGGAGGTCAGGGCAGTATTTAAAAATCCAGGATAGCAGCAAAGCTGGCGGTGGCCCCTGACTCTGGTAAGGGCAGCCTGCAGCACCATGCCAAGGGGGGCCTGACTGATCATGCCCTGCATTTGCAAACAAGGATTAGTAGGGTATGAGTAGGATTCTGCTGGTGCCTGGGAAGGCAGTGCCATCTACAACTTTACAAAGTTTTAACAAAGGCCTGAAGGACACAACCTTCCCCAAAGTCCTGACGTCGCTGTTTGCTGGCAACAAATAGAGTCAAAAGAAGAGAGGCACAGAATGTGCCAGGGGTGTGCTGCGTACAGCCCCGATGACCACAAGGCCTTCTTGGGTCAAGTTCTGCCATCTCTGGTTAAGATGGGCTCACCCTCTAGGACCCTGATTGAGTCCTCGGACCACCAAGAGTGCCCCACCAAGAGCCTCCCTCTTCTGGTGACTCGTGCCTGCTTCCCGTGGAGAGCTCCAGAAGGGAGGAAACTGTGAGGAGGTGGAGAACGTGGCAGGGATCCTAACTTTCTTACTGAAGGAAGTTCTTCACAAGTACCCATCTGCCTTCAGGGAAGAAAACATAACTCATTTTGGTCTTTCAAATTCAGTTCTCAAAACCAAATCCTGTTGTCAGCAATCTGTGTCCCAACGCCTTCTTCAGCAACAGCATTTTCCCTGTGGAATTAGTTTCCAATGTTCTTTCTTAAATAAACCACTGAAGATTAAAAGGAATCCAGATACCCACCACATTTTGTTTCCTTAATGAGTAATTATCACATTTCTTTGGCTACTTAAATGCATTCTCTGAGTCAGGTAAAGGAGATCGTAATAGTTAATCAACAAGAAGTAATTCTTGGGTACTTAACAATAGTCTAAGCACTTAATCATACTTAAAATTGACTATTAATGAACCTTATAAACCATTTTGCAATTCTGAAAGTGAATTTCTCTGCAGGCTTAGAGATTACTAAGCCATTTAGATCTTACCAAACAAATATTATTCATGCTTTAATTCCTGGGAAAAGAAATTTAGAAAATGAGGTTAATGTTCAGTTGTCCTTTCCTGAGTTTAACAATTATATATTCCATCTGGGATGCTCTGAACTCAGGTTAAACATTCTTCAAGTTATTCCCACATTTTTCAAGTTATTCCCACGTTAGTGACCTACTTTATTAGTATTATTACTAAAGAAAAGGGCTGGGTGCGGTGGCCCACATCTGTAATCCCAGCACTTTGGGAGGCTGAAGCAGGAGGATCACTTGAGCTTGGGAGTTCAAGACCAGCCTGAGAGGGAGACTCCGTCTCTACAAAAAAAAAAAAATTAGCCAGGTATGGTGGCACGCGCTCATGGGCCCAGCTACTCAAGGAGGCTGAGGTGGGAGGATCACGTGAACCTGGGAGGCAGAGCCTGCAGTGAGCCCTGGTTGTGCCTCTGTACTCAAGCCTGAGAGACAGAGTGAGACCCTGTCTCCAAACAATAAAGTAAAATAAATAAATAAATAAATAAGAATGCAAATCAAAGACATTAAGAAATAGCTTTACTTTAATGTAGGCATTTAAGGTAAAATAGGTCACATTCTCTTTTTTAAAAAAATTACTGACCCACAGAAAAACAAGTCAAAAAGCAGACTATTTCATATTAGTGTCTTTTTTTTAAAGAGGATTAATATAAATTGCCTTCTCACCTGTTTTTAAAATAAAGGACTGAATGATAGAACTTAGACAACAAATCTAGTAGCATGATAAAAGCCTTTCTTTGATAGCTAGAAAAGGTAAACAAAGAATAAAACAGGGTGAAGAAGAAAGAGGACAGATAGAATGTGAATATTATCTACCTTTTTCTCAAGATAAAACTAATATTGCTTTCTAAAAAGAAGCAATTCTTTAGAGCAGAGGTCAGCAAACTTTTTCTATAAAGAGCCAGATATTAACTATTTTATAATTTGCAAACCACATAAGTCCTCTGTTTCATATGGGTTTTTTTCTTTTTTCTTTTTAAACAATACTTTAAAAATGCTGAAAATATTCTTAGCTTACATCTACAAAAAAGCAGGCAGTGGGCTGATTTGACTCACAGGTGGTATAGCTTGCTAATTCCTGCTTTAGATTTTAAGAATGAGGCAGATGTTGCCAGAATTTGCTCTAATTTACTATGAGGTTTGCAAATAAAAGTGCTCTTGACATGAAAACTTGCTATTTTTAATGGAAAGACATGTACAGCCCTTTCTCAGGAAGTGGAGATTAATGCATAAAATTTTATTTTCCTAACATAAAGCATGTTTTTTCAAAAAATGGCTTCTCCATCTTGTGGCCCTTTGATTATGATAGCTCTGAAAGCTTTGAAAAGCTTGCAAATACTCAACTTCAGGAATAAAACCACCTATGAGACCCTCACCTGAAGGCAGGATCTTTCCTGCAGCCTTGAGTCTTCCTAATCAGAACCATTGTTTCGTAAACTGGACTCCGAAGACAACACTTAAAGTCACTCAAGTTCGCTACAAAATTCTTGTTTTGTGTTTTCATTTCTAAAGACAATAAAAATAATTGATATGATCAAGTTTGGGATTATCTAGATGATCTAGACAACTATTGCGGTCAAAATAGGCCTGATCACAGGCATTTTCAGTACCCATGGAATTCTAGAGCTTTGGATACTTGTCTAGTCTGTTTGGGTCACTATAACAAAATGCCATAAACTGGGTGCTTATAAAGAACAGAATTTTATTTCCCACAGTTCTGCAGGCTGGGAAGTCCAAAATCGAGGCAGATTTGATGTCCTCAAGTGATGGAAGAATCAAGAGGTCTCTCTGGGGGCTCTTTTATAAGGGCACTAACCCCATTCATGAGAGCAGAGCCTAATTACCTCCCTAAGGCCCCAACTCCTAATACTATCACCTTGAGGGTGAGGAGGGAAACATAAAAATACCATAGTAATACTAATAGGTACATCAGTGAAGAACAATATCACAGTATCGTGTAGACAGGAAGATTTTGCTGCAATTTGGTTGTTAAAACAAAAAGTCGTGGGTGGATACAATCATCAGACAGTTCAGAAGTGGCATCCACGTACTCACCCAAAGGAGGTGCACTGCAGTTGTGGGAGCCCTGTGCTTGCTACTAGCAGTGACTTAATTTCTGCAAAGCTATGTGATCACATTCAACTATGCTAGTTAACTTTAATTTTACTGAATTTGGTTTAGGTAGGTAGTTTGTAAATTTAACTTTCTACTTGTATAAGAAGTATAATTATAAAAACAGCAGGTCAGCACGACAGGTCTGAGAGAATCTGTATTCTGTAAAAAAATACCTATTTCTTACTTGGCGAAAAACATTAGTCAATGTTGCACCAAAAACCCCCCAAAAGCTATAGATCAGATATTGACTAAAATGAATATACAAAAATCTTGACTGGAAATATTTTAAGTCAAAACTAACAGCCTATTTCAGGTATTGACAGAACAAATTCCAGAAGCAGAATAACTGAAACAATCATGTTGAAATTAATTATAATGGGCAGAATTTGACTGAAACTTGTTACCACCTTCACCAAAATATAGCCTTTCTTATACTATCAAATGTATTGAATAAATTGTGAGCACTTTCTTGTACAACTTCTAAAAATTTAGCTTTGCTTTTGTTATCTGAATATTGTACAGGAATATGAGCATGCAAATAAGATCTTTGTTTAGTTTCAAGTCTTTTTATAACTAAATCTGCTGGCATTAGACAATAAATACATTTTCAAAATATGAATAGTCTCTCATTTGATTCAAATTAGATGAGTTGTTTTGCATGTTTCTTATCAATTATGCAATTATTGTCTTAGTTTAAATATAATCTAATAGCTGACGCTGCATTCATATGCTATGCTGGATTCCTAGCTAAAATGAAATCAGTATGCTAGTAAAATATTTTTCATACATGTTATTTGGAACTTTGCTTCTCAATTCTATAACAAGAATTCCCTTTGGTATCTGTATTTTTTTTCCCTTGTGTGTTAATATGCATATAATCTTTCTTTGTTTACCTACCTTTTTAAGGTAGGTTAAAGGGATAAAAGCAGTAACTCATATGTTTTGGTCTCAGGCCACCTTTACACTTTTAAGAATTGTTGTCTGGGTGCGGTGGCTCACGCCTGTAATCCCAGCACTTTGGGAGGCCAAGGTGGATGGATCACCTGAGGTCAGGTGTTCGAGACCAGCCTGGCCAACATGGCAAAACCCTGTCTCTACTAAAAACACAAAAAAATTAGCCAGGCATGGTGGCACGTGCCTGTAGTCCCAGCTACTTGGGAGGCTGAGGCAGGAGAATCACTTGAATCTGGGAGGCGGAGGTTGCAGTGAGCGGAGCTTGCGCCATTGCACTCCAGCCTCGGCAACAAGAGCGATACTCTAACTCAAAAAAAAAAAAAAAGAATTGTTGAGAAACTCAAAGAGGTTTCGCTTACATGGATTAGGTCTATTGCTATTTACCATAATATAAATTAAAACTGAAAAGTTTACAAATATTTTAATGCATTTAAAATAATAATAAAACTCATTACATGTCAACATAAATAACACATTTTCTGAAAAGTAATTATATTTTCCAAAGCAAAAATAGAAATATGCTTTTATTTTACATTTTTGCAGATCTCTTTTATACCTGGCTTAAAAGAAGATAGCCAGATTTTAATTTCTCTTTCTGCGCTCAATTTATTGTATTATTTTGCTTTGGTTTAAGTATATGGAGAAAATCTTGTTTCACACAAATGTGTAGATGGAAAAGAAAACAGTATTTAACAGCATTTTCAAATAATTAATTATGGATGTTCTTCTTTGATACTATACTAAAACTCAGCAAGTGATAGCTTCTTACAGGTTTGTTACAACATGATATCTGAAACTGTATCAATAAAAATTTCATACTCTGTTACATCAAAATTCACTGGTCTAAAAAAATTCATTGATCTATTTGGTGCTTGAGACAGACATTTGACTCATGACTTTTGTAATATTAAGTATTGGTCATCTGGAAAATTTGGTTCCATAAGATATGCAGATCTTGTTAATGTTGATCTATGTCACTATGCAATATCAAAAATCACATCTGTTAATATCATCACCGATCTCACCAGAACAACAACAAAAAAGTGTTGAAGTTTTCAAAGCTGTCAAGTTCGTTATGGCAGCTACAAGTTTTCCAAATTCTAATTTTCACTTGAAAGCTCAGATTTCATTATTCCCAACAAATACTGCCAAATCTTTTTTTAAAATGACAGACCCACTTTGTTCATTTTTTAAAAAAATGTCTGTCAATACCAATGTTTGAAGAACTACAGTTTTCTGTCAGTTGTTCTTTCAAATAAAAATAGTATTTCATGAAAAAAGTGGCTGGTTCAGCCCACCACTCAGTTGCATAAGTGCTTTTCCTTGAGACAACCACCGTACTTCAGTAGGCAGCAGAGGGGCTTTCTGTGTACTTGACATAGTTTGGATGTGTGTCCCTGCCCAAATCTCATATTGAAATGTAATCCCCAGTGTTAGAGGTGGGGCCTGGTGGGAGGTGATTGGATCATGGAGGAGGTTTCTCATGAATGGTTTAGCACCATCCTCTTGGTACTGTCCTCACAATAGTGAGTTCTTGTGAGGTCTGTTCATTTAAAAATATGTAGCACCTCCCCCCTTGCTCTCTCGCTCCTGCTCTGGCCATGTGACGCGCCTGCCCCACCTTTGCCTTGCGTGGTGCCATGACTGTAAATTTCCTGAGGCCTCCCAAGCAGAGCAGATGCCAGCATCATGCTTCCTGTACAGCCTGCAGAACCATGAGCCAATTAAATTTATTAAACCTCTTTTCTTTAAAAATTTCCCAGTCTCAGGTATGTCTTTATAGTAATGAAAGAATGGACTAATACAGTACTCCTCATTATACCACAAGAACATTATTTTAAAGATCGAGATGTAATAAAATTTTTATTGCTTCATCTAGGACATTCTTCAGTGAAGCTAGCCTTTTTTTTTTTTTCAAATATGAATAGGTGGTGCAATGACTAACTACTATAGTTAGGTGCCACTGTTTTGAGTCAGAGCAAGGCACCCACCATTACCTTTTTACCAACCTCAGTGAAAATGTCGAACAATGAAAAAAGGAACGTATACTATATGAAAATACTTTTCACCTCTCAGACCTTCTGAAAGGATCCTGGGGACTTTTAAGGGTCTGCAGACCACATTTTGAGAATGGCTACTTTTTACTAAGGGGAAATAAAAATCAAAAATTAGGAAGCAGAGAAAATAAAAACTAGAAAAAAAATTGAAATACTACAAACTCTTGAAATTCCTTCTCAGATATTTCTGCAAACACTTGAAATTTATTTCTTTTCAGGTATTTCATTAATTCATTCATGTAACAGAAATTATTATTTTTCTTACATAGAGTTGTCTAGCATATCTCCTTAAAAATGTAGGAATACTTATTTTCTACTTTTCTTATTATTGGAGCTTAAGCTAGAAAAGTTCCAAGACAACCTATTAAGTCCCACTTCCTAAACTTTTATGTAACCTAACATCTTATATAGAAAAAAACATACAGATATACAGATAAGCTATTTTAGATCATCGTTTATGTGGCCTTTTTGTTTGCTGGAAAGAGACTTACTCATGCTACCTCAAGAGATGAAGCCAGAGTGTTATGCCCTGTGGAATAACACCTGTGGAAATAAAGTAAGAAAGAATTTTGTACTAGATTTCCTCTTCTAAAGCTTACAATCTAAACCAGAGTCCAGAAAAAGGCTCACAACAAGGAATCACAAAACCGTAGCTTCCCATGGAGACTAGAACTCAATTTATGTTCTGAAAAGTGATTCAGGATTCCACACAGTTCTAATGACTGGTTGTTCCCTTTCCAGCTTCTTGAGTATTCTGTCTGCCTTCGCATCTCTCTGTGTGCCTATATTCTTCTGCTACCATATAGCTCATTTTTACTAGGTAACTTTGAAGTCTCAAGAGAGAGGATTGGGTTGGTCAACTTAATCACCATGATTCATAAAGGGCAGAGCTTCTGGCGTCAGACCACCTCACAGGCTGTTGGTCTGACTAGTTTAGCTGCCTTTGGGTTAGGTATGAACCTTAGTCCAGCTGTCTGTGGGTGGCAGACTGATGTGGAGCAAAACATGTCCACCTACACTTAAAGAACTTCCTAGATTGGGAGGCAGAGGTGGGATGATTGCTTTGAGCTCACAAGTTTGTGAACAACATGGGCAATATGGCGAAACCCCGTCTCTACTTAAAAAACCAAAAACTTTAGCAGGGCATGGTGGTACACGCCTGTGGTCCCAGTTACTTGGGAGGCCGAAGTGGGAGGACGGTTTGAGCCTGGGAGGCAGTGAGCCATGATCACGACATTGTGCAGCAGCCTGGGTGACAGAGTGAGACCCTGCCTCAAAAAAAAAAAAAAAAAAAAAAAAAAAAAAAGGACTTCCTAGAGATCTTCCTCAGCAGGGGCTGTGAATACAGTGTTTCTCTCTGGAAAAGACTGCAGGCATGGCAGCCATCTTAAGGCCTGGTGTCCTATAGATTGATCATTTTAACACAGTGTAAGCTTCAGGTGACCTTAGGCAAAGGGATGAGGAAACCCTCTACCTCCCTTTTGGAGAAGATTTCTCTTTTAATGCTTCCCTTCTTACCATTCTTTATATTAGTCGGCTTAGGCTGCCATTAACAAAACACCATAGACTGGGTGGCTTAAACAACAGAAATTTATTTCTCCCAGTTTTGGAAGCTGGGAAGTCCAAGGTCAAGGTGCCATCTGATTCAGTTCCCCAGTGAGGGCTCTCTTCCTGGCTTTCAGACAGCCAATTTCTTGCTGTGTCCTCACATGACCGCAAGAGAGAGGAAGCAGGCTCTCTGGTGTCTCTTCCTATAACCACTAATCCATCACGAGGGCCCTCAAGATCTCATCTAAACCTAACCTCCCCAGAGACTCCATCTCCAGACACAATCACATTGAGTGGAAGAGATTCAGCATATTAATTTTTGGGGGAGGGGATAACACAATGTAGTTCATAGCATTCTTCTTCCATTCTAATTCATCTTCCTCATGTTGGGTGCCCTGAACAGAGTTCCAGATGCCAGACCCCCACTCTTGTCATCCTAACTTTACAGCATACTTGTCTTCTGACTGATTTGCCCAGAATCCTGCTTTCTGTGATGGAAACTAATGAATTGTGACCCTATCTATGAAAGTGTTATCAACAGAAGCTCGTGGGAGCATGAGGTCCTCTCTTGTGTGCATGCTGGATATTCCTGTGGCTGGTGGCAGGCCAATACAGGAGAACCTGACAACAGGAAACCTTGAAATGAGATTGGCATGCTGGGCAGTGAGAAGGAGAGCTTCAAATAATAAACATCTTAGTGTACCTTAGTATAGTACTCTATACTCTACCTAAGCATAGAGTAGGCCCAGGCTGGGCCCTGGAAAACCTAAGAAAAAGTTAATAGAAAACTAAAAAATTATTTGCATCATCACACCTAGAAACAACTAGAAAACTAGTAACTTTTCATGGTCCATTATAGTCCTTAAGTCAATAATTATTGACTTGTTCTCATACATGATTACATATTCAAAACCAATCCAATGGACATCTCACTTGTAGAGTCATTATTTTCTTCTCTCACCTATTTTAAATGACATGCAATTAAGGTAAAGAATTGCTTCATTGATCTAGCATTTAATAGAACCAATCAATGAAAAGTTAAATGCTAATGGAAAAGAGACCAAATATTTAGTGATAGAGAATGATTTTTCAGATGCATACATCGCACGTCACACTCATGCTCATGCAGTGGATAACCCAAGCTCTACTGAAACTTAGTATGATGATCATGTTAATGTAGATGTTTAATCGCCTTCTTCTTCTTCTTCCTCTTTTTCTTTTTTTTTTTTGTTTAAACAGGGTCTTGCTCTGTCACCCAGGCTGGAGTGCAGTGGTGCAATCACAGCTCACTGCAGCCTAGACCTCCCCGGCTCAGATGATCCTCCCACCTCAGCTTTCTGAGTAGTGGGGACCACAGGTGCGCTCCATCACACCTGGCTTAGATCCTTAATTTACACACTTGCCTTCAAAATTTAAAGTTACTGTAAGCAGAATAAGAGTTCGCCCTGTGCATTGTTTGCAGAATGAGCGAGATCCAGGGGAATCCTTTTTTATGTGATAAAGGAAGCTGGTATGCTGTCACACACAGCAGTGAGCAAATTTCCCTCAAGTTCCCATTGCCTCTGTAATATTCAGAGAAACTCAGAAGACAAAGAATATATTTCAAACTGTTAATGGAGCCCTCAGCACTGCCTTGTGCTTTTTTTAAGCAAAATTATAGATTCACTCACAAAGAACTGTAAACATTTCATCTATGTTTAATTTTTAAAAGTGGTAGATAAGATTATGGCTGTGTATTATACAAACTGCGGCTTGACTGTCACATCCACCAGTCATGGAAACTTCTATAGGTTCTTATGATCTCTCTGGGCCTTGGTGTCTTCACGGATGTCCAATTGGGTTAATACACATCTGCTCCGGCTGTTATGGAATTAGAAATAATAGTGTATGTAGGGGCCCTGCACATGGCCAGCACTCCTTGTATTGTTATTTAGAGAAGTGCTGTGCAAACTGTTTACATTGAAAGGACAGTCACATTCTGAGTTTGATGTTGCTTAAAGGCCTTCTTTCCTGCTGGTGGCTGACTTTCCCTTTTCTTATTGTTCTAAGAATACTTCTCCATTTGGGCCATGTAAATAGTAACAATTGTTTGGTTGTTCCATCAGAAGGGAGAAGCCTTCCTGGAGCCTGGCTGGCAGAGCCCCAGTCTGATCTGTCTAGCAGTCATGGAGCTGGAGACAGGCGCAGTGCTCTTACTTCCTCCTCGAGGAAAAGAACCCCACCAAAATAGATCCTCATCATCTTGCAAACACCACCCAGAATAAATACACAGGAAATGAGGGCAAAATCCCACTGTGGTGGTTATTAAGGCAAATTCTTCCCAAAATATAAAGCTTTTCAGTGTGTAGGAGGGAGTACAGTAGTGGATATTACAGTGCATGAATCATTGTGGTGCTAATTCCAGATTATAAATTGAGTAATATACTATATGCCGAATGGTTCTATTTAGATTGATTAATATTTTATCCAGAGAAGTCTTTCTACATAGCTGCATTTACAAACAAAGATAAATTAGTCAAAAAGCATAAGAACCAAATTGTCCATGGAGTTTAGTGGAAAATTAGTTAGTATCTTGGCATTAAACAAATAATAAACTTCAGCTCTTTTCACATCCATAATGAAGCTTGGAATAAAAAAATACGATGCTGTCTAAACCTTTATAACCCTTAAAAATTAAAGCTAGATGCAAATTAGAAATAAAGATGGGGGACAGGGGACCCCCACCAAAGAAAAACACAGCACTAGAAGACCAGCTACTTGAGCATTAAGATTACAAAATTGCATTAAATTATTGTTAAACCAAATTATTTCTATTCAAGCAAAATAGTGATCTTCATTAATCATAAAATTTACTGTGCTTTCTCCCTTAATTTTCTGATTTTCCTATTGTTCAGACAATGACTAAAGTTGAAGAAAATGCTAATTCGAATCCAAAATTATGGCCAACTCATTAATAATATTATTTGACAAAATTTGAAGGATGTCAGCTTGTATAACTTCTCAGACATGAAAAGCTTCATTTACTTAAAAAATTGTAATGCTTCTTAATTCATAAGAAAATCAGCTTATAAGAAGGCAGCACCCTGGCCTAGTGGAAAATTAGAAATATCTAGAGAAGAAAGGTGTCTCGTGAGCTTTATAGTCCTGTTTCAGAAATGGAAAAGGAGGTGTAATTCCCTTAACAGATATCAAAACTTACTATAAAGCTACTGCAATCAAAGCAGAATGGTACTGATAGAAAAACAGATAGATCAATGGAAAACAATAGAATCCAGAAGTAGGTCTGACTATATCTGAGAGCAGAAATCATTTGGGAAAAGGTGTATAATATTCATTTTGCATATAATACAAAATACATATAATAATGGGGTTGGATAATTGACTATGTATATGCAAGAAAATAGCCTTCAACTCCCATCTTGTAACATAGCCCAAAATAAATTCCTGAATATTAAGGAGCCAAATATGAAATAAGGAAAACTATAGAATATATTTTTAAAAAATTTAGAAAACATTTTATAGCTGTGGAATGAGAAAAGCTTTCTATAGCAAGATAGGGAGCTTAGTTAGGTAAATAACTGAATACATTTTAAAGAAACTATTCATAGTATAGAGTACTGTGTAGCTTATAAAGGAAATAAAGGCAGAGTCAGTTCAATAAAAATGTATAATTTCTGTGTAGTATAAAGCAGAGAACAAATGAGCTTCTAAGAGAAAATATTTACAACACATATAGGACAATGGCTTAATATTTCTAATACACAAAGAGCTCTTACACATTAATTAGAAAACGACAAACGGGAAGAGGCAATTCGCAGCAGAGGAAATGTAAAGGTGCAATAAACATAAGAAAAGATGTTTGAGAAGACATTTATGGTGTTATTTATAGTAACCCAAAACCTGTGTGTGTGAGTAGGAGTGAGGGGGTGTTAAGAAAAAATATGTTCGCTGGATGCGGTGGATCATGCCTGCAATCCCAGCACTTTGGGAGGCTGAGGCAGGCGGATCACCTGAAGTCAGAAGTTTGAGACCAGCCTGCCAACATGATGAAGCCCCTTCTCTACTAAAAATGCACAGACTAGCCAGGCATGGTGGTGCACGCCTGTGGTCCCAGCTACCTGGGAGGCTGAGGCATGAAAATCACTTGAACCTTGGAGGCAGAACTTTCAGTGAGCTGAGATTGTGCCACTGCATTTGTGTTGTAATATCAAGAATAGAGGATGACAAACAATCTAGGTGACAGAAAGAGACTGTCTCAAAAAAATAAAAATAAAAATAAATAAAACCAGAGAGCTGGACCTCCATTTCCAGGTGGAGGCCAGGGAAGCTGCCACAGAGGAATGGCTGTGGTGAGCCAGGCCATATGGTGAGCCTGGCAGAGATTGCCATGGCCCAAGCATGGCACATAAACCACCAGACCTCACAGCATCTGGCAGCATGGGCCATGACATTTGTGGGGACCAGTGGCCAAGGCCCAGATAGGAGGGAACATGTCTCAATATCACTATGGCTACCAAGGTCTACATGCTTCCCATGCTGAACCCCCAGCCCCCAACACACACCAAATTCTTGGCATTACGTTAACCCCTCTGAAATGAGGTACAGCTACAGGGAAAGGGAGGGTATTCCAAATTAACTAAGATTGAGTCTTCACTTAACTAATGACATGGAGCCTCCAACTAGATATTAATTTGAGTTAAAGAAGAATTAAATTTTATTTTTTCCTTATCAAAGTTTGGACTCATAGCAGTTAAATGCATTTTCATATGTTTATATATGGATGATTGAAAAACATTGTTAACAGTAGTCGCCTAGGAGAAAGAGGCTATACAGTTGGAAGGTGAAAGAGAGACTATTGGTTTTACTTCAGGCACTTTCATAATGTTTAAATAGTTAAATAGATACTAGTTAATTAAGTTAATTGACTGAAGTAGTACAAATTGCAAAGACAAAAAATGCAGGTTCAAAATCATTTTGTAGTACAGGATAAAAGTCAAGGCTCAAAATGCCTATTTTGAGTGAATTATTAGTATCTCCAAACATCAATTTACTAATTTATAATGTGAGAAGACTGGGTTAAGTGATTACATAATCTCTTCTCTCTAAAATTATCATAAGGCAGTGAGTTTTCTGTTCTTGAAAATGTACAGCCAAATACCGTAGAAAAGAGTCATATTTGTGAAAGAACTTGGATAAGTAAAGAGCTTTCTAACAATGTTCTTCTAAAGATAATAACTATGGGAAGAGCAGTGGAAACATAGAATTGTTCCAAGAACAGGGCTTGGTTATCAATCCCAGGTCTGCCAATTATTTTCTGCATGACTTGGAGCAAGACAATTTAAACATTTTGGGTTAGATTACGTCTGTAAAGCAGGAGTTCCCAAACCTGGCATAAGCATCAGTCCAAGATTTTAAAAAATACACATTCCATAAATCCAACAGAAATGTCACCAAAAGACACTACGAGAATGTTCACAGCAGCACTATTTGTAATAACTCAAAACTGTAAAAAACCCGAATGTCCATCAATGAATAAAGAATAGAAAAAAGAAAGAAAGAGTGGGCTCATATGATTGGATACCATACAGTGGGGTTCAGCAAACTTTGTTCTGTAAAGGGCCAGATAGTAAATATTTCTAACTTTGCCAGCCATGTAATCTCTGTGGCAGCTAAACTCTACCACTGTAGTGTGAAAGCAGCTGTAGATAATACTGAGACAAATTAGCCTGGCAGTGTTTCAATAAAACTTTATTTATAAAACCGGAGATTGATCCCTTACTATATAGCAATGAAAACAAACTAGAACTACCTGCAATAACATGGATGAATTTCACAAGCACACTACTGAGTGAGAGAAGCCACGTACAAAAGAATACATGCTGTGTGATTCCATTTATCTAAAATTTCAGAATTGGCAAACGTAAGCTATGATGTTAAAAGTCAAAATAGAGTGGTTATCTTGGTAGAGTGGTGCCTAGTAGGGGGCCCAGAGGGTGTCTTCTGGGCTGGATTGCTTTATTATTTAATGTGAGACTGTGTTCACTTTGTGAAAATTAATCTGTATATTTACAGGGCTTGCACATTTTTTCCTGATGTAAGGTTTACTTCAATGAAAAGGTTACCATAAAGAAATATAAATATTTCAGTGTCTCACTCTGTAGAATCCGAGTTGTTGGCCAGGGGTGTGGCTTGAGGATCTATCCTAAGCCTGCCTTGAAGAAGTAAAGTGAGCTGCCTAAGGTCACGTTATTGGCAGAGCTGAGACAGAGAGCAAGCTCTTACAGTGTTGGGCATGGAGTGAGTCAGCCCTGCATTGAGAGAGGACGCAGCATCTGCCCTTGAGAACGGACTGGGAAATGGCTAAAAGAAGTCAAGGTCACATTCCGGACTCCTACCTACAATCATATTTGCACTGTCACCTGGATATGCTCACTGACTTCTGCCACCTGGGCAGCACCCAGTTCAGAACTTTGCAGATTGCTGGAATTGCTGGGGAGCTGCCAGAGGGCTTTCAGAACTCAGCATGAGTGCAGTGAGTGCGGCAGCCAGCTCCCAAAGGGGATGGCCTCAGCATAGTTTCCAGCTCTCGGCTCTCTTAACAGGAAGGCGTTGCGGTGTCGCAGACACAATCTGAAGTGGGGGTTCAAACAGACACAACTTCACATACTGGTTTTGCAACTTGCTGGCAAATGAGTGAATTTTACTCAATCCCAATTTTTCTCATCTGTAAAACAGCCATAAAATCGACCCCCACTGCCTCTTCCTCACCCCTCCCACAGACAAAGGATTTTTTTTCTCTTTTTTTCTATTCAGTCTTCACTGAACTAACATTTGCACGCCAAGCACCATTAAGTATTTTGCAAAGATTGTCTCATCTAATTCTTGTCAGTAAAGAAGTTTCATTTATGATCCTCATTTTATAGTGAAGAAACTAGGAATCAGTTGACTTAAAAATGACCTGCCTAAAGTCACACAGGTAAGAGGTGGAACCAATTTCCCACTGAAGAAGTGTGCCTGGGAGCCTGAGCTCGTAACCACCGCTTGTGACGATGACAATGCCTGGCAGTCGTCATCCTGTCTGGCCCATGGATGAAATTTAATAGAAGTTAATTCTGCATTTCCTCTTTTCTTAAAGAGCTATGAATTGGAGCTGAGGCCTGGCAGTCAGAAAACCAGGATTCTAGTGGGCTGGTAAATCACTTCTATTTCCTTGCAGCATAATGAAAGCATGGGATCAGATCACTCTCCTTAAGCGTTTCTTCTGGGCTGAATGAATTTGTACTCTCTACAGGTCTGAATGCTTGCTCTAAACAGAAAATAAGTTAGTTGTTCCCTAAAATTTTATGAAAAATTTATATTCGTTTCCATCATCTGAGTTTGTTTTGATATTTAAAACATAGATATTATGTCCTACCTAAACCTCTCTCCATGCACTCACTCACACTCACCTCATCCCATCTCGCAGTCTTGTGTGTTCCTTTACTCCAGGCACACCTAATTCATGGCTGCACATTCCCAAGGGCACCCTAGAAGGGGCACTCTCTTGGTTTGAAAAGCAGAGGTGTCAGTAGGTTTCATCAGGTCTCTGTACCTACACAATTCTATTACTCTGTTAACCTATGTGATGTGGAGGTTTATGACATAGAAGTTCTCCCCAGACTCGACCATGAACTTCCCAAACTCATCCAGAACTGAACCACCTTAAAACACGCTCTTTTGATATCTTGCCAACTTGGCAGATAAGACCGGATTTTCTACAAATTAAAAAGTGGTGATGGTGATGTGTTTGTTGGTGATGATGCTGATAAAATATGACCACTTCTTTATACGAGATGATTTCTTATAAAGGCAAATGAAAATTTTGTATCACAGTTGGAAACCACTGGACCATCAAGTACACTTGAAGGGCAAGAAAGATAAATTTACAGACAAAACTAAGGATTGTTTTTATATTATGTATTTCTCTGTCATCTGCCCACACCTGAAACCCAATTAACATTCAAGGGAGAATGAGTTTTGTTCAAGCCATTTAGAAGAGTAAAAGGAAAAGTAAATTTTAATAAGCCAGTATTTTTCTCTTGACACAAAGATTAGCAGAATTTGGGAATAATGTTTAAAATAAGTGTTATAGGCTGGGTGCGGTGGCTCATGCCTGTAATCCCAGCACTTTGGGAGGTCAAGGTGGGCGGATCACCTCAGGTCAGGAGTTCGAGACAAGCCTGGCCAACATGGTGAAACCCTGTCTCTAATAAAAACATAGAAAATTAGCCGGGCATTGTGGTGGGCACCTGTGATCTCAGTTACTCAGGAGGCTGAGGCAGGAGAATTACTTGAACCTGGGAGGTGGAGGTTGCAGTGAGCCAAGATCACGCCATTGCACTCCAACCTGGGCAACAAGAGTGAAACTCCATCTCAAAATAATAATAATAAGAAGTTGTTATAATATATGGAATGTATATTGCAGCATTATATTTTAAAAACAAACCATTACAAAAACACTGTTAATTTTGGAAGGCACATTAGCCAGTAGGGTTGAAAGATTTAATGTTCCAGTAATAGGAGTTTGGAATTCCAAAACACAGAGAAATTGTCACTTTTATTGTTTTGCTTAGTCTGGTTTTATTTCAGGAAGTTAGGAGACACTGGGCCCGACAGCGCAGATGACAAGCCGTGATGCAAATGCTTCCTATCTATGAGACAGGAAATGCTCTCAGACCCTGCACGTAACTCCCTGCAAAGTTTGCTCTTTGTTTTTGGTACATCCATTTGCTTCTTTGTGCTTAATTCTATGTATTGTGTACAGATGAGACAAAGAGAAAGCTGCAGTTATAGGACAGTATATGCCTTCTAAAGAAATTGCTCTTACATTATCAAGGAACAAATGAAGAGGTTTACTGATTTATGAGGAGACATTTGGTATAAACTGAAGGACTTGCTACAGTAGCCATATAAAGGACCTCATAATGAAATTTTTCAGGTCACACACACACATACGCACGCATGTACGTATATGCACATATACAATTGTTTTTCAAGTGGTTTCAGATTTTTCAAATGCAGTCACTAAAGATCAATTCTAGCAATGAATACATTTTGAATTTGTACCCTCTGAGCTCTTACCATTTTGGTCATGCAGACCTTGAGAATTAAGAACCCAGAATATTTTTCTTCATAATTTTGACACTGATTCATCCTATTTTTTTTTTTTTTTTCAGGGAGGAAGGGGGTCACAGGGTCTCGCTCTGTCACCCAGGCTAGTGTGCAGTGATGTGCGATCATAGCTTGCTGTAACCTCAAACTCCTGGGCTCAAGTGACCCTCCCGCCTCAGCCTCTTGAGTAGCTGGGACCACAGGAACGGGCCACCACACCTGGCTAATTTTTTAAAATTTTTTGTAGAGACGGGGTCTCACTATGTTCCCCAGATTTGTCTTGAATTCCTGGTCTTAAGCAGTCCCCCTGCCTCGGCCTCCCAAAGTGCTAGGATTACAGCCAGGAACCACTGCACTGAACCATGATTCATCCTGTCTTTGAATCTGCCCACCTGGAAGTGTTGTGTAAATTTTTCCGTAAAGACTGGACTTGGCTTCATTCAGTTCGACTATCAGATTCTTCACAGTGCCTCAGAGGTATGCTCTTACTGCTGCAAAAAAAAGCTGGGGGAGGAAAGTATTTTAAAATTATTGAATGATCCTTGCTTAAACTTGCAAATTTACAGTGGCCAGGAGCCACTGTACCACAAAATCATGGTAAAAAATTTTCCTCCTACTAGTACTTTTAATGAATTTATTACAATATTATTTCAAGCCCAACTAGAGAACTGGAATAGAATGATACATTTCATCCTGTTTGCTATACAGCCGGTTTTTATTACAAAAATCTTGTTTTTACTTTAGTTTCATTTTTAAGGCAAATATTTGGCCCCTGGTTGAGGGAGTAGCGTGTCAGCCCTCAGCATTTGAAAAGGGAATTGCATGTTGGTGGGGCCGTGCTCCCTCCCAAGCCTGTGGGAGAGGAGCCTTGCTTGTCTCATCCACTTCTAGTAGCCCTGGGCATTCCTTGATTTCCAGCACAAAACTTCAGTCTCTGCCTCTTGTTTACATGGCCATCTTCTCTGCGTGTCTGTGTCTTCAGACAGTGTCCTCTCTGTGTGTTATTTTCTCTTCTAAGGGCAGCTGTCTTTTGGGATTAAGGATACACCTTATTCCTTGCGATCCCAACAATTACATTTGCAACAACCCTATTCCAAATAATGTCACATGCTGATGTATTGTGGATCAGAACATCAACATATCTTTTTGGGAGGCACAATTCAACTCATAAGACCTGCCAAGCACCACTCTAGGTGCCAGATTACAGAACAAATAAGACAGAGTTCATGCTCTGCAACTACAAGGAGGTTGACATGAAACAAACAAAAACCAAGAGTATCAGTTCATGATAAGTGCTATGTAGACGATTATAGGGCACCTTAAACTTAGATCGGGTGCTACAGAGACAATTATATAATAGGGCACCTACTCTGAAAAGATCACTCTAGGGTGACCTTTAAGCTGAGATCCCAAGAAAAGATGAAGGCAGTCATGCAGAAATAGGAAAAAGAAGATTCAAGGTTAAAGAAACTAAGGCCCCAGGAGGAAAACAACTGCCCCTATCCCATTGCTCACAGCAAAATCTGTCAGCAAGAAGGGCTTCCTTTTTTTCCATGAATTTATGTATGACCTCACATATGATCTGCTTAAGTTTGAGCTCCTGGTAGTTAACTTTCTGTAAAGTTATGGACAGATGGAACAGCAACCCAAGGAATAGAACTTTTCATGCTCTAAAAAAAAAAGTATTCATCTTTAGCTTGAAGGTGGCATATTGTTTTATGGACTGTGAGGCAATTTTTATAGTTTGGAAGCTATTTTCCAAATATAAACTGAAATATCATTGAAAGGAAGTGTAGAAAATAAATAGAGAAACTTAGTGACTAGCTAAGTCCTCCTCATATCGCCTTAAATGATATCAGATCTGGTTTGCAACTACTCATTCATGAAAGACATTAGTTTCATTTACAAGAAAATCATCCCCAAATTTGTCTTAAATCAGATAAATTTAAAGAAATAAATGGGGCCAGGTGTGGTGGCTCATGCCTGTAATCCCAATAATTTGGGAGGCTGAGGTGGGTGGATGACCTGAGGTCAGGAGTTTGAGACCACCCTTGCCAACATGGTGAAACCCCGCCTCTACTAAAAATACAAAAATTAGCTGGGTGTGGTGGCGGGGGCCTGTAATCCCAGCTACTCGGGAGTCTGAGGCAGGAGAATTGCTTGAAACCGGGAGGCAGAGGTCGCAGTGAGCAGAGATTGTGCCACTGCACTCCAGCCTGTGTGACAGAGTGAGACTCCATCTCAAAAAAAAAAAAAAAAAAAAGGAATACTGAAATAATTATAAGAATATAATTAATGTAATATGAATAAAAAATGAAGAGAAATAATGTAGAAATAGCCATTATTTATGTTTGTGACTATATTTCATAGAAGCCACATTTTCCCAAGAATGTTCTTACCTTTTAAAATTCTATACATCCTATAGTATAGGACATAGTGATCTAAAGCTGGTATCTAAGTGGTTTCATCTCAAGGAAAATTAAAACATTGCATGAAATGAAAAACAGCAGAGAAAATTTAAGGGCCAAGATCTTTTGTACCTTTTCTATGTCAAGTTTGGGTTTGCATTTTCAAAACTCTTAGAAAGATTAACAATAAAAATAGGGCACCTTTTTTTAATCTCTGTTGTTTGCAGATATAAGCATATTTTACTTACTGAATTATTAACTTTTCCATATGCCTGTCAATTTTTAGAAAAAGACCAAGAACTTCTAAAATAACATGTCAGAATCTGTGATTCAGAGAGAGAACAAATGTATTCAGCTCTCAGAATAACCTAAGCTCTGACCCAATTGAGTCTTAAATGAGAAGCTTTCTAAGAATATGGTTGTTTCACAGTAACTTTCTATGAATTCTCTCAAACAAAATTTAACAAGGGCCACGACTTCTTAAGATATTCAAAATTTAACACTGCTCATCCTTTCATCCATTTTCGGGGGAAAAATCAAGCTACAAATCCTTAAAAATTAAGCAAATAAGCAGAAACCTTCCTGTACAATAAGCATTTCAAGACACTTCAGGAGGGTTGTGTCTTTCTATTGAGTTATATTTCAAGTAATTGCATTAGCAAAAAGGTGTTAGGAGATTAAACATAAAGTGTATTCCATGCAATCCCTTTGGGTCAAGGTACACTGCCCTAAACACACTAGACCAGTGTTCATTCATCTGTGGGATGGTGAAATTTCTCCCACTCTCCCTACCCCCAGAACCCTCACCTGTGGTTCTTGGAGGCACTAAACTCAGTTGTGGGGCATCCGTTGTTCTGGCCCAGAGGGTGGGCACCATGAAGGCTGTTGCTCCTGAGCCCCTTCCATCAGGGCAGCCACAAAGGAGGTCAGTTTTTATTCAGTTGGGTTTTCCGTTGTTTCTTAAAGGCCCACAGTTACAATATCAGAGGCCCGAGTGAGATGTTGGTTCCCTGGAAGAGTTAGCAAATGAGCTATGAATACCTTATTAATAGTAGCTTACCAAATAATTAACAAAGGCAGGTGGAGTCAAAACTCACATATAAATAAGTCACTTGGAGTACATTGTGATTGCTGAGAATGAAGATCTACTATACGGCTTACTCCAGTGAAAGTATATATTATATGAATGTAATTTCAGAGACCCTTTTTCTAAATCAACTATAGAAAAGCTAACTCTCTTTTCTTCTACTTTTTACATCACAATTAAAAGGAGACCCCATTCCTTTGGTTCTAGAAGTATGTTACAAGAACAAGAGCAAGAGTCTGTTGGCTTTTTGCTTAGCACCGGTATTCCTTTTGTGTCTCTCAAACTTGGCACGTGAGTAAGTCATTGAAGATTGAGTGTGTTATAGAAAGAAAAACCACACTTGAGTTTGAACCTGCAGCTTCAAGGAACAAAACAAATGTTGGCCTAAGAAAAAAAAATAGCGAGTTACTCAGTGTCCAAATGAATCTGCTGTTTTAGGGGGAAACACCTTGAAAGAGGTAAAGGGTAATTTCTTCACATGAGAACCACAGTACCTGGCAAGGTATCTGAGTGAACCAGGCTGTGGTGAAATGTTTTTCTCCTGAAGCATTTCATCACACCACTCTGACTTGCTACAATGACTGCCTGGACATGCTGACTCCAGTGAGTTCCAGGCATCAGTAGGGTCTGAAAATATAAGCAAAGGAAAACACTTCACAGATGTGGGTTATTTCAGAAAATTGAAGAGAAGGAGGGAGATTAGGGGTCCTAAGCAAAGCATTAATATTATGAGTCAGACATACCTGCAGTTCCCAGATGCTTTGCAGATTCATTTTGTGCCATGCAGCACACATCTTCTTCCTCTTTTACTCTTGCAGATTCTCCTGTTGATCCTCTTCCCTCCCACTTGGAAATTTTACTTCTGCTGGATTTTAAAGCTTTGATTCTTTTTTTTTTTTTTTTTTTTTTGTGGTGGAGTCTTACTCTGTTGTCAAGGCTAGAGTGCAGTGATGCAATCTCAGCTCACTACAACCTCCTCCTCCTGGGTTCAAGTGATTCTCCTGCCTCAGCCTCCCAAGTAGCTGTAGCTGGGATTACAGGGCCCGCCACCATGCCCGGCTAATTTTTGTATTTTTAATGGAGACGGGGTTTCACCATGTTGGCCAGGCTGGTCTCGAACTCCTGACCTCAAGTGATCTGTCCGCCTCGGCCTCCCAAAGTGCTGGAATTACAGATGTGAGCCACCACGCCTAGCCTAAAGCTTTGATTCTAAAGCAGGCTGCTCTGGCCTGGGTATATTGGCTTGATCACAATGGTTCCCTAGACATGGACTAAGCAAATTAGCAAATGAGATATACCTGGTGTAAGCCACCTTTCAGTGAAGAGACTAATTGGGAGTGAATGGGTCCTACATTCTTTATATCAGAACTCTTCTTGGTTCAAATTTGCCAAATGGTTGGCTACCTCTTAATTATATTTGACCTCAGAAAGCCAACCATACATCTATACTTCAGAGAAAGACAAAGAGTAAAAGAAAAGTAATCCAAGTGTCGGTTGCAGAGAATGGGTGCGGGGAGGAGGGTCTCTGCTTTACATCGTCATTCTGAAACTCAAGATCTTTCCTACTAATGCAGGACTCAGCACACTACAGCTCACAGGTCAAATATAGACAGATTTTGGAAAAGAAGAAAGGTTTTGTACATATTTAAAGGAAAGAAGCTGAAGGAGAAAGAGGAGGAGGAGGGGGAGAAGAAACAGAGACTTTATACAGTCTACAAAGCTTAAAATGTTTATTATCTGACCCTTTACAGGAAAAGTTTGCTGACCCCTCATATGACTCAGCAAATCTCTAGGGCTCTGAAGCACTTCACTGGGTCCCCCATAAGCAAACCTTGGAACAGAAAAAAGTGCTTGAAGGATTTTGTGGGAGGTGTTAGAACCAGGCTTCCAGGAGGCATATGCTTCTGGTAGATAGAACTCAATCACATCTACCTGCAAGGGAAGACAGAAAATAAAGTCAAGCTCTCTGCCCAGGAGGGAAAGGGGTTTGGTTGGTGAAAATGCAGTTGTTACAGGGCACCCAAGGTTAACTGCTAGGAGAATTAAATTGGCAGTTGTTGAGAGCTCAAGAGAGCCAGAGCACTTCAGACAAAGGTTATGGAGGTGGCTTCCCAGAAAAGATCAAACTAAGATGGCCAATCAGCAAGAGGGTGGGAAATGCAGGTAAATGGAATGAGATAATCACAGCACAAACATGGGAAATGTAAGGCTTGGCCAGGGAATAACATTTAACAAGGAAAAGGTCCCACTGGGAAGTTCTGGGATATCATCTGCTTAGAAAGAAAGATTGGGTTCAGGTTGTAAAAGGCCTTGAGTGTCAGTTCATATATATGGATACCAACTTTAAAAAAAATAATTTTTTTCGGATTTTTATCTTATTTTATTTATTTTTTACACTTTGGCAGCATTGTCTATGGATCTGGAAACTCTGCATGTTGGGTTTCTTCATAGGTGTCTCTGGATAAAGGCCACCCTCAGAAAATAGGGATACTTGGATCTCAATAAATGAAATAAAATTTTGAAACTTGACTCATCTTTTCTGAGGAAACAAACTTACAAATCATACATTTAAAGAAGTAGATGACAGCATTTATAATTGGTGTAAAGATAATAAAATGAATACTCAGGCTCCTACCAGCAGCGTTAAGTAACAAAACACTGCCAGTATTCGACACCTTTGTGCCCTTCTTGATCACATCTCCTTCTCCCTGCCACTAAGGGCAATACTGAAATTTATGGTACTTGTTCCTTGATTTTCTTTATAGCTTTACTACCTATTTATAGATTCCTGATAATATATTGTTTAATTTTACCTGCTTTGACCTTTGTACAGATGGTACTATATTATACATACTGTTCTGTGATGTGTTTTTGTCCAATGTTATGTTTGTTTGTTTTTTGAGACAGAGTCTCCCTCTGTTGCCCAGGCTGGAGTGCAGTGGCGTGATCTTGGCTCACTGCAAGCTCTGCCTCCTGGGTTCAAGTGATTCTCCTGCCTCAGCCTTCCGAGTAGCTGGGACTACAGGCGCCCACCACCACGCCCAGCTAATTTTGTTTTTGTATTTTTAGTAGAGACGGGGTTTCACCGTGTTAGCCAGGAGGGTCTCAATCTCCTGACTTCGTGATCTGCCCGCCTCGGCCTCCCAAAGTGCTGGGATTACAGGCATGAGCCACCGTGCCCAGCCCCAATGTTATGTTTTTAAGACTCATCCAAGTTGCTGCTTGTAGCTAGCAGCTAATTCATTTATATGGTATTCTGCTATATGTTAACCTACTCTTGATGGTCATGTCTCTTTCTTTTTAAATTGGAAAAAATGTATCTCTTTCAAAAACGTTAAAATAAATACTAAAAAGTCAAAAACAAAACAAAACAAAAACAGGAAATAAGATGCCTGTGAAGAATGCATTGCTTGTGTCTGCAGACTATTTAAAAGTCAAGGTATCTCTCCTTGGAATTTCCTGTTCTAATAGGAGTATAGAGCTTGGCTTATCATGTTCCATTTGATTTGCTATGACATTTATCTGTACTCTTTCTTGGTGGTTTGTTTTTTCAGATTACCAGTTCCTTGCATGTGATTGAAGGGTTCTAGCTGCTTTAGAAACTGCCCCGTCCCCTTGCCTTCACCCTGCCAGTTAAGAACATTCAGGGCACTTTTGTACTCACAGGTCTCAGATTTCCATTTCAGGACATTTGGGCATAGGCCTTCATCAGAGAGTTTCCTCACATATCTCGGGCTGTTGACAACATGACTTGCCTTTTGTAATCCAGTTATTCTGGACATAATGTAAGTGACAGTGATAATTCTATGTTATTCATCTTCCTTGTTAGGCTTTTGTTCTTGAGTCTATTCGTGGCTCAATTTTGTAAATGAAGAAAGCCATTTCTTTTCATGTCTTAAGCCTGGCTGAGAGAACATTTCTCAGCTTCTGTTGACACATCCATTCAACTGTCCACCTAAGAAAGCCTGGAGATACTGATACAGCACCACAAGACATCAGTGCACAGTCCCATGAGAAAACCTCAACTGTTCAAGCCTCACTCTCTAAGATAGTTTTCAAGAGTGTTAACAACTATCTTATTCCTTCTTACAGAAAAGAAGCAAGAAAATTTTTCCAAGAGTGGTAAAACATTTTACCTCTCAAACATTTCTCTAAGTTTCTTTTCCTTTTTGTTGTGTATTTCACAGGCAGGTTTCAATTCTGAATAATGAGCATACGTTTGCCTCTTGAGAACAACCTGAGTTGCAAAAACTCCTTTTTAAGCTTTTCTGCTCAAAGCAATCAACTCTATAAATTATACATCTCTTACTTGATATGCATTTTCTAATAGGTAGTCTAAAGCCATCCCGTATGAATACTCATTTTCACATTAAAGGTGGAAAAAACTTAAAAGCCTTTCTTTTTTTCTATTTTTTTTTTTTTTTTTGCCAAGAGGCAGATATTCTTCTTTTGAAAAGTCTGTTTATTCCTGGTGGGAAGTTTTATTTCTATCTTCAGAAACATCATTTTAAATTTGCGTAATCAGTTCAGCAAACTGCTTCTTATAGTGATAAATAAATATCAAATTAAACTTGCAATTAAAATTTACTAAAAATATAGGTTGCTATAATTTTGTTGGTGATAAAAGTACAGAAGTAGAAATGATTAATGATGATTACTAATTATGCAGCTGTGTTCAGAGCACACAAGTCTATGGAGCTATAGCTTTTTAGCTAAATAACGATGTTATTCCAGGAAAAACCTTTGTATATAATATCTAAATGCAACACATTTCCAGTCAGAACAAACACCCCCATTACCTCATAACGCTTAGCTTGACAAAGAGAACCAGAAAAATAGAATGCTAGAATAATCGTCTCATATCCTCTTTTGCTTATTGTAGTTTTTTTGTTGACTGTTAGATTAGAGTTTCTAAGAAAAAAATGCCATCAATATGAGAAATTATCTGGTATTAATAATAGTGAAGACAGGAGTAGCTTGTTAAAATTCTGGCTTCTTTCTTTCCTAAATTTTGTATATCCTGTCTTGGAATTTCATATTAAAAATAACTTACTGGTGCTGGGCGTGGTGGCTCATGCCTGTAATCCCAGCACTTTGGGAGGCTGAGGTGGGAGGATCGCGAGGTCAGCAGTTCGAGACCGGCCTGGCCAACGTGGTGAAACCCCATCTCTACTAAAAATACAAAAATTAGCCAGGAGTGGTGGCACCCACCTGTAATCCCAGCTACTCGGGAGGCTGAGGTAGGAGAATCGCTTGAACACGGGAGGCAGAGGTTGCAGTGAGCCAAGACCACACCACGGCACTCCAGCCTGGGACAGAGCGAGACTCTGTCTCAAAAAAAAAAAAAAAAAAAAAAAGTAAAAGTAACTTATTGGTAAGGCTAACAAAGTCACTAAAAAATAAAATCACTAAATAATTTTTTTTGTTTGTTTGTTTTTGGTTTTGTTTTATTTTGTTTTAGAGATGGAGTCTTCTGTCACCCAGGCTGGAGTGCAGTGGAGCAATTGTAGCTCACTGTAGCCTCAAACTCCTGGACTTAAGTGATCCTCCTGCCTCAGCCTCTCCAGATGCAAGTCACTGCACCCAGCAGCTTCCTAAATATTTGACTTGTAGACAGAAGACCTGGATTTGATCCTATCATCTATTACTTAAAATAAGAAAACCTACAAATTAGGTAGCCCTCAATTTTTTTAACCACATATTATTTTTGATTAGCACAAAAATCCCATTTTCCCTTCCCTCTTCTTCACTTGTGTAGAAAATCATTATTTTACAAAAAACAATCTTAGAGATAAAACAACAGAGACCTATAGAGGTTATGTGAAATTATAATATCTCAAACTCAGTTCTCTTATATTCTAGTCATGTGTTACTTTCAGTATGCAATCAACAAACAAAACTAGGCTGGGCATGACAGCTCATGCCTATAATCTAGCACTTTGAGAGGCTAAGGCAGAAGGATTGCTTGAGCCCAGGAGTTTGAGACCAGCCCAAGCAGCATAGCAAGACCCTGTCTCTAAAACTAAAACAAAAATAAACACACAAAAAGGAGACAGAGAAAGGCAGAGAGAAAAAGAGGAGAGACAAAGGGAGAAAAAGAAAAAAACAGAGAAAGGGAAGAAAGAAGAAAGATAAAAGAGGGTGTTGTTGTGAATGTTAAGTATGGCATTCCAAGTAGAGAAGAAAATGATAAAGTAGTAGAAAAAATATGGAAATTTGGAAAAAGTTGTCCTCAAACCAGAATAGCTACTGAGACTACCAAATTGTGGCTGTAATTTAGTGGATAATTAACATGAAAAATGTTGGATTAGGGAGATGCATACAATTTTCCTTCACAGAGGTGGCTTGGTGTGATGGAAAAGATAAAAAACAAACAAAAACTCGTCTAGAAATTCAATGCTTCTGTTGGAATTTGGTTCCACCTCTGAAGTGCAGGGTGACCTCGTCCATGTTGTGTAACTTATTTACTCTTCTTTCCTCATATGGGAAATGATGATAGAGTATCCATCAACCTACCCACATCACAGGGTTATCTGAGGAACTGATGATATCACTGTTGTATAAAAGCTTTTTGAAAGTTGTAAAGCACCAAAGCAACATGTAACATATGACCACAAGTAAACCACATGCTGTTCCTTCGCGTGGAAGTTGGAAAGTCAAATGCAAAAGTAAAATGGAGGAGATGGGTTACATCATTTTAAAGAAAAATGCAGCTGATCCCATTAACCACAGCCAGATTTTTAAGACCAACTTTGACATTTTTTGAGTGCTTAATCTTTTTTTTTTTTTTTTTTTGAGACGGAGTCTTGCTCTGTTACCCAGGCTGGAGTGGAGTGGCGTGATCTCAGTTCACTGCAAGCTCCGCCTCCCGGGTTCACGCCATTCTCCCGCCTCAGTCTCCCGAGTAGCTGGGACTACAGGCGCCTGCCACCGCGCCCGGCTAATTTTTTGTATTTTTAGTAGAGACAGGGTTTCACAGTGTTAGCCAGGATGGTCTCGATCTCTTGACCTCGTGATCCGCCCGCCTCAGCCTCCCAAAGTGCTGGGATTACAGGCGTGAGCCACCGTGCCCGGCCAGTGCTTAATCTTAAGCAACAGACCTTACGCAATTTTGTTTTAGTATCATGAACACAAGAATCTGTTTGTTTTTGTTTTTGTTTTGTTGTTGTTGTTGTTTTTGACAAAGTGGTTTGAAGAGGCATTGGGGAAGGAAGCAAGATACTCACAACTGAGGGGACCTCAGCCATTTGCCTCCTTATTTCAGAGCATTGTGAGATGACGGTAAGGAGGAGGGCTCACAAGGGGCTCGTGTCTGCCTCTCCGTCTGCCGCTGAGTGACGAAGAGCAAACTGCAGAGCTGGAGACACAGCAGTATCCCAGAGAACTGGCCTGATGGCTCCTCCTGGGCCACGCACCTCCTGTCAGAGCTGGCCAGTTAGCGTTGGCAGACAACCTAGTTAGGACAAGGACATAGAATCAGAGTGGCTGACACAAGAGAGCTCCTCACTGTGACAGCAACTCAAACTTCTGGGGCTCCAGAAAGGAAATAGATGTTTGGAAACAGATATGACAAAAGGCCTTTCCCTTCAACTGCTCAGCATGTGAGACTGAATTTTGGAAGATTAAAAAAAATAAAATAAAAAGAACCATTGTTCATCCCCTCAGGGCTCAGCAAGTGTTTTATCACATTTTTATGAAATATAGTCTTCGCCGCAGAGCTTTGTTTGCATGAGGGTGTGTCCCATCCATGGGTGGAAAATTTCCATAACTTTTTTCCATTCTGTTCTGTTCCTCCCTCTTTTGTACAGTTTTTCAGGGTCTCTGTCCATTGTGATTCTAACATGGACCAACCCTAAGGACCAATGTTATTTGCTATTTTAAAACTTGAAAGATCAAAATGGCAGGGGAAGAAATCAGAATCCTTTTAGTGCCAATTACTCGCCAAATGTCTGTATGAAGAGCCAACGTGACACCTTTCTTACTTAATTCATCCACCAGTGACATTTGTTAAATGATTATTCAGCCAATACTATGTCAAAGAATACCATATACTTTAAAAAATCCTTTAATTCAGCAAATCAGCTGATATGAGTGATTTTGTTCCTAAAAAGGTTGGTGTGTTTAAATCTCTTTCCCACTTGCAGTCTTCCCTACTGCTGTGTCTGAGGCAGGTGTTGACAGTTGTTATTCTGTGGTAGGAATTTTTAGAAACAACAGCACTGTAGGGTGGACAAATGGCTTCATCAGGAAATCATGCACTGGTTTGAGATAAGCAAGGGTGGATTTGAAAATCACCTTCCCTTTAGTGTCACTTGTACTTTCTCTTCCTTTAGCTGCTCTCTGTTGTGAATTCTGTCCCTGCAAAGCTTGTCACATACTCCTTACATACACCCTCCTTTCTTGCACAGAGCAATGATCTTACCATTTTCTGAGAGAAACTCATAGATTCGTGTATTACGAGACAAAAGTTGACATCAGTCTTCTCTTAGATCGTTTACAGAAACAAAACAAAGAAACAAAAGAAAATTAGTGCTTTCTGCAGAGGAACAGGTACACACACTGGGATGCCCTGCACTTCCTGGACAATCAATTCTGGAAACACTATGGTCACCTACAGCACCACAATGAACTGCATTCCAAGAAGCCTGGAGAGCAAATGCTGAGATGTTCTTTTTGGTACAATGCAAAAGCATATCACATTGCTGTTTGCCCACAGCACACTTTTTAACTTAAAAGTAAATGCTAATACTTTGAAGATTAAATATTAAAAAAAAAACCTCAAACCTAAGCAAATTTTAGTCTCTCTGGAAAAGCAATTGATAAATAATACACTCAAACTGTGACTATATTTTCACACTGTTAAGAATTTATTTATTAAAAAATAATATGTTTCTGGAAACAGCTCCCTTTTGATCATCTCCCCAGAGCTAGAATATACACACAAATTCTATGGAATCAAAGCCTTGTAGGTAAGAAACAATTTTGTTAGATGAATTCTTCAGGAAAGAAGATCATGCCAAGATAGGCCATCTACTTTTAAAAAAAAAAAAAAAAACTGGATTCTCCATCCTATAATAATAGATCATAAGTTGAATCTGTAGTGTGTAATGTGTCAGCTTGGCTAGGATGAACTACATTTCACAGAATTCCTGTTCTTGTATCTTTCCGGGTAAGGTGAGCTATGTGGAGAGGTTCTTGTGGGAGAAAGGAGGGTGGAAGGGAAGCAGCAGCCACATTTCAGCCGCCCCCTAAACACTGTGGCTTATCTGCTGGCTTACTTCCTTGGTGTGGGCAGTGGCCAGGCTTGCAGCTGTTTCATCTTCCCATGTATCCTCCTTCAGCTTTTCTGATTCCTTCTCTGGTAATTAAAAAGTACAAACTGCTCTAGATATAGTGGTAAGACATTTGCACACCAAGGGTAGGAAATAAACCCCACAAATATCAAGTCTGAGGCATGTTGAGGCACCCCACAAATAGAGACCAGAACAAGAGAAGGCTCCGTAAGTCCAGACTGCTCTGCAAGCAGCTCTGCCACTTAGACCACATGATCCAGAAGAGCCAATGGTGCTTGAAATGCCAGTAACAGAAAGAAAGGCTGTTTAAAGCCTTTGCCAGGCTCCTATAGGTACAGCACAGACAAGACCCTTAGAATTTTGGAAGAAAGCCCTGCCATTCTTGATAGGTAATGATTCTTCTTTTATGAAATAGCTTTTATGTTATTACCGGGCCTTGGTAGAGACTGAATGTTTGACGATGGGCTACCAAGTTACCATATGACCTGAGCTGCCCATTACTAGTGTTGTCTGAGTCACCAGGCCATAAAGTTGAGTATGCACAGAAGGACTCTCTGATTAAATGGAAGTGGTAGATACGAAATTGGGCCTCAGCAGGGCCTGAAAGCACAAATACGTTGCATGAGCAAGTGGCCTACATATCCGTGACCCTTACTCCTATTACATTGCCTTCTTTCTCTCAACTTACACCTATGACCCTTGGAGAGCTTCCTATGACAAGCTGATAAAGGGATAAAAATCTTGGGCCTAGTTTGCAGAACTTCAAGCAATGCTCCTGGTCATTCATTTTGCTTCAAAGAATAAATGTCCAGAAGTACAAGTCAACACTAACTCATGGGCTATTTGGTTGTATGGTCAGAGAATTGGAAGGAACATGATTGAGAAATTGGTGACAAGGAAATCTGGTGAAAAGGTAGGTTGATGGACCTCTTCAAATGGGCATAGTATGTAAAAATATCTGTGTTCCATGTGAATGCTCGCCAAAGGGTAAACTCAACAGAGGAGGATTTTATTCATCAGGTGAACAGAATGAGCCATTCTGTGGACATTCGTCACCTTTCTTCCCAACCAACTCCTGTCATTACCCAACTGGAAAATGAAAAAAACAAAAAAAAGGCAATGGTGGCAAAAAATGGCAGTTATGCGTGGGCTCATCGACATGAACTTCTACTTACCAAGGCCTATCTAGCTATAGCCACCACTGAGTGGTGCCAAAACTGAGTGCCTGATCTGTTAACAGCAGAGATTGACAGTGAGCTCCTGACATGGCACCATTCCCAGCTACTAGGCTGATTACATTAGATCACTTCCCTCATGGAAGTGGCAGTGTTTGGCTCTTACTGGAATAGACACTTGTTGTGGATATGCATTTGACTTCCCTGCCCACATGCTCCTGCTAAAACCACTACAAAAACCATGTACAGAATAACTTATTCACTATCACGGTATTTCACACAGCATCACTTTTGACCAACAAATTTGTGTCACAGCAAATGAGGTACAGCAATGGACTCATGCAACCCACTGATCTTACCGTGTTCCCCGTCACCCTGAAGCAGCTGGCTTGATAGAATGGTGGAATGTCCTTTTGGAGACTCATGTATGGTCTTTTAGGATGCAAAGTATGCTCTAGATCAGCATCCAACATATATTTCTGTTTCTTCCTTAGCCAGAACTCATGCGTACGGGGATCAAGGGGTGGAAATAGGACAGGATCTTCTCACTATTATCCCTAGCAGTTCACTAACAAACGATTGCTTCCAGTCCCTGTGACATCAGGCTCGGGTGGTAAAGAGGTCTTAGTTCCAAAAGGAGGAGTTCTTCTGTCAGGGGACATATGATGACTCGGTTGATCTGGAGTGCCACCTGACCGCTTTGACTCATGCCATTGAATCAACAGGCAAAGAAGGCAGTGATTCAATCTAGGCTGCTTCTACACAAAGAGAATCAGGAGCATGTCTTGAAAGCTAAAGTTCTAGGTTTCCTGTTAGTACTACCATATCCTGTGATTAAAGTGAATAGAAAACTACATCAGTTCAACTTAACAAGACTGCTAATGTCCTAGAACATTCAGGAACAAAGATTTGGTTTATATCACCAGGCAAAAACCCAAGACCAGTTAAAGTACTTACTGAGAACAAAGGGAACATGAAGTAGGTAGTGGAAGAATGTAGTTCTAAATACCAGCTGTGGTCATGTGACCAGTGACAGATACAAGTACTGTAATAATTATGAGTATTTCTTCATTTTTATAGGACTATATGCAAACATACATATAAATATATGTATATATATTTCTTTAACCAATTACTTTGTATTTGTCTTCTGTCTCATTCCCTTATCATCTAACATAAAATGTGTTAATACTATTTAACTTAATATCTCAATGTATAAGTTGTAGGATATCAAAGGAGAGGTGAGAATCTGTTGTGAATCTGTTAAAAGAAAAATGAATATCACCCAAAATCATAACAAGAATGTTGGATTCTCTCTTACAGAAAAGTGTATTTTGGTTGTTCTTGGGACAGACATATCATGTTAGAGGCAGGCACAACTTTGTTATTATCTGTAATTGGAAATTAAGTTTGAGTTAAGGAGAGAGTAGGAGGCCAAGTTGTCAAGGTGTGGCTTTGTAAAGAGCGAACCCAACTAGACTGAACTCTGTTTCCCAGAATTCCCTTTTTTGTGTGTTTCTGGTTAGGGTGGGTCACAGGAGAGATTCTCGGGCAAAATTTGGAGAGGGGAGTAAAGCAGCAGCCATTTGCTACCTTATATATGTCTCTTCGCTGCTGGATCACCTCTTGCATGAGACAGCAGCTGGGCCTGCAACTGTTCCACCTTCCCCTGGATGGATCCTCCTGAAGCTTCTCCAACTCCTGGGCCAGGTACACACCTTTACTGAGCTCTGTTATGAAGGGCTCTGCCTCTGAAGGACGTTATACAACCAAGGTTAGAGGCATTCAGAACTGGTGCAAGTTTCAGTCTGTCCTTGTGAGCCCCCACTGTGTCTGGGGTTCTAGCCTGCTCTGGTTCTTCCCCACTTTATATCCATCTTCCTTTCCTGACAACCTGTCATTGGAATTCAAGCTCCAGCATTGGATATGAAGACAACAGCTTTACAGACATGACTTAACCACTTAACCACACCACACTATTATGTAATGTCAAATCCCTGGAACTGTATAAATACATATACATACATACACACAGGCATCCTAGTGTTTTTGCTTCTCTTATTGAAAACTTAATAATACAGTATTTTAGTTGAACGTTAAAAGATTACATTCTTTGAGAAAAACAGCTTTTTGAGGTATAATTGACATACAACAAACTGCACATATTTAAGTTGTACAGTGTGATAAATTTCGACATATGCAGATCCCCTAATCAAGACAGTGAACATATTCATCACCCTCCAAAGTTTGCTTGCTCCCCTTTCTATCCCTCTGTCCTTTCCACTCCTTCCCCATCTCCCCAGACAACCACTGCTGTGCTTTTTCTTCCTCTAGATTAGTTTGCATTTTCCAGAGTTTTATATAAACAGAATCATACTGTATGTACTCTTTTTTTGGTCTGGCTTCTTTCACTCAGCATAATTATTTTGAGATTCCTCTATTCTGTTATGTGCTCATTCTAAAATAGTTTACTCTACAAGGTTAAATTCTTTTTTTTTTTTTTTTTTTTTTTTTTTTTGAGATGGAGTCTCACTCTGTCGCCTGGGCTGGAGTGCAATGGCCTGATCTCAGCTCACTGCAACCTCCGCCTCCTGGGTTCAAGCAATTCTCCTGCCTCAGCCTCCTGGCTAGCTGGAATTACAGGAGCCCGCCACCACGCCTGGCTACTTTTTTGTATTTTTAGTAGAGACGGGATTTCACTATGTTAGCCAGGCTGGTCTCAAACTCCTGACCTCGTGATCCACCCGCCTCGGCCTCCCAAAGTGCTGGGATTACAGGCGTGAGCCGCCACTCCTGGCCCAAGGTTAAATTATTAATAAACAACATTCTGGTTAAGTATAGATCCATCATATGCATTTAGATGCATTGTAACTGGGCATAACTTAGAGAAACCAAAATCCAGACCATCAGAAATAATGCATTAGGAGCATTTCCTTATATCAGGAAGGTCTAGAGATAGTACCATTACATCAGCCTCACCATTAAGTGGTGGGGAAAAAAGCTTCTTTGGAAAGGGTTTCCAAAGGCTGGACTTTACATAAAACAGAGATTTTGGTAAGTGGAGTAGGGCTGGACATCACCATCTCCAGAGGTTAGCCAGGAAACCTAGGGAAGGGATGGCATGCCATCTGCTGAATTTTGAGTGTGGCATCTTCTGAGGGAGTCATGGAATGACATCAGCCTGAATAACCGTGAGTCATTCTTGTTCATACCTTTCCCCAGCACCATCGGCATGTGAATTCAGCAGCCCCAGAGTTTCTCCTTTCATCCAGTTTTGTTCTAGCCCCATTTGCTCTCATATTGCCCCAGATGAGCCAGGAGGGACAGACTGCTCCATAGGGTGCCTGAAAACCTCCAAATATGAGTCATGGAAAGCAACATCATGTAGTTGGCATTTGACTGAAAATCAAGAGGTCTGGATGTTAACCAAGAGCTGCCACTTAATTATAAGCTATGTGACTATGGATAAATCAAATTCTCTCTCTGAATCTCATTTCGTCAACTGTAAACTGAAGGAGTTGGACAAGGTGATCTTGAAAATATCTGCATTCTGTGTAATTAAGAGTGGAGTAACAGGCCAGGCGCGGTGGCTCACACCTGCAATCCCAGCATTTTGGCAGGCTGAGGCGGGCACATCACCCGAGATCAGGAGTTCAAGACCAGCCTGGCCAACATGGTGAAACCCCGTCTCTACAAAACTACAAAAAAAATTAGCCAGGCGTGGTGGCGTGCACCGTAATTCCAGCTACTCCAGAGGCTGAGGTGGAAGAATCGCTTGAACCTGGAAGGCGGAGGTGGCACCATTGCACTCCAGCCTAGGTGACAGAGCAAGACGCCATCTCAACAACAACAACAACAACAACAACAACAACAACAACAAATTAGCTGGGCATGGTGGCGCGTGCCTGTAATCCCAGCTACTCAGGAGGCTGAGGTGGGAGGATCGCTTGAAACCAGGAGGCAGAGGTTGCAGTGAGCTGAGATAGTGCCATTGCACTCCAGCCTGGGCAACAAGAGTGAAACTCCATCTCAAAAAAACAAACAAACAAACAAACAAACAAACAAAAGAGTGGGATAATAAATGCCCAGAGGATTAACAGGTGTAGTCATGCCAAGCACCATGTGGATAGCCTGAATTAAATCCCTACTTGTAAATGTGCTAGGCTATAGCATGGCCATCCATTCATCCATCTGCTCACCCATCCATCCACCTGTCCGTCAATAAATATTCACTAAGCACTTCTATGTGCAGGACATTGTGGTCAGCACTGGAGACAGGAAGATGAATATGGTCTAGCTCCCTTCTTCAAGGTGCTCACAGTTCAGTGAGGGCAGAAACATTTACACATAACTAATTATGCATGATAATTTTAAAATGTATATTTAGAACAGAGATGGTGTTTTGGTAATATCTTGATCCTCAGAACTTTGTACAAAGTTAAAGCAAAATAATTGTTTTTTCTGAATATCAGAATACATGGAACAAACAGCATTTTAGAAAATTCTACAGGGAGATATGGGAAAGAGGGATTTAAAATATTTCTTTAAACTAAAAATAGAACTACCCTTTGACCCAGCAATCCCATTCTGGATATATACCCAAAGGAAAATAAATCATTCTACCAAAATACACCTGCACTCATATGTTTATTACAACGCTAGTCACAAGAGCAAAGACATGGGATCAACCTAGGTGTCCATTAATGGTGGACTGGTCAAAGAAAATGTGATACATACACACCATGGAATACTATGCAACCATAAAAATAAATGGAATCATGTCCTTTGCAGAGATGTGGATGCAGCTGGAGGCCATTATCCTAAGTGAATTAGCGCAGAAGCAGAAAATCAAATATTGCATGTTCTCACAAGTGGGAGCTAAATATTGAGTACACATGGACATAAAGATGAAAACAATAGACACTGGGGACTCCAAAAGTGGGGGAAGAGGGGAGGAAGCAAAGCAAGACTTTAACAGCTGCCTATTGAATACTGTGTTCACTATTTGGGTGATTGTTCGAACAGAAGCCCAAACCTCAGCATCACTCAATACAGCCATGTAACAAAGCTACACATGTACCCCCTCAATCTAAAAAAAATTTCTTTAAGTTCCTTTAGGAAACTCACGGCCCCCCTTTTCCCTGACATGTCTTACCGACAGTTATATATATTTCTATATGTATTCATTACTGCAGCAGACCTTTAGGAAGAGAAAGAGGAAAGAGAAGAAAATTCAAATTCTACTCTCCGTATAACTGAACAAGTAACCATCAATTTTCCCTCTCTGGAAAAGGCCACGAGCTTTCTAGGAAAAGAAGACACTATCTAGAATTAGCCAAATTTAATTAAGTTGATGTTATTAACTTACACTATTATATACAAATGTGATGATTGTAAACTGGAAGTTCATCTTCACGAAGCAAATAAATATTTTTGAGACTTATGTCATCAACACTAAAATGTTTACGTATTAGCATCTACATTCTCCATAGATAGTTTTAAATAATTAAATTTATATTTTTCAAAACACTACTTGATTTTCCTCAGTTTTGTTAGAATCAAATAACTGTTGGTTAAAAGAGAACAATAAACAGCTTATACCAACTGAGAAAACCTGAACATCATTTCTAATTTTTGTTCTTAACTTGTACAGTTGAAGATATTATTAAGGAAACAGAAAATACATATTTTAATGGTTAAACTTAAAATGTTTAACTATTCGGCATCCAGCAAACTGGGTGAAGTTTGCTCTTCTATCTGACTTCCGAGAAGCCAGCAAGCCAGGTCATGTGGCTGGCTGACCTCCCAGCACCACCTACCTCAACTCCATGAGATGCCATCAGATCCCACCCAAAGGAGCCAGTCGTCCCCATGAAACAATGACCAATTCTTACAAGACACAACTGGAGCTCTGTTGCTGTGGCACAGGAAGGCTCGATAAGATCTCCCAGCCACAGCATTCTTTTGTGTCAGCAGACTCAAGTGGGATGTTCCTTCTGCAGCTCTTACCGAGCAAGAGGAAGCGGGCTTTGAAACACAATGTTCATTGAAATTGGCTTTCATCTGAGGAATCCCAGGGTGGCTCCTGCTTCATGATGTGCATTCTGTCTGCAGCTGAGCTCTCCTGATGCATTTCCCTTGTTTGTTCTGGGGGGAAGGCAGCACCTTTACGGGACTCACCCTTTTACTAGGTAAAGGGCATCGCATTGTGCTGGGCGAAGCATTATGTGTCAGGATGTCTCCAGTGAGTCTGGAGCCTAGAAGGAGCATCAAAAATAAAATTAAAAAAAATCAAGTCCTCCACCATCCTGGCTCACTGATGGAACAATTTAGGAGAAGAACACAAAGCCATCTAATGACCCTGGGGAGCATTTGCTTGTTTGGTGACCTTAGGCGCAGGAAGTCATTTATCACTCTAGTTGCTACATTGGGCACAATGCCACAGGACACAAATGGGGGTACTGAACGTAAGTCTGAGTGTTGGCCCAATAGTACCTGTCCAGAAGCAGCCTGGGATCCATGATCCATTGCAGGGCAATTATGGCTCTTAAGAAAATGAAGAGAAGTAAGTAATCCACAGTATCAAATCATGGGTGAGAAGTCTCTCCATCCCATTGCCCTAGTTTTATAACTTAGCAATTCATCTTCTTTTCAGAGAAAACCATTCTGGATCCCAAACAGATTTTCTCTGATTAAGAAATAGTCTCAATCAGTACATGGAGAAAAAAGCAAACACTGTTAAGCCCATCTTTTCTTGCTAGACACCTCTTCCTTTCTATCTGCTCCACCCAATCTGGGCCAGTTTATTATGCAAAATGAGATAAGCAGTCAACTCCCAATAGGAATAGAAGAAAGAACACACCACTTTTTCACTTCCACGGCACTTTTAACTCTGCACATATTTTTTCCTTTGACTCTCAAAATAACCTGGCAAAGTTAGATAGGCATTGTCTATTTTCAGCAGTACAAGGAGTTAGTACAGAGACAAAGTTAAAGACCCTTGAACCTCATAAAGAGCTGGCAGCAGAAAGTACAGAACCCACATGTCAGGTTCCTCAGGTAGGCCCTGTTCATCAGGTCAGATCCCTTAGGCATGTGGACAAGTGACCAGTCTCCAGTTGACTGTAAAGGCTGGCTTTCATCACCACCAGCGGGCTAACCTCCTACATATATCTGTGTGTCTACGGCAAGGTCGACAGAACCCATATATAAGGAAATACTGATACTGAAAAACTTGAAAAACCTGGAAGTTGCTTCTTGGAATCCAGTGTTCTTGTCCCAAGGTAAAAAGAATAGATGTCAATCTTGTAACTGACGCAAGACACTGACGAAAATGACAATCCATGCACTTAGCTTTCCCAAGAATGAAATGAATCAAAAAGTACCAAGAAATCAAAATTCTAGCTAAAGCTCATGAAAAGGACTCAAAACTACTCTCTGAATGGCTTATCTTTAGCTGAGCTCATAACAGAACTCTTAAATTTCTGAAAATTTGGTAGAATCTTCTTGTGAAATTCTTCAGAAAGGATTGCCCAAACCTAGGGATAGCAAAAGTTTTTGATGACCTTTCCGCTACCTATGACTCAACTTATCCCTGATTACAATAGGCTTCTGGAGAAGAGAATTTATATTAGCAATTGGCTTTGAGTAAAAGGGTCTGTGAAACTATCTGTTCCTCATCAGGTCCCTCCCCCAACCCAGGTTAAAAGAATAAAATGAAATTAAATTATTAAATAAAATGGATAACAACTGGCCAAAACTCTGCAAAGGAGATTCTTAAATTGAGTGGGATACTCTGGGGTTCTTTTTAACTCTAACACTCTATGACTTTTTAAAAATGCTAGCCGGGCGCGGTGGCTCATGCTTGTAATCCTAGCACTTTGGGAGGCCAAGGTGGGCAGATCACTTGAGGCCAGGAGTTCGAGACCAGCCTGGCCAACATGGTGAAACCCTGTCTCTATTAAAAATGCAAAAAATTAGTCAGGCATAGTGGTGCACACCTGTAATCCCAGCTACTCGGGAGGCTGAGGCAGAAAAATCGCTTGAACCCCGGAGGTGGAGGTTGCAGTAAGCCAAGATTGCACAACATCAGCCTGGGCTTCAAAGCGAGACTCTGTCAAAAAAAAAAAAAAAAAAAATCTAGAGAATAATGCTGGAGCACATAATTTATATATACATATGTATTTATACAACACACACATCTTTGAACAACATGGGTTTGAACTGTGCTGGTACACTTATACATGGATTTCCCTCGGCCTCTGCCACCCCTGAGATAGCAAGACCAACCCAACCCCCCCCTTCCTCAGTCTACCAAATCTGAAGGCAATGAGAATGAAGACCATTGTTGATCTACTTTCATTTAATTAATAGTAAATATATTTTCCCTTCCTTATGATTTTCTTTTTTCCTCTAGCTTACATACAGTATATAACACATATAACATACAAAATATGTATTAATTGTCTGTTTATGTTATCAGTAAGGCTTTTGGTCGACAGTGAGCTGATGGTAGTTTTAAGGGAGTTAAAAGCTTTACTTGGATTTTCAACTGCACAAACCCCACACTGTTCAAGGATCAATTGTCTGTATATTCTCTGGGCTGGGACCACATAATGTCCAGAAGAGAGATCACATATTATATTAAAGCACATCTAATTCAATTTGTCTTAATTTAGGGAAAAACATATGTGTTGAATACTGCTATGTGTCCAGGGCTGTATAATGCAACAAATAAAAAGATACATCCCTGCCCTCAAGGACATCATAGTATGGTCTGAAGGCAATCACATAAACAGATGTTTTTAGTACAATATACAATGTGTTGAGATAGAGTGATACCCACGGTAATATGGGCCCTAACTGGATGGACCCTAACTTGTCTTATGAAGGAATGGGAAAGACTTGCAGTGGAGGTAATGCCTGTGCTGATACTTTAAGCTTGAAAAGTAATTATTTAAGTAAAGAAGATAATAAAGGATATTCTAGACAGAAGGACTAACAAGAGAAAAAGTGAGGAGGACTGAAACACAAGGCACATTTGAATAAATACAAGAAGCTTGGTATTCCTAAAAAGCTAAGGGCAAGGAAGAAATGGGGTGAGGCATGTATGCAGAGGCCAGAATGAAGATGGTCTTGAAATTTTAAAGCTCCTGTAAGATATAGATCAAACAAATCAGAACAGGATTTAGGTCTCACCACTTTTGATACTGAGAATTCAGAAATTAGATAGTGTGAGGTAAGAAATCAAAGAAACTAAAAAGGCAAGGTGGAGGTTTTCCTAAGATCAAAAGATTTGCTTAGAGGTGATGAATGACAGCTAGAGGTGAAGGCGGAGGTAAAACATTACTGACATTTTGGCAAGTTGCTTATAGCCTCTTGGGAGACCTTTAAAGAGAACTAGCAACATGATTCTTTTCTTCCTTAGAAGTAACCAACAGGACATCTATAAAGGCCTAGGTCTTACCTACATTTCTGTGGACCTAAGAATAAATAAGAAATCAGACATAAGAAAAAAGGGAGAAGAAAAAGATCAAACTTTGCAGGATATATGTAAAACACTTTTAGTGACCTTAAATTATAAGGTTAAAAATGTAATGAAAAGGAAATGGTTTTGAAATTAGATGGTCGAATACAAACTGAAAAAAGAAAATGAAGAGAAATGGCCAGGCATGGTGGCTCACACCTGTAATCCCAGCACTTTGGGAGGCTGAGGCAGGTGAATCACTTGAAGTCAGAAGTTCGAGACCAGCCTGGCCAACATGGTGAAACCCCGTCTCTACTAAAAATAAAAAAATTAGCCAGGCATGGTGGCACAGGCCTGTAATCCCAGCTAGTCAGGAGGCTGAGGCAAGAGAATTGCTTCAACCCAGGAGGTAGAGGTTGCAGTGAGCCGAGATTGTGCCACTGCACTCCAGCCTGGGCAACAGAGCAAGAATCTGTCTCAAAAACAAACAAACAAACAAACAAAATGAAGAGAAGAAAGTATTCCACAGTGTCAAATCATGGGTGGTTTGAACTTGCTTATAGAAAGTAACAATAGCAAAGATAACTTGAGTTTAACAAAGGGTAGTGCGTATTCAGTAAATTAGAAATAAGGAAGAATACAGGGTCCTTTCTTTGGTTGGAAAACTAATAGAAACTACTATTATTAATATAATTTCACAATAAAGCAAGAAAGAACTTTATTAAAGCAATCCAGAAGAGAATCCCTAGGGCTTTGCAGGGAAGGGGCTTGAAGTATGCCTCACTGCCTCACCCGCCCCTCCATTCTTCCCAAACCCCATCTCTTAGTGATTTAGCAAGGTCAAGGAGCAAACAGCTGTGGTGCAACCAGGGCCAGCTATATAATTTGCAGTGCCCAGAACAAAATGAAAATGCAGAACCTCCTATTCAAAAAGCAGAAAATAACATGCTGTTAAAGGTACTAAAATAGTTTTTTCCTTTCTTTCACAGTCTTTCTCTTGACTTGTCATGGTTTTTTTGTTACTATAATTCTGTTCTAAATAAGAAAAAATAAAATTTTAAATTATTAGCAGGATTCTTACCATTCATCTTTATATTGTGCAATGCCAGTCTTGAACACAAATTTAAAAGCCATTAACCCAATGTAGAGTCATCAAAATCACACAATTTGTATTTTGTACTCATACATGCACATATATTTTGCTCTGACTAGAACAGTGGAAATGCTGTAGAATACTAACTCAACTGTTCTTACCTCTCTTCCTCATATGCATACATTCTACCAGCATTCTCTACCTCTGACTTACTGATGGGTAAGAAAAAACTAAAAGGAAAGTTAACTGTAGATCAACTTATCTTTCTCTCTGCTTTATGTCACAATTTCTAGCATATGTGGTTGGCTAATACAGGGAAGTAACATGAGTTATGGATATGAGAGAGTTCCTTGCTGTTCCTGTTTTTTAGAACTCTTATTTCCTTCTGTTTGCATTCCAAGAAAGTTCTCATTCAAAGCGAGTTCTCATTCAAAAGAAAAGTGGTCTCTTACAGTTATCAGACCACTTCTCCCGCTACTTACTCAGTGGTAGACCTAACATGCTTAATGTTGCTTGCTTTGAGTTTTAGTGAACTCCCATGTATCGTGGGTCCACTGGAATGTTCTGCTTATGGGCCATGGTGAATACTACGTGGCTCATGGGGTAATGAGGCATCACAGCCATCATGCATTGTACGTGTCTTCTCTGCTTGTGCACATGCTCCATTGTCCCATTTCACTTACTTACAAATCACAAGTTCAAAGATAAAATTATCAAGAATTTTAAAATGGCATAGAAAGGCATGAAGCCAGGTACAAGGTCTCCTAAGCACTGTATGATCATACAATTTGCATGCGCATGAGGCCAGCCCAAGGAGCAAAGGACTAATATTCTTTTTTTTAAAATTTTATTATTATTATACTTTAAGTTTTAGTGTATATGTGCACAACGTGCAGGTTTGTTACATATGTATACATGTGCCATGCTGGTATGCTGCACCCATTAACTCATCATTTAGCATTAGGTATATCTCCTAATGCTATCCCTCCCCCCTCCCCCCACCCCACAACAGTCCCCGGTGTGTGACGTTCCCCTTCCTGTGTCCATGTGTTCTCATTGTTCAATTCCCACCTATGAGTGACAACATGTGGTGTTTGGTTTTTTGTCCTTGAGATAGTTTGCTGAGAATGATGGTTTCCAGCTTCATCCATGGCCCTACAAAGGACATGAACTCATCATTTTTTATGGCTGCATAGTATTCCATGGTGTACATGTGCCACATTTTCTTAATCCAGTCTATCGCTGTTGGACATTTAGGTTGGTTCCAAGTCTTTGCTATTGTGAATAGTGCCGCTATAAACATACGTGTGCATGTGTCTTTATAGCAGCATGATTTATAATCCTTTGGGTATATACCCAGTAATAGGATGGCTGGGTCAAATGGTATTTCTAGTTCTAGATCCCTGAGGAATCGCCACACTGACTTCCACAATGGTTGAACTAGTTTACAGTCCCACCAACAGTGTAAAAGTGTTCCTATTTCTCCACATCCTCTCCAGCACCTGTTGTTTCCTGACTTTTTAATGATCGCCATTCTAACTGGTGTGAGATGGTATCTCATTGTGGTTTTGATTTGCATTTCTCTGATGGCCAGTGATGATGAGCATTTTTTCATGTGTTTTTTGGCTGCATAAATGTCTTCTTTTAAGAAGTGTCTGTTCATATCCTTCGCCCACTTTTTGATGGGGTTGTTTGTTTTTTTCTTGTAAATTTGTTTGAGTTCATTGTAGATTCTGGGTATTAGCCGCAAAGGACTAATATTCTTAACTATTCTTTGGAGAAATTGTTTCTTCTCAATTATTTCTTATTTTGATCACAGACCTAATTTAGAAAATGCTTTGAGATCGACAAAATCTCCAGTAGTGCAATTTATAACCCAACCTTATAGAAACTAGGCAGTAAGACTAAATAATTGTAGAGAAACACACCTGCAGAAATGATTTAACTGCCTGAACCAAAGACTTTTTATTAAATAGAAATTAAGATTGAAATAATTTGAGCTAATATCTTTAAGACTATTACAAATTTAATCTTACTCAGTCAAGATCCTACAACAATGACCCATGTAGGTGGCCCATTGTCTATTTTTAGTCTTGGGAAAGGGGAAAATTCAAGCTTAGAGAGCTCCCTTGTCCACCAAGAAGCAAGACAGAGCAATACAGCAGGGAATAACTTAATGCTGCCCTTGGATTCTTCAATATGAGGTATATGGCATCAGGACACTGTAGGGATTTTCATGGGAGAGCCTAGAGGTAAAAAATGATTGCTTCTTTTGCCTTCTTTGAGTTGCAACACCATCATTTTTGGGAACACCATCTTGGAATGTACTTCACTTTAAAGAAATTTCTTGGTGATAATATCAATATCTGGTATAGCTTTCTTGTACAGGTCCACGAGCATCTACAACTTTGTACACATTAAATTAGAATATCCTGAAGAAAAAGGGTTAATATTGAAGTACCCAGCAGAAGACATGCCAGACACATTTCATTACCAGAAAAAACGGGAAGGCACTCATCCAGGAACTCATAAAAGATACTGCAGAGAATGTTGATTGGCAGTTTTTAGCCTCTGCATCTGGAGAGTTATTTATAGTCAAATCTTGATAATCATGGTAAAGGAGAAAAGGGAAAGAATAGATTATTGAAACCATGCATCATTCACAAACCATTTTGAACAGTTGTTTTTAACTGCCACTTTCTATCAAAATTTCAACCAGATTTATTAACAAAGAGTCGATTTACAACTTCGTGTTTCTTTTTATGTCATCTGCTGACCCTCAGGAGTAAATGTCAAAGAACGGGTCAGAGCATCGTTGGGTAACCATAAACATAGGATAACAAACAAATGAACTATTATTATGAAAAAGTGACCGATTTACTTTGACCCTGCATGACCACATCATACAGCTTTAAAAGCTCGCAAAGAACAAAACTTGAGCACTGAGCCTAATAGCTTGAGGAATACTTATATCACTTAACATACATCTTTTAAATCTCAAGTCATATGGTTTTTAAAAATTCAAGTTCACTCAAAACTAGCAAAGAGTAACTGACTAGAAAATAATTGTTGATCCTTTCACTTTTAAAAAAAACTTCTCTGAGTTAGGATATGTAGCCAAAAGACCAAGTCTCAGTAATTCTAGAAGTTTCTGAAAGATCTGTTTTATTAAGTCAGCCTGTTAGAAACAGCATCACTCAATGGACCGTTTGTTTTTGGACCTTATTTGGTAAAAGTCTTAGCACAGGAACTCTTCTTGGGACGTAAACCTGCTTTAATATTCGAATTAATTAGTAACGACTGATGATAGTAATACCACAAGTTTATCTGATGCCATAAACCAAATGGATTATGTTTAGGTTCTATCACCTATTAGAATTAGAGTAGGCTACTATTCTGTGCCCTCTAATTTGGTGTTGGCATCCAGAAAGCTGCACACTCAGCACATGAGTTCTAAGATGCCTATCAATTAAACTCCTCACCACAATAGAAAAGAATTGCTTTCAACAAGATGAGGATACTGTATTACATCTCTTTCCATTTAGAATGGATTTGCAATGTCATGTTCGATATTTTTTTGAATGATAGCATTCATTGACTGCCTATTATACCCCATGCTTTATGCTATGCACTATTCATGGAGGAGTTCATTTAATATCGACCCAAAACCCATGAAGCAAGTTCCATTAGTTCTATCATTAAATTCATTTACCAATGAGAAAATAGGGACTTAGAGAATAAGTGTACATTGCCTAAGAACACTCACCTATTAAGTGGTAGGCATGAGATATGACCCCAACTTTCTCACATTGGAACCTGAGCTCTTATCCATTATTCTACACTGAAACCTATTTCATTGCAACAGAAGATGTTGTATTTGATAACATTAAACAGGCTAGGAATAATACATCTTCAACATATAGGTAACTGAAATGCATAAATTTCTTTAGGTGAATCTGACTCCAAATTGTTGCAGCATACCACTATAGTAGCTCAAAAAGAGCAAAATCACTAATGAGAGGATAAAGGAAACAAAACATAGGTTATGAAAAACAACACAGCCTTGGAGAAGTTGCAATGTAGGCAACTTGATGGAGAAGAAAGAGAGGAAGCAATGGGCCTCCAAAAAGAGTTGGTACCCTATTACAGAAGTGCTTGAGAAGGCACCACCAGTGTATGGCATATGTGATGGTTGTCACTGTAATTATTTCTATACTATTGCATCTGAGAGTGGATCCTTCCAAAAGTAAAAAATCAACTCTATTTTCTACTTCTCTTTCCCCATTATATCTCATCCTCTACTCTTATTTTTAATTAACTCAGAATAAAATTTTTGAATCTCTCATCTAGCCCACAGTTAAAGTGTTGACATACCACTTGTTGAAAGTAATTCATCTTCAGTTTATAAATTCAGAAACCAATTGGTAGCCCTCAGATCATCATGAAATTGACTAGGTTTTCATCATCAAGTCTCTTGCTCATCTGACAGGACTATGCATCCAAATGGCACCATTATTCCTGATATTCTTTTTCTGCTGATAACAAAGTTTTAAAGTTTTTAGAATTGAGAGCTTTCTCTGGAACAATGTTTTCTATGTAAACCAAGAAAAAAGGAGAGACACATAAATTATAGGTGTGTAGTTTTGATGAGATAAACACACCTTGAAGCCTAGTATTTAGTAGCATAAGAACCTTATGAGAAACTACTTTTTGACTTGAGGAAAAGTAATAGAACAAAGGTAATCCCTGATGACTGAATGTAAAAGTTTTTAAATTTTTGTTGTCTCTCTGCACATAGAAAAAAATCCCTCTAATCCCAAACTACTGGTTTGGAAAGTGAGCTGTAAAGTGGGCGATTTTAGTACATTCTCCTACTCAGAAACACTGTTAAAACAGAAGCAATGGGATTTGAGAGCAAAGGGCCTTCTGTTCATCTATAAGCTTTCATTTGGATCACTGAGTTTACTTTTTGTGACTACATGGACTCTTTAAAAAATAATAATTCATATTTACTTCAAATTTTTATGTTCTTAAATTGTTTTTAGTAAAAAAAAAATAGTGTCTAAAGAATTGGATCAGTGAATGCAGATGAAAGTTTGAATTTGTATTGGATGATGCTTTAAACTACAAAACAGATATAATTCTATGGTCAGAGGGATTGAACTTGAATTGTTTTTAAAAAGAAACTTGAATATTAGACAGTTTTCAATACTGTTTATAGCAATAATATCATGTAAATGTGGAAATAACTTCTTCAGTTTGTCCCAATCTCAGCACCTGGGGGTGAAGTTTTATTTTTATATCCTCTATGTTATTAAATGATAACATTTAGTAAAGTCACATTTCATTGTGACTGACAATATCTTATGAGAACAGAGCTTAACAAAACAAAGCTGAAAGAAGAGTTTTGGCTTTGCTTCATATTTCATTTCCTGTCCATAGCTTATTGTTATCAAGGATGGAGAGCCTTTTTACATTCTTTAGAACAGAGAGTTCATTTACCATTAGTAGATATTTATACCAGAGTGAGTGAACAAATGAAACTGTAGCTTTTAACAATAATGAAATAGCCCATTTAAGACAGTCTTCTCTTCAGTCACTTTTGGGGTAACTAAAGCTTGAGTTAAGATGGCTCTATTACACCAAACTATTTGACTTATTTTTTTTTGAACATTTTGACCCTCAAATATGTATCAGACCTTTCTTTTTCAATTATTTTACTTTATACTAAAGATTATCAAATTCCAGGATAAAATTTCCAACAAGGTAAGAATAAAAGTTGAAGGATTGTGGTCAATAGAAAGATCATTGGTTTGTTAGGGTTTTGCCCCTTGCTGACTTTAAAAAACCATTTACTGGATTTTGAAGTGAATTTTCCACTCACAGAAAAAGGACTTATGGAAAAATAACATTCATGTGGGAAAAAAAAAAATCAACTCACTGCTGCATCATCATCTCTACAAGGACAGGTAAGGGAAAAAGCACTTATTATTTCTCTGGCTGTAATCAAAGAGATTAAGAGAAATTTTAATGGAGCACATTTTTGTTTTAAAAAAGAGAGAAGAGGCACAGTTTGAAACCATCAAGGATTACTTCCTGTATAGAAGAAGTCAGCTGCATGCATACAATAGCGAAGAAGCTACGTTCCCTCCTGGAGCCAGACCAAGGTCAGGAATTTCAATTGTGATTCCTGACTCATGGAAAATTCTGACGCATTTTATATGTGTGAGGCTAGGTACATGCAAACCCACCAATTCATTAGCACCATCAGTGTTTTCACTCATTACTTCTTTTTTTTTTTGAAACTAAGAAAGAGCATAAGTGGAGGAATGCTAAATTTATAATACATTAGAACACAACCTCCCCTCCTGATTCCTCCCTCTTAGTTTTAAGACTTTCTCTGATATTCATGCTATTAGGGTTTGTCCCACAGTCTCAAGGTCAAATACTAGCAAGTGTTCTTAGTTGTTTCAAGCTATTTAAAACTAATTGTATTTAAGTCATTGCATATATTATTTATGGGAATGTAAACTGTTGCAATTGTTTTGAATGGCAATTTGGCAGTATCTATCGAAATATCTCCTCTGCCAAGAGACTTCCAGTTTCAGCTCTGATGTGTAAAGAGCTTGGAAGCTGTCATTTCCATCCTTACAACAAGATCAAACTGAAAAACTGAAAATTATCAACTTTTCTTGGACCCATCAGAGACGTGAGGAACAAACTCTGTTCCCATTATCCCTGCAAAATTCTGGAATCCAGAAATGAGTCCAGCTGAGATCTGCTCACTGGAAGCAGCTGCCTCCGGAGTTCACAAACTGGTAAGAACGCTTAGATGGCAATTCTGACAAATTGCTAGAGGCTGAGTGTGCATTTGCCTAGGAATGAGAAACTCTTAGGAGTCATGACCTTAGGGTTGAAACACACAAACTCTCTCTGAGCAGGAGTACTCCGGGAAGCCAAAACTGAAGAAGAGACCAAAAAAAGTACACTAGAGGAATTTGAAGCCTCTGGCACCTTAATTACCTCAGATATTAAACACAGCCCAGCACCTAGCAGATTAGCATAAAACCTCACACTAGAGATCAATATACCTCTGTCCCTATTACCCAGTATGACACATCTGGCTTTCCACACACACACAAAAAAATTGTAAGGCAAACCAAATGCAAGAAAACGCACAATCTAGAAAGATAAAGCAGCCTCAAAACCAGGCTCAGATATGACGCAGACATTGAAATCAACAGACAGGGAATTTAAAATAGCTATGATTAAAATCTGAGGGTACTAATGTAAAAAATAGATAACATGCAAGAACAGATGGGTAATTTAAGTGGAGAAATGTAAACTCTAAGAAAGAATAAAAAATACTAAAAAGAAAAAACACGAAGATAAATGAAGGATACCTTTGAGAGGCTTATTGGTAGACTGGAAATAGCTGAGAGAAGAATCAGTGAGCCTAAGTTAGATTAACAGAAACTTCTCAAACAGAAATGCAAGGAAACAAAAGAATTTTTAAAAATAGAACAGAATATCCAAGAACTGTAGGATAATTTCAAAAGGCATAGCATACATGTAATTGGAATACCAGAGGAAGAAGAAAGAGAGAATGGAGCAGAAGAAATATTTGAAGTAATAATGGCCAAGAATTTTCCAAAATTAATGACCAACACCAAGCTACAGATCCAGAGAATTTAGAGAACATGTAGCAGGATAAGTACCAAAATATCTATACCTAGGCATATTATTCAAAATGCAGAAAACAGAAGACAAAGAGAAATTCTTGAGAGAAGCCAGAGGACACTGGGTGCTGTGGCTCACACCTATAATCCCAGCACTTTGGGAGGCCGAGACAGGTGGATTACGTGAACCCAGGAGTTTGAGACCAGCCTGGGCAACATAGCGAGACACCGTCTCTACAAAAAATTAAAAAATTAGCCAGGCATGGTGGCATGCACCTGTAATCCCAGCTACTTGGGAGGCTGAGGCAGTAGGATCATCTGAGCCAAAAAGTTCAAGGCTGCAGTGAGCCATGTTTGTACCACTGCACTCCAGCCTGGGTGACAGAGTAAGACTCTGTCTCCAAAAACAAAACAAAACAAAAAAAGCAAAAAGCAAAAAGCCAAAAGCAAAAACATGCCAGAAGGAAAAAAGTCACCTCATCTACAGAGGAATAGGAATAAAAATTATAGTGGACTTGCCCTTAAAACCAGTATAAGCTGGAAGAGAATAGATTGAAATATTCTTTTTGTTTGTTTGGTTGGTTTGTTGTTGTTGTTGTTGTTTTTTGAGACAGAGTCTCACTCTGTCACCCAGGTTGGAGTGTAATGGTGCAATTTCGGCTCGTTGGAACCTCTGCCTCCCGGGTTCAAGCAATCCTCATGCCTCAACCTTCTGAGTGTCTGGGATTACAGATGTGTGCCACCACATCTGACTAACTTTTTGTATTTTTAGTAGAGAAGGGGTTTCACCTTGTTGGCCAGGCTGGTCTCAAACTCAGGGACTCAAGTGATCTGCCACCTTGGCCTTTCAAAGTGCTGGAATTACAGGTGTGAGCCACCGTGGCTGGCCTGAAATATTCAAGATGTTGAACAATAACAACAGCAAAAAACACTAACCTTGAATTTATACCCATTGAAATTATCTTTCAAAAGTGAAGGAGAAATAAAAACTTTCTCTAATAAACAATAACTGAAGGAATTTATTGCCAGAAGACTTGTCCTGCAAAAAAAATGTTAAAAGGATGGAAAAGGGATAGAAAAGAAGTTTGATTTTACAAGTGAAGAAATCTGACTGTTATTTCTCGTGTACTACTTGCATATACTGAAGGCTGATACCATAGGGAACTATCATATCACAAAACAATCTCTGAGCCTGAGTATGTATTTGCATTGTGATGCTCAGTGTGTTGGTAAAATGGGTAGCAGAAATAGTCCTGGAACCCATGACCTCTATTAGGATTGTTTGCAACATACTTATATACAGAGTGATTGCACTCATAAATATATCCTTCTAAACCAAGGCTCAATGTATACCCAAATAAACTTTCCTTACCCAGAGCTCAAAAGTGATCACAGTCCCCATGAAATGCAAGGTGATCTGTGATAAAGGAGATGTCTGAGTGGAAATACACAACAATATTAATTAGTTATGGTTAAAAAGTCTTACCTTTGCAAATCTTATAAAAATATACAACAGTTTGAATACATTTTTAGGGTCCTTTCCTGAGCCTTTGGAAGGCACCCACATGAACAGTGAGGGGCCCTAAAGCTTCAGCTTCATTAACTTCCTAGTAAATCCACTTGTGTTCTTTGTGCTTTGGGTTTATGCCCTTTAAAATTTCATTTATTTTTGGCTACTATGAATAAGGCTGCTATAAAAATTAATGTACAGGTTTTTATGTGAACTTAAGTTTTCATTTCTCTGGGATAAATGCCCAAAAGTGTAATTGCTAGGTCATATGGTAAGCACATGTTTAGCTTTTTAAGGAACTGCCATAATCTTTTTCAGAGAAGCTGTGCCATTTTGCATTCCCATGCGTGACGAATGGCAAACCAGTTTCTCTACATCCTGACCGGCATTTGTCATGGTCAACATTTTTTGTTTTAGTCATTCTGATAAGTATATAGTGATATCTCACTGTGGCTTTATTTTGTATTTTCTAAAAAAGAATGATGTTGAACATCTTTTTATATATTCATTTGTCAACCATGTATCTTCTCCGGTAAAATGTTTGTTCATATCTTCCACCCATTTTCTAACTGTTTTGCTCATTTTTTACTGTTGATTTATTTGTATATTTTAGATACGAGTTCTTTTTTGGACATGTGGTTGGAAAATATTTTCTCTGAGACTGTGGCTTATCTTTTTATTCTCTTTGCAGAGTCTTTAGCAAAAAAACAAAACAAAACAAAAAACTCTCTCCTGAAAACAACCCAAACATTCCTTCAATGGGTGAAAAGTTAAACATCTACGCTACATATATGCCTTGGAATACTATTCAGCATTAAAAAGGAATGAACTGTTGGTACATGTTAAAACTTGGATGGATCTCTTCACTTGTTGAGTGAAAAAGCCAATCTCAAAAAGTTATATACCATATTATTTCATTTGTATAATCTTCTTGAAATGACAAGATTATAGAGATGGAGAACAAATTAGTGATTGTCAGAGATTGTCAGGGGAGGGAAGTGGCCGTGACTATAGAAGGTTAGCACAAAGCATCCTTGTGATGGAAGTCCTCCATATCTTCACTGTGGTGGTACTCACACAAATCTTCACCTATGATAACATTGCATAGAACTAAATACACAAACTAATGAGTGCATACAAAATTGGTGAATCTGTAAAAGATTAGTGGATTATATTAACGCCAATTTCAGTCATGCAAAACATTACTATTATTGAGGGAAACGGGGTGAAGGATATACAGGATTTTTCTGTATTATGTCCTAAAAATGCATGCAAATCTATAATTGGTTTTCAAAAAATTTTTCTTAAATCCGTTGTCATTTTTGAAGGGTTTCACTAGAGAATAGAGAGCAAGTGGGTGTGTTTGCGCTACCATGCTTAGCTGGAAGTTTGTGCCAAAAAATCTTTAAAGGAATACATTTATATTCTGGAATATTCAGAAGAATAGGCAGAGCTCCCAAGGAAATTTAATAGCAGTTACTTTGGATGTAAAAAGTATATGTGAAAAATACATATAAAAATAATAAAAAGCTTAGATAACAAACAAAACCAATAGCAGATGGTACGTTTAAATTCAACCATACCAACAATAACATTAAATATAAATAGACACACCAATTAAAAGTTAGAGAGTATCAGATTGGACAAAAAGCAAGACCCAGCTATATGCTTCCCACAAAAATTCTACTTAAAATGTAAAGAAGTTAATAGGTTAAAAGTAAGAGACTGGAAAAAGATACTATCCTAAAATTAGTCCAAAGAAAGCTAGAATGGCTATCTTAATACCAGAAAAATACATTTCGGCACAAAGAATATTACATGGATAATGAAGTTTATTTTATTATGATAATGACAACTGCTAATCAAGGGGATACACATATTGTAAATATTTATGCATCTAATAACAAAGCTTCAAAATGCATGAGGCAAAACCTATAAAATTGCAAAGAAAAACAGACAAATCTACAATGTAGCTGGAGATTTCAACACCAGTCTCTCAATAATTAACAGAACAAGTAAACAGGAGATGAAGAAGGATATAAAAGTTTAGGTCTTTGAAGAATTTATCAAAGATTGCAAATTTTTAGGGCGATGACCTTATTGAATATACCAGTGTTGACCATATTCATCAAGTTAGCAAAACAGAGATAATGTGTTCAAATCATTTATGCTATTGGTTGCTACACATCTTCTTTACCAGTGTAGTTTTTGTGACCATATGAATTCTCAGAAATCCAAAACTGTTATTGAACCTGCAGTGCCCCAGCACATGGGCTATATTTATAATTTAATGGTTGTCCCATTGCTTATGTACTTGCAAGATCCCAATCTGAGCCAAGTGATCCTGAACACTGCTGTTTCCCTCACCATGGTCATCTACTCCCATTAGAGTCCGGGACTGAGAGAAATCTTCAAGCTCTGTAGGGCAAATTTAGTCAATGTGTGTTAGGCCCAGAAAAGGGCCTGGAACATCTGGGTAAAATATTGATAAAAAGAAATCAAAGAGAAAAATTAAGGATTGGTAGAGATGTCAAGTGTGATACAAGTCAGAAGGATCCAAGGATGAAATAAGAAACAGGATGCAACTCAAAGCAATTTAAAAGCAAAGAGAGGAGATTTTGATGGATTCTTATAACCATATGATAGACTCCTTTTACCTCGGACAATCTCATTTACAAAATCCTAGATGGAGAATTTAGATTATTTGGGTGACTAAGGTGAGGAATAAATTTATTTGTGATCTGTTTTAAGTGCTTATCACTGCAGAGTTTCTGTGAAAGTACATTGATAGAATTCAGATGACCTCGCTTAAAATTTCATGAAAGTCAGTTTCTGTAAGACCCTGCTCACTGTTTTGGCTTGAAAAGTCATTTAACCTCTTTGAATTGCAATTTTTTTGCCTAGAAAATATAAATAGTAATATTAAGTAACTGATGAAGTCGCTTTATGCAAATATAATGTATTAGAAATAATAAGTTATGCTATGGAGCAGCACTGTCCAATAGAACTTCCTTCAACGACAGAAATAATCAATACTTTATGCTATTCAATACGGTGGCCACTAACCACATGTGGCTACTGAGCATTTGAAATTTGGCTAGTAAAACTGAAGAACTAAATTTTTAATGTCATAAATTCTAACTAATTTAAATTTAAATAGTTACCTGTAGCTAGTGGCTACCATATTGGACAACACAGGTAAAGAGCTCAAGAAAAACATTCCAATTCATTTTTTTGGATCCTGTTTCACATGCAGTAAGAATGTCAGAAAGTTTATCTAGCACAGCTATATTAATTTCCATTTACATAAAGAAACAGAAAAATATCTGGCTTTTAAATTCCTGACTTTATGCTCCTAAATGCAGTAGAAAATATTCCCATTAGAGTGATTTTGCAATTTTCTACTGTTCCACTGTTTATACCGCAGCTTGAATCTTGAATCTAGAAAACAGGCTGAGAAGTATATTGTCTCTCACTTGGCTGTAGGTGAAGGGCTTCACATATTTTTCTTACAGTTCTAAGGTAACAATAAACACCTTAGACTCAATAACTGTCCCTAAGGTTCTAGGCACAATGAAGGCCCGAAAGGCCATCACTAATAAGCCGCTTCATGGAATGGAGTGTCATTTATGAGCAGGTCTCTTGGGGAGATGCTGAGATTTTTGTTTTTGGACAGTGTTACAACTTATCCCTCTGGGATGATTTAGGAATGGTTCCAACAAAAGACAAGTAAATAGAATGATAGTCCTCCAGGTCAATTAAGTAGCCTCCATATTTCTGGAAAGGTTAATTTGACTTTTAGTCAGCCCAACCCTTGCCCTTGGTTTTATTGGAGTATTCTTTCTACTAATATATCTTTCACCTGTGCCTTCAGCTTTTGGCGTTTGTGTGGGTGTGTTCTTATTTCAGATCACATTAGTGGAACAATTTTCACATGATTTGAAAATAGTTGGCTGAGTGAAAAAGAAAATCAATAGCTAGCAAGAATAAAGCTAATGGTTTGTCCATATTCCTATGTTCCTTATGTCTTTTAACTGAAAAGTAGGAGGTAGAATCCTCTTTGTATTTAGTCATTTAGAAATAAGAAAACCTGGTTATATACTTTAGCAGGTGAAGGGTCCTCTGAATCACCTTTTCTGTGAGTACACTTGCAGAATTTTAGTTTCTATCTGTGTATCGGCTCTGGATATTTGGTGCCAAGTAGCTAAATCACTTCAAACAACTGACTCAATTTTCAACCTTTCATCCAGATAATACAAAAAGAATCTCTCTGGGTTTGATAGCAACTTGAGTTTCAAAGCTTTATAGGGTTGGTAAGTTATTCCATTTACTTTGATTCTTTTATACTGGGAAAGAAAATGCACTGTGCCTATCTCAACCTTTCCATTTATTGTTACTGATTATTGTTATTATCTCCCCTTTCCAACATTTTCACATGCTTTAATAAAAACAATTTTAATATCACTCAATAGATTTTCCTTTACTAAAGATTTCTGGGCAATTGTTTTCTATATTATTTTATGCATTTACTTCATTAAATAACTATACTGTTTTATTGTTTATTATACTCCTATACAAAAAAAATCAATGGGAGTTGGGGAGGAAGTGATTAGAACATACACTTTATAGCTAATTTAGGTAATATATTATTGCATTTTCTTTGCAAGATTTTCATTGACATTTCTTAGTAGAATATCTCCCATCTTAGGACTATTCCACCATAACAAGTTGATATGATGCGGCTGTGTCCCCACCCAAATCTCATCTTGAGTTGTAGTTCCCATAATCCCTGCACGTCGTAGGAGGGACACAGTGGAAGGTAATTTAATCATGGGGGCGGTTACCCTGATACTCTTCTCGTGACAGTGAGTTCTCACAAGATCTGATGGTTTTATAAGGGGTTTTTCATCTTTTGCCCAGCACTCCTCCTTGCTGCCGCCATGTGAAAAACGACAGGTTTGCTTTTCCTTCTGCCATGATTGTGAGTTTCCTGAAGCCTCCCCAGCCATGCTGAACTGTGAGTCAATTAAAGCTCTTTCCTTTATAAATTACCAAGTCTTGGGTATGTCTTTATTAGCAGCATGAGAACAGACTAATACACAAGTCGTCTTCTTTGTTTCCTTTATGAAAATATCTGTAGAAGAAGCTCCGATATTTCCTTGGGGATTCATTGGCATTTACAGCATTTTGGTTATTTTTCCTCTTGTGAGATAAGAACTATTACAGAATTACTGCTCTTAGTATAATTTTTAACAACCTGATCAGCAAAGGTCATATTTGAAGGTAATGTGATTGGTAGAGATAATGATGTGTTTGTCCTTCTGATTACCATGTAGGTGATCCACAAGAAATAGATTGTCTTGAAACAAGAACTAATTAAAGCAACAATCGGAATATTTCTTAGATGATTTTCTTATGTGTTTAAAGTGTACAGATACAGATAAGCAAGGGACTGTAGCTGGCCAGCTATGGATCATTAACAGCCCAGTGGGAAGCATTGCTCGTACAATCTCTCCAGAGTTTGGCAGGACCCATTCCATGCTATGGTGCCTCACTTTTAAGTAACGTAATAATCTCTAGCATACTTTTATTTATTTTTTTTATTTCCGTAGTTTTTTGGGGGAACAAGTGGCATCAGGTTACATGAGTAAGTTCTTTAGTGGTGATCTGCGAGATTTGGGTGCACCCATCACCTTAGCAGTATAAACTGAACCCAATTTGTAGTCTTTTATCCCTCACCCACTTCCCATCCTTTCCCCGAGTCCCCAAAGTCCACTGTATCATTCTTATGCCTTTGCATCCTCATAGGATGCTCCCACTTATGAGTGAAAACATGTGATGTTTGGTTTTCCTTTTCTGAGTTACTTCACTTACAATAATGGTCTCCAATCCCATCCAAGTTGCCGCAAATGTTAATTTATTTGCTTTTATGGCTGAGTAGAATTTCATCATATATATATATATATATATATATATATATATATGATGTACACCTATATATATATATATATATATATATATATATATATATATATCACGGTTTCATTATCCACTTGTTTATTGATGGGCATTTGGGCTGGTTCCACATATTTGCAGTTGCGAATTGTGCTGCTATAAACATGTGTGTGCTAGTATCTTTTTTGTATAATGACTTCTTTTCCTCTGGGTAGATACCCAGAAGTGGGATTGCTGGATCAAATGGTAGTTCTAGAATGCTTATTGAGAAGAGAAGAATTTCATGTAATTGGTCCCAATTCTTAAACTAAAGCTCATTGTTAGACTAAACTCTTTTACTCTTCTACCTACACATAAACCTATTTGGCTTTTTGGCATAACTGTAGGAAATGGCAAGCTACTGGCAGAATACTGTTCTTTGACCCCACACAGAAAATCTTTGGAACTGCCATTGATTAAATCCTGTGTCTCATGTTTTTTGTTGTAGTTGTTGTTGCTGGATTCATACTATTCAGTGCAGTGCACAGTGATAAACCAGCAGAAATATCTAAGGTACCTTATATGATATTATTGAGGACAAAAATTAATACTCTCCCTAGTATTTTCATAACAGCCACATTTTGTCTTTTCCTGTGTAAGAAGTGTGCCAGCATACCATTTCTAATCAGAAACCAAGCCCAGAGGCCTAGGATTATGGGAACAAACCCATTTGCTTTATGAGGTTTGCCAAACCTTGTACTTGTTACAATGACAAACCTGCTACTATGGAGAGAAGAGCAGTTGATAGCTTTTAACTCTATGAGTCTTTTTTGCCTGGTGGATCCAGACATCTCATAGTCTGTAGAATACCTTAATGCTCTCAGACAGGATGAAGTGACATTAATTTCTTTATATGACAGGTAAACTGAGGCATTTCTTGGATTGTGAAAGTTCTGAAAATTGTAGTCCACTTTAAATAACAACAGCTAGATGTTTTGTACTAAATAATGCATGAAAGAACTGCTATTGTATTTGCAGCTAAACAGGTTTGGACCTATTTGGAGATCGTCTGGGCAATGAACTGAGCCTACTTGCCCTTTACAGATTCCTCCTCTACAAAAATAGCCAGCTGCAAAGTGTTGTGGTCTTGTCTACATTCAGGCCCATATCAGCAAAAGCACCTACAAGAAAATAAGACAGCAAAAATAACTGGTGAAAAAAAAAGATATGTGATCTTTGGGGGTATCAGACATGTTTACTTGCGGTTTCTTTTCTTTAATCCAATAAAAGTATTGGCATAGTGTTTGGTATTTGAGGCATAGTAGTGGGAGTACTGTCACGATGTAACTAAAGATGGTGGGAAAACCAGTTTGAATAAAATGAGATCCAACTTGAACCTTTGCCCGTTCCTGGAACTAAAGTCAAGTCAACCCACTGTTAAGTGTCAAAAACGTTGAGTCACTAGCCTCCTTTTTGTTCATCTGTTTCTGAATATGTGTATATGCCTGCTTTTTTTTTTTGTACTCTTAAAAAATAGACTTGCTTGTGGCATTCGGTATGCAATTCTCAGCTTACTACATCCTCATGAAATTTATTTTCATTTATTTATTTATTTTTATTTCAATAGTTTTGGGGGTATAGGTGGTTTTTGGTTACATGGATAAGTTCTGTAGCAGTGCTTTCTGAGATTTTGGTGCACCTGACACCTGAGCAATGTAAACTATACCCAATATGTAGTCTTTTATCCCTCACTCCATTCCTACCCAGACCCCCAAAGTCCATTATATCATTCTTATGCTTTCACGTTCTCATAGCTTAGCTCCCACTTATAAGTGAGAACATACGATATTTGGTTTTCTGTTCCTGAGTACTTCACTTAGAATAATGGCCTCCAGCTCCATCCGAGTTGCTGCAAAGACCATTATTTCATTCCTTTTTATGGCTGAATAGTACTCCATGGGTCCTCATGAAATTTAAATTTAAAGGGATAAATATGAAATGAAAGTTCTCAAAACATATTTATAAATTTTGATGTTTTCATTTGATTTCTGCTACACTTCTTAGGATCTGTCTTTTGTATGGGTTTTGGAAACTGCTGTGAAATCTGCTTCATTAGGTTTCATTTCAGAGAACATTAGAAAGTGAAACATACTTTTAAGTACCAGTCCCAAATCCATTAGTCTTTAATCTTTGAGTAACTAATTATTCATTCCTGTAAGATAAAGCCTAGGCTTTCAGCTCATCTCATTTTGTCTCTCTCCTCACTTACTTTACATGAGAGCACTGCTTTTCCAGCTTTTTTAGTTCCTTTGAACCACTTTGAAGAGTTAAATTACTTCCGAGACCATCTATTCTGGTCTCAGATAATCACTGCTATAAAAACTTACTAGATTTAGTAGAGGGAACTGAACTGTGCCAGAGAGAAACTTAAGAAGAAAATAGCTAATTCATGTCAAAAATAGAATTGTAGTTATTGACATATTATATCTGTTAATATACCACGTAGCCTGTCCATTGATCACACTGATGAAGCCCTTCTGAAAGCATACTGCCCATTAGAAGGATGAATACGTCTTCAAAAAAGGGAAGGTATAAAGCATTTAGGACATCAGAGGAGCTCACTCCATTTTTTAGAAATAGGACCATATATTGTGTATTTTTTTAAGCAAATTAGGATACATTGAAATACTCCTCCCCTTACACACACACACACACACACACACACACACACACACACACTTTTTCAATATTCTTTTGGTCAAAATAACTGCAATGATTGTTTGTGAAACCTTCCCCAACTGCCCTAGGCAGAATTTGTAGTTCCCTCCACTGTGCTTTCTTAGTTCTTCAGACATCCCTCTATTATGAAATTTACATTTTTATATTGTAATTATCTGTTTGCATTTTTGTTCTCTTCCTCTCCAGCTGAACTATGAAAGCAAGGACCATATCTTATTCAGGTTTGTTCCTCAGTGCTCAGTACATTATAAGTGTTCAATAGATGCTTAATGGATGTACAAGTGAATGAGTGAATTGGTGGAACGCCCATGAGTCAGATTAGGTAAAGACTGAGTTCTCTTGGAAATCTTCCAAACTACCCACCTGCCCTCTGCAATTGAGGATAGTGCTCTGCACCTGTGACATATGTCATCAACCACAGCCACCATTTGATTTCCTCTATATTGAAAGAGACTCCCCATTTAAAACAGGGGTGAATAGATTGCTTTTCCCTGGCAACCCCAAAGAGAACCAATTGCATCAAGAACAAAGCTTTCTGAATCCTCAGGATTCCAGTGAAGGTCTTTGGTGGAGGGAGGGAAGAAATAGAGACATTGTGCATCCCTGAGTAAGATAATTCCTATGCCCTGTCCCCTCCCAGGGGCCAAACCCTGGGGAGGAATGACAGCAAAACCCCAGACAGGTTTGCGGTATCTGAGAAGACAGGGACCAAAGCTTTTTCCCTTGGTGTAACTAACCCAAGAGAGGGAGCAAGACCAGAAGAGATGTAGCTGCACAGTGTGTACAGGAAGAGAAAGTCTTAGAGCTTCAGGTACCTTGAGTTCAGTTTGGATGAAGAAGCAGAATCTGAGAACATGAAGTGTTCAATCCTTAGGGAGGCTCAGTCTTTTCATGTCTCAAAGTAACTCTGGATTAAGAAGGTCTCCTGCTCATGTGGGAATGGCATTGAGCCCAGGGAGTCTCTGATGGTCTAGCAGGGCTCAGGAGCAGCCGAATGACCTCTGTGCCCCCTAGAGAGCCATGCTAATACGTAAGAGACAGCTGAATGCAATGTGGCTTTGCATTTGGGGACATGAGACAACCCAGCATCAATCTGTATGAACAGTGATGAGAGACCAGTAAGACCAAGGTCATTTCAGACGATTTCAGACGATGCCTAGGTGAGAAGATGACCTGAGGACCAGATGCTACTATGCTCTTGAAGCCTTGGCCAGGGAAATGCCATACACAATCTAAGGTCAAGGAGGCTGGAAATAGACATTAAATTAATTTATAAATTAATTTATAGATAAATAAAGTTGTTATTTCTACATACCTTTGAGGACTTTAATCCAATATATGCCATAAATACCATTTCAAATAATTGTGTCTTTCTCAGTGATACTGGTTTACTCTACTCAAAAGTGGAGAAAGACCTTGGCAGCTCACAAAACTTCCAGACACATAGATATTCCTCTGAGTCTAAATCTCTTTTGCATGTACCCAATTCAGTATTCTAATTTGGAAAACTTTTATATGTTTAGTGATAATAAACTTTAGCACTTTCTGAAATATCTACAATGGTAGCTCATGCTTCAGTTTGTTCATCTTCTAAAATATTTTGTATATATATATATAATTATTATTACTACTGCTACTATAGCTTATTCTATTATCCCAGAAGTCAGGAATAAGAATTACACATAGTAGGCTGGGCACAGTGGCTTACGCCTGTAATCCCAGCACTTTGGGAGGACGAGGTGGGTGGATAACCTGAGGTTGGGAGTTCAAGCCCAGCCTGACCAACATAGAGAAACCCCATCTTTACTAAAAATACAAAATTAGCTGGGCATGGTGGCATAAGCCTGTAATCCCACCTACTCGGGAGGCTGAGGCAGGAGAATCGCTTGAACCTGGGTGGTGAAGGTTGCGGTGAGCCAAGATCACGCCATTGCACTCCATCCCAGGCAACAAGAGTGAAGCTCCCTCTCAAAAAAAAAAAAAAAAAAAAAAAAAAAAGAACTACACATAGTATAGCCTTTTTGTTTTGTGGTGATAGAGATTTTATTCTGTACATGGGGAGCAAGATTTGGCTTGCAATAAACCAAATCTGCAGTGGAGAGGAACACTTTATAACAGAGTTGCATTGTATTCAGAAATAGAGATCACTGATAAAGACTCCAATAGAAGCTATTCAACCTCCTGTTCAAATATTTTCTAAATTATTGGTCTCTCTGTGAGAACATTTTCCTCTGGTATAAACAGTGGCCATGAATAGGATGAGTGTTTGAACAGTACAAAAGTACCAGGTTTCTTCCTGTTACCCAAACAGCAATAAAGGCCAATGGTACAGCACCCTACACAGCAGCCCATGTTAGACAATGGATCTTACACGCGAGAGGCTGAGACGTTCAGTTCTCTGATAACATGAATGTCCAGTTCCAGCTGGGGAGACACCAACAGCCAAAGTGAACAGTTGCAAAAGAGCCATTGAGTAAAAATGGGAAGGCTTCCTTTGCCTCCAAAGCCATGGCAGAATGCAATGGAGCTACATCTGGGAGTTTGGGAATGAATCGTGTTATTGTATTAAGGAACTGAGCACATACTCTGTTACGCTTCCCTGCCCCCACAACCTGTTCCCAAGGATGTGGTCCTACTGATTTATCTGTACATATCAGTGTCCAAGGAAAGAAAGGGAAAAAATGAGGTTAAAGAGAAAACTCTGGGTTTTCTTTTTTATTTTGAGAAACTAAAAGGCAGAAGTGATTATGTACATAATCATTAAAACATGTTAAGTATTTAGGTTTTTAAAACGCAATATGTATAAATACATTTCAGAGGCAACTGTGATTATTTTCTCCGTTTTTCAAATGGGGAAACTTAACCACAGAGAGGTTAAACAACTAAAAGTTTTGTGACTGAAATGCCAGCTCAGGTGTGTCTGGTTCATGGTCCTCACCTGGCAATGATGAAGATGATGACTCAAACCTTGACTTTCACATTTTTTTGACTGCAATTTACAAGAAGAAATTCATTTTTTTTGCTGAGACCTACCATACTCTGTGTGTGTGTGTGTAACACAAGTTTTATAAAATAATAACAAAATAATATGTACTTTTCCTGCAGGCTCAAAATGCTATTTCCTATTTTGTTTTCTTTAAAGGAAAGACAAATATAATGATCCTCTAAGTCATTAGAGGATTCTAATTCACTCATTTTATGATTCTCCAATAGGTCTTGAAACACAGTTTGAAAAACTCTTAACTGAAATATCTCCACCAAGTGGACCCTTGGCCTTTGAACACTCTCACTACAAGAATCTGAATTCTTCTGTAACTGTCCATTTTGTTTTTGGACATTTCTACATGTAGAGACAAGATCTATGTTTCTGTTATTCTTATGACAGCCTTCCAGGACCTGGGAATGACTGTCAAATCTCTCATGAGGTATCTCTTCTCCAAATTGGATATTCCCATTTCCTTTGTTTTTCAATATAATCTGGTTTCCATTCTGTCCACTAATCTTAGAATACACACCATTTTAAGATATCCCAAGTGTGCACAGCAGATTGGACCCTTATCCTTTGACTTAAATCCCAAACCTAGATTTTACTACCCAGAGCTATATTTCTCTATCGTTTAAAATCATATTAACCTGTTTGGCAGCTACATTCACATTGTTGTCCTTCATGAACTTATCAGCAACAATCAGAAAGTCCATTTTTGCTTATGACAATCAAACTTAACTTTAGCCTGATGCCAATCTAAGATCATTGTTCATCATCATAAATTATACATGGACAGACTCTGAATACAGAACTTGTGCTACAGATAAGTCATGACATTCAAAGGACAATTCTACTATGTACTTTTAATTAATTACCTTTTGGGGGTTAAATAATGTATATCACTTCAGAATGATGAGTTAAATTTGATGCCTAGTGTGTATACTATTTCTTTGTAGGTCAACTGTGCATTACTTCTTCTATATATATGTTTCTTCAATATGCTTTTTTTAAAACCTGAATTGGCTTCAGCTTTTTTTCTTTAATCAAGAAAATTTTTATTACTAAGGCAATGATACAGTCAGTTGTTTTTATTTGACATTCCAACATTGACTACCAATTTCATTTTAGGAACCATGCTTTTTGTTTATGTATCATGTGATTAATTTATATGTTATTTATTTCCTAAATCCTGTTGAGACTGCCTCCCAGCAGATTCTCCCTTTCTCAGAAAAAAGATATTCTTTTTTTTGTTTACAGTCCGATAATGTACATAATAAGGAATAAGGCAAGGATATATTCCAATGATACAGGTTAGGAATTTTGTAAAATCCTTTGATTTAAATAATCGGATCCCAGGATAAAATGTCTTAATGTGGCATCAAGGACTGCTGATGGATAGACGCTGCAGAAAGACAAAGCTTGGTGGTACAGAAAAAAAGAACTGGCCAAAGTAAGAAATCTCTGCTTCGGAGATTGAGGTTTATTCCCTGCAGGTGGGCAGCTATGTGACATAGAGACTAAAAAAGGGAATAAAAACGTGGTAGCTGACCTGGCATTTTTCAGACTCTGCTCTCTGAGCAAGGAATGGGTATTGGTGAGAAGCCATCCAGTGGAGCTCCAAGTTCCCTGTTCCATGCCCAACAAATGCCCTCTCTCTTCATCCAAAGCAGGTCCCCATGGGTCTGTTTTACATATTGTACCTCTGTTTAAACTGTGTTTACCCATGGCTAAAAGAAGTTTCCAAAGCAGTGGATAAGATGGTCTTTTAATTGCTCTTCCACCCTAGGATGTCTCTGCTAAATTCAAAATGATTTCTGTTTGGACACTATTTTATAAAGAGTGTATTAACCTGCTTTAGTAAGGATGGAAGGAATGTGTCTGCAATGATAACCCATATGTTATCAATGTCTAAAAGATTCCAGAAGAACAGCAAAAAAGTAAGTTTATCTAGCTTCACTTAAGATGGAGGAGTCTGAGTTTAGCAATAGCCAAGTTAAGACTAGACCATTCAGCAAACTGACACAAATCAGTATATTTGCACATCAGCTACCAGCTGCCCCCTCTGGCCTTACTCCTTTGGTTCTTTGCCCCCTGCTCTTCCCAGGAGACCCTTCAGCTCAACTTTTACTCATAGGCCTTAGCATCAAATGGTTCCATTAGACCTGGGAGGTGAATTTCAGCTCTTATTTGCAGCCTTGGTTCCTCTTTCCACTGGGTTGACCTTGGCCTATGACACTACTGTCCTCTGGACTCCTTTGCAGATCTCCTACCCTACAGTCACCTTTGTATGAGCTGGGCCCATTCTTAATTATTCTCTCAAATTCCAGTCAAGCTCTCCCCTCTCTGAGACTCTGCCCTGCTCTTAAACTGCCTCTGTGACGGGGCTTCCAGAGATCTCATCACTATGCTGTACTCAACCATCCAGCACCAGCTTACCTCATCCAAGAATGTCTGGCCTGGATGTGCCTGTGCTGGTTGTACCCCTGAGAGCTGCTCCTTCCCTATCTGGATGTCTCCTTCACCTAGGTGTGGGTAATAGTGCTCTCTCTCTGCCTAATCTTTGATTCACTAAAGAATTCTGAACAAGGAAGATTGAAGGAGTTCAGTTGTTGTTTTTGCTATTGTTGCTGATGTTGGTTTTTTGTTTTGTTTTATCTGTCAGGAATGGTTGCAAGTGTATCTCTAACCCAGTTTTAGTTCTGCTGCAGGTCATCTTTCTATTTTGTATCCTAGTTCTGTCTGTGGCCTGTTTTTATTGTTTCTTCCATCTCATGTCCTACTACATAAATGCCAGATGAAAATAAAAGCCTATCATATGTCACCCTTTACACACCAATCAGGGCTCATGTCAGACATAGTCTAGGAATTCACACATATTGGCTCATTCCCACTTCATTACAAACCTGGTAGGTTGGTATCGTTAGCCAAACCTAAGATAATCAGTGTTTCTGAGGAAGAAGAGAATTCTAAAAGCTTGGAAAACATATTTGGGGGAATAATCAAGGAAAACTTCTCCAGCCTTGCTGGAGACCTAGACATCCAAATACAAGAAGCATAAAGAACACCTGGGAAATTCATATCAAAAAAGATCTTTGCCTAGGCACATTGTCATCAGGTTATCCAAAGTTAAACGAAGGAAAGAATCTTAAGAACTGTGAGACAGAAGCACCACGTAACCTATAAAGGAAAACCCATCAGATTAACAGCAGATTTCTCAGCAGAAACCCAACAGCTAGAAGGGATTGGGGCCTTATCTTTAGCCTCCTCAAACAAAACAATTATCAGCCAAGAATTTTGTATCCAGCAAAACGAAGCATCATACATGAAGGAAAGATAGTCTTTTTCAGACAAACAAATGCTGAGAGAATTTGCCGTTACCAAACCACCACTACAAGAGCTGCTAAAAGGAGCTCTAAATCTTGAAACAAATCCTGGAAGCAAATCAAAACAGAATCTCTTTAAAGCATAAATCACAGGGGACCTATAAAACAAAAACACAAGTTAAAAAGCAAAAAGAAAAAACAAAAAAAAACAAAGTACACAGGCAACAAAGAGCATGATGAGTGCACTGGTACCTCACATTTCAATACTAACATTGAATGTAAACGGCCTAAATGTTCCACTTAAAAGATACAGAACCACAGAATGGATAAGAACTCACTAACTAACTATCTGCTGCCTTCAGGAGACTGACCTAGCACATAAGGACTCACATAAACTTAAAGTAAAGGGGTGGAAAAAGGCATTTCATGCAAATGGACACCAAAAGTGAGCAGGGGTAGCTATTCTTATATCAGACAAAACAAACTTCAAAGCAACAGCAGTTAAATGAGACAAAGAGAGACATTATATAATTGTAAAAGGCTTTGTCTAACAGGAAAATATCACAATCCTAAACGTATATACACCCAAATTTATAAAACAATTACTAATAGATGTAAGAAATGAGATAGACAGCAACACAATAATAGTGGGGACTCCACTGACAGCACTAGACAGGTCATCGAGACAGAAAGTCAACAAAGAAACAATGGATTTAAACTACACCTTGGAACAAATGGACTTAACAGATATATACAGAACATTTCCTCCAACAACCACAGAATACACATTCTATTCAACAACGCATGGAACTTTCTCCAAAATAAACCATATAATAGGCCATAAAATGAGCCTCAATAAATTTAAGAAAACTGAAATTATATCAAGCACTCTCTCAGACCACAGTGGAATAAAACTGGAAATCAACTCCAAAAGGAACCTTCAAAACCATGCAAATACATGGAAATTAAATGCCCTGCTTCTCAATGAGCATTGGGTCAAAAATGAAATCAAAATGGAAATTAAAAAATTCTTCAAACTGAATGACAATAGTCACACAACCTATCAAAACCTCTGGTATACAGCAAAAGTGGTGCTAAAAGGAAAGTTCATAGCCCTAAATGCCTACATCAAAAAGACTGAAAGAGCACAAACAGACAACCTAAGGAACCAGAGAAACAAGAACAAACCAAACCCAAACCCAGCAGAAGAAAGAAATAACAAAGATCAGAGCAGAACTAAATGAAATTGAAACAAACAAACAAATACAAAAGACAAATGAAACAAAATCTGCTTCCTTGAAAAGATAAATAAAATCGATAGACCGTTGGTAAGATTAACCAAGAAGAGAGAAAATCCAAAGAATCTCACTAAGAAATGAAACAGGAAACGAAACTGACACCACTGAAATGCAAAAGATCAGTCAAGATTACTATGAACACTTTACACACATAAACTAGAAAACCTAGAAGAAATGGATAAATTCCTGGAAAAAATACAACCCTCCTAGCTTAAATCAGGAAGAATTAGATACCCTGAACAGACCAATAACAAGCAGTGAGATTGAAATGGCAATTAAAAAATTATCAACAAAATAAGTCCAGGACCAGGAAGATTCACAGCAGAATTCTTCAAAGAAGAATTGGTACCAATCCTTTTGACACTATTCTACAAGATAGAGAAAGAAGGAACCCTCCCTAATTCATTCTATGAAGCCAGCATCACCCTAATACCAAAACCAGGAAAGGACATAACAAAAAAAGAAAACTATGGACCAATATCCCTGATGAATATAGATTCCAAAATCCTTAACAAAATACTAGCTAACTGAATCCAACAATATATCAAAAAGATAATCCACCACGATCAAGTGAGTTTCATACCAGGGATGCAGGGATGGTTTAACATATGCAAGTCAATAAATGTGATACAGCACATAAATATAATTAAAAACAAAATCACATGATCATTTCAATAGATGCAGAAAAAGCATTTGACAAAATCCAGCATCACTTTATGATTACAACTCTCAGCAAAATCAGCATGCAAGGGACATACCTTAATGTAATAAAAGCCATCTGTGACAAACCCACAGCCAACATAATACTGAATGGAGAAAAGTTGAAAGCATTCCCTCTGAGATCTGGAATAAGACAAGAATACCCACTCTCACTACTCCTCTTCAACATAGTACTGGAAGTCCTAGCCAGGGCAATCAGACAAGAGAAATAAATAAAGGGCATCCAAATCGGTAAAGAGGAATTCAAACTGTCACTGTTTGCTGACAATATGATCGTTTACCTTGAAAACCCTAAGGACTCCTCCAGAAATCTCCTAGAACCGATAAAAGAATTTAGCAGAGTTTCCAGATACAAGATTTATGTACACAAATCAGTAGTTGTTCTATACCACAACAGCGACCAAGCAGAGAATCAAATCAAGAACTTAACCCCATTTACAATAGCTGCAAAAAAATAAAATACTTACGAATATACCTAACCAAGGAATCGAAAGACCTCTACGAGGAAAACTACAAAACACTGCTGAAACAAATCATAGATGACATGAACAAATGGAAACACATCCCATGCTCACAGACGGGTAGAATCAATATTGTGAAAATGACCATATAGCCAAAAGCAATCTGCAGATTCAATGCAATCCCAAATACCACCATCATTCTTTGCAGAATTAGAAAAAAACAATTCTAAAATTCATATAGAACCAAAAAAGAGTCTGCATAGCCAAAGCAAGACTAAACAAAAAGAACAAATATGGAGGCATCACACTACTTGATTTCAAACTATACTATAAGGCCATAGTCACCAAAACAGCATGGTACTGGTACAAAAATAGGCACATAGACCAATGGAACAAACAGAATACTTACAGTCAACAGATGTTTGACAAAGCAAACAAAAACATAAAGTAGGGAAAGGACATCCTTTTCAACAAATGGTGCTGAGATAACTAGCTACTCACAATGCAATCAATACCACATGTAGGAGAATGAAACTGGATCCTCACCTCTCACCTTATACAACAATCAACTCAAGATGGATTAAGGACTTAAACCTAAGACTTTAAACTATAAAAATTCTAGAAGACAACATTGGAAAAAGCCTTCTAGACATTGGCGTAGGCAAGGATTTCATGACCAAGAACCCAAAAGCAAATGCAATAAAAACAAAGATAAATAGCTGGGACCTAATTAAACTAAAGAGCTTTTGCTTAGCAAAAGGATCAGTCAGCAGAGTAAACAGACAAGCCACAGAGTGGGAGAAAATCTTCACAATCGGTACATCTGACAAAGGACTAATATCCAGAATCTACAATGAACTCAAACAAATCAGTAAGAAAAAAACAAATAATCCCATCAAAAAGTGGGCTAAGGACATGAATAGACAATTCTCAAAAGAAGATATACAAATGACCAAGAAACATATGGAAAAATGCTCAACATCACTAATGATCAGGGAAAGGCAAATCAAAACCACAATGCTATACTACTTCACTCCTGCAAGAATGGCCATAATCAAAAAATCAAAAAACAGTAGATGTTGGCATCAATGCAGTGAACAGGGAACACTTCTACACTGCTAGTGGGAATGTAAACTAGTACAGCCACCATGGAAAACAGTGTGGAAATTCCTTAAAGAACTAAAAGCAGAGCTACCATTTGATCCAACAATCTGACTACTGGGTATCTACCCAGAGGAAAACAAGTCATTATTAGAAAAAGATACTTGCACACACGTTTATAGCAGCACAATTCACGATTGCAAAATTGTGGAAACAACCCAAATGCCCATTGATCAACAAGTGGATAAAGAAACTGTGGTATATATATAATGGAATACTACACAGACATAAAAAGGAATGAATTAATAGCATTTGCAGTGACCTGGATGAGACTGGAGACTATTATTCTAAGTGAAGTAACTCAGGAATGGAAAACCAAATATCTTATGTTCTCACTGATATGGGGGAGCTAAGCTATGAGGACACAAAGGCATAAGAATGATGCAATGGACTTTAGGGACTTGGGGAGAAGAGTGGGAGGGGGGCAAGAAATAGAAGACTACAAATTTGATGCAGTGTATACTGCTCAGGTGATAAGATGCACCCAAATCTCACAAATCACCATTAAAGAACTTACTCATGTAACCAAATACCTCCTCTACCCCATTAACTTATGGAAAAATATAATAAAAAAAAAGAAACACAGCTTACAGGTAGTAGAGTTGGAATTGAACTCTACATCTGAAATTTCACTATGTATTTATCCAACTAAGAACAATTCATTTTTCTTTAAAGTGTTTAAAACTTTGAACAACCAGCATTTTTCAATGCTTTTAGTTTTTAGGGAGTATAATTCATGTGAAAACCAAACTTTTGGCTAAGTATCACCTGCCCCCAAATTGTGGAAAGTAGGAGTACAGGTTTATAATTTTTACCACTATTAACGGTAAAATTCACTCCTGTGTAATTATGATTTGGCTGTTTATGCCCTGTTACATCCCCAGTAGCTCTTGACCCTGACACTACCCCTTTCTCTCCAATCATAAAACACCTCAGATTGCAAGTCAGAGTGACATCACTGGAGTGACAACTCTAAATTTGTGTTTTATTCTCAAATTGTCCTGCCATCCATCTCACAGTGATGACAACACAGGAGTTTGTTAAGGCATTGGGGATGGCAGGTTGGGAAATGATGAGCCAGTCAATTATTCACAGTTGCGTTTTCATTACACTTATCAAGCACCTGTTGTGTATCAGGCATTGCTGCATTTAGTTCAGAGTCAGTCCTGCCTTTTGATCCAGAAGGGTCCCCTTCTCTACCCATCCTACACCGTGAGGTGAAGGGAACATGACAGCTCAGGTTCCCCTGTGCCCCCAGACCATGCTCGAATTACTTGGGACCTGGAATTCCCCGCCCAAATGACCCAAGCCTTCTCATGGCTTGATGCAGCATCTCCTAGGCCCATCTTCCAGGGGGTGGATAACATCTCTGAAATGCACACTCAGATGGCCAAGAGGTGACTGCTTGCAGGGGACGGGGAAGGGAGATAAATTTTGGACAGACTTTGGGTTTTGGGTTTGTCCTCATAAAGAATGAGGAAACCAGGGAGTAAGAAGGGAAGGGGAGAGGGTTAGACTGGAAGGGTGCCTCCATTTCTACAGTTGCTCAGCCCAAGGGCTGCCAGGAATCCAAGAATGACAAAGATTAATTTAAAATTTTTTTAAAAAAATTTAAAGGCTAATGTAAGCATGCTATCTTTTAAAAAAAATTTTGCTCTCAAGGAGTTTTCAGGCTGGCCAGAAAGGTAGAAAAATAAATAGATCCCATCTGTACAGCAGAATAGGGCTACTTAGGCCAGCCTGACATGCAGATGTAGGAACTGACTGCAAAGAATGAATATTTTATTTTGTTTTATTATTTTATTTTATGTTTTAGAGACAGGGTCTTACTTTGTCACCCTGTCACCCAGAGTTCAATGATGTGATCATGACTCACTGCAGCCTCAAACTCCTAGGCTCAAATGATCCTCTTGCCCCAGCCTCCCAAGAAGCTGATACAGGTGCATGCCACTATGCTCAGCTAATTTTCAATTTTTTTTTTTTTTTTTTTTTTTTTTTTTTTTAGAGACAGGGTCTCCCTGTGTTGCCTATGCTAGTCTCAAACTCCTGGCCTCAAGTGATCTCGCACCTTGACCTCCCAAAGTGTTGGAATTACAGGCATGAGCCACGGTGCCTGGCCAAGGATGAATCTTGTAAACTAGGAAAGAGGATGAAAGGATGAAAAAGATAAACTAGGAAAGAGGAAATTGAGGTCAGGGTTGGGGCGGGGAGGGCGGACAGTGGGAGGGCAGGGTGGAGAGAAAGAGTACTGGCTTGGAGAAGCCATGAGGCATGGAGCAGGAAGGTTTCCAACTCTGCAAAACTGGGCTCAAGGCCCTCCAACCATGCTCTCATTTCTTGCAAAAAAATAAAATAAAATCCTGTACATGCATCTGGAAACAAGTAGAGCCAAATACACATGTGTTTAACTGACACCATCACAGTGTAGGAAAGGAACCGATGCATAGCTTAGTGTTCTTGAAGCAAAAGTCCAAGGTGGAGAAAGTATAAGAAGTGCGTAGAGATGTTGGCACATCTCAGCAAAAGTCATCTCTTACACTAGGAGGTTTAGCCTTATTTGAGAAGTGACAGGGTTTTAAGCACAAAACTGACATGATTAGACTTGATTTCAGTTAGCAATATGGAGGAATTTCAAAAGCATTGAAGACTGAAGATGCAAAGAACCAGTTAGTAGGTAGTTATTATAATCCAGGTGAATGATAATAAGAGCCTGAGCTACATTAATTTGAAATCTCAAAATGAAGATGTCTGTATGCCTTGCTTGCCACATAGTAGGTGCTCAGTAAATAATTATTGAATGAATGAAGTCAATGGCAATAGGATTGGATAGAGAAAGGGTATGTTTTGGAAATATGAAGATTATGAAAATAAAATGTGGGACTGACAAGGTCTGAAGTCAGGGATAACTCCAGGATGTCTTTTTGAATGTCAGGCAGATGACGGTGTCAGTAACTAAAAAGGGATGTCTTCTGAAGGGGATATGATGAAACAAGTTGAGATGACTCAAAGGCAACAAAATATAACCCTAGAAAAGTGGGTATAATTTTTAGTTTGTATCAGAATACCTAGACCATTTGTAAAATGCAGATTCCCAATTCTCATTCCCAGATCTTTCAATTCACAAAAGATGGGATGAAGCCTGGGACTCTGCATTTGGAATGTGCATCCCAGGTGATACTAGGGAAGGGTGAGGACAACTTATTTTGAGAAATTTGTTTAAATCTAGAGCTTTGGTGAGAGGTTGGAAATATAGATTTGGGAATCATGACTTAAAGATAATAAAAACCAATACTGACTAACCACAATGTGACAAACTGTTCTACGCTTTTTACTGTATTGACAAACAGACTTCATGCCTCTCTCAGGTAGATATTATTACTCCCTGTATTTTACAGATCAGAAAACTGAACCATAGAGAGGTTTGTGAGTGGCAAGTGGCATATACAAGATTTGAACTTAGGCAGCCTAAGTTCAAGGCCAAAGCCTGTGTTCTTAACCATTATTCTATTCTAGTCCTTGATGTGCTGTATTACTTGTTGAGAGTAATTAATAGTGGCAAAGGGGATGAGATTGCCCAGGAAGATGTTATGCATGTGGGTCAAATACTGAATCCTGAAGAACATCAAATATGAGTGGCAGATGAAAGTAGAGGATTAGAAGAGACTAAAGAAAAGTCTGTGAACCCATACTGGACTCTTTAAAGATAACACAGAGAGTAAAACTGCAAAGAAACTCTTAATAAATATTTTTTCATAGTAACATTGATGATGAAAACATAAGTATTCTTAGGGACCCTGAAGGAATATTTCACTAAGGTATCATCTAATGGCACGCTGTGATGTTTCTTCATAATATTTTCAACTACACTGTATTTTTTTTAATTGCTGAAAATGGAGGAAGTAACCTGGAGACAATATAATTTACGTTAAGATTTTTTTAAGGAACAAAATGAATGTGTTTTACAGGTAGATGTTAAATAGTGGAAACCAATATGAAGAAAACTGCTTTTATTGCTGATGAGTTATCTATCTCCAACAATAATCAGCATTTGGAATGGGGATTTAAATTCTAGTCTTTTTTGTACAACTCATACTCATATCTCAACTGGATGAACTTGAAAATGCAATTGGTTTTCTTGGTATTTGCAAATACTTAGACCTTATTAATTTTTGGTGTCCACAATCTTTATATAGTCACAGAAACACACTTTAATCTCTTGAATTTTCCTTTATTTGTCAGCAAACATAGTCTGCTAGTACTGGCAAGAATGTTAAATTCACATTAGGAGATACAAAAATAAGGGACTTCTATATAACAATAAAACAATTTTCTGGCAATAATTTAGTCAATCATTGAAACAAATTTTGAAGACTATGGAACCATTTGCTCTGATTGCACGTTCCTTGGCTTTCTGAAATATATTTTCTGTCACTTTGTGGGTCCATGAATCCCTGGGTGCACTAAAAGTTTAAAGAAACAATCAACTTCTTTTTCATTATCCTGTCTCTACTCAGTCACAGGATGGCCTTGATTTATTTGTGTAGTGTAAAAGAATCTCTTTTTTCTCTTGAGGGAGTTCCATCTGAAAAGATATTCCTCATTATAACTAGTCACAAAAATACTTAGAGTAAGCAACTGTCTGAACCCCAAGGTAGAAAATACAGTATTTGTATAAAAGTCTGCCCCAGTCTTTGCTTTCTCCTCATCATGATTTACCTCCTGCTTTTGCCAGAAGATAAGTGATGAATGGGTGGTTTGACACAAGACATGCTATGTGGATGCTAGAAAGACAGGTAAATGCTTTTAAAAAACGTTTTGAACATAACCTGCCACTAAATCAGGAGATTTGGGGTGGGAGAGCAAGAATGCAGAAATGATATTAATACAGTGAGGAGTAAGACCCTGATTTCATCACAGAGATGAATGTAGATCTGCCGCAATTTGCAAATAACACATAATTATGGATAGTTTTTGTAATGCAAAAAATAAACCCTCTAATTATATATAGAACTGATTGTAGATAATGATAGTGATCTACTAGGAATAGATTAAAGGATTGAGACCATTTTTTTCCATCTCATTCAGACATTGAGGTTTTCTGCATTGACCTGTGGAAATGGCATTAATGAGAGACACTGAAGAGAGACTGTCTAGATGGTTGCAGGGGCTTGATTTACACATTTCCCAGCATCTTCCTTGTCAGAAGCCTTTGGGAATATGATTATTCTTAAAACCTCAGCAGGCCCACTAGCTAGTCAAGCAAATGAGAGAAAGGAAAAGGCCCTTCATTTGGATTAGTTTTGTATGACCCAGGGAAATGTTTTAGAACTTTGAAGATTCATCGGAAAACCTTATTTTTCCCTACTCCTACTTCCATGCTTTCTCCTCCCCACTTCTCTCCTCTCTTCCTTTCCTTTACTATTTCTTTTTCTTTCTTAATAGTGTATTCCTTGATCCTAAACAAGCCCTATCAGCTTTTTGTTTTTCTAGGTAAGTAATAAAAGACAGAAATATCTGAAAGTACTTGAAGCTCTCCAGAAAACAAATTCATCTAAAGAACCCCCAAATAGTACTATTTGTTTTCATGAGCTCTCATATTACTCCCTGATATAACAAATTATTCCTATTATCAAAATGGAACAGCAAATTTATGTGATGACCTTGGGCAAGAATAGTGTCTCCTTTACATAGAAAAATGAGATCACCTCCATTAAGCACAGTACTTAAGATCCCATGATGTCAGGTTTTCCTGGCTGCCACTGCCTCTGTTTTCCACTTTCTGCCTAGTGGAAAGAGGCAAGAATGACAGGATGCCTCACAGTTTGCTCATCTAATATATAGTTATTTCTCACAATGTGACCCTACCTCTGAACTTTGATGACCAAAATTGATGGATACTATAAATGGGAAAATATAAAGGTACTTAAAGGAAGGTAAGATTTCTGTATTTCATCCCAATTGGTAAAATATTGACACTAGTAGATTGTGATAAATTGTGTAACATGAAATAACTAAAGCAATCACTAAAAGAATTTATACAAACAGAGACACTCAAAAGCACTCAAGATAAACCAAAATAAAATTGTAAAATATATTCAAGTAACCTGCATGAAGACAGGAGGAAAAAAGCAGAGAACAAAGAACAGAGAAAACAAAGAGCAAACAAAAGCAACAACAACAAAAACAACAACAAACATGGCAGGCATAATCCTTAACCAAACAATAATCACATTAAATTCAAATTGGATAAATACTCCAAGTAAAAGACAGAGATTGGCAGACTGAGTTTTTTTTTTTTTTTTAAGAAAAACTATATGCTGCCTACAAGAAACTCACTTCAATACAGGAAGGTTGAAAAGATGGAAAAAATACCATGAAGATAGTAGTAAAAAACAAAACAGGAGTGATGTATTAACATCAGATAAAATAGAACTCAGAGCAAAGAAAATTATCTGGGACATTACATAACAATAAGTGTCAATCCACCCAGAAGATACAACAATCTTAAAATATATAGAACTGATTGTAGATAATGCACCAAATAACAGAGCTGCAAAATATGTGAAACAAAAACTAATACAACTGAAAAACAAATAGAAAAATCCATAATTATAGTTGGAAACTTCAGCACACTTCTCTCAATAACTAACAGAATGATTAGACAGATAAGTGGTTTATGGTAGAAAAAATTTACCAAAAATGATGATTATGAGGATCACAGAGATAAGAAACATTGAGGAGGAGCAGGTATTTGTAGAAGAGGGGGAAAGAGGGTGAGCTGGGTTTTGGGCAAGTTGAGATATTCAAGAACTGTCAAGGTACAGCTGGATGTCTGAGATGGTGAGAAGGATAGAAATAGACATTTGAAGTCACCTACGTATATGTGGTAATCAAAGCAATGAGCTCAGCTGAGTTTGTCAATAACATTTCATGTCTGTGTAGAAACAGGTTAGCCTACAAAGGTCAAATATCTTAGAGAAAACACAAGTATGTGTATGTTTGGAAAATTAAGGACATATTAATGCTATTCCTATCAAGCTACCATTGACTTTCCTCACAGAATTAGAAAAAATTACTTTGAATTTCATGTGGAATCAAAAAAGAGCCCGTTTAGCCAAGACAATTATAAGCAAAAAGAACAAAGCTAGAGGCATTATGCTACCTGACTTCAAACTATACTACAAGGCTACAGTAACCAAGACAGCATGGTACTGGTACCAAAACAGAAATACAGACCAATGGAAGAGAATAGGGACCTCAGAAATAACACCACACATCTACAACCATCTGATCTTTGACAAACCTGACAAAAACAAGCAATGGGGAAGGGATTCCCTATTTAATAAATGGTGCTGGGAAAACTGGCTAGCCATATGCAGAAAAGAGAAACTAGACCCCTTCCTTACACCTTATACAAAAATTAACTCAAGATGTATTAAAGACTTAAATATAAAACCCAAAACCATAAAAACCCTAGAAGAAAACCTAGGCAATACCATTCAGGAGATAGGCATGGGCAAAGACTTCATAACTAAAACACCAAAAGCAAGTGCAACAAAAGCCAAAATTGACAAATGGGATCTAATCAAACTAAAGAGCTTCTGCACAGAAAAAAAAAAAACAACTATCTCCAGAGTGAACAGGCAACCTACAGAATGGGAGAAAATTTTTGCAATCTACCTGTCTGTCAGATGGGTCTAATATCCAGAATCTATAAGGAACTTAAACAAATTTACAAGAAAAAAACAAACAACCCCATCAAAAAGTGGGTGAAGGATATGAACAGACACTTTTCAAAAGAAAACATGTATGCCGCCAACAAAAATGAAAAAAAAGCTCATCATCACCATTCATAAGAGAAATGCAAAACCACAATGAGATACCATCTCATGCCAGTTAGAATGGCAATTACTAAAACGTCAGGAAACAACAGATGCTGGCAAGGCTATGGAGAAATAGGAACACTTTTACACTATTGGTGGGATTGTAAATTAGATCAACCATTGTGGAAGACAATGTGGTGATTCCTCAAGGATCTAGAACCAGAAATACCATTTGACCCAGCAATCCTATTACTGGGTATGCACACATATGTCTATTGCAGCACTATTTACAATAGCAAAGAGTTGGAACCAACACAAATGCCCATCAATAATAGACTGGATAAAGAAAATGTGGCACATATACACCATGGAATATTATGCAGCCATAAAAAGAATGAGTTCATGTCCTTTTCAGGGACATAGATGAAGCTGGAAGCCATCATTCTCAGCAAACTAACACAGGATCAGAAAACCAAACATGGCATGTTCTCACTCATAAGTGTGAGTTGAACAATGAGAACACACTGACACAGCAAGGGGACCATCACACACTGGGGCCTATCAGGGGTTGGGGGCAAGGTGATAGAGAACATTAGGACAAATACCTAATGCATGTGGGGCTTAAAACCTACATGACAGGTTGATAGGTGCAGCAAACCACCACAGCACGTGTATACCTATGTAACAAACCTGCATGTTCTGCACATGTAGCCCAGAAATTAAAGTAAAAAAAAAAAAAAAAAAAAAAGAAAGGAAAAAAAAGGAAAATTAAGGGCATAGAGCATTTGTTTTTTTAGATGAGTCCTCAAAAGAATGCTGCTGGGCCAGGTGCAGTGGCTTATGCCTGTAATCCCAGCACTTTGGGAGGCTGAGGCAGTTGTATCACCTGAGGTCAGGAGTTTGAGACCAGCCTGGCCAACATGGCAAGACCCTGTCTCTACTAAAAAATACAAAAATTAGCCGGGCGTGGTGGTGTGTGCCTGTAATCCCAGCTACTCAGGACGCTGAGGCACAAGAATCGCTTGAACCTAGGAGGCGGAGGTTGCAGTGAGCCGAGATCACAACATTGCACTCCAGCCTGGGCAACAGGAGCAAAACTCCATCTGAAAAAAAAAGAAAATGACCACAGGATTTCTTGATACTGAAGTCATTAATGATCTTAGCAAGAGGAATTTAGTGGAAGAAAGGGATAAGAAGTCAGCTTGGAGTGGGTAAAGGAGTAAGTAGAAAAATGAAGAAATGGAGATGATAAGTGTAATAAAAAACTTTTTGTGAAATCTGACTATGAAGAAGAGACAGATGTAGCACAACAGGGTGACAGTGACAATAATCAATAATAATTTAACTGTATGTTTTAAAATAACTAAACAAGTATAATTGGATTGTAACACAAAGGACAAATGCTTGAGGGGATGGGTGCCTTATTTTCCATGATTAGATTATTACACATTGCATGCCAGTATCAAAACATTTCATGTACCCCATAAATATACACACCTACTATATACCCCCCCAAAATAAATAAATAAATAAGAAGAGAAAGATGTCAGGCTAAGTGGAGCTAGGGAGGGTTTTGATTAACTGATTGATCATTAGAGGTGTTTTATAATGTTGTGTTTTATTTTGTAATTTTTACGTATGTTTCTCTTTTTTTCTTTTTCTTTTTTTATTTCTTTGAGGGAGGAATACTAGGCAAACTTGTGAGCAAGAGGCTGAGGAAAAGAGAAGGTTGATTCTGTAACTTTTTGCAAAAAGAAGGAAAGGATGAAAATAAAAACAATGGCAAAGGGATTGGTCTTCCACAGGAGGAATGATGCTTGTTCTTAACAAAAAACAGGAGATGCATACCAACGTGATTTGATTGATTGTTTTGTAGGGAGAAATTCAGAGAGTTCTTCTCTAGTGTTTTTATCTTTCTTGATGCTCTTTCTTTGCTAAGTCACATTTATGGAAAATAAGAATGTAAGAATAATATTTGATATTCACAGATCAAGAAACAGTATTTTCTGTACCAAAAAGAGAAAAATATTATTCAAAAAGAGGGAAACTTTTATTTTAAATTCATTTATATAAAAATTCTTATAGTAGTATAAAAATTAAGGCATACTAAGTTTTTGTGTTTTGTTTTTGTTTTTCTCTTTTTAAAAACAGGACTGTGCCCTGTCACCCAGGCTGAGTGCAGTAGCATGATCATATCTACTGCAGCTTCAAACTGCTGAGCTCAGGTGATCCTCCCACCTTAGCCTCCTAGGCCACCAGGACTGCAGGCGTGTGCCATCACGCCCAGCTAATTTTTCATTTTTTCATTTTTGTAGACCCTTGTCCAACATAAGGTCTCACTATGTTGCCCAGGTTCACACTGACTTTTATAGGTAACTAACAATTATCTAATTGTCTTAATTAAAATTAAGAAAGTTACCTAATATTGGCACTGTCCTGGAAAATCAGAATGTGTGGGAACTCTTGGTTGAAAGTGACAAAAAACCCCAGCTAAAACAACTTATGCAGAAAGAAAATATTATCAGCTTAAATAACTGCAATTTTAGGATTAGAGGATGGTTCCAATATGCCTATATTCAAGGCTGTAAATGATGCCACAGAAACCTCAGCTCTGCCTTCAGCTATATTACTGCAGTCTTAGCTAAACTGCAAAATGGCAGCCGTGGAGTCTTGTTTTATTCTCTTGGATCCACATCTGTAAAGAAAATCTAAGCTATCTTTTCCAGAAAATCTAGCAAAATTTCATTGCATTTTATTGGCTTTAATCAGGTCATGTACCAATTCCTGAAATAATTACTGAGTTCAGGGAGGATAAGATGCATTAGACTTAGGTTTATGGTCACAATTGGAGGTGAGTGTTATGTCATGTGGTCTACAATAGGAATAGGTAGATTCCCAAGTTGCTGAGGAAGATCAAATTCTGATTGTTCAAAATACAATCAAATTAGTTAACAACTTCACTTTCCTGCCTAGTATATAGCCTTTGGAGAAAACGGTTAATAGATAGAGCCGATTTCTGATTTGAGTTTCCCTTCTGCTCCTCTTTACTATGAACTTGTCCTGAAGGTGCTGGAGCCCAGTGACATAACTGAAAGGAAGACATCAGATGGATGGATTTTGAACCATGGTGAATCGGTTGTAACAGTAACCAGCAGTTAATACAAGAAAAGAATTCTTAGAAGAAAAAAGGTAAGTATTTCTGTTTTTATTTGCCCTTGAACATACAGAGATCACTATGATTAAAAATGTAAAAAGATGTAATTTCAATATATTTAAACATAAATCCATCAGCATGCATTTTTCTGAGTAATGTCCTGATATAGTTCATTCCTATAATTAGTTTTTGTTGGCCACACTCATTAAGCATATTATATTTGGGCATATGAGGTAATCTCATTTACACGTAGTCAAATACAAAGTAAGATCTCTATGTAGTAAAGCTTATGCTCTGACCCAATGCAACAATATATACACTTCAGTGAAATCAGCTCTAGTAAACTGTGTGTTCCTCAAGAGCCCCAGTTAAGCATCATTCATGTCTGTGTTTCTTTTGCATAGCCCTGGGCTTAGGATGTAATAAGCATCAACGAGGGTTTGCAGATTTGATACTTTAGCGAGCCCTTCCTTTTAGATCTCTTCTAGGCACAGATATTTGAAGGATTCAAAAGCATCATCTCTCCACTGGATTAGGCTTTCAAAACATTTTGATTGGAATCCTGGAGATGGGGTACTGAGCAATAATACCCTTCCCTGTTTCGCTCCCTACCCTTATTTCAGTATATGTATTTCTTTCCTCTGAACTGCATGCTTCTTTCAGTACAGAAATTATACGTTAATTTATAAATTTACTTGTTCATTGGCTCATTTATTTATCCATTAAATACTTATTAATTGTCCTTTATATGTTAGGAAACGTAGCTGTGAAAATAAGTGAGATAAAATCCCATGAGAACACTTGGGGAAGGGTTGAACTTGGCATGCATGATGGCTTCTTCATATCCATTCCTGTCACAATACCCAGCAAAGGATATGGTGTTAGAAATGTTTATTTAACTAACTGATTCAGTAGAGTTGTACCAAATGTAACTCTACTCGGTAGGCTTACTATGTACAGATGCTAAATCAAATCACAAAATATATTATTTTTTTCACCCTCCTCAGTTAACAACTAAATGATGACTACCATTTATTCAAACCTATCATGCAGGAACCTTGCATGTATTACTTTTTAGAAAACATTACAACAGCCTTATAAAAGTCCTCATTTTATATAGGAGGGCACTAAGACTAGAAGCAGCTCGAAAAGTTTTACCCATTAAGCAGCATAGCTAGTATCTCAACTCTGGTCTGAGAACGAAGCCCATGGTTTTATTCTTTGCCGCCTATTGGCTCCAAAACTCTCTTGAAATATTTGCCTCTTCATTCCCTAAATTCCAAAAGGCAGAACCCTAATTTCAGCACCTCCCTTTTCTCTTGCTGCCCTTAATGAACCTTAACTTTTGCCAATAGAAGCTCAACACCTCAAGCTCAATAGAAATTTGTGTGTCTGGTCATGTCAATAACCATTGATCTTCTGCAGTAAAAGACTCCATGTTCATCTCTCTTTTGAATAGATGGGTCATTCAGCCACTATTTTATACATTCTCTGTTATCCCTTCACCTGTCTGGGCTCCATGGGAAAAGAACAAGTGCTTTCAGCAATGCTAGGGCAGGCCTCCCTTGGTTTACAGTTTCCCGGCCTGAGGCAGGTGATCAGCCAGTGAACAGAAAGTCACCAGGGGCATCTCCTGCTCAGATGGGAATCCCATTCTTGTGCACAATAGGCTCTTTGAACTCCAAATGTTCATGATTCTTCTCACTCTTTAAAGGTCCAAATGTGTAAACATCATCAAGAGAGCTTTGTTCTCATTGTTCTTTTACACACAGAATACCTATATTTTGCTCTTGTTTATGAAACCTATTTCTGTTGCATGTTCTTACAGCCACAATGAGGACCTTTTCATTTTGAAGTATTATCTCAGGGCTGTAGTGGAAGCAGATTCAGCTGAAAACCAGGCTTATTGTAAAGAGTATAAACATGAGCTCCCAAAGTGTGGTTGCTAGGGTATCATCACAATAAAAAACATCCACATAGGGCTTATTGCCAGAAGATAATCAAGGACCAAGCTGATGGGAAAAAAAAAATAGTTGCCAGCGGTTCCATTGAGAGGTGGTGTCTGAGGTCAATGTCAGTGAGCATCTTCATCATTGCTTTTTTGAAAGGTTAAAGTTTCCCAGTCTGTATGCGGGAATGAACAAAAAAATGTATACCCTGAAACAATAACATGCAGAGACAAGATAGCGTCAGAAAGATAAAGCCTCTTCAGCTGCGTTTCCTGACAGTCCTGCCCAGCAGGACACTTCCACCTCGAACCTAGAGCTGGGTTTCTAAAGGATAATTATACCAAGTGATGTCATGATGGATGGCTTCTTTCCAACAGCTTCATGGCTTATCTTTTGGGACAGGGAGTTAAGAGAGATAGCAGGCCGTGAACCGTTGTCACCGTATGACTGGGGCAGAGGGAGACAACAGGTTAAATGTTGGCGTTCTAATTCATCTGGGAGTGCAGGGCCTGGGTCCCTGCTTTGGAGTCCTCTGAAATCAATCCTTCATTAATGCCACTTCTTTAACAATACAAACATCGGCCAGGTGCAGTGGCTCACACCTGTAATCCCAACACTTTGGGAGGCCGAGGTGGGTGGATCAGCCGAGGTCAGGAGTTCGATCCCAGCCTGGACAACATGGCCAAACCTTGTCTCTACTAAAAATACAAAAATTAGCTGGGTGTGGTGGCAGGCGCCTGTAATCCCAGCTACTCAGGAGGCTGAGGCAGGAGAATCACCTAAACCCGGGAGGCAGAGGTCGCAGTGAGCCAATATCATGCCATTGCACTCCGGCCTGAGTGACAAGAGAGAAACTCCATCTCAAATAATAATAATAATTATAATTATAATTATACAAATATCAATATATGATCAACTTCACTTATGTATGCAATTTTTAATCCAATTCTTTTGTAGCACTTGCTAAATACTAGAGAACGTTCAAAGCGTATTACATATATTTACTAATCTAATCACTCCTATGATGTAGGTAGTATCATTATTCCTATATTATAAACTAGGAAACTGAGCACAGGGGGGTGTGGTGACCAGTGCAGGTCACATGGCTGATGAGTGGTAAAGCCAGGACTCCACCTGGACCCTGGAGTCTGTCCTTGGCCTTTTCTTTTAACTCACACTGTTGCCTTTTCTGACCATTTTTTAAAAATTATTATTCTTTTAAATACTTTTTTAGGCAAAGCTTTTAAAAATAAATCATTTATTAACAAAAATTCAGAATCATAAGTTTTCATTATAGGATACCTTAAACTTGATAATTTACTTTTTACATTTAAATCACATGTCATTAATGCTTTCAGTCATAGGTGAAGTAGCATTTTTTTTTTTTGAGACGGAGTCTCACTCTGTTGCCCAGGCTGGAGTGCAGTGGCACCATCTCACCTCACTGCAAGCTCCACCTCTTGGGTTCACCCCATTCTCCTGCCCCAGCCTCCCGAGTAGCTGGGACTGCAGGCGCCAGCCACCACACCTGGCTAATTTTTTGTACTTTTAGTAGAGACAGGGTTTCACCGTGTTAGCCAGGATGGACTCGATCTCCTGACCTCGTGATCCGCCTGCCTCAGCCTCCCAAAGTGCTGGGATTACATGCGTGAGCCACTGCGCCCGGCAGCTTATTCTTTAACAATAGCAAAAGAGTTGGCCTCCTGATATTCTTAGCTCATGCTTCTCAAACTGGAGTGTACGTATCAACGTGTGTGTTTGCAGCCAGCTCATGGGAAATACGAGGTACATCTCTCAAGAGTATCCACATTTATGTGAAGATTTCAAGGAAATTACGTGAAATCAAATCTGAATATTTATTACAAGGCAGAAGGAAAAATGAATAAGATGAAAGAGGAGAAATCCAAGAAATGTTGGGTTTACAGCAGTAAGTTGGAAGACTAGCCTGAGACTGAGGGACTCTGGGTTTGTGTTCATGACCCCCTGCCATTTTAAACCACTTTGGTTGAAAAGTCTAGCGGGATGTGGTGGCTCAGGCCAGGTGCAGTGGCTCAAGCCTGTAATCCCAGCACTTTGGGATACTGAGGTGGGCAGATCACCTGAGGTCAGGAGTTCAAGGCCAGCCTGGCCAACATGGTGAAACCCTGTCTCTACTAAAAATACAAAAATTAGCTGGACATGGTGGTACATGCCTATAATCCCAGCTACTCAGGAGGCTGAGACAGGAGAATTGCTTAAGCCTGGAAGGTAGAGGTTGTAGTGAGGAGAGCATGCCACTGCACTCCAGCCTGGGTGACAGAGTGAGACTCTGTCTCAAAAAAAAAAACAAAAGAAAGAAAGAAAAAAAGAGTCTAAGAAGCAATTAAAAAAAATTCAAGTGCCATTTGTATAAAGTTTCACAAGACTTTTTATGTTGTTTTCCTCAGAAATATTTATAATTTTTAGCACTTTTGTAATTTGAGGGAACGACTAGAATTAAATGGTGAAAATAGAAAAGGAGCTTCTGATGTGAGTGCCATAAGCAATGTATTTTACAAAGTGTGTGAAGAGAAATGAAAAACAAACTTCTTTATTTGAGAGAAAGAAAGGAAGGAAAGAAAGAAAGAGAAAGGAAGAAAGGAAGGAAGGAAAGAAAGAAAGAAAAGAAAAGGAGGGAGGGAGGAAGGAAGGGAGGGAGGGATGGGGAGGGAGAGAGAGAGAGAGGGAAGGGAGGGAGGAAGGAAGGAAGGAAGGAACGAAGGAAACAGAAAATAATTTACTCTTCCCATATTTAGCTTAGTCATCTCTTAGGGACCACCGTGTTCTCTGAACCATCTCTGTGGGCACAACATTATCTCAGGCACTGTGGGCAGCTTCCAGGGAAAAGAGGAGACATGCTTTTAACCCATTAGCAGCTTCCAAGAAAATGATGCAGATGAAATGAACATAATCTATAATGCCTGGAAACACAAACAAACACATATGTATATAGCAGCTGAGGATTGCTTTGTTTTGGTAATATGATTACATATGTGTAAGAAAGAAATTATAGGGTCTAGGTCTATTCATTTGGTGCTTCAGTCCCCCATAGATGTAACACACACCAATTCAAATAGGTAGGCTTATGCATGCCCCCTGTATATAAAGCGTCTGTCTATCTTCACGTAATAAAGCAAATATAGACAAAGGCATTCTCTAAACCAAAGGAGTTTGGGCTGTTTGGAGATCCTGTTATTAGGTCACAGGAATAATTCAGGTTAAATTTTCACAGTCCCTCTATAAGTGAACCATTGAATACATAAAGCATTGAACACACAAGGGCTGTTGGCTTTGATGGTTGGCAAAGTCCACACACCCAGCTCTACCTTTCTTTGCACCACCCTACCCTGCTACATTTTCAAATCCACAGGCAATGTTGAGTGAAAGCTTACTCAACACTGCAGGCACCCCAGGAGTTATCCTGGTGAAATACATAAATGTTCTGTCCTTTCAGATACAGCAAGACTCTTTCAGATTTTAGTGGCTAAAATATAAAGTTTGTAGCCAGTCTTGGGGAAACCTCAACTTCAAACATGAGACAAAATTCAATTCAAGAATCTAGCTTTGCCAAGTTTCTCACTCTATCTGTTTGACATCTTGGTCTTGTCCTTCATCAGGCTTTACTTAAAAAGTAAAACTGAATAAAAATTGATTTCACAATCAACAAAACTTAGCCACTCTCCTGATGTGTTACTTAGCTTAAAAACAATTCTAATTCAGTTCTATAATATAATTATATAACTTAATTAGGTAATTCTACTTTTCAGGCAAAAGTATAACCTAATAAAATCTTCTCAAATTTTATACTCAACAAATCCATGAAGCACAAAAAGGGCCAAACATTTTCTATTACAAAAAAAAGAATAGTTTTTTAAGAATCCATTGAAGACTCCACAATTATACTTTTACATAAATTGACTAAAAATTTTTCCCCAAATCAGAAAGTCGAAATCCAAGAAACTATCAACAAATATACTTTAAAAGGAACAAATAAGTTACTATGCAAAAGAAGCAGAGACTATGTTCAAGAGAAGCATAAATATTCAAATATTTATTTTTTCAGATTTTGTTGGTCTGAATAGCTACTGAGTTTTATACTAATGTCTTTAAATCTGTTACTATGCATAACATTCTACTTGTGGCATGTTTTAAGACACTCTTTGGTCATGTTTTTGCACATTTATAAAATAACAAATTCAGTGTTATTACTCAACAAACTCATAACATAACTGATCTTGTAAAAACGTCATCACTGATGGGAAAGATCCATGCCTACGTTATGACTAAGGGAAGCAGCCCAGTAGCCTCCGGGAGCAAGCAGCTATATGCATCATCGGGTGCATTTGCAAGGTTGGAATTCAGAGCTTTTGCAACAGGCTTCATCCAGGAGGCAGGAAAATAGCATGGGTGTGACTTGGGAAAAGAGCTCCAAGTTAACTGTGGGAAGCCATGGGAAGCCGTGGGAAGGCCACTTGGTTCCCATCTTCTCCCTCTTTCCTGCACTATATCTAAACAAACCTTTTGACAACCGGTAAACTGGGAATTTTGACTGTAGGATCCACAGTTCTAAGATATTTAAAATCTTCCCCTTTTGCAAGGGAAATTATTCAGCTCTGAAAAATTTAGTAGGCTGTTTGGGGGCTGGGTTCCTAGGGAACTTAACTGTTTTAAATAATGCTCTTTGACCTCTAAGGAACAGAGACCCACTTTACTTCAGGGCAGGGCTTGGGTGTTACCTGAAAATATCCACACAGACCAGAATGGATCAGAAGGTCATAAGGCCCTAGATGTTCCCCAGTTTTAGGCCCTGGTCTCTCTCCTTTGATCTCTTTCATGTCCCCTGTCTCATGACCTCTCTGACTCAGTATCTCTCGGTGACATCACTTTCTTCTTCTTTTTTTTTTTTAACCTTTTATTTTAGGTGCAGGTTTGTTACGTAGACAAACTGTGTGTCTCGGGGGTTTGGTGTACAGATTATTTCGTCACCCAGGTAATAAGCTTAGTACCCGGCAGGTAGTTTTTGATCCTCGCCTTCCTCCCACCCTCCACCCTCAAGTAGGCCCCGGTGTTTGTTGTTCCCTTCTTTGTGAAAGACATTCTTTTCTGACCAGCTTTTTCTCTCTTTTCTATGCCACGTCATAACTTCATCTTGCACGTGGCTTTGGCTTACGTGAGCCTGTGGCAATTTGACAGCTCCAATAAAATTACTTCCTGGCAATTCATTCCTTGTTGTTGAGTCCAAATTGCCAAAGGAAAGACTCTGGTTGGCCCAGCTCATCTTTGTGTGCCAGCTCCTGAGTATGTGATGGCAAACCTATGTGCTGGCTGTCTTGAGGTCAGGCTTCTGAAATCTCTGTGCGTGTGTGGGGTGCAGCTCATGAGTTTACAGAGCAAAGACTACAGATGGAGCACACTCCCCAGAAAGGCCTGTGGCCGGGCCGAAAGTGGCCAGTATCTCTAGGAAACTTTATTTTTAATATGCTCTTGGCTCTTTATTAAAATATTCAGCTTTTCATTCAACACATTTTTATCAAGCAATCTCAATGAGTCAGATACAGGGGAGACATCAAAATTTGAGGGGCAGGCTGGGCACGATGGCTCATGCCTGTAATCCCAACAGTTTAGGAGGCTGAAGCAGGCTGATCACTTGAGGTCAGGAGTTCGAGACCAGACTGACCAACATGGTGAAACCCCGTCTCTACTAAAAATACAAAAATTAGCTGGGCATGGTGGCAGGCACCTGTAACCCCAGCTGCTCAGAGACGGAGGTAGGAAAATCGCTTGAACCCAGGAGGCAGAGGTTGCAGTGAGCCGAGACCACGCCACTGCACTCCAGCCTGGGCAGTCAGCCTAAGCAAGACTCCATCTCAAAAACAAACAAACAAACAAACAAACAAACAAACCAAAAAACAAATCGAGGGGCAAATGTGGCTTCTTAGAACAATTTCCCCGGTGACTCCCTGAGATGCAAGTCTTATCCCCCAACAGACTTGTGAAGGGTCAGGCATTTAACCCTCATCATTTGCAGGATGTTTTTGCTTGACAACGCTATGAAATTTATTTATTCTGTCAGAATGGAGGAAAGATGTTTTTAAATACATAATCTCCACCTCTACGTAAAAATCTGGCTTGTATCTTCACAGCACAAAATTCAACATTGGACACCCCCTCAATAGTTTTGGAGGATCTATATCACTTCAATTTCTGAAATGATTTAAATATGAACATATATTTATATATAAATAGAATCACACTAAGATATACATAAAAGCAAATACAGGTGCCAAGGCAGGAAAGGCGGAGGCAGATGGTGTATGGAGAGGAGAAAAGGGGATCCATGTGAAGAGTGATGCTTTCTTATTTAATAAATTCTGAGAGTCCCAGGTTAAAGTCTTGCCATGTTTGTTTGCTTGTTGCTTATTTATTTGGTTGCCATGTTTGTTTTGACTCTTTTTACTCTTGGCAGATACTCAAGCAGTGAAAGATCTGCTTAAGCAGCCCAAAAGCTGCATAAATGCTTTAAATACACCTGATAAATGCTAGCTACACCTGGATTTTTTACTGAAGCAGTGAAAAAGATCTTTCGCTGCCTCAACCAGGTGACCAAGGTCAACATCCACAGCGTAAGTCATGTTCATGGTGTGCAGCCTTGATAAATGGGGTAGCAACAACCCTTCACTTTGTGGTCTACCCTCCAAAGACCCAAAACCCCAGTCTAAACATGAGAAATACATCAGATAAATCCCTGCCGAGGATCATTCTAAAACACACCTGACCAATGCTCCTCAAAACAGCCAAGGTTATCAAAAGCAAGAAAAGTCTGAGAAACTCACAGCCATGAGGGCCCAAGGAGACACAACGACTAAATGTTAAGTATGGAATCTTAGATGCGATTCTGGAGCAGAGAAAGGACATTGGTAAACTTTAAAGATATATGAATACAATATGGGCTTTAGTTAATAATAATTTAACAATATTGGTTCATTAATTTTAACAAAAATACCCCATTAAGATCAGATGTTAATACTAGGGAGCTTGGGTATGAGGTATATAGGAACTGTCCATACTATTGTTCTAATTTTTCTGTAAATCAAAAACTATACAAAAAAGAAATTTATTTAAATAATTAATACACTAGTACTACTTAGAAAAAGGAAAGAAAGGTTTTTATGTAAATTTTAATAGGGTAGTGCTGATGTTATGCTTGAACTTCAGAGATTCTCTTGTAAATTCTCTAGAGTTATGCTACCTTATACATTCTTATTGCTCACAGATTCTGGATATTTAAAAAAGAGAGAGAAATGGGGAGTGGATATTCCTTAGGGAATAAGAGGCCTTAAAATTGAATTTAGTGGCAAGATCAAATCTTTAAGACTAGGCTTCACTTTTTAAAATAGTGCAATAATTTTTATTATGCAATAACAAATGTTGTAAATATATGAAAAGGGAAAAAAAACCCAGTGCCCCTATATAGCATATCATCTATTTTCTTTTTTTATTCCATATTTCTTCCCACTCACTGCAATTATAATACTGATGAAATTGAGCATTCAGATTTTTACACTAAAATTTTATTGTAACATTTTTCTAGGTTATTTCGTATCTTAAAATTTTCACTTTAAAGTTCTGGATAATAGTCCACTGAGTGGTTATACCATAATTTAGCTGAACAATTCCCTACTGCTATTTTAAATAACCATTTCTACCACAGAAGAATCAAACTCTCCCCTACCCTTCCTGTGTCCCCAACTGAGAGCTGAGATGTGACTATGGTACATTTATTCCTTGGAAAAACATGCAGTGTCTGAACTCTTGACCTGTACTGTACCTCCTGCCAGGGTCCCGGGAGGAGGTGTGCAGCTTTGAGGCTGCTCAGCAGTTTTTGGGCTGAAGAGTTTCTGCTCTGCCATTCTGGAGCTAGACCAGGCTTTGCCTTTCCCTTCCTAGGTTGTACAATGCTTCCCTCTAAAATCAAAGTTATCTGGCCTTAGGCATTTAAAATACATCCCCCTGCTCAAAAAAGAGAAGATGAAGTTTGCTGTTCTTAATTTTAGGCACTGCATGTCTTAAAAGTGAAATCTTTTCATAGACAAGCACTCAACAAAGGGAATAATAACAGGTGAGGGAGGCAGAGCTGATCATCAATCATAAAGCTGCAGTGTCTGGAAAAGTGGAGGTCATGCATTATTTGTAAGATGTCATCACATTACGATCATCTCTGAAGCCTGTCAACTCCAGAGAAATAAATGCTAGCTGCACCTGGCCTTTACTCCTTGTGTGTACGTGTGTTTAAATCACAAGTGACTAAATGAGATTTGTTTTTCTTCTTAACGTCACTGCAGAAGTACAAGCTCAAGTTTGGTCTTGCCACAGTCAAAGAAAAGGAAGTGGATTTATCACAATTTTTTAAAAAGGTGTTCTATGGCAAAAAGCACAGGACAGCAGGGAGTTCACCCCAAAATGTGTAAGAGCACCCTTCACCAACTCATAAAAATGGTCACTGCATTGGCAGAACTTACGTTAGGAAGATGAAAAGCATGAGTAATGTTCTTGTCAAAAAGGGAAGTTCTGGACTATTCCATACAAACAGGCAATAGAAAGAGGCTGGAGCCGTGCTGATCAGCCTCATGAATAAACATTTGTGAGGTCAGGCCCAGTGTGGAGACAGACAGGTCCTTTCTTTGTGAACTGGAGTTGACACATCCAGCCCCATGGCTCATCCCAAGAAAGAATGGAAGCGCCCAGAAAACTGAGATGAAGCAGATATGTCCCATAGGTCACCTCTGACCCACCTCGGTGACGATGACCGAGAGGCACACAGGGAACCGTGTGTCATGTGGGCAGACAGGCCCATGATCTGCTACCCTGGGTCAGGCTTTTACATCTTGTGCAACACTCCTGGATGAGGGGCCTACAATATATTGGGGCCTTTTTACAGTTACACACAAAAATAGCTTTTTTTTTTTTTGAGTTGGCCTAATGTACTTCCAGTAGGAATCCCTTGTATGTCCATAGGCCTCAATCCATCATTTGAGAATTTAAAGTCTTGAAAATCTCATGCATCCTTTTCCCCCTGTAATTTTTGTCCTTGTCATATTTTCCTGTTTTCAGATTATTGCTGTCTTTTTAAAATGCTGGTAACATTTCTATGTTTAAGAGAATAAAAAGCAGATGACTTATAATTCATTTTGTGCAGTTTAGTTGGTCTTGTACTCCCAAACCTTCTCTTCTTCCATAGGAAATCAATCTGGTGTTCAAGAACCTGCTTGATTCATAGTCTAACTCAAACTTTAGTCAAATCCAGTGAATCAGGCTCCAAAGCAGGTTTAGCAATGTGGAAAAGGCTGCATTTTTATTTAACTTTTCAGAAAAATTAGTTAGTGAGTTCCCAGGGCACTGCGCCTACTTTATCCATCTTTGTGTTACTCATAGGGCCTAGCTGAGATCCTTGCCTACAATAGGAGGTCAGTGGTGTCTATTAAATGTGTTGAATAAGGTAGACAAAGAAAAGGAGATAAGTTAAGAAGCAAATATAAAGAAGGTTAAAAACAGAAATCCAACACAATGTTTTTAAAGGTGGGTCCTCATGACTCCCTCTCGTCCCATGCTCTGTGGGGGCTGGGGGCTGGCTGCAGGGTAGGGGGAGCCTGACACTCCTACCACAGACTCCACTTCCTGTTTCTGACTACCTGGGCTGGGTGCAGGGTGCTGGGAAGGAGGGCAAGGCTTAGGGGTTGGGAGTCAGATAAAGCAGGACTAAGGAGTTGTGTGAATACAGGAAGAGCCCTCTGATCACAAGTCAGCTTCAGGGCATCAGCCTTTGGAAGGTGATGATGACATTGCCAGGTGGAAGCAACCTTGCACCAGGGCACACACCTTGCCTGAGGAGGCTGGGCGGGCTTTGAGCCCATGTGTCTACTCTGAAGGGCTTCTTTATATAGTGTTCAATGGCACAATCATGTGTGACAGACCGTCTAGGCCTCATGTTAGAATGTGTCCAATAACAAAGGATGGAAGTTGGAGGGAAGTCAGGCAGTTATGGCAGTCAACACCAACCGCTCACGCAGAGGACCCTGCTCAGCTAAACAGGTTGCTTCGAGTGTCACTTAATGAGCAAGTTCACCCAAAAGAGCCCTCACAGGGAGCTACACCTGAGCCTGCTGAGCCAGTATTCTGTCTTCTAAAGTACCAAGTGGTCCTAAGTTCAGAGACTGGAAGCAGGTACCCAAGACCCTTAGTTCTACTGGGACACAGAGCTCTCACCCCATGTGGGTCAAGTGGGTGCAGTGTGAAATGTGAGTTTTTCCTCCTTTACTGAAGGGCTAGATGGTTTTCCAGCAGCATTTCTTCAGGTCGAGAACCTACTGACTCCCCACCAAACAGGCATTGTTGACTTCCCTGGAGAGTGGGTATTAAGTAGGAAGGCAGCCCAGGTGCGGTGGCTCACACCTATAATCCTAGCACTTTGAGAGGCCAAGGTGAGCGGATCACCTGAGGTCAGGAGTTCGAGACCAACCTGGCCAACATGGTGAAACCCCATCTCTATTAAAAAATACAAAAATTAGCTGGGCGTGGTACCACATGCCTGTAATCCCAGCTACTACTCCGAAGGCTGAGGCAGGAGAATCACTCGAACCCAGGAGGCAGAGTCTGCAGTCAGCCGAGATCACGCCACTGCACTGCAGCCTGGGTGACAAAAGCCAAGATTGAGACTCCATTTCAAAAAAGTACGAAGGCAGTGGGGTTGATGCATTGCAAGGACAAGATTCTGAGGAGAGGACTCTTCTAGCAGCGAAATGTCCTGCTCATATGCTGACCCATGCCTTCAGCCTTACACACAAGACAACTTGTCCAGGAAGCCCAAGGGATTCTAATGATAATTCATCTTGTAGCAACTCCCTGAGGGCTCCTCTGAACTGTGCCTGCAGCGCAGTGGATCTAGATGCTGAGTGGAAAGGCACTCCACTTAGGGATATACTGACTGCCCAGTGGCTGCCACCCTAACTCAGCCATTTGTATTTAGAGCTTGCTCTTAGCTCTTGGCTATTGCTGAGCCATTTGGCACAGACATATTGACAGACACTTCTATTAGCTGTTTAAAGTGACACATGTACTCACCACTGGCTATTTGACAGGGGAGAAGCAAATATGGCATGTGGAAGTGGAAACACTCTCAGATCAAATTTAAATCTACAGTATTTACTGAGCAAGTACTCCTATTTTGGGAATTTGGAGAAATTCTGGGTTTTTGAGCTTTAACTAAAAGCCGTAGGAAGGAGAGAAGTTAGCACCCCTGCACCCCCCCACCCCAGGCCCCATTCTTCCATCTCTATTGTGCCTGTCACACCTTTGGGGTGTGGACACTGCATGGCTCCTGCTGGGCAGTTGCACTCACATCTATCCATATAACCTAGACTTGGGACTTTTCAAATAAACATGTCAGAGGAGGCTAAACTCTATTAATAGTGGAAGACAACTTATTTCTTTGAACATAGGGCTGTGAGCTATTAATCAAGATGAAGAATCTCATATTCTTTTTTTAAAAAAGCTGTGATTGAGACTACAACACACTCCATAATCAATGTCTTTGTCTGGAGTAGAGCTCTAAGTATTCTCTTTTTTTTTAGTATTTTATTTTATTTTTCCATAAGTTATTGGGGTACAGGTGGTATTTGATTACATGAGTAAGTTCTTTAGTGGTGATCTGTGAGATCCTGGTGCACCCATCACTCGAGCAGTATACACTGCACTGTATTAGTTGTCTTTTATCCCTCGCCCCACTCCCACTCTTTCCCCCAAGTCCCCAAAGTCCATTGTATCATTCTTATGCCTTTGCATCCTCATAGCTTAGCTCCCACTTATCAGTGAGAACATACAATGTTTGGTTTTCCATTCCTGAGTTACTTCACTTAGAATAATAGTCTCCAATCTCATCCAGATCATTGCAAATGCTGTTAATTCATTCCTTTTTATGTCTGCTTAGTATTCCGTCATATGTATATATACCACAGTTTCTTTATCCACTAGTTGATCAATAGGCATTTGGGTTGGTTCCATGATTTTGCAATTGCGAATTGTGCTGTTATAAACATGCGTGTGCAAGTATCTTTTTCGAATAATGACTTCTTTTCCTCTGGGTAGATACCCAGTAGTGGGATTGCTGGATCAAATGGTAGTTCTACTTTCAGTTCTTTAAGGAATCTCCACATTGTTTTCCATAGTGGCTGTACTAGTTTACATTTCCACCAGCAGTGTAGAAGTGTTCCCTGTTCACCACATCCACGCCAACATCTACCGTTTCCTGATTGTTTGATTATGGCCATTCTTGCAGGAGTAAGGTGATAGCACATTGTGATTTTGATTTGCATTTCCCTGATCATTAGTGATGTTGAGGATTTTTTCATATGTTTGTTGGCCATTTGTATATCTTCTTTTGAGAATTGTCTATTCATGTCCTTAGTCTACTTTTTGATGGGATTGTTTATTTCTTACTGATTTGAGTTCGTTGTAAATTCTAGATATTAGTCCTTTGTCAGATGTATAGATTGCGAAGATTTTCTCCCACTCTGTGGGTTGTCTGTTTACTCTGCTGACTGTTCCTTTTGCCGTGCAAAAGCTTTTTAGCTTAATTAGGTCCCAGCTATACTAGACATTGGCTTAGGCAAGGATTTCGTGACCAAAAACCCAAAAGCAAATGCAATAAAATGTAAGTATTTCTGTTAGCTGTTCATCTCTTTAACTTCTCTTTCGTGAAGGCACAGTGATGGTGCATAGCAGGTGCTTGTTTGAGTTTGGGTTCCTCTGAAAGCAGGGTTAGGATACAGGTTTGCAGGCAGGCAGTTTATTTAGAGATGTGCATCTACTGTATACTGGGTGTTTTTGCTTATCTCATCTCATTCAGTGTTCACAACAACATAGAAAGGATAACAATGACAGGCAAACTTCAAATGACACTTCTAAGCAGCTCACAGATACTCACTCCAACAATAACATTATGCAGTAATGTAACCGCAGTAACCACCAACAATATTGAGTACCCTCACTTAATAAAGACACAGAGAGGTTAGGAAACTGCCTAAGCTTTCGCAGCCAGTAAATGGCATGGTCAAGACCAAATCCAGGCAATCTGGCATCAGAGTTTTTGCTCTTAGCTGCAAAGCTCTACTGCCTCTGAATTATGGACTACTAGGTTTGTTTTATCGATGAAGAAACTGAGGCTCAGTGTACCATATATATTTGCATTAACTGTCTGGCCACAGACTCTTCTATCAAGCACTCCTAGTGTCCTGGTGGCCTGTGGGGTCATACTTTGTGTCACATGGTCCTGTCCCTCCCTCCCTGTCCTCTTCATCGGGACTTAGGTGATTAGAGGAGAGGTAAAAGGAAAAAGCAGCCATATGCTGCTAGCAACTTTTGATTTATGGAATGGTATTAAAAACAAAGTGACCTGAGCCAGTAATCATATCTCTTAGAAAAACTGAAAAGGGACAAGGACAATTTTAATTAAAGAGAAGTCAGAGAGGTAATTAGAGCAGACAGAGGGAATGGACCAGAGCCACATTAATCACAAAATGGTAGTTTCACAAGCCCCAGGGGCCTCTAGTGTTGTCCTGAATCCAGTATAGCTCCAGTCCCAGGCTCACCAAGACCCAGAAGCACTTTGTTTTCTGTTCCTGGTTTTCCCTGAGATTTGCCTTCATGTGAATCTCTACGTAAACTCTCTTGATCTGAACTCTCTGCTCCTTATTACCAAGCTCCACATCAAAACCACTATGTAGTTAGTAGTGGAACCACATTTATCTGACTCAAAGTCCATGGACTTTCACAGCCTTCCATCTGGACCAAGGAGAACAGTGCGTCTAGCCTGATATTTTGTGATTATAGTCCCAGGTGCATTTGAAAGTGGAAAGGGGCCAAGGTGGATGGGATGTGCAGCCAAGTTTAACAAATGCTAAGTGGACACAGCACATTATCGGTAACACAAGTATCTTAACACAGGAGAAACACTAAAGGTGAAGAGAGTTTCCTTGAAGTGAGGGTCCCTTTACCCTGGGCTCAGACTGGAGGAGCTCTGCTCAAGGAGTACTTGTGGGTCATCTCAAGTCTTGGAGAAAGTGAGTATGGCAATATTTCAAAATAATATAAGTATGGCAAGCTTTCAGCCTTGTCTACTCCCTTATTGCAATAAAAACAAAATTTGGTGTTATTCCTTAACTTCCTATATTCCTAAAAAAAAACCACATAAATTTTTCTGCTTATAATAGCAATGTGTGTTTGTTGTATTCCTAAACTGTTTACTTTCTTTCTTGGTTGATTTTTCTAGTTTTTTTTTGGTTATTTTGTTTTGTTTTGTTTGAGACAGAGTTTCACTTTTGTTGCCCAGGCTGGAGTACAATGGCGCAATCTTGGCTCACCGCAACCTCCACTTCCCAGGTTCAAGCAATTCTCCTGCCTCAGCCTCCCAAGTAGCTGGGATTACAGGCATGTGCCACCGTGCCCAGCTAATTTTGTATTTTTAGTAGAGATGGGGTTTCTCCATGTTGGTCAGGCTGGTCTCAAACTCCCAACCTCAGGTGATCCACCCACCTCAGTCTCCCAAAGTGCTGGGATTACTATCATTCTATATTGTTATTTCCCCTTTCTCTTTTTATCTTAAATTTTAATTATATTTCTTATTATTTTTCCATTCATTTTCTTTGGATTTTTAATTGTTTTATATCACCTCTAATCTGTCATTTGTTATTACTTTATAAAATGACAGGAGGGAACCATAGTTGGAAAGAGGCCAATTGTAAACACAGTCCTCTCAAGTATCCCATGAAGAGAACTATTCTACAGGAGTGATATTTCTCCTTCCTATTGATTCTTCTAACATTAGTCCTTAGAAAAAGGTACAATATAATCATATATAAGCTTTATAGCCAGATTTGCAGAGTTCGGCATTCAATCTTTCTGCCTCCGACTTGTCTGTGACTGGTCTGATTAGCTCCTTCCAGAAAAGTTACAGGAGAACAACTTGAACTATTACGGTTGTTGTAAGTGCAGGATTTCTTATAAAACTAAATGTACACTCAACCAAATAAGCCAGAAACCCACTTCTAATCTTACCCAAGAAAAATGAAAACTATGTTCACACAAAAAACCTAAACATAAATATTTAGGGCAGCTTTATATGTAAGTGCTAAAAACTAGGAATAATCCAAGTATCCTCTAACTAGTGACTAGATGCACACACTGTGATAGACCCATGCAATGGACCACTGGAAAACAATAGAAAGAAAGAATTGCTGGTACAGGAGACAACATGGAGGAAGCTCACAGGTGCACTATACTAAGTGAAAGAAGCTAGACTCAAAAGACTACATACTCTATGATTCCATTTAGATGATATTTGGGACAAGAAAGCAGATCAGTGGTTGTTGGGGTGATCAGACCCAACACCAGGTCGTGGGGGCAACAAAGTCTGGCGGAGTTAAAGGAATCAGACAGTTTGAGAAAGTGGGACCAGGGGGCCATCGCGAGTGTGGAGGCTGCGAAGGCCCCGAGCTCTGGGAGCCCACGCTATTTATTGGTGCTCAAACAGGTGGTGAGGATGTGGGGGTTAAAAGGAAACAGTGTATCAAGTGAATGAGAAATATACAGCTGCTTGAGATAATGGGAGTGCTAGAAGCAAGGAGCCAGCAAGTCTAGCAGGTATGGAAGCCCCACCTCAGCTTCTCTCCCAACACTCAGCTTTTCTCCCAACATGCCCCCCTTCTCTTTTTTGTAAAAACCACCACAGCTATCATTATTATTAGCATAAGGTGGCCTCTTTTTAAAAATTAATTGAGCAAGGCAGTTGCAGGCTGTGCAGCCCTTAATTGCCAGTTGGTGATCCAGCTTCATTTTTCTTAGTCCTTATTCCAAATGGAGTTGCTCTGGTTTGAATGCTTCCTACATATCTCCCCTTTCCCTTTCACAAGAGGACCCTTAATCCTAGGGGTTGCAGAAGGATGAAGGTCCATCTTCTGCAACTTCTTCATGCTAAATAGGGGTGATGATACTCCTGCCTACCTATTGGGGTCTCTTGTATTCAGGGTAGAGAGCAGTTCAGTCAGAAAGCATTGGTCCATTAAGCATCTATAGGTAAAACTTTGGTGCTCCAGCAGTTTCTCAGCGTGGCTCATACTGGGGAACCTCATCCATGGTTGGGATCCACGAGTCCTTCTAGTCTCCTGTTCCATGGTTGTACACATCTTGAGGGCACCTACACAGTTTATCTCCTGCAAAAACACAAGCATACCCTCACCCCATTTTAGTAACTCTACTAAAACAGAAGCAAAAACTTTTGTGGCTGTAGCCAGGAGGCATGCCATTGCTGAAGCATTTGTAACTTCTGCCTCTTTGGTTAATTACCGTAGGGTAAAACTTAGCACTGATAATGAGAAACAGGCTTTTTTCTGATTAATAGAAGGCATAGAGAAAGCAAATTGAGGCTTAAGAGCAATCCTTAAACCTTCAATTTGCACTGTACAGGTGGGTCCACTAGATGCTGTGCCTCATGATAGATCTTCAGATGTTTGGTGGGCACCCACACAGGCACCTGATTGTCACCTGGAGAGACACAAACAAATCCTCTTCCCCAGAAAATTATCTTTCCTTTTTCCCAGCTCTTTGTATGTGCATCCCTCCACCATATATCTTGTCCAGCCTTTTTATTTTCCTTTTGTCCTGTCAGGTGTTGTTCAGCTGCAGTCATGGGTTGAAACACAGCATTAACGGCCCTTAAATCTGTTAACATTCTCCATTTTCCTGATTTTTTTTCTTAATGACAAATACAGGAGAATACCAAAGGGAGAAAGTAGGCTCTGTATGTCCCTTTTGCAATTATTCCTGCACCAATTCTTGTAAAGCCTCCAGTTTTTCCTGTTTCAGCAGCCATTGCTCCACCTAAACTGGTTTGGCAGTTAGCCAAACAAGAGGAATGGGAGCCAGAGGCTCAACAATGGCTGCTCCTAAAAATGACAGCCCAATCCAGTCTGATCTGTTTGCCCTTTTAATTCTAAAGGTTCTGATTGGCCCTTTTTATCTTTTCCTAGTCCTTTTCCCATATTTCTTATCATTTGTCTACTATTATTACTATATTGATCCATAGGAATAGATATTTCAGCACCCCATTGTTGCAATAGGTCTCTACCCCATAAATTAACAGGAATAGGTGTAATGATAGGTTGGATTGTCCCTTCCTGACCATCCGGCCCTTAACATGGTAAAATCAAGGAACTCTGAAAAACTTCCTAGGCAGCTCCTACTCCAACAATACCAATGGATGCCTTTTGCTTAGGCCAGTGCTGGGGCCATTGATTTATAGCAATAATAGAGACATCAGCTTCAGTATCTACTAGTCCTTCAAAATCTTTTCCCTGAATAGCTACTGTGCAAATAGGTCTTTTGTCCGACACCTGATTAACCCAATACACAGCCTTTCCTGCTGGATTAGTATTACCAAAGCCTCCTGTTCTTTTCACTGTGCTGCTTCCTAGTTTTAGGTAAGGTAACAGCAACAACTGAGCAATTCTTTCTCCTGGGGAGGCAGACCATGGAGTCGAGGAACTAATAACTAATTGAATTTCTCCGGTATAATCACAGTCAATTATTCTCATATGTACAGTGACACCTTTTAAATTTAGACTAGACCTTCCACGTAATAGATCAACTGTTCCTGAGGGTAAGGGTCCCCTAACTCCTGTGTGGACCTTCTTTGGTGGCTCCCCAGGAAGTGTGAACTAAAAGATGAGTTACATAGGTGTTTACAAAACACAACTGGACATTTTCCATTATTCTGGGATAAACCAAAATAAATTTTAAAATTTCATTTGGAGATTTCAAAGCTGAAAATGCTTTCAGCAAATTCTTAGATCTTAAGAAAATATATATTGTCTATTGTTTGTAAAATAATTTGCCTTTTTGATCTAAAAATTTTAATACTTGAATTTAAATAGGTTTTTCTTCTGGAAAAGTTCTTTGGCATTCAAGCAAAATCAATACTTTCAGAGTAGTCACCTGCATCACACTGGAGTGACTGCTTTAATTTCTAAAGCATCAATTAGTGTAACCCAGGGTACTGATGGCCTTGATACATGATTTAGTCTTGTCATTACAGTGTGTGGAAATCAGGGCTTTAGGGGGCATCATCTGACCCCATTTCTTTTTACCACAATGGTTCCTGCTACAATGTCATAGGTTTTTCGATTATGCTGAAAAAACAGCAGTGTGATGAAAGCAGTGAAAAAAGAAGCAATCAAAAAATTCTTGATCAAAGCTCGTATAGTGGACGTTGTAATACTAACATTTGAGGAAGGAATCACTAAAACCCAACTTAGTGCAATAAGCACTGATGTCACAACTCGAAGCCCCAGCAGGAACTTCCCTGGGGTAGCTCCACCTGCTCCCCAAATGCAAATTATCTCATAGAAACAAACTAATAATCTGTATATAAGAGCCACAACCATCATTTTCTGCAAGTCTTCCATTGATGTGCCTTCATCTATTTATTCCAATATGTAATGCATAGCAAAGAGATATCCTCTATCCCACTAAGGTGCATAATGCTTAAGACAATGGTTGCCTTTACAAAAAGAGAATAAAGAAATCCACCATCCTTGCCATAAATCTGTGGCCCAAGGATGGAATAACATATTCTCTCCCTGCCTCTCGCCCAGTCTCGCTCAGGCTTCACCAAGGGGCCATGGATCCTACCCTCCTCACTGGAGCAGCTCAGACGCCTGCACATGAGAAGCCTGGTGTCCCAGGCCCACGACTGGAGCAAGGGTGCTGACGCCAGCAGCTGCCCACAGGTCAGGCCCCACTGTCCGGAGAGAAGCGCCACCCGAAGAGAAGCTCTGTGGGGATGGCTGGGGGCTGCAGTAGGCGGGGAAGGTGACCAGGCACCAGGCCAGGCGAGGCAGCAGCAGCCAGACTGCCACAGCCAGCCATGCACCCTCCAGGAGCACCCATGGGTGCTCAGCCACACTGGCCTCTCCCACAGTGCCATAGCTTCGGGCACTTTGCAGCCCGCCTGCTCCTGCAGCCCCACACGGGAGCCAGAGGCCATCTCCCTGCACCTCCTGAGCTTGTGGGGCGGCTTCAATCCATCAGCAGCAGCGGCCCCGAGGCCTGCGGCTGTGAGCCAGCCCCGGGGGGCCCCCGTGGGGGCATGGGATGGTGGCAGCAGGAGGGCCCCTCAGAAAAGGGATGGGCTTGTGGTCCCCTCTGCCCTCACACACCTGGGAGGGTGGCCTCGTGCCCCCTCGGGACCCCCGCCATCATCGCTCCAGCAGCACCCCCCGCACCACCTGCCACTGCTCTGTCCCTATACGCCCTTCCAAAATCTCCTCCAATTATCCCCCATCCATCCAACTCCACAGTTCCCCGCTCCAGGAACCATGGACAAAACTGTTTCACTGCACCAAACTGACAACAAATTCTGAGCACTAACTTTTACTCCCCCACTTCATAACAAATGCTTTGAAAAACTTAAATAAGCAGAATGTCTGCTTTCACTTTGTCCCATTGTCACCCTGGTTCTTCCCAGGCTCAGCTTCTTTTAGATGTCCTCGGGTGCCCTTTGACAATGCATCCTCAGCTTTCACATGCTCTGGCGTTCCTTCACCAGGGTCTTTGTCACCCCACATTGGGCAGCCAGGAATGTTGAGGTGATCAGACCTAACACCAGGTCGTGGGAGCGACGAAGTCCGGTGGAGCCAAAGGAATGAGAAAAAGACAGTTTAGGAGAGAAAGTGGGACCACGGGGCCATCGCGAGTGTGGAGGCTGGGAAGGCCCCGAGCTCTGGGAGCCCACATTATTTATTGGTGCTCAACAAACAAACAGGTGGTGAGGATGTGGGGGTTGATAGGAAACAGTGTATCAAGTGAATGAGAAACATATGGCTGCTTGAGATAATGGGAGTGCTAGAAGCAAGGAGCCAGCAAGTCTAGCGGATGTGCAAGCCCTTCCTCAGCTTCTCTCCCAACACTCAGCTTTTCTCCCAACAAGTGGTTGCCAGGAGCCGGGTATTGGGGGAGAAGTTGACTACAAAAGGGCATGAAAAATCTTTTTGGGGCCAGGTGTGGTTGCTCACACTCCAGCACTTTGGGAGGCTGAGGCAGGCAGATCACTTGATGTCAGAAATTCAAGACCAGCCTGTCCAACATGGTGAAACCCCGTCTCTACTAAAAATACAGAAATTAGCCAGGTGTGTTGGCAGGTGCCTCTAGTTACAGCTACTCAGGAGGCTGAGGCAGGAGAATTGCTTCAACCCAGGAGGTGGAGGTTACAGTGAGCCGAGATTGAGGCACTGCACTCCAGTTTGAGCAATAAGAGCAAAACCCCATCTCAAAAAAAAGGAAAAAATAATTTTTTGGATCCAGGGAAATATTCTACATCTTACTTGTGTGGTAGTCACCTGGCTGCATGCATTCATGAAAACTCAGAACTGTACACAAAAATGGTAAATCACACTGCATGTAAATTACACTTTAATAAAAAAAAATTTAAGGGTCCAGGCTCTGGAATCAGACTGCATTCAAACCTTTGCTTCTCCACATTTTGGCCGTGTGACCACAAGCTATATTGTAACCTTTCTGAGTCTAATTTTCTTGACTTGTAAAACACAGCTAATAACTCCAGAGGGTTGTTGGGAAAATTAAATAAAATAATGTACGTAATTGTTTACCATGATGCCAGGCCATACAAGTGCACAATAAATGGTAAGTATTACTATTTTTATCCTCCTGTTAAAGAGCTAAGAAGTTGTTTAGGGCAGAAGTTTCTAGACAGAGTTGTGTGAGTTATTCTTTTAAATAGGAAATAGTTTATTAGACAGCTTGTTAAGAACACTAGAGTCTCATAAAAAGAGGTCATCTATTTTACTTTCTGGGTAAAATTTTATTCCCCCACAAAAATTCTTTTCAATTCTTTCTCTAAAATATTGGAGATCAGCTCCAGATGTCATTTGCTCACGTTTTTTGAGAGAACAGTGGCCATATTGGGTAAGTTTGAGTCCTTGGAAAATAAACGGAAGAAAGTGTGAATAAATAGATAAATAACCCTTCCAAATATACACCCCAATACTAGTTCCTGAAATATTAATTATGCATTCATTCAACCAAAGAGCACCTCTATGTGCCTGATACTGACTGACTGCCCTAGGTGTTGAAAATTCAGCAGTCACCCAAGTAGGCAAAAAGTCCTTATCCATGGGGAGCTTTGGAGTTACATTCAATATGATTTTCTTTTCTTTTCTTTTTTTGAGACAAGGTCTTGCTCTGTTGCCCAGGCTGGAGTGCAGCGGCACCATATCGGCTCACTGCAGTCTCCGCCTCCTGGGTTCAAGCAATTCTCTGCCTCAGCCTCCCGAGTAGCTGAGACTACAGACACGCACCACCATGCTTGGCTAATTTTTTTGTATTTTTTGTAGAGACAGGATTTCACCATGTTGGCCAAGCTAGTCTCGAACTCCTGGCCTCAAGTGATCCACCCACCTCAGCCTCCCAAAGTGCTGGGATTACAGGCATGAGCCACTGCACCAGGCCTCAGTGAAATTTTCTGAGTAAGCTTCCTAGGTATCCTGTCCACAGAGATTTGAATGACACCCTTCTAGCCCCTGGACATTTAGAAACAATTATGAAGACATATCCCTCAACTACCTATCTCTTCTATTTAGTCCCACAACGTGTACCACTCTTCATTTTCTCCCTTGCAGATCTTAGACCCCCTCAGACTGTGCCTTATAGCCCTCTTTTTAAGTAAATTTTTATCTTAAAATAATTATCAACTCACAGAAAATAGAAATGATAATACAGAGTCCAACGTACCCTTCACTCAGCTTCTTCCAATCATAAAATCTTATGTAACTATATATAGTACAATATCAAAACCAAGAAGTTGGTATTGGTACAATATTGTTAACTTGACAACTGGTCATATCCAGATTTAAACCCCCACTCCATGCCCATTGATTGAAACTCTCCTCAGTTCCTTGATCTTCCAGTATCTTTCTAGATGGGAATAGTTTCTCCTCTTGTGGGGACCTGAAGCTGACGACCCTAAGACTCAGCTGGACTGTTCACACTCTTCCAATCAGGGAGACTCTATTCAAATGCTGTTGTCCTAAATTCCTATTCTCAGTCTGCTGTATCTCTGCCAAAACCTTATGCCAGAATTTTATTTGAAACCACAAGGACACTTATTTTGACCTTACATCTCCTCTGCCCCCACAGGTCATTGTCTGAAATGTAAGCTTCTCATCTGTTTTCCCTACTGTCATCCTCAGATATCTCCATGTGTCCTTTTCACCAATCTAACCTTCCACTCTTTTCCTTTCTTCAACTTTTTTCAACTATACTTTCTGAAATTCCTATTTCATGGTAATTAAACTTTCTTACAGACACACACACATGTACACACATACACCCCTAAACACACCTTCACAGAAAGACAATTGTATTTATTTGTTCTTGCTACAAAGAACTACCTAAGACTGGGTAACTTATAAAGAAAAGAGGTTTAATTGGCTCACAGTTCCACGGGCTGTACAGGAAACATGGCTGGGGAAGCCTCAGGAAACTTACAACCATGTTGGAAGGCAAAGGGGAAGCAGGCATGTCCTACCTACATGGCTGGAGCAGGAGGAAGAAAGTAAGCGGGGAGGTGCTACACACTTTTAAACAACCAGATCTCGTGAGAACTCACTCACCATCACAGGATCAGCAAGGGGAAAATCTGCTGCCATGAGCCAATCACATCCCACCAGGCCCCACCTCCAACATTGGGGATTACAATTCAACATGAGATTTGACTGGGGACACAGAGCCAAACCATATCAACAACTTTACCATCTTATCTTCAGTAAAACTAGATTTCTTCACAGTCACCACCTCCCCAGAAAACCTTCTGAAGTGAAGGACGCTAAACCTTCCTCCACATCAGCAAACCCGTTCAAATGACAGTGCCATCAGCCAACTATGAGACTGTGGTGGCGTCAGTATCTTCACAGATCCTCAGGTTTTCTTCCAAATCCTTGTTTCTCTATCCTTGCATGAAGACCCTCATGGCATCTGACTATTCTGCCTCCTTCCCTCCTGATTGCTGTCCTCTACCAGCTGTTTGACATCCATCATAAATCTTGGTACCTGCTCATAGCGCACTTCTCTATCCCATGTCCTGCTATCATAATGATAACACCAGTGACCATTAGTGTCCATGTGGATGACATTTCCAACACTCTAGATTCCCAGGTTCTTGAATTTATGAGTTCTAGTGGCCTTTACTTTCTCTAAACTCCAGCCTTTTATACCTACTGCCACATCCTAGACTGGGTTATAATCCAGAATCCTCCCACATGTGACACCTTGAGCTCTAATGCCTACTCTCTGAACTTACCTCATATATTTTGAAGTTTTTCACATTCACTAGTGCCTTTAAATCTATTTTTGGTGTTATATGTCTATTTCAAGTCCCCTGATGACTCCATTTTCTCCTAACAATCAGTGTCTTCCTAAAGTCACTTCCTTTACGACCTAGTCTGGACCCCATGGTTGATGACTTGAATTCATCACCAACAACCACGCACTCCTATTCTTATACTGTATGTTCTGTCAAAGTCCCAACACTGCACCACACTCAAAATCTCTGCTTTATTATTCTACAGCTAGAATGCTTACCACTGGTCTTCAGTGAAACCCTCAATGTCATTCGACGTATCTGTTTGATGCCCATAGTAAATTGCTGCTTTATCTTCCATTCTCTTTCAGGCCTTCACCACCATTCTTCTCAATTCCTCTATCCACAGTGTATCTTCACCATTTCCACTTTAATTAGACAGGTTCATGTTTAAGGGATCACTCTGATAGCAGTGAGGTGAGTGTTGTGATAGCCAGCCTCCAAGATGGCTCCAGTGATCATGGCCTTTTGATATTCATGCCGTTCCATAGTCTCCTTCCTCCAACAGAACATGCATAACCAATAGAGTACAGTAGACGTGACAAAGGTAACTTTTGGGGCTAGGTTATAAAAGGAATTTCAGCTTCTGCCTTGGCATCTTGGACTGTTTGTTCTTGTGGAAGCTAGGCTGCCAGGCCATGAGGGCATTCAAACAATTCTGTAGAGAGGGTTACCAAGGAGGAACTGGGGCCTTCAACTAACAATCCCAACCAGTATGTGAGCCATTTGAGAGTCACCTGGGAAGTGGATCCTCCAGTTCCAATCAAAGCTTCAGACAAGTGCGACTCCAGCTAGAATCTTGACTATGACTTCATCAGAGACCCCAACACGGAACCACAGAGCTTAAGCTTCTCCTGAATTCCTGACCCACAGAAACTACAAGATAGTGTTTATTCATGTTGCTTTAAGTTACACAGTCTTAAAATAATTTATAATGCAGACATTCATAACCAACACAGATGAGTTTAAGAGAACAAGACCAGAGGCATGCAGATTTGTAAAGAGGTCATAAAATAGTGCAGGCAAGTGCTGACAAGAGCTTGAATTAGAGCTGTGGGGTTCAGATGCAGAGAAGAGTAAAATCTAACAAATATTCAGGGATATAAATACACACAAAACTGAGTGGATGTGGGTGTTCTGGGAGCATGTAATTATTCTCAGCTTTCTAGCTTTGCTGGCTAGATGCCAAAATTAAAATAGAATGTGCAGGAGGAAGAGTATGATTGGAGAGAAGGATAATGAGCTCAGAATTGTGACTTTGAATCTGAGGTGCACTGATATTCTCCATGGATATGCCACCAAAGACCTCTACAGTGCCCATTTCATTGGTCCCTTTTCAGCCTTTAGCTTTCTGGAGTGCTCTGCCTCATCTGACACCGTTAACTGCTCATTACATCTGCACATTTTCTGCTTTCTTGAATCAATACTCTTCTGGTTCTTCTTGAATGCTCACATTTTCTCTCCAATCTCCCTTACCACTTCTTTTGTGCACCCAAATATTGGTGTTCCACAAGATTCCACCTCAACCTGCTACTCAACTTTCTCCAAAAGCTCTGCATTGTTTCCCAGAATCTAGGATTTGTTTCCTGGGATTCAGCAGAATGAGGTTTTTTTTGTTTTTTGTTTTTTATGTGAAGGCAAGTTTATTAAGAAAGTAAAAGAATAAAAGAATGGCTACTCCAGGGGCAGAGCAGAGGCATGAGCTGCTCAACTGAGTACATTTAAGTTATTTCTTGATGATATGCTAAACAAGGGGTGGATTATTCATGAGTTTTCCAGGAAAAGGGTGGGTACTACTCAGAATTGAGGGTCCCTCCCTTTTTTAGACTACATAGGGCAATTTGTGAATGTTTGCCATAGCATTTGTAAACTGTCATGGCGCTGGTGGGAGTGTCTTTTAACACGCTAATGAATTATAATTAGAATATAATGAGCAGCGAGGATGACCAGAAGTCACTTTCCTCACTATCTTGGTTTTGGTGGGTTTTGGCCAGCTTCTTTACCACATCCGGTTTTATCGGCAGGGTCTTTGTGACCTGTATCTCGTGCCCCCTATCTCATCCTGTAACTAAAAATGCCTAACCTCCTGGGAATGTACCCCAGTAGGTCTCAGTCTTATTTTACCCAGCCCCTATTCAAGATGGAATCACTCTGGGTCGAATGACTCTGAAATATTTCCCCCCTCCCTTTTACAAGGGGATCCTTTATCCTAAGGGTTGTAGAGAGACAAAGATACATCTTTTGTATCTTCTTCAGGTTGAATAAGGGCAATGATATAGCAGAATGAGGTTTTAAAATCAAATAACCTGATATATTGTCTCTTCTTACATCTATATATACAAGTTTCTAACTGACATAGTTATAATCTCCTTCACATAAGTTATAATATCCTGTTATTGTTGTAATGCTGTATATGTATGTGTGTAGTATATCTCTCTACCTATATCAGTAATATTGAGTAACTGTTAGGTTTGGGGGAGTGCATGGCAGTGGACCCCTAAGTCATTAGAATAGTTTGCAAGTATTCCTGTTGCCCTTCTGGACATACAGAATTGAACCTCCATGCTTCTTTGTCCTTGAAACTAAAGTATGGCCATTTTCTTGCTCTGGCCAATAAAATGTGAAGAAAAGTGACACATGCAACTTCTGGCATGAAAGCATCAATAGCAACCACACCATTTACCATGTTCTCTTTCCTATACCTTGGTTCTAGGTCCCTGAATGACTACGGGGAGCTGAACTCCCTATGGATGTGCATTAAGTATAAATATGGGAGGGAAATATGCATTAGGTATGGGAGGGAATTATGCAAAGTCATTGGTTTGTTTGTTTTTGTTTTTCTTTTCCTACCATATTACTAGGTTATCCCCACTGATACAACTACAATAAAATTCCAAGTAATATAAGAGTATGTCTCCTGAAGTTCTGAGGCCCCTTGTGTCAAAGGAGTAATAGAAAGTTAATGATCTCAAATACCTAAGTTAACTAAGTACTGCTTATGTATATACAGTCCCTCCTAGGTAATACATACTGTGATGGTTAACACCGAGTGTCAACTTCATTAGATTGAGGGATACAATGTATTAACCCTGGGTGTGTCTGTGTGGGTGTTGTCAAAAGAGATTAATATTTGAATCAGTGGGCTGGGGAAGGCTGATCCACCCTTAATTTGGTGAGCACAATCTAATCAGCTGCCATCAAATATAAAGCAGGCAGAAAAATGTGAAAAGGAGAGACGGGCCTAGCCTCCCAGCCTACATCTTTCTTCCATGCTGGATGCTTCCTGCCCTCAAACATCAGACTCCAAGTTCTTCAGTTTGGGGACTCGGACTGGCTCTCCTTGCTCCTCAGCTTGCAGGCAGCCTATTGTGAGACCTTGTGATCATGTGAGTTAATACTTAATAAACTCCCCTTTATATCTTGTTAGTTCTGTCCCTCTAAGAGAACCCTGACTAACACACATACCAATCCCAGGAGTGGTAACTGAAGACTTCCTCCTCCTGTTTCCACACTTAAAGAAGAGATAATTAGTTGGTTTAAAGTTATTTTTTTCAATTTCAATTTTAAAACTTAGGCCAAGTACACAGAATACTTGAAACCTCTTTGGAACATCCTCTGGGCTCTCAAAAGTACATAAAATTTTCAGGACACCATCTAAATGTGCAAGATTGTTTAAAGGATATAAAATTTTCAGGACACCATCTAAATGTGCAACATTGTTTAAAGGATATAGTAAAGCATTTAGTTCCTTGGTGGTAGTGGGATCAAGCTATGAAAAAACTATAAGAACCTAATTTTAATATAGTCCTTCTATTATCTCTATGTATTTATTAAATATCATTATTTTATAACAAGTTGCTGTTTTGTTTTTTTTAATTGAGACAGAGTCTCTCTCTGTTGCCCAGGCTGGAGTGCACAATCTCAGCTCACTGCAACCTCCGCCTCCCGGGTTGAAGCAATTCTCCCACCTCAGCCTCCTGAGTAGCTGGGACTACAGGTGTGCGCCACCACACCCGGCTAATTTTTGTATTTTTAGTAGAGATGGGGTTTCACCACGTTGGCCAGACTGCTCTCAAACTCCTGACCTCAAGTGATCCACCCGTCTCAGCCTCCCAAAGTGCTGGGATTATAGGTGTGAGCCACCGCACTTGGCTGACAAATTGTTATTATTAATTTTTTTCTTAATCTAGGTAAACTTTGGGTGATATTAACCCAGGAAAATTTGTAGAATACAGGTAGCTCATGTTAAAATGAGTTTTTCCAAGAGTTTACATATAATATTACATGTATACCTTTTTAAATAAAAATCCTATAAGAGTTTCTCTATTTGTATCATTTCACCACTTCACCTTTTGACTTATTCCCATACAAGGGAATTATGGATAAAGGCAAAAATGATAAATAAGGAATCACTTAAGCAAATGAAATCTTTCCAGAATACTGATGGGATCTTCAGTATGTCCATATCTTTCCTCAAATGGTTACATTAGCTACATTTTCCCAGAAGATTTTGAGAGAATTCTTAGATAGAATTTTTCAGCACTCTGAAGAACATATGATATGTGTCTTAGTCAGCTCAGGTGGCTATAACAAAGTACCACAGACTGGGTAGCTTAAACAACACACATTTGTTTCTCATGATTATGGAGGCTGGGAAGTCCAAGATCAAAGTGCCAGTGTCGTTGAGTTCTGGTGAGGGCTCTCTCCTGACAGACACCTTCTGGCTGTGCACTCACATGGCTTTTCCCTGACACCTATACAGGAAGATTGAGAGAGAAATTTCTCTCTTCCTCTTCTTTAACCCTTTTCCCATTTAGAAAAAAAAAAAATGCAGCTTGCTGCCAGTGCTCATTGAATTTTACATAAACATGCTCTTTGGGACTGAAGCAAATCTGATTTTCAATGTGAAAATAAAATAGAAAACTGTTCTTGGAGTTATTTCTAAACAGAACTAACATCAGAATCATCTGAATCATCAGAATTATCTATTTCGGAAAAATCAGTTTCATCAAATGAATCTACGGCCAACAACTGCTTGAGAATGATGTTAACATCACGCGTAGGAATGCTACGTTTTCTAGGATTTGACATTTTCAGCAATCGAGAATTACTATATTTTGTAAATAGAAGTACCACTACTACAAACAGAATACTATAAAAAGAATGATGTCTTTTGTTTCCAAAGTTGATATACTAGAGCAATGCCAAAATAATAATAAAAGTGAGATATTTCGTGGCAAATTATCTTGGGGTAAATACTGTAGCCACAAGCACTTGTGGTGACTATTCTTAGGGCAAACGGGAAAAGGGTTAAGAACATTGACTCCATTATGAGGATTTACCTCCATGACCTAATTTAAACCTAATTACCTCCCCAAAGCCCTATTTTCAAATATCATCCCATTAGGGGTGAGGGTTTTAACATATGACTTTGGGGTAGGGACACCAACATTCTGGTCATAAAATGATATAACACTCTTTAACAGTCATATTGTAGATCAATATAGTCATTGTTAAGCAAAGAATTTAGCATCTAGATAACTGAGGTAAAAAAAAAAACTTGGTCTTGAAAGAAAAAGTCATCTTCTTTTTGTCTGAATTATTAGATTGCTTACTTACAATAAAACACATTGACCAGGTAATAAGCCAGCTCCACAATGAACCCATAAATGTGTGCAATGATAAAAAGGGCCTAGACAAGAAAGTTTCCAAACCCTAAAGACTAGATCGAATAAGCTACATATGAGGCTGTGTGGTTAAGGCAATCTGACCATGTGCGATCTCAACCCATAATGTATTTTCTCATTACACAATTAAAGAAATATTGCATAAAAAGTTATCCATAATACAAAAGCTACCATTAGGAAGCACGGTAGAACAACTGGTTTTAATTTAAATATTGCGTAAGCTTACTTATTATTATAAATGAATCTTTGGTGTTCTGACAATTTATTACACTGTGCTTGGTATTTGGTACAATATACAAATTTCCTTTCTCTAGAAGATAAACAAGTCATTTCTCAACAAGGGATAAAACAGTGGACAAGATTCCACTCTAGGGGTGGCCCCAGGCAAATGAATAGAGTCATGGTACAGCTACTAAATGTTTGAGGAGGGCAAATGTCAGGAGTTATGAACACATTCAGGGGGCACCTGACCCTGTCTAGAAGTCTTGGGAAAATCTTCCTGGAGGGAGTGCTATGCAACTGAGTACGGGTTAGTCATGTGAAGAAATGGGGGGTGGGAGTAGGGTGTTCAGGAGGAGGGCTGGAGTATTCTAAGCAGAAGAAAGGGGATAAGGCAACTGGAGGGGAAGATCTCACACACTAAGGGAAAAGCACATGCTTGCATACTCCAGGAGCATAATCTGAGGGTTGGGGGGAGCGCCCAGAGATGAAACTGGAGGTATCCAATTTAAATGGTAACTGTATATTCATGTTTGGTTTTTCAACACATCTAGGTATTAACTGAGTCATCCAATAAACTTTTGGTATTTTTAAAATGCTACCTTGATCTCAAGATGGAGAATACCAGAGGCTGAGGGGTGGGGGAGATTGAGGAGATGTTAGTCAAAGATTACAAAATGTCAGCTAGACAGGAGGAATAAGTTCAAGAAATCTACTGTACGTCATGGTAACTACAGTCAATAACAGTACACTATATACTTGAAAATTGCTAAGAGAGTAGATTTTAAGTGTTCTCACACCCCAAAAATTATAAGGATGTGAGGTCATGCATATGTTAATTAGCGTGATTTGGCCATTCTATAATGTATGTAGATAATATCAAAACATCATGTCGTACATTATAAATATATAAAATTTTTGTAAATTTAAAAAAGATAAACATTTCTGAAAAGATCAAGAGTAGCCTCATTTTACTTTTATAATCATAATATATTTGCCATTTAAAATCTGCCTAGTTTTTCTTAATAATATTTCCATTCATGTCTCAAGAGTTTAGGTACTATTCTTTGATTTTTGTTTTTGTTCTTGTTTAATTTAACCCAACGTTATTGACATGTTGGAGCAATTGATCAACTGTCAGCTATAAATACTTTCTAGGTATTAAATTCACATGAAATATTTAACATTTTATTGAATATCATCAGTAGTTGGTACAAAACAGAGAAAGAAAATATCCATTTATGTATTCATTCAACAAATATTTAGAGTGCCCACTATGTGCCAGGCACTGTGCTAACACCAGAGAAAGAGCAGTAAACAAAAAAGAGGGAAATTACGGAGGTTACTTTATAAAAGACAAACAAAAATACACAGACACACACACAAAACCAGGATTCGTGAGTAAAATATATCATATGTGATGGCAAACACTATCTTAAGTATGGGATCAAGATTAACATCACCAGTGATATCACATGGCTGGCAGGGATGTCCTGCTGTCGTGTAATAAGAAAGGGCACTTCACCACTGTGCTAGCTTTCTAAAATCCAGAGCCCCAGGCTAATCATAAGAAAATACACAAACCCAAATTGAGGGAGGTTTCTCAAAATACTTACTACTCATCAAAACTGTCAATGTCATGAAAAACAAGGAATGATTGAGAATCATAAATCTCAAATCTTAGGAGACTATGGAAACATAAAAACTTAATGCAACATAGTATCCTGGGTGGGACTCTGGAACAGAAAAAGATAATGGAAAAATGGGTCAAATCCAAAGAAAGTCTGGGGTTTAGTTGATAGAAATGTACTAATGTTGGTTTATTAGCTTTGACAAACATAGCAGGGTGTATGTGAGATAACATTAGGGAAACTGAAGTTGGCTGAGGGGAGTCTGTGAGAATTCTCTGTGCTATCTTTACAACTTTTCTATAAATCTAAGCCATCCCCAAAGAAAAAAGTCTATTATTCATATACAACCTCTACAACATAAATATGTAATATAAGAAAAAACATAACAAAAATGTGCAAGATCATTGTAAGAAAATTATAAAACTATCAAACAACATTAATGATGACCTAAACAAATGGAGAGAAAGGCCACTTTATGCATAGAAACTTTCAATGTAATAAGAATATCAATTCTCCCTAAATTAATCTGTAAGTTCAATGTAATTTCAATCAAAATGCTGATAAAATTGTTCACAGATCTCAAGAAACTGATTCTAAAAAGCATATGAAAAAGCAAAGAGACAAGAAAAGCCAATTCCAATATCAAAGAACAGAAGTGATCATAAAGCCACAGTAAGTAAAGCAGTGTGGCATTTTTATAGATGTTGGCAAATAAAACCAATGGAACAGGCCTGGCGCTGTGGCTCACACCTGTAATCCCAGCACTTTGGGAGGCTGAGGTGGGCAGATCACCTGAGGTCAGGAGTTAGAGACTAGCCTGGCCAATATGGAGAAACCCCATCCCTACTAAAAATACAAAAATTAGCTAGGCCTGGTGGTGTATGCCTGTAATCCCAGCTACTTGGGAGGCTGAGGCAGGAAAATCACTTGAACCTGGGAGGCTGAGGTTGCTGTGAGCCAAGATTGCGCCACTGCACTCCAGCCTGGGTAACAAAGCAAGACTCCGTCTCAAAAAAAAAAAAAAATTACGAAAATTATCTGGGCATGGTTGAGGGCTCCTGTAATCCCAGCTACTCATGAAGCTGAGGCAGGAGAATTGCTTGAACCCAGGAGGCAGAGGTTGCAGTGAGCCAAGATCACGCCACCACACTCCAGCCTGGGTGACAGAGTGAGACTCCATCTCAAAAAAAAAAAACCCAACAAAACAAAACAAACAAAAAACCAGTGGAACAGGATAAAAACACCAGAAACAAATATGCATATGCATACATATATGAATACACATATAAATATATGCATATGTATGGAGAGAAAGCAGAGAAAGTTAGATTTGCTAAAAATAAATAAATAAATAAGAGAAAGGAGGGTATGCAGTGGAGAAGGGGTGGAGGCAGAGATTTTCGACGGCAAGGCCATGGAAGGCATCGGAGAAGGTGACTTATGAGGAGAGACCTGAGTGAAGGGAGGTAGCCACACACAAGGATCTGGGGAAAGAGCACCGGGCAGAGAGACCAGCAAGTACAAAACGCCCTGAGGCAGAATCCCACCTGCTGTGTCTGAGGAACAGCAAAAAAGACAGTAAGGTTGGAGAAAAGTGAAAAAGGAGGAGAGAAGTCACTGAAGAGTCAAAGAGGTGGTGGGGGAAACTAGCCATGTGGGGTCTCATGGGTCAGACCCTAAGTGAGGCAGGAACATTAGAAGGCTTTGAACAGAGGAGTGACATGATCTATCAAAATGTATTCCGGCTGTCATTTTCAAAATAGACAAGGGCAAGCAGGGAAGCAGAGTTGGTCCAAAGTAGCAGGAGTGATGAGAAGGGTTAAATCCTGATGACATTTCAAATGTAGAACTGACTAGATCTGTTGACACACTAGATACGGGAAAAGCAAGCATAACTCCGAGCATTTTGGCCTGAGCAGTGGAAGAATGAAATTGCTATTAACGAAGAGGTGAAAGAATACTGGAGAAGCCTGTTTAGTGGAAAGAATGGAAGCTCAGTTTTGAACAGCTTCAGTTGGGAATGCCTGTAAGACATCCATGTGAAAATGTGGGTAGGCAGTCGGATGAATAAGTCTGTCTTTTACCAGAGAATCTTGACTAGAGATATAAGATTTGGGAATCAAGTAAGCAAATAAGTGGAATTTAAAGCCACATAATTCGATAGTATTACAGGGTGATTATAAATATTAATGTGTAAATGGATCACCTGGAAATCTTGTTTAAATGCAGATTCTGAGTCAGTAGGTCTGGGGTAGGACATGTCTAACACTCTACAAGGTGAAGCTGACATTGCTAGCTCCCAACTTTGGCTAGTAAGGAGGACCTAAGAGGTGAGAGCAGATGAAAAAAAGAGATACATAGTCTGGCCGGGCACAGTGGCTTGTGCCTGTAATTCCAACACTTTGGGAGGCCAAGGTGGACAGATTGCTTGAGCCCAAGAGTTTGAGACCAGCCTTTGCAACAAGGCGAAACCCCATCTCTACAAAAAATACAAAATTTAGCCAGGCGTGGTGGTATGCACCTGTACTTCCAGCTACTCAGAAGGCTGAAGTGGGAGGCTCGCTTTAACCTGGGAGGTGGTGGTTGCAGTGAGCCACAATTGTGCCACTGCACTCCAGCCTGGGCTAGGCAATAGAGTGAGACTCTGTCTAGGAAAAAAAAAAAAAAGAGCGAGAGAGATACAGAGTCTGAATTCTGAGGTTCTCCAACACTGAGAGGTTGGATAATCCGCAAAGGAGACCAAGGATAAAGAGCCAGAGGCAAATGAAAAAGCAGGTATGTGCATTGTCCCAGAAGAAAGAGGAAGTGATCCACTCTGCACATGCTTCTGATAGGTCACGCAGGATGAGGACTGAGAACTCTGAGAGCTGATCATTAGGTTTAGCAGTGCGTTTAAGTCATCAGTGACTGACAAGAACAACTGCAGGCGTGCATCTGATGGGGATGGGTTCAAGAGAGAAGGGGAGAGGAGAAATTAGAGGCAGCTGATACAGTCAAGGCTTTCAAGGAGCTTTGCTCTAAAGGGAATAAGAAAAATAAAGATATAACTGAAGGATAAAGAAAGGTCAAAATAAGATCTTTTAAGGTGGGAGGAAAAAATATTTTTATGCCAATGGGAACAATCAGCAGAAAGAAATCAATGATGCAGGGAGATGGGGAAAATGCTGGAATAATGTGCTAGAGTGGGTAAGAGGAAAATGGGAGCTAGTGCTTGAGTGAAGGCACTGGCTTTACCAGGGGAACAGCAGGCCACAGTTTCAAGCAATCTAGAATTCATAGGTTTCTAGACACGTAGGTGAGGAGATGCAGGGAGGATGGGAGCAATCTCCTCTGATTGCATCTTTTTTTTCCCATTGAAATAGAAGTAGGATTATTAGCTAAGAGTGAGAATGGGGGAGGTTTGAGGCTAGAGAAGAAAGAACGAACTATCACCTAAGAGAGTGGGAAAATGACTGGATTAGAGAAATCCGGTGTGATTACTGGGCAGGGCAGCATTAAGTGCCTACTTGAGATTAACAGTCGGGAATTTAAAGTGAGGCCAGTCAGACTGGCTGTTGTTCTTCTCCAGCCACATTCAGCCCTGTAGGTCAAAACACAGAGAAAGCACGGAGCTGGATCAGCAAGACTGTGGTTTAACCACAAAAATCAATTTAAAAAGTCTCATGTGAGTCAACAACCATGCCAGACACTGACATCACAATAATACAATAATAATAACAATTAGAGAACTCTTCATATATGCCAAACAACATGCTGAGCTCTCTATCAAAAAGAATATTCACGAAAAAAAAGCCTATGCCAGAGAATGAGTGCTATTAGCACCATTTTATAAATGAAGGAACCGAGGCTAAAGTGAACACATAGCTCACTCAAACTTATATGTTTAGTAACAGAAATAACTGAGAGTTGAACCCAGTGTTCTTGGTCAGCTCCGAGACTAGTGAGGACACTCACTAGAAAAGGGGTTGGAGTCCTGAGCAAAACATGCTACAGGAAGCCCAGGAACACAGAACAAGCTACTTTTATTTTTAAAACTTAAAAAAAAAATTCATACACTTGTAACAAAAATTGGTGGATTTGAAGATTTAATGGAAAGTGCACACTCCCATATGTATGAATATATTAATCATTTGTGCTCTAGTCGAATGACTAAATATCATTAGATATGACAGGAGGGATGCCCTCCCCGCACCTTGGGAGTGACCCAGAATGACTGTGCTTCTTATGCAGTGACTTCAGGACTCCACGACCTTGGCCACCCATGCAGGTGTCCCACAGATTCCCTCCTCAAAGATATTTTGGGAGACAACGAATTTCAGGACTTCAAATGTGTGCCTTTATCTTGATATCACTTCCATAGCTTTAGATACCAGAGTCTATAATGGGTAAAATAAGTGAAAAGAGGTTTTCTTATGTCAGGTTTATTTTAGGGATTCCTAATATAAAGGTTTGGAAGGTCCTTTCTTGAAATGGCTCTTATGGAAAGGAAACCCAGAAACTAATTCTGTAATGCTTTCTTTGGAAAAATGGCTACTAACTTCTAGCACAAAAGACCAGACAGGTATCTGTATGTTCTATTTGGACCTACAATGTGCCAGACTGGGCTAGCCAGTTTACAAATGTGTTCTTATTTAGTCAGCTCATCAGCCCTGGGAAGTGGCATTTGGAGCTTGATAAATTGCCCAACGGCTCTCAGGTAGAAGAAGACAGAGCTAGGAGTCTAACCCACCACTTAAATAAAGCCCTCAGCCAATCAACAGGAGACAAACTCTACCTCGATTAGCTTCTTTTTTCCCATTCCTTCTCCCTCTTCTTTGCCTAGCAGAATCTCCTCTCAAAGCTTTAGAAATGACTCAACTTTTTCAACACAATCCAAAAATATGCTTCAAACCTTTATTCTTTTTCCCCTAAATAAGAAAACAAAACTTTATTAGCAGGTGAGTTTTCTCCTAGGCATTTTGTGGACTATAAATGAGGCCACGAATAATAATAATGGACAAGAAAACAGATAATGGCAACTGCCCAGGCTGCCAGGCAGTGTGCAGTGGCCAGTTGAGCCTCGCCATTCTTTAAAGATATAAAGTCTTGCTCTCCAGGTGCAGGAAAATTAATAAATACCCTTGGGGTAATTAGGGGCTGCTCCACCCACATGATGAAGAGGTGCCGTGAATTTCATTCTCCAGCCCTCTCACCTAAGACACGCTTACACTAGGTGTTCCATAAAAGTTTTATGAAGCTAATTCCCGTTACAAAGAAAGGTCCTGCAGACGGATGGGAATGTAATAGTGCTTTAGCTAAGATGCCATATTCAAGGCAGCACATGGATATGTAAATTTATGCTTCCCTTGGGAAAGGCAAAGAAAGCCATGATGCCATAAAGAATGGAAACATGCTCTGAAGGCCGAAGGAATCCCTGAAGTTCCTCCAGTTTGTCCGGAGCTGCTTTCCTGGAGCAGGTCTTCCACAGTCCACAGGTGTGCACATTCTAAGAACCTGGTCAGGGAGCTCCAGCAGCCCTTTCTGCCAGCAACTGAGTTCTCCCCCAGTTCTTATACACCTCTGAGTCAAGCCTTAGGGTACTGTCCAGGTGCCAAGAACATCCAGTCTCCACAGTGGGGAAATCACATCCTTAACATAATAAGATTAACTAGGAGGACAGGTGAGGTAAACCATGCATTTGTTCCAAGCTGGTATATTAAAATGCCCTGCCCAGCAACAGCTCTGATGCCATGTCAAACTGGTTAGAGCTGCTTCCTGGCAGAAGTCCTCAGTGACTCAATTCAGAAGGAAGACTAACATAAGATGAGAGAAAAAGTTGTCAGTTTCCAAACCTTCTTCAGGGGATTAAGAAGCTAAAGTCACACAGTGTTAATAAAGCCCTTTGGGAAATCACAGAGAGCAGAATAAACGAACAGGAGAGTCAGAGTGGATTTTTCTTTTGCTGGTGTGTTTCAGTGTCATTGAAAAAAATCAGAGCCCACTCTCCAGACACTGACAACCAAGGACTGACCCCCATGAGTCCACGGCTCTGAAATTTGCACAGTGGCTGGCTTGCTATTGAGTTTGCGCATCTCAATACCCTCAAAACCCTCCTGGGTTCCTCTGTGTCTGCCTGACTGACCTCCAGTGGAGTCTTTCAATCAGTAAGGTTCTCTTGATGAGAAAGGTTCCCTTGTGCTACTCAGGATCCCAGGCTCCCAGGCGATTCTTGATCTGATCCTCCCTGGTAAACTCATGTGACTGGGGGAACTTGCTAGCTCATTTTGTTTTCACAATAGGACAGCTTTCTCACAAAAGCATCCCAAAGACTCAATCATTTAGGATTCCAAGTTTTTATTCTTAAGGAGAATGGCAGTCCTTTAAAATGTGCCTTGCATCAGAGAGAGGTGACGAGAGAAGTGAGGGAGGTAATGGTGGGTAAAACCTTTAAAAAATGGACAAGTAATTCCATTAAAGTAATTAGGGCAAAGGTCCTAAAAGAGACCATGTTAAGAAACCTGATTCAAGTGCTGTAATTTAGCTAAGTGTATTGCTAAGTAATTCCAAGATTACTCAGCAGCTTACTATCCTCTTTTGGAGTTTCCCTTGATAAGATGTTTCCTTAATGAACTTGCAGGTGCTCATCTTCCTAAACCTGAGAAGGCTGGAAAAAAAAGTATCACAACCAGAGAGAGTGGGATAATTTTCTCTGCCCTTACCTCTCTATAAGAAATGTCCCCCCAACCACCACCTCCCTTACCCTTTAGATGCCTCTTCATTCTAGTTTAATAGTCTTTGATTTCAAGGAACAGAAATCCACTGAAATTAATTCAAACAAAGACAGAGAGAAGGAGAAAGAGGATTACATAAGATAAAAGACCGCCCACCAAGCTCAGCAGAATCACATGCAAATTGGAGCTGGAACCTCAGAAGGTCTCAGAAATGGGGCTGCTCCTCTGCCCCCTCTCTCTGCACCATTGTGTCTTGTATTTCTGCTTCTCTCGCACATCCCTTCCATTCTCCTCACTGCCTCTGCTTCCTGAGCTTCCTGGGAGACAGAATAATGCCTGCAGATATTTCATAAACGAGCTCGAGAATTGCCTTAGCTGCTCTGCCACTTACCAGCTGTGTGACCTTAGGAAAGTGATCGCATCTAAGACCTGGTTTCCTCATTTTCTAATGAAGATAGCGCTATTGCCCACCTGATAGGATTAGTCCAGTGCTTGGCACACAGGAAGCATGTCAGAAGTTGCAGCAACTAGCATTATCAATTGTGGCTGCTGCTGTTGTCACTGCTTATAGTTACTTCTTCTAATTCGAGTTGGCCCATAGCTTTGGCTTTGCAGGACACAAAGGCAATCTACTCCCTAGGCAACCTTGCATTCTAGCTCCCCCAGAGAACAGTCCTGGTTTATGGTATTCTCAATAAAGCTCACATTGGTGCCTGCCATGGTTCCATCAGCTGTAGCCAGGGAGGATGGTGGCTATGCTAGAGCAATATTGTCACCCAAGCTCTCATCAGAAGGGTCTGTTAGTGAGGGATGCTCCTAAGGAAGCATGCTTTGAATGTGACACCCCCAAAACATACCTACTACATTCTTCCATGAACTTTAAAACAAAGCTAAATATTGTTTAGCTTTTCTTAAAGCTATTATTCTTAAAGCTCCTTATTTTCTATTAGGAGTCCAGTATAGCATGAATATCGTCAGGAAACACTTTTGATTCGGAAGGTCTCATATATCTTTTTTTTTAATGTTAGGGGGAAATCCTCTCAGAGGTTAATGCTGGGCCCCAAAATACCTGTCAGCCCTAAGAGCATGTTCTCTTCTCTCTTAAAATCCACACAGTTCACATCAGTGAGCCTGTGTCTGCCAGACACCTGCTGTCTTGTGACTGGTGTCCAACTCACCCCACAGAATGTTTCTTTCTTTTTAATGCCCCAAACCAAAATCAATAGCTTTTATTAACAGACAACATCTTCTTTCTCTTTCTTCCTTCCTTCCTTCCTTCCTCCCTCCCTTTCTTTCCTTCCTTTTCTTTCTCTTTCTTTTTCTCTCTCTCTCTTTTTCTTCCTTGCTATCTTTCTTCTTTTTGACCGAGTTTCACTCTGTCACCCAGGCTGGAGTGCAGTGGCAAGATCTCGGCTCACTGCCACCTCTACCTCCCTGGTTCAAGCGATTCTTCTGCCTCAGCCTCCTAAGTAGCTGGAACTACAGGCACACGCCACCATACCCGGTTAATTTTTGTATTTTTAGTAGAGACAGGGTTTCATCATCTTGGCCAGGCTGATCTCGAACTCCTGACCTCGTGATCTGCCTGCCTGGGCCTCCCAAAGTGCTGGCATTACAGGCATGAACCACCACACCCAGCCACAACATCTTCTTTCTATACACTGGTTTCTTATATGTGATCAGTACTTGGCTGTGCCTACACTTTCTGCTCACTGACCATAATGGATGCTTCACTTGAGTATTTAACCCAGAGCTCAGCCACATTTCCCCCTCCAATTTCCCTGTGATTTAAGTAGCCTGTCCAGACATGCTCTAACCGCAGGTGCCCACAGTGCTGTCCTGCACCTCGGTTACTCTTGACTTCATGGCCACAACAGACAAACAGCAGCTGAACCTAGGATCGTGGCAACTTAGAATGTCTGAGTCAGTTTCTATTACGTTCACAACTATGGAGATGGTCGAAAGGACAGATAGCGTTCAGTAGGCAGTTGGTTTGGGGTGGCCTGGGCAATTTTTTCACTATATCAATATTCAAGAGATTTAAATTTTTTTAATTTAAAATTAAGATAATATGCCTACAGTAAAGTTCACTCTCTTTAGTGTACAGTTGTCAGATTTTGACATCACGTACAAGTCATGTAACCACCACTATAACAAGATGCAGAACAGTTTCATCATCTGGAAATGTTCCCCCATGCTCCTTTGTGGCAGACACTCTATTCTAAAACACTCCTTAGGTGATTGTGATGGGCAGCCATGCAGGGGAATCGCTGATATGGCGCCAAACCTTTTATAAATGGAAAAGTTACGTGACTCGCCCGAGATCATGCTGCTTGACAGCTGGGGCTAGGACAGAACCTAGGTCATCGTTTCTCAGTTTTACTTTCTTCCAACACACACCACTTATTCTAAAGTATCCGGGTCCACAGTGGTTCCTCCAAGTAAAAACATACATATGAAATAAACAATAAACAAAAATAACCACAAACTGAAATGAAGAAACCCCAAATTAAAACAGAATGAAATAAAACAACCACAACAGATAATCCTGAGATTCCTTAAATTTACCTGAATATACTCAGAAGCAATAGCAAGATAGGAAAGAATGATTGTACCTTATTTCCAGCACAAAATGCTGTTCTTTTCTTTCTTTTTGTTTTTGCAAACACTGTGTGTCCTACCCAGTGCTAAAATACACCTATGGCAAGTCACCTCTAGGTATAATGTGCAGAAAACCGAGAAACTGTAGGGAAATTAAAAACTTAACTCCACAACTTAACTTCCTTCTCTTATTATGCCTCTGATCTGGATAATGAAAAGAGGCACACTTGGAGAAAAACATGCTGCAAATATCTGAGGGTGACTGGCAGACAGTCCTGATCCAATTATGGCCCTAATGATCAGCCTATAAATAAAGCAGCTTTGCCTCTTTTAGATGAGCTTCCTAAAGATAGAAGTTATTTTGTCTTGAGAAGCTCACAGCCCTACCCAGGGGATGGGCCAAGTAAGGCCACAGAAGTTTGAAACCCTCTGTGTTTTTCCAGGGAAAACCACCAGAGCTTCAGGTGGGTGTGCCCACATATGGCAGCACAACGTGTGGGAAAGATCCATCCTGGGGGTAAAGAGCATTTGCTGCTTTGCTGTGTGTGTGCCAGAAGCCAAAGTCAAGAATCACTTAAAATCCTAGGCATGGACTCAAAAGAGAACAGCAAGCAAGAGTCATCACTTCCAACAATGTGAACCTTTCATGAAGTCTGAATTAATTTTCCACCCGGAGATTATTTTTTTTTTTTCATGTTCTCTCCTGTCTGTCCCTCTGCAGGAAATGCCCCAGGAGGGCTCTCCATTCCCATGGGTCTTTAGGTGTTTCACAGAACCTCAGGCCTAAATCCTAAGCAGTTTGCTTTTCTTTCTTTGGTCTGTAATGCTACCAGCCCATTCCTGAGGTTAATGGTGATCTTATAAAGCCATGGCGGGAGACCTTTCTGTGACCTTGAACACAGAGTTGTATTCACTGACAATTAACTTCCCAACCACGTGCCTGGCTCTCTCTGGCATTCAAGTACTGTACCTGGATGCTAGCACCAAACTACCAGGGTCTAAATCCTGATTCCACTATGTTTTTTCAAAGCATGTTAGTGGACAAGCTATTTAGCCTCCCTTGGGTCTCAGTTTCCTCATCTGAAAATTGGGTGCAATCATATTACCAACCACAAAGGGGGGTTGTATGAAAATGAAAATACCTAGCAAAGTGAACACTATTATCTTGGGGAAACTTGAAAAACTCTAGTCCATCCTGGCTTCCTTAAGAAATACTGTATCTGAAGTATCTCTTGCTGGGGACAGGCAACTGAGAACAAACAGTTACAAAGAATTTATGAACAATCTTAAATATTTAACTTAAAAATCATTTTTGTGATGCTTCGCCAAACTATTTAAAAATATATAAAAATGAGCAATTTGCCCAGAATTTTAAAGAAAATGGCTAAAGAAATACTCTTCTGAATGCCCATATGTTTTTGCTGTTATTCAACCTACGAGGCCACATCACCATTCCCAACATTCCTGTCAAACTAGGGGTGAATTTTAGAGCATCAGAGTTTAAAAACAGAGCATTTTTCCCCATTGTCCTTGCTGCCATTAACTGTGCCACACTGGACAAATGTGTTCTCCATCTGTGCTGATGAGGAGCACGTATGTGACTATTATGTTTGTGCTACTTTTAATTTCCCTACAGTTTCTCAGTTTTCTGCACATTATATCTCAAGAATACCTAAAGAGGCACCTGTATGGAATGAAAAGCAAAACTTGCCCGTCTTCAGGCTCTGCTCCTTCTTCAAAGTTGGTTTGAGAAGGGGAGAATCTGTTGTGCTATCAAAGCCTGGCAATTCTTGGTGAGGATGTGTCTCAAGAAGCAACACGTGAGACAACTGTGCAGGATGAGCTCTGCACTCCCTTTTTCACCTGAAATTTCTTGCATTGCATCTTACACAACAACAGCATAGAGAGATGTGTGAAAAGTTTCAGAAGTGTCCTACAATGGACACAGCTCTGCCAACAACTAGCTATGTGACCCTGAGTAAGAAACATAGCCTCGCTAAGTCTCAGCTCTATCAGCTGTCAAATAATTTGCACGACTATTCCGAGTGTTGACTAGCATATATAAAGTATTGGTACATATAAGTGCTTACAAAGTGAACTGTTTATTATTATGAGACTCCAACTCAGTCCACTAGCATCAAGCACCACTTCATAGGTATCAAGAGTTTTAACTACGTAAAAAAAAAAAAAAATCTCTGTGTAGTTAGGTTCTTTCTGCTCTAACACAAGGGCAGAGCTAAGAGTGAACAGCTCCCAGGCCAGATCCACCATAAAGAGCTCAAGGGAGGGTTTTGTTTTTGTTTTTGTTTTTATTTTGCAGTGGAGATTGCCACATATGAACAGACAGTAGCAAATAAGCATATATTACAATTTAATTGTTCAAATATGTATTTAGAATTTCTGTATCAAGTAATATCCTTTTCAGAAAGAGACACAAGAATTTATTAGCTAGATTGAAATGCCTTTTAAAAAATCATCATTGATTTTTTAAACCTTAAAGGACTTGTTGCTTTGTTTTTTCCATTTTCACTTCACTTCGGTCTTTATTTGATCAGACTACAAGCTAGTTGGAGCTGGTTTTCTAAGAGCTAGTACACCTTCCTACATCAACATGGAAAAGTTAATTAATCATAATAGCTGTTTGAGACATTGTGTATGCACCAAGTGAGAAGACCTGTTTGCTCAGTCAATGCCAAAGACCCATGTTTTTATAGTAAGCCGGTGGCTGGTACACTTGTTTCTATATTCTCAATATCAATATTATCTGAATTCCTTTAACCTGGCCAAGCAATACAGAAGAGACAGGAATTCCAGGACAAACAGACAAATTGGTATAGTATTTAAATGCACGGGTGCCCCAGCTAATAAATGAGATATAAGATCAATGTATTGCAGATGAACAAACAAGTCTAAAACTAAAACTATTAATGACGAATCCTGAGTACTTATTCAAAAATAAAATTCTGTATCTCTTGGGGTTTATTCGATACTATCTGAAGAAAAGTATAACATTCATGCTATAGAAGAATGAGAAAATTACTTGGAGGAGAAATCTTGTCTATAGTCAATTACAGAATTTCTCTGGCATGTTACTAGGCTCCACAAAGAGCTGTCAACAATTAATTTGACACATGTGGGATCATCTAACTTTCAGTGCAGATATTCAGTATGCTAAATGTAAGACTCATTGTCATTACAACTCCACAAAAGCTTATTTTGCAGGAATTACAGATGTAGGTGTTCATCAAAGTGAGCAGAGTGGTGAAGATGAATATATGTTTCCAGCTCCTAAAGGAGCCCAAATCATGTGCTGGGAGATAAGGCCAACATAGAAATGGCAAAACAAGGAAGCAGGAAGCAGGAATAAAACTGGTGGAGAAGGCCATGCATGGTAGCTCAAGCCTGTAATCCCAGCACTTTGGGTGGCCAAGGTGGGTGGATCGCCTGAGGTCAGGAGTTCAAGACCAGCCTGGCCAACATGGTGAAACTCCATCTCTACTAAAAATATAAAAATTAGTTTGGCATGATGGTGGCCGCCTGTAATCCCAACTACTTGGGAGGCTGAGGCAGGAGAATCTCTTGAACCCAGGGGGCAGAGGGTGCAGTGAGCCGAGACTGTGCCATTGCACTCCACCCTGAGCGACAAGACAGAAACTCCGTCTAGGGGAAAAAAAAAAAGGCGTTGGAGAAAGTAAAAACAGGCATTAATCACACTTTTTCAGAATCTATCAAAATCCTTTAAAAGTTTGTACCTTTTACTCAGTAATTCCATATTTATAGAAATTTATAATAAGAATGATTGTCTAAAAATTAACATACGAAAATATTTTAAAGAAGTACAAATACAGAAATATAAAAATATTTGTTTATATTATTATTATTAATTTATGCAAATATAAAAACATTTATAGCAAGGACAAAGTAGAAACAATTAGAATTTCAAACAAGCAGCAATTAGTTAAATAGTGTCACATCCTGAAAAGGAATGGCATACAACCTAGAAAAATTATGCTTCAGGAAAATATTTATTGACTTGAAGAAAATATGATATATGTTTAAGGAAATAATATGAAATATAGAACACCCTATACTGTACAATATTAATCATATAACATCCATAAATAAATATAATAAAACATATGATCATACCCTCTATACTTCTGAAGGACGCTGGATGAAGATGATGACAATGAACCATTAAAGGGATTTCATCTCCTTTTCTGGCTCTGTGAGCCCTGAAAACCAGGGACATAAATTTCAGAAAGACTACATTATTATTATTATTATTATTATTTTTACTTTAAGTTCTGGGATACATATGCTGAACGTGTAGGTTTGTTACATAGGTATACCTGTGCCATGGTGGTTTGCTGCACCTGTCAACCCGTCATCTAGGTTTTAAGGCCCTCATGCATTAGGTATTTGTCCTAATGCTCTCCCTCCCCTTGCCCCCCACCCCTCAGCAGGCCCCAGTGTGTGATGTTCCCCTCCCTGTCTCCATGTGTTCTCCTTGTTCAATAGAAAGACTACACATTTTTTTTACAGATACTAAATGACTACAGTAGTGTCACCTTCTTAGCTCCCAGAGTAAATAGATAAATTTAAGGTCATGAAACACGTGCAAAAAGGAGGCCATAAAAGAATAGCCCAATGTACTCCTGACATCGTCATCTCATCAAAATTAATTTTGTACTGCAGGAACAATGTTAATTACCATGACGTTTAACTGGAAAATAAACGCGTTATTTAAAATCTAGGACATCTGTTAGGAGCACAAACTTAAAAAGTAAGCAGGCTAAGGGAAATGCCAAGAGTGTGCCCAGCTCTTGCCAAAGAGATCTTTCACCTTTATGTACAAACTCAAGTTCACGCTGATCTTTGATGCAATAAAAAATGTACTGTACACTGTGAGACGAATCACCATAAACATTGTGGACTGTCATCCTGTGGAAGTGTGGGAGGCCACCTGTTCTCTGTACAAAGGACACAGACGCTGGTGCTGGGACCTGAAACTCAGACGAGGAAGAGAACTCAATAGGGACGCTGTCCCAGACCCTGCCCCAGGCTGATCTTTGGTGCAATAAAAAATGTACTGTACATCGTGAGACAAATTACCATAAATATTGTGGACCGTCATCCTGTGGAAGCATGGAAGGCCACCTGTTCTTTGTACAAAGGACATAGATGCTGGTGCTAGGAACTGAAACTAAGAAGAGGAAGATAACTCAATAGGGACGCTGCCCCAGACAAACGTCAAATCAGCCAGGACAGCCCCAGATAACACAGTTCTCTTATTGCTCAATCTCCAGGGACATTTGCCCAAAATTAGAGCCCACAGCCAAATACGTGGAGGCTAGGGAAGGACACTGCACTATAGGCTAAATGACTATTATCTTTGGCCTTCCAAGTCATCAGTAACTTTCCAAGGAGAAGAACTGCGAAAGAGCAGGAATATTACTACACTATTGACAGTGGTGCCGTGAAAAGCTGCAGGCTGTTAAGATAGAAAGACTTGATCCAACTCAGTCATTTATCAGCTGTTTGAGGACAAGTGTCTTGTCCTCTCTGAATACATTTTTGGATCCATAAAACTGTGAATTATATCTCCTTGGCAAGGTTTTAGGAGGATTAAAAGAAATGTTATAGGTAAAATGCCCAGAATAAATGCCTAGCATACAATAGAGGTTTAATAATAGACAAACTCTATTTCCCTTTTTTCACCTTCTTTTTTAGGTATAGTTCTATTTATTAGTTGCTTTAAAACAGCAAAAAAGTGAAGGAGGAGGAGAAGAAGGAAGAGAACAAAGGGAATTATTTTAGTGGGTTCAGACATTATAAAAATTGTCTAATAAAATAACAGGTTACTACCAACTCTAGTTTATGTCTAGGTGCCAGTTAATGCCATCTCTCTCTCTCTCTCTCTCTGTGTGTGTGTGTGTGTCTCTTTGCAAGAAGCTGTTTGCAGATTGTTCAACTGCAAATATTTCTGTGCATGTGTTTTGTGTTGACTTTCACGTGTTCATTTTTATTTTGTTAATAGAATTAAGAAAATAAAACCTGGAAACCAAATTTCTAGGCATTTTCTAGAGATCACAAGAAACTTGAGACCTGTTGTCAGTAGAACTATATCAGAACCACCTGAAGAGATGGTTTAGTTTCATTTAATTAATTTGCATAAAACAAATGCACAAGGGGAGATTGAGAGAAAGCATGTGTTTGCAAAAGGGTCCTAGATCAGAAGACCTACACGACACATTCATTCGTTTAACAAATATTTGTTGGGAAACTTTCACAGGACTGTGCTAGGGACGTGGATATTTCCCACGCTGCTAATTGCACATGGTCTCCTAAGTGAGGGCTGCAAAAGCCCAGAGTCACTTTTTAGCTGCTCTTCTGCTATTTTCCCAATAAGCGTCAGAGTGGGGACTAACCAAACCAGAAGTTTCCAGAATGTAATGCTCCATAGCTTGTAATGAGCAGGAACTAGAATGAACAACTGCATGTTAGTCACTTTTACAAGCAATGAGGACTACAGACCATGCAGCAATATAACAAAGTGGTGGCTTGTTCTAGGGAAGACACAGTGAAATACACTCACCCAGCTTGAGATACATGTGATGATCTAAAATCATGACAAAGTGTGTTTTCATGTTACCTATCCCTCATCTGAACGCTCATACAATGAACAGCTGACCCTCTACACCAGTGGAAGATTTTTAAGCAAGGTGAGATATTTCTACACAACACTCACCCATTTTGTGAAGAAAACTTCTGTACGTTGTCAAAATTTCTTATAATTATACCTAGTTTCCTGCAACTAGAAGTTGTCAGCATAGTAGTCATGTAAATCGCAGTTAACATTTTCATGGATAGAAAATTTATCTGGCCTATTTGTACCATTCCTTTGGTCATTAAAGTCTGGCTCGCTATTTCTGTCTTTAGAAATATGTTACCCTGTCTCCCTTATCTGTTTTAGTAGTATGTTGTAGCAAGAGTTTTCATTAAAAGAAAACAACTGCTATGATTTGATAAGATGGAAAAGAAGAGTTAGGAATAGTCACAGTCTCAGAAATAATTCTTGCTTTTCTTTACTTTTAGAATTTTTTTGATGGAAAAATAAGTAAAAAGAAGACATTATAAAAAATTAGTCATAATCCTAATCACTTTGTGTCCGGAATTGGTGGGTTCTTGGTTTCACTGACTTCAAGAATGAAGCCACGGACCCTCGCGGTGAGTGTTACAACTCTTAAGGTGGCGCGTCTGGAGTTTGTTCCTTCTGATGTTCAGATGTGTTCAGAGTTTTTTCCTTCTGGTGGGTTCGTGGTCTCGCTGGCTCAGGAGTGAAGCTGCAGACCTTCGCGGTGAGTATTACTGCACTTAAGGCAGCGCATCTGGAGTTCTTCCTTCCTCCGTTGGGCTTGTGGTCTGGCTGGCTTCAGGAGTGAGGCTGCAGATCTTTGCGGTGAGTGTTACAGCTCATAAAAGCAGTGTGGACCCAAAGAGAAAGCAGTAGCAAGATTTATTGCAAAGAGCAAACGATTAAATCTTCCACAGTGTGGAAGGGGACCCGAGCGGGTTGCCACTGCGGCTGGGGCAGCCTGCTTTTATTCTCTTATCTGGCCCCACCCACATCCTGCTGATTGGTAGAGCCAAGTGGCCTGTTTCGACAGGGTGCTGATTGGTGCGTTTACAATCCCTGAGCTAGACATAAAGACTCTCCACGTCCCCACCAGACTCAGGAGCCCAGCTGGCTTCACCCAGTGGATCCCGCACCGGGGCCACGGGTGGAGCTGCCTGCCAGTCCTGTGCCATGCGGTCACACTCCTCAACCCTTGGGCGGTCGATGGGACTGGGCGCCATGAAGCAGGGGGCGGCGCTCGTCTGGGAGGCTCAGGCCGCACAGGAGCCCATGGAGGGGGTGGGAGGCTCAGGCATGGCGGGCTGCAGGTCCCGAGCCCTGCCCTGCGGGAAGGCAGCTAAGGCCCAGGTGAGAAATCGAGCGCAGCGCCAGTGGGCCGGCACTGCTGGGGGACCCAGTACACCCTCCGCAGCCACTGGCCAGGGTGCTAAGCCCCTCACTGCCCGGGGCCGGCAGGGCCGGCCGGCTGCTCCGAGTGCGGGGCCCGCCAAGCCCACGCCCACCCAGAACTCCAGCTGGCCTGCAAGCGCCGAGCGCAGCCCCCGTTCCCGTTCGCGCCTCTCCCTCCACACCTCCCTGCAAGCTGAGGGAGCCGGCTCTGGCCTCGGCTAGCCCAGAAAGGGGCTCCCACAGTGCAGCGGTGGGCTGAAGGGCTCCTCAAGTGCCGCCAAAGTGGGAGCCCAGGCAGAGGAGGTGCCGAGAGCAAGCGAGGGCTCTGAGGACTGCCAGCACACCGTCACCTCTCAACTTCACCTAAAATACTGTTAACATTTTGGTGTATATAGTTCTGGCTCTGTACATATACAAATTGATATATATTTCCTTTAGCTATATATTTCCTTTAACTCAGGCAGGGTCACACTGTCGTGTTATATATCCTATTTCCCCACATTATTCAATGTTCTTCTATGTTATCGTTTTTAATGGCAGAATAGTACTCTACTATATTATGAGTATTTCACCAATTGAGGCAAATATGTATGGACTCAGGAAAAATAATGCTTTTAGAGCTTCAACTTTTAAACCACTTTCCCCGCATTTGGTTGTCTTGGGAGTTATAGTCTCAGCTGGTGTCTGAGTCTGTGCCTCTGCTGTCAGCTAACACATAGTCAGTCCCCAGGGTTAGACTTCTGGGAATTAATGGAGCTCAGGACTCTGGAACTATCTGGGTCACCTATTGTCATTTGGAAAAAAGAAAAGTACAGCATATGTTAGAATATCACTTCCTTCTGCCCAGAGTGAGATGAAGAGTGTGAAATTTAGGAGTCGATTTTCATCATTCAATGAATATTTACACAGTCCCTGCTACATGCATCAGTCATCCTTCTATTACACATGCTGGAGATGCCCTGGGGAACTAAATGCTCTACACTTTTGGAGCCCATGTTTTGATAGATTAACAATTTTGAAAAATTAAAAAAAAACAAAAAGCAGCCTCAAATCGTTTTCGATGATGTTGTTGTTGCATTACAATGGGGTAGAAATCATGTACTATAAATATACCTGTATTAGACACTATCACAAAAGATCTAAGATTCTTTGGTAACCTCAGACTATTCCATTTTCTAGTGAAGATATTATATTATCTGTATATCATACCTTACCTAAAAGACAACAGTGTCCAGAAAAGATATACTCTAACCTTAATTATGGAATAAAAAGGACACCTTAGTACAGGTATTTTAATTCATAGAAAACAAATTTCCTGGTGGTTTGGAGGCATTCGCCCAAGGAGTAGATTACCTCATTTTGGACATGGCCTGTCCTAGTTATAAAAAAGCAGAAGTTGATATGCAAGAGGCCAGGCAATGTGTTGATTAAATAAGAAGCTATTTAGAAGACAGTGGGAAGCTGAGTATTCACTGACGTGGGAATGGTTGAGTAAATTATGATATATCCATTATAGGACTATTATGCAGCAATTAGAATAAATAAGCTGCATATTTACTGACTTGGAAAGTTGTCCGTGATATCAACATAAGTGAAAAAACAAGGTTGCAGAGTAATGTATGTAGAATAATGCTGGTTTTGCTTTAAAAATAATACAGGTGAATACTGTGTATGTGTCCATAGCTTGAATATACTTGTATGAACATGGAAATAGATGTGGAAGACTATCTACCTAACAGCATTAATTATTTTAAATATATAAAATGGGGCAGAGGTGGGAGATGATTATTTTATATTCAGTGCCTTTTTACGATGAGCAGTATTGGCTCAGCAATTTTTTTAAAGTAGGAAAAATAAAGAAAAAAGTTGTAGGGTAGGCCAGGGCTGAAAGTATATCCTTGTAACCACCTTATTGTTATATTAATCAGCATTTATTCATGGAGCACTTATTGTTTGCAAAGATGAGAACACAAGTATTGGACTTAACAGTCTACCAGAGGGCCAATAATTTGACTGGGGAGATAAAACCTCTTCACAGGAAAATAAAAGTATTTTCATGATGAGAACAGAGCTGGCTAATTTATATTCATTTTTTGAAATGAATGTAGTGGAAGTGGTGTAACGAGTACAACTCAGACCTGGCAATCTTTTCACTCTGCTACATACTTGTATAAACTTAAGACAAGGCTTTTAACATCTGCACCACCATCTCTCAGGCCCTCTACCTCTGAAGTTGAGAAAGGAAACATCTGGATATGATGCAATTAGCAATACATTAATGGGCATGAAAGGATTCCCTCCCTTCCCCACTCCAGCCCCTGTGTCCCACCCCTATCCCCCAACCCCTTCCCAGAGCTTGGAATTCATTGGGGCTATTTCTCCAAAACATTCTTTGAAGTTAAGCCTTTAGCTCCACAGTCATTAGGGAGACCTCTGAGAACCAAGTCAGCCCCAACAGCCAGTTCAGAATCTTGGCTAAACATGAGTCCTTTTACTCAATGGTCAAAATGCAAAACCAGGCAACTTTTGCTCATGGTGCTAAGTTGCAAACTATCTGTCTCTAGTCTTTAGCGAATGCTATTGGGAAGCATCAGGACAAAAGTCGTCATCCAAAAATTCCAATTCTAGTTTTCTCTTGGTCTGGGCTTAAAGCCAGAGGCGATTCTCCATAGGTGGCATGCCAGTGCCATCTGACTGCTGACATATTCTGTGTGGTGGTTGAGAAAACTGGAGAAGAAAGAGCCAGGGTAGTCAAAGGACTGCTCGTTAATTTTAAGATGTGCAGGATGAAGAGGAGAACAATGCAAGGGTAGGCACTCTGAACAATTTGTGTTATTGACAGCATCAGCAAAAAATAACCAGCTGGCTCTCAGCCAGGGAGTTCCCCATCCAGCTGCTGTGTGTGCATCACAGGTCTAAAGAGCGCCCACGGCCTATAACACTGATCAGTCTGAGTCTCAGTCCATCCTGCCATGGGTTGCAGACCAGACCGTGTTTCATGGGCCTCCTATTTTAGAAGAAAGGTTGAGGAGAAAGAAAGTTACATCCAGTCCTTCTGTGTCACCTGATATATTTAACAGCAAGGAAGGGAGGGAGGGAGGGAGGGAAGGGAAGGGAAGGAAGGATCCCAGTACTTTGGGAGTCCAAAGCACAAGTATTGCTTGAGGCCAGGAGTTTCAGACCAGCTGAGCCATATAATGAGACCCTGATTCTACAAAAAAAAAATTTTTTTTTTAATTAGCCAGGTATGGTGATACATGCCTCTAATACCAGCTACTTAGGAGGCTGAAGTAGGAGGATAGTTTGAGTTCAGGAGTTCAAAGTTACAGTGATCAAGCCACTGCACTCCAGCCTGGGAGACAGAGTAAGACTTTGTCTCTAAAAATCATAATACTAATAACAAAATGGAAAGAGCAAATTTTGATGCTTTACTGTTTTGTGGGCCTGTGTTGTCTACTTTCCCTTCATCCTCAGCTTTGTATTTCACAGTGTTGGTGATATATGGAAAAAAAACTAAGACACAGTCCTTTAGGAATTGCCAAAACTCCTATCTAAATGTGAGTGAGCAATGAAAAATAAGATACATGAAATATGAGGGCTGAGAAAGTGTGTTTTAGGGATGGGAGTGAGAGCTCCTCGTACTGTGTGGGTAGACTAAAGCAAGCTGCCAATCAAGATCTCCTTAAGATTATTTAGCAGGGGGAAGGAGAGAAGAGGGGGCGATCACTTAGTGAGCTGAGCACAAGAGGAATACCTCGCAGCTTTAGAGAATGTTTAGAGGTAGAAGTGCGAGTGGGCAGCCCACATTTCTTCTGCTCCCACCACCGCCATCACACTGTCTCCTTGTCTGCTAAAATTTCATTATTTTTCCATCAAGCACTTACTCTCCAAATTAGGCAATCCTAAAATGCATTTAATTCCATATACCTAGGATCTGTTCAGTAGGCAAATGCCCTCACATAAAAATACTTTTGCAAGAATTGAAACTTCACTGTCTAATCAGGCCACTGATATTCTCTTAAACTAGTCTGTGCTTTCCATTTAAATTGTACCCAGGGAGGAAGTATCCTGTGGTGGAGAAAGCATTCACCTGAGAATCTAAAGACCTGCACTCTAGTTCCTCATTTGAGACTCAGAAATTCTGTGACCTTGAGCAAATTTTGGCCCTTAGTATCTTCACTGGGATAAAATAATGGAGAAAAGTTACCTTTCAAATCCCTTCTCACTCCAGAATGCTGTTTTGCCAAGCCTATTAGAGGAGAACTAATGTTTTAACAGTTCAGTTCTATTGAGTCAGCACATATTTATTGAGCATCTACTGTTGTGCCCTAGTGACTTAAAAGCATTGATAAAAGTGCATTCTTAGAAACATGCAATGCACTGGGCGAATCCTACTCATTTTATAAACATGCTGTGATGGTGATTTTACTTAATCCACAGACCCTGAAACCTCCCAAGCAGGTAGCTCAGTGTAGTGGCAGTTTTAAAATGACAAAGACCTCTTTCTTGAAAACTGACTCAGCTACAATCAGTGTGCTTGTGACAAGACACTTCACTTTTCTTGGTCATGATTTTCTTCTCTGTGAATTTGGGACAATGAGGCCCACCTTAAATGGCTATGGTGAAGAGCAAGAACCCTACCTTCAGTAGAACAGCTGAGCAGAATAACCTAGTAGGAATATATTAAGTTTTGAGCTCAGCAGACCAGGTTCAAGGGCTGGCTTTATGATTTCTTAGATATGTTACTGTTTGAAAGTCAGTTAATTTCTCCAAGCCTCAGCTTCTTGTGTGAGATGGGATAATAACATTTACCACACACAATTACTGTATGGGAAGAGTTCAGCATAGTTTGTAACACTTGGTAAGAATTCAGTTAATAAGAGCAATTACTGTGAATTACCTACAAATTCAGAATTGGCCTATCTAGACACAGTAAGCAGCTGGAGTTTACTTTTGTATTACAAAGGGAAGGAATCATGTCAGAAAAGAGTATAAATGGTCTCAGGGCAGTGGCTCACACCTGTAATCCCAGCACTTTGGAAGGCCAAGGCAGGTGGATCACTTGAGGTCAGAAGTTCGAGACCAGCCTGACCAACATGATGAAACCCCGTCTCTACTAAAAAAATAATAATAATACAAAAATTAGCTGAGTGTGGTGGCAGGCGCCTGTAGTCCCCGCTACTCGGGAGGCTGAGGCACGAGAATCACCTGAGTCTGGGAGGCAGACATTGCAGTGAGCCGAGATAGTGCCACTGCACTCCAGACTGGGTGACACAGTGAGACTCCATCTCAAAAAAAAAAAAAAAAAAGAAAAAGAAAAAGAAAAAAGTATAAATGGTAGTCTTAGAAAAAATTCTAATCTACCTAAAAGATAAGCTATTGTTACATAGATATAACCAACTCCATGTATTGAATTTACACAAAAATAATGATTGCGATGAAAACAAAGGTTAACATTGCTTTGATTTGCAAATTATTCTATTTGTGACAAAGACTTCTACCTAACCTATTATTTGTGAAGTTATTTCAGTATTTGAAATAGAGATTAAAAATATTGTATTTTCTTGGCACGATTGAAGTTTGGAGGGGTTGAAAGTGAATTTACTTTGAGGCATTAGGTTCTTTGGTATGGGCAACTATGATTCAATTTATTAGAAGGATATTGGTGACCACAACACACCAAATCAATGGAAGTCTGAAGGAGCAGTTCCAGAAGTAGAATAGGAACAAGGAAAGAGACTTTTGGCAGGAACAGTTTCTTCCCTCCTTGTATCTGGGTTGAAAGTCCAGTTGACCAGGCTTAGATCTTAGAAGGCCTTCCCTCCAGATCCTTTCAACAGAAAGAATCTGTCCAGAGGCTACTCTTTACTTTCATTGAGGAAGAACAGATTATCTGAATTTTCTGATCTACTAGAACTCTCCACAATGGGGGAAAAGCAAATCCTCCAAAGGAAATGGAAGATGTTGATAGGAAGTGGAGATGGATGTTGGGTGACCAATATTAACAAAGGTCCCTACGGACAGACTTGTTTCCATATTTGACTCTGCCACTTGCTATACAAATTACTCCACTTTCCCAAGTCTATTGTAAAATGAAGGTAATGGTAAACCCAACTCCACAGGATTGCTATGAAATATAAATATAGCAATGTTTATAAAGTGCCCAGCATAATAACTGTCACATAAGTATGTCTATTAAGTTTCAGTAAATCAAACTTTCCTTTCTTATTTCAGTGATGCCTGTGTTAGGCTTTTCTATATTAGCTCCATGTATATTTACTTATATATTTCTTACATTCATGTGTATTAGTATTTTATTATCAAAGTATGTACTTCCAGAGAAAAAAGATCATGCCTCACTTTAACCAGTGCCATTTGCTTTTGATGATGACAGTGACAATAACAATAATAACAGGGAGGCATTGTCCTAGTAATTAGTTTTAAGTACTTTTTGAGACTTTAAAAATAATCTACATAATATGGTATTTATACACATAGTCAATGGTTATAGTTATGTTTAGCATATAGGTATCCATTTTCTTTTTCATGGTCACGCTGAGGGACCCTGATGACACATAGACCATATTGCCCTTACAAGGCTCTTAATGACAGAATGGTTGGCATAGCCTTACTTTCCTAAATAGTTTGCTGATTCACTTGTTCCATTTTTAGACATCAGCAGATCGGCATTGGTGACATCTGCTAATTATTTGGTTTGACTCGTGACTGGCATGAGACTTCCATCTGCATCAATCAGTAAGACATGATTAGTGTGAGGTTAATACCACCCAATCCATGACCAATTTGTTGTAATGAGAAGCCTTGTTTATTTATCGGTTTTCCCCAGAGGTAATCATTTGTTGGAAACATAGCTGCCAAAAGTCACATTGTCTTCGTATTAATAGCTTATCAACTCTCAAATTGCATTGACCTACCCAATTACATATTTAAGACCTTCTGCACCTCTCTTACGGTTTCCACCTCTCATTTCTACCTGGAAACAGTCTTGGAAGACAGCTGAAGACTGTGCTTCTATGGTTCGTCCTTCCTTGTTTCCCTAGTACAATATTTTGAGACATCCCCTCAAATGGCCCTCTTCTTTCTAAACCATCATCATGTGACAGTCACAGCTTCATTAAGACATGTTAGTTACGCTTCCTGGTTTAATTCAGAGTGAATTAAATCATACTCAATAAACTCACCAAGAGTTTTGTTGGTTTCTTGTGTAATGCTTGGGTAAGATTAGAAAGGCAATGACCTCCAATCATGGTAGTAGCTAATTCCTTGTTTAATACTTTAGGTCAAAGTGAGTGCACATTTCACCATTTTGTGGTCTACCAGAGCAAACACAGAAGAATGCTTTCTGCCCCCTGGTGCTCATTGTCTGCTACTGCAGCAGATGAGTCAGCTGAGATATGTTCCAGACAGAAGCAGAAGGAATTGTGTCTCTACTGCTTATAGCACATGAGCAAAGCCACAACTTTTCAGTGCGTCACATGTCAGATACCTCCTAAATATGCAAGTGTCAGGGAAATGAATGAAGAGGATCTCTCAATTCTGTAACAGGAAGCACCACTGGGGAGAATGGCAGAGGCTCTGGGCTCTGGCTCTTGTTGCTTCATTAGCCTCTCATCTGGGAGCCCTCTGGGGTGCTGGCTGGTCCACCCTGGCCATGTCTGGGTCTCTTGATTATGCCAGGTTATTCCCTGACTCAACACACTGACATGTGCTTCTCTCTCTGCCTAAAAACTTCCTCACCCCCTTCATCTCCTAAATCGTATCTCTCCTTCAGAATGTAGCTGAAGGGCCACCTTCACAGGAAAGTCTCAATCAGGACTTCCTTAAATCTTCTCATACCACCTGATTCTTCTCCTTCAAGGCACCCATTACGATTGTAATTGAATAACTAAATTGTTTAATGAATGTACAATCTGCTAAAATGTAAGCCCCTCTAAGGTCTTATTTACATTTGCATTTCCCATAGGTGTACAACATAATTTTTAAATGAATGAATGAATTCTGAAGCGAAAACATAACATTCTTAAATTTGACAGCCCTTTTGTTTGCAGATAAACCAAAGCCAGGCTTATCCTGGAGTATAATTTCAAAGATAACCAGGGGAAGAAGAGAGGAGAAGATAGGGAAGGGGTGGGACTGAATTGGGTCAAGGTTCTCTTCATTCTGTCTCACCAAGGAATAGTTGTACGCTAATGTAATTAAATGCCAAAACTAGCTTGCAGAAACTTTTCTCTTTTCTCAAAGTTCTCTAAGTTTACAAAGAGTAAGCATGCTTTTCAAATCCTACTTATTTTTTATCCTTTGCCTATAGTATGGATCCACCCTCCAAGACTCTGAAAGTTTTTAATTGTAGTATCTGTGCATGGAACATAAGCTTAATTACTAAGGCAATGCCCATTGCTTTGTAGGGCCACGAACAATGCTTTTCATTACTGGGCATAAAGTACTCTGTTGTTATTTTCTCTATAGCCTTATATTGGAATAAGCAATAATTGTAGTTTATTCTTTACAGATGGAGGCAATAAGCACAGACAGATCTGGAACCCTTGCCTACTGTGACATACAGCCGCAGTAGCAGGCAAGCCTGGGTCAGCTCCAGAGCGGCAATGGAGGGAAATTCCCAGGACTCTGGGTGTCTTGGAAGTTTCCAAGGCCTGCAACTGATCACAGATCCTGGTTTTCCTCCCATTGGCTAAAAAGATAATAAATACAAGTTACAGCTTGACTACTGTCTGAAAAAATCTTGTAATGGTTAATGGAAGAAAGAAGAGAAAGTCCAGATGTTTGTTTTTTTTCCCTGCTTAGTGTGAGTTGAATGCTAACTTGAGACTAGGTCTAAAGTAGATCAGAAAATGCTTTCTCTTTATAAGTCAATTCATACCAGAAAAAATATAGGACACAGACAATGCCCAATAGTTACACTGGGACATGGAAATGGAGAGGAAGGGGAGTAACACTTGTGGGGTTGATATTATCATTTCATCATCTATCTGAAATATCGCACAAGGGAGGGAAAACTGAAACAGTAAAAGCCACATACAGATTCCACTGTTTTTAACATTACATTTGTTTCTCATTCATTTAACTTTCAATAAATATTTATTGAAAACTCGCAATATACTAAGCTTTGAAAACACAACAAAGAATAAAATGAAGCCCTTGGTCTTTTGGACTTTACTTTTCATGGGCAGGGTACAGATAGAGAACAAGGCGGAATAATGTTCAAGTAAATAAGCCAGGTAATTTCAAACACTAATAAGCGTTACAATCATGATAAAGCAGGGCGATGTGATTGAGAGTGGCTGGAGGTGAGGGTTTGTTTTAGATCTGTGCTGTCCAATACAGTTGCCACTAGCCATATGTGCCTCCTGAGTATTTGAAATGTGTCCAGTCCATGTTGAGATGTGCTGTAAGAGATGAACTGAATTTCAAAAACTTAGTATGAGAAAAAGAATAGAAAATTATCTCATTAACATTTTTATACTAATCGTTGAAAATATCTTAGATATACTGGATTAAATAAAAATATCATGAAGAAGGATTTAACCTCTTTTTATGTGCTTTCACTGTGGCTACTTGAGCATCTAAAATTGCACTCACACTTGTTCTTTACCTTTTTGTACTGAGCAGCACTATGGATGGATAGTGTCGTCAGGGTGGGCCACCCAGCCTCTTAAGAAGATGATAATACACTTAGGAGGAACTGGGCATGCAAAGGTCTCAGGGCAGAGTAGTGCAGGCAAGGAGAACAGCAATTGCGAAGAACCTGAGGTGGGAACCAGCTTGGTGAGTTGGAAAAGAAAGAAAGCCAGTATGCCTGGAGAGAAGGCCAGGAGACAAGGAGGTCAAAAATAAGGTAAACCCCCGAGACCAAGGCTTGCTCATGCAGGGCTTTGTAAATGAGAGTAAAAAGTTTAATACAAGGCTGGTCACAGTGGCTTGCACCTGTAATGCCAGCACTTTGGGAGGTTGAGGCAGGAGCATCACTTGAGGCCAGGAGTTCAAGACCAGCCTGGCCAACATGGCAAAACCCCGTCTCTGCTAAAAATACAAAAATTAGCCAGGTGTAGTGGCACACTGCATGCCTGTAATCCCAGCTACTCGGGAGACTGAGGCAGGAGAATCGCTTGAACCCGGGAGGTGGAAGTTGCAGTGAGTGGAGATTGCACCCCTGCCCTCCAGCCTGGGAGACAGAACAAGACTTCACCTCAAAAAAAAAAGTTAAACACAGGCTTTCCATAAAATATTGAATATTAGAGCAGATTTGCTCCTGTGTAATTTCCCAGGAACTGTTCCATAATATTAATATTCAGCATGAAACCCTGGTTTAAAAATGCAAAGAAACCCATTCAGCTTAGAATAGCTCCATGCTAATGAAGGCTTAGACTGGAATATGCATTTACTAAACTCATTTATTTTCATATAATCGTTATAATGTTTCTGTGTAGCTGCTTCCTTGTAAGAAGGAAGAACATAGATAGAGAATGCACTCAAATTAATTAAATAAGAATCTCAGGTTCATCTTCTTCTACTTTACTCATTGCAAGCTCAAACTCTGAGGGTGTGTGTAATAGAGGAAGGCAGGCAAACCTGAGTCCACCCAGAAAGTATAGGGTACAGGTTGGGAGATAAATATTAAAGTTTTCACTTCTTTACACATGAGTGTGTCCACCATACACAGATTTTCTACTGGGCTACTCCCAGGAAAAAGAAAATAAACTGAGTATGTTCTTTCTTTCCCTGGGGGAGTGGTTCAAAAAAAAAAAAGTAGTGAATCATTTAATGACCAAATATTTCTGATGTATTTTAGAGTTTATATAATGAATGTATTTGTTATAAAAGCAAAATTTTGAGTTTCACCAGTAGAAACACTTCGTTCCCAAATGTCAAAGTGAAACTGACATCCATAATTATCACGCAGCTCTCTCTTTCTCTCTCTCTCTCTCTCACACACACACACACACACACACAAAGGCAAAGTTTATGTGTCCTCACAAGGGATATGTGGTTACTAAATTTAAAAGGAATGGCCCAAGTATTTGAGATTATCTAGGAACAATGTCAAGACTGGTGCCTTGTCAGAATATGTCCAACCCTGTAAGTCACTGGGTCCTTGATCATCAAAAGCAGGGCAGAGCTCTTGCTGCACCCAGGTCATTAGAAACTCATGTGTGGGCAGAGCTCTGGGTTACAAGGCACAGGTGGGGCAAGGTGAGTCAGTCAGGTGTGTTCCTTTTCTTTAAGAGTCCTTACTCGACCAGGCACGGTGACTCATGCCTATAATCCCAGCACTTTGGGAGGCCGAGGCAGGTGGATCACCTGAGGTCAGGAATTTGAGACCAGCCTGGCCATGGCAAAACCCTGTCTCTACTAAAAATATAAAAAATTAGCCAGGTGTAGTGGCAGGCACCTATAATCCCAGCTACTTGGGAGGCTGAGGCAGGAGAATCACTTGAAACTTGGAGAAAAGGTTGCAGTGAGCCAAGATCACGCCACTGCACTCCAGCCTGGGTAACACAGCAAGACTCAAAAAAAAAAAAAAAAGAAAAAAGAGTCCTTACTCTCTGATATTATGGATGAATGGGGTCACAGTGCTTTGCTCTGATTACTAAGACTCTACATTCACAAGTAGTTTGTAGACCTAGAACCTAGATTTAGACTTATGGATGTTTCAACAAGTGAAAACTTATGAATTGTGATGGCTTAAATGGATCCTAAGTGCATTACTGACTTAACTCTCTCAAAAATAAAAGCCTCTATTTAAACAACACAGAAAAAAAAAGTTGTGATAGCATAAATCAGTGCCTGGCACACAGTCGGTATTCAATAAATCTTTGCTGAATGTTAGAATGTACAAATGTTACTTAAGATTTAGGGGAAACTTATCACGAGATTAGGCCTATTTTGGCCTAATCAGTTTCTCCTAATGAGCTTCCTGAGGAGTTATGCATATAAAAAACAAGGAAAAGTGAAAAATAAAAATACATATTATTTGCAAGAGATCCCAATAGAGGCCTCTCTGGTAAGTTGAACTGGAACCCTTGTTGTAGGTTCCAGCTCACCATGTTCATGACACCGCTGAGTCCTAGTTTTCCTACAAGCTAACTCCAGCACCTGAAGAGATGAGTTCTCCGGAGCTCGGAAAGCTAGTCTTACAATAAGAAACAGAGAAAACAAGACAGCTGGGCCTACACTTTTGACACAGTGACCTGCCAGACAAATGGCATGGCCTAAACGGTGCCCTTCAGCTCAACAATCAGATTTGCAACTCCTCCTTTCTGGGACCTGAGGGTTCCGGGGATAACAATGGCCTCCATAGGGAGAAAACTAAAATGGAAATCAAGACTAGGTAGTCATGATCTGTAAACGACAAATTTGAAAACTTCAAGAATGAAAACAAATGCAATTTTGAAAATGTGGGTGTGTATGGTAATTACCATTACTAAACATAAACCCTGCAGATCAAGTTTTATGCAACCTATTTAAAATTTAATCAAATTGAGCCTCATGGTAGTTGAGCCTCATGGTAGTTAAGCCACTTGCTGGGGCCCAACGGTAAGCAAGTGGAGGAGCAGATATTTGAGCCCAAGACTGTGTTCCTTCTTCTCTGCTACACTGCAGATGGGCACATTTCTGTGAATTGAAGTAATAGCAGAACACTTTTATGAATGTTAGTATTGTGAAAGTACTAATGGAATTTTCCAAATAAGAAATTGCTTATTACATTTTGTGTTATCCATTGCTGTTGTGAATATAAATTGCATTAATTATACTTATGAAAACATAAATAATGAATAGTAGAAGCTACAGCAAGAAGCAAGCATTCATAATTTAAGAATTCCTCCAAGCCTATGGAAAGGAAAATAACTGTTTGGCTTGTGGTCTCATTTCTCAGTTTGCCAACCCTGAACTTTGTAGAGACTTCTTCACATTACAATCAATATAAATCCATAAAATCTGGCTTATTAACTTCTTTCCCAATATGGTTCACCTTTTAAGTCTCTGTTTCTGTGTTTGTCACTCCACGCTCGCAATGACCCAAGCAGCCCTAGAACCTTCGTCATAGTTCTCCTTTCCACTGATACTCAGTTGTCTAATCCCACCAACCCTAATGCAGCAAAGATTTACTTCTGGGTCCCATACATTTGTTCCCTACTACTTTCCTTCTGCTTCTGCTCTAATTCACAAACGTTTATTACTTCTTGCATTAGCATGAATGCTTTCTGCTGCACATATCATAAAACCTCAACTCATATTGACACAGACAATAAGAATATTCATTATCTCATATAACAAGATGTCTGAAGGGAAGGCAGTTCCAGGTTTGTTTAAATCATAATCAAGGAATCAGGTTCCTTGAATATTGGCTTTGTCCACAGACTAGCTCCTCCTATCATAGCAAAATTTTGGTGGCATGGTAGTTCCAAGTGTCACATGGAGACGACTTCCAGCAGAAGAAAAGATCGTCTCTTTTTTTGTTTCCCTTTTTCAAAAGGAGAAGACACTTCCGAGAAGGCACCTAAAGGACTTCTTTCACATCTCATTGTCTAGAAATAGACCCTAAGGGCTCATCCTAGAGTGGATTCCTCCTCTGGGCAGGGGATGGTGCCTCCTCTTCTGAAGGTTATAGCTAGGAGGAGATGGGGGTACCATGCACTAAAACCAGGATTCAGTTAGAAGATGGAAGGAAGGAAGAACAGAATGGATGGTGGATGGTTGACCAGTGATGTCTTCTATATCCATCTCTTGCCTGGGCTGTCATGGTAGACTCCCAACTATGTCCTAGCCACTAGAGTCTCCTTATGCTAATTTGTGGCACAGACCCTATCGAGATCAATCTTTATAAAGTATAGCATTGTCACAGAACTCAATGCCAACTTCTCAATCTGGCCTCCAAGGCTTTCTACAATTTACCGCAAACTTCCCTACTCCTGGTGTTATCCCATGCAAGATACTTTCTCTTGAGGGTGCCTTCTCTTTACTACCCACCCTTGCCATATCTCATGAATTTACCTCTATCCTGTCATCAAAGTAATATTCCTAAAAGCAAAAATCTGAACTGCACTGTTGTACTTAACTTCTTATAGGATGCGTTTAAATTCCTGAGCATGGTATACATAGCCTTTTAAAAATTAGTCCCCACATGTCTCTCAAGGTAATTTTTCTATTAAACTTCATTTTCTCCTCACCCTACCCCAACTCCAACCACAAAGAAAGGTCTCACCCTTCCCAAACACAGCACTGTCTTTATGTCTTCATGCCTTGTCATATGTTATGCTCACTGCCTGGAATGTATTTCTCATCTTTTTTCCATCTGGTAAAATTCCATTCATTATTCAAAGCCCAGATAAAAGCTCATTTCCTTCATAAATGCTTTCCCAATTCCCCAGACAGAACTAATTTCTTCCTCCCCGATGCTTCCAAAGAGTTCTATTACACCCGTCAACACATTGTATAGTAATGATTTGTTTATATCCATGTCCTCTATCAATATATTTTTCTATGAGACTTTTTTATTGTTTTAATTATGTTAATTTTTCCCCCAGTTGCTGGCACAGGGCAAATCCTCAGTGAAAGATTGAGGATAATTTATTTAGAATGACCCTTTTGTTTAAATTCTACCCATACCTCATGGCCAGGCGCGGTGGCTCACACCTGTAATCCCAGCACTTTGGGAGGCCGAGGCAGGTAGATCACAAGGTCAGGAGATCAAGATCATTCTGGCCAACATGGTGAAACCCCACCTCTACTAAAATACAAAAAGTTAGCCAGGCGTGGTGGTGCATGCCTATAGTCCCAGCTACTTGGGAGACCGAAGCAGGGGAATTACTTGAACCTATTATTTGGGGATTCCTAACAGGACATCAGAATAATAGTAGGAAATCAGAAAAACAGTTAAGCCAATACTATGCCAAATGTTTCTCAAACATCTAAGGTATATGTGTGTGTGTGGCAGGGTGTTGTATGTATTTTGTGGTCAGCTTTAGAAATTCTATAAGAATTTTTAAATTTTACTATTTTATATAGACAATAATTTTTTAAAATACACAAACATTCTTGGTCACATATATATAAATAAATAAATATATATATATATTTTTTTTTTTTACTGATACCTATGACAAGATTCCTTTCTCTCAATGACATTGCATTTGTGATCTTGTTGATGCCAGGAGATATGCTCCATAGACTTCCCTCAAGTTTAAAGATAAACAGGAGCTAGCAATGGATATTTTTGTTTCAGGGGGGTTTAAAGATTTTATTTCTTTTCAAAACCAGTATTAGGCCTAAATGCCACAAGACCAGTTGCATTTTATTAATATAAGTGGTAAGATTATAATCACAAGTGATTATATCTAACATCAAACAATAAATGGACTTGGTTGATTTAGTGAAAAAATCAACCAACAATAGTTCAAGTTTGAGAAACTCTGAAACCTTGCACTTCCCAGAAACCAGTGGTTCCCAAGTGTCTATCATTAACATACTGCATGCCCAGAATGAACTGTATCTGTGTGCCAAATACCGTATATCATGCCTTATACTGTAGTAAACTTAATACTTGTGATAAACCAATCCAAAATTAAATGCCAACATCATTTGTCATAAATAAGAGGTAATTATTTTAAAAAACTAAAAGCATAACGAGGTGATTCTAATTCCAGCTGGAATGTAGGAAAGCCTTGGTGCCTGAGGCCTAATCGCTCTTTTTTTTTTTAAGTGAGATTGACAAATGTTAAAGAAAATGAAAAAAAAAAAAGTTAGCACTGGCTGGGCACGGTGGCTCACGCCTGTAATCCCAGCACTTTGGGAGGCTGAGGGGGGCGGATCACAAAGTCAAGAGTTCGAGACCAGCCTGGCCAATATGGTGAAACCCTGTGTCTATTAAAATACAAAAATTAGCCTGGCATGGTAGCAGGTGCCTGTAGTCCCAGCTACTCGGGAGGCTGAGGCAGGAGAATCGCTTGAACCCGGGAGGCAGAGGTTGCAGTGAGCCAAGATCACACCACTGCACTCCAGCCTGGGCGACAGAGTGAAACTCCATCTCAAAAAAATATATATATATATTAGCACTAAAAGGAAAGACTGAAAGAAATTTTAAAAGCACATAGCTTTGTCTCTGTGTAATTTATTTACTATTAACCATTGTTATTACATTCCTTAAAAAAATCACCTTTATACCATGGATGGCACCAGACTACATTTAAGAATTACAACCAGGCCAGGCGCGGTGGCTCAGGCCTGTAATCCCAGCACTTTGGGAGGCAAAGGTGGGCAGATCACAGGGTCAGGAGTTCAAGACCAGCCTAAACAATATGGTGAAACCGCATCTCTACTAAAAATACAAAAATTAGCTAGGCATGGCGGCATGCTCCTGTAATCCCAGCTACTTGGGAGGCTGAGGCAGGAGAATCACTTGAACCAGGGAGGTGGAGGTTGCAGTGAGCTGAGATTGCACCACTGCACTTCAGCCTAGTGATAGAGTGAGACTCGGTCTCAAAAAAAAAAAAAAAAAAAAAAAAAAGAGAGAATTACAACCATAATCAAAACAATCAACTTGTGGACTAAAATTAACATTTTAAGTCGGTGTTCTGATTTATGATCATGTGTTTTGAATTGTGACATGTTTCACTAAAGACAATAATACTTCATCATTTTTAAAGGAATTATAATATCTGACTAAGTAGGTAACATTCAGAAGCTAAAATATGAACTCAACATTATGAGAAAAGTTACATTTAAAGAAACTTTTGAAGAAAGAACAATGAAAAACGTAGGTGGATTTAGAAGATCTCCCCATTTCAATTTACATTTTAAGACTATTTCTTTCATTACTGGGCACTTAATGGCTTACCAACTAGAGCCCTACTTCTGAAAGATAAGTACAAAAAAATTAAATAATGCCTTTTAATCTCCTTTATTTCCACCAGAATCTATAAAAAATTCAAAGATGATTATTTGAAGATATCTTTGGGGAGTATATTTTCATGCGTCAGCCTACATTTTAATCATTCTGAGATTTTTTTTAGTTCAAACATTCACCTCCAAAGAATTCTTTCTTTCCTTCCTCCTTCCTTCCTTCCTTTCTTTCTTTCTTTCTTTTTAAAAGAGAATATTCAAAGCAGCAGCAGCAATTAACTATGAAATTCTGGGAACAGAGACCTCCCCAGAGACTTCACTCAGCATCCAGGTGGGCTAGAAGAAGGTAGCACTAGGTGCTCAGGACAGCGTGGTTAGGGCTTCATGGCTGTGGACACTGAGGTGGCAGAGCATGGTTTACCTGGTGGAGGCAGACAGTAGGGACAGGTCTCTACCACTGCTAACTTATGCCACAGAGTGACCCAGGCAATCAGAATTTCAACTTGCAGGGAGAGAATTAAGAATAATAGAGATCCTTTCTTCATTTAACCAAGTTGCTGTGTCTTTTTAACTGGCAACTTTGGGCCAACCTATGCTCTAGACTAGGGAATAGTAGATGACTCGTAGGTGCCCAAACCATTTTGTTACTTAGTACTCAGTTAAGGACTCAGTAGGATGGCTCAGCCTTAGAGGGGCCAGGAAAGAAAACAACACATATCCAATGGAGTAAGTTAAGTTCTTAGGGATCAGATGCAGATGCAGGCAATGGGAGAAGACCAGCTAACGTCCTGAAGGTTGGAGATAGTCAGGAGAGGAAGGCATAGGCAGCCAGTAGACGACAGCAGGACCAGCAAAGTTCCAGCATTACAGCAGGTGATTGGAGCAAAACAATGGAAAATCTAAGCTCTTGCAAGCAGGTGGACAGGTCAGAGACAACCATGAGCAGGGAACAAGGTCAATGCTACAAAGCGGGGTTTCTGGGTCAGGAATTGAGTATACAAGGGACAAGTGACCTATGTGTGTCTAGGAATGGTGGTTAGAGCAGGGTAAAGCTCAGGTCTGGGAGGAAGTGAGTGCTGGGGGGGTTATCAAGGCAGTCTCAGGTATGAGAAAACAAGACAGAAACCCGCAGAAGAGGTACAAGGGTAGAACTCTTTCGTTTAAAGAGAAAAGAGGCAAAAACCATTTATCAGAACTGGAGCAGGACTAGCAGTAAATGGAAGGCAGTGGAAAAATAAAGCCATTTTCTAAATGATCTGAATTTCTGATTTTTGTTTCCTTTTCTGTTTATATACTTGATTTTTCTCTTTCATACTAAAGGCTTTCTTGAAATGTCTGATAATCCCTGGCTATTAATTAACATTTAAGAACAATACACTAAAAAAGCTCTGTGTAAACATGAGCTTATTAACTGATGAAACTAGTAGAATAATTGGATGGGAGTCAGAGACTTTGAATGAAACTCTCAAACAGTAGGATGCGGAAATCAATGTCTCCTTAGATGGCATTTATTTTCTTCAAACAGGAATCCTCTGTCTTCTGCCTAAGAAGTAAATGTCTGGAACATAAAAATAGAGTGGAGGAGGGAGGAGGCTCCTACCATTCAATATGCAGACTCTTTCAATCCTTCCATGATCAGCCCAGTATTTCATCCCATCTTTCTGGTGCCTCCATGTCTGAAGTCCTCCTATTTAATGCTGCTTGAAAATAAACCTCAGATTTTTTGCCTGTGATGGGGTGTAAGTTAATCCCAGGTTATATGTAAGTACAAAAAGAGGCTTAAGGGTCCAGTCACTAAATAGCATGACTTACAACCAATTCCTTTGTTTTAAGTTCTTGTCCTCTGCAGAACCTGGTGTCTCTGATGTTAGACATGTTAAGAGTTCCATGATAGGAATAAGCTCACTTTTCATTAATACTCAACTTTAGAGGCCATATAAGTTATAGCCCCCTACTCTCTGTTGAGTCAGTTACCACTTCATCCTCTTTCCATCTCACAAAAAGGTTGAGATCTTAAGTTTCCTGATTTTTCTTCTCCTGGGTTTATTTTTATTTATTTTTTTAATGTTCGAGACTTTTTAGTTTAGTTTTTTTTAATTAGCATATTATGATATTGCTGAGAAAGATTCAAGGAGTCATCTTTAAGGAAAAATTCCTGTAAGTTACTATTGACAACATGAAAAATGTGGTGCATATTTGATACTTAGAATGTCAAAGGTAGCCTTCTGGCTGGGCGTGGTGGCTCACACCTGTACTCCCAGCACTTTGGGAGTCCTAGGTAAGTGGATCATTTGAGCAGGAGCTCAAGACCAGCCTGGCCAACATGGTGAAACCCCATCTCTACTAAAAATACAAAAAATTAGCTGGGTATTGTGGTGCATGCCTGTAGTTCCAGCTACTCAGGAGGCTGAGGCAGGAGAATTGCTTGAACCTGGGAGGCAGAGGTTGCAGTGAGCCGAGATCGTACTACTGCACTCCAGCCTAGGTGACAGAGCAAGGCAAGACTCCATCTCAAAAAAAAACCAAAAAAAACAAAAAAAAACAAAAGAATGTCAAAGGTATCAAAGGTAGCCTTCCAAAGGTAGCCTTCATATATAGATAAATTATTGTAACAGGTCTTGATGGAAAGAAAGGAGAGTGACTCATAATTATCCTGATGGCTTACAGAGAACAAGAAAGATAGTACCCTGGAGTCTAGTTAGTGGTCTTAATTTAACTCTCCATTTGGGGGTGAATGGGACTGGGCTTGCTAAGCAGAGCTGACTCAGTTGTTTCTCAGATTAGTTTTACCCAAATTACCAATCTATCTCACCTCTAGTTGATATATTCCATTTCTTACTTTTGAAATCATGTATTCTCTCCCCTCCAAAGCAATTTACCCATCATCTGCTAATTATCCATGCTTATGGTGAACATTGCTCTCACAATAAGATGAATTGTCTATCTGGCTCATTTGTTGATGAATGATTCCCAAATGCAGCTGGTGCCAGGTGCCTGGCAGGCTTTGTGTGAATAACTTAGGAGGTTTGTTTAAAAAAATAATGGATTTGCAGATCCCACCATCACACCTTGAGGAACTGATTCAACAGGTGGATTAAGGAGGGACTGATGAAGGTAATTCTGAGTTATTATTGTAGACCAGTCATTACAGTTATTTGTTTATTCTATATCTATCCATATCTATTTGCTTACATGTATATTGGCCACTTGTAGATAACTAGTACATGAAGCATATGAAGATGCAAAGATGAATAGACAGTCTTGGCCTTTGAAAAATTAAAATTTAGGCTGGGCACAGTGGCTCATGCCTGTAATCCCAGCACTTTGGGAGGCTGAGGAGGGTGGATCACCTGAGGTCAGGAGTTCAAGGCCAGGCTGGCCAAGAGTGTGAAACCCCATCTCTACTAAAAATACAAAAAATTAGCTGGGTGTGGTGGCATGCACCTGTAATCCCAGCTACTCAGGAGGCTGAGGCAGGAGAATCACTTGAACTCGGGAGGCGGAGGTTGGAGTGAGCTGAGATCGTGCCATTGCACTCTAGCCTGGGCAACAAGAGCAAGACTCCATGTCAAAAAAAAAAAAGAAGGAAAAAAAAGAAAAATTAAAATGTAGTAGATGATATAGACATAGAAAGAATTCTAATTAAAGTCAATAGTGTAACTATAAAGACAATGTGAATTATCTAAAGTGTAGAAATTCAGAAGGGTCAGAAATGGCTTATAGAATCAGGGAAGGTCTTATGAGGATGTAGCCACTAAGTTGGGTTATGAAGAATGAGTGAGATTTCCAAGGGCAGGAATGGAGAGCATTTGAGTAGGTTTTCAGGCATTTGCCTAAAATATCCAAAATCAAAATTGAGGTATACTAGATTCACTTTAATTTTGATATATTTTGTGTTAAGCATAAATAAATATTCTAAGTTAAATATCTAAGTTTGTTGATAGGGGCACAATGAAATATTTTCAACGGGCTTAATTAACACTAATAATTGTTATCACATATTTACTAAGTACCTGCTGCGTATTGATATTTAACAGGTATTGGGCAAAATATAACAATAACATAAAACTCATCTACCTTGAAGAAGCTAAAAAAATAAAATGTGGAAATGTTAAGATAAAAAATACTCAATATTTCTTAACAGATATATTGATAATGGTCCATATTCTTTCAACTTGATTTACCTCCCTACTAATTAATGTATGGTTTGAGTCTTTTTATAGGTCACTTTTTGGGAAAAAATAATGTTTTGTTTCTATTTTAAACACTTAATCTTAGCCAAAAGGCCAAGAAGCAATGTGTTTCTATTTTAGTATCATCAATCAGCAGTACTTCCTCATGTAATAATGGGGAAACAGTTTATTTCTCCTTTCCTTATTCTATTTATAGCTGAAAATAATATTTAAACTTACTTTTTCTTCCCAAATGTTCCATTTTATCTCTTGTGTTGCTTTTTCAACTTTATGTTAATATGCCTTTGCTGTTTCTTGGTAATCTTCATTTTCCTGTTTCAAATATAATGTGCTCTTCATATTCGTCTCAAGCTCTTCTTTCAGTTAAAGTACAAAATCAGGTTGGAATTTTTCCAGAATATTTTCAAGAAAAATGTTAATAATAGCCATACGCTGCACTCTGTATATTGTCTTTAAAATGATTAAAACTGTTATAAAGCACCTATTTGTGCTCAGTGGTATATAAAAAGATGGAAATTATTGCTACTCTCTGGGGAATCTAATATTGAGGAAGATCAATCAGTAAAGGACATAAGTTGCAAGCAGCAGATACAAATACATAAAGAAACAAGGTGACATAGAAGATAAACTCTAGACACTAATAAAGAGATCATGTTATGATCATCTTCTTCTTCTTTCCCTTTGCCTCTGAGCCACAACATGTCCTTCTTTTCTCTACATTCTGCCCTCTTTGTTCTTCCCATTTCTTTCTTTTCTTTTCTCCAATTTCTTAGTTTAATGGAAGAAGAGCTCCTCAGCCCTTTTCTGGTCTCACAAAAAGCATTTATTTCTCTCTTGGGATGGTTCTTGCCCAGTGACACTAAGGATGAAGAGCCCTCCTTGCTCCTGAACGGCCGCACTGGATATGCCTGGTCAGTCTCACTCTCAGTTGGCTGGGATGTCTGCTGTGGCTCTCCCAGAGGGGATCTGTTCTTCAAAGAGCACCACTGATTCCTCAAGGAAAGCATGAAAGATTGACATCATGGGCATCAGAAACAGTAAGCTATGTAGGCTCAGCTCTGTCACGACTTGTATGGTCTTATACCAACTTGGGCATGAACTCCCTTGTCTGTAAAATAGGGAGGTTTGTGGCAAGCTAAATAACGAACCCCTAAACATGCCCGGTTTCTAATCCTTGAAACCTATGAATGTTAACTTATGTGTCAATAGAGACTTTGCAGATGTGATTAGCTTAAGGACCCTGAGATAAGGAAACTATTACTAGACTAGTTGAGTGGACTTGATGTAATTACAACTGTCCTTAGGAAAGGGACCCAAATGTCCTTATATAAAGGAGTCAGAATCAGAGAAGGCAATATGACAATGGAAGCAGGGATTGGAGTGATGTGATTTGAGAATGAAGGAAGTGGCCATAAGCCAACAAAGACAGGCATCTGCTAGAAGCTGAAAAAGTCAAGAAAACGGATTCTCTCCTCAGATTATCCCAAAGGAACTAACCTTGTAAACACCTTGACTTTAGCCCAGTGGAACTGATTTTGGACTTTTAGAACTATAAGAAAATGAATGTGGGCTGCCTTAAGCTACTAAATTTGTGGTAATTTGTTACAGCAGCAATAAGAAACAAATACAAGATTGTACTCGTGACTTCTGTGGTTGCTTCCATCTCTAACTGCTGCTTCATAGCTATGACCCATTGCTAAATGGCCTAGACTTTGCAACACTAGAGTGCACTAAAGGATCTTGTTAAAAGGAACATTGACGAGACTTTCAAGACTTTTTGTTGCTGTTCTTGTTGTTGTTATTTTTTTGAGACAGGGTCTTACTCTGTCGCTCTGGCTGGAGTGCAGTGGCACAATCATAACTCACTGCAGCCTCAAACTCCTAGGTTCAAGCTCTCTTCCCATCTTTGTCTTTAAAAACGCTGGGATTAGGCCAGGCGCGGTGGCTCACGCCTGTAATCCCAGCACTTTGGGAGGCCTGGGCGGGTGGATCACAAGGTCAGGAGATCGAGACCATCCTGGCTAATACGGTGAAACCCCATCTCTACTAAAAATACAAAAAATTAGCCAGGCGTGGCAGCGGGTGCCTGTAGTCCCAGCTGCTGGGGAGGCTGAGGCAGGAGAATGGCGTGAACCCGGGAGGCAGAGCTTGCAGTGAGCCAAGATCATGCCACTGCACTCCAGCCTGGGCGACAGAGCGAGACTCCGTCTCAAACAAAAAAAAAAAATTGCTGCGATTATAGGCATGAGCTGCCACACCCAGCCAAGACTGTTAATCAGGTGTTGCTTGTTCTAAAGAGTAAGTGAAGTTGAAGAAAGGCAATTGAAGAAGAGTCTCTGCAGTTTCATGTGAGGTTTTGTTCTAAAAACAATTAGTAGTAGGAGAAGAGCATCAGTTTTCACGCATTAACCCCAAACTATGATTCCAACTTCTTCTACTACATCCTACCCTCTAGCCCCATCAGTTTTCTCATCAATTCCCAAACGGGCTCCTCTGTTACTCAATTTCATTGTCAGTGCTCACCAGGAAATGCTGTTTCCCAAATCTGCCCTAAGCTCCAACCCCGTGCAAAGTCTTCTCAAAAGCTCTCCTGACCACTGGGCCACACTTAATCGTATCTTCCTGTATTTTCCCCGAGCATATAATTTGTCCTACTTCCAGCCAGACACTTAAATCCACCTTCTGTGTTGTGTTATGTATCTGTCTCCTCCCTTAGACAGAAGAACTGTGAGGGTTCTCTCTGTAGCTTATTCATTTTGGTGGCTCCTGAGGCCTAGGACTAGTACCTACATGTAGTAGCTGTTTGATGTTTCTTGAATTAAAGTCACAGAGGACTAAGGAATCTAGGAACCAAAGAACTAACTATCTTTTCTTCTCATAAAATTTTGCATATTAGTGCAAAGAATAGTGCAAGAATGTTGCATCTTAGTGCAAAATTCTTCCATAGGAAAAACTGCAGAGGAACATGTATTCCTAAGTGCTCCTCAACTTTTCTCCTTACTTTCCACAGTGTTTTACTTTAATATAAACCTCCTAGGCTTACCCGTCCTCTGACATGCCACAGACAAATAGGAAAAAGTTAAACACATCTTACTTGCACAATTTTTTCCAGTAAGAAGATCAAAAGTTAATTCAGAGCCTAAAGCGGTTTGTTAACTCACCCTACATTGCAGTTTATAGGAAGGGCATAATCCATTCTGATTTACCATCACCCCATTATTCTTTCTATTCTTTGAAATTCAGGATTAGATGTATTTTAAGAACTTAAAAACTGTTTAAAAGTGTCAGGAGTAATCACTAATAATGCCTCTTTACTACCTTGTTCCCAACCAAATCCTAATTAAGTAAAGCTCTTCAGTATGTGAACAGTACAGGCAATTTATTCTATCTGCTTAATATTAAGCTGTATCCAAGTATGAATTTGATGATGAAGAATTGAAAGGTAAAATCAGTTCACTTCAGAAATACCTTCTGGTGGTAGAATGCCTGTCACTTTAGTCATTTCCTTAATCATAGTTGGTGCTTATGCCAAACCTTTCATTTGGATAACTAAGGGAGCTTAACTCTTAAATCCTCTGTACACCAAAAAAATAAATAAATAAAGATAAATAGGTAGTTCCAAAGTGCCTATTACTGTTATTTTTCAGACAGGTAAATAGAATCAAAGGTCAAATTCTCATACTTCTGTCTGTGGAAGAACCGTGAAGAGAATGAAGCTCATAGATGCCCAATTTTGTGTTATCATCACTTGCCCAATCTAACATGTTTGACAGAAAACCCCTGCCTCATTTGACCAGAAGTAGATGGGCTAATGAATATCGAATTCAACTGGCGATGATACTGGAGGAGATTCTACGTAACAGCTGCTTAGATTTGGCAGCACTATAAACAATTTTATTTTTATAAACAGCAAACGGATGCTGGTTCTTTAAAGAAGAAAAAATTTGCTAATCTGTCTGAAAAAGAACATCTATGGTATGCTCCTATCTACAAGTAAATAAACAAACCTCCCAGGCAGAACCCAGGTCATCCACACATGCTAATGTCTTCTTTCATTATTGATCCTCAGGGACACAGCGGATGTTCTACAGGGTTTTCCAGGCCCTTCTCCATCTTTAGGATATAGCTCAGGACACCATAATCACAATAAGACTTGGGTAAATATGTTTATACTGCAGCTCCCCGTTTCCATTAAACAAATTACAATAACATTACAGTCTGAATATTTTTGAAAAAGGCATAGGGGGAGAGATCTTTGTTCCAAAAAGAATTGGTAGCTAAAGCAGTGTAGGGGTGGGTTGCCCCTCCACACCTGTGGGTGTTTCTCGTAAGGTGGAACGAGAGACTTAGGAAAGAAAAAGACACAGAGACAAAGTATAGAGAAAGAAATAAGGGGACCCGGGGAACCAGCGTTCAGCATATGGAGGATCCCGCCAGCCTCTGAGTTCCCTTAGTATTTATTGATCATTTGTGGGTGTTTCTCGAAGAGGGGGATGTGTCAGGGTCACAAGACAATTGTGGGGAGAGGGTCAGCAGACAAACACGTGAACAAAGGTCTTTGCATCATAGACAATGTAAAGGATTAAGTGCTGTGCTTTTAGATATGCATACACATAAACATCTCAATGCTTTATAAAGCAGTATTGCTGCCCGCAGGTCCCACCTCCAGCCCTAAGGCGGTTTTTCCCTATCTCAGTAGATGGAGCATACAATCGGGTTTTATACCGAGACATTCCATTGCCCAGGGACAGGCAGGAGACAGATGCCTTCCTCTTGTCTCAACTGCAAGAGGCATTCCTTCCTCTTTTACTAATCCTCCTCAGCACAGACCCTTTACGGGTGTCGGGCTGGGGGACGGTCAGGTCTTTCCCTTCCCACGAGGCCATATTTCAGACTATCACATGGGGAGAAACCTTGGACAATACCTGGCTTTCCTAGGCAGAGGTCCCTGCGGCCTTCCGCAGTTTTTGTGTCCCTGGGTACTTGAGATTAGGGAGTGGTGATGACTCTTAAGGAGCATGCTGCCTTCAAGCATCTGTTTAACAAAGCACATCTTGCACCGCCCTTAATCCATTTAACTCTGAGTTGACACAGCACATGTTTCAGAGAGCATGGGGTTGGGGGTAAGGTTATAGATTAACAGAATCTCAAGGCAGAAGAATTTTTCTTAGTACAGAACAAAATGGAGTCTCCTATGTCTACTTCTTTCTACACAGACACAGTAACAATCTGATCTCTCTTGCTTTTCCCCACAAAGCAGGATGGAATAAAGAGTGCCTAGTTGAGAAAATTCTGGCGAATTCAGTGTTCTGTGTAAAATTAAGTACATGTGTCCTCTGCCTAAAAATAAAAAATGTAGTAACTGGTTGTATATAAAAATTTTGAATAAAGATATACAGATTCTGGGTTAGTTAATTATTAGATTGCTTTTGAATACTTTTTTTTGTTGTTGTTACTTTTATAGAGATAGAGTTTTGCTATGTTGACCAGGCTGGTCTCAAACTTCTGGCCTCAAGGGATCCTCCCAACTTAGCCTTCCAAAGTACTGGGATTACCGGCATGAGCTACCATGCCCACCCCTGCTCTTGAATACTTTAAAGGCAAATTTAAAGCAAACATTTGATCTGTATATTTTGAAGACAGAAAGGCCAATAGCTGGGATAGGAAACTTCCAGGCTAGATTTGGTTCTTGGCAAAATTTCAACTGGCTATCGGCTGGTGTTCTAAAATTAAGTGTTCCTTGCTTCTATCCCTAATTATTTGGATGAATCAAATCTTACAGAAAATGAGCATGTCGTCTCAGACTTCATAATACTGGCTGTAGTCAGACATGTAATTTGCAACAGGAGTACATCTTAAACTTTCATACAAAGTACAAACTGAAGTCAGGCCAATGTACTTCAAATTCTGATTATGTTAGTTGGTCTGTGTGCCCTAGGACAAACAACTTAAACTCTCTGAGTCTCAGTCTTATCATTCATAAAATGGAAATAATAGGCCAGGCGTGGTGGCTCATTCCTGTAATCCCAGCACTTTGGGAGGCCAAGGTGGGTGGATCACAAGGTCAGGAGATCGAGACCATCCTGGCTAACATGGTGAAACCCCGTTTCTACTAAAAATACAAAAAGATAGCTGGGCATGGTGGCGGGCGCCTATAGTCCCAGCTACTCAGGAGGCTGAGGCAGGAGAATGGCGTGAACCATTTCAAAGGCTGGTGAACCTCGTATCTAATAGGCACTGATTAAATATTTGTTAATTTGACTTAAATATATATTTTCTGCAAAATGAACATGTTATTCCAGCTTTCCTCCACAGCTTCCATTTCCCATGATTATTTATTAATTTCACTGATGTCTTTTGAATTAGTTTCCCACTAAATGGCAGACAAAGAATGGGAGGCTCAAAAAAAAAAAGCACAAAACAAAAAACTAAAAACAAAACCACCCTGACCATAGAACAACAAATGAGCCTCAATTGAATAGAAAAGGAGAATCTAAAGCAGGCAAACCAGTTTCTGGAAGGTTGGTCATGGCTGTCTGGGATACTGTGTTGAGAAGGGATGGGAAAAGAGCATAATGAATGGCTACACCTGCAATTTGGAATTGTGGACAATTTAATTGTAGCGTAATTTCAAATTCAACTCTGAGGAAGTCATAACTAGAGCTAAAACTAGAACCAAGTTTATCAAATTTGCACAATAATGGTTCAGCTAACAGGCCACTCACTATTCATAGTGTTCTAAACTCTCTACCATTGAGTCTCCAGCTGAGAACTTTGAAAAGTTCCTTCACCTCTCCAAATCTGTTTCTCATCTGTAAACTGGGAGTGTTGGACTTCATGAACTCCCAGGTCATTTCCAGCATCAACCATGTATGAACATATGCTTCTGTAAAGTACTATTTGGTTACCTAGATTATAAGATCTTACATTCTTGATAGTGCTTTAGTGCCTACCAAAACCTTTTGCAGTAATCATTCTATTTGACCTTCACACCTACTTTGTAAGTCATGCATTCTCATCCCCATTTTACAGATGAGGGAATTAAATCAAGAAATCCGGCCGGGTGTGGTGGCTCATGCCTGTAATCCCAGCACTTTGGGAGGCCGAAGCAGGTAGATCACGAGGTCAGGAGTTCAAGACCAGCCAGGCCAACATGGTGAAACCCCATCTCTACTAAAAATACAAAAATTAACTGGGTGTGGTGGCAGGTGCCTGTAATCACAGCTACTCAGGAAGCTGAGGTAGAGAATTGCTTGAACCCAGGAGGTGGAGGTTGCAGTGAGCTGAGATTGCACCACTGCACTCTAGCCTGGGTGACAAAGCAAGACTCCATCTCAAAAAAAAAAAAAAAAAAATCAAGGAAGTTGGCCAGTGTCTTAAGATTTGCTGGCAATGGACTTGGGTCCAAACCCCATACTTCACAAGAAGCTTTCTGAGAAGTTTAAGAAAATAAATAAATAAATAAATAAATAAATAAATAAATAAATAAAACAACTACATAATATATATATTTTTAAAAGGGTATAAGTAAGTAAGATAGAAGCAGGGGAGGGGGAGGATGGCACAAGTTGAAATGGAGGCTAGAGGCCAGAAGCACTTGTGCAAATTCCCAAGGACAGGCAAAGGCTTTTTTTTAAAAACAGAAGAAATAGGCCCACTGCTTGAGCAGATGGCACAAAATTAACAGATGAGAAATGACAGAACTACTTCCTTCCTGTTTTGTTTCTGCCTTTGAAAGACAGTATCTTCAAATTCAAAAGTATAGAACAAACATGGTCAGGCTTTGGGATTAAAATAGTAGACAAAATAATAAGTTCATTTTTTAATCTTCCTTTTTGATTCAGCATCAAGTTCCCAGGCTCAGATGAAGTAACTCAAGCTTCTGAAAGCTTCCACATTTTGATTGAAAGGCCAATTTCAGTAATTTCTGCATTAATATAAACAGAAGAGAGGTTGGAAACCTGGAGATGGACAAACATCCTATCTTTTTAAAAAGGCAGCTTCTAGAAATTACAGATGAAAGAGTCTGACATTAATCTTTAGCAAATTCATCAAAGATAGGTTGATTAAACAGATGCAATGTAAAACTTAGAAAAGGAAGGGCATGGCTAATTAGCCTCATATCCTTATGTGATGAAATTATTAGAATATCGGTTTAGAAATGCTATAAATGTGATATATATTTAAGGTATTTAACACATTTTTCCATATCTTCCTAAAATCACCTACAGTATAGTACAGTTACTGGATGCATAATAACTTGAGTAATCCAGAGACAATAAATATTTTTTGAGTAACTGGATTTGCAAGTGACTCAAAACTGAAAAGAATAGCCAATATGTCAAAAGGCAGATCAAGATTTTTTGTGAAGATGTTGAAATGTTGAAACTATAGGCTTAAATGATAATAAGGATCAATGAGAAGATACATTTAGGTTCTAGAAAATGACCTAAATGGACCTACTGGTTGTCTTGAGAAATTCGAACGTTTCTCATGTGGTGAGAGCTTCATGACCTTCAGCCTTGAGTTCTTCTATTACATGAAGTGTAGTTGCATACCTATGCGTGGAAGAGTATTGGTGCTGAGAGCCACAGAGAGCCACAGGTTCCACTTTCTATTAAAGACTGCTGACTGTGATACTGCACTCCCCAAACAGAGGGTCAAGGAGACAGCCAGCAGTAAATCCTCACCACGGGTTTTGATGGTGAGATGGATAGGCTGGAGAGTACAACAGGCCTGTCACCGGATGAGTGATGAATGTCTGTGGCCTCTGTTAGAAAATATGCCCATTCTTAACAAACAAGGAGGAAGATTACTGTCGGGAAGGAAAGAAGGTAAAGGTATCAGGCATTTCCCCTTTCCCTAGGGTGTGTTAGTAATCACCAGAATGGGTAAAGGAATGCCCACCATCTTCTAGAAACCCAAACTTTAATGAGAAGGCTTGCTCCCTCGTTTCAGTACTCCCTTAATATTGTCCTTTGGCTCTCTGACCCTCCATACTTTGGCCCAGTTGTCTTTGTTTTTATTTCTATTGTTTTGGGTTTTTTGCAATGTAAATAAGAGTTTCTAAGTACAGTACTCAGTGTTCTTCTAAAAATGTTTGCTGCTGGTACATATTTTATGTTGACATGTTTGTGGGAGGCAAGGCCAGTGAAGCCGTGATGTGCTGAGTGTGGGAGTCCCAGTGAGAACTAGGCTGGGTATCAAGATCTCGTACCATCCATAGCAGAGGAGTGCATGGGTGGCCAGTAGTTCCCAAGAAGACAATAAGCATACAGAGTGGGAGGAGCATTTGGTGAGTATGTCCCTACATTTACAAAGAGCAGATCATATATTTTATTTCAATGTATAGTAGTAACTGCGTTTGCTTGTTTTTCCCCCAATAGAGAAATCTGACCAAAAGATCCCCAGGGAAAAGCTACAGGTGTATTTATATAGATGAGGAATCATCTCCATGAAGGATCAGAAATGGAAAGTGTTTACATAGTTCATTTCTAAGACTCTTCTCCCTGTGGCTGTTTTGGAGGTCATGGGATCTGCCACTACATAAACACAGACAGAAATGCCCACACATATGCATACATACCACACATATTCTCCTTATGACCATCCACAGATTTTATGTTTAAGTGTCCTAAAAATCTAATTTCATAACAAATATTTCAAATTTCAGGATATAATTAATGGCACTGCCCAATATACACAACCATAATAAATAAATGTGTAACTACAAAAAATAAGAGCTATATGAAAAGCTGAAATAATGAGAAATTAATTCAGCTTTTTCTTTTTAAAGCCATGGTGTCGGTGAGCAGGAGATCAGAATAAACACCCTCCTAGGACTCAGACCTTGAATAACAGTGAACCTTGCTAGTACAAAAGTACTAGCCTATCTTTGTTTTTGTTTTTTCACCATATGCTGTGCAACAAGGAAATAAAATATAATTCATACTTTTCGGTTAGGCATAATTACATGAAGACAGTATTCCAAACAAACCAAAAACCAAACAAGGAGTAATTTACAGCAATTAGGCTGAGAAAAGTGTACATATAGCTTGTTTTTCTTTTTTAAAAATTTTTTTATTTTTTTTTTTGAGACGGAGTCTCACTCTGTCGCCCAGGCTGGAGTGCAGTGGCGTGATCTCTGCTCACTGTAAGCTCCACCTCCCGGGTTCACGCCATTCTCCTGCCTCAGCCTCCTGAGTAGCTGGGACTACAGGCGACTGCCACCATGCCTGGCTAATTTTTTGTATTTTTTAGTAGAGACGGGGTTTTACCATTAGTCAGGATGGTCTCGATCTCCTGACCTTGTGATCCGCCTGCCTCGGCCTCCCAAAGTGCTCGGATTACAGGCTTGAGCAACCGTGCCCGGCCACGTGTAGCTTGCTTTTCAAGATTTTATAAGGTTATAGTCATACAAGCAGATTCTGAAGGCTTCCTTTGATCTTTAGGGCTAAATAAAATTTAGGTTAAAGGTCCATTCATCTACTACCTGTGTCCTTTTTATAATCAACAGAGACAAATGTTATCAGTTATTCTAAAGTGAAACCCACAAGATTGTAAAGAAGCTTGTCTAGTTTGAAGGGGTAATATCTGCAATAATTGTTAGAAGGGGGAGGGGGAAGGGGATGGGTTTTGGTGGAAAGGAAGAGAGAATATTTAGACCAGTAGCACAAGGGAATGTGTACTCATCAGATGATACCAAGGCTCACACAAGAATGCTGATTTTGGAAGAGTTGCTAGGTGACAATATGCCAGGTTAAGGTGAAGTTCCTTTGGGCTCCTCAGGCCTCCCATCATTGGGATAGGTTTATTGTTTATAGGCTGTCTTCATTAAGATTGTTACCTCACAAGTCAAGAGTTAAGGTACAGTAAATGCTCACGTCCACTTGAAAATATGTAATAATTAGTCTTGAAAATATGTAATAATTAATTTGCTTTGGTTAATATCTGAGTGCCCGACAAAAGCATCAATTGTGCCAAGAGTTCATCTTGCTTCCTCTCTGCCAGATGGACAAGAAGTGAACCAGTCAATAAGACAAATATCTGCATGGTCCTTCCTGAGATGGGGGATAACCAGTCAAGTTACCCCAAGCAGCAATATCTTTCTTGCAGTGGCTCAGGATTCCCTGGATCACACTGATGCTCCGTGGCATATGCAAGCTTCCCCTTCTGTCTCTGGGAATATAGGGAGCTTCTCAGGCCACTGTGGCCCTCACACCCAGCCAACTCCAATCCTCTCGTCTCAACTGAGCCTGACAGAGGCGGCAGAGTGACTCAGTGACTCCTTCTCCACACATTGCAGCCAGTCATGGAGAAAGCACTGGAATAATGAGAAAGCACTGGAAAGAGAGCTTGCTCCCTCTCTGCACCCCCTTACCAGTGCTTCCCACAGGAGGCAAGGCTCATCTGATTGCTCAGCATGTGACATTTACTGGGACATATTTCCTCATGGAAAGTTTGTCAGATATGAGAAGTCGCCCCTTCCCTTCCTCTTTGCTTTCCTGTGATCAGCAGGCCCTCTGAGACCTAAGGAAAGCTGGGAGGAACCTCCCTGCAGGCAGAGAGGAAGTCCCTTCTCACTGTCTTTGCTAGCTCTACTCTTGTGCCTGGGAGGGCGAGTTTGTGTCTGCCATTTGGTGTATTCAATTCACAGAATATGGAATAGGAAGACCTCCTCTGGCCTCAGGTCTACACTGTATTAACCAACACAGTTTACCTAAACCGCCTTACAGTTTAGGGATTATAACATGCTTTCCCAGATTAATAAAAAAGAAGCGGAATGTCTACTTGACTAGAGAGTTGTTTGTGTGCTCCCCTAGCCAGTTATCCAGAGGGAAACAGAGTCTCTTGAACCCTGAAGAGACAAGTAGGTCAGGGCTTTGAATCTGGGTGTTTTGCCACTTGCAGAAACCTGGGTCTAAAGGTAAAAGGAGGAGAACCAACAACAACAGTTCTAGGACTGAGAAAGTCTCAAATATGCCCTCGTCACTGATAACCCTGTGACCTTTTCATTTCTAGCAGCCTCTGAGGTGGCCTTCGTGTTATGAAGCGTAAACTGAGTCTTACACAAGGAGGTATTTCAAGCCCAAATCACATTCTCATAATTGTTTCTCTATATGTGTTTTGATGAATACACCATTCTTCTCTTTTAAATAATAATAGGCCATTAGCAGGGCATGCTGGTGTGTGTCTGTAGTCTCAGCTTCTGGGGAGGCTGAAATGGGAGGACTGCTCAAGCCCAGGAGGTTGAGGCTGCAGTGGGCCATAATCATGCCACTGCCCTCCAGCCTGGGCAACACAGCAAGACCCAGTCTTGAAAAAAAAAAAAGACAAAAACCAAAACCAAAAAATAAACAGTAATAGGCCAGAAGAGGAAGAAGATAGAGAATGTGTGAAAATTTTCCATCAGGACATTGCAATAGAATTACATTGTATGTTCCCAGTGAATTTTCTCATGTACTCACTCATTCAACATTAATGGATGTTCTATCTCCAGTTTATTTTCTTAAGTACTATTTTGGCTGCCACTGCCTGGGAGTGAAATTTTTTTTAATGAAGAGAGATTTTTCTAACCAGCCTTTTACTCATTCTCTTTAGTGCATGTCATTCCTTCACTCTTAACCATCCTCCGCTCATACCCACACCCCAAAACACATACACGCAGACTCTACTTGCAGTTTAGGGCCCCAAACAAGTTGGGGAGGCTTGGAGGTGCAAGTTAATCATAGTGGAACAATCTAGCAAGTGCATCTATCAGATTTGCACAAGGTATCATTATGTTTATTTATTTTACTTTTAAAATTTTATTCGAGACAGGGTTTCACTTCCATCACCCAGGCTGGAGTGCAGTGGCACAATCTCAGCTCACTGCAACCTCTGCCTCCCAGGTTTAAGCGATTCTCCTGTCTCAGCCTCCCGAGTAGCTGGGACTACAGGCATGCACCACTGCGCTCAGCTAATTTTTGTATTTTTGTAGAAATGGGGTCTCACTATGCCCAGGCTGGTCTCAAACTCCTAGGCTCAAGTGATCCTCCCGCCTTGGCCTCCCAAGTGCTTGGATTACAGGCATGAGCCACCATGCCTGGCCTATCATTATGTTTTTAAAGTCTAAGCAGTTTCTTCCAAGTGGATCATTTTTTCACTGCCCTTTTGTCCACAGCCTTCTTTTACAGGTATGGATTACCTGGTTGGTCCAACTTTCAGATTTAAGTATGCCTGTGGTCTCTGTAAGAGTGAGGAAATTTCCTCTTTGGGTCCAGGTGTGTGGTCCACCTCCTTGCCATCTCAGCCAGTGTGTCCTTGGTTTTTCTTACCTTAAGAAATCTAGTTTCTCTCTTTCCCTCAATTTAATTGCATGGTCTATAGAAGACCCTCTTTAAAAAATTTATTGAGACTTGCTTTAAGTGTTAGAACATCATAAATTTTCATAAATGTTTCATGTGTGCCTGAAATAAATTTCCATTCTCTGGTTATTGAGTACAGTGTTATATAAATGCTCATTTTTGTTATTCAAACATTGTATATATTTACAGATTCATTAAATAAATCAGTAGTTAAGAGTATAAAAGTCTTCCCCTGTGATGATGAATTTGTCTATTTCTTATTTTAGTTCCATGAATTTTTGCTTATATTTTAAGGCTATGCGATTGGGGTATTAAAGTTTCAAACTGTAATTTCCTCCTGGTGATTTACTTTGATAGGCAACTAGAAACCACTGAAGTTTGTAGAGCACAGAAATAACAGGATTGGAACCACTCATCCCTATATAGCCTGATTTAATAGAGACATTCTTTGTTTGCATTTTCATTAATTTGGTTTTCACTTATTTTACTGGCTTAATAAGCCCAGCTTGGGAATGAGAATATTTCACCTCCAGTTAGTATTTTGAGACCTAATTTTTCTGGCTTCAGGGAAAGAACCAAATTGATTTGGTTGCTAATAACTTAGACTCTGGATTTGAAAACTGTGAAGTTTCATTGTAAAATAAAAGATAATGTGCCTCATTACGGTAGTAAATGGTGGATGACAAAGAGGTTACAGGATGAGAGGACAAAGAAGTTTGTTTTTGTTTTTTCTGGTTTGGTTTGTGGGGCCAGAAAGGAAATCAGTAAATAAGAATTCAGTTTTGTACATGTCACTTCAGGGCTTGAGATACTCATAGGATTTCTAAGCAGAGCTATCCAGCAAATAGTTAAAAGGTAGCAGAAGCTTAGGGGAAAGTTCCAGAAAATTACAAAATCAAAAGAACGAATATTTACTTCTACAATGATCATTAGTAACAATAATGAGGACAGCAGTGACTTGGAACGTGGGTTGGACATAGCCAAATTCGGGTTTTAGGAAGAATAACTCTGGCTGTAGGGTGAAAGAAGGCCTAAGATGGGAAATAATCTAGAGATGGGAATACCAGGTTATTACAAATGTCTATCTCGAAGCAGTGAGGAACTACATTCAGAAAATAGCCACAGGAATAAAGTGGGGTGGTCAAATTCGAGGTTTATTTTAAGGCAAAATTTCTAGGTTGTGGCAATGAAAATATTAGGCTAGGAAGAGACAGAAAGAGAAGCTTGAAGATGTTTTTAAGAGTTTAACTTAGGAGACTAGGTGGTACACACTATTAATCAGCCTGGGGCATGTCAGGATTTTCCTTTATTTTCTTTGTCTTCTCTTTGTATGTATATACCACATTCTTCCTAGGCTCTGACAGGTTTCAAAGATATTGGGCCTAACATAATCTTGCTGGTAAGAAGAGACTAAATCACTTGCCTTTTAGGTACTTACAATTCCTAGTCCATGAGTAAATTTTTTGCAGCAATTGAAAAGGAGATTTAATTAATTGCATCCTGAGACAGAGAGCAGTAATTCACTACCAACATGCTGTTGTTTGTTTAACTCTATCACTCATTGACTCATTAACCTTCACAACATCTCTTACAGCTCTCTACTTTCCTAAGTGGAAGATAATACAGGTTGGCTCATCCAACTCCATTTTAGCCTATCCATCTCCACTCCCAACCCCTTGTGGCAGATTTTATAGCATCTCAGAGGCCAAAAAGCTGAATCCCTTATGCCATTTATCAGATTTCTTATAGCACTACTTCCTTCCACCAAGCAGATCTAACCACACAAGATTTAGAAGGCAGAGGTGAAAATCACAATGTCAAGACCATTCTGCCACCTCTGCTATTTCTCAGTTTTGTTGTGTTTTCTGCAGTGATTGTTGCATAGGTCCTGTCAGCGGTTGAATTGCGTCCCTCCAAACTGTTGAAATCCTAACCCCCTAGAAATTCTTAGGTCATATACCTATGAACATGACCTTATCTGAGAATAGAGTCTTTGCAGATAGACCAGTCAAGATGAAGTCAGTAGGGTGGGCTTTAATCTACTATGACTGTTGACCTTAAAAAAAGGGGAAATTCAGGCAGAGACAGACATGTGCACAAGGAGAATGTCACGTGAACATGGAAGTAGAGAATGGGGAGATGCATCTACAAGACAAGAAAAAACAGAGATTGTCAGCAAATCACCAGAAGTTAAGAGAGAGTCATAGAACAGACACTCCCTCACAGCCCTCAGAAGGAACCAACCCTGCCGACACCTTGCTTGGACTTCTAGCCTCCAGAACCATGAGACGATACATTTCTGTTTTTTAAGCCATGGCATTTGTGGTACTTTGCTGCAATAGCCCTGACAAGACAATACAGGTCTCATGTCTGGTCCTCAGCTTTGTAGGTGTTGGGGGGCAGAGGATGGGGACAGGGTAACATCCACTTTGAGGAGGCACATCATAGCCTAGTGGAGTGTTCCTAGAGCCAGCAGTTATGATTTCAGTTTCATGATTTCCTTTCTTATTATCTTAAAGTCAGCAGCTACCTAGGTATGTATATTCAGTGGTGGCTTCTTAAAACTCAGCCTACAGATCTTGCTCCTGCCCTTCCTCGAATTAAGTCCCTTTCTGCTTAAACTAGGTCCAGTGAAGTCTGTTGTCTGCAATCTGTGCCCTTTGTCCTGACTAAAGAAGACAATGACACTCCAAAGTGCATCAAGGATTCCTGCCCAGAGAAAACCAACAAAAATTATATTTTTTTATTTGAGCAATGCAAGTACGTGAATCCATTATAAGTATGAAATAAACAAAACAGAGTGAAATTAGGTAATGGATCTAATTGAAATTAGGTCACAAATCTCTAAATAAAAATCTACTCCCTTTATAAATGTCCATATTCATAGAATGAACTCTGACTTGACTGCAGCAGTAAACTAGTTGTTCTTCACTAACTAGGTGAATGCAGAAATTTAGACGGACAGAAGGGTGGGTGGGTGATTAGAGATGGAATTCGTAAATGTGAGCGTAGGCATTGTAAATTTTGTTGGTCAAATATTTTTGGCAGTCTAATGATTTTGAAAAGCTCCTTTTAAAACTATATAATATAAAACTTCAGAGAGAAACAAATCACTAAAACTCAGGCCTAAGTCCTACATAATTCGTATTGAACTCTTTATAAACAATGTGAATGAAGTACAAGACTAAAACTCATAACACTATTGTTAATAATCACAATCACAATAATTTAAAGTTGGTTTAAAAAAAGAAAGGCCACAGTCAGGCGCAGTGGCTCACACCTGTAATCCCAGCACTTTGGGAGGCCAAGGTGGGTGGATCACCTGAGGTCAGGAGTTCGAGACCAGCCTGGCCAACATGGTGAAACCCCGTTTCTACAAAAATACAAAAATTAGCTGGGTGTGGTGGCAGGCGCCTGTAACCCCAGCTACTCAGGAGGCTGAGGTAAGAGAATCACTTGAACCCAGGAGGCAGAGGTTGCAGTGAGCCGAGATCATGCCATTGCACTTCAGCCTGGGCAACAAGAGCGAAACTCCATCTCAAAAAGGAAAAACAAAAGAAAGAAAGAAAGGCCACAATGCAAAATGCTTACTGAGTTCAGACCTTTTCTACTTCAAATGGATGAACCAAGTTTCAGAGAAACTAAGTGACTTACCCAAAGTCAAGCAATAGTAGTTTGATTATTAGAAGAACAAATAACTAACCCTGTGTAAGAAAATAATTCTTTTCCAGGGAGTCCTCAGAACGTATGTTTAAAAAGCCAGTTGTACATTAAACTCCGATAGACGTGCACAGAGAAATTTGGGCAAAGTCCTACTTATGTAATAATGCTGGTAGCAGTGACTCAGACGAACAAAGAATGTTGTATAGAAAGTTAAGCCAAGCCTTGGGAGGCTGAGGCAAGAGAATCGCTTGAACCTGGGAGGCAGAGGTTGCAGTGAGCCAAGATCGTGCCACTGCACTCCAGCCTAGGTGACAGCGCAAGACTCTGAAAAAAAAAAAAAAGAAAAGAAAAAAGAAAGAAAGGAAGGAAGGAAGGGAGGAAAAAGGAAAAGAAAGAAAAAGGGAAAGGAAAGGAAGGGAAAGGAAAGAAAGGAAAGGAGGAAGGAAGGAAGGAAGGAAGGAAGGAAGGAAGGAAGGAAGGAAGGAAGGAAGGAAGGAAGGAAGGAAGGAAGAAAGTTAAGCCAAGTCTTCAAGTCTTGCTCAAATGCTATCTCTGTCATGAGCCTTTTCTACTCTCTCAGAACACAAGTCTGCCTCTGAACTTCCAGAGAACTTCATTTATTTCTCTGTTAGGATAGTTGTCACTTATTTGTTTAGGCAACTCTTATGTAGCACTTACCAATCACTGTTTCAAGTGTTTCCTTCAAAATAATCCCATATGATAGGTACTGTTATTTTCCTGATTTTACAGATAAGAACCTGTGGGGTAGAGATGGGAGATAACTCTGACGAGGTAATACAGAATTCACACCAAGGGAGTCTAGGGCAGGGTGCATGCTCTCACCTCCACCCTGCACCCTCTAACTGTGCTGAAGCTATAGGCCTCCATGCCCAATCTTCTCATCTATGCTGATAGTTCCTAGAGAATAGAGCTCATTCTGATTCATGTTTATATTCCATGTAACACTTTAAATAGTGCCTGCAGGGTGGGTGCGGTGGCTCACGCCTGTAATCCCAGCACTTTGGGAGGCCGAAGCAGGTGGATCACCTGAGGTCAGGACTTCGAGACCAGTCTGACCAACATGGCAAAACCCTATCTCTACTAAAAATACAAAAATTAGCTGGGTGTGGTGGCAGGTGCCTGTAATCCCAGATACTTGGGAGGCTGAGGCAGGAGAATCACTTGAACGCGGGAGACAGATGTTGCAGTGAGCCGAGATCATGCCACTGCACTCCAGCCTGGGCGACAGAGCGAGACTCCGTCTCAAAAATAAATAAATAAATAAATAAATAAATAAATAAATAAATAAATAAATAAAATAGTGCCTGCAGAAGCTTAGAAACCAATCATTAACTAAATAAGTGAATAAACAAACATGTGAATAAGGTGGAAGGACATCTAGGGTTAGTCAGTGAGAACACATCTGTGGCAAATGTGGTTGGTGCTGAGCTGGGAGAAACAGCATCTTTTCTCTTTGCTCACTTCATTCCCAAGTACTGTCTGCATGCTCCTTTGCTCAGGGTACTGTGCTAAGATTTGTTAAATGAATAACTTGTAGGAAAAAACAGTCAGTTGCAGGATGTGAGCTGGCTCTTGATGAAACTCTGGAGTAGAAATGTGAACTTGCAGCTCTCTTTCTTCCCTGTCTTCCCAGTAATGGGTGCTTCACTTGGGCTCACTTAATGTGGTTAGAGAGGTCACCACGGGGCTTCCAGGAAGAGAACAGTCTGAGTAAAGCACTGGGACAATTATGTTAAGAATCTACAAGCACATTCTATAAAATATATATTCACTCAGACCCATGATTCAACCACTCCAATGTTCCCTCTAGTTTAGATTTGTACATTTGATTTGCCCCTTCTTCATAACCACCATAAAATCGCACTAGTGCGTGACTCACTTTCTTTCATTTACTCACATTTCAGTGATGATAATTAACCTTAGCTAATAGCTCTCTTCACTGGAGTGACTCAGGGATTCCTAAAAGCAACAAGCTCACTTGATAGACGGGAGAAGATGGAGACACGAAATGCAATTTGGCTCATATACTCTTGCATTATAATCTCACGCACTCTTATTTATTAGAGCTCTCTGTTGGGAGGCCTCCTGGTCAGAGGTGGGGGCTCTGGAGTTCAAATTCTCTATTTTGGTCAGTCTCCAGGTAGCAGCAGTTCTATAATTGGCAGCTGGGACAGAAAGGTGAAAAAAGTATAAAAATGTTTTCTTCTTATTATATTTTATGATAATCTATATTATTACTTTTTGCCTCAAAATTGCATATATTTTTCTGCAAAAAAGTTAAACGTAGAATCACTGTATGACCCAGGATTTTACTCTGTTTCAACAGATACATGTACATATATGCTCAAAGCAGCATTGTTCACAATAGCCAAAAGATAGAAAATGCCCAATGTCTGTCAACAGATGAATAGATAAACAAATTGTGGTAGAAAGATCGTGCAGCAGAAACTTATTCAGTTGTAAAAAGAAATGAGTACTGATACATGCCATAGCACAGATGAACCTTGTAAATATTATGTTAAATGAAAGACACCAGACACAAAAGGTGAGAGATATATGGTATAATTCCATTTATATGAAATACTCAGAATAGGTAAATCCATAGAGACAGAAGGCAGATGAATGATTTCCAGGGGTTGAGACGACGAGAAAATGAGGAATGCCTGTCTAATGGGTGCAAGCTTTCGTTTAAGATGACAAAAATGTTTTGGAACTAGATAGAAGTGATGGTTGCACAACACTGTGAATGTATTAATGCCACTGAATTGTTTACTTTACAATGGCTAATTTCACAAAGGTTTGTAGCAGGTGAATTGACATAATACAATTTCCGCCAGTGCTCTGAATGTCAACATGAAGAAATTCAATGAAGGGTGGGTAAACATGTGGGAGTAATTTTGACTGTCTTAAGGTAGCTAAATGCCTCATCATCTAATTAGTGATGCACATGAATGGATGAATGAGATTCCCACCACCCCTGCCTACCATCCAGGGAAACCACAGCCAAGAGAATGGGCTTAGCAGAGTCAGCAAGGAAAGAAGGCCCTGTTGAGCTTGGTGATGGACATGTTAATTAGCTTGATTGTCGTCATTATTTCTCAATGTATACATACATCAAAACATCATTTTATATGCCTTAAATATATACCATTTTTCTTTGTCAATCATACCTCAGTAAAGCTGGGGAATATGTATAATCTTATGTTGTGAATCTCACCTCAATTTTTAAAATTGCATGTTTTCCAATAGAGATGTTGTTAATACACTAAATAGAATGGTAAATTTGTTATTCTTCTGCAAATCAGTGTAGTACAAATCCTACCATTCAAGCATGAAGTTCAAAATATTTAATAACCAGCAAGAAACATGTGCCCCTGAATCAGAGGTAACACCTGCCATTAACAATGAATGGAAGCCATCTGAAAGTGCCCCCTGCCAGGCATCAGGCAGAACACCACTTAAGTGTCATTGTCTCCGAGTGCTACACACTACAGGTGACCACTCATGATCTCACTGAATCCTCACCAACAACCTCGACACATATATAAAGGGATATTTCTTCAATTTTGTACAAGAAACTAAACTTCAGAGGTACTAAGTGATTTACCCTAGGTCACGCACATAGTAAATGGCAGAACCAGGACTCACATTTAGATGTTCCTATTTTGAAACAAGAGCACTTTCCCGCATGAAAGTTGTTTGCCAAGATGACTTGCAGCAAACAACTCGACTGCTACAGATTTTTGGCAAAGATATTGGCCTTCTAAGTGCGCTCACAGATTTTTAAATTATTGAAAGAAGGAGGTAGAAAACACCAAATGAAAAACGGGCCAGATTTCCCAGAATAAGACTTAATGGTATAGTGACATTAATAAAAATAGTATTTGACAATTTAGTATTTTGCAGAAATATGTAACTTGGATATAAAAGCAGCAAAAAAAAAATGACACACATACACACCACCGACAAATCTGATGACAGTGCAGTATCCAGGCCAGCCCCGTGAACATACAACCTGTCCTTGCTCCAGCGGCACTGTGCTTGATTTAATGCTCTATCATTGCCATCTTGAAATTCTTAAGCGTTTCTTAACAAGGGGCCCTGCTTTTTAATTCTGCACTGGGTACCACAAATTTTGCAGCCAGAACTGCCAGCATCCAGCTTATTTCAATCCATATCTTGCCTACCTAGAAGAGCTATTACGAAGATCACGTCGGGTAATATTGGGTAACTCTTTATAGTTTACAAGGTACTATCACATAAAAGTCATTATTCTTCAGTTAACTGATTAGTAATTATTTAGATTCACACATTGCTGTTTGCCTCTGGGGAAATTGATGGAAAGGGTAGGAGATCTGCAGAGACAGAAGCCATATCCCAGCAAGGTACCTACACCTAGGTCTCCTGATGCCCAGGGAAGGGTACTTCCCACAGCTTTTGCTGATTGTCACCCTTCAGCAGTAAGCTCCAGTGACAGCTCCCCAGGGAAGCTTCACTTACTCATAAACCATATGAAGAGCTCCATTCACTCACTCCCACTTACACTCTGTCATGTCACCCTATTCATATCCTTCATAGCATTGTCACAATCTGTAATTATTTCTTTTTTGTTTGTTCATCATCTGCCAACTCTACCGGAATGTAAACCCTACAAAGGCAGGAACGTGTCTGGCGGTTTTGAGCAGTGTGTATTCCTAGCACAGTACCTGTCATGCAGTAGGCACTCAACAAGTTATTTCTTGAATGAATGAATGAATGGGTGAAAGAATATTCTTTTCCAGTAGGCTGGAAAATGCTGCTTTCTGTGGTGACTCTAAAGCACCAAAATGTCCTTTGGTCACATGGCCAATGGGTAGATTTCATTGGAATGCATTGGTTTACAAATGTTTAACTATACACTTACTTATCTACCTACTCTGAAAATGAGATTCTAAGTGATAAAAAAAAATGGCTTTGGAATTTGTACTAAGCCAACTGTGCACATGGTACAGAATGTTCTCAGAAGCACCAAGACTCATGAATAATAAGGCAGCCCATTTCCTGGACTTTACAGCCTTCCTTGCCCGATGTGCTCCCTCGCCCACAGCCCTTTGGCCTGCTGACGGGAATCTGGATTCTCTTCTCCCAAGTGAGATACCAGATGAAATGCAAGGGGATTACCTTTATCCTGAATTTTGGCTGTCACTTGTGCTCAGCTCCCCTCCATACATAGAGCATTGCTATTTTATGGAAAGAATATAATTAACACCATATACCACAAACCTGGCTACCAGCAGAGACCCTGACCAAAGCAGCATTTTTCCATTCAGACTGTGAATGTGAGATTGCTCCAGATGGCAAAGCTGAATCAACAGACCCCAGCAGGAAGGTTGGGTTTATTTCACAGCAGGTAGGAATGTGCAGTTGCAGCACAAACAGAACATTTCTCTGGCCTTCCATGAATTATGTGCTCGTCATGCTTAATAAAATGAAGATCCACTAGGCTATGTGTTCCAGACACAAACTTTTTTTGATTAAAAAATCTATATATAACATTACTCATATGAACTGGTGTCATTTACACATATACCTATGCACACACATGCACACACAAATCACCTAAGCACATACTCGTTGTAAAAAAATCAAATAATAGAAAAGTATATGGAATAAAAATGTAGGAGGCCTCTTTATCTATCTCAGCTTGCTCCCCTCTCCCAGGGGTACATTGCTAACATTTTCAAGTATATTTCTCTCTGAACTGTTTTAAAGCATATCGTTCTGACACATGGTGCATTTAAAAACATTTATTTAAATGATTGTATAAAAAAGCTTTATAAAAACATTTATTGATTTTAAAATACATATGTTTTCACATATGAACATTTCTGAAATCGGGCTGTCTTACATTTGATGGCTTGTTAGATTCAGTGAAACTCCACGTTTTTAAGTTTTTAATGAAATGGCTTATACGTTATGTATTGTTCTGAAACTTGCTTTTCAAGAGAGCCTAAATAAGTTATTTACATAATATTTAACATTCTCACTGCATTTATATCCACATTATTGTGTGATATTTTTAAGCTGAAAAATATATGGCTATAGCTCTCACATCTTCAAATCGCTTCTAAATGTATTCCTGACCCTCCCTCAGTACCATGAGCATAACGGTCCAAGTTCTTTATAAAATTTTTTTGCAGATTAGATAAAGGATTTGGATCATACTCTTGGAAGTACCTACTAAAATGCACACAAAATAAAAATATCTTATAAAACTGAGGGTAATAGGTGTGTCACTTGACTTACACACTGGTTTATTGATGGTTTTGTTTCTTGTTTTTTGTGTTTTTTTTGAGATGGAGTCTCGCTCTGTCACCCAGGCTGGAGTGCAGTGGCGCGATCTCAGTTCACTGCAACCTCCACCTCCCAGGTTCAAGCTATTCTTCAGCCTCAGCCTCCTGAGTAGCTGGAATTACAAGTACCCACCATTATGCCCAGCTTTTTTTTTTTTTTTTTTGTATTTTTGTGGAGACAGGGTTTCACCATGTTGGCCAGGCTGGTCTTTAACTCAGGACCTCAAGTGATCCACCCGCCTCGGCCTCCCAAAGTGCTGGAATTACAGGCGTGAACCACTGTGCCCGGGCTTATGTTTTCTTTAGGGATGTGCAATTAATAATGTTCTGTCATGTCATACCCCAAAGAAAATTTGTGGAGTCATGCAGTCTCTCACCATTTCTCCTGATAGGAAGTGGGGAAGTGAGATGTGCTAACTCCATCCTGCTTTCCCTCACAGTTCTCCCAGACTTCGGTTACACTCCCTCCCCCAAGCGCCATCCCCTAGTCATTATGCAGCCTAGATTCTCTGGAGCGATTCCAGGAGGCTGGGCAGGAATTCAAGACTACAGCCACATAGAATAAGACTGCAAAGAGAGGCGGACTCTGACCTGGACTCAGGTTGGCTTTTGTTCACAATAAGCCTTTAAGAAGAAGATTCACTCTAGAGCCTCATGAGGGGGAGGTCCCAAAGGTTTGGGCGAGGTCAGGACACCTCAGTGCTGTGTGGAACTAACTATATTTTAGGCCTAGAGATTACTCAGCGTTTTTGCCATTTATCTTCTCAGGAAAAAGATGCTGCAGTGGCTTTTGATCCAATAGCCTGTTCTAAATCTGTCACATAGCCAGTCAGAATCCATGAATCTGCCACAAATATCCTAGCTGCCTTCTACCTCTAAAGGGACCCTCAACCAGTCCACTCCATCATCTCCTCTGCTACCCACCACGTGCAAGCTGTCACCATCACTGACTTAGGTTCTTGAAGTGGCCTCCTGTTGGTTTTCTCCATTCTGCAGTTACCTTCTACCAATCAATCTTCAAATGTAAGCTAGAGCGATCTTTGAAAACACAAATTCCCTTAAGCGAATATGTCACCTCACCTTGCCCCATTTTAAACCCTTCTGTGGTTTTCTATTGCACTTAGAAGAACACCTAAAATCCTTGGCTTGGACAACAAGTGCTTAGGCATCTACCTTTCCAGAATCTTCTATATGCCACTCTCTCTCTTACATGGAATGTTCCAGACACACTAACCTTGAACATCCTGAGTTCTTTTCTGTTGCAGAGCATTGGTTGTTGCTTCTGCCTGGACAATCTTCACTTCAACAATGAGCATGGCCTGCTCCCTCTTATCCTCCAAGTCTTCTCTCTCCAAGCCCAGCTGGCTTTTCCACAGCACCGTCTATAGACTACCCTCCTGTTACTCTATCATATCATTCTGTTTCTCTTTTAAGAGCACTTACTATAGACTCTATAATTATCATGTGGTAATGTGTTCATTTTCATTTTCTGCCTCCCTATATAAAAATTTAAACTTCTGAGAATAAGAACTTTGTTCTGTGTTCCCAATTTCTCATCTAGAGCATTTCCTGAACAATTGGACCAACAGACATTTTTGAATGAAAGAGTGGGCATTACCTACATATTTAAAATTAATTGAGAAGTTCTGCAGGCCTGACATGCACTAGCCAGAGCTGCCTGTACCAAGGTTGAGTGACAACAGAATAAAGCAGCTGTTCACCACCCAGGTGCCCATCAGTATCACAATCTGAAGGCCCACTCTAACCTGCCAAACACAGTCTTTTGTGGAAGAGTCTGAACATCCTTGGTTTGGAGGTGCCATGAGGGATTCTGATGCATCTATGTCTAAAAATGTCTAGGAAGAACCTGTCCCTTGACTCTGAAATCACTAGTGCCCAAAGTGGACTGCTGTGGGGTGGGGGGGATGACATGTGTTTAAGAGTCGATGCTTACCCTGTCCTGCCTTAGAAGAAGCAGCAAACATGGAGCCACCTGGCAGGCGAGAGCAGAGTCTCAGAAGAGATGCTCTGCACACAACCAAAGCTTCCAGGAAGTTCATGAGTCAACCCGAATCAAAGCCTTGAGCTTTTGTGGAGGGGTGTGTGTCTGTGTGTGTGTGTGTTTGAGAGAGAGAAAAAGAGTATATGTGTTTGTGTGTGTGTGTGAAACACCTCCTTTTATAAAAGTAAAATAGTGTGAAAGTTTGGAATATACAGAAGAATATAAAGAAGAACTTAAAAACCACCCATGAATCTACTCAAAGATCATCATGTTAACATTCTGATTTTTAAAAACCACCATGGCCACTAATACTGAGTGCTTATAATCTACCAGACACTGTCATGCCTCACATGAATTTACTTCTTGAACCTTCACAACAACCCAATGAGGTAGGTGCTATTGTCCTTGCCCATTCTACAGATGAGAAAACTAAGGCACAGGGAAGGAGGTTAGGAAATTTGTACCAAATCATACAATCTTAGAATTTTAATTTAACAATCTGCCTCCAGAACTAATGTTCTTAACTACTGTGCAATAAAGACTTGCCTTCCATAGATGTCTCTTTGTAGGATTATATATATTTTTACAAACGCACACACATATATGTAATAGGGAAAATGGTTTAAATATTAACAACTTTCCTTCTTCTCCTATTGAGGAAGAAAGCTCATTTTTGGCTATCAGATTTCTGAGAAATAAATAAAAATTTCAAGACTCACTTTTTTCCAATTAAGAGAGCGATCATCTTTCTATTGCAAGAAGTTTGATTTGTTGATTTGTTAAATCATGAACGGGTGCATTTTTAGTTAGTTTGTTTGTTTGTTTTTGAGATGGTGTCTCACCCTGTCACCCAGGCTGGTGTGCAGTGGCGCGATCTCAGCTCACTGCAACCTCCACCTCCCAGGGTCAAGCGATTCTCATGCCTCAGCCTCCCAAGTAGCTGGGGCTACAGATGCCCGCCCCACGCCCGGCTAATTTTTGTATTTTTAGTAGAGACAGGGTTTCACCGTGTTGGCCAGGCTGGTCTCGAACTCCTGACCTCAAGTGATCAGCCCGCCTCGGCCTCCCAAAGTGCTGGGATTACAGGCATGAGCCACCACACCTGGCCGGGTGTGTTTTATCAAATGTTTTTTCTATGATTGTAGAGATGCCCATGTTTCTCTCCCACTTCCCACACTCCTTTAACCTATCAGCTAAACTAGACTTTTTATTTGGCCATGATTTTTTTCCCTAAACAACGGCTAAATTTTGTTTGCTGATATTTTCTTTCAGATTTTTGCCTCTATTGTAAACAGTCAGGTTGGCTTTCAATTCTTTTCTCATAATGTTCTTGTCTGATTTTGGTATCAAGGTTATAATAGACATCAAAGGAACCGAAGAGAGCTCATCTCTGTTCTCTGAAAGAGTTTAAGTTTGGAATTACCAATATCTTGAACTCACCTATAAAAATAGGCTGGGCTCAGCCGGGGGTGGTGGCACATGCCTGTAATCCCAGTACTTTGGGAGGCTGAGGTGGGCAGATCACCTGAGGTCAGGAGTTCAAGATCAACCTGACCAATATGATGAAACCCTGTCTCTACTAAAAATACAAAAATTAGCTGGGTGTGGTGGCATGTACCTATAATAGCAGCTACTCAGGAGGCTGAGACAGGAGAATCGCTTGAACCCAGGAGGTGGAGGTTGCAGTGAACCGAGATCGTATCATTGCACTCCAGCCTAGGCAACAAGAGTGAAACTCTGTCTCAAAAATAATAATCTGGGCTCAAATTTTTGCTCACAAGATGATTTTTAATTTTTAATTCAATTTCTTTAACGGTTATAGCACTAATCAGGTTTTGTCTTATTTTTTGAGTCAGTTTTGATAATTTTTATTTTCCTAGAGATGTATCCATTTCTCAGAAGTTGGTTGTTTTGTTTTTTTTTGTTGTTGTTGTTTCTGAGACGGAGTCGCCCAGGCTGGAGTGCAGTGAGTGGCTCAGTCTCAGCTCACGGCAACCTCCGAGTCCTGGGTTCATGTGATTCTTGTGCCTCAGCCTCCCAAGTAGCTGGGATTATAGGGATGTGCCATCATGCCTGGCTAATTTTTGTATTTTTAGTAGAGACAGGGTTTTGTCATGTTGGCCAGGCTGATCTTGAACTCCTGACCTCAAGTGATCTGCCCGTCTCGGCCCCACAAAGTGCTGGGATTACAGGCATAAGCCACCGTGCCTGGCCTCTCAGAAGTTTTTAAACTTATTGGTATAAACTTGTTTTCTTTCCTTTATCTAATCTCATAATGCCGCATGTGTAGTAACATTCTCTTGTTAAATTGTTAATATGATTTGTTTGTGACTTCTTTTTCATCTTAATAAATCTTCACAGAAATGCACCATTTTTATTACTCTTTTGAAAACAAATTTTCTTCCTATTTGCATTTGTATCTTTGATTTCTACTTTATTGATTTTTGTCTCTTCAAGTTTCTTTGAATTATTCAGTGAGTTTCTTCCCCTTACTTCTAAAATTGAGTATTTTGCTCATACTTTTTAGCCTTTCTTATTTTTTATACAAGAATTTAAGGCTATAATTTTTTTTTTTTTTTGAGAGGGAGTCTCGCTCTGTTGCCCATGCTGGAGGGCAGTGGCATGACCTCAGCTCACTGCAACCTCCGCCTCCCAGGTTCAAGGGATTATCCTGCCTCAGCTTCCCGAATAGCTGGAACTATAGGCGTGTGCCACCACGCCCAGCTAATTTTTTTGTATTTTTAGTAAAGACAGAGTGTGCCATGTTGGCCAGCCTGGTCTCAAACTCCTAACCTTGTGATCCACCCACCTCAGCCTCCCAAAGTGCTGGGATTACAGGCATGAGCCACCGTACCCGGCCAAGGCTATAAATTTATCTAGCAGCACAGTCTTAGCTACATCCCAGTTTTGACATACAGCATTTTTATTATTATCCATTTCTAAGAATTTCCTAATTTTTATTCATTCTTCTTTTATTTAGAAGTGTGTTTTTAACTCTCTGAATGTATAGGACATTTTCAGTAATCTATCTTAACTGCATTGTAGTGAGAAAATATAATAGATATATTACCAATCTTTTAAGAAAATTTTGAGATATTCTTTAAGGCCTAATACATTTAATCAATTTTCAGAAATGTCCCTTTTTTTTTTTTCCAAGATGGGGTCTCGCTGTTTTGCCCAGGTTGAAGTGCAATGGTGTGATCTTGGCTCACTGCAACCTCCACCTCCCAGGTTCAAGCTATTCTTCCACCTCAGCCTTCCAAGTAGCTGGGACTACAGGTGCTCACCACCATGCCCAGCTAATTTTTGTCTTTTTTTTTTTTTTTTAGTAGAGACATGGTTTCACCATATTGGCCAGGCTGGTCTAGAACTCCTGACCTCGTGATCTGTCTGTCTTGGCCTCCCAAAGTGCTAGGATTACAGTCATGAGCCACCATGCCGGGCCCTATGTTTATTTTTTTAAATGTAAATTTTGTGCCCATAACACCACAGAAGTCAGTTTCTGCATCTCCTTTAAATGTTTTTCCTGGCCTTCAAGGAATTCCCTTGTTTTCTTGCCAGTAAAAATTGCATTAAAAATATATTTGTCAAATATATTTTATCCAAAATTTTTACATGTGCTAGATTATGAAGGGAACTTACTTTTGGAAAAGAAAAAATCTATTAATTTAATAGGAATTATTTTCTCTCTTCATGCAATTTTATCTCTACTGTAGCTCTGATTATATCATATTATAATTGGGTAGTCAGAAGTCTGCTTTCTCTTTTGACATTAAACACTTGGAGGAAATGCCTGTGTCATGCTCATTTTGTAAGCCCTTGCTTGCCTCGAATAGAATTTTATTAATAAATTTACCTTAAATAGATGTAATTCATCAGTAGAAAACCTGCAAATGGGTAAGCTCCTCAAGACAGAGCTTCTTCTCCATCTTTGTGCACCTCTGAACCCAACATGGTAACTTCCACGCAGTAAGGGCTCAAGGGTTCCACTGATCAACCTGAGAAAAGTCACTTTTCAAATCTGCTTAGAGGATATTTATATTAGAAATACTAAAGAACACATGTGAGTCAGCCTTTGAAACATCATTTAATTCTGTGGTTTGTTGGGAAACCCAAAAGGAAGTTTGAATTTATTTCCTGAAAGAATTTTAATTGGGTTCAAGTGTCTAACTCTTGCTCTCCCAAGTACTTTTACTTGAATTTATTAAATAATTCATTTCTATATTTCTAGAAATAATTATCATAGAAACCTACATATACAATCAAACTTCTAATACTTGGCATTCCATGTAACAATAGAGAATTATAAATTTTATTTTCCATGAGTCAGATTATGCATGTCAGAATCCAAGAAACTCAATTCTGGTGCACAGTTTCTGAAAATTGGTCGTTTAGTGAGGCATTGTCTGAAGTCAGAGTGGTGGACTACTGTTCTCTTTTCTGCTGAAATTATTTAGTTCCTTAAATTAGCTCCCAGAAAGAGAAACTTGATTTCTCTTTTATCCATACTAAGCCTAATATAATTGAGTGGACACTCTACAGGACTGAGATCCAAAATCCCAAATACTTTTTTCCATTTATTCAACATGTATTGAACTCTTTACGTATAGCACTGTACATCCTCAGTTAGCCATTGATCTGTCATCTATCATTTTATCTTCTTGTTTGAGTTTCCATCACTCTTCTTTCATCAATAATATAGGCATGCTGAAGATCAAGAGCATCCTAGGTCAAAGCTAAGGATTCATAACTCAACAGCCAGGAGAAACATACCAGATATTTCCTCCAGTAAAATGTGTTACACTGTTAAATCTTATTAAACGATTACACAGAACAAGAGTCTACAAACTCAGTAATTAAAGCCATAAAATAGAAAAGCTGTGTTTATTATAAGAGAGAAATTATTAAATGAATGAAAGGCTGGTGTTTAATAGTTTGCCTTGCACTGTCCAGTATAGATGAATTAAAATGACATAGAAAGAAAGATTCAATCAATAAGTTACTAGCCTTCCACTTGGTTTCAGGCAAGGATGTAAAAACTAGTATTTTTATAGACTAAAAATGTTTATTTAGGGGAACTGTGACTTATATCAAAAAAAGGAGGACCATAAGCCCATATCTAATCACAAAGCTATATTTATCTTATTTTCTTTTCTTTTCTTTTTTTTTTTTTTTTGAGATGGGGTCTCGCGCTGTCGCCCAGGCTGGAGTGCAATGGCATGATCTCCGCTCACTGCAAGCTCCACCTCCCGAGTTCACGCCATTCTCCTGCCTCAGCCTCCCAAGTACCACCACGCCTGGCTAATTTTTTGTATTTTTAGTAGAGATGGGGTTTCACCGTGTTAGCCAGGATGGTCTCGATCTCCTGACCTCGTGATCCGCCTGCCTCGGCCTCCCAAAGTGCTGGGGTTACAGGCGTGAGCCACCGCGCCCAGCCATTTATCTTATTTTCATAAAACTATGCAAAATGAATATCCCAAAACTAGGAACCTCAAAAGTAGGGGAAAAGCCAAATATATTTGATTTTAGGTTGGTTAACTTGGATTAATATTTTTCTGCAGCCATTTACATAAGTATTATTGAAATAATTTTCCAAGAATTTTTATTCCATCTAAAGATACAGACATGCTGTTCTTCCTGTCCAAGATTTCATTGCCAAGACAGCTGAAAAGCACTTTGGATTTTATCCTTTTGTATTAGCCTTGATTTTTCTTTAAATTCTATTTTCAGGCTGACTTCAAATGATAAGAAATAACATGAAATGTATGAGCTTAGTTTACAAATCCTAACAGAAACTGTAGCTCTGGCAATTCAGGGAGTCAGGAAAATCCACTTTCCTTGACTTCCAAATGACTTTATCATGATAGAAAAGCCATTTTACAGTTTCTTTTCTAAGTGTACTTGAGACTGGCTTTCTAAATATATCCATTAAAAGAAAAAAACGTCTACCTGCCAAAAAGAGTTGGTCATGTCCTCTGGCCCTGGCGGATCACAAGGGTAATTTCTCCTTTCTAAATTGGAAATTGCTCACATCCCCTCCATCTGTGTGGGTGTGTGGTGGATTCAAGAGCTTGTTCGTACTCCCTATAATAATTGACTCAGAGTTCTTGCTCTCCTGCAACACCCTTTACCTCTTTCTGCCCATTAATAACATGTGTTCAACAAAGCCTTGGGGAATGAATCACCCCGGAGTGTAAGATGGTGACATCCTGGGAAGCGGAGATTTGATTGGCATACTGCTTGATGGTTTTCTGAGTTCATCTGAATCGAGTTCTTACTTTATTCCAAAAGAGAGTTTCATTGCTATAAATTATCCATAGCAACCAATTTTACTGCAATAGCAATAATAATAACAATACATTTAGAAATAATACATACTTGAGAATGCATCCTCAAGTAACTTGCCTCCCTTTTTGCTGCACCTGTTACTCTTTGTTATGCAAAACATTATTAGTGTACATAGGCTACTGTCAAAATATTTATACTGGGCAATGAAAACATGCTTAGGAAGTCATAATTTGTAAATTCCTGCTTGCCTAATGATAGTTATTTTGGGGTGCTCAGATACACAATTCCAAACTCTGGATTATTCAGGTAGAGTGCTGAAGTACACTTTCTTAAAGGAATAAAAATAATTAGAGCTGTGAACACAAGAACCTTAAAAGCATCAAGTCATAATTGCCAAGCTCTCTGGTCCTGGCTCAGACATATGTGCTTTCATAGTGGCCTTAAATAAAATGTATTGACTTGATGATTTTTTCCTTTTTTTTTTTTTTTTGATGAAGTCTACTCTGTCGCCCAGGCTGGAGTGCAGTGGTGCAATCTCGGCTCACCGCAACCTATGCCTCCTGGGTTCAAGCGATTCTACTGCCTCAGCCTCCTGAGTAGCTGGGACTACAGGAGCATGCCACCACCCCTGGCTAATTTTTTGTATTTTTAGTAGACACAGGGTTTCACCATATTGGCCAGGCTGGTCTTGAACGCCAGACCTCGTGATCTGCCCACCTTGGCCTCCCAAAGTGCTGGGATTACAGGCATCAGCCACTGTGCCCGGCCGATGATGGCTTTAAAATATAATGTTTATTTTGACAAAATCCATCTATTATGTTGGTAATGTTTCTTTTTCAATTACAGAAGTATTGCATGTGTACTGTTATATATATGTGTGTGTGTTTCTATATATGTGTGTGTGTGTGGTCTATATATATTTATATTACATATTATATTATATATGCTATATATAGTATATTATGTAGTATATGTATAATATATATTACATATATAGTATATGTATATGATACATTATATATACTATATATAGTATACTCTATATAGCATATTATATATACTATACCTATATATTATTTTATATATACTATATTATATATACTATATATTATATAGTATATGATATATATTATATGTAATACATGTATATTATATATGATATGTTATATATTATATGATATATGTATCTATATCATATATGATATAGATTCATATATGATATAGATTCATATATGATATAGATTCATATATGATATATGTATCTATATCATATATGATATATGTATCTATATCATATATGATATATGTATCTATATCATATATGATATATGTATCTATATCATATATGATATATGTATCTATATCATATATGATATATGTATCTATATCATATATGATATATGTATCTATATCATATATGATATATGTATCTATATCATATATATGTATCTATATCATATATGATATATGTATCTATATCATATATGATATATGTATCTATATCATATATGATATATGTATCTATATCATATATGATATATGTATCTATATCATATATGATATATGTATCTATATCATATATGATATATGATATATGTATCTATATCATATATGATATATGATATATGTATATTATAAATATATTATATATGTATATTATATATAAAATAACAATGGTATAAAAAGGAAAATATGTAATGTTTGCCTGCCTACATTCTACTTCCACCATTATTTACCCATCCCTAAACATGTGTACACACCACACTGCTACACCTTGTAAAGTATATATGTGTTCACATCCTTGTATGAACATATATGTAGATTGTTTTTACCAAAATGGAATTATGGTTTACATATGGTTATGTAATTATCCCCACTTTTTACAACATGGACATTTTTCTAAGTCAATACCTCCACCTTACTCGATTGTTATATACTGCATAACATTTGACTGAATATATCATTGTCTATTTAACTATTTCAAATATTTAAATTGTTTCTAATCTTTCCTATTATAAACAATATTGTAACATACCAACTCATTTTCAGCATGAGTACACTTAGTTTAGAAGAAATTATATTCTTCAACTTTACCTTCCTTAGATAGCAAATACAACAATCCCCAAATTACCAGAATCCAAAGTGCTGGAAACCACTTTTTGAACTGCCATTGATTCTGTCATATTGTAAATCAAACCAGGTCATCATTGGAAAGCATCCCTACTCAGCTACCCCTCTCTCCTCTACAGGAACAATGGAGATCTATATTATGTATGAAGCTTGTCTCTCTTAACGTTGTTACAAATTCTTTCCATTGTATTAAAATACTTTCTTTTGCAAGGGAAATAAAAACATACGCTTTAAAAAGTCATACAAATGAAAGAATTGCTACATCTATTTCCTCATTAGAATGCTATTCAGGGTGTGGTGGTACCAGGAAATTAAGAACCCACCCAGTTAAGGTTACTGAGTGATGGGTTCGTTAGGAATTTCCAACAATTTAATGAATTTCGTCTAAGAATTTGAATGTTCCCCTCAGAGAGGGTAATCAGGCATCAAAAACACAATGAAACCTGCCCATCTCCCCAGAGAGAAATGAAAGTTGCTGGTGAAGACAAGTAATATTAGAATCACATCTTTTCTTCACCTATTTCTGGTTTTCAAAGGGGACAATAAATTCCTAAAAGCTAAGGTATCAGGAGCAACCTGATAAAAATATTTGCCATTTCAAATTCTATATTCTGTGAGGCTATAAATGATTTTATTAGTTTATTCCCGAGCAAGTACCTTATAAGTTTTACAAGCAGAGAAGCGGAGACTGCACTCTATATGATGAATCAGTTGCCCAGGAAGAGGTGCCTGTCTCAGGCTTCCCAGGCTTTGCTAATTCCCAATCATTGCCAGTTGCCCCACGAGACAAGCATGACTGAGATAAAGTGTCCTTTCACAGCCACTGAACAAGCCCAGCATTGTCCCTTCCAGTTCTTAGAATGCGCTATTTTTAATTTAGCAGACTAGCTTTTATCTTGCTAAATGAAAGGTATTCTATACACTCTCCTGAGTTTTTTTTTTTCTCTTGCAGTCTCTTCTCCTGGGAAATTGAAAGATTTTTTTGAAATGATATCCAAAGGATACAACCTTGCCTATTACTTCCCCTGGAGAGGAAACAAGGCTCAGAGATTCAAGCCATAGTTTTCTTTACACTTGACAAGGTTTCAAATGCCCAGGATGTTCTTAAAAGTGTGGATACTGTTACACTGTACTAAGAATGCCTAGCCATGGCAGGGTGGTGGGGAGCGCTGGCACTTGGCAAAGGAGCTGGGGTTTTACTAATGACAGATCCCGATAGCAGGAGCCAGGTCAGAGCTGGCTGCATGCACTGCCCTGGGGCCGGAGGTACCTCTGCCAGGCTCCAGCCCTCTGCCTGCCAGCACACAGTCCTGTGGCGACTGAGGATTAAGAAGACCAGGAACCCAGGAACCACAGATCCCTGAGAGATGCTGCAAGTGGGAGGAAGATAGCTAAGAATGGGTTCCTTGCAAAGCCTTTCTTGTTGCTGCCTCCACAGTCCCTTCCTTCCCACCCACTCGACTGCCACCCATATATACTTAATGGGTACATAGTGAAATTGTTCTACCATACTGCATACCCTGAGTGGATTCTTCCAGGAAATGTTTAATCCCAACCAACCCCATCCTGCATCTCTGATTCAATCAATGGCCACTCCCATGGCCACCATCACCATCCCCTTAACACCTCTCCACCTGTCTCCATCCCCCAGCCACCTGGTGGACTAAATGGTAATATTTTGTCTTTCCTGTCCCACAGCCTTCCCGGATGGAATGTGCACTCCCTCATTTGTGTCTCTTTTGTGTTCTGTGCACACTTCTATTGTGCACCTGTAATGTTAGTCTCCCCTCTTCAAATACAGAGACTGGGTCTTGTCTACCTCTGTCTGCCCCGTCCCTGTACTAGGAACATGGCACTCAGTGAACGAATGAGTGCTGACCGACTAAAGAATGATTGTGTATCTGGCCAGTGCTGGGAAAAGCTGAGCATATGAGCAAGATGTCTTCCTCTCCAGGCATTCTCTTATCCCAGGTTGACCCCTCTGTCATTGTGGCTGCTGCTACTGTGGTTACAGTGGTGGTTGCTGCAGGTGTCCTCAACTCTGCTGCCTCCGCAGCCCTGTTCAGTTGTCTGCTGTTAAGCTTGTGCTCTTCTTAATACTTTGGCATGGGCTTCTCAGCCATTGGAATTCTTACCTCTATTAGAATCAGCTGGATCACTTTTACAAAATCTGTGCAGATGTCCAGGCTCCACCCCAGACCAATTAATCAGACCCTCTTGGCTGGGCGTGGTGGCTCACGCCTGTAATCCCAGAACTTTGGGAGGCCAAGGTGGGCGGATCACCTGAGGTTAGGAGTTCAAGATCAGCCTGGACAACATGGTGAAACCCTGTCTCTACTAAAAATACAAAAATCAGCTGGGTGTGTTGGCGCATGCTTGTAATCTCAGCTACGTGGGAGGCTGAGGCACAAGAATCACTTGAACCCGGGAGGCAGAGGTTGCAGTGAGCCAAGATTGCACCACTGCACTCCAGCCTGGCCAACGGAATAAGACTCTGTCTCAAAAAAAAAAAAAAAAAAAAAAAAAAAAAAAAAAAAAAAAAAAAAAGAAGAAGAAGAACAAGAAAAGAGGAGGAAGAGGAGAAAGAAGGAGGGAGGAGGAGGAGAAGGAAAAGGAGGAGAAGAGGAAGAAGAAGCTCTTGAGGGAAAACTCAGGCATCATATATGCATTTTCTGAGCTCCCCAGGAGATGCGAGAATACAGCCTGGGTTGCCTGTACTGACTTAGTGGCTCCAGGGGCTACCAATAGGGGGACAGGGCAACGAGATGATCCATAACACTGCCCATGTAAGGAACTGAAATACCAAAGCATTCCATAGTGAGCTCTGTGCAGAATCAAGAAAAAAAGATGGCTCAAAAGTTTTCCTGCCCCTGAGTTCAATGCAAAAGAGATGACTAGTGTGGTTTCTGGGTAGGACTGTGTTTTTTCAGAGTTTACAACACATATTTCTGGTGCCTGGCCATAGGCATCTCTACACTTCAAATCACTGTTGACACTCCTTGAAGATAGGGGTATAATTCCCCAGCCATTGCTTCTTCAAGACAGTTCAGTCTATGAGATCCACTTGTTTGTTCACCATGTAGTATTTCATCTTGCCATTTCATAAGCTAGATTTTCTAGGGCAGTTAACAGCAAGAAACTTTACACTCCCACCAACAGCATATGTAGGTCCCCGTTTCTTCACATCCTCACTAACATTTGTTATTGCCTGTCTTTTGGACATAAAACATTTTAACCGGGGTGAGATGATATCTCATTGTAATTTTGATTTGCATTTCTCTGATGATCAAGGATGTTCAGCACCTTTATATTATGCCTGTTTGCTATTTGTATGTCTTCTTTTGAGAAATGTCTGTTCAGATTTTAGGTATTTTTTGTTTGTTTTTGTTGTGGTGGTGGTGGTGGTGGTGATGGTGGTGGTGGTTTTTTGATTTTTTTTTTTTTGAGACAGTCTTGTGTTGTCACCCAGGCTAGAGTGCAGTGGTGCGACCTCAGCTCACTGCAACCTCCACTTCCCAGGTACAAGTGATTCTCCTGCCTCAGCCTCCCAAGTAGCTGCACACCATGACGCCCAGATAACAGGTGCACACCATGCACGACAACAGGTGCACACCATGCACACAACAGGTGCACACCATGACACCCAGATAATTTTTTGTATTTTAGTAAAGACAGACTTTCACCATGTTCCATTTTTTTAAATTGGATTGTTTCAAAATAGAAAAAGATTCTTCCTGTGGCTCTAATCCTAATCTCCTGAACACAGTCCTTCATAGAAGAACAAAATGGAATTGTCCTCCCTGAGAGCTAGTTTTCTCTAAAGGTCTGAAATGCTGAACTCAAGACAAGAGATCATAACTGATCATCTACCATGGGCACTGGCTAAATATCCTGGGGGTGGAAACACTCAAACATGGTCCCTGCTTTCCAAGGAATCCCTATTAAGTGGACTAGAAAGACACGCACACATACAACAATATTTCACATCAGATTATGATAACATAGGTTTAAGAAAGTACAATGTAGATGAGGAAAGAATGATTAATTTTGACAAGAAAAATATATTTGTATCTAAATATGGTTTCTGAGAAAATAAATATCTTTTAAGATAAATTTTGTTCCTCTTGTCTTTATATATTTCTTTTCTTCCCTGACACATACACAAACACACATCATATCACAATCATGGATTTCCTTTGGAAAAGCACCACGAAGAACTTGCCATATGGGGGATGGTGGGAGGGTAAGCATTCAAGCAGTTTAAAAATAATTTTTAAAGAAACCTCAGCCTCGGGGCATCTACAGATACACAGAGCACACAATCTGTTCAGAAGGAAAGTTACCACTGTTTCCTGTCATCTCTCAAACATGTCTTCCAAAGGTACAAATCAGGCTATACATTATCCTATATGGGGAATAAACTGAAAATAAACCTAGTGAGAAAATCGTCCCCTTGCAAGATTAGCTGTCCACATACATACCATTTATAAAGTACTGGACATTCGAAATATTTTTATGTAGTTTCATTCAAGGAGACAATACCCTTAGATGTCCACATATAACCAGCTCTCTTTGGACAATAATTGGCTTATGTGAAATGATTCTGTAATACAGATGTACATCTGCTTTTTCACTTGGCTATAACCAAGAGGCAGGCTCCTTGTCTCGCATATTCAAATGACCAACATAGCAGAGCATCAAAGTACAAAGTACACACGGTCCACTGGCATATTTGTGTCAATTCATTGAAATGCTTAAAAATATCCGGTTATTTAATAACTAAGGATATCTGAAGATCAGTTTTTCTTTCTTTTTTTTTTTTTTTTTTTTTTGAGACAGAGTCTTGCTCTGTCACCCAGGCTGAAGTGCAGTGGCACGATCTTGGCTCACTGCAACCTCAGCCTTTCAGGTTCAGGTGATTCTCGTGCCTCAGCCTCCCAAGTAGCTGGTATTACAGGCATCTCCCATCTCGCCCAGCTACTTTTTGTATTTTTAGTGGAGACGGGGTTTCATCATGTTGTCCAGGCTGGTCTTGAACTCCTGACCTCAAGCAATCCACCCCCCTCAGCCTCCCAAAGTGCTGGGATTACAGCCATGAGCCACCACACCCGGCCCCAGTTTTTCTCTAACAGGGCAAGGGCAGGAACAAAGAATGTGAGCAAAAGATACACTGGGATATGGACAGCATAGACCAAAATACTGAACACTGTTCATCATATTTTGCCCAGACAACCTGAGTAAGCTAGGTGGCTATTTTCCTCTGACTGGACTGTATTTTTTTTTTATTTTTAATTTTTGTAGGTACATAGTAGGTATATATATTTACAGGGTACATGAGATATTTTGCTACAGGCACACAATGCATAATAATTACACGGAGTAAATGGAGTATCCATCACCTCAAGCATTTATCCTTTCTTTGTGTTACAAACAACCCAATTATACTTATTTATTTTAAAATGTGCAATAAATTATTGTTGACTGTAGTCACCCTGTTGTGCTATCAAATACCAGATATTATTCATTCTGTCTAACTATATTTTTGTGGCCATTAACCATTCCTCCCACTAACCTTCCCCCCGTACCCTGCCACACTACCCTTCCTAGCATCTGGTAACCATTCTTCTACTCTGTCTCCATGAGTGCAATTGTTTTAATTTTTAGCTCCCATCAGTAAGTGGGAATATGTGAAGTTTGCCTTTCTGTGCCTGGCTTATTTCAGTTAACATAATGACCTCATGTTGTTGGCAAATGACAGAATGTCATTCTTTTTATGGCTGAATAGAACTCTGTGGTATATAGAGGTCTATTGTTAAATGTTGTGTGTAAATATGATATGTACACATATATACCATATATACACACATTTATATATATGTGTGTATATATATATAACACATACATTTTCTTTAGCCATTCCTTGGTTGATGGACACTTAGGTTGCTTCCAAATCTTGCTATTGTGAATAGCGCTGCAATAAACATGGGAGTGTAGGTATCTCTTCAATATACTGATTTCTTTTTTTTTTTTCTTTTTTTTGGTATATCCCTCACAGTGGAATGCCTGGATCATATGGTAACTCTATGTCTAGTTTTTGAGGAACCTCCAAACTGTTCTTCACAGTGGTTGTACCGATTTACATTCTCACTAACAGTGCACAAGGGTCCCTTTTCCTCTACATCCTCACCAGCATATGTTATTCCTTGTCTTTTGGATAAAAGTCATTTCTAACTGGGGTGAGATAATATCTTACTGTAGTTTTGATTTGCATTTCTCTGATGATCAAAGATGTTGAACACCTGTTCATATGCCTGTTTGCCATGTGTATGTTTTCTTTTGAGAAATGTCTATTTGCCCATCTTTAATTGGATTATTAGGGTATTTTTCTAGAGTTGTTTGAGCTCCTTATATATTTTAGTTATTAATCCCTTGTCAGATGGACAGTTCATAAATATTTTCTCCCATTCTGTGGATTGTCTCTTCACTTTGTTGATTGTTTCCTTTGCTGTGCAGAGGTTTTTAACTTAATGTGATCCCATTTGTCCATTTTTGCTTTGGTTGCCTGTGCTGCTGGGGTATTACTCAAGAAATCCTTGCACCATCCAATGTCCTGGAGAGTTTCCCCAATGCTTTCTTTTAGTAGCTTCATACTTTGAACTCTTATATTTAAGTCTTTAATCCATTTGGATTTGATTTTTGTAAATATGAGAGATAGGGGGCTAGTTTTATTCTTCTTCATATGAATATCCAGTTTTCCCAGCACCATGTATTGAAGAGACTGTTCTTTTCCTAATGTGTGTTCTCTTTGTCAAAAATGTGTTCATAGATGTGAATTTGTTTCTGGGTTCTCTATTGTGTTCCATTAGTCCATGTGTCTGTTTTTATGTCAATATCATACTGTTTCGCTTACTATAGCTCTGTCACATAATTTGAAGTCAGGTAATGTGATTCCTTCCCTTTTTTTTTTTTTTCCTCATGATAACTTTGGCTATTTTGAGTCTTTTGTGGTTCCATATAAATTTTTGGATTGTTTTTCTATTTCTGTGAAGAATGTCATTGGTATTTTGATAGGGATTGCATTGAATCTGTAGATTGCTTTAGGTAGTATGAACATTTTACGAATATTGATTCTTCTAATCCATGAACGTGGAAGTTTTCCATTTTTTGTGTGTCCTTTTCAATTTCTTTCATCAGTGTTTTACAGTTTACATTGTTGAAATCTTTCACTTCTATAGTTAATTCCTAAGTATTTTATTTTATTTATAGCTATTGTAAATGTAATTCTTTCTTGATTTCTTTTTCAGATTCTGCACTGTTGGCATATAAAAATGCTACTTTTTTTTTTTTTTTGAGATGGAGTCTCGCCCCGTCACCCAGGCTGGAGTGCAATGGTGCAATCTTGGCTCACTGCAACCTCCACCTCCCAGGTTCAAGCAATTCTCCTGCCTCAGCCTCCTGAGTAGCTACAATTATAGGCATGCGCCACCACGCCCAGCTAATTTTTTGTATCTTTAGTACAGATGGGGTTTCACCATGTTGGCCAGGCTGGTCTCAAACTCCTGACCTCATGATCTGCCCACCTCGGCCTCCCAAACTGCTGGGATTACAGGCATGAGACACCATGCCTGGCCAGATATACTACTAATTTTTTTATGTTGACTTTATATCCTGCCATTTTACTGAATTTTTAAATCAGTTCTAATAGTTTTTTGGTGGAGTCTTTACATTTTTCTAAATATAAGATCATATTATCTGCAAACAAGGATAATTTGACATCTTCCTTTCCAATCTGGATGTCTTTTATTTCTTTCTATTGTCTGATTGCTCTAGATAGGACTTCCAGTACTATGGTGAATAACAGTGGTGAAAGTAGGCATCTTTGTCATGTTCCAAATGTTAGAGGAAAGGCCTTCAGTTTTGCCCCCATTTGGTATGATACTAGCCATGGGTCTGTTGTATATGGCTTTTATTGTGTTGAGGTAAGTTCCTTCTATACCTAGTTTTTTGAGGTTTTTATTTTAAAAGGATGTTAGATTTTATCAAACGCTTTCTCAGCATCAATTGGAATGAGCATATGGTTTTTGTCCCTCATGCTATTTATATGATGTATCACGTTGGTTGATTTGCACATGTTGAACCATCCTTGGGATAAATCCCACTTGGTCTTGATGAATGATCTTTTAAATGTGTTGTTGAATTGGGTTTGCTAATATTTTGTTGAGGAATTTTTGCATCAATGTTTATCAGGAATGTTGGCCTGTAGTTTTCTTTCCTTTTCTTTTCTTTTTTTTTTCTTTTTTTTTTTTAATGTGTCTGTCTGGTTTTTTTAATCAGGTACTACTGGCCTCATAGAACGAATTTGGAAGTATTCCCTCCTCCTCTATTTTTTGGATTAGTTTGAGTAGGATTGGTATTAGTTCTTCTGTAAATGTTTGGTATAATTCACCTGTGAAGCCATCCACCCCAGGCTTTTCTCTGCTGGGAGACATTTTATTACAGCTTCAGTCTTGTTACTTATTATTGGTCTGTTCAGGTTTTGGATTTCTTCATGGCTCAATCTTGATAGGTTGTATGTGTCCATGAATTTATCCATTTCTTCTAGGTTTTCAAATTTATTCACACATAGTTGCTTATAGTAGCTTCTACTGATCCTTTGAGTTTCTGCAGTATCAGTTGTAATGTCTCCCTTTTTTTTTTTTTGAGATGGAGTCTCACTCTGTCGTCCAGGCTGTAGTGCAGTGGTGCGATCTTTGCTCACTGGAACCTCCACCTCCCAGGTTCAAGCAATTCTCGTGCTTCAGCCTCCCAAATAGCTGGGATTACAGGTGCACGCCACTACGTCCAGCTAATTTTTGTATTTTCAGTAGAGACGGGGTTTCACCATGTTGGCCAGGCTGGTCTCAAATTGTCTCCCTTTTTTATCTCTGATTTTATTTGGGTCTTCTCTCTTCTTTCTTAGTCTGGTTAAAGGTTTGTCAATTTTGTGACCGGGCACAGTGGCTCATGCCAGCTCTACGGGAGGCCAAGGTAGGCGGATCATGAGGTCAGGAGATTGAGACCATCCTGGCTAACACGGTGAAACCCCGTCTCTACGAAAAATACCAAAAAAACTAGCCAGACGTGGTGGCGGGCACCTTAGTCCCAGCTACTCGGGAAGCTGAGGCAGGAGAATGGCATGAACCTGGGACGTGGAGTTTGCAGTGAGCCGAGATCAAGCCACTGCACTCCAGCCCGGGCAACAGAGCAAGGCTCCGTCTCAAAAAATAAAAAAAAAAAAAGGTTTGCCAATTTTGTTCATCTTTTCAAAAAACCAATTTTTCATTTTACTGATCTTTTGTATTGTTTTCTTCATTTCAGTTTCATTTATTTCTGCTCTGTTATTTATTATTTCTTTTCTTCTACTAATTTTGGATTTGGTTTGCTCTTGCTTTCTTAGTCTTTAGAATGAATCATTAGGTTGTTTATTTGAAGGGTTTCTATTTTTTTTCCATCAGAAGAGATTTTTTTTGATGTAGGTGCTTATAGCTATAAACTTTTCTCTTAGCACTGATTTTGATGTATCCTATAGGTTTTGGAATGTTGTGTTTCCATTAGCATTGGTTTCAAAAAATTTTTTTAATTACTTTCTTAATTTCTTCATTAACCCACTGCTCATTCAGGAGCATATTGCTTAATTTCCATGTGTTTGTATAGTTTCCAAAATTCCTCGTTACTAATTTCTAGTTTTATTCCATTGTGGTCAGAGAAGATATTTGACATAATCTCATTTAAAGAAATATTTTGAAGACTTGTTTTGAAACCTAACATATGGCCTGTTCTTGAGAACAATCCATGTGCTGAGGAGTAGAATGTGTATTCTCCAGCTCTTGCATGAAATGTTCTCTAAATATCCATTAGGCCCATTTGGTCTACAGTGCAGATTAAGTTCATTATTTCTTTGTTGATTTTCTGTCTTGATGATCTGTCCAAGCTGAAAGTGGGATGTTGAAGTCTTCAGCTATTATTGTATTGGGAGTCTACTTTTCTCTTTAGTTCTAATAATATTTTAAATATCTGGAAGCCCTGATGTTAGGGGCGTATATATTTACAAATGTTATATCTTCTTACTGAATTAAACCCTTTATCATTATATAATGACCTTGTCTCTTTTTATAGTTTTTATATTGAAATCTATTGTGTCTAAGTATAGCTACTCCTGCTCTTTTTGGGTTTCCATTTGCATGGAATTTTTTTTTTTTTTTTTTTGCATCTCTTGATTTTCATTCTATGCATGTCCTTGTAGGTGAAGTGTGAAGCAACAGGTTATTGGGTGTTGTATTTTTTTTTCTTTTTTTTTTTTTTTGGAGATGGAGTCTCGCTCTGTCACACAGGCTAGAGTGCAGTGGTGTGATCTCAGCTCACTACAAGCTCCGCCTCCCAGGTTCACGCCATTCTCCTGCCTCAGCCTCCCCACGAATAGCTGGGACTCCAGCTACTACATCAGGGCATCCAGATATAATCCCAGCACTTTGGGAGGCCGAGGCGGGCAGATCATAAGGTCAGGAGATCGAGACCATCCTGGCTAACATGGTGAAACCCCGTCTCTACTAAAAAAATACAAAATATTAGCCGGGCATGGTGGTGGGCACCTGCAGTCCCAGCTACTTGGGAGGTTGAGGCAGGAGAATGGCGTGAACCTGGGAGGCAGTGTTTGCAGTGAGCCGAGATAGCACCACTGCACTCCAGCCTAGGCAACAGAGCGAGACTCTGTCTCAAAAAAAAAAAAAAAGTTGTAGTTATTATTTTTATTAGTTCATCTTTTAGTCTTTCCACTCAAGATATGAGTAGTTTACATATCACAAATATAGTGTTATAATATTCCGTGTTTTTCTGTGTACTTACTATTACCAGTTTTGCACGTTCAGATTGTTTCTTATTGCTCATTAACATTCTTTTCTTTCAGACTGAAGAACTCTTCTTAGCATTTTTTGTAGGACAGGTCTTGTGTTGATGAAATACCTCAGCTTTCATTTGTCTGGGAAAGTCTTTATTTCTCCTTCACGTTTGAAGGATATTTTTACTGGATAAACTATTCTAATATAAAAGAATTTTTTCACTGGCGCTTTAAATGTATCATGCCACTATCTCCTGGCCTGTAAGGTTTCCACTGAAAAGTCTGCTGCCAGATGTATTGGAGCTCCATTGAATGTTACTTGTTTTTTACTCTTGCTACTCTTAGGATTCTTTCTTTATCCTTAACCCTTGGGAGTTTGATTATTAAATGTCTTGAGGCTGTCTTATTTGGATTAAATCTGCTTGGTGTTCTGTAACCATCTTGTACTTGAATATTGATATCTTTCTCTAGGTTTGGGAAGTTTTCTGATATTATCCCTTTGAATAAACTTTCTACCCCTATCTCTCTCTCTCTACCTCCTCTTTAAGGCCAATAACTCTTAGATTTGCCATTTTTAGAATATTTTCTACATCTTGTAGCTGTGCTTCATTTTTTATTTATTTATTTTTTGTCTCCTATGACTATTTATTTTCAAATAGCCTGTCTTCAAGCTCACTCTTTCTTCTGCTTGATCAATTCTGCTGTTAAGGGACACTGATGCATTCTTCAGGATGTCAATTGCACTTCTCAACTCCAGAACTGCTGCTTGACTCTTTTTAATTATTTCAATTTATTTGTTAAATTTATCCGATAGGAATCTGAATTCCTTCTCTGTGTTACCTTGAATTTTTTTGAGTTTCCTCAAAACAGTTATTTTAAATTCTCTGTTTTTCCAGGGTCAGTCCTCAGTGACTTATTTTGTTCATTTGGTGAGGTCATGTTTTCCTAGATGGTTTTGATGCTTGTGAATGTTTGTCAGTCTCTGGTCATTAAAGAGTTGGGTATTTATGGTAGTCTTTTTGTTCTTTTGTTTTTTGTTTTTTTTTTTTTGAGATGGAGTTTGGCTCTTGTTGCCCAGGCTGGAGTACAACGGTGTGATCTCAGCTCACTGCAACCTCTGCCTCCTGGGTTCAAGCGATTCTCCTGCCTCAGCCTCCCAAGTAGCTAGGGTACAGGTGCTTGCCACCATACCCGGCTAATTTTTGTATTTTTAGTAAAGACAAAGTTTCACCATGTTGACCAGGCTGGTCTCAAACTCTTGACCTCAGGTGATCCACTGGCCTCGGCCTCCCAAAGTGCTGGGATTACAAGCATGAGCCACTGTGCCCAGCCAATTTATGGTAGTCTTTGCAGTCTAGGCTTTTTTGTACCCATCCTTTTTGGGAAGGCTTTCCAGGTATGCAAGAGAGTTGGGTCTTATAATCTAAATGTTGGGTCACTGCAGTCATATCTGCATTAGATGAAACCTCAAGCCCGATAACTCTATGGTTCTTGCAGACTCATAGAGGTACCGTCTTGTAAGTCATGTATAAGATTTGGAAGAATTCTCTGATTACCAGGCAGAGATTCTTGTTCTCTTCCCTTACTTTCTCACAGAGTCTTTCTCTCTTGCGTGTATGTGCAGACTTGGCGGTGGAGTGACACAAGCACCCCTGCAGCCACCACCACTAGGACTGCCCTGAGTCAGACTTCAAGCCAGCATGGCACTGGATCTCTCTCAATAGGCCCACAATAACCACCACCTGGCTACTACCTATGTTCACTCAAGGCCCTAGGTAGCAAAACCCATCACTCAGCAGGTAGCAAAACCCATCAGGCTTGTGTCCTTCCCCAGGGCAATGAGTTCCCCCAGCCCCAGGCAGGACCAAAGATGCCATCCAGGAGCCAGGGCCTAGAGTCAGAAACCTTAGGAATCTACCTGATAGCTCTATTCTACTACAGCTGTGCTGGTTCCCTCCCCTTTCTACACAGGAGTCTCCCCTTATGGTCATCACCACTTCAGGCCCCTAATGAGTATTGCTTGGCTGCCACTGATGTACACTCAAGGCTCAAGGGCTCTTCAGTCAGCTTGTGGTGAATACTGCCAGATCTGAGACTCATCCTTCAGGGAAGTGGGCTCCCTCTGGCCCAGGGCAGGTCCAGAAATGCCATCCAAGAGCCAAGGCCTGGAATTGGGAACCCCCAGAGCCCACTTGGTGCTCTACCCGACTCTGGTTGAGCTGGTACCTAAGTTGCAAGACAAAGTCCCCTTTACTCTTTCTCTCCTTTTCTCAAGCAGGAGCCTCTCCTTGTAGCCCACCACAACTCGATGTGCTGGGTCACACCTGAATCCAGCACATCTCAGAGTCTCATCCGAGGCATACTACCTGGGTATTGCTGCTGGTTATTCAGGGCCTAAGGGCTTTTTAGTCAGCACATGATGAATCCTGCCAGTACTGGGTCCTTTACTTCAAGGAAATGGGTTCTCTTCTGGCCCAGAGTGTGTCTAGAAATGTCATCCAAGAGCTAGGGCCTCGAATGGGGGCCTTAGGACTCTGCCTGGTGCCCTGTCCTACTATGGCTGAGCTGGCATCCAAGTTGCAAGACAAAGTTCCTTCTTTTCTCGAGTGGAAGGAAAGTCTCTCTCCTAGCTGCAAGCTGTGCTGCCTGGGGTTAGGGGAGGCTTGGTGCAAGCACTTCCTTGGCCACCCTGGCTGGTGTCTCACTAGGTCACATGCCCCCAGTAAGTCCACTTGCTTTGAGCCCAGCACAGCACCAGGACTTGCCCAGAAATTGCAGCCCTTGTGGCCTAGACTGCTTTTAAAGTTTATTTAGAACCCCAGAGCACTTTAGCCTGTGGTGGCGATGCTTGCCAGAACTCAGGTTCCAACTGCTGGGATGGGCAATTCCCCTCTGGCTAGTGTTAGTCTAAATGTTTTTTCCATGGGCACTGAGTTTTGCCTGGTGTTCCTTTCCACCGTGACAGTGCAGCACCAAGTTCCAAGGCAAAGTCCCACAGTCACTGCACTCTCTCTCCCGCAAGAGCTCAGATTCTCTCCACCACACAGCCCAGCTGCTGCTGGGGAATGGGAGTGGGGGATTGGTGTTGGCAATTCCAGACTGTCTTTCCTACCCTCTTTAATGCCTCTTTCAATGATATGAAGTTAAAACCAGGTACTGTGACAGCTCACCTGATTTTTTATTCTTATGAAGGTGCTTTTTTATGTGGATAGTTGTTCAATTTGGTGTTCCTGCAGGGAGGGTGGTCAGTGGAGGCTTCTATTTAACCATCTTGCTTAGCCTCAAAAATCTGGACTGTTTTCTTGCAAAGCCACCCTGCATCCATGTTAACCTTAGACAAGTCTGAGCTTTTGATATATATGAAATGTTGACTATTTAACAAGCAGCACCCTTGCCCAGTGGAAATGGGTGCTGGGGCTGACTACCCAGCTTGTAGAGAATCAGCTAGTGACTTTTCTCCCTTTGTCTCCTTCCTGTAGTTAACATTTTTTATATTTCTTTCCTTACTAGTATTTACATTGTAAAGTCTATAGCATTGTCTAAAAATAAGTTTGGAGGCTATCAATCGAATTTCCCACTGGATAGAGATAATTAAGTGTTGCCTAGTTATCTTGCTACCTCCGTAAAATTAGAAATGGCTCTTAAAGGCTTTGGAAGACTGAATTAATCTTGTTAATCATTATACTTTTTGTGTATTTGACATATTTCATTCTAAAAGACTAATGGCAGATATAACATCTCTTAGAAAACATTGCTGATCTCTACAACAAAATCACACACTGAACACAGGATAATACACCAGGAGTTCTGGATTCCAAACTGTATGTCCCCATGGAATTTTCCAAGGAGAGGGCAATGGAGCAGCCTCTAGCTCTAGCTCCAACTCAGCTGTTGGCATGATAAGATGGCAACAGGAAAACAAGATTATGCCTTTGGAGGGAGGACCTGCCTCTCAGCTGTTCCCTTGACTTTGCTAAAAATAGACCTACATTTGAATTTTCAACACTTTATTTACTCAGTCATTGATTCACCCAGAGATGGTTAAGGTGAGTGGTGGGAAGGAGGGAGGGAAATGAAAGACAATTAGAGAAGTCCAGTTTTAAGGTCAGGGGAATGAATGATTTTGAATGTTTTTACTTACTAGTGTGAACACAGATCAGGGACAAAAATGATATGCATTCATACACTCCCAGGGAGCTTTCAAAATACATTTGGAACATCCGAATCTTCAAGAAAAACATGCTTATTAATTTAATTATTAACCTGCCTTATTAGAACCAGTGTATTTTCTTTATATTGATTTTATGGTGCAATAAAACTATATTCACTATGATTTATGTTCACTTTATAGCAAATTGGGGCCTTTTGTAGAATCAGAATTAATGACATATTAACAAACATTTCTAGAGCCTCAAAAATAATTTTAATATTGTAAAAGATTATAGAAGTTTAAAATTGATACATTTGGCCACATGCGGTGGCTCACGCCTATAATTTCAGTACTTTGGGAGGCCAAGGCGAGTGGATCACATGAGGTCAGGAGTTCGAGACCAGCCTGACCAACATGGTAAAACCATGTCTCTACTAAAAATACAAAATTAGCTGGGCGTGGCGGTGCATGCCTGTAATCCCAGCTACTCGGGAGGCTGAGGCAGGAGAATTGCTTGAACTTGTGAAGTGGAGGTTGCACTGAGCAGAGATCATGCCATTGCCCTTCAGCCTGGGTGACAGAGTGAGACTCCATCTCAAAAAAAAAAATTGATACATTTTAGTTTTACAGAAAACCTGGTAGAAAAAGGCACAATTTTATGCAAAAGTAATCTCTGATTATAATTCATTCCCAGAGGCAAATGTGGTCTACATTATGACATAAGGTCCAGAAACGCCTAGTAATTAGAACTGAGGCCCTTTTGAATCCACTTAGAAGACATAGGGGCTCTTTCAAGGTATGTGAGTAATGACCCCAGGCTCTCTGACGGAACGCCAGGCACACCTGGCCAACAGGTCTCATCTGCAGAAGTTAGTGGTGGCCACTAGAAAGCCAGTGTTGAGGGAGATTCTGAGTGAACACACAGGTGACATGAAGCAGCCTGTCATGGTGACAGCCAACAGCAGGGGGAGAGGCCATGAGGGTATAATGACTATTATTCAGTATATTTTTCTTCCCTGGTCTAGTCTAGCACCTAATATCTCTCATGCACAATTTCTTAGTTTCATGAGTGAAAATAAATTTCATACTTCACTAAATACTCTGAAGAATTATGTTTACCCACTGACATCAAAGATTGTTCTATCTTTCACGATTTTTCCTTCATAGTTACAGGAGAAACTATAGGGCTATAGGACTATAGTTTTATGTTTAATGACATCAAAATGTCTCCCTTCGGCAGAATATTGGGAATGGTTTAATATGGGGTTATATAGAGATGAATAATATGTGGTTCCTGACCTCATGAAGGTCACCACCAAATGCAGAATAGACACACACGGCGATTAATTGCATTATGTTAGACCATGGGCACCAAACATGGCCCAGTGAAGGGAGGTCGGGATGAAGTTAGGGCATCAAAGAAAGCTGCCTGGTTGAGAAAATGCATGAACTGATCTCCAAAGAATGAGTGTGTATTGTTCAAGAAGAGACCAAATCCCTTTCCCAACTTTCAAGGTCCTGTGGGTTCTAGCCCTGCCTCCCCCATCAGCCTGGGCTTTTCCTGCCTCTTTTCTTGCTCCAGCATCATTGTCATTTTTAGCTTCTCCAGCTCTCATGCTGAAGAACTACTTGGAATGCTCCTCCCTGTGCCCAAAGCTTCTCTCTACACCAGGTTAATTCTTTTTTTTTTTTTTTTTTTTTGAGATGGAGTCTCACTCTGTTGCCCAGGCTTGAGTGCAGTGGCATGATCTCAGTTCACTGCAACCTCTGCCTCCCAGGTTTAAGTGATTCTCCTGCCTCGGTCCCCCAAGCAGCTGGGAGTACACATGCCTGCCAACAGGCCCAGCTAATTTTTCTATTTTTAGTAGAGACAGGGTTTCACCATGTTGGCCAGGCTGGTCTCGAACTCCTGATCTCATGATCTGCTACACCAAGTTAATTCTTACCTATGCTTCAAAGCTCAGCCCACACATTAACTTCTAAAGGAAGCATTTTTGGGGTACCGTATGCTCTCTAGCACCCTTCACTTTGTCTTTAATGCATTCTTCACCACTGTAATAATGAATTGTGTAATTGGTTGTTCACTTTGTTTTCCCCATAGAAACTATAAGCTCCATGAAGGCAGGCATCCGTCTGTATCTTTTCTCACTCTATTTGAGCACGGAGCATAGGATAATACACAAGGCAGACATTCAACAGCTATTTCATGGTGTATCTGTCTGGAATAGAGGATGAAAACATGAACTAGAGCAGTAGGAGTCAGGAGGGAGAGAGAGGAGACACTGGAAATAAGTATGAAATGCGCGTTGGTGTGGCCAGATTGTAGATTTGATGGGAGGGGAGGAATAAAGGATGACTTATGGATTTACTGTCTCACCTATCACTTTTACTTTCCAAAGATGAAACAGTAGTGCCTTATATACCTCTGTACTATTTCATTGAAGACACATTCCACAGCAATTTACTTAATGCTTTTTGATGCTACACATGGAGATCTGAGAGCTAGATGTAAAGTTATCTATTAAAAAGTGAATCTTCAGATGGAAACATCCTATCTTTGCATTGGTCCAAATGCAAATATTCAGTGGCGTGACAATCTTCTTGCTGTGACCATCAGCAGTGAAGGAATTCACAGTAATCACAGGCACAGTATGGGGGGACTTAGAACAATGCTCTGTGAAGCTGCTCCCTCTCCACTTTATTCACTCATCCTTATCCCTTCTCTCCTCACTGTGCTCCCAGAATGTTCTCCCTTCTGCCTGGGAGGGAGCTAGAGCTGTGGCTTGTGTCCCTGTCTGAATGTGGAAGAGGACTAATTCCACTGCTCGCTCCAACCCCAGGCTTTGTGTAACGGTGATCTGCAGTTTCTCCTTTCCCTTCCTCAACTTCAGGAGCTCCTCAACCAAGAAAGAAATTCTTCTCACATTAGAGTTTACCTTCGCTTATTATGTTTAGGTGCAAGGAAAGACTGAATAAAAGTTGAAGCTGGCAGTTAATTCATTACACTGCATTTTCAAGCATTTCAAACATTTCTTCCTAAACTATATTATTTCCTGCAAACATCTACAGCTCTAGTATTTGTTTTTTAAAATTATATATATGCACATATACAAATACATATATACATACATATGTGTATATACACTCATCTTTTTCCTTTATAGACTTCTTGATTAGTACCTTAAATCCCAAGTAACATCGTCAGTCTTCAGAGGAGCATCCTGTCACATAACACATGGTTTCTCTGTTTTCACAGCCTCACCCATGATCCTGGAAGGAATGTCAAGAATCATTTCTGTAACTAGAGAGATATCCCAAGGACGAGGCTTATCTCCTTAAGGAAGAAATCTGACTTGCTTTCAGAGCCTTACATATAACCACTGTTTAGCTATGTGAAAAGAATTTATATGTTTGACCTAATTGATAAAGAACCCCTGGAATGCTCCTAAATCTCTGAGCAACTATATTCCAGAGTGCAGGAATCACTTGGGAATTCATTTGAATTGTCTGATCTTAACTGCTGAAGTCTATCCACTGAGAAACCCCTGGTGCATCTCAATAGCTGCATCTTATTGTGGTCATATTTTGTTTCTTTTATTGCTTCCATTGCCCTTCCTCTCTCCCCCATTACCTTGCCTCTCTCTCTGTTTTTTTTCCTCCCTCTCCCACTCTCTTCTCTTCTCCCTCTCCCTCTCGCCTTTTGTTCTCTCAAGTGCCTCTTCATGTTGTTTTTATTCCAGATCCTCAGTAATTCTTATTGCAATATGCCCAGAACTAAAAAGGCTGCTGACCAGTGCTAGAACATACAGTCTAGGACCTGTAAATCCCACACAGCTCCTCCTACAGAGCTCTAGGTAATGCCCAAACTGAGGAGGTAACCATGGTGATGACTTGGATCAACAAACAATGTGCAAAGAGGCTTAAGCAGTAAGTTATGTAACACTCCATGCGGGTCTAGAGGCGAAGCTCTACTTAGACTAAGGGATAAAGGTTCAAGGTTCATGTTACCTAACAATATATCGCCTAGATACAAACACTAGTGATTTATTTCACTTACATGGTAAGATTTTATGTGGTTGGCACGAACTGGCATAGAACATTGCTAGTTGTAAGATGAAAGAGTAGAACCAATCAACAATGGAGAATGCTGTGCCTAGAAAACACCCCACCCACCCCTGCTGTTGTATTATCTAATACACTCTGACTTTGGAGGAACAGCTCATCATCTCAAAGTTCCCCCACCTTTGACTTTGCTTCTCTGATGTGGAAAGTTCCAGTGACCCTGTTTCTTCCAGGTAACTTTGCTGTGAAGTTCAGTTCTGCCTGATCTTTGGCCAGCAGCAGGGAATTCAGGCTGTTTGTCGAGATCATGATTATAACTTATGAAAATGAGAAAAGTATTCCCAGATACAAACCCATCCTTGCCCTGCCAATCCATGCTAAGAAGGCTGCTGTAGAGAAATGTAATGCAAATTATCAAAACTAAGTGGGTATGACAGCCTCTTTCCTGATCCACACACATCCTCAGGCTGCTCTGATGTGATTTTTCTTGTTCTTCAAGGCTGCTTTTGCTATATGTTTTATTTTGTCTCAATAGAATAGGGGTATTACACAATACAGGCTACTTCGTAGCTGATTTCCTTCCCATGTTCTCAGAATAGCCCAGAATGAGATTAAGAACCAAGCAAGTAATAGAGGCAGGAGTATATTTAGGGCATGGCAACCTCTAGGTGGCTTTGTCTTTTGCTTTCATTGCTATCTCATCAGCTATTCTGTCCTCCCCCCAAGAATAAATAGAACAAGGATGTAACCAAGGAAAATCAAATTCTCCTCTATTAGACAATTCATTACATGTGAATAATTTTTGAGACACAAGAAACCTCTTCATCCTCCAGTATATAAATTTTTCTTTTTTTTTTATTTTAGTGGCATCAAGAAATGCGTATCTAATATTTTTGCAAAATAAACCCAAGGCCCATTCAAAAGGATGGTCACCTCTGGATGATAGTCTCATTGTGATGAGAATAAACATGAGATGTTACAGATATCCAACAAATACACAGAGGACAAGATCTTGCACTGCCTTTTTAACAGGAAAGATAAATCTTAACTCATCCACCCACCCTCCATTGCCTAGTTGTCACTCTGCACATACTCAGTGAAGAAGGTTGCAATCTTCAATAAAGTTTATACCATAAAATAGCTGTGATGTGCTTGCACTGAAGCACATCAAACCTCTCAGAGCTAACTAGCTTTTACCAAGATCAATCCAAGGACCTCTCCGTATTAGGTCCCAAGCCTTAACCACTGACACTCCAGGCCTAAGAAGGGAATTCATGAAGACACCACTAGTAAATCACTCAAAAAGAAGGAAATATTGAATGCATTCCAGATTCTTGTATCACAAGTATTGCACTTCTCTCTTCATTTCTGAAGTTCGTCATGAAAGGGCAATAGTATTGGTAATCTCAGTTTTCCTCTTTCTTAAGGAAAATTGCTTTTTCTCAGAATCTTAGGAGCACAAATGAGAAGGGATCTTAAAAGCCATCTAGCCCTACACTACAGCAACTACAAAAACAAATCATCTTTTTGTCACATCCAAGGATCAGCGCCTGCTCTCAGCCTCAACCACCCTAGCAACAAGGAACTAAACTGCATCACAACATTGCATTTTCTGTTCCATTTTTGGACAAGTAAAATTGATGAAAAATTCTGTATCTTGTATGAGCTTAAGACTTTCAAAACCTAAGCATTTAAAAAAATGATGATGCTCCCTGCCTTTCAGGCAATATGTAATTCAAATTTTTAAAATACCAATTTGTAAAATAGGAGAACAAAACTAAGGTTCTGAATTTCCTCATTAAAAACATTGATATTTTCTTTCTAAATTTCAAATGGTAGACTCTTTTAAAAAAAAAAAAAGCAAATAAAAAAGTCTTCCTTAGTTTCTTTTTGGCCTTTGATGTGCTTGCTTGCTGGCATCCTGCATCCATGGTTAACTTGCTAGTGGGAAATACATCATTACCATTCTATGTCTTCCATTTTGCAAATTAAACATTCTCTCTTTTCACTGTTCTTCAGAAATCACAGTTTCCGGCCGGGCATGGTGGCTCACGCCTGTAATCCCAGCACTCTGAGAAGCTGAGGAGGGTGTATCACGAGGTCAAGAGTTTGAGACCCGTTTGCAATCTTGACTATTCCATGTTTGCATGCTGTGTCCATGCAAAGAGGACACCTCTTCCTAATTTGCAGAAAGATGCCATAAAGCAGAAAGGTGTATGCTTGAAAAAAAATGCAAGTTAAGGTTTTTAACTAGGAACTCAGTGAATTAATGCTACTGTGTGGTTGCCAAGAGTTGGAGAGGGCATTCCCAAGCACCACGTCTGAGTAAGGGTGCTTACAAAACAAAGATGATTTGTTTTTGTAGTTGCTGTAGTGTAGGGCTAGATGGCTTTTAAGGTCCCTTCTCATTTGTGCTCCTATGATTCTGAGAAAAAGCAATTTTCCTTAACACCAGTCAAGATTGCAAACACCAGTTTGCAATATTGACTGGTCAATATGGTGAAACCCCGTCTCTACTAAAAATACAAAAATTAGCTGGGCATGGTGGCACGCACCTGTAGTCGCAGCTACTTGGGAGGCTGAGGCAGGAGAATTGCTTAAAACCAGGAGGCGGAGGTTGCAGAGAGCTGAGATCACACCACTGCACTCCAGCCTGGGCGACAGAGCAAGACTCCGTCTTAAAAAAAAAAAAAAAAAAAAGTCAATAGTTCCCAGATTATCACCTTTCTCTTCTAGTTGTGCCCTAATTTACTACGGTTCTTCTCTCCACTCTCAATATATCCAGCTCAGCTTGAACCAGACACTGACCACCCTTACTCAGACGTGGTGCTTGGGAATGCCCTCTCCAACTCTTGGCAACCACACAGTAGCATTAATTCACTGAGTTCCTAGTTAAAAACCTTAACTTGCATTTTTTTTCAAGCATACACCTTTCTGCTTTATGGCATCTTTCTGCAAATTAGGAAGAGGTGTCCTCTTTGCATGGACACAGCCCTTACTCATGCCCTCAGCCAGGAACCTGTATGCAGCATGCAAACTGTTGAAGCCCACCAGTGGGATTTGCAATCTGCCCACCCCTCCTGTGTTTGTGTTGCTAATTTTCTGGAACTGAGGGCAACCTTTATATATCTCCCTTTTACTTTTTATCCTGTTAGATTTGGTCCATTGTTCCATCCTGTCAAGTTATTTTGGGTTCCAACGTATTTGCCCTCCCACCCAGCTGCAGAGTCATCAAGAGACCATCTTAATCTGGCAGCTCAGAGGCCCTATCAAAAGGAAGTGAGATCTGGCAAGGGAGCTATTATTCATCTCATTCTGACTTTAGTGATGGCCTCTTCCCTCTCTATTATTCATCTTGTTCTGACTTTAGTGATGGCCTCTTCCCATGATGGTCTCATCATGACAATATATTTCAGAGTTTTTTCAGTATCAGTATCAAATATTCTGTTTTGTGGACTGAAGAGTCTAAACTTCTTCCCATGTCTGAAAACTAGGACATTTTCTGATCTCCATCCAGTCTCAGGACACATCTCCTGTGCTCCACAATTCCGCAACCATTACTGACAGCCATTTTCAATTGAAATCACACAGAGCCAAAGGCAGAGGTCTCATGAAATTTCTTTTGAAGTAGTTTAACTGTGGATTTTTACAGATAAATGGAAAATTTTCTATAATACAGAGTTTTTTTTTTTGTTGTTGTTGTTTTTTTTACTTTTGTTTTACTGCAGTTTAGAAGTTTCTTTATTCACCTTTTTCCAGGAAGGGCAAACTGCTGTCTTCTAGTTAAATGTAGAATATTTTTTAATGCAACAATAAAATTCCAGCAACTACAAAATGATGATTCTTTAAAAATGTGTATAATTTTCTATTCCTTTTCATTTTTGCCATATGATTTTGCCATTCACCGTAGGATCTTTTCTCATTTGGAACTTCAAACTATTGAAAAATATAATTAGTATCCCATTTTGTACGTGGGTTAAAATTTCAGTACAGAAATCTTATTTGTAATTTTATGTAACTATATAGCTATGATTACACAACTCTATTATCTGTGAATTATTTTAATCTGTATTTTAACCTTTATCAAAAAGAATAGAATATACTAAGTTATTTAGATCAAAGTTGTATCACTATATAGAAAATCTAGTCTCTATTTAGCATTGTTTCTGATTGGCATAGAGAAAAATGTGGAGATACATTTTTTTTGCCATATATGAGCTCTTTCAGACTTTTTAAAAGAAATATTATACCTACAGAAAGAAACCATTTCAGCCGGCACAGTTTTATTTTCCACTTACATTGCCAAAAGCCATACCATCTTTCCCGTCTTTGCATTTTTGTGATTGTCCAATTTGCCTAAATAAGAAAGTGTAAGCATCTGCCAGCACCCTATATAGTCAAAGCCTTCTCAGCGGATTCCATTTGCACAGGGTCTGCAGATTTAGAGATAGCAAGAAGCCAAAGGAAGAGATCTGCAGTTCAAACAAAGAAGAATCTTTCTTCTCCAAAGTTGGCATGGGATGCAGACTCAAGCCTAACCTAGGAATAAAAATTGAAAATACGATACAGTGATTAGAAGAACCAGGAAAAGCTTGTGAATTAGAACCGAACTACATAAAGGAGAAGCTGAATGTTTAATCAGTCCAAGTAATATGAGACTACTGAAACTACTATTAATAATATTATCATACTTAACCTGTCCCAGGCACTGTGCTAAACTCATTACATTTTATAAGTGTGATCCTAATGAATTGTCATGATGACACTATCATAAAAGCACTGATGTAATCTGCATTTCACAGATGAAAAAACTGAAGCTCCAAGATGTTAGGTAACTTGCTCAAGATGATGAATTTAGTAAGAGGCAGAGTCAGATTTTAAACCTGTCATAACCCTGTACTTTTGACTTCTTTCTAAATTTCCTATATGGTTCACCTCAGAAATAAAAAATGTTGCTTTTTTCTCTTCAACACTAGACTCAGGTGGACAGAATGGGATTAATCATAATTAGATTTATCACTGATAATGTATAGCCTGATTTTATTGGTTTATCAGTAAGCTATCTCTAAAAATATATAATTACCCGCAAACGCACCACCAAAACCAAAGGCCAGAACCTTGACACCAAACGCCATCTAACTCCACAGTCTCCAGCATCCCAAACCCAAGCTCAACTCATCCGGGATAAATATTATCCTGAATCCTGTGTTCCTTACTTCCTTGATTCATTTTAAAATCGTATATGTTGCATCTATATGAACTCCTTACAAAGGACATATTTTTAGTTTTGTTATTTTTAACTTTGATTCATCTATGTTGTTTCATGTCTCTGTAGTTCATTATTTTTGATTGATGTACAATATTTCCCAGTCTTGTTGATGGGCATTTGAGCTATTTCCTAGGTTTTTTTTCTATAATAAACAGTGCTGCTATACATTTTAAATCCTTGTATCCTGTTATTGGTATGTAACTTTCCTTTGGGTATCTACTTAGTAGCAGTATTTCTGGGGTGTAGGAGACATAGGAGATGTTCAACTCCAGGAGAAAATGTCAAGCCAATACATGATCCTATCAACAGTATTGAGATCCTGTTGATTCTTATCGTTTCTAATACTTGATATCAGACACTACAATTTTTGCCTACTATCTAAGTATAAAATAGTATTTGTTGGCCAGGTGTGGTGGCTCATGCCTGTAATCCCAGCACTTTGGGAGGCCGAGGTGGGTGGATCACAAGGTCAGGAGTTCAAGACCAGCCTGGCCAATATGGTGAAACTGTCTCTCTACTAAAAATACAAAAATTAGCTGGGCGTGGTGGTGGGTGCCTATAGTCCCAGCTACTTGGGAGGCTGAGGCAGGAGAATCGCTTGAACCCAGGAGGTAGAGGTTGCAGTGAGCCGAGACCGCGCCACTGCACTCCAGCCTGGGAGACAGAGCAAGACTCCATCTCAAAAAAAAAAAAAAAAATACTATTTGTTGTAGTTTGGATTTGCTTTCCCTGACCACTAATGATGTTGTGTACCTCATCATTTATGTATCAGCTAAATATTTTTCTTCTTCTGTGGAAGACCCTAACCCTGTCCACAGAGGAGGTAAAATTAAAGGAAAAAAAAAAAAAAGAATAACCTAACCCAAGGGCCAAATCCTTGCCAGAGAAATTGCCCTTATTTTAGCCTTGATTTTTAGTAACTTAAGAGTTAATTCAAGATCTAATAGAAATGGGATAGTAACCTTATTTTATAACAACACCTAATATGTGCTTAAAGGCTGACTTACTGCCTTTAATTGTTTTTACTATCTTTTTGCAAAATATCATCCCCATATTACATAACCAGACACAGAGGACCCTTTTACGTAGTAAAATTATATTGCAAAGAATCCTCAGTTCTTAGTACCAAATTTCCCCAGAGCACATGAATTTCTAGGGGCCGCCAACAGTCCTGACTACCTGTTGCACAGATCAGAAGCATGCTGCCTGACTGCAAAGGCTAACATGTGAAGAAAGGCTTTTGCCTTTATAAGGATGTCATAAGCAGTCTTTCACGTAACAGGAAGTTGTAGTGCATACAAATGCTATTTTAAAGTCTGGGGATATTTAATCATACCTTAATCTTTATTATTTATATTTCCCGGTGCCAGTGTCCACAACTATTGTCCAAAGTGTGACAGAAAGAAATCCTGTAGCAGGAAGCCCAGAGCCTACTCATGGACACCTGTTGCAACTTGAATCGCAACCAGTACTTGCAAAACAATGCATATATGTGAACAACTAAGTGTAGCCACTGGCCCTGCCTTACTAATATAGAAGGAGATTACAACTCCACCTGCTGCCCCTGATATTTTAGGTGTCTCTGGAAGCAGAGGAAGAAATGGAAAAACGACATAGGTAGTAAGAAATGTTCGTGGCGGCAAATCCACATGGATCTGCAGCAACCTCAATTCTTGCTTCCTCAGAAGAAAGAATTCGACTAAGGGGCATAAGGCAGAGGGAGAGCCTGAAGCAAGTTTTAGAGGAGGAGTGAAAGTTTATTAAAAAGTTTTTAGCAGGAATGAAAGGAAGTAAAGTACCTGGAAGAGGGCCAAATGAGCAACTTGAGAGATTCAAGTGTGTGGTTTAGCCTTTGACTTGGGGTTTAATATGTTGGCAAGCTTCCAGAGGTTGCGTCTCTTCTCCAGTGAGCCTTCCTTGGAGTGGGCTGTCCGCATGCGTAGTGGCCTGCCAGCACTTGGGAGGGGCCGCATGCGCAGTATGTTTACTAGAGTTGTGCACATACTCACTTGAGGAATTCTTCCTTCACCAGCGGAATGTTCCCATAGGACGGTCATATGCCACTTAGGAAACTCTCCCATTTTGCCTCCTAGTGCGCATGCATGAGCCCACTTGGCCAACTCCTGAGATCTTGTCAGGAAGCTGCCAATCACCAACTTTAGATGTTTTGTTAATCTAGGGAGACTGCCTTTCCCCTGGCACTGGCTGCAACCAATTATTAGGTTGGTGCAAAAGTAATTGCCGTTACTTCCAGTGGCAAAAACAGCAATTACTTTTGCACCAACCTAATATTATTTTAGAGAGACAGTTTAACAAGCACCTGACCACCACATGATGATTGCCTGACATTCCTGGTGGCGGGGGAACCTCTGTGCCCTACTCATGTTTAACTATCTATCGTAACGGAAACAAGAGTACAACCATAGAGGAAAAAAATAAGGAAAGAGACTGCTAGAAAATAGCCAGAAAATTCTCATTTTCCCACCTAAAATAACAGATGCCTATAAAACTCTTCTTATTACAACAATACATAGCAGGGAGCATATGCAAGAGTGGGAAACGTAGGAGAAATTCCCCTCTGAAACCCCTTATACTGGAAAACTGGGCTTCAACGATTGAACTTGGAGAAACAGACATATCTCTGTAATTAATGTAATTCAGTTTTTTCCCAATGGTCTTTGTTGATAATATAGTCCAATCAGTGGTATTTTCCCCAACTGGCAAAAAGACTCAGGCCCTTTACGTATCACCTGGCTATTTTGGGAGTTTCTAGGAGTACATGATCAAATCTGGTTGGAAAATTGGTAAGTTACTGAATTGGGATGTACTTCTTTCTTCTATTCCTAATCAGAGCCCTGTCATCTGTGTACCGCAGGGTAACATTACCACCCTTACTGGGTACTTTATATTGTCAGGCCCTGCTGCTTTTTCTCCTGCATTCTGTCTGATTCAACACACACTGCTCTCACTTCCACTGGATCTTGAAGGACGAGTGTTAAACTTGGTTTGCATTAAAGTGAAAGAAAACATTTCTCTCTCTCTCTCTCAATGTCAAAAATCAATGTTTAGAACTCTTAGGAGGAACTATCAGTCAATGATTTTTAGACTTTGGAGCAGGAAATAACATATGAAACACACAACATGTTAACTTTTAAAAGCAAAAAAACAAGCTGCACAAATTCGACCTCATTAAAATTAAGGCGTTACAATTAAGAAATTTGTCAACAGACACCTTAAATAGAATGGACAAATTATAAACTGAAAGAAGCCATTTGAAAGATACACAACCAACTAGGATTTGTTCAAAAAAAAAATATATATATATATAAAAGTTCAATAAGTCAATAAAGAAACCAATAGAAAAATAGACAAAAAACATGAACAATCATTTCACAGAAGAAGAATCATATATGGGCAATAAACACATGAATTCACGTTCAATCTCAGTGATCAGGAATTATAAATTAATGCAACAATGAAGTACTATTGTGTACCCATTTGGTTGGCAACAATTGAAGAGTCTGATAATATCTCATGTTGGAAAAGATGTATATCCACAAGGCATTTCACAAAGTTGCTGGTAGGAGTAAAAATTGGTAAAACTATTTAGACTATTTTAGCATTAGCTCCTGAAGTTGAACACTCACATAACCCTTTGATCCAGCAATTTCATTGAGCATAAGCATATACTCAATTTCTCTTTAGTATAAGCATATACTCAAGAGAAAGTCTGCATGTGTTCACCAGGAGATATATATATATGAGTGTTCATGGTTCACAATCATGGAAACCTGTGTATTAGTCTGTTTTCATGCTGCTATAAAGAACTGCCCAAGACTGGGTAATTTCTAAATGAAAGAGGCTTAATTGACTCACAGTTCATCATGGCTCACGCCTGTAATCCCAGCACTTTGGGAGGCTGAGGCGGGTGGATCACCTGAGGTCAGGAGTTTGAGACCAGCCTGGCCAACATGGTGAAACCCCGTCTCTACTGAAAAATACAAAAATTAGCCTGGCGTGGTGGCATGCGCCTATAGTCCCAGCTACTCGGGAGGCTGAGGCATGAGAATCACTTGAACCCAGGAGGCAGAGGTTGCAGTGAGCCGAGATCACATCATTGCACTCCAGCCTGGGTGACAGAGCAAGACTATGTCTCAAAAAAAAAAAAAAAAAAAATCACATATTTTTCTTTTGTTTTTTTTTTTTTTTTGAGACAGAGTTTTACTTTTGTCACCCAGGCTGGAGTGCAGTGGCACGATCTCAGCTCACTGCAAGTTCCACTTTCCGGGTTCAAGCGATTCTCCTGCCTCAGCCTTTCAAGTAGCTGGGATTACAGGAGCCTGCCACCACACCCGGCTAATTTTTTGTATGTTTAGTAGAGACCGGGTTTCACCATGTTGAGCAGGCTGGTCTCGAACTCCTGAGCTCAGGTGATCCGCCCGACTCGGCCTCCCAAAGTGCTGAGATTACAGGCGTGAGCCACTGCGCGGGGCCCAATTCATATTTTTTAATAAACATATAAAGTTTCTAAAGTTTCTGAATTTTCTTAAATTTACATTGTCAAATGTAACAACCTTCCCTTTGGGGTTTCTTTTCTTACAAATCTTATTTCATAACAAGATCAAATAAATAAGAACCTATCTTTTCTGTCAGTTGCTTCATGATTTCTTTTTAGTGTATAACTATTTTACCCATCTTGATTTATTTTGGTATATGGTATTAAATGGAAATCTAGTGAGGTTTTTATTCAAATAAATAACCAATTTTTCTGACATCATTTACTGGATATTCTCTTTCCAATGTGATTTGTGGTATCACCTTGATATATACTATATAATCTTTTATACTATGATCTATTTCTGGGACATCTTGATTCACTGAGCAGTCTATACTCCTGTCAGCACCACACTGATTTAGGTGACTCACATTTGTAATCCCAGCACTTTGGGAGGCTGAGGAGAGTGGATCACCTGGGGTCAGGAGTTACCAGCCTGGCCAACATGGTGAAACCCTGTCTCTACTAAAAAAAATACAAAACTTAGCTGGGCGTGGTGGTGGGTGCCTGTAATCCCAGCTACTAGGGAGGCTGAGGCAGGAGAATTGATTGAACCTGGGAGGTGGAGGTTGCAGTGAGCTGAGATTGTGCTACTGCACTCCAGCCTGGGCGACAGAGCGAGACTCTGTCTCAAAATAATAATAAATAAATAAATAAATAAATAAATAAATAAAATAGCTTTAAAATACAATTTCATATGTAGAAAGTTCTTCCTCTCCTCCTACATTACTTTCTTTTTTCAGAAGGTGCTTTTCCATTTATTCTTCCAGATGAGACCTGTTCTTCAGTTTAAATTAGTCCTCTGGAGAATATCAGATACAAATAAGAAAGAAATTCAAAATACAGGTTAAGATACCATAAAATTTATATCCATGTCATATTTGCAAGCCGAACTATCCATTTTATTTAGAAATGTTTCCTCCTTTATTTGGATATACAATGGAATTAATTATTCATTATTGATTTATACTAAAATGGATTATCTCTTAACTATGTTAACAAAGTAGCACAGCATGCCTGGATAAAAATATTACCAGAACTTTATTTTAGTTAGTATCTATGGCTTCTTCCCTCTTAAACTTTTCACCAGAGCTATCAGGAAAAAAGCCAAAGAGAAAGTTTCAATTTTTTTCTCTTTTTTTTTTTAACCTTCTTTTGCAGAGTTGACAACAAATCCCCAAATCAGTTGATGATACAGCCAGTGGCCTGTCAGTCCTGTATAATCCTCCTACTGAAAAATATCCCCTAAAAAAGTCCACAGCAGAAACTTTATTTAATTAATTAATTTATTTATTTGTTTGTTTCTTTTTTGAGACAGAATCTCGCTCTGTCACCCAGGCTGGAGTGCAGTGGCGCAATCTCTGCTCTCTGCAACTTCCTCCTCCTGGATTCAAGCAATTCTCCTGCCTCAGCCTCCCGAGTAGCTGGGATTACAGGCGCCTATCAGCACGCCCAGCTAATTTTTGTATTTTTAGTAGAGACAGGGTTTCGCCATGTTGGCCGGGTTGGTCTCGAACTCCTGACCTCAGGTGATCCGCCCATCTCAGCCTCCCAAAGTGCTGAGATTACAGGCGTGAGCCACTGCGCCCGGGCAGAGCAGAAACTTTAAAGCCACCTATGAAGTATTTATTTATATTCTTTTCTTTGGAATTAAAGAAATCCCAAATATAAGAATAGGTTTTAGAGCTTCCATTGCAAATTCATTGCCAAGGGTAAAATATGATGGAGTAGTTTAAAAGGAACATCTAGTCAACTAGCCATTCTCTCCTCCAGGGAAGGAATTTCTTCTACAACACCTCGTGGCCAATAGACGTTTTTCTTCTACACAAACACTTTTAGTAACATGTGACTTTCTAGCCAACACCCAGCTGTTGGAGTGAAAAATCTAAAAATAGAAATTATTCAACAAAATCACTCCAAATTTGCTTAAATGCAAATAACCTGAGATGCTCTGTAATCCAAAACAACAGCTCCGGAAATAATTGCTGATACGTTTATTGATGCTGCAATATTGGGAGTTCCAAGGTAGAACCCTGTGGAAGAGAAGAAACTCAACCATCACCAGTCAATACTAGCAAACATATAAGCGGCACAGGCTACAAGTAAAGCTCTGAACAAGACACGAACTTGAAAGAAGCCAATGCCAGAAGCCTTGCTCTTGAGATGCTTACAGCCTGAGTGGTCAGGGCACACACACACTAACCCAAGGTCACACAACATTGATGCTAAACAAGTACCAGAAGAAATAAATCTTCACTCCATGTTTTGTGAACCCATTCATTTGTGGTTCCATTTTGCCTCCTACTCTTGTTTCCTTTTGCCTGGATGTTCTGAGCTTTTTATTTGTTTAGCCTTGCTGGATTATATGCATCTTATTCAGCAATTTAGAGATAAGGTGGAGGCACTACTCCGCAGTACAGCAAAGTAGTTAGGAGCTGAGATACAGCTTATCCACCAGTTTCTATAAAATGCCCATTCTGGCTCAGGGTCAACTGAGTTGGCCCTAGCCAACTGCTATGCCTTCTGAAAGTCACCACTCACTGACATCAGACTGCTTAGCTGCATCATATTCGCCTGGCAAATACTAATCTCATCACTCAAAATTCAGTTCCAAAAAACTGCACTGGGACTGAAGCAGGACTCTTTGTGCAAAAATAAACCAGGCATTTCAAAACATTTGAAATCAAATAGATGAAAATGTTGCAATATTACTTTTCAGACATTTGCTTTGTCTAATTTGCTTTTCATTCACTAGTTTACATTTTCTAAAAGGACTTGTATTTTTATGATGTGCATGACTTCCACACTGCCCACAATCAATGTCAAATGAAAGACCTAACTTGTTACCTAGTCCTCTGCCTACTAAAACAGTGCTGTCTAATCAGGCATCTCTCTGCGGAAACAGGCCTTCCTACAGCAGGAAGCAGAGGAAAGAGGACTGGAGACAGCAATCCCAGCGGCTTTTTTGCCAGAAAGGACAAAATGGCTCTTCTGGCAACTCCTGACTCAGGAAATCGCTGAATTAAGTAGTCAATCTGCAGAGTAATTTAGCATGTCATCTGCTTCCTGGCAACAGATATTTGGAAGCATTTTTATTTTAATTCATCTCTGTCATCATCAGGGTTATAGCTGCTTCTCTCTGAGGACCTCAAGGTCAGAGATGTGGGACCTCAAGGTCAGAGATTTTTCTGTAGTTCTTATAGAGCCAGTTCTTTGAGCTTCTTCCTGCCCTGTCTAGGCCCCAGTAGGCTCACTTCTCCTTTGATTTTGGTCAGGTCAAGCAAACCCCTGTCATCAGAGCTAAATATAAGTTGTATGTAAGTGGGTGGAGGCCCTTGCAGTGGGTTCCCTGGAAAATACACTTGTAAGTGTACAAAAGAATGAAGGTGCAATTGCCTGCCCAGGAGTTGCAGAAGCATCATTGTCTGTGGGAGACAGGAAAGGAATTAAGAGGTCAGCAACTCAGGCTCTCATTCCTGCTTCATCACGGACTTTCTGTGTAATGTTGCACAAATAATTTTCCTTCCCACTCCTCCACTTCTCTATTTTAGGCGTGAACAAACATCAGTCATCTTCCTCACTTGCAGACATTAAAGAGAGTTAATATGAGCATGTTACAAACAAATAGCCCTAACTTCACACATTGAGGAGACCAGTAAACACATGCTGTGGGTGATCCTTCTTTATGTGGATAGAGCAATTTCTTAAAGCTGGTGAACATATGTGTCCACAAAATCCCTAAAAGGAATGTGTGTAAAATAGATGTACCAGGACCATGCAATTCTTATTGTACAAATGCATTTGCAGATTGTTACTATTTGGGAATAACGATGGCCTAATCCAGGTGAGGGTAATAATACATCAGGAAGGTAATAATTTTTATCTGGGGCAGAGGTCACTTTGCTCCTGTCTTAACAGGGGCTCTCTATGGCTTCGGCAAGAGGGCCCAAAAATGCATGTCCTGACATTGCAAATGGCAAAACAGAGATCTCAACCAAATATTCATGAAGCACTGTGTTTGGAGTCTCCCAGCATCGAGCCCCATATCTTCAAGAAAAATCTAAACTAAGCTTTTTACATACCTTTATTGCCTTTGACCCTCACAGCAACTCTGTTAAGTCAACAGAATTATCCCAATTTCACAGATAATGAAAATGAAGCTTAAGAAGGCCAAATAATATTTCCATAGATCATATAGGCATTGAGGGGTGGGACTGGGATTTTTAATCTGTCTGATCCCAAAGTCCGTCCTCTCACCCGGTTTCCATTAGATGATGCTATCTTCCATGCACTGTATCTTTTATGCTCTATATGCCTAAGTTTTCTAATCTATAAAATGGGAATAATAATACCTAACTAATGAAAATCAAGAGATTACCTATATGAGGGCATTTTACAGAAATGTAAATTGTTATTCTAATAGTAATTCCACGTTCATCTCTTCCACTGTCAGCCTCATTATTATAAACACATGTGAAAAGTTTATACTAGGCCAGTTATATGGACCTTGCTTGGCACATAACTGAAATGTAACTTTACATTTCATTGACTTTAAGGAATTTACATATTTTAACCCAGTTCAACTATATTTTGAGGTGCTGCATCTCAGGAGTTCTTGTAGATATCTAATTCCACATTAATCATTGATCTACCTTTATATTATTGCTTCAAAAGTCTTATTTAAAAATTCACATATTTTTAAGCACTGTCATATTCTTTACGAAAAACCTTGCATGGAAATCAGATGGTAGCTAAGTAAATGTGACTTCAAATTCATGGATAAATATCAAAACAGGAGACTAATGGAATACATAGAGAGATCTGTTCATGCCCTGACTTTCTTCTAATTGTCTGTAATCCTGACCTTCCCAGTAGACAGAGAGGAATAATATACTCAGAACTTGCCCTGCCCTTCAGGAAACATGGGTAAAACCTAAATAAAGATTGTTTGTGTATGATTATAAACAATTTGCTATTCAAATTCAATAATGGCACTCGGTAGGCAAACTATCCTAAAAACTTTCCTATTAACAACTAAATTCCAAAGTTTAGCATTGCAAAACCACATAATTTGAATACATTTTTGAACCATCTGATGGAAAATTATATTGATTCCACATGTGTAGAGCTTGTAAGTAGCTCAGTAATTCCTTCACTCTTTTCAGACACAAAGTAACGGCCTCTTTAACGGCCTCTTTTTCTTTCCCTCATAGAAAAGTAGGCTATTTTTCCAGGGTCGGGAGAATGTGGAGGAGGGAGGGCTATAATGAAAGTATGTAATTCACTCAGGACTTGTGGGGCAGTATTAGAGATTATGGAAAGATTTGCTTCACAGAATACAGTTCCTGTGGAGAAAAAAGAGTCCCACTACATCAGGAATTAGCACACAGCCATACAACAAGCTGAACTTTTTGTTATTTTAAAAAATCTTCGAGTTATACTGTATGCTTTTCTAATACTGATAGAAAACAGTTTCAGCAAAGTGCACTAAATAAATAGAACAGTGCCTTACCTTTAAAAAAAAAATCTATATTCAGGAGCTATTCTCCTTCACATTTTGAAATTCTTTAGCTGGAGAAATGCTGGGTCATGAGACACAGGGTCATAGCATCTGGGTTTGATCCAGACTTTGTGATCTCTAAATCATCTTATGCCTTTGAATACATTCCAGCACCACTGACTCTACCATGTATTTTCTAACGTATGGGTTCCCGCCACCCATGCTCTGGGACTGAGTTAATAATGGTACTTACAGGGTTGTTGGGAGGATGAATCCAGTATGCCTAATATGTAAAGCACAGAACCTTGCCAGAATGTAATAAATGTCAGGTAAACATTCACTTTTAGTTTTGCTGTTATTATTGCTTAGATAGTGGTTGCTAAATAATGGAACCTTCCATTTCAATGTCAGTGCCATATCATTTAAAGGTAATCAGAGTGGAACTAATTACATAGCCTCCTGAGATATGAACACACAAATATCTTCAAAATCTCTTTCATTTACTCTCTAGCATCTGAGCTCATGTGCTATCATAAATCAGTTTAATTTCCTTTATTAAGAAAGGCTAGTGGACAGCCCCAGTGTGGAAACATTCCCTACAGGCTCCCTAGGTACTATGAGTAGATGAGGTCACTGGAGAGTTTAATAAGTCAACCTTGTAAAACCCCTGAAGATGAAAAAAGTATATGACAAAGGGCTACAGATCTTCTCTCTGTCCTTGAGGCTCCTCCACGCTTGTGAAAACACTTTCTGTAACAGATACTTAAATATTATTCACACTGTAAACAAAAATCTTTTGAAATTGTTTTAATTAGGCTTGGGGTGTTTTTTTTTTTTTTCATCTTGAGATGGAAACAGAGAGATTTCTGTTCAAAGAAATTATTGTTCCCCTTCAGAAGTCATGGGAAGTACAAGGTCAACTGATGAAAAAACAACAGCCCTAGTCTCAGGGTTTTCTAAGCCTTATTCCTTAGACAAGATACTTAGCATAAAATTTTACTGACACTGAACCAGGTTTAATTTCAGAAAGTAATCATCCATATACAAACGTTGTTTCAGCAGGTTTTCTTGCTCAATTGAAATTCACTCCACAACTATTCGACTCTCTCTGAAGGACCAAAAATCCAAGCACCTGATATGTAAAACAAATGCTTACTAAGGGCCAGGCACTGTTCCAGGTGTTTTATTATATTACATAATTTAATCTTCACAACAGTTCTATGAATGTCATTATTATCTCCATTTTATAGGTGAGGAAGAAATAAAACACCTTAAATAACTTGCTCCAAATTACACAAAGATAGTACATGATGGAGTTAGTATTTAAACCCAAAATGTCTAGCTCCAGAGTCTTTAATGTTAACCACTCAGTGGTATTTTCTCTTTTTATTTTCTAAAATGAAAGTTAATATCTTCAAAATTGGGGACATCACATGGCATGCTTCCACTATAATAAAATTTTTAATGTCTCCCTTTAGAATGCAATTGAAGGTAATCATGTATCCCAGGAGCCTAACTTATTAACTTAACAAGCTATGAGTCCAAGACCTTTCTGTGTCTACATCACATCAGTCAATCCACAAATGTTTATTTTCAGATGTTTTAAATGTTTCAGAGAACATTGCTTAGTCTAGCCTTTTCTTTGCAACAAATATTTTTCACTAGGGTAACGGCTACCATCAGTTACACAGGTACACTTTTAAAGGCATTTGATGCTGGCTTTTACAGACGCAGTGGAGTTAAATGAGTTAACTTTTACACTGTCGCCTTCTCCTTCAGAGTTTTAGTACTGTAACTCGGTGACTTCAAACATATTGCTATTTATACACAAGGAAGTTATGTTGCTCAATCTATAATTATTTTTGCAGAAACTCTAAGTACAATAGACAGCTGCAGGGGTGTCAAACTAATGATTAATTTATAATACATAATAGAAAATATTTATTGGTGAATAGTTTTTATCAAATGTTGAAAATAACCTGCCTGACTATTTATAGGCACCAGCATCCCCTACTTACTTCAGAGGTTAGGGCTTCCCTTTCAGTTGCTATAAACACAGCTTCCTCCCAAGACTCTGTTTATATGTCTGCTTGTCAACCCCGCGCCAGACACTGGCGCTCCCTTTTTTTACCGTCACTGCACCCTCATCCTGTTTATAGGACAGGGAGGATGACCACGGATGCAGAATTATTTTAACTCACCAAAGTCTTGGAGAAACTAGCCAATATTGTTTGTTTTAAGATGACTCATTCTTCAATTGAGTCTTTAACTTAATATTGCTTTTCCAACATCTAGTCACATAAAATGCATTGGCCTAAGCAAACGTGCTACCATTATTTTAAGACAAATTATACCAAGCCTGGATACCAAGAGTCACAAAGCTCCCTTGATGTCCTCGAAGAATAATTTACACTATAAACTAGGGGCAAAAGACCCTTTTATTTTTCCCAGTGAGTCTTGTTCGAATTGCCTGTGGAGTATTTTTCTTTAAAGAAATTAGTACCTGCTTGGGCCCCACACCAGATCAATTAAACCAGGATTTCTTTTTAAAAGCTTCCCTTTGATTCTACTGTGCAACAAGGATTATAAACCACTTCTCAAATGTCATTATTTATTGCAAACCACTAAACAAATGGGTTAGGTATGATTGAATCAAATAGATGCAGTGCTGCTTTTTACCAAAACCTTCCCAACAGTGTTGATGTCATGAAATGGCCACACTGGTTGAATATAGAATGCAGTCCTCAGGCATAGAGGACTGCATTGTTTTCAGCTCACCCTCACTGTAGCCTAGACTCTTTAAAGAATGAGGTAAACATGCTAAAGGTTAGCTTCCAGAGCCTCGTTAGCATAAACAAGAAATTAGGTTTTGATCCTGATGATGAAATTCCAGTTAAAGGAAAGAATTAGGACACCCTCTTGAAGTTAAAGGCAACTCCCTCTACAGATCAAAAGGCAACCTTGAAAAGAAATTATATAATGTCTTCAGTGTAAGTAAGACAGGGCTGATCAGTTATTAGAGCTCAGAGGTCTTGTCTCTCGGGATGCCTTCCACCCACCCTTGAGTATAAAACAAGGATCTTTAATGAAGCACACTGCAGCTGAAAATCAACTCAATTCAATACCGAGAAAGAGCAAGGCAGCCCTCAACAGCGAGTGCTGGTCTGGTGCTCACAGCTAGCCCTGGTGCCCTCCTGTTGGATGCAAATAGTTTCACAGAACATCAACACTAGACAAGGCCACTCCATGACCGTGATGGATCAGGACAAAAACAAGACGACTCCATAATAACATCTAAACCACAAAAGCATGAACCTTGTCGGAGCAACAAAAATGACCCAAATTCCCCTATCCTAATGAATCTGAGTGACAGCTGCTGTTTTACCAATCACAGCTTTAGCGTCATTCTAGTTGTCCTTCCTTCTAGATGTGTTAAAATATCCAAACACAGAATCAACTGCACTTCCTAGAACTGTTCAATCCAGAGCAAAGCCTCATTTTCTAAAACTCTCCCTCAAGTCACCTAACACAAGCTCAAATCGTACAATTAGTCATTCCCAACATCCTCCATAGCTCACACGGTATGTGTTCTCCCTCATTGCAAGGAGTCATGAATTGACCTTGCTTAAGTACAGGTGTGTTCCTCGTGGTCTCCATCTGAAGGGCATTGGCAATGTTTTCATTAAACATCTAGTATATGCCCACTTCAAGAATAAAAACATATAAGATATACCTTAGTATTCAAAGTTTTCAAATGGGTTGGGAAGATATCAAAGGAGTGGACCATAATCACATAATCAAGGCTATGTGTGTACACTGGCAGGGAGATGTTAGGCATTCTTGGAAATTGTTAGGAAAGTAAGACAAAAGCTGTGCTTTGAGAGGGGGACAGAATTAGAAGGAAGGAGAGGAACACAGGGAATGGTATTACACTCGGTACCGTTTCACAATTTAGGGACCTAGATTTATATCTCCTCCTGGTTCAACAGTTTTATCTGCTAGCATTTTACCCCATATTTTTCTTGGGAGTGAATAATTTTGGTTGAAGAAAGGCATCTAATATAGTCTTCTAACTTTTCAAATTCTTCTTCCATGTTCTGAAGAGAGAGAAATGATGTCCAGCCCATTGTTTAGCCAAGTCCTGGAAACACAGTACAGGAATAAAATAATGTCTGTGTTCTCAGATTGTACTGGATTCATGACACATAGAATAAAAAAAAATAATACATGAAAAGGTCACTGTTGACGTCATCTAGGGAGATGCATATAGTGTTTGATTATTCAGTTGACTAGTGAATTAGGCCAATGAAATAATCCCATTACCAACTGCAGTTGTGTGAACAGTTTTGTTCCTCTTTCTCCCTCTGTCTTCCATTCTAGGGATTAATTGGTTTAGATGATCTGTCAAACAATACATCCTTGTGTTTCTCAAACAAATAAAATCTGCATATTTTACATATTCGGACACCACTTTATCCTTTCTGCAATTCAGTGGATTTTTTAAAAAATTAAGTTATGGAAATGTCTCTTTTTTTTTCCTTCAAATGAAGCTTCATGGCAACCATGATGGGAAACACAGTAAAACATGCTCTGGTTGAAGCAGGGTAGGGTGGGAAGACCCAAAGTCACTCTCCCACCCCACCTCGGTGCTCTGGAAGCTCTCTGAGAAGTTTCTAGGACTTCAAAGAACACAGTGCTAAAGGAGTTGTTCTGCTCAACCATCTCCATAGCTCAAGGCTATGGTGTCTATACTTGCATGTCAAATTGGTGTCTCAAACTTTCATACCTACAGAAGAACATCTGTCCATCCTGCTCGTCTCCCTAGCCCCAGCATCCCTGCTTTCAGTAAATAACACTATCCTAGCATCCCCATGGGTATTAGGACCCAAGACCCTGAAGCAGAGAAAATTTGGAAGACCACAAGTCAAGAGCCTCTACTATGTCATATGATTTGTTATGACAGTGTTATCAAATTGATTTTCATCTCAATCTTTCTGGTAAAACTTCAGGTGATGGAGTTGCCTAAAGCCAAAGTAAAGCAGTATATGAAATCCCCTCTTAAAATAATGATGAGATTTTGGCGCAATTATGCTTCTTTTAGGGTAGAGAGACAGTAAGGAGAATCTCAAAGATGCTATGAAGAAAACAATAAACTTTAAAGTGTGCATTTTTAAAACCAAGTGTCTCCTTTTCTAAAAGTAATTTTTCTCAAAAGTAAATGCTGAATTTACTTCAAATTGGTTGGTCCATCAAAGCCCAAAAGAACGAGAATAATGTTCTAAAACACAAGCATTTTCTTTTTAAAATGTTTTTAATTTTTAATTTTTATGGGTACATAGCAAGTATATACATTTATGGGGGATATGGGATATTTTGATACAGGCACATAATGTGCAATAATTACATCAGGGTAAATGGGGTATCCATCACCTCAAACATTTATCCTTTGTGTTATGAAAAATCCAGTTCTACTCTTTTAATTATTTTTAAATGTACGATTAAATTATTATTGACTATAGTCACTCTGTTGTGCTATCAACTACTAGATCTTATATACACTTTCTTTTCATCAGTACCATTTCAAGCCTAGGATAATTATTTTGGCCAAATAACAATAGCAGCAGATATCATTTGTTATTATTCTCCCCATTTACAGGGAAAGAAAATGAGACTTAAATATTTTCATTGTCTTGCCCAAGCCCAAACAGCCAGTAAGGAACATGACCCCTGGCCATCTGTGGCACCATCACCTATGCAAATCATATTCTCTTTGGTTCCCCTCTGGTTTGAGCCTCTTTGATCTGTACCTATTTGATCAGCTCTTACTTCTCAGTCCCTTTGGGAAAGCTACAGAAAATTGCTATTTTTCCTGTATTGTTTCTTTGTATTTCTAATCTCCTTCCAAAGATTTGGCCAGTTACAAGAAATTGGCAAGTTACAAAGAAATAAACCCCAGATGAATCCCACAAAACATGTATCCTTCAAGTTGTTTGCTCTACTATTCCAGAAAAAAAGGCCCGGTGCAGTGGCTCATGCCTGTAATCCCAGCACTTTGGGAGGCCGAGGCAGGCAGATCACCTGAGGTTAGGAGTTTGAGACCAGCCTGGCCAATGTGGTGAAACCCTGTCTCTAATAAAAATACAAAAAAAAAAAAAAAAAAAAATAGCCTGGCGTGGTGGTGGACGCCTGTAATCCCAGCTGCTCAGGAGGCTCAGGCAGGAGAATTGCTTGAACCTGGGAGGCGGAGGTCGAGGTGAGCCAAGATCACGCCATTGCACTCCAGCCTGGGGGACAAGAGAGAAACTCCATCTCAAAATAAAAAAAGAGGAATAATAGTGGTCTAGCATAGCATGCTGGTTTAAAGGATTTAACGTCATGTCAAACAGATATTTTCTCAGCCAGTTCTTAAAGAAATTTCTGTGTGGTAACAGGAGGGACATTGAACTGCTGTTCCCTTACTCAACACTCACTGTGCAGGAGCATTTCTGGGGATGCATTCCCACTCAGTGGTGGCCTGATTTACATTTCTATATGAGGATATCTTGGAGTATTAGATAAAAGAAAGGATAAACCACTTTGGTTCCAGCAGAGTGAGTGAGTGAGGAAATAGTTGAATCACGTCAAATTGCTAGTTTTTTTTTTTTTCTACTGAATTCAACCATCTATGGGTTTAACTTCTCTAAATCTGTTCCTGTGCATAGCCACAGCCATATTTAGGAATCCAATCCACTTTTCATTTTGAGGCTCCTGATTCCTGATTCATCTCAGTCCACATACCCTGGCAGGAATCCACTTAACACACACAGGCCGTGCTGCAAATGGTGCTTAGTAAATTAGATGTTTGGAGTGCCAAACACACTTTCCCCATACAAATTGAGTTACAGATGGTGGTTCGTTATCCAGTCCAGATACCAAATGGCTGTGTAGACAAAATCCAGGTGAACGATGATCTTAAGAGACTGATAGATGCTAAGCTTTCTTTCTAACAGTTTCTAAGGAAAAGAGAATCAGAGGTGAGGGCCTGGAGCACATCTCCCACCTTGCTGACACAGAGACCTCTGCTTCTCAGCGTGCTGGGGCTCCGGGGTACTGGTGGGAGCTTTGCCAGCGGAGACGACATGCTTCTCTGAGGTTTCTGAACTCGGCGACAAGCAGCAGCAGTCTGTCCCCCCAGGGCTGATAGGCACCACAGGTGTGATGCTCACTCCAGAGCCAGGCAGGAGGGGGCGGTGAAGGGAGATGCTGCGGTATGTGACCATTCTCCAGCTGCTCAGTGTGCTAAAGACTGCAGGGGAGAGAGGCCACCTCAAATCAGGTCACAATTCTGTCCTTGAGGAGGAGGGGATGCAGAATATCAGTAGGCAAACAGCAGTCTCCAACCCCACATGTGTAATTACAAAAAGATTAACTCAAATCTAGATGTCATTCAGAAGGCAACACAAGTCCTAGAATAAGAAAATTCAACATAAACGTTTGCTCCCGAAAGCATATAGCTTTAAGAATCAAGGCCGGGCACGGTGGCTCATGCCTGTAATCCCAGCACTTTGGGAGGCCGAGGTGGGCAGATCATGAGGTCAGGAGATCGAGACCATCCTGGCTAACATGGTGAAACCCTGTCTCTAGTAAAAATACAGAAAATAAGCCAGGCGTGGTGGTGGCCGCCTGTAGTCCCAGCTACTTGGGAGGCTGAGGCAGGGGAATGGGGTGAACCTGGGAGGCGGAGGTTGCAGTGAGCCGAGATTGCACCACTGCACTCTGACCTGGGTGACAGAGCGAGACTCCGTCTCAAAAAAAAAAAAAAAAGAATCAAGAAATGACAACATCCAGTAAACTCCCAAAGTATTACAGATAGTTCCTTTTAGTAGCGGTCAGAAGGGGTGCCAGGGTGTATACCTTTTTGCCATCTCTTGCATTAAGAGAGGCCCTCCGCTTCCACTCTTAATTGACTTGTTTAGGATTCAGTTCTTCCTCTACTCTGATTTCAAACTATTAGAAGCAAATGAAAAGAGCTAGGCTGTGCCAAATTTGCAAGTGTTTTCCAATGGAAACACTTTGTGCTTTCTCATTCTTTCTCTCAGGAATCCACAAGCAAACCAGGTCTGACAGCCGACCTCAACTGAATTTTCCTATTTCTTATTTTGGGTGAAAGGGAGGGGAAAAACTGACTTATGAGAAAATAGGAGCATTTAATTTAAAATTTTCCCATGGTATGCTATATAGCGGATGCTTCTCTATTAGTATATTCTACCACTGATGGGAGAAGGAGGAATCAAGGATAATGGGTTTCTGGTTTGAGTGCTTAGGCAGATGGAGGAGAAAATGAAAATTAGTTCAATATTAGACATATTTGGCTCATGGTGCCTATGGGATATGCAAGCAGTTAAGCAAATCCAAATAAATGCCTGGCACTCAAGATATATCTAACTGGAGTTACTCTGAAAGTCATAAGGATGTAAATATCAAAGTCTGGTGCAGATGTGACTGCCCATAAAAAGAGAGAAACAGGGCCGGGAGCGGTGGCTCACACCTGTAATTCCAGCACTTTGGGAGGCTGAGGCGGGCGGATCACGTGAGGTCAGGAGTTCAAGGCCAGCCTGGCTAACATGGTGAAACCCCATTTCTACTAAAAATATGATCATGCCATTGCCCTCCAGCTTAGGCAACAAGAGCAAAACTCTGTCTCAAAAAAAAAAAAAAAAAAAAAGAGAGAGAGAAACAGACAGACAGAACCTTAGAGAGCACCAGCATCTAGAACACTGCTCCTCAAACCTGAATGTGCAAGTAGATCACGTGAGGATCTTTTTAAAATGCATGCAGTTTCCAATTCAGTAACTCTGGGGTGAGGCCTGAATTCTGCATTTATAATAAGAGCTCCCAGTGTTGCTGATGCAGCTTGTTCTTGGGCCATACTTTGAGTCCTATGGAATTTGAGGACAGCAAATACAGAAAACAAGGAAAATTGACCTGAAGAAGATTAGAGATGTGGAAAAGAAAAACAAATAATCAAATGAAGCAAACCCGGAGACTGGGGCTGTGGAAGCTAGAAGAAGAAAGGGTTACAATAAGAATGTGAGCATATGGGGTGCCAAATAGAATCCCCAAAAACACAATCCTGAACACCATTATCCTTAATGCTGAAATCCCAAAAGATCAAAATCCCGAAAATGTAATTCTGAAAAAACTAAAAAAAATCTTTAAAATATTTATTTACATTTTTAAAAAGGGATTTATTTGAGAACATATAAAATCATGACAAAACACTTCATAGGCCACTTTACACAATAAAACAGGCAATAACAACATACATATTTTTGCAAGCATAAATACTCAGGTATGCCATGCATGACAGTTGCACTGGGATAAGAGTTATAAGCAGACAAACCATATTCATAAAGAAATAGGTCAAAAAGGGAAATGTATAAATACATAATCACTATGGTTGCAGATTGTGTGTACTCAGCTTTATAACTGTGGTCATCTGAAATACTGTGATGAGCAATCTAAGTATTTTGATGAGATTGATCAAAAACCGAGGTGAGTCCCACCATGTACGCAATCGCCCAAAGAGCCAAGATCTCGAGAAAACTTATCTTGTATAAATGCGGATATACGAAAAGGACATCTCTTCATTGCCGAGGAATTTTCAACATCTATACATGCATAGTACTTACACACAAAGTCAACATTGTAGTAACACACTTTGGTGGAGTCAAATTTGCAAAAAGTGCATAAAACAAATTCAAACTCTCTATGAGTCTCCACGCAATTTCTACCTCCAGTATTGGAAATGATGCAAAGATGAATACACAGCAAATAGTAAAAAAATAATAATAATAATAATGCTGACAACTTACAGTCAGTAACTTTGCTGGCTTCTTCAGGCAAATGCAGCTTTAATTCATAAAAAGCTCCCGGAATGTCATCAGCTGGAAGGAATGCCAATGAAGGCAAATGACTCATTTTTAAACTGATGTTTTTGTCGTTGTCATTTTGCATGACCAACAAACTCATCTGGATTGTCCACCAAATGCATTGGCCTAAATAGAAAAACCAAACTATTTGGTAACATCTTGAAATTCAATTTTAGGAGCCTTGATCGTACCTAATTCCAAATCAGTCATTATGGTTTGGAGATGCAATTGAAATATATTTTCTCTGCAAAGTCCACCAAGTCTTTAAATAACTACTTATAAAGTGTTTCAATTTTTCCAGTCATTAATATCTATATGAGTTAATAAGTTCTAGAATTTTCTAATCCAACAGGGGCATGAATTGTATATACTTGATTTAAAAAAAAAAAAACTGGGGACAGTTTTGAAAGTACCATCCATTCGCCAAAGTGAGGTATGTGCTAGTTTTTCTATGTTAGATTTAGTGGTGATTATAAGAAGTCTATTTTGTTTGACAGTCAAATCCCTAATCAAAAATAGTTCACCATTTAATGTGCTTTGCAACACTGGAGGAACCTCTATAACACAAGTGTCTTTGGTTCAGAAGGTCACTGAGCTTGCCAAGTTCTTTTTATTCTCTTATGAAGGGTGTCTTTCGAAGCAAACATGGTGCTATGTGTGAAGGGGTAGAAGTTGTGCCTGATGGAGTAATTTGGCAAAGGAGATTTATTGTATTTTTTACCTGCATTTTCATTTCTTCTCTGATCTTCAAAACACTCTCCACACTTGTATTTGAAGATTGGTTGTGGTCTACAGATTTTACAGGTATATGCTGTCCATTTGAAAGTATGGCTATTGCTTGGCTGTCATAATTAAGTGATTTTCTGCTTTCACGGCACCAATAATGATTAGCTTCTAAACATTTTTCTTTCATCATTAAGTAGCCTCATATACTTGTCACAGCCTTTCTGCAAAGGAACAGTTTCACAAATCTCTTTCATTGTGTTGTAAGAAATATATTAAGTAGGTTGTGAAAGTTGTCAGAATCAAAACAGAGTCACTAATGTGAAGAAAACCCTAACAAATACAGCTGGGGAAGGCCATGAAAGGAGGGTTCTCAAGCTTGTTGCCTGATCATGGAAAAGACTACAAAAACCACAAAGTTGCACAAAAGCCATTGCAACTTTACACAAAAAGTACTTCTGCAAGGACATCTGCCCAGAAATTGCCTACTTGACTTCAGACGGGCATCACACTTGTTATTGATCTTTGTAGTCAAGGATAATTATTTCAAAACAATTATGTAAACCTCCTCATTTTTTTTCCTTTAAAAACCTATGTCTTCCTTTACCTCCCTGAATACACACATAGTATTCTGTGGCAGGCAAAGCTCTATTCCCAAATGAACATCTTTTCTTTCAGAGAGCCTCTCTCTGCTTGTTACTTAGGTTGACAAAGGAATGATATTTGATTTCCCCAGTACCAAATTTGTATTAGTCAGGGTTCTCCAGAGAGACAGAACCAATAGGATAGGAATGTACACATATGAGAGATGGTTTATTAGGGGAATTGGCAGCTCATGTGATCGTAGTGGCTGCAAAGTTCAATGACAGGCCATCTGAAAGCCAGAGACCCTGGGATGCTAGTAGCATAGCTCAGGCCAAAAGCCTCAGGATCAGACTGGCCACTGATGTAAGTCATGGAGTTCAAAGGCCAGCAAGTCAATCCCGGCTCTCAAACAGAGATTACTTCGCCTTTTGTATTTGTTTTTCCAGGCCCCTAGACGATTGAATGGTGCCTGCCAACACTGCGGGGAGATCTTCCCCACTTAATCTACTCAGACTTACACACTAATCTCCTCCAAACACCCTCACAGACAATACCCAAAATAATGCTTTACCAGGTTTCCAGATATTCCTTAATCCAGTCAAATCGACACTTAAAATTAAATCCACTGGCACATGCCTGTGGTCCTAGCTACTTGGGAAGCTGAGGTAGGAGGATCACTTGAGCCCAGGAGGTTGAGGCTGCAGTGAGCCCTTATCACACCACTGTATTCCAGCCTGGATCATGACAGAGTGAGACCCTGTCTTAAAAAAAAAAGAAAAAGTATTCCTTTCCTTTCCTTTCCCAAATAAACAGGGGAGCAATATGATGCTAAGCATATTCTGGACATATTCTGGAGTGATATATATGGACTCGTTTGTTTCAGTTAGTATTATTTTCTTTCTATATTTATTCATTGCCAAGAAAATAAAGTTAAAGATTCTATTTACAAAAGAATGAATGTGCTCACTTGATAAATGTAGATAACACGTTACAATTTACTCTTGGAGTCCTTCCCTTTCTCATCCAGTCATTAAAATATAATGCATTTCTGATTTTCTCCCACTCAAAAAGCCGTATTTGGAAATCAATTAATGAAATAAGCAAATCTGTAAAATTGGTTTTAAATGCATAAGGAAAAAACCCTTTGGTACCATCATATTAACAACAGAAACTATTTTTATTCCAGTGCTATGGCACAAATGTTTCTTTCTGAATCATATCTGAAAGTAAATTATTTAAGCAATTTCCTTAATAATTAGAAAATGGTATTTGTGAAGCCATTTATTTAATCACACACAATTTAATGGAGGCCATTACAATTCTCTATCTACTTTATTCTGTTAGAACCAAAAGCCTAAAGAGAAATGTGTTCCTAAGGCTCTAAATGCTTTCAAGAAACTGAGTCTGACTCACAGTGCTTTCTACAGAGAAGTGGAAGAAGCACACAGCACAGTCATCCACCACATGTGAAAATCAGTTAATATTTCTCCCAGTTATAGACATGTCATTATTCATAAGGTACTGTTAAATACATTAAAAGATCAAACAAAAGCATCTGCTTTGGTAAGGCTCTGACCTACCCAAATTTCTGCCTGGGATAGTGCATAGAGCAATAGTTTACTTCTAACTTTCTATCGTGTATAAAAAAAATTGTTATCAATGAAAATTGAAAGGAAACAAAGGAATTACAAAGCAAAACCATAAATTAGCTGTGAAGGAGAGTTCCTCTTACCATACCCTTCACCAAATTGAGTATTATTACTTCTTGAATCTTTGTCAATTGGTAAGTGAATAACGGTGTATCATCAATGCTTTTACAATTGCAAGACCCAGGAATTATTGACTCCTATACCCTGAGTCTCACCTCCAATATATATCCTGCCTCCCACTCCCTTCCTCTTGATCTGTCTCAGCTGGTCTCTCTCAAACACTCCCTCTTTCTCCCCTCCCAGCTGTCTCTAGATTTGTGTTCTAAGATTAATATTCCTGAAACATTTTTGATCTTTCAGGCGGCATTATTGCAAAACACTCTCCTGCTTCTCTGCCTTATGCTTCACCACCTTTACAGTTGACATCTTTTTTCTTCATTTCTCTATTTATCCTTGTATAAGAAGGGGGCTTCAGATTGCATTATAAATTGTCTGCTTCCATGAATTTCAGACACGTTTTCCATGTCTGTGAACTGGGAAGAAGGGTATGCCTCAAATTTATGTGGATGGGGACCTGAGAAACCTCCAAATCTAAGAAAAGAGGTAGGCATGACAATGATTTGATTGTCAGAGAGGAGGGACAGTTTTCGACTCTACAATAGTGTATCTCTCCCAGCCTAATCCCCGGTAGACTTGTGCCTGAGTCTTATGGTGAAAGGTAGCACTCAAGATAAGCAATAAAAAATACTTTTTTAACCAAGAGTTCTGTTGGGGTACAAGCAGCAGTGATTTTGTACCAGTTTAACAGAGAGTAACATCCACAGAGGCATGCCTTAGTCCATTGGGACTGCTTTAACAAATTACCATAGACTGGTGGCTTAAAAAGAACAGAAATTTATTTCTCACAGTTCTGGAGGCTGGAAGTCCAAGATCAGGGTGCCAGCATGGTCAGGTTCTAGTGAGGGCCCTCTTTTGGGTTGCAGACTGTCACATACTCCTTGTATCTTCACATGGCAGAAAGAGACCTAGCTATCTCCCTGGCATCTTCTTATAATAACACTGACCTCATTCATGAGTGCTCCATACTCATGGCCTAATCAACTCCCAAAGGTCCTACCTCCAAATATCCATTATATTGGGATTAGGTTTCAACATGTAAATTCTGGAAGACACAAACATTTAGACCGTGAAGGGAAAATAGCACTCTCTGACATATGATCACAACAGAATACCACCTCCTGCAGCACCTATGGGGCTCCAGTAATTCAGCAAAGTCAGTTCCCAATAGAAGACCGTCATCCTCCCAGGAGTGGCAAAAGTGACTAAGAGGTCCTACAATATCAAGCACAGTGGCTCTCGGAGACAGAGATACCCAGCACAAGGATGTTGGAATAGAAAAAAAAAAAAAAAAAAAAAGATAAGAATCAGGGAGAAAGACACATGGAAACTGAATACAACATATACAACTCCCCTTGGGGACTACCAGAAATAGTTGGGGGGACAGGGAATCAACTTTCCAGGAGTTTAAAGTCAAGGGAGGAAAAGCTAGTAAAGCATGTGTTTCAGCTCTCATAGGAGAGATTTTTATCTTGTGCAATTAATATCTTTTGGAACCAAAATTCTCTTGGGTACTGAAAAGGTATATAGAAGTAAATTTCATTATACTTAGATTTGAATAAAGCAAATTTGCAATTCCAGAAAAAAAAAAATGCAGTCTGCCAAGTGCTATACGTAGCAAACTTAAAGAGAACAAAAGTATCCGTAAGAGAATACTATTTAGAGTGATAGGCACTAAAAGTAAAAAATGGATGCCTATTTTATTTTAGTAATTACTCTCAAATTTTCATTTGTGGCTAGTTATAAATCTATGTTATTTATCTGATTAAAATCTACTGGATCTCTTTCTCACTTAAATTTCCATTGACGCCAATTTTTTTTTTGTTTTCTGTTTTGTTTTCTTTGTTTTTTTTGTTTTGTTTTGTTTTTTGTTTTTTTGAGACAAGTCTCACTCTGTTGCCCAGGCTGGAGTGCAGTGGGGCATCATCTCAGCTCACTGCAACCTCTGCCTCCCAGGTTCAAGCAATTCTCCTGCCTCAGCCTCCTGAATAGCTGGGACTACAGGCATGTGCCACCACGCCCAGCTAATTTTTGTATTTTTAGTAGAGAGGGGGTTTCACCATATTGGCAAGGCTAGTCCTAAATTCCTGACCTTGTGATCCGCCTGCCTCAGCCTCCCAAAGTGCTGGGATTACAGGCATGAGCCCAGTAAGATTCTCAGTATGATACTTTCCACTAAAACTTAGATCCATTTGCATGTGAACATTTATGCTCTGGATCTCATCTGAAACGAGAAAGTGTGACAAAATATTATACATGCAATTTCAATCTCTGAGGAAATCAGGGTTTTTTTTGTTTTTTGTCTATTAGAACAATACAGATTTCTCATTGGCCATATAGAGAGCAAATCTGGAAATTGTGTAGCTCTATTTGCCACATAGCAACATAGTTGTGCTGAAAAACAGAAGTTACAGAAATCTTGAAGATCATTCTCCTTGGATCTCCTTCTCTCATAAGCAGGAAGCTAGGGCTCACAGTTAGCCAGTGGCAGTTCCAGGACTAGAATCTTAGCCTCCTAAGTGCCAAGCCCAGAGCTTTTCCCACCCAATGAGAAAACTCTCTTTGGGCTTCTCCAACATCAGTCTCTAGCATAATGTTTTAAGTGTTTTTCCCTATACTCAGAGAAGGAATCAAGTTCTCCTTCTAAACTCCTACCTCCTTTTCACTGTCCTGCCCAACCTTCAAGCATTGCCTTAAGGCAGATTCTCTTCTTAGCTATTGGAGTAATACCAGGGATACTTATCTTCAAATATGCAGAAACCAGGTTGATGGGTGCAGCAAACCACCATGGCACATGTATACCTATGTAACAAACCTGCACTTTCTGCACATGTACCCCAGAACTTAAGGTATAGTTAAAAAAAAAAAAAAAGTATAAAATTATTCCCTATATTTATCTACAGAATGCTCTATCTTCTATGTAAAAACCCAGCAAATAATTAAAGGTTGGCAAAACTTGTCAGTTAAAAAAAAAAACAAATATGCAGGAATATGAAGCAGACAGTACAACTCCTCATGGGAACTGAGTGCTCATTCATTCCCATCATTACTATCCATGTTTGAGGTTCTACCTCAAATACAGATAGTCCCCGACTTACAATGGATTGACAGGATTTTTCAACTTGACAATGGTGTGAAAGCAAAATGTGCTCAGTAAAAACTGTACTTCGAGCACCCATACAACTGTTCTATTTTTCACTTTCAGTACAGTATTCAATGAATTACCTAATATTCAAAACTTTATTATAACATAAGCATTGTGTTAGGTGACTTTGCCCAATTGTAGGCTAGTGTAAGCAATCCAAGCACGTTTAAGGTAGGCTAGGCTAAACTATGATTTTCAGTAGGTTAGGTGTATTAAATGCATATCTTATTTATAATGTGTTCAACTTACAAATGGGTTTATCAGGACATAACTGATAAGGCAAGGAGCATTTGTACTTCTTAAGAGGAAGTATATTTCCCTCCTACAACCTGGAAGAATGTTTAACACCATTTGAGTCACCTCCTGCCATTCTCCACTTTCTTCATAGTAATTGAATAAGGCTGACCACACATCGCTCAAGAAAGAATTCCCTTTAGATTCCATATCTCTTCTTTCTTTGCTCAGAAAAATGGACCTTTTTCACCTGCACTCTAAAATGCTACTGTGTAGGTAAGTGAAAATCTCTAAAGCTATGTATTAAGTGGGAATGGATTTCTATATGTTAACATTGAAGAGGAAAGAAACTGATTTTTCTTAGTCTGAATCATTATGCTCATGCCAAATTTCTAGGAAATTGACCAAGTACATGATTTCATAATCATTAGCTATGAAGAGGGAAACTAGAGATGCAAAACATAAAGCCGCTAATAATATGAGAGCAGTGAAACAAGAACCAAAGGAAAAACTCGGGATGAGTTATGACAAGGCCTTCTCACTGCACCTGGTGAGCAAGCGCTCGAATGGGAAATCCCATACCAAATTCCATATTTCACTGGATCATGTTACATGGAGTGCTAGGAGCACTTGCAGACTGAAACAAATTTCCACTGCTTTTCTTTTCATTCTGTATCAGAAGGGGAAGAAAACTGTAACAGACAGCCCCAGGCAACTCTAAATTGGTGTATGGATACAAACAAGTAATCAGATGGTTTATCACTATGGTTGAACTTCCTACCAAGACCGGTTTTGCAGATGGTATTTCTAAAACAGCAAGCACTGAGATTGGTTGACATTGCAAGCTCAGTTTTCATTCAAGCAGACACAGCATCCGACACCGCCTATGGACCAGAGTTTGATTACATAATACTCGCAGGTTACCAAATTATTTACACAACTTCCAATTTTTGACATTTCCTACTTCCCTCCCAAACTTTACACACGTTGATGCTATTTTAATTCCTTCTTCAGCTTATTTGATTCTTAAAATTGATGCTTAAGATAATTTTCTTGTTAATAGGAGAAAGAAAAAAAAAGAAGAAACTCTCAGATGAATACTTCTAGCTAGATTTAGTCAAATGGAGCTTTGAGAGAGAGCTCCATGGTGCCAGACACTTTATCACTTGAAAAATACTAAGTGTATGATTTATAACATCTGTTATCTGTGAGTCATAGCTATGCCTTGGCAGATACATCAAAACAAGATTTTTAGTGGGCTGGTCCAGGAAAGTAATGGATAATAAGAGATGGGATATCTGTCTGAAGATCACAGCAGAAAGAGTGATGGAAGGGACTTTTTAGAGGTCAGACAGTGAAGATGACAAGGGAAATCCAGTGGCTTACGCAGGTCCTCACAGCTAGATACTTCCTGTCCATCACCCCTTCTTGGTTTCTTTGGCCACTTCCCTAACACAGCCCATCCTACCAAAAGTCAGTGGAGGATACCCCAGGGATGGACACACACAGACGCTGATGTGTGGAGGTCCCGGCAGCAGCAAGACCAGGCTAGATTTCAGTCAGACCACTTAAATCTCAATGGAAAGGGATTTTTGTTGGTGGTTTTTTGCTGTTGTTGTTTCTTTTGTGTCTTTTTTTTCCCTGCTCAATAGCATATTCACACCAACTGAACAGGAAGCGGACAAGTTCAGTACAAGTTCAGCTTCCACCCCACCTCTTCAGGCTGCAGGACCTAAGCTTAGTTTCACATTATACCCACGCACACTTCAGCCTAATTGTAAAGTGAGGTCAGCAGACAATATATAAAACATGAAATTCAAATCAGAGTTGTTTTATATGTATTGCCAGGAGCTCTAATCACAGCGAATGCCACCTCTCAGGATATAATCTGTGGCTCACCTCCGCTGCCTGCCTCAGATGGCCAGTAGGTGGGGAGCGTAGGGCCAGGCGTTCTGCATCACCGGCTGAGTATGCTCATCACGTTCTCAGTGACAAACAGTCTCAAGTGACAGTGTGACAGCAAAAGCAGATGGGAGTCAGAGTTTTTGTCATTTCCCACATTTTTCCATTTTTTACAAGCCAAAAAGACTGCCGATATTTGAAAGAAGATGTCAGTGGCCAGCAGGGATCTCACATTAAAGAAAGTGTGCATCTCAGTGCGTGATCTATTGAAGAAGAATGTCATTTTAGGGGTAGTGATGGGACGAGGGTGAGGAAGGACAGCTAGACACAGAAAATATCAGACTAGATCAGGAGTTGAGTCATAATGCATGATAAATGGAGATGGTAGCAGAATATAAGGAAGACTGCAGATATTTATACTTAATGAAACCACAGCAGGTTTCCAAAAGGTTTCCTGATGCAAAAAAGGATTTTCATGGCGGGCCAGGTGCAGTGGCTCACACCTGTAATCTCAGGCACTTTGGGAGGCCGAGGTGGGTGGGTCACTTGAGTTCAGGAGTTTAAGACCAGCCTGGCCAACATGGCAAAACCCCATCTCTAATAAAAGTCCAAACAAAATTAGCCAGGCGTGGTGGCAGGCACCTGTAATCCCAGCTATCGTGAGGCTGAGGCAGGAGAATCTCTTGAACCTGGGAGGCAAAGGTTGCAGGGAGCCGAGATTGTGCCACTGCACTCCAGCCTGGGTGACAGAGCAAGACTTCATTTCAAAAAAACAAAAAAACCAAAAAAACAAAAAGGATTTCCATGGCCAAATAAATACAAAGAAAACTGAGTTAAACAAAGATTGATTTCTTTGTGCAGAATATCTCAGCACCTTTAGTATGCTATTATGAATTTCAAAATGGCAAGAGACAATTTCACCATGAAACTCATTTATTATGGACACTTATTAACAACTCATAAGACATGTGCTCCACGATAAATGTTAGATTAGAAAATTACTATCTCTGTGGTTTCTATTCAAGGTGAGGCTTTAAGAAAATAATTCTTAACATTTCCTTCAGTTCCATTATTTTTAGGTTCTACTACTTACTCAGCTAATGATAGTACTAAATGACAAAGCAGACTACATCAGAAAAATTGAACCAAAAAATGGGAAATAATATGAAGCAATTAAACTTTGATCTAATAATTGACCAGAAAACCATCATTTGCTTGAGGTCAGTGCTTCCAAAAACAGTGATTTCTGGAAAGTACTGAATGTGTTTGAGTAAAACTTTGCAGATATGCGAGAACCCAGGGCAAACTGCAATTGAGATTTTGATGTGCTTAATCAACTTATATATAGCTTCAGAAAAATTACATATTGATATAAGATTATAAATAAGAATTATTTACTTTATTCTACTATTCCCAATGATAGGTCCTTCCTCATTAGTTCATGTATTAATATGCTCCCTTCCTTAAGATGGTCACCGACATCTCATTTCAAATATCAGCAGATAGAGTCTTACTGGCTTATTTTTAAAAATATAGCAATATGAGAAGAAAAAAAACTAAGCCACATAAACAGGCTGAGTAATGTGATTTTGAAATCTTGAAATCTACAAAAGGAAATGTGAAAAAGAACAAACTTTAAAGGATAATAAATTGTTCTTTTGCAAAGAAATGGGAAATGTTTTTAATCTCTTAACAAATATTTTCAGAAACATAGATACAAATATTTTCCAGTGTTTTTGCTATTTAATATATGTTGCAAACCGAGATAAGCCCATAATGTAAGCATTGTTATTTGAAATACTTATATAAGCTTGAAATTTTTAACAAGGCAAATTTGCTTCATCTTTTTGAAATGTAAATATACTTACATATTTAGTTACCAGCCCAAAGGTGTGAGATGGAGGGGCAGAGAAAAAGAATGGCTGGCTGTGAATTAGAGGCTTTTGCTATAGCTATCAAAAGGAAATTTCTAGGAACATTTTCAACTCATTTCATGGTATCTTAGAACAGGAAAGTCCGACTGCCCTAAACACACATGTATATATTTGTATGTGTGTGTATGTATATATGTATGTGTATGTATGTATATGTACGCATGTGTGTGTGTTTCTTTCTATATGTTCTGCTCCTTGGTTTGTTCACTGAAACTTTCTTGGCAGTTAAGCCATATCAATGTCGGTAAAGATGCCTCATAAATTGCTAAATGGCTGCTTAAGATACCATTGTATGGCTATTTCATCATTTACTTAACTGTTTAACCTAATTGTTGTCTGCTTTAGGACATTTACATTTTGTTGGCTTTTATTTTTGTTTTTGTTTTTTTGCTATTACAAAAATGTTATAACAAATACATCTGTACATGCTAGACATATTTGAATGTTTCTGAGTATATGTATATGAAAAATTCCTAAAAATAAAACTGCTAAACAGAACATGTACATTTTTAAGTTAGCTATTGTTTAAAAAAAAAATTGTCCCCCAAAAAGGTTGTCTCAATTTGCACCAGGACCAGCCACACTTAAAAGGGTTTATTTCCCCCACATGGATCTGACTTTATTTCTGGACTCTTGCCTGTTCTACCAGCAGGTATCACACTATTAAATGACTATAACTTTGAGACGAGCTTTATTTTTTCTAGGTTGAGTGAGTTTTCTTATTCCTTTCCCTTCCAAATTATCCTGGCAATTCTTGAATGTTTGTTTTCTCACATGAACTTTAGAATCAGTTTGAATAGATCTAAAAATTTAGGGAGAATTGATCTTTTTGTGATACGGAGTTTTTGCTCCTCTTTTCTAGATTACTTTATCATCCTACCTTTGAGGAGAAAAGGAACAGAGAAGCAGTTCTTTCCTATGCAAGAGGATTGCCTTAATTGTTCAGCCAGTTTTGGCAAATTACATTTAAAGTTTCTCTTTCCATAGAGAAAGTACAAATTTTTGAGTCCCAGAAAGCTAGGGAAAACTGCTGGCACTTTTGAAGCATTCTCTGGGATTGAAATGAATTTCTTTTATTCATCAGTTGTTTGCATTCCTATGTGGGGCACTGAAACAGAGAGCTGCTGGTGTAGCAAGATAATCAAAGGAGAAATTCTTTTCTGTTGTATTCTCAGAGATATAAGAAACAAGTATTTTTTCCCTTCTCCACCTTAAGACAATGTTTAAGCTTGAGTCCCAAGTCTGATTTTCTCTACCACAAGAAGTAACTCATGACTTTGGTGTTCAGGGGTAAAAATAGATCATGTGAAGTCCCTTGATGACAAGTCTTCACCCAGGCTTTGCTTGGGAATCTGAACTCATTAAGAAAGACTGGTGCTGAGGAATCAGGTAGAGGAAAGAACCTGTCCTACTCTTGAAAAGATAAACATTCTTTTTTAAAAAAAAATTATTTCCATAGGTTATTGGGGAACAGGAGGTGTGTGGTTACATAAGTTCCTTAGTGGTGATTTGTGAGATTTTGGTGCACCCTCACCTGAGCAGTATACACTGCACCCAATTTGTAGTCTTTTATCCCTCACCCCATTCCCACCCTTTCCCCGAGTCCCCAAAGTCCACTGTGTCATTCTTATGCCTTTGCATCCTCATAGGTTAGCTCCCACTTATAAGTGAAAACATTCTATGTTTGGTTTTCCATTCCTGAGTTACTTCACTTAGAATAAAAGTCTCCAATCTCATCCAGGTTGCTGCAAATGCCATTAATTAATTCCTTTTTATGGCTGAGTAGTATTCCATCATATATAGATAGACAGACCACAGTTTCTTTTTTCTTTTTTTTTTTTTTTTTTTTTTTTTGAGACAGAGTCTTGCTCTGTTCCCCAGATTGGAGTGTGGTGGTATGATCTCGGCTCACTGCAACCTCTGCCTCCGATGCTTAAGTGATTCTCCTGCCTCAGCCTCCAAGTAGCTGGGATTACAGGCAACCACCACCACACCCAGCTAATTTTTGTATTTTTAGTAGAGACGGGGTTTCGCCATGTTGGCCAGGCTGGTATTGAACTCTTGACTTCAGGTGATCCGCCTGCCTCAGCCTCCCAAAGTGCTGGGATTACATGCATGAGCCACTGTGCCCAGCCACACCACAGTTTCTTTATCTACTCATTGATTGATGGGCATTTGGGTTGGATCCATGATTTTGCAATTGCGAAATGTGCTGCTACAAAAATGCGTGGGCAAGTATCTTTTTCGTATAATGACTTACTTTCCTCTGGGTAGATACCCAGTAGTGAGATTGCCGGATCAAATGGTAGTTCTACTTTTAGTCCTTTAAGGAATCTCCACACTGTTTTCCATAGCGGCTGTACTAGTTTACATTCCCACCAGCAGTGTAGAAGTGTTCCCTGTTTACTGCATCCACACCAACATCTTTTTTTTTTTTTTTTGATTATGGCCATTCTTGCAGGAGTAAGGTGGTATTACATTGTGGTTTTGATTTGCATTTCCCTGATCATTAGTGATGTTGAGCATTTTTTTATATGTTTGTTGGCCATTTGTATATCTTCTTTTGAGAATTATCTATTCATGTCGGAAGGATGAATATTCTAAGACTAGGAAGGGAGCAACTCAGAGGGAGGCATTCCCTCTTATAGCAAAGATTCATGCCCCACTTCCCTGTTGCACTTGATAGGGGAATGGCTGTGGCATGTCATGTCTTAGCCCAGTTTTCTATAAAGCAGAGGCTAAGGCAAAGATTAAGGTGGTAAGACTTTATTTAGGAGATGCAAATAAAGGTAAGGAAAACAGGGAGAGGAGGCTGGGAAAGATGTGAAACCACATGATGCCGTAAGTTACTAGCTGGATACCATTTCATAAATCATGAAGAGAGATTGCAGGTTGCTCTGCAAGTTTGGTCATTTGGCATTACGGTCTTTTCCAGCATGGTCTGCAAAGAAGGAGTTGTACCTTATAGCCATCCAGAAGAACCAAAGAATGAAAACAAAAGCAAAAAACAGGTCCTTTTTCCTGGCTCCTCCTATCTCCTACTTGCCATTGGTCAAGGTTCACTCCATAAGGAGCTAACACTCCTGCACTTCTGTATTTCACCACCATCCAGCCTGTTGGTGGCACTCAGGCAATCAAATCTCACACCCTGCCAGATGGTATACCATTCAAACCTGAAATGGAGGGGCAATGAGGTTCAGGCGAGGCACCAGCCAGATGAGATAAAGGAGAAGACAATTGGGAGAATCTGAAAAGTTAATGTTTAGTTCCCGTAGAGAGGAAGGCAGAGCCTGAAAGCAGGAATGGCAAACACAGTTGCAACCATGCTTCAAAGTCTCATTTTTTTATATAGGTCCATGGATGATCCCTACAGATTCACAGCCTGCCAACCTTAGAGACTGGAGACTCAAAGCCATATTTAATTTGACATTTTTAAAGTAAAACAATGTGGGATCTCTTACTATTAAAAGTTAGAAAGGAAAATTCTATCAGCTATACTAGGAAAAATACAGCATAATCTTATAGCATATAGCAATTGCTCACTTTGCTACTTTAAATTTCTTTCAAATCCTCACTAACTGTCCTAAAATTAAGTGTGTAAGGACAGTTATAATCTTGTTGACAGTTCCCACTTTAAATTTAGAGGAAAGGAACAAAAACATCACATCATGAAAAGAACTTAATGTCTGTCACCATTTTTACCTTCATTTAACTTTGAGATGTTAACCTCTGCTTTCTAAAGAGCAGTGACTTAGTTTATATTCCACTGAGAACTTAATATATGCCCGATATTGTGTAAAACATTTTCACTCATATTATCTTTTTTTTTATTATACTTTAAGTTCTGGGACACATGTGCAGAACGTGCAGGTTTGTTACATAGGTATACACGTGCCATGGTGGTTTGCTGCACCCATCAACCTGCCATCTATATTAGGTATTTCTCCTGATGTTATCCTTCCCCTAGCCCCTCACCCCCTGACAGACCCAGGTGTGTGATGTTCCCCTCCCTGTGTCCATGTGTTCTCATTGTTCAACTCCCACTTATGAGTGAGAACTTGGAGTGTTTGGTTTTATGTTCCTGTGTTAGTTTGCTGAGAATGATGGTTTCCAGCTTCATCCATGTCCCTGCAAAGGACATGAACTAATCCTTTTCATGGCTGCATAGTATTCCGTGGCATATATGTGCCTTGATCCTCATAACAATCCCTTGTGGTAGAATTACCTGCCTACATTTTATAGATTCTAAGTGTGGAAAATGGGATCTCAGGGTGAATGAGTAGCTCAGTCACACTGATGCTAAATGGCACAGGCAGATCTTAAGAAGAAGAGGGAAGACGAGGAGGAGGAAGAAAAGCACCAGAAATAATAAATCATTACTGTTTGTGAAAATATCAAAGTGAAGAATAGGAACCACATACACTATTTTCATTTACCAGCTATAAACTTTAAGAAAAATTCACTAATTTAACAATAACTTTGCATTCAATAGAGTTAATCACATGGAACTACTTTTTCCTCTCAACAAGGTAACAGCATTTTAAAAAATAGAGGCCAGGTGTGGTGGCTCACACCTGTAATCCCAGCACTTTGGGAGGCTGATGCAGGTGGATCACGAGGTCAGGAGTTCAAGACCAGCCTGGCCAACAAAGTGAAACTCCGTCTCTACTAAAAAAAAAAAAATACAAAAATTAGCCGGGTGTGGTGCCGGGCGCCTGTAATCCAGCTACTCAGGAGACTGAGGCAGGAGAATTGCTCAAACCAGGCAGACGAAAGTTGCAGTGAGCCGAGATCATGCCACTGCACTCCAGCCTGGGTGACAGAGCAAGACTCCATCTCGAAAAAAAAAAAAAAAAAGAATTAGCACTAACTCATGATTTTTTCTAATACTCTAAAGTAATTGATAAATGCGTCATCTGGAGAAGTCAAATGTAGATCACAATCACACTCAGGAATTGAAATCTTGGAACTCGATCAAGTTAAATGTTCTCTATTTGCTGCAGATAAATTTGGTATTAATGAGTAAAAAGAGTCTCATCTTTTCAGCATGCCTTTTTTAAAATATTTATTGCACATGTACTTTGTGTCATATTCTGAACTCTACTGCAGAGACTCATTATTGGAGATGATGCTGAAAGTGTGGCTTTTTTCTTCCTCCACATTTGTCTAGAAAGGGCAGTCACAAACATGTTAATGGATCTGAGCACAAAAATGAATCAAAGAACACAAGGACCATCATTAATATTTAGCACAATTGGAGGAGCTTCCATTTACATAATTACCTGCCATTAAGTTTGTGTCATAACTTTAATGTGGCACAGAGCAGTCGCTGCAATGTTTTTTATATTTTTAGAAAAGTGTCTTCAACTGTGGTAAAACTGTCTCATAATTGGGCTTAGAGAGATGTCCTTCAGAGTGGCGCCTTTGACCTTCTAGAAAGGGCAGGAAAGGTTTTAGTTTTGTATGTATAAGCCCAGGAAATGAAGTGCATTGTTTGCCAGCACAAACTCTACTGCACATCCTACTCAGCCATATAAGGTTTTCAACAAACACAGGCAGATGCACACGAATGCAGTAAATTCAACATATTGCTCTGTTTCAAATCCAAAATAAGAATAGTCTTTTTTTTTTTTTTTTTTTTTTTTTTTGAGGCAGAGTCTCACTCTGTCGTCCAGGCTGGAGTGCAGTGGTGTGATCTTGGTTCACTGCAACCTCCATCTCCCGGGTTTAAGTGATCCTCCCCTCAGCCTCTTAAGTAGCTGGGACTATGGGAACATGCCACCACATCCGAATTTTTTGTATTTTTGGTAGAGATGGGGCTTCGCCATGTTGCCCAAGCTGGTCTTGAACTCCTGAGCTCAGATGATCCAGCTACCTAGGCCTCCCAAAGTGCTGGGATTATAGGCGTGAGCCACCAAGCCCAACCATTGCCTGTTTACTTCTCAATCCCTACAGATAGACTGTAAGTCTCTTGAAGGAAAGAAGTGGAACTTGTATCGTGTTATATTCCTAGGGCCTGGCTTAATGCCTGAAATATAATAGCCTCACATTTGTTGAGTGAATGAATAAAAATCTTACTGCCCTCAAACTACCTGTAAGTGATTAATATGTGACTGAATAATTTTTTAAAATTTTTATTAATCTGTGACAGACTAATTACACATTATTTCAATCTCCTTTTTTTTTTAATTGAGATAGAGTCTCATTCTGTTGCCCAGGCTGGAGTACAGTGGCACAATCTTGGCTCACTGCAAACTCCGTCTCCCAGATTCAAGCAATTCTTCTTCCTCAGCCTCCTGAGTAGCTGAGATTAGAGGTATGCACCACCACACCCTGCTAATTTTTGTGTATTTTGTAGAGATGGGGTTTTGCCATGTTGCCCAGGCTGATCTCGAACTCCTGAGCTCAAGCTATTTTCCCGCCTTGGCCTCCCGAAATGCTGGGATTACAAGCGTGAGCCACCACGCCCGGCTTCAGTCTCCATTCTGACAGATGCTGTGGCTTGATTTGCTTGACATCCTTCATGCTGAAGGCTGAGGAGCTCAGTACTCCACCTCTCAGCCTCTCCTGAAGGGAAGCAGATCTAGGTATGTGACCTTGAGAAGTTACTTCACCTTTCTGTGTCTGAGTTTCCTCATCTGTAAAAGTCCTTCCTCATGGTAGTGTTGGAAAGATTAAATATTGATAAAGCATAAATGATGTCTAGCACTAGGTCTGGCATATAGAAAATGTGCCATAAATGTTTACCATTGTAATTTGTGTTTGTTACACACAACTGACTGCCAACAAGTCTTGCTGTATTTAAAGGTTTTCATCTGGGCAATTTTTTTTACTATCTTTTCTTCTTGTTTCCTCTGCAGTGAAATGATTGATAGAATTGAAGTAAATCATCTCTCAGGTTTTTCAGCTCTAAAATAGACTGTAAGCCCAGGCACGGTGGCTCATGCCTGTAATCCCAGCACTTTGGGAGGCCAAGGCAGGCAGATCACCTGAGGTCAGGAGTTCAAGACCAGCCTGGCCAACATGGTGAAACGCTGTCTCTACTAAAAAATACAAAAATTAGCCAGATGTGGTGGCACACCTGTAGTCCCAGCTACTTGGGAGGCTGAGGCGGGAGAATTGCTTGAACCCAGGAAGCAGAGGTTGCAGTGAGCCGAGATCATGCCACTGCAGTCGAGCCTGGGTGACAGAGTGAGACTCTGTCTCAAAAAAATAAAATAAAAAATAAAATAAAATAAAATAAAATAGATTGTAAGATGTGTCCAGAGAGCTATGCATCTGTGGTAACCCATAGTGAAAGGCAGGCAGGGTGGGAAGGAGTGCTGAGGATGGCATATGGTAGATATGAACAGGGAAGGAGTAAACCCCAAAGCATTTTCCAAAAGAGCAGTTAAGGGGCATTAAAGGCAGGAAATGGATCAAACAAACAAAGACCAACAAAAAGCGTTGCTTCTCCATTTCTTCCTACCAAATGTTTTAGCCTACCTGAGAAGAGATACCCCTCAAGTTAACTTTAGCCTTTTAATACCTATAATGCCAATTCTAAGCACAGATAGAAGCAGACAATAGAACAGTTGGTCTCCAGTCTCACCATGGAAGTAGCTGGAAGGATTCCAATGAGGGATTTAGAAAACCACTGTCTAATTAAGCTAGGTATTTTAGGATTCCATTTGGCTGCATGAAGCAAAAATGAACCAGAGTGGCCTAAACAAACAGGAAGCCCTGACTCTCATTTTACAAGGACACTAAGGGTAAGGAGCCCAGAGATGAGACAACTCTTCAGGGAACCAAGCTCTTTTCTGTATCATGCTCATGCTTTGTTGACCTTAACATGTGACCTTTCTCTTTATGATCACAAGGTAGCCCCTGCATTTTCAGGCATAAATTTATCATTCCAGGAAGAAAGAACGGGGAAGGGTAAAAAACAAAAAATACGTATCAGCAGAGTTTCCCTCCTTTTATTAGAAAAAGGAAGGTTTATTCACTGGATTCATTCTTACATTTTATTGGCTACAATTGAGTAAAATGGGCCGGGCACGGTGGCTCACGCGTGTAATCCCAGCACTTTGGGAGGCCGAGGCAGGTGGATCACGAGGTCAGGAGATCCAGACCATCCTGGCTAACACGGTGAAACCCCGTCTCTACTAAAAAATACAAAAATTACCCGGGCGTGGTGGCAGGCGCCTGTAGTCCCAGCTACTCGGCAGGCTGAGGAAAGGAGAATGGCGTGAACCCGGGAGGCGGAGCTTGCAGTGAGCCGAGATCATGCCACTGCACTCCAGCCTGGGCGACAGAGTGAGACTCTGTCTCAAAAAACAAAAAAGTAAATAAATAAATAAATAAATAAATAAAATTGAGTAAAATGGCCAACCTCAACTGCAAGTAACTCTAGGCACATTGCCAATTAAACAAAACGATGAAATTCACTGAAAAAATATGGAGGAAATAGACATAGCATAAGAAACTAGCATGTTTACCATCGACCTTCCAGTCAATAAAGTAAATTAGGCTTGACTAGCACACAATGAAACATATACTGTATGTTTTGTCTGGTGATAGCTAAAATTAGATTAAGATGAATAGGCTGACAACAATCTTATATAACAAGACAACAATCTTATATTGCTTAGAAAGTAGCTAGGTCTCATCTTCCTTCCCCTTCTTCTCCTTGATCTCCCTTCCATCTGCTGTTCTCCATCTAAAAAGAAAAAGTTGTATCTAGCACATCAAAAAATCCATAATCTCTGAGTCATAAAACATTTTCAAATAGACTTGTATGTTGTGTTATTTATCATTTTTCAACAGCTTTAAAGTTTTTCTATTCATTTCCATCAGAGTTTCATAACATAACACATTTCTATGTTAAATTTATCACATTGTTTCTCAATTTTTCTTTTCTTTTCACCATCACTATTCTGAGGCTGAGAGAAGTAAATGTGCCCTATCTTTAGGTCCCTGGGGATTCCAGATTGTGGCCTATCACAATTACTTTTTCTTTCTGATAGCTCATGATACATGCTCTAAAATACAGATGGTTCAGTGTAGAGAATACACATGATAGAGGAACTCTCCAGAAGTAAGAATATTGTGTTGACTTTAAAAAGGAAAATAAGTGAAAAAACATGAAACCCAGCAAGTTTTCTATGTATAGACATGCATCTCATTCAAAATATTTGTACAAGTTCATCTAGAAGATATTCAAAACGTAACCAAAAGAGATAGCCCTAAGTATCCAAGGCTCAAAATTGTTTAAAACAAGAAAATATTCAGGAAGTTTAAAGCCAAAATTCTTACAGCAAAAATTGCCGTTGGACTTGGAAAGTCAAAGTAACGTCATGCAAACAGGAGAAAGGCTTGCTGCAAAGTAGGAAAAGAAGCTGGCAGTTTACCCTTATGTTTTAGATCATTGATCCCTTCCCAAATCATTAACTTAGGCAAAGTTTCCCGTGCAAATCAGATTCTCTCAATTTCAGGGAATATCTAAAAGGCTCTAAGTGCTTCTTTACGCAATCAGTAAAATTATACAGAAGGTAAAGGGATGATGATCACATCGTAATTTGATCAAGATTTTGCCTAGATGAGGAAATATGTTTAATCTCCATTGGAAATCAGTTCCATTAATATAGAAAAAAGTTTTCAGACTGTTGATAAAAAGACAAAGCAACCTGTGAAACCATAGTTTGAGGCTGAGATAGATATCAGTTAGGAAAGCACTCAAACCACTTTATTCAGTATATAACACGATAAGCAGTTACTTGAACACCAGGGAAGGTGTGCCCTGACCTCATGCCTTCAAGAACTAAGAAATATACGTTCTTGTTCTTGTTCCTGCTGCTGTTATTAACCTTTGAATATTCGTTTCAGTTGCTGAGTAAAATGCTCTTAGTTTCTCATTCCAGAATCTCGAGGCAAAGTATATCTACTTTGAAAACATAATTAGTCAATGTCCAGAATCAGTTAAAGGAAACTAATGACACATTTGTCCAGATTGCATGCCAGGATGGCTGGCTGAAACCAGCATCAAGGAAATCAAAGAACTTTCCCTGTTAATAAGTAGAGGAAAAACAATGAGAGCTGCTGTTAAGCCACTAACCCACTGGGAGGAATGCATTGAACAGGACCAAAAGAAATGCCAATCAGAGGGAATAAAAATCCACAATCGTTTTTAATTGGCTGAAGAAAATGAAATATACTAGTAGATTACAAATGATATTATAGTATTTCTCCTTGCCCACTACCAGATTTCCTCTCTCAAAATGCAACCATTTACATTTTAAACCACATATTAACATCAAATCTGTGCTCCCAAGCTACCCATGCTCACTGTGGAAGAGACAATTAATGTTCATTGCATTTACCAGCCTCTCTTGCAGTTAGGCGGAAATCATGTGACTGAGTCCTCACCAATGGGGATGTGAGTTGAAGTGGTGTGCCCTGCTGGTCCAAGGCATTTAAAAGTGTTTGTGTAGTCAAGCAAATGAAATGGCAAAGATAAGCAAATACATTTAAAAAAAGTAAAAAAATAAAAATTAACAAAAATTAAAAGTATTTGTGAAGCCCAGCATGGTGGCTCACACCTGTAATCCTAGCACTTTGGTAGGCTGAGGCAAGCAGATCGCTTGACATCAGGAGCTCAAGACCAGCCTGTGCAAGACAGTGGGATGCCATCTCTATGAAAAATGAAAAAATTAGACAAGTGTGGTGGCACACACCTGTAGTCCCTGCTACCTGGGAGGCTGAGAAGGGAGGATCACCTGAGCCCAGGAGATTGAGGCTGCAGTGAGCCATGATCACACCACTGCACTCCATCCTGAGTGACAGAGCGAGACCCTGTCTCAAAACAATAAATAAAAGTGTTTGTGAGTTCTCCACACTCCCTGCTATCTGTATGATTAGAAGCAAAGATCATCCAAGACTGAACAGAGTTTTAAGGTAAAAGCAGCTCAGATCCTTGAGTCACCATTGGAGGAGAGGCTCTGAGGAGACCTGCCCGACTTGTCCCATACCTGCCAAGGGCAGAATGAAGTTGAGCAATGAGATTTGAACTTATTTGAGTGTGTCCTCACTTTTCTCTTCATTTAGAAGAATGAATGTTGGGGTTATATGTGTGAAAATGGAAACTGCTTTTTTTCCCTTCTCTTTTTAGGAAAAGAGTAAAAGAATCTACAAATTTGGCAAGTGAGGAAATGGATTAAATGTTCTTTGCCTTAAGATGATTAAACAATACATTCTTGCTTTGGTAATTTATTTAATAGCATGACTGGTCATATACAAAAAGTTGGTATGTGACTTCATTCAGCAAATATCTATTCAGTGCCTGCTGAGTGTCAGGTTCTGTTCTAGGCGGTTCTAGAGAACAAAATGAAGTAAGATCCCTGCCCTAAAGGAGCACACGTTTTTCCAACTGTCAAATTATCTTAAATCAACTCCTTTTAAATTGTTTTCTCTTGATGAAATTTTTTTAATAAGCTATTTTTCCAATAGTTCAAAGGTTTATATTCAGCATGATCTTTATCAAATGTCATTACCCTCTCTATCCTTACCCCCAAAAAGGAAACGTGTTAAATATAGATGCCTCTTAATTTTCTATGAAATTACAGCTTCGACTCCGAGTAGTTACAACCATTGATATTTAGTGACTCAAAAGTCTTTTTTTTTTTTTTTTTTTTTGAGATGGAGTCTCACTCTGTTGCCCAGGCTGGAGTCAGTGGTGCGATCTCAGCTCACTGCAACCTCCATCTCCTGGGTTCAAGCAATTCTTCTGCCTCAGCCTCCCAAGTAGCTGGGACTACAGGCGCATGCCACCATGCCCGGCTAATTTTTTTGTATTTTTAGTAGAGATGGGGTTTCACCATATTGGCCAGGCTGGTCTCAAACTCCTGGCCTAGTGATCTGCCCGCCTCAGTCTCCCAAAGTGCTAGGATTACAGGCGTGAGCCACCGCGCCTGGCCCGACTCAAAAGTCTTTAATAGTCAGTGCTATCATTGGTTCCCATGGGTGTTCTTTACCATGAAGATGGGGTAGCAGCAAAGTACTTATCCATGAACCTGACCTAGAAAATGAAAACTCCAAAGGAGTGTGATACAGTTTGGATCTGTGTCCTCACCCAAATCTCATGCTGAATTGTAATCTTCAGTATTGATGGTGGGGCCTGGTGGGAGGTGACTGAATCACGGGGGTGAATTTTTCATGAATGGTTTAGCCCCTTCCCTTTGGTGCTGTCCTCAACATAGTGAGTGGCCTCTTGCAAGATCTGGCTGTTTAAAACTGTATGGCACCTCACTATCTCTCTTAGTCCTGCTTTTGCCATGCGATGTGCCTGCTCCCACTTCACCTTCTGCCATGAATATAAGCCTGCTGAGGCCTCTCCAGAAGCAGATGCTGCTGTGTTTCCTGTATAGCTTGCAGAACCGTGAGCCAATTAAACCTCTTTTCTTATAAATTACGCAGTCTCAGTTATTTCTTTATAGCAATGCAAGAATAGCCTTACACAGGGTGCAACAAGAGGATGGGCGCCTCACTTCATGAATCATGAGCAAGTCTCTGGTTGCACTATGTAAAGAAAGGGACCCACCGGGCACAGTGAATCACATCTGTAATCCCAGCACTTTGGGAGGCCGAGGCAGGAGGATCACATGAGGCCAGGAGTTCAAGAGCAGCCTGGGCAACATGGAGAAACCCAGTCTCTACTAAATATACAAAAATTAGCCAGGCATGGTGGCACACACCTGTAGTCCCAGCTACTCAGGAGGCTGAAGCAGGAGAATTACTTGAACCTGGGAGGTGGAGGTTGCAGTGAGCCGATAATACCACTGCACTCCAGCCTGGGTGACAGAGACTCCATGCCAAAAAAAAAAAAAAAAAAGAGAAAGAAAGAAAGAAAGAAAGGGACCTTTAAAGTAACACCTTGCAATAGCAAGGCTGCTCTCATTCCTGGTTTTATTTCAAAACCTTGGATACCTCCAGGAAACCTAGACAAGCTAAGGTGGCTTGAGGTTTTCTTGTTCAGCTCTGGCCCCCTCAAACATCATCATATCTCTCTCTCTCTCCTAACTCCTCCATGATGGGAAATCTAGAGTTGCAGGTAAGGAGTCCTGGTGTAATCAGAAACCTCCAAAAGAATCTCAGAACCTACTAGTCAAATGAGGCTCTGTACTCATCTTAAAATGTTACCTGCTATGTTAATTTTCAAGATCTGGGGCAAAAGCTCTGGAAAGAAACAAATTCCCTAGGTGATTTCAAGCTAGAGAGGATCTTTGGAGCAATCCTGGACCCAAACCTAGCTCCTGGAACTGTAAAGATGCAAAGGGAGTTGCTTGTGTGCTGACAGGACACTTTGCATAAGAGACGGGAGCAGGGTCTGGTGTCTTCATCAGCCTGCATTAGCACAGACATCAGGAATACTCAATTATGGTAATATCTCATTTTAAAGAGGCATGAATCTGGAAGACAAGTAAATACTAGCTGGCTTTTGTGCCATGACTTCCAAATGCTCTCTAAGGAATTGAAACAAAGAGTTTGGAAGAGTGGATATGTGACTTCCTTACAAACTGTGCTTAAAGAAGGAAAAGGAAGATGTGGCTTACTGTAACACACTACTTTGCATATTACTATCAAACCTGCCAGGTCACATCTTAATAGTCTTAGTACCTCCCTCATGTTTTCTATCATAGGAAGTAATGTCCTATTACCAAACTTGAGTATCTGTTCTGTTTCAGTGTGGAAGGATCAAATGATCTTGATGAGTGAGTTCATTCATCTGAATCGGCTACCTATTAAGGCTCAAACTCATAGGCTTGCTCTTGACCTCAAATGCTAAGTCCTCAGAGACACCTTGCGTATGTTTATCCTGCATCAAAGATCAAGAGAATGGACAACACCAGAACTCTTAATACAACAGAGAATCCCGAATTGTGTACGTGATGTTTTGAAGCACATTGACTTTATTTTTGTAAGTTAATATTAAAATTGGCAGGAAATGGAATTAAGATGTGTGTGTTATCCTGGGGATTGTAGCAGAAAGTGGATATTGTAGATAATGCTCTCTGAAAGCATGCAGAATAGCAAGAAGTGAAAATTGAGTATGATATGCCATAGTATTAATAATAGTGGCCATCATTTATTTGGCCAGCACTTTATGTATGCTATCTCATTAACCCTAGCCATTTTTCTCACCTTTAGATAAATAAGTTGGAGCTCAGAGAGGTTAAATAAGCTCTAGACTCTCAAGCACCCAGCTAGAATTGACAGGGCTGATATCTGAATGTTGGTCTTTCTAACTCTATAGCCAACACTCTTTCAAATACTCCACAAATCCTTCCATTCCAAGCTCATTTGAGCCAAGATAATTTCCATAAAAGAGAATACAAAATTGGCCAATTAGTGATGGTTGCCTCAGGTCTAGACTTTTGGTCAGACAAGGGTTAATGGCAACATCACCATGTGAAGTAGAGTGGCTGGCAAACTTGCAAGCTGGTGGAGAAGGAGTAATTGCACATTGCAAGGCATTCAAAGAAAAGAGCCAATGGGATCGAAATAAAACCAGAGGCATTGTCGTTATGGCCCAACTCACCAAAGACTGATGAAGCCAACCTGTGGAGCCTCTAACCTCCTTAAAATAGCCTCCTGCAGTGGGAGTGGTGGCTCACACCTGTCATCCAACACTTTGGAAGGCTGAAGCAGGAAGATTGCTTGAGGCTAGGAATTTGAGACCAGCTATGGCAACATAGCAAGACTCCATCTCTACAAAAAATAAAAAATTAGCCAGGCATAGTGGTGACTTCCTGTAGTCCTAGCTACTCCAGAGGCTGAGGAGGTAGGATCACTAGTGCCCAGGAGTTCAAGGGTGCAGTGAGTCATGATTGCACCACTGCACTCTAGCCTGGGTGATAGAGCAAGACCCTGTCACTAAAAAAAATAATAATAAATAGCATCCTGTTCTCCCCTAGGGAGGAGCCCCAAACCCAGTGGCTTTTCCAGGAAGTCCATAGGTAAAACAGGCTCTTTTTTGACCTGAATTCCAGCATTCTAAATAGAACCTAAACCTGCTCAACAGGTTCTGACAATGTAGCAATCCCAGCAACAAAGCTGCGTAGTGTACCCCTTTTTAAAAACCCTATTCAAAATAACCCTCACCCTTGCCTTCTCCATGACACTGATGGGAAAAAGGAGCCAAAGATCCCTGACAGTAGATAATCTACCCTCTCATCTCCCAGAGGCCACAACGAGCTCCTGTATCAGAAGGCAGGCATTTCAACAGCATGGGCTGGAATTAAAAGGACCAATTAATTACCCTCATCTCCCTACCAGGTTCAGAACAAACTGAGAAACATACACCAGATTCCAATGAAGGATCAAAAGATCAGTTTTATTGCTGGTGGAGCTGGATGAAGAACAGTTATTTAGACTTGATGCCAAAGGGGCTTCCTAATGTGCAGCCTCACCGAATGGACTGACTTTCTCAACCTGACTCTGTCCTAGGCCCAGCTGCAGGTTTCCTGCACCCACAGGCAGAAACTGCATGGGAAGTCTGCCAGATGGAGATGAAAGCTACCACTCCTAGGCAGGGCAGCTGCAAAGGAAGAGGGAGACAGAGGTGAGCCACATGCAAAAAGTGGCCTCTGCCCCCGTAGCTCCCTTCACAGGAGAATCATGGATAAGTGTCACATTCTTGCTATCTCATCAATTAGATAAATCAGTCTTCCTCCTATGAGGTGGAGTAAATGGTGGGAAAAGAGGTCAAAGTTTATTGCTTTGCTATTATGTTTAAAGTACACTCTTGGGCCAGGTGCGGTGGCTCACGCCTGTAATCCCAGCATTTTGGGAAGCTGAGGCAGGTGGATCACCTGAGGTCAGGGGTTCAAGACCAGCCTGGCCAACATGGCAAAACCCTGTCCCTATTAAAAAATTTAAAAATTAGCTGGGTGTGGTGGTGGGTGCCTGTAATCCCAGCTACTCCAGAGGCTGAGGCAGGGAGAACTGCTTGAACCTGGGAGATGGAGGTTGCAGTGAGCCAAGATTGTGCCACTGCACTCCAGCCTAGGCGACAGAGCGAGAACCCATCTCAAAAAAATAAAATAAAGCACACTCTTGGACCAGCATGATCCCCTAGAAGCTTCTTAGAAAAGTAGACTCTCAGGCCCCACCCTTACTGACTTACAAGCTTCCTTTTAACAAAATCCTCAGGAGATATGTATGCACATCAAAGTTTGAGAATCAATGCTTTAGCAGAAGTTTTGTCATAGAAATCCCAGGACGAGACAAAACAATTTCCCCGACAGAAGCTCGAACAAGGTGACCAGTGGGACCAAAGGCCATCTGCGGTATTCCATAATGAAGTTTCACTTGGTGTAAGTGGCATAGGATTTTAACAAATATTAGTATTTTAAACTAGAGGTATGGCTTCAACTATCTCAAACTACATAAAGTAACTAAATTCCTGTTCTGCTTTTAGTGAGCTCTTGTCAAGGTGAAGACCAAAAACAAAACAAAACAAAACAAGGAAGAAAGCAACAGACTTTCTTTTGACTCCGATTACACTTCTTCACTTCAGAGGCTCCAATTTAAATCATTTCAAGAACTGAGAATCACCATCCGGGGAAAGGATCTATCTGACAGATCTTGCTTAGTGTCTAGCCCATGGAAAATTCTTGTGGCCAACTTCCTGGCCTCACTGAATTGCTCAAACATGGTCTTTATTTTTTGGCAGTTTAGAGTTGGGGATATAAGTTGAAAACCCAGGATGGGCACAGAGGCTCACACCTGTAATCCCAGCACTTTGGGAGGCCAAGAAAGGTGGATCGTTTGAGGCCAGGAGTTCGAGACCAGCCTGGCCAACATGGAGAAACTCCGTCTCCAACAAAAATACAAAAAATTAGCCGGGCGTGGTGACGCACACCAGTAGTCCTAGCTACTTGGGAGGCTGAGGCAGGAGAATCACTTGAACCCGGGAGGCGGAGGTTGCAGCGAACTGAGATCAAGCCACTGCACTCCAGCCTGGGCGACAGAGCAAAAAGCCGTCTCAAAATAAAAAAGAAAACCCACCTGATGACAAGTCTAGTGCTTATCAGTGGATATGGCCACATATTGAGTGAACCCCAGTTACTCAATTCTTTGACAAACCAAGTACTAATTTGCTATCCTGCAAAGGGATCAGAGATGCATTCAGTTTTGTGACTTTCATGTATAGCCATTACCAAAGAGTACTTTTAGCCATGTTTGTTTGTTCCTCCCCCAGATGCCAATTATTGCCAGCAAGAGGCCTTTACCTCACAACTGTGACCTGCTTTGTGTTTGAGACATTCCTATCTCAGGCTGCCAGGGTTATTTTCGTGACTCTCAGTAAAAGAAAAACTTCAGCCGAATTAAATGTAAAAGAGTTGTATTGAGCAATGACAATAAGCAAATCGGGCAGCCCCCAGAACCACAGCAGATGCAGAGAGACTCCAGTGCAACCACGTGATGGAAGATTTATGGACAGCGAAAGGAAAGGGACATAGAGAAAATGGTAGTGAGGTACAGAAACACTGGATTGGTTACAGCTCAGCTTTTGCCTTATTTGATCACGGTTCAAACAATTGGCTACATTTGATTGCCCAAAATTCAGTGACTGGCACAAGTGTGAGCAATGGTCGGTTTACACCTCTACTTGTTATAGTTCATGATGTACAGGGAAACATTTAGACTGAGCTTAAATATGTAAGGAGGCAGCTTTAGGCTAAACTTGACTGAACACTCTTTTCAGCACTCAGCAGATGTTCCACTTTGCCACCAGCATGTTCTACTCTCTTCTCTGAAGCCTGTACAGCTTGTGAATGGTTAGCTGACCATTGTTCATGACCAAAGATGACACAGATGGGAGGATTGAGTCTCTATGACCGGTGCTTGCCTATTCAAGGGAAAGAGAGTGGAAAGAGTATCTAATTGATAAGAAGGGAGGTCATGGCTGGGGGCGGTGGCTCATGCCTATAATCCCAGCACTTTCTGAGGCCAAGGTGGGTGGATCACCTGAGGTCAGGAGTTCGAGACCAGCCTGACCAATATGCTGAAACCCCGTCTCTACTAAAAATACAAAAATTAGCCGGGCATGGTAGTGGGTGCCTGTAGTCCTAGATGCTTGGGAGGCTGAGACAGGAGAATTGGTTGAACCCTGGAGGCAGAGGTTGCAGTGAGCTGAGATCGTGCCACTGTGCTCCAGCCTGGGCAACCGAGTGAGACTCCGTCTCAAAATAAAAAAGAAGGGAGATCACTAACTCCTGTTGTGAGAACTGAACTGGTATACACTGGCACATTCAAAATGAGCCCTTCAGTTTACTTCACATTCCACTCGGTCCTCTGCTAAGAGTTCAAAACATTCTGATGTTGCTTGTGACTTTTTCCTACAAAGTCCAATGAAAATTAATAAATAGCAGGGTGCTCACTATCATATAAGAATACAGCTTTTTTTCAGTAACAGAACTTGTCAGCCTATTACCTTAGGGCATTTTCACAGTAAACTATTTTAGAAGCACACAGGGTAAAGAAGAATATGTAATTTTGATTTACTAACTTTATTTTTTCTTAAAATGAAAATGTCAAAGGTCTAGATTATTTGAGAAAAAACATTTTCTTTTCTTTTTTTTTTTTTTTTGAGACAGAGTTTCCCTCTTGTTGCCCAGGCTGGAGTGCAATGGCATGATCTTGGCTCACTGCAACCTCCACCTTCCGGTTCAAGCGATTCTCCTGCCTCAGCCTCCCAAGTAGCTGGGATTACAGGCACCCGCCAGCATCATGCCTGGCTAATTTTTTGTATTTAGTAGAGACGGGGTTTTACCACCTTGGTCAGGCTGGTCTCAAACTCCTGACCTCAGGTGATCCACCCGCCTCGACCTTCCAAAGTGCTGGGATTAAAGCCCTCAGCCATTGTGCCCAGCCAACATTTTCTTTATGTGCTGTTCTTTCTGGGAGAATTTTTCTTTGTTCTGGAAGTTATATAGTCAGTTATATAATTCATCTTTGAAGCTGTATTAGCACAGCACAAAGAAAATTTGATATTTGCTCACCAGGTATCTGATTTATTGGATCAATATAGGCTGTTTGAATAATCTGAAGCCCAAAGAGCCTTTTGATTGGTGATTTGAATCAGTTACTCAAGAAACTAAAGGAATGCTGTAAACTTTAATAGGTGGAATACAGTTAGAAATTATCTAAATAACTGCCTGTATTTTCTGAGGAATTGGTCCTTTTCCATTTCATCTTAGGTTGTATAAAACAGCTAAGTTACCTACAACTAACTGTTTTAAAGTTTAGAACTGATTGTTTATGATACTGAACTTCAACCCCGAGAGATAATTTTTTATCCAGAGAAAGCTATTTTTAGCCATAATAACCAAGCAGCTAATGGTCCATCCTCCAATACTTTAAGATAATGTATTCCAATTACATTTGAGTAGATACTGCACTGAAGATATTACATAATTCAGTGCCATTTCCTGCTGGCCTTTATATGCAAACATTGATATAATGGTTCCACTTAACTGTACATTTGAGAAAAATGCCCCCAAAATGAAAAGCTATAATCAAACTATTCTTGGTCATGTCAGAGAAATAATGTATTGTGTTTGAGCAGGGTTTTATTAAGCTTATTAAGTGGTTCATGTACATCTTCTCATTTGCTTTCCACAATAATTCTGTGAGATAAGCAAATTGGGTAGCACTTTTTTTTAATATTGTTTGGAAAATAGGTTCACATGGGTACTAGGACCCACCCAAAGCCATACAGTTAATGATAGATTTGGATAGAGACCCAGGTGTTTTGGCCCCTTTTCCAATTCTATAGGGTTGTGACTAAGGCCTGGGATACATTTCTCACATGATGATTGCAAAAGCCTAAAAGAAATGAAAACATTCTTGTTCTACTTTGAAAATGTCCTAACCACATCACCAAGAAATCTTGTTTAAGTAAAGTAGATGTATCAAAAAGAGGAAACTTTGAATGTTTTTAGATTGGCAAAAATTCCTATGCAGTCTTTCAACATATGTCCCAAATAAGATTCACTATACCTTAGAGAGAAAAATATTACCTTACACATATAGAATCTTTTGTATTTCACAAGGCAATTGTATATTGGTTATCTCATTTAATGTTCATGATAATCCAATGGGTAGAAAGGGCAGATGGAGGAACTAAGTCTCACAATGTTTAAGTGACTTGCCCAAAGTTTCCAGGTGGCAAAACTAGGGAAGAACTCTGATACTTTTTTTCTTCAACTTTTAAGTTCAGGGGTACCTGTGCAGGTTCGTTACATAGGTAAATGTGTGCCATGGTGGTTTGCTGCACAGATCATCCCATCACCACCTACGTATTAAGCCCAGCATCCATTAGCTATTCTTCCTGATGCTCTCCCTCCCCCAACCCATCCCCACAACAGGCCCCAGTGCGTGTTGTTCCTTTCCCTGTGCCCATGTATTCTCATCGTTCAGCTCCCACTTATAAAGTGAGAATATGTGGTGTTTGGTTTTCTGATAACAGCTTCCAGCTCCATTCACGTCCCTGCAAAGGACATGATATTTTTCCTTTTTATGGCTGCATAGTATTCCATGGTGTATATGTACCCCATTTTCTTTACCCATTTTGTTATTGATGGGCATTTGGGTTGATTCCATGTCTTTGCTATCCTGAATAGTGCTGCAATGAACATATGCATGCATGTATCTTTATAATAGAATGATTTATATTCCTTTGGGTATATACCCAGTAATGGGATTGCTGGGTCAAATTGCATTTCTGCCTCTAGGTCTTTGAGGAATCACCACACTGTCTTCCACAATGATTGGACATAATTTACACTCCCACCAACAATATGAAAGCATTCCTATTTCTCCACAACCTCACCAGCATCTGTTGTTTCTTGACTTTTTAATAATCTTAAGGATGGTGTTCTTTCCTCTACCCCTAGACTTGTTGTCACCTTACATAAAGTGGGCCCTAATAGAATTAATTTGGCTCATGGTTCTGTTTTTTGACTCTTCTTATCTCCTCCCCCCAGATGGCTATGCCACTGGGAGACAATTAATAAATACCATGTGGAAAATCTGATGGTATAAAAAAAGTTCCACAAAGGAAGTTAGGCAGTAGCAAGTACTACCAAGGGTGAGGCGGACCAGCCATATTTCTAATACTCTGCTCTGAGAGGAAACAGTCATGCCTTTCTACACAAAAAGGGTCTACCTTGAAGCATACCCTGATAGATATTTTGCTCTTCCACTTTTGGAGATAGTACAAAATTTGTACTGATTTGATAAAGCGGATTCAGAATCACAGAAATGTCTTCAGAATTTTCACTGAGAAATCCTCTACAAAAATGCCTGACTTGAAAGAATATGACACTTGAGGGAGATTATCCACATTCTATATTTGAGCTTTATTTATTTTTCTTTAGTCCCGAAATGTAGTCTGCAATGATTTACAGCTGATACCAGTTTACAAAGGGACTGAAGAAGATAAACTTATTCAAAATAATTTATACGGTTCCCCAAACCATAACTTAGACCATAAGTTATGGTCTAAGAACTACATACACTTTAAGAACATAGTGTATCTCAAAATATAGAAGGGGAAATTTCCAGATATGATCTTATCCATGTGTAAGGATTTGAGGCAAACAAGATGTAATCAAGGAATGTGAAAAAGAACATGCTTCAAATGTCTTTTCCATCTTATTTTCCAGTAGCCTCAGCATGCAGGAACAATGTGTGCTCTACAGACGATAAACTTGTTAATCACTTTTATGCAATAAAGCTTATCTCTGTGAGTACATTACTCATTTAAAAAGTTCTAAAGTATAACCCTACATGCGAATTTTATTCTCCCAGTAATCTTAATGATCAATTTTATTGCTATGTGCTCGACTGTGAGTATATAATTTGCAAAGAAAAGCTTTTTGAAAATTGTTATTTTCTTGAGTTTTAAGGAGTCAATAAACTCGATGGAAAATTTGAATTTTATTATTAAATTTCCTCAAAGCCTCCCCCCATCAATTGTACTTCTTGGCTTTCAGCAGTGTTGGTATTTATTCTCAAATAGCATTCACTGCCTGCTTCAGACCTCATGCACGAGCAATTTGGTTATGAGATGACCCAGTCCAGACACACTGTGGGCTGCTACCACCCTTACCTAAGCCAACCGTAGACCAAATTGTATAATTGAGCAAAGAAATGAAAAAGCAAAGCATGTTGCTTTTCATTTCAAGAACCAGATATCTTCAGGTCTCTCACAAGGAATCTTCCATTCAATTATCTATTCAATTATTCATCAACCATCCATTGAGCACTATTTGCCAACCCAGAGACAGTACAAGAAACATAATGAAATGACTACAGTTTTGTCATCCAGCCCCTCTCCCTCCTCCTGAACTGATAGACCATTTGCAAAACTTGCAGTCCAATGGAAGAGAAAACAATTCTTTAGGATGCCATTTGGCAGGCACTAATGGAGATATGAGCAATAATATGACTAAATTCAGTTGAATTCGCAATATGATCATATAGGTATATTCTTTTTCCTGCAGAGTTCCCAAGTAGGTTTGTTCAGCACTCTTTTGAGCCTCAATTTCTCCACCCACATGATAGAGCTAGTGTCTTCATTTGAGGACATCTCAGAAAAAGATGCTACTAGAAATCATTTTGACTTATGCATGACTTAAAATTTTTGCAACATTCCACTTGCAAAAATGTTTATTGATTTTATATATAGATCCAGAAAATAGCTGAAGTCCAAGGTCATGTGCTAATTATGTTACTTGTTTTTCTGTTCTTTTAGGATGTTTGAATTCCCCTAAAATATAGCATGCTCTCTCATTCTTTCAAAAAGGAAAGAAAATGTAATTTAAAATTATAATGATATTATCCAAATGGGTTTTGTAATGCCTCAATTTTTTGTAAGACTGCCATTCTTTGTTTTTAAGAACTTTGGTGTAAGGCTAGAATGACAGAAATGATGAGTGTGAGTGTGTGTGTGTGTGTGTGCATGCGTGTGCATAAAATCTTCTTATAAAAACAAGAAGGTGTATTGTAATGTCTAATCCAGTGCCAAGAAGAAAGGACCTTCATCTGGGTTGTGAGTCGGGTTCATTCAAAGTTTAGGGAAAAGCTAGCCCTAGCCAATGCTTACTTCTTTTAATCCTCCTCCTCTTCCTCCTCTTCATCATCATCATCATCATTTATCAAAACTTTGCTGATTCCAAGCACTGTTCTAGGTACTTTATATCCGATCCTCACAACAAGTCTTCTTAGAAACTGATCTACAGATTAAGTGAATCACCCATGCGGCTAGCTAGAGGGACAAAGCTAGAATTAAAATAAAGTAAGTCTAAGTGCTGGCCCTCAACTCAGCCCAGAGGCCTGAGTGTCAGCAAGTGGGGTTTTATGCATGCTTCCATGAAAGCACTGGGCCAGCAGGCCCCACATCCCAGCACTCGCATAACCTGGACCTTGTGACTTGCTTCTGCCTCTGCAGGGGCAGTGTGACAGGGTGTAGGAGAACAGGAACGTGTCCTCAAAGAAGGTCACCTTTAATCCTTCAATGGACTCTCTGTGCCTGTCAGATTTGAAGGCTGATCTTGCATGAGCCTTCATTTTCCTTCTAACTGGTTCTTTCTTCCTCTTGCTCACTTTTAAATAGAAAGCTTAAATTTTTCAGATAAGCTGCAGTAATTTAATAGGAATCTACTAGGTAACTGCAGATGGTCAGAAGTGGTTTCTACTGGCTCCTTTCCTGCCAATCCTGTTACGAATGTTGTCACCTGTTATCAGGGAGCAGCTCAATAACAAATTCCATGATTGGAATTAAATTGCTTTAGCTTCATGAGAATTACTTCTTTTGTTGGGAAAAGTGTATTCATGTCATGAAGTTTATTGGCTTTTTACCAATCTCTTCAATCCTCAGGTACCTTTGTAAAATGTGTGCTAGATATGAGGTAGGATGAGAGAAAAAATGTGCTGTTTCTTTCAGCCAAATATTGGCACTAAAATTACCAGCAATTCTTCTTTATGAGAAAAGTCTGCAAAATCCCCTTTAAATAAAGCGTAATGCAAAAAGAAGGGAAAAAAACTGTAAGCTTCCTAATCAAGTCATATATCTATTTCCAGATATACTGACTAACCTTACAATTGGAAATCACATTCTAAATATTTATCATGGCAAGGTTCTATGCTAATAGTATTCTTATAGTCCCAGAAGATGCCAACTAGGTTTTATTTGCATGAAAAGCAACTTCCACAATTAGCATCTTAGCATTTTTTTCCAAAAGGAAAATATTTAAACTTCATGAATGAGTGGGATTTAGAAAGCTACTGCAATTCTTGCTTCTTTTTCCTTTTACTTTCCCTGATTGATAAACTGTTTATGTACATAGCATACTTCTACATTTCTAAGAAAGCAGGTCTCCAGAGAGGTGATGGAGATATTCAATCGGATCATAGCTCTGACTCTTTACATTATAATATATTTGTAATTTTATTACATAGAATTTTGAAGACAATGAACTGTGAACCTCAAAGCCCTTGATGACACCAGCCAAGAATGACACATAAGTGATGATTCCAAATTAGTGAGGGTTTTGTCAAAATGTAGTATCACAGGGTCATCCATGTTTCAAAGATTTACAGCAATAAATTTCATCAGTTTAATCTTGAAACTGGAGAAAAATGATTACCTTTATTGGCTTTTAACTACCAGGCAGATGAGAAAAATAAAATACTAGTAACAAGTAAGGAGTATTGGTTGTAGAAATAAGCAAAGGGTAATATAAAGGTGATAACACTACTAATAAAATATGTAAAGCTGAAATAGCCAATATTTTATATTACTAGAAATTTTATCAAAGAATGCAACAGAATAGGTTTTTTAATTGATATACCATATTTCCTTTCTCCTGAAATTCATTCATACAAACATTTATTAGGCACTTACAGTGTGTCAGATTAGGGGCTAGGTATAAATGAGGGAAAAACATAGCAGCACATAAGTAATATTCTGTGATCATTTTGGGTACAATATACTGCGAATTGGGGTATCATAATTGTTTTTAAAGAGAAAGGCAACCAAAAAATATTCCTAATATGTAACATCTATAGAATAATCTTATATGAGTTATCAAATAGGTTTCTAGGCTACTTCCATTGGTACATATTTTTTAAATAACTACTATATGGAATACCCTTCCGCAAATGAATTCTAGCCATCATCTCATCTTTCCCACACTCATTCAAGAATCCATATCCAGATGCAAGCTTCTGGTTGGTTGAGCCAGGTGATAATGTTGCATGCCAGCCTTCATAGGACAGGAAGGAAGATCAGTCCCTCAGCCCCTTTAATGAGAAACAGGGTACTACCCTCACCAAGATTAACCCAATGCAAAACCTCCACCAAATGAGAAGGGTGCTGCATGGCTAGACAGCCAAAAACACAATGTATGACGAGCTTACTCTCCCACCTTCGGCTGCCCAACATTCTTATGTTTTCATTCCCAATTCATTTATTCAAAAATAAATAAATAATAAACATTCCTACCTAATATAATGCTAATCTACCCCTGTACAAAAATGCACTATCCCTGATATGGTTTGGCTCTTTGTCCCCACCCAAATCTCATCTTGAATTGTAATCCCCATCTGTCAAGGAAGAGACTTGTAATCCCCATGTGTTGAGGGAGGGAGGTGATTGGATCATGGAGGCAGTTTTCTCCATGGTGTTCTTGTGATAGTGAGTAAGTTCTCATGAGATATGATGGTTTTGTAAATGTTTGGAAGCTCCTTCTTCAATATTCTCTCTCCTGTCACCACATGAAGGAGGTCTTTGCTTCTCCTTCACCTTCCACCATGATTGTAAGGTTCCTGAGTCCTCCCCAGCCATGTGGAACTGTGAGTCAATTAAACCTACTTCCTTTATAAATTACTCAGTCTCAGTTACTTCCTTATAGTAGTGTGAAAATGGACTAACACAATCCCTTTTCTCAGACGGAGGAAAATACAGCTTGTGTCTGTCCCTGTATTCAACACCAAATCCAGGGTTTCTATGTTCTGTCCGTTCCTCCTCCAATTGTCACCAGTTTTCTATTTTGATTTTCAGGACCTATGGACTAAGTTGTAAAATCAACGTCAAAACATAGTGGGAGAAGGGAGAAGAAAGAAAACAGTGATAATAGTTAAAGTATACATCAATGAAAGAAATAGAAAAGAGGTTCCCTGACAAGTGAGCTGGACCATAGCTGCAATTTATTACATGTTTATGTCACCCAGTCTTTTCATGCCAGTACTCCACCCAGTTGAGGGACTTCACCCAAACTTCTATTCCTGAAGAACTTGAGACCTCTGCTAGTCCTAGCCACATAGAGTTGCTGAAGTTTTCTCTACCTTTTATCTGGGGATGGTAGTTTTACAAAGTTTCCAAGGGATCCTTCGTGTTCCCTCCATTTATTTCTCAATATTCCTATTAGCTTCTGTTTTAGAGCAAAACCATATTTTCAACTGAAAGAGAAAGTCTTTCCCCCCAACCCATCCCTTTTTTGCCAGTTCACCTAGCAGTACAAAGAGCCCAGATAGGCAGGTAAGAGGCTCAGTTTTCAACTCAGTGGAAACACTATTGTGTCTCCTGGTGGATGCACATCTTTGTTAGGATCTGAACTCTCTAAATCAGCTGAGCCCAGACTTGCAGAGATTAAAGACTTTTGTAAGAGCTTCATGTAAGGAACAACTCCAATTTACATCCCTTGTACACCTGCCTATGTCTCCTGGTTCTAGAAGAATAGCACCATTCACTGATTCATAGTATATGCTGCATCAGGCTGGACAAACACTAACTCTGAAAGGTAATATCTTCCAGCTGTGATTTTAACAAAGTTTTCAATAGGCTTTTCCATTGTTCTACAAGGCCAGGTGCTTCTAAGAGATGGGTACATAAGACCAACGAACCTTATGGACATCAGCTTTATATCTTTTTCTATACAGTGAGTTCCTGGACCAAAGCAATATTTTGTGAGACTCCAAGAATATATAGGGAGCATTTTGTAGATCTACGGCAGAAACCAAAAAGACAAATACAAATCCAGAATCATTACCTACTATAGTAAGGATAAACTGACAGCCCCGGCCAGGTGCAGTGGCTCACGCCCGTAATCCCAGCACTTTGGGAGGCCGAGGTGGGTGGATCACCTGAGGTCAGGAGTTCAAGACCAGCCTGACCAACATGGCGAAACCCTGTCTCTACTAAAAATTACAAAAATTAGCCAGGCATGGCGGCGGGCACCTGTAATCCCAGCTACTCGGGAGGCTGAGACAGGAGAATCACTAGAACCCAGGAGATGGAGGATGCAGTGAGCTGAGATCATGCCATTGTACTCCAGCCTGGGTGACAGAGCAAGACTCCGCCTCAAAAAAAAAAAAAAAAAAAAAAAGAAAAGAAAAATTGACAGCCCCTCCATGATGGAATGGCTCACCATGGTTGGCTTTCCATCAGGGAACTTTTCACCAAGAGGCTAGCTAGTCTTTCCAGGGTGTAGCATCAAATTGGCAGGAACAGAGGGACACTCAGGGTTGTTTGCTACTGCTGTCACCACCAAGTTTGGACATGCAGAATACCTGGCTGTGTCAAAGAAGCACACACCCACACCACCAAGCTTTTCCTCACTTTTAGTGACAGAGAACTAACTGAGGTGGCAACTTATATTCCGTTTTATTCATTTTGGAAGGCAAATCCCAGGATATCTCCTAGATAACAGGGATGCTAGAGGCATTAGGTTCTGGTATGTTTTCTAGAGTTTACCTCCTACCCTGTCATATATATCCTTTACCAAGATATATAGAGTACCAGCCACGTCCTGCTTTTCAGTCCTATCATGAAGAAGTCATCAATACAGCACAGCAGCATGGTACTATGAGACCAGCAACATCCCCAAAAACTAAAATGTGGCACAGAATCTGCAAACTAATGTATCCTAGAGACAGGATAGTAAAGGGATCTTTCTCACCAGGTCAGATGAAGCAAATGAGTCCTATTGGTTAGAATAAAGAAAAAAAAATAACTGTATCAATAACTGCATAACAGATATGTTTTAGAGCATTGTTTTTCTGTAGAAGACCAATTCTGGAAGAGCAGTAGTATTTAGGGTCACCACATTACTATATTTATGAACATCCATTGTTATTCTCCAAGATCCATTCATATTCTGCAAGTTCTGAATTGGGAAATTAAAAGGGAAAGTAATAGGAAACAACATCCCAGTATTTTGTATTTGCTTGGCATAGTATCTGCAGTTCCTTGAGGGCCATATTATTGCTTCCAATTTGCAAGTTGCATTGGGTGGAGAGATCCATGGTATCCTCTTGACTCTCCCTTTCATAATAGACCATAATCCACTGGATCAGACCCAATGTTAGCATTCTGCCAGTCACTATAGATATGTATTCTATCCAAACCAGAGGCAGGGTAACAGAAGTGTGGCTAAGGCTCTAAGAAACTATAATGCAAGAGAAACTCAGTATGGGGCAAGTCAGCGGAATTACAGGGTGAGAGAAATTTTAAGAAGAGAATCATAAGGCTTTAAACATTTCAAGAGAATAGACCAATAGTTTAACCAGTTGCAGATTTCAACAGGTCAGCCAGCAAGAGACATCTCAAATAAGCCCAGTGAAGACCTAGAGGTCAGCATAAGGACTAACAGGTGAAACTACCATACGTCATGGCCATGAAGAAAAAAGAGTTCCTATATCCAGACACTATTTTGGAGAAAAGGATGAACAGCCCAGAGAGGAAGTTTAAAGTATGAATTTAGCTGAATATTTTTCTAAAATAGAATATGATCATCTGAAAAAGCCTTTAATTGGCAAGTTTAAGTGTCCTCTTCCCTTTCTACCATTAAGAGAAAGATTTGAGAGCAAAATTCAATCAGTTCCAGAAAATAAAGAATGTTTGCTCTTTTTTTTACACATTAGTATAATGTGTAACATTGACTGCACTACCCATTATGTATCAATCAGTGCTAAATTATAGCTCCAATTGTATCATTCTCCTTTCCTGCTAAACAGTCCTAACAGATCATTCCAGAGTTATCTCCACAATTTACTTCATTCCCTCTACATTCAACCAAAACTGGCCAATGGTCTCTTCCCTTACACACAACTTAAGCTTTTCTGTCTTCGTGTAAACCAGAAACAAGAAGCCCTCAACAAGGCGGCTTAAGGAAAGGAAAGAGAACTAGAACCTGGTGGGTCAAGAGCTAAGGGATAAACAAAGCTGCCATATTAGCTCCATTGTAAGGAAGTACGCATGGACGTGTCCCTGAAAGTTTGGCCACTCATGCAGGATATGCCAGCACCACTACTCACAGGCCCTGGGCCTGGCAGTTGGGCTGCAGTGGGTGAGCCCCTCGGCAGAAATACATTCAGAAATCAAGTGGGAGGTGATATGGTTTGGATGTCCCCTCCAAATGTAGAGGGGAGCCCCCAGTGTTGGAGGTGGTCCTGGTAGGAGATGTTTGGGTTATGTGGACAGATCCCTTGGGGCTTGGTGCTGTCTCACTGTTGTGAGCGAGTTTTCACAAGATCTGGTCATTTAAACATGTGGCACCTATCCCCCATCTTGCTTCTGCTTTTGCTATGTGAAATACTGCTCTTACTTCACTTTCTGCCATGAGTAAAAGCTTCCTGAGACCTCCCCAGAAGCAGATGCTGGCACCATGCTTCCTGTATAGCCTGCAGAAACATGAGCCAATTAAATGTATTTTCTTATAAATTACTCAGTCTCCAGTATTTTTCTTTTTTTTTTTTTTTTTTTTTTTTGAGACAGGGTCTTACTTTGTCTCCCAGACTGGGGTGCAGTGGTGCAAACGCAGCTTACTGCAGCCTTGACCTCCTCCACTCAAGCATTCCTCATGTCTCAATCTCCATAAGTAGCTGGAACTACAGGCATGCACCATCATGCCCAGCTAATTTTTGCATTTTTTGTAGAGACAAGGTTTCACCATGCTGCCCAGGCTGGTCTCTAACTCCTGAGCTCAAGGAATCTGCCTGCCTTGGCCTCCCAAAGTGCTGGTATGTTATTGTATTTCTTTTTTTGAGACGGAGTCTCGCTCTGCTGCCCCGGCTGGAGTGCAATGGCGCTATCTTGGCTCACTGCAACATCCATCTCCTGGGTTCAAGCGATTCTCGTGCCTCAGCCTCCCGAGTAGCTGGGATTACAGGCCTGCGCCACCATGCCCGACTAATTTTTGTATTTTTAGTAGAGATGGGGTTTCCCCATGTTGGCCACGCTGGTCTCAAACTCCTGACCTCAGGTGATCTGCTCACCTCGGCCTCCCAAAGTGCTGGGATTACAGGCGTGAGCCACTGCGCCCAACTAGTATTGATTTACAGCAATGCAAGAACAGCCTAACACAAAAGGAAACACGGGAGTCCCAGGGACCCATCCCATTTATCACAGAGCCAAGACAGTATCTGAGTATTTGGGGAGCACAGTCATACCTTCAGAAAAGAGGCTAGCCCCTATCCAGGGCTCAGGAGTTCTATGTGGAGCTTAGATCCAGGAGTAACTATGCACTGTAAAGAAATTGGTCCCGGCCTACTAAGTAATCGACTTCAGGTGACAAGAATTTTTCAGACCACACCTGTTGATGAGGCCAGGGCTACCAAGGCCAAGCAGAGCTGGGAAAATAAAAAATTGATACCATTATTTGATGCATAGCTCACTTGTGCTTGGTAAATTCTCCCTTACTTGCATGTTACTCTTTCATGTCCTCTCTCTTTACCCCACATTGTTTTCTTTAAGAGCACCCCACCCCTGCCCCCCCGCACTCTGGAATAGATAGGGTCCTCGATGCTTGTTTTTCAGCCTTGGTGATCTTTGCATCCTCAGAAGGATCTAACAATCTAACTTGCTCAGAGTAGTACTTAGTTATTTATTGACTGCATTTTTATGGTATTAAGTCAAAGTAACAAGGACTTACTTTCTAGAACCATATGCAATCGCTCTGATATAAAGTACTATTGTAAAGGTTACCCAATTTGACATGAATATAACAGCTTGAACCAGCTTGCAAAGTGTTTTATACATGGAGTGGTGTTGCAATTGCTAAAGCAGCTGCATTCTTTCTAGAGAATAGCAAAGATTCTCTGAAGCATTCAAAAACATATAGTCATTGTATATGTTAGTGCTGCCCTTGAAATTACAAAGGATCTTTTGATAAGAGTTCTAAGCTACAAGTGCTTCCATGGATGCTTGAGGATAATGAGTACAGATTCACACTCCTGCACTTACAGTTGATTCATCTCTTTTGTGACTCTTCTTGGTGAACAAAGAAAAATAAAAGTAGGTATGAACTGAACATATGCTGAGTCATGTGGGGAACATTTTTGCTTTGTTTTCAAAGAAATGTTTTAGCATCCTGAGTTCCAATACAGGGAATTGTGGGAGTCAAATGGATGCAGAAAGTATACATGGATGTATTCAGCACAAATGTGAGTCAAAGAATCTAACAAAACTTATATTAGACTTTTGTTTTCAGTCAAAGAGAATCAAATTATAACTTTGTAAATTTCTAGGGCTTTTCAAAATAAACAGCCTTTCAGAAAAAAGTGTTGAATAAACGTCAAGGCCAAATCTTGTTTCAACAAGAAACATTTTAATAGCAAGCAAGTAAAGCAGAGTGCCAATTTCTAAGTTTCTGCTGATCGTTATTTATCTAAACTGCTCACAACAGCATCAAGACTGTAGGATCTGGGCTTTGACCCGCCTGCCAATCTCACCTCAATCCTTTTCCTTCTGCCATACCAACAACCTTTCAATTTCTTGACTTTGCTGTGCTTTTTTATACCTTGGGTCTTTGCACATAATGTTCTCTTTGCTCTAGAAAATTCTCCACTTCCCCACCCTACACACTCCTTACACAACTAGCTCCTTCTAATCGTTTAGGTCTAAATCTAAATGTGATTTTCTAAGAGAGATCTTCCTAAAATTTGGATTCAGAGCAATCCCAACACCAGCAGGCTTTTTATGGAAGTTGACAAGCTAACAGTAAAATGTATATGGGATGCAAAAGACAAAAACAAACAAATAAAAAAATGTATATGAAGTTGCAAAGGACCAAGAAAAACTAAGAATCTTGAAGAAGATGTACAAAGCTCTAATAATAAAAATAAGAGAGTGATCTATTAAAATACAATGAAATAAGAACTTCATTTCTTTCACTGATACCATTAAAATTGTGGTAAAGTAAACCATAAATATGTACGGGTATGTGTGTGTATAGTCTTGTGTCCAGAATTTATAGCGTTTCTGCAAATCTGTAAGAAAAAGAAAGAGGCTGGGCGTGGTGGCTCAATCCTGTAATCCCAGCACTTTGGAAGGCTGAGGCAGGCAGATCACAAGGTCAGGAGATTGGGAGACCATCCTGGCTAATACGGTGAAACCCCATCTCTACTAAAAATACAAAACAATTAGCCGTGCATGGTGGCAGATGCCTGTAGTCCCAGCTACTCGAGAGGCTGAGGCAGGAGAATGGCATGAACCCAGGAGGCAGAGCTTGCAGTGAGCCAAGATCGTGCCACTGCACTCTAGCCTGGGCGACAGAGTGAGACTCCATCTAAAAAAAAAAGAAAAAAGAAAAAGAAAGAGAGCCCTATAGAGAAATGAGCACAAGACTTGAACATGCACTCCACAGAATAAAATAAACAAATGGCCTCTTAACACATGAAAAGATGCTCAACCACATTAATCATCAGGGAAATGCGAATTAGAAACACAGTAAATAGAGCTGGTAACTGGCAAGATGGCTGAACGGGAACAGCTCAAGCCTGCAACTCCCAGTGAGACTGATGCAGAAGGCAGGTGATTCCTGCATTTCCAACTGAGCCTCTGCTGGTGATACCCAGGTAAACAGGGTCTGGAGTGGACCTCCAGCAAACTCCAGCAGATCTTCAGCAGAGGGGCCTCACTGTTAGAAGGAAAACTAACAAACAGAAAGGAATAGTGTCAACCTCACCAACATCAAAGACCAAAGGTAGATAAATCCATGAAGACAGAGAGAAGAAACCAGCGCAAAAAGGCTAAAAATTCCAAAAACCAGAAAGCCTCTTCTCCTCTAAAGGATAACAACTCCTCACCAGCAAGGGAACAAAACTGGATGGAGAATGAGTTTGATGAATTGACAGAAGTAGGCTTCAGAAGATGGGTAATAACAAATTCCTCCAAGCTAAAGAAGCATGTTCTAACCCAATGCAAGGAAGCTAAGGACCTGGAAAAAAGGTTAGGCAAATTGCTAACTAGAATAAATAACTATGTTTAGAGAAGAACATAAACGACCTGATGGAGCTGAAAAATGCAGCACAAGAACTTCATGAAGCATACACAAGTATCAATAGCTGAATCAATCAAGTGCAAGAAAGGATATCAGAGACTGAAGATCAACTCAATGAAATAAAGTGAGAAGACAAGATTACAGAAAAAAGAGTGAAAAGAAACAAACAAAGCCTCCAAGAAATATAGGACTATGTGAAAAGACCAAATCTACATCTGATTGGTATATCTGAAAGTGACAGGGAGAATGGAACCAAGTTGGAAAACACTCTTCAGGATATTATCCAGGAGAACTTCCCCAATCTAGCAAGGCAGGCCAACATTCAAATTCAGGAAATACAGAGAACACCACAAAGATATCCTCGAGAAGAGCAACCCCAAAACACATAATCATCAGATTCACCAAGGTTGAAATGAAGGAAAAAATGTTAAGGGCAGCCAGAGAGAAAGGTCGGGTTACCCACAAAGGGAAGCCCATCAGACTAACAGTGGGTCTCTCTGCAGAAACCCTACAAGCCAGAAGAGAGTGGGGGCCAATATTCAACATTCTTAAAGAATTTTCAACCCAGAATTTCATATCCAGCCAAACTAAGCTTCATAAGCAAAGGAGAAATAAAATCTTTTACTGATTTTGTCACCATCAGGCCTGTCTTACGAGAGCTCCTGAAGGAAGCACTAAATATGGAAAAGAACAACTGGTCCCAGCCACTGCAAAAAACATACCAAATTGTAAAGACCATTGACGTTATGAAGAAACTGCATCAACTAATGGGCAAAATAACCAGCTAGCATCAAAATGACAGGATCAAATTCATACATAACAATATTAGCCTTAAATGTAAATGGGCTAAATGCCCCAATTAAAAGACACAGACTAGCAAATTGGATAAAGAGTCAAGACCCATCAGTGTGCTGTATTCAGGAGACCCATCTCACATGCAAAGAAATGCACAGGCTCAAAATAAAGGGATGGAGGAAGATTTACCAAGCAAATGAAAAGCAAAAAAAAAATAGGGGTTGCAATCCTAGTCTCTGATAAAACAGACTTTAAACCAACAAAGATCAAAAGAGACGAAGAAGGGTATTACATAATGGTAAAGGGATCAATGCAATAAGAAGAGCTAACTATCCTAAATATAAAAACACAATAAATAACACATGCATTCCTTCTAAAATAACTAAAATTTAAAACTCTGACAATAGCAAGCATTAGTAAATATGGGAAAACAAATGAAATTCTCATTAATTGGCTGGGTGCAGTGGTTCATGCCTGTAATCCCAGCACTTTGGGAGGCCGAGGTGGGCAGATCACAAGGTCAGGAGATTGAGACCATCCTGGCTAACAGTGAAACCCCGTCTCTACTAAAAATGCAAAAAAGAAATTAGCTGGGCGTGGTGGTGGGCACCTGTAGCCCCAGCTACTCAGGAGGCTGAGGCAGGAGACTGGTGTGAACCCGGGAGGCGGAGCTTGCAGTGAGCCAAGATCACAGCACTGCACTCCAGCCTGAGCGACAGAGTGAGACTCTCTCTCAAAAAAAAAAAAAAAAAAAAAATTCTAATTGCTGGTAAGAGTATAAATTAGCATCACTTTGGGAAAATAATTTGGTCCACGTACTAAAGCTGATCTATACATGTGCTATGATCTAGTAATTTATCTCCTTGGTATATAAACGAGAAATGTATACATGTGCTTGCCAAGCAACAAAATAGAAACTAAGTTTCTATTTTGAGTTCCATTCTTCCTATTGAGTTCAAGCATTGAGTTCCATCCTTCATATTCAAGCATTCCATACTCCCTTGCCCCTGAGAGTGCATCTAATTCTGGATGATTATCTAGGAGAAAGATTGGGGTATGTGAGTACCTGACTTTGTCTATCATCTATCCATGGTGGTATCTGCTGAGATGCCAGCATACTGTTTTGGGTTTTAGCACAACACAGGTTCCTACTGAGTTATCCTATAACTGTATATAAGAATTTTGATATTGCCTCCTGCAATTCCTGTTGGCACTCCAGAGAGAAAGAACTCAATATTCCATTTCAAGTAAACCATAAGCATCCAAGTTCTTGTTGCTCTCCCACCAGAATGACGTCACTTTTAGATGTCATGTATTCCCTCAAAGCTGTAGCCTATACCATGAGTCCTTTCCACTTGCCTCAGTAGCTAGACTTCTTAAATTCAAAAGCCGGGACATGAGTGGGGAGGAAGGAAGAGGCAACACCCCACATACACCAGATGATACCACTCCATTATCTAAAGGCTTGTAATTGCTTTTCCTTATACTCAAAATAAAATATCTATTTCTTTTTTTGAGACAGGGTCTTGCTGAAGTAAAGGGGCTGAAACATGGTTCACTGCAGCATCAACCTTTTAGGTTCAAGTGATCCTCCCACCTCAGCCCCCTAAGCAGCTGGGATTACAGGCACATGCCACCATGCCCAGCTAATCTTTGTATTTTTTGTAGGGACAGGGTTTCTCCATGTTGCCCAGGCTGGTCTTGAACTCCTGAGCTCAAACAATCTGCCTGCCTTGGCCTCCCACAGTTCTGGGATTACAGGCATGAGCCACCATGCCCAGCCTAAAATCTATACATCTTAAATCTAAGGGATTAAAAATGGCCATACATGCTTTGCAGCTCCTTCCATCAGGAAGTATAATCTATTTCCCCACATCTTGAATCTGAACTGGCCCTGTGACATTTTTCAACTAATAGACTAAGGTGGAAGGAAGTAGCATTGCACAACTTCCAAGGAAGGCCTCAAGAGGCCTTGCAGCTTCTGATCTGCTCTCTTGCTGCCCTGAATTTGCCATGTCAAGAAGCCCAGGCTATCCTCCTAGGGGAATGAAAGACAACATGGAGAGGGAGGCCTTACCGATAGCTAGCACCAACTGCCAGGTGGAAGGAGGCCATCTTGGACCACTGGCTAGTACAGTCACCAGCTGACTACAACTGTTTGAGTGGGCCTAGGTGAGACCAGGAGAAAACCACCCAGCTGAACTCAGCCTGAAGTGCTGACCTATGGAATCATGAGCAAATAAAGGGTTGTTGTGTTTTGTTTGTTTTTTGAAACTGAGTTTCCCTCTTGTTGCCCAGGTTGGAGTGCAATGGCACAATCTTGGCTCACTGCAACCTCTGCCTCCCGGGTTCAAGCAATTCTCCTGCCTCAGCCTCCCAAGTAGCTGGGATTACAGGTGCCTGCCACCATGCCTGGCTAATTTTGTATTTTTAGTAGAGACAGGGTTTCTCCATGTTGGTCAGGCTGGTCTTGAACTCCTGACCTCAGGTGATCTGCCCACCTCAGCCTCCCAAAGTGCTGGGATTACAGGGATGAGCCACGGTGCCTGTTGTTCTTTTAAACCACTACATTTTAGAATGGTTTGTTACACAGCAGTAGACCACTGATGCAGTATGGTACACAGAGCCTTGCATGAGCTGGTCCTGCCTGCTTCTCCTACCTAACTGCAGCAGGCATTGTTCTGGCTTTCTACACCCCAGGGATGCTTTGAGTTGCTTAAATGCTCATAAACTGTTTCTGCCTAGCATATTTGCACATTCTTTCCTCTGTCAGGAATACACTTCCCTCAACCATTTTCCTCGCTAAATATTTCTCATTTTTCAAGTCTTAATTTCAATATCAGAGAGGCCTTTTCTGATGAACCAATATAAACTAAATTTCCCTGGTTTTTCCCTTTGATAGCACCCTGTTCTCTTCACTTATAGTACTTATCACAATTTGTAACTAAAACGTACTTATGTGTGATTATTTAATGTATAGCTCTTCCAATAGACTGTAAGATCCATGAAGATAGGGACCATATGTGATTAATTTACCACTCTAAACCCAGCACCCACTCCCAGAGACTCACATGTAGTAGGTGCCTAATCAACTTATGGAATAAATACATGAATGCTTTTTACTATGGCTACATACTTAAAATATTTCAGAAACATCCTGAATAAAATGTCCAATGAATGCCATTTCTTTGTAATCTGTCTACCAAGCAAGGCACACATTTCAGAATCAGATATATTGGTTGCATTGGTTTTGCTCCCATATTGAAAGAGTAGCTGATAGGTAGGCCCAAAGTTACAGCCAAATGAAATGGTTCTAGCATCAGATGAAAGTGATATAGTTAGCACTTACTTTCAAAGCCTTCTAAATCTCTTCTTCCTATTTTGATTTCCATAGAAAATGGAAACTAATCAGACACTTTTTCTGAAAAATAAATTTATTTGTACAAATTGTTCTAAAGTCCAGAGTATCTAACTTTTTTCCATTGTAGAAATAAATCAAATTATGATGGCCTTTCCTATGAAGTCTTGCTTTTTCTAAAACTATATGCCATTTAAGTCAAAGTGTAAGTCTAGGCAGATAGAGTTTTCCAGGTGGTAATAGGACAGTGATGTAAAGAAGTTCAAAGCTACATCAAAATTAAGATGCAAAAGTACATTCAAGGAGATATTGGTAGAACTGGAAAGTAAAGATCATCAAATCATCAAATATACAGGATGGAGCAGAACCAGCTGCAGACAATTGGAGGAGGTCCAGGTGAACACACATCATTTATTTATTGATCCATTCAAAAATTCATGAGCACCTATTATGTAACTGACACTGTTGTATATCCTGGGGATTCAGACATGATCAGCATAGACAAAAGTTTGGCTGCTCCATGGTCATCAGAGACCCGGGCCTCTTCCATCTTGCCATTTCTCCATCATTAGCACATCTTCCATCTTTATGTTTCCCTGATCATCAAAAATGGCTACTGGAGATCCAGTCACTTTCTGTAAAATAGAAGAAAACTTGAAAAATTGAGGACAGACAGAATAGTGAACCATTGAGGTTATTGAAAACTCAGTGACATGAAAGGTCTGTTCATCAGGGTGTGCCAACATCCTAGTCTAACATCTAGCTCCCCAGCCAGAGAAAAGAAAAAGAGAAGGACAAAAATGTGTTTTTCAAATATGTTGCCTCTTTAAATGCTTCCCACAAACTCCACCCAATAAGTTATAATTACTCTCATTGGCTATCTCTAATCTCAAGGTAGACTAGAAAATGAGGTCTTCTAGTTGAACACATTGCCTCCTGGGACAGAATTGATCCTTCTCCTTAGAAAGATGAGGAAAATGGATACTGGCTTGGCAACTAGCAGCCTCTGTCACAGAGATCATGGTTGGAGTAACGTTCCAGAGAAATTAAGTGAAGATGGGGTCTAGAGCAGGGCTACCAAGATTAGATGAAAGAGGAATACTTTTTCCTTCCTCAAGGACAGGAGCACACCCTGATGAACATACCTTTCATGTCACTGAGTTTTCAATAACCTCAATGGTTCATTATCCTGTCTGTCCTCAATTTTTCAAGTTTTCTTCTATTTTACAGAAAGTGACTAATGTGGATTTATTCTCAATACTCTGGATTGTTTTACAAAAAAAGTTTCTGTTAATTTACTACAATTATCTCAAGATTTGAGAATTGGTAATACAGTTTTTTTAAACAATTAGGTTTGCCCTTCTAATATTTTCTTTTTAAGTTTTTAACTGTTTTATAAGAAAATATGAAGTTTCTGGAATAAGTTCTTATACGCACTTAGGCACTCTCATGAACAAGTGCCTCATCACAGTGAGACCCTCTCCACCCTTCCTACATGTTTCCATTGTCCTCCAATTCCTCCATCACTGCCACATGGTCCACCATGCTGTCTTTTTTTGTATTCCACAAATATGTCTTTTTAAGGTTAATAAAATACATTCAGGACGCCAGGTGCAGTGGCTCATGCCTGTAATCCCAGCACTTTGGGAGGCCAAGGCAGGCAGATCATGAGGTCAGGAGATCGAGACCATTCTGGCTAACACAGTGAAACCCCGTCTCTACTAAAAACACAAAAAAACCCCAAAAAAATTAGCCGGGTGTGGTGGCAGTCGCCTGTAGTCCCAGCTACTCAGGAGGCTGAGGTGGGAGAATGGCGTGAACCCAGGAGGTGGAGCTTGCAGTGAGCCGAGATTGCGCCACTGCACTCCAGCCTGGGCGACAGAGCGAGACTCCGTCTCAAAAAAAAAAAAAAAAAAAAAAAAAAAAAAAAAAAAAAAATTCAGGATATGCAATTGAGTCCAGTGTTTCCAACTATTTACATGAACTCAATGGAGTTTAACTTAAATTTTTAGGCAGAGATGATTTTCTTATTATTAGTTGATTTTTTTTTTTTTTTCTGAGACAGGATCTCATTCTGTTGCCCAGGCTGGAGTGCAGTGGCATGATCTCAGCTGACTGCAACCTCTGCCTCCTGGGTTCAAGCAATTCTCCCACCTCAGCCACCCCATGAGCTGGTTACTACAGACGTGTGTCACCACACCCAGCTATTTTTTGTATTTTTAATAGACGGGGTTTCACCATGTTGGCCAGGCTAGTCTCAAACTCCTGACCTCAGGTGATCCCCCTGCCTTGGCCTCCCAAAGTGCTGGGATTACAGGCATGAGCCACCGTGCCTGGCCTACTATTATTATCTAATTTTATTTCAAGCCAAACACCCTGGGTTTTCCCTGGCCTTTTACTATAATCTCATTTCACATTTGCCACTGCCAGACTGGCAATGCAGCCTCCTTTCCCAAAAGACAAGTTATTTTGAGGAGTTCCTATAACCACTCTGACTCTTCATCCTAGTTTTCCTGCCTCCATTATCAGAAGGTTTCTTTTTATGGAGCCATCATAACACATATAGGTTCTGCTTATGAAATGTACCTTCCTCAGAGCTCCAGAGTGTCCTGAGGTCAGATAAAAAATTTGTGTAACATTTAAGATTACTTATATACTTTGATTAAAAAATAGTCCATATCTCATTTTTTTTCATAGTAGAGAACAGTTTGCTCATATTTAAGATTTTTTAGGCCAGGCACAGTGGCTCGCATCTGTAATAGCACTTTGGGAGGCTGAGGCGGGCGGATCACGAGGTCAGGAGATCAAGACCATCCTGGCTAACATGGTGAAACCCCGTCTCTACTAAAAATACAAAAAAAAAAAAAAAAATTAGCCGGGTGTGGTGGCGGGCGCCTGTAGTCCCAGCTACTCAGGAGGCTGAGGCAGGAGAGTGGCATGAACCCAGGAGGCAGAGCTAGCAGTGAGCCAAGATCGTGCCACTGCACTCCAGCCTGAGTGACAGAGTGAGACTCTGTCTCAAAAAAAAAAAAAAAAAAAAAAAAAAGATTTTTTAATGTAGTGTCATAAAAACAAGAATCCATCTCCCCACTTGCACACTGTATCTGCACTTCTTTCTCCTCCATCTCTATGATCTCCATCACCAGATTATTTCCAGTTCAGAGCTGCCCAAGCATCTCCAAGGACAAGCTCTGGGGACAAGCTGAGTTCAGAATTTGGGTGAATATATTTCCCAGTAAAAACTGAACCTTCCTTTAAAGAATACAACCATTGGCCAGGCATGGTAGCTTATGCCAGGCATGGTAGCTTATGCAATCCCAACACTTAGGAAGGTCGAGATAGGAGGATCACTTGAGCCCAAGAGTTTGAAAGCAGCCTGGTCAACATAGAAAGACCCTATCTCTGCAAAAGAAAAATTAAAAAAATTAGTCAGACATGGTGGTGTGCACCTACAGTCCCAGCTACCGGGGAAGCTGAAGCAAGAGGATCACTCAAGCCCAGGTGTTTGAGGCTGAAGTGAGCCATGATTGCATTACTGCACTCCAGCCTGGGCAACAGAGTGAGACCCTATCTGAAAAAAAAAAAAAGTCATAGATCTAAAACAAAATAAAGCAAAACAAAAACATGCATGCACACACATCCAAAAACCAATGTAGAAATCACTAAACAGACAAACATATTTGCCGCTAAATTTATGGCTTATAAAAATGAAAATAAAGTGGACAAATAGTGGCTATTGGTTGTATTTTGTTCCTCCAGCACACCCCTCTTTTCTGGAAGCCAGCACAGCTATTTCCTAAAAGGACTGCAATTTATGTGGTTTCAATGCAGCTGTCCTGACCCTCTCCCTGTCTCCAGTTGGGGAGGCCAGAGTGTGTCAGGATCAGCCTGGGTCTTGGCTAAGATTTCTCATGTAGAAGTTGTAAAAGAAAGGGCCTTTCTCTCTCAAAGGTGGCAAGTTGTGAGAAAAAGGAAATCTGGAGCTGCCTATAACCATCGTCCCTAACCCTAGAAATAAGTTATCTACAATAGACAAAAAAGAGGCTAATATGTAAAAGCGGTCAGGAATAGCAAGATGAAAAGAGGCAGAACCCTGAAAACAATATTTGGGATCTCGGATTCCACACATTTTCTTTTCTGCTTTAAAGAGTTTGTATGGGGTTGCCGGGCACGGTGGCTCACGCCTGTAATCCCAGCACTTTGGGAGGCCAAGGCAGGTGGATCACGAGGTCAGGAGATCGACATCATCCTGGCTAACACTGTGAAACCCCATCTCTACTAAAAATACAAAAAAAATTAGCCAGGTGTGGTGGCATGTGCCTGTAGTCCCAGCTACTCAGGAGGCTGAGGCAGGAGAATGGTGTGAATCCGGGAGGCGGAGCTTGCAGTGAGCCAGGATCACATCACTGCACTCCAGCCTGGGCGACAGAGCAAGACTCCATCTCAAAAAAAAAAAAAAAAAAAAAGTTTGTATTGGGTTTCTGTTACTCACTCTGGGTTTCCTAAGAGTGCCTGTCTACTACAGACCAGAAGACATATACACCAAACGGCATTCTGGGGAAAACTAAAGATATCTGCTGGTGTATAAAGTTATGTCTGTCTTAGACAGATTTTATAAATTTTCCAGATTGTTTTAGCAGACCTACTGTTATTCACAAATTATTTACATTGAGTTGGTTTGATGATGTCTGCCAAGTCTTTTAACACTCCATTCTTTCAGCTAAACTCAATTACACATTTTTTAAAAAAACATGTGGGCTCTTTGCATAACTACTAGAGTCCTTTTAAACATGTTGCTGATCAATAGCACCTTCACCAATTAAAATTTAGGGATAAAAGAGGGACAAAATTCAAACCTACCATTCCCATAGTTTTTATTAACTTCGTGAAACAGTGTGTCAAGAGAGGATATTATGGATTGAAATGAGTATTCAGAGATTTTATTTACCCATTATATTAGAGATGGTACTTTTTGCGTTACTTCATTAGGATGCTTATTTTAGATTCCCAAATCAGTTTCATTTCCTGTGCATCACTAACATTTGGAAAGGTCAGGTATTTTAAAACATCTTTATTTCCTTAAGTTGTCCCCAGAAAAGAATATTTATTTCTGGTCATTTTAATGGTTGTTGTTAAAATTATCAGCATACTACCTTGGATGCCTTGACTTAAAAGATTGATTTCTATCATCCATCTAGCCTACCGTTGGTTAGTGAAGATATCTTCTCAATGCATTTTGAGTAATAACCAAGGTAAAAGGTGGTCATTGTTCTGAAGAACAAAGTCCCGAGTGGCACCACAGCTATAGCAACCTATAAGCAAGTGTGCCTGGCTCCAAGTCTATGTCTTATCTCTGCTAGAAAAAATGACAGGCAATTGAATGGTGTGATATTAAATTTAGAACCCAGAAAACATGGAAATTAATTTGTATATATCTATGGGAGAAGAGAAAATAACATTTTTTTTTTTTTTTTGAGACGGAGTCTCGCTCTGTCACCAGGCTGGAGTACAGTGGTGCAATCTCGGCTCACTGCAGCCTCCGCCTCCTGGGTTCAAGTGATTCTCCTTCCTCAGCCTCCTAAATAGCTGGGACTACAGGCGCCTGCCACCACGCCTGGCTAATTTTTTGCATTTTTAATAGAGACGAGGTTTCACCATGTGGGCCAGGATGGTCTCAATCTCCTGACCTCATGATCCACCCACCTCAGCCTCCCAAAGTACTGGGATTACAGGCATGAGCCACCACACCTGGCCTAAAAATGTTTTTAAGTATTGAGAACTAGCACAACCCCTGTAATCTAAGCTAAAACTCAAGAAATAAACGAAAGAAATTTTAATTTTAAAATGTTTGCATTCTTTTTTTTCTTTCATGAGGTGGGGTCTTGCTATGTTGGCCGGGTTTGTCTTGAACTCTTGGTCTCAAGCAACCCTCCCACCTCAGCCTCCCAGAGGGCTAGGATTATAGGCATGAGCCACCGTGTCTGGCCTAAAAAATGCCTTTTTTTTTTGAGACGGAGTCTCGCTCTGTCACCCAGGCTGGAGTGTAGTGGTGTGATCTCGGCTCACTGCAAGCTCAGCTTCGCGGGTTCATGCCGTTCTCCTGCTTCAGCCTCTTGAGTAGCTGGGACTGCAGACGCCTGCCACCACGCCCGGCTAATTTTTTGTATTTTTAATAGAGGCGGGGTTTCACCGTGTTAGCCAGGATGGTCTCGATCTCCTGACCTTGTGATCCGCCTGCCTCGGCCTCCCAAAGTCCTGGGATTACAGACGTGAGCCACCACACCCGGCCAAAATGCTCACATTCTTAATCTTCACAGTCACCTTGAGAATGACAAGTGGCCAAAAAAGCAAGGAGAAGTGAACCATCATTCAAACTCATCCAAACTATTGAGAAGCAACTCAGAATACACATCCTGGGGATGGCTGTTCATGTACATCAGTCATATTTGTTGAGAAAAAAATATATTATTGATCTAGTCAAGATGAAGGACTTACTCTACCCTCAAGTAAACCTTAAGAACTGCCATAACTTTAACTACAGCCTTTCTCTCGCCAGAGTTAACGTATACCTACACACAATAGCGGTATTTCATTATTAACCATTTGTATTGCCTTTTTAATTTTTATAAACTGTAAACAATGGTTTTCAAACATTAAGAACATACAACACCTCCATAAGCCACAGCAATCCATCTTCAAACAATGTAAATCCAACGACACGAGTCATACACTGGGTGAGTCAGTAAAGTCAAGGCTATGCTAAGCTAATGATTCATCATTAATCTGAATTTATATTCATGTTTCTCCATGCTTGAAGGCAAACACAAGAGATTAAATTATTTTTAAAATGCATCTTCTTGACAAACACACCAGACTGGCAAGTAAAAACGGTAACTTCATTTGATGCCAAGCTTCCCTGAAGTAAATCAGATATTTCTGCAGAACTCAGACAGAGCCATGCGTTTCAAAAGGCCCTGAAAGGTGTGAGCCACACAAGGGAACACGAAAGAGAAACCTGAAATGCCCAGGTCCTGACCTTCTTGCATATCAGGGGTTTATCAGGAATGTTGGAAAATAAGGAAGAGAGAGCATAGAGCTTCTGTTATCTTCCTGTGCAATGCAAATCACTGTATTTTCCTTAACCTCAGCTTCATTACTATGAAATTAAAAGTGCAAATCAACCTATTTGCCTACCAGGTTATGGTAAAGACTAAACACCTCCTCCCTCAAAAAAGAGTAAAGAAAAGCATCTCTAGTCTGGCCTTGTCCCAATACCTATAATTTCCACTTATTACTGCTTTTGAATTAAGGCATGTATTCTCAATCCTGCTGCATGATAGGCTTACCTGGGGAGCTTTTAAAAATGTTATTGTCCAAACCCCATCCCAACCAATTAAATTACAGTCTCTGGAGGTGAGGCTTAGGCACTCATAGGTAATTTTTTGAGAGTACTCAGGTGATTATGATGTGCGGCCATGGTTGAAAGTCACGAGAACAGCAATTGTCATAGCATGGATCTCAAACCAGCATTAGCATCACCAGCTTACTGGAAATAAAATTTTTGGCCCCACCTCGGACCAATGGAATCAGACAGTTTAGGAGCAGGATCCAGCAATCTGATCTGCATTTTTAACAAGCCCTCCAGGGGATATTGATGTAAGCTAAACTTAGAGAACGTTGCAATAGAATAAGGTATTAAGGATCCCAGTTAAAATTCAGTGTTAACTAGAAGTGGTAACATGATGCCTTACTAGATTGACATGTACTTTATTCTGAATCATTGGCAATTTTAATATATTAATCACTTAAACTGTTCCTGAAAGAATGAGACAGAAAATAATGAGCATAGATGGAAAAATAAGTAGAAAAGGGATGTGGCCAGTGCTGTCCAATACAAATATAATGTGTGACTGGCTGTGGTGCCTCACACCTGTAATCCCAACACATTGGGAGGCTGAGGCAGGTGAGTCACTTGAGTTCAGGAGTTCAAGACCGGCCTGGCAACATGGCAAAACCTTGTCTCTAGAAAAAAATACAAAAAATTAGCCACGCATGGTGACGTGCCTATAGTCCCAGCTACTCAGGAGGCTGAGGCAGGAGGATCACTTGAGCCCACAAGGTGGAGGTTGCAGTGAGCCGAGATGGCGCCACTGTACTCCAGCCTAGGTGACAGAGAGACTCTATCTTAAGAAAATAAAAATAAATAAATAATAAGTAAATAAATATATAGAATGTATATATAATGTATAAGTGTATAATAAATATACATATAATGTGAGGCACAAATATGAGTCACAAATGCAAGCCACTACTTAATATAAAGGTTTCTAATATCCTTATTAAGAGTAAAAAAGAAACCAGTAAAATTACATCTAAAATATATTTATTGGGAGGGGTCAAGATGGCTGATTAGAAGCAGCTGAGGTCAGTGGCTCCTACCAGGAAGAATGCAGTGAGTGAGTGAATCCTGCACTTTCAACTGAGGTATCCAGGTTCTCTCATTGGGACTGACTAGGCAGTTGGTGTGACCCACGGAGAGCAAGGAAAAGCAGGGTAGAGTGACAGCCCACCTGGGATTTGCATGGGGCAAGGGGAGCTCCCACCCCAGCCAAGGAGGTGCTGAGTGATTGTGCTACCCCATCTGGGGAAACCACACTTTTTCCATGGATCTGTGCAACCTGTGGATCAGATCCCCTCCTGAGCCCCCACCACCAGGCCCTTGGGTCCCAAGCACAGAGCTGTGAAGACCCTCAGCAGCCGCTCGGGTTGTGGCCAGCAGCAGCAGGGGCGAGACTGCTTAAGACAACTGAGTTCCTAGGGATAGGGTCAACCAAAATCAATGCAGCTCCAGTTGGCCGTTTTCCCCTGCTGGTGCCAGGGAGACCAGGCAGTTTGGACCAGGAGGAATCCCCACAACATAGCACAATGGCTGTGGCAGATCGTGGCCAGACTGCTTCTTTAGGTGGGACCCGGATCCATCCCTCCTCACCAAGCAGGGTCTCCCTGCAGGAGTTTCAGCAACTCCAGCTAGGGGTTTACAGACAGAACTCTGATGTCTCTGGGACACAGCCCCTGATGGGAGAGGTGGCCATGGTCTCCATGGTTCAGGGGACTTAGTCTTTGCCACCTGGGCAGTCTGGAGGAGGGGAATCCCCCCAGTGCAGTGCACCTGCTCCCTAGAGGGGCAGACAGAGTGCTTTATTAAGTGGGTCCCTAATCCCGTGCCTCCTGACTGGGTGAGACCCCCCCGCCCAACAGGGGTCACCAGACACCTCATATATGTTCTAGCCAGCATCAGGTTTGTACCCCTCTGGGACAGAGTTCCCAGAGGCAGGAGCAGACAGCCATCTTTGCTGTTCTCCAGCCTCCACTGGTGACACCTCCAGGTGTGGGAGGGACCCAGGTGAATAGGTTCTGGAGTGGACCCCCAGCAAACCACAGCAGCCCAATGGAAAAGGGGCCTGACTGTTAGAAAAACAAACAGAAAGCAACAACGTCAACAAAAAAGACCCCACAAAAACCCCATCCAAAGGTCAGCAGCCTCAAAGATTGAAGGTAGATAAGTTCACAAAGATGAGAAAGAATCAACATAAAAACACTGAAAACTCAAAAAGCCAGAGTGCCTTTTCTCCTCCAAATGATCATAACACCTCCCCAGCAAGGGCACAGAACTGGGCTGAGGCTGAGATGGATGAACTGATAGACGTAGGCACCAGAAAGTGGGTAGTAACAAACTTCGCTGACCTAAGGGAGTATATTCTAACCCAATGCAAAGAAGCTAAGATCCATGATAAAACATTATAGGATGTGTTAACCAGAAAAACCAGTTTAAAGAGAAACATAAATGACCTGATGGAGCTGAAAAACACAATATGAGAACTTCACAATGCAACCACAAGTATTGATAGTCAAATAGACCAAGCAGAGGAAAGAATCTCAGAGCTTGAAGACTATCTTGCTGAAATAAGACAGGGAGACGAGATTAGAGAAAAAAGAATGAAAAGGAACAAAAAAAACCTCTGAGAACTATGGGATTATGTAAAAAGACCTAACCTATGACTGACTGGGGTACCTGAGATGGGGAGACAGAACAAAGTTGGAAAACATGCTTCAGGATATCATCCAGGAGAACTTCCCAACCTAGCAATACAGGCCAACATTCAAATTTCAGAAAATCCAGAGAACCCCAGTAAGATACTCCATGAGAAGATCAACCCCAAGACACATAATCATCAGATTCTCTCAGGTTGAAATGAAGGAAAAAAATGTTAAGTGCAGCCAGAAAGAAAGGTCAGGTCACCTACAAAGGGAAGTCCATCAGACCAACAGTCGACCTCTCAGCAGAAACCCTACGAGCCCAAAGAGATTGGGGGGTTGGTATTCAACATTCTTAAAGAAATTTCCAACCCAGAATTTCATGTCCAGCCAAACTAAGCTTCATAAGTGAAGGAGAAATAAAATCCTTTTCTGACAAGCAACTGCTGAGGGAATTCAACACCACCAGGCCTGTCTTGTGAGTGCTCTTAAAGGAAGCACTAAATGTGGAAAGAAAAAACTGTTACCAGACACTACAAAAAACACACTGAGTATACAGACCAATGACACTATGAAGCAACTACATTAACAAGTCTGCAAAATAACTAGCTAGCATAATGATGACAAAATCAATTTCACACATAACAATATTAACCTTAAATGGAAATGGGCTAAATACGCTAATTAAAAGACCACAGAATGGCAAGCTGGATAAAGAGTCAAGACCCATACGTGTGCTGTATTCAAGAGACCCATCTCACATGCAAAGACACACATAGGCTCAAAATAAAGGAATGGAGGAAAATTTGCCAAGCAAAAGGGAAGCAGAAAAAAGCAGGAGTTGCAATCCTAGTTTCCAACAAAAGAGACTTTAAACCAACAAAGATCAAAAAAGACAAATAAGGGTATTATGTAATGGTAGAAGGGTCAACTCAACAAGAAGATCTAACTATCCTAAATATATATATACACCCAAATAGGAGCACCCAGATTCATAAAACAAGTTCTTAGAGACCTACAAAGAGACTTAGACTCTCACAAAATAATAATAGGAGACTTTAACACCACACTGTCAATATTAGACAGATCATCAAGACAGAAAATTAACAAAAATATTCAGGACTTGAACTCTGGATCAAGTGGACCTGATAGATATCTACAGAAGTCTCCACCCAAAAAACAACAGTATGTACATTCTTCTCAGCACCACATGGCATTTACTCTAAAATTGATCACATAATTGGAAGTAAAATACTTCTCAGCAAATGCAAAAGAACTGAAATCATGTCAGTCTCAGACCACAGCACAATCTAATTAGAACTCAAGATAAGGAAAACCACACAACTACATGGAAATTGACCAACCTAACCCTGAATGACTCCTGGGTAAATAATGAAATTAAGGCAGAAATTAAGTTCTTTAAAACTAATGAGAACAAAGAGACAGCATACCAGAATCTCTGGGATGCAGCTAAAGCAGTAGTAAGAGGGAAATTTATAGTACTAAATGCCCACATCAAAAAGCTAGAAAGATCTCAAGTTAACAACCTAACATCTCAACTAAAAGAACTAGAGAACCAAGAGAAAACAAATCCAAAACTAGCAGAAGAAATAACCAAGACCAGAACAGGAAATGAAGGAGCTAGAGACCAAAAAAACCCTTCAAAAAATTATCGAATCCAGGAACTGTTTATTTGAAAAAATTAATAAAATAGATAGACCACTAACTAGACTAATAAAGAAGAAAAGAGAGCAGAATAGACACAATAAGAAATGATTAAGGGAATATCACCACTGACCCCACAGAAATACAAACAACCATCAGAGAATACTATAAACACCTCTACACAAGTAAACTAGAAAATCTAGAAGAAATGGATAAATTCCTGGACACATAAATCCCCCAAGACTAAACCAGGAAGAAGTTGAATTCCTGAATAGACCAATAATGAGTTCTGAAATTGAAGCAGTAATAAATAGCCTAACAACCAAAAAAGCAGCCCGGGACCAGGTGGATGTACAGCTGAATTCTACCAGAGGCACAAATAGGAGTTTGTACCATTTCTTATTAAACAATTCCAAACAATTGAAAAGGAGGGCCTCCTCTCTAACTCATTTTATGAGGCCAGCATCATCCTGATACCAAAACATGGAAGAGATACAACAAAAAAAGAAAACTTCAGGCCAATATCCCTGATGAACATCAAAGCGAAAATCCTCAATAAAATTCCGGCCAAACAAATCCAGCAGCACATCAAAAAGCTTATCCACCACAATCAAGCCAGCTTCATCCCCAGGATGCAAGGCTTGTTCAACCTATGCAAATCAATAAATGTAAGTCATCACATAAACAGAACTAGAGACAAAACCACATGATTATCTCAATAGATGCAGAAAAGGTCTTCAATAAAATTCAACATCCCTTCATGTTAAAAACTCTCAATAAACTAGATATTGAGGGAACATATCTCAAAATAATAGCAATTTATGACAAATTGACAGCCAATACCATACTGAATGGGCAAAAGCTGGAAGCATTCCATTTGAAAACCAGCACAAGACAAGGATGCCCTCCCTCACCACTCCTATTTAACATAGTATCAGAAAGTTCTGGCTAGAGCAATCAAGAAGAGCAAGAAATAAAGCATATTCAAATAGGAAGAGAGGAAAGCAAATTGTCTTTGTTTGCAGATGACATGATCCTATATCTAGAAAACCCCATCATCTCAGCCCAAAAGCTTCTTAAGCTGATAAGCAACTTCGGCAAAGTCTCAGGATACAAAATCAGTGTGCAAAAATCACAAGCATTTCTATACACCAACAGCAGACAAGTAGAGAGCCAAATCACGAATGAACTCCCATTCACGATTGCTACAAAGAGAATAAAATACCTAGGAATACAGCTAACAAGGGAAGTGAAGGACTTCTTCAAGGAGAACTACAAACCACTGCTCCAAGGAAATAAGAGAGGACACAAACAAATGCAAAAACATTCCAAGCTGATGGATAGGAAGGATCAATATCATGAAAATGGCCATACTGCCCAAAGTAATTTATAGATTCAATGCTATTCCCCTTAAACTACCATTGACATTCTTCACAGAATTAGAAAAAACTATTTTAAAATTTATATGGAAACAAAAAAGAGCCCATATAGCCAAGACAATCCTAAGCAAAAAGAACAAAGCTGGAGGTATCATGCTACCCAATTTCAGACTATACTACAAGGCTACAGTAACCAAAACAGCAGGACACTGGTACAAAAACAGAAACATAGACCAAAGGAACAGAATAGAGAACTCAGAAATAAGTCTGAGCATCTACAACTATCTGATCTTTGACAAATCTGACAGAAACAAGCAATGGGGAAAGCATTCCCTATTTAATAAATGGTCCTGGGAGAACTGGCTAGCCATATGCAGAAAATGGAAACTGGATCCCTTTGTTACACCATATACAAAAATTAACTCAAGATGGATTAAAGACTCAAATGTAAAACCCAAAACTATAAAAGCCCTAGAAGAAAATCTAGGCAATACCATTCAGGACATAGGCACAGGCAAAGATTTCATGACGAAAATGTCAAAAGCAATTGCATCAAAAGCAAAAAATTGAGAAATCGGATCTAATTAAACCAAAGAGCTTCTGCACAGCAAAAGAAACTATTATCAGAGTGAACGGACAACCTATAGAATGGGAGAAAACTTTTGCAATCTATCCATCTGACAAAAGTCTAATATCCAGAATCTACAAGAAACTTAAACAAATTTAAGAAAAAACAAACAATCCTATTTAAAAAAAAATGGGCAAAGGGCATGAATAGACATTTCTCAAAAGACGACATTTATGGCCAGGTGTGGTAGCTCATGCCTGTAATCCCAGCACTTTGGGAGGCCAAGGAGGGTGGATCATGAGGTCAAGAGATCAAGACCATCCTGGCCAACATGGTGAAACCCCGTCTCTACTAAAAATACAAAAATTAGCTGGCCATGATGGCAGGCACCTGTAGTCCCAGCTACCTGGGAGGCTGAGGCAGGAGAATCACTTGAACCTGGGAGACAGAGGTTGCAGTGAGCCAAGATCGTGCCACTGCACTCCAGCCTAGTAACAGGGTGAGATTCTGCCTCAAAAAATTAATTAATTAATTAATTAAAGTTTCTGCTCTTGATTTTTTAGGTCTTTTTCAGTAGGATGATTATACAGGGCTGATGGGTCACTGGCTGTAGATAGCATTTTCTTATAAGTTCTCAGGCCTGGCCAGCTACGTAATCTGTGGGGCCCAGTGCAAAATGAAAATATAGGGCCCCATGTTTATCAAGCAGGGGGAAAAAGTGCCTTCAAGACTAGTAAAATATAACACTTTCTCCTTTCTTCTGTAGTGTCTCTTCAACCTGTCATTGTGTTTTTTGCTATTTGAGGCAACAGGCCCTGGGAATGGAGTGGGGGAGGGGCTCCAAGATACTCAAGGTTGAGTAGGGACTTCCGCAGGCAAAAGAGAGGCTGCCCTGGAATTTGGCACATTCAAGGGTGTCACTTAACCCAATATACTTTCAGTTGCTTTTACGTTGTAAAACCTAGAACTCGGCTGGGCGCGGTGGCTCACACCTGTAATCCCCACACTTTGGGAAGCTGAGGCAGGTGGATCGCGAGGTCAAGAGACTGAGACCATCCTGGCCATCATGGTGAAACCTCGTCTCTACTAAAAATACAAAATTAGCTGGGCGTGGTGGTACATGCCTGTAATCCCAGCTACTCAGGAGGCTGAGGCAGAAGAATTGCTTGAACCCAGGAGGCGGAGGTTGCAGTGAGCCAAGATCGCGCCACTGCACTCTAGCCTGGTGACAGAGCAGGACTCTGTCTCAAAAAAAAAAAAAAGAAAAAAGAAACTGGAACTCTACCAAAGATACAAAACAATGAAAATAAGTCTGACCTTATTTTCAACAAAACATACTTTTTGAATTTGGTTGCCGGTAGAAATAGGAATGTGAAATAATCCTAAAACTTCCCAAGATTTTATACTACACAAGTTAGGTCTTTTTGCTTCCCCTTTAGAGATAAATTGCCTCTTTCAAACATGAATCCCTTTACTTCCAAGAGAATGAGGAATGGCTCTGAGAATCTCAGCAGTTTGGCTCTGAGACAATGAGCTGACTCTTTAAACAGTGGGAGGTGTCAAGAGAAGCCAACTTCAAGGAAATCCAACTTTTTCCTCCCAGCCTCCTCCTCCTGACATACTGATCCAAAAACACATAGGACCTGACCATTTGTAAGAAATGGTGTCACTAGAAAGTCAAATACTACATGTTCTCACTCATAAGTAGGTCTAAAAAATGTACACATGTGGATAAAGACAGTAGATTGATAGACAATGGAGGCATCAAAGTGAGAGGGAATGGGAGGGGGTGGGAAGAGGTTGGGTGATGAGAAATTACTTAATGGGTACAATGTACATTATTCAGGGGAAGGATTTTTTTTTTTTTTTTTTTTAGATGAAGTCTCTCTCTGTCACCCAAGCGGGAGTGCAGTGGCACAATCTCGGCTCACTGCAACCTCTGCCTCCCGGGTTCAAGTGATTCTCCTGCCTCAGCTTCCTGGGACTACGGGTGTGTGCCACCACGCCTGGCTAATTTTTGTATTTTTAGTAGAGAAGGGGTTTCACTATGTTGGCCAGGCTGGTCTCGAACTCCTGACCTCGTGATCCACCCACCTCGGCCTCCCAAAGTGCTGGAATTATAGGCGTGAACCACTGTGCCCGGCCTAATATCTTAAAGCCCTGACTTGACCACTACACAATCTATGCATGTAACAAAATTGCACATGTACCCCATAAATATATACAATTATTAAAAAAAAAAGAAATGGTGTCAGAAAATGGGACTTAGGAGAATGATTGGAAACTCCTTTTCTTACTTACTTATTGATTGATAATCTTTCTTAAATCACAAAGGTTCTGAGGTGACATTAAAAGTAATATATACACAAAAGAGTACAATAAAAATGAACACCAAGAAAGATATAAATCAGACTATATTGTTAGAATCAGAGGCAGAAAAAATAGGACTCCATAAGCCAAAAGGCCCAGAGAGATAACAAAGGTTGGTTTGCAAATTGTCTGAGTTCCCTGTGACCCAAAGTAAAAATGGAAATATTGTCAATGTCATTGTTTCCCCACATTGTTCATCAGAAGAAAAGCCCTGGTTTCCCAAACAAAGCAAAATATTTTCAGTATTTATCCATCTGATGCTGAGGATTATGATGGATGACTCCCCCCTAATATTAGTTGGGGAGGGCTCTTAATTGGCTATTTCTTGTGGCTTCTTTCAATAATAGGCAAAAGCACTACTACAAATAAAAAATAGAAATAAATAACTGGAGGCGGTGGCTCACACCTGTAATCCTAATACTTTGGGAGGCTGAGGCAGGCTGATTGCTTGAGCCCAGGAGTTCAAGACCAGTCTGGGCAACATGGTAAAACCCCATCTCTACCCCAAAAAAAATACAAAACTTAGCTGGGCATGGTGGCACCTGCCTATAGTCCCAGCTACTCAGGAGACTGAGGCAGGAGGATCACTTGGGAGGCAGAGGTTGCAGTGAGCTGAGACTGTGCCAATGCACTCCAACCTGGGCAACAGAGACAGACCCTGCCTCAAAAAAAAATAAAATAAAATAAAATAAAACAGAAACAATATATCTATATTTCTGTCAATTCAATTCATTCCTCTGAATCAATTTCATATTTGGTGATGAGTATAGGTATGTGTATTTCCAAAGCTGGGAACTGGCTTGGGAAGGGAGTAGTAGATGGACCCAGAATTCTAGAACCCAGGACTTGCTGGTAAGCATGTACAAACTCTTTGAGGAGAAAAGGCCTACTGTTGACAGCTTATCTAACACTTTGTCAAACTGCAACAGAAAGAAAATTCATAGCCATGGTCTGTGACTAAAGAAACCAGATCCCATTTTAAGGCCAAATCCTTATAACCTGTTCTTACTTATATGATTAGAAACCACCTTCGCCTTTCATCTTTTACAAAGCAAGTCATTCCTTTCTTTATATACAGACTAGAGATTGGATAACGTGAAAGATGACAGACATTGTCAAACTTGTCCTAGTCACTAGAGTGACTGATGGCCTCCTGAGAATGTCCAGACCTTCTGGCTTAGTGTAAATGTCTCGGGCTATAAATAAAACGTCAGCCTGGCCAGCGTAAATCTACTAAGGCCAAGAAGTTATTAAAACAGAACCATGAGACGTTACTCAATGAGCCCAGTCTGACACGTGTGGCTATGACTTAAGTCCTCATTTGAGTGCTAAACTAATGCCCCTTACAGACAGAAATATCTGTAAAGACTCTGTCACTGGAATAAATTACAAAATTCCTTTACTGCGTTAATACTTTGAAGACCTTTGAAATCAAGTTATTCGGATGAGTGCATGAAGTCCCAAAAGGGGATGGTAAACAGTGAAGATGTAGCAGGCATGGGGGTCTTACATCAGGAGAAAGAGAAAATAAAGTTTTAACAGTCCAAATAGGAAAACTGACATGGGGTAACAATTAATTATAAATATAGACATAACAAATTTAAATTTCTAAAATTCTATGAGAATATGATCATAAAGGAAGCAATAGATTTTAGCCTTCAAATTAACTTTCTGGTATTTGTTTTAGGTATGAAAAATTCCAGATGGCCACTTGAATTTATAGTAAAGTTACTGTATAAACTCTGGCACTTAAGCAAAATATTTCATCAATTATATATACTTAGAATGTATCATTTTGCAGGGCCAGGTGTGGTGGCTCACACCTGTAATCCCAGCACTTTGGGAGGCTGAGGCAAGTGGATCACTTGAGGTCAGGAGTTCGAGACCAGCCTGGCCAACATGGGGAAACCTGTCTCTACTAAGACTACAAAAATTAGCTGGGTGTGGTGGCAGGCACCTATAATCCCAGCTACTTGGGAGGCTAGGGTAGGAGAATTGCATGAACCCAGGAGGCAGAGGTTGCAGTGAGCCAAGATCATGCCACTGCACTCCAGCCTGGGACACAGAAGAAGACTCCATCTCAAAAAATAAAGTATCATTTTGCCATAAATTTGGAAATCTAATTTCATGAGAATTTATTGAAGACATTTTTTAAAATCCCACTGAAGTGTCAAAATATGTTTTTATAGTCACTTCAGTGTTAATTATATATTTTTATTTTGGCTGTGACACTAATTATCTTAATTAAATTTTTATCACTAGTGCTTATTTCAATGCATTAAATATTATACTTAATGAATGGAAAGTAGTTTAATATCATCTGAAATTCTGTGGAGCCTTTGTAAAGCTAATTTTTCTGCAAGGATGGATCTTAAAAATGCCTCAACCTGATAGATTTGTAGCCAAAGTAATGTCAGTTTAACTTGAACACTCAGCGACCCAAGAAGAGGAATACTTCTTTATTCCAGTAGCAGCTTTATTAGCCAAAAGAATATTGCCCTGAGTGTAATAAAATTCTTACTGTCCAATCAGGTCTTCAGCAATTCAGTTCATCCTCATTCCTCTTTCCAACTTTGCAGCAAAAAGAGTAACCATTAGATGTAGGTCTCCTCAGAGCCCAGCCTTTTCCATTCAGGGCTGGCATTGCTGAAACATCAGCACCTGTTTCTGCAGCGAAGTAAATAAGTGGATAGCACCTCCCTTCATAGCTCATTCTCCCATTTGTAATCACAGACTTGTGTGATTATTTAATCAATGCCTGTCTCATCCAACAGGACATATGTGACAAAAGGGTGAACACAGGGTCCAGGGTAAACACAGGGTCCAGCTTGCACACCGCTGTGCCTTGTACTGTGTCAGGCCCTTACCCACATAATAAATATTTGTTGACTGAAGAAATGAAAATTTAACTTGGGGAATACAATAACAAGCTTCATGATGCCTACCTCACCCTTAATCCAAATGGTGGAAACAGAGAGATTTGAACCTAATTCTCATTTATATTTTAAACTCTTTTAGTTATATTCTTTATCATACATTGGTTAGAATATTTTATTTAGAAAGGTGTGTTTTGATTTCATAAGCAATTAGTGCATTTACCACTAATTGGTAAACAATGAATATGAACAAACCTTTGTATGATGCTAAGGAATGCAGAATGCTGTCATTCCTTAGTCCATAACACTAAGAAATGACAACAAGGCAGTTGTCTAGGATGCAAAGCCCAACCTATAGGAGCTACAGGACTTTATGGGACATTAGGCCTCTCAATGAAATCATATCCAACATATCCCAGTACATGGGACAATTGCATTTTTGTTTTGGGATTGTGCCCACCCTGGTCTATGGCATGGACTTTTCCCTCTGATCTTTTTTCTCTTCTTAAATCTTCTCTCTCCTCATTATCTATCTCCTTACAGCCAGAACTGTGGAGAGCTGCAGGATCACGTGGGATATTCCTTTAGAAGACATCCATCGTATTTTCCTGCTTTCCTGTCTTCATCTCTACACAGGGAACCTTGACATTTTTCCCCTTTGGATTGTTTTTCAAGTATAAATAAATCAGAATCCCCTTGAACTGAAGACACCTCTTCAACATTTTAAGTAATGTATTTTTGAAAAAGATGCAGTGATCAAAGGCATAAGAACATTTTTCTCAACACAGGAGGATAAACAATGCAGCTAGGTCGTCAGACAAGCAATGTTCATTTAACCCTTCCCAATGCAAAGGAGAAGGGCCGTCCACAGGGGTGACAGCAAGGCAGAGTCACTTCCTGCTAGGCTGGCCCACATTTTCCCACTCAGTACTCTCTGACCAAGCTTCAGGTCACCTCTGGCACCCAGTTCTTATGCTGAGCACACCATGTTCTGCCCACTCTGCCCTGCACCTGTCATATGAAGAATTCCAGGGTCTCCGATCACCTTCCCCTTTCCCTTCGTCCCCATCCTTTCTCTCTGTATGCAGACCTGGGTTATCCAGCATGCTCATTTATGGTGAAGATGAGTGAAATGAGCTAGAGGTGTTGGTCACTGAAAGTATTTGCATTGGAAACCAGATGTAATGCCTTAAGCACAGAGAGGCAAGCCTCTAAAGGAGACATCTCAACGAGTACAGGGTAGGGAATTGTACTGAGTCAGTGAAGGTGAGAGAATAACAATGAATATTGGGATGGGGGTGGCCACAGTCCTTGGAATACACAAATAAATATAAGAAAATCAGTTAACTTGGCAGTACATGTAAAACTGGTGAGACAACAACCAAAAACAGAGATAGAAACAAGTATATGGGAAACATGAGTGAAGAAAGCTAAGGAAAGCTGTTTCCTTTATGCTTTTATATCAGGGAGTGAAGGGGCACATTGCCAAATGAAGCCACTTTGCTTATACGCAGTCAACAACTGAGTACCCGCCACCCAACCCTCAGCCACTGCTCACTTAAATCCAGGTCACTGAAACCTGAAAGTTGCTTCTCAACTTCTACCATTTCTTAACACGTACATCTTAGTGTAGGTGGTGTTTATTAATTGCAGCAACAGGGAAACTCCTCCATTTCCCATCCTCTGAGGGCATTTTGACTTATCTACATTTTTCCCTTTACCTTTCCTCACTGAATTTTCCCAGCAATCCACAGTGAAAGGTAGGGATTACCTTACTAGCCTGAGAATTACTTGAATTTTCATCTCTCAGTGATAGTTAGCCATGAAGTTAATCATTACTATTAAAGAAGATCAGTATAACTTTAGAATTGACAATAGATCTGACTCTGAACTCTTCCAACCCAGCCAAGTTTTGCAGCCATGGGAACCAGGTGACAAGAATGGGCAGGCCCAGGTGAGGCCAAGCAGTATGGTAAAAATAAGCACCACTCTTATTCCAGCACAGGTCCCATTTGGTTTTAAGGCCAAATGGTGGTAGAGCAATGTTTTTCACTTCCCTCTGATCACAACTCTCCTATTTTACCTCTTCCTAGTCCCACCCCTTTTATTCAGAAGAAAACAGCTGTGATGAACCATCACATATCATCTTATTTTCAATATTTCCACTTGTCAAACATGTATGAGGAGTGCCAGGTCAGTATCCCTTGTGCCAAATATTTTCACCTCCCCTCTGCATGGTGTCTCCCCGACAATCCAACATGGTGTCTCCCCCAGCCCCTGCCCTGCTCCTCTCTTCTCCTCTCCCATCACTGTGACAGACTTATCCAGGTTCTTATCTCCAAACAACCAGCTCCTTCTTGGTTCCTAAGACAGGCACTCTCAGAGGAGCACATCAAATGGTCAGGTTTTTGTTTGTTTGTTTGTTTTGAGATGGAGTTTGACTCTTTTCTCCCAGGCTGGAGTGCAATGGTGCAATCTCGGCTCATTGCAACCTCTGCCTCCTGGGTTCAAATAATTCTCCTGCCTCAGCCTCCCAAGTAGCCGGGATTACAGGCACCCGCCACCATGCTCAGCTAATTTTTGTATTTTTAGTAGAGATGGGGTTTCACCACATTGGCCAGGCTGGTCTCGAACTCCTGACCTCAGGTGGTCCGCCCGCCTCGGCCTCCCAAAATGCTGGGATTACAGGCATGAGCCACCGTGCCCAGCCCAAATGGTCAGTTTTTAAGAAAGTTTCAGAAAACCTCCAAAACCAAGCTGTTTGATGTAAACAGGAAGGAATTTTATACAGACAGGAGCTTATAGAGACACAGAAACCAGAAAGTTCTAGCTTTAGGTATTGATTTGGTCAGAAGAGAAATCCAGCTGTGTGAGCAAGTGACTACTAGAGTATTAATCATCTGCCTAGAGTTGTAACCTGTTAAAGAGAGAGCAAGGATAGGAGAGGGATCACCACCATAGGCCACATGTTTGTTAGGTTATTTCACATGCGTCCATTCAACTCCATTCTACAAATAGCAAGAGCCAACAATGCCAGGAATCGCAAACAAGACATACCTGTTTCCTGTCTTCACACAGTTTAATGAGCAAGAGACTTAATATAAGATAGCCCGAAAGGAACTATGACAGGAGAAAGTCAAGTTGGGGCCCTTAGGAGGAGAGATCCTCATCCAGATAGTTAGAAAGAGCTTCTGGAAGAAGTGACATCTCAGCTGGGGAAGACAGGCTAGGGAGGGGTTATCCAAGCAAAACCAGGGATTGAGAGGGAGGGGGAAGTTGACTTTTGACCACAACCATGTGAAGTATGTGTGACCAGGTCTACTTTCCCAGTGAGGTAACCTAGACTCATAGGGGTTGAAAAAGTTATCCAAGGCTACAAATCTAGCCTGTGGTAGATGCAGGCTCAGTCCTCAGGACAGCCGAAGCCCATGGCCGGGCTGACTCTTTGCACCACTACCTCAGCTCTCTGGCTGCACCTCCCCACTTCACCTGCTCTAGGCTCCCAGAGAAGCCTCTGTCAGGATGGAAATGTCTGGCCAGAAAGGAGGGCAGGATAATGCTGTCATCAGAGCCATGGGGATTTTATTACTAAGCCACAAGGTCCCCAACAAGGGTGCCCTTAGAATTCACCAAAGAGTTTTTGTACAGTCTCTTTCTTCTCAGAAGTTCTAGAGTCTAAGCAGCACACAATAAGTAAACTTGTTTATGAAAAAGTACAAGCAAATGATCTCTAAAGGCAAAAGCTTTATTTAGAACAGATATGTCCTGAATAGCTTTAAAGCAAAGATGTCTATTGGAAATGCTCTAACATCTCCTTTCTCTCTCTTTTTTTTTTTTTTTTTTTGAGACAGTCTTACTCTGGAGTACAGTGGTGCAATCGCAGCTCACTGCAAGCTCTGCCTCTCAGGTTCACACCATTCTCCTGCCTCAGCCTCCCGAGTAGCTGGGACTACAGGCCTCCGCCACCACGCCAGGCTAACTTTTTGTATTTTTAGTAGAGACGGAGCTCATGCCTGTAATCCCAGCACTTCTGGGAAGCCGAGGCGGGTGGATCACGAGTTCAGGAGATCAATACATCTCCTTTCTCTTAAAGTGAGGCACGGCACCCCTGGATGACTGTGAGTTGGTTTTTCATATCACAGCAAATCTCAGATCAGAGACAGTCAGAGACAATTGGAGAAGAAAGACCTTGATAAACAGTTGCCTTTCTTTGTGGCCCCTTTCACAGGCTTGAGATACTCGGAGGAAAATTTAAGTGACTGACATAAATGTCCATCACTGGGTATATTTATTTAAAACCTGAATGGCAAAATGCAAACATTGTAGATATTAATGAAGGAATAAAACAAACAGTTGACTTTTTTCTTTACTCAATGATATGAAGCTTATTCAGGGGCCTGCTTGCCAGATTTGAGGCCAATCTCTTGTAGGTTCCATGTAGGTCCTTCCAGGCAATGAAAATGTCCTTTTTGCAGGAATAAAGGTGAGATGCAGATGTATAGAGGTTCTCTCTTGGAGGCCTGTGTACTGTACAGGTAACAAAAAGTAACACAGCTGGGCCAGGTGCAGTGGCTAATGCCTGTAACCCCAACACTTTGGGAGGCCAAGGCAGGAGGATGACTTGAGCCCAGGAGTTTGAGACCAGCCTGGGTAACAAAGTGAGACCCCATTTCTACAAGACAATTAAAAAAAATTAGCCAGGCATGGTGGTGCATGCCTGTAGTCCCAGCTACTCGGGAAGCTAAGGCAGGAGAATCCCTTGAGGCCAGGAGGTTGAGGCTGCAGTGAGCTGGGTTCGTGCCATTGCACTCCAGCCTGGGCAACAGAGCAACACTCAGTCTCAAAAAAATAAATAAATAGGCCAAACACAGTGGCTCACGCCTGTAATCCCAGCATTTTGGGAAGCCAATGCGGGCAGATCACCTGAGGTCAGGAGTTCGGGACCAGCATGACCAGCATGGTGAAACCCCGTCTCTACTAAAAATACAAAATTAGCTGGGTATGGCGGCGCATGCCTGTGATCCCAGCTAATCAGGAGGCTGAGGCAGGAGAATCGCTTGAACCCAGGAGGCAGAGGTTGCAGTGAGCCAAAATCATGCCATTGCACTCCAGCCTGGGCGACAGAGCGAGACAAACAAACAAACAAATAAATAAATGTAATACAGCCAATGCTTTCATTTTCATTCAGAGCCCTAAATGTAAACGTCCAGCCCTGCCAACCTAGGCAAGGCAATGAAACCTCGGAAGGCGGTGGCTTTAAAGGCATTAATTTAGTGGATGCACAGACCAGGAGCTCACATACCTGCCAACTGGCATGGATATTTCAGAAAGCCAAGAAGAAGTCTCATTTTGGTGAGGCATTTTTCTCAGCTTTCCTCCCCTTATTTCCACAGCAAAGCTCAAAAAGCCTTCTGCTGGGGGAGGTGTTGGGGGGAAGCATTTCTGGCTATGATCCTTTTGGCCTTTAGCAGGTTGAGAAGCCAAACCTGGCTCCAAACAAACCCCAACTGCCCGCTCTCTCTTTTTCTAATGCCAGAGACATTCCCCTGCCCAATGTTCCAACTCCCCTGAATGTGAAAAAAAAAAAATCATTATTTAGTTCTGTCATTCCACCTAGATTTTCCATATCTCTGTTCTCAAAGGTATCTGATCTGAATCCATCTCCAGATATCAGTTGTCTTTCTCTTGTATCCCTACCCCTGCCCCGACCCCCACTACCGATAACCAGGGTAAAGTCTGAGGCGCATTTGGAGATAAGTCAATGAGCTAAGAACCAGGCCTGTTATTTATTAAATTTACAGGGCTTGCGTTTATATGATCACATTCTGGAGCTGGCATCTGGCCTAAAAAGCTTCCCATTTCTGCCTCTGCCCTCTCCCTCCTCCAGCCCTTTACACGCTCACACACCAGAGCCCTTGACCGAAAAACAGAACACTGGGTATCATTTTAGTTCTCATATTTTAACTTGCTCTCATTTTCAACAAGGCAGATATAGTGACTGGAAATAAGTTAAGATGCAAAGTTAGGAGCAGAATTCGCACATAATAACCACCTACTTTGCTCTCGTTGCTTCTCCTTGCCTAGAGTGGTAGACAGAAGCACCCATTCTGAATCCATGTTGTACAAGTTCATACCCCAAATTTGCACTTACTGTTAGCATTGAGATCTTGACCTTTTTCCCTGGTCTCTGCACCTCTACTTCCTCATCTGTAAAATAGGAAAGCAATAGTACCAGTCTCAGAGGGTTGTTACAAGGATTAAAAGACTTCACATGGGCTGGGCACAGTGGCTCACGCCTGTAATCCCAACACTTTGGGAGGGCGAGGCAAGTGGATCACTTGAGGCCAGGAGTTTGAGGCCAGCCTGGCCAACATGATGAAACCCCATCTCAACTAAAAATACAAAAATTAGCTGGACATGGTAGCGTGCACCTGTAATCCCAGCTACTTGGGAGGCTGGGGCAGGAGAGTCGCTTGAACCCAGGAGGTGGAGGGTGCAGCGAGCTGAGATCATGCCACTGCACTCCAGCCTGGGCGACAGAGCGAGACTCCATCTCAAAAATAAAAATAAGTTGCTACTTCCCCCTCCCCCTGCCAAAAAAAACCAGAACTTAAATAATTCTTGATTTGTCTTTGATACAGCTCTCAAGTTTTCTTTTAGTTTAATGTTGCATTGGAGGCATGAGAAGTATTTTGAGGTTTATGCTCTAGAAAAGCTATGCATGGCTGAAAGACATTTACAAAGTAAATATAAAGTCAAATGGATCCTCCCATTGTGAACACGAAGAGATTAGAAATCAGGCAGATTCTCCTGGGAATTTCTTTGTGAAAAGATGAATCGTCCAGCCAGGGCATGAGCCCTGGTAACCTATAAATAAATCTCTTTCTTCAAATCACATTGATGGAAGTCAGCCTTTTATGCTGTGGTTTTTCATAGAAATAATTGATGTTATTATATCTCTAGGAATCCTTCATCCTAAGAAGCAGCAGCTTCATCTGTAATGTACTCCCACATTTACATTCTATCCCTGTCTAAATGGTACCAAATGTCCACTAACAGGACAACGATCAGTGTAAATGCCATCTGCACGTACATGAAAAGTACTGTGCGTGCTAGACAGTGAGTACCCAGTTATTGGTTGAATGAATTAGTTCAACAGTGAAGCAATTAACTGTTGCAGCAGAAAACATATTTTGCTTGGGAATAATAAGAGATGATTTTCCAGACAACACTTAATCTAAGAGTTATTATGTCCACACATAAAGCCAAGAAGTTAGAGAAAGTCTCTCTCTCTCACCAGCCACAGTGCAATTTCACAGACATTCACAGGCATTTTACAGCAGACATCTGAGCAAAAGGCACCCAAGGTACCAATATACCTTGCAGAAGAGTTGCATTTGCAGCATTCCCAGTATTTGCTCACTCCAAGTAGTAGGACAACCATGGTCTTGTTTAATCAGTAATTCCATTTTTTCTGAAATCAAGAAAATTGAGCCCTGATGTTGCTAACTAAGCAAGTGAGTATCTAAAAGCAACATTCTGGGACCTGTTTCTAGACATTATTTTCTTTCTTCTCCAACCTATGCTATCAATCTGTGGGTAAGTGCAAGGGTCTCAGTTTCCCCATTTTCCATGTCTGAGCCTGACCTTAAAAGCTCTCTGCTTCTGCTATTCTGGCCTCTAGCCAGGTCAACAGTTCAGCTCACACTAATTTTGTTTCTCTATGATGGGCTCAGGCTCCCTCATGCTCTCTTCTTTTTTTCTTCTCTGAGAAGCATTGACTTTGGCTGCATCTCATCTAAAGACAGAGGTCAGGCCACCTGGTCAATCAAGGAGCCCCACCCTTGACCCCAGTGGATCAAGCTCTTCAGTGATCAACCTTCTCTCCTTTGTTGGTAATACTCCAAACATTCTGGTTGAAATGCACAGATACCATACGACGATCTCAACATTTGTGTCATATAGAGTGTTACCTTCTGGCTTGACAATTCCAATCTTCGATGATGTCAGTAACTAATCCACACCTTCTCCAGATTCTAAATCCTGATAACCCGCTAGACTCTACCATAATAACTCTTAGATTAAGTGTTGGCTAGAAACACATCAAGATGTGCTACTTATCTTGGCCCCATGGGTTTAGAGAGGAAAATATTGTTTCACTTCAGAGTCTTCTTACAAAGATCGTCTACCTGAAAACAACAGGTTCCCTTCTCTTTGGTTTTACTTATTTACTTATGCATTTCCTTTATAAAACTTATCCCTTAGTTGTTTTCTGCCAGTGGGAATGAAAGGCCATCACAGACTGTCTATAGATGGAGAAAAACCTGACTACACATTTAATATTCATCAACATAGTGCTGCCATACCACCTTTTTTTTTTTTTTTTTTTTTTTTGAGACAGAGTCTCACTCTGTCACCCAGGCTGGAGTGCAATGGCGTGATCTTGGCTCACTGCAAGCTCTGCTTCCCAGGTTCACACCATTCTCCTGCCTCAGGCTCCTGAGTAGCTGGGACTACAGGTGCCTGCCACCACGCCTGGCTAATTTTTCATATTTTTAATAGAGACAGGGTTTTACCGTGTTAGCCAGGATGGTCTCAATCTCCTAACCTCATGATCCGCCCGCCTCAGCCTCCCAAAGGGTTGGGATTACAGGTGTGGGCCACTGCACCCGGCCACGTCTCTTATTAATGATAACACATAAGATGGAGCAATAACTTCTGAAATACACACTAGAACCATTCAAAAAAAAATGGAAGTTTCTACAGTATTTGAGGTTGTCCTGCCAAGTTATAATTAATTCATGATCAATAATAAAATAGTCCATATAGTGATAGGCTTGCTGTTTGCTTATGCAAGAATGTGAAATACCTCGAGAGGCAGGAAAATCTTCTGAAGAGAAGTTTTGGAATCAAAACAGGTGCTAACATCTGCCTTTAATGTGCATAGAAGGAAACTGAAATAAAACAGATTCTCTTAGAATTTCAGATTGGGCATCCTAAAGTGTGCCTGAACTGATTTGGAAAGAGAATAATAGATTCAGGAATTAAAAAGTTGATGGCTCTGTCAAGACCCAACCAATTGCAAAATAAACTTTGCATTTCTCTTGTTTTCCACTATTTTCTTTCCAACTTTGAAAAGTCTTGGTACACCAGTGGCATTGTTGGAGGGTAAGTAACATGAACATTCTAAGGAGGAAAAGACCAAAGCCCAGCCATTCATTAATAGTGACTTGTTAAAAGCTAGATGCTGGCTGGGCACAGTGGCTCATGCCTGTAATCCCAGCACTTTGGGAGGCCGAGGTGGGCGGATCACCAGGTCAGGAGATCGAGACCATCCTGCCTAACACAGTGAAACCCCGTCTCTACTAAAAATACAAAAAAAAAAAAAAAATTAGCTGGGCATGGTGGAACACGCCTGTAGTCCCAGCTACTCAGGAGGCTGAGGCAGGAGAATCACTTGAACCTGGGAAGCAGAGGTTGCAGTGAGCCGAGATCATGTCACTGCACTCCAGCCTGGGCAACAAAGCGAGACTCTGTCTCAAAAAAAAAAAAAAAAAAAAGCTAGATGCTTACTTAAACCATTCCACGGGTATGCTATGGGGACCGCCGCTGGACCCTGCTCAAAGTTTAATGCTTAACCACATGATGGTCCAGTGCTTTCAGTTCTGACCTGCCCTGCAGCATGTACCCAAGCCTCTTATAAGTTAATGGGTCATTCATCACACTGGATTTTTCTTAGCTCACTCACCTCTTTAGAATTCAGGATTTCCTGCCAACATTTTCACTTTTCCATAAAATTAATATAGCACTATTAGGACCGGGTGTACTCTGAAAATATCCAGCATTCAAAATTCCTCATTTAAACTTTTCAATCCAAGATTTTATCCTTTTGGATTAGTACATTGTGGGTAGTTCTATTAGTCAATTTTAACTGTTTCCCACTACGTGACTCAAAATAAATCAAAGTGTTAGATGAGTCAGGGAAAAAATGATCTTTTAATGAAGACTTGTTTAGTTCCAGTGACTTTTCATAAACTATCCAATTTAATTCTCTCAACAGCCCTGCGAGGTAGGCATTATTGTCTTCACTTTACAGATAATGAAAGTGAGTAACAGAGAAGTTACTTGCCCCAATTGACATTTATTATATGAATATATAAGCATTATACACCATATATCACATCAGGATTCAAATCCAGAAACACCCAAACTGAAACTTTCCCACTAAAATGGATATTGCCTTTCTAAAACCAATTGATGATGCCATTATTGAAACCACTCATCAATATTTTTTCGTGTCGTGTGAGTAATCTAATTAAGTAGACATTACTGACAGTGCTCACTCTTAAGAAATTGTCCAAGACCAGTAATTCCAAACCTGGCTAATCACCAGAATGATCGGAAAACACTTAAAAAGAGATTTCCTAGGCTCTATTTCAAACCTGCTCAATCAGAATCTCTGGGGTTGGGCCCAGGAGTCTTTATAAATACAGAGCTCCCAAGGCAATTTTCATAATCAACCACTTAGGTAACCATTGACACTTCTGAAAATAGTGATGAAAAATCGACACTACCAATGCAGTATATTTTTTCAGTGTATTGTGACATCCTTTATTTCATTTCCACTTGATATACACCTGCTGCTGGGCAGAATGTGGGGTAGATATTTTTTATCCTCCTTAGATGAAAGTAGAAACCAAGTTCAATGGGGAAAGGAAACTTGAAATGTCCTCTTTCACCTTCTTAAGTGAAAATGAACTACCTAGGGAAAAACAAACTGGGTTTAGATATACAGCACTGAGAATGTAAATGTCACTTGTTAAAATTTCCCTCCGTCACTTGTTAGATTTCCCTCCCTCCTCTTCTTTCTCTGGGAGAACTGGATGGACACTGTTAGGGACTGAATTGTATCCCCACAAAATTCATGTGTTGACATCCTTGCCTCCAGTATCTCAAAATGTGACCTTATTTGGAAGTAGGGTTGTTGCAGATGTACTTAGTTACCATGAGATCATACTGGAATAGGGTGGGCCCCTAACTAAATATGACTGGTGTTCTTATAAAAAGAGGCGATTCAGACACAGATACACACAGGGAGAACACCATGTGAAGATGAAGACAGAGATGGGGTGGATCTCTGTCTACAAGTCAATTAATGCCAAGATTACTAGCAAACCACCAGAAACTAGGGGAGAGACATGGAAAAGATCCTTCCTCACAGCCCTCAGAAGGAACCAAACCTGCCGACACCATGAGCTCAGACTTCTAACCTCCAGAAATGAGAGATAATATATTTCCATTCTTTAAACAACCCAGCTCATGGTACTTTGTTACACCAACCCCAGAAAATTGATACAGATAGGAAACACCTCCCCATAGATGATCAGATTACTAGTTACCATTTATGTTAGAGGAAAAAAAATCAACAAATAAGTTCATTTATCAACAGGTTTCTGAAAGGCAATTGTGATAGTCATAGGTCTTAGGAGTTGCAAGCAGCTCTACAGTAAATTAACTCAGAGAAACAGCTTGCTCAATGCAAATTTTTTTTTGGTGTTCTGGAGAAAGAAATACTAGCAAAAGAAAGAGAAACATGGAAAAGAATCCTCACACATCCTACCCTTAGCTTTTTTCTACCTACTGTTTAGTATAAATACATCATTTGTATGTCTCCAATTGTAATCAAGGGAGTTGTATAATATAAAAAACCAGAATCAAAACTTTATTCCACCTACTCCAATGTTATGTCCTGGAATTCCCAGGCATCTGAGATGAGGGTGCTTCCTATTTGTTCCCATCTCCTAATCTGAGGTATAGAAGTAGCTGCGTCTCAACTATATGGTAAACATCGTATGATGGATCCCAAAGTCACAGAGATGTTTCCAAAAGAACGTTGCCTAGAGATGCAAATTATTTAATTAGCAAATTGACCCTAACATGTCTTGGTCTTTCAAACAAAAATACTTCTGGGTAAGAGCATGAGGGATTTGTGAGGCATTTGCCAAGTCTGTCTCTCAGATAGCTCTGTATGGCCTCCTTGCAAACACATGCCCACTGTTTTGCTTGACAAGTTCTTTGGACTGATTTCTCTCCAAATAATAAGCATACTTTCCAATGTTTAATAAAAGGCTTTGTAAAGCCAACATTTTATGCATATTTTGATCATTGACATTATATAACCTGTTTTGGGGACACATCTCATGGGTGATTTTTATGATGGAATGATAAGCTATGTGACCAACAAAAAATACCTGCAGGCCAGGCATGGTGGTTGGCGCCTGTAATCCCACACTTTGGGTGGTCAACGCGAGAGGATTGCTTGAGCCCAGCCTAGGCAACATGACAAGACCCCATCTCTACAGAAAAATCTAAAAATTAGCCAGTTGTGTTGGCGTTTGCCTGTGGTCCCAGCTACTCAGGAGGCTGAATCAGGAGGATTGCTTAAGCCTGGGAAGTCGAGACTGCAGTGAGCTATGTTCACACCACGACATTCCAGTCTGGGCAACACAGTGGGTCCCTGTCTCAAAAACAAAAACAACAACAACAACAACAAATCTTCAAGTACACAAAGATTATGTCAACATATACATGTGTATCTTCTCTCAGTTTGATATATAATAGCCAAGCTATATTTTAAAAGAACCTAACATGTATTTCTAAATCAAAAACACAGTCCATGCAATTCAGTGTTTGGTCTCAAATGGTTGTACTGGAGAAGGTTGTATTGGAGCCTGAGAGCTTGGCTTGAAGTCTGAAGTTATCTCCATTACACTACACTATGGTTAAGTTTGTCTCTACCCAAACTCATGTTGAAATTGGATCCCCAATGTGGCAAGTTGGGAGGTGGGGCCTAGTAGGAAGTGTTTGGATCAAGGGGGCAGATCCCTCACGAATGGCTTGGTGCTGTTCTTTTGGTAGCCAGTGAGTTCTCAGTCTCACAAGACTGGATTAGTTCTCATGGGGATGTTCCTGCAAGAGAGGGTTGTTATAAAGCCAGGATGCCCCTCTGGTTCTGCCTTTCCACTGGTATCTGCTTCTCCTTTGACCTCCCACCATGTTATGATGAAGCACAAAAGCCTTCACCAGAAGCCCAGCAGATGCCAGCACCAGGCTTCTTGAATTTCCTAGCCTGCAGAAACACGAACCAAATAATCCTTTTTTTGTTGTTGTTGTTGTTGAGACGGAGTCTTGCTCTGTTGCCCAGGCTGGAGTGCAGTGGCGTGATCTTGGCTCACTGCAAGCTCCGCCTCCTGGGTTCACGCCATTCTTCTGCCTCAGCCTCCCGAGTAGCTGGGACTACAGGTACCCAACACCATGCCCGGCTAATTTTTTGTATTTTTAGTAGAGACGGGGTTTCACCGTGTTAGCCAGGATGGTCTCGATCTCCTGACCTCGTGATCCACCTGCTTTGGCCTCCCAAAGTGCTGGGATTACAGGCTTGAGCCACTGCACCCAGCCCTCTTTTCTTTACAAAATACCCGGGTTTGAGTACTCTGTTATAGCAACACTAAATGGACTAAGACATACAACTGGAACCCAAAGTGCATTGATAGTATTTCATGCTTGACACTTACTTGTTTAATAACAGCTCAACCCTAAATTAGGAGAACATGAAGAGGAAAAAGCCAGAGAAATAATTTGGAATTATGCCACAGATTTAACACACAGTTCACTGAACATAGTAAAACTTTCCCATGGAGGAACATAGGCCATGTGTATACAAGTGCAGTTAAATCAAACAGAATTACATTTTTTGGTCCTGGTTGATCCACTGCTGCTTATCTACAAAGCCACAGGATGGCAATAGAGAAATTCCTGTTGTGTAACTATTGTCCAAATGGTTTTATGGAAAAAAAAATGTGGCCAAATGTTTTGGTTCTAGTCCAATTTGCCTGTGATCTGGGCACATTTATGCATTAGGATAGCCCGTATTCATGATGGCTGCAAGTACGTACACCTTTCACTACCTGACTCTATCTTTTTAGCCTCAGCTCCCACACTACTATAACTCTTCCCCCCTTCCAGACTAGGACCTTTTAAAAAAAATAAAAATTGAAGCAAATAATCACTGGATACCTACTATGCACTAGAAGCTGTCCTATGTCCTAGAGTTATAAGAGGGATGGAAACAGATCACTTCTCCATAGAACTTACATTCTAATGAAGGAACACTGTTACTAGACAAGTAAAGGCATAGTGTGTATGGCAGGGATGACCTTCTGTGCACCAAATTTCCAGAGTGGAGTTGTCCCTGGCAGGCAGTAGCCCAGACAGGGACTGCATTTTCCAGCTTCCACTGCAACCAGTTGTGTCCATATGACAAATTCTTACCAATGCAATGTGAGTAGAAGTGATATGTGTCACTTACAGGACAGGCTTTTTTAAGAGCTTGATGTGCCTCCTCCACTTACTATTCTTTCCTTGGTTTCTGCTAGACACAGAGGACTCTGAAGCCCTGAAGGCAGAGCCTCAAGATGGAAGGATCTGAGTGTCTGAATCCCAGGGGAAGGAAAACCAACCCCAATTAGGAACATTAGCATTTAAAATACATACAATGTATTCAACTGCAGAAATGTTGGAGCTGATGTTTACAGGTTCTACCACTAACCTAACTAATATAGTATGTCACATAGCCATAGGCACTATGGAGAAAAATAACACATAGATGAGTAATGACAAATCTGATGGGTGGGGAGAGCTGCTAATCTAAACAAAGTGGTCAAAGAAGACCTCACTGATCCAATGACATGAGCAGAGACTGGAAGGAAGTGAGGAAGCAGGCCAAGTGAAAACTGTTGGGTAAAACTTTGCAGAAAGAAGGAACAGTGAACCTGTGGGTCCTGAGAAGGAAACATGCCTGCTATGTCTAAGGAACATCAAAGAGGCCAGGACGCCTGGAGTGCAGTGAACAATGAGATGGCTTATAGGAGATGAGGTCAGAGAGCAAACAGGTGTCTCATCTCCCAGTGCCTTCTAGGCCATCGTAAGATCTCTGGATGTTATTCTGAATGAGATGGAATGTTGGTGGGGGATTTTGAGCAGAAGAATGACAACATATTCCTATTTACCTTATAAGAAGATTACTGTTGATAGGCTGGGCGCGGTGGCTCACGCCTGTAATCCCAGCATTTTGGGAGGCCGATGGGGGCAGATCACGAGGTCAACAGATCGAGACCATCCTGGCCAACATGGTGAAACCCTGTCTCTACTAAAAATGCAAAAAAAAAATTAGCCGGGCGTGGTGGCATGTGCCTGTAGTCCCAGCTACCTGGGAGGGCTGTGGCAGAAGAATCACTTGAACCCAGGAAGTGGAGGTTGCAGTGAGCTGAGATCGCTCCACTGCACTCCAGCCCGGAGACAGAGTGAGACTCTGTCTCAAAAAAAAAAAAAAAAAAAAAAAAGATTACTGTTGATATTGAGTTGAGACTATGCTGTGCAGGGGTGGAGATGCAAGAGTGGAAGTAGTTAAGAAGCTGATATAATAATCCAGGAAGCGGAACTAGTGGCTTGGACTAGGGTGTTGGCAATAGAGATGACAAAAATGGTCAGATTTGGGGCATTTATTGAGTATGAAGATGACAGGGTTTGGTGATGGATTAGATGTGAGGGTGGGAAAATGTGAAGAACAGGCTTGAAGGTAAATGATAAGCAGTTCTAAGTTTGAGGTACCTTTCAGAGATCCAAATGGAAACATCAGGTAGACAGATTTTTGAGCCTAGAGTTCAGTGAAGAGATCCAGGCTAGAAAAGAAAGCAGGGAAAAGGAAGTAATCAGTGTATTATGATATTTAAATCTATGAGACTAGGTAAGATCATCTAAGAAATAAATACACATACAGAAAGGACAGGTCCAGGGACTAAGCCCTGAGACCCTCTGTTATCATTTGGAGGCTGGTGAGAAGAGGATAGAGCAAAGGAGACTGAGGAAGAGGAGCCCATGAAAAAGAAGAAACATTCGGAGAATTTTGGTCTCCGACGGAAATAAAGAAAGTGTTTCAAGGAAGGAGAATGATCAATTATATCGAATATTGTTAATAGGTAAGTAAAATGAAGATTGGATTTCCTGTGGGATTTAACAACATACAGGTCTTGGTTAGTGAAAAGAAAAATTTCAGGGAAGTGATTGGGGAAGTAACTGATTAGAATAGGTTTAAGAAAGAATGGAAATAAGCTCAACTAAAACTGACAACGACACATCTTTAGTGAAGTTTTGCTATAACTGGGAGTAAGGTAACAAGGATGTCTCTAGGTATGTGGGGTCAAGAGAGAGTTGATTTTTTTTTTAAGATAGGAGATATTGCAATATATTTCAGGTTGATGGAAATAATTTCATAGAGGGGGAAATTAATGATGGAGGAAAGGACCAGAAAAAGACTACTGGAGCCATGTCCTTGAAGAGGGGAAAGACAATATGCACAGGTAAAGAAGATGGTTTTTGATAGGAGCAGGGAGAGCTCATGCGTAGCAGTGGGAGGGAACGTAGAGTCTATGGGCTCAGATGCAGGCTTGTGGAAAGATGCAGTGTGAGACAGTGTGGAGTCTCTTGCGGCTGCTTCTATTTTCTCATTGACCTCAGAGGCTAAGCTGTCATCTGAGAGTGAGGGTGCCGATCTTGGTGTTTTGAGGAGAGAGTAGAAAGTGTAGAATGGTTTAGGAGCATGGGGAAATGAATGGACTAGGAAAGTGTTGTAGGATGGCCTGGCTGCCCTGAGAGCTCCCTTGCATCTAGTGGTCCCAAATAAGACCAGAGCACATGGATATGTCCCCTTGTCCAACCAAAGGCAGCTGCTCAAGCATAAGGCAGAGTAGACAGGCTGCAGCAAATCAGAGTTGAGGGTTATTGAGTCTTTAAGATAAAGTTAGAGACGGGTGAGGACATTGAGGGTCTTTACCAGAAAATGATGTTAATGATGACTCATGGGATTTAATTTGGGCAACTAAGGTTACAAAGGAAGTGAGACACAGTGAGAGGCTGGAGGGTTTGAGGAATTCCTGGCCCTGATATGATAAAATAATTATTCAAGTCAAGGTACTAGAGGCCATAATCTGGAAGCATGTGATCTGGGCTGGAGGGTGGGTGGACTGGCAGTGAGGCAGCCACATCAGATGACTGACCATTCCCTGAAGCTCAAGGCATTTCAAACTTACTTTGAAATTTACTCTTGCTATTCCTTTCATTGGGATAATTTTGAATCTCTTTTTTGGTTCTTACTCATTCCTCAAGGCCTAGGTCAGATGATACCTCCTCAGGCAGCCTCCCCTGATCCTCCAAATCAAAATTAATTGCCTTCTCTACTGTGCTCACATAATGTGTCTTACTCACTTTTAATATGAAGCTCATCACACTGTATCATCATCTGTTTACTAGTCCTGCTCTCCACAGCTCACGATTTTGAAGAGGACAAGAGAACATTCCGCTCACCTCCTGGCACATTCCCAGTGCATGGCCAAGAGGCTGGCTCACAGCTGACTCATCACCACCCCCTCCCCAGGGGCTGTAGCCTCTACTGCCCTCCTTTAATCCATTTTCCAGACTGCAGTGAAAGTGATTTCCTGAAAAGTATAAATTAGATCATGTTATCCCTCTGCGTTGAACCCTTAATAGACTTTCCAATTGCTCTTCCGATGAAGACCAAATTCTTTCCATGGGATACGTTGCCCTGCAGGATTCGGCTTGCATTTGCCTCTCTGGCTTCACTGCGCACCAGTCTCCCTCCGCGCCTTCCTCTCCAGCTACCCTAGCCTCCTAGGACTTCCAAAGTGCAGTGTTTTCCCTGAAACCAGGTCTTGTCGAGTGTCCTCCCTGCAATCAGAGTCTTCTCAAGTGCATTTCCCTCAGTCTGGTGCTCTTCTTCCTCTTCAGATAGCAAATCAGATACCACCTCCTCAGGGATGCTTTCACTGAGCCCCACGCTGGGTGCAGACGCCTTATTACACACGCGTGAAGGACCCTAACCTTTGTCACACCGCTTAGTAGCACGCATAATTACATGGATCACATGTGTGGTTGTTTAGATTCATGCTTGCTCCCATGCTAGTCTGGGAGCCCCGTGAGGACAATGACCACAGGGCTTTTGGTCTTTACTGAATTCCCAGCACCCAACGCAGTGCCTGACTCATGAAAGCACTTCATAAATATTTCCTCACTGAACGTATTAAATTAATAAATAGACGGGTCTAATGTTTTACTTAATATTCATAAAATATAACAAATTTGGTTCCCCAAGTACTTATAGTTCCTGTACCAAAATAGAATGCAATCAAATCCATCACACATCACACTCACACACACACACCAGGTTTAATGAGTTTTCACACAAGTCTTTAAAAAATATAACCAGACATGTCACACTGTGATTTGTAACTTACAAGCTAGGCCTAATTATTAAAATGAAGATGACGTCTATGTGGCTAAACCAAGTGCCATCCCCACGTGAATGTGAGTTATCAGGAAACCTAGTTGCTCCACATATTTCAGAGCACACCTCAGGGCCCGAATCAATGCTCATTTGGCTGGGTGCGGTGGCTCATGCCTGAAATCCCAGTACTTTGGGAGGCCGAGGCAGGCAGATCACCTGAGGTCAGGATGTCGAGACCAGCCTGGCCAATATGGTGAAACCTCGTCTCTACTAAAAAGACAAAGATTAGCTGGGCATAGTGGCAGGCGCCTGTAATCCTAGCTACTTGGGAGGCTGAGGCAGGAGAATCGCTTGAGCCCAGGATGTAGGGGTTGCAGTAAGCTGAGATCACATCATTGCAGCACTCCAGCCTGGGCGACAGAGCGAGACTCCGTCCCCAGAAAAAAAAAAAAAAATGCCCATTAGAGTTCCTCAACATAAAAGATGGCCAATATAATCAAAGGCAAGTCTATGTTTTGGGAGTGGATTCAATGAACAGTCATTCCCTAAGCCTGTCCCATAAAGTGGAAAGTGGGCTCTACTTGTCACTTTCCATATCTTAACAGAATTTTCCAGACTATAAACACTAGCATGGTAAGAAAAAATATATCGTCTCATTAGGGAAAATACCCATTTGCTCACTTTCTCTCTCCTATATACCAGAAGTGTAAATAATAGGCATATATAAGTGTGCAAAATAGGCAAAATAATAGTCATATATAACAATATATTTATATTTCAATTTTTAGTTGTTTTTTAATCAAGAAATGCAATAAGAATACAGAAATCCCATAAATTGTTTTCCCATTTAAAAATAATTCTGGCCAGGTGCAGTGGCTCACATCTGTAATCCCAGCACTTTGGGAGGCTGAAGCGGGTGGATCACGAGGTCAGGAGTTCAAGACCAGCCTGGCCAAGATGGTGAAACCCCGTCTCTACTAAAAATGCAAAAAATTAGCCAGGCATGGCGGCACACGCCTGTAATCCCAGCTACTCAGGAGGCTGAGGCAGAGATTTGCTTGAACTCGGGAGGCAGAGGTTGCAGTGAGCCGAGATCGCACCACTGTACTCCAGCCTGGGCGACAGAGTGAGACTCCATCTCAAAAAAAAAAAAAAAAAAAAAAAAAAAAAAAAATCCTACCAACTACTTTGAAGAAATGTTTTAACTTTCATAATAGAAATTGTTAAACAAAAGTAAAGATAGCCTAATGAACCTCCTTCACCTGCCACCAGGCTTCAGTAATTGTCAACATTCTGCCAGTATTCTTTTCTCAGAAGAAATTTAAGAAGGGTGGAACCACAGGTCAAATTCAAGGAGTTGCTCAGCAGAGTTGCCCAAGACAATCTCCCCCCTCATTTTTCTTCATCTCCTCCACCAGCCCTTCTCTGACCCAACCAGGGATCAACTGCTTTTTGTGAACCAGATGAACTGTGCTTTGAACCATCACCATGGCAAATAGAAGAGGGTTTCTCATAACCCTGGTTAGGACATCTCCAAAGTCATGTTACTCTCTAGCACAAGACTCGTATCAGAAGCATCTTGGGATGACTCTGACATAAATATATTCAAGATCAATTTTAGAAATTGACGTACTACTCTGAGTCTGATACAGACATCCCTGTGACTCATAATTTCTTTTTTTGCCCAGGCTGCTTTATCAATACATGGAAAATGTAGTTCAGTCGCAGCTGCTAAAATTTACAAATATACTTCTATTTTGTGATGCTGTGTTTGAACTGATGTTGGTAATGTTACTGTTTTTATGTTCATGGGCAGTCTAATAATTTTTATATTTTGACTCATGTTAGAAATTACTCAACTCTGACTATTATCTTGATTTTTCCATCATTTTTGGTCAAGCATATTAACAATTTGGCTTGACTAAAGGAAGCTAGAAATGAATATAAGAAACACCAAGCCTTAGAGTAACTCAAGAAGGAAATAGACTTTCTGCATTGTTCCAAGGGAAAAGAGGAGACATTGGAACTTATGTTGAACTTGGTCTAGTAACCACAATAAAAGTGGTTACTCTGCTCTGAACTTGGAGTCCACAGCACCCATGGCTGGACTTTCTACCCTGAATTCAGTCCCTTAATGACTGAGCTTGCTGGCAGGCACCCAGTGTCTCAGCTGAAGATTACACCTCAGACCCTAAACTCTCCTAGCTCCCTAATTTCTCATTTTGGTTAAGTATGCCTGCAGAGACGACTTGCACTAATTCCCACTTAGACATACCCAGATTTGAGACTACATCCACTTTTCTTAACATACACATGTCCTTACCCCCCCTTAAAAAATGCTGACCTAGTTTAAGTTGCCATCCAAAATTTTTCTTATGTAAATCCCTACTACTACACACAACTGAGCCTTTATCACCTCTTAAAGTCCTCCAGGACTTTGCAGATATAGTCCATCTCATAAACTCCTTAGTCTTAGATAACCTAAGGCTCAGAACATCCTACGTCCTAATGAGGGTATCTCCAACTTCTGCTCATTTGTTCATTCAACCACTGGTAACATGTTCAAGGCACTAGAAGCTGTTATCAACCCACATACTTACAGTCCTGTAGAGGCAGAGACTTTGACACAGAAGGATGATACCTTGAGAAGTGTTAGCTCTTTTCCACCTGACTTTCCATTAATGACATGCCATAAACCTCCTCTTGACACCTAGCTCCAGCATGCTTCTTGCGGCTTTCTGAGTGAATCTTGGATAACATTGCTTTGCCCAGGAAGGTAACCTCACAAATAGGCTGTTCCTATTTCCACACATCTCAAATTCATCTAGTATGAAGCTTCAGAAATGACACCTGACATGGCAGATGTTCCTCTAAGCATCCCCATGGATGTCATAAACCCTCACCCCCAACCCTTCAGTCTCTCAGAGGTTCTAACACTTGCTTCATGCTAGTGAACTCAGGCATGTTCTTCATCTCTCTGAACCTCAAGAAGCAAATAACATTTTCCAGTGCACGTGGGAGAGGCAGGGGATGATGAATGAAGCAGCAGGCGCAGAGACCCCCACTGAGTGGCAGAGGTACTGTGAGGCTGCCTTTCTGACAATAACCCAGGTCTAGTGGGACTGGAGCCCCCAACAAAAACCGAGGGCAGATCCTAGAGGAGCACCATTCTTTATCTTCTTCTCAAGATTGGGAGGGACACGCTGTTCACACTAAACTCTGCATCTGGAATTTGGGCCTAGACATGCCACAAAGCCTTCTCCTCTTTCATGGCTCTGCTTCTTTCCAGACCACAGCAGCAATTGTCTCAAGAAACTCTGGCCATCCCTGTTGAGGGACCCAGGCAACAAGGCAAGTTTCTGGTTTTTTGGAGCTTCCAAGCCCTCGCTGAAACCATCTCTACCACCTTAAAAGCTTTAGCTGGCACGCTTAGGAAAGTCTTACGAAGTACATAGAGATTTCTTGGATCATTTTCAATTACTAAAGGAAGGTACCAATTGTTAAAGAAAACAAAAAATTACCCACAATGACTGTGAAGTCTTTTTATTCCCCACTCTAGGTAATTTGTTCTGATTACCACCGTTCCAAAAGACAAGATTACACACCAGTGAAGCAAAGAGATAAAAGGGGGAAATCTGTTCCCTGCTGAGGCCGTATCAGAGCTCAACCCGTGTTTGGAAGCAAAGGCAATTTTTTTTTCAGCCCTAATGAAGCCTTGTTAACTATGAACCCTGGGGCTGAACTGATCTAGTGAGAGGAGTTATTTGGTGGGTGGTGGAGGGGGTTTAACAGCGGATTGGTACATTCAGAGATTATTATCATTCTTATCTTTCTTCTTAAAGCAAAAGAACTTAAATATGTACTAAAAACTGTTCTCACTGGGGTATAGAAAGGAATTGGAAGAACAAAATTGAAGTCCATCATCTCCTTCAGACAGAAATATATATGACCCACATTTGTAAGAGACAGACTACGCCTTGCTTCTTTCTCCCCCCTATGTTGCCAGTTCTCTTTGTCAGCAACTCTCTTGTCCTACTGGGATAACGTTTTAACTGTGGTACATAGGTTAGAAGCACACTATTTGTTTACAAGGGGATAAATGGTTGTTGCAATTACCGTAAAAAGCAGCAAACAAATGACCTTCAGGACTTGCCAGGAAAAGCAGTGGGTCTTTCTATGTGTTGAAACAATCTGGGCTCCACTGATGGTAAACACGAGGCAGAGACATGGATCTGGATGTGTCCTCTGGGGAGGGGGCAGGGATTGACACAGTTACAGAATTTGATCCACCCCATATTCTTCCCTTGGAGTTTAATTTCCATATAACTGAAAACATCTGAAGCAAACAGAGAGAAGCACTGCTGGACAGACCCATATCACAAGAGTAGGCAAAAAAAAAAAAAAAAAAAAGGAGCTCAAACACAACAGCTAGGTGTTTGATGTCATTCAATGATTCAGTTATGACTTAAGCGAGCTTCGGAAGTCGTGCGTCAAATGATAACCTGCATGAGAGAACTCAGTATAGAGCTGGCCTCAAGCACAAGGACATAGTTCTACAACTACAGACCCTAAAAAAAATTCATCATGGAAAAAAAAATAATAGAATTTTTCCCCTGGAGAAGCTTATGTTTAGATATTAGATACGTAAAAGACTGAACTATTTGTATAACCTCTAAGATTCTTTCCAGCTCTACAATTCACTGCATACATAAATGGGAAATGTTTAGGCCCAGGAGGCATACCAATGTGTACAAGTATACTGTTATTCATTTGATTCTTGCCCCGTATGCTTTACAGAGTCTAATTATCTAAATGAGATTTGGTTAAATAAAAATTGATATTTCTGTATGACAAGTATATATTTACATAAAAGGCAATACATATCCCCACAGTTTTCATTAAAATGGAAAAATAAAACGTATTTTAAAAAGTAATTGGAGAAGTTTTAGAAAGCACCTGGTTGAGGATTTCTTTGTTTTACAAATGAGGAATCTCAGGGAATCTTGGAGGTCTGTTCCTTCCAGGCCTCATTCCAGGGAGGGGCAGATTTGGAACTAGAGCCCAGGCCTCCAGGCTCTCACGCCTCTGTGGTCCGTGGTCCGTGGTCCGGGGCTTAGGTTGGCCGGTAGGGGTAGGGTAATAAATCTCATTCGCCAAATGAGGAAACAGCGTCATCTAGTGGAAATTTATCAGCGTATTCTAGACATGCTGTTATCCCTAGCTCTGCTGTCCCTAATTTCCCAAGACAACATTTCTGGACCATTTTCTCTCCCCCATGTTTCCAAAGCCCAAGAATCTCCCAGTGGGGCCCCCTCCTACAACCTCCTCACCCCACAGCATATTTCAGTCTCTTCTCTGCCAAACTTTCCAACATAGCCCCAGGAATCAATCATTTGCCTCAAGGGCCACCGGGGCTGTTGTCCTTTGAGTGTTTTTTGTTTCAAGTTTTCATCAAAATAACCCTGTTAACCACGGCTTCAGGCCTTTACCAAATGGTGTGGCAAATCAATTCCATCATTTATGAAGATCCAGATAGATACTGCTTTTCATTCAGCCACACTGAGATGATCCTTGTTTTTCCCCTGCTACCATCAAGTTAGGACACTTTGGTTGCTTTTGAAATAATTCATCAGGGAATTTCCCAGGACAGTTCTGTGACCAAGCATGTGGACAAGCTTCAGTCAAAACTTAGGAGGTATTAAATAGAAAACAAAACATGTAACAAGTAATTATCCCATATGATAAATGTTCCATTATGAGAAAGCACAAAGGGAAGGGGGAAATTCATTCTGCTGAGGTTAGAAAAAGCTGCATGCAAGAGGAAACACTAGATCTGAGTTTTGAAGGAGATAGATGGGCCTTTGATTTCTAAAGAAATGGGTGTGGTATGCTAGGCAGGGGGAACAGCAGAAGCAAAGGTCAGGAGTCCTGAGAGTACAGCATGTGATAAAGGATCAGGGCCCAAGAAGATGGGTGGGAAGTGATGTGGAAGGCAGTTCAGGACTGGAACAGAAAGATGCTTAGATGCCATCGCAGAAAACTTTTTTTTTTTTTTTTGAGACGGAGTCCCACTCTGTCACCCAGGCAGGAGTGCAATGGTGCGATCTCAGCTCACTGCCACCTCTGCCTCCCAGTTTCAAGCGATTTTCCTGCCTCAGCCTCCTGAGTAGCTGGGATTACAGGCACACACTACCACGCCCAGCTAATTTTTGTATTTTTAGTAGAGATGGAGTTTCACCATGTTGGTCAGACTGGTCTCAAACTCCTGACCTCATGATCCGCCCACCTTGGCCTCCCAAATTGCTGGGATTACAGGTGTGAGCCACCACGCCTGGCCGAAAACTTGGATTTTAGATGCAATTAGACACTATCAAATTATGGGCCACAGCAAAAAAACTGTGTTTGAAGTCTCCAGGTAATAAAGTACTTTATTCATCCCAGCTGTTTTGAAGCTACTTTCTACATAAAATGGTTCCCTTATTTCATGGCTTGTGAAACAGGCTCTGAAAATGAATTATTTGTCAATGCAGGGACAGGAACTCAGATCTGTTGGCTCCCAGTCCATTTCTTCATAGTAAAGAGCTAAGAGCATGAAATGCTTATTAGAATAATTAAAAATTTTTAAATTAGAAAATCTTGTAGGTCTTCCTCTGATTTTTGTTCCTGTATAAATCCTCTAAAAGTATTAAATATATGTAATTGTCTTTTAATCATATCCCCCCATCCAATCCGAGTCTGCTATATAAATGAGAAAATAATCCAATAGGCAATCTATTTGAAAGCACTAATACGAGAAACAGAAAATTTTCAGACTAAAAGAGATGATAAAAGAGGCAAATGTAAACCACCATGGACTGAAGAATACAACATGAGAGAAGCAAAAGCTTTGTAAAGATTTCTAGGAAATTCTGATTCCATTGGTTTCATGAGGACATCAATCACACTGATGTTGTTACCGAAACACCAAGGGTTCAGTCTAGGTCCTGCTGCTGGCTGCACAGAAAACCAATCACTGAGATGATGACATGCCAAGGAAGAAGGCTTTAATTGGGTGCTACATCCTAGAAGATGGGGGCTCAGTCTCAAATCCATTTCCCTGGCCAGGCATGGTGGCTCATGCCTGTAATCTCAACACTTTAAGAGGCTGAGGCAGGCAGATTGCCTGAGGTCAGGAGCTTGAGACCAGCCTGGCCAACATGGTAAACCCCATCTCTACTAAAAATACAAAAATTAGCTGGGCATGGTAGCACACACCTGTAGTCCCAGCTACTTGGAAGGCTGAGGCAGGAGAATAGCTTGAACCTGGGAGGCGGAAGTTGCAGTGAGCTGAGATTGCACCACTGCACTCCAGCCTGGGTGACAGAACAAGACTCCATCTCAAAAAAAAAAAAAAAAATCCATTTCCCTTATCAACTGAAACGTGGGTTTATATAGCAGGGAGAAAAATGTAACAATGTGTAAGAAAACAGGAACTAGGGAGGGGCAAAGAAGAAATCATGACGAATGAGGGGTCAGGCATCTCATTGTCTGGATCTGGTGACTTCGTGAATTTCAGTCCTTTGATACTTTTTTTGAGAGGTATGAAAGTCCTTTCATAAGAAAGGAACTCAGATAAAACGAATATTAGTTTCAAGCTTTAAGACTAGAAAGGTCAATTTCTATGTTTATCAAAAAGAACTGTCTATGGGACCATTGGGTCAGTTTTTTTGTTTTGCTTTGTTTTGTTTTTTGAGACGGAGTCTTGCTCTGTCACCCAGGCTGGAGTGCAGTGGTGAGCTCTCCGCTCACTGCAAGCTCTGCCTCCCAGGTTCATGCCATTCCCTGGCCTCAACCTCCCGAGTAGCTGGGACTACAGGCACCCGCCACCACACCTGGCTAATTTTTTTTTTTTTTTTTTTTTAAGCAGAGATGGGGTTTCACCATGTTAGCCAGGAAGGTCTCAATCTCCTGACCTCGTGATCCACACGCCTCGGCCTCCCAAAGTGCTGGGATTTTAGGCGTGAGCCACTGCGCCCGGCCAGGGTCGGTTTTGATGTCAGAAAAGGATAGTACGTAGATGTCATTAAAAGACAATCATGGCAACCAACTCTAACTTGGTTATTTAGAGGCCAGCATTTCTTTCTTTCTTTCTTTCTTTTTTGAGATGGAATCTCGCTCTGTCTCCAGGCTGGAGTGCAGTGGTGCGATCTTGGCTCACTACAACCTCTGCCTCTGGGTTCAAGTGATTCTCCTGCCTCAGCCTCCCGAGTAGCTGGGACTACAGGTGTGCCACCACACCCAGCTAATTGTTGTATTTTTAGTAGAGACAGGGTTTCACCATGTTGGCCAGGATGGTCTCAATCTCTTGACCTCATGATCCACCCACCTCAGCCACCTGAAGTGCTGGGATTATAGGCATGAGCCACCGCGCCCGGTCAGCATTTCTTTGTAAGAGCTTTCTAGGTCAGGTGCAGTGGTTCATGCCTGTAAACTCAACACTTTGGGAAGCCAAGGCGGGGGAGATTACTTGAAGCTAGAGTTCAAGATAAACCTGGGCAACAAAATGAGACCCCATCTCCACAAAAATAAAAAGACAAAAACATTAACCAGGTGTGGTAGCACATGCTACTTGGGAGGCTGAGGTAGGAGGATGGCCTGAGCCCAGGAGTTCAAGGCTACAGTGAGCTATGATCACACCACTACACTCTAGCCTGGGTGACAGAACCAGACCCAGTCTCTAAGAAATGAAAGAAGGAAAGAAAGAAAAGAAGGAGAGGGAAGGGGGAAAGAGGGGGGAGGGGAAGAACGTTGTTTCCGAAATTGGTCAGTGTTTCCTATTCCTGCTTTGCTTATACAAGCAGAGTATCTCCTTGCTAAAATCTTGACTCAAAAGGCAACCCAGCCACTCCTGCTCTTGTTTCTCTTATTAGCTATATTTATTCAATTGCCAGGTCTTGCAAAACTCTACTCCATTTTCCAGGCCTTGGCAATAGATAATACAAGATATGTGTCTGGGCTGACATTTTTATCCAAATGAATGCCAGATATTTCACAGAGAGCTAAAAGCTAAAATCATATGATGTGGTGCACTGGCCAATGTGGTTACTGCAGTATTTCATGTCAAGGCTAGCATTCCATTCATCATTCATCAAGTGAACACCCAGTGGGATAAGGAACAAAATGGACTGTCATGCTTCTGAAGCTGCCAGACCACAAAGGACAACCAAACTTATACAGCTTCTCCTTGGCACAGCTCAAGAGTCAACTCATAGATATGGGTGTGTCCTTTCCAAATTCTCCCAGAAAAGTAGTAGCCCAGGCTGACCGCAGGGAGGTGGGAATGACCTGAAGTTGGGCTGCCTCCCCAGCTTTCTGTTCCCATGCAGCCAGCTACCCTGGCACCCTGCCCTTCTCTGAATCACCTCTGCAGACTCTACTGCTCTTGGAAGCCCAGATTATATCTCCAACATCCACACTGGACCTCTGTCTGTTGTCAACAGAGCCAGATGACCATGGAACCCACAAGCTGGAGAACTTGGTCTCCATACTTGGCTTTCTGAGAGAGTGTTGGCTCTGTGGTTTTAACTGCTTAACAAATAAGAAGTGAAAACTCTACACATTTAGAAAAGAGGGTGGGTCTGACTGGACTGAGATTCTGGGTCTGCTGAGAGCCCTGGCTTAGATGCAAGTACACTACATGGCAAAGCTGTTGGACCTCAGGTGGCTGTGAAAAGGTAGGAGCCGTTACCAGGGAAAACTGATCACATTCATCAGAGCCACCTTCGGGGAGAAACATGCATGGGAAACAAGTTCAACTGAACAATTGTAAAAAATCAGAACATAAATGGACACCTACCATGAGCCTGGCATTGTGCTAGGCAATGATCATGGTCCTGTTCTTATGAAACTTGCAGGTGACAGAGCAAAAAAAATAATAATAATCTAGTCTAGAGTCCAAATCAGAAAGTGCCTCTTAGAGGAAGTAGTATTTAAATAGAGACTAAGAAAAAAAGAGGTAGAAGGAACCACAATTGTTAAGGCACAAGAATAAAGAGATGAATCCCGGATTTTTGATTGACCTAGACAGGGCTGCTGTTCTGAAGAGCTGAGATTCTGTCTGCCACTATGCCATTATACGGGCTGCTGAACTGTACAAAATATGGTCCCAAAACTTCATTCGAGTTTGGCTAGTACATGTCTCAGGAGCATCTTAGAAGGGGTATTACGATATCTCAGGTATCTGCAAATTATGGCTCACCACCTGAATTTGTAAATAAGTTTTATGAAAATACAGCCATGGCCATTCATTTACATATTCTCCATGGCTGCTTTTGTACTACAATGTCAGAATTGAGTAGCTGCCAGAGAGGAAGTGTGCCCCATAACACCTATATTTTCTATCTGGCTCTGTATAGAAAAAGTTTGCCATCTGTATTAGTCCATTTTTACACTGCTATAAAGATACTACCCAAGACTGGGTAATTTATAAACAGTGGAGTTTTAATTAACTCACAGTTCCACGTGACTTGGAGAGGCCTCAGGAAACTTACAATCATGGCAGAAAGGGATGCAGGCTCCTTCCTCACACAGTGGCAGGAGAGAGAGACCATGTGTGAAAGAGGAACTGTCAAACACTTATAAAACCATCAGATCTCGTGAGAATTCATGCAGTATCATGAGAACAGCATGGGGGAAACCACTCTCATGACCCAATCACCTCCCACTTGGTCCTCCCTCGACAATCCCTTATGAGGATTACAATCTGAAATGAGATTTGGGTGGGGACACAGAGCCAAACCATATCACCATCCCCTGCCGCAGCTGATAGAGACTGCAGGAACTGAGTTCATGAAATGTTAGGATAGGGTTCTTGAGTAGATTGCAGCCATGCCAACTAGGCCTCATGCCAAACATTAGATACTTAAGACAGTCAAGGATAAGCAACTTCACAGGGTCACATGCTGGCCCTGAGAGATGGAGAGCCTGATGAACCCTTCCACGACGTGGCATCCGCATATTTGTGGAGGGCACCAATATCAGGCTCAGAAAATTATATCCACCTTTCAATAAACAGCCCACCACTCCAGCATGATTTCACAATAACACTCCAATCAATGAGTCCATTTTTCTTTTTCTACAACTGCAAATGCCTTCCTACAATGGACAAGCTGGACTGGAACCCCTGGCATGATGGCTACAGTGAAGGTGGAAGCTGGTGGAGACAGAGCCATTGCTTCTGACAGAGGCTGAGGGACTGCCTCTCTGAAAGATAGCTGTATGGTAGGATAATTCAGACTGCAGCAGGGGCAGCTCGAGATAAGACACAATGACATGGTTTTCCTACAGACCACTGGTTTCCTCAAGCAGGAGGAAATGGGGTCCATGTCTCCCAAGAAGTAGAAGTGGAGGCTGACTGACCACACCTTAGTCCATGAAGCAACCCAACATCTCCAATTCTAGCACTTCAGTGCAATGGTAATCACCTCTTACTGAGACCGAGAGCTGGGGTACAATGCAGGGAGGAGCAGTGAGGTAGGAGAACCTCCCAGGACTAGGCACTGAAAACGGGAACTTTACCCAGCAAAGGCTGGCCACCCAATATGCCAATGGGCCCATATTGTGGGTGTCAGAAGGTTGTGGACACTTATAGGCAAAAAGAGAATCCCCCTGTGAGAGGAGGAAAAGAAGGGAATCATGTCTGGAGGGGGCAGGAATGAATGGTCAAGAGGGGTTTTATTCTCATAATATGAGCTTTAGGAAGACTGGGACATTCAGGGCATTGGGGCTCTCTCAGGAGACCTTTCCAGAGCATTCCCTGTAATGCCAGTTTGCATTGTATTTTTATTTCAAGGTTTCATGACTTGGCAGTGCATCCATCCTCCCCAACGAGCCTCTGGCTGGTATTGTTGGCCATCTCTTGCCAGGGGGATCCATGGTGTTCTGTGATGCTAGAAGTGGCTGTCTGCCCTATAACTAGAAAGTTCCTATAAGCCACAGGCAGAGTCTCTCCCCTCCTCATCTCCAGCCAGCAGTGGCCACTATCCAACAGAGGAGGGTGGGAAGCACATCCATCGTGTTCTCTTGAACTTAGAACACTCAGCTCTGTGAAACCAGCCAGGATTGATGGTGGACTCCCCGGCAAGGACCATGTTCCAGCCACAGCCACAGCCACAGCCACAGCCACAGCCACAGCCACAGACAAGAAGTTAATGATAAATTCACACTACTGGCAATGAAGGGATTGAATATCTGAACTCCCCTCCTAGAAAAACAAGAGCCTGCGTTGTCAGACACAGGCCAAGTAGGACCAAGAGTGATTTGGTGCTGGCCCATGGATCATGGAGCTGAGGATGAGCAAGGCCAGACTGAACACCAAGCAGGCAGTCCACATGAAACAGCCATTGCCAAGGACAACGCAGAAACACGATCCATAAATATTGCAGGCAGGAAGTTAGAAATCAGAAATGCTAGATGAGTGCTAGAAGCTAGAGCTAAGAAAGAACCCCCAGAGCTGCTGGTACATAGCTGTGGCCTTCTCTGTAGGTCAGCGGGCAGGCTCTCAGGGCAGGTCAGGCCAGGCACCTGGTGAATCATGGCCTGTTAACACTACCAGCCATCCTGGGTGTTAATGAGAAGCAAAAACTGTAGTTTCCAGTTGAGTATGTTATGCAAGGTTGGACAGAGTTCTGGCTTGTGAATTGGGCCACTTGAGTCCATTTCTTACTTACCAGGGACAAGCAATTTCTAACCCCAGTCTTCATGATCTCTGACATAGAGATTCAGCCTCAAGGGGAAGGTAAGATGATGAAGTCAAGAGTGTCTGGAGGTCACCTGTAGTGAGCCGCTTGGAGAAATATTTTATATTATTGAGCTGTCAGATTTTTTAAATCTGCAGCCAACATTTCAGGTTGCTGATGAGAGTCCACATATATTTAGTGTAAAAGGCTTTGCAATAGGAGTCAGAAAATCTGACTCTGGCTCTGCCACTGATTAAATTCTCCAATTTCCAGTCTGTGGTGTCTTCCAGAACTAATATCCTACAATTATTCATAAATCAAGCTGCATATTGTGATGAAGGATGCTGGCAAAAGACAGGCCCATATGGGCGCGTATAATCCCCCTAAAGTCAATTATTAATGAAGTCTTCAGCTGGCAGATGCTGTAGGCAAGGACTGGTCTGGTGCCAACAATGTGATCTTCTGTTCCCATTTACAAATCAAGGCTATTGTAATCAATAAAGCCTTGTTAAACATTACTAAGGGAGTGGGCAAATGGTGCAGAGTTAATAACCTCTTACACATGCTATTGTGTTTTTTTCTTGATCCAAAATGTCCTCTTCTCTCTCTGCTGAATCTTTTTTCTGCTGCAATAGATGCTTGCACTAAACATACTCTAATTCAGTTACCTCTAATATTAGGCATTATTTATTTATCATTTATGCTACAATTCAGAGAAAGCCATTTCACACTGATGCCTGGAACTGGCCCCAGTTTTGTTGCTAGAATAATAATTAGGGGTTTAGCCAGCTTAAGTGAATTGGAAAGCTTTTGATATTTTAGAGAAGACCAAGAAATGTTAACTAAATTATTTATTGTCTCATGGTGAAAGCTACTCATTGAACAACTATATGATGCATTTTGGTATTTGTTTGAGTTAGAAAAATCATTGTCCATGGCCAGGCGCGGTGGCTCACGCCTGTAATCCCAGCATTTTGGGAGGCCAAGGCAGGCAGATCACTTGAGGTCAGGAGTTCAAGACTAGCCTGGCCAACATGGGGAAACCCTGTGTCTACTAAAAATACAAAAAGTAGCTAGGCATGGTGGTGCGCCACTGCAATCCCAGCTAGTTGGGAGGCTGAGGCGGGAGAATTGCTTGAACCTGGGAGGCGGAGGTTGCAGTGAGCGAGATCGTGCCACCGCACTCCAGCCTGGCAACAAAGCGAGACTCTGCCTCAAAAAACAAAAAAAAGTAAAAAAGAAAAATCATTGTCCACTAATGGTACAAAAAATTTAGATTGGGGCTGGACACGGTGGCTCACACCTGTAATCCCACCACTTTGGGAGGCTGAGGCAGGTGAATCATTTGAGGTCAGAAGTTTGAGACCAGCCTGGCCAACATGGCAAAACCTCATCTCCACTAAAAATACAAAAATTAGCTGGGCGTGGTGATGCGTGCCTGTAATCCCAGCTACTCAGGAGGCTGAGGCAGGAGAATTGCTTGAACCCAGGAGACAGAGGCTGCAGTGAGCCAAGATCGTACCACCGTCCTCCAGCCTGGGCGACAGAGTGAGACTTTGTCTCAAAAAAAAACAAAACAAAACAATTCTCTAGATTGATGTTCTGTATTCAGTTGAAAAAGTGGAGGATGAATTTGGACCAGACTGCCCAGTGGAATCTCGCTCATCGGGACTCCACTATCTGAATATCTGATTACTTTGATTTTTGAAGATGCAACATTAACTTTGTACTTTCATGCAGAAAGTGCCTTGGTAATGCTAGAAACAGCTAACCCATACACAGAGCTTGCTTGTGCCTTCCCCCATCTAACATCTTTACATACACTAACCTGCTTAATCCTTACAACAACCTTAAGAGACACATGCTACTAACACTTCCAGTTTACACATGGGAAAATTGAGAAGGTAACAATATTGTCTCATAAACGGTAAACCCAGGCAGCCTCATTCCAGGATCCCAGAACTTAGCCCATTTGTCCCTAATGTACATTTGCATTTTGTTTTTGTAGAGAGCCTGTCATAGGCTGAAACTTCACTTATTTAGAAACAGAGAATTCGTGTTTTCTAACAGCACCAGAGGATCTTGGCGTTGATAGGATCCACAGAGACGTTCGGTCCAATCCCTGCCACATCCCCTCAAGGGGAGCAGCCATCTTCCCTGTCCTCAACCTAGGAACAGGGACTCACTACATACATCCTGTAGCACTCTTCTCCCATCTCAGAGAGCTGGGACCATTGGAAATGGCTTTCTTTCCTTAAGCTGAAATGGGCTTTTTCTTTTTCATTTTTCTTAGAGACAGGATCTCACTGTCACCCAGGCTGGAGTGCAGTGGCCAATCTTGGCTCACTGCAGCCTTGAACTCTTGGGCTCAAGCAATCCTCTTACCCCAGCCTCCCAAGTAGCTGGGATTACTATGCCAGCTAATTTGTAAGATTTTTGTAAAGATAGGGATCTCATGATGGCTGGTCTCAAACATCTAAACTCAAGGGATTCTCCCACCTCGGCCTTGCCTAATGATGGGATTACAGGCATAAGCCACGGCCCCCAGCCTGAAATATATTTGCTATAATTTTACCTGCTGGCCAGAATTTTGCTCTTGAAGCCACATGAAGACATGGACTCTGTCTTCCTCTTAACACCCTTCAAACATCTGGAAGAGTAATTATGCACCATCCTGAATCATATTTTTCCTGGCTCATCACTCAAATGCCCCTGTTTCAAGATCCAATGATTCTGATTGCTCCTCACTGGGTGAACTTTGGGGAAAATTTCACTTGAAATGCAGGACCTGGAGACAAAGATAGTGTCAGAGGCCTCAAGGATTGCTCCACAACTGTGGACCCTTCTCTGGTGCTGACCTAGACCTAAAAGCCTTCTGCAGGACTCGTGGCCATGCCACACTGCTAACTCACAGCCAACTAGTCACCCACCCCTGCTCCAGGGGACTTTTTTTCATATTAAATGTTTATTAAATCAAATCTACCCCATTATATGTGTATTTTTAGTTATCCTTTTTTTTTTTTTTTTTTTTTTTTGAGACGGAGTTTCACTCTTGTTGCCCAGTCTGGAGTGTAATGGTGCCATCTCAGCTCACTGCAACCTCTGCCTCCCGGGTTCAAGTGATTCTACAGCTTCAGCCTCTCGAGTAGATGGGATTACAGGTGACTGCCACCACACATGGCTAATTTTTGTGTTTTTAGTGGAGACGGGAGTTTCACCATGTTGGCCAGGCTGGTCTCGGAGCTCCTGACCTCAGGTGATCCACCCACCTGGGCCTCTCAAAGTGCTGGGATTACAGGCATGAGTCACTGCACCCGGCCTAGTTATCCTTTTAAGCACAGTGTAGGATTTAATATTTATCACTAACGGAGGGATCCCTCCTCAAGTCCACAGAGAGAAAGGGGGAGGGAGGGTGGGTTAGGGGAGGGAGGGAGGAAGAGAAAAACAGAGATTACTGTGCACTCATTTCACCCCAGGAGACTTTTCTAGGTACAGTAAAGAAATTCAAAGGACCTTTAATTAGCTCACAGATATAGTGAGTTATTTCATAAGGGAAAAACAAAAACATAAGACGATATTTGCAGAGAGCTAAGCTGGACCCTAAAATAAAGGTAACTAAAGCTAAAGCTCTAACAACTTTCAGAGCCCGGGGGTATTTTCCTAGACCGTTTCCCTTGTGGAAAAGCAATCAAATAGATGCTATAATTTTAGACATTTTTTGAAACAGGAGTCAGCCTGAACGTCATAGATGCCAACCTGAAGTTTGTGGTATGTGGGTCATTGTTTTGTCACATGTGACACGGTTTCCACGCACAACAGGTTGAATTTAGAAAAACTTGTTAATAGACTAGCAGTCAAAGCCAGAAGCAAGTCTGAAAGCTAGGCTGATAGAAAATAAAATATCCCTTGATGACATCGGCAGAACCAATAAACACACGACCTCAAAAGTAAGGAAATGATTGTTCATAGTTTTAGACACTAGTTCTCTATGTTGCATAAGCTGTGTTTAAATAATTCATAGCAACACAATCAAGATCCCACATGCAAACTACAATAATTCTGTGTGTACGTACCAAAGGGGTTTAAAATATTAGTATGTTTGGAGATGTTTTTCATTTTCCTCCCATTTTCATAGTCTTCAAAATCACACAACAGATTTTGAGTTTAAAAATCAACAGGGAAAAATGGAACACTGATTTAAAATAATAAGAAAAAAATGGCCTAACATTTAGAACAACAGCTTCTCCCCCTATCTGTTGCAAGGTGGAACTAATTGGCTTGTTACAAAGCGGGGAGCTGACTTTAAATTATAATGTAAGGAAATGGTCATTACTAGATGTTTTGAAACTTAGTGAGACAATATAAAATGCAAAAGCAACATCATAGAAAAGACCTTACTATTGTGTTGACTGATAAGAATCAAAAGCAATAGACCTAGGATGCCTGAAACACCCACTATCCCCAAGTGAGAGGGAAACTGAGTCAAATAACACTTTCCAAGGAGGTGGAGGAATTATAATGAGGACGTATTCTTTTCTGACACTTTCTTATCTTTCTTCAAGGGCATTTTGTACAGGGAGTTACTAAAGCTTGACATTCTCTGGCCATAATAATGGGAGGAACAAGAGCAGGACCCCTGGTGAGCTGAAAATCAGGAAGGAGTTGTAGGGAGAAGAGTGGCCAGTTTTTCCAGGTGTCCCATGATGATATTGACTAAGACATCAATCTCCTTGGCAAAGATGGATAACCTCTGTTTTCTGTCTCCCTAGGGCACAAAGACATCCATATTGACACTGTAACATTGGCCATGGGAATAAAAGAAAGAAAATGAGATTAGTACTTAACACACATGATTTATTTTAATCAATTTTAATACAGTTCCCATAAATACAAGTAGAAAAAAGGAAAACTGTCTTGTTATTATTTAGAGAATTTAATGATGGTTGCAGGGGAAAGGTCATACTGAAAATTCAAAGTATCTAACAAAAAGATATAAGCAGAAGATTTTTTCCAAGACTAGTCTGTCCATGGGCAGTAAAATACATATATCAGAAAAAGAAAAACATGGATGTGCTTGTGCTTTGTAGGTAAGTCACCCAGCTTTCTGTCTTTTCTTGTTCTATCTATGCTTTCTTCAATTTCTATGCCTACTAACTCCACGAGGGTGTGATTTTCATTTTAAATACATTTTAAGTATTCGCTCAGTTGAAAACTATCCCCCAAATGCAAATCAAACATAGATTATATAAATTCAGTTTGCAAAGGTCTTAATTTTAAAAAATGAATTTGTGGATCCAAAGGTAACAAAAATATGTATTCTAGTCATCTCCTCATTTTTAACAAATATAAATATATCCATGAGATTAATGACCTATGAGGAGTTTTGTTTGCTCTCCAAATGACTTAGGAATCCAGGAAGGAATGCTGTTGGAGGAGGTTTTGGCAAGGGTTTTGAGTGCAAAACACAAAAACACACAATGGGAGTTGGAAAATATTTGGAAAACTCAAAAAACAACAGCTTGTGCTAATTCTCAGCTGATTTGTGGCTAGCTTTCACTTTTCACTTCAGTAGGACTGATGGGAAAAAACACCAAGGGCCCTGTGGCCTGCTCTGGTGACAGATGTTTTATTCTAATGCCATTGTTAAGAGAAACATGGACCGTTCGTTGTGGCCTGAGATGGCTGTGTGTTTATTAGGAAACAGAAAATGTAGCAAGTAAGACAACCTTTCTCTTACATTAAAGACAATCAGACACAATATACCAGATTTGTGAATATAGCTCCCCTGATGTGAACCCCATTTTCCAAGATAGAAACAAACAATAAACACAAACAAAAGAAACACCCCATAACACAGAACTACAGCCAAACACTTTAATAAAACATATCACATAAGTAACTGATATTTAGACTAGTGATTTTGAAGATTTTACAGCCCCAGAGCCATTTCTGAAATTCCACATGTAAGCTCACTGTGACAACAAATAAGGGTGGTGCTGTGCTTGCTGCAGCCTGGAAGTGGCCCTGAGCTCTGCCTGCCCAGGTCCTTCTTGTTCCCAGGGGCCTAAAGAACCTAAGTTGAAGAGCCACTAATTCAGAGAGATTAACTACCAATGGATTTTTGGAACATATCCCTGACACAAAAGTACTTAAATATTTAAAGGCAGCATATGGCCCTCCATCCAAATAAAAAGTTTTTAAGAGAATATTTTTATTCAATTAAATGAATATTAAAAAAATCCTTTAGCCTCCTATTGTATCTGGAGCATTTTTTCTCTTAAAGAGATAGAACCACATATCCCAAGTTCACTTAGTGGCACCAACCTTCACTCCTCTTCTTCCACATCTCTCTATAGGGCTTACCCACATTTCTTCAGTTGTCAAGTTCTGCTTGTTCTAGATCTCAAACACCTCTCAATTCCATCCCTCCTTCTTCATTCCCACAGCAGCTGTCCTAACTTAGGACCTTATCAATTTTCCATGTAGATCCCAGGGTGATCATTCTAAAAGCCAAAAATATGGATTGCTTCACTCGCATGCTTGAACTCCTCCACTGGTGCTCCTGTGTTTACAATCAAGTCTGCACTCCTTCCTAGGGCACCCAAAATCTGTGTGGACCTGGATCCCAGCTACCTGTCAATTTCATGTTCCCATACAGGGAGACCACCCTCATCATCCCATGAACGCATTTGCCTCCATGTCTTTGTACTTTGCTTGCCGCTTCCAGTGCACTTCATTTCAAGCCTTTCCACAACCCTGAAATCATTTTGCCTCCTACCTTTTCCATCATTTAAGACTCAGCTCCTAGGCTGGGCACTGTGACTCACGTCTGTAATCTCAGCACTCTGGAAGGCCAAGGCGGGAGGATCATTTGTGGTCTGGAGTTCGAGACCTGCCTGGCCAACATGGTGAGACCCCCGCCTCTACTAAAAATACAAAAATTAGCCAGGCATAGTGGCACATACCTGTAATCCCAGCTACTCGGGAGGCTGAGGCAGGAGAATCACTTGAACCCAAAATTGCACCATTGCACCACTGCACCACTCCAGCCTGGGCAACAGAGAAAGACTCCATCTCAGGAAAAAAAAAAAAGACTCAGCTACTATGTCGTCTTTTAAATCCCTTCTTCTTTCCTTAAATGAAGTAGAAACTTTCTTCTTTATGCAATCTGAACATATTACACAATTCTTTTAAGCGTGTCTCATTGTATTATAATCATCTACTGACTAGTTTTCATTTTTTACATTGTGAGCTCTTTGAGGACAGAGATTCTTGTTATTCATCTTTGTGTCATAGAGTTTAGCTGGGACTTAGTAGCACTCAATACATGCGTAAGGAATTAATGAATGAGGGAATAAACGCATGTGCGTTCAACCTAGAATACAGATGCTGGGAAAATTCAGGGAGGGAGTTTAACAGATAAAAGGTAAAGACTTCTATCAACTCACTTTAGTAAAGAGGATGGATAAGCTCAGCCTTGATCCTGTTCCCAGACTTAATTATTCATTCATATACTCATTCATTTATTTAACAAATATTTGTTGAGTGTCTACCATACTTCTTTTTTTTTTAACTTTTAAGTTCAGGGATACATGTACAGGTTCTTTTACATAGATAAAACTTGTATCATGAGGGTTCGTTGTACAGATTATTTCATCTAATAATGGGTACCAGGTATTAAGCCTAGTACCCATTAGTTATTTCTCCTGATCCTCCCTCTCCTCCCACCCTCCACCCTCTGATAAGTCCCAGTGTGTGTTGTTCCCCTCTATGTGTCCATGTGTTCTCATCATTTAGCTCCCACTTATAAGTGAGAACATGTGGTGTTTGGTTTTCTGTTCCTGTGTTAGTTTGCTAAGGATAATGGCCTCCAGCTCCATCCATGTCCCTGCAAAGGACATGATCTCATTCTTTTTTATGGCTGCTTAGTATTCCATGATATATATATACACACACACACATATACACACCACATTTTCTTTATCCAGTCTATCACTGATGGGCATTTAGCCTGCCATGTTTCAGATACTGTACTAGGCACTAGAGTTCTACAAATAATAAAATACTCTTTCTGCTCCCAAGGAATACATAGCCCAGAGGTGGGGGTCCGAACTTGTATTAGTCTGTTCTCGTGCTACTATGAAGAAATACCTGAGACTGGGTAATTTATAAAGAAGAGAGGTTTAACTGACCCACAGTTCCACATCCCTGGGGAGGCCTCAGGAAACTTACAATCATGGCAGAAGACACCTCTTCACAGGGCGGCAGGAGAGAGAATGAGGGCAAGCAGAGGAAATGCCAGACACTTCCAAAACCATCAGGTCTTGTGAGAACTCAGTTACTATCACAAGAACGGTATGGGGAGAAACTGTCCCCATGATTCAATTATATCCCACCTGGCTCCTCCCACAACATGTGGGGATTATGGGGATTACAATTCAAGATGAGATTTAGGTGAGGACACAGCCAAACCATACTAGACATGCAAAACATAAGTGCCATACAGAACTATGAGAGCCACAAGAGAGGAGGGGGCGTAATGCAAGTTGAAGGAGAGTGTGGTGTATCCCACTGCCCTATGGAAGTACTGTCTAAAGAGCGTCCTTGAAGGTGAGTGTGGCAGAAGGCACGTTGACCAAGGGAGATGGTAGGTGCGAATGCCATGGGGCTAAAGAAGTGTGCCACAGGTAAGAGAAATGGACATAATGTAAGGCAAAATTGTCACAAGCCCAGACTTCAGAAAGCAGACCTGTATTGAAAATTCAATTCTCCACATGTGTAACCTTGGGAATGTTATACCTACTGTAAAATGGAGGTAAGAATAGCGCCTACCTGATAAGAATGTTGTGAACATTAATTGCAAAGTAAGTGAAATCCTACCCGGGAGGCCCTTGGCACAGTATGTGTGGCACAATGATCGTGAGGATGGTTGCTGGAACTACAGCAACAAGGAACAGAACAAGATGAGTCTAAATGAGGTTGGCCTGACCCCCAGTGAAGAAGGGTCTTCTGCACCATGCCAAGGAATTTTAATCTGTAAACACTGACTGAAAACCTAGGAGGAATTTTAAGTAACACAGTGCTAAATAATCAGATTTGCGTCTTAAGATCTCTCAGTTAACTGTGTGAAGGATGAATTTAAAACTAGCACAAGAGAATAAATGAGGGCTGAACTGAGACAACAGCTGGGGCATGGTGAGGAGAGGACAGATTTTTGTTGTTGTTGTTGTTTTTTGAGACAGAGTCCTGCTGTCACCCAGGCTGGATTGCAGTGGTGCAATCTCTGCTCACTGCAGCCTCCACCTCCTGGGTTCAAGTGATTCTCCTATCTCAGCCCCCAAGTTGCTGGGACTACAGGTGCACGCCACCACTCCTGGCTGATTTTTTTTGTATTTTTAGTAGAGACGGGGTTTTACCATATTGGTCAGGCTGGTCTCGAACTCCTAACTTCAGGTGATCCACCTGCCTTGGGCTCCCAAAGTGCTGGGATTACAGGCGTGAACCACTGCGCCCGGCCAAGAGGCCAGATCTTGTAGACGTTAAGGAGTAGAAACAATAGGACTCACCCACCAGCAGTTGGTGAGAGGGGTGGGTAAAAGAAAGACAATGACCTTTAGATTTCTGGCTGAAGTGGCTGAAGTGGGAAATCATTAACCAAGAGAAGAAACACAGGAGGTAGAACCAACTGGAGGGGAAAGAAGAGTTTCATTTTAGATGGTAAGCTTCTCACCCTATGGCATATCTAGGCAGAGCTGCCAGTAAATTATTGATAAGTGAATGTGGTGCGGGCTGGACTTACAGAAAGGAAAGCAATAGCATATTATTTATCATCACTTCAAGCTATAGAAATAGAAGTGTTTACCTGGAAAAGCAGTTTAAAATCTGAGGAGAGCAAATTACTACGTTTTTAGGTAACTAAGTCATGGGGACAAAATATCTTAAGAATGAACTCTCTAAAGAAGAGACTTTGACTCAATTTCAAAATGGCTGGAAGGAATCCATCCTGCAGTTCTCCAGCTGGAACCACTGAAAAAAGACATCATAAGGCTTTTTGTGTCTGGGATCATTTACAAATTGTTAAACATTGTCTCAGTAGCAGAAAGTAGATCTGAAAAAGTTGACATTAAGCTTCACTTTGGGAGAGTAAGGGTAGCCATACTGGGCTGTGTAAAGATCTCAAGATTACTCTAGAAATAACCAGAGTGCCTTAAACTACAATATTAAGCATACTTCATTTAGCTAGAGATGTCAGCACATGGTGGATATGCTGAGATGGTTCAAGTAAGTGAAGAGTATGGAGAATGTTAGCCACTCCTTTAAAATACTCAAGTCATGGGGAACCATAAAGAGGAAAAATCGGGTCCATCAATAGGGAGATGGTTTTAAAAAAATGTGGGGGGATATATACAATATCCCAGCAATTTTTTTCATACTCTCATACATAGAAATTAATTGTGACCAAATTCTTATTAACATATTCTGATGTATTAAAGATGTTCTAGGACTACAAATATACATATTACATGTTAAAATAAAGTTATAATTTTTTTTGAGACAGGGTCTGGCTCTGTCATCCAGGCTGGAGTGCAGTGGCATGATCTTGGCTCACTGCAACCTCTGCCTCCTGGGCTCAGGTGATCTTTCCACTTCAGCCTCCTGAGTAGGTGGGACTACAAGCATGCACCACCACACCTGGCTAATTTCTGTATTTTCTTGTAGAGACGGGTTTCACCATGTTCCCCAGACCAGTCTTGAACTCCTAAGCTCAAACTATCTGCCCACCTCAGCCTCCCAAAACACTAGGATTACAAGCATGAGCCACCACACCCAGTCTAAATTATAATTTTTATCATGCATTTGTTAAAGTCCTCTAGAGATGTTAATTCTTTTTTATATTTCTTTTTACTTTTTGAATAAAGACAAGGTCTCCCTATGCTGCTCAGGCTGGTCTCAAACTCCTGAGCTCAAGGCATGAGCCACTGCACCCAGCCTAGAGTTGTTAATTCTGCCTTACAACTGCTCACCCATTTCCCCTATCCCTGCCCCCACCTCCAAAGAACAATTCTATCATATTCCCCATTGTTATCTACTGCCTTTACACATTTATACCGTTTGAAGTTATTTATTTGTTTATATATTTATTTCTCCTCCTCTCCATAAGAATGAAAGCTCCATGAAAGGGAAGGAATTTGTGACTCTTCTCCATGACTGTGTTACCATCTCTTCGCACAGAACCTAGCACACAGTTGGTACTCCAAATGGGTATGTTCAATAAGTTGAACAAATGAAGAGAGTTTTTGTTTTTTAATAAGTTTTACCATATTAGAGAGGACTTCTCTGGTCACCCTATCTAAAACACCATCCCTCAACACTTCCTGTATCTTTACCTTCTTTTTTCTTCTTAACATTCATCGCTACCTGATAGATTCTGTATTTATTGGTTTCTGTCTGCCTCCCCCATAAGCATGTGAGCTCCGTGGCCACAGGCTGTTATTCTCACTGCTGTACCCCCCGGTGCTTAGAACAGTACCTAGCAAGCTCGATGCTGGGCAAAGCAGGTTGCATAAGTCAGTGAATTTACATAAAATTTGGATTACATGCTACAGTTCTTTTCTGTATATGCAGTACATTTTTTTTTCCTGTCCTAATTGTGATATATTGACATCATCATCGTTCTATTAATCCTAGTTCACATACATCACCTAGGTGCTGTGATAAGTGTGAAGCTTAAAGTCGGTGATAATTGTGCTGGCATGTTTCTCCCTTGCCAGATGCTCTACTTTTCCCTCCTCTCTTCCTCCCCAGGCCTCTCCCCCAAACACTCACGAACCCATGGCCTCATGCTCTCTCCAGTCTTCTGGATCAGCAGATCCAGGCAGGGCCCCTAATCTGAACTTCCATCTTTATCATAATTTACCTCTCCACTTCTCTGTGTATTGACAACCATTTTGAGTAACTATGTACTCCCTGCATTACAGCCATCACATAATTCATTCTTCATAACAGCCCTAATGAGTAGTCTATTAATACTACCCCTCATTATAAGCAAGAAAACAAATCCTAAACTTGAAGAACTTGTAAAGATAATACAATTTTGTGGCTGGGTACGGTGGCTCACACCTGTAATCCCAGCACTTTGGGAGGCTGAGGCAGGCGGATCACCTGAGGTCAGGAGTTCAAGACCAGCCTGGCCAACATGGTGAAACCCCGTCTCTACTAAAAATACAAAAATTAGCCCGGTGTGGTGGCAGGTGCCTATAATCCCAGCTACTTGGAAGGCTGAGGCAGGAGAATCGCTTGAACCTGGGAGGCGGAGGTTGCAGTGAACTGAGATCGCTCCATTGCACTCCAGCCTGGGTAACAAGAGCAAGACTTGATCTCAAAAAAAAGAATAGAATTTTGTTTATAAAGGTCCAGTTTTAAGCTTTGATGTTTATGTTATATATTGCTTTTCATCCACGGTTCCTGGTTCACAACTCCCAAAGCCCTTGTTACCATCTTTTGTTATCATGTTGGGTGTGTTGGGCCTCACGGGCAGACCTCAGGATATAGAATCTCTCTCCTGTCTTCCTTCCACTGGCCCCAAGGCAGGACTCTAATCTTCCCCCACCTTTCTGATTGTAGGTCCTAAGACCCTCCCAAAAGAGGGTCCTGCCCTATACACTGGAGGAAGGGATGCTGACATCACAAAGCTTCCATAAAAACCCAAGAGGACAGGGGTCAATAAGCTTCAGATAGTGAACATGTGGAGGTTCCTGCAGGGTGGTGCCCCAGGGTGAGCATGGCAGCTCCTCACCCCTTCCCCCATACCTTGCCCTATGCATTTCTTCATCTGTATCCTTTGCAATATCCTTCATAATAAACCAGTAAGCGTTTCCCTGAGTTCTGTGAGCCACTCCAGCAAATTAATGGGACCCAAAGAGGGGGTTGTGGGAACCCCAACTCGAAGCCAGTAGGTTAGAAGTTTAGGAAGCCTGGACTTGCTACCGCTGGTGTCTGGGGTTATGGGAAGCAGTCTTATGGGACTGAGCCCCCAGCCTGTGGGATCTGACGTATCTCCAGGTAGATAGTGTTGGAATTGAACTGGAAGACACTCCACTGTTGTCCACTGCTTGGTGTGTGAGGAAAAACCCCCACACATTTGGTCACAGAAGTCTTCTGTGTTGACGATTGTGGTGCTAGTATGAGAGGAGCAGGAAAACATGCTTTAAGACAGTTTTTCCTACATCATGGCTCTGATCTAAAAGCCTATGTGTCCTTCCCACAATTACCATTACCAAGTGTCAAAGACCAACAGTCCCCAAACTTTTTGGCTGGTTTCACGGAAGGGACTGGCTTCATGGAAGACAATTTTTCCATGGGAGTGGGGTGAGGGGAGGGGATGGTTTTGGTATGAAACTGATCCAACTTCAGATCATTAGGCATTAGATTCCTATAAGGAGCAGGCAGCCTAGATCCCTTGCATGCTCAATTCACAATAGGGTTTGTGCTCCTGTGAAAATCTAATCCGCCACTGATCTGACAGGAGGCAAAGCTCAGGTGGTAATGCTGGCTCACCTGCCTGCTGTGTAGCCCAGCTCCTAATAGGCCATGGACCGGTGGCCTGGTGTTGGGGACCCCTGTCAAAGACAACCCAAGGAGGCTGTTGCTGAGAATAGCTGACTGCACACTTTCTCTTAGGGTAAGGGAGGGGTGTGGGGAGGAAAATTTCCATTTTAATATGATATTGCCTGAGATTTAATACTTCAATACAAAGGAGTATATCTCAATTCTGGGGCTTATGGGCACTTAGGCAGATTTGTGCAAGACACAGTCTTGATCAAGACACTTCAAGGCAGCTTCCTTTTAATCTTACTATGTAAGAAACCACCTTACATGCGTGTTGCCAAGCCTGGTAGAAATTAGAGTAGAAAGTGTTTAATTAATGATGTGTTGCTTTACCTCCCCAGCTGAGCCAAATTATCCTCCAAGATCATTAGAGCCCGGTTGGAATAAACTGGCTAATATGAGCACTGAGCATTTCCTAACTTATGAAATACTTCTATTGCCTTTTATATGTCTTAACTATTTTTTCCTACTTGACTATTTTAGCCATAAGATATAGAATTCTAAATTTCAGAGACAGGCCTGAAATTTAGAGGCCTCACTGAGATCTGGCCCAACACCCTAAAGTCACCAGTTCTATTTTCACTTTAGTAATGGAAGGCATTTTTTTGGTTGAAACATTTTTTTCAGTAAGGCCTTATCAAGAACTCAAGGAACAATCGAAAATATTAGTGGGTTTTTAGGCCGGGCACACTGGCTCACCTATAATCTCAGCACTTGGACCAGGATTTGAGATCAGACTGGCCAGCATGGTGAAACCCCCTTCTCGTTAAAAAATACAAAAATTAGGCAGGCGTGGTGGCACATGCCTGTAATCCCAGCTACTCGGGGGGCTGCGGCACGAGAATCGCTTGAACCCGGGAGGCGGAGGTTGCCATGGGCCAAGGTCACACCACTGCACTCTAGCCTGGGTGACAGCAAGACTCTGTCTCAAAAAAAGAAAAAAAGAAATAGAAATATTAGTGGGTTCTTGACTTGGTTTGTTTCCCCTCAAATTGAGGCTGTTTCTGCACAATTATCTGAAGTGTCCTTTTTTTTTTTTGAGATGGAGTCTCACTCTGTCACCCAGGCTGGAGTGCAGTGGCACGATCTCGGCTCACTGCAACCTCTGCCTCCCGGGCTGAAGTGATCCTCCCACCTTAGCCTCCCAAGTAGCTGGGACTACAGGTGTGCATCCAGGTAATTTTTGAGGGTTTTTTTTTTTTAAGGCAGAATTTCACTATGTTGCCCAGGCTGGTCTCAAACTCCTGGGTTCAAGCAATTGGCCTGCCTCAGCCTCCCGAAGTGCTGGGGTAACAGGCATGAGCCGCCACGACCGGCCTGGATTTTACTTGATGGGAATCCTACAAGGATGGGAAGGGAGAAGATAGTATATGAAGCAATGAAGTACATTTTCCAGCTTGCCATCTCCCAGATTTCAAATAAGTACTTACACAATCCTGTAGATGTCAAGATTTAGAGTGTTTTATCGGCTGACTTGCTGGCTTTCCCTATAACCAACTGACCTACATTAAAAATGTGTTTAAGTGGCCATTAAAGATTTAATCTCCTGAGTGAGTCAAAGATGAAACTCAAGGTTATTCAACTCTAAAGAGACATAGGGCACCTGAGAACAGGGAATAGCTTCGATGAAACCAGCCAGATGCATTCAACACACATCAAATGAGAAACACCTATGAGCCATGAGAGAGAGGACAGTCAGTTTTCTTCCCTTGAGAAGGCCTGGATGACATCCCCGTCTGTGCCTTTTCCTGGTGCCAGAGAAGAAGGCGTCTATATCCAGAGTCACAGGAGATGAGTGTCTCAGAAGGCTCAGGCTGGTTGTCATTGACTCGTGTGTCCAGCCAAGCAGTTGCTTAGGGCATCTTTGCTGAGCTTCTCTGCACCAAGTGCTATGCTCCAAGTTGGAGATTCACGATGAGCAAAACCAGATGTGAACTTGCCCTCTTAAAGCTGACCATTTTGTGTTGAAGACAGAATGTAATCAAATCATCTCACACATGAATATATCATTACAAATCCTCATAAGTGCTATAAGCAAAGAAATAGAGTTCTGCAACAAGACAGAATAAAGACGTCGCAGACGTGACAATTCAACAGAAACACCAGCAGACATTAACCAAATGGTAAGGGGCGGGGGTGGCTTCCAGGCAGAGGGAACAGCATGCACAAAAGCCTCATGGTAGCAAGGCCACTGGTCCAGATAGCATCTGTGTGCAGATTAGAAAACAGTTACCAACTCCTCAATCCCTTTGCCTCTACTGGAAAATTGTCGTAATTTACTAATTTTGTGTTAGAGCAAGACTTTTTACTGCAAGCTTCCAGAAAACTGTTTAGACAATTCTGTAATACATCATCTGGAGTGTTCATGGCAGAACCCTATGCCACCTGATACCATAGTGACCAGACGCCTGTGGCTACTGAGCACTTAAAATGTGACTAATTGAGATGTGCTATGCTACAAAATACACATCAGATTTTAAATATTTAGTGTAAAAAATATAAACTATCTCAATTATTTTTACATTGATTATATGTTGAAATTATACTATTTTGACATATTAGGTTAAATAAAACATATTCCTTATTTCACTTGGTTTTTGCTTAGTTTTATTTTTACTTTTTAAAAAAGGCTACAAGAAAATTTAATTTAAAATTCCATTCGTGGTTTGTGTTTTGAATGATATTTGTATTCAACAGCATCAGTGCACCCTTTGATAGGGCAGCCTTGGGTGCTGCACAACCTGCCAGACAATACCACACACCCTGCATGGCAGGACTGGACATGACAAGCACGGGGAAATGAAAGGAAGCCAGAGTGATGGTCACACTGAGGGCAAAGGAGAGAGCAGTGCAAGATAAGGTAAGGCCAGGTCATGCCAAGTCTCGTCTTCTAAGCCTGGAGAGTTCAGTAAGTTACACCTTTTGTTCCCTGTTCATGGATATTTCCCTTGCTTTGAAGTTTGTCCATTCAGTGATTTATTTGAAAAGGATGGATGAACAAGATAATCTCTACTGTTAAGGGGTGCACGGTTGAGCAGGAGATGAAGGCAAGCAAGCCAGTCTTCAATTGCATATGAAAAGTCTGTGCTAGGCTAAGCCCCCAGCACTAAATAATTGTGTGCTGTTATTGATGGAGATGCCAGCCAAGAGAATGCAGAGAGTTCAGCAAAGACTTGTGCACCATTCCTGAGAAAAGGCATCAGCACACACTCTTCTGACGCTGGGCTCTCAGTCCGGAGGGGCAGCACACTGCCTGGGCGAAGCCAGGAAAAATGGAACCTACCCCGCCACTGCTCCTGGAGACTTCTCAATGTCACGTGTGCATGTTTCTTTTCGACAGAAGGCATGCACAATTCTCTTTAGCATTCTGGATGAATATAAATTATGTCTCTGATCATACCTTCTAATCAGAAAAGAAATCTAGCCAGTACCTTTAGGGGTTCATCAAAAAAGGGTTAGTAAAGCTTCCCTTGAGAATACTAAGAACAGAAGTTGGGTAAACCAGAAGCCAGAGATACAAGACTGTGTGATATGGAGCCCAGAGCAAATCACTTGTCCCCACTCCCACCAAGAGAGTATCCATTCTTAGTAAGATGAATCCGAAGAACAGTCCTGAATAATAATAATACTGAAACAATATTAATTCTATACCAGACACTGTGCCATGGCATGTACATTTATTAGTTCATTTTATCCTCTCAATAAACTTTATGAAATGTGTAGAATTGTACCTATTTTAGTAGTAGGAAAACTGATTCACAGAAACATTAAATGATTTGTCAAGTCTGGTGGTTAGATGGAAGGAAAGTGCTATGAGAGAACTGGAGGCAGAAGAGAGGGCTTTGCTGTAACCCAGGAACAGAGGACTGCAGTGAACTTGCTATGTGTACATGAACATCAGACATTATAAAGTATGGCAGGCAGATCCCTGCTTCTCCATCGAGACGGGGCCTCACAGTGCAGTATGTAAGGAAGCGGGAGAGGAACGCACAAGGAGGCTGAGAGGGAGGCCGTTTCCTGGTTCTGATGCCATCCTGGGAGCTCTGAGTATGCTCTCTTCTCCGTGAGAGGGAATGTGTTCAGATGGAAAGGAAATAGACTTGGAAGTAAACCAATAAGTTGGATTCTCAGGTTTTATATTGACCTGTTTAGCAACCTCAATAAAGTCATTCCAGCTCCCTGGAAATGTTTCTGAATCCATAAAATGAAAAGTTAAGATTGACTATACCAGATACTGCTACAAGCTCCAACAATCTGTAATCCGTGAACAAACAGTGCCCAACAGGGGCTTTCTCTAGCAGCTGTGGACTCAGAGAAGCTGGAGCTCTGGACCTGAGTTCTGTCCCTCCAACAATGTGCCTCTGTTGTTTGATCTTCAAATATTTTTGAATCCTGAAACACACTCTCTTTTTCTTGTAAATTTCTCACTAAGAAATTAATGAAAATTATATAAAAATATTTTTGAGAATAAATAAAACTGGCTGAGGAATAAGGAAAATTGAGTTCTGGAGCAGCTAAGACATGAATTCCTTGTGTGATGTTGAACAAACCCCTCTCACTCTTCTGATTTCCCCATAGGTCAAATGGGGACTATATTATAATCAAATGACGTCGTGAATGGAACACACTCTGAAGAGTACAAGGATTGGCACAAATAAATGTCTGACTTACTGTTGCCATTTTAATTGTTCATTTATCAGACTGAAGTATCTAGATTTAAGATAAATCGCAGGTATAATGAAGGCCTTAATGCCCACCTTAAGTGTTTTGTACTTGCTGGGCCATTTAAACTTCACAACGACACTCTGAGGTAGGTGTTGTGATTGTCACCATTTTACACCTCTTTTTTTTTTTTTTTTTTTTTTTGAGATGGAGTCTCTCTCTCTGTTGCCTAGGCTGGAAGGCAATAGTGTGATCTCGGCTCACTGCAACCTCCACCTTCAGGTTCAAGCAATTCTCCTGCCTCAGCCTCCCAAGTAGCTGGGATTACAGGTGTACACCACCATGCCCGGCCAATTTTTGTATTTTTAGTACAGATAGGGTTTCACCATGTTAGCCAGGCTGGTCTTGAACTCCTGACCTCAAGTGATCCACCTGCCTCGGCCTCCCAAAGTGCTGGGATTACAGCAGGCATGAGCCACCGCCCCCAGCCCACACTTCCACTTTCTAATGGAAGCAAGGAGAGTCTAAATAAACCTGCCCAAGGGTATACGGGTGATGAGTAGCCACACAGGGCTTCAAACCCATGCAATGGGTTTGTGCTAGTCCTTGTACTCTTCTTACCCAGTACCCTATCTCACCTCTCAGTTCACATGGCTTAGAGCACCAGGTGCCAAGCATGTACCTATGTTTCACTTGTTGGGGGGGAGGGGGGAGGGAGGAAAGAAAGAAGAAGGGAAATCTAAGGATAAATTAGAAGACTGGACGTTATATATTTTGAAGTATTCAACAAAATAGAAAGTAGCTAGAGCATTATTTCTATGCATTATTGACTTAAAGTGAAGGTCATTTTAAAGATCTTCAAAGTGACTCATTTTTCTTGCACCCAGAGATCAGATGTCTGATTTTAAAGCATAAAACAATTTGCAAAATTGCTTTAGTCTATTTCTTACAGAGGACCTAAATTGGATGGTATTTTGTGCTCATAATAACCTTTAAGGTCAGCATGCATTGAGACAGCTGCCAATATTGCATCAGAAGTGAGTGCCAAGCTTGTTTGTCCCTCCCACCCACTGGAAGTTCTCCTGGAGAGGTAGAGGCTTATGGGTACAGACCAATCTGCAGTGAGAAACACCTGTGTGCCCCAGCTCTGAACAAATAGGGTGAATTGACATTGACGTCAGCCACTGTGATGGCACAACAGTTAGGTGGGCTAATCTGTTTGTGCAAATGACCTTTGCTGCAGACGAAGCCCATGCCAACACTCAAGACTGGGTCACCTTAAGCTCCCACATTCATGTGAACTCTCTGATGGTCTTTTCAGTATCCTGCCTGCAGTGACCTTGCTGGAATCCAGAAGGGGTGCTGCGCTGCAGGCCAGAGGCAGACCTGGGAGCCAGACTGCCAGGTGAGGCGCCTGACTCTGCCATGCTCCTGCTGTGTTGCATTGAATGAGTCACAGGACTGTTCTGTGCCTTGGTCCCCTCATCTGTAAAATGGGAGTAGTGATAGTATCCACCTCAGGGGCTGCTGTGAGGGTTAAATGGGTGAGCACAGGTCAGGCTCTTAGAACAGTGATTGGTACACAATAAACACGAGCTGCCACGATTGTCATCCAGAGCATTGCAGAGCCGTCACTTTTCACCCGTTCTCATCTTAAGATGGCACAACTATATATTAATTTTTTAGAGATATAATTCACAAAGCATGAAATTCACCATCTAAAAGTAAACAGCTCATTGTTTTTTGCATATTTTCTATATTGTGCAACCCCACCACTATCTAATTCAGGATGTTCCATATGACCCCAAAAAGAAGCCCTACCCGATAGAAGTCACTCCCTACCCCTTCCGCCGTCCCCTCTCACCCATGAGTCTGCTTTCTGTCCCTGTGGATTTGCCTATTTGGGACACTTCATATACATGGAATCATACAAATATGTGGCCTTTTGTGAGGATGACACAACCATAAAAGAACGCTTTACACTTTGGAAGCAAAATAATAGGATCCCTCCACCCCTTCCCTGCAAAATAATAAAGCATCAGCTGCATCTGCTTGTGGTAACAGCCTCTCAGTGGGCTGACAGGAGGAGGCTCAGCTTGATTCGGGTTTTGAAACATGTTAGGCTTTGAAGTTCATTTTCCATCCCACGTAACACAACAGAGATGCAGAGCAGCAGGCCTATTGTTCCAGCCTCCCCCTTCCGCATTTTCCACAAAGGTCGGCAGAGTACCCTGACGACTAAGTCTCATTACTGACTACGAATCTTCCCTGCTAGGGGACTCCCTCCTTCAGACCTGACCTATAGAAGGAGACTTACGGTAGAAGCTTCATGAAATGATAAACTCTTTGTAAAACTCATAACAGGCCCAGTTAAGAATCCCCATGGGCTTAAATCACATGAGCAGTGGTTCTTTAATTATTTTGTATTTTTAGTAGAGACAGGGTTTCATCAAATTGGCCAGGCTGGTCTTAAACTCCTGGCCTCAAGTGATCCACCCACCTCGGCCTCCCAAAGTGCTGGAATCACAGTCGTGAGCCACCGTGCCCAGCCAGTAGTTCTTGCTTTAAAATATCCTGGAGTCATCTCTTAGCCTGAGAGATGCTATTTAATTGCTTATAAGGGGGTAAACCTCAATATTGCACTTAGAAACAAATAATGCAGAATAAAAGACATCTCAAACTCATTCTCAATTTGGAAGAAAACAAAAGTATGTTGTATTGGTTTCTCAAATCCCTGAGATCTTGTGGAGAATCGCAGCATGGAAGGGAGGAGGTTATAGCCAGAAGTAGGGTAACATGACCAGCCGTGAGTTAACAGAAGGCAGGCGGTGTCAACCTCTGGACCTTCAGGACACTTCCCACAAGCAGCCAATGAGCCATGGTGCGCTGATGGGGAACAGCCCGCCCATCTCGGTGACACAATTAGGGGTCTAGTTTCAGAAAAGCCTATTGAAGATATATGTTCATGGAAACCATGCTAAAATAAATTTATATTTTGTAGCTGAGACTTCTGGGCACCTGAATATAATTCACTGTGAATATTTGTTTCACTATGATGTTTTTTTGCATTGCCCAAACATGAGACTACATAATTTTGTTCAGGCAGTGTGGTAAAAAGACTGATACACTGGGACCCAAAACACCTCAAGCAAATCTTGACTCATTCATTCAATGTCCTTGTGACTTTAGACAACTACTCTTATTTGTCCTGAACTTCTTCAAATGTAAAACAACGACAATCCCCCAGACTCCTCCGGCTCTAAGAATTTACCAGAATTTCTCTGACTGATGAATTTATGTGAGAATGTAGCATCAAAATCAAGCCTCTCTGGGATAAGCTCCCACACTCAGACTGAGGTCCAGGAAGGGAAAAGCAAGTGGTGACTTCTGGCCCACTGAGCTTCCGTTCATCAATAAGTGGTCTGAGAATTGAGTAAAAATTCCAGAAAGCCACTGGTCTTCAGTCAAGCAGAGACAGGATTAAATATGAAAAGTAAAGGTTGGGTGCAGTGGCTTACACCTGTAATCCCAGCACTTTGAAAGGCCAAGGTGGGCAGATCACTTGAGGTCAGGAGTTCAAGACCAGCCTGGCCAACATAGTGAAACCCCATGTCCACTAAAAATACAAAAAAATTAGCTGGGCGTGGTGGCACGCACCTGTAGTCCCAGCTACTCGGGAGGTTGAGGTAGGGGAATCCCTTGAACCAGGGAGGCAGAGGTTGCAGTGAGCCAAGATTGCACCACTGCACTTCAGCCTGGGCAACAGAGCGAGACTCTGTCTCTAAATGAATAAATACAGATACATATGAAAGTATTCTTTTATGTAGCAATAGAGATTAAAGAACAAAGGTGTACTTATCACCTTTTTTTTTTTTTTTTTTGGAGACAGTTTTGCTCTTGTCACCCAGGCTGGAGTACAATGGCACGATCTCGGCTCACTGCAACTTCCTTCTCCCAGGTTCAAGCAATTCTCCTGCCTCAACCTCCCGAGTAGCTGGGATTACAGGTGAAGTTTCACCATGTTGGGCGGACTGGTCTCGAACTCCTGACCTCAGGCAATCCACCCGCCTCCGCTTCCCAAAGTGCTGAGATTATAGGCGTCAACCACCGTGCCTGGCCCCTTCCTTTTTAATTGTCACAGGGGCAGAACATTCTATCATCTCTCCAGGAAAACCACCATGTTTCTGAAGGCATTAAGCTCCAAGCTGGCTAACAGTCAAGCCACAGGAAGGAGAAGGCAGAGCATGAAACATAAGCTGTGTGACTGGTACCTGAGTAAGAGCAAGCTAATTATAAAATGGACCTAGTGTTAGGTTCCACTTTTATGGGTCACTTGCTGCACTTCCATATTTGAGGGTCTAGGAAAGGTTGTGTTGTCACCCGAGTGGACTTTGCCTCTCATGCCAGTAGCTAAGAATTCCCTCTCCTTGCCCATGTGGTTTCTCTGATTACATGATTACTCAGGCTGACTGGGATTTCTTTATTCTAAATCAGCCCTCTTTATCAAAGGACCCAGTGATGATCTCTGGACATTCATTCTTTTATGGTACTGAGGCTGATAGCAGTGAGGTCACGTTCCAACCCAGCACAGTTTGAAAGGGACAAGAGGCCTACTGTACATACTGTACCTCCTCTTAAAGCTGGGTGTCACCTTGTTTTATCACCTCTCAAGCACTGAAACTTCAAAGCACACTGTAAAAGCTCAGAAACAGCTCTGTGAATCACAGAATATACATATAAACACGTTTAAACTACCTTTGGGATTAAATAAATGTAGCCTGCATTTCCAGTTGATACACAGTGACCCAGACCGATAGAACTCATGAATTAAAAACAAATGTTAATCCATTTCGGCTTCATTTCTATCCCCGAGATTTCCTAATGGTTTTGTTTCCCAATCCATTTGAACAAAACAAGATAGGTCAGCTTTCATTGTAGTCAGAATATTTTGCAGGAGCTGATGAAAAAATTATCATCATGAGGCAGATAAGAGCACACAGATGATGTCAAAACAAGGTCAAGCGAACTTGAAGTTAAGCAAACAGCTCTCAGTGGGCTGTTTTGGACATCCCTTCTCTTTACTTGTAAGAAATGTAACTTTTAATTTCTTAAGCATGCTCTTACTGCAAATGCTCAGAGATGAAAATCTCACCCCCTTCGCTTATGTTCATGAGCTTTTATCAGTTGGAGCATCCCAGGTGGACCGGGAGAAAATGCTGATCATTGCTACAATAAAGGAAACTTTAAAAAATTTTATTGATACATAATTTGTACATGTTTATGGGGTACATGTGTATTTTGAGGTATGTGTACAATGCATAATGATCAAATCAGGGTAATCAGGATAGCTATCACCTCAAACATTTATGATTTATTTGTACTGGGAACATTCCAAGTCTTCTAGTTATTTTGAAATATGCAATATATTGTTGTTAACTATAGTCACTCTATTGTACTATAGACTGCTAGAACTTATTCCTTCTATCTAACTGTATGTTTGTACCCATTAACCAACCTTTCTTCATTCCCATCTCTCCCATCACCCACCCCACACACACCCTTCCCAGCCTCTGGTAATAATCATTCTACTCTCTACACTATGCAATTAACATTTTTTAGCTCCTACACGAGTGAAAACATGTAATGCTTGCCTTTCTATGCCTGGCTTAACATAATGACCTGCAGTTCCATCCGTGTTGCTGCAAATGACAGGACTGCATTCTTTTCTATGGCTGAGTGCTATTCTATTGTGGATAGGTACCACATCTTCCTTATCTGTGTATCCACTGACGGACACTTAGGTTGATTCCATATTATGGCTATTGTGAATAGTGCTGCAATAAACATGGGGGTGCAGGTTTCCCTCTGACATACTGAGAGTTAGGGAAGCAATTCATCCAGGTCAGATGTCATTGAGCACCCACTGACACTCTGACACTCAATTTGCTGCCTTCAGGGAGGCTGTTGCTGCCACTTGGAGGCCAAAACACAAAGTTTCTCCTTGAATCCAGTAAGAACGAGGTTTATGGGTGGGTTATTATCATTTACACTGGTGATACTAAGAGCAGGTGGGGGAGTTTTACATAAACTGCTCTCCACTTTTCAAATAATTAGAGTGATCATTTTTTACTGAGTATCAGATGAGAATTGTCAACAATCCCATACTAAAGTTCAGTAGAGGAAATGTATTAAGCACCAAAGTGCCTTTTAATGTGGAATTCATGAATCTGCTATTCTCACTACTTAGAAATTCCTTAATCAGGATTTTCTCTCTTGGGGGAAAGAAGGCCTCTGTTAATGTTACTTGCAATCCCAGGAATGATTTATTTTAAGACTATTTAAAAGAAGCATGACATTTATAATTTGAAAGTAGGCTAAATACTTGCATGCAATTTTTTTTTTCTGCTGAGATCACAGATGCTGCCTTTTGTTTTTTTTTTTTTACAGCAAAGAATGCATTGAAAAATGGACAACCAATCAGACACCTAATACAAAATGGGACCTGATAGATCTATTTAGACCAGAATTTCCCATCCTTAGAACTCAGCTGGATAATTCTTTGTCGGGGGCTCTTCTGTACATTGTAGGCTATTTAGCAGCTTCCCTGCCTCTTCCCACTAGATCCCAGTAGCACTCCTGTATTAGTCCATTCTCACACTGCTATAAAGATACTACCGGAGACTGGGTAACTTATAAACAAAAGAGGTTTAATTGACTCACAGCCCTGTATGGCTGCAGAAGCCTCAGGAAACTTACAATCACGGTGAAAGCCAAAGGGGAAGAAAGGCACGTCTTACATGGTGGTAACAGAGAGAGTGAGCGAGGCAGGAATTGCCAAACACTTTTAAACCACTGGATCTCATGAGAACTCACTATCATGAGAACAGCAATCATGATCCATCACCTCCCACTAGGTCCCTCCCTCGGCACATAGGGATTACAGTTCCAGATGAGATTTGGGGCAGTGGGGGGAAAGAGCCAAACCATATCAACTCCCTTGACTGTAACGAGCAAAAATGCCCCCAGACGCCAAATATTTTCTAGGGGGCAAAACCATCCGATGACAACCACTGACTACATAAAGTTTTTGGGAGAGAAGAGGGGTTAGAAATACTATCAGCTGGCTGGGGTGGTGGCTCACACCTGCAATCCCAGCACTTTGGGAGGCCAAGGCAGGCGGATCACGAGGTCAAGAAATCAAGACCATCCTGACCAACGTGGTGGAAACCCGTCTCTACTAAAAATACAAAAATTAGCTCGGCATGGTGGCGCACACCTGTAGTCCCAGCTACTCAGGAAGCTGAGGCAGGAGAATTGCTTGAACCCAGGAGGTGGATGGTGCAGTGAGCCAAGATCGTCACTGCACTCCAGCCTGGCGACAGAGTGAGAACTCTGTCTGGAAAAAAAAAAATACAATCAGCCAGAGTATCTGAAATGGATTTCTAGTCATTAAAATAACATTTTAAATTATAGGAACAAAAAGATAGTGAGATTTGGCTAGAAAGTTAGGAGTTTCCAACCTAGGGTCTCTGTTAACACATCGCAACCTTATTTTGCAGGCTCCCAAAGGAGTAACTGACTTATGTAAAATAAAGAAATAAATTATTCTTTTTAAGATACAGTGTCTTCTAGATTAAACCATCAACTAAATAATAATCAAAACTAAATTTCAGACTAAATAATGTTAAAGCTGGTCCAAGTTTTGCTTTTTGAACATATTGCTGATAGAAATCAGAAAAATTGATTGGGCACTGTGGCTCATGCCTGTAATCCCAGCACTTTGGGAGGTCGAGGCAGGCGGATCACAAGGTCAGGAGTTCGAGACCAGCTTGGCCAATATTGTGAAACCCCATCTCTACTTAAAAAAAAAAAAATACAAAAATTAGCCAGGTATGGTGGTGCGTGCCTATAGTCCCAGCTACTTGGGAGGCTGAGGCAGGAGAATCACTTGAACCTGGGAGGCAGAGGTTACAGTGAGCTGAGATTGTGCCATTGCACTCCAGCCTGAGCAACAGAGCAAGACTGTCTCAAAAAAAAAAAAGAAATCAGAAAAATTAAAACATTAACTTCTTAGGTTTTCCCTCTAACCCCTTGAACTTGATGGCTAGTTTGGGCCTTTCTGAGTATATACCACTTGTAAAAATGTACAGCTGTGTTTCCTTTCGTGTTTTATAGATATAATAGATAAGATTATCTAGCCAAATGCTCTGGTAAATCAAATATCTCTATCAGTTTTCTCTCCTTCCCTCTCTCCTCACCCCTCAACACATGCATGCACAAATTTTCTGAGCTTTATTAAGCTGGTTTTTATTTTCTCTATAACTATTAATTTTAACCTGTGGTCATTTTTAAAAATCAGGAATCCCTTTCTTCAAACAATGTTTTATGTTGACTTACGTGAAATAATGAAATAAATTGTTCTTTTTAAGGTACACTGTCTTCTAGACTAAACCATGAACTAAATAATAATCAAATCTAAATTTCAGACTAAATAATGTTAAAGCTGGTCCAATTTTTGCTTTTTGATAGAAGCCCTGTTTTAGATAGAAGCCCAACTTGTGAAACAGGAGGATTCTTCCCCACCCCCAGAGGTATTCTTGAAGCAATTTGGAGCCACTGACATAGGAAAGGGAATTAAGCATGTTACTATAGACAACGTGAGGCATAATGATATAAACATTTTAAGGTTAAAATGATTACCTTTATATATAGCAGATTCTCAATTACCCTCAGGAAAAAAATGTATAGTTTTCAAAGACAGACATAGGCTAACATTATAAGGAGGAACAGCTCTCAGAGCTTTAAAAGAAAAACTATTGCAGTAAGAATGCTGTTTATTGGACACAGCTGCTCTTCCCTTTAGTTCAATTAGAAGTCCTCAGTGAATGTCAGTTCTCTACTGTGAGAAGCCACCTCTCAATTTAAAACCTCTCTGCAACTACATTGAATTCCCATGTTGCTGGCTCATGGCCCACCTTACCTGTTTCTCAGCAGCTTCTCCCTCCAAGACAGCACCACCTGTTCCATCAACCAGACCTCCACACTATGCTTTGGACATCTCTACAGATATTGCTCATGTCTGACGGGAATTCCCACCTCCTGGTCCCCATCAAGTCACTTGCTATGGGGTTTATTTTTTAATGTAGCCTCAAAACGTACCTGAAGTTTTTCCTGAGGATTTCTTACTGCCCCGCTTTAAGACCCCTTAGAATCTATATACTGAGTTGACCTAAATCATTGCCTTGCCTTTGAATTCTCTTCGAGGTGTTTCAGTGAGTAGTTTAATCACAGGATTATACCTAGATGACAAATTTCTCAAAGATAAAACCCTATTTTCCCCTTTATTCCCTATGTTGTGTTCATAAGATACACAATAACTTTTCAAACGCTTGCTAAAGTAGAATTGCGTGTATATATCTTAAAATAACAATGGTTATTATGCACCTAGATATAAGTAGGCCAGTCACGGAAATAACAGTTAATTCAGTTGGTAGAGTGTGATGATTAATATTATGTGTGTATTAGTCCATTCTCATGCTGCTATGAAGAAATACCTGAGACTGGGTGATTTATAAAGGAAAGAGGTTTAATTGACTCACAGTTCCGCAGGGCTGGGAGGCCTCAAGAAGTTTATAATCATGGCAGAAGGAGAAGCAAACATATCCTTCCTCACACGGTGGCAGCAAGGAGAAGTGCGGAGCAAAGTGAGGGGGGAAAGCCCCTTATAAAACCATCAGCTCTCGTGAGAACTCACTATCACGAGAGCAGCATGGAAGTAACCGCCCCCATGCTTCAATTACCTCCCACCAGGTCCCTCCCACAACATGTGGGGATTATGGGAACTACAATTCAAGATGAGATTTGGGTGGGGACACAGACAAACCATATCATTGTGTCAACCTGACAGGGCCACAGCGTGCCCAGATATTTGGGTGTTTCTGTAAGGATATTTTGGATGAGATTAACATTTAAATCAGTACACTGAGGCCAGGCGTGGTGGCTCACACCTGTAATCCTAGCATTTTGGGAGGCCTAGGAGGGTGGATCACCTGAGGTCAGAAGTTAAGACCAGCCTGGCCAACATGGTGAAACCCCATCTCTACTAAAAATACAAAAATTAGTCAGGTGTGGTGGTGCACGCCTATAGTCCCAGCTACTCGGGAGGCCAAGGATGGAGAATCACTTGAACCTGGGAGGCAGAGGTTGCAGTGAGCCAAGATCGTGCCACTGAACACCAGCCTGAGCAACAGAGCGAGACTCCATCTCAAAATTGAATTAAATTAAATAAATAAATCAGTACACTGAGGAAAGTAAATTGCCATCCATAATGTGGGGGTTCTATTCAGTCAAAAATCTGAATAGCACAAAAAGCAGACCCTCCCCCAAGTAGGAGAGCATTCTCCTGCCTGACGGGCCTCTAAACTGGAACACCTGCTCTTCCTGCATCTGCAACAACCTGCAGACTTCAGCTTTGACTTGAGACAGCCTTAGCTTCCAAAGCCAGGAGAGGCTGCCTATATTATGGGGGAGAAGGACAGACAGGTCTGGGGACCACCCACCCACATAGCCATGGGGACAGAGGTGGACCCAGGTTTTGAGGGTCCTGAGGCTTAGACCATTGTGGAGGGGCAGGAGTGTGGGGGGATACTTTTTAAGAAAAAGAATATGAAATTACAAAATTCTGGTTCAATGCTTATCTACCTTTAAGAGTGTTGGGGGAGGGAGAGAAACAGAAGGGAGAATGAGGGATGCTGACAAATTTTGACAACTAACTTTTGAAATTATTTCCAGACTTAAATGAAGTGGCAGATGCCCTCCTAAAATAAAAACAAGTCACAAGTAAAAAAGATACATGCATTTTTACAAAGACACAAAAATGTCCTCAGTAAATAAAATATGGTTAGTAGATACAAATAAAATGGCAGCTGCTTACAATCCTGGCACATTGTCAATTTCCAGTCAAATGAAAGCTGAAGATACATAACATGACTGCATCTAACACTGGAGAAGGGCACTAAATTAGCTGCCTTCAAAGTTGCTCGAGCAAATATAACCATTCACACCAGGTGGGTGTTGATAAATGCAGGCCATGGGGTAGAGAATGAGGGTGTCTTGTTTTTAATGCTTGCAATCAAGAGAATGGGTTACGTTTCCAGAAAGTCTCCTGGCTAATACATTTTATGTTTATATAAATAAAAGACAGATTTAAAGTTTGGTTTACCTGAGACTGGGAGTTAATTTTGGTTAAAACTGATTGTACTTCCTCAAGAAGCAGCAAGCTTATGTCCAAATTTCTTCTGGGTGTCACACAGGTTACTTAACACAGGTGGGAGAATAGCTATTTTGTTCTCTGCTACAGTCCTATAGCTTCTTAGAGATTCCACTTCTTCATTTTGATCCTTGAAATCTTAACTTATGGCTGAAGGATTCACAACTACTAAAGCCACTCATGGCTCTTACCCCTATTCCTTTCAAAGATGAGGTATTCTGGGGCAGATAAAAATGACAACATGACTTATTCAAGGGGACCTAGTGTCGCTGCCAATGCTGCTAAACTAGCACAGACTGAAGGTTACAGGACCCTTATTTCATCTGCTATTGACCAGCACAACTATAATTACTGAAATAAGAGCAAGTAAGGCCAGGTGTGGCGGCTCACACCTGTAATCCCAGCACTTTGTGAGGCCAAGGTAGGAGGATCACTTGAGCCCAGGAGTTTGAGACCAGCCTGGGCAAGATGGTGAGGCCCTGTCTCTACAAAAAATAAATAAATATATATATAAATTTTTAAAAATTAGCTAGGCATGGTAGTGTGTGACTATGGTCCTAGCTACTTGGGAAGGTGAGGCGAGAGGATCGCTTGAGCCCAGGAGATCGAGGCTGCAATGAGCCGTGCTGTGATCATGCCATTGCACTCCAGCCTGGGTGATGGAGCGAGACCCTGTCCCAAAAAAAAAAAAAAAGCACAAGTAAGTCCTGCTCCCTCCCCCTCCACAAAGAATAAGCATTATATTGGGAAAAGTGATACCATTGAAGAGTGACACTTTTCCCTTTATTATACACCTTATTAGGATGAACCTAAACTATGGAAGGTTGGCCTTGCTTCTGTATTCAGTACCCACTATGAGGCGTTCTTTCAATTGATTCCCCATTGCATTGCAGAGCCTAGGTGAAAAAACACGCAGAGCTGGAGTCCAAGGAATGAGAAGGAATATACAAATGAAAATTATGACAGTGATTACAGGCCACCAGAAATAGGAACCCTGGCTTCCATTAGAACCTCCCCTCTCAGCTGGGCGCGGTGATTCACGCCTGTAATCCCGGCACTTTGGGAGGCGGAGGTGGGTGGATCACGAGGTCAGGAGATCGAGACCATCCTGTCTAACACGGTGAAACCCTGTCTCTACTAAAAATACAAAAAATTAGCCAGGCGTGGTGGCAGGCGCCTGTAGTTCCAGCTTCTCGGAAGGCTGAGGCAGGAGAATGGCGTGAACCTGGGAGGCGGAGCTTGCAGTAAGCCGAGATGGCGCCGCTGCACTCCAGCCTGGGCAACAGAGAGAGAGACTGCCTCAAAAAAAAAAAAAAAAAAAAGAACCTCCCCTCTCATCAGTGTCATTACAATTACAAATCACCTACTACAGGCTGGGCGTGGTGGCTCACGCCTGTAATCCCAACACTTTGGGAGGCCAAGGCGGGTGGATCGCCTGAGGTCAGGAGTTCAAGACCAGCCTGGCCAGCATGGTGAAACCCTTTCTCTAATAAAAATACGAAAATTAGCCAGGCATAGTGGCAGGCGCCTGGAATTCCAGCTACTCAGGAGGCTGAGGCAGGAGAATCACTTGAACCAGAGAGGCAGAGATTGCAGTGAGCTGAGATTGCGCCACTGCACTCCAGCCTGGGTGACAGAGAGAGACTCCATCTCAAAGGAAAAAAAAATTATCTACTACAATCAATCTTTCTGCAGCCTTGGAATAATGTGCATGGTGGGCTTGTAAAGTAATGCACTTGTTCAACATGCCCCAGATTTGGTGTGTGTGTGAGAGAGAGAGTGTGTCCATAAGCTATAAATTGTCATTTATAGCATTTATGCTCTACAAAGTCTCTGCAAACACTGAATTAGTGAATAATAAAGCATTGCTCCTAAGTTCCTGCAAGTCTCTGGTCACAATGTCTGTTAACCAATCAACATATAACCTTGTTTTATGTGTGTATCTGTTTAAAGACACCTTATGTAATATATATCGCTGATACATTACCATTGAACTCACAGCCAGCAGCACTATACCTCCTAACTGATTGAAGTTAACACATGCAATTTCTCTGTAAGGTACCTCACAGCCTTTGTGGGCTTTCTAACACTAGGCAGCTCTTCAGCACTATGCTTGGGGCTATTTTAAACATTGAGGTCACCAAAAAGCACAAAAATGCGGAAAATGTCGCACAAAATAGACATGTGTTTACATATGAGACCTAAAGCAAGAAGACAAGAGTGTCACCTTGTTTGACTTCAGCTGGGAAAAGGCACAATGAGCATCTCAAATCCGTTACTGCTCTGCACATGTCCGTGAAGGACAACAAAAGCATGCAAGTGTTGATTTGGAGGTTACAAATAAATTTTTGTGAGTAGGCAAGTACACAATTACAGTATTGCAAAGTATGAGTATCAACTACATATATATAAATATATAAAATCAGTGTCATCACTTGATAGTCACATTATGATTCAATCCATATTTTTGGATGCCTACTATTGGCTGCAGGGTTCTATGGTAGATGCTTAAAGGGTACAAAAAATAGAATTCACAATAGCTTTCCTCAAGGAATGCACAGATTATCAGGGGGTCAAAGCATTTGTATAAAACGATAACAAGTAAAGCCAGGAGAAAGCTAACATTGACTAGATTCATGAAGATAATGTATGTTTTATACAAAAGTACAGTTTTATACAGTAAACGTTTTATAAAAGTTCTTAAAACTTAGTTTTATTTTATTTTTATTTTATTTCATTTCATTTTATTTTTTTGAGACTGAGTCTCACCCTGTCGCCCAGGCCAGAGTGCAGTGGCATGATCTCGGCTCACTGCAACCTCCGCCTCCTGGGTTCAAGCGATTCTCCTGCCGCAGCCTCCCAAATAGCTGGAATTACAGGCATGCACCACCACACACGGCTAATTTTTGTATTTTTAGTGGAGACGGGGTTTCACCACGTTGGCCAGGCTGGTTTTGAACCCCGACCTCAGGTGATCTTCCGGCCTCAATCTCCCAAAATGCTAGGATTACAGGCGCAAGCCACCGTGCCCTGCCAAAAGTTATAGTTTTATAAAAGTTACAGTTTACTCCCATTATAGCTATTTCATGAATTGTTTTACATAGACTTTGGAAGGAGAAAAAAGAATTTAGATCTGCACTGTCCAATTATGATAGACATTAGCCACCTGTGGCTATTAAAATTAAAGCCTGGCTCTATGGCTCACTTCTATAACCATAACCAAGGTAGGAGGATCCCTTGAGCCCAGGAGTGTGAGACTGCGGTAAGCGATGATTGTACCACTGCACTCCAGCCTGGACACAAGAGCAAGACCCTGTCTATAAACAAACAAAAAATTAAAATTAAAATGAATTAACCTAAAAGTTCAGTTCCGCTAGTCACATTTCAAGTGCTTCATAGTGACATGTGGCTGGTGGTCACTGTATTGGGCTGTGTAGATATATTTCCATCAACCCAGGAAGTTCTATTGGACAGTACTGACTGAAATTCTATAATTTGTATGTATCAAAACCAATTAGGAAACAATCTTAAGTGCCAAAATGTTTCCCATTGGGAATTATTAAAACTATAAATTACACGGACTATTTTACGTTTTACCTTACACACTTGAAAAGGGGAATTTCAAGCTCACCACTTCCCACCCACCAGCAATATAGACAGCAACAGTCCAGAAACACCATGAACTTTCCACAAGGTCCTCAGACATGACAAATAAACAGAAATCTCCTGACACTGTGTGCTCAGTGAGGGTTCATTACACATCAAAAACAAACATACTCCGTTTTTCTGACTGCTTCTCTATCATTGGTGTTAGTTAATTCTCTCAGAGGCAGTAAACGTTTACGTGTACTCTATGAGCCCTGGAGAATGAATCCGAAGACAAGACTGTCTGATGATCAGATTTATCACAATGTCATTGATCACTTATTATGTAAACTGTATATCACAAGGATCAAGAACTTGGGCTTGAACTGTGCTCCCACTCACTTCTATGGAGCTGCCCAAGTGCCCCAGAAATTTCCAGACACCATCCCACCTACTCTGGAGCTCCGAACCTTGGGTAGCTTCTCCAGCTTAAGTTCCCTTTGCTATCAGCTGTACATACAGCAGCCAATTTGTGAGGAACTGGGGATGGCGAGGGTGAGTCTCCACAAAGCCCACAGTGCTCAGGCCCTGACCAGGAACTAACGCACAGGTCTACTGTTTTTTCAGATCCTCAAATAGAAAAAGGTATTCCACAATATGTCAATTTCGATCTCACCCTTTCATTGCCAAATTCTCTTCTCACTCCCACCCCGGGGAATGAAACCACTCCAGAAGTAGACACACTTTGGAAGGCTGTCTTGCACTTGGACCTGTAGCTCTTAAGCTTGGAATATTAAGAACTTGCTATCTTTGTCCCCAAGTACAGTTCTGATAACTTCCCCAAATCTCCCACCCAATTTGAGGTATAGTCAAACGAAGAAGAAAAAAACATGCAGGTTGATATCTCAAATTTATGACACCACCACAGACATCAACCTGTAGAGCCAGTCAGTGCTTCTTTAAACATTCAGATTAGTGACCAGTCTTACTTGAAGTAGTATATCACGTTGTTCCAATACCTGAAAAGTAGTTTATCAGGTTGTTCCAATACCTGAACAGTTTTCTATCCCATTATGATTAGCAGCCTAAAGGATATAAGGAAGTAACTAACTTGAAGCTAAAAAGGTAGATTTGGGCTGGGCACAGTGGCTTACGCCTGTAATCCCAACACTTGGGAAGACTGAGGTGGGCAATCACTTTGAGCTCAGGAGTTCAAGACCAGCCTGGGCAACATGGCAAAACCACGTCTCTACAAAAATACAAAAATTAGCCAGGCATAGACGTGCCCACCTGTAGTCCCAGATGGAGACTCACTTGAGCCTGGGAAAGCGGAGGTTGAGATGAGCTGAGATCGTACTGTACTCCAGTCTGGGTGACAAAATGAGGCCCTGTCTCAAAAAAAAAAGTAGATTTGATCAGATCAACAAGATTAATATACTTTGGCTTTGGCTTACAAAATGGGCACATCTCTCATGCCCTGGTGTACAGTATATCTCTTTAAAAAATTTTTTTACTTAATTTAGTCCTGAACTTCTAAATCTGACACTATCAAGGAGTTAACTTTTTTTTTTTTTTTTTTGAGACGGAGTCTTCCTCTGTCGCCCAGGCTGGAGTGCAGTGGCGCGATCTCAGCTCACTGCAAGCTCTGCCTCCTGAGTTCACGCCATTCTCCTGCCTCAGCTTCCCAAGTAGCTGGAACTACAGGCACCCACCACCATGCCCGGCTAATTTTTTGTATTTTTTTTATTTAGTAGAGGCTGAGTTTCACCGTGTTAGCCAGGATGGTCTCGATTTCCTGACCTCGTGATCCTCCCGCCTCAGCCTCCCAAAGTGCTGGGATTACAGGCGTGAGCCACCGACCTCGGCAACTTTTTTCTTAAGCTTCATCATCCAAGAGATGCTGCCAAACTCTGATAGATTTAGTTTGAAGAAAGACATAATACGGATTCTATATGTGATTAAAGCACATTAAGTAGGAGCTCAGGGAACCTACCTTCACTAGTAACTAAGTTCAACATAGTGCCCTCACCACACATATTCTTCAAAAGAAAGGACAAATAAAATTTTTTAAATTAAGTCCCAATTGTAAACTTTTCTGAATATGCAATTTCTTATCAGCTATGCACAATTTTTTTGAGCACAACTAACTTTCGTAACTGAACACAGTTGCATCATTGCCTGCCCTCACCTAGGACATAAAAAGTGATTTTCATTCAAAACGTAAGATAGCAGATTGAGTAGGAAATTTGAAATTTGAAATATAATAGTAGCAACATTTTTATTTTATTGGTTACTGGTAAGAAACTCCAAGAACTGGCAGGGCGCGGTGGCTCACGCCTGTAATCTCAGCACTTTGGGAGGTTGAGGTGGGCGGATCACGAGGTCAGGAGATGGAGACCATCCTGGCTAACAAGGTGAAACCCCGTCTCTACTAAAAATACAAAAAAGTAGCCAGGCATGGTGGTGGGCACCTGTAGTCCCAGCTACTTGGGAGGCTGAAGCAGGAGAATGGTGTGAACCTGGGAGGCGGAGCTTGCAGTGAGCCAAGATCGTGCCACTGTACTGCAACCTGGGTGACAGAGCAAGACTCAGGAAGGAAGGAAGGCAGGAAGGAAGGAAGGGAGGGAGGGAGGGAGGGAGTCTAGAACGAGTTCCATCTCCAGGTATTATATTTTGCAGGAAACAATAAAGGGGGTTGTGATCAGTATTTTCGGTGATGGAACAGTCTGATTGTTCATATCACTCATTTGTGAGTTACAGATGGGCAGAGTTCACATAGGTGACAATATTGCCAAAGGAAGATGCTGTCTTACTAGAGTGTGTGTGTGTGTGTGTGTGTGCTCTTCAGCAGCCAGCCTAGAAGGATATTTTCTTATACTTCTTGGTCTCTTGGCCTCTGACTATTTAGCATTGGTTTGCAGTTTTCCAGCCTCTGAGCCTGCAGTGCTCACTGTGTGAGGAAGCTGTCACTCAGATGTGCATGCGCTTCTTCCTCACAGGCTGCTGTGGACACGTATCATTTCTATTTCTGTGTCACTGAGTCTGTTTATACCTGGCATCCTTTAGAGTAGGATTTTAATGATTTTCTGTTAAAGAATTTGTAAAACATTATAGTTACAAAACATGCACATTAGGGGGTGATTATATAAAAGCATTCATCTTAGATCATTCAAATAACCAGTACATACTATATTTTCCTTAAAGCATTCACCTAGCGCACACACTCACAGCATTTTTTCACCCCCTCTGTATGACAAAATTGCTTTTAGTAAAAATAGAAAATGAAACAAATAGTAATAGGCAAAATAAATGCAGACAGTTAGACTCTTATTGAATTTTATATCTATAACTATGCCAGTAAAAATTAAAAAGAAGTGATTTTAATAAAGCCAAAACATCTACAAAAGTTAAAATTTCAGTGACTTCTAAATAATACCACTGATATTATAGTGTTTTCTTTTCTTGAATGTTGCACCTTGCAGCTAGCACAGTTTCACTGTTTTTAATCTAAACACAAATAAAAGCAAAGTGGTCACAATAAAATGAAGAATAGACATTAACTCAAGTTCTGTTTCTTCATCGTTATTATCTCTAAACTATCATGTTTATTTCAAATCTAGAATTTAAATGCGGTATATGTAGTTTCCCAGGGGTCGGAGACACTCAATTTGTCAGAAGGGAGCTTGAACTCTACACTGTTATGAGCTTATGCTAGAAACAAACACATATAGCTAAATTCACATGTGTTGGGAGCCAACTGGATAATTGAGAATTTTCTGAATTAACTACCAACGAGAATACTCGTTGGTTTGGTTGGTTGGTTGGTTGATTTTGAGATGAAGTCTCACTCTTGTCCCCCAGGCTGGAATGCAATGCCACGATCTCGGCTCACTGCAACCTCTACCTCCCGGGTTCAAGCAATTCTCCTGCCTCAGCCTCCCAAGTAGGTGCGATTACAGGCACCTGCCATCATGCCCGGCTAATTTTTGGAGGACACAATGTTTATTAAATGACAAGCAATAAATATATGTAAATTTGGAGATAACATACATATTATTAAAACTTAGTAGTGGCCATAAAAATTGTTTGGAACTTAAACCAACAACAGATTTTCTTTAAGGAATATTTTATCATGGACATTTTTTAGAAATGCTAGCTCATGGTAATAATAAAAAGTGGTTGACTTGCAGTCAGTTTTCTTATGGTTTTTCAATCCTTTATAGACAACGCATCTCTGTATTGCTGCACAGAGGGCTGACCGCTCCTAGCTCACTGCTGGTACACCACTAAGTTCTACTGATGGATTTAATGCAATAGAAGGTTGCAGAAACTCAATTTGCATGCAAGTTTTAAAATAGAATAGATTCTCAATGGTCTATCCAGGTCTCCACTGGACTTTAGACAGTTTCATTTAAAGATATAATGTATTAGGATTAACCCAACAAGTCCAATACTAAAATTCGACTTTACAGATGTGTTTTTAAAAGATTGTAGGTCCAGGCGCGGTGGCTCACACCTGTAATCCCAGCACTTTGGGAGGCCAAGGTGGGTGGACCACCTGGGGTCAGGAGTTCCAGACCAGCCTGGCCAACATGGCAAAACCCCAACTCTACTAAAAACAAAAAATCAGCCAGGCGTGGTGGTGCATGCCTGTAATCCCAGCTACTTGGGAGGCTGAGGCAGGAGAATTGCTTGAACCCAGGAGGCAGAGGTCGCAGTGAGCTGAGATCATGCCACTGCACTCCAGCCTGGGTGACAGAGTGAGACTCCATCCCCCACAAAAAGATTGTATCATATCTTTAATTATAAAGATTTTTTTAAATGACCTAAATAACTGTCAATAGAGGAAATGTTAAATAATGTGTAACTATTCTATACAGCCAATTAAAAGGATTGAGATATATATATTTACATAGAAATCTCTGCAAGTTATATTGTGAAGGGAAAATAAATTATATTTTATAAAAAACAAATTATATAGACTTTCATCTCATCCATGTAAAAAACTTTAAAAAGGTGTGTGTATATGTGCATTATCATATAAGTAGATGATGCTTGTCAACTTAGAGATTACCACCACCTGTGGGGGTGGGGTTAATGAAGACGAATGTCGACGTTTTGTTCTATAAATGTCTCTATTGCTTGAATTGTTACATTGAGAATATATTACATTAATATATATACACATTAATAAATACATTATATATTACTATACATTATATATACAGTATATATTAATATACATTAATATATTACATAATTTGAAAAAAGCAACATAAATGGGGAACATAAATTATAAAATATATAGTGTGCTATTCTACATAATGTCTGTGTTTTGAAATTCTTTGTTTAAAAATTTATAATTGTTCAAAAAAATTTTTAAGGCCAGGAATGGTGTCTCATGCCTGCAATCCCAGCCTTCAAGAGGCCTAGGCGGGAAGATAGTCATTTGAGGCCAGAAGTTCCAGAACAGCCTACACAACATGGCAAGACCCCCATCTCTACAAAATAAAATATATATATTAGCTGCGCATCACCAGCCTCCCAGGTAGCTGTAGTAGCTGTAGTCCCAGCTACCTGGGAGGCTGAGGCGGGAGGATCGCTTGAGCCCAGGAAGTCAAGGCTGCAGTGAGCTATGATCCCACCACTGTACTCCAGCCTGGGCAACAGAGTGAGACCCTACCTCAAAAATTTTTAAAAATAAAATTAAAATTTTAAATGAAAAATAAAGATATATAAGGGATCTTGATTGGCACTTATTCCATTTTAAGAAGTTGGGTACTAATTTGCAATTTAACTAGTTTTCCATGATAACTTATTTATGATACTTCTTTCATTCCATAATTTCTCTAACCACTTTTAGAAACTATTAATATTTTCATCAAAGCCCACATTAGGGGCTTATAAGTACCACAACTTTAATAGCTGCTGTTTATTATCTCTATATATTTCTCTCTTCAAACTTTGTTCTTTCAAGTATTACGGGCCAGCTCCTGGGTTCTAGATGCCAAGATTTGGTTATATGATTTTGGTCAAATTTCAGGAGTATATTCAGAGAACTTCAATGAAACCATGTTAGTTGGCCGGGGGTGTGGCTCATGCCTGTAATCCTAGCACTTCGGGAGGCTGAGGCAGGTGGATCACTTGAGGTGAGGAGCTCAAGACCAGCCTGGCCAACATGGTGAAACCCCGTGTCTACTAAAAATGCAAAAATTATGGCCGGGCATGGTGGCTCACGCCTGTAGCCCTAGCACTTTGGAATGCCGAGGTGGGCAGACTGCCTGAGCTCAGGAGTTCGAGACTAGCCTGGGCAACATGGTGAAAACCCGTCTCAACTAAAAATACAAAAAATTAGCCGGGCATGGTGGCACACGCCTCTAGTACCAGCTACTCGTGAGGCTGAGGCATGAGAATCGTTTGAGCCCAGGAGGTGGAGGTTGCAGTGAACCATGATCGTGCCACTGCACTCCAGCCTGGGCAATAGAGTGAGATACTGTTTCAAAAAAAAAATTAGTGGGGCGTGGTGGCACAAGCCTGTAATCCCAGGTACTCAGGAGGCTGAGGCAGGAGAATCACTTGAACCTGGGAGGCAGAGGTTGCAGTAAGCCGAGATTGGACCACTGCATTCCAGCCTGAAAGACAGAGCAAGACTGTCTCAAAAACAACATAAAACAAAAAACAAAAAAAAAGAAGAAAAGAAGGAAAACAAGAAACCACGTTAGTTGTTCTGTCATTTTTAGTTAATTTTTTCATTCTCACCTTATGTTGCTAATTCGACATAAAACTAATTTGAGAAAGGATAAAATAAGCTTCAAGCTATAACTGAAGCTTTATTTGCAAATAGTAAGCCAACATATCCAATAGTTCAGACGCTGTGACAATGTATCAGGATTCTAGGATCACCAGGCTGCCTTCACTTTGCATCTGAAACCCGGAGTGAGTGAACAGCAGCAGGGCCCTCCACTGAGAACACAAACACACCTGTGCTTCCTATTTATAGTCACCTGCTGACTAATAATACCCCCACAATGACTTTCCCGTCAAACTTCTTTACTGTAATGTTTTAACCTATGAAATTCCCACTGTAACATAAATGTGTTTATCCCAATCTGTCTGTAACTGGGTGTAAACTGGGAGGTGCTGGAACCAGTTCGCATCAGCTTGCAAGAGCTGGGTAGCATCTCTTCCCAAAGTATGTTCAATGATGTTACACTTTTGGTTTAAAATCAGCATGGTAAAAATATTTACACCACAGAAAATGGCAAACGCTACAAATCAGGGCTTCCTAGACCCCACCTCCACCAGAGCTGAGCTTTAAACATTGACCGGCACAGCACTGGATACATACATCTGTTATTGCTTAACACAAGAAACTTCATCCACACTCCTTCCTGTTCTAGATTGAGTGCACCTGGTGAAAACCACAAGGATGCTTGTCCATGAAGATTTAAAGGTACAGAGTTCACTTAGAGATTAGCAACGGGGACATATTCTATATCCTCACCCCATAAGGTATGCAGGAGGAGAAATTATGCCAAAGTATGCTAGAATCCATGTAACTGCTTTCAGTGTCCAGGATAAGAAATCAAACATCCTCTGAGCTATGACTGTGTCTTAGTCAGTGTCAGGTTCTAACTGAGGTCTGAGGGGAGTCAGTGGGTGAGTGGTGGGTAGCTGGAAAAACACTCGAGGAATCGTAGACAGTTTCGACATGGCTTTACTCTCCCTCTGGGCACGAGTGAGCCCAGGTGCAAGCTGTATGTACAGCATCAGTAGGGTAATTATACCTTGTACAGACAATAGTGGGTCCGAGCCAAGCACAAGCTCATGTGGGTGATCACCTAATGCGCCTCACATGGTGTGATTACATAATGTGTGGAGTTGTGCTCCTGTGCTCCAAACTTGCTCAGTCATGCTGGACTGGATATCTACCTTGGCCTATTCTTTTTTTTTTTTTTTTTTTTTTTTTTGAGACGGAGTCTCGCTCTGTCGCCCAGGCCGGACTGCGGACTGCAGTGGCGCAATCTCGGCTCACTGCAAGCTCCGCTTCCCGGGTTCACGCCATTCTCCTGCCTCAGCCTCCCGAGTAGCTGGGACTACAGGCGCCCGCCACCGCGCCCGGCTAATTTTTTGTATTTTTAGTAGAGACGGGGTTTCACCTTGTTAGCCAGGATGGTCTCGATCTCCTGACCTCATGATCCACCCGCCTCGGCCTCCCAAAGTGCTGGGATTACAGGCGTGAGCCACCGTGCCCGGCCTTTGGCCTATTCTTGACTGCAGCAAATCCATTTTCCTTACACTCCACCCCCTAGGCTGAGCGAGACATAGGCTTTGGACACACAGGTCTGACATATAGGCCTTACATTCCACCCTGTAGGCCAAGGGAGTTCTAGTGGGAGACATGCCTGCAGGGCAGAACCCTGGATCCAGAGGCCACAGCAGTACTACAGGGAGCAACAACTCCAGGTTATGGCGGGCAACCACCCCAAGGTGACGTTACCCCAATGCTGCTTTATACATTAAGCCAGGTTTTTATTTTCCTACCTTTAGGGGCATTGGGGCAGGCAACAACAGGTTACCTTTTGTCCCCACACGTGGTTGGAGAAGGTCATCCTTCCTCCTTCAGGTCTTTCCCTATGGCTTGGCCCCACATGGAATGGTGACTAACTAGCTACTTCTGTAACTTGCAGGTAGTTAACCACAAGGTTAAGCCTCAATAAACTGCCCAGCTATTGGTGCAGATTACCATAGGTGTCACCACCTTGGTCATCACCATTCACACTGCCCTGAGTTCAGCCCATTAGCTACTTTGTCCATACCCGGTTTCAAACCATATGGTGCCAGTACTAGGTTGGACTGCAACAGCAGTCCAAGCAGCAGTAGCACCTTGGCTAGACCCATGACTAGGGGTGCCTCAGGTCCCATGGCCTTCTCTTGCATTAAGATTACAGATCCCGGCCGGGCGCTGTGGCTCACGCCTGTAATCCCAGCACTTTGGGAGGCCGAGGCGGGCGGATCACGAGGTCAGGAGATCGAGACCATCCTGGCTAACACAGTGAAACCCCGTCTCTACTAAAAAACACAAAAAAATTAGCCGGGCGTGGTGGCGGGCGCCTGTAGTCCCAGCTACGCGGGAGGCTGAGGCAGGAGAATGGCGTGAACCCGGGAGGCGGAGCTTGCAGTGAGCCGAGATCGCGCCACTGCACTCCAGCCTGGGCGACAGAGCGAGACTCCGTCTCAAAAAAAAAAAAGAATACAGATCCTGGCTGGGCGTGGTGGCTCATGCCTGTAATCCCAGCACTTTGGGAGGCCAAGGCAGGCAGATCACGAGGTCAGGAGATAGAGACCATCGTGGCTAACATGGTGAAACCCCATCTCTACTAAAAATACAAAAAATTAGGAAGGCATGGTGGCGGGCGCCTGTAGTCCCAGCTACTTGGGAGGCTAAGGCAGGAGAATGGCGTGAACCTGGGAGGCGGAGCTTGCAGTGAGCCGAGATTGTGCCACTGCACTCCAGCCTGGGCGACAGAGCGAGACTCCATCTCAAAAAAAAAAAAAGACTACAGGTCCCAAGACCTCTTGCAACTCTGCTGTTAAGGGGCTTGTACTCAGTGTACTCTGCTGCTCTAAGTAGGTGCCCCACTTTGCTAAAGGGATGTCTGCACTGTCCCAGGCTGGGGGATCCATAGCCATAAATGTACCCATGTTGCTATTGAGTAAGTCATCAGCATGATGACTATAGCTCATCTTGCCACACTCTCATGAGCCTGAGGGGCAGTATATGTAGTTACTAACTGCTTCTCTATCAATGAATACCAGAGCTCAGCTCTCTTCTAAAGTTGGGACCAAAAGCCTACTGGTGTTCTAAAGTGCTCCATGCACAGCCACAGGCCCCAGTCAAACCCATCTGTGGTCACATGCATATAAAATTCAAATGGGCACCCTTGGTCAATCACTCATAGAGCCTGCATCTGCTGAATAGCCCGGTTGGCTGCCAGGAAGGCAGTTTCAGCCGCACTATCTCAATCCCAGGCAAGAGAGGCATTGCTGCTTCTAAATCTGCAAGGGAGTCAGAGGTTAACATAATATCATCAACAAGACCATGACATAAGGTGGGGCTATGCATGTAGTCCTGTGGCAGCACTGTGAAAATCCATTGTTGCCCTCTCCTGAAGGCAAACTGTTCCTGGCTCTCTAGAGCAATGTCAATTGAGAAGAATGCATTGGCCAAGTCCACTACATAGGGGTACTGTCCCAGTTCTGTTGTCAAGCAGTCCACCAAACCCATGATAGACGGCACAGCTGCCAACCCGTGTAAAACTTCCACCCCCCAGAATGTATTCAGGTATGGGAGAGATATACATAGTGCATAAGCAGGAAGCCAAGCGGCCGATGCCAAGGTGCAGAGATACAGGTTTCACTTTCACTCACCGGCCTCCATGGCCATCTATGCAGCCTTGCCTGGAAACTTATCCAGATGCAGGGACCAGTGGATTGCCAAGTCTGCATATGGCCTCTGGTCATCCAGTATCCCCCCAAGCCAGGCACCTGGGCCATTTCCCTAATCAAACAGAAAAGGCTTTACACCTCCACCTGGCTGTAGCAAGTAGTATTTGAGCTGCAGCACCCGGGTGGGACGGGGTTGCACAGCAATGTCCTTCTCCCCCTTGGACATTTCTGGAATTGCTGCTCTGAAAACAACTATCTCCACAAAGTTAAGAGTACTTCATTGGGCTTCTTATCAATTTTCTCTTGGTCAACCCCAACCAAAATGAAATCTATCCACATCTGTGAGCGTGATGGACCCAGGCCTGCATTCACAGCAGCCTCTAATTCCTTTTCCAAGCTCTGTAGCCAGGCCTCCAAGCACCCTGCCCACACCTGGAGGTCCCCATTCACAGCAGCTTCTAACTCCTTTTCTTTGTTTTTTTTTTGTTTTTTTTTGTGGGGGGGTTGTTTTTGAGACGGAGTCTTCCTCTGTCACCCAGGCTGAAGTGCAATGGTGCAATCTCGGCTCACTGCAAACCCCACCTCCCAGGTTCAAGCTATTCTCCTGCCTCAGCCTCCCAAGTAGCTGGGATTACAGGCATGCACCACCACGCCCGGCTAATTTTTGTATTTTTAGTAGAGACAGGGTTTCACCATGTTGGTCAGGCTGGTCTCAAACTCCTGACCTTGTGATCCACCCACCTCAGCCTCCCAAAGTGCTGGGATTACAGGCATGAGCCACCACACCCGGCCTTCTAACTCCTTTTCTGAGCTGTGTAGCTGGGCCCCTGGGTGCTCCATCTGTACCTGGAGGGCCCTTACCTGCACTGCATCCTTCAGGAACTGGGTGTGTACTTCTTGTAGCACAGTCAAAAATGCCCATCGAAATCTGCAGGCAAAAGCTCGCTCCTTCTCAGTTCTCTGCACTTCCAGTTGCTTCATTGCCTTCTCCATGCTCATGAGGGACCCATCCACCACCAGCCAGGTTTCCATCAGAGCCCATTCCAGCAGCACAGCTCAGGATCCTGTTCATAACACCAATCGTCAGGTTCTAACTGAGGTCTGAGGGGAGTAAGTGGGTGAGTGGCTGGTAGCTGGAAAAACACTCAAGGAATCGTAGACAGTTTTGACATGGCTTTACTCCCTCTCTGGGTGCAAGCCATACGTACAGCATCAGCAGGGTAATTATACCTTTTACAGACAATAGTGGCTCCAAGCCAAGCAAGAGTTCACATGGGTGATCACCTAATGTGCCTCACATGGTGTGGTTACATAATGTGTGGGGTTGTGCGCCTGTGCTCCAAACTTGCTGAGTCATGCTGGACCAGATGTCTGCCTCAGCCTATTCTTGACCACAGCACATCCATTTTCCTTACAATCAGAATCCCCACAATAGCACACGCAAAGCTTTAACTGAGAACAGTTTAATGAAGACTATTTGCAGAGCTGTGGGCAGAGTTGAGGGAAACAACAAGGAATGGGGAAGCATCCAAGAACTAGCAACAGAGGAGACAGGAGCCATTGCGGTCCCCAGGCCTGCAGGGTCAAAGGGAAAGGATGCTGTTCTTGGAACCAACCAATGGGAGTGCTAGCCACAGGGAGAGGATTTTCCAAAACTGTGGCAAGGTGTGCAAGGACAGGGGAGAAAAATATCCAGACCTCTCTCCATGCCTACCTCCCTCCTCTACTAATACCTCCCTTTGGCCAAACCAACCAGAAAGCAGACGGCAAGAGCTTGAGGTCCCCTACCAGGGTGCAGAGCAGGACACACCAGGGTGCAAGACAGAGCTGGGGAACCAAGGTAAAGGAGAATAACCCACCCAGGCTTGTATTCTTTTCTTTTTCTTTATTCTGCATTCCTTCTACCTCCATATAGCCTCTTCTACCAAGAACAGGTAGAAAACTGAGTCCTTTAGCCATGCAGTCTCATGTTTTGAAAAAAAAATAAGTTTAAAAAAAATTCTGATGAAAAGGAGTGTGAGAGAGAAAGAAGGGATTTGGAGGAAGTTAGCCTCCTATGGCTATCATTTCAAGCAGAGCTCAAACTGCAAATTATTTTTCATATTTTACTGAGAAAGATCATACAGATTTTAAAATGTTACAGCGTAGAAGAATGGTGTAAATGCACTCTGGAATAATCTTTAACCAGTAAAATGAAGCAAAGACATATCTTGCTTTTGACACAGAACAGTGGTGTCACTCCAATTTTGTAAAGCCTGACAAATGGACAATTATATCATTTAATTCTGAATCACTTAGCTTGAATGTGTTAAGAATATTTTCTTTAGTTTGGTACTCCACAGCACACACTGAAGAGATACTCCAGCCTCCACTTTCCCCTTACACGCACAGGGATAAAGAAAATGCATTTTAAGATCATAAATGTTAAGGCCAAGGCAGGCAGATCACCTGAGGTCAGGAGTTCCGGACCAGCCTGACCAATGATGACACCCCGTCTCTACTAAAAAAATACAAAAATTAGCTGGGCATGGTGGCACGCTCCTATAATCCCAGCTACTCAGGGGGCTGAGACAGGAGAATCACTTGAACCCAGGAGGCAGAGGTTGCAGTGAGCCAAGATCACACCATTGCACTCCAGCCTGGGCAACAAGAGCAAAAATTCCATCTCAAAAAAAAAAAAAAAAAAAAACCCACAAATGTTGTTGCAATGTCCTAGTCCTAATATACTCAGAAAAATCATAATAGCAATCAATTCTGGGCCAGGCGTGGTGGCTCATGCCTGTAATCCCAACTGGGAGGCTGAGGCAGAAGAATCACTTGAGTTCAGGAGTTCAGGACCAGCCTAGGCAACATAGTGAGACCTCATCTGTACTAAAAAAAAAAAAAAAAAGAAAAGAAATTAGCTAGGCATAGTGGCACATGCTTGTAGCATGTGCTACTCAAGAGGCTGAGGTAGGAGGATCTCTTGAGCCTGGGAGGTTGAGGTTGCAGTGTAGTGAGGTGCTGTGATTGCACCACTGCACTCCAGCATGGGCAACAGAACGAGACCCTGTCTCAAAAAACAAACAAACCAAACAACTGACTCTGGCTCAAAGAATCTCTACATAATAGTAAGCAGCATCTCTATGCATGCCCTTGGGTCATGTACTAGTGTGCTTGGGCTGCCATAAGAAAATATCACAGACTGGGTGGCTTAAACAACAGAAATGTACTTCCTCAAAGTTCTGGAGGCCAGAAGTCCAAGATCAAGGTATCCGCTTTTCCTAAAGTCTGCCTATTTGGCTGGTAGATGGCTGCCTTCTCCCTGTGTGTTCACATGGGCTTCCCTCTGTGCACGTCTGTGTCCTAATCTCCTCTTTTTAAAAAATTTTTTATTATTATTTTTTGAGACGGAGTCTTGCTCTATCGCCCAGGCTGGAGTGCCGTGGAGCGATCTTGGCTCACTGCAACATCTGCCTCCTGGGTTCAAGCGATTATCCTGCCTCAGCCTCCTGAGTAGCTGGGATTACAGGCATGTGCCACCATGCCAGCTAATTTTTGTATTTTTTAGTAGAGACGGGGTTTCATCATGTTGGCCAGGGTGGTCTCAAACTCCTGACCTCAGGTGATCCACCCGCCTCAGCCTCCCAAAGCGCTAGGATTACAGGCATGAGCCACCATGCCTGGCTGCTAATACCCTCTTATAAGGACAGCAGTCACATGAGATTAAGGCCTACCCTAAAGACTTCATTTTAACTTAATCATTTCTTTGACAATCTTATCTCCAAATAATTACTTTCTGAGATACTGGAAGTTCAGACTTCAACAGATGAATTTTGAGGGAACACAATGCAACCTGTAACAGTCAATGTTTATTTCTTTTCTCCTGTACCACCCATGCCATTGCTTCCCAAAAAGAGGACCATTTTTGCTCTCATCTTCCCTTTGTTCACCCACTCAAAATGCATCATTCCTTCTTTCCTTTTGGGCCATGATATCTACTCTCAAGTATTAAAGCCAAATTATCTGACAAATTATAGGTGGCAAACAATTTGCTTCTTTCAGTTTGTGAGTATATCAATCTCCTAGGTGACAAGAGCTTTCTGGGGACAATGCTCATTACAGAAATATGGGACTAGCAAGGCAAGAATTTCAGGCATCTAGAAAGCTGAAAATAGGAATGTTCGAGGAAATGTGGAGATTTGCAGTTGGCCTCAATAAAGAGATGTGTAGAAAGACCCAGCCCGAATCTGATGCAGGGTGGGATTTGAGCCCTTGTTAGTTCTCTCTGCAGGCAGGCAGCTGCCCTGCTTACGCTCCATAGATCCCACCACACCCTCACCCAGCCACTCGGACCACTGCTCCAAACTCCTAAGGTGCCTCTCTGTTTTCACACTCCAAACTCCTAAGGTGCCTCTCTGTTTTCACACATAGCCCCTCACATTCCTCCTCCATACAGTCTTCAAAGTCATTTTGGAAAACAATTTTATAGGGTGGTGGGATCAAGTATATCCCAAACCTCAGCATCATGCAATATACCCAGGTAACAAACCTGCACATGTAACCCCTGAATCTAAAATAAAAGTTGAAATTATTTTTTAAAAAAAAGAATTTCATAAATATTCTTAAATTTCATTCATTTTACAAATGAATAAAATTATGTCACAAATCTCCCCCAAGACCTCCTTAAACCCCTTTAACAAATTTCTATTGCTGTTAGAAAACACATTACTTCTAACCATGGTCTTATAGCAGAGGTGAGCAAACTATAGCCCCTATGCCAGATCTGGCCCACTGACTGTTTCTGTACAACCCATGACCCAAGAATGAATATTCCATTATTTAATGCTTAAAAAAAAAAGTTTTATGACCTGAAAATTGCATGAAATTCAAATTACGTGTGTGCACAGTTGTTCTTACAGTCCTTATCTGTACAGTTTTTCTTAGTTATAAGAGCTTGAAATGAAAGAACTGTGCATATTTGACCTCATACAGAGTGGACAAAAAAAACAAGCCTAGTCTCTTAATGATTAAAATTGTAAGGCTACGTTAAAGAGGGTGATACGTACTGTATTTCTGGTTGGTACCAATGAGGTCTCCTGAGGCTTACATTTTTTTAGGCTTAAACTTATTAGTCTTCTGGCCGGGTGTGGTGGCTGACGCCTGTAATCCCAGCACTTTGGGAGGCCGAGGCAGGCGGATCACAAGGTCAGGAGATCGAGACCATCCTGGCTATCACGGTGAAACCCTGTCTCTACTAAAAATACAAAAAAAAAAAAAAAAATTAGCCAGGCATGGTGGCAGGCACCTGTGGTCCCAGCTACTCTGGAGGCTGAGGCAGGAGAATGGCGTGAACCTGGGAGGTGGAGCTTGCAGTGAGCCAAGATTGCACCACTGAACTCCAGCCTGGGTGACTGAGCAAGACTGCATCTCAAAAAAAAAAAAAAAAGCTATTAGTCTTCTAAACTGAAAATATACCATCCCATTCTCCAACATATTCACATTTTCTCACACAAGCATAGACGTGCATACACACGCACACACACTTGCTTTTGTGTAACTATGATTTTCCCTATATAGCTACATTATTCTATCCACCTGGTTTCCAAAATAAAACTGGAAGTCATCTTTGATTCTGTCCTCTCCCTCTCCATTGGCATTGGGCAGCTACCATTTGTTGCAATCTACCTCTTTAAAAACCCTGATATCCATCCTTTTCTCCCCCTAAGACAGCCGCCCAATCCCACCACTCAACACTCTGCAGTAAAAAGTCTGTCTCTTCCCTCAAGGAGCAGACCTATTTTTGCTTGGTCTTTGTGCCTCAGCTCCTGACAACACAGTGCCTGGCACCTAGTAGGGTCTCAATTGTGCTTACTAAATGAACGATTTTTCTTATGCAATCTCTTCCTTCATTTGCGAAACCATATGGGTGCCCAGGTGGTATGACTGGCAGGAAACCAAATGGAATCCAGAAGTGATACAAAGGGACCTCCCTTAGAAATCTCCACTGGTGGAATGGATTTAACTCCCGAGCTAAAGTGTTATATTTCCGGGAGATCTGTGGTAATAATCAAATAGGTTCTCTAAGACATGAATTATCACATCAGTTCAGATCAATGTATTTCACCAACTCTCGAGATCCAGAGGGAATGGGACATAGGACAGGTGAGTTGGGGGGCGGTTAAGGAGGTCAAGTGAGATCCACAGCATAAGACATTGCCCCATGGAGGAACCGGGTCTGAAGGAAAATTACAGAACTAAAACTCAGGTCATTTAGGCTTTGCCTGTAAAATTAGATGTATCATAAGAAAGAAAAGCCAATAATTCATGTTTGAGTCAGAAATAGGAGAGGCTATACTTCCTGTCTGGGGCCACAGCCTCTTAGGCTCTGCTTCTACTTAGAGTAATAATTCTCATTCTAGACATGAATCTAATAAAACCATGTGTTTGGATTTCCTGGAATTTTTCTGACTGTGAATATAGACTTGTTCCCAAAAACTTCCACGTTCCATCTGCCCTCCTAAATGGGCAGTTTCCACGATGTCAGCAGAGGAAATGCAGGGAGCTGCCATGATGTCTGCCCGCTGCTGCCAGATCTCATCCAAGTGGCAGGTGAAGATTTATTCACACCCAGATACACAAGCCACTGAATTCATTTTTTAACTTATTGTCTGAGTGGAAATAGGAGGAAATAAGAGCTAACGAAATAATTCAGTTGGTCAGAAAGTGTTTTATATCTTATTTATAAGAGTGCTCTAAACCGAGTTGAATCATCTCCAGATCTACCAGATGTCACTGGTTATTAGGAGTTGCTACAAGTCACCAAGCTCCTCCCTCCCTCTTTTGCTTTTGTTCTCCTATTCTTTCTTCCTTATTTTCCTCCCTTCTTTTTCCTTCCTTCCTTCCTTCCTCCCCTCTTTTCTCCTCCCTTCCTCCCCTCCTCTCCTCTCTTCTTTCCTTTCTTCCCTCTCTCCTATATTAGTTCTCTTGGGCTGCCATAAAAAAATACCACAGGCCAGGCACGGTGGCTCACGCCTGTAATCCCAGCACTTTGGGAGGCCAAGACAGACGAATCACTTGAGGTCAGGAATTTGAGACCATCCTGGCCAACATGGTGAAACCTCGTCTGTACTAAAAATACAAAAATTAGCCGGGCATGGTGGTGCATGCCTGTGATCCCAGCTACTTGGGAGGCTGAGGCAGAAGAATTGCTTGAACCCAGGAGGCAGAGGCTGCCATGAGCTGAGATCACACAACTGCACTCCAGCCTGGGCAACAGAGTGAGAATCCGTCTCAGGAAATGAAATAAAATAAAATAAAGGAAAATAAAATAAAATAAAATACCACAGACTGAGTGGCTAAAACAACACAAATGTATTTTCTCACAGTTCTAGAGGCTGGAAGTCCACAATCAAGGTGCCAGCAGGGTTGGCTTCCTCTGAGGCCTCTTTCCTTGGCTTGCACATGGCAGCCCTCTTGCTGACTGCACAGGGTCTTGCCTCTGTGAAAACCTGTGTCTCTCCTCATGTCCTGATCTCCTCTCTCATTAGGACACCAGTCAGATTGGATGAGGACCCACCTTAAAAGCCCCATTTTAACTTAATCACCTCTTTAAAGGTCACATTCTGAGATACAGGGGCTGACTTCAACCTATGAATTTGTGGGGGGCACAATTCAGCCCATAACACACTCCCCCTTCTTCCTTTCCTTCCTTGTTGAGGGCTTATCACAGGCCAGATGCTATAGAGAGGAATGAGACAAAGAGAATATCACAGACCAGATGCTACAGAGAGGAATGAGACAAAGAGAATCCCTAACACTAACACACACACACACACACACACACACACACACACACACACACAATGATGTTACCAAAGCTCTCTTGTTTTCGGAGAGTGGCTTCTTGGACTGAGACCAGTGTTGGCTTTTGTCACATTACAGTTTAGGGTGCAGCATGCCCCGTTCTGTTGAGCGGGGTAAGGGCCAAGACAGGGTGGGACAGTGATGATGACTGAGAGGAGTTTGACCCCTGGCTCTGCCTTTGACTTTATGAATGACATTGACAGGGGATCTGGGCTTCAAGATGCTCGCATGTGGAAAGAAGGGGTGGGATTCGAAACCTACTCAAGCCCTCTCAGTCTCAGTTGATGATAGTACCTGAAAGACCTCCTTGATGTGGGAAGGGCTCAGGGAAGACCCAAGTCTTCCAAGGTCTGAAATATTCAAAGGAAAACAAACCAAAACTGGCTCTTTGAAACGCGTGTCTAGCAAGGAATATGTACTAAATATAAGCGATTCCTATTTCTACTGACGTAAAAGATTAAAATTGCTTTTCTGGGTCAGGCCTTTGCAGGAGCAGAGCTTGTGAGAATTGGAAAGGCTGTTAAGCGCCAGGAAAAATATTCTGCAGAGAAGCAGCGTCACCTGCTGGGATGCAGTGGTGTTGCATGTGATAAGTGAAATGACGAATCGTCAGCCTGGGTTTCTACTGAATATGAAATCAGGAACATTAATCTTAATCAAAAGCTGAGTTTTCAAGACCACCAAACTGCGGAAAGATTTCTCCGCAGGTTAATTTTAGCCATGTTTTAGATTTATTTTTGCTTCAAACTATTCACCCATGCTATACATCTTTCTTTATAAATCAGACTCAATGATATGTGCTAGTAAAAGCCAGTTAGTCAAAATCTGTTATTTAGAGGACACAGCTAGGATCACAGGGCTGAAGTCTCCCTTAGTTCAGGCTTCATTAAACAGCCACCCAACTCATCAGCTTCCCAGACCTCCAAGTCTCCTTCCAGCTCTAGAATTTAGCCACATGTATTTACTGAGTTCTGTTAAACACGGGACATTTTGTGTACTGAAAGATGTATGGAGAAATGTAAGATATGTTCCTGATCTCTTGTTTTGGAGACTTGGCATTAAAGTATACAAAGATAAATAGTAATTATAAAAGTTAATAATCACGCTATTAAACAAATAAAGTATGTTCAAGAGTGGTATAGACCAATGGCTACTCTGAGAGCCAGTATTTCTGGCTGGGGGCAGAAAGAATTTAAGGGTTTCTTGAGCCACATGTGAAAAAATAACAAGAATTTTGATGAAATTCATGGATAATAAGAAAAACTGAAGTAAGCACCAAAAAATGGAGACCAAGAACATGTTAAACGTTTTTGATAAGAAAAAAATGAAATGTGCTTGAGAAACACCAGGAAAATCAATTTAACCTGAGTAGGAATTTTTAGGAGAATAGTTTGAGATAAGGCAGGAAAAGGAAGCTGAGACATGATGATTCTGTAAATGCAAGGATAAGGAAGTTTGAGCTTATTATTGTAAGCAATTGAAAAGCATTGAAGATTTCTGGGAAGGAAAATAAAGTGATAAGAACTGTGTCTTAAGAAGACTCACCTGGCAATCACATGCAGGAAGGAATGATTCTAAGATGTGAAAAGATGCCCTGAATGTGTAAAAGGCAGAGTGGTAGAAAGAGGATTTTCAAGGTCACAAATGTGTATGTAAAAGCAGCAGAGAAATCTGGCTCTTTGATACTTTTTTGTATCAAACAATATACTCTAACTTAATATAATTTTTTTTTTTTTTTGTGAGAAAGAGTCTTGCTCTGTCGCCCAGGCTGGAGGGCAGTGGCGGGATCTAGGCTCACTGCAACCTCTGCCTCCTGGGTTCACGCCATTCTCTTCCCTCAGCCTCCTGAGTAGCTGGGACTACAGGTGCCCGCCACCCTGCCCGGCTAATTTTTTGTATTTTTTGTAGAGATGGGGTTTCACTGTGTTAGCCAGGATGGTCTTGATCTCCTGACCTCGTGATCTGCCCACCTCAGCCTCCCAAAGTGCTGGGATTACCGGTGTGAGCCACCGCGCCTGGCCAATTTAAAATAATTCTAAAGACATGAATGTAAGAGCTAAAAAACTATGAAACTGCTAGAGGAAAACTTTGGGGAAATGCTTCAGGACATTGATCTGGGCAAAGGGTTTTTGATTAAGACCTCAAAAGCTCAGGCAACAAAGTAAAAATAGGCAGATGGGATTACCTCAAGCTAAAAAGCTTCTGCACAGCAAAGGAAACCATTTTAAAAAGTGAAGAGACAACCTACAGAATGGGAGAAAATATTTGCAAGCTGTCCATTCAACAAGGATAAATAACCAGAAAATACAAGAAACTCAAACAAGTCAATAGCAAAAAACAAACAAGCAAACAAAACAAGAAAAAACCCCCAAAATGATCCAATTAAAAAAATAAGCAAAAGATCTGAATAGACGTTTCTTAAAAGAAGGCATGTAAACGGCCAACAGGTGTATGAGAAAATGCTCAAACTACTAATCATCAGGTAACTGCAAATCAAAAACCACAACAAGAGAACATCTTACCCCAGTTGGAATGACTGTTGTCAAAAAGACAAAAATTAACAAATGCCAGTGAGGTTGAGAAAGGGGAACGCTCTGACACTGTTGGTAGGGATGTAAAGTAGTACAGCCATTATGGGAAACAGTATGGAGGTTCCTCAAAGAACTAAAAACAGAACTACCATATTAGCCAGCAATCCCACTGCTGCGTATATACTCAAAAGAAAGGAAATCAGTAATCAAAGAAATTTCTGCATTCCCATGTTTATTGCAGCACTATTCACAATAGCCAAGATATGGAATCAACTAAAATGCCCATCAATGAATGCATGGATAAAGAAAATGTGGTACATGTACATAATGGAATATTATTCAGCCATAAAGAAGAATGAAATCCTGTCATTTACAGCATCACAGATGGAACTGCAGGTCATTATGTTAAGCGAAATAAGCCAGGCACAGAAAAACAAATATCACGTTTTCACTCATATATGGGAGCTTACAAAGTTGATTTCATGGAGGTAGAGAACAGAATGATGGTTACCAGAGGCTGGAAAGAGTGTAGAGGAGGGGAGATGGAGAGAGGGGGGTTAATGCATATAAACATACAATTAGATAGAAGGAATAAGTTCTAGTGTTCAATAGCACAGTAGGACGACTATAGTTAACAATAATTTATTGTATATTTCAAAATAGAGGAGAAGATTTTGGATGTTCTCAACACAAAGAAATGATAAATGTTTGAGGTGATTGATATTTCAATTATCCTGATTTGATCATTACACATTGTATGCATGTATCAAAATATTACATATACCCCCAAAATATATACAATTGTGATATGTCAATAAAAAATACAAAAAATAATAATTCTCTATATTAACCAAGGGAATGGTCACATGGAAAGAAAATGAAAAGGAAGAAAAAAAAAAAAAGCTAAAGAGAAGGATTCTGACCCAAAGCCTAAGAGAAGCATTGACAGTGTTTTAAAGACCCCCGAGACATCTAGAAGAATAAGAATTGAGAAAAGAATTGGGAAAAGAATTGGTTAGACATTGTTTCACATTGCAAATAATGCATAAATAATGAATTAATTGATTGACTAATTATTTAATTTTCTTTCATTATAAAGGTTTGGGCAGGAGGGAGACTTAGAAATCATCTTCCTCTCAGGACAGTAAGAATTTGTGCAACAACTTTTTAAATAGCCTTCCAACTTCAGCGTTGGGTTCAATAATGTGAGGTCACTCCTGTGCTAAGTGGACTATCCAAAGACTTGCAAACCCCCAGAGGTAGGTATCAGATATGATTACACATATCACATATGATTACACATATCTCAACACCCGTTTTTCCTCCAAAGGTTAGATCACCACAGCCATTCCAGATTGTCCATTTTGTCAATGTCCTTCTACATACAGGGGCCAGCATTACTGAGCACATTGCCTTAAAAGTGTCCTAAAAATCAGAGTATTGAAGAGGATGATAACATCTCCCTGCTTTGGTTCACAGAGCAGAGCCTGTAAGTGTGCTCAGTCTGTGTCTGTGCAGGACAAGGGGGAGGATCTTTTTATTAGATACTCAAGTAAACAAGGTTACTTCAGTCCTACACTTGTGCACTTAACTGTGCTGAACCTAAATGTGGCATGTTTTTGTTACTCCCTTTAGTGTTTTATTTTTTTGACAGCATTTCAGCCCAGACCTAGCACTAGATCTTGTACCTGGAAAGTATTTAATATTTGGTGGATAAATAAATCAAAGGATATACTTTTTAAATTTACATTCTGTCAGCACATATGTTTACACTTCTTCTCAGTTTCCAAACATTTGAAAATCTGACAGGCATACTATATCAGTTAGGGATGCTTTTGGCAGCAAGTAACAGAAAAATTTGAGCACAAAAACCTAAACACACGAGTTTAATTTTTCTCACATAACAATAAATCTGAGAGTAGGCAGCCCTGGGCTCATGTTGCCAGTGACACCATTAGGGACCACATTTCCTTTCATCTTTCAGATTCATTATCCTTAGCAAGCTTACTTTCATCTTCACGCTTTTTGTCCCTTGGTCTCAAGATGCCTATCTCACCTACAGACATCACACGCACATTTCGGCCAAGAACCAAGGGAAAGGGCAAAGGGACAAATTCCATGCCAGCTGGGTCTGTCCCCTTTGTATCAGAAAAGTAAGAACTTTCCCAGAAGTGTCACTAGCCATACTTTCTTTTGCATCTTATCAGCCAGAACTGGATCACGCAGTCATCCTTAGACTAATGACTGGCCAAGAGGAATAACTGGCTTAGAATTACTATTAATTCCCAGGGACTAAGGGTGGGCCCTTCCTCCCTGAAACAAAAGGACTTCTGCTACTACCCAAATAAATTTAAGTTCTGTTAGCAGGAAAGGAGGGATATGAATATTGGGTCAATAAAGACAAGTACCTAGCACACATGCCTTCCACAATGTATATTTAGATAAGCAAGTCTTTGTGTGACTTCATTCAAGGTCATCAAAATCATGTCACTAATACAGAATTTAATAGAAGACCCTGGAAATGACTTGTTTTCCTCCCCGTTGAGGTTATTAATTATCCACCATGAACCTAGAATAGGAACTTTTAAAAACCTTAAAATGTGCACAAGTGTTCCAATTTAGAATTTTAGGCCTGGCTACTGTATTAGTCCGTTCTCATGCTGCTAATAAAGACCTACCTGAGACTGCGTAATTTATAAAGGAAAGAGGTTTAATGGATTGATGGTTCCACATGGCTGAGAAGGCTTCACAATCATGGCAGAAGACAAATGAAGAGCAAAGGGACGTCTTACATGGTGGGAGGCAAAGAGCACGTGTGCAGGGGAACTGCCCTTTATAAAACCATCACATCTCCTGAGATGTATTCACTATCATGAGAACAGCACGGGAAAGACCCATCCCCATGATTCAGTTACCTCCCACCAGGTCCCTCCTATGGCACGTGGGTATTATCAAAATTCAAGGTGAGATATGGGTGGGGACACAGCCAAACCAAATCAGCTACTTTGATATTCTACCAACACCCAACACTTCATTTCTTCACCTTATGCTCTGTGTCTGTCTACCATAAGAATCTGAGTTTGTTGGCTGGGTGCAGTGGCTCATGCCTGTAATCCCAACACTCTGGGAGGCCGAGGCAGGCAGATCACGAGGTCAGGAGATCAATACCATCCTGGCTAACATGGTGAAACCCTGTCTCTACTAAAAATACAAAAAATTAGCCGGGCGTGGTGGCACACGGGAGGCTGAGGCAGAAGAATCACTTGAACCCGGGAGGCAGATGTTGCAGTGAGCCGAGATCGTGCCACTGCACTCCAGCCTGGGTGACAGAGTGAGACTCATCTCAAAAAAAAAAAAAAACAAAGAATCTGAGTTTGTTTAGGGTAATGATTATGTCTTACCCATGTCCAGACATCACCAACACCTAGCACAACAGTTAGCATGAGCTCAATGAATATTTATTTTTAAAATAAAGTCCAAGTTATTGATGGATTAGATAGTATTATAACATGAATGTTCTATTCTCATTAGAAAGACTGTCTTGGAAATACATTTTTTGGTGCTACTAACATTTCAGCAAGTTGGTTTTCTTCTTGTGTGTATCTACTATGGAAGCTATACATGCAATGCATACTTAAGAGTCAATACACTTGTACTTCTATACAATGAAATATGACTCGGCAAGATAAAGGAACAAACTACGGATATGCACCATGATGTGGATGAATCTCAAAAGCATTATACTCAGTGAAAGATGCCAGGCAGAAGAGGCTACATGTGCTGGGACTCTATTTATATGAAATATCCACAAAAGGCAAGCTATAAAGATAGAAAGTAGATTCGTGGTTGCTAGGGACAGGGGATAATGGAAATTAGCAGTAAATGTGCATGAGGGATGGAATTGGCATGATGAAAATGTGCTAAAACAGATTTATGGTGATGGTTGCACAACTTGGTACATTTGCTAAAAAAAATCACTTGAAAAGAGTGATGTGCAAAATATGCTCTGATAACCATTTTAAAATCAGTTTAGGACTCTGGAAGCTTTCTGGCATTCTTAAGACAGACCAGCACCTATCTGCATAACGTTCCGAGTAGACATGAGCATCCTTCACAGGAGGGCAGTTTTCAAATGCGAGAACACAGAGGCATTCGAGGAGCATATTACCCCCAGATAAATTTTTGTTTGACATAGGGTCTCACTATATTGCCCAAGCTGGCCTCAAACTCCTGTGCTCAAGTTATCATCTCACTTGTGCCTTAGTCTCCCAGATAGCTGGGACTACAGGTGTGGACCACCATGCCCATTTCCCCCCAGATAAGTCTTTAATGGAGCCTCCAATACACCGAGATTAAAGTTTCCAACATCGGCACTGGCAAAACTATAAAGGCTTCTTCTCCACAAGACCCATAGGAGATGCTCCCTGGGTTTACATGCCCTTCCCCACGACAGACCTTCACATCAGCGCTGCAACTGGATTCAAGTGTCAGATGTGCTAGTTAATGCTGTGGGTCCCAAAGGAATGAGACGTGTAATTCTGACTAATTTCGACTGAAGATAAGTGCAATGTCTATACAAACAAAAACAACAATAAAAAGATCTTTTACTGTGTCAAACATGACTACTGCTTAGTGTACCTCTTACTTGTTTGTTATAAGTATGCTTTAAGTCTCTCTCCTTTTTCCATTTCCCACTTTGAGTTCCTCTAGAAGGACTCCCTTCTGTTACTCTTTATACATGCACTGCCTCACAGAGGAGGTAGAAAGGCCTCAGGATGGGAAAACTGAGGGGAAAAAAGCAAAACCATCATGCCACCTAAAAACTAAACTTAAGAGTATTCCTACCTCTTGCTGCGTTTTTCTTTTTTCACGTTATACCATCAACACTTTTCCTTATATTAAAATTCGTGTTTTGTTCTGGTAGTAGCTCTCCCACGTAGTATTCACAGCATTTTGCTGCTCTGGCTGGAGTGGGTGTGAGAAGCTTGGATTCTCCCACACTCAGCCTTCCCAAGATCATCATGGGAGACCCCCAGGGCTCTGTGGAACACAGTTTGAATGGAATGATTGGCAGCATCCACTTTAATGGTTGAGTAGCATTTTATTTATGGATGAACCATAATTTTCTAAACATATTCCCTTTGTTGGCTATACAGTTTATGTCCAGGTTTTTAAACATAAGATTGTAGTAAGCAGCATGTAGCTAAATCATTTTGCATATTCAGGATATTTTCTGAAACTTCTAAAAGTGTTACTGGGGTTCAAATTTCTGCACACCTGTATACAAGTTGAAAAAGTACACTCTAAAAATTTTGTTCCGATTAGCCTCTGGCAGAAGTGCCTGAGTGTTTGACTCCTTAGTAACTGAGTAGTGTCCTCTTTTTTAAATCCCTGCCAAGCTGATAGGTAAAAAATTGTGTTCATTATGTAAATTTACAATTCTTTGAATACTAATGAGGTTTGATTTTTTTCTATTTTGATTCGCTTTTTATGCTGTTAGGTTATTCTGCTCTTATTAGCATTTTTTTTTTTTTTTTTTTGAGACGGAGTTTCGCTTTTGTTGCCCAGACTGGAGTGCAATGGCATGATCTTGGCTCACCGCAACCTCTGCCTCCTGAGTTCAAGCGATTCTCCTGCCTCAGCCTCCTGAGTAGCTGGGATTACAGGCACCTGCCACCACACCCTGCTAATTTTCTATTTTTAGTAGAGATGGCGTTTCTCCATGTTGGTCAGGCTGGCCTCGAACTCCCGACCTCAGGTGATCTGCCTGCCTTGGTCTCCCAAAGTGCTGGGATTACAGGCGTGAGCCACCGCACCTGGCCTAGCACTTTGCTTTTTAATTGGCAATTCAGTTACATTTCCTGGGAGGAAAACATTGGCTCATCTTCAGCTATCCTTGAGCCCAGACTTAAATTTATGTTTCAAGTACTAGCCAGCAAGACAGACTCCAAGTTGCATTTCAGGTCAGAATCCGTGCATTTCTGGATCACTCTCCACCACTTTCAAGTGCATGACCATCTCTTGAAGCACAAATTTCTTGGGCACCTAATTTAATTTAAAAACCTCAAAGAGTTCTTTGTGTCATCTTTGAGGAGAAAGACAAGCTCAGAGGTCTTGGAGGCAGCAATCAGATAAGCACCTTGCCAGAGAATCTTTGCTGAAAAATAAATTTAAATAGCAATTAATGCTTTTGTGTAAAGTTAAAGAGGAGTCTTGAGAATGTGACAGTCCAGCTGAGCACAGTAGCTCACGCTTGTAATTCCAGCACTTTGGGAGGCAGAGGCAGGCAAATCACTTGAGGTCAGGAGTTTGGGACCAGCCTGGCCAACATGGTGAAAGCCTGTCTCTACTAAAAATTAGCTGGGTGTGGTGGCAGGCACCTGTAATCACAGCTACTTGGGAGGCTGAGGCAGGAGAATCACTTGAACCCAGAGGCAGAGGTTGGTTGCCGTGAGCTGAGATCACACCACTGTACTCCAGCCTGGGCAACAGAGCGAGACTCCGTCTCAAGAAAAAAAAAGAGAGAGAGAGAGAATGTGATAACCTAGCTCACCTTTGAGAAGTCCTTGGGATTCGCATTGTCATTGCTTAGTCAATCTCACCTGCCTGTTTGCTTTCTTTCCTTCCTTCTTTCTGGCTTTTCTTTCTTTTCTTTCTGCTTTTAGCGCCTCCTATTTGACAATACCTATACAAGACATTGTGGGATTTCAACAACAAAAAAGTAGTGTAATAAACTCTGTCCCAAAGGTGTGCATAGGACAAACATTCAGAAAATAATTTAAAAATTACCCCTTTCCTTTTGAAAAATGATGTGTTAATGCTTTTGGTTTCTACAACCTAGTAAAAGGGAGATTCCCAAAGGTGAATTATTGATATTTAAAATTTTTTATATACAAAAATAGCAAAAGTTCATTTAAAAAATTTAAGCAATATAAAACTATAAAGCCCAGAGTAAAAGTGCCCCAATGCATGCACTCTAACATGGAAAAGAAGTCACAGATGTTATAATCCCCAGAACAAAGGCATGAGTAGTACTTTGCAGACACTTTCCCATGTTCATACACATATGGAACATATATGTAACAAAATGCTGCTTGAGTTCTCTCCTTTTGTCTTGAAATCTTGGCTAAATCTTCAAAGCTGAAGCCAGTCATTTCAACAAAGCCACACATTCTAAACACAGTGCCAAAGAGTTGCCCAAATCACCCTTTGGCCTTATAAAGAGTTGGCTAAGCTGGCCCTTCTACCTTGCCCCTCCACCCCATCTAGCTTCTAGAAGCAGAAGGTCAGTCTCCTGAAGGAGAAAGGGAATCATCCAGGTAGTGAGGTGCATGCCCAGGGAAAAAGTGCTTTGGCAGAACCAGGAATGTCCCCCTCCAATCCCTCAGCCCAATCCAACCAAAAAGGGCACCAAGAGTGCCAATCATAGAGAAGGAGGGTGTCAGCACCAAAAGGAGACTGGCATCTGTGTGCAACTGCATGCTTACTCAGCTGTGGGACTTTGTGAATGAGCCTGCAATGTGTCCCTTCACATGCGAACACCTAGAAACTGGCACCTGCTTTTCACCTGGAGATTCTGAAGGCACTAATGTCCCCATCCCCCCCTGAGGGCACTAAGGCTGACTGGAGCTGCACAGAAGAGAGAACAGCAGCAGGATAAGGCGCCACACTCACCATTCAGCATGGCAATGGTGTGTGGTCTGAGTCCCTGGTAATTAGGAAAACACAAATGTAAATAGTGAAACACCATTATCTGACAGGTTGGCAAAAATGCAAAAGATTGATAAAAATCCTGTGTTGGAAAAAGTGTGTGGAGAAAGGCACTCATACAGTACATATATGACTATGTCTTGGTCTTTTTTCTGTTGCTACAACTGAATACCACAGATCAATGTGTAAAGAATAGAGGTTTATTTAACTCACAGTTCTAGAGGCTGAGAAGTTCAAGGGCATGGCACCAGCATCTGGTGAAGGCTTTGTGCTGCCTCATAACATGGTGGAAAGTACCACAGGGCAAGAGAGGAAGCAAGAGGAAAGCAAGAAAGCCAGAGTCACTTTTTATAACAACCCACTGTGACAGTAACTAATCCAGTCCCAAGACAGCAAGAAATCACTCACTTTCTCTAGCCAGCATTAATCCCTTCATGAGAGTGGATCCCTCATGATCCAAGGGCCTCTTAAAGGTGCCACCACCTGTCAACAGCTTTACATTGAGGACTAGCCTCAACATGAGTTTTGATGGGGACAAACCATATACAAGCCATAGCTAACTACAAATATAAATACCTTCTTTGGATGACAATTGTCAGTGGCTATCAAAATGTTAAAGACATATGCCTTTTCAGCCAACAATTCCACTTCCGGCACTCTATTTAAAAAAATAATAATCTTCCGAACTTTTTGAGAGATGATTTCTATCCCATCAGTGTGGAGGTAGGAAGAGCAGAACTGGTGGGAGGCTTTGAACAAATTCACATAGGGAACAAAGAGAATGACTGTGAGGATGAAGAAGAGGAGAGTGACTAGAGATAGTTAACAGGTTGAATTAACAGGACTTAGAGGCTCTCATGGATTGAATTGTGTCCCTCAAAAATGTATATTGAATTCCTAATCCCCAGTACCCGTGAATGTGACCTTATTTGGAAATGGGGTCTTTGCTAATGTAATCCAGTTAAGATGAGGTCATATTCACACATTAGGGGGGTCCTAGTCCAATATGACTGATGCCTTTATAAAAAGAGAAGGGACACAGACATACAAGGAGAATGTCACATGATGATGGAGGTAGAGAAAGAAGCAATGCCTCTACAAGCCAAGGAATGTCAAGGATTGCCAGGATTACCAGAAAGGCATAGAACGGATTCTCCCCTGCAACCTTCAGGAAGAGCACGACCTTGCTGACAACTTGGTTTTGGACTTCTAGACTCCAGAATTATGAGAGCACACATTTCTGTCATTTCTGTTGTTTTCAGCCACCCAGTTTGTGGCACAGTGCTCCTCTTTATCCACTGTTTCACGTTCCACAGTTTTAGTTATGTGTGGTCAACTACAGTTTGAAAATATTAAATGGAAAACTCCAGAAGTAAACAATTCATAGTTTTCAATTGTGCACCATTCTGAGTAGTGTGATATGATCTCACACTGTCCACTCCATCCCACCGGGACATGAATCATCCCTTTGTCCAGCGGATCCATGCTGTAGACACTGACCACCTGCAAATCACTTAGGAGCTGGCTCCGTTATCAGATTAAAAAAAAAAAAAGGCCACAGTATATATAGGGTTTGGTACTATCAGTGACTTCAGGCATCCAATGAAGTCTCAGAACATATCCCCCGCAGATAAGGGGGAACTACTGTATTCTGTTACAGCAGCCCTGGGAAATGAATAGAGGCCAACTGGCAAAAGTGGCCAGGAACAGAGAAATCAAAGATGACTTCAGATGAGTCTGGCTTGGGCCACTGTGTCCACACTAGTCCCGTGAACTATGCTGATAGATGTAGAAAACATAGAATGGGGAGCAGCTGGGTTGGGGCAGGACATGAGTAAGGAATTTAATGTCTGATGTGGTAGGTCATGGCCCAGGGTCCACCTGTGTGGACATGTCCAGTCAGCTAAGCTGAGCAGAGAGGACAAGATAGCCTGGACTATGGGGAATGGGTCTAAAGAGATGTCAAATTCAGTTTGAAATGTGTTAGCATTCAGATTGGAAAACCTTCACCTTCATTCTCTCTAAGATGAGAGAGACCTTACTCCATGGCAGAGAAATGCACCTCTCAGCAGAAACGCACCCAGAACAAGCATGGTGAGTTCTGGGATCTAGGTCCCTTTCCTGCTGAACAAGGATCCCCATCCTCACTGACTCTTTAGAGCTAGTGTGGGTCCACTCTGGCCTCTGGGCTTCCCCGTGAGCTGGACAGCACAGCTCCTCAGAGCGTTGTGGAGACATCCTAAGAGTAGAGCCGTGAGGCAGGGTCTCGGGGGACCTGCCTCTAACTTGGGGTGTGGTCTGGCCTGGGCACTTAACGACTCAGAGCCTCTCCCTGGAAACCACTCACTGGGAAGTAACAGTGGAGCGATGCATAAAGGAAGGTGAGAACCAAAGTAACCCCATAGTTAGTTCAAGCATTTTCTTTTACAGAGGAGCAATATCAGACATGCAGAAGTTAAGTGGTGTATTCAAGGTCACAGACAAATGGGTTTTGAAGCTGGAATTGAAAAGTGCTCTTTTCATTAAAGCATTTCTAAGGTCTCTTTCAGTTTTTAAATCCTCTGGTTATAAAAGCAATTTATAAATTTATAAATAGAATGGGGTGCTAGAAGTTTCTAAATACCACCAGACACCAAAAACTGCTGTTTAAAGAGAGGAACTAATTGGAATTCATCACAATTCAGAGGCCACACATTAATTCTGTGCACTGGAGCAAGACCTGTATGGCAGATCATTTGAATGCAGGAGGTCAGTCAGATAGATTGCTTCTTTAGACCTTCAAGAACATTCAAGAACACTGTCAAAACCTTTCTATTACAAACATTTTCATGTTGGAGTTTCAATAATGTTCCCTGCTATACAGAAATGGGGCGGCTTGAAAACTTGCCCCTGCATGCCCCCATCCCAACTCAAAAAGGAAAACAAATGTGGTTGCAGCAGCTTTGCCCTAAAGTCAATATCCAGACAGAAATTGTGAAAAATAGCAACCAGTCGCTTCCCCAGGTGATCTGTTCATTTAAAATGAGCTTCCCTCAGGCCACATGGAGGTAGGCTCCAGGGTCTGAGCTAGACTTTGAATGTGTCTGACAAATGAAGAGAGAGAACTAGAGAGGTGTTCCCCTGCCACCAGCCACATCCAGATGTAATCACAGACCAAGGCTGGCTGCTGCTGGAAGCTGAGCCTTCCCAGGCAGAGAAGAAAGCAGCGACTCCTACCCTCCACCCACCCACCCATCCTAACTCCTCTTTCTCTTTTCTGTCTTGGACCATCCAGATTTCCCCCGAGCTTCCTTTCTCTTTTGTCTTCAATCTTACTCTCCCCTCTCTGCTCCTCTTTCTATCGCTTTCATATCTTCCTCTTGACCATGTCTCTTCTCCCTAATACCCAACCCCAACTCTGGTCTGTCTATTCCTGGACAGACAGAAATGAAGTCACTTTCAACCAATAAATATCAATAATTCCAATGCCATGAAAAGGCTAGTCGTATGGTAATGAGTAGAACCAATCCTCTCCTCCCAATAGGGTGCAGTGACTCCAAATGGTCATGGGCTGGCCATCATGGAATCATCAGCCCCAGGAGGATACACCAAGCTCCATAAGGCAGTGCCATCTTGGTTCTCAGGTTCTCTGAATGGCCAAACATCAAAATCACCAGAATGGAAAATTGAGCATGTATAGGAAGCTCTCCTTCCACTCCCAACATAAAGAATGGGTAGAAATATACGAGTGTGTGTGTGTGTGTGTGTGTACGCTAAATGCCACTAAACTGTACAATTGTTAAAATGGTAAATGTCATGTATATTTTACTACGATAAAAATAACGAGGACAGCCAGAGTCAATCAGTGCCAAGATAGGGAGAATATGAGGTTATAGTCATTGGAAAGAGAGGCCACCTGAGGGTGTGCGTGTGGACAGAGATAGAGATAGATAAAAGTTATGTAACATAGTCAAATTCAAAAGCAAGAAATGAAAATTTGAGAATAGGACCTTTAAGGACACAAGAGTGAGAAGGTGTTAAAGCCAGGTAGCCCTCAGTGAGTTAAGAGGAAATACGTATTTCAGAACTAGGGTTGAAGCCCCAAGCACCTGCTCAGCAGGTGTTGGAACTGTATTCTACGCATTAACAGTGAAAAAGCCAAATGCTATCACTGAAGGATGACCAGAAAACTCTACCCAAAGGTTATAAACATACTAGCATTTCTTCCAATAACTCTAGAGGCTGATCAAACCATAGCTCTAACAATGGTCCCTCTCTGAAGACTTTTATCTAGGCAGAAATCAGGACCAGAAGAATCTTTGCAATTTGCCGGGCATGGTGGCTTGCACCTGCAGTCCCAGCACTTTGGGAGGCTGAGGCAGGCAGATCACGAGGTCAGGAGTTCAAGACCAGCCTGACCAACATGATGAAACCCTGTCTCCACTAAAAATACAAAAATTAGCCTTGGGTGGTGGTGCATGCCTGTAATCACAGCTACTCAGGAGGCTGAGGCAGGAGAATTGCTTGAACCCAGGAGGCAGAGGTTGCAGTGAGCCAAGATTGTGCCACTTCACTCCAGCCTGGGCAACAGAGTGAGACTCTGTCTCAAAAAAAAAAAAAAAGAAAAAAAGGAAAAAAAAGAATCTTTGAAATGAAATCTCTTCCAACCCTGTACCTTGGGTCTCATGTTAGCAAATAAGCAGTTAGCATAGAAATAGACCTTTGGTTTGCAAAGCTGAAACTTTGGAATTTTGCCTGGAACCAATCATTACTTTATTTGCCCAAATCCTGTACCAGTCATAGGTCATATGCATCCAACAGGCACCCCTTATTGGGTTTTTATGGATGTTCATTAACAGCTCCATTGTTGGCCAGGCCATTTAGAGACACTCAGCTGGAAACACCAGCTGCTTCACCAAAGTTATGAATACGGCTAGGCCTTCCACCGAGGGTTGTAAAGCCTTAATGGAGTGGCAGCACAGTAGGGCAATTCAGGCCAATTTAGATTTTGTAGCATGTGCATAAATGACTGTTTCCTGTCCTGCTCTGATTTTTCTGTTTGAACCCTTTCCATCCACGTGGGATAGTCACCTCCAGAATACTAACCTAAGGAAGGTGGTCTCCACTTATCCAGGCTACTGACATATGGATTTACAAAGAGTTTTTCCATTCCCTCAGACGCTAATGCCTTCCCTTTGTACCGAATGCTTAACATTTACCAAATACTTTCACGGTACCATCCAGTTCCTATGAAGTAGGTAATAGGGCCGGTGTTATTATCCTTGAGATAAAGAGGTCCAGGGAGGTTTTGGGACTTGCCGAAAGATGCACAGAAAAGCTGGAGCTTGCAGGTGTCCAGTCCACTCTACCAGGTGTCCAGGTGGCCTTTTCTTCCAATGACCATGACCTTCCATTCTCCTTGTCTTGACATTGATTAATTCTGGCTCTTTATTTTTGTTGTGGTAAAATATACGTAACATAAAATGTACAATTTTTAAGTGTACAGTTCAGTGGCATTAAATATACTCACACTGTTGATTCATCCTTGTGCACCATAGGCAGCACAGGCATCAAGATGTCCAACCGAGTGGTCCGCTGGGAAGCCAGCCACTCTGGGAACTGGTACACAGCCTCAGGACCACAGCTGAATGCACAGCTAGAAGGTTGGCTTTCACAAGTAAAGTCTACAAAAAGACCTGCTAGAGCCATTATTGCACCCCATGCAGGATATACGTACTGTGGGTCTTGTGCCACCCATGCTTATAAACAAGTGGATCCGTCTATTACCCAGGGAATTTTCATCCTTGGGCCTTCTCATCATGTGTCCCTCTCTCAGTGTGCACTTTCCAGTGTGGATATATATAGGACACCTCTGCATGACCTTCGTATTGACCAAAAGATTTACAGAGAACTGTGGAAGACAGGAATGTTTGAACGCATGTCTCTGCAGACAAAGATGAACACGGTATTGAAATGCATTTGCCTTGTACAGCTAAAGCCATGGAAATCCATAAGGATGAGTTTACCATTATTCCTGTACTGGTTGGAGCTCTGAGTGAGTCAAAAGAACAGGAATTCGGAAAACTCTTCAGTAAATATCTAGCAGATCCTAGTAATTTCTTTGTGGTTTCTTCTGATTTTTGCCATTGGGGTCAAAGATTCCGTTACAGTTACTATGATGAATCCCAGGGGGAGACTTATAGATCCATTGAACATCTAGATAAAATGGGTATGAGTATTATAGAACAATTAGACCCTGTATCTTTTAGCAATTACTTGAGGAAACACCATAATACTATATGTGGAAGACATCCCTTTAGGGTGTTAAATGCTATCACAGAGCTCCAGAAGAATGGAAGAATATGAGCTTTTCCTTTTTGAATTATGCCCAGTCAAGCCAGTGTAGAAACTGGCAAGACAGTTCAGTGAGTTACACAACTGGAGCGCTCACGGTCCGCTGAAGCTCTGAATCCTCAGGGAGGCCACCTGCACATTCTCATACTCTGTCCAGGGTCCCAGCCTAGCCTTTACCAAGATACTGGTCCTAGTTTGGGGTGATTCTGAAATCTCAAACTAATAGAACTTTCTTCTCTTTTTTCCTAGTAGGCGTAGTCCTTCCTTAATTTCAACTCATTAAAAAGTGCTTTATAGTTTAGGGCAGTGGAAGGAAGGCTGGCATCAAAATATTTTGATCAAAAAAGATAACAATGTAAAGGCTCAGTTGTGGCAGACAGCTTTTTGAAAGTAACTTGAAAAGCATTTACCGTATCCTAAATTTGCACTCTTTGCAGACTTGTGCACATATATTCCGCTTTCAGAATAGTTTTGCAAATTGTACATAAACAAACAAAAAGGTAGAAGCTTTTCAATAAAGAAATTGCATTTATAAATGATCTGTATTATAATAAATCTCCAGTTATAGTCAATTACTACCCATGTTGTACAACAGATACCTTCTATTTTAGTTGCTAACAAACGGCTACACAATACAACGTAAATAAATTAATTAATTAATTCACATTGTTATGCAACCATTATCATCAACCATCTCCAGAACTTTCTCCTCATCCCAAACTGAAACTCTGTTCCTATTAAACAGTAACTTCCCATTCCCCTCTTCCCCTAGCTCTGGGAACCACAATTCTACTTTCTATTCTCTGAATTTGACTACTCTGGGAACTTCATATAAGTAGAATCATATAGTATTGGTTCTGTTTCTGGCTTTTTTCACTTGGCATAATGTTTGTGTAGTGTGTGTCAGAATCCATATTGTAGGATCATCCATATTGTAGCGTGTGTCAGAATTTCAATTCTTTTTAAGGCTGAATAATATCCTATTTCATCTCTATATACAACCTTTTGTTCATCCATTCATTCATTGAATAGGAGTGCCCTGCACTCCTATTTCCTCTTTTAGGGAATAGCACGTCCCCCCCTTATTTTTTTTTGAAACGGAGTCTCACTCTGTCGTCCAGGCTGGAGTGCAGTGGCGTGATCTCGGCTCACTACAAGCTCCACCTCCTGGGTTCACGCCATTCTCCTGCCTCAGCCTCCTGAGTAGCTGGGACTACAGGCGCCTGCCACTACGCCCGGCTAATTTTTTTGTATTTTTAGTAAAGACGGGGTTTCACCATGTTAGCCAGGATGGTCTCAACCTCCTGACCTCGTGATCCTCCCGCCTTGGCCTCCCAAAGTGCTGGGATTACAGGCGTGAGCCACTGCGCCTGGCGAACTTTTTTTTTTTTTTTTTTTTTTTTTTTTTAAGAAATTATCTTCCCCATTGGGTAAAGTCTGGTGGAAGTATTAAGATTTTCTGGGCGGAAAACAACTCAAACAGCTGCTTTCTCTTAGAACCTGAAACCCAAGCAAACTGATAAATAGAATAAAAATGAAATAGGCTTTTAGAAAATATATACACAGCTCTACCCAGGCAAGGCTGAATCGTAGTTTTGGCTACATAGAGATGTTCCCATTCTAATTCACTTCCAAGCCTGGCTTTCCACCCTTCCCTTGGATTATGCAATTTACACCATGGCCAATGTTAGATTCTGCTGCTGGAAACCAAAGAATTCTCACATTCATCAAAACTAAATAAGGGGTACCCCACTCTACAGCCTCCATTCTAGCTATGGGCATGACTTATTTCCTCCTTAAAGAATGCATCTAGGCCGGGTGCAGTGTCTCAAGCCTGTAATCCCAGCACTTTGGGAGGCCGAGATGGGAGGATCGCTTGAGGTCAGGAGTTTGAGACCACCCTAGCCAACATGGCAAACCCTGTCTCTACTAAAAATACAAAAATTAGCTGGGCGTGATGGTGGCCACCTGTAATCCCAGCTACTCGGGAGGCTGAGGCAGGAAAATCACTTGAACCCAGGAGGTAGAGGTTGCAGTGAACCGAGATCGCACCACTGCACTCCAGTCTGGGCAACAGAGCGAGACTCCTCAAAAAAAAAAAAAAAAAAAAAAAAAAAAGAATGCATCCAGTGTTTATTTTTGTATCAACTTACATAGATTTGTGGGGACAAGATGCAGAATGCAGAATGTAGGGGGTAAGGAGAGGGGAAAACAGGATAGAACTGTGGTATCCTCTATTTGTCCTGTAGATGAACTCGAATTTCCTTTAAAAACCTATTTAGATTCACCTTTGCTTATTTTTATGTCAAATCTGGGCCAAAGATATAAGGACATAGCTATCAGTATTTCCAGGCTTTACAATTCCTTCCAGTCTGGTCTCCTCAGATCTTTGAAATGCGTTTCTAGGTCTATTTCCCTAAGTGTTCTACAATACCAAATACGATCAGTAATGCTCCTGCTTTCTCCTACAAAAAAAGAATTCTATTTCCCTCAAAATATTCATTCAATCAGTCAACAAATATTAACTGAACACTTAAAATATACCAGGCACTGGGCTAAGTCTATGGACACAGCAACAAAAGGACAGACATGCCCTCTATCCTCAGGAAATGTGCCTTTCAGTGGGAGAGGTCGGTAGTAATTAAATGATAGGGCAAAAATATGTAAAATTCCAACTCAGCTAGCTGAGAACTTTGCAGCAGGATGCCACCTGGTCAGGGATGCAGAAAAGGCTTCCCCAGAAAAGGGTTACTGAAATTAGGTTTTTTGTGTTGTTTTGCTTTGAGAAGGAGTTTCGCTCTTGTTGCCCAGGCTGGAGTACAATAGCGTGATCTCGGCTCACCACAACCTCTGCCCCCCACAACCCCTGGTTCAAGCAATTCTCCTGCCTCAGCCTCCCTAGTAGCTGGGGTTACAGGCATGCACCACCACACCCAGCTAATTTTGTATTTTTCGTAGAGACAGGGTTTCTCCTTATTGGTAAGGCTGGTCTCAAACTCCCAACCTCAGGTGATCCACCCGCCTCAGCCTCCCCAAGTGCTGGGATTACAGGCATGAGCCACGGCGCCCGGCCTGAAATGAGTTTTTAAAGCTTAGTATGGCTGGGTGCAGTGGGTCACATCTGTAATCCCAGCACTTTGGGAGGCCAAGGCCAGTGAATTGCTTGACCCCAGAAGTTCAAGACCAGCCTGAGCAACATGGCAAGACCCCATCTCTAAATAATAATAATAATAAAAGACCAGTAGACTAAGCAGGGGTTACAGAGGCCTAGAGGAGGAAGAAAGGGCTTTTGCAGAAAAACAGACAGCCAAGGCAAAAGTTCTATGCTTGAAGACACCCTAGCACCTCTGTCTTATAAAATTTCTATGGAAAAACCTCCATTCTTATGTGACCTGAGTTTTCACATGAATTTTCTTTCTGAAATTGCTTTAATATGCCATACCTAATGTTGAACTCACAACAGCCCTGTTAGACCAAGAATTATCAGGTTTAGGCAAGGTCCCAGCATCTGTAGCTCATTTTTGCCCCACCTCTTTCGCTTCCTCTGCACACACATCATCCACTTGGCCTTCACCTCTAGGTTCAGCCCAGCTGAGCCTTCCTGGGCTGAGAAAGGAGCGATTCAAGGACTCCAGGTTCAAGTTGATGTGGTAACTAGCTTATCCCTGACACGGTGCCTCAGTTCTGATAATAGGTCACTAAGATAAGACTCTCTAAGTTCCCTGAAAACGTAGTAAAAACTCCCTGTCTGGATAACCCTGCCGGTGCTCCCATCACTGTCTAGCACTGGGGTTCTGCCTGGCTTTTTTCCTATCTCCCTGCTGGGAATCAGAGTCCCACCCCTGAATTCCAGCAGAGCCCTGCTGTCTAAAACCAGATTTCCTGATGCCGCACTCTGCTTGCCAGAATTTGGGAACCTCTTCTGCTTCCCACTGTAATGCCCTGGCCCTGTTAGGACAGGAGGTGCCTTTCTGCTTCCCCCTGCTTGCAGCAACCACCCCGCCTCGTGGTCATTGCCATAGTCATGCTCTCAATTCCTGTCAGAACTCTGCTGGGGATCCTGCCCTTCAGCACTTGCCTCAGTCCTTTGGGAACATCAGATGCAGGGTCCTGCCCCCTTACTAGTCTCCTACAACTAACCAGGCCATAGCCCAGTCGCACCACCAGGCCCCAGCCTGAAACACAGCAGAGCCACCTCTCCTAAACCTCTGGTCTAGGACTCTTTCACACTCCATCCAAGTAAATAAAACTAGCTCTGCAAACTGGGATTTGTGAGCTCAGATTCAGATGTCAAAAATAATTCATGATTAGAGAAGGATTTTATTTTCATTGTACTGAAAATAAAGGAGTGTCATTGTACTCAGTGTATTTCCTTGGCTTCATTGCAGAATGCTATTTTGATCAGCCATCTTCAGCCTGATGAAACTCATACTGTCTACAGAGGGACAGAGACCATGAGCCATAGACCGAGGGGCCAAGGGCTATGATGATTAGGTCAGGATATACAAAGAGATCTCACCCACTTCCCCTCCCTGAAATCAGCCAGGATTTCTGCGGGGACAGGCTGCAGAGAGCCACCGAGTTTCTCTGCTCAACTCTCAGCAGCATCATGCTCCCAGCCCAGGGCTTTCCCACACCAGGGCACTCAAGGCAGTAGAAAAGTAAAAAACATCAATTCTTTTCAGTATTGAGCAGCCCCATATAAGGAAACACTTAGCTGAAAAGGAGCCTATATTTGCCCAGCTATCTTAGCAATCACTGTACCTAGGAGGGCATTTCAGCATGAGTTAGCTCACATGCCATGTCAACAGTAACAACCAGCCGGGCTGGACTTTTTTTTGTCCTGTTTCTGATCTTCGGCACAATTTGAAAAGAAGATAAGATGGGTGTCTCCCAACATGTCCCCATTCCCTGCCACTCAACCAGAACAAAACCACTCAGCCATTTCCTTGAAAACTGCACCGGTTGCAGAAAGGCCAAGCTAGGAAAATGTGCCAGGGAACATTAGTCGTCATACCACCTCACATGATGTCTCGGGATCTGTAACCTAATACAGATCCCTATAATCTTAACACTTCATCTTATTTAGCAGTACTCAGTGACACAAACGCATGTACAGATTGCTGAGGAGTCCGTGATCCAAGCTCTGGGTACAGGCTGTTCCGACGGTATCAAAGAAATACCCTTGGGTGAGACAGAGGGAGGAGGGTGAAAAATGTTCGATGGTGCAGATATTCTTTTTTTCTTTTTTTGAGACGGAGTCTTGCGCTCTCACCCAGGCTGGAGTGCAGTGGCGCCATCTTGGCTCACTGCAAGCTCCGTCTCCCGGGTTCAAGTCATTCTCCTGCCTCAGCCTCCCGAGTAGCTGGGACCACAGGCGCCCGCCACCACGCCCGGCTAATTTTTTGTATTTTTAGTAGAGACGGGGTTTCACCGTGTTACCCAGGATGGTCTCGATCTCCTGACCTTGTGATCCACCCGCCTCGGCCTCCCAAAGTGCTGGGATTACAGGCGTGAGCCACCGCGCCCGGCCTGGTGCAGATATTTTTAAAAACCCAGAGATCTGTAGATAAATAAAGTTACAATGTAAAACATACCAAAAAATAAAAATAAGGAGAAGGAGGAGAAGAAAATGGAAGAGGAGGAGAAGAATACAAAATGAGGGAAGGTAAGGAGGCTTCCCAAATCCCCACACTCAGATTAAGTGTCCACACAAGCACACCACAACAGACACTTATTCCTGTAGGCCCTCCACCTGGTTCCATAGAGAGAGTTTAATGTTCCTTAAATGACCAGCCCCTACCTCCTCAACTTTGGTAAGCAAATTTACCACCCCTAGATGCCCACACTCCTCCTCTTATCACTTCCTCATGATTTATTACCTTTTGTTAAGATAGTGAGAGGTGACAGCGTGTTGGCAGTCCTCACAGTCCTCACTCGCTCTCGGTGCCTCCTCTGCCTGGGCTCCCACTTTGGTGGCACTTGAGGAGCCCTTCAGCCCACCGCTGCACTGTGGGAGCCCCTTTCTGGACTGGCCAAGGCCGGAGCCCACTCCCTCAGCTTGCGGGGAGGTGTGGAGGGAGAGGCGCGAGCAGGAACCGGGGCTGCGTGCGGCGCTTGCGGGCCAGCTGGAGTTCCGGGTGGGCGTGGGCTTGGCGGGCCCCGCACTCGGAGCAGCCGACCGGCCCTGCTGGCCCCGGGCAATGAGGAACTTAGCACCCAGGCCAGCGGCTGCGGAGGGTGTACTGGGTCCCCCAGCAGTGCCAGCCCGCCGGCGCTGCGCTCGATTTCTCGCCGGGCCTTAGCTGCCTTCCCGCGGGGCGGGCCTCGGGACTGCAGCCCGCCATGCCTGAGCCTTCCCCCGCCTCCGTGGGTTCCTGTGCAGCCCGAGCCTCCCCGACGAGCGCCGCCCCCTGCTCCACGGCGCCCAGTCCCATCGACCGCCCAAGGGCTGAGGAGTGCGAGCGCATGGCTCAGGACTGGCAGGCAGCTCCACCTGCAGCCCTGGTGCGGGATCCACTGGGTGAAGCCAGCTGGGCTCCTGAGTCTGGTGGGGACGTGGAGAACCTTTATGTCTAGCTCAGGGATTGTAAACACGCCAATCAGCACCCTGTGTCTAGCTCAGGGTTTGTGAGTGCACCAATCCACACTCTGTATCTAGCTGCTCTGGTGGGGCCTTAGAGAACCTTTATGTCAAGCTCAGGGATTGTAAATACACCAATCAGCACTCTGTATCTAGCTCAAGGTTTGTAAACACGCCAATCAGCACCCTGTGTCTAGCTCAGGGTTTGTGAGTGCACCGATCGACACTCTGTATCTAGCTGCTCTGGTGGGGCCTTGGAGAACCTGTGTGTCCATACTCTGTATCTAACTAATCTGATGGGGACGTGGAGAACCTTTGTATCTAGCTCAGGGATTGTAAATGCACCAATCAGCGCCCTGTCAAAACAGGCCACTGGGCTCTACCAATCAGCAGGATGTGGGTGGGGCCAGACAAGAGAATAAAAGCAGGCTGCCCGAGCCAGCATGGGCAACCCACTCGAGTCTCCTTCCACGGTGTGGAACCTTTGTTCTTTTGCTGTTTGCAGTGAGTCTTGCTACTGCTCACTCTTTGGGTCCATGCTGCTTTTATGAGCTGTAACACTCACCACGAAGGTCTGCAGCTTCACTCATGAGCCAGCAAGACCACGAGCCCACAGGGAGGACCGAACAACTCCAGACGCGCCTCCTTAAGAGCTGTTAACACTCACCGCCAAGGTCTGCAGCTTCACTCCTGAGCCAGCGAGACCACGAACCCATCAGAAGGAAGAAACTCTGAACACATCTGAACATCAGAAGGGACAAACTCCAGAGGCGCCACCTTAAGAGCTGTAACACTCACCGCGAGGGTCTGCGGCTTCATTCTTGAAGTCAGTGAGACCGAGAACCCACCAATTCCGGACACAATAGTATAAAGCCCCCCAAATTTAACCATTTCTTTGGATCTTCTTTTCTATGAAAACCTTTGTGCATGTAAATATTGAATAAAATTGGTATTTTTTTTTTTTTTTGAGACAAAGTCTTGCTCTGTTGCCCAAGTTGGAGTGCAGTGGCGTTTTCTCAGCTCACTGCAACCTCCACCTCCCCGACTCAAGCAAGTCTCATACCTCAGCCTCCCAAGAAGCTGGGATTACAGCCGTGTACTACCATGCCTGGCTAACTTTTGTATTTTTAGTAGATATGGGGTTTTACTATGTTGGCCAGGCTGGTCTCAAACTCCTGGCCTCAAGTGATCCACCCGCCTTGGCCTCCCAAAGTGCTGGGATTACAGGCATGAGCCACTGTGCGCGGCCTGTATGTCTTTTGTTTTCTGTTAATCTGTCTTTTGTCAGTCTAATTTGCAGGTCCCAGACACAAAACTTAGGGGGATAGAGGAAAGCTTTTTTCCCTCCCTTCCAAGGTATATGTCTATTCTATCCATTAAAGGAAACAGAAAGAAAAAGCTATTCAGAAGTTATAAGAAGAGCAAACTGAAATGTGATATGACTTGAATAAATAGAAGGGTAAAAGTAAAAGGAATCCATTTTTTCACCTTTTTGGGTGGATATTTTTGGCAACATTAAATTACCTTTCCATCTTTATGGATCTTACATACTATTTGATTCTGCAATTAATATTTATGTTATCTTTTGTTTGAGACAGGGTCTTACTTTGTCACCCAGGCTAGAGTGCAGTGGCACCATCACAGCTCACTGCAGCCTCGACCCCCTGGGCTCCAGCAATCCTCCCACCTCAGCCTCCCAAGGAGTTGGGACTACAGGTGCATCCCACCACACCTGGCTAATTTTGTTTATTTTTTGTAGAGATGAGGTCTCACCATGTTGCCCAGAATGGTCTTGAACTGGCCTCAAGCAATCTTCCCACCTCAGCCTCCCAAAGTGCTGGGAGTAAAAGCATGAGCTACCACGCCCAGGCTGTATATTATCTTAATATTAGGAATGTCTCTTATTGGTTTTTAGCCTTTTTTATTTAAAGTCAAGCTATACACAAAGTACAGAAAGCCAACTTAAAATTACAGAACAGAGTGCAGAAGTTACTAGCCTAGATAATGAAATTAATCAGCGGGCCAGTTGAGAGGGGAAAGGATGGAGGCCTGGGATGGTGGTCACCATCTACTTTCCTCATCTTACAGAACAGGGAGAAGGTAGATAATGTCAAAACTCGATAAATCAACAGATTAAAATTTATACATATTAAAGTTATCCATGCAACCATTAAATATCTTAATATATGTTTATAAATATATATTTTATATTTATATATATTTTTATATATAAATATATATTTTATATTTATATATATTTTTATATATAAATATATATTTTATATTTATATATATTTTTATATATAAATATATATTTTATATTTATATATATTTTTATATATAAATATATATTTTATATTTATATATATTTTTATATATAAATATATATTTTATATTTATATATATTTTTATATATAAATATATATTTTATATTTATATATATTTTTATATATAAATATATATTTTATATTTATATATATTTTTATATATAAATATATATTTTATATTTATATATATTTTTATATATAAATATATATTTTATATTTATATATATTTTTATATCTAAATATATATTTTATATTTATATATATTTTTATATCTAAATATATATTTTATATTTATATATATTTTTATATATATATATATTTTATATTTATATATATTTATATATATATATATTTTATATTTATATATATTTTTATATATAAATATATATTTTATATTTATATATATTTTTATATATAAATATATATTTTATATTTATATATATTTTTATATATAAATATATATTTTATATATATTTTTTTATATATAAATATATATTTTATATATATTTTTTTATATATAAATATATATTTTATATTTATATATATTTTATATATAAAAATATATATATTTTTATATAATATAAAATATTTTTTATTATAATAATAATAAACACCTTCCCCAGAGACAACCTGGAAAGCCTGCTCCAGGTGAGGTCAAAGGAGGACAATGTCCTCTCGTGCCCGAAGTGCTGCCGGCTGTTCAGCAGGAAGACCTGGAGAGGCAGACCCCCTGGGAACCAACTTCCCACTGCGCTACTCTTTCCCTTCTGCCTGGCACAGGGAGTGCCGGGGGCTGGTCTAGGATGATTCACCTGCCTTCAGGCCATCCATGTTAGATATTCCCATAAGCCACTGAGCTCAGACTTTTGAAAGACAATTTCAGCCAGGCGCGGTGGCTCACACCTATGATCCCAGCACTTTGGGAGGCCGAGGCGGGCAGATCACCTGAGGTCAGGAGTTCGAGACCAGCCTGGCCAAAGTGGTGAAACCTTGTCTCTACTAAAAATACAAAAATTAGCCAGGCGCGGTGGTGCATGCCTGTAATCCCACCTACGTGAGAGGCTGAGGCAGGAGAATTGCTTGAACCTGGGAGGTGGTGGTTGCAGTGAGTTGAGATGGCACCATTGCACTCCAGCCTGGGTGACAAGAGCAAAACTCCGTCTTGAAAAAAACAAAGGAAGGAAGGAAAGAAAAGAAAAGAAAGTTTCAAAGCCCTTGGTCCTTGCTTCAGATCTGCTTATCTTCTGGGAATTTCCAGCGTCCTTTGCTTGGGGGTGCCTGCAGCTGACTATGACTCCATTAATATAGGGTGGATTCACCCCTGAGATGTCCCAGGGCCAAGCCTCTCACTTCAGGCTTTGTTCATGAGGGTTTCAGTTTGTAGTGTGGGGAAGATATTTTGTTCCTGGGTATCTACAGCAAGCCTTCTGAAATGTGTGTAACAGTCCAGAACAGTCACTGTCAGTCTCTGCTGCCAAGCTTGTCGGTGCCTCGTGTCAGCGCTGACTCACCCAAAGGCCGGTGCAAATCATCATCATCACGACTCTGAGGCTTCTGCCAAACAAATCATAGGCTGCTTGCTCTTCGGGGAAGAATCGTAATTCTGATTGCAGCTGGCCATTCATCAGGTGCTGGGAATCTGCCTAATCTTGTCTGTTGGCCTAGGATATGCCAGCTCCACGCATCTGATGATGACTTTCCCATCCCACACCTCGTCGCAGCCCTCCTCCACATTCCTCAGTCCAGTCTTACCCTTGGAGCGATCAGAACATTCCAACCTCATCTCATAATGGCAGTTCATTCCAGTGTGACTCAACAATTTCCAACAAAGCCTTGAAAAATACTCCCGGAATATTAGGGATTCATGGAGTCACTGAATCATAACAAGGTTAATTGCCAGGGTTGTTGAAATCACCCTGTGTAGCTCTCTCCCCACTGCCAGATGGACAACTGAGGCATGGAGAAGCTTATTGGCTTGCCAAGGATCTTACAGCAAACAACTCCTAAACAGAACTAGAATGCAGAATATACAGAACCTATAGAAATATACAAGCATCAAAGAAGTAGAGGTATTCTGAGGATAATGACAACTAATTGCAAATTCTGATTAAGTATTTTGGAGCTCCTGCCTACATATAATAAGCAGCTGGCCTCTATGTGTTCTTAATTACAGCTGTTGGAATTGGAGTTATATGTGAAACAAGTACTCTATTTTAATATTTCAAGCTCAGACATAGTGAATGGCGGGAGAGGGTGGAAACCCCTTCCCTGGGGGACTGAAGGTAGAGTGGGGCCATCTGGGGTGGTTGGGCTGCTGTGTGGGGAGCAGCCTCTGACTCTGTGCAATTTATGTGACAGCCCCAGAGCTTCGGGCTCTGTGACTACACGTGCCAATTGCCTGCAGGAGCAGGTCCCTGCACAGAGCATAAAATGCTCTCCTGAAGCATCTTTTTAAAGTGCCCACATACCAGGTCCCAAGGACTGCCGCTGGGAAGTAAGCAGCAGGCGCTCATGAATTTCTAATAGAGGAAAAATGATTTTCATGCAACATCCTTGAGAAATCAAAGCATGTGAGAATCATCAAGATAGGTAAAAATTTGAATATCAGCATATTTATCTCTTCAGGGGATTTTTGAACAATTTCTCTGATGTTTCAAGTTCAGCAAAATACATACTTCTGAGGTCCTCTTTGCATTGATTTTAGGTATCTTAGGGGAAATGTATTCTCCCACTAATAATCTACCAGAAAGCAGCTCTGAGCGTTTCTTTCTAGTAACTCCTGGGGTCCTGAGACTTGGGACTTGGACTCAGCGGTCTGCATTCAGGTCGAGTTCAGTCATTGGGATGGAAGTGATACAGTCCCCCTTGGGAGCGATACCAAAGTGCTTACCGAGCACTTGCTTCAAGCTGAGATGACTGAACTCTCCTCCCCTCTCCTGCCCCTTCCTCTGATATCCTAAATAAAGGGAGAGAGTTCACAGCTCCTGGACAGTATTCGCAGAACATGTACTGCACCCTTTCCTCAGGATGTATTTAGTGAATCCTAATCTTGAGAAAGACTGACTCCCTGAACTTTAAGGTTAGAAATAATTAGACAAGAAAATCCCTTCTCTGGATTTCTTGTAACTGTCAAAAATGATGAGTAGTGGAAAAATGGCTTCAGGTCATACTTCTCGCTCTCCCTGAACCTTTGCACTGTATTGTGTATAAAAAGAATATAATGTCCCTGTGTCATGATAGGGTGAATGTTGCTATTTCTGCCTTTTGACTGTTCATTATCATTTGCTATCATAAGCCAAGGGCCTGATAGATAGCTGCAGAAACCTAAATAAATGCAATAATTACTCAGGACTGTTCAACCCACTCATCCTCTCATTCACCTCTCCTGTACTACAGAAAATACCTCCTTTTGTCTTGGCAAACACAATTTGGAAAAATGGTTTAAGCCCTGGCAGCAATAGATAGCTAATTATATTCTATTTTGATTGCCTTAGAGGTTAGCCAGCCAGAAAGCAACATTTCATTTCCATGTTCTGAAGAATTTTAAGGCATCCCAGTTCCATTTTTTCTTTTTCTTTTCTTTATTATTTATGTAGTTCTAAATATACATAAGCATTATCTCTCTGCTTCACATGCAGTGCTCTGAAAATGCATTCCAACACTCTTCCATTCTCCATAGAGTGCAAACTCCTTGAAGGTAGAGATTATTTTTCATATTAGATGTATGCCAGGACTTATTTTATCCCTATAGATTCAAGATCAATGCCATGATCTTGCAATGACAGCATAGAGACTCCACAAAAATCTGCTGCACTGAATGTAATAAAAATCAAAATCACTACAGTAATTGTCCCATGTCTGGAGAAATGACACATTTGTTTACAATAAGGCAGAAACCAAATTATAATTATTTTAGATTTTATTGATTTCTGAGTAGCAACCACACATCCCATAAGTGAGAATATGGAAGCCATGTACCCTGGCTCATCAGACAGTGTAAAATCTGCTAATAGGTGCCTATTGCTTGGCAAGGATTGTGGCCCAACCAGTGGGGAATGGAGCCACAGCCCTCTGACCACCACCCAGACAGGTGTGGCCTGGCCCAGCCCACTGTTCAAGTGAATTGTATTTAGAGAGTTCATTACACGTAACCCCTTGAATAGCCTCTCCAGGGCTCTACTCTCCATCATGTGATTGAGAGACTGTGGTTATAACTCATAGGGTGAATCACAGCATTTCTATAATGTTCTCCAAAGTATGTGCTTGGGCTTCAAAAGAGAAAACAATACTTTGTAGTTGAAAACTTAGGAGGGAGAGTAGGTACTAATAAATCAATCTAACAAGAAAAAAGTCAACTTGGGAGTATGGAGTAATATTTTGTAGGAATTTTAAATCAGGAATTTACTGACTCAAGTGTTTTGGATTAAACTTATTAAAGCAATGAATTCTTCTCTTATAAAATGAAGCCTTCTAGTAGGATGATCAGACCATTTAATGAGGAGAGAACACCCTGGGGCCAGTACTTAATCATGTCATCCACAACCTCTAATTTTTGCTCCTAAAAACTCTGAAGCCATCTTTTTCTCCTTTTTAAAAAAAAATTATTTCTGTGCTAGTTCTAGAATCATGGCAAATGTAAAGTTTTGAATTTGATCCATGCTTGACAAACACAAAGTAGATGAACACGTTTTTTATCTTATTTATGTAGAAGAGGAAAATTTTCCTCTACCCTCTTCAGTTGGGCCTTGTGAATTAAACTGGCAAAAGTCAAATTGACAGGCGAAAAAGGCATACGAATTTTATTTTAAATTTTATGTGCATGGGAGCTCCATAGAAAAGAAGTAAAAACCCAAATAAGTGGCTAGTCTTGGGGCCATAAGTGCCATTTTAACCAAAGGTGAAAGATTGTTGAGAAATGACTAACAAAGAAGAGGGAGTTTGGGTTTTTAGGGCCAGTAAATTGTAGAAAGGTAAAAATCTGGGGGAAAATCCAATGAAGGTAAAAGTTATTTAGTGAGATTTGTTTATGCAGACATCTCGGCACCATCTCCATCTCCAGAAATAAAGGTTACTCTTTCTCTCCTGGTACAAGAGAGAAAACTATCATAAGGGAATGTTATGCCCTCCTTTTAGGCAAACAGGGGGAAAATAGCTTTTCCTGTGTCTGCTTTTTCTCAATTACCCTCAGCTCAAAACAATCAATGTATCAAAGTAGCATATATTGGGATGGGATATTCTGTTCCCCTTTAGCTTTTTTACATATCTAAGATCTTCCAGATTATTAAACCTTATTTTTAAATCCATGTTCTTTTTAAAGATGTTCTTCAATCACCACGTCCTGTCTTCCCTGTCCTAACTTGAGCCAACAGCTTTCTAGGCCTCTTTTTAAATATCTAACAACTTAAAATTAATTTTCATTTCATTTTTCAGGCAGTTCTTCTATTTATTTGAATTCTTGTTTCTTTTTGCTGCATTACATCCCCAAGTCATACCAGAAAGGATGAAACCTTCGAGATAGGGAGAAACTTTTCGAGTCATTAAATATCTTATTGTGCCTTCATTCGTGAATAAGAGTTTGGCTGCCTATAAATTTAGGTTCAAAATAATTTTCCTTGAGAACTTTGAAGTTTTGCTCCTCTGTCTTTTAGCATCAATGTTACTAATGAAAATAGTGATGATAATCTTATATGCTTTTTTGTGGTAGGTATCCTGTTGATTCACTCTGTAAGCTTTACACTAGGAATTTTTATTTTTATTTTTGATATTTTGAGACAGGGTCTCACTACATTGGCCAGGCTGGTCTCGAACTTCTTGCCGCAAGATATCCTCCTGCCTTGGCCTCCCAAAGTGCTGGGATTACAGGTGTGAGCCACTGCACCCAGCCTACACTAGGAATTTCAAATTTTCAACAGAGTATTTCTTGAAACATGGTATTTTCCATCTAAAAAGAGTGTCTTTGGTTCAGAGAAATTTTCTTTTTCTATTTATTTGATTTTTTCCCCCTTTTTGTCTTTTTTTTTTTTTTTCAATACATTTGGGGGAACAGGTGGTGTTTGGTTACATGGATACGTTCTTTAGTGGTGATTTGTGAGATTTTGGGGCGCCCATCACCCGAGCAGTGGACACTGTACCCAACGTCTTTCATCCCTATGCCCCGCCCACCCTGCCCGCCAGGGAACTCAGAGTCCGTTATATCATTCTTCTGCCTTTGTGTCCTCATAGCATAGCTTAGCTCCCACTTGTAAGTGAGAACATAATGATGTTTGGTTTTCCATTCCTGAGTTACTTCACTTAGAATAATGGTCTCCAACTCCATCCAGGTTGCTGCAAATGCTGTTATTTCATTCCTTTTTATGGCTGAGTAGTATTCCATGGTATATGTATATATACACATATATAATATATATACATACACACACATACATATATACACACATACATACATTTTCTTTATCCGCTTGTTGGTTAATGGACATTTAGGCTGATTCCATATTTTTGTCTTTGTTTTTACATTTTGAATTAGTTACATATTAATAGCTCTCTGGATCTATCCTGCATCTCACCAACTCTCTTATATTTTTCCTTTTCTGTCATTCTCTACATCCTGAGCTATTTTCTCAACTTTATCTTCCAGACTACTAATTTGTTTTCAGCCATATCAATGACTCAATTCTATAAATTTTAAAAATTTAATTGGAGAATCAGTGTTTAATTTCTCAAGACCTCTTTTATGTTGTTTGCTTGCTCCTTTTTCATAGAAGCCTGTTCTTATTTATAAATGCGCTATCCCCTCACATCTTTCTGAGGGGACTCATTCAACTTTTTAGTGTCTCCGCTCCTTCTTTTATCTGTTTCTACCACAGTAAGTTGCTCTTTCACACATCTTGATATTTTTCTTTTACCGAAAATTTAATAATCCTTGGTTGCTTGGTAATTTTTTTTTTTTTTTGCGGGGGACAGAGTCTCGCAATTCTCCTGCCTTGGCCTCCCAATTAGCTGGGCGTATGCCACCACACCCAGCTAATTTTTTGTATTTTTAGTAGAGATGGGGTTTCACTGTGTTGGCCAGGCTGGTCTCAAACTCCTGACCTCAGGTGATCCACCCACCTCAGCCTCCCAAAGTGCTGGGATTAAAGGCATGAGCCACTGCGCCTGGCCAGTAATTTTTTTAATAAAAACGGTATTGTTGACTGGGCGCGGTGGCTCATGCCTGTAATCCCAACACTTTGGGAAACCGAGGCAGATGGCTCATTTGAGGTCAGGAGTCTGAGATCAGCCTGGCCAACATGGGGAAACCCCGTCTCTACTAAAAATACAATAATTAGCCAGACGTGATGGCGGTTGCCCGTAATCCCAGATACCCAGGAGGCTGAGGCTCAAGAATGGCTTTAAGCCAAGAGGTGGAGATTGCAGTGAGCCAAGATTGTGCCACTGCACTCCAGCCTGAGTGACAGAGCAAGAGTCTGACTCAAAAAAAAAAAAAAAGGACAAAAAAAAATGATATGTTGATTGGCATGGGTAATTGACAAAGTTATTTTTTGCAATTTGGAAAAACAGTTTACCCATAAGACCCATTGCTGAATGGGGGACTAAATCCCCATTTTCTGAAGAAAAGAAGCTTCTTTTTAAGACGTGTGGAGAGTTCATCTTGCACCCTCATTAACTACCAGGGAGGAGGACTTTGCCTTGGGTGGTGAAATTTGGCAGTGCATCTCACTCCAAGATGGGGCTGCCTTTCCCTTCCTCCTCCCCAGCATTGCACGGAAGGTCCTGAGCTATCTCAGGCTTTGTGCCTGGAGCTCCATTAGAGGCATTCCTGGGAAGTTCTTCTACTCTAGTGTCTCCAGCAGGGAGCAAATGTAGCCAGCTTCTCCTGAAACCTAGGAAGAGGAGAGGAGGCACCTGTCTTCTAATCAGTGTCTTCTAATTCTTCGACACTCCAAGTGCAATCTCAGGTCCCACCGCAGAACTACTGAATCCAAATCTGTATTTTAACAGAGTCCCTGGTGTTTCAGGAGCACTTCCGAGTCTAAGAAGCACTACTCTTCAGCTGCTGTCCATCCTTGAGCCTCAAGCTTGGGACCTCTGGGCTCTGCCAGGAGGTGTCTCTCCCATCTTTTCTCAGCTTCTCCTCTCAGCCTGTTCCTGGCTGTCCCTTCAATATGATCCACTTTCCTTTTTTGGTATATAAATAATTCTGCCTTATGAAATAATATAGTGAACACTTATGTGCCCATCAACTGGCTTAAAAAATAAAGCCCTTGTGGACACCCTCACCCCAATTCTCTCTATTGTTAGTTCTGAGCACAGTATGGCAGGGGTGTGGAAGCCCCAAGCCAGGATACACCAGTCCTATGGGACTCTGCTGCAGTGTAGGCACAGAATGGAGTGGTGCCTCAGCTGCTGTGGGGACCTGAGACTGCATGGATGGCCTGGGAGGAGTTCAGTCTCGGATCCATACTCACTCACTTGAAGCGGGTGGAACAAAACTAGGAAAGTTCTAGCTCCACTGCTAAGATTCAGACAATGTTATAACAACTGAGAGATGGAATAGTGTTGGCTGGAGGAAAAGCATTTGTTCAAATGGGCATTAATGAGGCTGCCTTATGAGCCCAGGAGGAGTTTTAGAGATCCAAAAGACCCAGAAGTAGGGAAATGGCATCCAGGATGTCTGTCAGCTGGAAGCAGGCCCCTCCGCAGGCAGGACCCAGGGCCGAGACAGGAACAAACAAGAGCAGGGCTGACTCTGAGCCCTGGAGAGAACAGTCTCCTGGGCAAAGACAAGCTGGTGGAAGGTGGCTGTCCAGGCACCGGGAGCAAGGAGTCAGTTGCTAGAATTTGGAATCAAGATATGGCTTGGGTCTCAGGAATAAGGATGGCTTCAGCCAGCCCATTTACGAGAGTGAAGATGCAAATTCCTAGAGACTGGAGTTGCTGAAATTCCTCCTGCTGATGTTCAAATTGGTTCTTCACTAAAGTGATTAAGGTCAAGGGGACTCAGCTGAGGAACAGAAGAGGCGAGGAAAGGAGAAAGGAAGGTAGAATCTAGAGCCAGGTATAATCCAACAACATCACTTGATCTGAAAGGGGCTGGCTTTTATTTCTCAGCAGTTGCAAGCAAGCCAATATATCTGAAATCCTAAGCAAAATTGTAAAGCTTGGTCTTCCCCTCTCATCACCCTCAACCACACACACACAAACCATGGAACAAATACCCCAGAGCACCAGGAAGACTTTGTTCCCTTCCCAGAACTTGCTTTGAGCACCTTCTGTATGCCAGGCACTATGCTATGAATTGAGACTCTTCAGAGTGCAGTACCAGCAGCCTCGGCTTTGGACACTCCTGTCCAGTTATGGAGACAGACATGCAAACAGATCACTCCCATCAGTGTAGGAAGGCCCGTGCTGGAGGTGTTCCTGAGTTGCTCGGCCACTGAGGAAGGGCCTTGAAGTGGAGGTGGGTAGGAGAGAGGATGGAGGAGGCAAAACAAGAAGGAGACTTGGAGGGGAGACGAAACACCATGTGTGCCAGGAACCACAGGTACTTCACTGCTTCCTGAGCACCAGCTAAGGCAAGTGGAAGGGGGTGAGAGATCATGGGTTTTGGAGCCTGAAAGTCCTGGGTTCAAACCCTGCCTCTACCCATATCATGTGTGTGACCTCGGGTATGTTGCTCGAGCTCTGTAAACCTCAGTTTTCTCCTGTGATCATTTGGGGATCCAAAAAAAAAAAAAAAGCATTTGAAATCTTTATTACTTAGTAAAACGTCCATATTCCTAAGAGGATGGGGATAAGGAGGAATGCATTCAAAAATAAGATACATGCCATACTGGTTACTAAAATTGCTTAACATTTATTGCTTCTTTTGGGGTTAGCAAGTTGTAAGCCTCATTAGATGCATACACTAAGAAATGGAATTGATTAGACTCGACCGTAGGAATGGATCAAACTATGTACTCTTCTTGTTCCAAGTTTCCTCCAAAAGTAGTAGTTATTTTGTTTTTCTTCATCCTTGTACAGATACATTTAGTAGAGCTTACCACATAGCCTTCCCCTAACAAATTCCAAAGACGTCCACAGCCCCCTTATGTAATGAGGTCCAATCAATGATCAATTAGCCATGCTAGTGGCTAATAGACAAGGAGATTATCTCCATAATCTCTCCAAAGATGGCAAATTATGGCTATTTATTTTTGGTTTTGCAGCATTTTTTTTTTAAAGACAAGGTCTCACTGTATCCCCCAGGCTGAAATGCAGTGGAATGATCATGGCTCACTGCAGCCTCAACCGCCTGGGCTCAAGCGATCCTCCCACCTCAGCCTCCCAAGTAGCTGGGGCTATAGGCAGAGGGCACCACACCAAGCTAATTTTTAAACTTTTGGTAAAGACAGGATTTCACCATGTTGCCTAGGCTGATCTCGAACTCCTGAACTCAAGTGATCCACCCACCTTGGCCTCCCAAAGTGCTGGGATTATAGGCATGAGGCACTGTGCCTGATTGCATATTTTTTAAAATTTACCAAATGAAATAATCTGATTATCTGGAGATTCCCAAGAGTTCAATGAAGATGATGAAAGAAACACTATGAAAACATAACCTGGGAGGAGCCTGACAACTGGCATCATTGTTCTATCTTCCTACTTATAAGTCTTTTTTTCCGAGTCCACATTGAAAATAGACAGTATCTCTTCACTAGTGGGTAAAGTTACTAAGAACTGAGGATAAGCTAGAGATAACCTTCTGCCAAGTCAAGGCATAGCTGGAATTCATGCCATGATTTTCATCTACCACATTGAACAACTGATGCCTGCAGCCAGGCATTGGCCATAGTGGCTCCACCATTAGCAAAGATCAGTGTTTAACGGTGATGGTTTTGATCTCAGTGAAGAAGTCGTAAGAGTCCTTGGCTCCCTCTCTACCTATTCCAGAACTCTTCATCCCCCCGAAAGGAAGGTTCAGCTCCCTGATGAGCCAGCAGTTGGTCCAGACCAAGCCAGACTGCAGCTTCTTAGCCACCCGGTGGACGCGCCCCACATTGCTGGACCACACGGTAGCCGCCAGCCCATACTTAACGTTGTTGGCTCTTTCAATCACCTCCTCTTCACTATCAAAGGGGACGACACACGTCACTGGACCAAATATCTCTTCCGTCATGCAGCAGGATTCATCCTTAATGTCTGTTATCACCGTGGGAAGCATAAAGTAGCCTGCCTGGTTCCTGGCAGGGAGGCTCAACTTATCCACTCCCTCACCGCACCAAATTTGGGCACCTTCAGCAAGAGCTCTCTTGACGTAACTTCTGACCTGCGTGGGTAAAAATCATAATTAGCAATGTCTTACCATGTGGCTTCACACAAATCAGCAGAAAATTCAATGTTTTCTAATCATCTCGGAAGGAGGGATAAGGTCATTCCTAAGAAATCTATGGTCGATTATCTTATCACTCAGCTGCTAAGCCAGAGGGCAGAGGCGCTCCAAGCATCATTTGGGCAGTCACCTTTCATACATAAGGGAGGGAAGTAATTATTTAATGTCTAAGTGCCAGGAACTCAGATAAGTGCTTTTCATACACTCTCACTTGATTGTCTCAAAACATTATTAGCTATTGTTAATCTATTATTATCTTCTATTTGCTGATAGTATAATTGAGTGTAAAAAATATGAATGGTTCATAGAGCTAATAAACAGTAAAGTTAGAATTCACACTCAGGTATATTCTGTAGTTAAATACATGAAAGAATATTTTCTCCCTTTTTGGGAGCTATGTCCATTGCAGAAAATGGGAAGAGAAAGATGTGTAAGATTTAGTTAAAGGCCAGAATGCCCTTTAATAGATGAGCTTCCAGAACAAATCATTTCTAATTTCTAGTCTCATTACTGAATATACTCTGAAAATATATCTAGGTAATATATTTTAGCTAACTATAATGGGAAATAAATTATGTAGCTAGTTAACTCAGTGACTCAGAGATAATGACAGATGTATATTAACAATGGTTGTAGAAATAGCTCATAATAATTATATATATATAAACATTGTTGAAGTCACAATTATATGTTTTTCTACCCCAAGAGGTATTATAAGCAAAAGAGAAGTATAAAAGTAGTCCTAAAAATTAAAAATGTAGAACAGCAGTAAAGAAGTAAACCAAAGACAGGGTAAATTTTGCAATAATATTTTGGATTTTTACTTATCTATCGAGCATTCTGCCCCAGGATTACATTAGAACTCCATTGTAGAACTATATTCAGTGTAGAACTATATGTATATTCTCCATGTAAAATAGAGGTAATATTATTCTATTATTAAATTTGCTCCAAGTTTGTAGAATTAATAAGCCATGAAGTTAAAGACTTTTTTTACAGACAATGTCTCACTCTGTCACCTGGGCTGCAATGCAGTGGCACCACCATGGCTTGCTGCAGCCTTGAAGACTCCTGGACTGAAGAGATCCTCCCACCTCAGCCTCTCGAGTAGCTGAGCCTATAAACACAAGTCATCACGTCTAATACATTTTGTTTAATTTCCTATAGAGATGGGGTCTTGCTATGTTGCCCAGGCTGGTCTTCAACTCCTGGTCTCAAGGGATCCGCCCAAAGTGCTGGGATTACAGGAATGAGCCACCACACCCAGCTCAAGACTTTTTTAAAAAATAGAGCATTTGGTACAGATTTATATTCCCTTCCATTAACTTCCACTCCCAACATCCATAGTGATCTCAAAGCTTTCCCAGAACATAACGCTATTCTAGTTTGTGGGTAGAAACTAAAATAAGTTTGTACCTCTCTTGATCCGTACCCTCTTTCTTTTTTTGAAAATAACTCATCCACACTAATTAAAAGGTTCCAAAGGTGAGTGTCCTGTGTGAATAGGGGAATGGAGGTGCAGCTGTCCAGAGGCCCTGCTGGGATGCAGTGGCTGAACTTCATCAATGATTCAGCACCCCACGAGGAGTACCTGGCTTTAGACCATTATGTCGAATGTGATCACATGATTTATCTCTCAGAAGCTCTTGGAATCATAAAAGGTAAAGGGAAGTGTCAGTCTTCAAACTGTGAACTTATCAAAACATTTAATATATAAGGTGACTCACACTAATTGAATTCATTTCCTAGAGAAAGTATGACTAGATAATATCTACCCCAGCAGCTTGGGAACAGAGATTTTCAATAAATTCTGGGGGGGAGAAAAAAAACCATGACTAGTAATATGCTATAAATACAAGAAATTATTATAAAATGTTTTCTTCAGGAGAGAGAATAGTTAGTACTCAGCAGCTTTAGACATAAAGTCAGAGTACAGGGGTTAGAAGAGTAACCCGAGAGCCAAGCTGTATTCAAATCCCAGTTCACCCATTTACTAGCTGAGGGCTTTTAGATGTCCTGTGCCTCAGTTTCCTTATCTGAAACATAGAATTAACACAGTCACTAATTCATAGGGCTCTTGAGAGGATTAAATAAAATAATAAATACAAAAGATTTAGCATGACGCCTAGTACATAATAAGCCTTTTTGACTGTCAGCCTCTGTTGTTATTGATGATGTTGGTGATGATGATGAAATGACTGACCCGACACTTATTAGCTGAGAGACCTCAGAGATGCCCCTCATTCTGTAGGTCAGGTTTTTTATCTGACAAAAGGGGACAGGAAACTGCAACAGTGGGCCTTGGTTAGGTCTGAAGCCTGGCCCTAGCAGGGGATGCACCCATCAGCTTCTTCTGTGCTTCCTCCGGCCTCATTGTAAACCCTCCAGAATTCTCTCCATATAGTTGCCTGCATCTTTGGGTAGGCAGCTACACAGCCAGATCCTCCAGAGTGTCAAGTAGGGAAGGACTCAGCAGGTAGAAAGAAAAACAAAAAGCAACCCTGCGAAAAGGCAAATGGAGACTTATCTTCAAGCCACAAGGATAGAATCCCCTGCAGGTTACTGAGCATCCCCATGGAGTCACTGAGACCCTGGGAAATCATACCTCCGTTTAGGAGCATGCTGTATCTCCATAAGTCCTTGAGCCCTTGGCCATTACAAAACAACTTTTACATATTCTAATTGGATTATTTCACCAAAGGCATCGCCACCTATTGTGGCAATCATGCAGAGGTAGGGCGGACACGAAAACTCCAGACTCCACATGGCCAATTTGATTTGGAGAAGACAAAAACACACTGCAGGGGCAGAGAGTGCTGGAATGCAGATGGCAGCCCAGTCTTCCTGGGCACTCAGCCCCAAAGCTTTCTGGGGTAACATTAGGAAAGATGACTGTCAGCAGAGGGCATCCACTGCCTCCTCCAGCCCAGATGGTTTGGCACACGGAACTGAAGAGTCACAATCTGAAGAGGCCATACTTAACATTTCTCTAGGCGTTTCTATTAGCTCTCTCCCAAAGGGCAGAGACAGCAGGGCTTTCTCGCTAGAACTGAGCTGAAAGCCTCATGAGGAGTCCAGCTGGCGGGAGGCTCACTCGGTGTAAAGCCATATCTCATTTCATCTGTGCACACGCTCAGAGTGGAGCAGTGAGGATGGCAGATGCTCAGTGATCCTCTAAGCCACAGGAACATGGGGTCAGCAGCCTGTTTCCCAGCAGAAGGTAGATCCTCCTGAGGCTTTATACAGAGGAGGCATTGTGGGCAGAGCTGAGAGGAGTTCTACTCTATGTGGGAGGGATCAGACAGAGAGGACAACAAAACAAGGCAAGCCACATAGATAGCAGCGTTTTAGATGTGCTGTGGTTATGGAAATACCATCCTTATTGTTTTTGCCTTGAAAAACTTGGCTGCTGATAAGTACCATTTTCAAGTTTTCAACAGTGAATAACCTTGAATAACTTTTTTTTTCTTTTTTTGAGACAGAGTCTCACTCTGTCACCCAGGCTGGAGTGCAATGGTGTGATCTCGGCTCACTGCAACCTCTGCCTCCCGGGTGCAAGCGATTCTCCTGCCTCAGCCTCCCGAGTAGCTGGGGCTACAGGTGCGAGCCACCACGCCTGGCTAATTTTTGTATTTTTAGTAGAGATGGGGTTTCACCACGTTGGCCAGGCTGGTCTCAAACTCCTGACCTAAAGTGATCCACCCGCCTCAGCCACCCAAAGTGCTGGGATTACAGGCATGAGCCACTGCACCTGATCTAACAGTGAATAACTTTTTAACCATGTCCAAAATCTTTCCCCTTTGAAGCAGTGGAATTTTGGAGCTTTCTGAGATGAGTGCAAACTATTTAGCTATACTTAGTTTTAATAAGAATAGTTGCTGAAAAATTATTTTCTATAAGGATCAAGCAGAAAATCAAAAGTAGTTGATTGAAAAGTCTTCAGTTGAGTTGATAGTAACGTGCTGGTTTGTTAGCATGAACAGATGTACCTTAGGACTGTAAGATGCCAACAACAGGAAAAACTGGGTGAGTGGTTATAAAAACTCTCTGCCTTATCTTTGAAACATTCTATAAATCTTAAATTATTACAAAGTAGAAGGATTATTTTATTTTTTGAGACAGCATCTCACTGTCGCCCAGGCTGGAATTCAGTGGCGTGATCTCAGCTCACTGCAACCTTGACCTCCTGGGGTTCAGGTGATCCTCCTGCCTCAGCCTCCTGAGTAGCTGGGACTACAGGCACGCACTACCACGCCTGGCTAAATTTTTTTGTATAATTTTTAGAGACAGGGTTTTGCCATGTTGCCCAGGCTGCTCTGGAACACCTGGGCTCAAGTGATCTTCCTGCCTCGGCCTCCCACAGTGCTAGGATTACAGGCATGAGCCACCGTGCCCAGCGAAGGTTTATTAAAAAAAAAAGAAAGAAAAATTGACTGAGAGAGAAAGCATTCAATGGTAAAAATATCTAGGGGTTTTCAAAAGTTTTTTTTAAAAGATAAATTTGAGTTTATGGCCTTATATTTTAATGTGGTCAGAAAAATTTGATAACTGCTAAGATTCATCATTTCCAAAGTGATCCATGGCACCTAAGTATACTAAATTGAAATGATATTAAGATAATACAACTAACATGTGAAACAGATGCTTGGTTTTCAGGCATAATTTGGTTTAGTAGAAGATGGCATTTCTGGATTTAGATACGTCCAGGAGAAGCTGGCACCATGTCTAGGGCTTTGCCAATATTTCAAGTTTTAAAAATATTGAATATAATAAGTGGTTTAGATCTATTAGAAATCTTGGTTTTTGTCCACAGCTTCTGCAGCTGTGATGGTAGAAATAATGAGGAATGAGGACTAGTGGCCTTCTCATTTCTCCTTCCTTTAGGGGAAGATGGAGTTGGTAAAAACATGGTGTATGAGATGGGGTGACATAAGCACTATGTTAAGGCAAATTTATTATTAGGAAGGTGCAAGGGAAAGGGACGAAAATTAGTTGTAAAAATATTAGGAGCCCTGACACGAGAATCTTCTTCCTGGGAGTCACTGTGGTCAAGCCTGGCAAAGTAGTCGAGGTCCCCTGATTCCCTGCATGCACAGCTTGGACCTGGCCAGGACAAGGGGAGCCCGAGGGAAACCAAGCTCTCCCTGCATGTCTTAGTCCAGATTCAGATAAGAACTTGCTTGACAAAATCCAAATAGGGAGCTGGGCTGAGGCAGAAGGAGGGCCGGCCAGAGAGGGACACATCTTCAGAAACTCAGAGAAGGGTGTCCCTCCCACCTGTATGCCGGTGCTACCGGGACATGCACTTGCAAACTGAGTCCTCTGCTACCATCTGCCATGGACAGAGTCCTCATACATACTTGCCTGATAACAAAAACTATCACAAGGGACTCTACAAACCACAACCTTGCACAAAGGCCACCACAACCTTGCCCAAAAACTATTTCTACAAGGATGTTTATACAGTAACTGTCCACTCAACCTTGGACTGGTGCCTCCATTTAATAATAAATCACCCTTATTATTGATCCTTGTAGCCAATAATAATTGTTTCAAAACAACATTCTGTCACCTTCCTCATTTTACCTTTAAAAACCCTCGTCTTCCTTTACCTCTCTGGCTATGCCCAGAATCCATCACAACACGCATATCCCAGTTCATAATCTTCTGGCATTCATTCCCAAATAAAGTCACTTTTATTTTCTTTAGAGAGTCCTTCTCTATGTTGTTATTTTAGATTGAAAGATTCTAACCACAAACCTACTAAAGAAAAGGTAATCTAGGTCTTCTCTGTGGAGTCACTCACAGACAACAATGTTCAGGGTAAATATTTTACTCTAGGGAAAAATATGGATATTTTATGCTGAAATATTCTGACACCTAAACTCACTAAATTCTGTGTTTATTTTATGGGTGATGAAAACTACTAGGAATCACCAAAACACAAAACTAAAGTTTGAGAATTTGGAAGGCATTCCAAATGTGAATGATGTCTTTAACTAAAATGTAGTATAATAGAAATATCTTGGTACCTTTTTAATAAGTTGATTCTTGAGAAACACAAGAACAGTGGAGAAATATGAACCTGCAGAAATTTTTTCACTTGTATATTTGTAGTAATGCTGTAGAAATCTGAAATTATTTTTGATAATAATCTAGATGTAATTTTTTAGATTCCTAAATTGGCATTTAAAAAGTTAGATTTGTATACTATTGAGGTATTAACGATCCATATTTAACCAAGTGTTTTCAGAAAACTAGATACCAAAACTACTTGTGACGTAAGCTGGAATCACCAATACTTGTACCAATGATGAAGAGTTAAAGAGGAATTTCAAGCCAAACCTCAAAGGCATGTATGTGTCTATATGGCCCCTTTATCGTTGTCATGATTTAATGATCGGTGATACTAGAGGCTCCAGGCTCGGATGGTTTCAAGCGTTTTCTTGGAGAAAGGCTGGGTTTTAGTTTTTGTGTTTATTTTGTTTTTCCTTTCGGAGTCTTGATGCTGGCCAGCGACGGCCAGGACCTGTGCATTTTGGACCCATTCCAGGTAGTTTAAGCTAAGGATCAAAAAGAATTCAAGGAAAATGGATACCTTAAATTTGGAGGATATATTGTAACTGGAACACATCATGTGGTGTTAATTCAGTCATTCACCCAACAAATACTATGCACCTACTATGTTCCAGGAGCTTTCTAGAGTCTAAAGATACAGCAATGAATAAAACTGACCAAGAAGCTGACATTCTAGTCCAGGGAAGATAGTCAGTAAAGGGATAAGATACATATATTGCATGTCAGATGACAGTAAGAACCGTGGAGAAAAATAAAGCTCCAAAGAAGTCAAAGTTTTAAAAGGTACCACTGTATATAGGGTAGGCAGGAAAGCCCTCATTCAGGTGACATCTACTCTCAGAAGGGGAAGGAGAGAGCCATGCGTGCATCTGAAGGAAGAGCATTCCAGGCAGCGTGAGCAACAAGAGCAAGGGCCAAGAAGGAGGAGGGTGCCTGGTATTTTCCAGGAAGAACAGGGAGGCCAGTATGCAGGAGTGGAATGAGGAAAGGGAAGGTCAAAGAGGTAATGGAACAGATCGTAGCCAGTTTCTTAGGTTATTCTAAAGACTTAGGCATGGACTGTGAGTAACATGGGGTATGACCATACACAGCATGACACATCATCACCAGTGATGAAATAATTATGATATTAGAGCAAGGTTTAAAAGGTAATTTAGCTACATTAGAAATACCAGCATAGACTCAGGACCCTTCTTTTTTTTTTTTTTTTTTTTTTTTGAGACAGCGTCTCATTCTGTGACCCAGACTGGAGGGCAGTGGCAGAAACTGCAACCTCCACCTCCCAGGCTCAAGCAATTCTCCTGCCTCTGCCTCCCAAGTAGCTGGGATTACAGGCGTGCGCCACAAGTGCTCAGCTAATTTTTGTATTTTTAGTAGAGACAGGGTTTCACCATGTTGGCCAGGCTGGTCTTAAACTCCTGACCTCAAATGATCTGCCCACCTCAGCCTTCCAAACTGCTGAGATTACAGGCATAAGCCACCGCACCTGGCCAGGACCCTTCTTAAAAAAGGCAGTGTGGCCAGGCATGGTGGCTCACACCTGTAATCCCAGCACTTTGGGAGGCCAAGGTGGGTGGATCACCTGAGGTCAAGAGATCAAGATCACCCTGGCCAACATGGTGAAACCCCGTCTCTACTAAAAATATAAAAATTAACTGGGTGTGGTGGCACACACCTGTAGTCCCAGCTAGTTGGGAGGCTGAGGCAGGAGAACTGCTTGAACCCAGGAGGTGGAGGTTGCAGTGAGCCAAGACCACGCCATTGCACTCCAGCCTGGGCGACAGAGTAAGACTCTATCTCAAAAAAAAAAAAAAGGGCAGTGTGTGTGAAGCACCACAAAGTTTTAAGCCACCTCTTCTTGACCTCTTCTTGGATGCCATTGGACCACTTGTCACATAATAGGAAATCTCCTAATGGGCACCCTTAAGCTCAAATGCTTGTCTTGATTACCGTTCTCCACTGAAAGGAACCAAGGCTCAGTAGAGAGAGGTCTTCTTGTCCATGTGCAGCAGAGCAATTGAGACCACCTGAGGCTACCTGTTGTCAGAGGACAGAGATGCCTATAGGTGGGCCTCCAGTGGGCTCAGAAGGACAGGAGAGCAGGTTAAAGAGAGGGCCCCTGGAGTAGTTTTAAAGGTGAGGGCATGTTGCCTATGTAGTGTTGCATTTCATGAACACATAGAATCTGCAATCTATGCCAATTACTAGAACTCATTAGCGTCTTGTATAAGTCATCACAATATTAAATATTTAATTCTCCAACAGTGGCCCATTTCAGTTTAGTACATGTTAAAAAAGAAAGAAGAAGAAGAAGAAGAAGAAGCCTCCTGTGGCCAAGCAGGAACATACTGGGCATCAAAAATATTGTATGAAAGTCCACAGGAATTACAACACATTGAAGACAAATATTTAGAGTATCACAGAGAAAAGCCATAGCTACCAATATGAGTCAAAGTGTGGCATCAATTTCTCTCTCCCTTTCTCTCTCTTACACACACACGCGTGCATGCACACACACACACACAGAGAGAGATCATTCAACTGATACAGAAAAGTCAATACTTTTATTTGTTTCACTAATATATATTCTCTCACTGGGTAACTAAAATAGTTATTATGGCAGCGACTAAAATAGAAAAAAAATGGTGTATCTGTTGAGTTGATACAGAAAGAACTTTGAAATTCTGAGTGAGTGAATTGCACAGGGAACCTCACACTGAAGTACTGCCTGAGCCTGCTGAAAGGTACTCTAGGAGGTTAACTTTTGTTCCACTCCTTCCTGTTTCCCAGGAAGCAGTCTGGGGCATACTAACATTGTTTTTCACCAGACATTTGCAGGTGTGGGCAGGCAGGCAGGGAGCCCTAGTGTCCAAAAGAGCCAGAAGGAGAGAGAACAAGGGAGTCTCTTGCATCTGGAAAATCTTCACTCCATGAAGGACCATCCACAACTGTTGGTCTCCCTGGACATTCTGGAGACCACTGCCTATGTACCTGCAATCTTGTAGGTAAATTTAGCTGGAGAAAAACAAGCCATGCTGGTCATCCTCACTTTAAATAAATGACCACAAGCCTCAAGTGAGCCCTTTGAGCTGCTCTGCTAATAACTTGGTCATTTCCCAGTCCTTTCTCTCTCCTGACCTACCGCGAGATTATTTCATACCCTCTCCTCCCTCCTGAAACCTTCAACACCTTTTCCCCTCCTCACCCTGACACCTATTTCACTGAGAAAACAGAAGAAATAAGGACAGGCCTTCAAGCTACTTCATCTTTCCATCTGCAGGCAACTGTGTTGCAGTGTCCTGAAAGTCAAAGTTAAATATAGACAAAGTGGGAGTGCACTGTGCAGTGTCACGGATTTCTACAAACTTACGTAAATGCTCTGTCTCTCATTGGCTGGCTGATGGGGACAAGTTTCCCTCAGTGGCACTGAGCTGAAAGCAGAGTCCTTCTGACTCCAAAATGTATGACTTATTTTGGGAGTCACATGTGGTAATAAATTAAAATAACCCTAAATTGCCATCAAGGGCCAGATCTTCTCTTTTTGAAAAATGACCCTAAAGACCTGAGTTTCATCAATCATTCAGAGACTATCAGTGGTTTCTTCCAGATGGGCTACCCCTGGTCCCCCACTGACTAAGGACGACACAATTGGGACTGTTTGTGTTGGCACTTCTGGCTATAAACCAGAGGCAGGCCTTTTCCAAAGAGAATGTTTGCCTGTGGAAATCACTGGCATTCTTCCATATCACCCTTATTTGCTGATCTTTATGTTTTGAAATTTGGCTTCCCCTCTCTACTGGTGGTATCTCCATGCTGACTTCTCAAGTTCATTAATTTCATGTGGATGCACTTTCACCGGGACTGCATTTGCATATTCATATCCACAATGTTTAGACTCTGTGTCCACAATTTCTCCCAGGTTATAATTTTTCAAAAATGGGGTAGTAACTAACAATATTTCAGAGTCTGATTGTGCTATGCCTGTACTGAGCTTCTCTTCAAATAAGAACTTATTCTGTAACTTACATGGCAGAAATTTACTTACTTTCTCCAAATGTGCTTTACTTATCAGAGCACCTATGCTCACCAGTGGATCAGAGGGAATGCCGACTTTCCACTTTCTGGTAGCTTCTACAAATCTCTTTAAAAATTCACTATAGATGCTCTTCTGGACAAAGATCCTGCTGGTACAGAGACAGATTTCACCCTGCCAAGAATGAGAACAGGGATAAGGCTGCGGACACTCTCCTTCATGGATAGAGCACCCTGCACTTTTGAGTACCTGCCATGTATCAGGCACTGGTCTAGGCAATGGGGTACAATGGTAAATAAGACAAAGTTCCCACCATGTGGAACACATAGTCTTGTGGGAAAGACAAATAAGAACACAAGTAAATAAACTCGATAAATAATATAACTTCAGGTTGTGATCAAAGCCATAAAATAAAATTAAGCAGAGGATGGGAATGGCAACTGATTGCATGGGGAGGGGAGCTATTTTATGAAAGGGAGTCTTGGAGGGCACTTGCAAAGAGGGGATATTTGCATGGAATCTTGACTGATGTGAAGGCATGAGACGGGAAAAGATCTGGAGGTGGGGAATTAATTCTTCAAAGTACAGAGGACCTGCAGCAGGAATGAACTGGTGTGCATGAGGAAAAGCAAGAAGGTGGGTGGGGCTGAGGCTGGAAGAGGAGGCAAGGACAGGAGGTGTGTGGTAAGAGAGGAGGTCAGGAGGCCAGCAAGGCTCTATCGTGCAGTCTCATAGGTTCATAAAGAGATTACGTTTTATTCTCAGTATCATGAAAAAATAAGGGAAGGTTTTAAGCATCAGAACGATATGATCAGATTTACATTTTAAAATGCCCATTCTGGCAGCCATGGGAAAATAGGATGGAAGGAAACAAGTGTGGGAAGAGAGCAGAGGAGTTAAGAGAATATTCCAGAAGTCCAGATGCGTGTAGGTAGCTGGGACCAGGGAGGCATCCATGGAGATGCAGAGGAGTGAAAAGGACCCACTGAGTTCAACAGATTCTTCCAGGGGCACGGGACCTCCGAAGTGTGATGAAGTTGGCACAGATGCACTGGAGAAGTGATGAGATTCAGGATATACCTTAAAGACAGAACCAACAGGACCTGTCGATGGAAAGAGAGGGCAAGAACAAGAGTAGGCCGCAGAGTGGATGGTGGTGTTGTTCCCTGGAAGGGCAGACACGAGGTGGAAAGAGGATTGGTATTGCAAGGAAGGGAGAGGGAGGGAAACGAGAGCTCTGATTTGGACACGCTGGGTTTCAGATGCCTCACAGACATCAAATAGAGATACTGAGTGTACAGGGGAGGGGTTATAACAGATTTCTCAGTGAAAAATAACCCTATCATTTGAACATAGCATGTAACAGTTTAGACTTAGAGTTGGCATGTAACCACATTCTAGACTTTCAAAGCATTATTTATGCATGAAAAGTACAGAAATGCATAAATATTTTCACCATGTTTGTGTCTGACTTCACAACAATCTTAGAAAATAGAAGGTTCCTGATTGTCTTGGTATTTGTACAAAGGTACATTGTCCAGATTAAACTGTTAATGTTTTGAAATAACACATTCTTTTTGCAACCAGGATCGCTGTTAGGATCATCTCCATATCTAGCTTGGGAAATGTCTAAACACTTGATAGTTTCATTTGCGCAAGCGCCCTGTGACATCAGGGAAGGAGAGCATGACGAAGAGGCTAGAGGGGTTTACCCAGTTCCCTGTTGCTCTGTGCCTAGAAAGCGTAGGTAAGCATACCAAGATGCCCACAAGAAAGACTTTGGAGAGATTAAGAAAAGGACAGTATCATTCGTTGAGTGCCTATCGTCAAGCCAGACACTGCGCAGGGTGCTTTCCTCATTATAAATAATTCTGTAGCCTGTTAGCTTTTCCAGTTTACAGGTAGGAGAAAAAGTTTTGAATTAGTACATGTCCAGGGTCACACAGAGATGCTTCAAAAAAGCCAATTACATTCAATTAAGGAAGAAATATGCACGACACGGAATTCATCGCTCAGCTAAATCAAGCTGCTTTATTTATTTTGCCTAAAATCCATTTGTGACCTTGGATTAGCCAATTAGTTAGGCGTATGTCTCTTTCCCTATTTCCTTTTTAAAACAACCCCAAAAGGAAGGTTCTCTGGGCAAACTCAAATCGTAGCACAATTCTGGTAGGAGAGAAGATTACACTTCTTATCTCCATGTTCAGAATTTGTTTTGTTTGTTTGTTTGTTTGTTTTTGAGATGGATTCTTGCTCTTATCTCCCAGGCTGGAGTGCATTGGTGCTAACTCGGCACACTGCAACCTCCACCTCCCGGATTTAAGAGATTATCCTGCCTCAGCCTCCCGAGTAGCTGAGATTACAGGCGCCCACCACTATGCCCAGCTAATTTTTGTATTTTTAGTAGAGATGGAGTTTTGCCATGTTGGCCAGGCTGGTCTCGAGCGCTCCTAACCTCAGGTGATCCACCCACCTCGGCCTCCCAAAGTGCTGGGATTACAGGTGTGAGCCACCATGCCTGGACCCTCAGAATTTGTTTAATACAGAGTTTACCTTTCTCTCATCTTAGTTTCTCAGTCCACAAAATTTGTCCCTCTGTTGTTGTCTGTAAGCCATGAAAACACTTGGTTTAAATGTTCACCTGAAACTTGCTTAATGATTAAATTAGTTGTATTGTAAAAGTATATTGTCTATTGATCCAGAAATTATATTTCTAGCCACTTCAAGAGTTACAGTGAGAGAAATAATTACACTTATGATTATCATGAAGATAATAATTGAAAGTAACATTTTTCACTCTATACTCATGAAAACCCTGTTAGAAGACATCATTATTGTTCACATGATTTTATTAGTGAAGCAATGCAGTTTCAAAAGTTTATGCACTATTCAATGTTACCTGAGTTAGCTCAATATAGACATCTCTCATTTCACTGCTGTTTCCTTCTATGAAGTTCTAAGTCTTTGGCCTATGTTTTTACTCTCTGTTAAAATAAAAATATCCTTTGAAGAAAATCATCCAGGGTTTATGTACACCTGCTATATCCTGGGCAGTATTCTAAGCATTGACATTGAAAATACCACACAAAAGCAGGCAGCGTTTCCATCTTCTTGCAGCCTACTGTTTAGTTGATCTGGTGTAGTGTTCTTAACTCTTTGGAATGCCATAGCCTTAAAGAATCTGACAAAAACTACAGAGCACAGAGAAACATCTGTTATGTAATTTCAGGAGCTACAACGATGCCCTGAAGCTGATCCATGAATCCACGCCAAGAAATCTTCTCTAGTCAGTTTCAGGTATTTGGAACTCAGTGGATGAACGCATTTTGAATACTTTTGAAATGAGAGTAAGGTTTACTGGGAATAGGACATTTGAACGACAAGCAAAGACAGGGTTTAAGAAAAGAATAAAAGACAAGACAGGGCAGCTGTGTGAATAAAGAAATGGAGATGCTTGGAGCAGCAACATCAATCATTCCACCCATGGCTGGTACCTGATAAAAGCTGTGCAACTCAAGAAGAGGAGTTTGCTGAACAGAAGCTGTGACTCTGCAAGGCCACTAATTAATGTTAAAATTGAGCAGAGAGTTAAGGGAATCACACAATGTACTGATCCTGCTTTCTCGGAAATGGCACTGGATTGACTGGCTTGCTCCCAGGCATTGCACTGTGATAAAACAGATCCAGCTTGACAGGGCCATGGAGGGGAGGGAGAAGAACCCCCGGGGACATACCTGGTTGGCAAAGCTGGACCTGACGGTTGCCGGAATGCACTCATCCAGGTTGGCGTCCTCAAAGATGATGGCAGGATTCTTGCCCCCCAGCTCCAGGGAGAGCTTTTTGCAGTGGGGAGCGCTCAGCTGGGTGATCCGCTCAGCGGTGGGCTGGCTCCCGGTGAAGGAGATCAGGGGCACCTCTGGGTGGGACACCAGGGCCTCACCCACCCTGGGCCCGGTTCCAAACACAATATTGACCACACCTGGTGGAACACCTGGATAGGAAACAGTATCAGTTATAGTAATTCTCAGTATGTTGAAGAGTTCAAGTTACTTGGAAATTCTCCTTTAAAGTCCAATCGCTTGAATGGGAGTGGGTAGGGATGGAGGAAGCACTTGGGTTTTACAACACTTGGAACTTCTATGGCTGCCTCTGGTTTAATAGCAAAGCAAAAACCACAGATTCACCTCTGCCCACAGTAAACACCAGGTGGGATTCCACTGGATGCTTTGCCCTAGAGAGATGCAGGGTGGAACATATTTTAGGTGATTCATTCCATAATACTGGCTAGGCCTTAGGGGTTGAGGATGCAGAGATAGTCTCAGGCAGGTCAAGCCCACTAGGGGAGCAGCACCCTGCTCCATCTTGGTGTCCAGGAGTCACAATGCTGTGTGAAAACATTAAGTAGAGAGGTGTATACATGCTGCAGAGGTGCAAAGAAGAGATTGACTATCTTGGCCCAGGGAAGCAGGGCAAGACTCCCCAGGGAGGGTGGGTTTCAGGTTGGAAGTCATGTCCACCATGCTTATAAATAGCATCATAACACTGTAGTGCCAACTTACAAGTACCACAAACAACCAAAAATGGGTGCCCCAATCTTTTCTATCACAAGACTCTGCTACCCTGTATCTTCGTGCATTTATGCATGTGTTTTCTTGTTTTATTATTTTATTTATTTATTTATTTTTGAGATGGAGTCTGGCTCTATTGCCAAGGCTGCAGTGCAGTGGCACCATCTCGGCTCACTGCAACCTCTGCCTCCCAGGTTCAAGAGATTCTCCTGCCTCAGCCTCCCGAGTAGCTGGGATTACAGGCGTGCACCATTACACCTGGCTAAATTTTGTATTTTTAGTAGAGAGGGGATTTCATCATGTTGGCCAGGCTGGTCTCGAACTCCTGACCTCAAGTGATCTGCCCACCTCGGCCTGCCAAAGTACTAGGATTACAGGCATGAGCCACCGCGCCCAGCCTATCCATGATGTTTTCTGGACTTACTTGTTCATTGCCTGCACACAACTAGAAGGTACACTAGCTAAGGGCAGAAACAGTGTCTGTTCTTTGCTCTCCGTTGTTTACTCTGTGCCACAGCCTAGTTTGGCATTGAGAAATAAAAATAAAATCCTAAGCTCCCCCAGTTGACTGAATGCAGCCTCTCTTGGCCAAAGCGATCCCAGAGAAACCTTAAAAACTGAGTTCCCAGCCATTATGGGATGAGAGGTCAAACACGCCATAGTATGACTCTTCCTTATTAATCTTTAACCAGAATTCTTTCCTCAGTGTAAGCAGAAACCAGCTCTAAAAAACAAGAAATGGATAATCTATTCCTTTATCGCCTTTAGCTAACCATCTGAAACTGCAACCAAATTTTCCTCCCTCTTTGCAGTTTGGATGTGACAGCTCACCAGTCTCACAACACATCCCTTCCTAAAAACTGATCACCATCTCGACTGGTTTTGGCTGACTTCCCGAGGATACGTAGTGAGGGTTTTCATGTCCTCTGCTTCACCTTTTGACATCAGAGGGCCAAAAACTCAACCCTCGGAACATGCTAAGGCTGCCATTTTTTGAGCACGTGATCCAGAATTCATGTCCACCATGTATATAAACGCATCATAACACTGTTATATAACACTACTCAGGAGGCTGAGGCAGGAGAATCTCTTGAACCCAGGAGGCAGAGGTTGCAGTGAGCCGAGATGGTGCCACTGCACTCCAGCCTTGGCAATGCAGCCAGACTCCATCTCAAAAATAAATAAATAAATGAAATAATAAAACAAGAAAACACATGCATAAATGCATGAAGATACAGGGTAGCAGAGTCTTGTGATAGAAAAGATTGGGGCACCCATTTTTGGTTGTTTGTGTTACTTGTAAGTTGGCCCTACAGTTTTATGAGCGCATTAAGCTCATCTGTGCATGCACCTGTTTCCCCTTTCATAAATATTCATGACTCCTCCCATATCCTACTGAATGTGAATATTCAGCCACTCTGCTCAGGATAAATTTCTGTTCCCTTTGCCCCTCCTCCAAGTACTTGTTCTCCGCTTTGGGCAGAGGCTACGCTTCCCAGCCTGCAAGATGGCTAGCCTGCAGGCTGCAACCCTTTATAAGAAATAAAACCCTCCTTTCCAAATGCATGAACCTTATGATTCTTCAGTTGATAGCACATGGAACTCAGACCAGTAAATGCAAACATTAGATAGGGTGCTTACTGTGGACTCATCACTGCTATCCGTGACTCACACACTTCAGTCTTCACAACAACCTTAGGATGTAGGTAGTTTTATTACACTTAGTTCACCAGGAAGAAATTTGAGGGAAAGTGAGATTGAATAACAATCAGTAAGCAGCAAAGCTGACAGGTTAATGACTGTTAAGTAAATGAATGAGTGAATGAATGCTTAGTGTACGTTATTCAAATTAGAAATGGTTCATGAATGGGGAAGCTTTAAAAAGAAAATCATCTTTATAATATCCAAAAAGAAAGTCATCTGTATAATCACGCTGTGTCTAGGCAGTTCTTAGGGTCTGCCTGGAGGTAGCAGAGTTTATTCCCTCTATTTCCTCAGGCCTGACCTACGGTAGGTGCAGAAATCTTGCAGCATCTCGGCTTTGTGACCTGCTTCCTTGCTTCTGGTTTCCTTCCCTTTGCTCCAGGTTAGACAATCTCTCCTCATTAGAAACATACTCCTTTGGATACAACCCATTTCTTCCAGAATCTACTTTTAAATTATAAATAATATAAATACTAATTTCACACTGATGATCCATTATCATCCAGAACATTCTCCCATACAGCCACAGCCTTGGCCCAATCACCTTGAAGCTACAGTGAAGGTCCCATCCCAGTGAGTCCTCAGGAGACAGGTGGGAAGATTCCACAAGTTGTGATGGTGCCTAGCAGAGCCCCACTTCTTTTTTTTTTTTTTTTGAGATGGAGTCTCGCTCTGTCACCCAGGCTGGAGTGCAAAGGCGCAATCTCTGCTCTCTGCAACCTCCGCCTCCTAGGTTCAAGCGATTTTCCCACCTCAGCCTCCTAAGTAGCTGGGATTACCGGCACTTGCCATCATCCCCAGCTAGTTTTTGTATTTTGGTAGAGATGGGATTTCACCACGTTAGCCAGGTTGGTCTTGAACTCCTGACCTCAGGTGATCCACCCACCTTGGCCTCCCAAAGTGCTGGGATTACAGGCATAAGCCACCATGCCTGGCCAAAGCACCACTTCTAAGCATTGCATCTCTTTACCCAACATGCACATTTGTTGAAATCTAGCTTAGGTCAGTCCTGGATTGTAGGTCACTGTCAGAGGAGTGGCTGGCACCATGTGAGAGCACCCCAGCTTTGGGTTGGGGCAAAGGAAAGTGTGGAAGGAGAGGATCCCCCTCAGTAGGTGATGCGACGAAACAAGGACAAGTCTCCCACAGTTTCCTGGGTAGGGCCCCACATCTCCACCAGTGATGGGGCATGCATGTGGGTGGATGGGGTGTGGGGCAGGAGGGGGTGGACTGTTAGGCTTTATCAATCCTGAAGGCAAAAAATGAATGGAATCACTGCTAATGTTCAGAGTAGCATTTTAACTGAGGGTGAGAGAGAATGCGGAAGCACTGCATATTTATCCCCACAGTAAAATGCGCTCACTGCGGCAGCGGATTGCTTTCCCCACGACAGTATTATCATTTTGACTACATTCCCTTGGGCTTGGATGCTAATGTCAGCTGGCCATTATTTCTCAGTACCATTTTGACATTTTATCCAGAAATTAATGGAATTTTTCTTGAGATGTCTGCCCTCTAACCTTGAAGAGATTCTGGTGATAAGAGAAGGAAAGCAGTTTAACTGACAAATAGCAATTTAGCAAAACTCAGGGGAGGTGGCTAACAGACAAGTTAGGAACAGACGAGAACAGACTAGAAGGAAACCCCTCAAATGTAGGGGCTTGGCAGGGTGGCAACAAGAAAAATTTTAGGCTTAAATAGAGCACACACACACACCCACCTACACACACACATCTCCTGCTCCACACACACACCTAATGGGAAGGGCCAGGAAAACGCAGTCAGTGGGCACTCCAGGAATGAGGGCAAATTTCCAAGAAGAAATGACTATTCCAGGAATCCCACAGAAGTATTCACTGTGTCATCTTAAAAATGAGTTTATTTTAAAGGAAGTTTATCTGTCAAGTCTGTTTAAATGCCCAGGACTAGAGGAGCTAACTCTTTAAACATCCAGAACGAATTAGTTATTTTCGCTTTTCCCTCCCCTACTAAAAGCTTCTCTTACGTTGCTCTAAAGCAGATGACACAGATGTGGTTCGCATTCCTTCCAATCCCAGTGGAGAAACTGAGGGCTCAAGAGAGGAGCAAGGTGAACATGACCCCCTCTATATTTGTCAGGGGAGGAAGTTTCAGCCCATGGAGGAAAGAGGAGAAGGGCTGTCTTAGTTTAATGGGCTTACTAGTTCCCAAGAAATAAAATCAATGCTGTGCAGAGATGGAAACAGAAACTGTCATGCAGGCCAGGTTCAGGGCAGACTGGCTGGGAAAGATAACTCATCATCTATCCAGACGTTCTTGGTCTCAGGAGAGAGTGGTTAAGGGAACACGGCTCTGCACGCCACCCCTGCCTCCAAATCCCAGTAGAGGGCAAGCCCCAGGCCTAGTCCACTCTGGGGAACCTGCAGTCACCAGGCAGGGAAGAAGTATGTCGCGCCTTTGCAGACACCACAGACCTCATTTTACAAAGAATGGGATTAGACTGTGAGGTCTTTTGTAGGGGAGGAACATGGGAAGGGTCGGCACATTTAAATGATATACCCCGCCCCACCCCCTCCACCTCGAAGCCTGGGAGCTCCATAGATGACAAATCAGAGTCCTAGGCTGGGAGGCCTCATTCCTCTGGAGGACCCTGGGATCGTAAGGCCCAGTGCCGTTCCCTAAACAGCCTCAGTTTTGAGCCTTCATCTTCCTCGTGGAGTAAAGAACTGGCTAGGGTTTACTGGAAGTTAATGTGTATGTCTGTGCTTCTAAGAAAGGTGTTCCGAAGCGGGAGAGAGGGACGGACTCTTACCCACCGGGCATTCTGTGGATACAGGAGAGCCCAGCAGTGCCTCTCTATGGGCTGAAAGGCAGCAAGGAGACCAACTAGAAAGACAGTGAGTCTGTCTCCCCCACCCAGCACTCCTGCCCTGGCCGTGGGGTGACATAGCAAAAAGACCTCACATTAAGGGGACTTCTCACAGGAGGGCTGCTGGGGTCTCCTGCCTGCTGCCTTCAAACAGTGCCAGCCTGTGCCTGTGCGGAGCTACAGCCCAGAACAAAACCAGGAGCGCATCCTGAATGCGGCCAATAAACTATTAGCAGAAAAAGAACAAGGAGCAAACGTGTGAACCTTGATATGCTAGGAAGAGGCCATATTGTATTAGCTTTCCAGTAGCAGTCCCAAAGGCAGGAAAAACTGAAGGATGTATATTTAGATCTCTTGAAATCGGGCTACTTCTACTAGGTATTCTATAGCCAAGCAAACTGTAGGTGTACCTAGCAATATTCTTATTGTCATCAGGATTAACTTGTGATTCAAGATTTTATTTTATTATTATTATTATTATTTTATTTTTTAATTTATTTTTTTGAGACGGAGTCTCACTCTGTCGCCCAGGCTGGAGTGCAGTGGTGCAATCTCGGCTCACTGCAAGCTCCGCCTCCTGGGTTCATGCCATTCTCCTGCCTCAGTCTCCCAAGTAGCTGGGACTACAGGCGCCCGCCACCACGCCCAGCTAATTTTTTGTATTTTTAGTAGAGACGGGGTTTCATCGTATTAGCCAGGATGGTCTCGATCTCCTGACCTCGTGATCCACCCACCTCAGCCTCCCAAAGTGCTGGGATTACAGGCGTGAACCACCACACCTGGCCCCAACTTAAGATTTTAATTGACTCTCTGGAGCAGGCAGGTGTCTTTGATTTGATGGGGCTGTTTAAGTCTGCGTCACTATTGTGCTGCCAGTCGCCCACCCTGGGGAGTGGAACTTGCCTGCAGTAGCACCGTTCTGGTGTTGAAGACAGGAAGCAGGGTGAGGGAACCCTGTGGGTGGAGGGGATTTCCCAGACAAGGATCAGAAAGACAAAGCCCATGATGTCACTGGAATCGATTGTGCTGCTGAGTGGAAGATTTCTATAAACTATAGGTTTGCTCCAACTCTGTGCCTGCCCCCCAACCCCAACACCTAATTACCTGCTTTATCCAGGAGTTTGCACAACATCCACGCAGTCACTGAAGTCAGCTCACTGGGCTTGGCTATCACAGTGTTCCCTGCAGCCATCGCTGGAGCTATCTTCCAGGTCAGCAAGTAGAGTGGCAAATTCCAGGGGCTGATCAGACCAGCTAAGGGATGAGAGCAGAAGCACTGCCTGTGACGGCATACCCCTCTGAGGTGGACTGGCCAAGTGGGGTTATTAACGCAAAACTCCTTCATGCTGCAGAAAACTTAGCTTACTCTTCTAACTTCTTCCCAAGCTTTGCTTATTTGTAGCCACTTTCAGGGAAATAATTCTAAAATATATTCCAAGCAACTGTATCTTTTAAAACAGAGTAAAGTCAATATGATTTCCCCATTTCTTGGCAGTTCATGATTATGAACAACAGCAATATAAACTCCAGAGCTAAAGAGTTGTCACCTATCATATACCCAAAGAAATATAAATCATTCTATTATAAAGATACATGCACGCGTATGTTCATTGCAGCACTTTGCTATTCACAATAGCAATAGCAAAGACATGGAATCAACTCAAATGCTCATCAATAATGGATTGGATAAGAATATGTGGTACATATACACAATGGAATACAATGCAGCCATAAAAAGGAACGAGATCATGTCCTTTGCAGGCACATGGATGAAGGTGGAAGCCATTATCCTTAGCAAAGTAACACAGAAACAGAAAACCAAACACCTGCATGTTCTCACTTATAAGTGGGAGCTGAACAATGAGAACACATGGACACAGGGAAAGGAACAACACACAGCAGGCCCTGTCAGGGGAGAGTCGGGGGGAAGAGCATTAGGATAAAGAGCAAATGCATGCTGGGCTTAATAGCTAGGTGATGGGTTGATAGGTGCAGCAAACCACCATGGCACACGTTTACCTATGTAACAAACCTGCACGTCCTGCACGTGTACCCTGGAACTTCAAAAAAAAATAAAAAATAAAAAAACAGTTGTCACCTGTCACTAAACAGTTCCAGAATGTGACGCATTTTGAGATTTATAGACTGAGCTTTACTTTTTCAAAAATGTCTCCTTCCCCATTATTTTAACGGTCTGGCTGTTATTTCTTCTAACATGTTTCTTTACCTTTACTTCAAATCTGTCATGGGTTGAGACATAAAATCTCAAGCTTTATATAATTATTCATAAAATAGGGGCCAATGAGTTCTGAGTGTTCCATGTGAGGGCCCTCCTATCAGTAAAGCCAATAACCTTTGGTGCATGGACTGTGACATCCATTTTGGCTATTTAGAATATTTTTAAATAAAAATTCTCTCTAGATTGTCACTTGTATCCTGACCAGATAGATTTGCTGGATGAGTAACGTAACCAGCAGCTAGAATGTGTCTCCATGCAATATTCTGAACCTATCCAGGTTTCCAATCACAAAACAAACAAATATAAAAATCTACCTTCTGAAAGGAAATTGATTCACCTTATTTTATACTCTTCCCTCAAGCCTGTGCTATGAAAGTAAATGCATCTTTTATATTATTAAATTTCCCACTGAAAAATCCATTCTTTAGGGGATAAAAATATTTTTGCAGCAAAATATATTAGCACACTTCCTAGGAGGAGGTAGAGCTTTCCACAATGCCTTGAAAACATAATTTCTGAAGGTTTCAAGTAACCAAAGCAATGAGATGTCCCAATTGTTTTCCTTTTAGCTTATATTCATAAAATGTAATAAGCTAAAAAGATGATTTTTTTCTCCGAGGAAACAGTGACATCTGGTGGAAGGTTTTAGTCATCACAGACATTTATTTATACGTTCTTCCAAAGGTCAAGAGGCAAAGGAATGCATGAAGTAAGATAATTCTCAGTAGAGGCTTATTTATCACACACCTGGCACCATACTACATGCCCTACACTTATTAATTTATTTAATGTACATAAATAGTTCTTTCTTTTTTTTTTCTTTTGAGACAGAGTCTCGATCTATCACCCAGGCTGGAGTGCAGTGGCACCATCTCAGCTCACTGCAACCTCCGACTCCCAGGTTCAAGTGATTCTCCTGCCTCAGCCTCCCAAGTAGCTGGGACTACAGATGCATGCCACCACGCCCGGCTGGGTTTTTTTGTTTTGTTTTGTTTTGTTTTTTTGAGACCGAGTCTCACTCTTGTCGCCCAGGCTGGAGTGCAATGGCACAATCTCAGCTCACTGCAACCTCGGCCTCCTGGGTTCAAGCAATTCTCCCTGCCTCAGCCTCCCAAGTAGCTGGGATTACAAGTGCCCGCCACCACATCCAGCTAACTTTTTGTATTTTTAGTAGAGATGGGGTTTCGCCATGTTGGCCAGGCTGGTCTCGAACTCCTGACCTCAGGCGATCCGCCAATCTTGGCCTCCCAAAGTGCTGGTATTACAGGCATGAGCCACCGCGCCCGGTGAATTTTTGTATTTTTAGTAGAGACGGGGTTTCACCATGGTGGCCAGGCTGATCGAATTCCTGACCTCAGATGATCCTTCTGCCTCAGCCTCTCAAAGTGCTGGGATTACAGGCGTGAGCCACTGCGCCCAGCCTGATTTTTCCTTTTTTAAATATAAGTAGAAAAAAAAATCCTGGCATGTGAATTTACATATTTACTCTTAGCATCATTCTTTTCCCTATGATTTTCCAGATAAGTCATGAACATGAGGCCTGGCGTGGTGGCTCACGCCTGTAATCCCAGCACTTGGGGAGGCCGAGGCGGGAGGATAACTTGAGGTCAGGAGTTTGAGATCAGCCTGGCCAACATGGGTGAAACCCTGTTTCTACTAAAAACACAAAAATTAGCCGGTGTGGTAGCTCGCACCTGTGGTCCCAGGTACTCAGGAGGCTGAGACTAGAGAATCACTAGAATCCGGGAAGCAGAGGTTGCAGTGAGCCGAGATCATGCCACTGCACTCCAGCCTGGGCGACAGAGCAAGACGCTGTCTAAAAAGAAAAGCAGGGAATTTGACACAAAGAAAATAAACTAGAAATAGATCTTTGAGGCCAATGGATTTTAGAAAAGAAAAATATCAGCTCTTCCTTTTCTTTAACCTGTTCCTTGAGGACAATGCCATAGAATGTTGTGAGCATCTGCAAGCATAACCGGGAGGTGGGCTCTCACTGAACAGCACTCACCGACTCCCACCGGGGCCCGCACCGTGTAGTGCATGCAGCCCAGGTGGTCCATCTGCGTGCACTCTGACGTGTGGTGCAGGCTGGAGGAAGCGAAGAACCTGAAGTTCTGCACAGACCGGGGAATGTCCATGGTTCTTGCCAGTGCTAAGGTTTTCCCTGTAAGAAGCAAACAACATAAAGCACTATCAGCTAATGGGGACACTCTATCCATCAGCTTCCACTGCCCACGCGTCCCAACTCACACTGAAACAGCCTGGATTCCTTCTAGCCCGGGGCAGGCATTCCTTGACCTCACAAAGACTTGATCATGGTTTGATAAAACCATACAATATTTAGGTATAAGGTTGGAAACTGAGGTGGGGGGTTAAAATTGAGTCAATAATCTTTGTTCTGTGAACTGAACACATCATTCTCATCACCAGTTTGCCAGATGCTACCACTTCACCCACACAAACTCTTGCAATTCAAAATCACCAGGCTTTGTACCTGCGACAAAGGCATTGAAATACGGGTGTTAGGACAGTTGTAATTGCACAGCACAAAACGAAACACTTTTATACACATGTAATGTGTATTTCATGACCTCCCCACACATGGTAGAGTCATCAGAAGAGCGGCTGGGAATGCCCTGGCACGGGATGCTGTGTGGCACCTGCTTGCCCATCACATGCCCTGCACGTCCTAGCTCCTGGATGGAACAGAAAGAGAAACAGAAGCTTACCTAGACTGCTACTGAGTTCTCTTTAGCGATGCAGGGAGCCTGGCCAGGAACACCAGCAGAGAACTATTTTCTTTTTAAGGGCTTGGACTCAGGCTGCTTTCTGATTTTTGATTGGTTTATGGCACACATGTAATTTTTAAAACTCTTGGCTTATCTTAACAGATATTCTTGCAAAAATTTACAAATATTTACTCCATTACTCTGACCTCTGGGAAAGAGTGGGAAAAAAAAATGAGATGTGTCGGGAGTGGAATGGTGACTGACATATCAGAAAACATCCTAAATAATCTGACTGCATAACTGCTTTTCAAATTATCTTTGCTTTGAAATTCTCTGCTTAGAATGAGTAGGAGACTGCATGATCAGCCCTAGTTCTTCATCTCTCCCTATATCCATGCCCTTTGCTGTATATATTTGCACTTCCTTTCATCCAATGAACAGAGTATATTTCTTTGCCCCTCAGCTTTTGGATCCAGCCATGTGACTTTCTCTGGCCATCTGAATGAGACAGGGCTGGGCCAGCCACAAGTCCTGGCCTTCCCAGGCCTGGAGCAGGGGAGGGTTTGCTCTCCACTTCTACTATTGCCAGAGGAGCAGGCACATGGGCTGGCCTGATGGCCCCAAGAGGGATAACATGAATAATCAGAGATGCCCTGAGTCCCATGTTACAGTTAAGAGGCAACTCTCACCTTGGTCTTTAGACTCGGCCTGGGCAAACTCCTCCAGGGACTGCTCCAGCAAATCCGCCACCTGGTTCAGGACCCGTGAGCGCTCCTGGGGGCTGCGGGATGACCAGCTGGGAAAGGCTTCTCTGGCGGCCTTGACCGCGGCTTCGATCTTTGAGGAGCAAATGGGAGAAAGGGTCACCTTAAAGCTGTTAGTCCTTGGGGGATGGACAAAACCAGAATCCTCAGGTCTCCACACACCTCATTTTTGTTTTGTTTTGTTTTGTTTTTTAGATGGATTCTCACTCTGTAGCCCAGCCTGGAGGGCAGTGGCGCAATTTTGGCTCACTGCAACCTCTGCCTCCGGGGTTCAAGTGATTCTCCCACCTCAGCCTCCTGAGCAGCTGGGATTACAGGCATGTGCCACCATGCCCAGCTAATTTTTGTATTTTTTAGTAGAAAGGGGGTTTCACCATGCTGACCAGGCCGGTCTTGAGTTCCTGAATACAAGTGAACCACTCGCCTCGGCCTCCCAAAGTGCTGGGATTACAGGTGTGAGCCACTGCACCTGGCCCACCCTAATTTTGAATATTCAACATGTCCCAGTGCTGAGCCACCCACAAAGTAGATGACACAGGTGTTTACATGACCAGCAAAGGAGGGGTACCATAGAAACAAAGAAACGCGCTCCATTTCAACCAATGCATCCTGAATGTAGTAATCAGATCATTAGAAAGAAGCTATTTGAATTTTAACATATGTACATTTTCAATCACTTCAGAAACTAGAATTTTTAAAAATATTGTGGGCCAGGAGTGGTGGCTCATGCCTGTAATCTTAGCACTTAGGGAGGCTGGGTTGGGAGGATCGCTTGAGCCCAGGAGTTTGAGACCAGCCTGGTCAACATAGTGAGACCCTGTCTCTACACAAAGGTTTTTTAAAAAATTAGTTGGGCGTTGTGGTGCATGCCTGTAGTCCCAGCTACTCAGGAGGCTAAGGTGGGAGGATTACTTGAGCCCAGGAGGTAGAAGCTGTAGTGAGCTGTAATTGTGCCACTGCACTCCAGCCTAGGTGACAGAGTAAGACCCTGTCTCAAAAAAATGTATATGTTATACATATATACTATATATATATAGTATATATAGTATGTATATATTATATATACAGTAGAAGAAGAAAATTAATCTAGATATGTGGAATCTCTAAAGCTTCTAACTCAGCTCTGACATATCTTATAAAGTCTGAAATTTTGGGTGAAATCACATCCTCAGATTGTCATTTTCACTTGAAATGACTAATTATATTTATAATTTATTGACTAATTTTTATATAAGGGAATATGCTAAATACTTTACACAAATTATTTTTATTTAAGTCCTTTCAAAATTCTATAACATGAGTATTGCTATGCCCATTTTACAGATGAGAAAACTGAGACATAGAAACTCAAGCAATTTGCCATAGGTCACACAGCTAATAAGTGGCAGAATCAGGACTCAAACCCAGATTTTGGTGGTTCCCAGGACCACAGGTTGCTCTGCCTGCTGCCTGATTCTGCCCAGTGGAAGAGGCTTTATTGGAGAAGAGGAGATTTGTGGCTGGACAGATGGCTTGGGTACCTCCTTTTAGAGTTACATACAAAAGGAAACAATATATGTATGGGAAGGTATGGGCAGGGTCAACTCATGGCCAAAATGTTATGTAGACAAAATAATTTTCAAGTCCTCTTCTGCCTTTCTCTTCTCTCCGGCAATGTCTAAGTAATGCCTTCTCCAGAGATGACAAATCCCTAACCCATGTCTCACTCCTCTCCTTTCTCACATGCATGAAAAATTATTATAATCACAGCTGTCTTCCACCACCGGGCCCTGGCTCAGACTCAGAATCCTTTTCCATAGGCTTCTGGCAGCCGTGAGCATCTTTTTTGGGGCGCTTGACCCGAAGTAATCTAGCCGCCTGAGCCTGTGCTAGCCCTCATGCAAAACCTGACCCACACCCCTCCTTCATTTCCCTCATGCAAAGTGACTGATATGGCTAGGTTTTGTGTCTCAACCCAAATCTCATCTTGAATTGTAATCCCCCTGTGTTGAGGGAGGAAAGTGATTGGTTTGTGGGGGCTATTTTCATGATAGTGAGTGAATTCTCGTGAGATCTAATGGTTTTATAAATGGTAGTTTTTCTTGGCCTTCACACGCTGTCTCGCCTGCCGCCAGACATGCCTGCTTCCTCTTCAGCCATGATTGTAAGTTTCCTGAGGCCTCCCCAGCCATGCAGGACTGAGTCAATTAAACCTCTTTCCTTAATAAATTACCCAGTCTCAGGTATTATCTTTATAGCAGTGTTAGAACGAACTAATACAGTCACTTTTAGCTGAGCTGAAGTAAGGTATAAAATGATTCTCATCTTAATTAGAAATTTCTAGAAATATGGTGGCTTCACCTCAAAAACTAAATCTTGAATGTGGACCTGCAGACAGGATAGGGGAAGAGATGGCTTTGGTGACCTCCACCACCAGCTGCAGCCATGAGGAAGCCCCACTGCCAGCCAGCAAGAGGAGCATGAATTCCTACAGTCAATGTAAAAATCTGGTCTTTTTGCTATTCAGAAAATTCAAGTCCACTCATATTTTCTAAGTTGCCTTATAGCACAACTTATGTCCATGTAATATAGAATACATATTAATGTACTACATACAATAATATTAGCATAAGTTAATACATAGAAAGCATTTACTATATGCCAAGCACTAAGGGCTTTAAGCATATTAGTCAGTTTAATCCTCAGAATAACACTATAAAGTAGATATCATTATTATCCTCATTTTATAGATGAGGAGACTGAGGCATGCAAAAGTTCAGCTCTAAGTCAAAGCCATAGATACCAAGTGGTGCAGCTTGTATTTGAACCAGGCAGTCTGACTCTAGTATGTGCTTATAACTGCAATGCTATAATGCAAATGTGCTATGCACACAGGTGCGCATGTGTGCGCGCGCGCACAGGTGCGCATGTGTGCGTGCACGCACAGGTGCACATGCCCATGGATCTAAGCATCAGAGATGAGAGTGTTAGTACTGTCCTCTGTAAAATAAGGATCATAATAGAGACTTCTAAGTTGTTACAACTCGCTTCTTTGGATAATCTATATTAAAGGGCTTACTGATTGCACACTACCAGACTTTAAAATATACTACAAAGCTATAGTAACCAAAGTAGCATGGCACTGGTGTAAAAACAGACACATAGACCAGTGAAACAGAATAGAGAATCCAGAAATAAATCCATGCATTTACAGCCAACTCGTTTTTTACAAAGCTGCCAAAAATATGCATTGGTGAAAACATAGTCTCTCCAATAAATGGTGCTGGGAAAACTGGATAACCATATGCAGAAGAATGAAACTAGACCCCTATCTCTCACCAAAACAAATCAAAACAGATTAAAGACTTAGATAGATGTAAGACCCAAAACTATGAAACTACTATAAGAAAACATAGGGTAAATACTTCATGACACTGATTTGGGCAAAGATTTTTTTGGGCAAGACCTCAAAAGCACAGGCAACAAAAGAAAATAAATAAACAAAATAAAATAATATCAAGCTAAAAAGCTTCTGCACAACAGAAGAAACAGCAGAGTTAAGAGGCAACCTACAGAATGGGAGAAAATATTTGCAAACTATCCATCTGACAAGGGATTAATAACCAGAATATATAAGGAGCTTGAGCTTGTATATATACATATACAACTCAATAGCCACCGCCCAAAAAATCCAATTTAAAAACGGGCAAATGATCTAAAGAGATATTCCACAAAAAGAAGATGTACAAATGGCCAACAGGTATATAAAAAATGCTTAACATCACTAATTATTAGGGAAATGCAAGTCAAAACCACAACGAGTTATTATCTCATCCCAGTTAAAATGGTCATTATCAAAAAATAAGAAATAAAAAAGGCTGGTGAAGCTGCAAAAAAAAAGGGAAGACAAATACAGTGTTGGTGGGAAAGTAAATTAGTGCAGCCATTATGGAAAACGCATGTAGGTTTCTCAAAAAAAAAAAAATAAAAATAGAACAACAGTATGATCCAGCAATCCCACTACTGGAAATTTATCCAAAGAAAAGGAAATCAGTATACTGAAGAGATACCTGTACCCCCATATTTGTTGAAGCACTATTTACAATAGTCAAGATATGGACTCAACCTAATGTCCATCAACAGCTGAATGGATAAAGAAAATATGGTATATATACACAATGGAATATTATTCAGCCATAAAAAGGAACAAAATCCTGTCATTTGCACCAACACGATTTGAGCTGGAGGATATTACGTTAAGTGAAGTAAGCAAGGCACAAAAATACAAATATTACATGTTCTCACTCATATGTGGAAGCTTAAAAAAGTTGATCTCATGGAGGTAGAGAGTACAATTATGGTTACCAGAGGCTGGGAAGGGTAGAGGAGAGGATAGAGGTTGGCTAATTAATACAAAAATATGGTTAAAAGGAATAAGTTCTAGTAGAGTGACAATAGTTAACAATAATTTATTGTATATTTCACAATAGTTAGAAGAAAAGATTTGGAATGTTCCCAACACCAAGAAATGATAAATGTTTAATGTGATGGAGATCCTAATTACCCTGATTTGATCATGACACATTGTATGCATGTATCAAAATGTCACATATGCCCATAAAGATGTACAATTATTATGTATCAATTTTTTAATTTTTTGTTAAAAAAGGGCTTAATGACTGCAAAGCACAAAGCAAAAGTTGAATAAACGGGAGCCACTGTTAGCAGCACCAGCAACATTTTCCTGAGTGATGTTTTGGAAATTGGACATGCAGTTTGTATGGTAACCATATTTTTCAAGCCGGAAAAAACTATGACTTATGGGATCAGATAGGATATTTGGAAGTTGGATTGCTGAGAAACTGAACATATCTATTACTCTACTAGCTAGCGCATCCATAGCTCATTCTATTTTCTAAAAAGTTATGAGCCATTAGCTGCAGGAAATATTTCAGCTGAATTTGGCATGTTTGTCATTTTTAACTTCACTTTGGCAAACAAGGAAGAGTGGAAAACACAAAGCTGGATTTCCCAGAGCTGTGTTAAGTCATTTGAAGCAAACAAAATTGCAGTTTATAATTTAACCAATGCATTAACCAACATTTGCAAACATTAATCCCTAAGTCTGAAGGTTTACTTTAAATGCAAGACAGATTTGAAGTATTAACAAAAAAGAAAAAAAATAGCAATGTTCTTAAAAAAAAACTTTGCATGGAATATATATTTTTATAGGAAGACTATATTTTAAATAATCTAGTTATTTGTGCCTTAAAAAGAATAAATTATAATTCATAAGGCATTAGATGACTATATATACATCAGCTACATTTACCACTTCAGATATATTTACATTCTCAGTGCAATAATTGATAGCTAATCAAATATATCTCAAATATTTTACAAAATTCTCCAAGTAAAATTAATTCTACATCACCAAAAAAATGTAATGCATATGCCATTAAACACTTTGGATAAGAAAAAAGACGCTGTTAAATCTAACTCCAAAAATATATGGGAATTTGATTTTGAGTTTCATCATTCAAATGATTGATTTTATTTTACTAGGTATTTTGAAGACATGACAAATTATGAGAAGACAATCTAAAACAAAGCCCACAGTTTTTTGCTTGTTTGTTTATTTTAGTAAAGCTATACTTTTTTTTTAATTCCATGGATATAGTGGTAAATTTAAGCAGTGCGTGGTGGAGAAAAGGGAATATTTAACAAAGTGATAGCTCTTACAAATAATACTTTGTACTAGACACTGATTAGGAAATGTTTGAGAATTGCAAAAAAAAACTGCACACAGGGCTGTGTTAGGTTGGCTAGAAAAATGACTTACTTTCTGCATATAGGAAGAGATTTGTTCTAGGTATCATACAGTCCAGTTACAAGGTACATCTTCTGAGAACTAGAATCTTCCTTCTATCATGTTTAACAATCCTACATCTTCCCCCAACTCCCTCTGCTTTTAGAAAACTGTTACCCATAATTGGCCAACATATTAAACACATTTCAGTCTTCTTTAAGTGCATATACTCACCTCGTCTTTTCCACTATTTGGCACTCTGCAATACACTTCCCCTGTTGATGGGTCGTAAGAATCTATATATGAGCTACAAGGTAAAAATTTTCCATCTATGAAGTTTTCCAGCATCAAAAGTGCGTTTGTTCCAGCCATAGCAAGGAAAAATTCTGCCTTTCCTCTTTACGACTGAGCACTCAGGTTGTCCCCACCACTGTCTGGACTCCTGAGTGAGCCTCCCCCTTCCCAGCCCCCATCTTCCCCTTTACCAATCAGTGAATGTGGGAGGGCACCTGACGCTCTCAGAGAGCATTCCAGTCTCCAAACTCAGAACTAAGAGAGTGGCTGAATGTTTCACAGACTTCTAGTACATTACCTGACATGGATAATTGTGTGTAAAAGTAACAGCTACTTACTTATGTGTTCATAGCCCTTTAAATCATCAGAAGGCATCTGTGCATGTGATTTTATTGGGTTCACACCGTAAACTGTTCATTGCTCAAACACTGATTGGATGCCAGGCCCCAAAGCAAGTCCTTTACATGAATTTACTCGTTTATTCCACACAACAATCCTATATGAAGTAACCATTACTTCCTCTCTTTTATAGAAGAAACTGAGCCTTGGAGAGGTTAGACCATTTTTCCAAGGTCACATAGTTAGCAGGGGATGAACTGTAGCCCTTTAATCTCCAAATCATATACTTTTTCCTCAATGCATCACTGCTTACCCTGCAGAGGTAACTGAAGACAGATGCCCTCTTTCCGTGGCTCATCTGTGTTTCTTTACCTTGGCTGCCCTCTCTTGGAAGAGCTGTCTCTCCATCCCAAAACCGGGGCCACAGTGGCTGCTCACATCTTCCTAGATGTGCCATGGAGATAAAGACAAGCCAAAAACATGTGTGACACATATAGCAAGGGCTTCAGATCCCTGATGTAGCTGAGAATTTCTACAAATTGGTAAGAGAAATGAGCACCCCAACAGAAAAGATAAGCAAAGATACAAAAAAGCAATCCATAGGAAAAGGAACACAATTGGCTAATGAATATATTAACAATGTTCAGCCTTGTTGTTAAGCAAGGAATGTGAAATACAGAGGTGGCCTGATTTGCCAATCATACTGGAGAGCATTTTTAAAGATTGAGAACATCTACTCTGTGAGGATGTGGAGAATCATCCCTAGTCCATAGGCGGGAGGGTTCACAGAACACTGCTTGGGGCAATTTGTCAGGGTCTGGTCAATTTCTCTTCTAGGAATCTCTCCTACAGAATTACGTGCTCATGAACAAGTACATAAGTCACAGGACATCCTTTTTTATCATAATTTAAAAATCAAAACAACCTAAAGTCCATCAATTGGAGAATATTAGAGTATAATTGTTATATTCTTAACAGGGAATACTACTTAGACATTAGAAGGATGCATTGTTAAGTGAAAAAATAAAACTAGTGAATAATATATACAGCATAGTTTCTTTGGCTATTTACATGGTTGACAGGAAGCCGTTTTAAACTGCTTGGATATTTTATGGCAAGCCTATATTACTTTTATAATTATGATTTATAGTTATAATTCAGTTGAAGGTTAGGTACCAATATTCTAAAATTCATTGATCACATGAGGGCACTTGCTGGCCGTGCACCTCCTTAGGCCCTCTCTGCTTCCATCTTTATTGGTCTCTAGATATTCTCCAAAATTCTTGCTGAGACTTCTGACAAGCATGGTGTGGCTGATTCTGGGAGGCCCAGAGCAGCTGGAGTCTGGAGCTGGCGCCGTTGCCTGTCGCTGGAGAGTCGCTGACAGGGACTGGAGACAGAAGGTAGTCTCAGGCTTTTTCTGGTGCTGCCCACGGTCAGGTCAGCTGGAAACAGAATGAGAGAAATACGCAGGTCCCAGCCCTGGCACCACAGAGTGAAGTACCAAGAAGTGAGCTTGGTGCTGAGAGACAGTGAGTACCACCCGGTGTGTGCATAAAGACTTCTGTAGCCCATCTTCCTGGGTCTCCAACAACTCTGCCTAATGTTGATGGACTCATCAGAATGTTTGTCTTTTTGTACAGAGTGCAAAAGATTCTAATGGGAGGACTATGGAAGGGAGATCTTTTTGAAGAAAGGACTTTACCCAGGATAGCATGAGAGAGGAATTTTCTGCCACGTGACAGTAGAAGAGGACAGAAGCCGGACACGGTGCTTCTAAAGAGTGCCTGGTGCTGATCAGAACTCCCCACACAAGATCAGTCCCAGTGGCAGAGCAGGCGTGTCTGTCAGTTACAGTGGCCTCCTTGTGCCATTTTCTTGTGCCATTGGCTGCTCAAGCTGGGCCTTCGCTGGTTTTTCTTTTTCTTTTTTTTTTTTTGAGACAGAGTTTCACTCTTGTTGCCCGGGCTGGAGTGCAATGGCATGATCTCAGCTCACAGCAACCTCTGCTTCCTGGGTTCAAGCAATTCTCCTGCCTCAGCCTCCCAAGTAGCTGGGATTACAGGTATGTGCCACCACGCCTGGCTAATTTTGTATTTTTAGTAGAGACGGGGTTTCACCATGTTGGTCAGGCTGTTCTCAAACTCCTGACCTCAAGTGATCCGCCCTCCTCAGCCTCCCAAAGTGCTGGGATTACAGGCGTGAGCCACTGTGCCTGGCCTCGCTGGTTTTTCATAATGTACTTGGCCTTCCCCCACTTCCCCCTGTCAGCCCTTTTCTGTCCACAGTGCAACCATTTGATCCCCACCTGCAGGTCAACCACAGAGATGACTCTGGAATCAGAGCTCAGCTGAGCTGGGAGACTTTCATCCTGGAGGACAGAGCATGGGCCTCATTCAGAGTCTGGTCATGTCAGTTGACCCCAGTCCTGATACCTGAGCTCTGACATGCCTTCAAGGCCTTTTCTCTAAGTTGGCACCAACGTTTCTCCTGTCGGTTTCCCTTGAAGAGACATGAAATCCTATATCTGGGCCTAGTGGCTGAGAACCTACTTCTAGGTAGTTCTACCTGCTTCACTGGACATGTGGGTATCACCTGCTCCTGAATTATTCTGGCTGGCTCCATCTGCTCGCCAGTGTGTCCTGCTGAATGCAGATCTGTTCTTACCACATCCCTGTAACAGCATTCTGACCCATGGGTGAAACGTACTCCCATTTGCGGTCACAGAATCCACCCCCCACCACATCCCAAGGGGTGGATTCACTGCCAGGTCCTGCACAGTGAGGACAGGGGACTCAAGACCTTGAGTGCAACTGAGAAAAAATTATAAATGGGAGGTATTAAGTATACTAATATTCTAAGAGAACTAGTTGCTCTAGAATATTACAAAAGAGAATAGGGTGTTTTTATCTAATACAACAAAAGTTATTCTCTTTAAAAGGGGAAAGACAATCCTGATTTAGGGGGCCCCAGGTGTACTGGAGTTTTGTTTTTACCCACAGTGGTAAACAAAAATCACAGCATGGTAGCATGAGGCAGCTGGGAGGGGTACGCTAGACTCAGGAGAAACACAGGATGGGGAACAGAGAGTGCCATGAGTGAAATGGAGCCATCAGAGTTCATTCATTTGGAGAAGGATAGGGGAGGATGGATACAGAAGCATGGAGAGGAGGTTGAAAGACAGACAAGATGGTAATTCCAAATAAATACCTGTTCTGGGGCGTCATTTTCCTTCTGTCTCCACAAGAACCTTGCTCACTGGATTATCATCTAACTTTTCATTCTTCTCCTCTCTCCTGGCGCTTTCAGCCTTTAAATGAGCTCCTCTCTCCAATATCATATCATATAAACAAAATAATATAATAAACAAAAATTTAAAAGAACTTTCTCTGGCTCTCTGGCCTCTGTCCTCTCCTCTATAATCCTTCTCTCCTACTGAAAACATTACACAGAATGAATGAAAATGAAAAGTGCTGTTGTTATAGGAATAACTACCCTCACTTATATGTGGCATGATGTTGTTCTCTTGCCCATTTGCCAGCCCCTCAAACCCCAATCTTCTTAGCCTCACTCCTAGGAGGAACTTTTGTGCACAATCGCATGTCAGAATTATCCTATGCAAGGTTATCAATATGAAACACTAGAGGTTTCTTTGGTTGCATGTGCTCCACTCTGAGGAATCTGGGGACGTGCCCTTGCCCTCCAAGGTTAGCGCTCAGAATGGGATCACTGTCTTGGGATGATGGTTGCAGGATCCCCCAAGAGATAGAGCTGAAGGCTAGAAAAACTGAGTGAGGAGAGGAACAAGGTATAAGAGAGAAATTCAAGAAGTATGTATATGGGATTCTGTTTCAAGTGTGAACAGATAAGACCTTAACACGTATGCTTATATTAAACTCAGCCATTTTGGGGAAAATGCTAGGTGTCCCCTGTGGTGGCCACCCTAATGTTCTCTAACATACAGTTCTCCTCCTGAGTACTCCTCAGCCCCTTTGCAATGAGGTGGGGCTGTTTGGATAGTTCTGGCCAGGGTCTTTGAGTAAACGCCAAGCCTGCTGGGGACTGTCCACTGTCTCTCCCACTTCCATATAGACCAGGAAGGCTGTGTGTTCCAGGTGGCAGGTACAGGATGAAGAACCTCTGTCAGCCTGGACTGCTGAGTCACTCTATGGAGTACAGTCTTATTATGTGGTGATAATTAGCATGAAATAAACATGTGTTTTCCTATACCACTGTATTTGGGGGTCAATTTCTAACCAATCACAGCATAAACAAGCCTACCCTGGTTAGCAGGCATATAACTTTAGTTGGCTAAAATTTCAAAATTTCTCATTGATGCTATCTTGCAGATACCAGTCCCTGGGCACTGATCCCATATCTAGACAGGAATAGAGCCCTCTGTGAGGAGACGTGGCTCTTTTCCTCAAAGAAAAGGGCATGGCCAAATGCGTGGGGCCTGACAGGTGCTACATACCATGTTAATGATGCAACCCTAGCCTACTTCCCTAACCAAGGAGGTGAAAGTCCAGTGCCCAGCTCAGAGGCAAGACTTAAAGCTGTGGTCAGTGGAGGAAGGTAAGAGCCTTCAGAGCGAAGGTGTACACCTCCTCCAGTATGGAAACACTGCTAAGATGACAAAACTTAAACCCAGTTAAGGGGTATTGTATTGATATTACAAAGGCCACAAACTGTGGAAGCAGCTACCATCTGACTCCACAGTCCCTTGATTGATATCTGTGACTGGACACTTGTGGAGGATCAGACATTAGGATCAATTAAGATGCAGTTGTTCTGGGCCAAATGGCCAAGGATAACCAGAGAAAATAATACCTTACACCAAATATACTAAGTGGAAAAAACTGCTCAGCAAAGTGGACTATAGAAATGATTCTGACCCACAATACCTTAAAATGGGTGTGACTGGCATTGTTTTTCTTTTCAAAACGTACTAAGGTATGAGACTCCCTCACTCTCAACTCCCATGCAGCAGCAGATCCTCCAGGCTTCCTAACTCTGTGGTCAGATCCAGTTTGACCAAGGCAAAGATTTTTAGGAATTGATTTTCACAGGAAGGGTTTTACTTGGCCAGGGACCACTTCTTATCATCCAAGAGATTTAACAAGATGTTTTCAGGCATATCTAGAATAGAAGAGGTGCAGGGCTTATAACATGGGCTTCTCCGGCCATGTATACAATTGACCAGGAATGAGGCCAGGGATCTCACTGGTTATTTGTTCACCCTGTGAGGAAGCCCTGGTTGCCTAGACTTCCATTCTGGGATCAAGAACAAAGGACAGATGCAAAGACTTGCCTAGTATATAGCTGAACATGGATCAGCATTAGGCAGAATAGGTACCCAGAAATCTACATTAACACTCTGTTAAGGTGCCAGGAACAACAAAGTGGAGATAAAATTTCTCTATGCCATGTGGGATTCACGGGCAACACAAACAGGAGGCTTTCAGAAAAAGACTCTGTATCTTGAAGTGGATTCTTTAATGCCGGGCATGGTGGCTCACGTCTGTAATCCTAGAACTTTGGGAGGCCTGAGGTGGAAGGATCACTTGAGCCCAGGAGTTTGAGACCAGCCCGGGCAACAAAGTGAGACCCCCATCTCTATAAAAAAATAGAAAAAAATTAGCCGGGTGTGGTGGTGCATGCTTGTCGTCCCAGCTACTTGGGAGGCTGAGGTGGATCACTTGAGCTCTGGGCGGTCAAGGCTGCTGTGAACCGCGATCGTGCAGTGGCACAATCATTGCTCACTGCACTCCAGCCTAGGTGACAGTGAGACCCTCTGCTGGATGCTGAGCCAGAAAAGTTAAGGTAAATGTTCTCAACAATTCTCCATCCACTGAAGAACTAGGGTGGTGGGAGTGTGGCTGAGCATGGGATTTCCCCAACCCCTAGAAAGCAGGCCTCCAAGACGAGTCAGAGAATAGCCTCGCCCTCCCTACAGCAGGAACAAAGTGGGGTTAGAGACATTTTTGTTTCAGTTGATGAAATGTTAACAGAGGCTGGTTGAATAGCTGTGATCTATATATATTAATTTCTTGATTTTGATGATTATTATTGTGGTTGTGCAGAAGATAGACAGACAGACAGATAGATAGTCTTGCTCTGTCACCCAGGCTGGAATGCAGTGGCACAAACATGGCTCACTACAGCCTCCACCTCTTGGTGTCCGGCAATCCTCCCACCTCAGCCTCCCGAGTAGCTGGAATTACAGCCATGCACTACCATGACTGGCTATTTTTTTTTATTATTTTTTTGTAGCGATGGGGTCTCACTATGTCGCCCCAGCTGATCTTAACTTCTGGACTCAGGTATTCTCCTGGTCTTGAACTCCCAAAGTGCTGGGAATACAGGTGTGAGCCACTGCACCCGACCTGTGGAGAATACTTTGTAGGAAACAGATATTCAATTCAGTAGTGATGGGACATCATGTGGCAACATGGTTTAGGAAAAAAATTTTTTCTATTGGACTTGGAACTTTTCATTTATTTGAAATATTTTCCGAAATATTCATAACAGAAAAGGAAGTGGATTCTTACCTCATATCATGAACATATTACTCATACCACATAAACAATTTACAAAAATTTTTTTTTAAAGAAGGGAAATGTTAAAATCCCCAGTCAGGGCTGGGAAAAGGCTATGATAGATTAGGATAGCTTCAATGGCACTTATTGCTAATGTTTTAATCATTAGTAGAGGGAACAGTTTATGGGGTTTTCTTGTTTTTAATCTACATATTAATTACAAATGTTCTTTTGCTTGTATTAAATACTATATAACAAAAATTTAAAGACTTTATCATTTAGAACAGTTTTATATTTATAGAAATACTGCAGCCAGTTTCCCCCCAATATGAACATCTTATACTAGAATAGTACATTTGCCACAGTTAAGGAGCCAGTAGTGATACATTCTTAACTAAACTCCGTAATTTATTGATGTTTCCTTAGCTTTTACTTAATGTCTTTGGTACAGGATCCCACTCATGACACATTACATTTCCTTATGTCTCCTTAGGTCCTCATGGCAATGAGTTTCTCAGATTTTTCTTATGTTTGATGACCTTCACAGTTTTAATGAGTATTGGTCAAGAATTTTGTAGGATGCTCCTCTATTAAAATTTGCCTGATATTTTTCTCATGATTAGAGTGGTGTTGTGAGTTTTTAGGAGGAAGATCAAAAAGTGCCATCTTCACCACATTATTATACATAGATATATATCAGTATGTATAATCAACATGACGTCACTCGATGTTAACCTTGATCACTTGGCTGAAGTAGTACTTGTCAGGTTTTTCCATTATAAAATTCTTTTCACTGCTTTTCCATACCGTACTCTTTGGAAGGAAGTCACTATGCTCAGCCCCACACATGAGGGGTGGAGTGTTACGTTCTACCTCCGTGAAGACAAAGTATCTACATAAATTATTTGAAATGCTTTTAAAAGGGAGATTTGTCTCTTCATTTCCCCTATCTTATTTATTCAACCTCCCTTTATTTATTCAATCATTTATTCATATTGGTATGGACTCATGGGTATATTTCCTAAGGACAGTCATTCTGTTTCTTTTCTAGGTTTTTTAGTTAAATGTTTATTTAGTTAGTTTTTCCATAAGCTTATAGTAAAAAATTTAAGGATATACTGATTTCTTTCCATTACATACAAATATATACACATATACACATGCATATATGTAAAATATATTTGTTGTATACACATGTAATACATAGGTATATGTATTACACACATTTTAAAAAATCTTTACTTTGCTGATTTATTTCTATTACTTTGTATTCCACAAATGATTTCAGATGACTTACAGAAATAAAAATACATACATTATAATAGGTTGTGGGGGAGAAAATATTAGGAAGAATGAAAAATAAGTGCTTGCAAACAAGATAAAGCCAGGGATACGGGTAGTTTACAAAATGCCTAAGATCCTGTACAGTTTGGGGCCTCAAATTTGGCTGTCAGCTTCCTGGCAGCCAAAACAAAGAGAAAACCATCATGAGTATAAAGCTATCTGAAGCTTTAATAAGTAGTCTCATTTTCATTTTTGAAAATAATCTTAAATTTTCTTCATTAGGTTATTTAGAAGAGTGTCTTTTATATGTCCTATGACTAAGGTATTTCTAAAAACTCATTTTAATATATAGAACTTTTGAGTATTATGCTTTTGATAACCTGGGGTTTTCTTCATCACTAAGAATACTCAATTTTTGTAAATGAACATTTTAGAAGGTGTTTAAGGAAATAAGCCTAGCCACAGGTAAAACTCCTCAGATGAAAATGTCAGTATGCTGTCACGCAGGAGGCTCTCTGGGGCATCAACAGTATTTTGCTGAAATTACCATGGTTCGATATCTGGCTTATAGGCTTTGGGATCTGAATTTGTCAATATACTGAGAATAGACTCATTTAACTAAACTCAAGAGGTTGATATTTAACATTCAAATTCCAATTTATTTATGTACTATGAGAAGTATATCAGAAAACCCACAGATTCTTGTGTCCTCATTCCTGGCACATTCCCTTCCTCTAATTAAACTACTTGAATTGCCAAATAATCAAACTTCAGCACATTTATTCTTACCTTCAGCAGAACTTATGCAGCTCAGTAAAAGTTAAAGGACCAACAAGGAACCAGAAGAGACATTAGACAATCAAAATTCAACAGTATTTGAATCTATCTCAGAGTTATGTATTTATCCTCTGATTGGGCCTGGCCTGGCCAAGGGAGCCAGGGAGTCTTTCCTTTCTGGACAGAGTGCAATCATTTGAATATTTATGTCCTTGCAAAATTCATGATGAAATTTAATTCCCAATATAACAGTATTAAGAGTTGAGACCTTTTAATTACAAAATTGGGCCATGAGGGCTCCATCCTCCTGCATGAGATTAGTGTCCTTATAAAAGCACTTGAGGGAGCAAGTTTCTGCCTTCAGCTCTTCTGCCTCATGTGAACACGGTGTTTGTCCCTTCTGCCATGTGAGGACACAGCAAGAGATGTCATGTTTGAGGCAGACAGCCTTCACCAGACACCACATGTGTTGGTGTCTTGATCTTGGACTTCCCAGCCTCTAGAACGTTAAGACATAAATGGCTGTTATTATAAATTACCCAGTTTAGGGTATTTTGCTATAGCAGCTCGAACAGACTGAGAGACAAGGCTTTGAATGAGTAGCATTTGTTGCTGTGAACCTTTCTCAAGATTCCATGGATAACTAAGCCCTCTTATGAATGGCACAGACCTTCTTTAACTCTTTGCAGATACCTTGCTATTTTTGTTTTCCATTTTGTTGTTAATTCCTGTTCCTTTGTAGATTTGACTTTTCTCTCTGACCAATTTTAGGATCTTTCTCTTCAGTATTCTGCAGTTTCACTAAAATGTACTTAGAAGTGGATTTCTTTTTTATTTACCATCCTTGAAATATGTTGTATTGCTTCTATTTGTGAATTCATATCTTTCATCAGTTCTGGAAAATTTTACAGCTATTATATTTTTTGATATTGTACATCCATTCTCTGTATTCCCACTTTCTAAAACTTTAATTTTATGTGATGTATACCTTCTCATTCTAGTCTCTATTCCACATGAACTTATTCATATCTTTATCTTACTGTACTGTATTGTGGGTAAATTCTCTGATCTATGCTTCCAGCTACTAATTCTTTCTTTGGCTGTATCTAATCTGTTTAATCTAAATAGTTTTTAGTTTCAATTATATATTTCACACTTAAATGTTATGTTTGATTTTAAAACACATATGGTCATTTTATAGTCTCTTATTTACTCACATTTCCACGTCTTATAAGGAAATATTAAATATTTAAATATTTTAGCCAGCTATTTTATATTCTGTAACCAGTAATTCCAATATCTGTAGTCCATTTAAATGATTCCAAACCTGAAAGATAACTCCCATATCTATAGTCTGATCCACTGAGTTCACTTTATAACGTAACTCTTCAAGAGCAGTGTTAACTGCTTTTTATCAAATTCTTGAAGGAAACTTGTAACAGTATATTCTCTTTTTACATATATTTTTTTCTGCTTTGCTATTTAAGTCCTCTATGACCTTGTTTGTTTACATGATCTATAAGGCAGAGCTATGAGAATTCCTCAATAATTGTAACTATGCCCTTTAATTTTTAATTTCTAATAAATTTCATTATGCATTTTTATGTCATTTGGTACAGTTTTATTGTGCATTATACTTGTTATTAATATGAAATTCTCTTAATTTTTTTTTACTTGCTTTAAATTCTTTGTCCAGTGTTAATATTGCTACTCCTGATTTCTGGAGAGGCAGTGTAGTGTCTCTGAACATGCCTCAGTCAGACTTAAATCTAAATTCAAATCATGGTTCCATAATTTATTTACTAGTTTTTAGCAATCCCTCTGAGCTTTAGTCTTCTCATCTATAGACTGAGGTTAATAATATCTGCCTCATATAATTATAGATATGTCATGTTAAATGAGTATATGAAAATTGCTTGGCACATGGTATACACCCAACGGATCAGTTATTTTTGTCTCCCCAGTACATCTGTGCCCTTTCTTCTTTAAATCTATGGTTTTATTTATTTACAAAATAGGAATATTTTGCAGATAGCATATCATTAGCTTTGCAGTTTGAGTCTACATTTTAAAGATAAAAACCTATTTTCATTTACTGTAATAATCACAACCTTTGTCTTCATTTAATTTTCTTGTTTCCTTTCCATCTTTTGCTGTACAGACTTAGTTTCTTTGCTTTTTTTTTTTTTTTTTTTGCATTGATATGAATAGTTTCACTAATTCCATTCATGGTTACTGTAAACATTCTTAAAACTTTGTTTTATGGGATTATCAGAGTAACAAAATAATGTAGTCCCTTTATGGACTATAAGTAACTTAATGCTTTTCTTTCCCTATTTCATATCCCCATATTTGGTGCAATAATTTAATTCACTTACTTCATTATTTTGTTTTGCATTGTATTTTACACCTACATTTACACTATTAACTTATTTGTACATACTTAAATGGTTTCAGTGTGAAAAAGCAGCTTCTGACCTAGCATTCACACTAGGCGGTGGCGTTCTCCTGCTGAACATTTAACAATTCTCAAATCTCTAACATCAGATGAGGTCACTGTAATCCGGATAAAATGAGATACTGTAATCATGCCTGAGCACAGATAAAAACAAAGTCACTGTGCAAACCATAAACAGCCAACCTCTTCTTGTGGCTAACATGGGTGACTGTTGCTTCTTTCCTTTCCTCCCACCCACAACATAAAAATTAAGATACCCAGTTGCAAAATCACTCCCACTTTCTGACAGCACTCAATCCACTTTCTGACAGCACTCAATCCAGAAGAAACCCTTGCTCACTTGAGCCCTCCTTAAAATTAGCTACATGTGCTCAAATTCTTAGCAAGCCCCTCCTTACACCTTCCCACTGAGAAGCACCCATAGACCCCAGTGGTGTGCAGTCTCTCTTGCTGCAGCAAGCATCAATAAAACTAATTTTGATTATAATTATGCCCTGGTGATCTTTGATGACATCAACAAATGATGAGCATCAACAAATGTTTGCCGCAGAATTTTCTACCATCACCTACCCTCCAATCTTAAAGTTTTGAATTATCTCTTTATGATACCCTGTCCCCTGGTTGGACTATCAGCCCTATTAAGACTCAAGCCCCAGAGCTTTCTCTTGTGCCTGGAATATGGCAGGATCATAATTAGACGAGGAAAGGATGAATGTTTTTCTACTTACATATTTCTATAAATATTTTAGAGGGAAATTAGAAGATGATTCAGTAGTTTGTATTGGGCCTACTTGTCTTGATTTTTTGAAAACTGTATAATTTTGAATAACTTCTATATATCAGGATCTGTAATTGTTATTTTTATATCAATAAAAAAAACCTCTAATACTTCTATTGAAAAATATTGATTACATAACAACATGAAAATAACTTGGCTAACGCTCACAACTATGTAAAAAAATGCATTGGAGAGACAGAAAAGAAATACATGAAAACATTGGCAGCAGTTACCTTTAGGTGACAGAACTGTGGGTTAATTTTATTCTTCCCTATATTTTCTGTATTTTCCAAATTTTCTGAAGTCACTATGATTGCATTTTAACAATGGTTAAAACTATTGATTTGCATACTCATGGGAGAAAAACAGCTATGCCTAGAAACTGGCCTCTAAAACATTTCTCACAGTAGAGAGGCTCAATTGTCATGAATGTGTGAATAATACTAACAAGTCAAAACATAGTTCTGTAATGTGTTCAAGCCACATTATCCTAGAGGTTAACTGCTCAGAAGAATCTCACAAAGAGTCAAAGTCAGAGGACAAAGCCATTAGTGTGAAGAAACAGTAAAATCATAAAAAAGAAGACAGTCAGGACAAGAAATACCTGAAGCAAAATGACACAAAATGGATGTACTATAAATTATGGATGAAAGTAACAGGGTAGGAAATCAGAGCATAACCAAGCTTGGGCATGTCTGCTTTACCTCTTTGTCACTTAATCAACTCGAGCCTTCCACTGCCAACAGTCTTCTTACACAGTGGATCCTCGAAATAATATCACCACTCCTTTCAACCACAATCAATCATCAATAAAATGCAAATAAAAAGATTGTACTTAAACACTATTGGAGAAGGAAGGAATGAATAAATGCATTCATTTCTACTACTATTTGTTTATGCTAAACTGTAAACTAAAATTCTTAATTCGATCACAGTCTTATATAATATACAGAGTGGATGGTTTCTTGTTTTTACTCCCCCTACCTTAAACCCCAATCCATTTCCCCTTCCTAACAGCACCCTGAATTTCCAACCCTCACACAACTGTTAGCTACATGCTTTGTGTGATATTAACTTCACACTCAAACACAGGATATCCTAGGGAAGTATTAATAAATAAAATTCAATCATAGTCAATGATGAGATGTTTCTAGGACTTCTGGAGAAGATATGCTCTTTTAGTCTGTCCTTGCCCTGGATGGGAGATCTGAGGATGTAAGTGTGGAATTATCACATCTTGTCAAGAACCTGGCATTACAGAAGAGGTTTTTTATGGGTGGCAGGGTGACAGGTCTTGCTCTGTCACCCAGGCTGGACTGCAGTGATGTGATCATGGCTCACTGCAGCCTCGACCTCCTGGGCTCAAGTGATCTTCCCACCCCAGCCTCCTGAGAAGCTGGGACTACAGGCATGTGGCACCACACCCAGCTGATCTGTTTTTAAATTTTTTCTGTAGAGACATGGTCTCACTATATTGCCTTAGCTGGTCTCAAACTCCTGGGCTCACGCTATCCTCCCGACTCAGCCTCCCAAAGTGTTTTGATTACAGGTGTGAGCCACCGCGCCCGGCCGAGAGTTCTATATAGAGTTTGAGAGCAAAACCAGCACCAGGGAAGGCAGAGTGGAGATGAGTCCTTGCTAACATTGTGTGAGCTGCTCGATCTAAATGGAATCAAAGCTAGAGCTACCTCTAATTTTCTCAGTTATGTCATTCAAAAATTTTTCTTTCTGCTTCAGTCACTTGAAGTTAGATTTCTGTCACATATATCTGTTAAATTCTTGATTAATATTAATATTTAAATAAAACTTTCTTAACTCAGTGAATCTGAAGTGACAACTACACATGTATTTTGGTAAAGCAATATACCAAGTGTGTTCACTTGGTAATCATTCACTAAGCAACACATGTATAATCTGCCTACTTTACCATACAGATGTTATTGCTTATGTTCAAAATGTCAGGTTCACGAAAAGGTGCAGGGAGAAGAAATGCTGTTGTATATGTTAAGCCATCGATATACAAATCACGCTGCTAATAAAAAAAAAAGCTTATCATAAACAGTCTATCAGATCAGAGTTCCAGGTTCAGCTGAGGTCAAAATCTACTCTAAAGCTCCTTGCACCCAGAAGGCACCTCAACGAATACCTGTTGTTAAATAAATAAACCTTGGGGTTTGTTGTTGAAACTTTAAAGAAAAACATGACTCTTACTTACTCACAGGGGACTTATAATCTATAAGGTAAGCAAGATAAAGAAAGGGCCATCATAGGTATAATTCTAAAAGTGAGAATGGGAAAAGCAAGTTATGGTTAAAAAAATGAATGAGATGAAATTGGATCTGCCATTAGGATAAAAAAGAATTCATGTGACAGAGCTAGGAAACTCTTAGGTGAAAAAGATCCCACAAAACCCCTAAATCATATTTACTGTTAGTGGCAGAGAATCTCATAAATGTCTAAAGAACAAAACACAGTTTGTATTATGCTCAAACTAAGGCATTTTATTAGCTGGCTTTACAACTTAAATAATATCTTGGCTTTCAAAGGAACAGCTTCCACTAATTCCAAATTAAACTTTCACAAGTTTACTTGTTTGGGGAGGGACATTCTTATGGTCACCACAAAATACTTTTATTATAACCTTCCCCAAATCTTTTCTTAGCATTAACTGGAAAAAAAAAAAAAAAAAAAGCTTAGGTCAAATATCAACTGCCTGAAAAACCCAATTAAGTTACTTTTCCTTAAAACATGTGCAGTATAATTGAATCAAAAGAGAAAACTGCAAATACATTGTGCTTTGGCCAGAAGTAGAGTTCATTTCATGATGATTCAGTATCTTCAGATACTATTTTTGACACTTGCCATAAATCTTAGCAAAGTAAATCCATTTATTAACGTTTCAAAGGCAAAGTTGTTTTTAACATTAGACTTTCTTTGCCAGTTGGCAACTTAGAATTTTTGCAGAGGTGATTATTAATACTTCTTTGCAGCTAATTTTAGCTTTAATTTTTCTCTCTCATCTAAAAACATATCAATTGCACATTGTTCCTTTGACTTAATAACTGCATTCTTGAAACAGAGGTTAGCTATTTCACTGTATCCAGAAACGTGGTAGAAATTCTGACCCATCATTCTTTTATCTGTTAAAACAAAAAAAAAAAAGACATTTGCTGTAATTTAATCAATCACATTATAAGAACAACAAAGGGAAAATTATGGTGAAAGAATTATTATATCAAGAGAAAATCTTTTTCTTTGTCCTGCAACTTTCTTCCTTTCCTAGTCATGCCATTTCTGCAATTTACTATAATCTCTCCATTATTCTCCACAAATGACTCTATCTTATTTTTAGAATGCTCTTTTAGAAAGAATGCCTTGATAGATTAAATGTGATATTGATGGCAACGATATCAGCTACCAATATTGGATGCTTTTTATGTGCTGAGTGCTTTGCACGTTATCATTTCATTTCAACACAACTCTAGGAGGTAGATTCTATTATCCTATTTTTACACTGAAGGAGGTAAATTGAAGGAGAAATGCATTTATGCCGCTAAAAACTGGTGGAGCAAGAACACAAATGGGCAGTGTAACTCTGAAAGCTGTTTTCTTCACCTCCACCCCACACCGCCTTCCATATGTATTTTACTTAAATTATGTATATAGAGTTTCTTGGTGCTTTAGCAACTTAAAAGAAAGATTTTTCATGATATGTGTAACTCACTTTTGATGCAACTTAAAGTTTATGTTATATCCAATTAAATAAACTAGTTTTAGGCAGAAAACAATCATGTGGAGTAATGAAGTACCCTTTAAAATACAATATTCATAAGATTCATATTAATTATGATAGTGTAGAAGAAATTAAATCATTGAAATTTTCTGGTTCATTTCTGGCTGTTTTCTCCAGCAATTAGAATTTAATATAAATTCTAATTTCTTGTTCTAGTAGCATAACTGTGTTTCCTTTAAGGCATAAAATCTCACTGAAGATTTTACCAATCTTCCAAATATAACCCTATCCCTTAAAGGACCACTACAACCTAAAATGAGTAAGGCTTCTCCTAATCAATGCTTTTTCTTTCATTCCCTCAATGCTTTCTTTTCATTCCTAAAAGGTAAAAAAGAAAAGGCATCATAACTATGGATATATAATGAGTCACTTTAAAATAAAATACCTCAGTGACAACACCAGCAGCTATTGTAGAACCACCGTAACGTAGCATGAACCTCCCCAGCTCTTTAAAGTCTTTATATAGCTCAAGAGCTATTGGTCTTTGTGTCTGTAGCTCTACCAATGCATTCTGGCCTTTAGTCAAAAACCTATTAAGAAAAAAAAAGAACAAATGAATATATGATAGAGGTGAATAAATGTAATAATAACAACTTGAAAAACAAATATTTCACATTTAACCAACATATCAACTGAGTCTTTCAAAAACAAGAAAAATATTTTTTGAATGAAAATATATGTCTTTGGACTTTCTGCTTTAGTTGAAAGAAATGAGGAGTAATTCTAGATTTAAGAAACATTAGGTAGTTCATTTTTACCAATCTTCCAAATATAACTCTATCCCTTACGGGACCACTATAGCCTAAAATGCTTAAGGCCCCTCATCATGAAATAAATGCTTTTTCTTTCATTCCCTCAAGAAAGTGAGTTCAATTATCTAATAAAGAAAGTTATACTAAGGCTTATTTCTATAAAAAAGTATTTGCAAAGAGGAATATAATGCCCTATGTCTTTCCTAGTAAAACTGTAATTTATGGAATGTGTATTAGGAAGTTATCTGTGAAGAGGACAATCAATCTGTTGTTGCTAAGATTCCCCTCAATCAATCAAGCAATCTCTCTCTTTCCCCACACAGGAATAATAGTTCCTTAGCAGGAGTTCAGGACAAAAATCACATAAGTAGCTTTTCCACAATATGATACTTGTAAAATATGAAGGAAGACAGGGCATGGACCAGACTGTAAATGATTTCATAAAAATAAGTGAACAAAAATCTCTAGGCTAGGCCCTGCTCAGACTTAGTGAGAGAGGCAGAACCTAAAAAGGGACATTTTGGAATTGTTTTCTAATTTAATTTTTATGTACTCTAGAAGTATAGTGGACAGAAATCATAAACTCTCCTTTTGAAAGATAAGTTCAGGGGCAGACGACTAAAAGAAGGTTCTAAAAAAATACACCAAAAATTCCAAATATTGGTTTTGGACAATTTCAGGCTTAAGTTCATTCCTTAGGAAGGAGAGCATCTAATACATAAATGGCTTGTTCCTAATTTAGTTTCTAGAACATTAAATTCCATTCTGCATAAAGCAATCAAGAGCCTACAACGTGCCTGAACAGGAATGAAAGGGAAAGGCCAAACGGTTGTGCAAAATAAAAGGATAAAGCTACAAATAAGATGACAGGGAACACAAACACGAGAATATGTTAAACTCTACCATCATTGAGCTAGGATTTTGTAGCAGGAGCATGGAGGGGAAGACTCAGGATTATATATGATGAGCCAATTTCAGACTGAAAATTCTGTATCAGTTGTCTAGGTCAAACAACCTGGCTCCTGAACAAAAGAATATAATTTATGTAAACCAACTGACTAGGTTAGAATCCTGCCTCTACCACTTGAGCTTTGTGTCACTTGCTAGATGCTTCACAGGATTGCTAAGAATATACATTATGTGAAAGCATTCACAATACAGCCTAAAAATAGTGGTCCTCAAGAAATGTTAGTCATATAGTTATATCGTGTTTCTCAGAACATTATAGCAAACACTCATGCCACAAGCTAAAGACTCAGGTTAAATATAAAGATCTACCTTTAGGAGAGAGGTAAAGTAGCCCTTCCTCCTAACAGAGAAACAGGCAAGGGTTTAGAGCAATGTGAGATTTTCTCTTCTACTTGCAGTCAGCCTATTAACCCACTAACCACATTTGGCCTCTTCTGCAGGTGTAAAAGATGAGGAACACCAAGGACAGAAAAAAGGGGATTTGGGATGTTATTGGAAAAGAAGTTGGAAGGAAAACCCCAAAGCTAAAGCAGCCAAGCCAAACTGCAATTAGCCTTAACTTGGATTTGGGTAAGAAATCTTTTTTTTTTTTTCTTTTTTTTGAGATGGAGTTTCACTCTGTCACCCAGGCTGGAGTACAGTGGTGCGATCACCGCTCACTGCAACCTCCGCCCACCGGGTTCAAGAGATTCTCCTGCCTCAGCCTCCTGAGTAGCTGGGATTACAGGTGTGAGCCACCACACCCGGCTAATTTTTGTATTTTTAGTAGAGACGGGGTTTCGCCATGTTGGCCAAGCTGGTCTCAAACTCCAGACCTCAGGTGATCTGCCCGCCTTGGCCTCTCAAAGTGCTAGGATTACAGGCATGAGCCACTGTGCCTGGCCAAGAAATCTATTTTGTAACATTCATCTCTAGTCCTGTATTTTGTTTTTATTTACGTACTTAGTTTCTGAGGAAGTACTTAAAAAATCCCAATCTCGTCCTAGCCAAAGGGGAAGTGTCACACCTAAGCCTGGACATTAATGCTAATCAGCAGGCCCAACAGGATGCTGATCACCTCAACTTAAGGCTCCAGGTGGACTTTGAGCAAAAAAAAAAAAAAACAAACTTTCCAGATGGGAAAAGAGCAGGCACTACAGAGTGTATAGATTATTTTCTTCTTAGCTTAGCATAGGGAATGATCTTATTAAGGAGGTGACAAGAAAGTTAAACACGCAGTAGAAATTTGGAACCGGTGTCTAGACATATTTTTTTAAATGCCCTTATTTTCACATAATCAGTATCTATGGCTTGAAATGTACATACATATATAAGTTTATATTTACATTTATTTATAATTCACATCCTCCACCACCACACATAACAGAAATTATATCTAGTACCCATATCTAAACAAGAGCTTAAATACTTGCTTGTTTTTATGTTTGTTTTAATCTAGCCCTTGAAAAAATAATTTCTGGAACAAGTAAAAATGGGTTTCACTTACCACAAAGAGAAATACTACACAAATGAGTTAATCTTTAAAAAATTGGCTTAAATTGCTTGTTTATCATTTCTGTATTAAAACACTCACTTAGGCTTTTTCTTTGTGACTTCACCCGTGCTTTTGTTTAAGACACTAATCAATCGTTTAATAACGGCGGGTTCACTGACAGTTTGGTAGTGTAACAGCACCTAAAACAAAAAATTATAACACTAAAAATCTGCTACCACAGTATCTCTGGCCTTTTCTTTTGGCACTTATACTTAATTATCTTCAATTCAGTGCTACTGCTTGGAGTCTTTCAGGATCTCCAGTTGCTTCCTCTAAGTCCCACCACTCTAATCAGGTGGTTACTTAACTCACTAAGAGGAAAAAAGTCATGAGAGGCATTTCAAATTTCTACCCCACCAATTACTGCATCAACTTTAGTTCAGTGCATAACCTGTCAGCTTTTTCCTCTGTAAAGATGGAGGGTAACAACATCTTAGTGTTGTTCTAAAGATTAAGTAAGAGAATTCGTCATTTAGAACAAATGTTGTTGTCATTTTTATTATTACAAGTAGTAGTAGGGAAAGAACCTGGGATTGAATCTCAACTCTTTCTCTTCTGTCTGTACCTCAGTTTCCTCAAGTGTAAAATAAGTAGGCTTTTATAGCGTTGTGATGAAAATTAAATAGGATCAGACACAGTGCTTGCCATGGTAGAAGTTCAACCAATATAAATTGTCTCACACAGATTAGAGAGGGGGATAATATCATATTCACAGTAATTAATGTATTCATTGTTGAATAAGAATAAAATATTATAATAAATATAGAGGTAAAGAGGAAGGAAAATAACGTTTTTAACTATACTGGGTACAAACATTGTATGATATGATTTATGATTTATATGTACTATTTAATTTATGCAGCAGCTTAGTAGGCCCTGAAGTCAGACAGACCTGGGTTCAAGTCACCTCTAGTTGTGTGAACTTTGGGGCAAGTTATTTTTGTTTTTTTTGGAAGCGGAGTCTTGCTCTGCTGCCCAGGTTAGAGTGCAGTGGTGCGATCTCAGCTCACTGCAACCTCCACCTCCCAGGTTCAGGCAATTCTCCTGCCTCAGCCCTTACAGCAGCTGGGATTACAGGTGCACACCACCGTGCCCAGCTAGTTTTTGTACTTTTAGTAGATATGGGGTTTCACCACGTTGGCCAGGCTGGTCTCGAACTCCTGACCTCAGGTGATCCGACTGCCTCGGCATCCCAAAGTGCTGGGATTACAGGCATGACCCATTGTGCCTGGCCTGGGGCAATTTCTTTAACAATCTTCCACCCCTAAAATCCCCAGCCTCTGGTTCCTTATCACTGAAATGAGGAAAATCAGATGTTATTTTAAAGTGGTGCCTGGCACATGGCAAGCATTCAGTTAACTGATGGCCTTATATATTAGCTATTATTTCCATGTTTTATATGTAAGGAAAATTAAAATCAAAAAGGTTAAGCAATTTAATGTGGCCATGATGCTGTGTGTAGAGCTGAATTTTAGGCTTATGTCAGCTGAAACTACAAATTCAAAGCTCTTCCCACTTGAGTTTACAAGGAGGCCTATAGAAATCATATAAATGGAAACTTTCACTTTATGAAGATGAAGCTAAGGTTTGGATACACCCTAATCCAAACCAGAACAAAGTTAGACTGACTATCCTCGCTCAAATAATAAGTGTGCAATAAGCATTAAGTGTGTAATATGTCTATAGTTTAGAGATATTGGAAAGATCAATGCCCAGGACATATCAGAGCTATCAAAGTTTCATTGGTTTATAAGTACAATTTAATGCTGTTTGTAGAAACATTGGCACTTCTACTCTGGAATTTCCTAGCCAAAATAGTTTGCACATTCAGAAAACAGAAATGCAAGGGGGGCTGTAGATGTACAATCTTAGACTTTGGGAACTTTCTAAACCAACTCATTCAATTAAAAAAAAAAAAAGGGCACAGCTGGGCCTGCATTACTCCAAAAAGACAAAAGTGGTATTATTTTTCAATGGCATTTGAGGAGTCAGAACTGGAAAGATTCCAAAAGAATTAAAAACTGACTACTGGGGATGAAAAACTTGCCACAATGAATGGTAAAGTGGTGAGAAACACCTGTGTGCATTCAAAGGATTCAGGTCTTAACCAGTACCAATATAACATAAATATAAGTCTAAATATCTAAGAAACATTTCGTTTGTAACAAACAACTGAGGTAAACAAGCAGGATTCACTTCGCTTAGCCAAGGTGTGACTAAGGAACTGGAACCAGTCTCCATGGCCAAATTTGAAAGAACAGAAGCATACAAACCTAATTAAGTTCTTCTACCCTTGGTGAGCTATGTGTGAGCTATGCAAAATCAGGATGGACAAAGGATGGGTTGTGGCAGCATGAAGTTAGGTCTTATATGTCTTTTCATCTCCTCAGTATCTTGCAAATAGTAGCTCAAACAAATTATCACACGAAAATAACAGAGGGAAGTGACTGCACACTATCTCAATATTTTAATTCATATTATATATAACCAAAGTCATCTATAATTCAAAGTAATGTGCAGCATAGTGTAATAGGAAAAAAAAGTACTGAATTTCAGAGTAAAGGTAATGAATAAGGAGTCCTGGCTTAATCACTTATTATTTATATAGCACAACCTCTCGGAGGGTTCAATTCCTTATCTGTAAATAGGAACCATACTAATACAGGTCCACAATCACTTATCTGCAATTCCCAAGTCCCAAAAGACTGAAAATTTGAAGTTTTTTCTTAAGTCTGTAACAAGCCCATTTAAATGCAAAACCAGACTTGAAGTGAGGCAATGTATAGATCTTATTTATCTCAGTTAGTGTTAATAAGTTCTGGTGCAGAAACATTAATATTTTGATTTTAGAGTGTTGTTCCCTTCTGTTATGTAACTTGTATGCATTATTTACCTTTCTAAAGTTCTAACATTTCTGAATTCTAAAACCATTGCTCTAAAGGGTTTCAGGTAAAGGCTGGGATTCTATTCTTCGTGTAGGGTTATGAGAATCAAATTATCTAGTGTTCTATAAACTCAAATGGGCTACGTAGTCTGTTAGGTGGCCAAGTAAATCATTTTCCTTAATTTTCTAGATAACCTGTATTTTTAAAATGTTAACAAATACATAGTCAATTGGTTTTCAACCAGGGTACCAGCACCATTCAATAGGGAAGGAATAGTCTTTTCAACTCATCGTGCTGGGAAAACTGGATATCCATATGCAAAACAATGAAGCTCTCTACCTTACATATGTACAAAACTTAACTGAAAATGGATCAAAGACCTAAATATAAAAGCAAAAACAACAAAACTCTTAGAAGAGAACATAGCACAAAAGCTTTATGACATTGGATTTGGCCATGATTTCTTGGATAATACACCAAAAACATAGGCAACAAAGGAAAAAATAAACTGTACTTCAACCAAATTAAAAACTTTTGTGCAACAAAGGACACTACCAAGAAAATGAAAAGGCAGCCTAGAGAATAGGAGAAAATATCTGCAAATCATGTATGTAATAAGGGATGATATTAAGAACTTCTATTAATAACAACACAACCTAATTCAAAATGTGCAAAGGATTTAAAAAGACATTTCTCAAAGATATACAAATGGCCAATAAGCACATGAAAAGATGTTCAGCATCTAATTAGAGAAATCCAAACCAAAACCACCATGAGACACCACTTAACAACTATTAGTTTGCCTATTATATTTTTAAAATCCCTCTCCCACACCCCACTACTAGAAAACTTGTTATTTAATGTGTTGACAAGAAAGTAGAGAAAATAGAACCCTTATGCACTGCTGGTGGGAATGTAAAATGGTAGAGCCCCTGTGGAAAATGGTTTAGCAGTTCCTCAAAAAGTTAAACACAGAATTACCATATGATCCAGCAATTCCACTCCTAGGCATATGCCCAAAAGAATGGAAAGCAGGAATCTCAATAGATACTTGTACACCCGTTTTCACAGCAGCATTATTTGTAATAGCCAAAAGATGGAAATAACCCAAATGTGCATCAACAGATAAATGGATTTTTAAAAGGTGGTATATACATGCAATGGAATGTTATTCAGGCTTAAAAGGGGATGAAATTCTGATGCATATTACAACATGGACAAACCATGAAAACAATTTGCTAAGTGAAATAAGCCAGACACAAAAGGACAAATATTGTATGATTCCACTTACATAAGGAACCTAGAGCAGGCAAATTCACAGAGAAAGTAAGTAGAAGAATGGTTATCAGGGGATACCAAGAGGGAATAATGGGAAGATACTGTGTCATGGGTACAGATTTTCAGTTTGGGATGTTGAAGAAGTTCTGCAGATGAATAGTAGTGATGACTGGCCAGGCGCAGTGGCTCAATGCCTATAATCCCAGCACTTTGGGAGGCCAAGGCGGGTGGATCACCTGAGGTCAGGAGTTCAAGACCAGCCTGGCCAACATGGTGAAACCCCGTCTCCACTAAAAATAAAACAAATTAGCCAGGCGTGGTAGTGCACACCTGTAGTCCCAGCTACTCGAGAGGCTGAGGCAGTTCCGGGAGGCTGAGGCAGGAGAACTGCTTGAGCCCAGGAGGCAGAGGTTTCAGTGAGCCAAGATTGTGCCACTGCACTCTAGCCTGGATGCCAAAGCGAGACTCCATCTCAAGAAAAAAAAAAAAATGAACAGTAGTGATGACTGCACAACATTGTGGAGGTACTTAATGCCACTGATTGTACACTTAAAAATGGTAAGTTCTATGTCACATATATATATATATAAAATAATAAAAATCAAATATAAATTCACTTAAAGTCTAATCCATTCTTCTATTATTTCCTCTTAAAAAATATAGAGTAAGAGAGAAGATTCAAATAAGCTCAATTCAAAAGGAAAATGGAGACATTATAAACGACACCACAGATATACAAAAGATCATTTGAGACTACTATAAACACCTCCGTGCACACACTAGAAAATCTAGAGGAAACGGATAAATCCTGGAAACATACAACCCTCCAAGCTTGAATCAGGAAGAAATAAGAAATCCTAAACAGACACATATCAAGCAGTGAGAATAAATCAGTAATAAAAAAAAAATTTTCAACAACAACAAAAAAGCTCAGGGCCAGATGGATCCATAGCCAAATTCTACCAGACATTCAAAGAAATAATACCAATCCTACTGAAACTATTAAAAGACTGAGAAAGAGAGAATCTTCTCTAACTCATTCCATAAAGCCAGTATCATCACCCTGATAACAAAACCAGGAAAGGACATAACAAAAAAAGAAAGCTACAGACCAACACCCCTGATAAACACAGATGCAAAAATCCCTAACAAAATACTAGCAAACCAAGTCCAACAGCATATCCAAAAGACATTTTATCATGATCAAGGAGGTTTCCTCCCAAGGATGCAGGAATGGTTCAGCATATGCAAGTCAATAAATGTGATTCACCACTGAAACAATTAAAAGCAAAAAAAAAACAGATGATCATCTCAATAGATGCGGAAAAAGCACTAGATAAAATCCAGGATCCCTTAATGATAAAATGTTCAATAAACTAGGCAAAGAGGAAACATACCTCAAAATAATAAAAGCCACATATGACAAACCCACAGCCAACATCATACTAAATGGGGAAAAGTTGAAAGCATTCCCCCTAAGAACTGAAACAAGACAAGGATGTTCACTCTCATCACTTCTATTAAACACAGTACTGGAAGTCCTAGCCAGAGCAATCAGGCAAGAGAAAGAAATCAAGGGCATCCAAATTGGAAAAGAGTAAGTCAAACTATCTCTGTTTGCCAATGATATAATTACATACCTAAAAAATCCTAAAGATTCCTCCCAAACAACACCTAGATTTGATAAATGAATTCAGTAAAGTCTCAGGTTACAAAATCAATGTACACAAATCAGTAGCACCAACAACGATCAAGCTGAGAATCAAATCAAGAACAAGAACTTAATCCCTTTTACAATAGCTACAAAACCAACCAACCAACCCACCTAGGAATGTACTTAGCCAAGGAGGTGAAAGATCTCTTACAAGGAGAACTACAAAACACAGCTGAAAGAAATCATGGATGACAAATGAACAGAGATACATCCCATGCTCATGAATTGGAAGAATCAATATCATGGAAGAGACCACATTGCCCAATCTACAGATTTGGTGCAAATCCTGTCAAAATACTAACATCATTTTCCACAAGATTAGAAAAAACAATCCTAAAATTCATATGGAACCCAAAAAGAGCCCAATTAGCCAAAGCAGTCCTAAGCAAAAAGAGCAAATCTGGAGGCATCACACTACCCTACTTCAAATTATACTACAGGCTATAATAACCAAAACAGCATGGTACTAGTATAAAGGTAGATTCATAGACCAATGCAACAGAATAGAGAACCCAGAAACAAAGCCAAATACTTAACAACCAACTAATCTTTGACAAGGCATGCAAAAACATAAATTGGGGAAAGGACACCCTATTCAATGGATGGTGCTGGGAAAATGGATGGTGCTGGATAGCTACATATGGAAGAACGAAAACTGGATTCCTATCTCTCACTACATGCAAGAGTTAACTCAAGAGGGACTTGGATCTAGGAACTGAAACCATGGAAATTCTGGAGGAAAACCTGGGAGAGGTTCTTCTGGACATTGGCCTAGGTAAGAATTTATGACTAAGACCCCCAAAGCAGATTCAACGGAAATAAAAATAAATAGATAAGACCTAATTAAGCTAAAGAGCTAGTGCACAGCAAAGAAATCCTGAACATAGTAAACAGACAATCCACAGAATGGAAGAAAATATTTGCAAACTATGCATCTGACAGGACTAGTATCCAGAATCTACAAAAGACTCAAATCAGCAAGAAAAAAAAGCAAACAATTCCATCAGGAAATGGGCAAGTGACATGAGCAGACACTTCTCAAAAGAAGACATACAAATGGCCAAGAAACATATGAAAAAATGCTCAACATCATTAATCATCGAGGAAGTACAAATCAAAGCCACAATGGGATACCACCTTACTCCAGCCAGAATGGCCATTATTAAAAAGTCAAAAAACAATAGATGTTGCCCTGTATGCGATGAAGAAGGGAACACTTGTGCACTGCTGGTAGGAATGTGGATTGGTATAGCCTCTGAGGAAAACAGAACAGAGATTTCTCAAAGAACGAAAAGTAGATCTACCAGTTGATCCAGCAGTCTCACTACTGGGTATCTACCCAAAGGAAAATAAGTCATTATATCAAAAAGATACTTGAATGCATGTTTATCACAGCACAATTTACAGTTGCAAGAATGTGGAACCAACCTAAGTGCCCATCAACCAATGAGTGGATAGAGAAAACGTATATGTACACCATGGAATACTACTCAGCCATACAAGGGTAGAGATAGTGTGTTTTGCAGCAACTTGGATAGGGCTGGAGGATATTATTCTAAGAGAAGTAACTTAGGAATGAAAAACCAAATAGCATATGTGCTTACTTAAAAGTGGGAGCTAAGCTATGGGTACACAAAGACATACAGAACAGTATAGGGGACACTGGAGACTCAGTAGCGGGTAGGGCTTGAAGGGGGTGAGGGATAAGAAACTACATCTTGGGTACAATATACACTACTTGGGTGATGGGTGCACTAAAATCTTAGATTTCACCATTATACAATTTATCCATGTAATCAAAAACCACTAGTTGGTAAAAAGAAGTAAAAAGAAAATTGACAAATAAATAAAAAACAAAGGAAAAAATTACTTGTACCCAAAAGCTACTGAAATAGAGTTTCCCATACAAAATAGGGAAAATTTAAATATATTTATGTAGTATTATGGCATTAGTCCCTAAACAGTAAAATTTTAATAGCTTAGGAAACCTTTGTTTGCTTAAAAAATTTTTTTTCAAGTTTTTCTCCCATAGGGAGTAGACTGACAAAATATGGCCATATTTTTCTGAAACAAATTTGATCCTGGTATTTCTGAATCAATATATGCTGGCAGAATCTCCTAAAGCAACAGTGAAAAACTTGCAATTCATGCTTATTTTTAAGAAACTACAGTAGTCAGGGAGACAGTATTACTATTCAAAGTCACTTCTGACCTCTTCATCCCTCTACCTCTCCATTGGCAAATATTATTATTGCATGAGTAAAAATATGCAGTAACCAACCCCTCCTTTGCCTCATAGGACATACTGCTTTCTGTGAATGAGTTCCATTCGCTCACAACAATTAACTTGTTGTTACTTGATGATCAATACATGAATTCTGAATATTTAAGTATCTTCAACTATAGCAATTTTTTTAAAAGAAGCTTTTCTTTTCTAGTGTATGGAAGAAATGGAATATAATTATGTAAGTAAAGTACCTAAATAGTACCTTAAAATATAATTTTACATGATCAAATTAATATAGAAATAATTACAAAGAATTATAAAGTACAAGGTTATCTCAAATATAGGTGTATCAGTATAAATGACCCAAATAAATGTATTGCCAACCTCTAAACCACTATCACTAACTTTAAAAACTCTTACTTTTATTTCAAAGATGCATCAAATGGTAGAAACATCACTGAGAAACATTTATTGTCATGCAGAATCTGTACTATATGAGCTAATTAGAAAAAAAAGTCTAATGGGAAAAATGGTCATCTGTCACGTGACAAAAGCAAAGTACAAAAACTATAAGAGTACGGTCCCAAATATCTCAAAACAATTACACATAAAACAAAAAATCCAGACTATTCACAAGTAACAGCTTTTCAGGATAAGTAACATTATTGTATAAAATCTCCCTCTTCCCATAAAATGTATATGTTCAAATGATGCTGGCAAACCAACCTTACAACATGCAGGTTCTGAATGTGTTGCTTCAGCACAACTGAATGTCTAGGATCCCCAGACATTTACTGTATGTCTAGGATCCCCAGAATACACCCAATACATACCAACTGGGTGGATAATATGCTCACATAAAAACACACTGACATGTAAAGATATATATCTATGGATTATGCAAGTATATGGCATTTTTATTTTCCATATTTTTAAGTTTTCCAAAATTTTCTATGCAATCTATAACTTTTATTATCAGAAAAACTGCAAATCGACATATTAAAAATGGAAACCCAGAATGATTCAACCTAAAAAACTTAGAAGTAACTAAGAAAAACTTAGAAGTAAGTAAACTTTAGAACACAGTGAAAATGTGTCTATCATTTTTCCCTGGATAAATTTTATTATCATTACTTTGTATCCTATTTATTATTAAATATCTTCTCAATGCCTTTTAAAAAGTCCTCAGGCTCAAAGATCAAAATAAAAAACAAAATAAAAACGATTTTCTAATTATAAGTTTTTCTGGATTACAGTAATAAGATGTTAATTCAAAATAAATATAGTATCACCACTTGTAAAGAAAGTTACCACTTTTAGGATAAAGTTACTTTGAATTTATAAAAACAGGAATAATAAAACATTTTGGAACTTACAGGAAATCCTTTAGTGATAGGAATTTCAATATTAAAGATGAGGATTCGGGCTCTGAAACGAGTGCAAGCTTTAATGGGTACTTTGGGGCCACAAAATATGCAGCCAACACTGTAAGAACAACAAAAAAAGAGGAAAGGTAATTGGGGGACAAATTTACATCAAATAGAAAGACCTCAAAAACATTTACAAGGAAAGTAAAACAATTAAGTAAATTAGGGACTTTTTCTAAATATTCTCTTCTGAGCTAAAGCATGACTTTAAACCATTATTAACCTTATGTCATTTTTATACATTAGAGCTTTCACTCAAAGCACATGCCAAGTATGTGTGCTGACATGTATTAATTCAAATTTTAAGTAAGTTTGCTTACATTTACACAGGTGTCTATTTTTGGTCAAATGAAATTCAAAATTGAACTAGCAGGTTGCAAAATATATGTGTTTAGAGGTGAGGTCCTATATGAAGACAACGGTTGCTTAAACTCATTTTCTCACTCACTTGATTTTGATGATATCCATCCCAACCAAAGTAAGACTAACATGATCGCCTGCTGCCGCCCAGTCGACAGGTTCATCATGCAGAGTGATTCCTGGAAATGAGTAAGAACCAAAGCATACAGTGAAACACCTCGATATCAAACCATAACAACCAACAGAGTTTGGCTGATTTGTGCTTCATCAGTCACTACTCATCATTTTCAATATGAATGGATTGAGAGTAAGAAGTGTAACTGTGAGCGTTGAGGAAAACACACTTCCTCTAGAACTGACTCTTCTAGAATACCACCCTAAACATAAAGTGACTTGTATTTGCCCATAAAAGGCTGACTTCTGCTTATTTAATCAAGATTTTTAAACTAATTGACACAATTGGTATATTCATTAAACAGGCCCCATTCAAATATTTCTATCATATTAATGGATACAGACAAAATAAAACACAGTTCAAATTATTCATAATGACATAAAAGATGGGCTGGAGAAGATGTCTAGCAGTATTTTCTTCTCGAGTTTTGCTTTTAATTAGACAACCACCTAAACAAATAATCCTTGTTTTCCAAGTAACCCATGGGACATGTACACTCAGTCAGAATTTCAAGCGGTCCTCTCAGCAGGCCCCTTAACTACTCCTGGCTCAAAAGAACTTCTTTCCAGAGAGAGATCTGCATACTAATGACTAGTTATATGAAAAGAAAAATATTAAGGAAATAGTGATAAGAAAATTTAATTTTAAAATGATCCTAGGTGTTGCTATATATCTAGAGATATACATCTATTTACCTAGACATAGTCCTGAAGGTAGTCGGAGAGAGCAGTTCCCAAGGGCAATACTCAGCTACCTTACTCAAAGGCTTTTAAAATATATCCCATATTTTCTGATTTTATGGAATACATTTATGGATTAAGTTCCTTTCCATAGAAATGTAGGCCTTTTGACAAAGAGAATGTGTAGGCCAACCACTGTGGATAGTTCTTGATTGACACATTGACATGTTCTTAGTAAATTATAATCCACCCATATCTTTCTGAAAATACTCATTTTCTATGCAGCAGGGAGAGTTTCTGACTTTTAGGGAGCTCAAGGATTTAACTTTAAGAGCTCTGAGACAATCTAGAGTTTCATGCAAAATATCATGTATGTGCACATCTGCATTAATCTGAGAAAAGAAGGCATAACTTTCTTCAGGTATCAGAGATTCTTCCTCCCAAACATGTTAGCAATTATCGTATTAAGGAATGTTTGTTAAATATCAACTTACTAGATTTAATTTTAAAATGTAAATTTAGAATGAACATATCTGAATTTTGCTATGAAATATGGGATTAAAAACAGAAGCTAGGTATTTACACACAATAGAGATTGACTTTGGCTTAAACATTTGTAGATGTTTTATACTACAAGTTCAATTAACAGTATAAAATTTTCCAAAGGTAATTATATTCTCTGGTTCTTCTTCCCCTCAATCATGTTACACTGTTCCACATATGACATTTATCAAAAAACTTTTCTCATTGGACAAACATTACAAAAAGAGGCTCTTTTTTAATACTCTATGAGCTTGATATGTTAATAAAGTAAAAAAAAAAAAGTAATTTAGAATTTCTATTTGTTGGTAGTAGATTCAGTCAAGTCTTTCTTTTGGGACAGTACTGGTTAAAGAGCCACAGTAGTACCTAAAAATGTTTAGACAGAACAGTGCTTTCAAGAATCAAGTAAACCAAGCAAAAGCAGTAAGGTTAGAATGGAGGAAGGAGAACCTCTCTGTTGAGTTAAAAGACTGGCTCTCAAGAAGTAGGGTGGTTCTTCCCTGGGGCTTCTGATAAGACTTACACTGATAAAAGATAATACTTTAGAGTTTCTCTGTGTGGAAAGTACAGAGAAGAGGAGGGTAAAGAATGTGAGACTTTCAGAGATGACTAAGGATTTTAGAGGTTACAAGGGAGCCAACCTCAAGGTCTGTGATAACTTTAGGATCATGGTTTTAATTTATGGCTCTTAATCATAAAAAAATTCTTGTTCTCAAAAAAGATCATTAACATACCAAAAAAATCGTGTTTCAAAAGTATTATAGCTCTTGTCACTTTAAAAAACAAAAGCAGAGACCTGTACTTGCACACAATGAACAGATCTATAGAAAATGACACTATTTTTAAAGTGCATATTACTTTTTATCAAAACTGAAATTTCATGATCTCTAGTGGGCACAAATAAAAAGGTCAAATGGAAATAACTGATTTTCATTCCCTTATTCATCTTTAAATATAGGTTAAACCATGTAACTTCAATAGATATTAATTTCTTAAACTTTTCAAGAAATCTTCTTTTAAAGAGAGCATATGAATTCAAGAAAAATATACATTCAAATTGATAAACTAGTCAGGTACAACTCTAGATATAAACTATAAATTAAGAGTAACAGAGGGAAAAATACTAAAATCTAAAAAATTTTTGCATTTCCAATAGGTTATACTTCAGCTTAAAATGGTTACAAATAATATTATTTTATAGTATAAAACAGATCTTCAGAAGTCAGAGGCTTAGTTGGAAGCCAGAATAAAAGAGGTATAGAATTAGAAAGTTTTAGTCAAAATCTGGAAAATAATATACATGTACATGTAACATATAACATGTATACATATACATAAATATATATATGTGTGTATATATTAGAAGACAGAAACAATTATCAGTCATTATGAAAAAAATTAGATCTATATGCAGAAACAGTGACTGGCAATTTAAACTAGTTCAATTTCTCTTTTCAACATTGGGTTTTTCTCCATTTGAATGTTACTTATATCTTCCTATAAAATATACCTACATTTTTGGCATAAACATGATCAAAGCTGTTAATTTATAGTTATTCTGAAACATACATTTCAAAGTAACAGACTGTAGAAGGCTGCTTTGCCACTGACTAGTTAGGGTAAGGCTGGGACTAGATTTAATTTCTGCTACAGAATATTATTCCAAATACATCTGTGAGGTATCTATACATATCTGATTAAATCCTAACCAGGCTTCTCAGATCTGTGTCAAAAATAGAATGCTACTACAGTTAGAATGTTTATGTACATATATATACAGACACAATCACAACAGAAAAAAATCGTTTAATGTTTTCACATTTTAATCTTCAACAGTCAGTATCATTTTGACAGTCAGTTACAATTTCAGTAAGAGGTTACTTACTTTGGAGTTGTAACTAAACCACTTTTTAAAAATCTGCTGTCTCAACTTAAGGCTTGTTTAGCAAAAGCATCTTGCAGATAAATACCTTTCACGGTACAAGTTTCATTAGGAGGCATTGCCAGTAGTCGGTCACCAGTTTGGATATAACCAGCTTCTATTTTACCAGTTATGCAAAATCCAGATCCTTGATCTGCAAAACATACCAAAATCTTATGGTTCATACAGCAATGTTATCTGATGATTAATACCGTTAACTATACTTAGTTCTCAAGTAGTCATATAAAACTAGTAGTTCAATGGACATTAAATAATAATCATTTCAGAATTAACATCTCTACTAAATATGGCATACCACACTTTACTTTTTTTTTTTGCAAATAAAAATACTCATATTACCAAAGAAAGGTTCATTCCTTTCTCAAATATTTATTGAGAAATAATAAATACGTAGTACCAGATATTATACTAAACTCTGGGGATAAAAAAAAATAAAAATGTAAGTCCCTGCCCATAAAGATATTATACTAGTGAAGAGAAAGATGGAAACAATTACATTGTCCTGAGACAAATAATATGTAAAATATACAATAGAAACACAAAGGTGCACCAAAGAATCCATGATGGTGAGAATAGACATCTGGCACTCTGAAGAAGGAATAAGTGTTTATTAGGTAGCTTGTATGCATGAGTAGGGAGAAAAAGGAAGACACTGCTGCCCCAGGAAACTGTGTGGGCAAAGGCATAACCAAATGTGGGATGGGCTAAGAGTCATGTGTCACTTGTGGGGGCCATGGGGAGGGGACCATATAGAATAATGAAGAAAAGGTAAGACAGGAGGCAACAGAGATAGGCAAGGGAGAAATAATAAAGGGGTCTCATAAATCACGCTTAGGGTTTAAATTTCATCCTGCAGTTAAGTAATAGGAAGCCAGTAAATATTGTGACCGGAGAAGTAAGGTGATGGTATTTCTGTCTTAGAGTAGAGGCTGATACAAATGCACAAACTTACTACAGAAAGGGAATAAACTCAAGAATTCGGGAATAAGGAATAACAAGTTTGGAGTGGTAAGGAAAGTGAAGACTAATGACAGAAAGGGGAAAATGTGAGATGATGATGCATTAACTGTGAGATATGAAACTAAGGACAAGATCCATTTTAGGCTTGGTAAATCTGAAGTGTCTATGAGACACACACATGCAGAAGTTGCATTCCGGGGGGACCAATCACACCACATTCCATGAGAATGGTACCCCTAAAAGAACACTCTCCCAGGAGAGATGTCCAGTAGTGCTTAGACAAGTGTGTGGAGAATGAGTGAAAAGGTTTGGGTTGGAGATACAGATTTGGGAAGCATCAAGATGCAGAAGGTAGAGACACTCATGGATGTCAGTTCAAAAGGAACTTGAAGACTAAGAAGAGGACTGAGGCAGCAGAACACTGTTTAAAAGACAGAGAATGAGGAGCCCATAGAGAAGATATAGAGAGGTCAGAGATAGACAGGTCAGAGAAATAGACAGGTTAACAGGAGAAAGCAGGTCACAGAAACCAAGGGAGGAGTTTCAAGGTGGATGTGGCTACCAGCATCAGAACCAATGCCAAATTCAAGTAAGATAGAATTGAAAGTGTATATTGACTTTGGCAACCAAGAGGTCATTTCATGACCTCAGGAGGAACACACTCAGGAGAGCAGCGTAGGCGGAAGCCAGGAAGCAGCCTGAAGGGGGAACAGAAGGTGAGAAAGTACAGTCAGCAAACACTGTTAATCAAAGAAAAGTAACCACCTCTTGTATTCTTGATAAACAATGGGCATCTTGGAAACTATTAGCATATTTCCTCTATTACTAGAACACTGGAAGCTAATAATGATAATGATAAATTTTGATTTCATTGCATGATTTTTTCAAAGCACCTTCATTCATTCATTTTTTTATTCATGTGTTAAATGTATTATGTGCCAGGCACTGGGCTAGGGCCGCAGATATAGATAAAGAAGAGATAGTACTTGCCTTCAAGGAGTTCATAATCTAAGTGGGATAAACAGACAGCATAGAAAAAATTATAATGCTGCATGAAAGCACAATGACAGAGGATACAGAGAATACAGAGGGACGCGTCAGGGCATGTGCGCAGGTAAGCACGCCGGTTACCAATTTACTGCTGCTCAGTTCCACATTCACTCTGCATTGCTGGCTCTGTGACAATGGAGATTTAGAGGACAAATGACATCCTTACAGTTTTTATTATTGTAATAATAAATCTTATATCCTTTTATTTATTGAGTTTTTAAATTGTATTTCCACTTTATAGTCTTCTATATAGGATCTTGCCCTTATTAAGTTAGATATATTCTTAGGTATTTAATATATCATCTCTTCCAGCAAGCTCTGAACCTCTTCTACGTTGGTCCTTCCTCAGCCCTATCTATAAAGTTTCTGTATATCTTTTAGTTGCATTTTTATCATAGTTAATAATTCTTTATATTACATTTCCCATTTCACCTATGTATGGTATCTAACTCCTAACTGGACCCAGACTGTTACAGATGGGGAGGAAATGGACAAGTAAAGAGAAAGAACAATACAACAGGGAAGCACGGGTAGACATGTGGCAATAAACACATCCTGTGTGGTTAAGAAACAATAAACAATCCAGTTTGGTTGAAGGATTTGAAAACTAAAGGAATCTAATGGGAGAAAAAAAAACTATAAAGTTAGAAAGACAAAAGGCAAGGTTTTCTTATGCTTGAAAGATGAGAAATGGTGAGTAAACTGAAGGTTTTCCTGGACAGGGAAGCTAAGTGACTAAATCTGTGCATTTTAAGATTAATCTGACAGTGATCCTTACTTGGGCATGGAGAGGAGAGACTCTGAAGGCAATATACTGTCATAACTTAGTCCAGGAAAGGAGGTTAGGAGGGAATGGGGAAAAGGGGCTATACTGAAGAAGCACTACAAAGGTAGCACTTACCTTTGAAAACATCGGACACACATAATCTAAAAGGTTTGTCAATAGATCGCTGGGGAGGCTTAAAGGAATCTGGAAAAAAGAAATTGCAAAAGGCAAGGTTTAATTTAAAATTAAATTTTTGACTCACTTCAATAAACTCATTATAATCCCACTTCTCCTAGAAAATAACTACTTTTTATAATTACTAATAGCAACTTAACTGTCACTAATATACACATTGAGCATCCCAAATCCAAAATTCTGAAATCTGAAATGCTCCAAAATCTGAAACTTTTTGAGCACTGATATAATGCTCAAAGGAAATGCTCATTGGAGCATTTTGGATTTCAGATTTCTGAATTTGGGCTGTTCAACTAATAAGTATAATGTAAATATTCCAAAATCCAAAAAAAAAATTTCAGACCCCAAACACTTTGGGTCCCAAGCATTTCGGATAAGGGACATTCAACCAAGTAATAGTTGCAGCTTATAAAATGAATGTTAATCTCATTTAATTTTAACAACAGTCTATAAGATATGTAAACCAGGCACTAGCCTCATAAACTGAGGAAAACTGAGCACTAGACAGGTTAAGTATTGCACATGATGACAAAACAGGTAACTTAGTTCCTCCGACTACAAATCCTATGCTTTTTCATACGTGTGACTCTCTCCCATAAAGAACTCTAAATAATAATTAATACCAAGTTTATAATGCATTAAAGCTAGAATGGCAGTATACTTACCAATTTGTTCTAATAAACATAGTCCTTTATACCATTTTGTGAGTTCACTTGACTGAGATCTTGTGATTAGATTTTCACCACTGAGACCACTTGTAGGAATAAAACCTACATCACTCTCCTATTAAAAAGATTGACTTATGAAACTTAATACAACATTTTTTAAAACATTAAAAGATTCACCATTACCATAACTGCACCAAGTTTGCAAAAGCAACAATGTACTTTTTAAAACATAATAGAAATCACAGAACTACAGCCCCAAAGTTATCTGATCCAATAATTTTCAACTTTTTTGATTGGGAAACTTGCAAATTTATTCCAAAACATTCAAGCATTTGGTAACAAAGGCATACTACAGATGCTTGCTGGACAAATTCTTCCCTATCAGTTTCCACACTCCTCTATGACCTCCCTAAACCTATACCATCTAATTTAATAGGTAGGGTAAAAAAGTATTTTGCTTACATAAAAACCAACCCAAATATTAAACATATGCAATTTTCTAAGTTGAAATAATCCAAAGAATATATTATATATATGATACTCAAGAGAAAATAAAGCAAAGAGAATTAAATAAATTTAATAAGAATATCAAAGTATTAGTTTTTCCTCTCATACCAGTAAGATGACTTAAGGAAAGTAATAACAAATAAATCTAAAATGATCTTACCTTAAAACCTGCTTGCTTAAGAAAGTGCCCAAGTTTTCCAGTAATCTCTTGAAACCTTTCTTGTTGCCAATTAACCTGATAAAGATCCAATTTATTTTTAAAACTATCCTTCAGAACATGATACATAAAATTTAAATTTCTGCAATGAAATATAATCAAGACTATATAAAATATAAATATAAAATCTATTAAAATCAAAACATGGAATATCAGACCTTGCTAATAATATGATCTAAAAGTAATTCTTCCTCAAAATGCTCAAAGGCATTTTAATCAGGTTCAGCAAGTCTTAAAACGTACATTCCCTTACGCCCAGAAATTTCCATGGAATGAACCATTTTCTAAATACATATGCAGGAAATGTTCAAAAGTAAATGTTTAATAAATTACATCTTTAAAATAGACTAGAATACAGCCATAAAAACAATACCCTCTTTATCTAAGGATTATCAATTACTTGGAAACATGCATAAGACAAGAAAATTATTTTTTAAAAAGCAGATGATAAAACAGATAACCCAATTTTGTAAATAAAAAGATTCTTATCTATAAAAATAAATTGGATGAATATACAAAATGAAATGTTATAAGTTTCTGGGTGGGAAGGAGAATTGGTAATATAGGTTTATTTCTGATTTTTATGCTTTCATTCCACTATAATAAACATGTATTATTTTATAATTTAAAACAATTTTTAGGTTTTAAAAATTAATTTTGAAAATAAGAAGACATTTTCTTACTTAAAAATTACTAACACCTCATTTATTTAAGATGAGAACAGAGAATTTATTTTTAAAAACATGGCAACCGACTAATAAAATGTACACTAGTCACATCTAAGTCATCTATACAAGCAGAATAACATCTTAATTAGCATCTTAAACAAATCTCCACAAAGCCCTTAAATACCTGATCCATTTTATTAACTGCAACTGCAAGCTGCGTCACTCCCAGAGAACGGACCAAGAGTCCATGCTCTCGTGTTTGTCCTCCAGTCTCAAATCCAGCTTCAAACTCTCCCCTGCTGGCATCTACAACTAAAACAGCTACATCCGCCTAAAGAAGAAAAATAATCGAAGCCAGAAATAATGTTTCAGCATTTTAATTCAAAGGACAGATTATTCAATTAATTATGTTAGTCACATTTTTAAAGGAAGACCCTAACTACCCCCACCAAAGCAAATCAAACAAAAGACTCCCAAAGATGGATTAAAATTTTAAAATAAAAGTCACCAAAAATAATGACACAAAGAACAATAAAAAAGTCCACACTTGATTATATAAGAATTAAAATATATAAGCAAAGGAGGAAAAATATAAACAAAATTAAAACATAAACAAACAGCAACCAGGCACAGTGGCTCACGCCTATAATCCCAGCACTTTGGGAGGTCAAGGCAGGCAGATCACCTGAGGTCAGGAGTTCGAGACCAGCCTGGCCAATATGGTGAAACCCCATCTCTGCAAAAAATACAAAAATTAGCCGGGTGTGGTGGTGCACACCTGTATCCCAGCTACTTGGGAGGCTAAGGTATGAGGATCACTAGAACCTGAGAGGCAGAGGTTGCAGTGAGTCGAGATCGCCCCACTACACTCCAGCCTAGGTGACAGAACAAGACTGTCTCAAAAAAACAAAAAACAGTAGACAGGGAGGGACAAACATTTGTAACATATAAAGTAAAGGTTATAATCTCTATAGAATCTTTACCAAAAAAAAAAAACATAAAAAACCCCAAAACAAAGCAAGAAGACATAGCTTTAAAAGATACAAGCAAGCTATTTGCTAAAGAAATATAAATGGTCAACATGAAAAAAATTCAAATTCAGTAGAAACTAAAATTTTTTAAAAGTAAAATAAAAACACATTGACATATTCCCTCTCTCCCATTTTTACAAATCACATTGTTAAAGATTTGAAAGACAAAATTATTTGCTGTAGGCAAGGATACGGTGAGAAGCGCATCCTCAAATATTGCTCATGGGACTGTAGGTGCACCACCTTCCAGGGGGTATTTTCACAAAAAGTATCAAGAACTTAAAAATTACACATATTTTACTTCCCATCAATTCCACCTCTAGGGATTTATCCCAGAGAAATAAGTATAGATCTACAAAGATATTCATCAGAGTACTGTTTATAATGAAGAAAAACAGCAAATATATGAATTATCAAAAAGCAGCATATTCATCCTCTACAGCTATTGAAAAAAAAGCCTTGTATAACAAAGTTTTCTAACCTGTGTGGACCATCTTGTGAATCAGATAGAAAGACATTCCTTTCAGACTCAAATTACACACCCCACAAAAGAAGAAAGCTAACCTCAGCTTAGCTCAGTTTTTGTTAGCCTTATTGAAACTAACTTTACAGGTTCCCACTATTCTTTTGTGTTGATGCCACTTGCGTCATGTGGATGCAGCCTTTTAAAATGTGCAATAGACAGTTTGTGCAACCATAGAAGTTCTTCCTTTTCATTCTTATCAATTATTTCTGTCAATGCACTGTAGGGGCATTTTTTAAAGAACACTTTTATTTTCTCTTTTACAGCTTTTGCTTTGTATGCATACCTGTTTGTCATAGAAATCCACTTTTCTGAAATCCAGGAAACAAAGACTACACCTGGCATTCCCCTTTTTAGCTATCTCGGGCTGTTACATGATAATCACTATCTCTCCAGGGTCCTCTTATATTCCATCCACATCATTAAGTTCTCCTGCTTTCTGGTCAGAACAGAGTCCACAACAGCTTGTTTCTTTGTTGCTTCCCCAATGACCCTTTACTTCTGTGCTCTCCAGTTTTTAAAGAATTTCAGATATAATATATAATCCTCACCATAATGGAAAATAAATGGTCATAAAATATGTCAAGAATGTCTCAGATACTTTCTTACAACAGAACATTACGATTTAAATTGAAGTACTAACCATACACTTTGGTGGGATAATTTACACTATTCCTGTTTCCTTTTACTCGTACCTAAATACTCCTGCTTTGTCTCTACTCTTAAGTGCCATCTTCACTTCCAATCCCTCATATTTTATAAAACTGAACATTAATTTCCTCAATGAGATCCAGCTCTTTTGATCAAGGATTCTTAGATTAGAATAAGCATACAAACTGAAGCAATCAATTTGAATATTGGCTCTTTCATGCATACCTGTAGTCAATAACTGTTCTCCACACCTCAGGCAAGTTGTCTAACCTCTCTGTGTTACCAACTTACTTACTTCACAGAAACCCTAGGGAGTAAATATAGTTTATATAAAACATCCAGACCAGAACTTCCAAGTCCTAGGCTCAGTAATTGAAAATCTTTTTCTCATTAGGTTTTCATAATAACTGTAAAATTATATTTACCTTCTTAGGTTAAAATGTGAAATTCATTGAATTGGTATTAAGATACCTAAGGCCACAAATGTTCTACCTAATCTTCCTATTACTATCTCCAAAAAATTACTGGGAAATTTCTCTATTAATATTATTTCTAGGCAATAGCTCTTGTCTTTGGGAGTCCAAATGCCTACTACGCATTCTCAAGGAAGCCTCTGATGATCAAGCAGAATAAAGTGATCTCTCTCCACAATGTATATCTTCTCTGTTCTTGCAGCGCAACTGTTAGTCTTTCCACTTCACATCTTGTCTTCTATACTGTGATTTCCCTGAGGTGAGGCAGCATGCCTTGTATGCTTCCTTGTGTCCCCAAAGCCCACTGCAATATTTTGCACACTCGGCAAGTTACTTAACATCTTTGAGTCTCTTTATCTCTTTGTTACATAATGGAATTCAATTAGATGATCTCTAAAATCCTTTCCCACCATAATTCCATAAAGAGTTTGAAATAAATGATTTTTGTTTTTTGAGGCAGGGTCTCACTCCCTTCCCTCACGGCTCACTGCAGCCTCAACTTCCTGAGCTCAGGTGATTCTCCCACTTCAGTTTCCTGAGTAAGTGAGGCTACAGGCACCTGCCACCACACTCAGCTAATTTTTTGTATTGTTAGTAGAGACAGGGTTTTGCCATGTTGCCCAGGCTGGTCTTGAACTCCTGGGTTGAAGCAATCTGCCCACCTCAGCCTCCCAAAGTGCTGGGATTACAGGCGTGAGCCTCCACACCTGGCCTGGAATAAACGATCTTTATAATAACTGTGGACTCTAAGGTCCTAGAATTCAGAAGTATTTTTTACTACAACTGCTTCTGGTGTTTGTCTCGCCCATTAAACTATCAGTGCTTTGTAGGCATTGCATTCCCACACTGCTACCCCAGTGCTTGCTACACAGCCAGTATTCAATAAGTAATCAATGAAAAAAAAAAAGAAAAAGACTCACAGACATACACACACACACACACACATATACACATATAAGGAGAAATCAAAACTATATTGTATTCTTTGGTAAATGCAATGAGAAGTACAGTTTCCCTAAGTATCAGTGAGGGATTGGTTCCAGACCTCCCAACACCCATGGATACCAAAATCTATGAATGCTTAAGTCCCTTATACAAAACAGGGTAGCCTTTGCATATAGCCTACACACTTCCTCTTACACACTTTAAATTATCTCTAGATTATGTGTAATACCTAATACAATGCCTACACATCACTTCCTTTGCATGGATTCAACACAGTACTCAGTGTGTGGCAAATTCAAATTTTGCTTTTTGGAACTTTGTGGAATTTGTCCCCCCCAAATATTCCAATCCACAGTTGACTGAATCCGTAAATGCAAAATCCATGCACATGGAGGAATGACTGTATACTAATTTAAAATGGTGATAATATACACTTCCTAGAGTTGTTATAAAGATTATATTAAACTGAATGCATGTAATACCTAATACAGTATCTGGTCCACATTAGGTACTCAATTAATAGGGATAATTACTTTATTTCAATCTTTTATCACATTCAGTCCATGAATCTTGAATTAATATTCTAAAATTACATGTCAACTTTCTAAAATAGTATCAAAAAATTCTTATCTTCAAATATATTATAATGTATTCATACAATATCCTTTTTGGTTAACAAATGTTCATGTTAAAATTCTCTTTTTGGCTGGGCACAGTGGCTCATGCCTGTAATCCCAACACTTTGGGAGGCTGAGGTGGGGATTGCTTGAGCCCAGGATTTCAAGACCAGCATGGGCAATACAGTGAGATCCCATCTTTACAAAAAACTAAAAAATTAGCCAGGCATGGTGGCACATGCCTGCAGTCCCAGCTACTCAGGAGGCTGGGGTGAGAGGATCCCTTGAGCCCGGGAAGTTGTGGATGCAGTGACTGGTGACTGTGCCACTGCACTCCAGCCTGGGCTACAGAGTGAGACTCTGTCTCAAAAAATTAATATTTTAATGAGTAGATCCCAGAAAACGGGTAATTGCTTGAAGTCATGTTTTTGCCATGTAACAGAGTCAAGTTATTTTAACTCTTCATGTTTTCCAGTAATCATCCATTATGAAAGAAATCAATGTCCTATATATGCAGTGCTATTTTCATTGCTTTAATAATTTAAAGTTACGGTGATGCACAGCATAATGACGTTTTGGTCAACCATGGACCGCATACGTGATGGTGGTCCCATAAGATTATAATGGAGCTGAAAAACTCCCATTGCCTGGTGATGTCATAGTCGCCATAATGTCATAGCACCATGCATTACTCATGTATCTGTGATGATACTGGTATAAACAAATCTACTGCGCTGCCAATTGTATAAAAGAATATAGCATATGCAATTATGTATAGTACTTTATAATGATAATTATGATAGTGGTTTATGTACTTACTATTTTTCACTTCTGATGATCCTGATCCTGTGTAGGCCTAGGCTAATGTGCGTATTTGTGTCTTTGTTTTTCACCAAAAAAAGTTTAAAGTAAAAAATACATATTAAAAAAAGCTTATGGAATAAGACTATACAGAAAGAAAATATTTTCGTACAGCTGTACAACGTTTGTGCTTTAAGCTAAGTGTTATTATAAGAGAGTCAGAAAGTTAAAAAAAATTTAAATGTTTATAAAGTAAAAAAAGCTACAGTAAGCTAAGCTTAATTTACTATTAAAGAAAAACATATTTTTAAATAAATGTAGTGTCCCCTGAGTGTACAGTGTTTGTAAAGTATACAGTCGTGTCCTAGGCCTTCACATTCACTCACTGAATCACCCAGAGCAACTTCCAGTCCTGCGAGCTCCATTCATGGTAAGTGCCCTATACAGGTGTACCATTTTTTATCTTTTATGCCCTATTTTTACTGTACCTTTTCTATGATATGCTTAGATCAGTTTAGATACACAAATATTTACCACTGTGCCACAACTGCTTACAGTATTCAATACAGTAATATGTTATACATGTTTGTTGCCTTGGAACTATAGGTTCCATGTAGCCTAGGTGTATAAAAGATGTTACCATCCAGATTTGTGTAAGTAAACTCAAATATGTTCACAAATGATGAAACTGCCTAACAACTCACTTCTCAGAATATTTCCTTATCATTAAGGGATGTATGAATGCAAATTATATTTGATTTTTTGCAGTATTCTTATTAAGAATCATGTAATTTACAAATTGCAATGCTTTTTTAATATTATAAAGAAAGTAAATAAACCACTGGGCGAAAATACCCAAGCTTCATTATTTCTGCATAAACAAGCTCTTTAAAAAGATATAGAACTTGAATATATTGAAAGACATAAGGCAGATTTTGAAATACTCAGGCCAACTTATCAATAAAGGAAATATGAAGCTATACTCATCAAGTCCTTTACCATTACTTTTACGATAAAGAAACTCATAGCTTTTATACATTTTGTTTCTTTGTAAGAAATTTTAAAAGGTTTTACAAAGTACAGGTAGAAAGATCATGAAAAATACAATATTGCTCTTTTTGTTCAAGCTTTATAAAGGTTAAAATTTTTAATTTTAAAATATTTTAAAAGTCAAAATCCTAGAATTGTAACCTCAGCATCAGAAAATTTTATGTAAAGTACAATCAGCACACTATAGTGAAGAAAACAGCAGTTACCTGGGCTGCTCCTGTAATCATATTTGGAATGAAGTCCTTATGGCCTGGAGCATCCATTAATGTAATAACTTTGGTTGTGGTTTCAAACTTTGTCATACCAACATCCATGGTTACTCCCCTTAAACAAAACATAACATGGTTAGAATGTACGATATAAATAGTGCTATAGAGTAAATTAATAATAGTCTACATGACCATCTACATTCTTAGGTAAAAATGGAAATTGTTTTTATAGACTATTATTTTTGAATAATTAAATTATCAATCGGGGCTGGAATTTCTGCTATAATAGAAGTGCATCCATATGGTTTTAACATAAAAGGGAGGACAAAGTAAGAGCTCAATAAAAATGATAGTTATGCCCTATTATCTTATTTGTTTTGTAAGAAATAGTGTAAATTGTGAAGAAGGATACATGGGGACAACTCTAAATGGGGGGAAAATACTGCATATGAGAAAAGACAAATGCAAAATTACCACGACCGAGAGGTAATTTTCTTCACGTTCTACACTTATGCTTCACTAATTATAGAAATGAGCTTATAAAACTTAATTTGCAAGGCTGGTTAATATGCTACATATTTAGAAAACATAAGATATCAAAGCAGATGCCTAATTTTTAAAAAACAGAGATAGATGAACAGCAGATTGCTTTGTATCCTATTTAATTCTTCCTGGAGACCAACATAGTGCCTTTTTTCAGCCACAAAAATGTAGATTCAGATTAGTGAAATGCTTGGGACTAGAAGCTTTTCAAATTACAGACTTTTTTGGACTTGGAATATTTGCATATACAAAATGAGGTATCTTGGGGATGGGACCCACATCTAAACACAAAATTCCTTTGTTTCATATACACATTATACACATAGCCTGAAGGGAATCTTATGCAACATTTTCAGTCATTTTGTGTGACCTGTCACATGAGATCAGATGTAGAATGTTTCACTTGTGATGTCATGTCAGCACTCAAAAAGTTTCAGATTTTGGAGCATTTCAAATTTCATATTTTCAGATTAGGGATGCTTAACCTGTATAAGAAGGCCCAAGGAAGGTCTACAAGGGCACTCAGTCATTCTAGGCCTCAGGAATTTAAACAGGGAAATCATGTGGCAATAAACTAGGTTTGCCCCAGAATCACCCAAAGTAAGGAATAATAATACTCCCTTTTACTACCAAAAGAGTACAACAATTAGAATAATGAACTATAGGTTTGCCCTAGCAATAAAGTAACTGTAGGTCTCCTTAGTCAAGCCATTTTAGCTTAATCTGAAAGCATGGGCCATCCTAGTTTGCTAAAGTGACGCTTAATTCTCTTTAATAATTCCCAAATACTCTAGGGACCACAGACACCTTCAGAGTAATGGTGAACTAAGACTTATTCTGAGATCCTCCCTAGACTGACCTGGGTATACTCTGCTGACACAGCTCTGATTTCAATTTGTAACCCTAAGGATATGAAATGTCACTCAATTTACTAATTTCTGTTCTTCAGTATCTGAGAAGACCAGGGGATTTACAAATATTTAACATGGCAGGATAAGCAACATATTACATTTTGTAAATGCTATTAAGGAACATACGGTGGTGAGCTAAAACTCCCATCATGTACCTGGAAGCATCTGCTATCTATGGAATGAAGAAATATTCTAAAACTTATATCATGCTGAGCAATAAAAAACTAGCAGCAGCAAAACGCAGCAGCAAAAATATGAAAGCCAATCAACAGATGTATTATCAAAAAAGCTAAAATGACTGACCATTATAGGAATCAAATAGATTATTAGTTCACTTGCCAGCTCAACTAAGATACTAGGTAAATTCAAGTAAACCATTCTAACTTAAATTATACTGTTCTCAATGTCTTTACCTGCTTACTAGATAATGCAAAGAAAACTAAAAAGCCACATACTTTAGTAATGTGCTTGTTAAACTGAGAGGTGAAAATTATTTAGGCTTCTACTATTGCATCATATACAATTACATTGTTTTCCAAAATTGGCAACTGTCCAGCTAATTTTTCTTACTAGGATAGAAAACAGGTCTGTGATACTATAAAGAACTAAAGACACCCACAAAGAAAGAGAAACCATTATGATACAAATTCTGGTTTATCAGAAGAGCTAAGGAATACTGTGACCTGCTTTACAGAGCGTTACCTTATATGTTTATAATGGAGACTATCCAAGACTGCAAGAAAATACACATTAAAAAGGCATGAAAATCCAGATATATTCTCCAATAATCAGATTGAAGACATCAGGGAACACAGTTTAATCTCGTTAATCTAGGACTTCCACAGGACTTTATAGGTTTGTAAAGAGTCATTATTTTGACACAGTTGATATATCTGCCATTTCACTAATTATTAAGGTGTCCTTTGGCTCTCCTACCCTAGCTACCCTAACATGATCTATACTGACACTCTAAAAGGACTTCAAAAGAAATACTATTCTTTGGCCAGACAGTAACAGAGACAGAGGAGTAACTGACTGCATTATAGCTACAGAATTACTTGTTTGCAGACTGTCTCATAAAAACATAATATGTAAAGTATAAAAATGAATTGTTTGGTAATTTGAATTTGCTGGTTATTTAGATTCTACACAGAAGAGGTTTTATGACAGTTACCTTTCCTTTGTAAGCTGACATGAAATTAAAAGTCTTACTCATAATTTTAATTCAAAATCAAGACAATTTGACAAATACTTAGGGAAGTGACAACTGAAACTTATCCCATAGAATAATCAGCTTATGATTTTTACTGTTGTTTTTCTGCATGGCTTTTATTTTGTTTCTTTTAAACATTCTTTTAATCTATTTCTATAAAATTCAGAAGAGTAAAAACAGTATGCAGATTACATCAAAAAAGTCAAAATAGTTCCCTGATATCTAAAAGCTATTTTCTAAAAATAATCTCTAAAGTATTTCATATGTTTTACAAATTCAACACATATTACACACTTATTTTAGAAGACTGTATGATTTCAAACTGAAAATTTTGAAATATAGTGACTACCTTTCCCTTTCTTCGCCAGTTTCATCCAAGACCCATGCATATGCAAACGAAGCTTTGCCAGCCTTTTTAGACTCCTGTTCATACTTATGCATAGTTCTTTTGTTTATATTACCCAGAAGATAAAGCATATGGCCCATCAGAGTACTTTTCCCAGCATCAACATGACCTAAAGAAAATTGATTCAGGATTAATACCAGGTACATTTCCAGATGTTCACATTGAGGCATTGCATAAATGTGTAATTCAATATTTCATGTCAGTGGTTTACAGTAATACCAGTATTTATCAAATGACAGTTAAAACATCTAATAGAAAAAAAAAAGAGCATATCTCTTTACAGACGGGGGGAATTTCTCAGATTTTTGGAAATTAAAATTGTCAACAAGACACGCCAATTTCAAAATGTTCACAAAATGAAAAATCCCACAATCAAGTGTAATGACCTCTTTGGTAACTTGGCATTATCTCTCCCCACATGACTAGAAAGCATTATGAGACTGTGCCTCCTTGCTCTCTGTCCATTCCACCCATGGAGAAACTCAGAGTTTCCATGCTGCCTCCAGACAGTGGGCAGGCTAAGGCATGGCTGGCTGACGATCCAGAGGGACAAAGAGCATTACCAATGACCACTAAGTTGAGTAGCTGCTTCCCTCCTTGCCGCTTCTCCAGTTCCGCCTTCACATCTATTTGCTGCCTCAGCTTGCCAGACTTTTTCACCGGTGCTGGGGTTGAACTCTGCTCTTCTGATGCTTGAATCGTGTGGGGTGGATTAGCAGATTTAGAAGCAGTCTCAAGAACATCGGAAGAAGCAATGGCATCTTCAATGGGCGGTCCTTTTTGAGGTGTGTGGAAACTATGACCATTTTCTTCAGAAGATACTCTACAGAAGGCAGATAGGAAAAAAGTATTTGAAACCAACTCTATTGATGTCCTACAATGACAGAAGGGCAGAGAAACTGTTTCTTCATAATCCTTTATGCTCCAGACCAGAAATAATCTCTGCTAAGTAGCTAAAGTCTGTTAAGGTGGAAATGATAAGTAGCTAGACTCAAACCACACAAATACAACCGTGGAAGATCCCATGAGAAAAACTGTACCAAAAATGAAGATAAGAAGAAAATAATGTTGAAAAATAACTGAAATTCAAAATCAAGCCCACAGTCTTGGCCATATAATCCATCCTATCAAAATCAATGGTATGAAGGAGATATTTTGTAAAATTGGCACCAAATATATTACTGGAGATGAATTAGTACTAAAATATAGTTTTACTTCAACTCATCCTTCCAACATGATAGACTTATGATCTTTTTTACTCAAATACTACCCCGAGGGGAGATATCTCTAAATGACTACAGTTCATAAACATTTTTGACAGTGGAGCTTTAATTCATTAATTCAACAAACACTTGATTTATTAAAAACTACAACATATACTAGGGACTGATGTCAAAAAGAAAATGACATAGAAATTAAAAAGTTAACTACCACTCTTAAAAGATTACAATCTAGTGAGGAACTCAGATATATAAAGGAGAAACAAGACTGCCCAGCTTAACTTATTCTTTCCTTAACAAAAGTAAACACTGATCTTAGTTCTTCATGAGCTCGTTGACACTCCACATAGAAACTAGTACCAGTGCAACTCTGAATAGCTATAAGGAATGTGACCTAATAATCAGACTATGATATGCCTCACTTTGCTTTAACAACTATGGATAAACAGAATTAGGACAAAGAGCAGGTTAAATTGGAAGTTATTAAGAATGAAACCAATTATATCCAACTCTATGTGGAGCTGGCAAAGAAAAACTACATATAGAAAGCAATTTATAATAATCATTTAAGATTGTAGCATGATGGATATGTGTAAGCACATCTATTTTCTTCTTGCCTATTATAACAAAAAATACATTGGTTTTTCCCTGTCAGGGCATTTTTATATGCCCAACATTAGCCCTTCACAATACGCCTCAGGAAAAGAGTCACAATAGTTATATTTGCAACTTTATTTAAAGCCACATATCCATTCTCATTTTATTTTGCTTTTTCAAATCTCCACTAACCAATTTAGGTGTTCATTTTTGAGCACTGCTTAGACAGATGCACTTCATCTTAAACTAGTAGGTAAAAACAGTAATATGCAGGAAATGTTCCCATACTTTTAAAGGATTCTAACAGGCTAAATTAAGTGAAATCAAACAGACTATAATTTGCAAATATTTGTTTGAATGACCACAGCTAGTTCTAAAACCAAAACTTGACAATTCTATACTTAGAAGAATTTTTAAAGCCCCACAAATTATAATACAAGTGATCTACTGTGACTAGACATAGGCTCTGGTCTGAATCAGACCTGGCAGAAATCACAATCTCGGGCCCCAGATCTTTTTGTTTTTAGCTGCAAAACATTTTCTTCAGAGGCAAGCTTGCATTAAATTCAATATGGAAAACAGATCAAAGCAGACAGCTATGGTGGACAGAGTGGGCAGGGGCTTGAAGCTCAGCTCCCCCACCAATCCAGGCAGCCCTCAGAGGGGCTGCCAGAATAGGAAGGGCTTCACAAAACAGGGCTGACTTGATCATTTCATCTGCAATTCAATAACATGAAAGGTTTGTTTTCCTCTGGCTTTCAGGATAGCATTTTCATTTAAGTAAATCTTTTTCTTTTCTTTTTTTTTTTTTTTTTGAGATGGAGTCTCCCTCTATCACCCAGGCTGGAGTGCAATGGTGCGATCTCAGCTCACTGCAACCTCCGCCTCCCAGGTTCCAGCAATTCTCCTGCCTCAGCCTACTGAGTAGCTGGGATTACAGGCGCTGGCCACTACACCCGGATAATTTTTGTATTTTTAGTAGAGACAGGGTTTCACCACATTGGCCAGGCTGGTATTGAACTCCTGACCCCAAGTAATCCACCTGCCTCGGCCTCCCAAAGTGCTGATATTACAGGGGTGAGCTACTGTACCCGGCCCCTTTTAAGTAAATCTTAGGTAAACTGTAAATTAATTCACTAAAATTCTACAGTGTTAGTGGGAAATGACCAAAGTAATTAGAAAAGTATCCTAGGTAAGTCTGCCCTTAGTAAAAAAAACTTCTGCATATTATGAAATAAAAGTCAATGTTTTAAGATTTGAAAAATATCTAAGATAAGGTCTAAAAATGACCATTTGGATTTCAGGCCTATAATTAATTACTGACTGGTATGAATGAAAGAATAAGTTGGTTGGATTTTTTTCAGGTGCTTTCTGGTATCATTTTGTAAGCTTTTTTTCTTTCTTTCTTTCTTTCTGTTTTTTGAGATGGTCTCGCTCTCGCTGTGTTGCCCAGGCTGGAGCGCAGTGGTACAATATTGGCTCACTGCAGTCTTGGCCTCCCAGGTTCAAGTGATCCCACCTCAGCCTCTTAAGTAGCTGGGACCACAGGCAAGCACCACTATACCCAGCTAATTTTTTTTTTTTTTTGGTAGAGATGGGGGAATCTCAATATATTGCCCGAGCTGGTCTTGAACTCTTAGGCTCAAGTGATGCTCCCACCTCAGCCTCCTAAAGTGCTGGAATTACAGTCACGAGCCACAATGCCCACCCTGTACACTTACCTAATATTATAAAATGACTAGTCTTTTTTTTCTCTAAACTACCTTTCTAAAAGTAAACTATACATGAATCTAGAGGTTTAATCTTTCTTCTGGAGTTAAATACTTAGAAGCGAATAACTGAGATTTAAGAGGTTAAAAGAATATTTCTTCTATATGCAATGTTCCATTTCTACTTACATGCACTTACTTGCATCTACTATTTTTAATATTATTAAAGAAAAAGAAAGTTTGCTGTTTCATTTCCTTCCAAGCAATGCATTATGCACTATCCTTTTTTTTTTTCTTCCAAATAGAGACAGGATCTCACTCTGTTGACCAGGCTGGAATGCAATGGCAGGATCATAGCTCCCTCAAACTCCTAGGCTCAAGCAATCCTCCCACCTCAGCCTTCCAATGTGTTGGTATCACAAGCATGAGCCACTGCACCCAGCCGTATCCTTTTTAAAATAAGACACCACTGAGAATCACACTACGTAGAAACCTATGATGCTGAAATCTTGACTCAAAAGTGTTTCACTGTGTTTCTATATGCTTTCTTAAGACTAACCCAGAATAGGCTAAGTGCTATCCCTATTATAAATCTCAAAAAATCCTGTAATAGTACAACTTGGTTGGCCTTGAGCACTATTAAGCATTTCTGAGTATTTCGATCTATAACTACAGACCTTTCACATTCTAATGACTTCTCCCATAGAGCCACATCAAAATGTTGCCTCATGGGTGGATTTTTTACCTTTATGTTATTTGCAAGTTTATTTTTAAAATAATACATATTTCCCCAAGGATTCTGAGCAATAAATATTTAATAACTATTCTGTAAAAGGAATACAGTGATGAACATTAACAGTCCCTGGCCTCACAAAGAATATAGTCATAAAATTCTGAAAGGCCTGCATTGTACTTACAGAGTTTTCAAAAATTATGCACATTATTTATTGATACATTTATTACCCATTATCTTTATAATTATTCATTTAGATACCTATGCATTTACTTCTAATATAATACATTAATTTGGGTTCATTTGCATGTTAAGACTTCTGAAAAATCTTTTGTACTAAGATTATAAAATCCTTAGAACAATAAATTGTGTATTCTATTTATTTCCCCCCTCTCTCTCTCTCTGTATGTAAAAATCCCATAATAGAATTAAATGGTACTCAAGAATAAGGACAAAAAGGGCAATTATAATTCTGACAACTCAATCCCAATTCAGAAGGAAAAAAGGCATACACGAAGCTTTTTGAGACTGAATCAGAATTCTAAATTATTTTAACAGGCTAAAGTTACTCATGATAAAAATTAACTTTTTCATTCATCCAATCATTCAATTAATGTACACTGAATGCCTACTATGTCCTAGATAAGGAGTCCTTTCCTTCACTGACTTTGAAATCTAGTGAATAAAGTCTTGTTTCTATAAAATCCAAAAATTGAACTAGGTGATAAACATTCTTCCCAACCAAAACTCATAATACCTCACTAGTTTAGACAAAAGAATATTGTAAGGAAAAAAAAAATAAATAAGGTTCCTGGGTTTATATTTTTAAAAAAATATAACTTGGGAAAAGAGGAAAAAAAAGGAAAAAAAGTATATATATATAAAAATCTATTGTTTATAGTAAAAACCTATTGTTTATATTTGATAACAGCGTTTATCATTTTGGCAGACAAAATACATATAATTTATAAGTAACAATTGAAAATTCTGAAAAATTTTAGAGTTTAAAAATTAATGGCTTTAAAGCAACTCACTTCCCTTGTCTATAAAAACTCCTGGAAGGATTCTAGAGACTTTGATAAGAACAAACAAGTGCTACCAAGGTATGGTTTATTTCCATTTTTCACTACATATTTGAAATTCTACATATGTTTCATATCATATGTCTTTGCTACAATGGTCCAATTTACGTCTTTGCTACAATGGTCCAATTTATTCAATATGAAAATCCAAAAGAGTTTAAAAATATTTTAGTTATTAAAAAATTTAATTAATGATTCCATGATTCGGGGACTCACTCCAAAATCTGGTTACCTCTGCCACCTAGTGGTATAAGAATTCCCTATCTCACAGTGCTAGGTTTCACAAAATCATAGGGTTTTTTATGTTAAAGTAGCTATAAAATATTTATGTAAGAAAACTGGCAGTGAGGTAGAGTAAGTAATACACACAAGATAAGGCCAGAATCAAGCCTAATTTCTCATTTTGTCTCTTTGTACTATGTTATACTGAGGATATATGATACTTCAGTGCTAATGATATATTATGCGAAATTGAAACAGTCTCTTTCTTACAGAAGCAACAGTGATTTCAAAAACTTGGGGGTGGGGGTGGGGATGAGGGAGGTACTCAAAGTCTTACCCAGGCACTTCAAATCCCATAGTTTGCTTCTTTCCAGATACAGTCATTTTAGCAACTTTTGGCACAATTTCAGATTCACTTCGCGATGTCTGGGAATCTACTGGTTTTCCTAGTTAAGGAGTAAAATATAAAAGGCCAATTAATTTCTTTAGTAATATAAAGAAATCTATTACATAGTATTTTAAATTATAGATTATGATAACTTTCACAGAATTAATGTCTTTATAAACACATTATCTCTAAAAAAATTTAGTAAGATATTAATGCTGAAAGAAATTCTGTCACTTTAATCTAGGAAATCCCCTATTGTCAGGACTCTCCTATGCTTAACCTCCACCAAATCTCTTCCTAATTTTGAACTGACTGTTAAGTTTCAGTATTAAGAGGTCACAAGGTAGTTTCTGCACTGAGCCTTGTTCTGACATTATACCTAGACCCTATACCTCCCTTTCCTACCACACCCTTTCACAATACTAAAATTGTTTGGTCAGTTAGCAGATGGCTAAACTATTTTTAATCCTGCGAGGTTTATGAACTGATGAACAAGTTGAGAGTCTGAATTGTGCTGGAATATAGTATATATTTTACTTGCACACAACACTAGACTTACTAAAATACTGATATCTATAAAGAATCTAGGGAAAGAGGTTAATGTAGAAAAACTGAATTAAGAACATGGGGGAATTAGTCAGGCATGGTGACATGTGCCTATAGTCCCAGCTACTCGAGAGGCTAAGGTGAGAGAATGGCTTGAGCCCAGGAGTTTAAGCTTGTAGTGAGCTATGATAACGCCACTGCACTTCAGCCTGGGTGACAAAGCAAGACTCCATCTCTTAAAAAAAAAAAAAAAAAGGCCAGGCACGGTGGCTCATGCCTGTAATCCCAGCACTTTGGGAAGCCAAGGAAGGTGGATCACGAGGTCAGGAGTTCGAGACCAGCCTGACCAACACAGTGAAACCCCTCTCTACTGAAAATACAAAAATAAGCTGGTCATGGTGGTGCACGCTTGTAATCCCAGCTACTCAGAAGGCTGAGGCAGGAGAACTGCTTGAACCCAGAAGGTGGAGGTTGCAGTGAACCAATATTGCACCACTGCACTCCAGCCTAGGCGACAGAGTGAGACTCCGTCTCCAAAAATAAATGAATAAATAAATAAAAATAATTAAAAATGGAGGGATGGAGGAGAATAAATTATGAGCTAGATCAAAGTAAGACTTTTTTTTGCATTTGATCCCTACATAATTCATTGAACTTTTAAAAATGTGTCTTTATAATTTTCAGAAAAAGTACCACCAGGATTGAATCCACATAAAACTATGGAAACTGCATGTGCTACATTGGTAAACACATATACAGAAACCACTAACAATATAAGAAAAGATAAGTTAATGTATAAAATTCATTTAAAATGTTTGCTATTTGCCTACTATACACCAGGCACTATGCTGGAAATGTGATGGTGAAGAACAGACGTAACACTTGCTCTAAGAGCGATTACATCCTAGCGGGGAAAACATACTAAATGATAAAAAAAAAAAAAAAAGTACAATTAAAATTGTTATTAGTGTTATAAAGAATCCATATATGGTGCCGTAAAATTTGATGATAGGGCACATGACTTAGAGAGCTTCTCTAGGAAAGTGAGAATTGGAGCTATGATGGGGAAAATGAATATAAATTATAATAACTAGCACAGAAAGAAAGAGCATTCCAAGCAGAAAGAGAAGCTTGTATAATGGTCCTCCTGTAGGAGGAAGCACAGTTCTTCAGAGGGAGTGAGAGCAGAGGGGAGCTACATGAAGCTGGAGAGATGGGCAGGGCCAGACAGTGCAGGACCTTTAGGTCATACCAAAGATCCTAATGCTTGCTCTAACGGAGGCGGAAGTTACCAAAATGAGGTAAGCAAAAGAGAGGGGAAAGGGCAAGGGAGAGGAGAGGATGAAGTAAAGGGACATCTGAAAACAAACAGTTTAGGGAAAATTTTGAGATTGGGACATATTAGAAATTTGGACCCAATATTTCAGAGTTCCAAATGACAATGAACATCAAATAGGCAGTTGAACATGTTGGTTGACCTCAAAGGAGAGGTCTGAGCTGCATCAGCACATAATTGGTAATTGAAGACATAGATACAGGCGAGACCACCAAGGGAGAGAGCACAGAGAAAGAAGAGAAGTGGTCCTAGGAGGCCTTGGAAGAACTCTAGCATTTAATGCCAAGATAATGGACAATACACCTACAAAAAGGTGAAGGAGAGCCAGGGAGGGTGGTGCCAATGAAGCTAAGGGAAGACAGTGTTATGGAGTTGGCATTACCAGGATCTGGGGCTCTGGGCCAGTCAACTGAATGAAGACTGAAAACATTCACTGGTGACATGATCACTTTAGATAAAAGTCATTGGTAGAGTTAGCAAGAGCCATTTGAAAAAAGTGAGAAAAGTAAAAGGCAAACTAGGTTAAAAAATGTAAGGTGAGAAATGAAGGCATGTTCACTACCTCTCAGCTATAATTTCAAAATCCAAAAGCATTGAAATATTAAAGTTTTGGGTTTTGTTATTTTAATAACTCATTTGGAAGCAAAATGTGACATGGACTGATATGAGGCTATTTATCGATAGCACTTATTGCTCCTACTGAAAGTGACAGCCACACACTTCAGGGCAGAAACGGCAATGTGTCGATTACAGGGAACTGCTCCACAATTCACTGGGGCTATTATACTACAGATGGTATGTACATGTTAATGTTTTCCTAAATCCAAAATATTCCAAATTCTGAATCAAATCTGGCCCTAAGGGCTTTAGATAGGGATTTCATTTGTATGAAAATGATTCTTTTAAAAAGTTTGTCTGAAAAGGGAATAATATGGCAGAATAGCAGTAGAAAGGGGATATGGGATCAAGCTGATAGAAAAGATTAAATGGAGAAGGTTTAGTTGAATAAATTACGAAGAGATCATCAATATTTTAGAGTTTCTGAGAAGGTAGAATGAGATGGAATCCAAAGTACAGGTAGAAACTGAGCTGAGACGGGAGAAACGCTCTTTTATTGCAATAGAAGGCAGCTTTGCATGTTTAGGAACTGCAAAATGAAAATTCCTAATGGATGCTTTCTATTTTCTCCATAATACAGCACCTAGTTATGCTCTGGAACCACCCAAGGAAAGTAAAAAGATTTGCAAAGTGAATAAGGTTTTCAGTAACTGCTGCGCAAAAAGAGAATAAGTTGAACATTTAAAAAATTAGAGGAATTGTTGGATAGTATTGAGGGCCCATTTAAGATTTGTGATAATGAATTTATAGTGGAACCTATCTGCCTTTGTGTGACTTTTTCTAGCAATGTTCAGCCATTCACGAAAAAGGCACAGAGAAGACATTAACTGCTTCATTAGGAGTTAAGAATCTATCCAACAGGTATAAGAAGAAAGTATATGGCATTGAAATTACAAATAATGAAATCTAAGCTAATTTTAAAAATAAATAAAATAACAAAGGAAGAGTCCTGATGCACTAGGAGAAAGCAGAGGGATCTGTAAGTAAAGAAGAAGAAATCTTAGTAAATTTCTGATGAGAGGTAAAGCTCACGGGAAATAAGGTAGTCAAAGAACTGAAAATCCAGTGTTGGACTTGGTGGTGTTTTTCCATACAGATAGGTCATAAGCTGTGATCATGAAGAGCTTAGAGGGAGAAGAAAAGAGTAAGCCAGCTGCCAAAGTCTCCCATGAGTAAGGAGAAATGACTGTGAGGCTGTTCACTAGATGACAGCAGTAAAGACTGACAGAAGGCTGGCTCAGCTAAAGACAATAACTTCAAAAGAATAGAAATCAAGGGGGGGAAATGATGAAAGAATAATGATGGAAAGGAAGGACAGAGCCTCAGGTTTAAGAGGCTATAAATGAAGTAAAGCAAGAAGTAGGAAAAACACTAGGAAAATAGATTGAGAATTATAGAAGGATTGGCTTTGCGTGAAAAAGCAGTTCCTGAAGTTACAGCAAAAGTGGAGGGGAGTGACAGGTGAGTGAGGAGATAAGGAAGGAGGATACTTAAGAGCATGATGATGATGACGATGATGGGGTGTGCGTATGTGCATGTGTATGTGTTAGGAACAAGGAGACATCCTGACTGATTACAACAAGGAAAAGTGGCATGGGGGATTCTGGCCTCTGTCAAAAGAAGAGGAAAAAAAAACATAGAGCATGAAAATGTCTCAATCCAGCCTTTATGACACTAATTCCAACTTCCTGTTATAGTTCATCTTAGTATCTTCCAACCATTTTGCACGTAAAAAATTTATTGTCCCACTTAACACATTTAGTACACTGAAATACTGAAATTTTGGCTTTTAAAAAGGTAGGTGGGTCATACAATGGCATAAAAGGTCTCTAAGCACACAAAAAAATTACAATGTGATCCTGTAATATTTCTGGGGATGCAATAAATATCAGAATACTTTTTGATTTTTTTTCTATAGAACATCAAACTCACGATGTAACATTTCAAAAATGTGGTTATTTAAGTGAAAGTAGAGGGGGAAAGTCTAGTATGGATTTGAATACCACCCCATTAAAGCAGTGGTTCTTAAATCTTTATTTTCAGTCAGGTACCCCTTTTAAAAACTAACAGAAACCATGGGGCATTCTTCATAGAAAAATGTACCACACATATAAAATTTTGCATGCTATTTCAAGGACATCAATAAGTCCAACTCTAGAACTTCTGAGAGATAACCATGGCTAAGGCTATTTTGGAAATATATTAATTTAAATTAATGATGTTATCCACAGTCAAGGATAAAAACATACATTCAGTAAATTATCCACTGAGCTGTTCTTAACAGCAAGGTGATTTACTTCCACTTACTGAATACATTACAAATTCCCCCTCATAACTAGCACCATTCTGGAAGGCAGGCAAACTCTACTGACATAAGTCAGAAAGGAACTCATAACTAAAATAGCAAGTCATAGATCAATAAGAGATACATATATATAATCAAATCCATATTTTTTAAAATGTAAAATGTTTACTGTGTTCTCCCATCTTCCCCAAACAACTGGAAATTCATTCACCATTTAACAATCCCAAGAAATTGAACACTAAATTTTCAGTAAGTCCCAAAATATGACAGTAAGAAATAAGTACTGGATGAAAAAGAAGGAAGCTTTGATTCTGGTCCCTGCCCTACCACTAATTAGCTGTCACCTTACGGCTTAAGCAGTTCATTTAATTTCACTAGCTTCAGTTTCCTCTAAACTTTTCCATGAAGTACGTAAAATTTCCACTTCCTATAATGAGGTGAATTAAACCACTAAGATGTCCTTTAAATCAACTAGCCCACTATGAGATAAAAATAAAATGCACCATTCCAAAGAAAGATTATTAATGTCCTCCCCTAGGCCTCACAAAACCCACCCACCAAATCATGATCACCCAAAAGATACATATTCTGAAAACTCATATATTCATAATTAGTGTTCAGTCTCTAGAATAGAGAAGAACTAATCATCCGTTAGGTACAGTTTTCATTCAGACAGAAATAATAGCCACCCAGCTGAAGGGCTACCCAACTGATCAAGTCTAATCTTATTTTATTGACAAAGAAACAAGGGACAAATAAGTGACTTCACCTTAGTGGCAAAGCTTGCACTTAAACCAAATTACCTCGCTGCCTGTCCAGTTGACCTTTCTCATCCTCCAGCTACCTCTGCAGCAAAACATAATTAGAAACTGCCTCCATCCCCATAATTAGAAACATAATTAGAAACTCTGTCCCCAGTGGTTACCCCTTGAGAAGCTGCTTTCCCCAGGGCTCTCCTGGTTCCTTCCTGCGGCTAAGATCTAAATAGATTCTAGGTTTTCTCTTGAACATGAAATGATGTAGGTCTTTGGTCCTGAAGATTTTTTTTTCAATGTATATTCATTTGTGAAGGATGCAAAGGTAGATCTCTCTCACATCACACAACTGATACAGACTCGCTGAATTTAATGAAACCTTCTGCTTGCATATCCCCAATTTATGCTCTTCTGATTCATTCCTTTGGTCTTTAAGCACACTCATTATCAGAATACTAGCTGTCAGGGGTCAGGAAGTGCCTTACACGTTCACGCAGTCCACAGTACATGACACAGTGCTCTGCCTACAGTAAGCCACCAATAAATACAGTTTAATGATTAATCCCTAAGGGTTTAAATTGTGAAACTACAAGGTGACCTCTATTGTCTTTATAAGTTATCTTAGATGGCAATAACCTCCTCAATTTACTCTCTTTACTCACTCACTCCTTGCATTTCATACCAGCTACCTCCCAAAGTTGAGATATAAATTCTAGAAAGCCAACATGGCACTCTCATATGCTCTTCAGCCAGGTGCTTTACATGGTCGTTTACCTTTACACAACCATACAGAATAGGTATAATTACTCCTACATTTCTTTAGAGAAACTGTGGTTCAGACAGGCTGATCTGCCAGAGGCCATACAACTGTGGCCTGTGACATAGCTAAATTAAAATATATATATATGAATTACATGGTGCTATTATCAAAAAGTGTATTCTACACTATTCTGAGAGACAAGTTATAAAACTTGTTGAGCTGAGCTGTAGAGGCAATAAGCAAGAGAAATTCAAAATATGTACCTGAGTAATTCTAGAAGGCTTAACAAATGAAATGAGATTTGATTTGACTGAAAAGTAATAAAGAGGAGGCAAAAATAATATGAGAAAAGGCATAAGCAGGGGTCAGTGGGGCAAAAATTCTAAATGTGGGCACTCATCAATATACTTTTAAAGACTATATAAAGTTTAAAAAAATGGCTTTTTTCAAAAAAAAAGATCTTTTGCAGATTATGTTCATGGACTCCCTTTCTCATTTAATAAGTAGAAAGTAAAACAGAAGTAGTATTACATATTCTTTTTTTTTTGAGACGGAGTCTCGCTCTGTTGCCCAGGCTGGAGTGCAGTGGCGTGATCTCGGCTCACTGCAAGCTCCGCCTCCTGGGTTCACGCCATTCTCCGACCTCAGCCTCCCGAGTAGCTGGGACTACAGGTGCCCGCCACTGCGCCCAGCTAATTTTTTTTTTTTTTTGTATTTTTAGTAGAGATGGGGTTTCACTGTGGTCTCGATCTCCTGACCTCGTGATCCGCCCGCCTCGGCCTCCCAACGTGCTGGGATTACAGGCATGAACCACCGTGCCCGGCCTAAATATTCTTTGGAAGGATAATTAGTAAAACTGTTTAGAAATAAGGAAAGCCAAATTAAGATTATGGAAGAGAAAAACCATAGAAATTTATATGTGATGATGATTTCTCCATAAAATATGCTGCTGTGTCTCATCATTCTATAATTCCTTACCTTTTCCAAACCATTAATAAGGCATTCCCTAAGATTTGGCCCTAGGATCCTATTTACATTCTATAGATATCTTCTATACACAAGGGCAACCAATCCTAATAGTCTACTATCGCTAGAAATCCAAGGCTCGGCCACCAGACAATTCACAGAACTTGAGCCTTGACCTAGTCATCGGATATTTCAGAGACTGAGTTTACCCCATCTGAAAAATGTACCACCTACCTCACAATGATATAATACATATCATATACATAAAAGCATTTAAGAAATTCTCATACAAAACTAAAAAATCAGACCTTTATTCTATAAAATTATTTTATTGTTTCTATAATAATATCCTTGGAAGAAAACTCTTAATGGCTGAAGTTTGTTATCAGTATATGTTTACTGATAATTTTTGGTTTTACTGGCTATTTCTGTACCTATTAACCTCTTTTAGTTTTAAAATGATTTTAGGTGATAATAGGATCAAGAAGTACTACAATAAATATGTATCTAGCCATAGATAAATAGTATCACAAAGTACCTTACCTTGGCTTGAACTCAGTGTTTTTTATTTGCTTAAGTGTCATGCAGGTAAGTTTCAAGAGTACATAACAAATTAAGAATGATCTGGTAGAACAAATCCAATGGGACTATTTTGGGGGGGAAAATGCCAAGTTGATGTTGAAGTTCATCTGGAAGAGTAAATGTAAAAGAATGACCAATAAAATAAACTAAGAATAATAATGGGGGAGTTGAACTACCAGATATCAAGATACCAGATATCTAATTCAATGAATTAGAATAGGGCATCTGCAAATAATCCAATTAGTAGAACTATATTTACATGAATGTTATATATAGGAATTAACAGGAATTAAGTATATGGAAAAATATATAGGAATTTATACATTATATGTGGTTATAAATACAAATTCAGTATATGCAGAAGTGTTTCAAATCAATGGGGAAAGGATGGGTTATTCAACACATTATACTGGGAACACTGGCAATTCATTTGGAGAAAAGGCTCTATCATATATACAGCATATCATATATAAATTCCTTATTGATTAATGATATAAACGTAAAGCAAAGAGAAAAACATAAAAATATAGGGACTTCAGGTAAGACAGATATACAAATTTGTTATAAAAATTTCTGCCTGACTAGGCGCAGGGGCTCATGCCTACAAATCCCAGCACTTTGGGAGGCCAAGGTGGGAGGATCGCTTAAGGCCAGGAGTTCAAAACCAGCCTGTGCAAAAAGCAAGACCCTGTCTCCACACACACAAAAAAATTTTCAATTAGCTGGGCGTATTAACATGCACCTGTAGTCCTAGCTACTCAGGAGGTTGAGATGGGAGGATCAATTGAGCCCTGGAGTTTGAGGCTGCTGTGAGCTATGATTGTGCCAATGAACTCTAGCCTGAACAACAGAGCGAGGCATTGTCTCTTTAAAAAAGGTTCTCCCTGATTAAAGATACCACAAGTGAGCATAAAATATGTGAGGAAAATATATGCAAGGGGTTAGTTAATATATACAATAAAGAGTTCCTGGCTGGGCGCGGTGGCTCACACCTGTAATCCTAGAATTTTGGAAGGCCAAGGTGGGTGGATCACCTGAAGTCAGGAGTTCGAGACCAGTCTAGCCAACATTATGAAACCCCATCTCTTCTAAAAAATACAAAAATTAGCCAGACGTGGTGGCACGCACCTGTAATCTCAGCTACTCGGGAGGCTGAGGCAGGAGAATCACTTGAACCCAGGAGGCGGAGGTTGAAGTGAGCCAAGATTGTGCCATTGCACTCCAGCCCAGGTGACAAGAGCGAAACTTGTCTTAAAAAAAAAAAAAAAAAAAAAGGAGTTCCTACAAACTAGTGAGAAAAAAACTCCTCAGAAAAAGAAAGTGAACAATAAATGGGCCAGGTCAATAAACACAAGTCAAAGGTGTGGCAGAGGAAAGGGGAAAAAAAAAATGTTGCTATGTACACCATACTTCTGAGAATATGGCCTATAGAAACATTAACACTAATGTGCAACAGTATATGAATGATATTGTTCACTGTGTTACCATATGTAATGACAAAAAATTGTAGATGTACATAAGGGAATGGTTATGATGTATCCAAACAATGGAATAGTATGCTACAGATATAGAATTAGAAGACCTACATGTATGAAAAGATAACTATGACACATGAAGTAGAAAAAAACAACTAAAATATAATATAGCAATGGTCCTATATCATATCACTATGCAACCGGCATTAAAAAGTGCATGCTTTTTAAAGTGATTACTTCTAGGGAGTGACAGTAGGCAAGAGAGAAGTTGACTTTTCAATTCAAACTTTATATACTTCTATGCTACAATGACTGTATATTATTTTTATAATAAAAATGACTTGTGCCTGTAGTATCTGATATGGTGTCTCTGCTTTCTATCTCTAGCTCCTCAAACCATGTTCTACTTCTGTCCACTAGGGTTTTCATCATCTCAGCTAATAAAATATACTCTGTAGCTCTGTACAGAAAAAATCTACTTGTAAATTTAGTCTTTAACACGACCGCAATTTACCCCTCAAGATCCACCTCTTCCTTGCAAACTCCCATAAACAGACTGAAAATCCCTGACATAAACACTCTTGTTTTCTCACATGCATGGCCATGGCTCATCTATTTCCATGTTTCATGCAAAAGCCACTACTTTCATGAAAATTATACTTTAATTTTATTGTGCCAAGATTTGTGATTATTAACAGAAGGAAGCCATGGCTTCTTGGTAATGCATGAATCACAGAGGCCAACTCCAGCAATGTATGAAGAAAGACTCTTAGATTCATTTCACAAAGATTTACTGAGAGCCTCTGAGGTAATTACCAACAGAATAAAGCACATATAAAGTTACATGCATACTTTTCATACCCTCAAAGGAGAATCCCAACAAGCTTTCCACACCAAATGCCTCCAATTCACCAGCCAGTTAGGTTAGTAGATAAGACATAGACTCTGCTGCAACACAACCTGAGTTTGAAGCCAGGCCTTGCCACTGCATGACCTCAAGTGAATCACTCAACTTTTCTCTATGCCTAGTTTCCTCGTCCATAAAATAATAGTATCTGCCTAACAAAGATGTTAGGAGAACTGAGAATTAAATGAGCCAATACATGTAAAGTACATGTAATGACTGGCACATATGAAAGCACACAGTCCGTGGGTCTCTGCCAGTCACCAAAATGCCAACTTCTTTTTCTCATGTGATACCAGGACATTTACAAACACAAATTACTCTCTACCTATCACATATTCATTCATGAAGGGAAGGCGAGAAATGCCAACTGTGTGACACTGAGCTAGGTACTGAAATAAACAGACCCAAGAATGTGGTGAGACATAAGATTAGAAAAGCAGGTAACTCATTTAGAACCATGTCTAATATTTCACTTGATCTTGAAACATAAGAGCCACTGAAGGAATTTAAGCGTTGGAGAAACATATCATACTTTTAAAACTTACTCTGACCCCAGAATAGAAAATGGATTGTGGAGGCAAGATTGAAAGGAAAGCAGTTAGAAGATTGTTGTACAAATACATGTAAGAAATTCTACAGTGATCTAAGAGCAATGGAGATAGAGAAAGGAATATTTAAGAGACTTTACTTTAAAAGATATTACAGTCAGACCTTCATATCCTTGGGTTCTGCATCCATGGATTAGACCAAACACAAATTGAAAATATTTGAAAAAATTTACAAATAAGTATTTAACTACTATTTACATAGTATTTGGTATCTAGATTACTTATAATCTAGATTCCTTTTCATGTAATGGTAATTTAAAAAAGTAATCTACAGATGATGTAGAAGTATACAGGAAGATATGCATAGGTTATATGCAAATACGATGACATTTTATATCAGGGATTTAAGCATCAGCAGATGCTTGATGGAGGGGGGTACCAGAGCCGAAACCCAAGGAAACAAGGGACAAGTGTACAAGGTAAAATCATGAATCCTTGATATCTGAATGAACAGAGGAGATGAGAGAAAGGACAGTCCTCAGATTTTCTGCCAAGAAAGAAAGGGTAGATGGTGATGCCATGAACAAACAGGAAATACCTTCCAGGAAACTAAGAGAAGTCTGCTGGTCAGAATCTTATTTCTCTTACTCCTTTCATTCAGCACAAAATTACAACAGTCCATAAAGGAACTCTGCTTCCTCCTCCTAAGCAGAAACTGTCACCAAAAATTTTATTTTATGAAAGACTGCCTAGATACGATCTTGGATCTTCAGAGTTTTTCAGGTTAAATTATAGCATGTTCTTGGCACTGAGGACACAAAGGTGAGTGACAGACTGTTTTTAGATAGCTTTCATTCTAACAGATGTGATGAACAGTACGATAAGATGAAACGAAAAAAAGAGACAGAGAAATTAAGATAAGTTTCTAGGAGACCACAACCACTGTGACTGCAGCTGAACAAGTACTATAGTACCGGAAATGAGTAAGAAGGAACAGACATGAGAGTCAATACATTAATAGAACATGGAGATTAATTAAATCTTAGGAAGGCAAAACATAGGAACCTCAATGACTGCTATGACTCTAACCTAGACACTGTTCATGAATATAGACACATTTGGTCAGAGATTCCTTTAAGACATACAGATAGAGGCCGGCTACAGTGGCTCATGCCTGTAATCCCATCACCTTGGGAGACTGAGGTGGGCAGATCACCTGAGCCCAGGAGTTCAAGACCAGCCTGGGCAACACGGAGAAACTGTCTCTACAAAAAAAAAAAAAAAAAAAAAAACCACAAAAAAATTAGCTGGGCATAGTGGTACACGCCTGTAGTCCTAGGTACTCGGGAGGCTGAGGAAGATGGATTGCTTGAGCCCGGGAGGCGGAGGTTGCAGTGAGCCAAGATCATGCCACTGTACTCCACCCTGAGCGGCAGAGCAAGACCCTGTCTCAAAAAATCAAATAAACAAAAAACAACCCAGACATACAGATAGAAATCCATAGAAAACAGTTGGATAATCAGGTTTACAGGAATGTTTACCAACATTAAAACACATGAAGCAATTCAAGACCTAGATTGCTTATCGAAAATGAAGAATGAGAAGGCAGCCAATGAAGGAACTCTTAATACTCAATAGAGAGGGAGGCTGAAAACAAGTATTTACCTTCCTCATAGAATCCTTACATAGAATTGAGATTCACATATCATACAGTTGGAGAGCCATATGTTAGAGGTCATTTGGTCTTGTCCATCATTTTACAGATGAAAATTTAAGTGAGATTCCAAAGTTCACATGGCTGATTAGTGGAGTTCTCGCTCTGGTGTTCTCTAGGTTGCTTCCACGGCACCCTCCCCTTTCCACTCTCTGTCCTCTAAATCTCAGGACCTCATGGAAGTGGTATTCCCAAGGTAACTGAAGCAGGGTGATTTTGAAGTTGAATGTATACAAAAACTGCCAACAAAGTGCCTCTAAATGTAAATATACACACACATACTGATTTATTTATTTTTCTTGGGGGACAGAGTCTCGTTCTGTTGCCCAGGCTGGAGTGCAGTAGCGTGATCTTGGCTCACTGCAACCTCTGCCTCCCGGGTTCAAGCAATTCTCCTGCCTCAGCCTCCCCAGTAGCTGGGACTACAGGCACACGCCATCACGCCCAGCTAATTGTTTTGTATTTTAGTAGACATGGGGTTTCGCTGTGTTGCCCAGGCTGGTCTTGAACTCCTGAGCTCAAGCAATCCACCCACCTCAGCCTCCCAAAGTGCTGGGATTATAGGCATGAGCTAACGAGCCCAGCCTTTTTTTTTTTTTTTTTTTCCAGACGGAGTCTTGTTCTGTTGCCCAGGCTGGAGTGCAGTGGCATGATCTCAGCTCACTGCAACCTCCGCCTTCCTGGGTTCAAGAGATTCTCCTGCCTCAGCCTCCCAAGTACCTAGGAATTACAAGTGCCTGCCACCATGCCCGGCTAATTTTTGTATTTTAGAAGAGATGCGGTTTCACCATGTTGGCCAGGCTGGTCTCGAACTCCCAACCTCAGGTGATCCGCCCACCTTGGCCTCCCAAAGTGCTGGGATTACAGGCCGGAGTCACCATGCCCAGCCCCTCTAAAAATATTAATGCTTTGTCCAGATCACGATTTTGTGAGTTTAAGTGAGGTTAACCATCATTAACATCTACTCAGATACTTCTGAATAACAGTTAATGTTAAAACCAATTATTCTGATTAGGTTTAATGTTTGCATTTCAGAATGTCCTAATATACATAGTTAAAGCCTAGCAGTTAGTTCATTTTCTGCTTAACAAAGAGAAAGTTTCCGTTTACTACAATTTTTACTTCCAATGGGGAACCTGAAGGCTAGGCTAATCTTCCTTTAATAATAAACACCTGGATACTGTCCACTTAACATTCTGTGAATGCCGATTTGGGGAGGTGAGAAAGGTATATTCAGGCTCTAAAGCATACATCACAACATGATGCTATCAACTTTAAGTCACACATGATAATCTCAAATTGCTAAAAATAATAGCTCCAGACCAAAATGATGTAACTTGCATATCAAGCCTTTATTGCATATTCTCATGTAGCATATACTGTTTTCTGTCTATATTGTAAAATATATAGTGCCTTACCTCTTCAACTAAACTAAGAGTTCCAGAAGTTTATTTTATGATATATTTTACAATATCCAGTCCAGTGCCTGGTACATATTAGGCACTGAAATATTTAATAAAATTATTTATTTATGAAGAAAAGGAACATACTCTCTAACCCAGTGATTCTCAGCTTGGGAGGAACAGGTAGATTAAAATAACAGGGACATCCTTGCTCCTCCCTTTTAAAAAGCACTGTCACTAGGAGACACTGATGCTGACAAGTGTTCTCTCATGTGTCCTGGGACAGAAAAAAAGATTTAGAACTATTTATCTGGTATAAAACTAATTTTACAGATAAAGAAGTCAGGCTCACGTAAATTAAACAATTTGTTCACACCCGTTTAACATTATTTGCAAATTAATAATCACCTACACCTAGTGTTGACTGGTTTCAGGTTCCTAACTAAAAAGATGTTTGGAGACCTGCCTGAAATCAGAAAACCAGATGGCCTTTTAAGGTTTATCTCCTTATAATCCTAATCGCTCCCCCATACAGATAGATCATTTATCTCTAAATGACATCAAATGCAAGATGTTTGAACATTTTAATACTATCATTGACATAAAATAGGGTACTAGTTAATAAAAACTGTTGCCTAGGGATAATGTTCTTAAATGCAATCCAAACCATCAAGTTCGGTTTCTTTCTTCACATAAAATCCTCAACTGAATGTAAGAAATATTACAAGGGAGAATTTTTAAAAGTAAACTTGTGGCATTAAGTAATTTCAATTTTAATTAGTATCTCTAGAGATGTGAAACACTAATGTAGAACACTAGTTTTTGTTTTAAATTAAAAATGCCTTTATAACTCTTAATCAATATTTTGGAAGTATTCTGAATCAAATTGAAATCTAAAAATTTATTCCACATTTAAAAATATATAAAGAAAAGGAGGAAAATATAGGATACAGAAATGTATGTATAATATAACCTTAACAACATAAAGAATAGAAACGCATAGACAAAAACTGAAAAAATAAGGCAAAGATAAATTATGTTATCTCAAGGTAAGAAAATCATGAGTGACCTTTTTCCCTTTTATTACATTAATATATTACTCTGACATTGTGAAAAGGTGATCTGAAAGATTTCAAAATGGGGAATTTTTTTATATTTATATGGCTTAGAAACATTCAAAACAAATTCACAACAGATTTTTAATCTAAGACAAATTCACAATTTAAAGTCATTCAGATCAAAATGCCTTGGTGAAAACAACATTCAAGCTTATTTAAAAACAAACAAACAAACAAAAAAAAAAAACAGGGGTTTTCCAGGTACGTACACTTTTGCCATCAATTGCTATTTTTCCTATAAATGTTTCAATATGCCAGTACATACAGATACACGTACACACACACAAATTAAGATTTTCAAAATTTCAAAGAAATCAGTGCTAAATTTCCAATGAAAAAAACACTACTTAAAATATGAAATCATTTCACTGAATCTGACTAAACATTTAAATTCTAGTTACCAGATGTACATTCAGAAAGTACACCACCTCGGCTATGGAGAATAAACCACTTCCTTCAATAGCACTGTTGCATTGGCTGTGATTTATTTGTTATGAATTATTTTCTCACTTTAAAGCAGCTTTATAGCATAACTTGCCTCATCAAATCCATTATAAAGCATCCAGCCTCCTATCACACTAGAAGAAAACAACCTAAAAGATTCACTGAGACCAGATTTCAATTTTATGTAAATAACACTGAACCAGCAATTTTTTAAAACAAAGACATTTAAATAAATTCAATCTACATATTACATTGGATTATATACGTTGAGGTAGTATATGCAAAATTTATAATCTAATACATGCAATGAATTTAAATTATCATATTATGACCATTCTATAGCACTAAGAATTCTTGTTACTAATAATTTTCCTTTAAAAAGGAGATTTATATTTTATTTGAAAATATTATTACTGTGACTGAAAACTTTGTTGGACTAGAAATAGGACAGCCTACAAAACAAGGCCTTTTTGCTTTACAGAATGAAAACAGTATACAACCTTCAAAAAATAACAAGGAAAAAAACCCACACTAAACAAATACATTGGTGTTTTTTTACCATTCTGCCCTAGGACTTCTCTTTCATTTATCCCAAACTCTCTCTGAGAGATCTCATTTATATCCCCATCCCTGGAACTATCTACCCTTGCGTCCCTCCCTAATAAATCACATTAATTCTTCTGTCCTAAGCTTGGGCATATTATTTATAAGCAAAGCTAGGAATGTGTATTTGAGAAATATCTCCTCAGCAATGCAGAATAATCTAAATTGAGTAAGTACCAACCACGCACCAAGAAATGCTATAATGACTTAATATATGCTATAATGGCTCATTCAGCATTGCAACCACCAGAAAAAATAAGAACTATAACCCTACTTTTGCAAATGAGGAAACTGTGGCATAGTGTTAAGTAATTTGCTAAAGGCCACACAGCTAGTAGTTGGTTCAGTTGAAATCTAAATCCAAGCAGTCTAACACAAGTACCAGTGCTCTTCTAAATTAATGTGGAAACTAGCAGTGAGAATCAACTCTGGTCATAAAAATCAGAAAAATAGTGCACACTTGGAGACAAGAAAAAGTTCAGGAGAAATAAAAATTTCATAGTATGCATGAGCTGAAATAAGGAAAAAAAGGTTTATAAGGACCTTACTGAAAACTTCAAGGGTTCTAGAATCAGAGATGATAAATGAAAATTAAACTGTATTAATCAAATTTAAAAGGCATCAAAATTTATTAATATTCTGTATATTTAGGTGCCACACACTGTTTTTAGTGACAATAGAATACACATACACAGGCCTTCATAGATTCGGCGTAATCCTTATTTCAACCTAGTCTTCAACTTCTTTAATACATTTTACCTTTGGGATTTTCAGAAACATGACCTTAAAGACAGGGAGAGGTTACTCCATTTGAATAATCCTTAAAAAAATTCTAGTTTTAAAAAAGACATACAATAAGATCATTGTATATCTCCAGATATAATACATTATTTCCAAACACCATTTTGAATTCATGTGTGAGCAAGATGGCTTAAGAAGACTTAGTAATGGCACCAATATCCAGAAATAACTCCATAGTAACAAATATAATGAATTTTAAAGCAATTAATAAAGGAAAAGGAAATTAATATTGTTTAGGGACTGCTATGTAGATGTATAACTATTGTAGTTTGATCTAGCTTGACAGTGTATTATGGGGAAAAAAGGAAAATGAAAAATATAATAGGCCTTTTATTTACAAAAGCATAATCAAAAATCCCTATATGTATGTGTCTATTTTTATAAATGGTTATGTGAAAGAATATATATCAGACTGTTGAAATGGCTAAATGGAGAAAGGGGCAACAGGTAAAAGGGCCTATATAAAAACATTATGAATGATTAAAAAAAACCCTCCAAAAAAAAAAAAAATCAGTGGAAGTAACTTGAGTACCTCAATTCATTAGACTTTAACATAATAATCCACTTTTTAACAGCATTTGCTCCTTAAGTGGTAATAAAAGAACACTATTTCTTTGAACTAAGTTCAATGATCATTTCCTGGGCATTTTCCATGAGCAAGACCTTATGACAACTGCATCATATGGGTTATTTTACTTCTCAGAAACTTGTAAGGTAGACATTATTTTCTCATGGATAAATGGTATTTTTGGCAATGCCAACCTATAACAGCATGTTCAATGCACTAGGGACACAATTTTCAGGGACACAAGGTAATTGCCATAAACAGGCCCAAGAAAAACTGCATAATTTATCTTTTATCCACTGTCAATGAATGAAAACTTCAATACAAATACAAAATCCTTCAGTGGAGTATAATTATCCTTTATGAAATAACACTATCAATGCTATTATGAATAATAATTAAATTTAACAATTAGTATAATCTTTCTGAAGAAGTGTGCTAAAAGTACTATATGTACAATATGTACTATAAGTCTTAAAAATGCCCATCCCTTTTCATCCAGCAATTCCACTCTAAAATCATATCTTTTATATAATAAATTGAAAGACTTAAGTTCCTATAATAACCAGACAGCTAGACAATGGAATACTATGAAATCTAAATTTATCGGTATTAAAAAGGGTCTATGTGTGGTTGTCAGAAACTAGGGGGAGGGCAAAATGAAGAGTTGTTTAATGTTGCACATGATTAAGTTAAAATGGGTTTTTTCAAAAAGGCAGGTGACCACTTAAAAAAAAGGACTAATATACTCTAATATGTAGAAACACACACAAAGTATAAAAATGAAGACTTCAGTATTAGAAACATATTGCTGTGAATGCTGGTTCTATCCTTTACTGGTTTTGTGGTCTTGGGGAAGATGTTTACACATTCTGGAGCTTCAGATCCTCCAACTATAAAACTAGGATAAAAATAATCCCTATTCTATGTGATTATTATGAATATTAAGTGTTAGCAGATATAAAGAATTTAGTACATTTGGTGTAAAGTACTCATTAATATTGCCTACAATTACTGCTTAAATGCATCAAAATGCTACATAATTCTAGATTCCATAGGATTAGGCATGTACTTTCTCTTAAATTGGTTCTCAATAAACAATATTATTTAAGCTGGTACTTACAAAGGCACCAAGCAGGCAAATATTAATAAACTAAATTATACAGTATTTTAAATCAAACTGAATTGTTGTTTTACAATCCAAAGACCACAAAGTCATCTGAAATTTAAACAGACTAGCAAATGACTTCATTTCTTAGGACTGCTAATTTGCAGGATTTAGAAACTGATACCAATTCTCTATACATGAATGACAAGTCTCGGTTAAATAATACTAGCAGAAAAAAAGCCCTAATTTTTAAATACCTTACTAATGATAAAGCTGGTTTCCTTGACAATGGATTCAATTTTATCCCTACGATGCTTATCACTTAACAAGATTAAACTGTTACAGAATAAAAGTTTGTTGCAAGAAAAGTAATGTACAACAATGAAAAGGGCACTGGAGATTCAAAGAACTCTGTTCAAATTACAACTGGCTTCTTAACACCTACGTAAAATTAGGCAATTTATTTATTTTATATGAGCCTCACCTTAAAGGTTCTTATAATGACCAAATAAAACATATACAAAGCCTGACACATAGCTGATATTCAAAATGTTAATTCACCTTCCTATCCCCCCTTGAGAGGTAGCTCCCAGAACAGAAAGCTTTACAGACAACCAAGAAAAAGCAGCAGATACCATATTCAGACTGAAAGCAGTTGGCCATATAGGTACTTCTATTAAATCAGAGACCTAGCCCCTTACGAGCTACTCTAAAACTCGAGGGGAAAGTTTGTACCTCAGTTTTATGTCCCCTATGCCTAGCACGTTTTTCTAATTTAAAAAAAGGAACATGCAATAAATGCTGGCTAAGCTGAATTTTATTTGTCCTCTCCCTTCATTCTATTCTTTGGCTAAAGTACTTAGTAATATCTAGCACATTAAAAGCAGTAAAAATAATTTTTTACTAAAAGGATGTATAATTGCCTTAGAATAAAACAAGAAAGTATATACAAATATACATGTGATTAGAATTTGTAAGGTCAAAAAAAAAAAAAGCAAGGTAATTAATGTCAAAAGAAGACTCTATATTTAACATTCATGTAATTCATAGATGGTATCAGCTGTTCATGAAGATACACAGTTTTGAGAGTCTAAAGCAAATTATTTTTAAATTAAGCAATTAGTGTTTCAGTTTTTCCAGTGTAGGTGTACATACAAAGAGAATCTTAAAACATAGCTGAGAACATTCTGAACTAAAGCTTTTTCACTGAAATAAACCACTTCCTTTACAAAGCCCACATAATTTTAAGCAGAAAGCCAATTAATTCTGGTTACCTGTATAAGTATAAAATTCTCCTAATTGTCTAAATAAAAATACTCAGTGATGAATAAATTAGTGAAAAAATATTTTCATTGAAAATTATATTTAAAAGGGAAAACCAAAAAAGATGCATTAAATATGACTGTTAACAATCTACTAAAAAGGATTAAAAGATGCATTTTAAGTGCATTATTGAAAAGTTCATATAGATTTAGTAGTATTCATAATATCTCATATTTCTTTGTAACATAAACTTTTCAAATTAATCACAGGATTTATTTCCAGGATAAGGATAAAATCTCATAATACATTTGACCTAAGCAGGAAAAAAAAAAAAAGAGGTTGCATCTCCTCATAAAAATCAAATGTTACTATGTTTCCCATTTACTGATGAGATACATAGTGATGATATCTAAGAGAAAGACAAATACAGCAAAATAAACAAGTAGAAAAAAATGATCTTAGGGAAATTGTTTATGGCTGTTCTTTATCTTTTTTTTTTTTAAACTTCTTGAAGTTCCCTACTGAAGAATAGGGAACAACCTGCCATTAAGAACCAAAAGTGGCCGGGCACACTGGCTCACGCCTATAATCCCAGCACTTTGGGAGGCCGAGGCGGGCAGATCACGAGGTCAGGAGATCGAGACCATCCTGGCTAACACGGTGAAACCCCGTCTCTTCTAAAAATACAAAAAATTAGCCGGGCGTGATGGCGGGCGCCTGTAGTCCCAGCTACTTGGGAGGCTGAGGCAGGAGAGTGGTGTGAACCCCAGAGGCGGAGCTTGCAGTGAGCCGATTTCGCGCCACTGCACTCTAGCCTGGGCAACAGAGCGAGACTCCATCTCAAAAACAACAACAACAAAAGAACCAAAAGTATGATAATCATCACCTGAGATATAAATAATATTAAATAGATATTTGCATACAGACATACTATGTAAAGTTTAACAGATTATTAACACTATGAAATGGCAAAACAATGCTAGAAAGAATATAACCTCATCATATAAAATTAGGCTTTACTTTCTAAATAAAAGCTTTATTTGAAGGGAAAACTAGATAAAATTCAAAAGAAAAGGAAAATGATATATAACAGGTTTCTAACCAGTATAGGTAGACCACTATTACAAAGCACACCTTGTCAAAAATAGTAGCTCAATTATAAAATATATTTCTTCAAACCAAGCAATACTTTTAAACAATCATCTTAATGATCTGATTAGTATAAACATTTATCAGCTACTTTATTTGTGAGGCAATGGAAATATCAATTTTGAAAACTGTAAAAAATGTCCAATTTAAATTATACATGATACTTTTTCCAGATTTTTAGACCAACTATTTTTCTCAATGCTCACTTTTTTTTAACACTATTTTTTCAATGAAATAAAATTAATCCAGTGGTAGAAAAAGCCTCAATAGGAATCGTTAAGAGTGAAACCTCGCTCCACATAATAATATCTACTCTGTTGAAAACTATCTTCCAGTTGACTAATTATAAAATTTTAATCCATAAATAATATTTTTCTGAGAAAAGGGTCCCTTAAAACAATAATGATGGGCCGGGCACAGTGGCTCACGCCTGTAATCCCAGCACTTTGGGAGGCCGAGGCGGGCGGATCACGAGGTCAGGAGATCCAGACCATCCTGGCTAACATGGTGAAACCCTGTCTCTACTAAAAATACAAAAAATTAGCCAGGCATGGTGGCGGGTGCCTGTAGTCCCAGCTACTCCGGAGGCTGAGGCAGAAGAATGGCGTGAACCCAGGAGGCAGAGCTTGCAGTGAGCCGAGATTGCACCACTACACTCAAGCCTGGGTGACAGAGTGAGACTTCGTCTCAAAAAAAAAAAAAAAAAAAAAAACACAAAACAAGAATGATGTATGAATTTTAATTTCTGAATTTTCCTGTGGAAGAGTTTGTGTTACTCAGTTTTATACTCTTGGGGGTGTTTTTTTTTTTTCTTGGTAGGTTTAAGGTGGCAAGGGAAATAACATCAGAAAACTAAGATTATTCCACAATTTTATTACCCAAATATGCGCCTTTTTAGCAGTTCATTCATGGGAATGTATAACATAATTATAAAATAACATTTTAAGGTTATATGTATTTGCTGTTAACAAAATGAACTAAAATGTTGTCTAAATTAAGATATGTTAACATTTAGTATATTATTTTAGAAGTTAGTTCTAATTTATTACCAGAAGAGGCTAATTTTATGTAAATACTAAGAAGTTCACATTCCAAAACTATAAATATATTAAAATACTAAAAATTGCTCTGAATTGGGGGAAAAAAGAGAAATCTTCTTCCGGAATGCTTAGTGGCATCAAGTTGACATGATACTGGAACCATTATACGTAAGCTCCTAAATCTTTAGGACAAGGCCTGCTGTATCACATACTAAGAAAGAAATTATCACAAGCCTCTCAGATCACTCTAGTTTCACAGTTGAAAAGGGGGTATCTAATCTAACAAGTGCCCTTGGAAAAATACATCCAGTTTAAGAGCCAATGCAAAGATGTTTCTATCCCAATCTTCTTCCAAAAAACACCCATCCCATTTTCCCGAAAGAGAGCAAGAAAAACAGAAAACTGTACTTTCAAAAAAGTAGGAAACAGTCATAACACCAAAGCACAAACTATGAAGAACTTCTTACCAAACAGAAATGTGGATCAAACTGAGAGCACATGAGAAACATAGGACTCCAGATTCTGTCCAGAAGCCAGAGTTCTCCAAAGTTGGAGGCGTACCTCTGAAGGACCCAACAAAAGAGTCATCAAGAAAATAGCAACAGTGAAGGCTAAGGAAGAATCTCAGAACCCATCCACACCAAGCAAGGAAATCATAAAAACCTTCTGAAGAGAATTTCACTTAGCCTTTCACTGCTTCTGTTTTGCCTCAGAGACAAAATTGACAATGCTGACAAAACTGCTGCAACATGACCTAAGGATAAACAGCAAGTTCGAGAGTACAAGGTGGTCCGAGCTCAGTCACCACACCCCTCCCATTATTCTTTATAAAATGCTGTCAAAAAAGAAATCCCTCCCTTTTCAAATATTCAAAGAGGGCATGACATAGAAGCTATAGGTAGATACTCTAAGAATAAATATGGAGGAAAACAAGGTAGATGAAGAATATATAACAGTTGAATGTAAAAAGAAAAAGACAGGGTTTTTGAAGTTTTATGATATCAAATATAGCAAAGAAAATACAGCCTCTGACAGAAGAGCTTGGAAAAAGAAAGACAGGATAAAATAAAGATGATAAAAACAAATAGGAGGAAAAATTGAAAAGTAAGCCAGCAGGGCTCAGGAGAAGAACAGAGGGAGAGTGGGAAACTCTGTAGAAATAAAAGCCGCACTGGAGGTGGCAGAATCGAGGTAGCTAGTTAGCAACATGCAACAATAGAAAACAGTAGAGCAACAGCTGCAAAGTCCTCCAGGAAAGAAAGAGTAATGCTAAACTATTCTTTTCAATTTGTCATGCAAATATAGGCCACAAAATCACTTTAAAAATAACTAATAAACTGTTTTTAAAAACTGTTTAATAAATTGTTTAAAAAAATAATTGTTTAAAAGCTAATAAATTCAGTTAACAGAAGTTTAAATATACTATCAAAGGTGTAAAGGTGAACACCTTACCTAAGAATTTAAAATATTAACAAAATTAATGAGAAATAGAAAAGGGGTAAATTGTAAATGTTCACATCTCCATTTTTAACAGTGAGAGATCAATATACATTGTTTAAAGTTGGTGAATTTAAAAAGTTAAAGTATGTTATTACATGATAAAAATAAACTATAAAATTTCCAAGTTATCAAAGAACACACAAAGATAAAAACAAACACAAATCGTATCAAAATATGTAAATATAAAAGACAACAACTTTTTTTAAAATGACAGACATTATTATCTGGTCTATTAATAACATAAATGAGAAAAACCCATCTATTAAAACAAAGACTCTCTATCCAAACCCAAGTATATACAAGTACAGGAGATACAACTAAACCAAAGTCACTCAAAACACTAAAAGCAAAAGAAGGGATGAATAAAACTTAGAGAAAGCAGCAATCATGATATTAATGCTAAACTGAATTTAAGGCAAAAATTGAAAAACTAGTAAAAACGGAAATTTAATGAAAAATTCAAATGCACAGAAAGTTCATGTATCTTTATATATCAAATTTTACAGGGTAAACTCTCCAGGCAATATGAAATAAAAATGCAAGAGTGTTATATATTAACTTACCACACTCAGCCTATTGCCAATCCAAAAAAAAAAACAGATTATAAGAATAATGAACAGGCCGGGTGGGGTGGCTCAGGCCTGTAATCCTAGCACTTTGGGAGGCCGAGACGGGTAGACCACTTGAGCCCAGGAGTTCGAGACCAGCATAGGTAAAGTGGCAAGATCCCATCTCTACTAAAAATAAAAAAATTAGCCAGATGTGATTGCAGGCACCTGTAATCCCAGATATTCGGGAGACTGAGGCCGGAGAACAGCTTGAACCCAGGAGGCGGAGGTTGCAGTGAGCCGAGATTGCGCCACTGCACTCCAGCCTGGGTGACAGAGACTCTATCTCAAAAAAAAAAAAAAAAAAAAAAAAAAAAAGAAAAGAAAAAATAGCTAACAGAAAAGTATTGTATTTTGTATTCTGCAAACAGAACAGTATTGTTGACAAATGCCTATGAAACTACAGAGAACTACACTGGGCCACAAACTCAATAAACAGAGTACAGATCACACACTCTGATAAACAGTATAATAAAACCAGTAATCATAACAAAAATAACAAAACTCCCCAGCAACCAAAATTCTAAAACTCTCTTGGACTCTTGGCTTAAAAACGAAATGAAAATTAAAATTGTGGATTATCCAGAAAATAACAGTAATTCTAAAAGAACCCATCAGCCACTGCAAATGTAGTATTCATAGGAAAGTAAGATATAATTAAATAAGAAGAAAGTGGGAATGATGAATATCAACTTTAAAATATTAGGAAGGAACAAGCAAAGGATGAGGCTAGATTCCAATCTAACAGTTTATTTAAATAGAGATCTGAAATTTACATGGCAAAATGTTAGCTTATTAAAACCAAGTGCTAGTTCCATGAGTGTTTATTATATTATTTTCTGCATTTTTCTGTTAGAAATTCCATAAATAAAAACTCATTTTTTTTTTTGAGACAGTCTCACTCTGTCGCCCGGGCTGGAGTGCATTAGCACAATCTTGGCTCACTGCAACCTGTCCCCACACTCAAGCAATCTTCCCACCTCAGCCTCCCAAGTAGCTGGGATCAAAGATGCGTGCCACCACACTCGACTAATTTTTTTGTATTTTTGGTAGAGATGGGGTTTCACTATGTTGCCCAGGCTGGTCTTGAACTCCTGAGCTCAAGCAATCCACCTGCCTCAGCCTCCTAAGCGCTGGGAATACAGGCATGAGCCACCGCGCCTGGCCATAAAAACTTTTAAGATGAATTAAAAATGCATGTATGTTAAATATTCTACTCAGAAGGGTAGGAAATGAAAAGCAAAAAACATAAGGAAAATACATTAAGTCATACCCAAACTTACAAAGTAATGAATTAAACCAGGAGAACTAATTACAGATCTTGGAACCAAAATTTAGGGAAGAAAAAAACAAATTGCAAGGTAATAAAAAAAAAAAAAATGCTGGGCAGAGAGAAAGGGGAGACTAGAGGAGAGAAAACCATACTGAAAATGAGAATAGAGAAGTAACTACAGACACAGAAAAATCTAAAAGAATAAGACAATGTTTGGTACAATGCACAACAAATACATTTGTCACCTTGGATGAAATGGACGTTTTTCTAAGAAAATTAAAACTTTCAAATTTGACCCCAGAATCTTCAAAAAGATAAATCCTATCATAAAACAAATCATTTCAATGCTACTGAATTATTTGAAGATGAAATCATTCTAAATTTTTTGTAAAACCATCACAAGAAAAACCAAAATCCAAAGAGCATACACATACACACGAATGCAAGTAATTTTATGAATAGATGAAACCATCTTAAATGTTAGCAAATAAAATCCATCACATTAAAAGAATAATCCACCATGACCAACTGGAGACGGTTCTTCATCATAAGACTAGAACAATACTAGAAAATCTACTAAGATAATAATAATGTCTAATGTTATCTAAAGCCTTTGGCATCTCTGGAGACAGTATTTTTTTCCTTCAAAAATCTCTTGCTAGCAGTAAATACAACAACAAAAATTATAGCTGGATCTTCTTCTTTTTTTAGTAACAAGACAAGCTGTTTCTAAAGCTCATATGGGAAAAAGAGGCATGTGAGATAACTCAGAAAAACTATAAAAAGGAGTGAAAAAAATAAGACAGCCTACCAAAAAATAGGTACTAAAAAGCTATAGTAATTTAAAAAGGTACTACAATAAATCCATCTTTCCATAGAGAAAAGATGGTGGAGAAATGGGATTCCTATGTTAGCCCTTAATAGCAGCTAAATCAAAGATACAAATGTAAAATAATGAATCTGACACAGATATGAGAAAAAATAATATTTTTTCAAAAATTATCTTGTAGTGGAGCATAACTTTCCAAAACCCTTAAGAAAAAAAGCTAATAAATCTGAATATATACAAATTCAAAATCTATCTTCTAACAAATGACCTGACACACTAGAAATCAGAAAGTGTTTTCCATGCATATAACAATTTTATGACTAATTTCCTTAGTATATAAATATGCATATGTGGATCCACACATATACATACACATACACACACACATACACAGACACATACACCTTAAAAAATCATGAAATGAGAGATAAACCAGCAGAAAAATGGGCAGATTAAGAATAGACAGGAAGAAAAATATAGCTTTATATATAAGAAATATAAATAAATGAAAAAACATTTTCCAATTATCAGGTTGGTATAATAACAAAAGAAATAATACCCCTATCTATAAGAATTTGGGCAGAAATGCTCATAAACTAGTGGGAGGGAAATCAATTTCTATTAAGGGCAATTAGGCAATATCTATCCAAAACTTTCAAGTATATAAACTCAATTTCTAGAAATGTAGGATGCTCATTTATTATTAGCAATAACAACTGGAACACTTAAAATGTTCATCAATAGAGGCTGTTTAAATAAATTATGGTACAATCATATTACAGAATTCTAGGTAGCTGTTAAGAAAGAATGACATTGATCTGTATATGGCAGCAAAGTTCTGCAAAATGCTTTATTAAGTGATACATATATAAGTGTTACAGTATATTCTCCATTTGTATAAAAATGTATACGTACATTCACATATGTGTAACATGCTAGGGAAACCTTTGGAAGAATAAAGAAGAAACAGTGTATTTACAGTGGCTTCCTCTAAGGAACAAGATTGTGGGACCATATTAGGAGACAGACTCAATTTTTACTTAAAAGCCTTGCCTACGTTTATGTGCCAGACATATTCTGAGTTGGGAATACAGCAATGAATACACAAAATTCCTGTATTTGTAGAACTTACATGGAAGAGGGGTGGAGGGAGAGCAGAGAGAAAACATAACAAAAACAAGTGTATATACAACAAACACAGAGGATACAAGTGCTGTGAAGAATAAAGCACAGTTACAACAGAAAGTCTATGTATGTGTGGGAGAGGAATTATGACTTCACATGGGGTGGTAATAAAGGGAGAACGGTGAACTATGGGTGCATATGAAAGTTCCCCTACCCCATGATTGAGAGTAAAGTGATATCGAAACTGCAATTCAAACAGTGATTAGCCAGGAGGGAAGGGGGAGAGAAAAAAGGCAAGCACTATAGAAGGAGAGGAAACTCAGGTAGGTGTTCTTGGGTAGGTCTGGGTAAACAGGTACAAAACAGAAATGAGTTCATAAAAGGGCTCAGGAAATAAAAGGATTTAGATAGGGAGACAGAAAATTAGATCTTTAGTTTAGAAAACTTATTCTGGCCGAAATAAACTGAAAAGTCAAGAAACCAGTTAGATGTTTAGGTAATTCTGCTAAAAGCTAATGGCCTTTAAGAGGAAAAGTAACAGTAAATAAAATAATGAAAACAAAAGTAACAATAAAGATGTAACAATAAAGAGGAAAAGTAACAATAAAGAAGAAAATAATAAAGAGGAAAAATAACAATAAAGAGTAGTGGGCCAAAAAATGTACAGTTGATTCTCATTATTCACAGGTTCTACATTTGTGAATTCACCTAATCACAATTTACTTGTAATCCCAAAATCACTACTCACTTTTGCAATCACTTGTGGACATGTGCAGAGCAGCGAAAAATTTGAGTCATCCAACATGCAATTTCACAGAAGGTGACGTCGGCCTTTTTGATACAGCTCTCATACTGTAAACAAATGTCCTTTTCATGGTCTACTTAGTGTCGCATTTTTTCCAGTTTTGTACTTTTTGTTGGTAATTTTGTACTTTTTGTTGGTAATTTTTAAAATGGCCTGTAAGTGTAGTGCTTAGTATTCTAAACACAAGAAGGCTAGGATGTGCCTAACAAATAAAAGATATTAGATAAGGCATGACTTCCAGTGCTGTGGGCCATGAGTTCGGTGTTAATGAATCCATGCTATACACATCCATTAAATAAGGTGTCTTTAAATAGAGACACATATAAAACAATGTTATGTATTCACTGATTGATGAAAATGTTATGAGAGGCTCACAGGAACCTACCTCTGTATTTCTTGTAGGAGCAATGGTTCAGTATTCATTAATTCAGTGTTCGTAGTGACTATAAAACATAACTACTGCAAATAACAAGAGTCGACTATATATGTATGCATATTATGTGCACACACACATACATTTACTTATTTATAAGGTGGGAATAACAGGAATGGTAATCAATTATGAGTAGCAGGTGAAGAGAGATGAACCAAGGATGATACTAGATTCCTGATTTTGGTTAACTAGATGGTGACAGTAATAACAAAGACGGGAAACAGAAGAGAAGGTGGCACCTTGGATGAGGAAGACAAAGGTGTCAGCTTTGAAGGGTATAATATGCCACACTGCAATAAAGATAATCATGTGCTGAAGTGTGCATATATCCTCCTCCCCTTTGACGTAAGAATCATATCTTTGTTCATCTTGGGTTATATCCTGCAACTAAACTGCTTTCCTTCACTCATCCAATATAAATTAGGCATGTCAATGTCGGAAATAAATACGCATTTTATCAGTTTTGTTTTTTCTTTTTTTTTTTTTTGAGATGGGGTCTCACCACACTGCCCAGGCTGAACCTGAACTCCTGGACTCAAGTGATAATCCCCCTGCCTCAGCCTCCCAAACAGCTCAGACTACAGGTACATGCCACCATACCCAGCTTATCATTTCCTTTGCCTTGCACTGTCATCTCTGCAATTACATCACCAATATTCATCACAACCTATACTTAAAGAGTGTTTCTATGTGAGTCCTAAAAAGTAAAAGAATATATAAAATTTTACCCCATGGAAGGCAAGAATTCTAAATGCTAAATACCTTAAAATAAAATTTTCACAACCAGGTAGTTTGTTTTTTAATTTGTTTATAGAAATAAAACAGTACTTTCAGCATAAATGAGTAAAAGACCATTCAGAAATATCAAGTTTATATAGAAAATCCTAATGGATAGATTGTATGTTTTTACATTTGATTTAGGAAAATCTCAGAATTTTAATTTCTTTCAATGTAGCTTTTACAAAATATATATATTCAAAATGTGACAAATTTTTTACAATCTAAAAATTAAAATTGTATAACTGCATAAGCTGAGCTTTATGTCATTATAAATATATAGGTAAAGGAAAACTAGTATAGAAATTCATATTAATCCCTCCCTGTCTAGTCCACATTTATATATAATCTGTTTATATATAAAACAATTTCTAAACTATTATAAAACTGACTTTATAACCAAATATATACCTGCATGAACACAAAAAACATGTTGATACACAGTACTTTCTCAACATACAATGTATACTTGTTTATTTGCAATGGTCCACATACAGATTCAGGGTCAATTTAAAAAGGTAAATAATCATATGAGAACTCATTATTCTTCTCTATAACCGTATTTTATCTTCAGTGGTTCCTTTTACTTACAAAAAATGAGCACCTTATTAGTTTTATCCCTGGTATGACAATTAGTTACATGACCTCCCACTGAGTACTAAAAACTAAATATAAAACACTGACTATAGTTATTAATACATATGAGAAGAAAAAGAGTAAAAGACAAGTTTAAGAAAGACAGATTCAAAGCTAAAAGGAGAAAAAGAGGTTAAAATGCCAGTTTAGTAACTAGGAAAAAGGAAAAGTTTTAAAAAGTGCTCTGTACAGAAATGAAACCCTGGTTCTTGGCAATTTATTGCAAGAAGAATCATATCCAAAAGAGCCACCTAAAGACTTTAGAATGCAAAAGGACAAAACATCCATCCATGAACAACATCAGATCTTTTAAGAAACCAAAAAGAGTGAAGAGCAAAAATTGTTTATAATGTATTTTATATCATTTAGAATATAATTACAATATTATTTCTATTTCTAAAGTAAATTATTAATGCCCTTGATCATAATGCAAATAAAAACAGCTTTGCATCTTAAAATTTACAGCTGAACTGGAAAATAAAGTCAACTAAAACACGTAGCATACCTGAGCTACTAAGACAGCAATCAATAAACAGCAGCTGGTACAGAATATACACTTAGTGCCAACAATCATCACAAGGAGTGTATTCATGAATAAGCAGACACTTGGCTTTTTACCAAGGATCGATGGCCAAGGGTGGAAGGTGGAAAGGTCTGCTCAGTTCCACCTTCGCAGTCTCAAAGAGACTGTGACATTCCCTTAGTCAACAGGGCAAGTACTTGTCATGTACATGCCTGACAGACCAGCAGCCAAGCCAAGGAAAATAGGAAGCCTGGAAACCTATTTAAGGTATTGTTGCCTTCTCTTACCACCCTATAATATCTAATTTTTTCCCCACCAAAAGAATCTCATACCTAGTAGTTACAACCCTAATCAGCCAACAAATGGAGACCTAGTTCACCCTAGAAGGTCTACTATATGGTTTTAAAAGTATTGCATTTCCACTTGAAAATTACTTTGTTATAAAAGAAGGTAACACAATAGTGCTGCTATTCAACTACAGTGTAGATTACATAAGTATTTGGGGATTCATGTGCAATGTGGACCACTTGTGCAGCACCTAACCTATCAGTAATTATCATCAGTTACAAACTCTTATAATTCAATTAATTCACTCCTAAGTTGGAGACTGCTAATATATACATCTAGTTCAGTCATATACTAATTCAAAGTTACTAAAATGTTTGATCAAGGTTCAAGACCAGAAAAACAATCTCAACCACTGGGATAACTCAAATTTTAAAATCATTCACAAAATATAGCTTGTGATTTAAATGATGTCCTAAGCATTAGTATTATGGTGCACTGATACATTCAATTAAAAACAAAAACCTGAAGACAACACAAGAAATCAAGAAGTGTTTGGTTTAAAAAAAAAAAAGACATAATGCCATCTTAACTTTTCCCATCAAAATACTGAATATAAAAACATGACACAGATTAAAATTTTAGAATGTCATTCTGAAAATAAACAGAAACAAAAGTAATACAAAAAATTATCAAATGCACAGTAAAGTAGCTGCCAGAGAAAAAATATTTACTAGGAAAAGACCAGCCTTTTCATTTTCATTAAAAAAAATATTTGGCCAGGCGTGGTGGCTCACACTTGTAATCCCAGCACTTCGGGAGGCCGAGGTGGGCGGATCATCTGAGGTCAGGAGTTTGAGATCAGCCTGGCCAACGTGGTGAAACCCCGTCTGTACTAAAAATACAAAAATTAGCCAGGTGTGGTGACACGCACCTGTAATCCCAGCTACTCGGGGGGCTGACACAGGAGAATCGCTTGAACCCGAGAGGCGGAGGTTGCAGTGAGCCGAGATCATGCCACTGCACTCCAGCCTGGGGAACAGAGTGAGACTCTGTCTCAAAAAAACTAATAAAATAACATTTTAGATACTACTGTATTATATTTTTCCAAGGAATACTAATAATATCTCCATCATTTTATGCAAAGGGCCATTAATTCCTAAGTAGCATTTTTCCTTGGTATTCCTGATTTCTAGAAATTATTCATTCAAGTTGGTCAGATGTTATTCTTGGCATTGATAACTCATTCTACTGATTCCTCCCTTTAAGGCAATGGTTCTCGAACAGAAATACACATTTTGGGGAATAATTTTGAAAATACACATTCCCAAATGCCATTCCACAGAGACTGCTTCAGCATATATGGAGTGAAGCCACAGTATCTGTGTTCTGAAGTAATTCCTCCAGTGATTCTGATTGCTAGTTGAGAACCACTGCTTTAAGGGATGAATTACATAATTATTCTACTGATTAGAAAAGCTTCTATTGATCCTGCATTGCTGAAACTTTGTCACTGTGGGGCACACAACTGTCAGTAGCAAAAAGGAAAACTCCACATTCCATTACTTATTGTAAAGAACAAGTTAGGCCGGGCGTGGTGGCTCACACCTATAATCCCTGCACTTTGGGAGGCCTAGGCGGTGGATCACAAGCTCAAGAGATCAAGACTATCCTGGCCAACATGGTGAAACCCCGTCTCTACTAAAAATACAAAAATCAGCTGGGCGTGGTGACATGCACCTGTAGTCCCAGCTACTCAGGAGGCTGAGTCAGGAGAATCACTTGAACCCGGGAGGCGGAGGCTGCAGTGAGCGTCACTGCACTCCAGCCTGGCGACAGAGAGAGACTCCATCTTAAAAAAAATAATAAGAACAGGCCGGGTGCAGTGGCTCACGCCTGTAATCTCAGCACTTTGGGAGGCCAAGGCGGGCGGATCATGAGGTCAGGAGATTGAGACCATCCTGGCCAACACGGTGAAACCCCATCTCTACTAAAAAAAATACAAAAAAGAAAAAAATTAGCCGGGTGTGGTGGTGGGCACCAGTAGTCCCAGCTACTCTGGAGGCTGAGGCAGGAGAATGGCGTGAACCTGGGAGGCGGAGCTTGCAGTGAGCAGAGATCGCGCCACTGCACTCCAGCCTAGGCAACAGAGCGAGACTCTGTCTCAAAAAAAAAAAAAAAAAAAAAAAAAAAAAAAAAAAAAAAAGCAGCAGCAGCAGCAGAAGCTAAAGAGATCTGGTAAAATTCTCCATTCAAAGAACATGCAACCATACTTGAAAACACTTTTTATATATTTATTTTAAAGTGTATACTTAGGACAAATGGTTTTTAAAAATGTATAAAAATAATTCACATATTAATCCAACTTCTATATTTACATGGTCCCTTAAAAGATTTTCATTTTATTATTATCAAAAATGTATTTCAACAATCTCCACAGTACTCTCAAAAGTCAGGAATTTTAAGATTTTCTAATAGAAAAATTTTAGTATTTACAGAAAAATAATGAAACTAGGAATTATATCATATTTTAAAATATAACATCTCAGTTATGCTGTGCCACATAAGAATAATCTTCACACTAAACTATAATAATCCCAAGTGCTGGCATTTTCGTTTAAGAACAAAGCACAAAAATATTTCATAGAAAAAAATATTTCATTATAAAAAACATAGAAAGTTGAATGCTTCAAACAAAAATATATGAGGTCTGATTTCACAACATCAAGTTTCCATATCCACTTTGTAAACATATACTCAGTATAGGTTACCAACTTAAATAAAGCCAGTTATCACTGAAAGAAGACATAGTTAAAAAAAAAATCAGTGCAAAAATACGTATCAACTAATCAACTGACCTACGACAATTTTCATAAAAATCAGAATTTGAATCCCATAATATAAAGTGATCCTCTGAAGACTTTAATTAAAAATAAAAAGCTCTACAACAGCAATCAAGTTTTCCTTTTGTTACTATTCTCTAGTAAATGCTTTTTTTTGATTAGCTTTTACAATGTCATCAGGTGATGCTGATTTGAAGTCAAATGGTGTTATTGCTACAAGTGGACTTATTTCTTTGTCCTTTACATCTTGAACTTGTCTACTATAAAGAAAAGTCTTATAGAGGTCAAGGGTGCGTCGCTTGCAGCTTTTCAGTGGGTAACGAAGACACAGTGTTGAGGCAAAAGCTGAAGGTCTAGCAGCAAGGGCCTTGGTCCAAGAGAGAGAAAAAGGTGGTTTCCTAGTCAGAGAGCCTTTGTTGTTTTTCTTATTATCCTTAGCAAAATTGGAATTCTTCCCTAGCTTTGAACTTAGAACTTTAGTTCGTGATGATGGAGCAATGGATGGGTCTACTACAGGCTTTGGAACAAAATCTGGGTTTTTTATAAGGACACTAAGATCAATATTTGAATCTATTCCAGGAGACCTCACTTCAGATAAACTGACCTCAAAGGACTCTTTCTTAATCTGAGAGTTGTCTACATCAATTGTTTCTGCAATCAATTCAGAAAGTGACAAATTCTCAAGGTCTCTTGTGGGAGAAGCTTTATGAAATGCCAATGACGACAGAGATCCTGTTAATTCTGATATTCCGGGTGAAGACTGACAGCGATTTGCTAATTGTGACAGGGGAAAGGATCCCAAACTTAGATCTGTGAAACTGGCAGATGACTGGTTACAAAGGTCAGATAAAGTAAAGCACTGGCTTATATTGTTTTCTTTGTGTTCCTGAAACAGTTCAGTTAGGGATGGACTTTCACACTGAGAAAACTGCAAATTATCATTTTTAAAAGTGTGATTCTTGGCACTTTGTTCAACTAAAGAAACATTTCCAACTTCAGTTTCTTTACTAGCATTTAAATTATCAACAGTCATATTTTCCAACGAGCTAGTTAAGTACAAAGGATTATTTGAACTTCCTAAACTGTCCTGTACTGGAATGTTTTGAAAATCAGACAGTGAATTATTTTGAATATATAAAGAATTATTCGGTGTTGTGCCCTTTATGATTATGGTCTTTAAATCTGGTATTTCTTTGAATGCAGAATCATCTTTGGAAATGCATTCAGATGCATGAGGTCTCAACAAATCGGCATCTAGGTTCTTTGAAAGCAGACTTTCCAGACTGTCTGTAGATGATAATCTGACTGATGGCTGACTTTCACAGGAATCTCTTGACATATCATGAATTAGGTTAGCTAGTGAAAGTTCTTTTGTTAACTTACATGATTCTAGTTTCTTTTCACTTTTACGTGTGTCAAGTTTCTTTTTTCTATGGAGTAAACAGTGAGTTGGAACTGAAGAATTATGAGATAATCCGTATTTTCCTACTGAGCTAGCAAAATCAAAGGGTTTGCTACTATAATCCAAATGATTTGCTGACTGAGGATAAGAACTTTGAACATTATCAGCTGAAACTTCAGAAGAAGAAAATAAGACTCCTTACCTTACAAGAGCCATTAATTTTCAGATGAATAGGTTGATATACGCAGAAGACAGTCACAGCAACCAAAAGGAAACATGAAATGAGGCATTTAATTACTAAATGCTTCTTTTGATTATGACATGAATAAAGTGATACTTGATCATTACTTAACATGAATACTCTAAAAAACAATAAGGGAGTATTACCTTCCTTTACCAATTTAAAGTAACCTTTATACTCTGTTCACTGATACATACAATGTAAGTCAGTCAATGTTCTAATTTTCACGAATTTAAAAATGTGAGGTCTTAACCATAATTAAATTGTAGTCAGGATTGTCTCAAATTCAAAAACTTCTTTAAAAAAACAAAAAAAACTAGGTTCCTTTTATTCTGTATTTTAATGTATTAGAAACAAATAAGCAAACAACCCCCGGTAATTTCTACCACAATCTGGGATACACTATCAATACAAGATGACATATTACAGACTCATTCCCATCACAGCCAGTTACAAGTGCCCATCTGTGTGCCCAGCATCCCTGGAAAACACACTCTTATTTCATGGTAACAGGCTGTACACAGCTTTGTTGTAGAAAAAATTTAGCCCAGAGGTTACAACAAACACTGACATAGTAAACAAATCGCCATACTCAAACTGAGAGATAGCATGCCAATTAATATAATGCTACCACCTCAGTTCCCCTCTTATGTCCACTGAATTCCAAATTTAACCCCAAATTTTACAAATTTAAAATTAAATCTCTGGCTATAAAATGCAAAGTAGTATAATTATGATACTTATACCTAATTATTTTTAAATAAAACAAAATTATACATAATAAAAGCATAAAGGGATTTTTTTAACATTAATTAGCTGGCTGTCAATTTCCTTTTCCTATCTCATCAGAGTTTAAAAAAATAACAATTAAAAAGTTCTATAAGCTACTAACAAGAAGAAAAAGATGTCTTGTCTTATCTAATTTTATTTCCACTATGTTGTTATAAAATCAACTAGTGAGGCCAGGTACAGTGGCTGACGCCTGCAATCCAAGAACTTTGGGAGGCCAAGGTAGGCGGATCACTTGAGGCCAGGAGTTCAAGAACAGCCTGACCAACATGGTGAAACCCCATCACTACTAAAAATACAAACAAAAAAAAAAGCCAGGCATGGTGGCACGCACCTGTAATCCCAGTTACTTGGGAGGCTGAGGAAGGACAATCACTTGAACCCAGGAGGTGGAGGCTGCTGTGAGCAAAATCATGCCACTGCACTCCAGCCTGGGTGACAGAGTGAGACTCTGTCTCAAAAAACAAACAAAAAAACAAACAAAAACAATCAAGCAGTAAAATAACCACAAAAACAGGCTACAACAGAAGAAACACAGTCATCATCCTAAAAATCCACAACTAGATCAACTGATAATCAAAAGTTAACAATAACATGCAAGATTTTAATAGCTCAAGCAAATTAAATATTTTCTTAAAAGCTCAAGCAAACGAAAGCCTCTCTTTAGGCATTAACTATGTAAAACAAGTGAAAAAGAACAAGTAAAGGCATACCTTTTGCTATCTTTCCTGTAGATACTGTTGCCTCATTCTTGTCCTTCAAACTCTGCACTCTATCTTGTTCCAGAACCCCTGACAAAGCCTTCTGCACATCAAACTTGTTCTTCAGAACTGCTTCAATTAATATTTCATCTGGCACAGCATCTCCAAGTACCTCTCTCATGTGATCAAGGCATGAATAAAGACGAGCTAGAAAAGACGACAATGGTCAAAAGCTATACTAAATGGTGCAATGAAAGAACTTTTAATCTTCAAAACTGATTTTAAAATTTACAGCTGTACTAGAATATTCAACTCTCCCTTCTCTTTGGCAAAAATTATCTCTAATGATCGTATTTTTATCTACAATATACCTATCTTCCCTTATCCAAGGAACGATTTCGTTAATTTAAAAATCACTATAATAAAATGTCTCCTGAATAATAGTGACTAATGTTTCAAAAAAGTGTACATTGCACAGTATACACTAATATCTATTTTCAGTCACCAGTGATGATGGTATCTGCAATGATCATTTTTTGCATGTACAGAAAGGAAGGGGTGAGTGTGGAACTATTTCTAATTTGTTAGTGAATCCAGTTATTCACGAAGTATATTTCTTATATTTCTCAAGCTGCTACCTTAAGTTTCCTTTTTGGCTAACTTCAGTTCTTCCCAGCTAACTAAAATAATCCTTAATGACTCTTTAAAAAACGGCAAGATAACATAATATAAAAATGCCATAAAAATAAGAAAGTCCAGGAGATTAAGGGGAGGATAGGCATTCTTTTTTTTTTTTTTTTTTTTTTTTGAGACAGAGTCTCACTCTGTTGCCCAGGCTGGAATGCCAGTGGCGTGATCTCAGCTCACTGCAACCTCCGTCTCCCTGATTCAAGCAATTCTCCCACCTCAGCCTCCTGAGTAGCTGGGATTATGGACGCCCGCCACCATGCCCGGCTGATTTTTCTATTTTTAGTAGAGATGGGTTTCACCATGTTGTCCAGGCTGGCCTCAAATTCCTGACCTCAGGTTTCCACCTGCCTCGGCCTGCCAAAGTGCTGGGATTACAAGCGTGAGCCACCGTGCCCAGCCGGCATTCACTTTTAAAAGAAAAAAATTTAAGTCTGGAATTATCTAAGCTGTTTATGAATTTTAATTTTCTGATGACATTAGTATTAAAAGTAATTATTAATAATACTTATTAATGATTTAAAATCCATAAGAGCAGAGAGGCTTTGTATCCCTAGAACCCTTTGTATCTCTAGTACCAGGTAACTAGGGGCCAATGAATAAAAATGAATGATATATTCCCTTATATTTTTGTATAGCACTTGACAATTTTCACAATACTTTTATGTATATTTCTTTTGTAATCCTCATAATAAGTCTATGAGCTAGATATATCAAGCAAATTCTAACTTAATAAAGATAAGATTGAAAATCATGGCACTACTAAGTTAGCAATAATCAAAATAGAATAGAGGTTTTCAAACTCCCTATTCCACAAAACCATTTCACAGAATGCAATTTATATTTAATTGTACATGCTCATATGCTGAACAAGTAATCTACTGGCAATACCCTTTCTTTAAAAAAAAAAGTATTTGATACTTCTTTCATTGGCCCATTAATTATTAAAAATACATTCCTGAAATATTTGGGCAATTCTGCTTTGCTTCAATTTAAGATTAACTTTTAAAGGCTAATAAGCTATGGGATAATATTATCTCTTTGATAAATACATCAATTATTGAAACTGTAACAAAATAGTATAGCTAGCTAGCATCAGGGCCTCCTCTTTTTTATTTATTTATTTATTTATACTTATTTATTTATTTATACTTATAAAAGAAGAAAGCTAAAATATAAATATCTTCATTAAAATGTTTAAGAGAGTTGAAAATATGCAAAAACTCAGAACCGATGTCATTACCAAGTTCTATCTTGAAACTTAATTCACACAGATGTAAATCTTGAAACTTAATTCACACAGATGTAAATCCTGAGGACACTTATACAGTGTCACTTTAGACTTCAACTGGTTTTTTTTGAAACCTCTTGAACTTAACATCTTTGTAAGTAAAGGAGTTTATGTATTCTAATCATAAGCTCCATATACAGCTTATGAAACAATTAAATCATCTGAAAAAGTTCTTCTTAACGAATCACTAGAGTTTCTCTCCCATGGAAAAAAATTTTAAATGGGATAGTTCAATTAAAATTTCAGTTACTAAACAATAGCCATACAATTTTTCAATCATACAGTTAAATACACTCCTCACAAAACATACTTAATAAAACATAAACTGTCCTTGAATATGAAAGATATGTTTACATCATTACTGTTCATAGTCACTGTTATAAACACAATAAAACTGATAAATTCTGGTGTATTTGGTCATTAATCACTTTCAGATAACAGATACACTACTTTTTGCTATACCTTGATCAAATCCACTGAGCTGATGGTTTGAAACAGAATTGGAAGATTCTTTCAGATCTTCATAATCATATTCTTCCACAGGCTCAACGGAAGGTTTGTCACGCCGTGAATAAATAAACTGAGCAGCTAGAATATAAAATGATCAAAGAATGCTATGGTATAGCCATTTCCTATTAACTTTTTTTTACAAAAGTTAAAGTAAAAATTAAAAATTCTAATCAATCACCTATAGTTACCCATATTTCATAAGGGATGAAAACAAAAACAATATCATATCAAAACATATACCTAAAATCCTACTCGAAGGTGCTTACAATTTATTATTCTCTTATAATCTTCTTCCTTCTTTCCCCCAATCTCTGAAACCATTCCACTCAGCCTACTTTCTCCCTGGTTTCCAAAATCTACCTTTCCTAATATCTCTTCTTTGTATACTATTCTGTGTTCCCTGAAATTTTCTCTTCAATACAAATATTTCAAACCAAATATCAAACTTCTAATTTACATAATTAAGAAAACACAAGGTGGCCAAGCGCAGTGGCTCACCCCTGCAATCCCAGCACTTTGGGAGGCCAAGGCGGGTAGATCACCTGAGGTCAGGAGTTCGAGACCAGCCTGGCAAATACAGTGAAACCCCATCTCTACTAAAAATATAAAAATTAGCTGGGCGTGGCAGTGGGCACCTGTAATCCCAGCTACTCAGGAGGCTGAGGCAGGCAGGGGAACCGTTTGAACCCAGGAGGCGGAGGTTGCAGTGAGCCGAGATCACGCCATTGCACTCCAGCCTGGGTGACAAGAACAAAACTCCGTCTCAAAAAAAAAAAACAAAAAAAAAAAACAGAAAAGAAAACACATGAAGTGCTAATTTTGCCTGAATCTAAGAGTTCACGGAAAATACAGACTTTAATCTTTAAACAACTCATGCTTTCAATCACACACTTTCAATTATACACTGACACTGTAAACTAGTGTCATATACCTAACTTTAACTTTCAGACATCTGTGCTACTCTGCAATACTGCCAAACATCATCACTCAATATATAACTGGGTATTCATATGTATCTCATTAAGGAAAGGAAAGGCAGATTATCTAAATGCCAATACATGCCTGAGTATCATAAATGAAATACAAGTGAGCAAAGGAGAAAATCACAGGCATATCCACAGTACTAATGCTTCCAGCTCTACTGGATGGCCACTGAACTGAATCCTGGACACTGTGTTCAATTGTAAAGGAACAAAATTAAAGAATATGTTAAGAAGGACAGAAATATAGATATAATATTCAAAAGGCAAGGTATTATTAGAGGTATTATCTAGCTTTCTATAAGAGCACAAAACATGTTAAGTTCATTGACTTGTGTATAGATTATCAGGAAGATATTATTTATTAAAGGGAAGCTACATTCAAAATTTATAGATATACAATCACATTGAGGGGTAGAGAAAAAGACATCAAAATGTATAGATAATGCATAGAACATAAAGCTGCAGTGTATGTGTAACACCTATACTCGGAAGGTTAAAGCATAACCACTCTCTATTCATTGTAAAAGTCAATGGCCTTACAGATTAGAAGGGAGGGCAAAGAAGAAAAACGTAATGACTTATTCTAAAAGCCAAATGAGTAATACCAGACAACAAGCACTGCGGAAGCACAGAAGTAACCAATGAAGACTGGAGCATTATAATAAAGGAGGTAGGAATATAGGGAAAATTGAAGAGGTGGAAGAGATCCTGAACAAGGAGAAAAGAATAAGAGAAATATTAATAAAGAGCAGTTGAGAGAATTCAATCCGTTCTACTATAATGCACGTTTCCTTAAAACAAATTAGCTCATGTCAATGGGCTATGAAAGTGTAACATTGAGGATGTTATGAAATTTTATGAAATTTGTCTCCCAAAACTTCAAAGTTTTGCATCACTGCATAATAACAACACATATAAAGTCCGATAACACCAACCACAGAGAAATATTATGCTGCAAGATAATTGTATTGTAATGCCACGTAGCTCCACATTCCTCCCCTTGGCTCAGTTTGGACATGTGCCCTGTTTGGAGAGCCCTTACTGCTTGGCTCTCCAAGGTCTGTGAGCATTGTGCCTTTACAATATTATCCTTTAGTTTCAACCCTTTCTTACATCTCCTATCAAGCTTTCACCTTTTTTAAAAGTGTAAAATCCTATATTTACTGGAGTACTTATTAGGAAATTAATGTATCTTTTCAAATGTGCAAGCATTTTTATTAAGATAATTATTTCTGTTTCCACTCTATAGGTGGAGTGGTTTGTCCTGATCTTATTTTTTCCCATAAGTTGTTAATTTTAGTATATAATTCTGAAGACCACAAAGTTTTTTAAGAATGCACGTTATGTTGTGTATGTATGTATGTGTAGGGATACATATATCCCTATTTTCCCCCTCTTGTGCAAGTAGATAACAACACTGGTATAAGGTCAGCATGGCTAAATAGCAGAAGAGACATCCTATTTCATAAATTCTCTAAGAGGACAACTTTTTTCACATTACAAATCTCAGAATTAGAGATGTGTCTTTCAATCAAATGACATCTTAGCATTACATAATACTTAGACTGATAGCCTTTTGTTTTAAAGTGGTCCTTAAAATAATGATACACCTTACAATTCATGGCATTTTAGATTTAATAAAATGTGGCATAAATGATGCCCTTTGGTCCCTGGTGCTTTCCTGGCTTTAATAAACTGTATTCAGTTTCGTCTAAAAGTAACAAACATCCTTCCCCCAACTTCTCCTCCTACCCATGAACTAGGAGGGAGAAACCTAAGACAAATTAAAAAACTAAGTGAGGCATGAAATCAGATGTTTCCCTCAACAAGTTTCAGTCAGGAAATACTGACAGGGAAGAGGAAGTTTTCAATGCACAGGCTTCTCCTCTGCCTGCCAGGAGCTATTTTTTCTGTGGTGGGGTCGAGGGTGGTCCTATACGACCACACACACCCAACACATAACTCCAACTCAAAAACCCATACTGTGGCCACTATTTTGGAAGTAGTAATGGTTGGATTTGCAAAGGGTGGGTGGGGGGAAGAGTAAGAAAACTCCCCCAGGAGAAGTATTGGGTCGCTGCAAAAGTAACCGCAGGTCTTTCCATTACTTTCAAAGGGTGGGTGGGTGAGGTGGGGAGCGGTCCAAACCTCTGAAGTTGTACTGAGAGCCCCAAAAGCAACAAATACAACAAATAAAGGAGTGAGAGAAAGTAATGATGAGAAAATGGTAAATACAAAATGCTATTCTCTAAAATTTTAAATCACAAACTTTGATGGAAGTGCCTTCTGAAAAAACAGACACCTATAATTTTTAAAATTTAAGGCATTTTGACAAACATAAAAGTGCAAAGAATTCAAAACCTAACACCTGAAACTTCCTACAATGGTTTCCTAAACATCTTAAAATAAAAATCACATGAGGCATTCATTAAAAATACAGATTTCTAGGCTTCTTCCCCGGGAGATTATGACTCAGTGGTGCTGGAATGAAGCAGGAAATTTGTATTCTTAAGAATTATTCTGGCCAGGCACAGTGGCTCATGCCTGTAATCCCAGCACTTTGGGAGGTCCAGGCAGGTGGATCACCTGAGGTCAGGAGTTCAAGACCAGCCTGGCCAACATGGCAAAACCCCATCTCTACTAAAAATACAAAATTAGCTAGGCGTGGTGGCGGGCGCCTGCAATCCCAGCTACTTGAGAGGCTGAGGCGTGAGAACTGCTTGAACCTGGGAGCCAAGTGGAGGTTGAGGTGAGCCGAGATCGTGCCACTGCACTCCAGCCTAGGCTACAGAATGAGACTCCGTCTCAAAAAAAAAAAAATGATTCCCAGCAGATTCATATCACAAGGTAAGATTAAGAAACACTGGTGAACTACAAGTCTCCCCTTTATTCTGGCCCACCTATACGCCACTTTGTGGACCATGATCAGTTATCTGCACAAAATACTAGCTCCCTTACTCAAAAAACTCCAATAAGTTGACACTAAAAACACAAAATTAGAAACTGTCTTTCACAATTTCATTCCTATTTTCTTTCCTAGCCCTCTTTCCTCCTGCCACTTGCATTAATCCTGGTAGTCTGATGAAACAAGCCTCACTCAGAGGCCATTGCTTAAGCAACGTTGTTTCCTCTAGCTGGGATGCCATTCTTACTCCCAAATTTCCTAGCTTCAATCCCACCTCCTTCTAGAAGCCTTCCCAGACTCCTTCAGTCAGGGTTATTTTCTTTACCCACAGTACTGTTGTAGCAAGTTATTTGAACAAGACTTTAAACAAGCTTCCTTATACCAAACTAATTTATAAATGTATTAGAATAGTGTTTTTCTTACAAAAAAAAAAAAGAATATACAATAAAGGTGTGAAATTAGAATGGAGCAAACAAAGATTACTTCTAATCATATTAGCTGAAACAAAATACATCACCATTCAAATAAAGTTTTATATGCAAACTCCTTTTGCTACCCCCTACTCTTTGACATAGGTTCAATACTCAGTATCAATCTTTCTAAAAGAAAGAAAAGTTAACGTTTAAAAATCACCATCCTAGGCTGGGCATGGTGGCTCACACCTATAATCCTGGCACTTTGGAAGGCCGACACAGGAGGATCACTGGAGCTCAGGAATTTGAGACAAGCCTGGGCAGCATAGTGAGACCAGGAAAATTGAGCTTAATAGAATTCAAAAAAATATACACGTGCTGATGAATTTTAGAAAGAAATTCCAATTAATTGATAAAGTCTTTCAATTATCAGACTTCATTACACCATGAATACAATCAGCTTTTCAATGACATTAGCTGCTTAAGAATAGAAAATATTCTTCTAAAACCATTCATTTTTTATTGAAAATTACTTGGAAAATATACCACTATAGAGGAAAGTAAGTTTCTTATCTGATGTTACTGCTATTTTAAAATGTTTTGAAAAATTTAAAAATCCAAAGTCGTATGCTTTTGTTAAAAATCAGTTTGTCACAGAAGAAACCAAAAACATTTAACTATCTCCTGCTTTGATAAGATCAGTTGGCTTCTTGGTGTGTTTGAAAAGTAACTCTCAGAGTCAGACTGTCCTGAATACAAACCACAGGTAAGAGCCACATCAAAAGCTATGAGAGACACATGGATAAACTCCGTCTCTGTCCTCAAGGAAGCTAGGCCATAAATGCAAGTCTCAGAGAAACACCCTTTGAAGGTCTGACTTTGTACTATTACCTTATTATTCAAGATAACATAACATTTATCCAGAGAAGCCTAGATAAATGACTGGGTTAACCTGCAATATTAAGGTGTCTTTCAGTAATCCCCCCTCTGAAAGATTCCACGCTTATACAAAGCCATATTCAACCAACTTCCAAGTCCTGCAGACCTCAACTCCTGTAAATTTTCTCTTGAATGTATTTCCAAATCCAATGCTACCAACTCTTGCCCTAAACAAATGGTTCTCAATGCATACCACGAGCATACCCCAGTGGGCTTGTTAAAACATCTGCTATGCCTCACTCCTAGTTTCTGACTCTTGGGTGGAGTCCCCAACATTGCATTTCTAACAAACTCTCAAGCGATGCTGATGGTTCACTTTGAGAACACTGTCCTAAAATAGCCTCATCTCCTCTAGATAAATACATATAACAGTCTCCTAACGAGTCTACTTACATCCACCCATATACCACCTTTAATCCATTAACTATGTATTAGAGATTTTTTTAACTCAAATCTAATATAACCATATCATCTTCTCAGTTCTATATGCCATGCTCTCTAATGTGCTTAGAATGTGAGTGATGAGGATAGCACTACCAGACATCACTTTGTCACCTCTAATATTTAAGTTACCTAGTCAACTGTGATGCTGAATTATAGGAGCCCCAAAGGGCAAATGCCTAGGAGGTTCCTAGAAAAATGTGAAATTGTTTTATTCCTAAGTCACTACAAAATGTCTTCTCTTTTGAACCCCTGAATAAGGAGCTATAAAGGAATGCTGCTTATTAAGCCACCTCTCAGCTTCTAACCTACCATCCTTTACTCAGCTTTGTGATGCTGGATTGAAGTCACTGCAAAGCACATTTCTTCTTTGATACCCGGCTCCCTTTTAGGATCATCCAATAAGGAGATATGAAAGGGACACCGGAAAGCCAGAGAAGGCAGGCACATGCTCCTTTCCTTTTGCTTCTTGTTCCAGTATCACCCCAGCAATACTCACTTCACCTTCCAGAAGCAGTTTCTTCCAGTAACTGCAATTAATATCCGTTTTCAGTTTTTCCAAAACTCCCAGAACCAGCTTCAATTTGCCTCTTCACTCCCCAGACAACACGACCAGCCAGTAGGTTGGAATCCCCTCTTTAAAAGGCGGAATCCCCTCTTTAAAAGGCTGAATCCCAGCTCTAAGATTCAGGGACCTTCTGAGGCACCAGCATCAGCCATGCAGTGCCTCCCTGCCCAGAGGTCTGAGTCCTGGCCCCACAGTCCCTCTTGTGAACTTCAGAGGCAAAGCAGCAAAGAACCCTCTCCTCAAGGTCTAAGTCACAGCTGCAAGGAGCCTCCATCAGCTTCTAAAAGGTGGTTTCAACCTTGCCTTTTGTTCCCCTAAGAACTAGGGACAGTAAAGTGCTTCCTGAACTTACTACCTTCTTGATATCCTGGTTGCACTTTTTGCATTATTTGTTCTATAATACCTCATTAACAACTTTTGATGTTAAATGTTCTCTGATAAAATAACTGGTGCAATTTTTATCTCCTAACAGAATATAGACTGATAACAGTGAAACATTAAAAGATGAGAGGAAAAGCCATGATTAAGCTAAATGAGAAAAGTACTTGACCAGAAGAGCAGGCCTGTACATAAAGAGCTAGATGCATTTCAGAATAACCAGTTAACAGGAAAAGGATGACAGAGTAGATATGATAAAGACAACTTCTAGCATATCTATGCCTTTACAAAGAAAAAGAAATTATAAAAGTCAGAAGGGGCATATTTGGTCTGCAGAGGCTAAAAATAGGATGAAAGCAGGTACAGTTTATAAGACAGCCCAGCGGACTAGAGGGTAATTAAGACAAGGAGGATGTATTAGTCCATTCAGGCTGCTATAACAAAATGCCATAAACTAGGTAGCTTATAAACAGAAATTTCTGACAGTTCAGAGGCTAGGAAGTCCAAGATCAAGGCAGTCTGTGTGTGGTGAACACCCGCTTTCTGGCTCACAGACAGCACCTACTTGCTGTGTCCTAACATGACAGAAGGGAAAGAGTTCTCCTTGGGACCTCTTTCACTAGGAAATTAATCCCATTCATGAGGGCTCTACCCTCATGGCCTAATCACCTCCCCTCCCAAGGGCCCCACCTCCTAATACCATCACCTTGGGGTTAGAATTTCAACATGTGAATCTGGGGAAACAAACATTCAGACCATGGCAGAAGGCTCTGAAAGAAATGTTAATTATATCAAACCTTTAAACTTGTGAAAAATGAGTTTTATAAATTATATTTATGCTATACCCAACCACAGGTAAATATACTATTATACACTCTTTTTATACCATATTAAATTTTTTTTTCCATTTTTTGAGATGGAGTTTAGCTTTTGTTGCCCAGGCTGGAGTACAATGGTGTGATCTCAGCTCACTGCAACCTCTGCCTCCCAGGTTCAAGCAATTCTCCTGCCTCAGCCTCCTGAGTAGCTGGGATTACAGGCACTCGCCACCATGCCTGGCTACTTTTTGTATTTTTAGTAGAGACGGGGTTTCACCATGTTGGCCAGGCTGGTCTCGAACTCCTGACCTCAGGTGATCCACCTGCCTCGGCCTCCCAGAGTGCCGGGATTACAGGCGTGAGCCATCGTACCTGGCCTACACCATACTAAAATTTAGCAGGGCATTTTAACCTGTGTAGACAGTAGGCTGAAATTTGGAGACAAATGTAGTGTTAGAGAAATAAGTGACAGGAGGATCAGGATTAATGACTCAGCCTTTGCTGGGAAGAATATATCAATGTTCTCCTTATATGGTGGCAGAGAAGAAATCTTTGGGCTGATAATCTAGAAGATGCAGCTCTGATGTGGAATTATACAGAAATATGAATGCCAAATTCCTCTGTGGCTCCAAAAGAAGTCTGAACTACATATATTGGTTTATTTACCAAACTGTTCAACAGATAAACTAAAGTACTGTATAAAGGAAAGTCTAGGCATAACACCTCCAAGTTTCTAATACTCAAAAGATCCTTGAGGATATAATGGCTGCCTGCCTCCAGAGGCTTCAGAATTTCATTATTGACTAAATTACCATTTTAGTATATTTAGATTAACTGCATGATGCAAAGTATGGTGGAAAAGAAGCCACAGTCTTTTTCACATTATTTAAAACTAAATAATAGAATCACAAATTTAAATTCTACTCACAGGAAAAGAAATTATTTTATATGCCTTTAATAATTAACATATAATTAACTTTTTAAATGTTATATATTACAGTCTCACAGAACACTCCAGTCCTTGAACGACTAACATTTACATTTTTAAACACCAAATCTAAGGAATCAAATTATTTTTAAAAATTCACCTGTTGACGGCGAAATACAATAATCATCCTCTACAGACTGGCCGTAGAGATCATCATCTTCAAAATCTAAAATAAAGACAAAAGAGATAAATTCATTTACAAGTTCTTTTTATATTCTTAGTTACTAGTGAGGAAGCATCTGAATCCTCTCCAAAATAAACTGTTTATCAAAATTTAAGGATCCTAGAATGTCTATTTTCAAAAAAACTCTTAAGAATTTCACCCACAAAATAGGTTATTTACTAACTCTATATTTATAAAGACATACACAGTTCTTCAGTTGTTAAATTAATTGGGTTTACCCAGGTCCCAAGTTTTCACCTCATAGGATCAAATACAATAATCCTATAAAAAATATACTTGAGGCCAGGCACGGTGGCTTACGCCTGTAATCCCAGCACTTTGGGAGGCCGAGGTAGGTGGATCATGAGGTCAGGAGTTTGAGACCCGCCTGACCAATATGGTGAAACCCCGTCTCTACTAAAAATACAAAAATTAGCTAGACATGGTGACGTGCACCTGTAATCCCAGCTACTCTGGAGGCTGAGGCAGGAGAATCACTTGAACCCAGGAGGCAAGGTTGCAGTGAGCCAAGACCGCGCCACTGCACTCAGCCTGGGCGACAGAGCAAGACTCCGTCTCAAAAAGAAAAAAAAAGAAAAAAAGAAAAAAAAATACTTAGTCTCTCCAGTGTTGACAAAAATCTGAAATAAACCATTTTTTTCACCATGTGCCCTCTAAAACCAAAGCACTTCTCTTCCACAGAACATGGGGGTATATAATAGATCATGAAAGTAGTATTTCTTTATGGAGAGCTAGGTAACATCTATACAAACCAACTTACCCTAAACTCCCTATGCCCACCTGCTGATGGCTAACTGCCCTTTTTTTCTGCTTCCTGGGATATGCTCTTTGCCTAGATTTTCCGAGGCCATTTCTTTCTGCTAGTTAAGGTTCCAGCTCAAATGTCTCCTCTTTGCACAAGTCTTCCCTGACCACTCTGGGTAAAGCAGTAAGCCCCTCTGCTACTGTTACCCTCCAGCACACTTACCCAATTTACAGAGCGCTACGCCTGTTCACTACATGAGACTATCAGCTTCTTCAGGGCAAGACTTGGTTTAGCCAACTACCTGGCACATATGGGGCACTAGATTAATATTTGTTTTATTATAAATTAATGAATCAAACTAATTACAACTAAAAACCCACAAAGAACATAAATATATTTACATAAATTTCATTTGACAAACACTAACACCATGCCAGGGAGTAGTTGAGACAACTGTGGTATAACAGTGAACACATTTCCAGTTATCACTGCACCTAAAATCTGACAAGGAATACACACAAGATAATGGGCAATTACAAAACCATGTGACAAGTGCCTGATGTGAGAAACACAGAGCAATTTGGGAACACACACATGAATGACAAAACTAGAACCGGGAGTGGGGCAGCTAGGGAAAGATCCCCATTAATATAATATCCAAACCAATTCCAAAGGATAGAGTTAGCTAGTTTCTGAGGGTATTCATGCAGCAGGAACAGCATGCTCAAAGGCTGAGACCAAATGCTTACAGCAAAGAAAAATTAGATAAATGCTACTATTGGGCAAAAACATATATGATTAAATAAATTATTAGATCACAATCCCAAGTTAATAAAAATTTATTTGCAAATAAACAAGGGGCCATTCACAAACAAAGTATTTTTAGATATTGAAGACAACAATAGGCCAGGCATCGTGGCTCACACCTGTAATTCCAGTACTTTGGGAAGCCGAGGAGGGAGGATCTCGCTTGGGCAACACAGCCGGATGCTGTCTCTACTAAAATAAAAAATTAACCGGGCATGGGGGCACATGCCTGTAGACCTAGCTACTCGGGAGGCTGAGGCACGAGGATTGCTTGAGCCCAGGAGTTGGAGGTTACAGAGAGCTATGATCATGCCACTGCACTCGCACTCCAGCTTGGCCAACCAACAAAGTGCGATCCTGTCTCTTAAAAAAAAAAAAAAAAGAAAAAAAACTCTTTTTTACTAGGTCAGTTTGTCAATGCTGAAGTTGACCCTAAAGTGCCACAACATATAAAGATGAAGAGAATTCTTTCCTGCAATCTTCATAGTTTGTTTCCTCAATCAACAAAATTATGAAATATTTACCACATGTAAAGAACATTGTGCCAGCTACTTAAAGTATGGATTTTGCCTTCCTGAGACTTTTAAATCAGTGACTGAGGCAGTCATGTAAAGTATTACATAAATTACAGAGAAAAACAAAGTGGGAGTTAAGTAGCGGAACCAGTAGGTTTTAGAACACAAACTCTCTCTAATGAGGTTATATTTCTTAACAGAATTTTTAAATTATTATTCTGAGAATTCAAGAGAAAGCCTAACTGGGAAGAAGAGAAATAAACTGGACCTTAATGAGTACAACTTTTATAAACAAGAAAAGGGGATGAACCTCCTTAATGTTACAGGAACAGCTTGGTTATGATGTCACCAATTGTTTCAAAGAAGCATGACAACATGACAACCTAACCTCAAGAAGCCAAGGTGCTCCCTGAGGCCAACCACCTCTCCTCCATGAAGCATTCCTTAACGTAGAAATCCTGCTTAAATTCCCCCCAATCCATTCTGAATTAAGTGTTCTCATCTGTGTATCCCTCCCATAGCGTTTTCTCAGTACCTTTTGTAGCATTTTTCATACTCTAATAATCTGTAACTCGTATAATCTTCTCCTTTTAGACCACCCTCAAATATCTTACTTTCAGTCCTCAAAGCTTAGAACAGTACTCTAAGCACTAACTTAATGGTGGTTGAGGAAATGATAAACAACTATTAAAGAAATGAATGAATAATAAATAGGCCTATTCATGTACTTTATATTTGCAAAAATCTCTCTCAATCTAAAGTCATTTCTTAGGTGACAATGGTCCACATGCAATACCATCCACTGCAATATTTATTTAAAAGGGCCTCCATTCTAAAGTAACCACCAGAAAATTCACATGTTCTAGACGGACTGAGGTCACAGGTTCCAAATGGAGAACAGGGTGTTAGCTGCCCTCACTCTAGTTAAAGCATACTGATGTTCTATAATAATCTACTGGGGTGCCAATGACAATCACCAACATATTAAGCACTACATGTTCTGCACTTCGTAAAGCATAGTTCTTTATTCTTCTCCTGCATTAGTTCATTTTTGTTTATATTTTTAGTTTATGTGATGCTTGGTGATGCCTATAGTTATCTACTGCATGAAGAGGGATGTGCTCCTCCTAAAAATAATTCTAACTCCTGTTAACTCCTACAGAACATTCATACAGACATTTTTATTTCATTTTTTAATATCAAAAAGTCCTTTCCTATACACTCTTTCCTCTAGTACTGCCGTTTATTTACATTTCAAAATACATTTATATCAAGCATTACCAGCCAAGAACTAAGTATAAACTTCAAGATCCATCTGATCGACTCATTCTTTGGGCCTTTTTAACATGTGTCTTTTCTACCGTCTCCTAAGTTTCCACTTTGAAATTCGTTGAAAAATAAATTAGCGCAAACTGATTCTGCACTAGGTATGTATGGACATACACAAAAGGTTTACCATGTAAATCTAACACAGGTACACGTCCGTTGAATGTATTAAGTCAATCTGTGTTTTACAAATAAGCAACGTTTCATGGACATTTCTCAAAGGGGATCTGGGAGAGAGGAGCTAGAAGCAGGCACGTTAGTGCCCAACATGGGAGGAAACAATGGAAGAGGTGATAATGCTTACGTGCCTAAATATCACCGGATCTCAACCTCACCAATATCCTACCCATATGACGCTATGCAGCACCTCCCCCTCCCCAAATAAAATCAACCCCAGAGGGCAGAAATCATGACTTAAAAACGACGGCATTTGAAAGCACTAGAAGGCCTGTTATATTCCCCAACTGGGGCTCTCCCAATCCCGACAGGGCAACACTGACGAGAAACTCACAGATTGAAGTGGATGCCAACGGGCTAGGATCCCAGCTGTAGCCGGGAAAAGAACGTCCCGGCATGACCCTGCCACCTACCTTCATCGTAGTTATAGCCTCGAACATTCCGATGCCGGGCCATGACGGCGGAGAGGGCGTTTGCCACAGCCCCTTAACTCCTTCCAAAACACTCCGCTTAGATACTGATAAGGCGCCAACTGCAGCCTGGAGAACCCCTATGCGCCATCTTGGCTTCCCGCAGGCCTCTGCGCCGAGCGCCTGCGCAAGCGCGACGTCTTAGCTGTGCACCGCGCGACGGCAATGCCTCAGGGTCACTGTCCGCCTCCCTGAGGGCGCATGCGCACTGCTGTGCATGGCGGGACGAGGGGAGGGAGCGTTTGGGAGTGGCCCCACCCAAAGGTTGGGCGACGGAGGGGGATGGGGAAATCCGCCGCCTAGAATTGACTGGTTTGGACTAAATGTTGCAAGCGGGGAACCTTGAGCTACCTACGCCAGCGTTCTGGATTATTTTCCAAATTTGGTTCCTGATAATCTGAGAAAGCTATGCGCTCAGTAAGAGCAGGGACCTTGTTTTATCAAACTTTGATCTTTCATTAAGCACACAGTGGGCATTCAACAAACTTGTGTAAACTTGGAATCAGATTTAGCCCAGGCCGGTGCGGTGGCTCCTTCCTGTAATCCCAGCACTTTGGGAAGCCTAGGAGGGCGGATCGCTTGAACTCAGGTGTTCGAGACCAGCCTGAGCAACATAGCGAGGCTCCGTCTCTACAAAAAATACAAACACTAGCCGGCCCTGTGGTGCAGACCTGTAGTCCCAGCTACTGAAGAGGCTGAGGTGGGAGGATCCCCTGAGCCCAGGCGGTCGAGGCTGCAGTGAGCTGAGATCGGGCCTCTCCATTCCAGCCCGGGCGACAAAGTGAGTGAGACCTTATCTCAAAAAAAAAAAGAGTCCAAGCTTTAGAGAAGGAAATAAGGCTATTTTTAAACGGGTATATATTATTAAATTGAGACCCTGGCTATATTAGGTCACCCTGCATTCATATAATTTACGACTTCATGTATTCACTCCGTTCGGCATTACTATCCCTAGTAAACAGCGATTTGCCCTTAGCTATGTAAACGATTTTAGCTATATAGACGATATTTATCAGCATCATAAAGAAGGATTCACTGAACATTCATTGAAGACATAATTGTGTGTAACATTGCGAGTATTAAATATAGCTTTTTAGACATAGCACTGGCCTTAGGTGGTAATGCTGAATGTTGTTGATGCATGAATCTATAACCTGCTATTAAATGTCCTCATTTCTCAGAACATAAAGTTAATAATGCTATATAAGAAACCAACCTCATTATACTGAACACCACTTCAGTTTTAGCTTGTGTTTTTGAAATGATGATACTTCACATCAAAGGCAAATGTTGAGTTCTAGAGATAATTAAAAGCTTCCTCAGCTTTTTGCTATGCACAATAGAAAGAAATAAGAGTAATCCAAATTTAGTTTATATTTGTAAGTGGCTTGGAACGTAATTTATTCATGCATTTGAATGTGTTTGACTACAAAAATAGTTGTTTAATGTGGCTCCAAAATAAAAGTTTACAGAAAAATAGAGATAGTTGCTAATGTTACATGGCTTAAGTGTTTTTATTATTTTACACCCTTAGGTAATTTTTATTTTGCAGCCTGTTTCTTTGTAAAAAGGAGATAGAGACACTAACTCGCGAGCTGTGAATAATGTATCCGTATAAGAGGATTTATCACAGATCATAGTAGGTGCTTAAAAATATTGTGTTATTGGCCGGGCGCGGTGGCTGACTCCTGTGATCCCAACACTTTGGGAGGCTGAAGCAGGCGGATCATGAGGTCAAGAGATCAAGACCATTCTGGCCAACATGGTGAAACTCCCTGTCTACTAAAAATACAAAAATTAGCTAGGCATGGTGGCGCGTGCCTATAGTCCTAGCTACTCGGGAGGCTGAGGCAGGAGAATCGCTTGAACCCGGGAGGCAGAGGTTGCAGTGAGCTAAGATTGTGCCACTGCACTCCAGCCTGGAGACAGAGTGAGACTCTGCACCCCCCCAAAAAAATTGTGTTATTAAAATACAAATGGCAGCTTCCACTCCACTGTAATTGTCAATTACAAGCTTAACTACAACTCACTGAGGTATGAAGTGAATGAGTTATAGACCACATAAGCAAAGTACTACAGGAACAATGAATAAGAAAACGTTACTTCTGTCAGATAATATATAATTTGCCCTTAGGTCGTCAATAACGCACTCCTTTAAAACTCTAAATATTGCACAGCATCTACTGCATCTCAAACAGTAGAGCCTCAATGGCAAAGCCTTCACTGACTTCTTCAGAAAAAGTTAGGATTGTTCCACTCCCCTCAGGACTCTGTAAGGTGTGGGCAGGGCACCGTGGCTCACGCCTGTAATCCCAGCACTTTGGGACGCTGAGGCGGGTGGATCACCTGAGGTCAAGAGTTCCAGACCAGCCTGGCCACCATGGTGAAACCCCCATCTTCCACTAAAAATAAAAAAAAATTAGCTGTGCGTGGTGGTGGGTGACTGTAATCCCAGCTACTCGGGAGGCTGAGGCAGGAGAATCGCTTGAACCCAGGAGGCAGGAGTTGCAGTGAGCTGAGATCGTGCCACTGCACTCCAGCCTGGACAACAAGGGCAAAACTCCGACTCAAAAAATAAATGAATAAAACTCTGGTATTGTGTTTTGATGGAAAGTACTATGACTTCGGAGTACCACGAACCTGGATTTCAGTCCCAGTTTTGTTGCTGTTAACCACTTCAGATTTAATGTCTTCATCTGTAAAATCGAATATATGAAAATGTATGTCTTCTGTTTTGTGAAAAGTAAATGATATATGTAAAAACAGTAGGTGTTGCAGAATGGGTACTCAGTAAATGCCACTTCTCTACCCCTACTAATTTCAAAGCTTTATCTTTGTTTCTCCGGCACCCTAATGTCTGGCACTTTAAATGTTTGCTGAATGAATTAATGAGTAAAAGAAGAGAAATAAAATGACATTTCTCTTGCTATGGAATTGTTAATGTCATAAAAAACAATACAAATCATTTTATATTGATTTGTGAAAAAAATTATGAATGAAAGGATAACTACATTACTGAAAAAATGTTAACAACTTTATTGAGATATCATTGACAATAAACTGCACATAATGTGTAATTTTGATACATTTTGACGTATGTATACACCAGTGAAGCCATCAACCCCATCAAGATAATGAACATATCCAGACTTTCAAAATTTTCCTGAAGTACCTTTATATCCAGAATAAAAATTCCAGAATATCCCGGAATCCTTCCTGCCCGTCAAGGCCTCCTCACCATGGCCCCTCAAAATAACTGATCGTCTTTCTGTCACTATGAGTTGTTTGCATTTTTTAAAATTTTATACAGGTGAAATCATATAGTATGTGTTCTTTTTTATCTGTCTTAATTCACTCAGCATAATTATTTTGAGATTCACCTGTGTAGTTGCTTGAATCAACAGTTCATTCCTTTTTATTAGAGGAGGATTCCGCTGTGTGGATATACCACAATTTGTTTTTCCATTCACCCATTGAGAGATATTTGGTTTGTTTTCCATTTTGACGACTGTAAATAAGGCTTCTGTGAATATCTGTGTACGAATCTTCGTATAAACATAAACTAATTTTTCCTGGGTAAATACCTAGGAGTAGAATGATATGATAGGTTATCTTCAGCTTTTTAAAGAAACTGTCAAACTGTTTTCCAAAAACAGTTGTAAAGTTTTATGTTTCCACCAGCAATGTAGTTCCATTTTCTCTATTTTCTCAACATCATTGCCAACACTTCATGAGGTCTAAAGATGTTAAGCTTACGGCCGGGCGCGGTGGCTCATGCATGTAAATCCCAGCACTTTGGGAGGCCAAGATGGGCGGAGCACAAGGTCAGGAGTTTGACACCAGCCTGGTCAACATGGTGAAACCCCATCTCTATTAAAAATACAAAAAACTAGCCGGGTGTGGTGGCACGCACCTGCAATCCCAGCTACTCGGGAGGCTGAGGCGGGAGAATTGCTTGAACCCGGGAGGTGGAGGTCTCAGTGAGCCGAGATCACGCCACTGCACTCCAGCCTGGGCGACAGAGCAAAACTCTGTGTAAAAAAAATAAAATTAAAAAAAGTCAAAATGATAGTTACTTTTGAAGTAGATATTAATGGAGTCAGGAAAGAGAGAATTAAAGGGAGCTTTCAGAGGTGCTGGAGATGTTCTATATATTGATCTGGGTTAGGATTATAAGGTTTTATACATGTATACAATTTTATTTTACTGTACATTTAAAATTTATGCACCTTTCAGTAATAAGTTATACCTCAATTTAAAAACCAAATTAAAAAATGCAAAAATTTATTAAATGGAATTTTCATTCCTGTCTTTAATATATACATATATGTCAGATGTTTCCTTTATGCCTCATAGTGTTGTTTTATTTATTTATTTTATTTTATTTGTATTGACAAGTTCTCACTATGTTCCCCAGGCTGGTCTCAAACTCCTGAGCTCAAGCCATCCTCCCACCTCCACCTCCCAAAGTGCTGGGATTACAAGCATGAGCCACCATGCCCAGCATATAGTGTCCTGTTTTAAAGATCTAAGCACTGTGATACATCTGAGTTAGAATTTACTTAACAATATATCAGTATTTCTCAGAGTATAGTCTGTTCTTCATCCTGTATTTGAAACTAAACAATTACTCATCCATTTACACTTAAAATTTTCTGTTGTTCCTGAAATAACACTGTCCTTGTTAGCTACTTAAATACTCATATGAGGTTTGGTAAATAAATTATAGTGACGCTTCTACTCCATAACTATTAAAAAGAAATGAAGGAATTGATCTTAGTCATTAAGAAAGGAAGAATAAGGCTGGGCGCGGTGGCTCACGCCTGTAATCCCAGCACTTGGGAAGGCTAAGGCGGGCAGTTCAAGACCAGCCTGGCCAACATGGTGAAACCATGTCTCTACTAAAAATACAAAAACTAGCCAGGCGTGGTGCCGGGAGCCTGTAATCCCAGCTACTTGGGAGGCTGAGGTGGGAGAATCAGTTGAACCTAGGAGGCAGAGGTTGCAGCGAGCCAAGATCGTGCTACTGTACTCCAGCCTAGGTGACAGAGCAAGACACCATCTCCAAAAAAGAATGGGAGGGATGGAGGATAGTTATAATTGTGACATTAGACATGGTATATAAGAAAAGTTCTAGAATTTTCTAGTTAAGTGTCTAGGAAAGTAGGGCCTATGCTACAAACTAGAAAATGTCATGGGTGTGTGGGAAGATCCTTTGGGGTCCTTTGCAGTTTTGCAATTGTTTTGAGGACTTGTGAATTATACTTGTTATTATATGTTAATAATGTAAATCTGCTCATCTTGATTATTGTCACCAAATATCTGTAAAATTTATAAACAGATGTATTTATTTTCCTGTTGATATGCCGAATTACTTCTATAACCCTCTGTCTCAACGAATGATATTCTTACCTTCCTATTTGCAATTCCCCCTGACTACTTTCCTCACATATTGTTCTCTCTTTCTCTCTCTCTCTCCCCCACTCCCTGCCCCTTTGTTTCTTGACAGAAATCCAGCTAAGTAAAAATTGGCAAGATCCTGTGACAAGATCCTGTGACAAGATCCTGTGATCAAGACAAAGTTTTGCCCCCAAAGGACTTGAGGCTATCTGGGAATTCCATGTTTGACAGAAGCGCTGACAGCATAACCAAGCAAACAAGAAGGTATTCAGGGACGCTGAAACGGATCTTCAAAGAAGACTCAGTGGGTGATTTTTAATTTCTGTGTAGTATTATAGAGCTTAATGCAGAACATACCAAAACCTTGGAGAGGTAATGATAGGGTCATGCATTTCATAAGGCAGAGTAATGCCCTGCAACAACAAAATAAAGTCAAAGAGTTCTACACTGAGCCATGAACCACTAAATGGGGAATACCAACAAAATAACACCACCTGGGTGAAATCTGCTTCCTGCGTAGATAGGTTCTTTCAACCACCAACCCTAGGCTTTCCAGCTGTCAAGCACTTAATCATGAAATATAATAATAAAGATGTTTCAGGAGTTCCTTATGATACTTATTCAAAAGTTCATATTGTTCTAAACTCTCTAATAATAATCAGTTCTCCAGGTTAAACATCTTTCAATGGAAGCACATTATTTACAAACTCAGTCCAAACCCTTAGAAGGACATAGGAGTTCCACTATGATGTCAATGCTGCCTGGTTTGCCACCTCACCTGCCACCTCTCTACCACCAGACGTGGGGCACTCTACATCAGCTCCTACTTTTATGGTTCCAAGTCCAGCCATGGTCTTCCTGACTCGGGACATTCACACATACTAATTCTTCTGCTTAGAATGCCCATCTGTCCCCATTCCCTCTTTATTGCTCAGCAAAGCCCAGTTTCCATCACACATTCTGCGACACCTTCCTTGACTCTGCAGAATAAGTGTCCCTCCTGTGTGCCTTAAAGCACAGTATTTGTTTCTGCTACAACACACATTAATAATATTCTAATTGTCTATGTTTTCTTCTACCCCTCTCCACTTCCCCAGTTAGATGTAAATTCCTTAAAGGCAGGGACACTCTAGTTTATTTTATATCTCTTGCATCCAGTGTAGTGGCTGGTACAAAACTAGAATAAATAAAATAAATGTTATTGAATTATTGTTGAATAAAGTTATAACATGAAAAATAAATATATTTGTAAGAAGTTCATTACTTTGGAGACCAATATCAGTAATATTCTGGAGAAGGACACCATCTGCAAGGAATGAGAGAGTGCAAGAGAGTGCGTAATATGGCAGTGAGAGCTATAAGTAGAAATTTCTAGATTTAAAGGTATCTTTTGTATATACCCCCCAAAAATGAAAACTTATGTCCACATACAGACTTGTACATGAATGTTCATAACAGCATATTCATAGGAGTCAAAAGTAGAAACAACTGAAATGTCCATTAACAGATGAATGGAAAAATAAAATGTGGGCTATTCACAGAGTACACTATTATACAACAATAAAAAGAAGTGAAGTACTGATAATAAGCTTCAACATGGATGAACCGGAAAACATTACATGAAGTGAAAGAAGCCCCTCTTCTGAGTTGGGTGGGAATACTTCAGTGAAAAATGAGATACTTATTTTCTGGATTCATCCTGGTCTGAATCCAGGCTTGCCAAATATACCTTGTTATTGTATGCACAACCAAAAGAAATACACATTTCATGATTCTATTTACTTGAAATTTCCAGCACAGGCAAGTCTATAGAGTCAGAAAGTAGGTTAGTAGTTGCTTAGGGATGGGGAGGTTGGGGGAAATGAGGAGTGACTGCTAATGGACAGGGGCGTTTCCTTATGGGGTGATGGAAATGGTCTAAGATTGGGGGTGTTGACGGTTGTGCAACTCGGTAAATATACAAAAAAAAACACTTAAAAAACTGTACACTTTAAATGGGTAATTTTTTTTAAGACAGGGTTTCATTCTGTCACCCACTCTGTCATGCCACCATGCCCAGCTAATTTTTTTTTTATTTTTGTAGTAATGGGGTTTTGCCATGTTGCCCAGGCTGGTCTCAAACTCCTGAGCTCAAGCAATCCACCTGCCTCAGCCTCCCAAAGTGCTGGGATTACCGGCATGAGCCTCCGTGCCCAGCCTAAATGGGTAAATTCTGATATAGGAGTTAAGAAGAAATTACTGGGCCAGGTGCAGTGGCTAATGCCTGTAAAGTCCCAGCACTTTGGGAGGCTGAGGAGAGTAGATCACCTTAGGTCAGGAGTTTGAGAAACTCCGTCTCTACTAAAAATACAAAAATTAGTTGGGAATGGTGGCATGTGTCTGTAATCCCAGCTACTCGGGAGACTGAGGCAGGAGAATTGCTTGAACCTGGGAGGCGGGGATTGCCGTGAACCAAGATCACGCCACTGCACTCCAGCCTGGGCGACAGAGCCAGACTCCGTCTCAAAAAAAAAAAAAAAGAAAGAAAAGAAATTACTTAGACAGATAGTGAGGGTATAGAAGACCTCGGTAAGGTTTTCCTTTAAATGAAAAGCAGCCCCAAGTCATTTTGCTTACTAACAAAGAGCAGCCTGTAAAATCGAGCTGCAGACATACAAGCTGGCAGTTGTTGTCAATTGTGTTCAAAATGGCGACTCCATCTTCCCTTCTTGGCCAGCCAGGTGTACAGGAAGGAGCAAACAAAGTGGCACCGGACAAGGGGAAAGTTCATTTGCATAATAAGATTAGGGTGGGGCGGCCAGCCTTCTCCTGAGCTATGTAAACCTAGTACCTGATTCAACCAATCTGTGAGCCCTATATAAATCCGACACCACTTCCTCCAGCCTGACTATAAAATCTGGCGCATCCACCAGCTGGTTCTTTCCTCTCAGAAGTCCCTTCTCTCTCACTAGAGAGAGCTATTTTCCTTTATCTTTCTTTTGCCTGTTAAACCTCTACTCCTTAACTCCTCAGGTGTGTCCGTGTCCTTAATTTTCGTGGCACGAGATGATGAACCCCAGGTATTTACCCCAGACAAGGTAGCTGCTTCAATTCTATGGTGTTAATTATATATCAATATAGCTCTAATTTTTTTAAAGAGTCTCTTTCAGTGAAACAATCTGTTTTAGATGTTCAATCTTTTTTTTTTTTTTTTTTTTTTGAGACGGAGTCTCACTCTGTCACCCAGGCTGGAATGCAGTGGCCGATCTCGGCTCACTGCAACCTCTGCCTTCCGGGTTCAAGCGATCCTCCTGCCTCAGTCTCCAGAGTAGCTGGGACTACAGGCGCGTGCCACCACCCCCATCTAATTTTTGTACTTTTAGTAGAGATGGGGTTTCACCCTGTTGGCTAGGGTGGTCTCAAACTCTTGACCTCAGGTGATCCACCCACCTCTGCCTCCCAAAGTGCTGGGATTACAGGTGTGAGCCACTGCACCTGGGCGGTATTCAGTCAATTTGAAAGCAGAGAGCCACCTGAGAAACATGGGTGCAATGAGAAGCTTCTGTAACTTCTGTAACTTGGAGGCAGAGAAGGAGAAAGGTCTGGCACAATGGCAATTTCTGTAATGATTATAAGCCACTTGGGCAAAAAGCTCTGTTCTGCAATTTACCAAATGTGTAATCTTTTTTTTTTGAGACAAGGTCTTGCTCTGATGCCCAGGCTGGAGTACAGTGGCACAGTCTCGGCTCACTGCGGCCTCAATCTCCCAGGCTCAAGTGCTCCTCTTTCCTCAACCTCTCAGCGTAGCTGGTATAAACCAAAAATTTCTAAGGCCCCTCAGTCATCTGAATGGACCCTTTCTCTTGGCCAACGGCATTACAGAGTTAACATGAAAATCTAATTCTGGCCGTGATGGAAGAGGGTGTTGGATATGCCTCATTATACCCCTCCAGCATTAACTTCAACACAGACCTTAAGTGTGACAAGAAACATTTATAGTCTGCCCTCTTTGAAGCCTGCTCCTGGGAGGCTTCATCTGCATGATAAAATCTTGGTCTCCACAATCCCTTATTGTGAGCCAGACATTCCTTACTACTGATAATAACTTTTTCAACCAATTGCTAATTAGAAAATTTTTTAATCTACCTATGACCTGAAGACCCCCAACTTGACATTGTCCCGCCCTTCCAGATAGAAGCAATGTAAATCTTACATGTATTAATTGATGTGTTATGTCTCCCTAAAATGTATAAAAGCAAGCTGTACCCGAACACCTTGGGCATGTGTCTTCAGTACCTCCTGAGGCTGTGTTATGAGTGCATTCTTAACCTTGGCAAAATAAGCTTTCTAAATTGAGACCTGTCTCAGATACTTTTGGGTTCACGCTGGGGCTGCAGGCTCGCTCCATCACACCCTGCTAATTTTCTTTATGTTTAGTAGAGACGAGGTCTTGCTATCTTGCCCAGGCTGGCCTCATACTCCTGGGCTCAAGGGATCCTCCTGCCTAGCCTCTTGAAGTGCTGGGATTACAGGCATGAGCCACTGCATAAACTTGGGCCAAATGCTTCTCATCTCAGGGCCTTAGTTGTCACACTGTAAGATAGAGGATAAAAATTGAACTACTCTAAACAGTTGTGAAGATTTGAATGGCTTAATTCATTAAAGCATCTAGAGCAGCTCTAGGCACATAGAAAGTACTCCAACAATGCTTGTATTCTTCTTTGGCCCCACTGACTTCCACTGCACAGGACAGATTTCATTTGGGTCTTGAAAATTATGAGATGAGGTTGGTCTGGTTTGGTTGCCTGGGTGCTGACATCACTACTGTTGCCCTTGAACTTTATCACTGCATCCGGTGATGAGGCCCTCAGGAGGCCTCCCTGTCTTTATGTCACACCTATTGGGCCAACAAAACATTTAGCATTTTCTTGCCCCTTGGTAGGGCTCATGATTGTCAAGTGTTTTCTCAGCTCTATGCTGCGGCATGCAACACTCAGTGAGACTGCCCTCGGTCACTCCTTTCAGTCCCTAGCCAGGTAATATCACTACCCTCCTGCCCAACTCTCAACACTGCACCATGCCAAGTAGGAGGCTTTTTTGAGGGACTTTCAGCCTTTCCAGGTTATGTTCTCAAGAAATTAGCACAGCTTGGCCAGGCACGGTGGCTCACGCCTGTAATCCCAGCACTTTAGGAGGCCGAGGTGGGTGGATCACCTGAGGTCAGGAGTGCGAGACCAGCTGGCCAACATGATGAAACCCTGTCTCTACTAAAAATACAAAAATTAGCTGGGTGTGGTGATGGGAGCCTGTAATCCCAGCTACTAGGGAGGCTGAGGCAGGAGAATCGCTTGAACCCATGAGGCAGAGGTTGCAGTGAGCGAAGATTGTGCCATTGCACCTGGGCAACAGAGCAAGACTGTCTCAAAAAAAAAAAAAGAAAAAGAAAAGAAAAGAAAAAAAAGAAATTAGCATAGCTCCCAATATTGCTGGATATATCCAGTACATCTGGAAATCTTTAATACAACAGCTTCCATACAGGTTGAAGAGAACTGTCCATTTTGAGTACAGTACTTTAAGAAAGAAAGTTGGGTGGGAATATTTCAAAGATGAAATACTTATTTTCTAGATTCATCCTAGTCTGAATCCAGACTTGCCAATATACCATCTTAGTGTATGCACAATTTCTTCTAGGATTTATAGACTGTCTACCTCTGGGTATCATCTTAGCGCTCCAAGTGTATGTATAATGTAGGGACACATACAGCTTTTCAGCCATGGGAAAGAGGTGTGTCTGCAGTATAAAATGCTGCAAGGCACCAACGGAATGTTAATGACAAATCAAAGGACAGAGCATCTTTAAATCCTAGGGGAAAATTCAAAGCAAAGAAAATTTGCAAATCAAATTTAAACCAGAAAAAAAGCATACACATAAAAGGTAGGGTTTTAAAAGGTAAAAGCGGCTCTCATTAAAAGTCATTTAAAACACTGAACTGTTTGAGGAATTTCCCTTCCTTGCCCTGTCATGCTCTGTTTTCTTTGAAAAGGCAGAAAATGGGCTATAGTGTCAATGTGTTGTTTAGAAACCTATATCTAGAAAAACTCTAAGAAAGGAGTAAAATAATTTAAATCAAAACCCTTTCAGCCACTAGATATTGTTCTTACTAGATTTTCTTCAGAAAGACAAGTTGGAAAATGGGAACGGCCAAAGGGAAGCACTTGTTTTCCTTCTCACCTCAATATGTGTATAGGGTTGAGCCATTGCTCATCTTGAAAAACTTGGATATGGGACAGTCACACAACAGTGTTGCCTGTATATTGGGCCATAGACTTTGCAAACTATCCCGTAAAATTTATTAGAAGCTCTGAAAAACTTTCACACTTAGAAGAGGCCACTTGATACTAATTGCCTGTGTAATTTTACCAGGGGTCATTTAGAAGGCTTTGGTTTCTAATTTCTGTTTCTCTCAGGAAATGGTTCAATATGATTAGTCATTTTCTTCATATTTGTTCATATTTCCTTATTTCCTGACTTGTGATGGTTTTATTAGGCAAGAGTTGCTTTTGACTCTGGTTGAGATACACATAATCACACTGATATAACTAGAAGTTTTTAAAGCCATGTTTGCATTTAGATAAACAGAATAGATATTAATCCTTTTCAAGTAGAACACTGGGCAAAAATTAGTCCTTTATGTTTCCCGTTATGACTGTGGTATTGTGGTAGATTATATTTTCCTAAGATGTCCACACCAGTACATTCTATCCAACATGATCTTCTTTCCATGTAATACTGACTGATATGGTTTGGCTACGTGTCCCCACCCAAATCTCATGTTGAATTGTAATCCCCAATGTTGGGGGAGGGGCCTGGTGGGAGGTGATTAGATCATAGGGTCGGATTTCCCCCTTGCTGTTCTCATGATAGTGAGTGAGTTCTCATGAGATCTGGTTGTCTGAAAGTGTGTAGCACTTCCCTCTTTGCTTTCTCTCTCCCGCAGCCATCTGAAGGTGTGTTTGCTTCCCCTTCATCTTTCCACCATGATTGTAAATTTCCTGAGGCCTCCCAGCCATGCTCCCTGTACAGTCTGTGAAACTGTGAGTCAATTAAACCTCTTTTCTTCATAAATTACCCAATCTCAGGCAATTCTTTATAGCAGTGTGAGAACAGGCTAATACACCGACTCTTCTCCACCAAGAGATTGGGAGACTCTGCCTTTGAGACATACTTTTCCATTGAGAGATCTTTCCTCCCCATAAAACTGGGCGGACCTATGACTGCATTGGAAGCCACATTACGTACCTGCTAAAGCTGGCCATAAAAGGTGATACGGCTTTCACTTGGTCCTCTTTGGATGCTCACCCTCAGAACCCAGTCGCCATAATACGAGGAAGGCAAACAGCAATTTGGAAAGGCCATATGTAGGTGCCCAGTAGTGCCTTTGCTGAGATTCCAGATGACAACCGGCCTTCATGACCAGACATGTATGTGAATGAGGCTTCAGATTATCCCAGTGTCCAGCCTTCCAGATACCCCAGCAGATGCTGAGTGGAATAGAGATCATCTGTCCTCACTGATTCTACCCAAGTTGCAGAATTGTGAACAAATATAAATGTTTATTTTAAGCCACTAAGTTTTGGGGTTGTTGTTTAGCAATAGATAACCAGAATAATTATCAACCCAAAAAACATCTCACAGAGACAGTAGTAAATACCGCCATGTTACATGTCTATAGACTCTCATAATTCACAAAAATGCTAATGATAGTTATATAAAGTTAATTATAAGTACTATTGATTCGGATTATTTATATGACAAAGAATACAAGTTTAGAGAGTCTGCTTTAAGTGAGATTTTCTTTGGTCACTAGTCACAATTCTGAAAACTGCCTCCTACGTATACCATAAATAATCATAAAAGATCTTTTTATTCTACCCCATTGAAATGTTACACTAAAACGAATCAAGAAAGCTAGTGTAACAAGGACTTGATTTTCTGTGTGGAAAATTTATGTTATGAAATTCTGTAGTCTCCATTCTTTCACTTGTTACCCAACATATTAATTGCCTGAGAAGTTTTAAGGAACAAATACTTTATTCAAAGGTTGATGCCCTTCAAAAAAATGACAGCTGAACAAGGAAACTTTTGATAAAATATCATCTTCCCAAGTAATATTAATGTAGGTCATTTATTATTATTATTTTTAATTACTACAGTGTTGGCCAGGCACGGTGGCTCACGCCTGTAATCCCAGCACTTTGGGAGGCTGAGGCGGATGGATCATGAGTTCAGGAGTTCGAAACCAGCCTGGCCAACATGGTGAAACCCGCTCTCTACTAAAGATACAAAAAATTAGCCTGGCATGGTGGCACGTGCCTGTAATCCCAGCTACCCAGGAGGCTGAGGCAGGAGAATTGCTTGAACCCAGGAGGCAGTGGTTGCTGTGAACTTAGATCGCAGCATTGCACTCCAGCCTGGGCAACAGGGTGAAACTCTGTCTCAAAAAAAAAATTATGGCCGGGTGTGGTGGCTCACGCCTGTAATCCCAGCACTTTGGGGGGCTAAGGCAGGCAGATCACGAGGTCAAGAGTTCGAGACCAGCCTGGCCAACATAGTGAAACCCTGTCTCTACTAAAAATACAAAAAATTAGCTGAGTGAGGTATAGGGCACCTGTAATCCCAGCTACTTGGGAGGTTGAGGCAGGAGAATCGCTTGAACCCAGGAGGCAGAGGTTGCAGTGAGCCGAGATCGTGCCATTATACTCCAGTCCAGGCGACAGTGCGAGACTCCGTCAAAAAAAAAAAATTACTACAGGGATATTAAATTTCACTTGCACTGATAATTGATTCAGATGTGTCCCAAGGACAGTTTATTCCTTAAGTCATGCTTTTATTAGTGAATGAAAAAGAGGACAGGAAATTAAGCAGCATGCAATGAAGTACACTGTCATGTTATTAGGATACTCCTAATCCATTAAACACAGAAAATTCTCTATAAAGATATTTTTAAACCTTCAGTAAAATGCTTAAGAATTAATTATTCCATTCCAAGAGTTTTAGGCCAGACAAAAGCTGAGATAATTTTGTTCCTATACTCAGACATACTAGTGTACATAAATCTGTCTTAATATATAGGTCATTATTGCTTTCTCCACTAGTCATAGCCTATTGACAGACAATGAAAAAGAAGAAAAAACAATAAACAGCTTTAGAGGAAAAATATACTAGAAATTTTTTTAAAATCACAATTTGTTTAACGAGACCAATAAGAAGAGCCAAACATAGACTGGCCTTTATATTGGCCCCTCTTTCTTCTTCTCAGCCCTGGACCTAGGAGTATTGGCTTGATGAATTCTGAACTCCTTGTATAGAGCTGTTGCCTTGTGATTTACTCATTCTACTTAGGGAAAAGAACCTTTCAGGGGCACACTGATGTTTAGGGAGGAAGTGTCCCACAAGGAGAGAGATTTTTAAATTCTTTATGTGCCTTAATATAGGCACTCTAGAATAAGGGGTAAATCAGGAATTCGGAAATAACCTGTATCATGGTAAGCCTATTAGTAGGACTGATTTCTGGTATCCTTCATGTCATGGCAAATTTCCAGTATTTAGCATGTCTCTCAAAGAACCTAAGAAGAGTACTTCATTTACCAATAGAAGCAGTGGCTGCAGAAAACTTTGTCATGAAGAAATGCATGGGAAGGCTCCTTTGTTTTGCCTCCTATCAAAAAGCAACTTGGTGCAAGGCAAAGAATATCTATCTATAATTTAGGAACGCTTCAGGTTAGCAATCAACTAACTGTGTCAAGGCAACTCACTTTGCCAGCCTCTGTTTGTTTGTTTGTTTGCTTTTAAACAGGTTTTACCACAGGACCTCTAAGTTTCTTTCCGGTTTAATTTTTTTTTTTTTTTTTTTTTGAGTCGGAATCTCACTTTGTTGCCCAGGCTGGAATGCAGTGGTGTGATCTTGGCTTACTACAACCTCCGCCTCCCAGGTTCAAGGGATTCTCCTGCCTCAGTCTCCCAAGTAGCAGGGACTACAGGCATGCGCCACCATGTCCGGCTAATTTTTGTATTTTTAGTAGAGACAGGTTTCACTATGTTGACCAGGCTGGTCGCGAACCCCTGACCTCAAGTGATCTGCCCACCTTGGCCTCCCAAAGTGCTGGGATTACAGGCATGAGCCACCGTGCCTGGCCTCCAGTTTAAAATGTAAATGATACTTGAATCACAGCATTTATAGCGTCTATCATTTTTGAATGTAAAAGCAGAAAACACACTAAGTCTTGGTGTGTGCTTAGGTTCTTAGAAAGTCTGGAAATACGAGCAAATTTCTAGTTCTCATTTTTTTTTTTTTTTTTTTTTTTGAGACAGGGTCTTGCTCTGTCTCCCAGGCTGGAGTGTGGTGGTGCAATCCTGGCTCACTGCAACCTCCACCTCCTGGGCTCAAGCAACCTTCCCACCTCAGCCTCCTGAGTATCTGGGACTACAGGCACACAGCACCACACCCAGATAATTTTTGTTTTTTTGTTTTTTGTTTTGTAGAGATGGGGTTTTGCTACGGTGCCCATGGCTGGTCTCAAATTTCTGCACTTAAGCGATCCACCCGCTTAGGCCTCCCAAAGTGCTGAAATTACAGGTGTCAGCCACTATACCCAGCCTCTAGCTTTAATTCTTAAAGATACATAATCCTTCCAAGGCCGACAAA